>NC_000007.14:17740242-20240242 GCF_000001405.40 Homo sapiens
AGACAGTGTGGCGATTCCTCAAGGATCTAGAACCAGAAATACCATTTGACCCAGCCATCCTATTATTGGGTATATACCCAAAGGATTATAAATCATGCTGCTATAAAGACACATGCACACGTATGTTTATTGCGGCGCTATTCACAATAGCAAAGACTTGGAACCAACCCAAATGTCCAACAATGATAGACTGGATTAAGAAAATGTGGCACATATACACCATGGAATACTATGCAGCCATAAAAAAGATGAGTTCATGTCCTTTGTAGGGACATGGATGAAGCTGGAAACCATCCTTCTGAGCAAACTATCTCAAGGACAGAAAATCAAACACCGCATGTTCTCACTTGTAGGTGGGAACTGAACAATGAGAAAACTTGGACACAGGGTGGTGAACATCACACACCAGGGCCTGTTGTGGGGTGGGGGGTGGGGGGGAGGGATAGCCTTAGGAGTTATATGTAATGCAAATGATGAGTTAATGGGTGCAGCACACCAACATGGTACATGTATACATATGTAGCAAACCTGCACGTTGTGCACATGTACCCTAGAACTTAAAGTATAATAAAAATAAATAGATAAAACATTTTAAGATTAAAAAAATGGGGGAAAGATGGTTGACTCAAAGCAGCTGGTGTACAGCACTCTCACGAAGAGGCAACCAAGAGGCAAGTAAATACTAGTTTTTCACATGGATCATCAAGGAGATCGTGCTGGGATTCAGCAAGGAAACAATGGGGACATGGGGAGAACAGAGAGGAATAAAGTTGGGCAGCTGCCCTCTCGGAACTGGCATGGAGGTAGGGGAAGCTCCCTAATGCAGAGAAAAGGGGAGTGAGTGATAGTCCCCAGTGGATCCACACTTCAGCCATGGATCTTGGCAATCTTGGGCACAGGAGACCCCCTGGCCCCTCTGGTCCTCCAGACTGACACGGAGAGTCACCTGGACCTTGTGCAGAGGAACCAAAGTTCACATGGAGCTCAACAGGCCTTGAGTCCCTGGGCAGCCTGGCAGCAGCTGCCATAGCCCTGCCAAAAAGGGAGGACAGGCTCTTTTGCACTCCCCTAGGATAAATGCCACAGCCTCAGTGCTGAGGAGCTCACAGACTGCAGACTGCTTGATCCCAAACCCCTGCTGCTCTGCACCAGGCAGAGCCTGCTGATTTGAGCTCCCAGAGCAGTTGCCATGCCCTTTTCTACACTCTGTGGGTGGTCTAGGATGGAACTCCCAGAGTTAACTCTGCCATCACCATTCTTGCTGTCCCTGCCCCTTCTTTCCTAAGGCCAGGGAGAGAATAAAGAGGCTGAGCATATTTGCAGCCTTCACAGGGGTGCCACAGCCACCCCACTAAGAGGTGGCCAGACTGTTTACTGTGCAACCCCACCCCTGCTGCTCCTCGCCAGGCAGGGCCCAGCACCTTGGGCTCCCAGGGTAGCCACCCTGTCCCCACCTGAACACTGTTCAATGGTGGCTTTATGTTCTTCTGGGACCAAATCGCCCACAGGTGGCTGATAAGCCCTTCATAACTGCTGCTGCTGTTGTTCCCATCCCTACTGCCCTCAGGCAAGGGAAGGAACAAGGAAACTGGGCACTTCTGTGCACCTGCAGCAAGGATGCCACAGCCTAGACACAGAGGAGCAGTGGACAGACTACCCACCACACAGCTCCCTACCTCTGATGATCCCTGCCAAATGGGGCTTGCCCAGTGCACCCACCGTGTTCTCATGTGCACATTTCAGCTGTGGTCCAGAGCCCTTCTGAAAATCCTAGCACCACAGGCCTGTGATCTTCCCTCTGGCTCCCACCACCTAAGCATTCCACCTGCCCCGACCTGAGAGTTCAGCAGGTGACCTGGGGACCAGCCCACCCCTCCCCATCATAGTCAGCACCTGAAGTCTGGGCTCACCCAACCAAGGTCCAGCCCCTTCAGGACACATACACATTGTCCAGTGGGCCATCTAGGGGCCTAGAAACTGGGGAACTAAATACCTCATTGCCAACTCTGCTGGCACCTGACCACTTCCCCAGGGCCTGAGGTTGGGTCAACCAAACCAGCTGACAATACCACAACCAACACACACCTGTACAGGGCCAAAGGTGGAGACCCCCCACACACTTTATATGAAGCAGCAGTCCCACTACATCAGAGAAGAAGCAAGCCATAAACCGATCTGTATCAGACCGAGTGAGAGGTTCTGCCCTAAAACCACTTCCATGGCCAGTGACAAAACAGAGACTTACCATGGCTCTCAATCACATTGGGGTCCAGAGATGGACTACAGTGTGCATCTGAACTAGGAGTCATGAGTCTTGGGACAGGGGTATGATAGGGAAACGGATCATAGTCCTGCCTATCTAGCATGGGGAGCCAGTGGAGCCTGCTCACCCCGGGGCAGAGACCTCAGTGCATTTCATTAGGAGCTCCTCCCAGCCACCTTTGTCAGGGCTGGTGCTTGCACTCACCATTGGGGTATTTGTGGGCAAGCCAGGGGCTCCAGTTCTGCTGAGCTGTGTCCCCCATGGAATAGGAACCTAAGGGTGCTGGGAACCCCGCTGTCCAGCCCTCCATTTGTAACAACAGAGAATATCTCACAGTAAATGAAGATCAGGTACAGATCCATCTGCTTGAGCCACAGCTGCCTCTTAAAAGCACTATCTAGTGGCCTCTAAGTCAAACCATACAGCCCAATATAAAGCCTGCTGACAGAAGTGCATAGAGCTATAGAAGCAAATCCAAAGGATTCTATGCAACGTACTCTATGGTCACACTCCCCTAGGGAGAGGGAAAAGGGAAAGAAATATACAGGGGAAGAAAAAAATCAATATTCATATGAAAATAATTACAAAAAGTAGGAGTATTAGCATCGCCAGATGAGAGTAAAACAACACAAGAATTCTGGCACTATGAAATATCATGACAGGATCAAACCTCCCCTATCAATATTAACTTTGAATGTAGATGGTCTCAACACCCCACTTAAAAGGCACAGAGTGGCAAGTTGGATAAAAAATAAAAAAAAAATTTAAAAAAAAAACAAAGATCCAACCACCTGCTGTCTTCAAGAGACTCATCTCACATGTAATGACACCAATAGACTCACATTCAAGGGTTGGAGAAAGATCTATCATGCAAATGGAAAACAAAAAAGAGCAAGGGTAGCTATTCTTATATTGGACAAAACAGACTTTAAACCAACAAAAGTAAAAAAAGGACAAAGAATGGCATTACAAAACCACAATGAGATACCATCTCACATTAATTAGAGTAGCTATTATTAAAACGTCAAAAAATAACAGATGTTCGTGAAGTTGCAGAGAAAAGGGAACACAATATGTTGTTGGTGGGAAGGTAAATTACTTCAGCCACTGTGGAAAGCAGTTTGGAGGTTTCTCAAACACCTAAAAATAGAACTACCATTCGACCAAGCAATCCCATTACTGGGTATCTACCTAAAGGAAAATAAGTTGTTCTATTAAAAAGACACCTGCACTCACATATTTATCACAGCACTGTTCACAATAGCAAAGACATAGAATCAACCTAGGAGCTCATCAGCGGTGGATTCGATAAAGAAAATGTAGTACATATACACCGTGGAACACGAGTCATAAAAAACAATAAAATTATGTCCTTTGCAGCATGTAGACACAGCCGAAGACCAATATCCTAAGCAAATTAACACTGAAACAGAATATCAAATACCAGATGTTCTCACTTACAAGTGGGAGCTAAACATTGGGTACACATGGATATAAAGCTGGGAATAACAGACACTGGGGCCTATTAGAAGGGGGATGTAGCGGGGGTTATATGGTTTGGCTCTGAGTCCCCACCCAAATCTCATGTTGCATTGTAATCCCAATGTGTTGAGGGAGGGACCTGGTGGGAAGTGACTGCATCATGGGGGTGGCCTTCCCCTTGCTGTTCTTTTGATAGAGTTCTCACCAGTTCTGATGGTTTAAAAGTGTTGCACTTCCCCGACTTGCTCTCTCCCTCTCCTGCCTCCATGTAAAACGTGCCTTGCTTCCCCCTCACCTTCCACCATCACTGTAAGTTTCCTGAGGCCTCCCCAGCCAAGTGGAACTGTGAGTCAATTAAACTTCTTTTATTCATAAATTATCCAGTCTCAGGTAGTTCTTTATAGCAGTGTGAGAACAGACAGGGGGGCAAGGATTGAAAAACTATTGGGCACTATGTTCACTACTTAGGTGACAGGATCATTCATACCGCAGACCTCAGCATCATGTGATATACACTTCTAACACTATTGCATATGTACCCCTGAATCGAAATGAAAGTTGAAATTTAAAAAAAGCAAAAAACAAAATGGAGGGAAAAATGATATGAATAAAAATAAAAATAAATGGGGTCAGAAAGTTGGGGGAAAAGGAATCTCAAAACATATGGTTAAACTGACCAAAATTAAACAACTTTTAAAGTTGTTTTAAAATTTGTATGGGGGTATTGAGCCTCAATATCAAAAAACCACTAACGCAAAATTAGAATTTGACTTTCTCTTTTGAAGAAGATTTTTATGTATTTTTAGTAATGGTAAAAAAAAGTGTTCATTTTTGAGTAAACTGCAATAAATGGTGGGGGGATAGAAGGAGAGAAATTATGCTTGCCTCATGTGGTATGGAAAACTGAATCTCCTCTCTGACAAAGGGTAGGATATTTTTCTTTTTGAAATCTTTTAATTATCACTTTGACTAATGAATGACTATTATTTTATAGCAACCTGTAATCTTATTTTGATAAAGTGTTTTAAATCTTTCCTATTTTGATAAAGTGTTTTAAACTTTTAATATGTCTCACAGTCTTCCCAACATCAAATTTCAAAATCCAAATTAAGCTCTTTTGAACTCAAACTAGCTTTGGGGTGTTACAGAGGGCTCCTGAAACATCCAAAAGAGAGATAATAAACAACCTGATTAGATATGTTAAGGAGGTTCATGAAAAGGATGAACGACTGACAGGTACTCTGAAATACGGACCTGTGCTGATTACTCAACAGGACGAGGTAAGAATTTTAAAACATCTCATAAACAAAACTGGACTCATGGAACTGCTAACCAAACGTCAAGCAGAACAAGAATCAAGTACATGAGATTGAACTGATGGAGGACTAAAATAACTTTATGACTTTTTTGGTCTCCCACTCACTTGACTTAAAATTACTAAAAATTAACCCTAAAAACTGAAGCTGGACAACTTGATATAAATTTTGGGAAAAATCACTACATTAACTATAATATAAACAGCCTTCATGCCTATTGATGTATGGCCTATTCAGAAAGTTCATGATTCAAACTCAATTTAGAAAAATCCATCAAATTGTCACTGCCTACCCACTCCAACTGCAAATGCTTTAGAGACTCTAGAAAAACCAGCTTATAGATGACTCCAGACATTAATCTTGGTTCTTCTTTTTTCTTCACAGAAAGGTCTCTTGTTGAAGATCTGTTTTTCTACACCATATATAGATGCCTAGCTTTGAGGCCCATCTGCAATGCCATCTCTTGAAATGAGACACAACTGTTGAACTGAACTGACCTGTGCTCTCAGGACTCAGGACTGAGTCAAGAAGATATGGGTGACTTGTTCCAATCTATGGGTTTTTTTCTTCCCCTTTACCAATCTCTTATCTCACAACCTCAACCCCAAATCTCTCCATAGCTACCAATCCTACTTTAATATGTGAAACTTTCTGAAAATAAAATTTCAAATGAGGAACTAAAGGAAACCAAAAATATTTCACCCCAAAATATACTTCTTTGACATATTTTGAGATGGCTATTCAGAGGGCCTACAGACAGAAATAGTCTTGCAAAGCTGCCTTTTGTGGAGGAGATTTGCATCTGTAGAGAAAAATCTACATTAGTGAAATAAATAGCCAGGCTTTCTCTGACAACGCCTCCCCTCCAGTCTGGATCTAGGAAAGACATTTATTCTTTCTGGGAGCTGCTACTAGTGAGATTGCATGTACATAACAAGATCGCCCTTGCTAGCCATGCCTTTCCCCTTCTCTCCCCCCCATAATCTCTTTTACCACACTCCAAGCCCCTATTCTTTCTACAACCTCAAGAAGGGATAAAAGTGTCAACCATCTGAGCCCTTTGTTCATATTTTCTATGAATCCCATGCATATGTGTATGTTAATAAATTTGGGATGCCTTTCTTTTCTCCTATTAATCTGCCTTTTGACAGTTGATTTTCAGCAAAACTTCAGAGGACAAAAGGGAAAAATTGGGGGAGTTTTAAACATTGCATTTGTTGAAAAGAAATCTTCTGGCCTGGCACGGTGGCTCACGCCTGTAATCCCAGAGTTTTGGGAGGCTGAGGCAGGAGGATTGCTTGCAGCCAGGAGTTCAAGACCAGCCTGGGCAACAAAATAAGACCCTGTCTCAACAACAACAAAATTTTAAATTAGCCAGGTGTGGTGGTGCATACCTATAGTCCTAGCTACTCAGGAGCCTGAGGCAGGAGGATCACTTGAGCCCAGGAGTTCAAGGCTTCGGTGAGCTGTGATCATGCCACTGCACTCCAGCCTGGGTGACAGAGTGAGACTGTTTCAAAAAATATATATAATTATTATAAAAATAAAATAAATAAATAAGAATCCCATACCTGTAGCCCATGTCAGTTAAAGTGAACTAGGCTATACTTGCCAAAACTTCTCTTATCGAGGCTGTAACAGTGTTTCTGCAGTTATTATCTAATACTATTAGACAACTACAAGGCATTTGACTAAAGTCCAAATACTAGACTCTTTTTGCCTTATCTTGCGTATTTCTGAGCCCAAATACCATCATCAATGATATGTCCACAAATATGAATATAGAGAATCAATATTTCAATTCCAAATTAACCAAGACATTGTTTTTTCCAATAAAAGTTTTGACTAAAGTATTTCTTTCTCTCCAATATGTTGATCTCCAAGTTTTTGCCAGAAATCAACTTATTTTCTGTCTATTCACAAAATGGAAAAAAGGTGATCCTACCAGGGGTATGACAGGATTTTTAGAATATGACAGAAAAAAATCTAAATAAATGTGTCACCTTCTATTAAAAAATAATACTGTTTTAAGGATAACCAATAATGTGGTGAAAGATGGCAAAATTCAGCTGCCTAATAAGTATAATGAAAACGAAATGAACATGTATTCTGTGTGATGAGAGCACTTATACTTATGTAACAGATTTAAGGATAAAAAGCAACGGAAGGACTGATTTTTAAAAAACATACTGACAATGTAAGATTTGTCAATGTTTGAAACTCTAAAAAGTAATGGGGAAAAGTATCACTTTTCCTAAAATTGTTCCTTATGCAAAAGATAAAGCTACAGCTATGATTAGTTGACAACATAGGTTAAGAGCAGCTTTTAAAAAGTAGCAACAGATGTTTTAGCAATTCACTATATTATTCCTTGACAACTAATTGCTAAGAATTATAGTGAGAAACTGAACAAATCAACAGATGGTTTTAGTTCTATTTACATAGTGAGAGTAACCCCTTGAATGATAGATTATTTTGTAAATGTTTGATGACACAAAGAAGAGTTTGTATATATTATGCTACAAAAGGAAATAAGTTGACCCTCCAAAGGAAATTATTTGACTTTTTCAGTTTAATATTTGATACCATTATTAAATACTATTATTGTTTTTTTAGTCTCTCAAATAAAAAATTAAGGAAATTAAAATATTATGAAGTTACATGAATCCCTTTCAAATAAGAACTTCCTTCATTTGAAGGTTAAATGAAGTCCTTCTTTAGGGAGAAGAAAAAGATTATTAAAGTAAAAGAAAGCTTAATGAAAGTTTATAGATAATTTTACATAATTTTAAAGGAGGCTTGCCCAGAGAATTTTCAGTTTCCATTCCTGCAGCAATTAGAAAATGACTGGTTTAAACTAATGATCTGAATATATACACTCTGAATTGGAAGCTGTTATAAAGATTTGATGACATTCAATGGTCTATATGATTTTTACAATACAATTTTCTGTGATTTACCCATTTTTAAAAAAGAAATGGAACATGTTAGCCATCATTTTCAGGAAGAATTAACTGAGCTAAAAATTGACTTTGAGAGGAAAGCATAAATTAACTAGTGTAACTATAAAAGGCTTACATCCATTAAGACTCTTATAGTTATTTTTTTTTGCAGAAAGAACCTAATTACTTATTTATAGCTTTCCAATTACATATTTGGTTGAAAAAGTTTTCACTGGAAAAGGGAAATTACCATAAAATATCAAAGCAATTACGCATATGAACAGAAGAAATGGGAGACTATTTTTTACAGATTTACAACAAAATTTTATTAAATTAACATACACATAAAATGCTGGAATATCATTGTTTTATTAATAAGATTGTTTATTAAATATTCCATGTTACTGTCACACTTTTAAAAATTTTTGTGAAGCATAAAGATATGAGCAACCTAAGGTACTGAAAGATGTATTTGGAAATTATTTGTCTTTGGGTTGCCTGTTGTTTTTCAGTCTCACTCCAATATTATGGCCAGAAGTCTGTGCCATACAACTTCTCTATTCTTGCTTGTGCTCCCATTACCTTTTCCAGTCCATCTTCTATTCCTCATTACTTACGTAAGGCTAGGATCTTCAAGGTCTTTTTCTTTTTTTACTCATAACTACATTAGTATGTTTCTCTAACTGATAAATACCTTAAAAAAAAATACAACCAGTACTCCATGTTCACATCTAAGACTACACGTTATTCAGGTCAAGTGTGAGAATTGAGTTAGCTATTCAAATCTTTTGTAACATTATAGATTTACTTTGTATGCTTGCTATTAATATACTTGTTATTGAAAGAGATATAATCTCACACCATAATTGTGTGATTTGTCTACTTATATCATTATTGCCTACTTATTATCATTAATTTGGCTTTATATATTTTGAAGCTGAAGTCATATTATTAGATAGATACATGAAACTTGTACAATTGCTTGTTGTACTGATCCTTTTAAAATTATGAAGCAACCCCCTCTATGTCAAGAAACACTTTTCCTAAAGTCTACTTTATCTGATATTAGCATACCTGTTGTTTTGTTGGTTAGAATTTGCATGATATATTTTTTATCCATTTATTTTCATTCTTTCTCTTTCTTTATATGTAAGATGTAGCTCTTGAATGTATTTGTATATGTTTTATTTTTTAAATTTAGCCTCACAATTCTTGATTTTGAATTCCATTTCTATTTAATATAACATATGTATTTGGGTTAGAGTCTACCATATTACTGTTTTTTTTTTTTCAATTTGGTCCACCTGTTTTATATTACCTTTTCTTCATTTTTGCCTTTCTTTGCATTAGTCAATTATGTTTAGCATTTCATTACTGCCCTTTACTAGCTTGTTATTTATACATAAATAGAAAATTTTACTCTGCTTTTACTGGGTATTAGGGATTATAACATGCATCATTGACTTTTATCATTTCCCAGACAGTTTCAGAATCTTACAACACTGTAACTGCATTCTTCACTTTCCTGCCTTTTGTGTTACAATTATCATGTATTTTAACTCTTCATATTTTAAATTTCACAAAACATTATTATTTATATTGTAAATAATTATTTATATTTGCCCATTTATTTACCCTTTCCATCTTTCTTGCACTTCAATGCTTTATCCTGAATCATTTTCCTTCTTTCTGAAGTTCGCTTTTGATTTTCCTTTTTTATTTTATTTTATTTTATTTTATTTTATTTTATCTCATTTCATTTTATTTGTCTATTTATTTAGAGACAGAGTCCCCCTCTGTCACCAAGGCTGAAGTGCAGAGGCACGATCTCGGCTCACTGCAACCTCCACTTCCTAGA
This sequence comes from Homo sapiens, assembly GCF_000001405.40. Classification (NCBI taxonomy): domain Eukaryota; kingdom Metazoa; phylum Chordata; class Mammalia; order Primates; family Hominidae; genus Homo; species Homo sapiens. Next base: position 17,750,104 of record NC_000007.14, read on the forward strand.
TTCAAACGATCCTCCCACCTCAGGCTCCCGAGTAGCTGGGACTACAGGTGTGCATCACTACACCCAGCTAACCGCTATATTTGTTTGTATTTTGTAGAGATGGGGTTTCATCATTTTGTCCAGGCTGGCCTGGAACACCTGGGCTCAAGTGATCCACCCACCTCAGCCTCCCAGAGTTCTGGGATTACAGGTGTGAGCCACCACGCCTGGCAGATTTTTTTTTTTTTTTTTTTCAGTGTGAGTCTAGTGAAAGTAGCAAATTGTATTTGTTTTTATCTATGAATATCTTTATTTTGCCTTCATTTTTGAAAGGCCTATTTATTGGATGTATAATTCTAGGTTGGTGGTTATTTCCTTTTAGGACTTTAAAGGTGTCATTTCATTGTCTTCCGGTTCTGTCGTTTCTGTGGAGAATTCAGCTGTCTTATTGTTACTCTGGTCTATTGTTATGTATTTTTTCTTTTGATTTCTCTGAATATTTTCTCTTAGTCTTTGTTTTTTAACAGTTGCGGTAGGACGTGCTGAGGTGTGATTTCTTTGTATTTTTCCTACTTGGGGTTTATAGAGCTTTTTCAATATGTGGATTGATAACTTTTATCTGTTTCAGAGAATTCTCACCCAGAATCATTTCCAATATTTCTTTTGTCCCATTCTATTCTACATTTTGGAGACTACTATTACACGATAGACCATTGTGCTGTCATGTACTTTCTAGTTTTTTCATCTCTGTCTGTGTATTTTCTCCTGATTTATCTTTCCGTCCAATAATCCTCCTGAGATTCCCAATCTGCTGTTACAAACTCATCTATAGAGTTATTTTTCATATGTGAACTTTCATTATTTTTTTACAAAGTTTTGATTTTGGTGAAATTCTCCATCTTACCTATTTTATTAAAATAACACTTATAGTTATCTTAAAGTCTATGCAGGAAAATTCCAATAACTGAATCACTTATGGGTTGGTTTCTAATATCTTTTTTCTTTTTTTTGGGGGGGGGTCATTTGTTTCTATTTTCTTGCACAATAAAATAAAGAATTGAATGATAGATTCTGGAGGTTACTTGAATCTCTGGCTGATGTTATATTCCTCCAGAAAGGATTTATTTTATCTTTTGTGGGTGGGTGGGAGTGAAGATAGGCAGTTATAGTACAGACAGATGATCATAATAAAATGTGGGCTCTAACTGTATCAAAGCCAGGTTTCAGTCTTTATAAAGGCTGGTATTTTTCCAATTTTCCCTCTCTCCTAGGCTCTAGCCCCTTCTGGCATCGTTACTGGAAATGTGGGTGTTTCCAGTGTCACTCTACCTTGATGGGCCTTGAAACCTCACTTTTATTTCCCTACCCTTGTGAGAGAGCTCAAAGCTCTACTCAGTTTCCAGCTTCTCAGCAGCAGCTGTTTGGCTTCTTAGCTTCTTGGTTTGGTTTCACAAATCAACTAATGTTTTTGGAGGAAAAGTACACACCTCAGTGACTTCCCTTCTCTCTGGGATCATGGTACCACAATTTCTGATTGCTTTGGTAGTAGGTCAGTGTCTTCAAACTAGTGTTCATTTGTTTTAGCTAGCATTTCTGTACTCAGTGGACAATGTGGTGTGGCTTCAATAAACTACTGTTGCCAGAATTCAAACGCAGTGCTGTGGCTTTAGCTTCAGGATGGACTCATCCCTTCTCTACCCTATCTCTAATAATATTTGCGTTATATATCTGGGTGAACCAATGTTGTGTGTATGTATATTTAAAATTATAATATCTTCTTGCTGAATTGACCCCTTTATCATTATATAGTGACTTTCTTTGTCTCAGAGTTTTTGTCTTGAAATCTATTTTGTCTGATATAAGTATAGCTCCTACTGCTCTTTTTTTATTTCCATGTGCATGGAATACCTTTTTTTACCCCTTTATTTTCAGTCTGTGTCTTTATAGGTGAAGTGTGTTTCCTGTAGGCAACAGATCACTGGGTCTTGTTTTTTTAATCTGTTCAGTTACTCTGTGATTTGGAAAGTTTAGTCAATTTACACTCAGTGTTATTATTGATAAGTAAGGACTTACTCCTGCCATTTTGTTATTTGTTTTCTGGGGTTTTTTTTGTTTTTTTTTTTTTGTGGTCTTCTCTTCCTTTCTTCGTTCCTTCCTGTCTTCCTTTTAGTGAAGGTGATTTTCTATAGTGATATGATTTAGTTTCCTGCTGTTTATTTTTTGTGTATCCATTGTATATTTTTTGGTTTGAGGTTACCATGAGGCTTGCACATACTACCTTATAACCCATTATTTTAAGCTGATAACAATAATGTTTGCATAAACTACTGCCTGTGTTCACTTAAGGCCTTGGGGCTCTTCAATCAGCAGGTGGCAAAGCCATCCAGGCCTGTGGCCTTCCCTTCTGGGCAGTGAGTTCTCCTAGGCCCTATGTGGGTCCAGAGGTGCCATCTGGGAGCCAGGGACTAGAGCCAAAAACCTTAGAAGTCTAGCTGGTGCTCTAATGTACTGTGGCCAAGCTGGCTTTCAAACCACAGGATTCAGTCCTTCCAACACCCCACTCTTTTCTTTCCAAAGTCAGAGGAGCAGGCCGGGTGCGGTGGCTCATGCCTATAATCCCAGCACTTTGGGAGGCCAAGGCAGGCGGATCACAAGGTCAGGAGATCGAGACCATCCTGGCCAACACGGTGAAACCCCGTCTCTACTGAAAATACAAAAATTAGCCGGGCGTGGTGGTGGGCGCCTGTAGTCCCAGCTACTCGGGAGGCTGAGGCAGGAGAATGGTGTGAACCCGGGAGGCGGAGCTTGCAGTGAGCCGAGATCACACCACTGCACTCTAGCCTGGGCGACAGAGTGAGACTCCGTCTCAAAACAAAACAAAAAGTCAGAGGAACCTCACCCCATGGGCCTCCACCAAGGGCCCACGGGAAGTATTGCTACACTACCACTGATGTTCCGGTAAGGCCCAAGGGCTGTTCAGTCAGCTTGTGGTGAATGCTGCCTGGCCTGGGACTCACATGTCAGGGCAGTGGGCTACCCTCTGGCCTAAGGCAGGTACAGAAATGCCATCCAAGAGCCAAGTTCTGCAAATGGGGCCCCAAGAGCTCGCTTGGTGCTCTAGCCGCCTGTGGCTGAGCTGGTAACTAAGGTGCAAGACAAAGTCCCCTTTACTTTTCCCTGCACTTTTCTTCTGCGGGAGGAGTCTTGCCTTATAGGGAATGTGCTGAGTCTCATCTGAAGCCAGAAAGCCCCGGAGTCTCATCCAAGGCCCACAGTGTACTACCTGGGTGTCCCTGCTGGTTATTCAGGATGCAAGGGCTCTTCAGTTAGCAGGTGATGAATCCTGCCAGGACTGAGTCCTTCCCTTCAAGGTAATGGGTTTCCTTCTGGCCCAGGGCATGTTTAGAAATGTCATCTGGAAGCTAGGGCCTGGGAAGGGGGCCCTCACAACTCTGACTGGTGCCCTACCCTGCTATGGCTGAGCTGGTATTCAAGGTGCAAGATAAAGTCCTTTCTACCCTTCTCTCTCCTCTCCTCAAGTGGAAGGAAGGGGTCTCTTTTGGAGCTGTGAGCTGTGCAGCCTGCAGTTAGGGAAGGGGTGATGCCAGCACTCACTAAGCTGCCCTGCTGGAGTCTCAGTGGGTTGTGTGACCTTTCTGTCCACTGGCTCTGGGGCCAGTTCAACACCAGAACTCATCTAGGAGTTGCAGTCCTTGTGACCCAGACTGCCATTCAACGTTATTTAGGGCCACAGAGCACTTTAGCCCATGGTGGCAAGGCGTGTAGGAACTCAAGCTCCAATGGCTGGGGTTGGTGATTCCCCTCTTGTTGGGGCTGGTTTAAATGCTCCCTACATAAGCAGGTGTCAGCTGAGTTTGGCCTGGTTTTGCTTTCCGCTATAACAAGGCAGCACTGTGTTCTGTGCCTCACAACTGCTGTGTTCTCCCTCTCCCCAGTGCACAGAATTACCCTCTGCACCACACCACTGCTGCTGGCAATGAAGGAGGAGAGGCACTGGCGATCCAAGGCTTTTTTCTACCTCTTCAATGCCTCTTTCAGTGACATGAAGTTAAAACCAGATACTGTGAGTGCTCACTTGATTTTTGATTCTTATACAGGTACTTTTTTGGTGTGTAGATAGTTGTTAACTTGGCATTCTTGTGGGGCAACAATCAGTGACGCCTTCTGTTCCACCATCTTGCTCTACTGCAACTCCTGCCCTATCTATCAATATTGTGCATCAGGATCCTATAAATGTACTTCCTTACAGAGTGGTTCTTCATGTTGGGGCTCAGAAAACAATACCCCAAATATGGCACTTTCACATGCTGAACTAAAGAAGCAGCCTCAAGGTCTCTCTGACCTTCCCTTGCCTTCCTTTCTCACTAATCTTCTTTCCCAAAGCACCAGGAGGGACTCTCTGGAATTTCCCTATCTGACTAAGAAAACTTCTTTCCAAAATAAATGTAATCATCTTAAAACTCCTCTCTCTAGGAATTTCATCAAGTAACCAGGAATGATTAACCAGCAAAGAAGAGAAGAGACTGGGAGTTATCTCCACACTCAAATAAACTTTCCTCTATTCTTCTGAGGGTAGGTCCAAGAGATTATCTGGGTGGTTTTATCTGCATAAAAGACCTTTGCTCACAGTGAAGTTCTGTCCCTCACCTGCCTACCACCTCCCCCAGTGCTCAGAGGAACTTCATTCAAGGCCATGATTCTTTGGGTTCATTCATTTCCTCTGAAAATCAGTTACTCCTACAATCTCCCCTTCCCTGATGAAGAAGAGTTGGGTTGCTGGGTAATCATTCTCCTGTGATTATCCTGTGCTATGCTTAAATAAATGGCTTTTTTTCTCCCATTAATCTGTCTGTTGTTGGTTCATTTTCAGCACCTTCAGAGGGCAGCTTTCTTTCAGCCCCTACACTCAGTTCAGCCTACTAATTTCAGTTTATCAAGTGACTTTTTGACTCTCACCCTTTGGACTAGGGGGTTTAGCATACACAGCATTCATAGTTATGGTAAAAAGGTATTTCCATTCAGGGCCTAATACAAGATCCTATCTTGCACTTAAGATTTAATAATGAATTACACTGTTGAAATATCTCAAGAAGCTTGAAGGCTATGAAAGATTCCATCTCTAAGGTTCACAGAGTTATCACAACTTTAATGGTAATAATATATTTGTATCATACTTCATAATTATATTCTCATCTATTTTTACAGTAATTTCTTATAGGGTAAATGAGACATAGAGATTAAATTTCCTGGTTACATGGCTAGTTAGTGACAGCCAGTACTGCAAATTTCTTTAACAATCTTTCCACCATATTCAACTATACTATATTTTTTGAATTGCAAATGTAGTCTATTCAGTGGTCTCTGAAAATTTTTCTATTTCAATAGATCTAAATAAGAGTTCTGCAAGGTTATTACCTAATGGTAGTCACTTTAGGGGGCATCACATGAAAAGTGGCCTGGTGGTTCTCAAACTTCAGCCTTTATTCCCTTTGTAATTCTTACCACACCTCCTGGTTAGGCTTCTGCAACTCTGATTTTACTGATATTCTAGCACATGGAAGTGGAAAGTGGTGAATCCCATTTGTTTCAGTCTCCTAACATTTTCTGATTCTCTCAGTAGGGCCCCACATTTCCTTAAGCAACTTAACTGCCTTTAGCTATAATTTCAGAATGTAAGTGAAATCCTTAGTTGAGCAATATGAACTAGCCGTATGTGTCCCCCTTTTCCTTTTGAATGGAATTCATTGGCCTCTGCAAATGCCTTTGCCTCTCTTTGAGGATCATATAAACTTAGGCTGACATTTTCCTGAAAATTAAGAATCTCTCTCTAAATAAGTGGGCATCCATAAAGACTGAAAATCCTTAATTGGGCTTGAATTCAGTATTCTAGCATTCACATCTGTGTGAAGAGTGATCAAGTTGAGAGTTCTCACCCCAAGTCTTGATGGTAACATTCAAAGGAAAACCTTAAGAATTCTTTCAGCATAAGCAGTAGTTTTTATTAAGTCGTGGTGTCCACATGTGAGTGCCAACATGAAAAGGTTCTCTTAAGTTCATTTGACAATGTTCTTTGGCCGGAAAGTAGGACATGCCTAGCACTATTAATGTCAATTTATGCTTTTTCTACATTTTCTCTATTTGGTTTTGTTTTTTTTGTTTTTTTTTTTTTTTTTACCTCTGTCACTATGTTCATATGATAACCGGTTAGTCAGTAAATAACATTGCTAAAAGCATATGATCAAATATATAGTTGGACTTCTAACACTAACTCTTCAAAAACTGAGAACCATTTCCCTCATTCCTTCCTGACCCCAATGCCCAGACATTGCCATCAGGCTCAGCAAAAAAAGCAAAGAAAATAGATACTGCATGCGATGGGTTAGGAGAACTTGTGAGCCAATGTGGTCTCCTGGGAACACACAAAAGGGAAAAATTTTTAATAAGTGATTGGTATTTTTACGCTTTTTAAAGAAAGTTCAGTTTTCACTTTTATCAAGGTCTCCAATTACATGGATGGAGGCGGTAACAAGCAGAATAGTTACGTGTGAAACCCCTTCAAAGTAAAAATGTGTTTTGCTTATTTATGGATATCCTGAGAATTTTAATATTTTCTAGAGGGAGGAATACACCTCTAAAAAAAGAATATGAATTCATACAAAGAGTGGGAATAGGCAGTTATATGTGGTGGGAAAAGTGTCAAATATATATTTTTATATTTCAATGTCCTACCATTTAGCATAAGAGGTTTCTGTCCGTTTGTCCAAGATGTTTCCTTAATCCCTACTAAGAGTTAATCCACTTAACCTTGAATAAAAAAGATTTATTCTTTCTCGTTTATGCAGATCAAGTTGAGCATTTCTCTTGAAAATCAACTAATATTTTTAGGATATGTCTCAAAACAAAATTTTTTCCATCTAATTCCTTTTTTGGATCAACCTACCTCTTCTTCCCAGTTAGAATAAAGAATTTCAGTCTCATGTAGACATCCCCCATCATAAAAGCAGAAAATAGTCTGTAGAAATTCGTGAAGATAGGAAAAATGATTAGCAGGATCCAAAGCCTGACTTTCAAAAATTCTAGGATTTCTGTCAGTGAACATTTACTGGGTATGTTCCCAGTGTATGCTTACTAAAAAGTACCACAAAGTGGAGAGAATAGCTTATAAGTTGATTCTTGCCCTAGCAGAATTTTAGATTTGCAAGAAAGCTCACTGACAAAAAACTAATATTCTGTCCTTCTATATATAAAAAAACTAACTTAAAATTTATAAACTCTAAAACATCACAATCTTTATTTCTGAGGACCTGTGTAGATTCATGCTAGAAAGCACTAATAAAAATTTTTTGACCATAATATTTCCACCACTGCTAAAAATTTACAGTACAAATTAAGGATTTATTTTAACCCTTTTAAAAAAGATTAGTCTGGCAGTACAGGGAGGGAAAAAGTAATGATACAAATGTCAACGAAAATTTTGTGATCTGTTGATTTGAGATATGTATTCTAAGACTGGGGTTGTTTTTATGCTTCGTGTAAAATGGTGCTGTTATGAAACAGTAGAGAAGGAAAAGCGAGCTGGCTTATTTCCTTTAATAATGAAGTATTTTCTTCCTAAAACATGGCAGTCCCAAAGATATTGATAGCAAGTCTACAGTATATCATGTATTGATTGTATTATCCCGTTTATGTAAAATTGTATAAGACTATCTCTACATGTATGTAGGCTCAGAGTCAAATAATATCTGGGATTATGTTAATCAAAGTATAAAACAACAGTTTTCTCTGGTGGAAAGGTTTGGGATGATTCTACTTAAAACTTCATATTTTTTCTTGATTGTTTAAGTTGCTCCAAAAAGGACAAATTATTTTTACCAATGTAATCAAAGCATGTATCAGATCCCCCTACATGAAAATATTGCTTCTCCGGCCAGTGTTGTGGTCCTAGACTTAAAGCAAGGCACTCTGAGCTCTACAGACAATGACCAGGGTTCGGCTTCTTGCATACAGCAGCCCACTGCTCACTAAGTTCCCTCGTTAACACTGCCTATTTACAGAAACCTACCAGTTATCACCAGATTCCATGCTCTTATCCTTCCCTGCTGATAACAATCACCAGACTATGATATTCAGTTTTTGACTCAGTGTGTCTGGTGTGGAGCATAGATATTTGCATTTGAATAAGATCATCAGGTGATGGTGAAACATAATCAGGTTTCAAAGCATCTGGACTCAGCATATCCCAGTAAATGTTCTCTGCAATGGAACAGAGCTTTCTGTGCCCTACACATCAGTTTGCTTCATCAAAGTCTTAGCAACCAATGAATAGCTTCAGAATCCTGAAACTACACCTTAATGAAATAGCGAACCAGAATCATGTCAGAATAATCTTTCATAGAAGCCAGGCATGACCATTAAGAAATGGCTCCCTCCCTGGCAGATCTAAGACTATAAGGCTATTTTAAAAGCTAATACAGGTTCTCTCTCTAGCACCATGTTTTAAGACCATGATGTTCTAAGGTCTTACAATATGAGAACATCATGGTCAAGAATCTAGGCTTTGACTTTCACCACACTTATTCAACATAGTACTAGAAGTCCTAGACAGACCAATCAGGCAAGAGAAAGAAATAAAGGCCATCTAAATCGGAAAAGAGGAAGTCAAACTATCTGTCAATGATATAATCTTATACCTCAAAAACCCTAAAGATTCCTCCAAAAGACTCTTAGGTTTGATAAATGAATTCAGAAAGGTCTCAGGTTACAAAATCAACATACATAAATCAGTAGCACTGCTATACACCAATAACAACTAAGCTGAAAATCAAATCAAGAACTCAATTCCATTTACAATAGCTGCAAAACAAAACAAAACAAAGAATCCCTAGGAATATACTTAAGCAAGGAGGTGAAAGATCTCTACAAAGAGAACTACAAAACACTGATGAAAGAAATCACAGATGACACAAAAAATGGAAAAACATTCTATGCTCATGGATTGGAATAATTAATATTGTAAAAATGACCATATAGTCCAAAGCAATCTACAAATTCAATGCAATTCCTATCAAAATATCAAAGTCATTTTTCACAGAATTAGAAAAAAAAAAACCCTAAAATTTATATGGAAACACACAATTCCCTGAATAGCCAAAGCAATCCTAAGCAAAAATAACCAATCTGAAAGCATCACGTTACCTGATTTGAAATTACACTACAAAGCTATAGTAACCCAGAGAGTATGGTACTGGCATAAAAGTAGACACATAGAGCAATGGAACAGAACTGTAAACCCAAAAATAAGGCCAAATCCTACAACCAACTTATCTTTGACAAAGCAGCCAAAAACAAACAAACAAAAAACACTGGGGAAAGAACACCCTGTTCAATAAATGGTGCTGGGAAAATTGGATAGCCACATGCAGAAGAATGAAACTGGATCCCTATCTCTCACCATATGCAGAAATTAACTCAAGATGGATTAAAGACATAAACGTAACACTTAAAGACACAAACATTCCAGAAAGAGCAGGGTGCGGTGGCTCAGCCTGTAATCCCAGCACTCTGGCAGGCCGAGGTGGGAGGACAGCTCGAGCTCAGGAGTTCAAGACCAGTGTGGACGACACAGGGAGGCCCTTGTTTCTACAAAAAAAAAAAAAAATTTTTTTTTTAAATTAGTTGGGTGTCGTGGCACATGCCTGTAGTCCCAGCTACTTGGGTGAGTGGTGGGAGGATTGGTCGAGCCCGGAAGGTTGACGCTGCAAAGAGCCATGATGACCCCACTGCACTCCAGGCTGGGTGATAGAGAGGGACCCTATCTCACAAACAGACAAAAAAGAATTCTAGAAGAAAACCTAGGAAAAACTCTCCTAGATATTGGCCTAGGCAAATAATTTATGACTAAGACCGCCAAAGCAAATGCAACAAAAACAAAAATAAATAAATGGAACTTAATTAAACTAAAAGCCTTCTGCACAGCAACAGAAATAATCAACATAGTAAATAGACAACCGACAGAATGGGAGAAAATATTTGCAAATTATACATCTGACAAAGGACTAATATCCAGAATCTACAAGGAACTCAAAGAAATCAGCAAGGAAAAAAAGCCAAACAATCCCATTTTAAAAGTGGGCAAAAAACATGAACAGACATTTCTCAAAAGACATATAAAGGGCCAACAAACATGAAAAAATGCTCAATATCACTAATCCTCAGAGAAATGCAAATTAAAAACACAATGAGATACCACCTTACCCTAGTCAGAATGCCCATTATTGAAAAATCAAAAAACAATAGATGTTGGCGCAGATGTGGTAAAAAGGGAATGCTTACACACCATTGGTGGGAATGTAAATTAGTATAACCTCTATGGAATACAGTATGGAGATTTCTCAAAGAACTAAACGTAGATCTACCATTTGATCCAGTAATCCGACTACTGGGTATCTACCCAAAGGAAAAAAGGTCATTATACCAAAAAGACACCCACATGCATATATTTATTACAGCACAATTCACAGTTACAAAGATATGGAATCTACCTGAGTGCCTAACAACTGATGAGTGGACAAAGAAAATGTGGTGTATACATACCATGGAATACTACTCAGCTATAAAAATGAACGAAGTAATGTCTTTTGCAGCAACTTGGATGAAACTGGAGGCCATTATCCTAAGTGAAGTAACTCAGGAACAGAAAACCAAATACCTCATGTTCTCACTTACAAGCTAGAGCTAAGCTATGGGTATGCAAAGGCATACACAGTGTTATAATGGACATTGGAGGCTCAAAAGGGAGGAAGGTGGGAGGAGGGTGAGGGACAAAAAATCATCTGTTGGGTAAAATGTACACTATTCAGGTGATGGGTAGACTAAAATCCGAGACTTCACCACTATAAAATTCACCCATGTAACCAAAAACCACTTGTACCCCTAAAGCTATTGAAATTTTTAAAATAATAAAAAGGAAAGAGAAGCAGGAGAAGACAGTAAGTGAAGGAGCCAAGGTTCCACCCAAAGATTAAAATAAAAGCCCAGACATTAAAAGTTTTTTCAAAAAGAGCAATCCAGGTTTTGGAGTTGACAAACCGCTTTTGAATACTAGCCATAGTGGCCTTCAGCAAGCCTCAGTTACTTTATCTATTAAGTAGAAATAATATTTACTTCCTAAACTTTTAAAGTTTTCATTTTCAATAACTGTATTGAGATATAATTCACACAGTATAAAATGCACACATTTAAAGAACACAGCTCAATGGTTTTTAGGACAGGTATATTGCAGATACTGCAAGTTGGGTTCCTGACCACCGCAATAAAGCAAGTATCATAGTAAAGCAAGTCACACCAACTTTTTGGTTTCCCAGTGCATATGAAAGTTACATTTGCACTATACTGTAGCCTATTAAGTGTGCAATAGCATTATGTTTAAAAAGATGTACAAACCTTAATTTAAAAATACTTTATTGCTAAAAAGAAGCTAACAGTCACCTGAACCTTTAACAAGTTGTAATCTTTTTGCTGGTAGAAGGTCTTACCTCCAATGTAGATGGCTGCTGACTGATTAGGCTGGTGTTTTCTGAAGGCTGGGGTGTCTGTGGCATTTTCTCAAAATAAGACAACAATAAAGTTTGTCATACCGATTGAGCCTTCCTTTCACAAAAGGTTTTTCTGTAGCATGTAATGTGGTTAACTTGCTGATAATATTTGACCCACAGTAGAACTTCTTTCAAAGTTGGAGTCAATCCTCTCCAACCCTGCTGCTGCTTTATCAACTAAGTTTATGTAATACCCTAAAGCATTTGTCACTTCAACAATATTCACAGCATCATCACCTGTAGATTCTATTTCCATAAATCACTTTCTTTGCTCATCCATAAGAAGCAACTCCTTATCCATTCAAGTTTGAGCACGAGATTATAGCAATTCAGTCACATTTTCAGGCTCCACTTCCAATTCTAGTTCTTTTGCTGTTTCCACTACATCTGCAGTGAAGTCTTGAATACCTCAAAGTTATCCATGAGAGTTGAAATCAATTCTTCCAAACTCCTCTGAATGTTGATATTTTGAGCTCCTCCCATGAAGCATGAATATTCATCATGGAATTTAGAATGATTAATCCTTTCCAGAATTCAATTTACTTTGCCCAGATTTGTCAAATAAACCACTATCTATGGCAGCTATAGCCTTATGAAATGCATTTTTAAAATAATAAGACTTGAAAATCGAAATAACTTCTTGATCCATGAGCTACAGAATATATATTGTATCTGGAGGCATGAAAACAACATTAATCTTCTTGTACATCCCCATCAGAGCTCTTGGGTGACCAGGTCCATTGTCAATGAGCAGTAATATTTCTAAAGGAATCTCCTTTTCTGAGCAGCAGTTCTCAACAGCGGGCTTAAAATATTCCAATAAACTGTGCTATAAACATATACTGTCATTCAGTCTTTGTTGTTCCATTTCTAGAGCACAGGCAAAATTGACTTAGCATAATTCTTAAGGGCTTTAGGATTTTCAGAATAGTAAGTTAGCATTGGCTTCAACTTAAAGTTGCCAGCTACAGTAGCCCCTAACAAGAGAATCAGCCTGTCCTTTGACACTTTCGAGCCAGGCATTGACTTGTCCTCTTCAGCTATGAGAGTCTAGCTAGCATCTTCTTCCAATAGAAGGCTGTTTCATCTACATTGAAAATCTGTTGTTTAGTGTAGATGCTTTCAACCGTGATCTTAGCTAGATCTTCTGGAGAACTTGCTGTAGCTTCTATATCGGCACTTGCTGCTTCACCTTGTACTTTTATGTTATGGAGATGGCTTCTTTCATTAAACCTTCTGAGCCAACCTCTGTTAGCTTCAAACTTTTGTTCTGCAGCTGCCTCCTCTCAGCCTTCATAGAATTGAAGAGAGGTATAGCCTTGCCCTGGATAAGGCTTTAGCTTAAGGGAATGTTTTGGCTGGTTTGATCATCTATTCAGACCATTCGAACTTTCTCCATATGAGCAATAAGGCTATTTCACTTTCTTACCATCTGTGTGTTCACTGGAGTAGCAATTTTAATTTCTTTCACAATTTTTTCCTTTGCATTCACAATTTTGCTAACTGTTGCAAGAGGCCTAATTGTAGCCCTATCTTAGGTTTTGACATGCCTTTCTCACTAAGCTTATCATTTCTAGCTTTTGATTTAAAGTGAGAGTTGTGTGACTCTTTCACTTGGACACTTAGAAGTCACTGCTTAATTTCAATATTGTGTGCATGAGGAGAGGGAAAGAGATGGAAGAATGGTTGGTTGGTGAAACAGGCAGAAGACATGCAACATTTATCGATTAATTTGGCTGTCTTATAATGATACAGTTCATGACACTCCAAAACAACTGCAATTGTAACATGAAAGATCACTGATCACAGATGACCATAACAGATATAATAACAATAATGTCCTCACATTTCAATACCAACATTGAATGTAAATGGCCTAAATATTCCATTTAAAAGATACAGAACTGCAGAATGGAAAAGAACTCACCAACCAACTATCTGCTGCCTTCAGGAGACTCACCTAACACATAAAGACTCACATAAACTTAAAGTAAAGGGGTGGAAAAAGGCATTTCATGCAAATGGACACCAAAAGTGAGCTGGAGTAGCTGTTCTTATATCTGACAAAACAAACTTTAAAGCAACAGCGGTTAAAAGAGACAAAGAGGGACATTATATATTGGTAAAAGGCCTTGTCCAACAGGAAAATATCACAATCCTAAACATATATGCACCTAACACGGTAGCTCCCAAATGTATAAAACAATTACTAATAGACCTAAGAAATGAGATAGCAACACGATAATAGTTGGGGACTTCAATACTCCACTGACAGTAGTAGACAGGTCATTAAGACAGGAAGTCAACAAAGAAACAACGGATTTAAACTATACCTTGGAACAAATGGCCTTAACAGATATATACAGAACATGTCATCCAACAACCACAGAATATGCATTCTATTCAACAGTGCCTGGAACTTTCTCCAAGATAGACTGTATAACAGACCATAAAACAAGCCTCAATAAATTTAAGAAAATTGAAATTATATCAAGCACTCTCTCAGACCACAGTGGAATAAAACTGGAAATCAACTCCAAAAGGAACCTTCAAAACCATGCAAATACATGGAAATTAAATAACCTGCTCCTGAATGAGCATGGGGTCAAAAACGAAATCAAGATGGAAATTTAAAAATTCTTCAAACTGATTGACAATAATGACACAACCTATCAAAACCTCTGGGATTTAGCAAAGGCAGTGCTAAGAGGAAAGTTCATAGCCCTAAATGCCTACATTGAAAAATCTGAAAGAGCACCAACAGACAATCAAAGGTCACACCTAAGGAACTAGAGAAACAAAAACAAACCAAACCCAAACACAGCAGAAGAAAGGAAATAATCAAGATCTAAATGAAATTGAATGCCCCCCCCAAAAAATACAAAAGATAAATGAAACAAAAAGCTGGTTCTTTGAAGAGATAAATAAAATTGATAAACCATTAGCAAGATTAACCAAGAAAAGAAGAAAGAAAATCCACATAACCTCACTAAGAAATGAAACAGGAGATGTTACAACTGACACCACTGAAATACAAAAGATCATTCAAGGCTACTATGAACACCTTTACACATATAAACTAGAAAAACCTAGAAGAGAGGGATAGATTCCTGGAAAAATACAATCCTCCTAGCTTAAATCAGGAAGAATTAGATCCCCTGAACAGACCAATAACAAGAAGCAAGATTGAAATGGTAATTTAAAAATTAGCAAAAAAAAAAAAAAAAAAGGCTAGGACCAGATGGATTCACAGCAGAATTCTACCAGACATTCAAAGAATTGGTACCAATCCTTTTGACACTACTCCACAAGACAGAAAAAGAAGGAAACCTCCCTAATTCATTCAATGAAGCCAGTATCACTCTAATACCAAAACTAGGAAAGGACATAACCAAAAAAGAAAACTACAGACTGATATTCTTGATAAACATAGATGCTAAAATCCTTAGCAAAATACTAGCTAACCAAATCCAACAATATATCAGAAAGATAAACCACTACGATCAAGTGGTTTTCATACCAGGGATGCAGGGATGCAAGTCAATAAATGTGATACATCACATAAACAGAATTAAAAACAAAAATCACATGATCACCTCAACAGATGCAGAAAAAGCATTTGACAAAATCTAGCATCCTTTATGATTAAAACTCTCAGCAAAACTGGCATAGAAGGGACGTGCCTTAATGTAATAAATGCCATCTATGACAAACCCACAGCCAACATACTACTGAATGGGGAAAAGTTGAAAGCATTCCCTCTGAGAACTGGAACAAGACAAGGACGCCCACTCTCACCACTCCTCTTCAACATAGTACTGGAAGTCCTAGCCAGAGCAATCAGACAAGAGAAAGAAAGGGCATCCAAATCGGTAAAGAGGAAGTTAAACTGTCACTGTTTGCTGACGATATTATAGTTTACCTTGAAAACCCTAGGGACTCCTCTAGAATGCTCCTAGAACTGATAAAAGAATTCAGCAAAGCTTCCAAATACAAGATTAATGTACACAAATCAGTAGCTCTTCTATACAGCAACAGCGACCAAGCAGAGAATAAAAACAACTCAACCCCTTTCACGACAGCTGCAAAAAAAAAAAAACAACTTAGGAATACACATAACAAAGGAGTCGGAAGACTTACAAGGAAAACTACAAACTACTGTTGAAAGAAATCATAGATGACACAAAGAAATGGAAGCACATCCCATGCTCATGGATGGGTAGAATCAATATTGTGAAAATGACCATACTGCCAAAAGCAATCTACAAATTCAACACAATCGCTATCAGAATATCACCATCATTCTTCAAAAAATTAGAAAAAACAATTCTAAAATTCATATGGAACCAAAAAAGAACCTGCATAGCCAAAGCAAGACTAAGCAAAAAGAACAAATCTGGAGGCATCACACTACCTGATTTCAAACTATACTATAAGGCCATAGTCACCAAAACAGCATGGTACTGGTATAAAAACAGGCACACAGACCAATGGGGCAGAATAGAGAACCCAGAAATAAACCCAAATACTTACAGCCAACTGATCTTCAACAAAGCAAACAAAAACATAAAGTGGGAAAAGGACACCCTTTTCAACAAATGGTGCTGGGATAATTGGCTAGCCACATGTAGGAGAATGAAACTGGATCCTCATCTCTCACCTTATACAAAAATCAACTCAAGATAGATTAAGGACTTAAACCTAAGACCTGAAACTATAAAAATTCTAGAATATAACACTGGAAAAAACCCTATTAGACATTCGCTTAGGCACGGATTTCATGACCAATAACCCAGAAGCAAATGCAATAAAAACAAAGATAAACAGCTGGGACATAATTAAAGAGCTTTTGCATGGCAAAAGGAACAGTCAGCAGAGTAAACAGACAACCCACAGAGTAGGAGAAAATCTTCACAATCTATACATCTGACAAAGGACTAATACCCAGAATCTACAATGAACTCAAACAAATCAGTAAGAAAAAAACAAAAGATCCCATCAAAAAGTAGGCTAAGGACATGAATAGACGATTCTCAAAAGAAGATATACAAATGGCCAACAAACATACAAAAAAATGCTCAGCATCACTAATGATCAGGGAAATGCCAATCAAAACAACTATGTGATACCACCTCACTCCTGCAAGAACGTCCATAATCAAAAAATCAAAAAACAGTAGATGTTAGTGCGGATGCAGTGAACAGGGAACACTTCCACATTGCTGGTAGGAATGTAAACTAGTACAGGCACTAAGGAAAACAGTGTGGAGGTTCCTTAAATAACTAAAAGTAGAACTACCATTTGACCCAGCAATCCCACTACTGGGTGAAAAGAAGTCATTATTCAAAAAAGATACTTGCATATGAATGTTTATAGCAGCACAAGTTACAATTGCAAAATCGTGGAACCAACCCAAATGCCCATCAATCAATGAGTAGATAAAGAAACTGTGGTACATATATACAATTGAATACTACACAGCCATAAAAAGGAATTAATTAACAGCATTTGCAGTGACCTAGATGAGATTGGAGACTATTATTATTATTATTATTATTTTTTTTTTTTTTTTGAGACAGAGTTTCACTCTTGTTTCCCAGACTGGAGTGCAATGGTGTGGTCTTGGCTCACCACAACCTCTGCCTCCCGGATTCAAGTGATTCTCCTGCCTCAGCCTCCCAAGTAGCTGGGATTACAGATGCCCACCACCACACCTGGCTGATTTTTGTATTTTTAGTAGAAGTGGGGTTTCACCATGTTGACCAGGCTGGTCTAGAACTCCTGACCTCAGGTGATCCGCCCACTTTGGCCTCCCAAAGTGCTGGGATTACAGGCGTGAGCCACCACGCCTGGCCTTGGAGATTATTATTCTAAGTGATGTAACTCAGGAATGGAAACCAAACATCGTATGTTCTCACTGATATGTGGGAGCTAAGCTATGAGGATGCAGAGGCATAAGAGTGATACAATGGACTTTGGGGACTTGGGGGGAAGGGTGGGAGGGGGGCGAGGGATAAAAGATTATAAATATGGTGCAGTGTATACTTCTTGGGTGATGGGTGCACCAAAATCTCACAAATCACCATTAAAGAACTTACTCATGTAACCAAATACTACCTGTACCCCAGTAACTTATGGAAAAATAAAATTTAAAATAAAATTTAAAAATTATAATAAAAGTTTGACATATTAAAAAGAATTACCAAAAGGTGAATCAGAGACACAAAGCAGGTATATTTCATTGGAGGATGCCAATGATTAAGACTTGCTTGACACAGGATTGCCAGAAACTTTCAGTTTGTGAAGAAGTACAATAAAATGAGGTATGTCTGTATATTCATAAAATTATGCAACCATCCCCACTATTTAATTCTAGAATGTTTTCATCACCCCAGAAAGGAACTACATATCCATTAGCAGTCACTCCCCAGCTCTCTTCCTTCCCGCAGCCCCTGGTAAACACTAATCTACTTTGTGTTTCCATGGAATTTCCCTGTTGGGTCATTTCATATAAATGAAATTATACATTATGTGGCCTTTTGTGACTAGTTTCTTTCACTTAGCATAGTATTTTCAAGTTCTATCCATATTGTAGACTGTATTAAAACTTTTTCCTTGTTACAACCAAATAAAATTCCATTGTATAAATACATTTTATTTATACATTCATTGATGGATATTTGTGTTGCCTCCATCTTCGGGTTGTTATTAATAGTGCTGCTATAAACATTCGTGTACAAGAATTTGTGTGGATATATGTTTTCATTTCCCTTGCGTATAAATCTGGGCATGACTGCTGGGTATTATGGTAGCTCGATGCTAAACATTTTGAAGAGCTGCCACACTGTTTTTTAAAGGGGCTGCACCATTTTACATTCCCATCAGTTTTGTATTTCTCCATGTCTTTATCTTTTTTATTAATGTCATTCTAGTGAATATGAGGTACTAACTCATTGTGGCTTTGGTTTTTATTTCCCTAATGACTAATGATGTTGAACTTCTTTTTCACACGCTATTTGTAAATCTTATTTGGAGGAATGTTTATTCAGATCCTTTGTCCATCTTTTAATTAAATAGTTTGCCTTTTTATTATTAGGTTGTAAGAGTTCTTTATACAGTCTTTATATATATATATATTTAGAAATTCTGGTTACAAGTCTCTTAACGGATATATAATCTACAAATATTTTCTCCCTGTGGGTTGTTTTTTCACTTTCTAGATAGTGCTCTTTGAAACACAAAATTTTTAATTTTAATTTTGATAAAGTCTAATGTATCTATTTTTTTCTTTGGTTCTTTGTGTTTTTGGTGTCACATGTAAGAAGCTATTGCTTAATCAAAATTTATTAATATTTACTCCTATGTTTTACAGCAGGGGCCCCCAATCCCTGGGCCATCAACGGTACTGGTCTGTGGCCTGTTAGGAACCAGGCTGTGCAGCAGGAGGTGAGCAGTGGGTGAGCAAGCATTATCACCTGAACTCCACTTTCTGTTTGTTTGTTTGTTTGTTTTGTTTTTTGAAACAAAGTCTCACTGTGTTGCCCAGGCTGGACTGCAGTGGTGCGATCTTGGCTCACTGCAACCTCTGCCTCCCAGGTTCAAGTGATTCTCATGCCTCAGGCTGCCAAGTAGCTGGGATTACAGGCGCACGCCACCACACCGGGCTAATTTTCATATTTTTAGTAGAGACAGGGTTTCGCCATGTTGGTCAGGCTGGTCTCAAAGTCCTGGCCTCAGGTGATCCGCCCACCTCGGCCTCCCAAAGTGCTGGGATTACAGGTGTGAGCCACCGCACCTGGCCTCGCATTCTGTAAGATTAGCAGTGGCATTAGATTCTCATAGGAGCATGAATCCTGTTGTGAACTGTGCATGTGAGGGATCTAGGTTGTGCTCCTTATGAGAGTCTGACTAATGCCCAATGATCAGAGGTGGAACACTTTCATCTCAAAACCATCCCACTCGCAGCCATTTGTGGAAAAGTTGTCTTCCACGTAAACAGTCACTGGTGCCAAAAAGGTTGGGGACCACTGTCCTATGAGATTTTGGTGAAGATTAACTGGGATAATGTATGTAAATTCTGGGCATGTAACTATCAGTGGGAAGTAATATCTTATATTGTCATTCAGACAATTCCTCCAGGCTTCCACCTCCACCCTCATCTAATTTCTCTGGTTTCCACCTCTACCATACCCTCTGGATTTGCCCCTTGGTTGGACTGGCTCTGGCTTTGATTTCAGACTCTTCCTAAAACACTGCTTCTGCATACCTCATGACCTTTAGTTTCAAGCAAGTGATGTTGACAGTTGCTCAGCTCAGGTTCTGGACTGTCCAGGAGGGGGCATCAGACAACAAGAAGAGAAGTCCCTAGAAAAGACAGCTTTAATCAAATAATACTGCCATTCATTGAAAACCTGCTGCGTGGCTTCCTCTTTATGGGCATTATCTCTATTCTCTAGAATAACTGTGGGAATAGAGTACAGTATTACCACCATGATATAAAAGAGGAAACTGATTTTCTAAGTTTAATAACTTTCCCAACATTTCCCAGTTTAGTAATTGATGGGCTGGGATTTGACTGACTATAAAGCTTGTACTATTTCTTTTATACCACCAATCTCGATCTCACAGGGCTACAAAAAATCTTGAAGCAAGCATTAGAACTTCCCTCTATCTTTAGTAGCTCTAAATGACGTAAAAATGTGTTTAGAGAGCATTAAAATGTGTTTAACAAAATGTGTTAAGAGAATATGTCCTGGACTTAGGGGACAAACTAGAAATCAAGCTTCCAGACCTCAGGACCTACAGTATAAATTAGAATGCAAAACACTAACAAGCAACATACCCAGAAGGTAGTTATGAAGTAATAATGACTTGATAAAGTTAACATCATACATTCTGATACTTCATTGAAATTTTCTTCCCTGGGCTGGTCTATGATGTTTTTAAATATCTAAACTATGGCTTAACGTCCATGAAGCTTGAACCTGATCAATTTCTCTAAGGCACTATAGTTACAGTTTGAGTATCGTTCACCCAGGGGATAGTATTATTTTCTCAAAATGTCTTCTGGGTCTATCTGCAGCAGAATCTCCTGCTATACTTAATAAAATTCACGTTTCAAAGCCACTCCTTTCATTTACTGATGTCTACGCTGGTGACTGACATGCTGCATTTTTAAGCAGCTGTTCATTAAACAGCAAGAAACAGTTATTGCCTCACCATTGGACTTCCCTTTTTGCCATTAAGAGACAGCATCTGCCCTTTAAGTTCTGCCTCTCTTACCATGAGTCCTAAACATTATAAAAGCAGAAGTTTATAAAGTTAGTCCAATTTCTACCATTTGGCACATAGTGGTAATAACAGCTAACACTTTCAGAGGACTTACTGTGCTCCAGGTACTAGTCTAAGTCCTTTACCTACATATTAGCACCCTGAATCCTCACAACTGTCTCCTGTTGTTGATTCTATTAACTTCAAATCTCTTATACAAATGAGGAAACAGACAGGTTAAGACTTGCCCAAGGTTAAGTAGCTTGAAATTGACAGAGCCAAAACTCGAACCCACAGGCAACCAGATTTCAGAGTCTAAGCTTTTGAACATTATAATTCTTCTTTTTGAAAAATGATTTAATGGCAGAAGATTTGGAAAAACAAACTCATATATTCATCACTAGGGGAATGGTTAAAGAAATTATGATTCCCCCAATGAAACGCAGCTGTGAAAAACTAAGAAGCTTTCACTGAGCTGAAAGGCAAGGGTCAGAATGTGTATAATATGCTGACTTTATGTTTAAAATAAATCTTTTTTCAAATTGAATTTTGGATCTGTATGTATTAGGAATTTAGTCTTTGTTACATGAGTTAAAAAATTTTCCCAATTTTTCATTTAACTTTTTAGGTACTTATGGTATAATTTACTATGCAAAAGTTATCTTTAATTTTATGTACTTGCGTTATTTATTTCATGGTTTTTGGATTTTGAGTCATCATTAGACCTTCTCCACTTCAAGGATAAAAAGTAATTATCCTAATACTTTCTTCTGGTGCTTTCAGGATTTCTTTCTAAATGTGTGATTTTTAATGTATTTTAAGTTTACTGTGATACACAGGTAAGGTATGAACAAGCTCATTATTTGTCGCAACATCCATTATTAAATTGCCCTCTTTGCCCCACTAATTTCAGATGTCCTTCTATCATGAAGTGAATTTTCTTATGTATTTTGAATTATTTCTGGGCTTATTTTGTCCCTTTGGGTACTAAGTTTTTAGTTTATGAGGCAGCCAGATCCATTTATTTTTGCACTCAAGTATTATTTTAGTCCTGGAGATAAATTTATGGTCTGTTTAATGTACCATGTTATTGCTGACATCCCTTATCGTCCTGGGGAAGTTACAGAAATAATGAACAGTAGTTTTACAGTGATGGCTTCAGCAGAAAACAGATCTAGAGAAGCACTGTCCCTGAGGATAGCGCACTGAGCCCCACACCTGCTGAGATTTTCAAATTCGTATCATTCTGTCTGCTCAACTCTGCAACTACCTTTCATCTTCCTTTGGAAAGCAGCAGGACTGAGGATTAAGGTTAAATTCCCATTGTCTGTGGTCCAAAGAGAAAGCATACTACCACTGTCTGTTCATATTATTGCCATTGTGTTAAAGTGCAGAACCAAAAGCAAACTTTCTAATTTTTCATACTCCTAGCTTGGTGTGTGTGCCTGCTGTTGGCACCCAGGATCTGCCTATATTCCCTAGAAAGCATATCAAAACAGCAGCTTGACTCTCCTGAGAATGGAGAGGTGGACTGGCACAAATTCAATGGAGTATGGCGAGAATGTCACAGGAGCTACTCCAACCAAAATTCCTTTTCATATTGCAAAGCTCCTACATGGGCCACTCTGAGCCAATGTCCCTCTAAGTCCCCTTGAAAGCACTGTTTGAATAGGATAAACTTCCTGACAGTGTTTGAACTTTGCAGACTCCCTATCAGACTCACAGTCTCAAGTTAGCAGCTCACAGTGGATAAGGCGGTGTGAGCGCTAGACCTCAAGGCCTGAATATGATTTGGCCAGTGCTCTTGGCTCAATCCCTGCTCCATGTTAAGCTGCAATAACCACAGCTGGAAAGTGTGTTTGTGCCCTCTAGGTCTGAACAGCTGGAAGAAGGGGGGCCCCCCCCGACACAAATTAAATTAGGAGGTGTAAAATGCTGTGGGAAGAAAAACAAACCAAGATGACAAAAGCAGGTGCCAAAAGGCGTTTGTTCACAACCCCCATCACAGTTTCATTTTTATGTGTATGATTAGCAGCTCAGCTGCCTTAGGGCACATTTCATACTTCTTTGATCTTTTAATGTCTTGAAAAGAAAAAGAAACAGCACCTGCTGATGAAAGATATTCCAAGAGAATAGCAGGCTCTGTTCTCCAACAATCTCAAAAGCTTAACTATCCTACTCTGTGGACAGTTTTAAAGACTGTGTATTTTAGAAACCAATCTCTTCAAGAACTAGCTGAACAGTATAAAACAACTGTCCTTTTATTGTTATTTTCCAATTTATTGCCAGAGGATTATCTGTTAATGAGCCTTAGCTTATTAGAAAGACTTAAGGAAGCTAGAAACTTTCACCACAATAGCACTGATTGGTTTGTCATAGTCTGAAGTAACTCTCTTGTACTAGATGATTCATAAATTCTAAATAGGAGACCAAAGGGGCAGCAGTTCTAAAGAGAGCAGCCACACAACCCCATTGCACAATAAGCTTTGTCAGCACAGCCTGTAGATAAACACTGGGTTGCAATATAGCCACGAATGACCGGTTCTCTCCCTTGTTCATCCATCCTGGGAGACCTACAGGTGCCTTAAATTCTCCCTAAATTGTTCCAGAAGACATCGCCTGTGTCCCTTAGCCCGGTCTTCTTGACTACTCTTTAGGTTTCAGCCTTTTTTTTTTTTTTTTTTTTTTTAACTCTCATCTGCTCAGTTTTGTGCTGATTAATGCCTGTAAAGGTACCACCATGGCTGCTAAGGCCCTCACTCTCACATTTCTGTGCCCAGATTGTAAAGCCCTAAGTTCCATGCCAAGCTCCTGACACCTTGTGCTCTCAATGTCCTAGATTTATTCATTTTCGATCTTATCTTTCATTATACTCTTTACTTTCAGACTCATAGCAGAAACAGGACTTGAGGACCATCTAAATGAGTGATAGACATCCCACCCCTTCCTTCCTGACCTACCATTCTTTAACCCTCTTCCAATACAGTGCATTCCATCCCAAGTTTCTCAGTCCCTCATGCCAGTGGTACCTGGCCAGCCTGTGGCATCAGTCCTCTAGATTTGCCTTAGTCTTGGGACAAACTTACGTAGGTCTTCCTTCTAGTAAAACATTGAGATAAAACAACTTTGCAACTGTTATTTCTTCTTGAAATTAGCATTCTGAACGTATCATCCTTAAAGGTATGAATCAATAGTTTCATCTCTGATAAATATTAGAAGTCATCTGAATTTCTTTCCAAGTCATTGGAGGGGAGCAAGAATTAATAAGACAAAGAAAATGAATTCATGCTTGTCACTTTATAGAAACAGACCCACTAATTGATACGAATCAATAATGCCTTGCATGTCCTATGTCCAGTTTTCAAGGAGTCATCCACTTAATAGTGTTATGTACTCAGAGCTCCCACATTCATCAATCAGTCAACCACATATGCTCACATCTCATGAGCCACTGCTTTTGCTGTCCTAACCACTTGCTCCCATTGTGACTCACAGTCCAGTCTCTCTGCTTGCAAACTTGGCTTTCCACCCAGTGGCTCTCTTCTCTCACTATTTGGAGGCAGAACTACAGAGTGATTAAGAGCAACTTGGAATTCTGGTGCCAAGTGTCAACGGTGTGGCTGTGCACAGATGATGTACCCTGCCCCTGTAACTGAGTCTCTCCAGCTATAGAATGGAGGCAATAATAATAATACTTAAATCTTTGGGGGTTTTCAAAGGATTTAAAGCACTTCAAATGTCAAGCACTAATTGTTAGCTAGGATTGCTATTATTCAGGGAAAGGCATGTCACCCATCAATAAAGAATAGCCTCAAGAATCAAACTCTGAAGGGCCACTCTGAAGTGGAGAGTTAGAAGACAGAATGTAAAAGTGCCTAATTATTTTTTATAAGTTGTAAGCTGACTCGTGGCAAGCTTATCTCCATGACTGCAGCCCAAAAGAAGTAAGTAACTCCATAAATGGAAGGCTATATCATTGCACTTCACAGCACCAAGACCAACGGATGGGCTCTAAATACCAGCTGGCAGATGAACTAAAGAAACAGAAACTAATTTTTTTTTAAACTCTAATTTGATGCTGTTTTATTTATATAAGAAAATCCTCAATGTAATTTGCAAGCTCAGCAATAATTCAAGAAATATAAATAGCTCTGCAAAAGAATGTGTGAACATCATTTAGAAAGCTTAACTTCTAATGAGTGAAAAGTTTCCTAAGAAAAACAAATGACTTAGGCTAACAGGAAAATAACTCCTAAAGCAACACATCCAAGGAGAAGAGCCAGGATCCAGAACCTCACTGGGTCTCACGTCCACCAGAGCTCTGCTTGCCAATGGTTCACAGGTGCCTAAGATATGTTCTGCTCTCCAGACACCTGGCACACCAAAACTGTTCCGCTGAACTGAGAATTCATTGATTTCATTTCTGGGCTACAATCTTGGCTACATGGAGTCACTGCCCTGTGACTCCAAGGTTTTGCAGTGATTTTGGGAAAGCCCCTCTTTGAGATACTGCCCTCTGTGTTATTATTCCTTACTCATCACTGGAGCAAGGTTATTTGACCAAGCTTTTATTCCAGACTCTCTCTCACTTCTCTTAGGACACATTGTCTTCCAGACGGTTTGTAGGGCCTCTCCATAAGTCAACTATATACCAAAAAGCATCTGAATCCTAGAATGGGCACACCTGAGGCTCAAGCTAGCCCCTGCCCTGGAATGATTTTATCAGTGAATAGGGTCATTTAGCCAGTGGGTTACAGAAACAGTATTTTAGTCAGGAGACTCTTATTCCAGTGCCCCTTTTCATTTCCCTCACTTCATGTTGACTCACTCTGTGAAAGAGCTCAGGTCAGTTACAAGTAGAACTAGCCAGGAAGGGACAGAGTCTCACCACAACTGATAAAGGAGTATCTTTTCAACAATTAGCCTTCAGCAGAGGGAATTAATTAGTGAATTCCTTAAAAGCTGTTTTCTATGCACCGACTTCAGACAAGTGCAGTTTTGGTGGGATGTACTTCTATTGTAATAGGAACCCAAACCTGGTATCTAATCATCAGGATATTATTAATTGCATGATTGTAAGTATCATTTAAACTGACTCCTCAGAGGGAACTCCTAATTCTATCTCAAATATTTCCTATGTAAAACGGAAATAACTATATCTTACAAACTCATATATGTATACTCGGAACTTCTGAATGGTATTTCTGGGTTTTAAGACATGCATTTGAAAATTATCTTGATTTCCTTCTCCCAAAGGATGATTTTGCTTTTCCTGTTGCCCTTGTAACATCTATTGGACAGGAGTCTGCATACTTGGGCTGCTGACCATGACTATGACATCTCTCCATTAGAAATCTCCTTGCTTGTGATGTTCTAGGAGAGAATCAGTGGCAGGCATCCATGTTCCATACCATAAAGCACTGCCATGGCTGATGGGACAAAGAATGGCTCCTGATCCAAAGATGACTTCTGAGGTGCCCCATTCTGAAATCTCCACCCAACAGAAATGCCCTAAACTGGATGTTGACTGGGTGAATCAATCAAATCCTCTCTCCTGGATTGAGCACAAAGAGAAAAAGCAATGAAAAAAATTCCAGAAATGTAGGACACCACTGAGAGAACATCTGAGTAGCAGAGTCCCAGAAAATACAGTAAAGGAACCAAACACAAGAAATAGGTAAAGATAATTTTCCAGAAATAATAAAAGACATAATACTATAGACCCAAGGAACACAATTGTGAGCAAGATGAAAATACACATGTGCACAGGAGCATGTGCTTATGGACACACACACTCCCCTAGACACATCATAGTCAAACTATATAGTAAAATAAGGATTACTGAACGCACCTAAAAAATTAGAATAATAGAAAAAAAGGTGCAATACATACAAAAAAAGAAAAGAATTACAGCAGACGTCTCTAACAAAACCAAGCAAGGCAAGCAACGGAGTGATATTTTTAAAAAATCATTAAGACTACTTTTAAGTACAGTTTTAGATTTACAGAGTAATTGAGAGATAAGTACAGAGTTCCATATATCTACACCACCCCCCTCCTCATTCCCTATCCCCAGTTTTTCCTATAATTAAAATCTTACATCAATGTGATATATTTGTTATAACTGCTTATATTAATGCAATTATAATAACTACATAATAGGGTTGCATTATTAGTAACTATAGTACATCATCTACACTAAGGTTTATTCTTTGTATTGTACAGTTATATGGGTTTTGACACAAGCCCTTATGACACGTATCCACCATTTTGATTTCATTCAGAATAGTTTTCCCCCATGTGTCACCTATTCATCCCTCCCTTCCCTCTTCCCAAGTCCCTGCAACCACTGACCTTTTTACACGTATGGAGTGGCATATACAAAGTACTGAAAAAAAGTATAGTCAACACAGAATTCTATGCACAGTGAAAATACTGTTCAAAAGTGAAGGTGAAATAAAAACTTTTAGGCAACAAAAACTGAGAGAAGTCAAAGGTAGCAGACATGTGCCACAGTGAATGTTAAATTAAAAATTTTCTGGCAGGAGTATATTACCAGATAGCAACCTGGATCTGCAAAAAGAAACAAAAGCACTGGAAATGGTAACAAGAAATGTAAATATAAACAGTACTGTTCTTCTTTTTAATCACTTTAAGAGATGTCTGACTAACATAAAATAAATAAGTTTATTACAGGGCTTATAGAAATATACTGTTATAAGACCGGCTATAAACAAAGCTGTATAATATTTTAAGGCAGCTGTGGTGAATTAAAGTTGTATATTTCAGATCTTAGAGAAACCACTCAGTTTAAATAGAAAGTAAAACTAATAATAACCCACTAGAGAAGATAAAATGGAATCATAAAAAATATTCAATACAAAAAAAGATTAAAAGGGAATAAAGAACAAATGGGACAAATATAAAGCAGCTACAGCAAGACAAATTTAAATTCAACCGTATCAATAATTAAAAACAAATGGTTTAACTACATTTAACACATTAAAACGACCACATCTAATACATTACAATACAATAATACAATAATACAAAGTAAAAGGCAGAGTTTTTTTAAAACAACAAAAAAAGCTGACTCTGTTTTGCCAACAAAAAAACCTGTTAAAAAAAGGGTCAACACACTACAACCCACTGGCTAACTCTAGCCGCACATATTTTTTTAAGGCCTTAAAGCAAAGAATGGCTTTACATATGTGATCTATAGTGTCGAAAATGTTAGCTATCTAGCCATTTACGGAAAAAGTTCGCCAACCCTGTCTCTAAACAATAAAGACACAAATAGCTTAAAAGTAAAAGAATGAAAAAGATACACTATTCAAACACTAATCTAAAGAAAGCTGGAGTGGCTTTACAAATATCAGATGAAGTAGACTTCAAAACAAAGAATATTACCAGGGATAAAGAAGAACATTAGGCAATGATAAATTGGTCAATTCATCATATAGATATAAATACCTTGTACATGTATACACCTAAGAACAAAGCTTCAAAAACATGATGCAAAATCTGACAGAAATAAAAGAAAACATAGACAGAATTTATAATTTTAGTGGGAGATGTCAGTATTCTTCTTTCAGTAATTGAAAGACCAAATTAAAAAAAAAAGTTGGTAAGGATATTACAGTCTTGAATAGCACAATCAACCAACTTGATCTAACCAACAATCACTGAATACTCTACCCAGTAACAAGCAGAATATATATTCTTTTGACAAGACAGATCATATTCTAGGCTACAAGACAAACCTCAACACATTTAAAAGAAATCACATTAAGTGTGTTCTCCAACTAAAAAGGAATTAAACTAGAAATCAATAGAAAAATATGAAAAAATCAAAATATTTAGAAATTAAACAACACACACGTCTAAATAACCCATAGGACAAAGAATAAATCAAATAGAAAAAGAGAATCTTCTGAATTAAATCAAAATGAATTTTTAAAAAACTCCAAATATGTGGGATATAACTAAAGCATACTTAGAGGGAAATTTATAGTATTAAATGATTATATTAGGAAACAAAAAAAGTTTGAAGTCAACAATCTAAGCTTCCACCTTAATAATTAGAAAAAGAAGAGTAAATTAAACCTAAATCAAGCAAAAGGAAATAAACAATAAAGAGTAGACATAAATAAAACAGAAAACACAAAACAACTGAGAAAAATCAATGAAACAAAAAACAGGTATTTGCAAAGATCAATACAAATAATTAAACTTTAGCCAATCTGATGAGAGAAAGAGAGAGGAGGCAGAGTAGAAACAGAGGGAATGGAAGGGTAAAGAAGAAACACAAATTACCAATATCAGGAGTAAAAGAAGGAATATCCTCACAGTTCTCATATATATTAAAGAGTAGGAGGGGAATACTATATATAGGCAACTTTATGCCAATGAATTGGATTGCTTAAATCAGTGGTCCTCAACCAACAGGGGACATTTGGCAAAATGTCTGGAGACATTTTTAATCGTCACAACTGGGGAGTTTGCTCCTGGCATCTAGTAGGTAGAGGCCTGAGATGCTGCTAAAACATCCCATATTGCACAGAACATCCTCCCACAACAAAGAATTATCTTGCCCAAATGTTACCTTGGTTGAGAAATCCTGATTTAGATGAAATGAACAGTTCAGATAAAATTCCTTCAAAGACTCCAACTACCAAAGCTTTCTCAAGAAGAAATAAATAACTCAAACAGTCCTTTATCTATAAAAGACACTGAGTTTGTAGTTCAAAACTTTCCACAAAAGAAAACCATAGCCTAACAGGCAAATTCTAACAATTAGGAAGAAATAATATATTCTTCTAGAATATATAAAAAGAGAGGGAATACACTCCAACTCATTTTATGATGTTGTTGCTTTGCTACACAAACCAAACATTAAAAGAAAACAAGTGACTAATATCCCTCATGACTATATATGCAAAAATCCTTAATAATAGAGATTCAAATCCAACAATATACAAAAAGGATCATATGTCATGACCAATTGGGATTAATCTCAGGAATGCAAAGTTTATTCAATGTTTGAAAATCATGTAATTCTCCATATCAACAGAGTAAAAAATAACACTACATGATAACTGAAAATGATATAAAGGATTTGAAATCTTCAAAATGTATTTGTGATAAAAGCTGTCAGCAAATAGGAATAAAGAAAAACTCCCTCATTCCAATAAATGACATCTACAAAAAGCCGACAACTAACTTCAAGCTGAATGGCAAGACACCTCTCCCTTAAGATTAAGAACAAGGTAAGGATGTCCATTCTCATCATTCTTGTTCAGCAATATGCTGGAGTTCCTAGACAGTAAAATAAAACAAGAGAGAAATAAAAGGCGAAGGGATTGAAAATGAAGATTTTAGGCCAGGTGTGGTGGTTCATGCCTGTAATACCAGCACTTTGGGAGGCCAAGGCGGGTAGATCACTTAAGCCCACGAGTTTGAGACCAGTCTGGGCAACGTGGCAAAACCCCACCTCTACATAATAAAATTAATAAAAAATACAAAAAAAATTAAAAGTGAAGATTTTAAACTGCCTTTATTAACAGATGATATGATTGTCTATGCAGAAAATCCCACAGAATCTTCAAGTGAGTTTAGCAAGGTCACCAAATATAAGGTGAACATAAAATATTGTATTATTACATGCTAGCAATTAACAATTGAAAGTTAAAATTAAAATATAGAACGATTTATAATAACATCAAAAAACATGAGACACTGAATAAATCTAGCAAAATATGTAAAGGGTTTGTTCAATGAAACTATAAAACACTGATAAGAGAAATTCTGCTATATTCATAGATTGGAAGATTCAATATTAAGATGCCAAGTCTCACCAAACTGAGCTATAGATTAAATGCAAACCTTAGAGGTTTTTTGTTTTTTTTTTTTTTTGGTTTTCATTTGTTTGTTTTGTCTGGCAGACAAGCTGATTCTAAAATTTGTATGGAGAAGCAAAGGAGCCCAAATAGCTAAAGCTATTTTGAAAAATCAAAACCAAGTTGGAGGGCTCACACTACCCAATTTTAAGATTCACTATAACTTTACAGTATTGGCAAAATAATATATATATATATATATATAGATCCATGGAACAAAAATCCAGAAATAAAACCACACATACATGGTCAACAAATGATTCAACAAAGGTGTCAAGGTAATTTAATGGGGGACAAAATGATCTTTTCAACAAATTGTGCTGGAATAATTGGGGATTCATAAAAAAAAACCCCAAACTTATACCCCACATCATACATAAAAATATATTTGAGAGACGGACTATAGACCTAAATGTAAAATCCAAAAATAAAAAGCTTCTGAAAGAAAATGTAAGAGAATGTCTTTGTGGTGCTGAGTTAAGCAAAGTTTTCTAAGAATGAAAGGGAAAAATTGATAAATTGCACTTCATCAAAATTAAAAACTCCTACCCTTTGAGAAATACTGTTAAGAAAATTAAAAGATACAGAGAAAACCTTTGCAAAGCACACATAAAGAACCTGTATCCATAATGTACCCATAATTCCTAGAACTCATTAATAAAAAACCAAAATAAAAAGAAATGAGCAAAAGATTTGAGCACCCACTTTACCAAAGAGACAGAATGGCAAACAAGCATATAAAAAGGTGTATAACACGTTAGTCATCAGGAAAACCCAAATTAAAGCCACAATCAGAGATAACTGTATGCCCATTAAGATGGCTAAACTTAAAGACGAGAAAAGCCTTATAATACAAGTGTTAGCAAGGATGCAGAGCAACGGAAACACACACTGCTGGTGGAAATGCAAAATGCTACAACTACTTTGGAAAATAGTTTGGCAGTTTCTGATAAAATTAAATATACATTTATCACATAACTTGGCAATCCCACTCCTGGGAATTTATCCAAGATAATTAAAACATATGTCCATGGACTGGCACATGAATGTTTATTCTGATGACACCTGGTGTACTGTAATACAACTTCAATGCTAACCACACAGAGTTAGCACCACACATCGCAGGTTTAAAAGCATGCTCCTCAGTAAGACTTCCCTTACTTCTGAGGCCCAGATGCACTTGCGGGTGCCCAAGTCCCCTGCATTTTTGATCAACTGGCTACCAATCCTGTGGTTTCCACAACGTTCCCAGGTTCGATAAGAGAGTGACTCATATAACTCAGGAAAGCACTGTAATCATGACTGTGGTTTTATTCTTTATTATAAGAAGTAAAAATCAGAAACAGCCAGAAGAGACAAAGGGCAAGGTCTAGGAGGTTCTGCAACACAGGGCTTTTGTGTGCTCTTCCCATGGAATTAGGGTGTCACTCTTTTTTAAAGAAAAGGCAGCAGGCCCAAAATGGAGTCACTTATGCCAAGGTTCCAGGTCACCAAACCTAAATGGTTCACTTACAAGATATGACCTTCTGAGAAATCAGGAGATGATGCCAAATTCCATTAGGCTAACAAGATTTTGTTTACTCCCATAAAAGAAATGTAATCTTAAAACAATCCATCCATTAATTTGTTCATTGTTCTTGCTTGCTTCCACTTTTTTCTGCCATAAAACCCATCCATTCTGTCTAGCTTATTGGCACTCCTTTCTATTTTGTAGACTGGATGCTGCCGGGCTCATGAATTGCTAATAAAAGCCAATTAGATCTTTGAAATTAAATGTTTAAATTTTCTTCTTTGATATCCTTTTGGCACACCAATGTGTTCTTCAAACAGGAAACTCTACTGAGCTTTGCTGTCCAGAGTTCTAATTGGGGATTCATTACACAGGCACAACTGATCAGCCAAGTGATTGAATCCAATCTCAACTCTTTCTCCCCTCCTTAGAGGTCAGCTGGCTCAAAAACCCAACACTCTAATCACAGGTTAAATTTTCTGGGGACCAGCCTCCATCCTAAGTCATCTCATCTTGTTAGCATAAACTTTAATAATCCAAGGGGCTCATGAATCAAATACATTCCTATTCCTAGAGAAATTCCAAGGATTTATAGTCTCCCAAGAATGAAGGAAAAAGCCCAAATTCTTTATGTAACAATGTTTATAGAAGCTTTATTAATAATCACCCAAACTTTGAAATAATCCAATTGTCCTTAAACTGGTGAATGGATAAAACTGTGGTATATTCATGCAATGAAATGTTAACAATAAAAGAAACAATTGATATATACAATAACATGGATGAATTTTAAGAATATGACAATTTTTTACATAGAAACTGTAAATGGAATAACTATCAATACAGCATCATCTTATGATCTGTAGCATCAGAGAAACAAATGCTTTTTTATAAAGCTGTAATTTAGTTCAGTGTTTCACAGCCTCAGTGCTCTTGACATTTTGGACCATACAGTTCTTTACTGTGGGGAGCTATAGGTTATTTAGCCTCATCCCTGGCCTCCATCCACAAAGACACCAGTAGCAATGTCCCAGTTGTGACCACCAAAAATGTCTCCAGATATTATCAAATGTTCCATGAGTGGTGAAATCACCCCCAGTTGAAAACTACTGATTTAGTTAAACACATATTTTTTATATCTTCATAATCTTAAGTGTTTTGTGGAAACAAAAATCTGATCTATTAAATCAGTGTAGAAAATTTTATGGCATTCAAATTATGCTTTCCATAGAAAAACATATCAAAATTTTACATAAATTAGAAACTTTAGAGCAGTATTATTTTTCACATCAGGGCAAAGATATAATTGACTTAAAAATTATCACACTTGTCTAAATTGTCCAAGTATTCACTTTGTTTAGTAATATTACCTGATCTTTTTCCACCATTTACTTAATAACAAAAACCTCATTTTTCTTAGAGCTAATTTTTTGACACATACTTGTACATATTTATGGAACATATGTGATATTTTACATGCATAGATTCTGTAATATCAGGTATTTGGACATCCATCACCACAAGCATTTATCATTTCTATGTGCTGAGAACATTTCAAGTCCTTACATCTACCTATTTTGAAATGTACAATACATTGTTGTTTAGTCACCCTACTCTACTAGACTATAACTTACTCATTCTAAATGTATGTTTTTGCCCATTAACCAACCTTTCTTCATTGTCTCCCCCCAACACCTCCCCACTGACATTCTTCCTAGCCTTTTATAACAATCATTCTACCTTTTACCTCCATGAAATCAACTTTTTTAGCTCCCACATATGAGTTGGGAGGCATATAATAGCTTTCTGTCGCTGGTTTATTTCACTTAATGACCTCCAGTTCCATCCATGTTGCTGCAAATTACGTGATTTCATTGTTTTTTATGGCCAAATAGTATTTCATTGTGTAAATATACTACATTTTCTTTATCCATTCAGCCGTTGGCGGACACTTAAGTTGATTCCGTATCTCTGCTATTGTAAAAAGTGCTGTAATAAACATGAGGGCACATGCATCTCTTTGATATATTGATTTCCTTTCCTTTGAATAAGTACCCATATGCTGGATCATATGGCAGTTTTATTAGTTTTCTGAGAAATTTCCATACTGTTTTTCTATAATGGTTGTATTAATTTACATTTCCACCAACAGTGTATGAGAGTTCACTTTTCTCTGTATCCTTCCCAGAATCTGTCATTTTCTGTCTTTTTGATAACAGCCATTCTAAGATGACATCTCATGGTTTTGATCTGCATTTCCCTGATTAGTGATAATAAGCCCTTTTTCATACACCTGTTGGCCATTTGTATGTTTTCTTTTGAAAAATGTCTATTTAGATCCTTTGCCCACTTCTTCATAGGTTTAAAAACCTCTTATTTAAAAATACTGACGGTCTTAGATTGTTTCCTGTTATTTGATAACATATGCGTATCTTTGTTTCTTGTAATCTGGCAATCAAGGCCATTAAACCATGGCTAACTTCTTCAACCCATCTCCTTAACTATTTGAAATTCCTTAAAAAGCCAGTAAACTCACCCATTGAAGTTTTTTGTTTTTTTACTTTCTCTCTGAAAATTTGGTTTTCTTACAAAAAGTCTTACTTTGTTTATACCAATCGAAATAGGAGCTTCTGTTAGGCTGTTCTTGCATTGCTATAAATGAATACCTGAGACAGGGTAATTTATAAAGACAAAAGGTTTAATTGGCTCATGGATCTACGGGCTGTTCAAGCCACCATCTGCTCAGCTTCTGGGGAGGTCTCAGGGGACTTTTACTCATGGCAGACGGTGAAGCGGGAGCAGGATTGTTACACGGTGAAAGCAGGAGCAAGAGAGAGGAGGGGGAGGTACCACACACCTTTTAAACAACCAGGTCTCACATGAATTCACTCGTCATCAAGGGGATAGTGCCATGTCATTCACGAAGGATACGTCCCCATGATCCAAACATCTTCCACTATGCCGCACCTCCAACACTGGGGCAACGTGAGATTTGGAGGGGACACAGAGCTCCATTAAATTTAAGACACATTAAAATCTAATTTAGTACTTATCTCTGGAGAGAAGCAAAGGCATGCAAGTTTATCAACAAATGTATTTAGAAAATATTGTACACTCATAAAATACTTTTATCCAACATCTGGGCAAACTAGGGTACTGTGGAGGAGTTTAGTGCCAAATTTCTTTCCATTTCAGTATTTATGTGTGTATGTTTTGTTTTTAAACACAAAGCTTTTTCAGACCATCTGATTTGTATTTGATTCATTTTATTTTATGGGATTTTTTTTTTTTTAAAGAAAGGAAAAATAAAAATCCAAGCTACTCAGCACCCTTTAGGTTGCTTAGGAGGTCATCAATCTCCAGAAAAAAACAGAAGTAATTTTCCCATTCAGTCTGCTGTCTCATTCCATTACACTTACACATTCATTAATATAAGTGTTTTTTAAAGGAAAATTCTTAAATCTGAAGTCTTTACAACTATGTAAAACTAATTTCAATTTTTTACTTAAATCCCCGCATCACTCCCCATCACTCCCTCATATTTGATGGTTAATCTGTATTTTTAAATTACGTATCACCAGTAGTGCATAGAAATGATCAATTTGTATGTCTAATTAATATCAATAATTTCCAGAAGTTGAGAGACCATAAAGTGGGTAAATGCCAGCTGCAAATACAAAAAGTGTTACAAGTATAAACATCTGTAAAAAGCTTTTACAAGGAGAGGTCTTTTCTTTCATTTACACACACACACTTTACAAGGAGAGGTCTTATATTTACACACACACACACACACACACACACACAGAACTAGCAGCCTAACTTTTGTAACTTCATCCTTCTTAATCAAAAATAAAGAATAAAACTCACCAACTTATTGGAGGGAGATCAGAGACACAAAGGATAGCTGAAAGATGCCTGCTTTCCAGCAAGCATGAAAACTATCTTCTTGAATACTTTTTAACGCTCATAGCACTGTGTAAATAAGACGAGGAACATGCACAAGACAGGGAGCTCTCTGGGCTTCTCAGTACAGGGGGCCTTCAGCAAATGGGCTAGAAAAGGAGAAAGGGAGGTCGAATTCCTCCCTTACAGCCAGACCCTGCCACACAGGTTCCAAGGGCCTTAGCCCCCTGCCCTGGCTGATGCTCCCTCCCCCTCTCCCCCTTAACAGGGCCCTAAGCCCACCACACAGCTGAGCTGGACCAAGCTGAGGAGTTGCTGGAGCAGCAGCTGGAGCTGAATCAGGCCCTGCTGGAAGGGCAGGAGGGGGTCAGGGCCGCAGCCCTGGTGCTCAAGGTCCAGAAGCTGAAGAAACAGATGAGGAAGCACAGATAGTCTGGGAGGAGACACTCAAGCTTCCCACCGGTGGCCACAGCACACTCCATCCCTGGAAATACTGCAAACCAACCCCCCAGGAGCCCCGGGATCAGAAACATCCCAGTCTCTTTCAGGCCAGATAAAGCAGAAGAGACCCCCACAAAGGGCCGGCAATTGGTAGGTAGTGGGGGAGCCAGGGCTCTGCAGTCTTAGTCCCATTCCCCCTTGACCTCGCAGCAGGGCACCCAGGCCTTACAGGAATTTACCCTGGACCATGCCCTAAAATAACCTCACCCCAAATACAACAAAACAAGAGAGCACCCACACATTAAGAAATAATAATAAAATAAATAAGACAAGGAACATGAAGGATTCTGCCACTGGCAGAAGAAACTGATCTAGGCTGCAACATGAACAACTTAATCATACAGGAGAGACAAGATATTGGCCTGACTGAGATGCCAGTTGATATCAACAGCCTTGAAGACATGAAGACAATCAAGAAAGATAAATAGCTGCTTGGCAGAAAATTAGGTCAGACCACAAAAGTCAGCTCTCTAACACTGCTTCCACCAATTGAGAAATAAAGCAGCCATGCACTTATCAAACCCAGAACCAGACTTAACCAAGACCCAGAAAAAGAGCCATGAGGAGGGGAAAGTAGAAAACAGTCAGCAAGTGTAAAGGCTCTAACTGTTTAATGAGGTTCATCCCTGGAGGCAAGGTGAGCCTGGATGTAAACAGCCAACTAGGCAAAGCTGGCTCAGCAGGTGAGTCACCTGGGCATCCCAGTGGAACATCCACCTGTCAAAGGAAAACTCAGACAACAGCATTTAGGACGGGAGTTTACTTGCAAAGAAGGCTGCAAGAAAATTTTCAGGCTTTAGAAGGACAGGCTCACAAATAAAAAGGACAACAGTTATTTGAAAGAAAAATAACTTTCCTAAGAACCAGTATTACTGAATTAAAAATTAGGCTGGTCAGGGTGTAAAATGACAATTTTCTCATGTAATCATTTACCTCACATCTTCAAACATCTTGAAAAACTGTTTTTCTTATTTATCTTAGGTTGTAAGTCCCTTCCCTACCCAACCTCCCCCAACTGTGGGATGCTTACTTAACTGAAAGCAAGGTAAGAAATTTGGACTTGTTGCACCCCGGCCACCTCCATCCCTTTAGGGCAGAAGTAGGCATTCCATTTACATTCCCCTACAATGCAAGCCACAAATTTGTCAGGTGATTGCTTAAAAAGAGAAGACATTCAGCAATCCACAGTTCAATCTTCAGTCCCTACTTACCTTGGTTATTTGACTGACAGCTAAGGTCAGTAGTTTTCAATTGGTGGTAATTTGGCACCCCAGACACTATTTGGCAATGTCCACATACATTTTTGGTTGTTACAGTGGGGGAGGGGGTGCTACTGGCATCACCTAATGGGCAGAGCCCAGGGAAGAGGCCATCTCAACATTAAGAGGTATTTCTACTAGTGAAGTAAACCATGTTTTTTTTTCTAACAGCCTAAGAATATTACACCAAAAAAAGAATTTTATGTAGACATATTAACACCAAGCATTTATTAGTTTTCAATATAAATCTGACAATTATTTTGAGTATCTCTTAATACCTGGTGTTGAGATGTTAAAAAAAATTAAGTTGAACTTCTCTTAGATTAATTCCATTACTATTGTAAATGTTCTTAAATATTAGGTACTAATGGACAGAATAAGTAAAATAATGGATTACCTATAATGCGCAGGATAGTTCCCACAACAAAGAATTACATAGCCCAAAACGTCAATAGTGCCACTGCTGAGAAACCATGACATAGACTCTGGAGCCAGCCCACCTGGGTTGAGATTTCAGCTTGATGACCAGTTACCAGTTGTGAAGCTTTGGACAAACTGACTCAACTACTCTGTCTTATTTAGTTTGCTCATGTAGAAACTGAGTAAGATAAAACAGTACCTATAATGCCTAAGGTTGCTGTGACTATTAAGTGCCATATAACTGTTTGCCATGGTAATCTTTATCGGAAATACTCCTCCTGTTTCTCAGACTGCAATATATATCCGTATCAGTATCACTTCAATAGTTTTTCCTTTTATTTACGTCAAAATTTCCTCTGTCATGTTTCCACTTCTAGATATGGAGGTTTCAACACAAGGATAAATCTTAATGGACTTTCAACA
Organism: Homo sapiens; assembly: GCF_000001405.40. NCBI lineage: Eukaryota > Metazoa > Chordata > Mammalia > Primates > Hominidae > Homo > Homo sapiens. Next base: position 17,788,886 of record NC_000007.14, read on the forward strand.
TCATCACTTTCTATTATATATAGTCATACAGAAGAGTTAACATAGGAGGCTTGACTGCTCTCCTTGGAGGCCTGCTTACAAGGTTGGCCCTTGTTCTCAGGTGTTTGAGAATTTAAGATTTTAGGAGTGTTCCCATCAATTCCCAGAACTGATAAAAGTGGCTCAGTAAGCCTAAACTATACCAAAACTACAGCGTATGTTGAACACAATTCTCTGAGAAAGAAATTCCATAAAGGAATTCTGTTATGTGCCAGGCAGAGGGTGCCTAAATAAATGCCCTCAATGAAAACCCCAGGCACCAAGTCTCGAATGAGCTTCCCTGGTTGGCAACATTTCACAGGTGTTGTCACAACTCCTTGCTGGGGGAGTTAAGTTGCATCTTGTGTGACTCTACTGGGAGAGAGCAGTTGGCAGCTGGAGCCTGGTTCCCCCAGACTTCATCCATGCACTTTTTTTGCTCTTGTTCTATATCCTTTTGCCATAATAAATCTTATCTGTGAGTATGACTATATGCTGAATTTTGTAAGCCCTCCTAGTCAATCACCAAGGGGGAAAACTCCTAACAAATAGTTCTTGTTGTTTCATTTCATTCTTGATGATATGTAAAAGATCATGTTTACCAATTTAAAGTATCACGTTTAATACATGTCTCATACACTGCATTGGTAAACAGACGGGTTACATTTCATTTTCACTCAGCTACTGCAAGTTTTCCTAAATCAAACATATTCTGTCATCATATATATGGGTCAATATCTGGCACAAATATTTTATAAACTAAACTGTATGGCATTTCCTTCTTCCCCTTACATTTCCAAGTTACTGTTCTTCTGGTCACATGAGCAAAATCTGTGGAAGTATCTTTCCCACTTCTCATGAGATGTGCTCTATTATTCCTCACTGAAGTCATTATTCTGGTATTCAGAGCCAAATTCAACTCTTTAATATCTGCTATATAATCAGCTGTTAACTTTCCATCTTCACCCTTTTTCCATCTTTCCCTTTTCTTCCAAAGATTGAACTTTCCATTAAAATGGCAGGCAAGAAAAAAATCTTTGTGCTCCAAATCCACTGGGTTTTCTGTCCAGTTTACATTCCCTAAATAAAGACACCTCACCTTTTTTTTCTCTCCTACTAAAGATTTTCCAAACTACATTCCATGAGAACATCATCCTCAAGCTGTTCATGACAAAAGATTCTGTGGTTAACTAAGTTTAGGAAATTAGGTAAGCAAAATTAAACAGGTTTCTTATGGAACGTCTCAAAATTTTTGATATAATCATTTGAATTATGAAGGAACATTTTTGCTTTTTGGTTCATATTACAGATAGTCCTGTATAAGTTACATAAAAGTATAAAACTTCTCCCTCAGGAACATCTTATAGGGAACAATATTTTACCATATGCATTTTAAGAAATATGCCAATCCCTGATGGGCTAGAAGTTATCACATCTGAGGCCTTAGAAGTCTGTTGATACAGCTCCAAGAAAGATGCAAATATTATGACCAATCTACTTTTAGAATGGCAAAATCTAAAATATTAGCCAAAATATGAATTTAAAATGAGATCAAATAAAATGGATTACTAATTATAAATCTTTTCATCTGTGGGAAAATACTTTATAATTTGATACGATGAGGAAGTATAAAGTTTCTTTAACACTGTGGTGTAAATTATTTGCCCCATAAAAGAAAAAGTTAAATTCAGTCCATTTAAGTCAGTAATCACTCAAGCACTCATCTATCAACCTGGAACTTGAATTGGTTGATATCTAAAAGAAAAGAAAATACAAACAGATACTAAAAATAAGACTACTGAGCAAGCATCTTAAAAGTAACAAAAATACATTACTATTAAATGAACTCAACAAAAATGTTTGTTAATACTTTATTAGTATTTTCTAATGGACAGAACACAAACCAAATAAATTTTTTAATCCTTTTAGTTGAATAAAAATAACTGACATTCTGATTGTTGTTTCTTCTTTGTTAAAGAAAGAAAGTATTGATAGAACAGTTAGGCACACAGTTGACACTTACTGTACAATGATATGCACACATTATCTTTTAACAATTATAATCCTAAAATGTGCTCTTCATATTTTTTCCCTTGTAATACAGGAGCCATGCTCCTAAAAGCAAAATTTACTACTAATAAAAGAATTTTCCAAGGAGTGACAAAAAGACTTTTAAAACAAGTCCTTAAATAAAAGGATGCAGCAACAACGGAATGTAAGTTGTTGGATTAAGAAGACAGTTTAAGCTACATCTCAAAAAATTAAAAATTCATTTATCTTACAATTACTCAAATACACATGCATTAAATGAAAATATTGCACAAAATTAAAATTTTAGATTGTGAAATTTATATCATTCTTAATTTTTATAAAAATTGGTACACTTTCTGGTAGCACTTAACTGATTGATTTTTCTTCCCAAATACCAGCAGCACAAACTTAAAATGAACAAACTGAAATATTCAAGAAAGTTTTTGTTTTTTTTTTTTTTAAAAAAATTAAGGCTAACCAAGTGCATCCATTGGTCAATGGCACAATTGATTTCAGCAACTATTTGGAATATCCTAATTATAGGAAATGCCCATCTAAGTGATATATTTAAATAATACAATCAATTTTTTAAGGTGAATAAACTATGATGGTTTCTAAATAGTGTACATGTTACCTGAAAAATCAGAAAACACAAAGAATGATTAATTTCGAAAGTTCTTGCCTAAAGGCACCACTGACTTAAAAAACATTCAAAATCAAATACCAGAAGACATAAAGCCTCTTCATGTATATATTCATATATGCAATAAATGCATTAAATGTAACTTTATTAAACATAGTACACTGTACTTGACTTATGGTTAAATATTTTACACACAGCTTGACCAAGTCATTCAAAAAGTTATCTCTAATTTTAGCATGACCACAGCTCTTTCTGATGTAAAAGACAGATGTGCATAGAGAAGGTGCACCACCATTTACAAAGACTATCATTTGACATTTTCTGCTTCTGAAATATAAACTCTTCTAAACAAAAATTACTTTAAAAATCCATTTACTCAAATAGTTTTTGGTATGATTGCAGTTATCTTGCAGGGCTCTATTTTGAAAATTTGCAATATTACATGACCTTTATTTCCCTAATTGATGGCCAGTGCTCCTCACATTATATAGAAATGCTTTTTCACATGTACACGTTAGGGTCTTACATGAATTATTCTGTATACTGTTAGATTTATTCATGTCAAAAATATATTTGAAATGGGCAGAGGCATATATGAAAATCACTGCACTTATGGCCATGCTGATGCTTCCTACAGACATGTTTCATGTTTCAAACATTTTCACTTTTAAAGCCTGGGGCTCAGGGAGGGGCCAAGGCAGGGAGACACCCTGAGAAGAAGAAATACTATTTCTTCCACCAGAGCCACTAAGGATCTTTTCTCACTTGCAAGTTGCAATGAAAGGGATTTCATTTTATGTAATTCTGAAGACATGCAACATATGCTGAATATATGCATACTATAAGTATGCACAACAGCATTATTAATAAATATGATTATTATAAAGCTTTAAAGGAAGGCTTTATTCTGTTAATAACCCTCACTTTGTAAGTAGGATCTAAGTGAAAACAAGACAGTGATATCTTGTTCCAATCTTAAAGCTCCCAAATAACTGGGATACCAATACTCTGTCCCTTTATCTTAAGCACCCAGACTTTCTTTTAATACCAGGATCTTGGCTCAGTGGTCTGATAAGTAGCTTCATTATTTTAAGGTTTTAGTGTTAAATATTTTTAAAACAAAAAAAGCTGACACACCCAAACCCTTAGGCAATGAAAGTATTTAAAACTATGCAGAAATCCTGCATAGAAGGGATGTGAATACTTCTAAGATGGATAAAATGGACAGTCAGAAAACTATAGGAAATACAGAAGCTCCAAAACTAGAGAAAGTATTTTATTTTATTGATATAAAATTAATTTATGGGTTTAAAGGTATACACTGAGGGGTCTTGCCTACTAGCTTTATTTTGTAGAACTTTACATTATGTGAAATATAAATAAAAGCATATTTTTAAAAATATTATAGTTCTTTTTTCATCATTTATTTTCATATATGTACACTGTCATAGAATTAGGAATCTGTATGTTTACTATGACTAATAAGCTCATTAATCATTTAATTTGCTATTTCTGCAGTTACCTAAGGCATGTCTAGATCACACAATTAAAAATTATCATATGGTAACTTTCCAGACTACTATTTAAATTTCCATATTTTTAGAAGGACAAAATGTATTTGGCAGTTCTTCCAATAAATTATATCTTCTGTATAATCAGTAATCTGTTAAAGATAAAACTAATAATTTTGAAATTTAAATGAGAGCCACCACATGCTTCTTTTTGCACAAAGAATGCCAAAAGGAAACATAAAATTGAGTACCCTAAGAGCAAAACACAGCCCTTAAAGCACACATAAGAATAAAAATTGTTGTATACCAATGAATAACAAATCCAATCAAATTCTGTGTTTGATTGGTTTTATTTTATACTCAGCTTTATTTTATATCACAAAACTGTAATTCAGGTATAAGGTTATTTCACACTTTAAGGGCATTCTGTCTCTTTCTCCAGACCTGAAAGAGATGTTTCAAGGATCATTCACCTGGCTAATCCACAATATATCAAAATGCTGACAGACCTACAAAATCATTATGCCAAACAAACTCCTCCAAGTCGTACATTGCACAGTCTCCAACTGTTAAACAAATTAGCCAATTTATCTCTGAACCATTGTTTTGTGCTTTCCTTAGCTTTCATATATACACTCTGGCACTTTGTCATTGCTGGAGAATGCTGATTAGTTTGAAATGGAAGAAACCAACGCCATTCTTGCTTGAGATGGGGGCAGTTTTCTCTCAATGTTGCAAAATATGCACCAAATCATTTAAGACACAGAAATCTCTCTTGGTAGTGGTGGATTATAGATGAGAATGAGAAGAACCACAGACTTATGGATGTATTAATAATCTATTTTGAGACACTAAAAGACTGGTGCAGACACAACAGTATTTGAGTTAAGCCCCAGAAGATCTGTCCATACCATTAGTCCTGGACAAAATGAACACCAGCTTCATAGAGTGGAGTGTCACCTTTTCTGCAAAGAAGGCGCTTGAGTAGTTTGAAGTTTCTGTTTATATTTCTGCATCTGCTTTGACCGTGAATGCAGTTTGTTGAAAAGTTCACGGAATTTATACTGTGGAAATAAGGTTTCTAAAAAGCCTTCCAAGAAGACATAAACCATTCTCCTATTTAATTGGTTGTGCTGAAACATTTCAAAAACACGAAGAATACCTTTCCGTGTTGTCTCAGCCCCAATAATGTGCTTCAGCTCATCTAAATGAAGTGGAGGAAAACACACATAATTATTCAAAGGAAACACAAGGCCTAAACTCTTAAATGTTCTTAAATTAAGGTACACAGCAGAGTAACTGATGAACAGTAGGTAACCAGTTAATGCATTTCAGCTATGTACTATAGCTGAAACTTAATATGCATCTTTGCATGCATGCATCTATTTACGCACTTAATGCAAAAGCTACTGGGAGACAATATAGCACAGGTGTAAGAGATAAAAAATAAAAAACAGTCTCAAAGATCCCAAACTATGATTACAAACATGTCCCTTAATACCCATGTGATACTTACCCACCACCCTGACTCTCTTTTCTCATCTGAAAAGGAGGATTTATAATAACATCCTTATAAGGATTTATAAGTCTTTAATGAAATAATGTAAAAAGTGATCTGTAAACTTTGTAATATTATACAAATATTCTTAGTAGGCCTAATGAATAGTGACAAATGCTGTAAGGAAACAAACTAATCCATGATGGTGAATAAAGTTTCATTGGAACACAGGAAAAAAAAAAATTAATCCCTGATCTACAAAAACCCCTGGCATAGTAACTATACCATAAAAATGCTAAAAGTATAAGAATATTGGTAGTGGGGAGACTTTCAGATGCGATAACAAAGAAAAGTTCCCTTTAAGGAAGTGGCAGGTAAAGGAGACTTTCTACTTGGGCAGGATTTTGATAGGTGCAATGAGATGAAGGATTAGCCTTGGTGAAAAGAACATGAATGAGCAAATAAGCAGTAACTAGAATAACAAAGCATGCTCAAGAAATAGGGATAGTACAAGTTGGGTTGAATTTTATTTAAATTCAAAGTGAAGAAAGCAAAGAAAATAGAAAACCGATGGTGCTGTGACTAAGAGTGAGCAAATTTGGTGTTTAATCATAAATAACACCAAGTTATGAGACCAACATGTATGATTATTAATTATTCATATTCTTATTCATAATTACAAATAATTATTCATAATACTGATAATATAGATATTATTTTGCTGCTTTGGAAAGAAACATGCAATTTCCAAAAAGTCTTTATCTAACTAGGGGTAAGATATAATTTAAAGCAAAAATTTTGAGAATTTACTAAAAAATAGGCAAGGATTATGTATATATAAATTTATATGCTTTCATATTTACCCTCACTTCCTTCAGATCTTCACACCACCATCATCATCTCAGTGAGGCCTGCCCTGGCCACCCCATCTAAAACTGCAACTCATCTGACACTATCTATTCCATTTTCCTGCAGTATCTTTCTCTTTAGTACTTACCACTTATCTAACAAACTACGTTCCATTTATTTGTTCTGTGTGTTTTTGAGTCTCTCTATTTCTACTGGAAAGTAAGCTCCAAGAAGGCAAACATAAGTGCAAAGAACAGCACCTGGCACATAATAACTTTCAATAAATATTTAGTGAATAAAGATTTCTTCCAGCTAGATAACTGAGTCAGTCCATATAGCACAATCAGGTTTACTATAATAGTATATTAAATAATATCCTAAGCAATTGTTTCTTATTTTTCTAAAATGTCATTTCTATAATTTGCTTTTTTATCAGCAAATGAAACGGTATATAGGTAAGAATTAAAATTGTGGCAAATTTTTAATTTAATTGACAGAAGAGAAGGCTGGTCATTAAAATTTATAGAGAAAATACAGGTAAGAAAACAAAATTAGAGAAAAAAATTGGTATTGTGTGATATTAAAGAATGTACAAATATGTCTGTTCATTCTCTACATCCAGAATTAAAATACAGAGAAAAGACATGCAGGCATTTTCAAAGATACTCATTAACAAGGGGCAAAACAACCATCACCACCTCCCAGCCGCATTAAATTGCTTTTTACATTATATAACTTCTCTGATTGAAAGAAGAAAAACGAGAAAAAGTAAATCTAAGGTAGTGAGATAGCTATACCCTAATGAAGCAACCAAAATCAGACCAACAAAATGCTACTAAGTATACTTTGTTTGGGATTGTATTTTAAGTAATAAAGATTAATAATCAGCCAATCAGTTCTTTCTATGTAAATGGAGTTTTTGAAATAACTTGTTTTCCTAAGTACAACAAATATTCTTCCTGAAAAATTCATACTTTATATTTTATTAGCCCTTTCACCTGTCATGTATTTTATTTATTTAACTTAACTCCCAATATGTTTCAAGGCAGCAGAGCGAAGTGGCTAAAAGCATAAGCTTTCACATCACTTAAAGCCAAGTCAGAATACCAACTGTTGCTTAGTAGCTATAAACCTTGGATAGGTTATTTAACCTCTCTGAGCTTCCGTTTCCTCACATATAAAGCGGTGATGTTAACAGTCCTTAGCTTTACAGTACTGTCATGAGGACTGATTAAGAACATATGAGAAATGCCTAGTACAGTGCCTGATATGTATTAAGCCATCAAAAGGTAGTTGTTATAATCAAAAGGCAGTTACACTGGCATGATGAATGCTAAAAACTCAGAAGAATGACAAATTATAAAGATTTTTAACTATACATGCTCACTCACCTGGCATAATTGCAAGTAATTTCGTTTTTCCTGCTACTCTTGTTCTCATTCGAATACTTTTATCTCTGCATGGAACAGCCTCTGCTAAAATGCCATTTGGCCAAAATGCATCTCTATTTGAGAAGATTAAATACATTTTGTAAACATTTTCATTTTCTAATGATACAAGTTGATAAAATTATTTCAAATTTCTACAGAAAATACAAATGTGAACAGAAAGAAAAGTTTCTGAATAATAACATATAGCTATAATGATATTCAAGAAAGATCAACTAAGTGTAGGGTTCAATTTTAGGGGTTCAAAAAAAACGAACACAAGAAAAATACCAGATAAAGTCTGCACCAATGCAGTTCATAAACACTAATGAAGACAGCAAAATGGAATATGTACATGACTATATCACAGCCATTTAAACTCAAAGTGGGCATCTGCTGATTGAACATCTCATCCAAATGCAACCCTACAATATCTTGAATCTCAATGCCTTAGAGTTTAATAGCTATCTCCTTCAGTTATGCCATCCCACTCCTCTTATAATTAAGCCTACATAATACTAAATTCTAAGCCCACAACTTACAGATGGATTGACTATAATGGTCCTTTCACAAGTAAAACAACCCATTCTTCTTAACTTTCAGTGTGCTTTACTCCTGTTCCCTAATTCTTGGTCTGAAGGCAGGGACTGAGCACAAAAACTAAGCTTTCATCTGGGAATTTGGTGTAAGGGCAAGACTCCCCAGAGCAGCTGTTCTTAACTTTACACATTAGAAGCACCTGAGAGCTTTACAGGCTCTTCATGTTCAGGCCTTTCATTGGATTAATTAAGTCAGACTCCCTGGACATGGGATCTAGGCATTAGTAATTTTTAAAGCTCTAGAGGTGATTCCAATGAACAGCCAAAGCTGATAATCACCACTCCAGAGGAACATCATTTACCTACCCTGAAATAAAATGAACATGCCAGGGCAGCTAGTCCAAGTTTTGGAAACAGTATGGTACAGTGGGAAGAAACTTAGCTTCAGATTAGAGAAACCAGATTCCCCACTTTGTAGCCTGAGAGCCTATTCAACTTCTCTAATCCTCAATTTCCTTATAACAAAATAGAGACAAAAATACCTACCTCGAAAAATGGCATAAAATCAGAAAGCATACATAAAGTACTGTGCACAGTGCCAAGAACTTAGTGTTCAATACTGATAGTTCCCTTCTTGCTTCCTTTCCTTCCCTTCAAAATACATGATGCCATGAATTTTTACGCATTGCTTATCTTCACTTTCAGAAAAGAGGTTTATTTCTCTACTATCTGTACTTTCCTCAAGGGACTGCATCTTATCTCAGCAATGGGCTGAGTGCTAGGCACAGAGGAGGCGCTCAGTATTTTTTGTAGAAAGAAATATGAAGTAGGGTACCTACTTAATTTTTGTTCCTTGTAGAGGTTCCAATATTTAATAAAAAATTACAACATAGCCAGAGAGACTTACTTAAAACAATTTCATTTAAAATGAAGGTTAGAAAATACAACTGAGAAAAACTAATCCCCAAAACTAGATATTTGATGATACAACCATATCATTTTTAGGTGAATATTTCAATTATCTTACAGCCATGGTACTGTGATAAAATGTAGCCTATCATTTGAAAGATCTTTCTTCTTACTTTTCCTATTCTGGTTTTAAAGAAACAAAGATCAATAGGTTCATAAGACAAATGTTTAGTATAATTCTTAGAAGTCTTTTTGCTCATCAATGATAACTAAACCAACTTTATGTCCAGGAAGGAAACAAAAGCAATGAAAGTTAATTAGTGATAACAATGCTAAACTCTGTACTACCTGAAAGAAGTGACTGTGTCTTAAGATATACCTGAAACGTTTCACTGAGTCGGCTACTTGTTCAGGTGAAGTCATCCAGTCAACATGGTCAACTATTTTTCTGAAAGTAAATTAATGTAAATGAGGAAGGTTAAAATTTTAGAAGGTGAAAAAAATAAACGTGACTTTCATAGAGCAAGCAACTTAATCTGGATGTAAATTATCCCTGAGAGCAACAGACTGCTTTAATGATGTCCTTAAAAGGCCCAGAGAAAAAAATTCTCCTACAAAGGTTGAGCAATCTACTTCCAGAAGTAAGAGTTTAATAGCTAAGTAAGATCAGATTAAAAGCGAGGAGGAAAGAGTGCTACCTATTAATAGTATCGCCATATGTAGCTCTAATAAGCTGTTGAAGTAGGTTTTTGATATTCCTTCGCAACCACTGATTTCTTTCTTTTAAGTCGAATACTTCATCCATGAGAAGCAGCATTACCCTAAGTGGAATATTGTCATCCACCTGACAAAATATAAGAAATAAGAATAAGTTTGAGTTAGCTATCTACTATGAATTGTTACTTTTGTTGCTTTTACGAAATGATTGATATTTCACAAGTCAGAGAACAAGTTACATTTTAGCCTTTGTAACTTGACATTAAATTCTAATGTAGAAAAAATATTTCTAGTAGTCATTCTGACAGAATACAGAACTTCATAGCCCCACAATAATGAATAAATTTTAAGGCTATAGTTTAACATTTTCAAGGCAAAGTAGATTCATGATGGTCCTAGGAAAAGATGATTTGGTTCTTACTATTGGAAGAGACTGTATGAGTTTGATAAGGCAAATGCTAGACCCTTTGTCTATTTTCTGATGCATCTTTTTCACAAGAATAAGATATTCTCAACATCTCCATATATTTAATAGAACAAAACATGAATGATACAGAATAATGTATTTTGCTTAGTTAGTAAATTGTATGTATTTATGTACTTTCAGGAAAAAGATGCTGAAGTTCAATCCATCACACAACTAAATTCACATTACAAAAGGCATAGTTTACTAAATTACTAGAATTTTCTTTTAGCTTTTAGCAAATAAAAGTCAGTATTATGGGAGTATACAACCACTAAGTATACAACCACTAAGGTAAAAAGGAAGACGATCGGAATGCTTTGATGCAAAAAAATACGTATAAAATAAAAAGCAGGTACAGATTTAGTACCACATATAATTGTTAGTAATTTTATAATTTTTTCATCACTGAGAAACTGTTTCCAATTATTTCCTCATCAACACTGTAATTTAAATACTGGCAAGAAAGCATGAGTTATACATTTTTCACTGTCACGTTACAAACATTTCCTTAGTGCACCTTCCATTTCAAAAACTGAAATCATACAGCTTAATCAAAACCAGTAGGGAGAGGGAGACCCATTTCATTACTGAGACAGAATAAAAACTTCTGTATTCTCTGATCAAGTATATTCCTACGAGTTTGGTGCCATATGAAAATCTAATAAATAGCTAAACTGTAAAAACCACATACCAAAGGTACAATGTTATGGATATTATACCATCAATAAACATAATAAACATCCTAAAATAATCTTGAAAAACCAAATGAAAATATTATTTTTGATTAAGACAGTTGATTATAAACAAATTCGATTAGAAACAGAAAGGAGATAATTACAACTTAAAATAAATCTGCCTAATAGAACAGAATAAAACAGATCCAAACATATATGGTAACCTGATTTGTGATAAGGGAGAAACAGTACAGTGGGGAAAAGATGGCCTTTTCAGTAAATGGTGCTTGGATCAACTGGACCCATACTTCAATCCATATACAAAAATCAATCCCAGATGAACTGCAAACTTAAATGTTGTTACAGTAAAACAAAAAATGTTTTTAAAGAAAATTATAGGACATCTCTGTGACCCTGCAATAGGCACAGATAACATATATAGCACAAGAAAGAAACCTAGAGAGAAGACAATGTATTACATATATCTGACAAACAACTCACATTCAGATTACATAAAGCACTCCTACTAATCAAAAGAACTAAGATAGCTAAGAACTAAGACAGCTAAGCCAACAGAAAAATGACAAAAGGTCTTGACAGACGCATAAGACAGAACATTCAAATGGCCAATAAACATATAAAAAGGTGTGTAACATTTCAACAGTTATCACAGAAACGCAAATTCGCATGAAATATAACAACCAGAATGGCTAAAATTAAAAAAACAAAATACTGAGTACTGGCAGGATGTAGAACACTGGAACTCTCATGTACTGTTGATGGCAATGTAAGTGGTACAAATAATTTGAAAAAGTACTTGGCAGTATCTACTAAAACTGAACATATATATATATATATATATATATATATATATATATATATATATATATATATCCTGATACAGCAATTTCATTCCTAAGTATAGATCCAATAGAAACATGTACAGACATGTACGAATGTTCATAGAAGTATTATTCATGATATAACAAATAGATTGTACTATATTTACAAAATGGAATACTATAAAGCCACAAGAATGAAGGAACTAAAATCATACAAAACCACATGGAAGAACATCACAATGTTGAGCAAAAAAAAGTCAGACTTCATGGAATACGTACCTTACAGTTTCATATATACAAAGTATAAAAGCAGAGTAGAAGTTAGGATAGTGATGGTCCTTGGTGGAGGCGAAGGTCCTAACAGGAACAGAGGATGAAGGGCTTTTCTGGAGTAGTGATAATCTTATTTTTTGATTAGAGTGTTAATTACATGGGCATGTTCAGTTTGTAAGAATTCATCAAGCTTAACACTTATAATATGTGCACATTAATGATACATAGAACACTTCATTAAAAAGTTAAAAAGATATGCCAAGTATGACTTAAACTAAATACTACCAAGAATAAAATTAACTCACATTATCGTCAAGTTGAGCCGAAACTCGGCGATGTTCAGGGTCTGAATCAGTCTTAGGAATTAAAGGAGGCACCTAAAAATAAAACCAAATCCACAAAGTAAACACACTAAAGCAGACAGTGAAAGAACACAACACAATCATAAACCTAAATGAGTATCAGCATTTGATCTGACTTTTGGTACAATATATAAGCCAAATTTAACAATCTAAAATTTGGAACCAAATATAAAGGGTAATTATTTCATTACTAAAAGGGTTTTCTCCTTTACAAAATAAATGACTTTTGAGTTAGAAATAAAAATTAGTCAGTCAAACTCCCATATTTTTTAGAAGAATTCAAAGCTAAGAAAGGTCAAATGACTTGAAAGCCAAAAAGTCATGCATCGCATAATGACGTTTTGTTCAACAATACCACAGTGGTCCCATAAGATTGTAATACTACATTTTTACTGCATTTTTTCTGTGTCGATATATTTAGATACACATTTGTGTACCATTGTGTTAAAATGCCTACAGTATTCAGTACAGTAGCATACTGTAAAGGTTAGTAGCCTAGGAGCAATAGGCAATACTATATAGCCTAGGTGAGAAGTAGGTTTGTGGAACTTACACATACCATCTAGGTTTGTGTAAGTTCACTCTATGATGCTCCCAGATGATGAAATCGCCCGGTGACACATTTCTCAGAACATATCCCTGTTGTTAAGTGATGCACATCTGTAGTTAGTAGTACTGCCAGGGAACAGAGTTCCAATCTTCTTTCTTTTTACCATAAAGAGCTTTTGATATAGTATGTTAATATGTTTAAGAAATTAACAAAATGTTAGATGGAAAGAAGGACAGAAAGATCAGTATTAGCTGAAAATCATTTGTCAGCACAAGGATTGTCAAGACCATCTCAAGTTATTGGTGATGACAAAGAGGCCTAGAAAACTTCAGTGACTTTTGTACAAATTCATATGAGTAATGAACAGCAGAAGTGCGACTGAACAATACTGATTTCAGTGTTAGTATACTTCCTCACAAATAGAAATAAAAATGAGGCATCAGAGAAAGTATGAGAATTAACAGAAAAGTATGATTTACACAATTTTAGGAGTGGCCCTTACATTAAAGAAAACCTGTTTATATACATTTCCCCTACATTCAAGCATAATCTATCAAGTACAAAATTCTAATACCTATATGTTTTATAGCCTTGATTACAACTTCAAATAACTACGTCAAAATGATTTTTAAAATGTTAATTAGGAATTCAACAAACTACACAGTCTAGTACCTTTATGTGTTAATGTAATTAAAAAAAAAATCTCCCTGTGAAATTCTTCTATGACACGCAGAGGTCTATACCCAGTAACGTATGAGCCCAGAGATTGATGGTAATGATGAACTTTTCTTCTCTTTGATCTGGTAATCATTCTATCATGTAAATCAGGAGAAATAAGACTTTATGCTTCCTGAGTGAATACTAGTATAACTCATCTGCACGACAGAATTTGTTTGCTACTAAATTTAATAGTACTTCATGATAAAAATGGCATAATGAAATAAAACAAGATAAAGAATGTTAACTTTACTAATTTTCAGTTTTTGTTTTAAATGAATTTTAAAACCCTACCACAGCAGAGACTAACAAGCAAGTGGATTTTACTATACTCATTTCTGGTAAGAATTTTTCTCTTTAGTTCTTTATTCTTTATGAGACTATGTGTCTAGCAATGTTTGGAAAAGAAATAAGGTTAAGGGACTAAGGTAAATCCAACCAGAATTCAATACATCTTATTGACTTAAAAATAGTTTGCTTTAGACATTACTGAAAATGTCTTCTTACCTTAAAAAATGATTGCTTTATGTCTTGACCTAATCTTTCTGACATTTTGCCCATGTTGTCTGACATTTTAGTCATTCCCTCTGCCAAGCTATCAGGAAGGGATTTAACTGCATTTGAAACATTCCTCATTGAATTGCGAAGTGGATTTACAAAAGTGTCCATCTAAAGGGAAAAAAGATATTATACCATGACTTTATTGTACCAGAGTTGTTATCCAAATGACAAGCCTTGGAAAATATAGAGTGCAACACTGGAAAGATGCAGTAATTTTCTGGTCTATATTATGTCGTTACATTTTAAAAGTACAGAAATGTTGTCTTCAGTGTGTCTTAAAAACGTATTTTCAGCTGGGCACAGTAGCTCATGCCTATAATTGCAGCACTTCGGCAGGCTGTAGCAGGAGGATCACTTGAATCCAGGAGTTTGAGACCAGCCTGGGCAACACAGTGAGACCCCATCTCTAAAAAAAAAAAAAAAAAAAAAGCCAGGTATATTGGTAATGTTGGTACACACCTGTGGTCCTAGCTACTGGGGAAGGTGAGGCAAGAGGATGATTTGATCTCAGGAGTTCAAGGCTGCAGTGAGCCGTGATCATGTCACTGCACTCCATACATTCCAGCCTGGGCAAAAGTGAGACCCTTGTCACAAAAAACAAAAGTATTTTCACATACATATATATGATTTGAAAATCTGCCAGATGAGGTTATTCTTAGAAAATCAATATAAGCTTTGGCTGCCTTCTTATTAAAGAAATTTTGAATAAAAAAAGTTTTCCATTCAAAATTGTAAAACAAAAAAAAATGTTTTCCAAAACAGAAATTGATGCAACTAGAATTAGCCACTATATACTTCTGGCACAGTTCAAGGCAACAGTTAGGTATTTTGAGTAGATACTGAACAGAAAACAGGTAAAATAAACAGAAAACTGAAATAACTAATAAGTATTTGATTTATTTTTTAAAATAATTTTAGAATACATTATATGTGCAATTAAAATCTACAGAAGAAATTTGAAGTTCATTACAAAGAAGGAAAAGAGACGTTGCAAATCAGACATGTAAATCTTATCTTAGCAAGGTGGAATACGAAGACTGTAAAAGGAAATATGACCAGAGATATAAAAAGGAATTAAAAATCTTCAGAGTGACAGAAAGCAAAAATGGTATAAAATTAAAATAATTTACATTAATAAAGAAAGAGACATCTAAAGAAACCAAACTAGAGATGCAGATGAGACTGAGCGATTCTTTAACAGAAATAAAGAAATCAAAGAAAAGACACAAAACCAAAGTCATACAAAACTACAGAAATGTTTTCCAAAAAAAAAAAATTGTTAAGTATCATAAAAGCTACCAGTGAAAACAAATTATGTTTCATGCAAAAACAAAAAAATGAATAACAGTAACAAAACTGAATCTCACTGCTTAGGAATCATAGCAACGTTAATAGATGGTAAGAAGACAAAACTCCTTCACTCTAATTTTATTTTCATAGCTTCCATCAAGAAAAACTAGAAGAGGTAAAATGCATATTAATAAAAAGTGAATTTCAAGATAACTGTACAAGGGCTGAGAGTTTTGGTTGGTTACTCCCTGGCTTAAGCTCAGCCAATAGTACCATAGATATGCTTGACGGAACATCCAACCCTAGAAGAGACTGTCACAGTACAACCCAGAATAAAACCAAAGAACAGAAACTGGCTTGAATAAGGATTTGAAAAACATGACCACTGGTGGAGAGAAACATAAAGATAAAAAGATGAAGTTAAGTCTCACGTTTGGCTAATGATTCTTTGTGTGTGTGTGTGTGTGTGTGTGTGTGTGTGTGTGTGTGCGTGCGCGCGCGCGCATGCATGCACATGTGTAATTCTAATTCTATATACTGTAGTTTTTGGTCAACCAGAATAGTATGTTCAAATCAATCGGGACATTATTTGCAACACTGTGGCCTTTCTTTTAAATGGTAATAACATATAAATAAGCTAAGTCATGAGAATATAGCGTAGAATTCTAAAGAGAAATAAGCATTAAGCATGACAATGCAACATTTAAAATGTGCAGCTTGGGAAAAAATTGCCACCTTGCTAATAAGCTAAAATGTTCACAGAAGAAATAGCATTTCAGAAGCATAAAAGGCATGAATTTCAATTTAATCTCCAACCTGAGTTTAAATAGTGTGATATCCTCAAAAATATTTTAGAAATTTATACATCTTACACTTCACAGCAGAAACTTGAGTTTACCTATTATGAACTGGTTAAATGAATACTATCTCACATGCTTATCTAGGCATGAGGCTATACTACCATTGATACTCTAAGAGAAAGTAAATCTATATAATGAATTTCCTAATTAAAAATAGTTGTCTGTGTAGCATCCCAGAAGTACTGAAGCCTTTTTTTTGTTTGTTTTCCCCACCAAAAGGTAAAGCCCAAGCATTTGTATTAGGAGGGAAGTGGGGTAAGAAGAATGAAAAACCTCTAAAGGTGACTGTTGGTTAACCATGAAAGAGGCAGAATTTCATAAGCATAAAAGCAAAGTCCATCATTGTATGAAAACATTTCCAAAAACAAGATTTGTTTTAAAGTAGATTTTTAGAAAAAAAGAAAAACTTTCAGATGATCATGCACAGGAGATTACGGATTGCCAGCTAAGTGTACACTTAGCTGTCCTTACACAGATGCTGTATATTCATTCAATTACCACCCCAGCTGAGTTATTTGTATTGTTAACAACATACACAATGGTATTTTAACTTAAATTTAGATCTCTAATTATAGCTTAAAATGCCTTCACCATGATAACAAAACTGGATAGAAAGATACTGTGTACAAAGGAGAAAGGCTACCTGTCTGTTACTTTTTCTAAAAATTGTTTCACAGATTTTCCAAAGCTAGGATACATTGTGTGACCAAATTAATGTGTTATAAAGTATTATTTCTCAAGTTCTGAATAGCCATTGATAAAATGTTTGCAGATGATCTACTTTAATAGCTATTTAATTTCCAGTGAAATATAATTAAGGAAAAAAATATTAAACTATCATTTAGCCAAAAAGGAAATAAAGTTGGAAACCCCAAATTCTTAATATGCATAAAAATTATTCTGACATTCTAAAGAGGTCAACATGACCTTGGTTATCACCAATATGGTTTATGAAAAATGTGTGTTATTGTGGATTGCCAGAAATGAATCAGAAAGATAGGTAGACGCCATTATTAATTAAAAAAAAAAAGTGAGTGGCTGGCAAGACAGCCAAATAGGAACAGTTCCGGTCTGCAGCTCCCAGCGAGATCAACGCAGAAGGTGGGTGATTTTTCCATTTCCAACTGAGGTACCCAGCTCATCTCACTGGGACTAGTTAGAAAGTGGGTGCAGTCCACAGAGGGCGAGCTGAAGCAGGGTGGGGCGTCGCGTCACGCGGGAAGTGGAAGGGGTCAGGGAACTCCTTCCCTAGCCAAGGGAAGCCATGAAGGACTGTGCCTTGAGGAATGGTGATTTTTGGTCCAGATACTACGCTTTTCCCACAGTCTTTGCAACCCACAGACCAGCAGATTTCCTCCGGTGCCTCCGCCACCACGGGCCTGGGTTTCAAGCACAAAACTGGGCGGCCGTTTGGACAGACACCAAGCTAGCTGCAGGAGTTTTTTTCATACCCCAGAGGTGCCTGGAATGCCACCGACACAGAACCGTTCACTCCCCTGGAAAGAGGGCTGAAGCCAGGAAGCCAAGTGGTCTAGCTCAGCAGATCCCACCCCCACGGAGCCCAGCAAGCTATAAGATCCACTAGCTTGAAATTCTTGCTGCCAGCACAGCAGTATGAAGTCCACCTGGGACACTCGAGCTTGGTGGGGGGAGGGGCGCCCAGCTAGGTGGGGGGAGGGGCCCCCACTAAGGCTTGAGGAGGTGGTTTTCTCCTTATAGTGTAAACAAAGCCTCAAGGAAGGTCGAACTGGGCGGAGCCCACCACAACTCAGCAAAGCCACTGTAGCCACACTGCCTCACTAGATTCCTCCTCTGGGCAGGAAAGAAAGGCAGCAACCCCAGACAGGGGCTTATAGATAAAACTCCAATCTCCCTGGGACAGAGCACCTGGTGAAAGGTGCGGTTGTGGGCGCAGTTGCAGCATGCTTAAACGTTCCTGCCTGCTGGCTCTGAAGAGAGAGGCAGATCTCCCAGCACAGCGATCGAGCTCTGCTAAAGGACAGACTGCCTCCTCATGTGGGTCCCTGAGCCCCATGCCTCCTGACTGGGAGACACCTCCCATCAGGGGTCGACAGACACCTCATACAGGAGAGCTCCAGCTGGCATCTGGAGAGTGCCCCTCTGGGATGAAGCATCCAGAGGAAGGAACAGGCAGCAATCTTGGCTGCTCTGCAGCCTCTGCTGGTGATACTCGGGCAAACAGGGTCTGGAGTGGGCCTCCAGCAAACCTGCCACAGAGGGGCCTGATTGTTAGAAGGAAAACTAACAAACAGAAAGGAACAGCATCAACATCAACAAAAAGGACATCCACACAGAAACCCATCTGAAGGTCAGCAACATCAAAGACCAAAGGTAGATAAATTCACGAAGAAGAGGAAAAACCAGTGCAAAAAGGCTGAAAATTCCAAAAACCAGAACGCATCTTCTCCTCCAAAGGATCACAACTCCTTGCTAGCAAAGGAACAAAACTGGATGGAGAATGAGATTGACAAACTGACAGAAGTAAGCTTCAGAAGGTGGGTAATAACAAACTCCTCTGACCTAAAGGAGCATGTTCTAACCCAATGCGAGGAAACTAAGAACCTTGAAAAACAGCTGAATTGCTAACTACAATAACCAATGTAGAGAAGATCATAAATGACCTGATGGAGCTGAAAAACACAGCATGAGAACTTTGTGAAGCATACACAACTCTCAATAGCTGAATCAATTAAGTGGAAGAAAGGATATCAGAGATTGAAGATCAACTTAATGAAATAAAGTGTGAAGACAAGATTAGAGAAAAAAGAATGAAAAGAAACGAACAAAGCCTCCAAGAAATATGAGACTATGAGAAAAGACCAAACCTAAGTTTGATTGCTGTACCTGAAAGTGACGGGGAGAATGGAACCAAGTTGGAAAACACTCTTCAGGATATTATCCAGGAGAACTTCCCCAACCTAGCAAGGCAGGCCAACATTCAAATTCAGGAAATACAGAGAACACCACAAAGATACTCCTCAAGGAGAGCAACTCCAAGATACATAATTGTCAGATTCACCAAGGTTGAAATGAAGGAAAAAATGTTAAGGGCAGCCAGAGAGAAAGGTCAGGTTACCCACAAAGGGAAGCCCGTCAGACTAACAGCAGATCTCTTGGCAGAATCCCTACAAGCCAGAAGAGAGTGAGGGCCAATATTCAACATTCTTAAAAAAAAAGAATTCTCAACCCAGAATTTCATATCCAGCCCAACTAAGCTTCATAAGTGAAGGAGAAATAAAATCCTTTACAGACAAGCAAATGCAGAGAGATTTTGTCACCACCAGGCCTGCCTTACAAGAGCTCCTGAAGGAAGCACTAAACATGGAAAGGAACAACCAGTATCAGCCACTGCAAAAACATGCCAAATTGTAAAGACCATCGATGCTAGGAAGAAACTGCATTAACTAACGAGCAAAATAACCAGCTAACATCATAATGACAGGATCAAATTCACACATAACAATATTAACCTTAAATGTAAATGGGCTAAATGCCGCCATGAAAAGAGACAGACTGGCATTCAGATAAATTGTCAAGACCCACCGGAGTGCTGTATTCAGGAGACCCATCTCACATGCAAAGACACACATAGGCTCAAAATAAAGGGATGGAGGAATATTTACCAAGTAGATGGAAAGCAAAAAAAAAAAAAAAAAAAAAAAAAGCAGGTATTGCAATCTTAGTCTCTGATAAAACAGACTTTAAACCAACAAAGACTTTAAACCAACAAAGGGAAAAAGAAGGGCATTACATAATGGTAAAGGGATCAATGCAACAAGAGCTAACTATCCTAAATATATGCACCCAATACAGGAGCACCCAGTTTCATACAGCAAGAGACCTACAAAGAGACTTAGAGTCCCACACAATAATAGTGGAAGACTTTAACACCCTACTGTCAATATTAGACAGATCAATGAGACAGAAAATTAACAAGGATATTCAGGACTTGAACTCAGCTGTGGACCAAGCGGACCTAACAGATATCTACAGAACTCTCCACCCCAAGTCAACAGAACATACATTCTTCTCAGCACCACATCGCACTTATTCTAAAATTGACCACATAATTGGAAGTAAAACACTCCTCAGCAAATGCAAAAGAATGGAAATCATAACAAACAGTCTCTCAGACCACAGTGCAATCAAATTAGAACTCAGGATTAAGAAACTCACTCAAAACAGCACAACTACATGGAAACTGAACAACCTGCTCTGGAATGACCACTGGGTAAATAACGAAATAAAGGTAGAAATAAATACGTTCCTTGAAACTAATGAGAACAAAGATGCAACATACCAGAATCTCTGGGACACAGCTAAACAGCGTTTAGAGGAAAATTTATAGCAGTAAATGCCCCCATGAGAAAGCAGGAAAGATCTAAAATCGACACCCTAACATCGCAATTAAAAAAACTAGAGAAGCAAGAGCAAACAAATTCAAAAGCTAGCAGAAGACAAGAAATAACTAAGATCAGAGCAGAACTGAAGGAGATAGAGACACGAAAAACGCTTCAAAAAATCAGTGAGTCCAGGAGCTGGTTTTTTTGAAAAGATCAACAAGATAGATACAGGACTAGCCAGACTAATAAAGAAGAAAAGAGAAGAATCAAATAGACACAATAAAAAATGATAAAGGGGATATCACCACTGATCCCACAGAAATACAAACTACCATCAGAGAACACTATAAACAACTCTACACAAATAAACTAGGAAATCTAGAAGAAACAGAAAAATTCCTAGACACATCCACCCTCCCAAGACTAAACCAAGAAGAAGTCGAATCCCTGAAGAGACCAACAAGTTCTGAAATTGAGGCAGTAATTAATAGCCTACCAAAGAAAAAAAAAGCCCAGGACCAGATGGCTTCACAGCCAAATTCTACCAGAGGTACAATTCTACTAGAGGTACAAATTCTACCAGAGGGACAGAGGAGCTGGTACCGTTCCTTCTGAAACTATTCCAAACAACAGAAAAAGAGGGAGTCCTTCCTAACTCATTTTATGAGGCCAGCATCAACCTGATACCAAAACCTGTCAGAGACACAACAAAAAAAGAGAAAATTTCAGGCCAATACGCCTGATGAACATCAATGTGAAAATCCTCAATAAAATAATGTGAAACTGAATCCAGCAGCACATCAAAAAGCCTATCCACCACAATCAAGTTGGCTTCATCCCTGGGATGCAAGGCTGGTTCAACATACACAAATCAATAAATGTCATCCATCACATAAACAGAACCAATGACAAAAACCACATGATTATCTCAATAGATGCAGAAAAGGCCTTCAACAAAATTCAACACCCCTTCATGCTAAAAACTCTCAATAAACTAGGTATCAATGGAACGTATCTCAAAATAATAAGAGCTATTTATGACAAAAACACAGCCAATATCATACTGAATGGGCAAAAGCTGGAAGCATTCCCTTTAAAAACCGGCACAAGGATACCCTCTCTCACCACTCCTGTTCAACACAGTATTGGAAGGATGTCTGGCCTGGACAATCGGGCAAGAGAAAGAAAGAAAAGATATTCAAATAGGAAGAGAGAAAGTCAAATTATCTCTGTTTGCAGATGACATGATTGTATATTTAGAAAACCCATAATCTCAGCCCAAAATCTCCTTAAGCAGATAAGCAACTTCAGCAAAGTCCCAGGATACAAAATCAATGTGCAAAAATCACAAGCATTCCTATACACCAATAATAGACAAACAGCCAAATCATGAGTGAACTCCCATTCACAATTGCTACAAAGAGAATAAAATACCTAGGAATACAACTTACAAGGGATGCGAAGGACATCTTTAAGGAGAACTACAAACTACTGCTCAAGGAAGTAAGAGAGGACACAAATAAATGGAAAAACATTCCATGCTCATGGATAGGAAGAATCAATGTCGTGAAAATGGCCATACTGCCCAAAGTAATTTACAGATTCAACGATATCCCCATCAAGCTACCATTGACTTTCTTCACAGAATTAGAAAAAACTACTTTAAATTTCATATGGAAGTAAAAAGAGCCCATATAGACAAGAGAATCCTAAGCAAAAAGATCAAAGCTGGAGGCATCATGCTACCTGACTTCAAACTATACTACAAAGCTACAGTAGTCAAAACAGCATGGTACTGGTACCAAAACAGATATATAGACCAATGGAACAGAACGGAGGCCTCAGAAATGACGCCATACATCTACAACCATCTGATCTTTGAAAACCCTGACAAAAACAAGCAATAGGGAAAGGATTTTCTATTTAATAAATGGTGTTGGAAAAACTGGCTAGCCATAGGCAGAAAACTGAAACTGGACCCCTTCCTTACACCTTATACAAAAATTAACTCAACATGGATTAAAGACTTAAACATAAGACCTAAAAAACATAAAAACCCTAGAAGAAAACCTAGGCAATACAATCCAGGACATAGGGATGGGCAAAGACTTCATGACTAAAACACCAAAAGCAATGGCAACAAAAGCCAAAATTGACAAATGGGATCTAAATAAACTAAAGGGCTTCTGTACAGCAAAAGAAACTACCATCAGCATAAACTGTAGGAACCTACAGATTGGGAGAAAATTTTTGCAATCTATCCATCTGACAAAGGGCTCATATCCAGAATCTACAAAGAACTGAAACAAACTTACAAGAAAAAAAACAACCCCATCAGAAAGTGGGCGAACGATACGAACAGACACTTCTCAAAAGAAGACATTTATGCAGCCAACAAACATGAAAAAAAGCTCAACATCACTGGTCATTAGAGAAATGCATATCAAACCACAAGGAGATACCATCTCACACCAGTTAGAATGGCAATCATTAAAAAGTCAGGAAACAACAGATGCTGGAGAGGATGTGGAGATACAGGAATGCTTTTACACTGTTGGTGGGAGTATAAATTACTTCAACCACTGTGGAAGACAGTGTGGCAATTCCTCACGGATCTAGAACCAGAAATACCATTTGACCCAGTAATCTCATTACTGGGTATATACCCAAAGGATGATAAATCATTCTACTGTAAAGACACATGCACACGTATGTTTATTGCAGCACTGTTCAAAATAGGAAAGACTTGGAACCAACTCAAATGCCCATTGATGATAGACTGGATAAAGGAAATGTGGCACATATACACCATGGCATATTATGCAACCATATAAAAGGATGAGTTCATGTCCTTTACAGGGACATGGATAAAGCTGGAAACCATCATTCTCAGGAAACTAACATAAGAACAGAAAACCAAACACCACACGTTCTCACACATGGACACAGGGAGGGAAACATCATACACCGGGCCTGTCAGGGGGTTGAGGGCTAGGGGAGGGATAGCATTAGGAGAAACACCTAATGTAGATCACAGGTTAATGGGTGCAGCAAAGCACCATGGCACATGTATACCTATGTAACAAACCTGCACATTCTGCACATGTATCCAAGTACTTAAAGTATAAAAAATAAAAAATGAAAAAAAAGTGTTGTATAACTGTTGGGACATACACGTGTGCTATTGTTGTTTGGTTAAAAAAAAGTGTACTTTAATATTTCTTTTATCTCCAAAAGCTGATATCAATTTATTACTTTATCTTAAAATGGATATAATCTTTAAAGGAGAAAAGATATATAAACATAAAAAACATGGAACACTAAAATGCATCTCTAGTGACAATAAAACTGTTCCAAGTTGGAATTTAACTCAATCACTTCAATCATGAAATACGCAGAAAAGCAACATATATTTTTCCCCTCCATTGTAAGGTCCACACCCTAGAACTTATTATTAAAAGAAAACACTAACTTAGAAATGTTATTAGGTTGGTGAAAAGGTAATTGTGGTTTTTGCCATTTGTTTTAAATGTCCAAAAACTGCAATTACTTTTGCACCAAACTATACAATCAAAAATCCTGAAGTAATCATATGAACTCCTTTTTTTTTTTTTTTTTGAGACAGGGTCTTGCTCTCTCACACAGGCTGGAGTGCAGTGGCATGACCATGGTTCACTGAAGCCTTGGCCTCCCAGGTTCAAGCAATCCTCCCACCTCAGCCTCTTGAGTATCTGGGACTATAGGTGTGCACCACCATGCCCAGCTAGTATTTTTTATTTTTTGTAGAGACAGGGTCTCGCTGTTACCAGGGTTAGTCTTGAACTCTTAGGCCCAAGCAATCCACCCACCTCAGCTTCCCAAAGCGCTGGGATTACAGGCATGAGCCACTGTGCTTGGCCCAAACTTCCTATAATTGTTAATTCTTACTTATTTTGTATGAATTCCTTAATCTTTTTAAAAAGATGGTCTTTTTAGGGGGACAAAGAATAGTGAGAAACTCCTTGTTCTTTTTACATTTTCATTTTGAAATAATTTCAGACTTATAAAAAGTGATAAAATACAAAGAGTGGTATAAATAATACCAGCTTCCCCCACTGCTCCTCCTGCTCCTATTGCTATTATTACTAAGAGCAAACATTTATTCAGAGGTTTATTATTTTCCAGGCACTGTAATATACAGAATATTGCATGATTCACATAATGCTCTAATGAAATTTAAATCTTCATTTCTTGAGTAAACTGAAGTACCAAAGGTTCAGTAACATGCTCAAGGTCACAGCTAGTAAATAGTAGAGCAGGGATCTGAAACAAAAGACTGCCTGATTTCAAAGCTTGTGTTCTTACCCACTAAGCTATCCTACCTAATTTAAGCACTTATTTACTGTCTTACCTTACGATTTTATTCCAAGTATGGGTCTTAAACCCTATTTTAAATTATTTAAAATATTTTATATAATAATGATTTTATTCAAAAGGCATACTTTCAGAACATATCCTGCTTAATATTTTTATCATTATTCCAAGTAAATGACATTTTCTCTCAGAATGAAACATTTCCCTCTAAAGATAACGAAAAGCTTGTGACTTGTCTCAGGCAAACTTTTCTTAATGTACCATTTCAAATTTTTTATTTCTTCCTTTCAAGCGTCTGCTGAATTATAATCAACATGTCAAGACAGGAGTTTATATGTAGATATTCCTACCAATAGTGATAAACATGCCGAGAACTTAATAAAATTTTCTAGTTTTAAAACACACGTACAAATCTAAATTTATTTTCTTTTATTACAAACAAAGTAAGAAAACAGACCTAGAAAGAAACCCAGTGCAGTGGTCTGCTTACTTACCTTGCGAGCAAAATCCCCTTTTCCTTTACTGTAGGCTTTGTTCTCAAGGAAATCATACACATAGTGAGCTAAAGCGGGGGATGCCTTCATCATTTCAGGAGCTAACAGTAACTAACAAGAAAAAAAAAAAAAAGAAGAGATTATCTTAAACTGACAGAATGCTAGAAATTACCATTGTTTATAATTTTAGCTCATAAATTTTAAGAATGTATAGTAAAAAATATTGATTTATATTTTTAAAAACCCAATTATACAGTTAGGATAAAGTCACCAATAATTTTATGACGATTAACAGTTTGGTATATATATTCTTTATATCAGCTATTTTGACTTTAAGTGTATCTAATGTGAAAGTTGTCTGAACATATTTACTATTTTATTTTCAGATCTTACAGCTTATACTAAGAAGATCCACGTTAGAAAACTGTCACGTTATTTGCATAACAATTCTAGGGTTAACATTAAATAAGCTGGGCAAGGTGGCTCATGCCTGTAACCCCAGCACTTTTGGAGATTGAGGCGGGAAAATTGCCCCAGCCAGGAATACAAGACCAGCCCGGGCAACAAAGCAAAACCCCATCTCTACAAAAAAATTTAAAACATTAGCCAGGCACAGTGGCATGCACCTGTAGTCCTAGCTACTCAGCAGGCTGAGGCAGGATGATCCCTCGAGCCCAGGAGTTCAAAGTTACAGTGAGCTATGATTGCATCACTGCACTCCAGCCTGGGTGACAGAACAAGATCCTGTCTCAAAACAAACAAAACATTAAATAAAAATGGTACGAAATAAAGTACATAAAATAATCCAAACAAAAACATTCAAGTGTTATATGGAAGCCCCAAACAAAACACTGCTTTCACAACTGCTAATATAACAACATTCTAGCTTGGTTCCTTCAATGGAACAAGTTTTGACATACTGAGTTCATTAGCTAAGAAGTATATAATACATCGACATCTAAAAGATACATTTAGGATAAAAGATTTGGGAAAAGGTGGTTTTTCTTCAAAATCTTGTAAATACATGACACAGACATTTAGCACTTTAAAAAAAAAATTCAAATGTTTGAGCCAGGAGAAGACAGGCAAGTGCATTTATCTAAACACAAACAAGCAAAATCCCTAACATGGAGTGTCTAGAAAACTTCTAAGTTAATCAATACATACAGAAATAATGTTTACAAATTACTAAGCAGACTGCACGTCACATTTGACATGCTGCACAAAAGTGGTTGCTACC
Organism: Homo sapiens; assembly: GCF_000001405.40. Taxonomy (NCBI): domain Eukaryota; kingdom Metazoa; phylum Chordata; class Mammalia; order Primates; family Hominidae; genus Homo; species Homo sapiens. Next base: position 17,816,074 of record NC_000007.14, read on the forward strand.
CTGTGATTACAGTAAAAACATTCTGTGTGCTATATTAAATGAAAAACATTCTACACCTGTGTGCTATATTAAATGAAAATCTGTGGATTATAGTAAACATGAGCTTACCTGCAAATATGCATTTAGATCCTTTTTTCTCTTTTCTAAAAAATCTCTATCCATATTATTAAAAGTCTTTTTTCCAGGAAGTTTCAATATGCTTGAGAGACTTTCAAACTGTAAGACAAAATACATTCAATAGCACTTTTTATAAAGACAAAAGGTTTTCCCAAGTGATTATTTCTCTACATATTAAAAACATCTTCAGGCCAGGTGCGGTGGCTCACGCCTGTAATCCCAGCACTTTGGGAGGCTGAGGCAGGCGGATCACCTGAGGTCGGGAGTTTGAGATCAGCCTGACCAACATAGAGAGACCCTGTCTCTACTAAAAATACAAAATTAGCTGGGCATGGTGGCACATGCCTGTAATCCCAGCTACTTGGGAGGATGAGGGAGGAGAGAATAGCTTGAACCCAGAAGGTAGAGGTTGTGATGAGCCGAGAGTGTGCCATTGCACTCCAGCCTGGGCAACAAGAGCAAAACTCCGTCTCAAAAAACAACAACAACAACAACAACAAAAACCCATCTTCAACAGATAATTTTGCAATATATTACATGAAAATCAGAAAATAAAAAACATTGTCCAAATATACTCAAAACACAGTTCTAATATTATTTATTAATAAAAGTATTTTAAATCAAGAATGACAGATTTGCATAAATGATGAAGATGGATTTTGACTATGTGGGGTTTCATTTAATATTCTCCCTAATATTGACATTGTTCAAAAATTTCATAATAAAAGGTTTTAAAAAATATTTTCCTTAATAAGCCTTTGACCTGTGAAGTACTAGCAAATAAAAAGGCAATTTTCAAAATACAGATAGTAGTTATATAACCCCGTGTATACACAATTATAATAAATATTGATACCTTTGCCCCATCAACCACATTAAACATAAACTCATAGATTACACTAACCAAAAAAAATTAAGAACAGTCAGCATATACTTTATCTTTGTAAAATCACAAGCACAAAGTAAATGTGTATACCATAAGTCTAGCACTTATGGACTTAACATTTGGATGCACCTTCAAAGGTCCATCATCGTAATCTGTAATGCCTTGCTAAAACACTTTTTTTAACCATACGAGCTGCTAAAATAGTTTAAGAGCAAAGTCATTTAACTAGTGACTGTACCTGACCAACAGCCTAGTGCTGAAATTCAAACAGCCTTACCACTTTTCCCTTGTGATACATATCCTAAAGCGAAACAAACTTTTTAAAACAATTATTTGTTGAAAACGTCTCTGTAAAGAAAACTAATTCTTGGTGCAGAGATTAAAGAGAAGAGAAATGAAAAGGATTAGGATAATTTCCATCCCCAAACTGGAAGATTCTGATACATTAAAAGAAGGACAAATCTGATGGCTGCTTGGAGCTAAAATGTGAACAAGTTCATTATATGTTACACATGAAAGGTAAAAGCAGTTTTTTACTCCAGTATTGGGAGGAAAACCAATAAAGGGTAGAGGTAATTTATAGAGAAAACATTAACTATAGCTATATTCTCAAATTTGGTGATTTACAAAAGTATTAGAAATGGGTCCTCACTGAACATCACATGTGAAAAAAAAAATTTTCGAAGTAAATTTACTTTTTCAAGGTGTCCTAAGAGATATTTCCTGCAATATGACCTATCCACATTAAACTACTGACTCAATTTTAGAAAACACATATTTTTCCTGGTATTACCAAGTCTTGTGTGCTTGTACTGTATTTCCTCAAATTCATGTTGAAGCCCTAACATTCAGTGCCGCAGACGGTGACTGAATTGAGAGATAAAGCCCCTAAAGAGATTATTAAGTTTAAATGAGCCCCTTAGGGTGGGCCCCAACCCAACCTGACTGGTATCCTATCAGAAAAGAAAATTTGGACCCACTAAGAGACAACAGGAATGCATCACATAGAGAAATGGCCATGTAGGGACATGGCAAGAACCCTACCATCTACAAGCCAAGAAGCGAGGCCTCACGACAAACCAAACTTGTCAATACCTTGATCTTTGATTTCTAGTCTCTGGAACTGTAAGAAAATACATTTCTGTTGTTTGGGCCACCCGGTTGGTGGCATTTTATTAGGGCAGCCCTACCAAACTAATATACCAAGGAAATATGACACTATCCATTAAAACAACAATTTATTTCAGAAACTTTAAAATATTAAACCTTACTAATAAAAAGAAATAAAAACCACAGTAACAGTTATTTTCTTAAAGCCTGAATTACCAAAATAAACTCCTTTGTAAGTTGTCTGTCTGGAACAGAAACATAAATCACTAACAGTTTTCTCAAACTATAAAAGCAAGGGAGAAAATGTGAAAATTTATACTCTATATTAACTCATCATAAACTTGCTATTTAAAAGATTATTTTAAACTACGAACAAAACAATTGCCCATTCCCTGAAAAGTAATATAATCCCCTCTGCCAAAAATTCATGAAAATATTTTTAAAGGCATTTAAAAGAAATTCAAAATTCAGCAAAAAAGAACTAAAATAAATTATATCAGAGGATTTCAATGTTTAAAAATAATTCAAATACTACACATAAATCATGGACATTCTACAATCAAAGATCTTACTTTTCTACATTAAAAACACAAGTTTAGATTCCTAATACACTCCTGGAAAATTTAAAGAACAGATGTGAAATTCTGTATTAAAATAATTCAAAATTTGTTTAATATGGTGCATATTTTTACTCAGTTACCTTAATGAATACTTAATATGATCATTTAAATCATGAGTTTATCTATACCTATACAGATTTCACCAAATAAAACAGAAATGCACAGTAGCTATTACACTACAAGCTCTTAGAGGCAAGGACTTAGTCTGTCTTGTTCTCTCATATGTTGCTAGCATCAAGAAAAGTACCAGACACATAGGAAAAGCTTAAGAAATATTTGTTAAATCAATGAATGAGCAGCTCAGGCCATTTCCAAAATCATGACATTTAACATTTTAATTATTTTCTTATAAGTCTCCATAAAATATCAAATAAGATTATTAAAATCTTTAAGGAAAATAAATGATAGCTCATACATTTAGCTTGGATTTTCATTCATTCATTTATCCATTCATTTATGGAACAGGGTCTCACTCTGTCACCCAGGCTGGAGTGCTGAGATCTCAGCTCACTGCAATTTCCACCTCCCAGGCTCAAGTGATCCTCCCACCTCAGCCTCCTGAGTAGCTGGGACTACAGCCCAGCTAATTTTTTGTATTTTTGTAGAGATGAGGATTCGCCATGTTGCCCAGGCTGGTCTCAAACTCCTGACCTCAAGCAATCTGCCCACCTCAGCCTCCCAAAGTGCTGGAATTACAGGCGTGAGGCACCGCGCTTGGCATTGGAAAAAATGTTGTATCACAAAATTATATAAACAAATGAAACTTGTTGTAAAATAATTTTACTTTAAGAGCTCTATGCAGTTACCATTTATTCATGTTAACAGGCTATACTGTGACCAACTGCTGAATTACAAATCATTACATTTTTCTTCCATTATTTTATAAGGGATTTGAGTTTTTAAAATATAGATAAGGCTGAGCTAAAAGGCAAAGACCCTAAATCTTATTTACAGATACTTAATATTTTACTAAAACCTGATTTTCATTTAAAAGGAGTTTTTAATTTCTTAAGTTCTGTGAACAATCTAAACACTTAGGTAATCACAACTTTATAAGTTTTATAAAGTTTATAAACTTTATAAGAAACACACACACACACACACACACAAACACACAAAAGGAAACACCAAGTCAAAACATGTCCATTTCACTCACGTGAGCTGTTTGAAAAAGAAATTGTGCTGTATCAATTTCATGTAATTTTTGGCACTGAACTGAAAAGGGAAATTTCTGTATGAACTGTCCTCTTAAAGTTTTCTTCAAAAGTATGTTCTTCATTTACATTTGTCAATATGTAAAATAATGCCTACAGTTCTAGTCTAGAACATTTAAATCAGGGAATGATTATTCCTCTTAACTAGAAAGAAAATTACAACTATTTACACAATAAAAAATTTCATATTAAACTAAACTCTCATTAATTTGCAAGTAAATTCATTTGCAAATAAATAGAACTCTTACCAACTCAAATTATTTTTTAAATTATCATGTTTGGTTAAAGTGTAAGGATGGGAATAAAAAGATATATGAGCTATATGCTTTTAAAATATCAAACAGGTAATATTTTAAAAAGTAAAGCAATTATTTCTTCAATGTGGGGCAGAAAATTATTTCATCTCTGCAAACAAATCAAGCTAAACATGAAGAAAGGTTATATTTGACACCAGAAGAATGCGCATGTCCAAAGTTATTAATTTAATTTTCTTATTAATATAACACAAAATAGTCCTTTTAATATAGGCTTCAGAAGTCAACATTAACTTCTTTTTCATCACTTTAAAGCTATTAATAGTTTATCTCACTCTATCCACAAGATATTTTAATAAGATTATCATGGTGCCAACTATATATTTTCCACTATATTAAGTTGAAAAAGATAATTTCTGATTTCTAAAGTAGTACAACGTCATTTCAAAGCTTTAGCTCACCCAATCAGATGTCACTTTTAACTATTATTGGTTTAATACCAGTTGTATACCTAAAATCCCTGAATGAGTCAGACTTTTTAAGAGTTAAAATAAGTTAAAATAAATTTCATAGATCATTTATTCCAATTCATCAAAGATCTTTTTTTTAAGTTGAGAAAATATTTAATTTAAAAATAGGACAGGGAAATAATTTCTTTAGATTTGTTATCTTTAAGAGTACTTTTAAATTATTTCTATAAAACAAGAGGGTTGTATTTAATAAGAATTGAAAATATTACTTGGTTAATATTAAATTTATTTTATGTTGTGATTCAAAATAATTTGAGTAATGGATCAAGGATTCATTTCACTGTTACACTGCTGGATTAAACTGCCATTTAAAATAACTTCTAGGTTTAAATTATGCCTTCAAAAACAAAAGCACAAAATGTCCTACAGCAATCCCCATTCCTACTTCAATCTAAGCCCAAAAAACTTTGAAAAGCACAATACACACACGCAAATTTTAAAATCAGAAACATGTATTCACTTTAATTTTCCAAGGTATACTCTTGATAGTCTGTCACTAGTCCATGATGGTTAGGACTGAGGAAGTGTTCAACATTTGATTTACTGGTTAAATGCTCAGATTAATTCTAAGATTTATGGTGATTATACCAAAAATTCTTACCTTATTTTTTTAATTAATCACTCTATCTGGGCATCCTCAGATTTATAATCAAAATCAAATCAAGAAACAACATAAAGTACACAAGTTTTTAAAACTTCATTACCTGTTCAGTGATTCTCATGTGGAAGTCATGGAAGTCACTATAACGACGATAGGTTTTCCACATCTCCTCACTGTTTAGGTTGCGCCGGTGTACAGTGATGGCATATAATGCATATGTCTTGCCATGATCATTACAAACGCCTGCCACAGCATATGGGTCATAGTCAGCATATACTAATCATTTAAAACAAAATGAAGAGGAACGAAAGACACAAAAAAGGAGGAAGATGAAGAAAACAAAAAAGATAATATGAAATGAAGAAGAATCTGAAATGACAGACTGAGACAGAAGGATGTCAGCAAAGGATAGATTCCCATCCTCCATATTCACATCCATAAGGTATTACATATAATGGCTAAATTACAAAATAAACTAAGTTCAGTATGACACTATCAATCACAAAGCGGTACCTATTACAATTCTCTCTTCCAAAGAGCTTTCTGTTACTACATCACTACATCATTACATTGCTACATCTAATGTTACCTTAGAGAGTAAAATTAGAATTTCTTAAATTTAATATAGAAAAAATAAACAAAATGATGTTTTGTACTAGCCTTCACTCTTCAGTTGTATTACAATTAAAATCTTTTCAACTAAACAGCAACAGCCACGGGATAACATTTATCTTCTGGCAATTTTCTTTTTCTTTGATACGTTCAGTAGTTCACAAGTGCGGTTTATTCTGGGGATTTTTTTTTTTCAAAGCATTTTCGCATTACTTTGCCACATACCAAGCAAGTCAGGTAATCTCTAAAATCAAAGCCTGTTCCTATTTTGTACTAATCTTAACTAAGGAGATGCACTTTAAATCATTTTCTCTAACTTGTCTTTCTGATGTTACATTTCTTTATCTTTCTGCACTCTACAATTAACGTCTCCAAAAGTTAATAGTGAGTCTCTTCTCATCTGTATCTGGTCTATTTCTTAATCCATTCTCTGACCTTACTTTCAATCACTGTATTTTTTTGATCTCTAGAGTTTTATTTGGTTCTTTTTCATACTGTTTATTCTTGTCTTAGTATTTCTCTCTAGGAATATTTTTAACATACTTACGGCCAAGTCTATTAAGACTGCCATCTCCAAGTTCACAGGATGCAAATTATCTGCTGGTTCTGTTGGCTTTCTCTTATTGTGGTTCGTATTTCTTTCTGTTGCTATTAATTGCTTTCTGTAAGCTCATTTCCAGCTGGTTTTATTTCTCCCTGGGTGTTCTGAGTGCCCTGGGCTAGGGAAGCGTTCACATTGAACAGTGTCAAGTGTCACCACTCTAACTGCTGGTTTCAGTGGTTCAGAAATAATTTTAATACTAACTCTCTGGCTTGAGATCTTGCAGTACATAATCACTTGAGGACAGCTAAATCCAGACATACTCAGGATAGGATGCAAGCTGGGCTTTCAATTTTTTGTGGGTGACAGATACCATTTCCAGTCATGATCTTGACATTTCTTGTTTTTCTACTGATGGTAGGCTGTTTTCCTAGTTCCTCTTTGACACTGAGCTGCCCTTTGTGACTCTAGGCTTTATGTAAAGCACTTTGTTCCAGCATCCCATGGCCTTGGCCCATCCTGCCTCTTCTAAATTTGAGGGCAGGAAAATGCTATCAAAATCAAGATCCAGTCTTTATGCTACTATGAGCCCCTTGCTTTAACACCCCTTCAATTCTCTGAATTTATTTTTCCCCATGGTCTACGGCATCTGTAGATTTTCCCCTTCAGCTATACTTATAATATTGTTTTTAGCCTTTCTATGCGTGGAAGGCATGATATCTCATAGCAGTTCAGACTACCACACTAACCAGAAGTCTAAAACTGATCTTGTAATAATGGATTACGTTTATTCATAAGTGTGAATAAACGTGGTCAAGTTCTGGGGCTAACATTTTGCTATTTCGTATATAACTGGGCAGAAGAAGGTCACTACAGCTTTTTGGTAAATTAATAACATAAAAGTTAGGACTCTATATTGGCAAGAGTAGTTGGACAGAAGCTCTTCCCAAACTTTCTTAAAATTTTTTCTAAGATTTGTACTTTCTTTCCAAAATTATCTTTCATTCCCTTTCCATCTATTATCACTGTTTCTGATTTAACAAAGTATATGACTAGAAATAGACTTTGGACATCTTGCTCTGTAAGTAGCACTATTATTCACTGTTCACCTTGTCCAGTTATCTTTCTCTCAGAGACTTATGCAAATTAAACAGCACAACACGTTTTAATCACGTTAGAGAACCACCATTTCTCAATGGAGTTAGCATGGCAACAAGGGAATGGTTTTATCAGGTGTGTCCAAGATAGGTTTGGGAAAGGAAAATAGAAAGCAGAGGCCAATTAGGCAGCTAACCATAACTAATTAAAAATTAACAACAGTAAGGAGAATAGCAAGGAACAAAAAAGGAGAAGAGATATAAGAAAGAATAATCAGGATTTGTCAAAAACCAACAGGCTTGGAAGATCACCCAGGGTGGATGCACAATAGGAAGAATAATGAGGTAATTATTTAAAAAAAATGCAGAAGACATCAAGGTAATCTGACTTAAAGGAAGATATTGGGGTTACATATATTGGTTTTGTGAAGATGGTGATTTAGCTAGAAGGGTTTGTTTTTATTAGGCCAATGTTACTCATAGCAGGCGATCTGCAAACTATTTGCTAGTAATTCTTATTATGTAAAAAAAAAATAGCACTAGAATGTAAATCAACTCCATTACTAATCATATTGTTTAATTTAGCCAATACTTTTTAAAGCAAGATTTCTCAATGAAGGAAGCAATACACATACTAGACCACCATTCTTGTGTGTGTACTGCTTCCTTGGGCCATTCTTTCAGTAGCACTGGACTAGTCTATAAGCTCCTACTTTCTGAAATAAAGATGCTAAAAGATCTAGAATCAAAGAGACTCTGAAGTCCAGTTGGTAAAATAAGTATTTAATGAACCAAAAATCAAATATGTTTACCATGCATAATTACCAATGTAATGAATTAGTTCCATAACAACCCTATGAGTTATGTATTATTATTATTATTATTACTAGCCCATCTCACAGGTAAGGAAATTGAGGTACAAGGAAGTTAAGGAACTCACTCAGGTTCACCCAGCTATTTTTTTTTTTTAACTAAATCTTAATTTTGGATGGCTTACCCAACTATTAACTGGCAGAGCTGGGGTTTGAGCCCAAGCAATTCAGTAAAAAAGTTATACTCTTAACCACTATAGTATGCTGCTTCTTCAGTATTTACATATGTTTGTCAGGAAGAAATAACTTTTTTTTTTTTTTGAGACGGAGTCTCGCTCTGTCGCCAGGCTAAAGTGCAGTGGTGTGATCTCGGCTCATTGAAACCTCCACCTCCCGGGTTCAAGCGATTCTCCTGCCTCAGCCTCCCTAGTAGCTGGGACTACAGGTGTGCACCACCACGCCCAGCTAATTTTTGTATTTTTAGTAGAGATGGGGTTTCACCATGTTGGCCAGTATGGTCTCAATATCTTGACCTCGTGATCCGCCTGCCTCAGCCTCCCAAAAGTTCTGGGATTACAGGCGTGAGCCACCAAGCCCAGCCTGAAATAATTTCTTAACAATGCCTAGCACAGTGCTTCCATACATTTTAAGAAGCTAATAAATACTTGTTTTCTTCCAGAAATCTGGCAGGCAACAAATGTAAATTGAGACTTCAGTTCCAGTGACAAGAAAAAGGAAATGAAGATCTATTTTAAAAAGATACAAGTTAATGTCTTCTAAACTAGATTAAACTAGACTAGACTAGACTAGACTAGACTAGACTAGACTAGACTAGACTAGACTATAAAATCTCTTCAGTGTCTAAAATGTAAGCATGAAACTGAATTAAGGTATATACCTCAGTATGTTTATACTTCAGTATGTAATATGACAAACACACTTCTACAATCTAAGAACAGTAAGAGGTCAGATAAGAAAACTATCATTATTTAATACTCATTAGTGTTATCTAATAACTCAATAGCAATGATGAAAACTGGTTATTTTTCCGAATTTACTAACAATTCTTCACATATGCTGAATGATCACAAAGTTTTAGAGGTTTCTCACCTCATTATTCAAGCACTTCTTGAAGTTCTGCAAACCCCTATACCTGGGGCTTCATTTACCCCAGTTATCTAGCCTGACTTTGTATATATGAAAACTAATCCTGAACTAAGATCTCTCCAGAAAAGATTTAACGAGAATTATACAGACAACTATCAGCTAGACCCAAGAACAAAGAGGAAAAGAATGGTTTTAGAGTTTATTAGAAATAGTAGAACACTTAGAATATAAGCATTTTCAAATGTTGATAGTGACAATCTTAGAGAGATCAAATACATAAGCAAATAAATATAGCAGAATTTAATGAAGGACATGCTGCAGAAAAAAAGTAACAAAACTATGACTAGAGAACAAAAAAATGGTTAGTAAAAATTAAGTGTGGAAAATTATTTAGGGATATAATAATACATAGTTTTAATGCAATAATTATACTTCAAACTCTCTTACCTGTGTCTGAAATGTAGGCATGAAGTTGTACTGAGTCATCAGAAGAAACATTTGAAAGGTCATCTAAAGACTGAGAAAAAAAAATCAGGAAACAAATTTTTAAAATTTTATAGGGAAAAAAAAGAGTAAAGAATTCTACATCATATATGCATTACAATTACTCATTTCCCTGCATGTAAACTATATATTATTTGTATACCCTCCATCCCCTCCATACACAATAATATTTTCCATTTAGGCTAACAGAAAAAAAGCAAAGATTAAGAAACAATAACAAAAAATTTAGTAATAAACTTAATATATTAGATTATTTCTCCCTTAATTGCTTGTCCATCTACTGTAACTTGCTACTTTTCAATTATGATCCTTATATGGCAAGAAAATCTAGATAAAAATAAGTAGACATATTATGTTAACATTTACATTGAAATATACTAGAACCAGCTCTGTAGTTTTTAGCTTAATACTTTTGTTAATATAGAAATAATTTTTAAATTTAATTCAGATTCCTTATCTATAAAATGAGAATACTACCTAAGTCAGAGAATTATGTGGAGATTAAATAAGACATGTAAGACATTTAGAAAACTGCCTAATATAACAACTGTTAGCTATTATTCTGATTATTTATTAAATGAGGTGAATCCATAGACTATGATAGATTTTAAATGATTAGTTTTCAAAAACAATTCCACAAACATAAATTCCTATTGACTGACTCAAAATGAATCTTTTATAACTACGGCCTTTGGGTCTAAACTTTAAAAATGTTTTTGCCACATACACATATATCCACACATATATAAAAAGGAACATAACCATGTAATTAAAGCAGGCTGCAGAGTTAACATGGCAGCCTGAAACTGCTCTGTCTAGAAAAGACTGCTTCCAAGTTTGTCCCTCGGATGGAATATGGGAACTTAAATTTAGGGAAGATTCTCAGCATTCTCTAATCAATAAGAGTGGTTTACCATACCTAAACTATCTGTATAAGAAATGTTTATGCTGAACACCTACTTTCCTTCTAGGAGTCCAGAATTTTGGTATGTGCTATATAATCTGCCTCCAATAAAAAACCTGTACATTTAGTCTCCAATGAATTTTCCTGGTGGCAACATTTCACATGTGTTGTCTTGCTGATTTTGCTTTATAACCTTTCATGATAAGAAATTCCAGCCATGAGTAAGACTATGGTATGTTCTGTGAGTTTTCTTAGCAAATCACTGAGCCTGGGAGTGGTCTTGGGGACACCGAACATATATAATCTAGACATGTTTCACGTATTTATATCATTCACACATTTCACATATTCATATTATATAACTCAGATATATTTCACACTTTAAAAATAATAGGATGTGAATGAGCTTTTGAGTCCTAATGTAATATTATTATTACTAAAAGGGTCATCTAAATGACTTAAAAGCAACCATCCATATGGCACAAAGTCACTTAAATTAAGGCAATTGCATTCTAAGAAGAAGGCCAAAAATGTATCTACTAAAAACTGATTGTTAAGAGAAGCAAAATGTGATAATTCTATACAGATAATCCACAAGACTTCCCTGGTCAACTCAAATGGCAAAGACATCAAATTAAATTAGATCTAGTCCATGCTCTACTACCAATACCTTAAGAGACTTTAACCATATCAACTACTTTCTCGGATTTCAGTTTTCCCAATGGTAAAATGGGGCTAATACCTGCTCTACATCTCTGTCAGGACATACTGGGAATGAAAATGCTTTGGAAAAAAAAAGGAGTGCATTTATTTTTATGTGCTCAAGAAATCATTTTGATAGAAATAGCACAACCTTTACTTCAATATTTTTATGTGAAAGATAGAAGACTCAGAGGAAATGGAACAGTCTACCAAATTCATATTATCTACTATAACTTCTTCTAATTATAAGCCAGCACAGGTAACATAAAATAATCTATTTTTTTAAAAAAGCATTATTAATAATGGTAACCTTCCCTTGTATGTTAACATTTAACATGCTAAATGTACTTATCTCTTTAAACATGTTAGCATCTCATACTATGCAATCCAAAAGTTGTTAAAAAGGCTTTGTGGAGAAATGTCTTTTTGTCTCTTAAAATATGCAATTAGTAAATATTATTTTCATTACATATGATGAAAACTTTGGAAAAACATTAGTTACAGTTATAGTGCACGTAAATATCAAGTGGACTATAAAGTTACAATTGGTAAAATAATATTTACAAAACTACATTTGATTTAGGAATATATTAAAAGACAATTGTGATTTCAAAACAAGTACATTAATGCTATATTGAAATAAGCACAATTTGCAAAGTACTCTTTAAGTTATGATTCTTAAACTCCTTGTAAGAAAGTGTTTTTTAACACTAAGACAAAAACTGAAAATTCAAATTTATAATGATAGTCATCAAACACAACCAAAATGGCACTAAAGGAAATGCTTGTAATTTACCTACCAAGCTACCAATGGCAAAATGAGTAAAATACCAAACACATTAAATATCTCCTTTGTTTAGTACATTGGAATAAACTATCGTGATCTAGTTTACAATCTTAAGCTATTTTTAAAATGCAGATATTCACTAAAATTTGTCTACATGGTCCAACTACTTAGAAGTATGAATTAAATAGATTTATGGGAATAAAAAAATACTCCAAGTCACTGACTTCAAGTATGACTGTTTTTTGATCCAGAGACTATTCTGGTTTATATTACCATGTGACAAAAGAGACTTATCTTATTTGGAAAAGCATTTATTCCAGACATGGAATAAAGAAAAAAAATTTTTTACTAGTGTTTAAACATTTACACAAGTACTACAAATGTGAATACTAAAAAATTTCAAACCAAGGAAGGGTTTCATCACATTTGGAAACTTTTCTATATAATGAACATTATTTTTAACACTTCCTTCAAGCTCTAGGAGCAATTCCTTTTAGTTTAAAGCTCTGGACTATAACAAGTAAATGGTAATGACACCAAATGATTTAGGAAATATTTTAAAAGTTACAAAGTATCTGACAATTCTACCACAGATTTGCTTTAGTGTTTTACTAAAGGTTATAATACAGTAACAGAACATTTACTCAATAAGGTTATTTTAGAAGCAGACATGGTAGTACAGCTAACACCTAAGACGACTAACCTCTAAAACATTTAGCTATTACGAAAGGTCTAAAAGAAAAAGTAATGCAGGTAGGAGGAAAAACAAAACAAACAACACCTTACCTGTTTTTCCCCTCCCCAACCCAGCCAAACTGGACTGAAACCTTCATAGAACGCTAATATTTCTTCCTAACAGCATCTTAGAAAATGAGTTATTCAGTGGCAAGGCTGGATATATAAGAGAACTGAAACTTTCATTATTTTACACTGTACCTTGAATATATAAAATGCCAATGACAGTTGAGATTCTAAAAACATGCCATTCTAACCTCTAATCATTAAGGATGTAGTTGCTGTAAAACTGTCTAAACTTACAAAAAAAAATTTTTTGTTTACAATGACCTGAATTTGTTTTAGTGTAGACTTAAAGAAATATCTATTCGGTTTTGGTTATCCCCACTAGTTTTGTATTTCTTTCTAAATACAAGAGGAGAAAAAAACTGATTCCAATATAAACATTTATGTGTCACAAACTTATTGCCTATCATAGCAATTTAGTAATCATAGTAATTTAAACATGCTAAATATTAGAATTGAAAATAATGAAATCAATTTATTTATAAAATGCAGAAAAGCAATTATGCAGGTATAACCTAAGCCAATTTTTAAAATAAAGATAAAATATAATTTTTAAGTTCTAATTCATAGATGCCTTATATGTGAACTTAGCATTTCTTTAAAAGCATAATAACTTTTTACAATACTAAAGGATGATTTGGGGCCTTCTTTATATATCATTTATTTATATATGTTAAGGCTCAGCCTTTTACATTATTTTCAAGTCACTTTAATAAAGTACCCATAATAGTACTTACCAAATTTATGCTTCCTGTAGGAGACCCATTAAAAGATTCTGCAGGGGGGAAATTCAACTTAGTATACAGCAAAAAACTTTAAAACGGTTGCTTTATCTAAGGTTCAAACACTAAGAATGAAAGTCACATAAGCCAAGATATAACATAATAGTAAAAAAAAAAAAAAAAAAAAAAATTGTGGATACTCCCAAAAACTTGATCCCTTAAAGTCCCATGGTTTTCTAAGACAGGCATTTAAGTGACAATATAGTATGTACCTGATAGCTGGCCAAAAATCAAAAAGGCATTCGTGTTCAGGAGAGTAATTATTAAATGTTTTTATTCTCATGGTATCAAGTAAGTTGCCTAATACAATATAAGCATGAGGAAAACATTGCAGAATGAGGCCCATTAGGAAACACCAGCACTATTTTGTAACTTCTGTCTCATTGGATTAAGAAAGATTACAAATAAAATCAGTCTGTACTGTGAGGGATAAACAGACTTATTTTTAATAGGTCTATTAAGTCCTCTTATTCTTGGTGGTAGATTATCTTGAAAACACTGGAAGTCCAGATTTTTAAATCAATATATAACAAAAAGACAGTTAAAACTGCATATGCAATTCCATTTCATTAAAAAGCAACTAGGACAAATTAATGTGAGAGAATAAGTCAATGCTGGATTATTAACATTAATGTCAAACAACAATCTTTTCCCTTAGAGTTCTATTATAAATCTAAGAAAATTAAGTTACCAATTAAGGTGTTCCTTTATTAAACACACAAACAAATCTATGGTAAAGCAATATTCATACACAGTTTAATATATGGTTTCGAGCACTTAAGAGGTTATATATGAATTTGGTTCTCTAAATGGGTCTTCAAAAAAGCAACACTACTATTCCTACAAGGAGGCAGCTGATATTGCCTTCCAAATTTACTCTAAATGCTCAAGAACATTTCTTGGTTCTTCAGCCCTCTGGTCATAAAAAAATGGGAATTTCACCTAGGATTATCCCTTGGTGATACTTAAAATAAGTAAAATAGTTATCTATCCTCCTTATTCAATTATATGCCTCCTACCTCTTCTGTAGTGTGCCCACCTCTTAAATCTTCCCACCAAAGACAAGTCAAGTTAAAGGAGAATTTGGGAGCAAAATAGGGCATAGTTTATTTTCTTGATCAACAATAAGAAGATCCAGAAATACAGTATAAAATCAATCTTGGTCGACATTTAATCAAGAATTGGATGACTACCTACAAATATTAGAAAACAAAAGAAAGCACTGTTCAACATGGTGAGACAAATAATGTTGAGATTAAAATTTAAAAAGGAAAGCATAATTCATATAGTTTTAAAAGCCTATGAGACTGTTTTAATAAAGGAGAAAATATCTACTTTTAAAATAATTTCATAACTAAAGAAAGTAATAATGAATAAAGAGAAAGGGCAAAGGAAGAAATGAGGAGAAAAGGAGAGAGGAGAGATAGTAAGCACAAGCAAGCCAACCAGCTAATTCTCTACCTACTGTTAAGTTTGGTTAAATAGGAATGAAATTTCTACTCAAGCAAAGAAAAACCACCAGAGGATACAGTACTATACCATATGATATGACTTGGTCCTTTAATTTTAGGCTCAAATGTAGACTACTTTAAAAAAATCAGCTGTACATTAATCCCTAGGTTAGATAATTATTTCAGAATGTCTAAAAGGTGGTCAAAATTTCAGAATATCTAAAAAATGCATGTAGTGCTCAGCAGCTTAATTTTAAAAGTCAGAAAACTAATTTATAACAAAAAAAGTGGAAAGGCCTATTTTTGATTAAATAATCATATAAAAAGAAGTATATCAGAAGCATTACTAGTTGAGAAAGGTAAACCAGTGGCCTAAAACCTAAACACTGACAAAGACAACAAAGCTGACAGTTACTTTAAATAGTAATGTTTCATATTATACCCATCACTCCATATACTTTTTTTGAATGGTTTCAAAAAAGGGATAGGTAATTTCACAGTATAAAACTCATCAATTAGGAAACAAAATATTAGAGAGCAATGTCCTAGAAAGACAATAAGATACATAAGTATATAATCTCAAACTACAATCAATGATTCAAATGTGAGGGGTTACTCAATAACTGATATATAAGAGAAGCATATTTACTTCAGATCAAAACCAGTTCCAAAAAAAAATTTTTTAATGTACTTCGTGTTTTAAAAAAGTACAGTGTATGATTTTAGGAAGTTTGAGACTGCTTATAGTTTGCTTCCAATAGCTGTACTGAAGAAGACAGACTGGCTAGAAAGATATGAATGGAAGCTAGAAATCCATTTAAAGGACTGGAAGCATTCTTAAGTTACAGGATCAAAAATTACTTCCACAGAATATATTGCTACTATCACCAGTTTAAATTACACATTACTTAGAAGCCCACACAATTATTTGGTTATGACTTTGTCTTCTCTCTTTCTGAGTCACCTAGCAAATCCACTTCACAAATACGAAGAAATTTCTAAAATAGATAAAATTAGTATAAACAACAAAAACTTTTATAATAGTCATTTTAGGATGGTTAGTTGACAGAGCTGCTATTGCAAATTTCATAGCATCTCTATAAAAGAACATTTTTCAATAGAGTAAGTACAGATATATAGAACAAACTAGAGGTACATAAAATTTTACCATTCAACTCAGAGAAGAACTCTGTTTTTTTAAAAAATCTTCCTTAATTATGCAATCAAAATCAGTTAATACATTATTCCAATTGTACACATAAGTAAACTTATAGAGTATTAATTTAAAAACCCAAGGCATCAGATAAATAATCAAAGAAAAGTTACTAAATTTCAAATGTAAACTTCAGTAACTAGATTTCTTAGATTATTTAAAAAACAAAATCTCACTAGTGTAGACACAGGGATAGGAGGTGGAGGAGAGGGGAGGCTGGGAGACTTCCATAATAAAGGTATTTTTTAAAGCAGTGCTCACTACCTAACAGCTCTATTTTATCTCCATTCTCAAGTGTGCTTGCCATAAAACCTATTCATAAGTAAACAGTCATAACTGAAGCACTTTCTTAAAATACTTAAATCTTTCCCATTTACTTTTTATTGACTTCATTCACTTGGTAGAACATACCAGAAAGATCATCCAACCCTAGATATTTAATTAGAGCTTAATAAATACTTCTGAATTGAATCACAAGTTAATGATCATTGGGCCTAAGAATTTGGAAGCTTGTGTTCTAAAGGCTATCCCTCCCACTATTCTTATATAACTCACTATTTACTAATAAAAATTGATACTTGTGTTTTACTTTATAAATCATTTTCAAATGCATAATTCCATTTAAATCTAACAATGACTAACGTAAGATATTATGAGGATATTATTCCAGATTTACCAACTCAGAAAAATGAGGCTTGAAGAATTTAAGCAGTTGGACAACTTCACACAGGTAGTAAGTGATAGAATGGGAGTAAAATCGAAATATTCTGACTCTTAAACCATTTTTTTCACTATAACATGTAAATAGAACTCATTATCCTCACTGGAAAAAACTGAAGGTTGGGATAAATGACTCTTGCGGCTTTTTCTAGCTCAAAAGTCTCTCACACTGTGTAGAATTTGGAAAAGTGTACAATTAAAGATATTTAAAACTGTAGTTTTTTAATAATGCTTTATAGTTTATGATATACTCTGAGTCATTACTTATTGCATATTAAATCTTCTCAATAATTCTATTGTTAATCATGAATATTGTTACTTACTCCCAAAAGGGAAACTGCCATAAAAATATTTCAGTGACTCACCTGAAGAAAACATTCTTCTTCTTTAAGAATTCAAGGCTTCTATAGTTACATTCTAATCCACTATTAAATTTTCAGCATTTTAATTTAGTATAGTCACTAAACTTTGTCATTCATTTGTAGATTTTTTAATATATTACAGTTTATATTTGGACTCCAACAACATTTTTAACTTATACAAAAGCTCTTTTGGTAAGCAGAATATATATAAATATATATGCATATTATGTGTAAAATGGGTGCCACCTTACCTCCATCCCCATCATCGGATCCTCTGAAACTAGGATCTTTTAACATGTCAAGCTCAGCTAACATGCGCACATAAAGTGCATTCTGTCTGAAGGAAGGATAAAATCTTTCATCTCGTAGCATCAATTCATATACCTTGGTGAAATAAATCAAGATATTCAACAATTAATACAGGTGTGTGGTGATTTTTACAAAACACAATTTCACCAAAAGACACACTGAGGTCTTGCCATAATGTATCATAGTTACAAGCTGTCAGCAATAAGACTATTTCACAACTAATGATTTCCTCTGATCCCTCCAGTAACTAAATTATATTGAAAAAAATCCTACTGCAACACAAGTCACAGACAGCACATTCTAGGAATTGTTTTCTAAGAAACAAGTACATGTAAAGGTTCAAGGCTCATGTTAAAATGAATTTGAAAGACATGTTATTTATATGGCATCAATTCATCAAATTCTGAGACTACAATATCTAGCCCTACAATCAAATTCAAATAAAACAACCCAACTTAAGGATTTTCCTCAGAAAATTAACGAAATAAACAAAAATACTGGTTTACATTTCTGGAATTGAGAAGTATAATTGCCATAGTTTATCTTTTTAATACCACTCTACTTTTAGAAAGTTTTTAAAAACTAATTACATTACATAAAAGTATTTTTTCTCAAAAAAGATAAAATGATAAATGCTGTACATAATAATACCTTTCTTTGAATGTCATCAAAGATTTCAGGGGTTGGATCTTCATGATTCAAAGTATCTGCTAATTTTGCTACTAAATAGTCATCAACAGTAACTCTTGGAGATGCCTAACAGAGAAAAATAATAGTAATGATCTCTGTAATTTCTTAATACAAGATGATACTTGATAGTATGATAATAATGGAATCATATTATTGAAAATAACTGGCAGGTAAGAATCATTGGTTTGTAAACGACACCTTGATGTTTAAGAAGGATGAAACAGGACTAAACCCTTCTCTTCCTCATGTACTCTTCCTCATAGCAGGCTGGCAAACAAACACGGATTTAAATCTCAACTTTTGCCTAGCAAGTTATCTCTCAGTAAGCTTCATTTACCCCATCTGTAAAATGGAGATAATACTATATAAGGTTATTTAGGATTATTGTAAGGATTAAAAAAGATCTATATAAGATATATACCATAGTGTCTGGCACATAGGAAACACTGTCATTAGGAGTCAGTGTTTAGTATTCAGTAGTACTAGATGTGTATTAATATGACTGCTGAACGAATAAGCCATTTCATTTATTATTTGACCCTAGAGAAACCTTTTGAATGTCCTTTAAAGAGATTACTGTTATCCTAAATTTGGTTTTATAACTAATGCTGCAGCAAAGTTCCAGTGTGATATGGGGAAAAAAAAGTCTTAAAATTAATTTGTTTTAAGAACTTCAATTTCAAAGTATATAACACAAGGAAATACAAAATTTGACATTTCAACTTCAAAAATTACTTTATTAAAAGAAAAAATGCTGAAAAGCTAGACATGTCAACAGCTTCAGCACATCAACTTTTGCATTTTCAGTTCTGAAAAGTCTGGAGAGTAAATGAGTCCTAGAGATAACATTTAGAGAAACTAACAAAAACAAAAAGCATTATTTACATAACTTCTCTAATTTATCCAATAAAATAAAGAACAGGTAGATAAATCAAGAAAGGAGAAAAAAAAAGTAAACATCAGGATATAAATATGTAGGAAAAGGGCTATACAACTTCTAATGCCCCACTGTCAATTTGACGCTTTTGTTAGTAAACCTAAGTAGGTTGTGTGGTGGTTGTTGTTTTGAGGGGGATGCTTATTTGTTTTGTGTTTCGGGGGGTAGTAGAGTTGCCCTGAAATAGAAACGGGAGAACTAAACAGCTTCAAGTATTTAACAAACATTAGAGAGGAATATGATGTTACTTGGTTTTGCCCTTTCATTTGCCCTCTAAGCTCACTAAACTCACTTTCTAGGAAATAAAAAGGGTGAATTTGAAACATCATATTTTACGTTTATTTAAACTTTACTTTTTCCTATATATCTCAAGTATACAGAATAGATTAAGCCACATCTTTGGTATAGGATGACCAACACTTTTAGTGTACCAACATGAAACACAACCAGTCAAGATCCCCTCTTCCAAAAAAAGTAATACAAAAATAATACTTATATGGCCAGGCATGATAGCTCATGCTTGTAATCCCAGCACTTTAGGAGGCTAAGGCAGGTGGATCACTCGAGGGCATAAGTTCGAGAACAGCCTGGCCCACATGGCAAAATCCCTGTCTCTTTAAAAAAATACAAAAATTAGCTGGATGTGGGTGCATGCCTACAATCCCACCTACTCGGGAGTCTGAGTCAAGAGAATTGCCTGAACCTGGGATGCAAAGGGTGCAGTGAGATTATGCACTCCAAACTTTACGACAGAGTGAGACTCCGTCTCAAAAAACAAAACAACAACAAAAAAGAAATATTTGTACACATTTGTTATTACTTTAATGTGAAAATATAAAAGTGAATGTTTTCCCAAAATTATCTCTTAATGTGTATTCTTTACTTTTCTATTACAGAAATGTGATTATTTAAACAAACCAATGGGACTAGTTAACAGTGGCAAATAATCTGTGTGAGAAAAATACAACAATATGTAATTTACAATGTTTCTGTCCTCTAATATACCAATTTAACTTTTTTTAAAACTCTATTGGATACTTAAATGTTATAGGCTATATTGTTTTGTATTCTTAAAATACAGAAAGACTTTTTAAAAGACAAATGTACATAAAAGCAAAATATACATGCAAAACAGGTATTATCTATATTTAACAAAAATAAATAATGACTTTTCTATCGAGTCCATGATGCAGTAGGATATTTTTGCTTTTTCTGTTTCCTTCTCTAATACTTTTCTGAACTGCCTGCAGCCTTTAGGACATCTTTTATGCAGTGTTACCACTGAATATAATCAAACATAAAAATTCACCTTGATTTTTAGCTCTGCTCTTTTCAAGCCCACCTCACACTTATTTCTTGTGTCAATCCAATGTGAAGGATCAAGTTAAATAAACTTTTTAAAAAAAAAATTTTTTAAGAGGCAGAATATTGCTCTGTTACCCAGGCTGGAGCGCAATCATATGATCACGGTTCACTGCAGCCTTGATATCCTGGGATCAAGCACCTGGTTCAGCCACCCAAGTAGCTAAGAATACAGCCTTGTGCCACCAACTCCAGCTAATTTTCTTTTCTCTTTTTCTTTCTGTAGATACAAGATCTTGCTATGTTGTCCATGCTGGTCTCAAACTCCTGGCCTCAAGGAATCCTCCCACCTTGGGCTCCCAAAGCACTGGGATTTTAGGTGTGAGCCACTGCACCTAGCCTAAATATCCTTTCAACAAAATAATTTGGGAATGTAATAATTGGGATTTTACTTATTAAAAACAGGTTTTTAAATGTGTAGAAATTTGATTTCGGTGCTCCAAAAAAAGTCCAAAAACCATATATATGGCTTGTTTGGTAGGTAGATCAACTGTTTGTCAATCAGGTCTTTTTCATCTATAAATTCATCATATAGGCTATCCAGGCCTACAATGCTCATTTTTAAATACTTTGAAGCATAATGATGTCATCATAAGTTAAATCCCTTTTTGAGGAAAAATGGTTTTTAAATAGACAGATAAACTTGTCAAACTGAAGTTCAATTCCAAATAAATTACTTTTAGTAAAGAAATTTAGAAAATCCTGTTAAAGTTGGCTGTCCTTTTCTGGTGACACATTTTTTTTTTTTAATATTCAAGTAGTCTTATTTTAAAAATAGGAGTCATTTTGCTCACTATATGAGTTTTTATCACAACCTACATGTATCATCAAACAACTCAGGTCAGTGTGTCAACTCTTTTCTAGGCTGCTTTTGGCCTCGTCAAAGATCACCTACCAATTTTAGCGAAACAGTATATAAATTTCTGTTTACTGTAATCCTTTTCTCCATTTTCATTCAAAAAGTATTTCAAATTAGAGAAAAACATTTTTCTTGTCCTATACTTAAAAAAATATGATTTTACCACAGACCAAGATTTTAGCATTTTTTCTATAGCTAGCAAGAATCAGACCTTATTAAGCAAATTATTTTATTTTCTATTTCTTCTTGAGTTAGTGTGGCAATCTGTGTCTAAAAATTTGTCCACTTTAAGTTGTTTAATTTGTTGTCATAAAGTTGATCATAATATTTGCTTACTCCTTTTAATTTCTGTAGGGTCAGGGTTCATGTCTCCTCTTTCATTTATGAATTTGGTTATCTGTGTCTTCTTCCATTTTTTCATGGCCAGTCTAGCTAAAGGTTTGACAATATTGTTGATATTTTCAGAGAACCAACTTTTGGTTTTAGATTTTCACTATGGTTTTTCTGTTTTCTATTCACTGATTCTCACAATAATCTTTGTTTCCTTTCTTCTGTTTGCCTTGGATTTATTTTTCATTTCTAGATTTTTAAGTAAAAAAAGATTGTTGATTGTAGATCTTTTATCCTAGACATTTTTAAAGCTACAAATATTCTTCTAAGCACTAAGTAGCTGCATCTCATGAATTGATACAATGCATTTTCATTCTCAATTAAAAATACTTTCTAGTTTCCTTGTCATTTCTTGTTGACTCAGAGGCTATTTAGAAATATGTTGTTTAATTTTCAATTATTTGTAGTTTCCCCAAATTTCCTTTTGTTGATGTCTAATTTGATTCCATTCTGATCAAAGAACAATTCCAATACTTTTAAATGGAGACGGCTTTTATGGCCTTGCAAATGATTTATCTTGGAGAATGTTTCATGTGTTCTGGAAAATAATGTGTATTTTGCTTTCATTAGGGGAAATAGTCTATAGAATAATATACATATATGTATTACAGTATTACATTACCTATTATATATATAACAATATATGCATATATTACAATATTATTAGAATTGTTATTAGATTAGAATTATTACAATATTATTAGATTACATTATTAGAATACATGTATGCTATAAGTTCTAAAGCAATTCTATTCTATATATGTATTCTATACATTCTATAATAAAATAATCTATACAATCATATTACATAAAATATATTCTATAGACGCTATAGATTATATATATTCTATAGAATTATAGTGTATTACATATATTCTATAGAATTATAGTATAGTATATATATTATTCTACAGGATTAAGTGATTTATAATGTTCCTAAAGTCTTGTATATCCTTGATGTTTTTCTATCTAATTGTTTTATCAATTATTGAAAGTGGGGTATTGAAGTCTCCAACTATAACCGTTGAATTGTCTCTCTTACCCTTCAATTGTGCAAATTTTTGTTTCATTCATTGGGGGGCTCTGTTATTAAATGTACATATGTTTAATACATACATTTAAACATATATACGTTTTTTAAATATATATACGTACTCTCTTTTGTTTACTTTTGCATGGTTTATCTTTTTCTATCCTTTTACTTTCAGCCTGTGGTGAATCTAATGTGTGACCTTGAATCTTATTCTATCATTTAGTATTTGCATGACTGTGGCCATGATAATTTGACTGGCTAAACATCAGAATCTTCACTTAAACGAGGATACAGACAGACAGGAAGATTGTTATCGATTAAAGGAGACAATGTTTTCGAGGTAGTCAGCCTGGCATAAGCAATGGATTACAAAAATTATTAATAATACTGCTAAAGAAGAAAACAGTAATCAAAATACAGCCTCACCTTTTCTGATAAATACTGTTCATAAATTCCAACAGCAGCTGCTCTTAAAAGACCTTTGGTTTGGTTGGTTTGATGTTTTCCATCTCTCTGACGACTTAATAAAACTTCTAGCTGCTGTTGGGCGGTAACCCGGTATCCTTCCACTGTCATCCAAAAGAATAGATGTGCTTGACCTCCAGTTTGCTGCATGTAATCTAGCAATCAAAAATCCATAATAACATAAATATTAGTGTCACACAATTTGGGGTCCATGTAGTTTTATGACAAGTAAAGAAGGATTAAAGTTTCAAGTGTTTAAAACTCCACATTTTGAAAATGTTTTAGCAAATCCCTGAGGTGAAAATATAGTTGTAAATTAGTTACGCTAAAAAACCAGTTATGTTAAAAACAAAAGTGAAGTCGTGTATTTCAGAATTTTTTCAATCCCACTTTTCATAATAAAATCTCTAGTGAATAAATTTGTTACATAAAACATTCAACATTTGTTCTCAATAAAGATTGTTATAATATGAATATTTCTAGACATTTTTAAAAATGACTCTTCAAACCATATATTTATATTTTTATCACAAAAATGAAAATGTATAGAGGTTTGCTGAAAATGTCCTCCAGATAAAAGCAATCCTAACGTAATAGCAATAAGATCTAAATTAAAAAGTATATATTAAAATGGTATAAAAACAAAATCCCTCATGTACACATGAACAAAAACGATACAAACAGGTTATATACATTGTATGTTCCCAATAAAGTACTCTTTCTCAATGAATTTTAATTTGCATTAGAATTTCCTAGAATTTATTTTAAAAGCAGTTTGGTAAATGCACATTATTTATGATAACTATTTCCTTCAAAACAAAACAAAGCTCTACCTCCATGGTTTCTAAAGAAAAACATTTCAGAGAATAAAGGCTGGACTGAATTTGGCATGCAAAATATTAACTACTTAAAATTCAATAATATTTAAAATTCTTAAAAATTTCAAAGAAGATGTGGGAGTGTGAAGCACCAGAATTCTATCTCTCCACCTCCACAACAAGTGCAATGGCAGAATCTGATGTAACTAATTTGGAACTCTGGAATCTAATGAAGATTTGCAACATTTAAGGGAAGGCTTGGGAAGTAAGCTTTGGTTAATCTCAGTCCATTCCAGCTCTTAGCACAACTGCAGCTACCATTCCCCACTCTCAGACTACTAGAACAAGTAGCTGTGCATGCACTCCAGAATTAGCTTGTACACAGCAAGTAGGAACCAGGGTGGACAAAAAACAACTTGTCCTTCAAATATTCGGATCTAGGCTCTGACAGCACACTGCTGCTTCTGATCAAAGAGGTGCAGACAAATAGGCAGCCTTTGTTGTTGCATATCTCTTGATTGGTCCAAGCCCCTTTCCTTTCTGCTGAAGTAACAAGCAAGAGATTTAGAAGACTGGCACCCTTTCTCCCTTGACTCCTACAGTTTTACCTTTATCTCCCTTTGGGAGCCATGCATTAAAAATGAGGACATTCAAAAGCAACCACATATGTGGGAAAATTAGAAAGTGACTATGCATGCCCAGGGAAAAGCACAAGTTCAGAATAGTCTTGAGAAGACTTTTAAGTTTATACCTCAGGCTGATCCTTAGCATAAACAGCCTACATATTAAAAACAAAAACAGTAACAACAATAAAGAACAGCAAACCCTAAGGAAAGGGAAGTGATTTCCAGAGTTACTACATTATTAGATTCAAACAGCCAGTTATTCATACACACACACACACACACACACACACACACGCACACACACCCCAAGGCATACAAAGTACATGGCAAGTGTGGCCCATTCAAAGAGGAAAAAAAGCCAACATACATGAACAGAAACTGTCCCCAAAAAAGACCTGATGGAATATCTACTAGATGAAGACTTTAAAACAACTACCTTAAAGATGCCCAAAAGACTAAAGAAAGATGTAAAAAAGTCAATAAAACAATCTATGAACAAAATGGAAAGATCAATAGAGACAGAAAACCTAGAAGAAACCAAAATAAAATGGAGGTGAAAAGTATATAACCAAAATAAAAAATGCACTAAAGGAAATTTAAGGTAGATTTGAGCAGGCAGAGGAATCAGCAAATGTAAGGATAGATTAATAAAAGTTTTAGATTCAAGAAACAGAATGTAAAAATACAAAGAAGAGTAAACAGAGCCTAAGGGACCTGCTGGACCAAGTTACATATGGGAGTTCTATAAGGAGAAGAGAGAAACAGGCAGATCATATTTGAAGAAATGACTGAAAATTTTCCAAATTTGAAGAAAGGCACGAATATAAACACCCAAAAAGCTCAACAATCTCCAACTAAGATGAATTCAAAGATACCCACATGGAGACACATTATAATTCAACTTTCAAAAAATAAATCATCCAAAAGCAGAAAGAGAAAAACAACACATACAAAATATCCAAAAGATTATCAGCAGATTTCTTTCAAGAAACTTTGGAGGCTAGAAGGTGATGGAGTGATATTCAAAGTGCTAAAAGAAAAATACTGTCAACCAAGTTCCTATATCTGGCAAAACTATACTTCAAAATGAGAGAGAAGTAAGGATTCCCAGATAAACAAAAGCAAAGGAAGCATCTTACCATAAGACCTGCCTTGCAAAATGTGCTGAAGGGTAAATTAAACAAAAGGACACTAGATAGTAACTTAGTACTTTGAAATCATATGAAGAAATAAATATCTCAGTAAAAATAAAAATATGGGCAATTATAAAAGCTAGTATTATTAACAATGATTTGTAACTCTATTTTTTTGTTTTCTATGGGACTGGAAAGACGAATACGATTTTAAAAAAAATCAACTATCAGTCTGAAAGCCAGAAATATTGTACTTTGTTACTGCACATCCTGGTTTCTACATAATTTACAAAAGTAACTCATTTAAAAGAACTATTAGTTCATATTTTGAACACACAATTTGTAAAGACTTAGTTTTGTGACGTCATCAAAAGAGGGATGGTGACAGAGCTGTAAAGGAGCAAAGTTTTGAATACATTTGAAATTAAGCTGGCATAATTTCAAATTACAGTGTTATAAATTTAGGATGTTACATGTAATCCCCATAGTAACCACAAAGAAAATGGCTACATAATATACATAAGAGGAATGAGAAAGAAATTTAAACATGTCACTACAAAAAAATCAACTAAATACAAAAGAAGTCAGTTATGTAGAAAAGACTATCAAAAAAGACATAAAGCATGTAGAAAACAAATAACAAGATGACAGAACTCTTTCCTTATAAATAATTACTTTACATGTAAATTGATCAAACTTTCTAATCAAAAGACAGAGACTGGCAGAATGGATTAAAAAAATCAATCCAATGATATACTGTCTACAAAGACTTTAGATACAAAGACATAAATAAATTGAAAGTGAAAGAATGAAAAATCACATCACATGCAAACAGTAACCAAAATAGAGCAGGGGAGGCTACACTAGTATCAGCTGAAATAGACTTTAAATCAAAAATGGTTAAGATGTAAATAAGGTCATTATATATTAATAAAAGATTCAGCATAACAAAATAATACAACAATTATAAACAGTTACATACCTATTAACAGATCACCAAAATATATGAAGCAAAAACAGACAGATTTGAAGGGAAAAAGAGACAGTGCCACAATAATAGTTGGAGATTTCGATGCCCCACTCTCAGTAACGGATAGACCCAGACAGAAGATAAGTATGGAAATAGAGGACTTAACACAATATACCAGGTAGATTTAACAAGCATACAGAACACTTCCCAACAACAGCATACAGCTTCTTCTCAGGTACACATGGAATATTTTCTGAACAGACCATACAGTGGGCCACAAATTGAGTCTCATAAAGTTTTTAAAAATGGGTATCATGCAAAGTATCTTCTCCAACTACAATGGGATAAAATTATAAAACAATAACAAAATTAAAACTGGAAAACTCATATATTTTTGGAAATCAAACAACACACTTTTTATTTACCCTACTTATCCTCTGAAAACATGAAAACACACTCACACAACCAATGGATCAAAGAAGAAATCACAAGAGAAATTAGAAAATACATAAATATTAATTAAAACAAACATAACACACCAAACTAATGGGACACAGCAAAAAGGAAAATCTCAAATCATCTTTCCTTATGTTGTAAAGCTTTTTAACTTTACAACATAAAGAAATAGAAAAAGAACAAATTAAACCCAAAGCTAGCAGAAGGAAGGAAACAGTAAAGATTAGAGCAGAGATAAACAAAAGAGAGAACAGAAAAACAATAGTAAAAGTCAATGAAAGCAATAGTTGATTCTTTGAAAAGAGTGACAAAATTAACAAACATTTATCCAGGAGGACAAAAAGAGAAAAGACTCAAATTACTAAAATCGGAAGTGAAAGTGGGGATATTACTAATGACTCTACAAAACTAAAAGTACTATGAACAATTGTATGCCAATAAATCGGATATCCTAGTGGAAATGGAAAAATTCCTAGAAACAGAAAATCCACCAAAACTAAATCATGAAGGAATTGAAAATCTGAGGAGACTGATAACGTAGTAAGGAGAATGAATCAGTAACCAAAAATCGTCAATAAAGAAAAGACCTGGACCTGAATAGCTTTACTGGTGAATTCTATCAAACATTTAAAGAAAAGTAACACCAATCCTTTTTAAATTTTTCCAAAAAATTAAACAGGAAACACTTCCTAACTCATTCTATGAGGCCAGCATTATCCTGAAAACAGAACCAGATAAAGATAGTACAAGAAAACTACAGACCAATGTTCCTTATAAATATAGATGTAAAAATCCTCCATAAAATACTAGCAAAACAAATTCAGCAGCATATTAAAGAAATTATACACCATGACTAAGGTGGCATTTATTCCTGGAATCCAAAGATGGTTGAACATACAAAAAAAAAAAAATCAGTCTAATACAGCACAACAGAATGAAGGATAAACACCACATCTTAATTGATGCACAAAAAGCATATCACAAAATTCAACACATTTTCATGACAAAAACACTCAATAAACTAGGAACAGAAGGCTACTATCTCAAAATAATAAAAGCTGTATCTGAAAAATCCCACAGTGAATAATATACTCAATGATGAAAGACAAAATACTTTTCTTTAAGATCAGGAACAAGACAAAGATTAAGATCAGGAACAAAAAGATTAAGATCAGGAACAAGACAAAGATGCCTGTGTTTGCCACTTCGTTTCAACATAGTACTGGAAGTACTAGGCAGAGAAATTAGGAAAAGTGGAGGGAGGGGAGAAGAGGTAAGGGGAGAAGCAAGTGTGTGCGTGTGTGTACACACACACACACACACACACACGAATATTATTCAGCATTAAAAAGGAAGGAAATTCTCACATATGCTATAACACGGATAAAACCTGAGGGCATATCCACGTTAAGTGAGTAAGCCAGTCACAAAAAGGCAAATACTGTACAATTCCACCTACGTGAGGTACTTAAGAGTAGTCAAAATTATAGAGACAGAAAGCAGAATGATGGTTGCAGGGGTTGAGAGTGTGAGGAATGGAGAGAGTTGGTGTTTAATGAGTAGAGTTTCAGTTTTGGAAGATAAAAACAGTTCTGGAGACTCTGTACAACATCATGAATACATTTAATATCACTGAACTATACACTTAAAAATAGTTGAGATACTAAATTTTATGTGTATTTTACAATAAAAAATCGAAAAAGAAATTCAATGGCTGTATCATTTAAATAGAATTGATCTACCTACCCATAAAAAATTGTAGTGCAACATTGTCTACAAGAATGCTGTCCAGGGGGACTGTGCAAAGTTTCCCAAAGTTTGCTGCAAGTTTCACAGTATTTATTTCCTACAGGCAAAAGTGAATATAAGTTAATATTTTATCTAATCATTCATTGTTAAAGATGTGTACATAAATATAAGGAAAAAAATCAAGCTAAAACGGAGTAAAGATGAAGTTTTTCCCTTCTCATGCATGTTGTTTCCCAATAGATATACATTGTGTGAATTTAAATTCCTAGTTAAGAGTTGCTTAGCAAATTAAAAATATTAACACATTAAAAATAATAGCATTCAACTGTTTCAATATAAAATAAATAGAAATCACTATATTTTCAATTATTCTCTATCTCTATATATTCCAAATGAAAATGAACATTCCAAAGGCTAAAAGGGTGAAGGAAATGGTTAATATACGCAAGAATTTTAAAAACTCAACATTTTCATGTATAAAGTCTATTTACTACTAGGAAAACAAAATATGCCTAAAGAGTAATTTTGCTCCTAACTCAGTAAAATCTCTAATTATTAGATAAAATGTGTTTTTTTTCCAGACTCTCTAAACAGTGAATTTCAGACATACTTTTCAAAGTCACAGAGCAAGGAAACAACCTACATATGAAAAAAAAAAAGGGAAAAATTGCGTCCAAAATTTAAAGAGCATCTACGTATCAGGCTTTGGGCTAGTTACATTACAGATATTACTTCATTTAATCCGCACAGCAATCCTGTTGGATATGTATCACCACGTCTACTTAACAGACAAGGAAAACGAAGATGAAAAAGGTTGCCTATTAAGTCACAAAGCCGGTAAGTATGACTACATGTTTTCAAATGCTGCTGCCCTTTCCAATAAGAGCCATGATGTTTCCATGAATTATTTATTTTCACTGGCTTCTCTATATTCCCAAATTCATATTTCAGAACCCTCTATTTAAAAAAGAAAGATAGGCAGGTTTACTGTAAATGAAGTAGGCTGCCATATTCAGAGGCAGATACTAAATTAAGCATAGGTGGTAAATAAAGGAAAATGTAGAGAATTAAAAAAAAAAACAAATCCATCTCTATAATTTGTATTTTCCTTCATGTAAGTACTGAATAATAACAGCTAACTGACTTTAGATGTCTGGTAGAGAGCAATCTAGAGGCAGCACATGATTCCTACTAAGTCTCCCTTCTTCAAATTGTATCACCTCTTTCTCCTGCCCAGCAGCGGCTCCACAGATACAGGATGGAAGGAAAATTCGCTGAGGATAAAGGTTTCTAAGATTTCAAGATAAGTAACATGGCTATATAACTGCAAATCCGTGGGGATTCTGAGTTTACTTACAAAGGAAAACACTGTATGATCTGAGCTCATTAAAAAATAAAGCTTGTATTCAAAATGGAATTGACAGGCTTGCAAACAAAATATCTAAATTTTAAAAGGATTCAATATCAAAAAGTGCCTGGGTAAATACACTGAGTAATGACGCTGAAAGATCACTACCTCTGAGATCTAGATAAGGAAGTAGTTAAAGAAAAGCACAAGTGAAACCGTATCTTTCTTCTACGCTCATTTGCACGAGTATATAAACTAGTTTTAAAATAAAGTTAACCAAAACAAAGGTGCACACACACACACACACACGTAACAAATATGGGCCTCAAGTAATGTTTCTTAAGTTATAATTCACCTAGAAAACTAAATTTAAGGGTTTTTTTGTTTGTTTGTTTGTTTTTTTGAGACGGAGTGTCGCTCTTGTTGCCCAGGCTGGAGTGCAATGGTGCCATCTCAGCTCACCGCAACCTCTGCCTCCCAGGTTCAAGTGATTCTCCTGCCTCAGTCTCCCGAGTAGCTCGGATTACAGGCATATGCCACCACGGTTTTTAAAAATAATTCTTCTATTCCTTAAGGAGTTTAAATACACTGTAAAATTATAAGACCAGAGACTCACAAATAAATTTTCAAAACAAAACCACAGCAAAAATGTGACCTCATTAAAAACCTAAGGGTATTTAAGAAATGCTTTTTCCTGCTTTAAAGCCCCAAATCTCTGCTCTCCTTTAGGGCAAAACTTCTCTAAAGAGCAACTATCGTTACTGTTTCTAATTTACCTCTTCCCATTCTCTCATGGACAAACTCCAATTAAGATTTTTCTCCACTACTCCACAAAAAATGCTCTCATCAGATCACCAATAATCCAGAAGGTAGGAAGTCCAATGGTCAATTCTCAGTCTTCATCTTTCTCCACGTTATCCTTTGATACACCTCTTCTTTCCCTTTTATAAACACTTTTAACATTTGGCTTCTGAGATATTATTAGGGACAGGGGGCACAAAATTCTAGGCAGAAAAGGGTGGTCCCTGGCGAAACACCACCCCCTCAAGCCAAAAAGCCTGAGCCCACAGTCCTAAATGAGAATTTATATCCCTGTTTTCCTGCTCGAATGTTGCCTTTTCCTAAACCACCCATGGCCGCACACCACCCCATCCTGTGCCTATAAAAAACCGAGACTCAGCTGGTAGCCGGGACTACGGCTGGACATTGGAGAGAAGCGGCTCAACTTCAGAGGGACAGCTTGATGGCATAACTTCGGAAAGAATCCAAATGGAGACAGCCGGACTTCAGGGGAAGATTACCTACCCGCCCCATTCCCCTTTTCAGCTCCCCTTCCCACTGAGAACCACTTTCATCGGCCATAAAGTCTCCAGCATTTACCATCTTTCAACTCATTCATGTGACTTCATTTTTCCTGGACGCCGAGTAAGAGCTCAGAAGCCACGAGTGTGCACACAAAAGGCTTTCACACTGGCCCTGTGCCCTCACTGATGAAGGGCAGCCGCCTCATGCAAAAAGGCAAATGGTCCACTGAGCTGTTAACCCTTAAGCCATCCACAGACAGCAGAGCTAAGAGAGCGCTGTAACACACCTTCTAGGGCTTTGGGAGTCACAGGCACCTCTGACTGGACAGCTGTAGGGCCTGAACAGAGTTTGCTCTTGCCAGTGCTAATGCATCGGCCAGTTCCTCCACCCACTCACCTGGGTGCTCCCTCTCGCGAGGGGTGGAATACAGTGGGTCCGAGTGAGTGGAGTTTGATCCCGCCAGTGCCGAAGTGGCAGGCTGGTTCCAGCACTCCTTCACTCAAGTTCCCACTGGCTTGCTCACGCGCTCCCCACCACAAAGAGTTGAGAACAGCAGGCTGAGCAGTAAACAAGACACCCCTGTTGCAAGTCCTGCGAAGGGGTCAGGGAAGTACCCTGCTTCAATATCACATGCTCAGGTTTTCCTGCAATCTCACTGGCTATTTACTCTGTTTCTTTGGCTAGACTCTTTACTTTGTCTTAAACTCTGTTCATTGAAGTGTAGTAGGACCAAGTCACCAGTGCATTCCTACTTACACACACTCTTTTAGATAACATCATCCAGGCTCTCAACATTAAACATCTGATAATTCTGAGGATTTACAAAATTCATCTCCATCACTAACTTTTCCTTAGAACTCAAGATTGCCAATTGGCATGTCTACTTGAATGTCAAACAGGGATCTCAAATTAAAATACCCAAAACTCAATTCTCTTTTCTAAACTTCCTCCTCTCTCAGTGTTACCCAATTCAGTAAACAGCACCACTATTTATACAGTTGCTCAAACCAAAATACCCTGAAATTATCCTTGAGTTATTTTTTCTTTCTCACCCCATATTCACTCCATTAAGAAAATCCTATTAGCACTATATCCAGTCTCTAATCGCTTCTCACAACCTCCATAGACATCTCTTATCTAGTTTTAAATCAGGAGTATTGCAAATAATCTCTCAGTTTCCATTCTTACCCCCATCATCTCACACTTTGTGTCTATTCTCCACAAAGAGTAAAGATAATAATTTTAACTTTTAGCTTGTAAGTCAGGTAATGTCACTTGTCAGGGCAAATCTCCAATTGATTTTCATCATAATTAGAATAAAATAAAATTCTTACTATGGCCACTAAGACCATATATGACCATATAAGATCTAACCCCCCGGTTCTTCTATGACTTCATTCCTAGCACAATAGCTCATTCATTCCATACCAACCACAACAACCTCCTCCAATTCACCAAGGACATTCTTACTTTAGTGCCCCTGCATTTGCTCTCATGACTGCCTCTAAGATAGATACTTCAAAGGCAAACAAAAATACATCACAGGACTAACTGCCTCATGTTATTTAGATCTCACTATGATCAAGTGTCATCGAACCTCTTGGAACCTATCTAAACCAGTCCAAGACATTCTCTATACGCTACTTTGCTTTATTACTGTTTTTTGCAGTAGATATCACCACCTGATATTACGCGTCAATTTGCTTATTGGTTTATTTCCTGACTCTGCAACTAAAATGTAAACTCCACGAAAAGAGTCTGTCTGCTTGGCTCTTCTAAAAAGTACCCAACTCACAAAACTGAATAAATGTAAGTTTTGAATAAACAAATGATACACAAGTAAATGTATAAATAAATCAAGGAATAAAATAAAATCTTCAATTACTTTAACATTTTTCAGGAAGCATTTTAGTTAACCTTTTTGGCATGTTTTAACAAATATTTATATCACATTGTAGAAGAGAAAACTCTTTTTAAAGTCCTCTTGTAAAGTGCTGCACTGGTAAACGTCCTGCTTTTTGTCCTTTACTGTGCATTTTTAATCCCTATAGTATAGTATTTATAACTAAACGTTAATTCAAAACTACTTTACTTACTTTGCCTGACTGCAATCGCTGTATTCTTGAGTCACATACCTTCTTTACGAATAGTAAGCTATTTATTTGATTTTTGATAGTGTTGATATCTAAAAGCAAAGAAATCATGAACTAGAAAGTGGTAGTGTTATTTATGAAATACTTTAAACATGCACTTACTGTAATTTAACAAAATAACCAATAATACAGCAACTGTTTTAGTCAATAAAAGAAACCATCTGAAATTATACAGTGAAATTATTTAATTAAAAGTAAACCATGCCAATTACCTCCACTTTAGGGATAATTACAATAATCACATTCTCACATTCTGAAAATAATGCTTTTACTTTAACTAAGCACATGTTAACCTAATAAGGAAGATTTAATTAAGGTGAAAACATTAATATCAGAAAATGACATTTAGGTAAATTAATCAAAGTTTTGAAGATAAAATAATACTTCAAAAAAATATATCTTAAATTAAATACATTACTTACCATCACCAGCTGTATCTAGAGATCTAAGATACTGTAATTCTTCTGCTGCCTTATCTCTGACTGCTTCTAGCTCTCCAATATTGTCACTCAATTTAATAATGTTCATAAAGGCCTCATAGTTGCAGTTAGAATCACGGATCTGAAAACAAGTTTAAGAAAAACAGGTGGGAGAGGAACTCACTTATGAAAAGGAAAACTGAATCTTGAGTGCCTACTATGTGCTAGGACAATTTGCTACATACTCAGTGCTTACAACAAAAAGAAAAAAGTTCTATATTTGGGCACCTATTTTCCAATGGATCTTAGACTGCAAATAAAATAAAGTATTATACAGCATGTTTGAAACTGTAGGAATAGGAACATGCTCACAGTATTTGATGATAGCAAAGAAGCCATGATGACTGGAACTAAACCAAAGACAAACTGAGCAAAAGATATGGTCAGCAGCAATGGAGGGCAAATCTTCTGTTATAGTACAAAGGTTTTAGCTTTCACTCTGAAGCAAGTCAGAAGTTATATTGGAAGGTTTAAACAGAAGAGTAACACTCTCTAACCTAAAATATAACACAACCACTGTGTTGTTGTATAAAAATAGAATAAAGGCAGAGCCAAAATCAGAAAAAAGGACCAGTTAATAAGACAAGTGAAATATAATATAGTCAGGGAGCAGGGTGGTGACAATGGTGGTGTGGTACAAAGTGTTTTATAGAATGTTTTCTGGTAAGACGGGTTTTGTAAAGACAATGCCAAAAGAATTTGCTGATAAATCAGACATGGCCGTGAAATAAAGAGAACATAGAACTACACTAACATCGTTGGCCTGACAACTGGAATAGTGGAGTTACCACTAAACAAGATGGAGAAAAAAATTAAGAGATGCAGCATTTGCCGGGCGGGGGGGGCGGGGAGTCGGGGAGGCAAAATATTATGAGGGTGTTTTTGGCAAAATTAAGTGTGAGATCCCATTAAATATAAAAATGGCCATTAGTATGCTTTTGAATATGATGGACAAGAGTTCAGAAAGGAAGACTACACAGAAATACGCATTTTAAAGTCACTGACATGGAGATGACACTTAAAACCATGAACATGGATGGGAATAATCAAGAGAATGAGGGTAGAGTGAAAAAAGAAGAGATCTAAGGACAGATACTCAGAAGATTTACTTACACAGCAAAAAGACTGAGAAAGGCCAAAAACGTAGGAAAAAAAATCAACAAACTTTGGTGTTCTAACAAGCCAAGTAAAGAAGTGTTTTAAAAAAGAAAATGACGGCCAGGTGCAGTGCTTGTAATCGCAGCACTTTGGTAGGCCAAGGCGGGCGGATCACCTGAAGTCAGGAGTTCGAGACCAGCCTGGCCAACATGGTGAAACCCCGTCTCTACTAAAAATAGAAAAATTAGCTGGGCATGGTGGCAGGTGCCTGTAATCCCAGCTACTAGGAAGGTAAGGCGAGATAATCGCTTGAGCCCAGGAGGCGGAGGTTGAAGTGAGCTGAGATCGTGCCACTGTACTCCAGGTTGGGCGCCAGAGTGAGATTCCGTCTCAAAAAGAAAAGAAAAGAAAAAAAGAGAGGGGAGGGGAGAAGAGAGGAAAAGAGGATAAACTGTGTCAAGCATTTCATATAGATGTAAAACAAAAATAAGGAATCTAAGAATTGACCATAACAATGGGGATTATTCTCTTTGACTTGTAAAAGTTTATTGGAGGAGTTCAAGAAAGAAAGAGCAGAGAGAAAATGTAGACAGCCAACAGTCAACCCTCTTATAAAGTTTTGCTGTAAAAAAAATAAGCAGGAGTAAAGAGTACTGCCTAAAATGGAATGTAAGATCAATGACTTCTTTCATCTTCTTTTTAAGATGAGAGAGATAATGACAAAGGTGTATGATAATAAGAATGATCATATAAAGAGTGAAAATGTGATGGTACAGAAAGAAAGTGTAAAATTGCCAAAGCAATAAAATGAAATTGTCTAGAAGGAGTTGGTTACAATGCTCACATAAAGGACTTGCTTTAGCTAGATACATGGATATTTCATCCACAGTAACAGAAGAAAATATAAAATATACATGCATAGATACAGGTTATGAATGTACGTGGTAACAGGATATTATGAAACATCTCTTTCAATTTCCTCAATTTTTCAGTGGAGAACTATGGTCATGAGCTAAGAGAAAAGATGTGAAAAAATATATTAAATGAAAGTGAAGGAAGTATAAAAGAGTTGGTCAGAAGAGTGGGCCAGGTAACATAACAGGAAAAATTTAATGATTGCAAGGCAAGAATAAGGGCACAAATGAGATGAGTGCTCATGAATTTAAAATGAGACCAGTGTAGGTTTCTTTTTTTTCATCAACCACATTCACCTGCTTAAAAATAGGAATGTAGAAGCAGTTATGTTGGATTTAACCAGTGTTGTGGTGTCAATAAGCAAATAAAGTTAAAGAGGTAAAGAAGTACAGGATGTTGTAGAGGGATTAATAACTATGACTGTAAATAAAATTTAAACTAAGCAAAGCAGGAAGAGTGGGCTATGAAAAGGTAATAGACTTCGGATGTTATCTATTTTAAACAAAAAGCCAAATAACTGAATACTGTAAAAGTACAAGACTATGTAAAAAGATGCATTACATAGAGGGGATCAATTATACAGTGGAAGTTGACTTCTAATTAGAAACAACAGAGGCAAAAGGAAAATAAAACAATTTTTAAAGTACTAAAAGAAAAAAATACAGCAATTCTACATCAATGAAATATCCTTCAAACTTGGCAGTAAATGAAAATATTTTCAGAGAATAAAAAGCTCAGATAATTTGTCACAAGAAAATTGGCAATAGGCCAGGCACAGTGGCTCACGCCTGTAATCCCAACACTTTGGGAGGCTGAGGCGGGTGGATCACAAGATCAGGAGTTCAGGACCAGCCTGGCCAAAATGGTGAAACCCCGTCTCTACTAAAAATACAAAAATTAGCCAGGCATGCTGGTGGGCACCTGTAATCCCAGCTACTTGGGAGGCTGAGGCAGAGAATTGCTTGAACCCGGGAGGCGGAGGTTACAGTGAGCCAAAATCGTGCCACTGCACTCCAGCCTGCGCGACAGAGCGAGAATCCATCTCCAAAAAAAATAAAAAAAGAAAAAAAAAGAAAAAAGAAAAGAAAATTGGCAATACACAGAATCCTAAAGAAAGTTCTTCAAAATAAAGAAAAATGACAACAAAACTGAAATTTGTACCTACAAAAAAGAATGAAGGGTACTGAAAACACTAAGTAAATGTATGAGTGTAAAAGATTTTTTTTCTGTTCTTTATTTAAGAAAGGGTGTTTAATGCAACAATTTGCATAGCACTGTGGAGTAAATTATGCATGCAGATGTAAAATATATAATGAAAAAGAACAAAGGATGGGGGCTAATTAAAATTATGCTACAGCAAGGTTCTTCATATTTCATATGAGGTGATAAAGTACTGCCCTCTAGGCATATGATGACAACTTAAAGAGGACACTAATTCCTAGAGCAACCACTAAAATAATAATGGTTATAGGAACAAGGAATAGCTAGAAAGTCATTAAAACAATAAAACAGAATACAGGAATACCTTGTTTCAATTCCACTGTGCTTGACTATGACACATCACACTGTGTTTTTTTTAACAAACTGAAGTTTTCTAGCAACGCTGTGTCCAGAAACTCTTACCAGCATATTTTTTCCAACAACATGTGCCCATGTCATGTGCATAGTCACATTTTAATAATTTTCAGAATATTTCAGACTTTTTCATTATTACTATATCTACTATGGTGATCAGTGATCTTTGATATTATTGTTTTGGTGCACTACAAAACAATCCTCATTTAAGATGACAAAATTAATTGATAAATTGTTTTGTATATTCTGACAGCTCCACAACTGACCATTCCTCCGTCTCTCTCCCTCTAGTAGGGCCTCTCTATTAACTCACACATAACAACATTGAAGTTAGAACAGTTAGTAACCCTACAATGAACTCTTAAGCGTTCAAGCAAAAGGAAGAGCCACATATCTTTCATTTTCAATCAAAAGCTAAAAATGACTAAGCTTAGCCAGGAAAATGTATCAAAAGCCAAGACAGACTTAAAGCTTGGTCTCTTGCACTAAACAATTATCCAATATGAGAATGCAAAAAATAAAAAAAAAGGTTCTTCAGGGAAATTAAAAGTGCTGCTCCAGAACAGATGAATGATAAATGTGAAGAACACTTATGGTGATATGGAGAAAGTATTAGTGGTAAAGGACAGAAAATCACACCAGACACAACATTCCCTTTGTCCAAAGCCTATTCCAGAGCAAGGCCCGGACTAGCTTCAATTCTATAAAGGCTGATAGAGGTAAGGAAACTGCAGAAGAAGAGTTTGAAGCTAGCAGACATTGGAGGTTTGAGGAAAGAAGCTGTCTCCATAACACAGAAGTACAAGGTGAAGCAGCAAGTCCTGATGTAGAAGCTATACGGCAAGTCATCCAGATTTAGTCTAGATCACTGATAATGATGGCTACACTAAACAGATTTTTCACTGTAGACAAAACAGCCTTATATGGAGAAAAGATGCCATCTACTACTTTCACAATTAGACAGTAAAAGCCAGTGTCTGGCTACAAAGCCTCAAAAGACAGAATGAGTATCTTGTTAGAGGCTAGTAGTGACTCTAAGTTGAAGCCAATGCTCATTTACCATTCCAAAAATTCTAGGGCCCTTAGGAATTATGCTAAATCTACTCTACCTGTGCTCCAGAAATGGAACAAGAAAGCCTGAATAATAGCATGTCTGTTTACAACACGGTTTACTAAATATTTTAAGCACACTGTTGAGATGTACCACTTACAAAGAGATTCCTTTCAAAATATTATTGCTCACTGACAACACACCTGGTCGCCCCAGAGCTCTGATGAAGGATATCAATGTTGTTTTCATGCCTACTAAAACAATATCCATTGTGCAGCCCAAGAATCAAGGAGTAATTTCACCTCTCAAGTCTTACTATTTAGGAAATGCATTTTTTGTAAGGCTATGGATATTTGCTCTAGATAGTGATTCCTCTGATGGATCTGAACAAAGTAAACTGATAACCTTCTAGAAATGACTCATTATTCTAGATGCCATTATGAATATTCATGATTCATGGGATGAGGTCAAATATCAACATTCACAGAAGATTGGCAGTTGATTCCAATCTTCATAGATGACTTTAAGGGGTTCAAGACTTCAGTGAAGGAAGTCACCACAGATGTGGTAGAAATGGCAAGAGAAGTAGAATTAGAAGTGGACCCTGAACAATATCAACAATGTAAACTGAAAATAAAAGTCAAAATGTGGGAGGATTAAAGTTTAAAGTTCTTTACAATTTTCTTTGTTTCTTTCTTTGCAATCAAAGTTAATTTGTCATCAGTTCAAAATAACTTGTTATAAATTTAAGGTATCTTTTGTAAGCCTCATGGTAATGACAATCCAAAAACCTGTAATAGTTAAACTAAAAAGCAAGAAATTAAAACATACTACCAGAGAAAAATCACTTAACCACAAAAGAAGACAGTAAGAAGGAACCAAGAAGTTACAAAACAACTAGAAAATAGTTACCTCCTTACCTATTAGTAGTAACACTAAATGTAAGTGGACTAAATTCTCCAATTAAAAGACATAGAGCAGCTGAATGTAGGCCAGGTATATGGCTCACACTTGTAATCCCAGCACTTTGGGAGGTTGAGGTGGGAGGGGTACTTGAGCCAGAAGTTTAAGACCAGCTGGGCAACATAGTAAGACCCTGTCTCTACAAAACAATAAAAAAATTAGCCGGGTATGGTGGCATATCCCTGTAGTCCCAGCTACATGTGAAACTGAGTTGGGAGGATCACATGAGCCTGGTTGAGGTTGCAATGAGCTGTGATCATGCCACCACACTCCAGCCTAGCTGACAGAGTGAGACTCTCTTAAAAAAAAAAAAAAAAAAGAAAGAAAGAAAGAAAAGAAAAAGAAAAAGAAAAAGAAAATTCACCTCAAGGAACTAGAAAAGCAATAACAAACCAAACCCCAAATTAAGATTTATAACAAAAATAAATGAAATTGAGACTAAGAAAACAATACAAAAGATTGAGTTGAAAAGTGATCTTTTAAAGGGAGAAACAAAAGCAATAAATGTTTACGCTAGACTAAGAAAAAAAGAGGCACCAAAAAAAATACAATCAGAGATGAAAATGGATATACTACAACTGATACAACTGAAATATAAAGAATCATCAGAGACCATTATAAATAATTATGCTCCAACAAACTGGAAAACCTAGAAGAACTGAATAAATTCCTCACACATAAAATTACCAGCAATAAACCATAAAGAAATAGAAAATCTGAACAGTCCAGTAACGAGTAATAAGACTGAGGCAGTAGTAAAAGTATCCCATCCAAGAAAAGCCCAAGACCTGATGGCTTCAGTGCTGCTAAATTCTACCAAATATTTTTAAAGGAACTAATATTGATTCTATTCAATGTTTCCAAAAATTAAAGAGGAAGGAATACTTTGAAACTCAATCTACAAGCCCAGCATTACTCTAACACCAACACCAGACAAGGACACAACAAAAAAAGAAAACTACAAGCTCATCCCTGATGAACACAGATGTCAAGATCCTCAACAAAATACTAGTAAACTGGCCAGGTGCGGTGGCTCACACCTATAATCCCAGCACTTTGGGAGGCCGAGGTGGCGGATCACCAGAGGTCAGGAGTTCAAGACCAGCCTGGCCAACATGGTGAAACCTCATCTCTATTAAATATACAGAAATTAGCAGGGCATGCTGGCGGGCATCTGTAATCCCAGTTACTCGGGAGTCTGAGGCAGGGAGAATTGCTTGAACCTGGGAGGTGGAGGTTACAGTGAGCTGAGACAGCGCCACTGAACTACAGAGCAAGACTCCATCTCAAAAAAAAAATACTAATAAACTTAATTCAACAACACATTAAAAAGATTATTCACCATGATTAAGTGGGTGGGATTCATCACAGAAATGCAAGAATGGTTCAAGATATGAAAATCGATAAGCATAATACATGATGTTAACAGAATGAAGCACAAAAAACATTATCATTTCAATAGATGTTGAAAAGGCATTCAATAAAATTCAACATGCCTTCAAAATAAAATCTCTCAAAATATTAGGTATAGAAGGAAAATACCTCAACACAATTAAACACCATATATGACAAACTCACAGTTAACATCATATTGAGTGGAGAAAAGCTAAAAGCTTTTCCTTTAAGAACCAGGAGAAAAAGGATGCCTACTCCTACAAATTTTATTCAGCCTAGTACTAGAAGTCCTACCCAGAGTAATTAGGCAAGAGAGAAATAAAGAGTATCCTAATTGGAAAGGAAAAAGTCAATTTGTCCTTGTTTGCAGACCACATGAACACCATTTAGAAAAACCTAAAGATTCCAAAAAATGTTGCAGAATACAAAATCAACATATAATACTGAGTATCATTTCCATTTGTCATTAGTAAACAATCTGAAAAATAAATCAAGAAACAAATCACATTTATAACAGCATCAAAAATATAAAATATTTATAAAAATTTATTTTAAAAATGTGAAAGATACATAAACACTAAAAATTACAAAACAATGCTGAGAGAAACTACAGAGGCTTCAATAAATGGAGAGATGCCATGTTCCTAGATAAGAAGACAAAATGTTAAACTATCCATTCTTCCTAAATTCATCTATAGATTCAATGTAATCACAGTTAAAATTCTAATAGGTTTTTAATAAAAACTAAACGTTTGATAAATTTTATGTGAAAAATAGTCAAAACAATCCTAGAGAAAAAGAACAAGTGTAAGAGACTCATACTGTCCCATTTCAATATTACGATAAAGCTAAAGTAATCAGAAAGTATGATATTTGCATATGGGTACACAAAGAGAGCAACAGAAAAGAAGAGGCCAGAATCAGAACCAAACATATTAGAGCAAACTGATATTTTAGTAAGGTGCCAAGGAAATTAATTTTATGAAAAAGTCTTTTCAACAAATGGTGCTAGAATATCTAGATGTCTGTATTTTAAAAATCAATCTAAACTGTCATATTCCACACACATAAAAATGTGAGATAAATCATAGAACAAAATATAAAAGTAAAAATTATAAAACTTAGCATAGGCAAATAACTTGGTAATCTTCAAACAAACAAGGATTTCCTAGAGAAGACCAAAAAAATACTAGCTGTGGAACCCAAATTGGGAAATTACGTTTCATCAAAACTTTAAAATTGTCATCAAAAGACATCACTGAACGAGAAAAAATACCAAGTCATAACCTAGGGAATAATATCTGCAATACATATATCTGATAAAGAACTTCTATGTAGAATATACGAAGCATTCTTACATTATCAATTTAAAAAAGATAAACGGGGAGAAAATGAGCACTTGAAAAAAGATACAAAACAGGCCAATAATCACAGGAAAAGACGCTCGGTATCATTAGTAATAAAGAAACTGCAAGTAACTACAACAAAATACCAATTCACACATACTAGAGAAGTTAAAATTTAAGATTGACAATGCTAAATGTTAATCAGAATGTGGAAAGACCAGAACTGTAAAATACTGCTACTGGAAAGGCAAAATTATAATACAACTCTGAAAGACAATTTGTTCATTTCATTCTTTTTTCTACTGTGGTCAAAAACAGAAAACATAAAATTTATCACCTTAAACAATTTAAGTTAACAGTGGTATAAACTATTAGAACATTGTTTTTAAAGAGTTCTCTGATCTTTTATGTTGAAAACTGAAACTCTAGATCCACTGAACAACAAATCCTGTTGGTTCTCTCCTCCCAGATCCCAGCAACCAACATTTTACTAAGAGTTTGACTACTCAAAGAGGGATCATGCAGTATTTGTCTTTCTGTGATAAGCTTATTTCACTTAACACAGTATTCTCAAGGTTCATCATGTTGTAGGATATACAGGATTTCCTTTTTTTTGGTTAAGGCTGAATAATATTTTACTGTATGTATATACCACATTCTCTTTATGCATTCATCTGTTGATAGACACTTAAGGTTATTTCCACCTCTTGGCTACTGTGAATACTGCAATCATGATTACACAAATTTCCCTTTAAGATCCTGTTTTCAATTCTTTTGGATAGAGACCTAGACGTGGGATTGTTAGATCATACGGTAACAATTTTGAGAAGAACCTCCAAACTGTTTTCCAAAGTGTCTGCACCATTTTACATTCCATCGATAGTGCACAAGAGTTTAAATTTTTCCACATCCTCGCCAATACCTGATATTTTGTTTTTTTTTCTTTTAATAGTGACCAAATGGTTGTAAGATAATTCATTTACTATTATGGTTGTGATTTGCATTTCCATAATGATTAGGGATGTTGCACATCTTTTCATATTACTGTTGGCCATCTGTATAACTTCTGTG
This sequence comes from Homo sapiens, assembly GCF_000001405.40. NCBI lineage: Eukaryota > Metazoa > Chordata > Mammalia > Primates > Hominidae > Homo > Homo sapiens. The sequence goes on from NC_000007.14 coordinate 17,860,297, forward strand.
GAGATACACTATTTTGCACATTTTTAAATACTTTTCTTTTTCCTGTTGTTGAGTAGTATGAGTTCTTTATATATGATGGATGTTAATTCCTAATCGGATATATGGCTTGCAAATATTTTCTCCCATTGTATAGGGTACCTTTTCACTCTGGTGATTGTTCCTTTGCTGGGCAGTTTTTTAGTCTGATACACTCCCACTCTCTATTGCTGTTATTTTTGTCTGAGTTTTTGGTATCATATCAAATAAATCATAATCAAATCTAAGAAGCTCTTCCCTTACATATTCTTCTAGGAGTTTTGTCATTTCAGATCTTTAATCCATTTTGAGTTAATTTTTACATGCAGGGCAAGGTTAAGGGTCCAACTTCATCCTTTTGCATGTGGCTATCCTGTTTTCCCAATACCATTTGCTGAAGAGATTATTCTTTCCCATTTTGTAGCCTTGATACAAATCTATGCAGATCATTTGAGTATGCACATGAGAACTTACTTCTCAGTTCTCTATTCTGTTCCACTAAGTCTACATTTCTATCTTTATGCCAGCACCATACAGTTAATTACTGTAGCTTTGTAATAGGTTTTGAAATCAGGAAGGGTGAGGTGCAAAGAAATATCATTGGGATTTTGGTAAGAATTGCACTGAATCGGTAAATTGCTCTGGGCAGTATGGCTGTCTTTACAATATTAGGTCACTTCATGAACATAGTATGTGTTTCCATTTATTTGTGTCTTTTTTTTGTGATGGGGTCTTGCTCTGTTGCCTAGGCTGGAGTACAATGGCACAATCACAGCTCACTGCAGCTTTGATCTCCTGGGCTCACATGATCTTCCCACTTCAGCCTCTGGAGTAGCTAGGACCACAAGTATGCACCACCATGCACAGATATTTTTATTCCTGATATTTTGTTGCACAGTACAATAGGGACTGCATTCTTGTTCAGCAGGAGAGCACCCCTTTCACCCCGCCCCTGCCAGAAATGTCAGGCAGCCATCAGGTGATGGGTTTGGCAGTTATCACACATACAGTTATCACACATACAGTTATCTCACACACACACACACACACACACACACACACACACACACAGTGTGATAACTGCAAAAATAATTCGCAGCCCACACCAGGAAGAGGCAATTTCCTGATGGTCCACAGCTGTCACACTAACGTAATCATTGGTCACAGGCACCAGAAAGTGGCAATTTCCCAAACAGATAAAAACACTTGAAATTGGTAACTAGCTTCCAATAAAATCTCAGGAAATAGTCAAGTGAGCTCGAGGATGTGCATTGAGAGACAAAATGACAGAGTATGACCTTCTGGTGGAATGCCCCCAGAAAAGTGAAGAAAGTCTCAGATGGACATGTGTACAACTTCCTAAACACACTGTGTGTGCTCACTTCCCAAGTGTAAGGAGGGCACCGTGCATGTGGGCAGCCCACCCAAAGGGAAGAATCATGAGAAAAGGGATGCAAGATGCCAGAAGTGGACCAGTACATAAAATCGTAGGATCAAGGTTAAACAAGGCACTTGACCTCCGAAGTGCCCACTTGGGTCTCTTCCAGTGTACTTTCCTTTCTTTCCTGCTATAAAGCTTTTTAACAAACTTCCACTCCTGCTCTGAAACTTACCTCAGTCTCTTTTTATGCCTCACATCTCTCAGTCAAATTCTTTCTTGAGGAGGCAAGAAGTGAGGTTTCTGCAGAACCATCAGTAATTCAGCTATTTGCTGCCCCCAACAGTTTGAAATATTTTTAGAATATAGGCTAAGCCCACTCCAAAATGTTTTTACTATATACGTAATTACAGTTAATGCAGTTAATACATGCTCAGAAACAGAAAACTGAACACTAAAAAATATCTGTATAGAGACAGAGGGGAATAAAAATAATTCCCAATCCCATGAGTGAGAGATAACCATAACATTCTGTTCAACTTGCTTCCATTTTTGGACCAGAGTTAATAATTATATCCTGATTATTTAAGTTTAGTATACAATATCCATTTTCTGTACTACTAAACAAATTTTATTATTATTTACCCTGCCTGAATTTTAACTTAAATGTTTATAAATTTTGCATGTAAGTTTCTACCGCTTAAAAACATACTATTTTATTACATAATCCATACTCATTGCAAGTGAAATGAAATACATAAAAAAGAAAAATTACTACCTTTCTATTAACATTTCAGTGTATATCCTATGAGAATTACAGTCATTAATAAGTATATTTTTCTAAAGAATGGGATATTTATCTAACATATATGCTAATTTTAGTTATCTTTTTCATGCAAAAGATATGAACAATTTTTCAAGTTCATAAAGATATACTATCATCACTTTAAATGGTTACATAGTATTCAATTGTATCAATGTGTTATTATATATTAACTAATCCCCTATTTGGGACATTTAAGTTGCTTTCCATTTTTTGCTACTATAACCAATGCTGCTATGAACGGTCTTAAATATACATTATTGGAGGAGGCCGAGCAAGGTGGCCAAGTAGAGCCCTCCAGCGATCATCCTCCCCACAGGAACACCATATTAAATAACCGTCCATGCACCTTCATAGGAACCATAAAATTAGGTGAGTGATCACAGTACCCGGTTTGAGCATAATATCAAGGAAAGTGGCATTCAAAAGGGTAGGAAAGACAGTCTCGTATTGCCTCCACCACCCCTCCCCTCAACCCTGGACAGCACAGCACAGAAAGAGAATCTGTGGGCTTGTGGGAGGAAGAGTGAAGTAAGTATAGAACTCTGCTTTGAAACTGAGAACTGCTCTGTCACAGCACAGGACAGAATTCCACTAGCACCCAGGGAAGGAGCATTTAGACCAGCCCTGAGCCAGAGCAGAATTCTCAGCTCAGGGGGAATAACTCGAATCCAGGTGGCTTCACTTGCGCTGACTGACATGGCCTGGGGCACTAAATAAATATGAGTGGCAGTCAGGCCACAAGCACTGCAGTCCTAGGGCAAGCCCTGGTGCTACATACACTCTTCTCAGCGGTCAGTAGACTTCGGGTATGACCCAGTGTAACACCAGCTATGGTGGCCAGCAGAGTGTCTGTGTCATCCCTCCACCACTTCCAGGCAGTGTAACTCCAGCAAAGACTCCTTCCACTCAGAGGAAGGAAAGGGAGGAATACAGAGGGCTGTGTCTTAAAACTTAGGTAACAGCTCAGCCGCAGTAAAACCAAAAACCAGGCAGATTGCTGAAACCCAAGAATATACATCTTTCCTCCTGGACAGCATTTCTAGACCCACCCTTGGCCAGAAGGGAAGCTGTTGCCCTGATAAGACAGACCCAGTCCCTAGCAGAATTCACAATCTGCTGACTAAAGTGGTCCTGGGCCATGAATAAATAGCAGCAGCAGCCAGGCAGCAGTGGCCACAGGCGTTAGGCAAGCCCCAGTACTGTGCTGCTCTGCAAGGTTTGAGGTGCAACTCTGCACGGTGCCAGCCATGGTGACCATGACAGTGTCCATGTCACTGTTTCCCCAACTCTAGGCAGCATTACACAGAAACAGACCCTTTGTAATTAAGAGAAAGAGAGGGAAGAGCATGAAAGACTTTGTCTGGTAACCTAGGGAATTCTCCTTTATCTTACTGAAGTGCATCATGGCAGTGTATTTAGGAGTCTCCAAGAGTCACAGTATTCCTGGGCTTAGGGATCCCACTAGTGCTGAAATAGCATAGTGACCATAGGCTTAGGTTACAACATTCAATCCCTTTTGACTTCATGAAAAGCCTTCTCAACAAGGATGGTACAAATAAGCCCAGATTGAGAAGATTAAAATAAATAATTAACTCTTCAATGTCCAGACATTAATGAACATCTACAAGCACCAAGAACATCCAGGAAAACATCACCTCAAGAAACTAAATAAGGCACCAATGACCACTCTGGAAGTGAAGGAAATATGTGACCTTTCAGACATGAAATACAAAAGAGCTGTTTTGAGGAAGCTCAAAGAATTTCAAGATAACAAAGAGAAGGAATTCAGAATTCTATTGAGAAATTTAACAGAGGCTGAAATAATAAACAAACTCTAGAACTGAAAAATTCAATTGATAAACTGAAAAATTAATCAGAGTATCTTAATAGCAGAATTGGTCCAGCAAAAGGAAGAACCGAGCTAAGACAGGCTATACGAAAACACATAGAGAAAAAAAGAATCTGAAAACAAATGAAGCATACCCACAAGATCTAGAAAACAGTGTCATAAGGGCTAATCTACGATTTATTGGCCTTAAAGAGGATGTAAAGAGAGAGACTGGGTAAAAAGTTTATTCAAAGAAATAATAACAAAGAACTTTTAAAACCCAGAAAAAAACATGAATATCCAGGTACAAGAAGGTCGAAAAACACCAATAAAATTCAATCCAAATAAGATGACCAAAGGCATGTAAATCAAACTCTCCAAGGTCAAGGATAAATAAAGAGTCCTAAAAGCTGCATAAAGAAGGAAAAGAAGGAGAAGGAGGAGAAGGGGGAGGGGAAAGGGAAGAAAGGGAAGGAGGAAGAGGAAGAGGAGGAGGAGGAGGAGCAGCAGCAGCAGCAAATAACACAAAGGAGCTCTGATACGTCTGGCAGCACACATCTGAGCAGAAACCTTACAGGCCAGGAGGGAGCGGGATCATTCATACATTCAAAGTGCTGAAGGAAAAAAAAATGTCTTCCAACCTAAAATATATCCTGCAAATTTATCTGTCAACTCTGAAGGAGAAATAAAGTCTTGGCCAGACAAACAAAAGCTAAGGGATTTCATCAATACCAGATGAGTCTTACTAGAAATCCTAAAGGGAGTTTTTCAATCTGAAAGAAAAGCATGTTAATGAGCAATAAGAAATCACCTGAAAGTATAAAACTCATTGATACTAAGTACACAGACAACTACAGAATAATACTGCAACTGTGGTGTACAATCCACTCATATCTTTAGTGAGATGACTAAAACACAAGTCAACAAAAAATAACTGATAAACAAATTTAGTAAAGCTTCAAGATACAAAACGAACATACAAAAATCAATAGTGTTTCTATGTGAACAATTTGAAAAAGAAAACAAGAAAAGTAATCCCATATAATCACAAATAAAATACGTAAGAATAAACTTAACCAAGGAAGTAAAAGATGTCTACAAGGAAAACTGTAAAACACTGATAAAAGAAATTGAATAAGACACAAAAAAAATGAAAAGATGCTCCATGTTCATGGATTGGAAGAATCAATATTGCTAAAATGTCCATAGTACAAAAAGCAATCTGCAAATTCAAAGCAACCCATATCAAAATACCAATAACCTTTTTCACAGAAATAGAAAAAATAATCCCAAAATGTATTAATATATGGAACCACAAAAGACCCAGAATAGCCAAAGCAATCCTAAGCAGAAAAGAACAAAGCTGAAGACATCACATTACTTGACTTCAAATTATACTACAGAGCTACAGTAACCAAAACAGCAGGGTACTGGCATAAAAACAGACACATAAACCAATGGAACAGAATAGAGAACACAGAAATAAACCCACACATTCACAGTAAATTCACTTTTTACAAATGTGCCAAAAATACACATTGGGGAAAAAAACAGTCACTTTAATAAATGGTGCCAAGACAACTGGATATCGATACGCAGAGGAATGAAACTAGACCCCTATCTCTCAGCATATAGAAAAACCAATTTAAAATGGATTAAAGACTTCAATCTAAGATGTGAAACTATAAAACTACTAGAAGAAAACAGTGGGGAAACAATCCATGACATTGGTCTGGGCAAAGATTTCTTACATAAGACCTCAAAAGCATAGGGAACCAAAGCAAAAATGTACAAATGAGATCACATCAAGCTAAAAGGCTTCTGCACAGCAAAGGGAATGATCAACAAAGGCAAGAGACAATCCACAGAATAGGAGAAAATATTTGCAAGCTACTCATGTGACAAAGAAATAATAACCAGAATATATAAGGAACTCAAACAACTCAATAGGAAAAAAAAAAAAAGAATCCCATTAAAAATGGGCAAAAAGATCTGAATAGACATTTCTCAAAAGGTAACATATAAATGGAAAACAGGTTATTAAAAAATGCTTAACAGCACTTATCATCATAGAAATACAAACTACAATGAGATACTATTTCACTCCAGTTAAAATGGCTTTTAACCAAAAGAAAGGCAATAACAAATGCTTGCAAGTATGTAAAGAAATGGATAAAGAAAACATGGTACATACACAAAATAGAATATTATTCAGCCATTAAAAAAAGAATGAAATATTGACTGAGGGACATTATGTTAAGTCAAATTAACCATGCACAGCAGGCCAAATATGTGGGAACTAAAAACAAAACAAAACAAAGACTGAACTCATGGAGATACAGTGTCAAATAATGTTTCTTTACCAGATGCTGAGAAGGGAAATAAAGAAGGAATGGCTAATGGGTATAAAACACAGTCAGACAGAAAGAGTAAGATCTACCATTCAGTAGCACAACAGGGTGGCTACAGTTAACAATAATTTATTGTATATTTCAAAATAACCATAGGAGTGGAATTGGAATGTTCCTAACACAAAGAAGTGATAAATGCTGATCTGATGGATACCCCAATTATCCTGATTTGAACATTATACATTGTATGCTTATATCGAAATATCACATGTACTCCATAAATATGTACAACTCTTACATATCCATAATTTTTAAAAATTAAAAACTTGTTAAAATTTTTAAATACAGATTGTCACAAATTTGATTATCACTTTAAAATAACTTCTTAGGAGTTCCTAGCCAAAGGAGACTCACTTTTTTATAGTTTTAATTGTGCAGATATGTGTATTTTCAAAGCTTTTATAGTGCCTAATGCAAAGTCTAAAAAAGTTCACAGAGGAAAAGAAGAATCAAGTTCCATGGTCTCCAGGAAAGGCTCCAGAAGTACACAATTAATAACAACTTTTGTCTGCAGGTACTACAATCTGGTCGAAGGGTAAACCTTTGCAACAACAAAAATAAAACAACAGCAGCCAGGCACAATGGCTCACACCTGTAATCCCAGCACTTCGGGAGGCTGAGGCAGGCAGATCGCTTGAGCTCAGGAGTTCATGACTGGCTAGGGCTACATAGCAAAACCATGTCTCTACCAAAAGTACAAAAAATTAGCGGGATGTGGTGGTGCATGCCTGTGTCCCAGCTACTTGGGAGGCTGAAGCGGGAGGATCACTTGAGCCAAGGAGGCGGAGGCTGCAGTGAGCCAAGATTGTCACTGCACTCTAGCCTGGATGAAAGAGTGAGATCCCATCTCAAAAATAAATAAATAAAAATAAAGTAAAAAAAAAAATAAAACAATGGCAAGTCTGACAATGCCTAAGGGAAATCAAAGAACAATCAAGTAATTCTTTCTTAAGAAAGCTACACTGAGTTAAAGGAAGACAAATGTAGAGTAGAAATCCCAGATTTAAGAAAATAAATCAAAGATCTAGAAGTAGGTATCAAAGTATTCCCAGAAGGTGGCCCATTTACAATTCTTCCTTGACCATGAGTTTATTAAGGAAAAGGATACATTATAAAGAAAAAAAAATAGGGCTTGTGGACTTAGTAATAACTAAGTCTTTGATATGTCTGACAGAAGAAAACTATTGAGTTAACTACTACAGACACTAGGCAACTTACAGAAACATCTAGAATCCAGATCTTCTGGTTCTCATTCTACTATTCTGTCCTCCATATTTTCCCCATTATACAGTATAAAATGTGAGTTACATGTCAAGTAGTTCAAATCCCAAGTTGTATTTAAAAATCAAATAGTAGCCATTAAAAATACTCATCATCTATAGACACAGGTAGTAAAATATTCTATTTTTTTAAAGAAATAGTAGTAGCACCATAACCGCAAGGAAGATAATCAACAAAATTCTTAAAGAGAATTTGGCCAACACATTCAAAATATAAGCAAATAAAAATATTGGAAACACAGAGATTACTTCAGAAACATTTTTACTTAATTTCTTTAATAAATTACTGCTTAAACACCCTATCTCCCAACTATATTTTTACATTTCAAAAATTATTTCTAAAACAGAGTTGTAATTTTAAAAGGCACCTACCATCCATATGACATACTGATTAATATAATCAGGATCACTGAGTTGATTTATTAATGGAAGAAGAATTCCTCGTGCAAGGATTTCCTGAAAAAAAAGTAAATAACAAAAACAAATTTAATCTATTTCTGAAATCAACAGCATAATGTAAATATTCTAACACAATGCTGTTACTTAAGAAAAGTATGATATACATGTAACTAGGACTTGATAAGCAACACAGTCTTATAAAAAGATGAACTACTATGCCTCAGTTTAGATAAATGAGATACAGTTACCTGTATCAACTTGGACACATCTCCACAGTAACAACTGTGGAGTGAAATAAAGCAAGATGATACCTCTAGTATGTTAGCATTGATGTCAATTTTAAAAAGACAAAATATAAGACTAACAGTGTTTATGGATTCATTTATCTTTATTAAAACTATAGAAACAGAAAAGAAAAGGGAAGGATACAAACTGATTTTAGAACTACTACCAAGGGAGGAAACGGCAACTACAGTACATTATCAACACTGGTTACATCTAGGTGGTTGGTACATAAATGTCTACTGTATTATTCTCTATGCTTCTCTGTGTTTGAATAGTTTCCTAATAAACATTTTTAAAATAATAGATATGTTAATCGATTCAACATTCTCTAAAATCTACCTTCCCATTCTTTGCAGTTGTTTATGTTCCTATGCAGAACAATTGACTGCAGAATCAATTACCCTATTAAATAAATCTTGATCATTCCAACAGAAATATGCTTGAAATACTCATGCCCTGTATCTACAGCATTTAACACTTGATATTTTCTCTGTAATTATAAGTCTTATATTTTTCTAATAGAGGCAACTATCTAGGAAACCTCCATATGAGTGGAATTGGTCAACTTATCTACTGAATTATTTATTCTCAAAAATATTTACCTTCCTCATCCCATCTTCTCAAGGTCATTGTTTTAAACATGGCAGGCATTTGATAAATGAGTAGAAAAAAAGAAACTAAGAATTTAGTAGATTCTATAAATACAATGATTTCACCTGGTATTACCCTTTAGTGCCAGTAATATATAAATTTATGAACCCTAATTTCTTAAGAATATTGGGGGAGGTTAAATAACAATAAGCTTAACAGGATGTATAATTTTTCTAAGTAAAGGATCACAGAAGGTGGTCTTTATTTTTAGTAAACTGTACAAGTCTCTTTTGTAAGCTGTACAAGTCTCTGCCAACTATTACCCCCATGATGAATCAGTATTTCCAAAAAGCACTAATGGAGGCACCAGTAATTTTTTTGAAATGTCTTTGGAGACACTTTGCAGTCTGAAATGACAAAAAATTGCTTCTTTCAAGGTTAGTTTTAGTCTCCTACTTCTTCAAAATTGTATTTACGTATGTAATTCCTTCCTTCAAATTATGTCTCTGGCCACATGTTCAAATTTTAAAATGCACTTTGTTAGGAGAAAATTTACTCACACACACACAGACACACACACACACACACACACACTTTTTCCAATGCTTCTTTTCAAAAGGAGAAAAAAACACCTGGGGAAAATTTTTGATTAAATTTTGTGTTTCTTATTAGTTGGTGCAATGAGTCGATTTGTATTAGAAAACTTCTAATCTGTCACATTAAAGGGTTTGGTTAGTCAAGGGCTAGTCATATGACTCAAGGTCCTAGTGAGAGCTCTAAATATTCCAAGCAAGTAGGCACTTCCACATAATTCCTACTTTAAGACCTCCAATTTTTAGAAGACAGCAATGTTTGTCAAACATGGGGCCTAAAAGATACAAAATCATTGAAGCCATATCTTTAAAGGAATAAAACATAGTAACGGCAAGAAAGTAGAGGCAATTAAATAGCAATTATCTCAAATACTGTGACTTACACAATCTATACAAAGTATCCGTACAAAGAAAATTAAAACTCTTTCGTCTGTTATTTAATCTAAACAAAAATATCCTGTGAGAAATTTTAGAATTACTGACAAAAGAAAACAAAGAAAGAGCTAAAGGAAAAAAAACTGACTTGCTGAATGCATGGTCTGCAATTATCCTCACTTAATTAGATTCAACCAAAAAGTAATAAAATACCGGCCTAAAAGAGAAATTTATTTTAAAAAAATGTGCTCATTAAAATCCTACTTATTTTAAATAACTTCCTGTAACAAGGCAGATTTTCATTCATGGCTCTTAGGAGTCAACTTAATCTTCAAGAAGCTGCAGTAGCACATGCACCACAGCCATCAAGAGGGTAAATGGGTTTCCTTTTGCATTAAAACTGATTGTCTGAGCATCTGCTATGTGCCAAGTATCACGTTAAGCACTAAGTATATATTTATGATAAATACAGATATAATCTCTGTCCTCATTAGAGTTACAATTCATCTGGGAGAAAGAGGTATCAAATTAACAACCAAATTACCATCTTAAAATATGGTAAATGCTATGAAGGAAAACAATTGGATACTATCCATAATAACAGGGAATTATGAGGGAGATATAGATTGGGTGGTCAGGGAGGGCATCTCTAAGGAAGCGACATGTAGTGAGATATGAAGAATGAATACAATTTAGCTGATAGAATAAGAGGAATCGGGTTTTCTTTTTTTTTTTTCTTTTTTTTTGAGAGGGAGTCTGGCTCTGTCGCCCAGGCTGGAGTGCAGTGGCGCGATCTCAGCTCACTGCAAGCTCCGCCTCCCGGGTTCATGCCATTCTCCTGCCTCAGCCTCCCGAGTAGCTGGGATGACAGGCGCCTGCCACCATGCCCAGCTAATTTTTTGTATTTTTAGTAGAGACGGCGTTTCACCGTGTTAGCCAGGATGGTCTCGATCTCCTGACCTCGTGATCCGCCCACCTTGGCCTCTCAAAGTGCTGGGATCACAGGCGTGAGCCACCGCGCCTGGCCAAGGAATCATTCTTAACAGAGAAAAAAAGGACATGAGAGGCAGGGAGGAAAATGGCACTTTTGGGGGAAAATGCCAGTGTGGCTGGAGTATAGTGACCACTAACAAAGACCATCCTTGACCAAACTTAGGCTCCTCTGAATCCTCCACCCATTTATGCCTTAACCTTTGAGTTTCCATGTCTGTTCATCTTTTCATTGCAGTTTTAGCAAGAATTCTATCAAGTGGGTTTAGCCAAACCTCCCTCACCTTAAATTCCTCAGTCCCCACCCTTTGTGTCTGAACATCCCATCCTGCTTTCAACAAGAATCCTATTAAGTCTGTTTAACCAGAATTCCCACTACATCTGATGTTTCCTTTTAGTAATTTTCCATCCACTGATCCCCAGCCTGCTCCTTGGCTATAAATCCCAACTTGTTCTTTTTTATTCAGAATTGAGTTCGGTCCTAAACCGAGGTCACTTTTCCCCTACTGCAACAGTTGCTGGATAAGGTCTGTTTTTTACTACACTTACTGTCCAGTTCTGGTTTTCCTTGACATTGCTTGGCATGAAGGCTAGAGAGGTAAATAAGGCCACACTACATGCGAACCTATAAGCCTCTTGAAGGACTTGAGATCTGAAAAATTTACTAGATGATCATACCACTTACTAGGATGGAGAGAAGACTAAAAGGCACACAGGATATGGAGGTAAGAATAAGACTTCCACTTTGGACATTTCAGTTTTAAAAAGCTGTGAGTCACTCAAGTGGTGATTTCAAGAGGGCAGCTCAGAGTTGCCCGGAGCTCAGAAGGTAAATCTGAAATAAAGCTATAAATTTCAAACGCATTAGCATTTGGAAAGGCGTTTAAAGCCACAGTAACGGATGAGCAAGAAAAAGTCTTGGGACTTAAGATCTTGAATAATCAAAATTTAAGCAGAAGAGAAGTTAAGGAGTATAAACATGACTAAAAAGGAAAGCAAAGGTGACTAAAAATGAGACCAGTGACATGAAAGAAAGGAGAAAATAGAGTTTCAATAAGGAAAAGATGGCAAGACATGCGAAATAATGCTGAGATTCCACGTAACAGTAGCTGGCTGGAGTAATATATAAACAGATTATTATGCCAAATGGATACTCTGCATGAACAAATGCTATACCTGACTAGTACTATCTTCCTTAAGTGGCAGATATGAATCTAGTGATAGACATCCAGGTACTTGCCACCCGTCATAATGACCAGCCCAAATAATTGGCCTTAACAATATACAGTTAATGTATCAGGCTCCTCCCATCAAAACCAAGCACTTTCTATTACTTCACATAAGTACCATTAACATACCTGAGAAGTACACTGAACCCCAAGCTAGGTAGATGTTAGGAAATTGTATGGTATGGCTTATAAACAATAACATGCAAGCATAAAAGCAAGTCTCAGGAATTGTTATCTATTTTGCAGGACAGACTAAAGAGATCATAAGCTTTTGTTTTTAGGAAAATTCAAAACTTTTCACGTTACGCATTCAACCAGGACATGTTCTTGTGTAGCTAGCCTTTCTAAATCATTACCAGCAGCCAAAGACAAATGTTATTCCTTTAAATTTACACACAGAACTTTACTCTGAAGGTTTATACTCAGGGAATAACAAGTCCAAGACTACTATTCTCATCTGACATTAATTTTCCAATTGCTAAAAAACATAATCTTAACTGTACAGTTTTTAAAGTTTCTGTCCAAAAATGTTATTTTTATCTAACCTGATTTAGATAACACTAGGGTATAAGAAAATTTAAAACAAACTTTTGTCATAACCAAAAACCAAAGCACCTAACTATCAGCCAGAGACTTCTGGGGGATTAGTGGGAGGTTTCCATGAACCTGAAGTTCCCCCGAAGCTTGGGTTTCAGGTGACCCTTTCAACACCATTTTCATAATAATGCTAAGACATTATTTAACTTTTCACTCTTGTTCTTTCATGTACACACAGTGACCTTTACAAAGTTACATAATGCTATGATGGTATCGAGCTATTAGGTAATGAAATACATGCTTGCATATTTTCATGTTTTAAAAATTTCTTAGTCTTCACTTGTGTAAATATTTTAAAGAAAACTCACATAAACAAAAGCTCTTTGGAGTCTTCAATAATTTTTAAGAGTGTAACAGGGTCTTAAGACAAAAATTTTGAAAACTACTGCTCTACATTTTTTTGCAGGTATGATATGGTATGAGTTTAAGCTTACCCTGACAAAGTATCGCATGATCTTGTTCTGGAAATCTCCAGGAGGTAGCAATAAATATAGTAAGACCTCACACAAATCCCTTAGGAATCCTAAAAGTAGAAAAAGTAGCTATCATAACATTAGAAAATATAAAGTCTACACTTCCTCTTGATATATAAGATACATTTAAAAAGGCAGAAATAACCAGTTCCCTGGTTACAATGGCTTATTTTAGTAATTAGTACACATCAGTATTCATTAAAAATTCCTTCATTATTCTCCAAGTAGTAACTATTCATTAATCAACTTAATTTTTTTTAATTTTGCTGTTTTAACCAGTTTTTTGAATCATAAAAAAATTTCGTTACAAGTCTTTTTTCCCAAAATAGTTTTAGATGGACCAGGTACTCTGTAATTCTACCACACGTTAATTAGCTTTCCATACTTAAAAGTTATTCACACATATAAAAACATAGCTGTAATTCTTCTTTCAAGAAAACACCTCCATCATCTCAGCAGGCTATAACAAAGGAAAAAAAGAGTATGCTCTTCTATTCTGCTGATTTAAGAGAGCTCAACTTACATAAAAGTATTGCACATCAGTATATCTATGTGTTACATTCTAAGTTACTGTAATATAAATTGACCCTTGAACAAAGAGTCTGAACTGCTCAGGTCCACTTATATGTGGATTTTTTTCAGTAAATATATTGGAAAATTTTTTAGAGATTTGTGACAATTTAAAAAACTCAAGAGATGAACCGCATAGCCTAGAAATATCAAAAAAATTCACAAAAAGGTATGCCATGAATGCATAAAATATATGCAGATACTAGTCTATGTGTTAATCAATTGTTTACATTATTGATAAGGGTTATGGTTAACAGTGGGCTGTTAGTATTTAAGTTTTTGGGGGTCAAAAGTTATGCACAGAATTCTGTCTGCACAGGGAGTCAGTACCCGAAACCCTCTCACTGTTCAAGTGTCAACTATACTTCTTAACAGTGCTAATAAACTGGCCATTAAAACCTGAATTATACAATAAACATAAAAAGAAAAGGCAAAAGAAGAAAGGAAGAACAAAGAAATAAATAAAAATATTTAAAACATTTTCAAAATCTAAGAAAACAATTTCAACAACTAGAAGGGCTTTTCTATAGTTGTTCCTATGCTGACACTTTCTGGGAATATAATTGCATAAGTGATCCTCTTAATTTAAAACTGTGCCAATTAACAAAGACTTAATACTTGCAAAACTGGGAAGATAACGTCCTCAGCTAAAACTTGTCTAGTGTAAACTCCTACCAATAAAAGACAAGCCCGTTGAAATCTATAAATTTTATTTGAAATCACTGTATCATTCCCTTAGGAAATATTTTATGGTAACAGGTATACTTCTGAAGCAAAAATAATAAATTCAAGAGGAAGAGAAATTACTACAGATAAAAAAATTCAGTCATAAAATGTTTGCGTTTGCTATATTTTAAAAGTAGATTGATAATTTCTTTTCTTTTTTTTAGACAGGGTCTCACTCTCGTCACTCAGGCTGGAGTGCAATAGCATGATCACAGGTCACTGCAGCCTTGACTTCCCAGGCTCCGGTGATTCTCCCACCTCAGCCAGCTGATGTTTCGTACTTTTAGTAGAGACAGGGTTTCGCCATGTTGCCTAGGCTGGTCTTGAACTCCTGGACTCAAGCAATCCAGGCCCTTCGGCCTCCCAAAATGATGGGATTACAGGCATGAGCCACTGCACCCAGCCAGGACCAGTTAATTATTAAAGATGACCTTTAAAGAAGAAAACAGAATCTGGAAACTACTTTTAAGAGTTACAAAATAAAATAAAATGAATAGCATCTTTACTATGCTACCTGCCCTAAGTAAGAATAATTTTACCCTTAGATTTTTTCACTGGTTCTGCTAACTTGACTCTAGCCAGCTACTATTGTCAAAAAAGTTAAATTAAAAGAAAACCTTCTTCATCTTTGGGGGAAGTGCACACTAGATCACGGCAAACCTCCTTCTCCATTTCAACTTCAACTTCAAAGAAGGTATCTACAAGATCTTCTGCTGTACCTAAAGAAAAACAATTCAAGATATATAAAATGATGAAAGGAAAACAGATTTTCAAATCCTAGTTTTCAAATGGAATAAAGATATTACCTTTCACTTGATCATCTTTCTCTGTTATTTTCTGTTGAGCCTTTCTGAATACTCGTAAGTGTGTGCCAAAGTCATCTACAATGCGTGTAGTAAAATAAGGTTGCCAGTCTATTTCTTTTGACCTTATAAAAAACACATTACATAAAAGGATTATATAAATGCTTTATCAGAAAATATAAATTCATTTTAATGACTACTGACAAACAACATGATTATCTGAGACTGTAAATTTAAATTGAGATTTTCATTCATTATTACCTGTTAGTACTGTTTCACAAGATTCAAAGTAAATCAAATCTACTTCACTAAGTCTTCTAACAATATTACTTGAATTATTTTATGTGCCAAAGCTTAAAACTACTATCTAAAGGTTTAAAATAGAAAAAGAAATTAATTTTTTCCAGTTAAATTTGAAGTGAATCTGACAACAGTATATCATGTAATTTCTCAGCCCCAACATAAGAATACATAAGGAATTCTGAATAGTTTTGTTTGCTTTAAAAGAGCATTTCAAACATTTCTTGGTTTCTTCTGAACTCTTTCTGAATTCTCCACATTCATCTTTTTAGCTATGCAACACATGTTCTGAACGTTCTGTTTGAATACACTAGCACTTAAAAACTTGGCCATGGCCAGGCACAGTGGCTCACGCCTATAATCCCAACACTTTGGGAGGCTGAGGCAGGAGGATCACTTGAGTCCAGAAGTTCAAGACCAGCCTAGTCGACATGGTGAAACTGTCTCTACAAAAATTACAAAAAATTAGCCAGGCATGGTGGCATGCACCTATAGTCCCAGCTGCTAGGGAAGCTGAAGTGGGAGGATCACCTGAGCCCAGGAGGTCAACGCTGCAGTGAGCTGTGACCACACCACTGCATTCGAGCCTGGGAACAGAGCTATCTCATCAAAAAAAAAAAAAAAAGCCTTAACCATTAGAAATAACTAATTACAAGGAAATGGTATAAAGAATGATATAAAATATCACACATATAAAAGCCTTTAGAATACTCATGAAAAAGGTGATTACTAATTTTAAGAAGTCACCTAGTACTCTATCTCAAAAGCAACAGACCTCAAAAGATACTGTTAATTCAGTATACCAGTGTAACAGGTAAAAAACACAATAGATAACTCAAAAACAATTTATATCTCTCCTTGGATTGGGTGATTTTTTAATATAATGTTCTTTTTCATAAAATCGCACTAAAATTAATTCACCCAGGAACATACCAAGTAGATAGAAAACGAAGAGTCTATTCATGAAGATGCTAGACAATGGAGGAACCAAAAAAGTATGCCATAATTCATTATGGTAATTACCCACACATACAATAAAAAGGCTAGTGAAGATGCTGACTTAATTACTGTTACTTTTTGAAAAAAAAAAAAAAAAAAAAAAAGCCTTAAAGAGTCAGTATGATGTTGAAAAATAAATGGCTGTTTTCAAGTAAAAAAATAAGTTATTAACACTAAGGTTTGTTGTATACATGAAACTAAAGAGAAAGCCGTAAGTATATGAACACGAAAACAAATTAACATAAAAAGGTGGATCCCTAAGCTCAGTAATCCGAGGATGAATTAATTAACATTATTTAGAATATAAGAGCCATGCATATAAGCATATAACTAAACTTGGTAACAATATTCAGTCTCAACATAAACCTAAAATAAAAACTTAAACCTAGCAGTCTCTAGAAACTCTTTTTTCTTATTTAAAAAAATAAATCACAATCTGTGTAAGCATCTTTCAAAAATCTTTACATGAATATTTATTCAAAATCATCCATACTGAAAATTTTATAAAAACAAAATTTACTTAGTATAGGCCATAGCTCATTTAATCCATAAAAGGTTCATTTTGACAAATTTAGAAGAAAGCAGAATATATAATATTTCAAGTTACATCTGTCCTGTTTCATGCTACAATGCTGTTTATTTAATTTACTGAAACTTTCAAACAAAATAAATTTTACCAATTTAGAAGACATTTTAAATCCATCTTGATTCATTATAGAGGATGTAATGACATTTTAAACGAATAAAATTATCAAGCAATGCAAATACATACAAAATTATTTTAAATTTGATGTACAGATTTCTATTTTCAATACAGAAATATGTTGAGGGTAGGAAAAATAGGAAAAACAGTACCGATATCTTATCTCTTTCTGAGGTTATTTTCCTTCTGCTTGACTTATTTCCACTGACTTCATGCAAACTTAATATAAATCTCAAAAGAACTTTCTAGATTAGGAAGAACAATAGCACACTTCTTCCCATTTATAAATTAGGATATATACTAACAATTTCTAATAATGTTTGTCTTAACAAAATTGGAAAATACTTTGATGACAGTGAAGTACTTTCTAAAATCATGACATGATAAATATGTAATAAATGCAATGTGAAAATGAGTAAGAAATATTTCATTTATGTAATAGCCATACTTCTACTGCATTTACTACATAGCTTTCTATTAGAGCTCTTAGTATCAATTATTCTTACATTATGCCAACAGTCAAAACTCTTTTTCATTTTGCTTAAAATATTCCCCCATAGAATTCTTAGTAAAACAACCGGGCTATTACATAATGCATCTTATTACCGACACTTGAGCTTTATTATTACTAATAAGCTGTAATTTCTTGAATTTAAAAATAAAAGAACACAATCCCTATATGGCCAAAAAAAGTGATACAATTAACCCTAGCTTGAAAACATTTATAGTAGGCCCCTGAAGCTTATATATCTTGACAGAATGGTTGCAAGAAAAAATTAAGAAGGTTAACTAGGAATGCAAACAACTAATGAAATTTTAACTGAAAGCACAAAAGCAAAACAAAACTATAAAGTGTGTCTCTCTGAACATAAATTTTGCATGCCTTCATCTCTGTCTCTAATGCCACCATCGTATCCCTCGCCACCATTCTACTTACAGGTCTCCCACATCCACTCGTTTCCCTTGCATTCCAATTTCCATAAAGCAGTCAAATTTTTAAAATAGGATATATACAGCTTTAAAACTGCAATAACACCCCATTATTATTAGGACTAAGCACAAACACCTTCTCTAAGATCTTCCATACGGAAAGCCCTTGTGTATTTCCTCATCACCATCTATTTCACCCTCTCCCTTCCTCTTTGTTATGCAGATTCACAGGCTTTCTTTCCATTTGTCAAGTGCAAATATGCCCCTTTTACTCTCAGTGCCTCTGGACAGACTATTCCCTCTACCAAATTTGCTTGGCATTGCCTACTCTCCATAAATTTTCCTTCTCTCCCCCCATTCACTTGACAATTCCCACTTACACATTAAAGTTCATCTAAAATGTCAATTCCACATGCCAACCTTCACTGACCCCCACCCTCTCCACTATTCCTTCAGACTAGGCCCTGTCTCCAGTTATGCATTCTGATAATACCAAACTTTCCACTTTTTATAGCTCTTACAACCTACAGTTGAATTATTTGCTGTTAGAACATTAATCTCAGTAAGGCACAGATTGACTGTGTCTGTTTTTTTGTTTGTTCATTTTGTTTGTTCTTTTTCAATAGAGTCTCGCTATGTTGTCCAGGCTGGAATGCCATGACTCTTCACATGCATATTCACAGTGCAGCCTCAAACTGCTGGGCTCAAGTGATCCTCCTACCTCAGCCTTCTGAGTAGCTGGGAGTACAGGCACATAGCACTGCACTCAGCCAACTGTGTTTGTTTTATTCATAGCTGTATCCCCCAAGGAAAAGTAATGATTCAAACATTATTAGAGGCACTCAATGCATATTGATTTATTGATTCCTTTTTCAGGGTCGGAGCACTGTTTACAATGGGTGTTTGGACAATGGCAACAGGAGGCACAAACAACAATTGCTTCCTTACTCCTTAAAGTGTTAAAGTAGAATATGTACTGAGAAGCTCTTTTTGTCCCATGGCTACTTAATGCCAATCCCTTAAAAAGGCAAGTAAAGGCCCAAATATGTGGTTGAGTTTAGGATTGTAAATTGCCTCACTTGTTCCATCTATTCTAAGCAGTGTACAGCTCATCATCAGTAGCACAAAACACTACCAAAATCAAGTATTTCTGGAAAACGCACTGGACTGACACAGATGCCTTTGATTCTAACAAAAGACTCCCCCAAATGATGGGTCTTTTACTCAAATCAAAGGCATCAGTGCCAGTCTATGAAATTCAGCAAGTCACATCATTTCCCAAAGTTTGTTTTCTCTAACAACACTCATTACATCTTTGAGTCTATGATTATATTAGCTACATAAAACCACACATATACATACACAGGGATGGAGTGTATAAAAAACTGGTAATTGGGCAGTAGGTAAATTTAAACATTCGATCAAAAGAGGGAGCCATGAATATATTTCACTTTAAGTTCAATTATATAAATCTTCCTGTGTAGGAATAAGACTTTTTCTTTGGTTAAGGCTCTGCTGAGTGGTATTAACATGACCTGGGTCTTGAAAAAACTATGAACTGTTCCTACACTGCAAAACCTATGGTTTCCAGTTTCTTTAAAATGGCATGGCAATAAAGACATTTGTGAACAAATCTGCATGCAGAGTCCTTGAAGACTTTCAAATTTCATAGCTGCCTTTCGCTCACTTAATTCAATTACACTCTTCAACCAGCTGCGAGTAATTCCAAAGCAAGTGACTTGGTTTTCATAGAAACTACCTTGTCATATTCATATTTCTTCAATCTAAGTTGACTGTTAATTAAACGACCTGATTATCATAAAAAGTGTAACTGGGATATTTAGGCTCAAAAACAAATACAACTTTTATTTCAACGTGTTTGATTATCTGTCTCCTCTAAATCACCAATATTCAGGTCACACTACAGACTAATTGTATCAGATTTTCTGGAGGTGGGGTCCAGGTATCACACAACTGACTTTTGATAAGCATACAACTCCAAGGGTGGAAACAGAAGTGGATAGATGTAATAGAGCCTAGTCTTAATGCTAAGGTTATCAGTCAGTACAGCATACAAAGGGAATGGAGAGCACTGGCTAACCAAACATCAGTTAAGAGAACTTTCACTGCAATAGCACAGAATAGGAACCATTTCAAAATCAGCTTAAAATTTTGTTGACGAGAACCACACACACAAAGACTATAGATTAAGGAATATGTCATAATTTAAAGAGGCTTCATTAAAGAGGCTACACTTAAATCTTGATGAAAGAGCAGTATTTATATGGGAGAAGAAAGGACACAGGAATGAGCAGAAGAGGGGGATGAGCATGATAAATATATATGCAAGGGTCATCTTGTAGACTTGCCTGACTAGAGGAGAGGGTGATCGCTTGGCAGTAAAGGCGATCTTCACATTCATGGCAGAATATTTTCCTGGAAAAGGTGCCTTATGTCAAAATGATAAAAGTAAAAGCTGCTTTTTCCACAGAAAACAATCCTATAATAAATGTTATGCTCCTGATGCCACATTAGTTTTTCAGAGAAATGACTACGAAGACCTTTTTTAAAAACAGTAAGAATGGTAGAGTATACTATATACTGCATAATGTGTAGGTATACATAGACACTATATGTACAACACACACACACACACACACACACAGAGGTCCATAGAATCTTAGTATTTTAGAACTGAAAGGAATCTCAAGGGAAAAGGTATATACATATACACATACACAAACACACACACACACACGCACGTTAAGAGTTGGCCTTTTTAAAGGTATGTTAATAAGATCAATATAATAACCAATCACATAAAATTATAATAATATGTATTAATCTTCAACAAAAGGTCTTTATCTTCTATGTAAAAAAAATAGAAATTTTTGAAAAATCATTAAAATAGAATTCCTAGTTTTCTTGGGTAGATTTTTGACAAGTAACTTTGAGTAGATTTTGAGAAAAGTTTTACTCCATTAGAAGGCCTTTTGATCAACTGACTCAGACTTTTTTTTGTTGAGAGAAAGCAACTGAGTGGCTTATCTGTGAAAGAAAAAAATTCCTTCTCCTGAGTCTCTGAATCAGATACTAAGTCCCCCTCTTAATTCACTATTAGAAAGGATATACTACTCTTCACTCTAAATACATAATCCTTTACTTGTTTCCATCCTTCAGAGTCCTTGAAGAACTACTTTGTTAACGGTGTCAAAAACTCAGGCTGAAATTGAATTTGGGTAAAATTGTAAAGGCACAGAATTGTAAGCTTCATTTTGAATCCACTAAATCAATCCCCCCTACGTCAATTCAGTCATAAATACTACATGTTACCATAACCATCTCTCCAGAGTCTCCTTTTATCATCCACTTTAAGGATTTAGTTGTCAGTATTGATTAAAATAATGAAACTAATTTGACCTTCTTCACAAACATTCCTGAACTTAAAGTTAATGTATGAGTACCCCCTACCATAGTCCTCAAAAATATACGGGGAATTCTTTCATAGGAGCTAAATTAGCAACCACACAAGGAAATACAACTCATTACTTCAGGTTTACAAATCTGCCTCTGCCCCCTCTTCACTTAGCTGTATCCTCTCCAACTGTGAGCTGGAGTAGGCAAACAATTGTGTACATCTCTTCCTATTTCCATGTTCAGTGACTTCATGCTGATAGCTTAAAACTGAACGTGGTGGGAGAACTTACACTTCAGAAAACTTAAAAAAAATCAAACTCATAACACTACAGATTTATTGTTTTCAGCATTCTATAAAGAACAGCAATAGTCTGGTTGTACAAAAACTTTTTATTTCATTGATACAAGGGTTTTAATCATCGAGAAGAGATTAGTAAATGTATTTTATGTTTAGAATCAAGCATTCTTTCTGATCATTTAGAAATATATTAAAAGGTTTAAATAAATTTTGTTATCCTACTATAAGACCCCTACTAATAAAACAATAGATATGAAGAGTACTTTAATCCCAAAGTAAATTAACTCTAATTAGCAATCCTATATACTTAAAAAAAAATAACTCCCCAAATGGTATTCAAAATGTGGAGTGTGATGGAGTATGTTAGTGTGTGTTTTGGGAGGAAACATGATTGAAAAGAAATCAAGATTAGTAACAACCTGACCAGAGAATCTTACTATTTTAGAACTGAAAGGGTTCTCAAATCACTACCACAATTCCCTGTAATTTCAGAGCCAGAATTTAAATTACATATTCTAGGAGACACAGTGAGACCAAGGTTTTGTTAAACAAAACAGGGTTCCAGGAAGCGGAGGTTGCAGTGAGCCGAGATTGCGCCATTGTACTCCAGCCTGGGCGACAGGGCGAGACTCTGTCTCAAAAACAAAAACAAAAACAAAAACAAACAGGGTTCTTAACTTTCAGTTCAGTGTTCTTTCTACTCTACCATAACAAGAAAACAAAACATCCTGATTCATAGAAGTAATAAGCAAATTGGTGGAAACGAACTTAGGCATGCAGTTTTATATGACTGTATTAAAGGAAATGGTATTTAGTGAGCTATAACACTGCTTAAGAAGTGCAGTCCTATATCCTATATTTCAATGCTTCAAAGAGATTCCAATATCCAGATGTTCTGAAGGACTTAGATCTCAGAAAATAGTAAAAAATTTACACAGAAGTACACACATAAAGTATAGTCATCATTTCAGGAGTACAAAAAACAAGACGTGAACACCTTAGTTAAGATAAAATACAGGAAAAAACATAACATGGGGCTAAGTGCACATCTTCTTAAGTATGTTAAAGTATAGAAAATTAAACTCATGATGTTAACTACTTTAGTAAACAGGAGTATTAATAAAACTACTAAAACTAAGATATAAGTCCTTCAGAACATCTGGACATTTCTTCTATAGTGAAATGTCTATTCAAATTATTTCCCCATTTTTTAATTAGGTTACTTGTCATTTTATTATTGAGTGTGCTGTTGCTTTTTTTAATACATACTTTTAATTCTGGGATACATGTGCTGAATGTGCACGTTTGTTACACAGGTATACACGTGCCATGGTGGCTTGCTGCACCCATCAACCTGTCACCTACATTAGGTACTTATCCTAATGCTATCCCTCCCCTTGCCCCTCACCCCCCAAGAGGCCCCGGTGTGTGATGTTCCCCTCCCTGTGTCCATGTGTTCTCATCGTTCTCATCTCATCACGCCACTCATGGGTGAGAACATACGGTGTTTGGTTTTCTGTTCTTGTGTTAGTTTGCTGAGAATGATGGTTTCCAGCTTCATCCATGTCCCTGCAAAGGACATGTACTCTGCTTGTTTTTATAAATATAGTTTTATTGGACAGTTATGCTCATTTATTTGCATTTTGTCCGTAGCTGCTTTTGTGCTACAATGGCAGAATTTACTAGCTGTGACAGAAATGATGTGGCCTACAAATCCTAAAATCGTTGCTGTTTGGCTCTTTAGAAAAAAGTTTGCTGATTCCTGCAACAGACAGTTTTATAGCCATTAAAATATATAAGAAGAATTATAAATATATAGAAAATAGAATCACAACTATACAAAGTAGCATATGCTGTATGATTTTTAGCTATATAAAAATTGTGACTATGTATGCACAGCTAAGACATTAAAAGGAAATACACTAAAACATTAACAGTGATCTTTGGATTGTGGGTCTATGGCTGAAAATAGCTAATTCAGAAAATCTAAAGAAGAAAATTACATTTTACAAAATAGGTGTATATTACTTTACAGCCAGAAACAGAAACATTTGGTTGTCAGTAATAAAGATACCTAAGATGACTTTTTAAAAAGTTAATTTATTTGCCATTTTTCTTTTCTATTCTTTGTGTTCTTATGAACGAAAACATAAGAATTGTTTTTTCAACTATAGATAACAATTTTGTATAGGCAGCCACTATCTGGAAACAAATTCTTACTACCATGGTTTGTACACGATGGAACAGTAAATACCCAATAAATTATTGTTAATAGAGTTCCCACTTGTGACTTCCATGTTTTTTCCACACATTTTAATATGCTCCCATTGGGTCTATGAACATTTCATTTTTCATAGACACTGGGAAAAAAGTATGATTGAAAACAAACCATCTATCTGTAGAACAAATCACATATCTATAGAAAATATACAAATGACCAATAAGCACATGAAAAGATGCTCGATATCACTAGCTATCAGGGAAATGCAGATTCAAACGATAATGTAATACTACTTCACACTCACTAAGATGGTAACAAAAAGACAGACAATAATAACTTAAGTGTTGGTCAAAGAGGAGCCTTCATACACTGCTGGTGGAAACGTAACAAAATACAGCCACTATGAAAAAGTTTGCAGTTCCTCAAAAGACTGATCATACAATCCAGAAATTATATTCCTAGGTATATATCCAAGAGAAATGGAAACATTTGTCCCTCAAAAACTTGTACATGAATACTCATAGTAGCATTATTCATATGATTCAAAGACTAGAAACAACCTAAATGCCCATTTACTGATGAAAAACAAATGTGGTATGTGTTCAACGGAATATTATTCAGCAATAAAAAAGAATAAGCACTAATTTATGCCACAACATGAATGAACCTTGAAAACATAATGTTAAGTAAAAGAAACAGGAAAAAAGACCACATATATTATTTCATTCATATAAAATGCTCAGAATAGGCAAATCCATAGAGACAAAAAAAAAAAAAAAAGATTAGTGGTTACCTAGAGCTAGAAGCTTGGGGAAACGCAGAAGTGACTGACAATGGATATAAGGTTTCTTTGTGAAGTCATTAAAATGTTCTTAAATTTATTGTGATGAAAGCTGTACAATGCTTAACTAAAGCTACTGACTTTAAGTGGGTGAACTGTATAGTTTGTGAATTGTATCAGTTAATAATGAACTATTACCCCAGGTCTATTCTACAGATTATAAAAACGTTAGGCTGGGTGTGGTGGCTCACACCTGTAATCCCAGCACTTTGGGAGGCTGAGGCCAGTGGATTGCCTGAGCTCAGGAGCTCCAGACCAGCCTAGGCAATGTGGTGAAACCCCGTCTCTACTAGAATACAAAAAATTAGCCGGGAGTGGCAGCGTGCACCTGTAATCCCAGCTACTCAGGAATCTGAGACAGGAGAATCGCTTGAACCTGTGAGGCGGAAACTGCAGTGAGCCGAGATCGTGCCACTGCACTCCAGCCTAGGTGACAGAACAAGAGTCTGCCTCAAAACAAAAACAAAAAACATTAACTATTTCCCCTTCTTTTAAATATTTAGATAAAATTTCTAATTTTAAATTAGTTTCTAATTGTTTTTGCTGTACTGTAATAAATATAATAACTGTCTTTCCAAGTAATGTCAGTTTTTACCCAAATTTCATATAGCAAAGAATATAAAATGGTAAAACAAAAAAAAGGATAAAACTTTGTTGCAAATGTCCACTATTTGAGTTTTGTTTGCCTTTTAACAAGTGTAGGGATATACCATTTATTTTCATTATTTCTATGGCAAAAGGTAGTAAGAAAATTGGTAAAACTTCAAGAACACATTCCCTATCATTCCCTGTGATACTATATCATTAGTATCACAGCCAGCGAATCCTGAAACCTATGTATCTATCCCTCCTCCCTCTACAGGAAGATCCTTCAGTTAGGAACACAGTGGCATTAGCATATACCTACTTTCGCTGGGGGGCACAGTGACTCACGCCTGTAATCCCAGCACTTTGGGAGGCTGAGGGGGGCGGATCACAAGGTCAGGAGTTCGAGGCCAGCCTGACCAACATGGTGAAACCCCGTCTCTACTAAAAATACAAAAATTAGTCGGGTGTAGTGGCGTGCGCTTATAATATCAGCTACTAAGGAGGCTGGGGCAGAAGAATTGCTTGAACCTGGGATGCAGAGGTTGCAGTGAGCCGAGATCGTGCCACTGCTCTCCACCGATCATGCCACTGCACTCCAGCCTGGGTGACAGAGTGAGACTCCGTCTCAAAAAAAAAAAGAATATATTATGTACTTTCTGCTAATCTTGGGTTAAGGGGAACAATGATGGAGGGATTTACCACCCACACTTCACTTTCAAGATCAACAACAAGGTTGCTTGTTATAGTTTCTACTACACTATCCTTATCTTCTTTTTTAGAAATTTGCTCATACTATTCTTATTTCCTAACATGTCCTTCCTCTCTATCTATCCAAATAACCCATTCTTGAAAACCAGTTTTGGTCTCAACTCCGTTCAGGTCTTCATCAGCTACTGTGGTTCACTCTATCGCTACATGACAAACCGCTCTCAATACCACAGAAATGATTGTTTTATTTCTCTATGTTTCATGTGCCTTAATTTTGCCCTCTCCACCTCCCTTGCTCTACAAAAAAAAAAAAAAAAGAGCTAAGACAGGGTCAAAGAATCTGTGTACACAACCTAGGAACATAATAGCAACAATAATAACAGAGAAGTTAACTTTACTGAACACTTACTATGTGCCAGCTTATAGAGGCACAGAGTCAAGTGATTTGCTAAAAATGTCATTTACTGGTTGGCAAATACTTTACTAAATGTTTCACCCACATCATCTCATTTTCCCCTTACAACTCTAAGTTTGCTACAAGAATTACTATTACTATTTTACAGAGACATTAAAAATTTTCTTTTCGATACACTAAAACTTAACAGTAGAGATAGAATTATAGATTTTCTGACACAGGCCAAGGCTGTCTGCATCACACTATAATATCTTATTTAGAGGGTGAATAAAAATACATGGGTTATCCAGGATTCATTCCCTAAGGCTCCCGTCTAATCCACACCCAAATTCCACAGAGAAGGAGAACTCAAGGGTGCTGGAGGAAAGTTTCCTTCCCCAAGCTGGTACTGGAATAACAAGTACTAATACTAAATAAGATGTTATGACTACAAAGCACTCTCCCACACATGATGTCATTTAATCCTAACAACCACCTCATAAGGAGATATAAGTTATCATCTCCAGACAAAAAATGTATGTGTTTTGTCCACTCAAGGCCAAGAGCTTAAGAAGTAATAGAGCTAAGCTCAAATCAACAGCTTCGGACTCAAAACATACATTATTTTCTTCCCATCTTTCAAAATTAAGCACTTCATTTTACAGTGACATTCTCTAATTGTTTCTCAAAGTTGATGAATAAATACAAACACTAGAAATCATGGGTTCTAAACATTTTCTGAGTTCATGACCCTTTAAAGAAATCAAACCTATGAAACCACTGGATAGGAAAAAAAAAAAAACCACAGTTTTTTTCCAGGTTTGTGGGCCCCTGTTAAGAGCCCTATAAAGGACTGTAAGTTAAAGAATAGAGGTGATAGTTTTTGCTGCTATCATATGTTTCACAGTATACAGCAGACAGCACAGAATAAGGCTTTCTGAAGTATATGAATGATTGTAAACAGACTAATCTTCCTGATATTGGCACCGGAAGTCATGGAGCCTCTAGTAAGTCATATATTTGTGTAGTAATAGAAAAAGGGAATGTAGGAAAGTCATTAACAGAGAAGGAACAAACCAACAATTAATGAGTTTTACTGCACGCTAAGAACTTTATTTGATACCATTTTTTAGCCTCAAAGCAGCCTCTAAAGTAGTTATTATCTGTATTGTTTTAATTTTCCAGAAATTTAAGGTAAATGGTCAAGCAAAGATATAAATTTAGATCAGTGTAGGATGGAAAAAACCTTGCTTTTTCACTAAGCTTGATAGCACTGAATGTTTTCAAAAGAAAAAAAAACTTAATACCTACAGTGAAAAGAAAGGTGACTAGGGGATCAAAAACAGGGAAAGTATTGCAATAACAGGAAAGAAGAGCAGGAAACTAAGATAAATAACCTAGATTATAAAATATTTAATTGGGTAGGAGAAAAAATACCAAACTTAAGAACAATTTGATTCTAACTCACTAGATAACATTAGACTAACCACTTTACCTTTCTGGACCTTAGCTTCCTCATCAGTAAAATTATGGGTGTTGGATGGCATAAAAACTTAAATTTCTAAATTCCTTCACAATTTTCAAAACACTGTCACAGGTATTTCATTTCACTCCACTGAGCAGGGACTTTGTTTTATTCACTGCTGTATCCCCAGCATCTGGTTGGTACAAAGTATGCCCAAAATATTAGTTGAATAAGATGAATTTTGATCCTGACAATTATCCTGAGAGGAACACAGAACAGGGCAGTTATTATTACACTTATTTTACATATGAGAAAAACCAAGGTTCAGAGTTTAAAGACACTTGCTCACAGTCCCATAGCTAGAGGTGGAGCTAGAATGCAAACTCAAGTTTTCAGATTACTAGTTCAAATCTCTTCCCAGGTCTAAAATGTGTTACACATTTTTATATATTTTTCAATAGTCAGGCACAAGAATAATGAATTCTTCCTATTCTCACCCTTTCAAAGAAAAAAAAAGTCATCAGGATAGTGTTGCTATAGAAAGCAATAAAAAATATTTAGAAGAGTTATCTGAAAGAATACCTAACACTCAATAATGGTGCATATGAAATAAAAGAGATTAAATTCAAATTCTGACTTTCTTTGATTATACCAATTATATGTTCTGTGTTCCACAGTGAGTCTGCATCTGTAATTCTGGCTGGCTACTTTGTAAATTCTTGCTCCTAATCACGAGGGATGAGGAGTACAAATCTATCTCTGTAACAATTATTGTTCAAATCATAAAACTTGTGCCAGGCTCCCCAATGAGGTTGGGAAACACATCCAATGCCCTTCCTCTAGCCAACTCCAAATCTAAAGCTTTATAATCAATGGAGATAGAGGAAAGGGCCTGAGAGGGCAGCATGGCTGGAAATACCTAGCAGGGCAATCTTTGCGTGTGATGGTAGCAACATATTTTAATGGAATAAAAAAAAAAAATCTACAAACTCATCCAAACATAAAATCTTTCTTTCAAAAATAAATAATTTCTAGAACACAAGTATTCCCTTTCACATAACGTTGCCCATTAAAAGGCTTTCAAAAAGTTAGACATCAAGGATGGAGGGGAAAAAAAGCCTTCAAAAATAAAAATGAAAGTAAACATAATTTAAACAGGTGTGAAATAGCCTCCCATCAAAAAAAATCAAGCAGTTTAAGTACAAGAATAGAAGTCAAAACACTTTCATCATATGGGAAGCAGTATATAGCTGGTTTGTAAAGTAAGAATTTTAGTATATCTGACAAAAAAAGTTTGTTAAAACAAACTCACCAAAATATACTTCTTTTCTGAAAAATATAAACTTGAATATTTTCCACTGACTTATGTTCCTTTGGTCCCTTCTCGTCCAAGAGGACTTCCAATAGATATGTGTCATAATTAGGAGAAGGGTTACAGCAAAACTATGTGGAGAAGAGCAGTTACACTGAAACTAATCTATTTTCATAGCACTCACATAAAACAGAGGGTCTAGGGAAGGGGGAGGGGGGAAGTAGCAATAAGTGGGGTAACAGATTTGAAAAGTCACCTGATTTGGACCCTAAAGAAAAAACTACCAAACAGACTTAGAAAGCAGGGCTTAATCAAAATAACATTCTGTAAAAACCTAAAATCTGGGGTAATTTAAAGGTTTTAAGAGCTCTAGTTGTAAAATCTTGGAGTTATCCCACAGTAATAATCTGCTGTTCTACTTACCTTTTAATAAACAATTCCTCCCCTTAAAAGTTGTTTTCCTTACTGGTACAAACCATACATCTAAATTTTTCTGCATAAATACAATGTCGTGTCCTTACCTAGTAGCAAACTGAATGAGTGCGTTTTGAAGAGTCTGCCTAATTTCAAGAAGAAAAGATTCATCATCGCTTAGTGTATAATACCAATACTGGACATAATCCCTCAAGGAAAACTGGATAACCTATAACAAAAATATTGGAAAAAAAATTACAACATTTTAGGATTTAAAAAGTTACAGTGGTAAACTAAAAAAGTATGCTGTATCTACCAATTTATATTTACTCTCTACGTATTAATTTATGGTGGTAAATACCTGCCCTCATTACAAAAACATCAACATACTAAAAACCATTTCAAACATTTTTAAATTATTCTGGTATCCCAACTTACCTACTGCCTAGATTTAAAAAAAAAAATAAAATAAAACACTATCTATGGCCAAGTCCCACATAAATCCAGGTAAAGACAGGGTTTGCAGAAAAAAAAGAAACTTTCCATGCTATAATCTAATAAATAATATCAATCAGTTTAATGGAATGAGATGTAAAATAATAGAGACTATAATTCCACAAAAAAAGTTTTTTTAAAGATTATATCATCAGATCCATTGCAGTCTAATTATAAAAATGATACAGGAGTTCACTTATTTCTACTAATACCTTTGATACTGCCAACAGTATTCAGACAATAAATAGTACATAATACAACTCAATGTATAATTTTTACAAATCAGATAAACTAAATATTAGTAATAATAATAAATGTTAAAATTCTAAAGTACACATTTTTATAATCATATAATCAAACATCAATGAAAAATATTTCAGGGGGCATAGTTTTTTTACCTATCTCTAATTTTTTAATGTTTTTGCATCGGATATTTCTTTTCCATTTTTTAAAAGGTAACAAGTAGGAAAAAAAGTCTGATTTACCACACCACTAAGCTTGTTCATCAACGAAAGAGTAACACTTTAACTGTAAAATTTTAAGAAACACTATCAAATGTCAATAACAACTTTTTTTCTAAATCCAAATTCAATCGAAAGGCTTTTACATAAAGTAAACCACCTCATTAGAAGTGAGTTAATAAATAAGGAAGCATCTTCAAGTATAAAATTCAAGGATAACATTAAGAAATTCCAGGATATTATTTAAAGAGCAAAAAGTATTTCCTGGTATCTTCAAAAGAAATATACCTAGAACACAATATATAGAATTCAAATACCACACGCTGAAACTCACTTGCTGGAGAGGTTCATCAATTATATTGGCACCCGTCAATCTTCTATCAATCTTAATAGTCCTGGCTTCCCGTTTCATTTCTTCTAAGCACTTAAAGGAAATCAAAATATCTTACTGAGTAGTTTTCTGATGTAAAATCTCTCCAGTTTAATTCCAGTTGAATACTCAATGTAACATCCCTTCATTATCCTCAAGTAAATAAATAACCTTATTTGAGGTGCTACTCTATAAGCCAAACACTATTTCTCAAGTTAACAAAATTAGACACTCCCAAAAAAATGATTATCCTCAAAAATTTAATCAGCAAAAATTATTTAGAATGTGGGAAAACTGCAAATGTACAGGTATGCTGCTGCCATATTTCAATGAAACTCTACAACTATAAAATTAGTGTTTCATGTGAGTCAAACTGTCTTTACTGGACACTCTCCCTCTTGCCCCTCCCCTTTCCCAGCCCAAAACAGTATACCAGCTGCAAAATAATTAATTTTTAAACGGATTTTATGTAGGGATAGTTTTGGCAACTTAAGAAAATGTACTTCTCTACTTTTTTGTGTTCAGAAAGATCAGTGGCCTGAAAATTGGGGAAAAGGTAGTGGGAGATTCTTAAAAAAACAAACCATAAATATATATAAACATAGATACAGATATAGACATAGATATCTATATTAAAAATACATGCTTCAAAGTTATAATATGAAACCACGGATATTTTTTCATAAGACATACTTAGAAATCATATTTTAGAAATAGCAAATAAAACCCATTGTTTTATACTATCTATTAAAAATGGATTATAAAGACTTAACCATTCTTGAATATAATTTATTACTGTTAAGGATCTTAATTCTTAAAATATTTCCTATTCTCTGTATATGCCACTCAAATGAAGTACACTATAAATAGCTAAGAAATGGTTCAAAAAAGGAAAGGTTAATTTCCTAAGACTTATAAGTAAAAAAAAAAAAATACATATTAATATGAGTCCTAAAGGAGAGAAAGGTTTCAGATTATAAAAAAGTTTAAGTATTAAAAAATTTGTTTATCAATATAAAAGTCAGTGGAATAGAGTGAAATTCTTTTATTAATGTAAAATAATATTGGACATTATTTACTTCTACATCTCCTGCACCTTAGCATGTAACAGATAAATTAATAACTGTAAAGAAAGTTGTTATTAGCATCAACTCCAGGCCATCTGCCTCTCTTCATACAAAATGAAACCAACCCAACTGCACAAGAATTGAAGGCACTACAATCTGAAACTTACACAATTCCAATTTTATTTATAGAGTATGATACTGAAAAAATAATAGCACCATTCAAGATGATAAAAATTAGGCCTGAATTATTAAAATTATAGATACTGCATAATCTAATTACAAGCTGTATTTTTCAAAGTAATGAAAAGTATCCATTTTTTCCTCTGATTCCTCTGCAATTTATTTCATTCAAACCAGAATACTCATTGACATTGTTAAAAATCATATGCATGATGCTTTGAAATACTATGATAAGACAGCAGGAAAAATACCCAAAATAAACTAACCAATTTCTATCGTTTTCTCAAGTTTGTATTCCCACTTTTTAAATCTAACACTAAGAAAGTTTTTAAGATGGCCTTTTAAAATATATTTTCTAAGTATAATTAGACAATCTCACATAAATTCCCAGTGAGCATTAGTAAACTATACGAAAATTTGTCACGCTATATATACAGATGATTACTCTATTATCATTGCAAAGAACTGGACTTTGAGGTTTTATATTCCCTCAAACGATTTACCTTAGGAACCCCAGGTGATGTTGGAGGAAGAAATGAGTGTTCACACTGTTCTAGGTACTTCTCTGAGTTTGTTTTTCCAAACAGGAGAGTAACCACTAAACCCCTAGAAAGAAAAATTTAATCACAAATATAAAAACAAAATTTCCTTATAATTTAATGAATCTACTACCAAGTATATTTTCCAGAGTTCACAGATGGCTTATCATTTACTAAAAAGTCAATTTGTGACTTTGGCAAAGCAAGAAATTGACAGATTGTATTAGGTTCTGAAGTTTAAAACAACTATGAACATTTTGTGAATTATACAATAATACTTTTTAAAGTTTTAATCCAATATATTTCCTAAAGAATCTTGTGACAAGGCCAGGTGTGGTGGCTCATGCCTGTAATCCCAGCACTTTGGGAGGCCAAGACAGGAGGATCACAAGGTCAGGAGTTCGAGACCAGCTTGACCAACATGGTGAAACCCCGTCTCTACTAAAAATACAAAAATTAGCCAGGGTGGTGGCTTGCACCTGTAGTCCCAGCTACTTGGGAGGCTGAGGCAGGAGAATCGCTGGAACCTGGGAGGCAGAGATTGCAGTGAACTGAGATCACGCCACTGCACTTGAGCCTGGGTGACAGATCAAGACTGTCTCGAAAAAAAAAAAAAAACTTAAGTGACATTTTTCAAACTTAAAAAAAAATCAGGCTGAGCACAGTGGCTCACACCTGTAATCCCAGCACCTTGGGAGGCCGAGGCAGGTGGCTCATCTGAGGTCAGGAGATCGAGACCACCCTGACCAACATGGTGAAACCCCGTCTCTACTAAAAACACAAAAATTAGCTGGGTGTGGTGACATGCACCTGTAATCCCAGCTACTCAGGAGGCTGAGGTAGGAAAATTGCTTGAACCGGGGAGGCAGAGGATGCAGTGAGCCGAGATCGCGCCACTGCACTCTAGCGACAGAGTAAGACTCGCCTCAAAAAAAAAAAGAAAAGAAAAATCAGCCCTTATTAAACAAGTAGGCTAGCTAATAACCATGGATAAAGACAAATGAATCTAAATATGTAGCTAAATGACAGAATTCTATAGTTCTGTTAACCAATTCACGTGAGGTATTACATTATTATAACTTTCCAGTATGAATACAGAATACATAAAGGCTATTTAGGGAAAAAAAAATCTAATCTATGATTTGTTTAAAATAAGGCTGGAATTAAGAAAATATAAATGTATCCCAAAAAAAGTTAATTATTTTGAAAAATAATTACAGGATCAAGGAAGATAAATGGTGATTTAGAACTACTTCACTCTAAGTATTGACTAAATATTATCAATATTTCATAGATTTTAAATTTACCAATAAAGCAAAGTGTTGGAAATCCATCAAAAAACATTTAATCTAATAATGATCTTATAGTAATGTTACAATGATTCAAAGACTGTAATGACAGGAAGGGAACAGTAAAACATTAAATATTGTCAGTCTCAACTACTGAAAGGAAGATTCTCAAAGTCCTCCAATTTTTGTGTCTACCTGCCCTCTCACTAGTCCTCAGTACAAGTATCACAAAAGCAGGGGTTGGGGGTTGAGAACATGGATAAAGTCAAATCAGTTTAAGTCATTAATTCTGTTTTTGTTATTTGTAAAAGGCTGGTCTCAGAATTACTGCTAAATGTCATCTATCTGTGTTATATCTGATATTATTATTAAGATTCAAGTTGGCCCTCTATTTCAGTTTTACCTGGTTATTAAGCATATTTATAGACAAAATAAAATGTTTATATTAACACTGTGTTATTAAAAACATCATCAAGAAACAGACTGATAAGACATTAATTTTTGCCCACAAGTGTGTAACGATAGGAAGACAAGATAAAGAGCAGTCTGATTTTAAAAGAACCTAAATAGTAGTTTCAGCTGTAAAGTTTAAGTAATAATTTAAACTGTAGTTGGGTGCCATAAATTAATTATATAACCCAACAAATACAACAGAATGCCACAAAATAACCATAATGCAGTAAGATGAAAGTATCCTACAACAACAAAAACGAAAAATCCCCAAGTGTTTTTCTTTCCAAAAGCATTCTTTATATTAAAAAATAAGGAGTTAACTTTGACTATAAGCAAAATATAGACATTATCAACACTTGACAAGAATAAACTATGCAAGTTAAAAACTTAAGTTTTATTAGAAAAACAAGAGAGGATTCCACAGACCCTACCATGTGACTCTTAATATTCTCTAGAGTTTTTTAGTACCCATTATCCTCTAGTATCCCACCTTATCTCCAAATTTTTACAGAACTTTGTAAGCATCCAAAAGATTTTTTGAAATTATTCCTTGATAAACTACAACATTTAAAAAAGGAACAATGAAGGTTCTCATGACTTTAAAAATGAATAAACTTTGTGCAGGATCTGGTTTTATTAAAGATTAAAAACTTAAAAAATTAATAAACTGATTACTCTTCTCTTTTTCCTAAATTTATTTGGAGCAGTTGAGTAAAAAAAGAAATAATTATTCACTTACCCACCTTCCAAGGGCTCCTACCTTAGCCTATAAAGCTGCAATATCCTCCCTTGACAAAGTATTGGGAAATACTCTGAAATCCTTTTCCTTCAATCTTACAAGGGCTAATACAATTAGTGAAATTAGAAGAAATTTCTACCTTTCAAAAAAAAATGTCAAGACAATTTCCCTTCCAATTAATAAATGCAGCCTCGACTCTGAGAGGGAGAGGTGCAACCATGTCACTATTCAGCCATGCTGTCGCCTTAACTGTGACTGAGAAGTATAATTAGGAAACCCATTTGGCTGCAGATCTGTAGTATCTTCAATCATCTTTATCATCTTCAGTCATCTTTATCATCAATAAAGATATTCTGAACTCCATTATCAGACTCTTATGGCTGAAATAAGTTTAAATGTTTCAGTACACAGTATCGTATCTAGGCCATAGATATGAAAATACTAAATCTAACATAAAATACAGTTTTATGGAGAGTCCTTGACATAGCTGCTCAATTAAAGAAATTCTCACTTGTTCAAGCATATGCTCCCTATAGAAAGACTACAACATGACTATCAAATCTGTATCCCCAAAAAAGTGATAGATATATTTAGAAGCTAACCCTTCAGTGTCCTATACAGTTTCTCAAGCTACTGTTTATATATGCTATTCAATTCAGCTAAATCCTCCAAACCTATAGGCTCAAAAAACTCCTCCAAATATCTGGGGTCTCAAAAGATTTTTCAGAAAGAAATCAGTGTTCATTCCACAACTAACTACATAAATACGTCATATTATAAACATACATACAAACACATTAACAACAAAAGACTCATTTCAACTAAGCTATTTTGGTAACAGTGTCTAACAAACATCCCTTGTCTATATATTTTCTAATATTTCCTTGTAATTCGTGTCTGATACCAAATGCTCTGCATACAAAGCTACAATAAATTATGACTGAAACCTCTCTTGTAAAGGTTTATCAACTTAAGGGAAAACATAAACGTACACCAAATAACTATGAAGAGAAAACTGCAAAATCAGGTATTTGAATTTTCTAGACCGAAATGACAACATTCATTAAAGGAAAAAATTAACATTTGTTTGAAGTCTAATCACAATTTCTATAATGTAAAACTTCATGTGCAGTCTCAATTTAACTTACTTATTAACATAATGCAAAAGAAAATTTCAACTTTAAAGGAGAAACACCACCAAAAGGAATTTGAAAAATTTTTTAAACTTTACACATTATCACCAAAAAAAGTTCATACCTTTGGAAATGGACATCTTATTATTGAAGGACTACCCATATTTCTGATACAAATAATGACAATCACTGTTTTTATTTTTATGGGTATCCTTATTTTTTTAACTTTAGTAAAAGCAATTTATTAAAAATGGCATTCACAAATAAATCATACTCCCGTTTCTCAGTCATTTGTTTCCATTTTAACAAGATATGACACATGAATTATAAAATTATAATTGAGTATACTTACCCACCCACAAAGCAGAGGATATAAAATGTCAAATAAAATATTACAAAGGGTCCAAAGGTTATCAGAAAAAGGACAATGCCAAGGCTTCCCCATCCCCATATGGATAGACTGGCCTGAAATACAGAAAAAATATAAGTAAATTAGTAAATAATTCTCCACATGAATTAGAAAAGAACCAACAAAACTTTTACATAGTTTTAAATTTCTTCTTGTAAACATTCATGGTATTATTTCAGTAACTTTTGAAAATGTGAAGTGTATACTTGAAAATTTATCTCCACAAAACAATATACAAAATTTATATGTATAGAGAGATTTACAGAGCATCTGCAATTACTTTTTTAAAAAATCCTAGTGGCAATGCAAAGGTACAGGACAGAAATAGTTATACAAACTGTTAAATGAAATCCTAGCATGAGAAATACAACAAAGTATGTACAAAAACATCTGTACATTTATATTTGCAAATGCATATACAAAAGGATAAGTAGGCTACAAAGTTATACTTACTTAGAATTAGTATTTCATCTTGAAACTAGCTCCCAATATAACTACAGCATAAGGAGACATTTTATTAGAAATTTAAATTTCAAGGTAAGAAATTATCTCATTGAAAATTGTGATATTATTTTACTCAAATTACGTATAGAAACTCATACAATTATAATTACAAAAGTTCCAACTTCCAGTTACCGAAATTTACTATGAGCTCAACAAAACATCACCAAAAAGTATCCATACATTAAAAAAAAAACCTATTTCATACAGAATTATACTGTTTTAGCCAATTAAAAAAAAAACGCCTTTTATTAAAGGCAAACTAGAATTTGGCAACTTAAGTCATTATGAATAAATACATGTGTTCAATTCAACAAGTTCCTACATCCATTCGCCTTGCACTGTGAGGTAGTACACAAAGGAAGCATTTGTCCCACTCATGCCGTCAAGGAGCATAGAGAAGAATCTCCTATAGGAATGAAACAATTAGATACTGAACCAAAAGAAAATAATAGAAAGCATTATAAGATGCTAAACTGAACAAAATTAATGACCAAAAAACTACAGAACAGACAGTAAGTGCTGTGGATTATGAGAGAAAGGAGGGCTTTATTTATTCATTCATTCACTCACCAGTCATTGCTTCCTACGTGCCAAGCACAGCTCAAGGTAGTGGGGATACCATAAGGGATAAAACATACCCCCATAAATCTACATTCTAGTAAGGAAAGAAACACAAGCATACCCACATAAGTTCACATACCTTCATAAGTTTACATTCCAGAAGTGGGGAAAAAGAAAATTAAGTAAATATATAGTTATATCACACGGGGATAAGTGCTATGGAGAAAAATAAAGCAACTGTGTAGGGCTGGTCTAAGCAACTCTAAATGATTAGATGACAAATAAACAGAAATCCTGGATAAGATTTATTTAGGGAGACATATAATACTGAGTCTTCCTACCCCAAAATGACATTTTTCCATTAATCATACCTTCTTTTACGTCCCTCAGAGTTATACAACTCTTATTCCTTTGTGTTTTATTATCCTTTTTCCACATCTTGGCCACTTTTATCTTTTAACCAAAGGACAGAATGCCTGCTAACGAAGTTTCTGCTCTGCCTCCATGCTCTCTTCTCTCTGAATCAGGGGGGAATACTATTTCACCTACAGAAGTGTCCTCTGACTTCCTTCTAAGAGCGGGTAAGTAGGACATAGTTATTTAGAATAAAGTACAGAGACACTCAGTTCCTCTGATAATACTTTGCTGAAGTTCCTAATCCACACTAAAATATGGCATGCCACTCTCTCCTGGCCTGTACAACTTCCACTGAGAAGTCTGCTGGCAAATGTACTGGAGCACCATTCCATGTTTTTTTCTTTTTCTCTTGCTGCTTTTAGGATCCTTTCTTCATCCTTGACCTTTGAGAGTTTGATTATTAAGTATCTTGAGGTAGTCTTGGGTTAAATCTGCTCAGTGTTCTATAACCTTCTTGTATTTTAATATTGATATCTTTTACTAGGTTTGAGAGGCTCTCTGTTATTATCTATCTGAATAAATTTTCTACGCCTAACTCTCTCTCTACCTCCTCTTTAAGGACAATAACTCTTAAATTTGCCCTTTTGAGGCTATTTTCTAGATCTTGTAGTTGTGCCTCATTCCTTTTTATTCTTTTTTCTCCTCTGTGTATTTTCAATTAGCCTGTCTTCAAGTTCACTCATTCCTTCTTCTGCTTGATCAATTCTGTTAAGAAATTCTGATGCATTCGTCAGTAGGTCAACTGCATTTTTCAACTCCAAGATTTGTGCTTGATTCTATTTATTATTTTAATCTCTTTGTTAAATTTATCTGATAAGATTCTGAATTCCTTCTCTGTATTATCTTGAATTTTGTTGTACTTCCTCAAAACAACTATTCTGATTTTTCCACCCAAAAGGACACATATCTCTGTCTCCAGGATTGGTCTGTGGTGTCTTATTTAGTCCATTTGGTGAGGCCAATGTTTTCCTGAATGGTCTTGATGCTTGTGGATGTTCACTGATGTCTGGACATTGAAGAGTTAGGCATTTATTGCAGTCTTTACAGTCTGGGCTTGTTTGTCCCAGTCCTTCTTGGGAAGGCTTTCCAGGTATTCAAAGGAACTTGGGTGTTGTGATCTATGTTTCTAGTAACTGTAGCCATATATACATTAGAGGCACCCTAAGCCTACTAATGTTGTGGCTCTGAAAGACTTGTAGTGGTATTGCCTTTATGGTCCTAAATAAGATGTGGAAGAATTATCTAAATTACCAGGCAGAAACTCTTGCTTTCTTCCCTTACATTCTCCCAAACAGAGTCAGTCTCTCTGCTGAGTTGTGTGGAGCTGGGAGAGGGGTGACACAAGCAACCCTGTTGCTACCTCCACTGTGATGGCACTGGATCATACCTGAAGTCAACAAAGCACTGGGTCACACCCGAGGCCTGTGGTAACCATGGCCTGGCCACTGCCTATGTTCACTTGAAGCCCTAGGACTCTACAATCTACAGGCAGTGAAGCCAGATAGGCTTGTGTCCTTCCCTTCAAGGTGGAGAGTTTCTCCCATTCCTGGGCAGGTCAAGAGATGCTTCTGGAAGCCAGGGT
Organism: Homo sapiens; assembly: GCF_000001405.40. Lineage (NCBI taxonomy): Eukaryota > Metazoa > Chordata > Mammalia > Primates > Hominidae > Homo > Homo sapiens. The sequence continues at coordinate 17,900,455 of NC_000007.14, forward strand.
CTGGAGGTGGAAACCTCAGGAATCTACCTGCTGCTCTACTCTACTGCAGGTGGGCTAGCACCCAAGCCACAAGATGAAGTCCTTCCCATTCTTCCCTCCCCTTTCCACAAGTAGAGGAGTCTCTCCCTACAGCAAGCACAGTCCCCAGGCCCATGGCAAGTACTGCCTGGCTACCAACGTTCATTAAGGACCAAGGGCTCTTCTGTCAGCTGTGGTGAATGCTGCCAGGCCTGGGACTCTCCCTTCAGGGCAATGGGCTCCCCTCTGGCTCAGGGTAGGTCATGAGATGCTATACAAGAGCCAAGGCCTAGAATCAGGGACCCCAAGAGCCCACTTGGTGCTCTATTCCACTGTAACCAAGCTGGTAGCTAAGGTGCAACACAAAGTCCCCTCACTCTTCCCTCTCCTTTTCTCAAACAGAAGAAGTCCCCCCGCATAGTTACCACAACTGGAAATGTACTAGGTCACATCTAAAGCCAGCATGTCTCTGAATCTCACCCAAGGCCCAGGGAAAGTACTGCCTGGGTACCTACTGCTACTGATTATTCAGGGACCAAGGGCTCTTTAGTCAGCAGGCAATCAATCTTGCCCGGACTAGGTCCTTCCCTTCAAAGCAGTAGGTTCCCTTCTGGCCAAAGGTGTGTCTAGAAATGCGGTCTGGGAGGTAGGGCCTGGAACAGGGGCCTCAGGACTCTGCCTGGTGCCCTGTCCTACTGTGGCTAAGCTGGTATCCAAGTTGCAAAACAGAATCCTCTTCACTTTTCCCTCTCCTCTTCTCAAGCAGAGAGAAGGAGTCTTTCCCGGACCTGCAAGCTGCACTACTTGGGGTGGGAGGAAGGGTGGTGCAAGTGCTCTCTTCGTCGCCCCAGCTGGTGTCTCACTGGGTGGTGCGGTGGCTCCAAACCCAGCACAGCACCAGGACTCGCCCAGGAATTGCACTCCTTGTGGCCTAGCCTGCCTTTCAAGTTTACTTAGGACCCCCGAGCACATTAGCCAGCAGTGGCAAGGGTTGCTGGACTCAGGTTCCAACCACTGGGATGGGCAATTCCCTCTGCCTAGGACTGGTCCAAATGCTTCATCCATAGGCTCTGGCTGGGTTCTGCCCAGTGGTGCTTTCCACTGTGACAGGGCAGCACTGAGTTCCAATGCAAAGTCCCATAATCACTGTGCTCTCCCTCCCCTAAGTGCACAGATTTTCTCTCTGCACCACTCAGCTTCTGCCAGGGGATGAGGGAGGGGTGGCATTGACAATTCAATATTGTCCTTCCTACCATCTTCAGTGCCTCTTGCAGCAATATGAAGTTAAAACCAGCTACTGTGATCAGTCCCTGATTTTTGGTTCTTATGAAGGTGCTTTATATGTGGATAGTTGTTCAATTTGTTGTTCCTGTGGAGAGGACAATCAGTGGAGGCTTCTATTTGGCCATCCTGCTCTGCATCCCCCAGTATTCTATTTTTTAACCAGTTGTTAGGACTAAACTGTATAAATGTTTTATTCTCTCTTATGTACAAATCATATCTTTCACAATTAAAGAAATTTTCAAAAAAGAGTCAAAATGAGTTGATATGGAGAAGATTCATGCACCAATTTGTCAACAAGGGGAAATACTTGATTTTTCTAAAAACTCAACTTTTCATATTCTAACAGGTGTTTTATTATTCATTTGAAAACAGTAGCAAAATCACCTAAACCAAAGTCCTATTCATTCATTCAACAACTATTCTGTGAATTTCTGCAATGTGCCAGGTGATAATTTAACAGTGAAAAAACAGTCATTACTGTCATGGTTTTTTTTTTTTTTTTTTTTTTTAGAAAAAAAAGATTCTTTCCTTAATTAAGTTTGAGAGAAATTTTTAAATTCCACAGACTACAAAAATTAGGCTTTTCTAATCAAGCAAGTGCAGTGCTAATTTGCTTGGTAGTTAATCTATTACAACAGTTAACTTCAAATGTTAAACTGTTCATTGAAACATCAGAATAGCGAATTGTCCAAAAATCAAGTTATGTTATTCTAAGTGTTCTCATATGTATAACTGGCTGACATTATAATCTTATTAGTGAGATAAATTAGGAAAAACATTTGATCTAATGCCACATAAAAATAATTGGGTTCTAATTATTTCCTAAAATGATACAGGATAAAATTTAGGGTAATTTTCTTCTATATAAGAAACCTTTCACAAATTCAAACAAGTATTATCTCAAGAGTTGTCCTATAATGGAATCCAAAGAATACAGACAAATCTATATGACAGTGATTTACATTTTTAAAATTCTTTAATACAGGAGTCCCCAACCCCCAGGCTGCAGACCATTAGGAACTGGGCCGCACAGCAGGAGGTGAGCATGCCGCGAGCATTAGCACCTGAGCTCTGCCTCCTGTCAGAGCAGCAGCAGCATTAGATTCTCATAGGAACGTGAAACCTATTGTGAACTGTGCATGTGAGGGCTCTAGGTTGAGTATTCCTTATGATAATCTAACTAATGCCTGATGATCTGAGGTGGGAGAGTTTCATCTTGAAACCATCCCCTCCACCTCGCAGGCCATGGAAAAATTGTCTTCCATGAAACTGGGGGTCCCTGGTGCCACAGAGGTTGGGAACTGCTACTTTAATATAGTACCATTTTCTTTGCTAAATACAATAATCAACATTGAGATATCCATGCTGACTGGTCCCAGAATCACTCACAACTGTGAATTGGAAGAAACTCTCAAGATCATCTACTGCAATACTTCTCAAACTTTAAGGATATTAAATACAGTTTCTTAAAATGCAGATTATGATCCAGTGTGTCTGGGATAGGGCCTATAGTTCTCTCATTTCTAACAAGCTACCAAAACTGTTTAGAAGGAAGGACAATTATATATTTATAATTTTCCCTAAATTAATCTCTAGGCCATAAAATCTTAATCACAATTTTAAAATCTAAAATGCTGTGGAAATCATACACCTCAGAACAACTTATGAAGCAGTAGAAGGCAGCAGCATAGTGCTCAAAAACTACAGACTTAGGAGTTAGGACTAGCTGAATTCAAATCTCACCTTTACCATTAGTTGTGTAACCACTACATGCCTTCATTTCCTCACCTATGTCATGTGGTTACTGTGGGGAGTAAATGAGTTCACAGTCCAAGGTCAATTTTGGCTTAATCACTATTATTATGCAAAGTTAAACAATAAAAAAGTTTTTAAAAATTGCCCAAGGTCACACAGCTATCAGGGTAAGATCTGATACTAAACAAATCTTGACTCTTTAACCCATAAAATTTGTCAGCTGACAATTGTCTTAAAAGTCACAGAAAAAAATGTTAATATCATAAATGAATGCTTTTATCTAAATATTAATCAGCTTAATATGCCTCCCAAGAAAGTAGTCAGAAAACTACCTGCAATAAGTGAATATAATAAATTCCTGGTCTGAAAATCAATTTATCCATGTATCTTCTAAATACATAATGGAAAAAATTTAAGTTTCAAAGGGTGTCTACTTACTAGTATGCTTAGATAATCTACCTGTGTTGGTTTGAACTCAGGGACACAAAAAAACATAAAAAATGACCTCGACTTCCATGATTCTGAAAATTAAGAAATGGCAATGCAAAAAATCACATATGCATCCTGACCAAAGAAAGGAAGTAGAAATAATTTATCTGGTGATATTTTCTGCCTATCAAGGCGTACTGACATTTATCTCATTTGATCCTAAAAAGATATTTATGATAGGAAAGGCAGCATAATAAAATACTTAAGAGTCAGAAATCACAGATTCCAGATTGCCGCTAACTTTCTGCATAACCTTTGCAAAATCACTAACCCTCTCTTTGATCCAGAATACCCATCAGCACCATGAAGGGGCTGAGTTGTGACATCATCTCTCAAGTCTAGTTGTAGCAGACTGGTTCAGTAACTCTTCACAATCACACAACTAATTCAGTGCTTAATTTAGGCCTAGGTTATCAGTGCTTAATTTAGGCCTAGGTTATCAGTGCTTAATTCAGCTAATTCAGGTGTAGATTATCCTGGTTCATGTGGAGAGTGGGGGTTAAGTGGAAAATGCAGTTTTAGATCAGCTGTTTTATACCAGCTATCTTAGAATAGACTGTCAGAACTACCATAGAAAGGAACTTCGACTCTGAGATCAATCTCACTAGAATGGGGTCAACCACTCTCCAACTTATATTCACCTGGTATATTTAAATACATTATATGGCTTAAGGCTGCCAAACAGGGCTAAGAATCTTAGTTGATACTACTTCAGTGCCAACTTGAGTCACAGAAATTATATATATAGTTCAACAATAAAAATAAGTAGCCATAAGAAGAGTGGTCTTATAACAAGTACAGACTGTTTTCCTCCCACGTTATTCTATGTACAATAAGTTGAACGTTCTTCTCCAGGTAATTTCAATAAAATGTGCTCCTGATGTGGAACCCTGTCTCATTCAGCATCAAATAATAATGTAACCAAGGCCAAGTACACAGAAGCTGCTCATTAAGTATGAAAATTACTAACTAGACAAGTGAAATGAGGGAAGGAATGGAAAAAGGAGAGAAAAGGGGAGACCAAGGGAAGGAGGGAAAGGACAGTGAAAAGGCAAAGGACCTTAAAGTGTTCCTCCTCAGTCTCACCTGATGGCTTCAGATACAATGCTATATACTCCTATGATTAGTTTATAGTGCAGCAACATATGCATGGCTATACAATTAAGAAAAAAATTAAATATGAAACTAAGTAATGAGCCTTAGTATTCTATTTTATGTGTGGGTATGAGTACATTTAATATAAAAACTACTGTCCTCCAACCCAATTATTTTGGAGGCTTCATATTGATTCTATTGTTACTAGGTGGGTATGTGCTAGGCCTTAACGATACAAAGATGAATGAGGCAGTTTCTGCCCCTAATATGCTCAGAAGCTAAAAAGGTAAAATATACATGTAATGATAACATAAGTGTAGTAAATACCACATTGATTCACAGAGTGTTTGGGGAATACAGAAAAGATAATGCCTTTAGAGCTTAAATATTTTTAGAACTCCTTTTAAATTGTCTTCAAAAGGCAGTTTTGCAGGTGAACAATAAAAATTAATCTCCTTTATTTACAATTACCCAATTCTTTCCACCAAAATAGTACTACCCAAAACCAGTTACTAACTTTATATGCTAAAGTTTTGGTAAATTCCAAAAACAAAAACTTGAAGTGAACAAATATTCACAAATGTTGAGGCTGCTCAACAGTGTACCCACAGGGAAAGTACTCTTTAAAACTCTTGATTCAACAGGAGAATATAAAATAACATTTGTTTAGTGAACCTAAGCCCAACGCTCAAGGCTATTTACACTTTTACAGATTTTGTCTGTTTAAAAAGATGGAGTCTCTCACTCTCTTCCAGACTGGAATGCAGTGGTGCCATCACAGCTTAATGCAGCCTCCAATTCTGAGACTCACAGGATCCTCCCACCTCAGCCTCCTGAGTAGCTGGGACTACCAGCATATACCACTTTACCTTGCTCTGGCATGTCTAAATATATATAAATATTTCATTTATAAATGATAATAAAGAAAGAATATGATTCTTACTCAACATATACTAGTTTGTGTGGGATAAATGCACTATTCAAGAGTTTCCAAAAAGTAATTTTAAAACCATATATAAATAATCACAAGTACAAGATGATTTTACAAAAGAGGGAGAACGACAGCCAGATGGCACTAGCCATGAATTATAATAAACTGATACATGGTTAGACTTATCAGTGCCCAAAAGAACAAATGAAAGAGAAAAAAAATGTAAAAGTCACAATTCATTCGACATTTAATAAAACATAGACAAAACTATTTCCACATGATATTAAAATTAACTGCTTAGATTCATCTCATAGCTTTTATCATCCCTAACATTAGTATAAGGAAATAATAGATCAACAACTCTGGTATAGAAAACCTTAAGGGAAACTATAAATATATATAAAATATGTACCACACAATTTAAAAAAACCATTTGATCAAAATTTTAGTTGATATGGTAAATTCACACGTAGTTTATTTAGTTCCAACTATACTCCCACCTCAAAGAAAAAAAAAATCACACCTCCTTTACTCAGGAGGCCTACTCCTTAACTTCCTCTCATAATCTGATATGGCCAAAAGGTGGTTAGAGCAAGAATCAATGATCAAATTATAATATCTTGTGACACATTTTTTAATTATAATTTTTAACTGTAAGATCTAATTGTTATACAAGTGGAATTTACTTCCAGAGAAATCTGTTCCTAAAAGTGAACACACAAACTCAAGGAATCATAACTCTTTATTTCCACAGGGTCAACCAACAGAAGAGCCAAAGGTCAGTTCCAATTACCTCCTTGATTTTTCTATAGAATAAATAGGAGACTTCCTGTAAAAATTCTTTAAACTGATTCAACAAAAATAAATAAATAAATAAAGATAATACAGTCAGCCCTAACAAATCATCCTGTGAGTTCATTTGGTGTATCAGGTGTTCAGATTTTGAAAGCCACAAGCTGACAGAAACATTTCCATTCATGTTGGTTATGTTCTTGGGGCGAAACACCAAGTATTTTTTGTATTGTGTTTATAATTTTGTACTAAAATATGCAGGACAAAATAATAGAAAAAAATCCTCCCTAAAAACCATTCCAGTTTCAAGTCCCAGAAACAACAAGACCTCAGCAAACAAGGAGCCAAAGGTGGCAATGATTGATTCACTGCCAGTACAGTCACTAAAGATGGGTCTCAGCCCATCTGACTTATAACCTCTATTACTCACTCAATCTCTAAATCTTCTAAGCCCAGGGACTCAGTCTGTCTCCTTTTCCACTATAATTTTCTGGAGCTTCCAGTCAAGTTTTTTCTTTCATCCTAGTATGCAACAGAAACAAGTACATTTCAATACCTCAGAAGGTGATACTAGTTGCTCTTTGTTACAGAGAATGTAAGGATTGAGAAAGGGATCAGAAACTGACAATGTTTTACCTGACCAACAACAGCACTTTTTAAAATTCTGAGTAAGCATTTAAAAATCTGTAAAAATCAGGATTTCTGGCTTTTCTTGAAAAACAGAAATATCTGGAATCAGGAATCGGTGGAATTGCACACCTGCAAGGCAATAACTGGATAAAACTGAGTAGGCAGCAACACCCCCCCTGAAAATAAGCCATGAATGTTTTAGTACTGCTACAGCCCCACACTTGCTATAAGGTTTATCTGATGCTGAGTCCAAGACATGATATCTCAACATAATTTTACTGCCATTTTGATTAAAGTTGGGAAAGCATACAGGAAATAAAAGGGACCAAGAAAAATTAACACTAGTTTGCAAGTATGCCCTTGATTACCTTTAAGCAGAAGAAAGCTTGCAATTCCCAGGGTTCTGTTTTTACCTTCTTATAGTCTTACTAGATATGCAATCCTTGAGTTTTCTAGTCCACCATTTATATGTCCACCCATATGTACTGTGACTTCCAAAACTGTGCCTCCAGCTCAGAAATATCTCCTGAGTTTCAGAAACTTATATTCAACTACACACTGAACGCTCCTACCTGAATTTGTCATAAAGATCATAAACTTATCATGTCCAAAATTAAATTCATTCAAGATCCCAAATGTTTCCTATATTCCTTTACTTTTTTAAAAGGAGGCATCAATACCTACCCAATTACTGAGAAGAGAAATTCTAGAGTTGCCTTGGATTATCCTCTTGGAATTTTTCAGCCAATTAGCTATCAGGGCCTGCCTGACCATTTTATATCTTAAGTATCTTTTGAAACCTTCCCTTCCTCACAGCCAAAGCTTGACACAAAACCTTCATTATAGCTGCATGACTATATCATTACTGCTTCTCCCTGTATTCCATCCTCCTTACTGCCAAAATGACCTTTGAGAAAGATTCTAAAATACTTGGCTTTTCCATGATCATGACTTGCTCTCTTGCTTCTGTTCTCTAGGATGGATTACTTTTACTCCCTAGCAAAAAATTCTATCAAGTTCCCCTCAAGAACCAGCTGAAATTGTTATCTCCCATGAAGCAAACCTTCCCTCATAAACACCTCACACTCTTCCCAAATATATTTTTCATTGTATTCTCTGCTTCCACTGCACAATTTACAATTCTACAATAGTTATTTATGCATATTTGCCTCTTCTAAACTAGAAGCTTCTTTCATTCATTCACTAAACATTTACTGAAGTCTATCATGTGCCTAGGATAGTAAGGTTCTGCAATTTCAAAGGTAAATAAAGCATAGTTTTCCTGGAATCAAAAAGCTCACAGTTTTGTAGGAGACAACATACATATAATTACAAAACAATACAGTAAGTAAAATGACATATGCTTCAGTTATTACAAGACTTTAGGAAGGAACATATCATCTGACTCAGCTAGAAAGGGTGGGGCAGGGGGGTCAGTCAGAGGAAGCATCTTGGAAAATGCGACACCTAAGATTAGTCTCCAAGAATTATAAGGATATAGCCAGGTGAAGAACAGAATAACTGATAAAGAGACCATAATATGAGTAGGCACTGAAGCAAGGAACGATGTTCTGTGTGTTAAAAGAAAGCCCTTAAACAAACAAAAGACATGAAGAGACACTTTGCAAAAGAAACAGATGAAAAGCTCAACATCACTAATCATTAGAGAAATGCTAATCAAAAAAAAATTAAAAAAAACATGAGATACCATCTCACGCCAGTCAGAATGCCGATTATTAAAATGTCAAGAAACAACAGATGCTAATGAGGTTGTGGAGAAAAAGGAATGCTTTACACTGTTGGTGGGAGTGTAAATTAGTTCAACCATGTGGAAGACAGTGTGGCAACTCCTCAAAGACTAGAGGCAGAAATACGACTTGACCCAGCAATCCCATTACTGGGTATATACCCAAAGGAATAGAAATCATTCTATTATAAAGATACATGCACATGTATGTTCACTACAGCACTATTCACAGTAGCAAAAATATGGATTCAACCCAAAAGCCCATCAACGATAGACTGGATAAAGAAAATGTGGTACATATACACCATGGAATACTATGCAGCCATAAAAAGGAACAAGAGACTAACAAGATCACATCCTTTGTAGGGACATGGGTCGAGCTAGAAGCCATTATTCTCAGCAAACTAATGCAGGAACAAAAAAACCGAACACTGCATGTTCTCATTTGCAAGTAGAAGCTGAATGATGAGAACATATGGACACACAGATGGGAAAAATACACACTGGCACCTGTCTGGCAGGTGTGGATGGGAGGAGCGAGAGCATCAGGAAGAACAGCTAATGGTTGCTGGGCTTAATACCCAGGTGATGGGATGATCTGTGCAGCAAACCACCATGGCACACACTTACCTATGTAACAAATCTGCACATCCTGCACATGTACCCCTGAACTTAAAAGTTGAAAAAGACATATTTGAATAGTATTTAACCTATCTTAAGCCATTTACGTTTTCTACAAATCCATTGATCAAATATAATACAAGAAATTGTTTTAGTAAATATGTCACAGCAATACGATGGCCTCAAATTTAAGGACACTCAAAACCGAGCCCTACAAACTGACTCCTAGAGCAAAGGTAGAAGACAAAGAGATCTGACCTGTACTTAAGTCAATTAAAACCTAACATAACTCCTTCAAAGTACCCAAGACTATTTCAGTGTTGCTATTTCTTTTTGATTATTTTCCTTTTATTTTGTGCAATAAATAGACTGATATTTAATTAGACCTCCAAAATCATTCCCATAGGTTTTAGGAACATAAATATAATAAGGGAAAAGAAATTCACCTCAGTTTGAATGAAAGGAATAAAACAAAATACAATTCAATAAACCACTGGAAAAATAACAGATAAAACTGGTTGAAAAATCTGTTGCAAAAGATGTACCGAGAGTTCGTACCTCAAACAAAACGACTAATTTTTGGCTTTCTTTTTCAAGTCAGCATGATCTCAGCATGATGGAGGACAAGGAAGATAAAAACAAAATGGAGGTATGTACAATGGTGCTGCCACTGTGTAAAACAATCGGCAGTTTCTCAAAAAATTGAACACAGAATTATGATATGACTCAGCAATTCCACTCCTATGTACATACCCAAAATAATTAAAACCAGGTACTCAAACAGAAACATGTACACACATGTTCACAGCAGCACTAATTACTATAGCCAAAAGGAGGAAATGCCCCAAATGTTTATCAGTGAATGAACAAATTGTGGTATCTACCTATAATTCAGCCATGAAAAGGAATAACGTACTAGTACATGCTATAATATGAATGAGCTTAAAAAACTTATGTTAAATGAAAGAAGCCAGACACAAAGGCCACAGTTTGTGTGATTTCATTTATATAAAATATCCAGAATACATAAATCCATAGTAACAGAACTCAGATTGGTGACTGCCACGGGCTGGGGCGGAAGAGGAAAATGGCTTAATGGATACAGTCTTCTTTTTAGGGTGATAAAAATGTTCTGACACTAATTAGAGGTGGTGGTTGCATACCATGGTGAATGAACTCAATACCAATGAATCACTCATTTTTAAATGGCTAATTTTACATTATGTCAATGCTAACTCAACTTCCAAACGTTAAAAAACAAAACAAAACAAAACTGGGCCTGTTGTTAGAAGACACAATTTCTAGACCAGGTTCCAGGCTAGCTACTTTTTGTTGACCTCTCCAAGCCATGGTTTCTTCATCTGTACAACAGTTGAAAACACATGATATCCAAGGTCCCTCTCATTAACTGTATCTGTAGCACTGAATTTATAAAGAATTGTATCATATAGGAATGTATCTGAAAAACAAAGTGTGAAGTAGTACTTAACGTTCTCAGCAACAGTTTTTCAGGAAAGTCATTAGAAAGCTAAACATAATTGCCGGGGCGCAGTGATTCATGCCTATAATCCCAGAACTTTGGGAGGCTAAGGCAGGCAGATCACTTGAGGTCAGGAGTTCAAGACCAGACTGGCCAACATGGTGAAACCCCGCCTCTACCAAAAATACAAAAATTAGCCAGGCGTAGTGGTGTATGTCTGTAGTCCCAGCTGCTCTGGAGGCTAAGGCAGGAGAACTGCTTGAACCAGGAAGCAGAGATTGCAGTGAGCCAAGATCGCGCCACTGCACTCCAGCCACGGCAACAGAGCGAGACTCTGTCTCAAAAAAAAAAAAAAAAAAGTTTAACATAATTGCTTCCCATAACGACTTTACTTAAAAATTGATGTAAGTATTAAAAGATAATGCAATGAAGGCAATGCTACAAGGAGTACAATATGTTATTAAGATTATTATCTTTTAGCGGTCAAACTATACCCAAGGATAGAAATCAGAGAATCAAAAATAAATAAGTAGATTTTTTTAAAAAGAGAGAGAGAATCTACACAAAAAGCCTAGACTAAATAAGTCTTGGGCATCTTCCCCAGCATCAGTTCTTTCAGGCTTTGAGAGATACTCAAGAGTATCACATAGTCTGAGGTCACTAAATGTTGGCATTCTATATTTGCAATCAGAGTCAATCCAGGCAGATTTTTTTCCCAAGATTGTGGATTAGAGGTTTTGAGTGTGCCTCAGCCACTTGGAATTAGCAAAATAGTGCATAAAGATCAACTCTGCAAGCTTTAATTCAAGAAAGAAAACAGGATTCACCAGAATGCAAAGAACACCCCAGAACCCAGGAAGAAGAAGGTGGGCAGGCAGCCCCAGGGACAGCATTTGGCTGAGAAAAGTAAGTGAAGCTCCAGTACATGAAAGGGACAGTCAGTATCCCTCTGTGACTCACCTTTCCACTGGGGATCTGTGCAACCCAGGCCATGGGAGAGCGCCCTGTTTCTCCCAAACACTGACACTAAACTGGGAAAAGGCTGAGAGACTGAGACAGGAAAAGACACCAGGAAAAGCTGCAGGCATTTTCCCAGGCATGGGAATAAGAGGAAAATGCTTTTTTTTTTTGGAAATGGAGTCTCACTCTGTTGCCCAGGTTGGAGTGCCGTGGCATGATCTTGACTCACTGCAACCTCCTGCCTCCCGGGTTCAAGTGATTCTCCTGCCTCAGCCTCCTGAGTAGCTGGGATTACAGGCGCCCACCACCACACCTGGCTAATTTCTGTATTTCTAGTAGAGACGGGGTTTACACCATGTTGGCCAGGCTGGTCTTGAACTTCTGACCTCAAGTCATCCACCTGCCTTGGCCTCTCAAAGTGCTGGGATTACAGGCTTGAGCTACCACACCCAGCCAGAGGATGCCATTTCTAATCTGGGCTCATGCAAAGTAAGTCACTGTTTGGCAACCTGGCAGCAGCAGCCATTGCAGGCATTTTAGTCTCAGGCCAGAGACTGAAGCACTTGCCCTGGAGTGGGGAAAGGACCCTCACAGTCAGAATTGAGTGGCGAGTGTGGAAAGCACCCAAGCAGCAAGCACTGAAATTAGACTTTCCCATCACAGGACTGGAGCAGGAAGAGACTTGTGAAGCTGAGGTTTCTCCTAGGATGCAAGACTCGCAGCCAGGGACAGCTCTGCAACCTAAAACTGGTCTATGTGTGTCACTGCTGGGCACCCCAGTCTGCTTTCATGGACAGTTCAGGGAGAGTGTCTCACTAGTTCTGAGGAGCGGGAGGGAGGCAGACTCCACTCCCATGGAGATCTAACCCTTGGCAGGGACTGCCCCTGAGGGAGAAGGGAGAGCACCCCACCAAAACCCACCTTGGGTCAAAGGAAACACAAGTGTGGTGCCAGCCACAAAAGGAGGGACCACCAAAATCTGGGAATGAACTTGAAGAGGGGGTAATCTCTTAATCCCCACCACTCCCCAGTGCACTGTTGCAGAGACAGCAGTGGCTCTTCCCACTGGGGTCCAGGGAACGGGGTCTGAAAGGGGCCATTTCTTAGACTTCTCCAGAAGCTTCACCCTCACCAAAGGTGAGCACACCCTCACCAAAGGTGGAGCACTTTTCAGGCTTCTCCACCGCCTCCACCTCTGCTGAGGGTAAGCATGTGCAGAGTTAAGAGCCCACCTGCCAATTCTTAATCTTAAGTGCCACCTACTGGACTGCAGCCTAAATCATAACACCAAACAAAAATATGTTGCTACAATAAACAATATCTGACAAAACCACCATATGAATTTATCTGCAACCAAGGAACCCATACAGAGCCTTGGCCCTCTGAAAGCACCCAGAAACAAAGCCAACTGATCACAAGCAACATACGTCAGTCATACCCTCAAGGGAAAACAGAAATTAAAAATCAAAAAGCCCGAGCCAAACAATAGCAAATTAACAAAAACAAAAAAAAAAAAAAAAAAAAAAGAAGCAGCATCGGCTCCCTCAGATGAGAAGGAACCAGCACAAGAACTCCGACAATACAAAAGCCAGTGTTTTGTCACATCCAAAGGATCACACTAGCTCCCTAGCAATGGATCCTAACCAGAATGAAATATCTGAAATGACAGTATAAAATTCAGAATATATATGGAGCAAAGAAACTCAATGAGGTCCAAGAGAAAGATGAAATCCAACACAAAGAAGCCAGAAAAACAATCCAATTCAAAAGATGACATAGCTGTATTAAGAAAGAACCAAACAGAACGTCTGGAATTGAAAAATTTCAAAATACAGTTGGAAGCCTTAGGAATAGACTAGACCAAGCAGAAGAGAGTTTCAAAGTTCAAAGGCCGATCCTGCAAATCCACCCAGTCAGACAAAAGAAAAAAGAATTTAAGGAAATGGGAGAAAAAAAAAAAGACTTCGAGAAATACAGGATTATGTAATGCAATCAAACCTATGCCTTATTGGCATTCTTGAAAAAGATGAAAGTAAGCAACTTGGAAAACACATTTGAGGAAATAATTCGGGAAAATTTCACCAATCTGTCTATAGAGATCAACATACAGATACAAAAAAATTCCAGAGAAATCCTGCAAGATACTGTACAAGATGACAATCTGCAAGACACATAGTAATCAGACCATCCAAAATAGAAAAAATCTTCAAGGCAGCTAGAGAAAAGAGCCATATTACCTATAAAGGCAAACCCATCAAACTAACAGCGGACTTCTCAGCAGAAATTTTACAAGCCAGAAGAGACAGGGGGCCCATTTTAAGCATTCTTAAAGAAAAGAAATGCCAGCCAAAAATGTCATATCCCACCAAACTAAGCTTCATAAGTGAACAAGAAATAAAGTCCTTCCCAGACAGTCACTAAAGAAATTTGCCACCATGAGACTGGCCCTACAAGAGAAGCTTAAGGGGGTTCTAAACATGAAAACAAAATAACAATACTTGCTGTCACAAAAGCACACGTAAGCACATGGTCTCCAGACCCCATAAAACAACTAACAATCAAGATTATAAAGCCAACTAGCTAACAACACTATGGCAGGAACAAAACCTCACATATCAGTATTACCCTTGAATGTAAATGGAATAAACACTCCACTTAAAAGACACAGAATGGCAATTGGGCAAACAAAGACCCATTCTTTTACTACCTTTAAGAGACTCATCTCACATGTAATGACACCCATAGGCTCAAAATAAATGGTTGAAGAAGGATCTATCACACAAATGGAAAACAAAAAAGATAGAGGGATTGCTATTCTTGTATCAAATAAAACAAACTTTAAACCAAAAACACTAAAAAAGGACAAAGAAGAGCATTATATTATGATAAAGGTTCATCAACAGGAAGATGTAACTGTCCTCAATATACACACACCCAACATTGGAGCACCCAGATTTATAAAATTACTACTGTTAGGGACAAGCTGCCCCAGGACCCCCGCCCCTCTATGCAGCTGACCCTTACCCTGAATACTCTGCAGCTGCATTCCTGAACCCTTACCTAGGCGCCACAGCAAGGTCACCAGACTTGCTGAGCAAAACCCTGATTACAGCCCCCTGGGCGGCACTGGGGAGGTCACAAGAAATGTGGATAAACCTAAGTTACACCCTCTTGTAAATTCCTATATTGTAAGCCCGTCAATGATATGCGGTAAAGTCAACCGACAAACAACCCCAGGGTCTCTCTCCCCCATATAAACACCACACTTTTTAAGATCAGGGCTGCCTCCTCTGACTGTGGTGGAGCAGCCCAACAGGTGAAGGAACTTACTCACCTGACCTTGGAGGTGTGTCTCTGTCTGTCTGTCTGTCTGTCTCTCTCTCTCGTCCTTTCTTTCAGCTAACCTACAACTACCACACCTAAAACAAGAGTTAGACAGTCACACAATAATAGGGACTTCAACATCCAACTGACAACATAAGATAGATCAACAAGGCAGAAAACTAACCAAAAAATCCTTAAGTTAATTTGACACTTGACCAATTGGACCTAAGAGACATCTACAGGACACTTAACCCAATGACTGCAGAGTACACATTCTTCTCATCTGCACACAGAACATACTCTAAGACTGTCCACATTGCTCTGTCACAAAGCAAGTTTCAACAAATTCAAAACAACTGAAATCATACCAAGTATCTTCTCAGACTACAGTGGACTAAAAATAGAAATTAATACCAAGATGACTCTCAAAACCACAAAAAAATACATGGAAACTAAACATCCTGCTCCTGAATGACTTTTGGGTAAACAAGAAAATTATGACAGAAAACAAAATCATTTGTTAAAAAATGAAAACAGGCCAAAACCTCTGGGTTGCGACAAACACAGTGTTAAGAGGACTAGACAGCACTAAACGTCTACACCAAGGAGATAGACGTCCAATTAACAACCTCACCTCGCACCTAAAAAAACTAGAAAAACAAAAACAAACTCCAAAAACGAGCAGAAGAATAAACTCATAAACTAGAAGAAGAAAGCAAATAACTAAAATCACAGCAAAACTCAATGAAATTGAAAGCCAAAAAACATACAAAGGATCAACAAAATCAAAAGTTGGTTATTTGAAAGGATAAATAAGACTGACGGATCATTAGCTAGCTAAGCAAAGAAAAAGAAGATTCACAAATAACCACAATCAGCCATGAGAAAGGTGACATTACAAGCAACCCAAGAGAAACACAAAAGATCCTCAGACTACTATAAACATCTGTATGTACACAAACAAGAAAATCTAGAGGAAATGGAAATATTCCTGGAAACTCACAAACTCCCAAAATTGAACTAGGAAAAAATGGAAACCCTGAACAGATCGATAACAAGTTCCAAAATTGAATCAGTAACAAAAGAAGAACGTATCAACCAAAAAAAAAAACCCTGGACCAGATGGATTCACAGCCAAATTCTACCAGATATACAAAGAAGAGTTAGTAACAATCCTACTGAAACTATTCTCAAAAAAACTAGGAGGAGGGATTCCTCCCTAACTCATTCTACAAAACCAGAATCATCCTGATACCAATTTCTGGCAAAGACACAGCAAAAAAGGAAAACTATAGGCCAATATCCCTTATGAACACAGATGCAAAAATCCTCAACAAAATACTAGCAAACTGAACCCAACAACATATGAAAAAGAAAATTCACCTCCATCAAGTGGGCTTTATTCTTGGCATGCAAGGATGGTTCAACATATGCAAATCAATAAATGTGATTCACCATATAAACAGCATTAAAAACAAAAACCATATATGATCACCTCAATATATTCAGAAAAAGCATTCAGTAAAATCCAACATCTCTTCAAGATAAAACCCTTCACAAACTAGGCATCAAAGGATCATACCTCAAAATAGTAAGAGCCATCTATGACACACCCACAGCCAACATCATCATAAATGGGCAAAAGCTGGAAGCATTCCCCTAAGAACTGGAGCAAAACAAGGATGTCCACTCTTGCCACTCCTATTTAACATAGTACCAGAAGTCTTAGAGCAATCCGGCAAGGAAAAGAAAGAAAACGCATCCAAATAGAAAAAGAAGAAGTCAAATAATTTCCCTTTGCTGACCATATGATTCTATACCTAGAAAACTCTAAAGATTCTGCCAAAAGACTCCTAGACCCGATATACAACTTCAGTAAAGTTTCAGGATACAAAAATCAATATTATTTCTATAGACCAATAACATTCAAGCCAAAAACCAAATCAAGAACACAATCCCATTTGCAACAGCAATAAAAAGAAAAAAATACCTAGGAATACAGCTAATCAAGGAAGTGAACGACCTCTACAAACAGAACTATAAAACACAGCAGAAATATGTCAGAGAAGACACAAACAGGAAAAAAAAAAATCCATGGTCATGGAATAGAAGAATCAATACTGTTAAAACGGCCATAGTGCCCAAAGCAATCTACAGATTCAATGCAATTCCTATCAAAGTGTCAACATCATTTTTCACAGAGTTAGAAGAAACTATTCTAAAATTCATATGAACTACAAAAGAGCCTGAATAGCCAAAGCAATCCCAAGCAAAAGAAAATAGGTATCACATTACCTGACTTAAAACTATACCACATTACCTGACTTAAAACTATACAAGGCTACAACAATCAAAACACCATGGTACTGGTATGAAAACAGACACACAGACCAGAATAGAGAACCCAGAAATAAAGCCACACACCTACAACCAACTGACCTTCGACAACATCGACAAAAATAAACAATGGGGAAAGGACCTCCTAGTCAATAAACAGTGCTGGGAAAACTGGTTAACCTCATACAAAAGAAACTGGACTACCTCTCACCATGTATAAAAACTAACTCAAAATGAATTAAAGACCTAAAACTGTAAAAACCCTAGAACAAAACCTAGGAAATACGCTTCTGAACATTGGCTTAGCCAAAGAATTTATAAGTCCTCAAAAGCAAATGCAACAATACCAAAAATTGACAACTGAGACATAATTAAACTAAAGACCTTCTGCACAGCAAAAGAAACTATCAACAGAGTAAACAGACAACCTACAGAATGGGAGAAAACATTCGCAAACTATAAATCTGACAAAGGAATAATATCCAGAATCCGTAAGAAACTTAAGATGAATCAACAAGAAAAAAAAAAAAATTTAAAAATGGGCAAAGGATATGAACAGCCACTTCTCAAAAGACATACAAGCAGCCAACATATTTTTTAAAATGCTTATGACTAATCATTAGAGAAAAGCAAATGAGGTATCATCTCACATCAGTCAAAATGACTATTATTAAAAAGTCAAAAAATAACAGATGTTTGTGAGGTTATGGAGAAAAAGGAAATGTTAATACACTGTTGGAAGTATATTAGTTCAGCCCCTGTAGAAAGCAGTTTAGATATTTCTTAAAGAACTAAAAATGTAATTACCACTGGACCCCACAATCCCATTACTGGGTATTTACCCAAAAGAAAATGAATCTTTCTACCAAAAGGTAATCTGCACTCATATGTTTATCACAGTACTATTCACAATAGCAAAGGCATGGAATTAACCTAGATGCCCATCAATGGTGGACTGGATAAAGAAAATGTGGTACATATACTACGCAGCCACAAAAGAGAATGAAATCATGTCCTTTGCAGCAACATGGATGCAGGTGGAGGCCATTGTCCTAAGCAAAATTAACACAAAAACAGAAAACTAACTACCATGTTCTCACTTAAAAGTAGGAGCTAAACATTGGGTACACACGGACACAAAGACGGGACCAAAAGACACTGGCCACTGCAAAAGAGGGGAAGAATGGAGGGAGCCAAGGGTTGAAAAACTACTTATTTAGTGCTGTGTTCACTATTTGGCTGATGGAGTCAATAGAAGTCCAAACCTCAGCAATGCACAAAATACCCATGTAACAAACCTGCACATTTATCCCCTGAACTTAAAATAATTTGAAAAACAAAAATAGTTGGTCCATATACACCTAAAAATCAGAAAAGCCATAAATACTAAATAACCTACTTAGTGTTCTCACCACCCTATTATAAGGTGACATACTATAGCAAAGTCAAATAAAAGCCAAAATTTTCCTCAGAAAGCAGCTTCGAATATATTCCAACATAACTAATGTTGTCCTGAGTTACCAGAATTTCATACCATACAGTTCAGTAGAAATAATTTTGGTTAGAAATTCTCAGCCAAATGATGTCACCTACCATAGCCAAAGAAAAATCTTAATAGCATTCCTACAAATAGTCTGAAACTGTATCTATAAAACACAACTTAGAAATGTACCCCTAGATGACAGACAATTGATCTAATGTGCAGAGTTCTATAACAAATACCCGAGTTTTAGAAAAATTGATACTATTCATATCCACCTAAACATCAGATAAGTCAATGAAAGCAACTCAGGAGGAGGAAAGCGAAACAAGCATCATTTAACGTAATTGCTCTTCAGTTTTTATCTTGCACATCTAAAACATCTAAAACATGAATACAAAAGATACATTATAAAAATGTATGTCACTCAGCTACTAAAAGTTTACTTTTGGGCTGGACAGGGTAGCTCACACCTGTAATCCCAGGACTTTGGGAGGCCAAGGCAGTAGGATCATTTGAGGCCAGGAGTTCAAAACCAGCCTAGGCAACAGTGTAAGACCCCCATCTCTAAATAAATTAATTAAATTAATGAATGAGTAAAGAATAAAATTTTAAAAAGAAAAAAAAGTATCCTTTTGATGTGGCCTAAATCCCCATGACTTAAAACAGGCTTCATCTATCTGGTGTCATAGCCTCAAAAAGTTACCTTGCGTTTCACAATTCAAACACAGGTGAAATAAGATCGCTATACGCAAAATAGACTAATGTTTAAAAGTATAAAAGCTTTAATCATGATATCTATTTCGCTTAGTAAAAGCACATGGGTTTTAATTACTAGTTAACATGATATACTATAATTATGTGAAAGTCTTGTTTTCACTTAGCAATTTTCTTATTTCTAAAACAAACTGTTACCAAATTTACCATTTTACTACTTACCTTATTCTGACCAAAAATATATTTGAATATTTTTGAGAAGGTTTGAATGAACTCTTCATTCAAAAGCAATTTCATAGTTCTCTTGCATAACTAGAGTAGCTCTTAAAGCCTACACATACACTGTACTTTTAAAAGCTTTCTTTAATTGTAAAAGAAAAATAAATTTGAAGCACTCTGTGGGCGGTGATGTCTGATGCTCTTATATTTCAAAGTTTAACAGTGAAAAAATACAGAAATCAAGTTACGTGTCAAATTAATAAAATGAGTTGCAGTTAACCCATTTATTCTTACAAAAACTTTGAATCAGTGCAGCAATTATAAATTTCCAGCCCCATATACCGTTTATACTTTAATCTAAGTAAGAGGGTTCTTTGTGAATTTCACTTTGATTCTCTATGCATAAAAATTCTAATGCATAAATAAGAAGAGTTTGCCTAGATAATATATAAGGCCCTTTTTCACTCTAAGTCTATATCATTTCTTGTATGTTGAAAAAGTGAAACCTATAAATAGTTGCTCACAAATCTAGAACTGGACAATTTAAAGTGTTCCTGAAAAGTATGAAGTATAAAAGTAAAGAAATAGTAAAGGCTTTGCCATCATTTGGTGCAGCAGCGTGTACTCAGCCAAGCAGCGCACTGGAGTGAGAAGAACAAATCTGACCAAACCTTAAGACTTCACAGCCTCCCCCGCCAGTGTTAGAAAAGACTCCAACCACTATCAGGAGCCTGTGGGACAACAGCCCCAAACTCTAGGGCTCTCCTTAGATCTTGCACAATCAATCCAAACCCCTTACCAGAGGATACAAGGATAGGACTTCCTATGAAATTCAGTCTATCAAGGTCTGGACTGACTCCTAAGAACTGTTTACCCAATTCCCAATTATTGGGCACTACAGGACTGCTGGATGTGTTCTCTAGACTAATAATGAACCCACTAAGCCTTGTTATCCTTGTTCATCATAGAGAGATAAATACATTCAGTTATCGATTCTCTCCTACACTCTGACCACTGTACTGTTCTTGCTTTTTCCTCCCTTATACAATTTCCCAGTGATTCCATCCCTCCTAAACTTTCCCTCTAGGATCACTCTGTTCCAAAGTCAAAACAAACACTTCCATATCCCCGACAACTTCACTATTTTTGCTTCAAGTAAAAGCTGCTTCTCCTGCAGCTCTCTCAAACAAAGGCTGCTTATTCTTTCATTAATCATGTACCCAACTTCAGAATGTAGGGTCACGATCAAAACCATAACTCCCAGCCCATTTCCTGTAAAAGCCCCTGTTGTTCCTGTATAATTCCTGCCCATTAGCATTACCTGGGGAAGTAGGGGGATTTTAAAATCCCACTACCCAGCTTACGCCACATACAAATTAAATCAAAATAGCTAGGTATGTGAGCCATGCATCAGAATTTCCAATGTTCAGGAAAGCTGATATAAGAGCATTGTTAGTTTGTGAAGTTCCCCAGATGATTGCAATATGCAGTTACTTTTGAGAACCACCGATGTATGCACTACTAATCCATAAACATTCTTCTCTATCAGGAATGCTGAATAACCTTCAGTTATTTTAACATACATGTGGATAATCCATCAAATATGCTACTTTTAATATCATAAGCATTTCACCTCCACCAACATTCACTACAACTTCACTTTAGACACTACAAGACCACACACCCTCATTTACATAACCCACTTCTGTACTCACTTTCCTATCTAGATTGGACTCCATGGTTCACCATTCCAACCATTCTCTAGCAAATATCCTCATTTATCACATTATGTTGGAACTGCCTGCCTACTAATGGAGTAAACAGGTCACACAGGCAGTGAGCACAGGGTTACAAATACTCATTTCCACTTTTGGAGGAGTCCTGTTCTAGTTGCGGCTAGCCAGGGAGAATACTCACAACAGGGCAGTGGAAGAGGACACTGCAGAATTTAAAGCTAGTGGGGTCTTAGTTTCCACTACAAAGCACAGCAGTTGTTAATTATTCAGCACTGCTACATGTAAACCCAAGCCCCCACTGCCCTCATGTATATACCACATACTGTAAGTCTCCTGAGGGCATAAACTGTGTATGTTTTGTTCAGTGTTGTCTCATGCCAAGTATAACAACATCTGCCACACAAAGTAGGCTCCCAGTAAGTATGTGTTAACTAAGTAAAACAAAAATAGAGTAGAACTTCTGATTAATCATCTAAACCAATGTTTTCTAAATCGAGATTTTTTTCTTCAGTGAACATCTTCACAAGTTTATTTTCCTTTCTGATCATTAATTGGCATCATAACATTTATGTTCAGCTTGACCCTGGTTTCTGTATCCAGTCAATTCACTGGGCAACTACTATCTTCAGAGCAGAAAGAAAGGGAGAAGATTTAGAGTACGAAGTGTAGCAATAAACAAAAACTACTGGGAAAAAAAGATAAAGAGAAAATTATCAAGGCAGAAAAACATAATTCACAACACTACCTTTAAGAGTAATTTTTTAAAATGTAATGAAAAATCATATGTGCTTACTCAGAAAAAGGTATGAAAGTAGACATGCAGACTGTTTTTAAAATGAAAACGGTAAACAATATTTTAACTTTACTTAATACACTTTCACACTGGTTTACTTTTCAAGTAGCAGGTAGTATTATAAACAAAAAAATGCATTGCAAATAATATTTTATTTTTAGATAGCACATACCACTTTTCTACAAAGAACACACCACATGGTTAACTCATTTACATTCAGTTAACACTCATTTAAAATATTTAAGTGAAGGCATTACTCCTAACATTTATTTCTACCATGCAAAAGTCATAAGGCTGTCCCAAAACTTGTACTCCACCACGTGAAAAAACATGAAATATCCTGTTTGAGAAAGCAAAACAAGAAAGTTGGTCCAAATTGTGGTAATAATCAGGAAAAATAACTTACTATACACAGGATCTTTAAAACAGACTTGTATATAGAAAGTTTTAAAAAGAAAATGAATATGTATTTATATACTGTCAAGGTTTAACTATTTAAATGGCAAATAAAACTTTTAAAACCCCTCAATGAGAAAAGGTGTAACATTAGGAAGGTGGTAGCAATGAGGGCAAACAGACTGCTGCCAAGTGACTCTGTTAAGAGGCAGCTGGACCAAAAACAGACGATCCTCAAGAATACCATGATTTGAGCTATAATTCTTAGACCTGGAGTGTTGCTAAAAGAACGGGTCAGCCCAGTAGGGATCTCCAAAGCCAAAACCCAGAGAGAATGTGCTGAGAGAAAAAATAACAGAAAGCACCCCAATAATCCAGGAGATCATGAAGCAAGGAGAAGAAAACAGATCACATATGCAGGGAGAACAGAGAAACAAATACTAGTTTCTACTTTTGGGAGTCCTCTTCTTCTCGGAGTTGTGGCTAATCAGGAAGAATACTCACAATAGGGCAGTGGAAGAGGACACTGCAGAATTTAAAGTTACTGGGGTCTTAGTTTCCACTACAAAGTACACTGGTTGTTGTTAATTATTCGACACTGCTACAAAGTAAACCCAAGCCCCCACTGCCCTCAAATCCTCAATAAAATATTCTATAAATATATACACCATCTAGATATGATAGAATTCATCAAAAATACATTTATTCAAAACTCAATTTGGGGAAAACTATAATGGTTTAACTTCAGCTCTTCTTTTATCTATTTATCTTGTATATATGCTATTTGACACCACTAATGAAGCTAACTTTTTAATGCATTACAGAATTTAAATAATTATCTTTTGACACCAAAAGCAACAAGGTAAACATAAATCAGACTACATCAAAATTAGAAAATCCTGTGCTTAAATGACACCATCAAGAAAATGAAAAGCTGTCCCATAAATGGGAGAAAATATTTGCAAATCATGTATCTGATTAATAGACTTCTACTCGAAATATACAAAGAATTATTAAAACTGAGTAAGAAACATGAATAACCCAATTTAAAAATGGGCACAAGACTTGAATAGACATTTCTCCAAAGAAGATATACAAATGAAATATGAAGATATACACATGAAAAGGTGCTCTCTAGAGGCACTAGAGAGATGCAAACAAAAACCACTAAGAGATGCTACTTGCGCTCACCAGGATGACTGTAATCAAGTGTTCTGGAGGATATGGAGAAAACAAAACCTTCCTACACTCCTGGTAGAAATGTAAAATAGTGCAGCCACTTTGAAAAATAGTTTGCAGTTTCTCAAAAGGTTAAAGAATTACTGTATAACCCAGCAATTCCATTCCTAGGTATAGACTCAAAAGAAATGAAAACATATTTCCACAAAAAACACTGTGGAAACACAATACAAATGTTCACAGCAGCATTATTTGTAATGACCAAAAAGCAGAAATAACCCATATGTCCAGCAACTGATGAAAGGATAAGCAAAATGTAGTATATCCATACAATGGAATGTTACTTGGCAATAAAAATAAATTTGAAGTCCCATTACATGATACAACATGGATGAATCTTGAAAACAAGCTAAGTGAAATAAGCCAGTCACAAAGGCCCACATATTGTACAACGCCACTCATATAACATGTTCAAAACAGGCAAAACCGGCCTGGCACAGTGGCTCACCCCTGTAATCCCAGCACTTTAGGAGGCCAAGGCGGGCAGATCACTTGAGTTCAGCAGTTCAAGACCAGCCTGGCCAACATGGTTGAAACCCCATTTCTACTAAAAATACAAAAATTAGCTGGGCATGGTGGCACGTGCCTGGAATTCCTGCTACTCTACTCAGGAGGCTGAGGCAGGAGAATCACTTGAACCTGGGAGGCAGAGGTTTCAGTGAGCCGATATCATGCCACTGCACTACAGCCTGAGTGAAAAAGTGAGACTCCGTCTCAAAAAAAATAGGCAAAACCATAAAGACAGATTAGTGATAGCCTGCTGTGTGAAGGAGAAAGAAGTGTGGAGTAAAAGGAGGAGGGGTCTTCAGTTTGGAGTAATGAGGTACTTCAACTTATTTTGATGACAGATGCCCAACTCTGTGAATATAGCAAAAGCCGTTGAATTGAATGCTTTAGTTAGGTGAATTGCATGGTATATGAATTATATCTCAATAAAGCTACTTTTCAAATTACAACTAAACAACCCAGAGAAGTAAAATACATAAGCAGAATAGGCTAAAGGACAGACATACAGATCAAGGGAACAAAACAGATTCAAGATAAAACAAAATAAAAGCAATTCTAAAAAATAAGTAATTTAAAAAATAAGGTACTATCTCTAGTGCAGTGGTTCTCAGCCAAGGGCAATTTTGCTCCCCATGAGACACTTGGCAATGTATGGAGAAAGTATGGATTATCACACCTTGTTAGGGAAGGCACTATCATAGACCAGGCCAGGGATGTTGCTAAGCATCCTACAATGCACAGGACAATCTCTCACAACAATGAAGAGGACGAAGAAGGGGAAAAAAGAGGAGGAGAAAGAGGAAAAGAAAAGGAGAAAAAGAGGAGAAAGTGGAGGAGGAATAAAGGTATTCTATATTAAAGAAACATAACAATCACATTACTGAATTAGAACCTGGTTCTAACTGGGAAAATTTGCACATACCAAGTATTAGATTATAATTGGGAATTGCCGATAATTTTACTAGGTGTAACAATAATGTTGTGGTTATAGGTATTTTTTAAATTCTTTAGCCTGGGAGATTCAGGAGAGCATTTTAAAAAGTGACATAATATCAGCAATTTACCTTAAAATAGTTGAGCTATAATAACAACAAAAATAACAGAGAAAGTTGGGGCACATCCATAGAGCTAAGGTAACAGAAGATAAATACGAAGAAAGTAGAGAGAAAGCAAATATGACAGTTTTAACAAATCTAGGTAACTGTATAACGGGTGCTAGTGACAGTATTTTTTTTCAGGGTTTCTGTATGTTTGAAAGTGTGCTATATAAAAAATTAATTTAAATTAGGAATATTTTTCCCCTACAAAACACATCACAAATATACTAACAATATGTAGAAAACTGCTTGGAAATTCTGGCTTAAAAAAAGGTAAATTGTTGTACTATCTAGGGCTGGGAAAGGTCATTTTTAGAAAGGCAAAATCTATAGAAAAAGATCAACATATTTGAAAACATAAAATTAATTTTTTCCTAATAACAAAACAAAATCAGAAAGTATACATATACTTGTAAAAATACATGCACCATATGCAACAAAATATTATAATCCATGAGTAAACAGATGTTTATAAATCATTAAGAAACAGACTACTACTCCAGACCAGGCACAGTGGCTCACACCTGTAAATCCATCACTTTGGGAGGCTGAGGTGGATGGATTACTTTGAGCTCGGGAGTTTGAGATCAGCCTAAGCAACATGGTGAAACCCCATTTCTACAAAAATACAAAAATCAGCTGGGCATGGTGGCACGTGCCTGTAGTCCCAGCTACTTGGGGGGCTGAGGCAGGAGGATCACTTGAGCCTAGGAGGTCAAGGCTGCAGTGAGCCGTGTTCGTGCTACTGCACTCTAGCCTGGACGACAAAGTGAGACCCTGTCTCATAAAAGAAAAAGGAATAGACTACTACTCCAAAGAAAAACAGGGTATGAACAGCAATTCAAAACAGGAAATATAAATGGCTAATAAGCATATGAAAAGATTATCTACCTTACCAGCAATCAAAGAAATCCAAAATTTTAAAGCAAGAATGTAATTTTTCACCTATGTAATAAGCAAAGATAAAAACTTATGTCAAATTTTTTGTTTTAATAAGCTAAACAAGATTAAAAAATATAAACTATGCTCTTGACATTTTTGACATATATATACATTACATATATGTTTATATATTATGCGTGTACATATAATATATATGTGTATATATAATATATATGTGTGCATGTGTGTATATATATATATGTATATATATATATTAGAAACAGTGTCTCACTCTGTTGCCCAGGCTAGAGTGCAGTGATGCGATCATAGCTCACTGCAGCCTCCAACACCTGGACTCCAGCAATCCTCCCGCCTCAGCCTCCTGAGTAGCTAGGACTACAGGCACACACCACCATGCCTGGCTAATTTTTTAATTTTTTGCAGAGACAAGGTCTCCCTACACTGCCCAGGCTGGTCTAGAACTCATGGGCTCAAGCAATCCTTTCACCTCAGCCTCCTGAAGTACTGGGATTACAGGCATGAGCCACAGCACTCAGCCAGAAATTAAAATATTCTTGACTGTCCAGGTTTCTCAATAATTTTCCTATTCCATAAATACTCTGTTCTCTTTAGATTGCCTGTCCTTATGACACTAAACCAAAATAAAATTTATTATTTTGACATAATACAACACTACACTTGGCATTTCTAACCTTCTGTCTACCTCCTAAGCACTCTGTTTGGGCCACATGATAGTACTTAAAATCCTCAAGCATCAAGACCATTTCTATCATTACCTCATACTAAAAATAAGCTCAGTTACATGGAAATTCACCTTCAATTCCTTTAACTGAGTTAGAACAAATTTAGTTTATATATCAGAAGATTTCCACTCACAAAGTGTTCCTCTACTAAATAAAGTACACAAAACTTTTATCACAGCAGTTCCCTGGTACAAAAGCAAGATAAAACAGGCCATATTCACAAATGTCCCCCCATCCATCTCTCATTCATACAGGACTACAATACAATAAAAGTCCTAATATTTACAAGTTTTGACTTCTGCTTTTCTCCATAATACAGACTCCAAGGGGAAATCAAAGCAACACAATCCTACCACAGCAGAGAAAGCTAGATCCTCAATGCATGGTATTAACACTTCATTTCTTTCTTATGAAAAGGAGCACCCTCTAAAACAACAATAGGAGCTATCATTTATTAAGTGCTTACTTGGCCAGGCACAGCAGCACGTGGATGTAGCCCCAGCTACTCAGACTGAGGCAGGAAGGTTGCTTGGGCCCAGGAGTTTGATTCCAGCCTGGGCAATATAGCAAGACCCCATCTCTAAAAAAATATATATATTAAGTGCTTACAGTTGGCTAGGATTTGCTAACCACTTTAACTATATCTAGTTCTCACAATTCTATGACATAAGTTATACTAACTATTCTACAGATTTAAGAAATAACAGCTAAGTGATAAAACTGGAGCATGAACTGAGCTTTGGCTTAAAACCCAAGCATGTTCTTGAACCATTACTTTACACTGACTCTCAAGGTTTTTTAAAAGGGAGGATGGGCAAAATTCTGCACATAATATCTAAATAATCAAACACAACTGATTAACTTAGATTCAAAAAATTCAATTATGAGAAAAAAACAGAACAAACTAACCCGCCACTAACATCTTAAAATCCTTGATGCTTTTTAGGAATCTGATGTAGATTTTGTAGGTGTTAAGATAACTTTCAGGGTATGTTCTAAAGTTAGCAACAACTCAATATCAGAACAATGACTCTGACCCTGAAAATACTACAAGATTCTTTTAACTCACAATAAAAAGTAAGATTAATAGTGTTCATTTAAGTCCAAGATGATGTCTTTTCAATCAAGATAAATTCAGATAAGGGGTATATGAGAAAATTATACTGGGCTCTACTGCTCATGAAAAAAGTATATAAACCATTCTATTTGTTACCCTTTTAAATTAACAATAAAAAGCATTTTTCAAACCTATAAAGTATAACAAAAAATAGAAGTTAAATTTTCTATTTTGGCTTTTTTAATCTATTTGAGAAGGGGTAGAAAGATTAAAGGCTAGGGAATATACCCTGAGAGAGAAACTTGCAGGCCTGTAGACACAGAGAAGAATAATGAATACAGAAAGGAGAAAAAACAAATCAACAAATACACAAAGCATCAGTGACAAGAAAGAAAAGATGGAAAGCATAGAGTGTAACTATATAAAGGAATAGAGAGAGATATAGATTCACCCATAAAGGACCTTAATGGCATAATCTCCAACTAAGTAAAATGTTACTGTAACAGGCAGAAGACCCCACTCCTTGAGTATAATAGTTTATTCTATTATTATGTGAAAAGATAAGCAACTGCTGCATATAAAGGGACTGAAATTATGTATATGCTTAATATCTACAATTTAAATTTATATCAGCACAAATTTTATTTGTAATACCTTAGCCCTAAGTCTCTTTACCTACTGCACAATACTATTAACACCACTCAAGTCAACTACATATTTTTAAAAAAAAAGATTTTTAACACTCCTCACCTTTATGCTCTAAGACAATTCAACAGAAGAGCTTATATAAATGAGAGCCACTTTACATAAAACTTTATCAAACTGACAAGAACCATAGTACTTCTCATGTCAGAAAACTACAATAATAGCATTTCAAAAGCATAATATGCAAGTGTACTACAATCTTTCCTTTTCATTTCATCTACAGTAAAAGTTTTAGTGTCCAAAAGAAACATACTGGTTAGCCAAAAATTGTGGTTATGATCAATTCATATTACACAGGTGTCATCCCTTTGTATTTCCTCCCGAAATTCAGTCTAAATCTCACTCTTAGTATTCACTTTGGAAATGCAATACGTAAATTGAGAAGTTAGTAAAAACTGAGATAGCAAGTAAGGAAAGAATTAGATCATCTGGGTCATACAGGATTACTCTTGACATTTTAAAACTACCTCAATCAAAGAACACTAAAACAACTTCAAACATATTAAATTCTAAGTTTTGAAAATAAACCACTTGCTATTTACATCAGAGGAAATAAGAATAAAGAATAAGAAAAAGAATAAAGAATAAGAATAAGAATAAAGAATAAAGAATAAGAATAAAGAAATAAGAATAAAGATTTATTGTTACTGTAGGAAACACTGCACAGTACATGTGTTACTTCACTTAATACTTGCAACAACCCTATGAGGTCAGTACCATTCATTTATAAGTCACACATATAAGAAAACTGAGGCTCTGAAACGTTAGCAACCTTTCCAAGGTCAAAATGCTCGGAATCGAGAAAACTTAGATTCAAATCCAAATAATCTGACACCAGCCATCACTCTTAACCAAAAGTATACATTTTTATTCAGAAATTAGGAATATTTGGTTTGGGACTAGAGGAGATATATATACATATATAAAAAAGATGATTAACACTGAATCCTAGTATAAAGATAATCTTTCATCATCACATAAATTTTGTGTTAGTGCCTATTATATGATTGAATATTCTGAGCTGCTGTTATTAATTTCTGGAATTTCAGATTCATAAAATACATTTTTAATGCATCATAAAATACTCTCAAGTCTACTTGGTTTTTCTAAACCTTTATGCAACCAATACTCACTATTTGGAAAGTATATTATTTCAGTTTCTTTTCCTGTAACTTTGTGGTGTTCTGCCCTTCAACCCCTGGGCCACAGAGCATTACAGGTCCATGGCCCATTAGGAATCAGGCCGCACAGAAGGAGGTGAGCAGCAGGGGTTAGTGGCGGGGAGTGGGCTTTTCCACCTGAGCTCAGCCTCCTGTCAGATCAGCTGGGACATTAGATTCTCATAGGAGCACTACCCCTATTGTGAAGTGCACATGCAAGGATCTAGGTTGCATATTCCTTATGAGACTCTCATGCCTGATGATCTAAGGTGGAACAGTTTCATCCCGAAACCATTCCCCCCAACAGCCGTCCGTGGAAAAACTGTCTTCCACAAAACCGGTCCCTTGGTGCCAAAAAGGCTGGAGACTGTCATTGTAGCCCATTTATTTTACTCTCCTGACTCCCACCAGGATTAACACTATTGCAATACTTTAAGTGTTGAGCAGTTGGGTACCATACAAGAAAAAGATCAGATGTTAGTAATTAATACCACATGTAAAATAGCTGATTATATTAATAGTTGCAGTCTGAATTAAACACCAGTTGTGTTTCTCAGCTGAGAAAAATTCTGAGAAAACAAGCTATCTCAAACTCTGGAAGAGAACAAATTGCAAAATACAATATTACAGCTTGGAGAAACACTGGATAACACAATATCACATCTTAAAGTCAGAACATTATTTCCTAATATTTATGTAATAACAGAAATACGGTGAAATTTTATTTCACATTTAACTCTTCCACTAAAATTGTACAACTTCAGTTTTATAATTTCCAAACTTCACAGGACAATGAATCCAAAGGCCATTCTCCACAACTCTAGCTCGAAAATAAAAGAAATCACAAAACAAAGAATCACAACTCTTTCCTATGCTAAGCCAGTCAGGCTAAAAATAGCCCCCAAATTTCAGGTATAATACCAATTCAGGTTTAAATGGAATAAGAACCAAGGATTCTCCAACAATGCACAGCTAAGGTCAAGAGCAAAGCTGGATTCACCTTAGGGTCTTCACAGATGCATCAGAATAAAAAGATCCCTTAGGAAATCAGAGAAAACAGTGCAATAAGTAAACAATGGTGAATTATTCCAGTTAATATACATGATCCTCTCATAAGTATATTTACAGACCATTATTCTACTTGAACAGTGGAACAGAGCAGAATCATCTTATTGAACTTTTCTGGTATATATTATTTCTGAATATACAGTGGAATTACAGATGGGCAAACGACATAACAGTACTCTGTCTCCAACATTGAACAGAGACGCATTTTAGTTAAGAGACTGTGGTAGCAGCTGCCCTCCTTAAAAATGGACCCCCAAAATTTCCAACTTTGAAACCACGGCCAAATTTTTACTGATACTTACAAACTTTCAAGATAGCATCAAAGGTCATACAAATTGAAACAGTCAACAAAGTGCCATGAAAATCAGCATTATTGTACTATTACAGACAAAGCTTTCTTTAAATGTATCTAGTTTAGGAATTAAACTTTAAGTAATATTAATGAAATCATAATATCAAGTAGTAAGAGATACAAAACAAAATCCAAGTCCCTCTTGCATTTATAATTGGTTATATCAAAGTAACAACCTAATCAGATTTTTCCCTGTAGGAAAAATTAAGACAGAATTTCATTCCTAACTAAAAGCCTCAGGTTCAACTTTTTTTTGTCCCATTGCTCTTAAACACAATATTTAACCACAATGTACTTACTATATAAAATGTCTAATGAACAGATAGTAACCAATCCTTTAAGGGTAATTAATATGATGGTTTAAATTTATCACTGACAATTTCATCTCCGTAATTTTTCACTTTAATCTTAATTTTTCTTGAGGAAATATTCAACATTCATTCATTCAACAGATATTTAGTGAGGCCTACTAAGTATCAAGCTCTATTCTAGGCTCTGGGAGTACACCTATGAGGCCCATCCTCAGGAGTTTACTCTATTAGGGAAAAACATGTAACAAGCAAATAAATATATACATAACACATGGAGGTGGGAACAGCAGGATCAAGTACTACTTTCACCAGGTTGACTCTTCAATTGCAAGAAATCCATTTCAGAGCTGCTGTCTCATCCAAACTAGTAGATTTACCAGGAGTTGTAAAGCTAACCCAAGTCACAGTTATCTTTTAATTATATTCTCCAATCTTTTCCCCTCTTAACTTTTCACCCTTTAGTGGTATCATTTTATTCTGACAAAAGACCTCAAGGCTCCCACTTTGATGGCCTAAGTGGTACAATGCTAAATTTAGCGCTGATAGTGATTTCTGAGGACAGGTTTCCCAACTGACTCACCACTTCAACACTAGAACTTATCAGCATGTGCCTAGTACAAAGTAGGCATACTCTTGTTTGGTGAAGAAATCAATCCATAAAAATCAATCTCCAGCACGAGTTATAACAAAAGCCTTATAAACATTATCCTTAATAACAGCTTTTCAAGGATTTACCAAGTCTGATTAAAAATAAAAGATTTTTCTTCCCACAAATGTTTGGGAATATGTACAGACAAATGACTGGTAACCCTCAAATAAATCATCTTTTTCAAAACATTTTTTAGAACTTTGCTTTAAGGCGGCCGGGCCCAGTGGCTCATGCCTGTAATCCCAGCACTTTGGGAGGCCGAGGCGGGCGGAACATGACGTCAGGAGATGGAGACCATCGTGGCTAACCTGGTGAAACCCCGTCTCTACTAAAAACACAAAAAATTAGCCAGGCGTGCTGGCACGCGCCTGTAGTCCCAGCTAGTCAGGAGGCTGAGGCAAAAGAATCGCTTGAACCCGTGAGACAGAGCTTGCAGTGAGCTGAGATCGCGCCACTGCACTCCAGCCTGGGCAACAGAGCGAGACTCTGTCTCAGAAAAAAAAAAAAAAGAGAGAACTTGCTTTAAGGCATTCATTGAAATCGGTTTACCAACCACACAAGAAACTATCCCCTTTTTTCTCTTTCACTTCTTTTAGTCTATTCCCTGTCTCCCCTGTAACTGCACCACTAGCCAGGAGACTCCCCTCCTAATTTCCCCTCAGGACCCACCCACCTATCCACCAAGAAAATAGTGAGCAATAAAACTACATGGAGCCTAGGATTTACATTCATTAGTACAAGGAATATACAGAAAAAAAAAAAAACCCGATGTACTACCACTATTTCTATAATGACTGGCAATTTACAAAGTTATACCCTCCATCATCTTATATGATCTTCATAACAATGTAAGAACAGCAAGAAAGGTGCTATTACCCCAATTTTACACAGAAGGAAATTAAAAGCTTAGAAAGTTCAAACTAGTTCCCCAAAATCCCATCATAAATAAGTGATAAAGTTGAGACTCATCCCTTATAGTGCTTAACATACAGGTTTGTGTGTTGCCATATGTATAATTTGTTGATAGACACAGTATTTATCACTATCACTCCAGCCTATTTATTCATTTAATTCCAAATACTTTTAAAACGTTAAACAGTTTAAGAGCTATCTGCTTGCTTCAACGTTTCCTCTCCTTACACATATTTAAGGCTTTGTGACACCAAAATTAAACCTGACTCTGAAATAGAAAGTCAATTCCAGATTACAATCAATTGAGGAGGCACTTCATGGTCTATGAAACCACAAAATTTCAAAGCACAGTTTAAAAAGCCATAATCTGAGAACCTCATTCAGGGAAAGCTGTAAAGTCATTGTGGTGGATAATTTTAGATGTCAACTTGACTATATTAAGGAATACCTAAAAACCTGGTAAAGCATTCCTTTGGATGTGTCTGTGAGGATGTTTCCAGAGGAGACTGAGATTAGCATGTGAGTCTGAGTAGACTACCTGGAGGTCTGCCTTCCATGTGGGCAGGCACCACCCAATCTGCTGGGGGCCCAGAGATAACAAAAACAGAAAGAGGTATATCTACCAGAGCTGGGATACACTTTTCCACTCCACAACTTGGGAGAAAGTGTAAACCATACATGTGATAAGTGGTTAACAGACTAAATATAAAAGGAACTCAACACAATTTCAAGAAAATAACCATTTTTAAAATGGGCAAAGGGCTTGAATAGACATGTCTCAAAGGAAGACATAAATCTGGCCAACAAATACATGAAAAACTGCTCAGCATCACTAACCATTAGGAAAATGCAAATTAAAACCACAATGAGATATCACCTCACACCTGTTAGAATGGCTATAATCAAAAAAATGAGAGTAAGTGATGCCATGAATGTGAAGAAAAGGGAATTCTTGTACACTGTAGGTAGAAATGCAAATTAATACAAACATTATGAAAAATGGTATGTAAGTTCCTCAAAAACCTAAAAATAAAACTACCATACAATCTCACTCCTGGGTATATTTCCAAAAAACGGAACTCAATATGTTGAAAGGATATCTGCACTCCCAGGTTCACAGCAGCATTAGTCACAAAATCCAAGACAAAGAATCAACCTAAGTGTCCATCAATGGATAAACAGATGAAGAAAAGGTGGTAGATACAATGGAATACTAATTGGGCTTAAAAGAGAAGGAAATTCTGTCACTTGCTACAACATGAACGAACATGGAGAACATCATGCTAACTGAAAAAAGCCAAGCATGGGAAGACAAATACCACACGATCTCACTTATATGTGAAATTTAAGAAGTCAAACTCACAGAAGTAGACAGCAGAATGACAGATACCAGAGCCTGGAGAAGAGGGAGCAATGGGGATATACTGCTCAGAGTACAAAGTTTCAGATAGATAGAAGGAAGAAATTTTTAGATCAATTAAACAACTGTCAACAATCATGTATTTTATTTTTTAAATAACTAAATTTCAATTGTCTCACCATAGAAAATAATCAAGGTGATATGTTATTCAGCTGCACTTAATCATTCCACATTGTACACACATTTCAAAATATCACCCTGTACCCCATAAATGCATAAAAATGACTGTCAATTAAAATAATATTTAAAAAGAAAAAATTCTTTAAGAATGTTTATCAATATTCCTCTTGGTTTGTCAAAAGATGCCAAGTAAGGCTGTGTGTAGAGTGGCAAGCCAAACTCATTTTAGATACTGATGTCCTTCCACTCCCG
This sequence comes from Homo sapiens, assembly GCF_000001405.40. Classification (NCBI taxonomy): domain Eukaryota; kingdom Metazoa; phylum Chordata; class Mammalia; order Primates; family Hominidae; genus Homo; species Homo sapiens. Next base: position 17,935,754 of record NC_000007.14, read on the forward strand.
TTATAAAATCCCTTTCCTACCTCTTGACACCTCTGAATGCCAGTGGACCTATGGTCTTCTTGCTTTGGTTAGTAGCTCTTGCAGTGTCATTAATAATTGAAGAAATAGCTTATATAGCTTAAAGATTAATGTGCCCCAAGAGTATTTCTATTACAAATATATTAATCAACAAAACCAAGTCATAATATTTTACTAAGCACTTATGGGCAAGACAACTGTGTGTGAGCGTGGATGTATGATGTATGTGCATGTGTGTGTTCAAAAGGACCCCTGGATGTTCAGGGAGCCTTTCTTGATACGTAACTCATCACTCCAGGATTTCCCTAAGTGAAATACAAGAAAGTGTATTCACCTCCATGGTTAAATGACTCTGCAATATGCTGTAAATTCTATCATCTTCTTTGAAAATAAATCACCTATCAAAAACTAACTATGTTAAGTCATCCAGAGAAGAAACCTATTAACTTTCTTTAGGCAAATATCCTCCAAATTTATTTCAACTACAAAACCTTTTACTTAACAACTATTAACCTGGAACTTCTCAAAGTGCTGCATTTTTTGCCTTTTCCCATTTATATCAGATCTGTTAACTCTGAGAATCAGTGTTAATATTGAAAAAGCAACAAATCTGGATGGAAGTAACAACACAAATAGAAACTATTTTTATTTAATAGTCACTTAATGATTCATATTTACAGACAACTCAAACAACTAATAGCTTTAAATAGCTACACTGTTTATTATTTTTTAAAACACAGGACAAGTGACAACACGTTGATAACTGGTTTCCATGCAAAAACAACCTCCAAAGTATGCCACAACACTGGAATGTATTCAGCACATTTTCCCACATTTCTTACCTTTAGTTTTCTGTAATAATAAATGCTCAGAATTATAATCCTAATTGCTCCTGGTATCAAGAAAAGTTTAAAAGTGTGTTTGATAAAAATTCACTGATAAATATTTCATTATCTTCTAATGTTGTGAAAACTCGGATTAATTAAAACAAATTCTCAGGTAAACAAACATCCCATGCTCTAATTTCGATATATGAAGTTTACTGTTAGGGGAAAAGAAAAAAAAAAAGAAAAAAAAAGAAGGGATAGAGGGAGAGTGAGGAGTGAATATTAAACAAGTAACTTTCATGTACACTATGACAAATTTTTTGCCAAGTATAGCAGGAGTCACATTAGAAGCAGGAAGTCCTAACAGGAGCAAGGACAACAGAAGGGGAAAAAAACTAACATTAAAAAAAATAAAATAAAATAAAAAAAAAAAAACTAGCTAGACGTTACATACAGCTCATCCCTGTATGTAAAATGCAAAAAAAAAAAAAATACATACATAAATATGACTAGCAAGTTTTCTAAATAATTCCATTGTATTTAAGATAAAATAATATAAATTGAAGCCAAAAAGTTTACATCGAGAACTATATGGGAGCTATACTTTCAATTTACATTAATCTATATTTCATAGGCTCAAAGTTCAATGTACATATTAGTTTGCTCAACTGAGTGATATTCCATTTTAGCTTAATATAAAATGGTCCTTAATTGATCACTTGTGTGGCTTCTCATTTCTGAAAAGGTTTCAATTAGAGATATATTTTTGGCCCGGTGCAGTGGCTCACGCCTGTAATCCCAGCTGCTTGGGAGGCTGAAGCACGAGAATAGTTTGAACCTGGAAGGCGGAGGTTGCAGTGAGCCAAGATCGCGCCACTGCACTCCAGCCTGGGCAACAGGGCAAGACTCCGTCTCAAAAAAAAAAAAAAAAAAAAAGATATATTTTCACAAAACGCAAAACTGAAAAGTTTCATATGAACACTTATCATTACTATTCTCATTATGTATCTATGTACTTAGTATCCTCACCTTGGTTAAAAAAAAATAAAAATAGTATGCTGATTTTATCAGCTACAAAGAAAATTAATGATGCATTCCACACTGAGTCATAAAAAGCACACAATGTGGAATAAGAGGACCTAAATATGATTTCTGTCTCCTCCATTCTTTATACAACTCTAAGTAAGCTCTTTCAACTTTCTCAACCTGTTTTATCATTGGTTAATGGGGATATCACCTACCTCAGTGTTGAGATGTAAAGAATCCAGGCACATACTACAATTCACCACTTTCTGAGCACAGTAAATGCTTGCTGAGCATGACTAATATAAAGACAGGAGAATCTTTCATAGCACAGCTCATCACTACACATTTTGAGACCTAACATGAATTAAATCACATCTCCTAAAAGCTGCTGATCTAAGTCAGCAATGTCTAGCAGAAGCAATAAAAAGGAAGTCTCACACTAATTTTGTAGTAGCCAATATTGAGTGAAATTTTATATCTAAAATATCTCAAAATAGGACTAGTTTACGAGGCTTAGAAGCCTTGTTTAAAAAATGAAAAGGAAAAAAAGCTAAGGTAAAGCAGAAAGTCTTTTTTAAGTAATAATCATTTTCAGTTTACTGACAATATTCAGACAAGGAAGTACAATAGCATGTTTTAAAATCTATCAAGAGAGCTGAAAACTACTTGAGAGGCAGCTGAGCAAAACGGTCAGAGCTCTCTACTGAGAGTTAGGAGATGAGATTCCAGTTTCGACTGTCACTAATATTTAATAATTGACCTTGGACAAGAGTCTCTGGCTTCAGTTTCCTAATCTATAAACGACTACTGAAAACTATAGGGAAGACTTTAGTACAATTTAATCTGGGTCTTACTTTGGCGAGGCAATCTAGAAAAGTTAACAGAATGGGCTAGGTGGCAACTGCCAAGGTTGGAATCCTGCTTCTGCCACTTATAAGTTGTGCAGTGTTCACACAAAAAGTACTAAAGTACAGTTTACTTAATATTATCATTGATTTACTGTTTAAAATATTTCCCTAAAACGCAAAATTGCATTAAAATACAGAAGCTGAGAAAGCTCCATCTTTCCAAATCATTTTACTGGCAGACACACAAGTAGTTCATTTGAAAGTATTAAAACTCTGAAACATGTTAACATAAGCTAAGTTTAAGGAAAAGATCATATCATATAATATTACACATTAGAGACAACACTAAACACTTATTATAAGGCTAACTGTTCCCACTAAAATATCACACTTAAGGTAAAAATGAAACTTCTGCTACTTATAACTCTTTTTTCTAATCTATTACTGCTAATCACAACACAAACTTATGCTATAACCATAATCTCAATTAACTCCAAGAATGAAAAATCTGTAGAATTTAGAAATATAAAATGAACTTCAAACAACTAAAAATACGTACTGTAGAAGTTACAATCAACCAGTAAGTATTTATCATATGCCAGGCTCTGTGCTTAGATTAAGTACAAACAGCAAAGTATAAAGTTCCTCAAAGTTAGTCACGTTCCAAGGACCTGAAATTTCAGGCAAGTACGTGCTTTACCATCACTTTTCACAAAATAAAAGCCACTCACCTACAAATGTTTGTATTTCCTTTTTGGCCCATGTAGGAATACTTCCCATTGCCCACTAAAACTGTTTCCTATTCAGTTCAGCCCATAAAAATGCCCAATCCGGTCAGTTCCTCACGTCAGGATCCTCACAGTACTTAAAGTGAAAGGCTTCGAAAAAGGTATTTCATCAAATCACAAGGTTCAGTATTTTATGTTCAGTGACACCTACACCTGCAGATACTACAACACATAACTGGGCTAACCTGGGTCAAGTACCTAGTTGCACCGATTTAGTTCTTCCCCTTAAAGTGTTGCTAGTAAAGGCAAACTCTACTTCTTCAAAAAGTCGGCTTTTTGCAATGCCCATTAGGCACTAGAAAAGGGAAATTGATTGGTTCGTCATAGTTGCCCTACTTCCATTTCAGGTCCAAAGAAAAAAACTATTCCATAGGGAGTAACAAGGGGGCCACACGCAAATCAAGGTGGCAGATGCTAAACTGAACTTTGTGATGACCACGATTTAACCGAAAAGGTGATGGATGTGGGGGAGGGGGATGACCCAACTGAGCCATACATGTGCAGCTTGAGATAAAAAAGTCCACTTCATGAAGCAGTCAAAGTAGAGGGTGGGAAACAAACCGGTCGGGCCGAGCAACAACCCCAGGGTGCTGACCGAGCTCGGAGGCGGAGGGCCCTGGAGCCCAGGGACCAGAGAAAGGAGACCTAGGGCAAACCATAGGATCACAAGAACCAGCAGTAACGTGGAAAGGCCAACGCTGCCACAGAGTAGCGTGTAAGGGGACACGAAGAAGGGAGCGATGAGTTAGAAGGGAGTGACAGCAGGAGGGAGACCAGTGCCAGGGGCGAGTGGCAAGTGGCAACTGCGAAAGGCGAGGCACTGGCAGCCGGAGGTGGTGGGACTCTGTTGAGTCAGCACAGCTCCTACTCTGAGGGCACTTGTAGGATCCCCGCTGCTCCTCGGGCCCTGGAGCCCACGGCGAAGGGTCAGGCCCACCTTCCGTACAGATGATGTTCTCTGACGGGCTGGCGCCGGCCCCTTCCCCATTTCACAGGTAAACACTGGCCACCGTCGCCGCTTACCTCAGTTAACATTATTACACCCCGGGGAAGTGAGGTCCTCCCTAGCCTCGCCTCATGGCAACAGCCGTAGCAGCAGCGAAAACTGCTCGGGCCGCCGCCAACGGCGGCAACTGCTCCTTCAGTCTTCTCCCGGGCGGCGGTTTTACTCGGCTTCGCTGGCCTCCCCTCGGCCCGGTCGCTCGCGACGGACGCGCCGCCATCTTGGAAGAGCGACGTCCGCGTCTCGCTGCAACGTGCGTTCCCATTGGCGGGCGCAGGGGCTGCTGGCGTCTCGTGACCGTCTCCATAGCGCCGGCGCGCGGAGAAGCGGAGGTAGGCTGTCGGCAGTCGGCTTGGCGCTGACTTGTAGGACCCCGGGACCGGGCGCCTGGGCCAACTTGGGACCGCTGGGAGTGCAGAGGGGCCCCAGCGCCCGAGCCTTCCGGGAATGGACGTGCGCGCCCTTGGGGCCGGCGCATCATCCACCGCCCACTAGCGTTGGCCCGCCCTGGGGAGAGGAGAAAATGCCAGAGGCCGACACTTGACTGATGGCGCTGCGGACCTCGCTGGTCTTGGGGACAAGGCGGCAGATTTCCTTTAGAAAAACTTCCCTCTCGCGTCTCCCTGGCCCCGCGGCGACCGAAGAGTTGGGGTTCGGCTTTCTTCTCCTGGGATTTAAGTGTTATTTGAAACAGCTCCCTGCGCGGCCCTTTTCTCCTAAACTTTGACAGAAACTTCCCTTTGTCCCTACCAATCCTCAGTGAGTTCTTTACAGGGGTCCGAGACAGGTTGTAGATATGATGCGGCTTATCGGCTTTACCCCGATCCTAGCGGAGTTAGGACTTGCTGATGTAATTGGCCAGCACCTGCCTAACAATGAAGGTTTAGTTATGCTACAAGTAATGCACCTCTAAAAAAACGTAAAACAGGCTTTACGTTTTACCTGCTATCTCCACAGGTTTACTAGCTGCTTAATACAATATGCTTGTATATCAAGGTGAGCAAATTTCAGCAAATGTCATTGTAAATAGTCCCAACTTAAATGGAATTGAACTCTGGAACTCAATGTGCATAGAAGTCCCTGAGACTGACGCCATTCTAGATCTACCACTAGATGGTTTGCGATGTACGGAATTAAAGGCAGTCACTTCTACCTGAATTGTGATGAAAGTAGTTTACCTGAACATGCTGGGAAAGTGTGCTACCCTGTTTTGTATTAGAAACCAGTTTCCAAGTAAATTGAAAAGCAAATTTTCAGACTTGACATTAAAAACACCTCCATGTCATTCTTACAAGAGGTACAAAAGCATTTTAGAAAACTAAAGCCAGGAGTTTCTTCCCTTTTACCAGAATCTTTTCCCTCCATTTAACAATAGTACTGTTGTGCTAAATGAAATTTACTTAATGTATTACTCTTACAGTCTCAAAACAATAAGGGCATTGCAAACCTTGTATTATCTCTATCGTGTCAAGGAAACAAAACGGTTCATTTAAGCAGTCATGCAAAAAATTCAAGAAAAACTGATTTTGCTCAATTCAACTAATTGAAGCAAAGTAGTTTTTCTTGTTGTTTTAATCTGCATTTTGTACATCATTTCCACATTGCTGGACCAGCAAAATTCTGACCTCTGCAATACAATAAAATGTGTTACTGGTATTGACAGATGAAGCCACAAATAGAAAATGAGCATGGAAATCCTACCTGGACTGAGGTATCAAAGGATACCAAGAGATACTAGAGACAACAAGGAACCTGGAAAAAGATAGTGTTCCAACCTGTAAATAAGAAAACAGAGAAGGAGGTTCATTAATATTTAAGATACCAGCTAGTAAATTAAAACAGCAATGTAGTTGTCTGGCTTGAGTATTCAGTTTTATTTACTACATCTTTTTATCTTTTCTAGAAGCAAGGCATTAAGTGTTGACACTTGAGTATTGAACCAATCTGTGATATGACATGAATATGCCTTTAACTTTCAGAAGTTTGTCTACAGACTTACAAGGAAACCAAAAGTAGTCGCTCTTCCAATGGCTTCCTAATTTTCTCAGCCTGAGTCTTTTCTGCAACCTAAAAATCCTATGCTAGCTGGCCTCCCAAGTCCTACCTCACCTCCACCCCTCTGACCTCATTTCTGCTAAGCACTTTGTTCCAGTTACACAGACCTGCTCCCTGCTTCTGTAACACCAAGGCATCTTCTTGCCCTGAGGCCCTTACACTGTGTATAGTTTCTATCTGCAAAGATCTTTCCACCAAATACCTGCATGGCTAGATCTTCCACTTCTGTCCAATCTTTGCTTAAAAGTCATCTTTTTTCAAAGAAGCCTACCCTAATCATCTCATTTAAAATATTGCCCCTTCCCCAGAATCCTCCCTTCCTTGCTTCTGTTTTTTTCATAGTACTTACCTTCTAACCTTCTAACATCGTCATTTTCTATTTTTATTTTCTATTGCCTTCCCTCCGCTAGAATGTAAGCTCCACAAGATCGGGGATTTTTTTTTTTTCATTTTGTTCAATGTTTCCTTAGTACCTAAAATACTAGAATAGTAGATGGCACAGAGTAGATGCTCAATAAATATTTCTTAAGTGAATAAATGAATGGGTGAATCATTGCCTAAAAGACACTAAAAGGAAAAGACCTAATTAAAACTATTTAAAAACAAAATCCTTGGTGTTGAAAGATTAAATTATTTAAAAGTTGGCCATTGTGTGTTCTCTTGTCTTCCAATTAATAGGAACATCACTTCTGCCACTGGAATGTTGAAGTGTATGACAATTGTTACTTCCACTAGAATGCTACAGAAAAGTTTAGGACAAAATTGTGAGCTATGCCTTTTCCTTCACCTTTTTTCTTTTCCTTTTTTTAAATTTGTTGTAGAGATGTGTTCTCACTATGTTGCCAGACTAGTCTCTGGACTCCTGGCCTCAAAGATCCTCAGGCTTTGACCTCCCAAAGTGCTGGGATTGCAGGAATGAGCCACCACACCTGGCCTCCTTCACTTTCTTAAATACATCTTGGGCATGAGTCAAAGTTAATTTCCTAGGAAGGGAAGCAACAAAGCGAATAAGGTATACTATTTAAGAGACTTACGGAAATTAAGGAGTTATATAGTTGGAAAAGAGAATGCTTATAGAAACAGCTAGCTTAAAAAAAAAAAGCACCTAATTTGATACAGATTCCATGTCTTAAAAACATCCTATTCATATCAGTTGTTACAGAGGAAACCTGGGACAGGGTGATCTGAGATGCCTGGTTCTTTGGCTATCAGAAATTAAAACAAAGCAAGCTATCGTAAGGGATGCATCTGTGACTGTTACTGCAAAAGGTTTGATTCCTCAGCAGCAGTGTCCAGTCTGTCTGATTAACACAGGAAAGCATGACAAAAAGAGGTAAGAGGCAAAAGTCAAGTGTGTTTTTTGAGACGGAGTCTCGCTCTGTCACCGAGGCTGGAGTGCAGTGGCGCTCTCTGCTCACTGCAAGCTCCGCCTCCCGAGTTCACGCCATTCTCCTGCCTCAGCCTCCCGAGTAGCTGGGACTACAGGCGCCTGCCACCATGCCCGGCTAATTTTTTTTATTTTTATTTTTTTATTTTTAGTAGAGACAGGGTTTCGCCATGTTAGCCAGGATGGTCTCCGTCTCCTAACCTTGTGATCCGCCCGCCTCCACCTCCCAAAGTGCTGGGATTACAGGCGTGAGCCACCGCGCCCGGCCGTAAGATGCTTTTAAACAAGCCACTGCCAGTGATTTCTAAACCTACAAGCAAAAATTCGGAATATCCAAGTTGCCTGTTTTTTAGTTTTGAAACAAAAACAATTTCTTCTACATATTCAGGTTGTCACAAATTGGCTCTAATTGCTTTTTGAGAAGCAGGAAAAGTATGCCTTTAACCTCCTAGGCAAATTGCATCTAGCAAACAGTTGTGTCATTTAATCTTTTGATGTCTTAAAGCATTCTATTAACTCCAGTTTCTTCATAATGCAATATTGTCAGTGTCATCTACCATCTCTACTGAACATTAAATACTATATACTCATTAACAAGGATTGGTGTCAAAACCTGCAAATTGGTATTGAAATCATGCATTGACAACAGAGGAGACATCCTAAGAACAGATAAGAGTTGGATATCCCGATTCTTTTTTACAGCTTTAATAGGGCAGTAGTAAGCAGAAATCTCAGAGCATTTAAGAGTACTCTGAAGTCTAGCCCAGCATGTACTTTTTTCTTGCATGATTCTTTTTGAGGCAATGTTGAGCCAACTCAAGACAGAAAGACAGAAGCAGAAATAATATGAGGCTTTACTAACAAATGCAGCCATAACAAAATAATAATGTACACAAATGCTTTCAATATTAGCTCCACAATGCAAAGATCTAAATAGAAAGAACCACATTATAAATTTGTAAAAGTCTATAAAATAATTAAGAGGTATTACTACATCAATGACACCTCAGTCAATCATTTTGAAAACAAAAATTTAGAGCACTTTTCAAACATTTAATTCTTAATTATGGATACTGTTTTTCAGTATCTATTATGGGCCAGGCACTGGTGGTAGACATTTTGCATGTATTATATTTAACATTTGAAAAAGACCATTACAGTAGATCACTACCCTTAGAGGCCACTAGAGGTTTAGTAATTTGCACCACATTACCTATCAAGGATTCATACTATCAACATGATTTATCACTGGTGATGTTGACCTTTATCACCTGAATGAGATAGTGTTTGTCAAGTTTCTCCACTGTAAAGTTACCATTTTCCCCCGTTCTATGCTATCCTCCTTGGATGGAAATCACTATGTGCAGCCCACACTTAAAGAGTGGGGATTTCTGCTTCTCCTTTTGCTGGTGGAATATGTAGATAAATTATGTGGCATTTTTTTTTTGCATGGGAGATTTGTCTTTTCTCCCTTTTTATTTAATCATTTATGTATATGAGTATGGACATATAAATATTTGTTTTATACTTTGAGTTATAATCTAATACTACTTTGTTGTTCAAATTGTCCCAGCTTTGGCCACTGGAGCTCTCTTAGTTGTCCTATTTCCTTTTAATATACTCCCATCAATGTGGTATGGTTTTTTGTTTGGTTAGTTTTGTTTTTAAGCACATGGTTACTTTCTAGTACTATAAGATGCTCTGGGGTCATCATGCCCCAGGCCTAGAATTAGCCATATCTTTCAGAAATCTTGGTTTCTTTTATTGGAGAATGGTGTCAGAAACCAAAATCTGGGCTCAAGAAGTGCTGTTTGCTGCTTCAGTGTCAATTCTTTTAAGACCTCGTAGCTGACACAGCAAGGAATTAAATACTTGTATATTAACCCATGTATATATGCCTATGTATAAATATTTCTGCATGTAATCATCTGTATTTATATTAAGCTAAATGTGAATTCATACTGGTATCTCCAACTCTAATCCATTATCAGATGGATCATTCTAGTCTCTTCCCCTAGCTTATCTGTATGTAATTTCCACTTCAACAGTGAGAAACTGACACCTAACATCTACCATCCATTTACTTAATTGTTCAGTTTGAAAATACATATATGGCAATTTCAGAATTGTTAACCCATACTCCCATTGGAAACAAATTTATCAACTAGAGTACATTGCCTACATGCAGTCCCTTCAGTCTTATAGACAAATCATTCCTAAAGTCACTTAGTTCAGCACCTTTTCTCCCAACCCTTTCATTGAGGTTGTTTCATATGTTTGCAATACATTTAAATTCTCTTGTCAAAGTCAGCATTCTTTCCTGAGATCTGCCTACCTCCTAAATGATTTGATTTTTAATTTGCATACATTTTCACTCTTTGTGCTGCAAAGTTCTGCAAGTTCTGACAAATGCATTATGTCAGGTCTCCACTTTATAGTATCATACAGAATAGTTTCATAGCCCTAAAACATAAAGGAAAAGAGAAGTACATAACAAAATTGCCTTTACATATTTATCTGTAGACCCAAACAACTGATCATTGTATTGAATAAACTTCACTTGAATCATAGAGATATTTATATTGATATATAATATGTAATCGATTTCTCTATAATACCTAATTACCTAATACTTGTTAAAGTCTTACCATATGCTAGTAGCTGTTCTAAGTGCTTCACAATAATCCTATAAGATAGAAACTGTTATTTCCATTTTACAAATGAGTAAACTGAGGCTCAGAGAGTTAAAATTTTTTGCTGAAGTTTACATAGCTAGTAGAAGAGCCAATATTTAAAGAAAAAATTATATATATACATTTATACATAACTGTGTATATGTATAAACTTATCTATATGTACGTATATATGTCATGTGAAGTTGTATGATACAGAATTGTGTGTGTACTGTGTCAAGTATATTAATTAAGCTAACTTTAAGAACTAAAAATTTTCAACCATCTTTGTCCTTCATTTTTTAATGTGAATCATAAATGTTGTGGTGGGTCCTTGAACTCCTGTTTTTGCCTTTAGCCAAAGAAGGAAATGAGAAAAGGAATCAGTACTCATAGATGAAGCTTAATACGTGCCTATATTTAAGGCTTACCTCAGCTGGTTTCATTTTTACAGAAGAAGGGTGAAATCAAAGGCTGTCATTATATTGCTTCCTGTTTTACTATTTTAACAACTGAGGTAAAATAATGAGATTATTCTAAGAATTGCTGTTGTTTTTAAATGATAATATGATAATTTGCACAGTTAATTTGGCATGTCTTCACCCTTGCATATATGGTGATCTTTTTGTTTTGAATGAAAATTTTAAATTGAAAACTATTTATAATAAATGTATATACAATTAAATGGAAGAGATGTTACACACATGCCCCATAATATTGGCTGTGGAATAAAAAGAATACAAGCGTGGAAAGATTTGCACTGTGGCCTTGCCTTTGCTGTTTAATGAGATTAAACCTTGGAAATGAAAGATCACCATTTGTTGAGCTTCAGTTTCCTTTTCTGTAAAGTAATGAAATTAAAACATATAATTAGAGTAACACTAATATACTGTCTACATTAATACGGTGGGTTATTATTGTAATCATTGGACAATGCCTTGTGGCTCAAGATCAAATGCTTCATAAGGTTTCTTTTCGTGTTAAAACTGTTATACTTAATGAAAGTAAGTTGCAGTTCATTTTCTTATCACTTTCCTTCAACAAACATATGCATCATCACCTTTTTACAAAAACCTTGCTACCAAGCAGTGGCACAAACTGCTGTGAACTATTTTGTGTATGATAATGAACTCCTTGAATTACCACCTTTCTATTTAAAATGAGACACCTCCTACCTTATAATGGCCATATGTGCAAATATCCATGAACAGAAAAATCAGCAAAAATGTCAAGAAAAGTCCTGGTGTATAAAGACAAATCAAATTATCAAATAAAAGACATGTAAAATCAGGCTATTTGTTCTTGAAATCTATGGGATGTTCACCTAATCTCGATGGATAAGATTTGTATTCTGTCTTGTTCACTAAATCAGCAAAATGCTGAGGGCTTCACATTTTATTTTTAAAAATAGATGTCCTTTTCGAGTTTTCCTGTTGCTGGGGAAGTGTTCTTGCTGTTGCTAACAGAGAGCTAAATGTTCTGCTTTGAATGGGATGTGTTTGTTTTTATTGGTAGGAGTGGCAGAAGGATGAATGAAGGAATTCATGTTTTTTAACTGTGTTTCTTTAAGTGACATGTCTGCCTTCTGGGTAGAGGTACCCCATTGGCTATTTACCAGATAATCTGTCTATACAATCATAGAATATGCTCATTTGTTTACATATTATTTTATTCATTAAATCTTAAATGGGCTAACTATTCAAATTTAGAGAGCATAAGGTTATGGAATTCATATCAGGAACATCAATTATCGCTCAACATCTAGTGGTTAGAAGGTACACAGAAGATACTTAAACCCTTTACATGTTTGCCTAATGTAATTTAGCCTCAAAAAAGGGAAGAAAAATAGATGAGATCTGGCTTTTTCTTTAAATCTTCTGATCATATAATTAAAATACAAGCCATTGTTTCTTAATCTTTATATATTACTCTTTGCTCTATTTACCACAGGAAACTGATGAGAGAAATATCACAGACAAAATATTACAAATTATTACTTTGGTATATACTGTGCTTAAAACTGCATGGAAAAACAGTAGTTATTCTGGCTATCCCAAGCTTAAAATAGGAATTACAGAATTACTTTTTAATGTAATTTTATTGCCCTAAAGTTAAGTTCTATATTATTATGATTTTAATTCTGTTGTAGTACTCTGTAAAAGATTGTTGATTTCTTAAACAAGAGCTTTTACTTTGTTTGAAGTTATGTCTGTTCTTCTGAGTAATTCATTGAACTTTATGGATATGCCAGAAAATTTGGTAATGCTGAAATTCTACACTGTGAAAATATAATTGAGTTTCTAAATTTCATGTTTGTCTTTAGGGGAAGGTTGTTAATCTGTGAGTCATTGGTTTATGGGGAGGAGGCAATATTTCATAATATCTCTCTAAATCAATCTGTAGCATGACGATGCTATGTGTTCACCTAATTATTTCATTTTCCTCATTGATGTTGAAAGAGCTTACATGCTCTACCTATTTGGGCAGGGTGGTCTAACTAGCTTACATCAAAGGAGTGTAGCAATCCTCCCATCTCTCCATCTTCCAAGGTGACCTTGGATGCTACAGATTGAGATAATAGAAACTCAAACTGGAAGGAACCGCACAGGAGAACCCATCTACTAGATCAGGAAAAAAATACCTTTGGACTTTGCATGAGTGACAAATTCTTTTATTATTATGGGTGGCTGTTACAGCAGCTGGCAATATATGCCCTGAATTAAATGCCCTCTAACTCTACTTACTGAGAATAGAAAGTTTCTAACCTAAGGAATGTTTGCCCTCTTTTTCCCCCCACCCTTCAGAATGAGGGGACTGTTTTAATTAAGTGATATTACTTAAGTAGATCTCCAATTGATTTACAATTCTCTAAGGACTATGGCCTTAATAAATCATGTCCTAGGTGTTATAGATTAGAACACACACACACACGCAGATTAAGATTTCTGGGTGAAAAGGGTGACCTCAAAACCCTGCTGTGGCCGGGTGTGGTGGCTCCCAAAGTGGTAATCCCAGCACTTTGGGAGGCCGAGGTGGGTGGATCACTTGAGGTCAGGAGTTCAAGACCAGCCTGACCAACATGGTGAAACCCTATCTCTACTAAAAAAAAAATACAAAATTAGCTGGGCGTGGTGGCACACACCTGTAATCCCAGCTACTCGTGAGGCTGAGGCAGGAGAATTGCTTGAACCCAAGAGGCGGAGGTTACAGTGAGCTGAGGTCGCACCATTTCATTCCAACCTGGACAACAAGAGCAAAACTCCATCTAAAAACAAAAAAAACAAAAAAAACCCTACTGCAACCAGGTTACACAGAAAAGAAAACCAAGGAAGCAATGAATAGCAATAAGGATGAATAAGACAGTTATGGACCGGAAACAGTGAACAGTTACTCTGAAAATCCTGAGAACCTCTCCAGAGAGTTCCGATAGCTAATATAATCCAAGGATGTGGTCAAATTGGAAACTAAGGGAGTACACGTAGGTGTTTTGCTTAGGAATCTGCATCAAAGAATAACTCAAGTCACCTGGATTGGGGTGGATTTTGCCCTGGGGATGTTTGACAGGTGCTTCTCACCTCTGACAGTCACCCACACTGACAGTTCACTTGGGTGAACAAGGGAACTAATGCTTATTGAATGCCTCCTCTGTGCCAGGCACATTATGTGCGTTACCTTTAAACTTCATGGGGTAAGTATTGCTGGCCCCATTTACACAAGGAAATAAAATTCAGATGGATAATTTGCCCAGGAGTTATTTGCCAATAACAGGCAAATCAATTTGAGTCTAGACTTTTTTTACTTGGAACTTACTCTTTTTTCTGTAAGCTCTCACAAGTTGAATCTCAGTTCTAGGAGTTAGTACACCTTTTGAATTCCTATAAAAACCTATCTCCTTTTCCAGAGCATGTTTTGCTTTTTTTTTTTTTTTTTTTTTTTTTTTTTGAGACGGAGCTCATTCTGTCGCCCACGCTGGAGTGCAGTGGCCTGATCTCGGCTCACTGCAAGCTCCGCCTCCGGGGTTCACGCCATTCTCCTGCCTCAGCCTCCCGAGTAGCTGGGACAACAGGCGCCTGCCACCACACCCGGCTAATTTTTTTTTTTTTTTTTTTTTTTTTTTTTTTTGTATTTTTAGTAGAGACGGGGTTTCACCGTGTTAGCCAGGATGGTCTCGATCTCCTGACCTTGTATCTGCCCACCTCGGCCTACCAAAGTGCTGGGATTACAGGCGTGAGCCACTGCGCCCGGCCCCATTTTTTGCTTTTTACAGTCTATTTCTCATAAAGAACTCTTTAAATAAACTATCATTTATCTAGTGATGATGAGTTTTTCCAGTTTACCTACTTTCTCCCCTCTCATGTAAGAGACAAGAGTGAGTCCAGTAGTTTTATCTGATTTCTCTTGTTAATTTGTGAAAATCTAACCGTAGTTCTATTCTGATCTTAACAAACTTTACCTCTCCTCTTTGTAAATTGCTAATCTGACACATTTATTTTTCTCATTGATTGACATGACATTATACATTTGGAAAATCCAAAATGGCAAATAATCTAAAACTTGTCAAATTATAAAGTAAAGCAATTCAAATTTTAGTGTTTGACACTGGATATTCACCTAAATATAGTTACTGAGTATGTTGTTTTAGATAAATCACAGGGATGCCGTGGCTGAATCTTGATTTTACATGTCAGCTCTCTAAGTTATTAATAATAACTTCAAATTATTGTTTCTTAATTTAAATCTTCTTCATAAGAATCATGCAAAACATCTTTCATGATTTGCTGTTACTTGTTTGAACTGGCTCACAAAACAATTGTTAAATTTTTGGAATTTTGCTAAATGATTTCTAATAACAGCCATTATTAAAAAATAAAGTATATAAACTTACAATTAAATAGATGATATATAGGGGCACATGTCATCAGGACCTCTTGAGGCTGTGTCACAGAAAAAAATATAAATAAATAAATAAAATAGGTGATATATAAAACGAAGGTAGTGAATATTCAAAAATCTTTACTTATTATTTTACCCTTTTTTACTGTTATGTATGTGTTTGAGGTTATGTATGTCTTGTATGGTGAAAATAATATAGATTGGGGTATTAGTGCACATCTCTGTGTTCAGTGATGTCCTGTCAGTAGCTTAAAACCAGCTGTAGTGGGAGAATTTACACAACAGAAATAGCCAAGTGAAAAATTAAGGCTTGAATTATTGCTTTCCTGATTTTGTAGAGTTAAGATCAAGAGAAAACGTTAATAATGAATAATAGGCCAGACATCGTGGCTCACACCTGTAATCCCAGCACTTTGGGAGGCTGAGGCAGGAGGATTGCTTGAGGCCAGGAGTATGAGACCAGCCTGGGCAACATAGTGAGATCCTGTTTTTACAAAAATAAAATAAAAAATAGCCTGGCATGGTGGCACATGCCTGAAATCCCACCTACTGGAGAGGCTGAGGCAGGAGGATCACCTGAGCCCAGGAGTTCAAGGTTGCAGTGAGCCATGGTCATGCCACTGCACCCCAGCCCAGGCGACAAAGTGAAACCCTGTCTCAAAACAAGAAAACACACACATAAAGGTGTCATGACTAGCTGTACATGATGTATAGCACAAAGAACTATCCTTCAAGTATTAGGCACAGCCTTTTTCTATTGTAGTTTGTTTTATCGCGATTTGCTGATACTGCGGTTTTTACAAGTTGAATGTTTGTGGCAACCCTGCATCAAGCAAGTCTGTCAGCACCATTTTTCCAACAACATGTGCTCACTGGTAATTCTCACAATATTTCAAACTTTTTCATTATTATTATATCTGTTATGACGGTCTGTGATCAGTGATTTTTGATGTCAATATTGTAATTTTGGAGGGGTAATGTGTACCACATCCATATAAGACTGCAAATTTAATCAATAATGTGTTCTGACCGTTCCACTGACTGGTCTTTCTCAGTCTCTCTTCCTCTCTTCGGAACACTTTATCCCCTGATACACAAGAATATTGAAATTAGACCAACTAATAACACTATAATGGCCCCTAAATATTCAAGTGAAAGGAAGAGTCACACATCTCTCACTTTCAATCAAAAGCTAGAAATGATTAAGCTTAGTGAGGAATGCATGTCAAAAGCTGAGATAGGCTGAAAGCTAGGCCACTTGCACCAACAGTTGGCCCAGCTGTGGATACAAAGAAAAGGTCTTGAAGGAAATTGAAAGTGCTACTGCAGTGAACACCTAAAAGATATGAAAGTGGAACTGCCGTGTTACTAATATGGAGAAAGTTTGAGTGGTCTGGATAGATCGACCCAGCCAGAACATTCTCTTAAGCCAAAGCCTAATGCATAGTAAGGCCCTAACTCTCTTCAGTTCTATCAAGGCTGAGAGAAGTAAAGAAACTGCAGAAGAAAGGCTTGAAGCTAGCAGAGGTTGGTTCAGGAGGTTTAAAGAAAGAAGCTATCTCTATAACATGAAAGTACAAGGTGAAGCAACAAGGGCTGATGTAGAAGCTGCAGCAAGTTATCCAGAAGATCTAGCCAAGATCAAAGATGAAAGTGGCTATATTAAACAATATATTTTCAAAGTAGATAAAACGGCTTTCTATTGGAAGAAGATGTCATCTAGGATATTTACAGCTAGAGAAGAGAAGACAATGCCTGGCTTCAGAGCTTCAAAGGACAGGCTGACTCTCTTATTAGAGGCTAATGCAACTGGTGAGTTTACGTTGAAGCCAATGCTCATTTGTCATTCTGAAAATCCCAAAGCCCTTAAGAATTATGCTAAATCAACTCTGCCTGTGCTCTAGAAATGGAACAACAAATCCTGGGTAACAGCACATCTGTTTACAAAATGGCTTACTGAATATTTTAAGCCCACAGTGGAGACCTACTGCTCAGAAAAAGGGATTCATTTGAAAATATTACTGCTTACTAACAATGGACCTGATCACCCAAGAGTTCTGATGGAGATGTACGGGAAAGTAATGTTGTTTTCATGCCTGTTAACCCAACATCTGTTCTGCAGCCCATGAATCAAGGAGTAGTTTCAACTTTCAAGTCTTAGTATTTAAGAAATGCACTTCATAAGGCTGTAGCTGCCATAGATTAGTGATTTCTCTGATGGATCTGAGCAAAGTAAATTGAAAATTTTTGGAAGGGTTTCACTCTGCTAGGTGTCATTAAGAATATTTGTGATTCATAGGAGGAGGCCAAAATATCAATATTTATGTAGGAGTTTGGAAGAACTTGATTCCAACCCTCATAAATGACTTACAGAGGTTCAAGACTCCAGTGGAGGAAGTTATTTTAAATGTGGAAGACATAGCAAGAGAACTAGAATTAGAAATAGAGTCTGGAGATGTGACTGAATTGCTGTAATCTCATCAACAAACTTGAGTAGATGAGGAATGGCTTCTTATGGATGAGCGAAGAAATGGTTTCTTGAGATGGAATGTACTCCTAGTGAAGATGCTGTGAACATTGTTGAGATCACAACAAAGGATTTAGAATATTACATAATATTATTATTAATATAATAATATATTATTAGTTGATAAAGCACCAGCCGAGTTGGAGAGGATTCCAATTTTGAAAGATGTTCTACTGTGGGCCAAATAGTATCAAACAACATTGCATGCTGCACAGAAATCTTTCATGAAAAGAAGAGTCAATCAGTGCAGCAAACTTCATTGTTATCTTATTTTCAGAAATTGCTACAGCTACCCCAACCTTCAGCAACCTGCTAGCCTGATCAGTCAGCAGCCATCAACCTTGAGGCAAGGCCCTCCACCAGCAAAAAGATTACCACTGGCTGAAAGCTCAGATAATTGTTAGCAATTTTTAGCAGCAAAATACTTTTAAATTAAATTATGTATATTTTGTTAGATATAATGTATATTTTGTTAGATAAAATGTATATTTTGTTAGATATAATGCTATTGCACACGTAATAGATTACAGTTTTACATAAACATAACTTCTATATGTACTAGGAAGCCAAAAAATTTGTGTGACTTGCTTTATTGAGATATTTGCTCCATTGCTGTGGTCTGGAATTGAACCCACAATATCTCTAAGGTATGTCTGTATTCAAAAACTTGATTATCCAATTTAGTAAAGAATTTGCTCACATGAAGTTGTTCATTGACAAATGAGTGAAGTTCTGACATTTTACTTGCTAATGAAAAAGAAAATATCAGCCAACACTCATGTTTATGGAACACTTTTTATTAATTGCAACCATAATTTAGGGAGGATACAGGAATTCAGCAAAAGTCAGCAAAAGCATTAGAAGAGATTTAATTGGCTATATGAAAATCATAAACCTCATGAGTATATCATTTTTAATAATTGTGTGCCATTTATTCTTTATGTTAGTAAAGTATATTTCAAAAATATATACGTGTATGTATTTTCTTTCCTAGAGAGCAAATTTATCAGCGCAGCACTGACACTGTTTTACCCCCTTCACATTGCCTTAGTTTATCCATTAATTGCCAGCTCGTTTCCTTCTTTGACATTCTCACATTTGTTTGGCTGAAACTTGAAATAGTTGTCAGACAGAAGTTGAGAAAGGTAATTTCTCACCATTATCTCTGTGGTCTTAGATACTTGATACTGGAAGTTGTGGATATTGGTGATAGTGTTTAAGGTATTACATTCTCTTTCTTCTAGTTACAAAATTTGCCTCTCTTGCCTTCCTGCCACAGAGGAAACTATGAGACTCAGACTTGATTAATTTGAGCAACAGTGATTAGTGGATTATCAAGTGTCCTAATCAGAGAGAGAATTTGTCTCTGGGTTTGATACATAGATGCTCAGGGGAACTTCTTCCTAGGGTGGCTAAGCCAGATCTTCTGGCAAGTTAAGTTCTCCACCATGTGAGGAAGGTATCTCTACAGCAGGAGAAAATGAGATTACTGTGCCAAGAGAGATAATTCCCACAGTAGTGAACAGCAGATAGAGTACATCCTGGTAATGCTGACTCTCCAGACCCAGTTCCTGTGGGCATTATTTCCTACAGCCATTGAGTTATTGTACGGTTTTCCCAGCTATATGGGCAATATATTGATATTTGCCTTAAGATAATATGAGTTGGCTTTCTCTTATTTGCAACATTGGTGTCCTGACTCATACAAATCCCAGTATATTTAGTGAGCAGGCTTCACTGAGTTTGCAAACTTTCTGAAATTCTATGCAAGATTTGTGTGTTTCTGTTTAGGTGCATTTTTACCCCCTGGGAATAGGGTTCATGGCTTTCCTCAGATTTGAAAAAAGAACCATACACCCACAAAAGCTGACTAAAGTTAATGTGAATCAAAATAAGCTAAATACATAGCTTTCTATGTCAGAATTTGTTCAGCATGTATCGCACAAATCAAGTGGTGGTTACATTCACCTGAGCATGAATTTGAGTCTTTCTTTGATGTTTTTGACCTAGATTTCAAAGCTTCCTAAGAGTTGTAAGTCCCAAAGGCACTTAATTTCCATTTGATTTCTTCCTTGTTACTTTCTTCACATAGTAACCTTTTTGTATATGTGTGATATTGTTAGCATATTTCTCAGGAGAGACTAAAATGGGAGGCACTTGTTATTCACTTGATTTATGAAATTCCAAGAAGGATGAACAGTGAATAAGAAGTAACTGTATTTTATCAAAACTTCAAAAAATGACTTTTATCTGTCTTTAGAAATAACTTTCAAGGAAATGACATCAGGCAGTAAACTCAAATTTGGTGACTATTTCTCAGATGTTTTAAGATTACTTTTACAAAGACTTCTAGGTTAAGAGGACAATGAAATTAAGTTATAGAGTGGGAAGAACCTTTAGTGGGGGCAAATTAAAACTAGACTTATTGTGAATGAGAAAACAGTAAAATATAAGAAACCTATCTTTTTCTCTTGAGATGTTAGCTATCAAGTGGAAAATAATTGCATTTGGTAAAAGGCAAAATAAAGTGTTCCCAATACTATACATTTAATACCTTTACTTCAGAAACAGCTAAAGCAATTTCAGAGGATGATTTTTGTCTAAAAAGGTAATTTATTGCTTGGATAAGCATGACACAGAAGGCTGTACAGGTTATGCTTGCCTAACTGAAGCAATATTTTGTCAGCCTCTGTAAGAGTTTTGATTGATTGTATCTATGGCCCTAAAAAGAAATTATTTAAATCTTCTTTAAAATGTAATGCACACAATAAAGTAATATAGTGAGTTATTTGAAAATAAATCTTAATTAAAAATTAAAATGCAGTATATTTTACTTTATAAAAAATAAAAACACTTTCTCACTAGAGCCAATAGACAACATTATAAATATCCCATCAAAGTTGAAGTAAATAAACAATGTTTAAGGCTTACGGAAGAATACAAATAGACTAAAATATCAGATTAATAGATAAGTCTAGTAATGAGAGTTTAAGAGCTAAAGCTATGAAATTAACTGGACTTTTTTTTTCTTTTCTTTTCTTTTTTATTTTTTTGAGAAGGAGTTTCGCTCTTGTTGCTCAGGCTGGAGTGCAATGGCATGATCTCAGCTCACCGCAACCTCCGCCTCCTGGATTCAAGCAATCCTCCTGCCTCAGCCTTCCAAGTAGCTGGGACCACAGGCATGCGCCACCACACAAAGCTAATTTTGTATTTTTAGTAGAGACGGGGTTTCACCATGTTGGTCAGGCTGGTCTCGAACTCCTTACCTCAGGTGATCCACCCGCCTTGGCCTCTCCAAGTGTTGGGATTACAGGCGTGAGCCACTGTGCCTGGCCAACTGGACCATTTTAAGAAGAATTTTACTACATTTAAATTTGTGCACTTAGTTGAAATTTAGCGTTACTTCTCTAAATCATACAAACCATTAAGTTACTAGTTGAGAATGATTAATTAATACACAGAAAGAAATTCTATCCTTAGTTCTAAGGCTGCAGTAGTTTATACCTATTTAATGGGTAGTTTAGCTAGTCTAACCCTTAAGGCTAGCTCACATTCTTGGAATCTATATATTCACAAATACCTCTCATGCTATTGGCAATAATATTAAGTCAAACATATGCAAAGATAAGTTGATATATAAGCATGACACAGAAAGCTATTAAGTCCTTGTTCACTGAACTGAAACAATATTTTGCCATCCTTTACATGAGTGTGTGCATGTGTGTGTATGTGTGTGTGGGTGTGTCTAAAAGAAAGGTTTGGGTACAAGATTAATGAATTGGCCCCTAAATGTTTCTGATGACAGAACTCAGATTTTCATGATAATTCATTACAACAGAACTGCAAATTAACATGGCTTTAGGTGTTGTGTTCAGCACCAAGAAGAAAAAGTTAGATGCAAAGAAATCTGGTTTGAGACAAGAAATATGTGACTTATAATTCTTTATTATCTACTTATTGAAATTCTTTATTACTTCCATAAGATACCTTACCCTGATGTCGAAAGTAGTAACTGATCTCAAACTAAACCGTGCTGTAAAACAGTTTGGCACCTATTTAAGTTGTTATTTTATTTGACATGCAGATGGAGTTTTAAAACACAAAATAAATAACCAACAGATCCATGTGGCAACTCCTCACACAAAAGACTTTATGCATACTAAGGTGTATATAAAACACCACACTCTCACCTGTGGATAATACTAATACTGAGTTAGAAGATTTTCACCCTTATACTGCCAGAAAGGAAATTGCAAACAGATGATATACACAGTTCATTGATATGCTTAATACACTTACTCCATGAAGTGTAGAAAAACTGCCAAAAAAGAAATTATGAACAGCATTCCAAACGCTTAGGAAGTTAATGTTATATTTTAGAAAAGTAATGACCGAAAACCATTTTCTACTTCATACATGATACTTACATATCTGCACAAGCTTTCCCCTCACATATAAAAAGCTGAAAATAAATGGAAAACACCAATAAAGCTGGCCACTAATATTGCCACTTCCAGAAGAAGGACAATAATGTGACATCTTTCATAGCTGACAGGATTTCTGCCAGAGGCTTGGTAGATTGTCCTCTACTGAGTTACTTCTTCTACCTATTTCTCAATTACAAGCTTATGTTCCTGCAAAATACTAACCTAGCCAAATAAACAACCATTGTTTCTGAAAACAGCATCTGCCCTGTGTCCTTTATTCTATTCTATCTTAATAAATCAGGGTCAGTACATGACAAAAACAATCTGAAATCTTCTCTACTAGTCTCTTCGGAAATACAGCATCCAAATTTAATCCTAAGCATCCACTTTTGTGCTTTCTCCCCTCATACCTTATAATGACCCCTCTACCTTTTCTGATTCACAGGTAACTCTTAAACTAAAGGTACAACAGACCCAACAGGCAGAAAAAGAGCCTGCAAGGCAAGAGAATGAGACCCAAATGCTGCACCAGTTCAAGCTGAAGTACAAAGGAGGCCAAAAGTTTACCCTGCTGTGTTCGATTTTTAAAATTCTATAGCCCATTTTAGGTTAAAGATCCTATCTCCTCTTTTTTCAAAATGTCTAACCCCATCCCAAACATGAGAACCATTTTTTCTACCCTCTTCCAAATGTGAAACCTGCTGAGCAATTAAAAAGAACAGAAGTCAATAGGCACTGAGGAAAAACATGGGTCTCAGAGTTGGTTTGTGGTAGGGACAAAACATTTAAAGTATTAGTATAAGCCCTTTAACAAAAGTAAGAGAATTCTTTTACTTTCAGAATTTTTATTTGCATAACTTCATTTAATAGACAACTGATTGAACTTTGATTATAAAATAATTATGAAAACCCCAAAATGAATGTGACTGCTTGCCATAATTGATGCAGCTACAGTTTGAAAATAACACATGAGGCAAGGAGAGGACGCAGCAGAAAATTTAGAATAATAATATTTTAGGCAGTAACTGTTGATGAATGCCAATTTTGAATTATTTTAAAAACCAGAGATTAATAAATAGTTTTATAGGACACAGTTTTATAAAACTTAAAAGTAAATTTTTTTGTGAACTCTCTAGAGAATAACTTTTGGCAAATATACTAGTGATGAAACACTTTCTATTCTGTAATAATTATATTGCATGCAATCATTACTTTGTAGGTCTTTCCTCTACTACATTGAGCTTAATAAAGTGCTTATCTTTGTATCTGCAGGTCCTATACAAAATGTAACTCAAATGTTTGCACACTTACTTAATTTACTTATTTATACCTTATATTGTTATGGAATACATTCTTGAGAGTTTACATTAGAATCAGTTCTGAAGCTTTTTATAAAACAAATGCTCAGGCCCCACTCTGCACATAGGGCTAGATATGTTTTAAAAGCTGTACAAATTGATATACATGCTATGAAATGATGGATATATAGAGACATGATGGAAACATTCCTGCCAAAGTCAGGAACAAGGTAAGGATAGCTATCAGCTCCACTACTACTAAACTTAGACCAAAGCTACTAGCTGGTGAAATCATACAAGGGAAAATAAGCAGCACTGTAAGAATTTGAAAAGAAAGGACCCAGTGCAGTAGTGTGTACCTGGCAACTGAAGTCCTAGCTACTTGGGAGGCTGAGGTGGGAGGAGGGCTTGAGTCCTGGAGTTTGAGGCCAGCCTGGAAAATGCAGGGAGATCCCATTTCTTAAAAAAAATAAAAAATTAATAAATAAATAAAGTAGAAAACAAAGAGTAAAACTGTATGTAAAGACATATGATATGTTGGTGTACTGAGAACACAGAAGATAATGCTAAGACTAACACAAGTAAGAAAAAACATTTAATAAGGTAGCAGATATTAAAAATATATAATTAAAGAAACAAATGTTTAAAATAAGGACAGAAAGAAATATTTAGAAATAAATCAACAAAAACTGTGCAAAACCTATGTAAGAAAAACCTTAAAATATTCAAATGCAGAAAGTAGGCCTGAAATAATGGAAAGACATCCCTTCTCTTTGGGAAAGAAAACTCAATATTATAAAGACGTAAATTCCCTTCAAGTTAATATATAAATTAAATGTGATCCCAGTAAAGATACTCTGAAGTTGTTGTTATTTGATGAAGATAGATTAATGCTAAGATTCATGTGGAAAAATAAACATGCAAGAATATGAAGGGAAACTCCAAATAAAGAAAAGCTAGGCTAGGCGCAGTGGCTCACGACTATAATCCTAGCAGTTTGGGAGGCCAAGGTGGGCAGATTGCCTGAGCTCAGGAGTTTGAGACCAGCCTGGGCAACACGGTGAAACCCCATCTCTACTAAAATACAAAAAATTAGCCCGCC
Organism: Homo sapiens; assembly: GCF_000001405.40. NCBI lineage: Eukaryota > Metazoa > Chordata > Mammalia > Primates > Hominidae > Homo > Homo sapiens. Next base: position 17,960,625 of record NC_000007.14, read on the forward strand.
ATGGTGGCATGTGCCTATAGTCCCAGCTACTCGGGAGGCTGAGGCAAGAGAATTGCTTGAACCCAGGAGTTGGAGGTTGCAGTGAGCCAAGATCATGCCACTGTGCTCCAGCCTGGGTGACAGAATGAGACTCCATCTCCAAAAAAAGAAGAAGAAGAAGAAGAAAAACAAAGCTGGCCAGGCGCAGTGGCTCACACCTGTAATCCCAGCACTCTGGAAGGCTGAGGTGGGCAGATCACCTGAGGTCAGGAGTTCGAGACCAGCCTGGCCAACATGGCAAAACCCCGTCTCTGCTAAAAAATATAAAAATTAGCTGGGCATGGTGGCACACTCCTGTAATCCCAGCTACTCAGGAGGCTGAGGCTGGAGAATCTCTTGAACCCAGGAGGTGGAGGTTGCAGTGAGCCGAGATTGCGCCATTGCACTCCAGCCTGGGTGACAGAGCAAGATTCGGTCTCAAAAAAAAAAAAAAAAGCTAATGAGTGGGAAGTAGACTTACATGACATAAAACATACTTTAAAGCCTCTATAATTAAAAAAGTAGAGTGTAGATGCAGGAATAGAGAGACCAATAAAACAGAATACCAGGTCCAGAAATAGATCCAACCAAGCACATAAGAAATTTAGTAAATGATAGATGTGGAAGTTTGTATCACTGGGGGGAAATGATAGTCTTTAACAAAAATTGTATTCAAATATTAGAATTTTGGAGCCAGGTGCAGTGGCTCATGCCCCAGCACTTTGGGAGGCTGAGACAGGAGGATCACTTGAGGCCATGAGTTCAAGACCAGCCTGGGCAAAATAGTGAGACCTCGTCTATACAAAACATTAAAAAAATTAGCCGGACCTGGTGGCATGTGCCTGTGGTCCCAGCTACGGGGGAGGATGAGGTGAGAGGATCACTTGGGCCTTTGGAAGTTGAGACTACAGTGAATGGTGATCCCGCCACTGTACTCTATCCAGCCGGGGCATCAGAGCAACACTCTGTCTCAGACAAAAAAAAAAAAATTTGAAAAAAGACAAAATTAGATCCATACTTCATCTATTCAAAAGACAATTCTCCAAACACATCAGGTATCCAAATGTAAAATATTAAATCATATAATTACTAGAAGAGAACATGAATGAGTTCATTTAAGACATGAATGTCAGTGCCGCTACACACATGATCCCATACCAGACACTGTATATAGGTGATCTCAATGAAAAGTTGCTCAAAACTCAGTGAGGAAGATACATTGTCATCATACCCACTCTGTCGATGGAAAAACCTGATGCAGATAAGCTATGAGATAGAAGGCCACATATTTCCCTGGGTGGTCTCTCTCAGCCTGATCATGTAAATTAACACCTTATATTCATAGGGATATTCAGAGTCTAAAGAAGATTTTAAGAAACAAGGTATCATACCCATTACAGGCAGCCTTGCAGCCTTCTTCAAATTCCTCATGCCACAGAACCTGCAGTGTAATGACACTAGTTAAGTCCAGGCCTTTTCGGGAAAAGCAAGGGAAGATACTGCCGAAAGGTCGCAGGCTCATTGCAGACGATCTGAAGGCTGGAGCTGTGCTGAAAGTTTTCTTCTCTAGCCATCTATAATACATAAAGAAGCTGCTCATCGATAAGCTGAAGGGTGTCAGCTTCATTAAGATGAAATTCGAGGACATCAAGGATTGGTCCAACCTAGTAATGCCACGAGAATAATGGGGATTTTTGCCAAACCTGACCATGCTAACATGACATATCCAAAGACTCAGCTTTAGCACTCACTGCCTTTATTATTGATTTGTGACAATCTCTGCGACCCTGGGAACCTGGGGACAATTCTGAGATCTCCAGCTGGGGAAGGCTGCAGCAAAGTGTTACTCACTTTGAAAGGATGTGTGGATGCCTGGGAGCCCAAAGTGCTACAGGCGGGTATGGGTGCACATTTCCAAGTGCCCATTATCGATAATCTGAAAACGAAACAGTGCCAAATTACCTGCCCCCTGACACCCAGGTCTGTGTGGCTGACAACTGAAGCCTTTATGCTCAGGCTCAGATGTCTAATAAAGCCAGTGACCATGGCTGGGTGTAGGATTGGCGATTCCTGAAGTTTCACAAGTATGAAGAAAAGCAAGGTCTAGAAACTGGAGCCAGTAAAGGTTTGCTGCCTGTTATTGAGGTTCAGAGTTATGACTTGGACTGGACAGAGGCACCAGCAGCTGTAATGGTTGGTGGCGTGACCTACGGCATGATCCTGGAATCTCTGTAGTTTGCCGAGAGCCCTGCGGGCAAGAGGCTGCTGATCCCTGTTGCACCTGGAGTGGACAGCCTCAACTCAGCCATGGCTGCACGCATCCTGTTTTTTGAAGGGAAAAGACAACTGCGGGTGAGGGCGGAACACTTGAGCAGGGACAGGAGTTACCACGGAGAGGGGACAGAAAAGTGAGTTCTGCTGAGGACATCTCCAGCTCCCCCTATGCTGGCACATCGTTAGGAGGCTGGCAGAGTCGGAAACTGTGGCCTCTCAGTTGGTGACTGTGGCCTCCATGTTCAGGAGGCAACAGGTAAGCATGATACCATCATATGGTTATAGGAAAAATCAGAATTTCCATAAATTTCTGCTATTCCTCAGAAATAACAGGTCAAAATCCTTCCTGAGAACCCCCATCTCTTCACTGATTTTGAGGTTATATCTTATTCTTTTCCTTGGTGACAATACAAATAGGGGATCCACATGGCTCTGTATGTGTGTTTTTAAAAATTGTCCACTGAGAAGCATTTCGTGCCCAGAAAGCTCCTGAAAGCATCATCTCGGGCAGGGAGGAATTTGCTCCACCAGCTGGTGGGTGTTTTGCAATCATCGAGCACTGGTTATAGGTCATGGCCAAGTCACTCACATGTGATCATTGGTCAATGGTAAATAAAATAAAGTGTAGAACCAGCAGATTACATTGAAAAGTTTTATTTGTGTGATCAAAAAAATAAATAAAATAAAACAGGAATGTAGGGAAATCCTTTCTAACTATGACTCAAAATCTAGAAGCATTAAGAGAAAATATTTTACTTTGCAGCTCTTATTGCCAAAGGGATTTTTATCCAGTGGAAGGCTGACTTCACCAGAGCAAGAAAAATCAGCCAGAGGCATCTGGGATGAATCTTGCAGCTACAGGACCAGCACCCAGACCATCTGTGAGATTTGGGCAAAACTGTGCTCATCAAGTGCAGCCTACCTCTACCCTCACAGTGTTGCCCACTTCATTCAACTGGGATTTTTTTCTCTATTAGTACTCCACCAAAATTAGAGCCTCTAGTCTGTTTCTCCAATACCCAGAGGCCCTGCATAGAATTTACTACCATTTTCCTACCAAAGGCCACATCCTATTCCGGAATTCCCCATACTATTAGTCGTTAACTAAGGACCTGCTTTAAAATAATAACTCAGAACCAGAATGCCATCAAATTGACTTCCTCTGGTACTTACACTTCCTTGTACATATTTATACCCTGATATGACATGGACCCCTTGCATTACCTGTCATCTCTAATAATTACTGCACAATTGGTTCTTCTCAAATAATGACTCCTGTTAGGACCAAGACCAGGGCTTCTTTCAACTTTGCATTTTGGACTACTAGCTTGGTTTCCTCAGTTTTTTACCTGCAGTGAAGTCACTCTTCTCAGTGATGCTTTTCCCACACTATCCTGCCTTTCCTTTCCTGTGTCCAGTCCCTATTGCTAGAATTAGCTAGCTTTCTTTAATCACCAAATTGCCTTTTATTATGCTGTGGCAGACATTATAGCGCTCACTTATATCTGTTCTTTCTTTCTGGAAACGTATTGCATAAAACTTCCCTGTCCACCTTTTAGTTAGGTGATATTGTCTTAGGTCAAGTTTCCCAGATCCAATCTGTAAGACAAGAATGTATATGCAAGTGATATATTAAGGAAATATTCTCAAGGAAGACTGTAAGGAAGTGATAGAAGCAAGACAGAGAATGAAATAAAGCCAAGCAAGGCAAAAGTCCCACACATGGTAGGCTTTAGGAAGATCCTACAAGAGAATTTTGGAGGGAAAACAATTTCTCAGAGTTATCCCAACCTGAAGCAAGGGAGCTGAGCTAATATTCCTGTACAAAACAGTCTCTAATCAACAGCCACAGACAGGCACGGTGGCTCACGCCTATAATCCCAGCACTTTGGGAGGCTGAGGCAGTCAAATCACTTGAGCCCAAAAGTTCGAGACCAGCTTGGGCAACATAGTGAGAGTCCATCTCTACAAAAAATTAGCCAAGCATAATGGTTCTCACCTGTAGTCCCAGCTCCTTGGGAGGCTGAAATCACTTGAGCCTGGGAAGTCAAAGCTGCAGTGAGCTGTGAACACACCACTGCACTCAGCCTGGGCGACACAGTAACACCTTGTCTCAAAAAAAAAAAAAAAATCAACAGCCACTTCAAAGTATGCACCAGGCATTTCTGGCTCTTGATGCAAAGGGGCTCCAGTAACCCAAATGGAAGCTATTGAAGAAGAGTCACAGGTGCTGGCCATTGAACACATGCCAATCAGGGATTTAAGCCAATGACAGACATTATCTGTTTCAGGTCTCAAGTGAGTAGTTCTCTGGCCAATGATTTTTGAATGGAAATTATTGTCACAGTGAATTTCACTTTCCGTGTGCACTCCTCCAGCAATTTTTTCTCCTTCCTTGTGTCAATCTAGAAGTCTATCTGCTTTAGAAAATGCAGCACCATAAGGTGGTAGAGTCTGGTCAGATTGCATCTTTGAGTTATGGAGGCAGAGCCTTCTTCTGACCTATGTTAGACATTTCTATTAAGTGAGGAATAAACTTAGTATGTGTTTGTTATTATAGCACATCCTCTCCTATCCTGACTAATACATATCCCATATATGCATTTTTCATTCAAAAATATTTGCTGAGCAAATATCATGTGCTAGATATTATGCTAGAGAATATAAAGACAAAAAAGAAATGTTCCTTTTCCTCAGAAAGCCCCTTATCATAATAGAGTCTAGTTAGTGCCATGATAGAGATATGTGGTGGGACCCAGAATGCTTTGTGAACAATGAGTAGGAGACTCTAAAAGAGACAGCAAGGCCAGGCAAGTCTCCTTAGAGATTCCACATGAGTCACATTATAAAGCATGAGTTAAAATTAGCTAGAAAAATAAAGGGGCTGGGAAAGGAAGGTCAACAGAAGCAGCCAGAACATGAGATGCAAAGTTCTGATTTGTGAAGGACAGGATACACTGATGACTCACTAATATATAACAATATACAAAGTAGTATTTTGATATTTTATTTGTTGTAGCTTGGCCTGTCAGATTGAACCACAGACTAGTTAATTGACAGGAAGTAATTTCAAATGATGAGCTAGTTCATGACCTAAAGCAAATTATTATTTTACTTCTCTGTGTCCTGTTTACCTATTCTGAAAGATGAAAGTACTGACCTGCTTCATAGAGATGTTGTTTAATTACTCTTCAAAGTTGCTTTGAAAATATCAAGGCCTTCTCAAACATAAAGTACTAGTACAATTTCCTTAGGAGCTGTGCTAACAGAAGAAAATGTAGGTTTAAATCTTTAGACTGGAATAAATCTAAAGAAGAAAATAATTATTGATTCCTTTCCACTAGTATTAGAGCAATTTCTACTGATACGTCTTTAATGATCTCAGGATAAAAAAAAAATGGTAAAGGTATGATTATTCCATGACAAGAATAGGAAAATTTTTAAAGTTACCACCCCTGGGCCGGACGTGGGCTCACGCCTGCTATGCTAGCACTTTGGAAGGTCAAGGTGGGCAGATCGCTTAAGCTCAGGAGTTCGAGACCAACCTGGACAAGCAAAACCCCATTTCAACAAAAAATTAAAAAAATTAGCTGAGTGTGGTGGCGCATGCCTTTAGTTCAGGTTACTTGGGGGACTGAGGTGGGAGGATCACTTGAGCCCAGGAGGTCGAGGCTGCAGTGAGCCGAGATCCTGCCACTGCACTCCAGCCCGGGTGACAAAGTGAGACCCTGTCTCAAGAAAGAGAAAAAAGTTACCATCACTGGAAGGGGCTTCCAGGGAAAAAGTACTCAGATGACCCATTTTACCCTTTTAAATTTAAATACAGATGATCATGATAACTAACATCTAATGAGCAAAATAATATGTTCTAGAATGGTTCTATGTGTTTTTCCATGTATAATCTTTGGAAATTATCTAGGCAACTTTATCTCTAGATAGTAAAAAACCTAGATAGGTTTATTATTATCTCTGTCTTGCAGACAAGGAAATGCAGGCACAGAGAGTTTAGCAATGTGCCCAGGGCCACTCATTATATTCCACGGTACTCATGATATTCCTGAGTACTTGTGTGGCTCTGAGAAACTCTGTTTCTCTGTGTCTTTTTAAAACATCCACAATTTTCCTTTAGGGCTCACGGGAAGAACAGTACCTTTAAGGTATTTCTATACTCGTGGTAAAATTTCTGCTTATATGACCAGATTAATAAAAGCCGTTATCTTAGAAGGCAAACTGTATAGAAAAGTTCATCTGAATTCAGCTTTTCCCTGACCACTTTTATTGACATTACTCAGTTGACCCGTCTGTTTCCCAATTTAGCTTCCCTCAAGATTGTGGGAAATTTCTGATTTTTCTCAGGAACAATTGTGGATATGACTTTTTTGTGCACCACTGTTTCTGAAACTTCTGCCCACATTTAATGCCACTTCCTTATTAGGAATTATAATTATTAATGTCACTGTCTTACTATTGTCCCTAATTTGTCTCTAGAATTGAGACAAAACTAGAAAGCCTGCCATAGTTTCATTTCACTTACCAGACCAGTCCCTGGCTTTCTTCTTTGCCCATGCTGGTATATGACATTGAGCAATAATACACACTAAAATAATCCCCCATATTTTCTGTTTTTTAAATACCAATAATATGCACCTTCCTGTAGCGTATTTTTAGTGTTCTCAAATGTATTGAAGTATGGAAATCATCTGTGATCTACATACTGAACAAACAATATTAGTATTGCTTAATGTTTCCCTTCATAGACTTTTTTCTGAGGCCCCCATTCAGACTACAGCATTAAAGAAAAGCTAATGTCAATCAAAATTCAAGTGAATTATAACTAGCAGTGTGTGAGCAGTATAATCGATTAGATCAATCTGAAAAGATACAATTATGAAAGCAGAATTGTGTCTGCTTCTCTAGTGGGCATGTCTAATTATTTTTATTTGCATGGAATATTAGTCAGACATTTAATAATTAAATATAGATTCACTTATAGAACAGCAATGCAAACAATAGCTAATATTTATTGACCACTTACTATGTGCCCAGCAGCGTGCTAAGCATTCAGTTTGCATGATTATCATCTAATACCTCCCAAACTCTATAACCTATATCATATATATATATATACATATATAAATAGTCCATATGCTAGTTGATACGCTGATTGATAGATGGCAGAACATATTCCCATTATATAGACTGAACAGATGTTTCATTGATATGGTTTTATGAGGGCTATGAAAATTTATCTCGTCGCCCTACATTAACATGCAGTTTTCGCACTTATCACCTATTTCATGTAGAAAATATCTTTTGTTCTCTAAGGGTTAGATCATTTATTCCAGCGAGTTCTATCAGGAAAATTAGCCTGACATTTAGCAGTCTTTAGCAAGAGTCAAAATTTACCAGAATGAACCGTAAGGAGAGATTAGAGGAGGAAAGGATTGTACCTGGGGCTTAGGATCTTTATCAGTTCAAACAACAGCCAACAAAAAGACAGTATTAGGTTGGAAGAGGCATAATTGGGAGTACAAAAGAAGGAAAAAGAAAAAAAGAGTCACAACTTTGGATTAGAATCATAATATTGGCTAAAGGCAGATATAATTTCCATTTCACACAAAGGGAAATTAAGAGATCAATAACCACACAAAGTTACACAGGTGGTAAAGCCTGGAATCAAATTCCAGGAGCCTGGTTCCAAATCCTTTCTACCATTTTTAAAAAATTATTATTATATAAGAGTGCTGCCTGGATCCGTTGTGTTTTTTCACTGCAAAAGGTGAGATGACTTCCTAAACCCTTCTTTAATCAGCCTAAATCTATGTTTTCTCATGTCTTTTGAGGTTCATGGCTAGCATTGGGTAAAAGCAGTTAGGAAGAAAAGCTAAAGCAGTATAGCCTAGTAACGAAATCTATGGACTCTGGATTCTAAACTTTTTGAGTTTCAAATTCCAGCTTTATCACTTACTGACTTTTCTTTTGGACAAGTTACTTGAACTCCTGCATAGCTTTCCTTATCTGTAAAATGAGCACAATAAGAATGCTACTCTCATGGAGCTTTTTTAAAGGAAAAAGTAATACAAACTGCAAAGCATGCAGAAGAATCCTTTTCACACGGGGAATGCTCAAGTCATGTTGCAAGGTATTTCAACATAAATGGTAAGACACTGTTAGGACTGGGCATGGAGATGAAAATCACAAAGGCAATGAGGATAGAAATCCTCTAAAATAGACAAAAATGGCTTCATGAAAGTGACAGAAGAAACAGAGGAGATGCAGAGGTATGTGTTGGCAAGCTGACTGAGCAAATAAGGTGTAAGTGTTAAATAATGAGGAGGAAAAGAATGCAGTTTAACGTGTAGAAATTTCTAGGGAATAGGGAGGAAGCTTGCTTTGCCTACATTTTGGCTGTTTATAGAAGCAGTGGAAGGCAAGAGCTTCACAGAGGAAACTGTAAGAGATGCAAAGACATGGGAAGAGTTTAGAAGAGATGGAAGGAAGCTATAGAAACAGACAGGATTAAACACAGGTTTTCCCTCAGAGGACTGGGCCATGGGGGTTACAAAGAGATAATGGAAAGGAATGTTGAAACAGAATTTTATGGGAGGAAATGAGGATAATAAACTTGCCCTGGGAAAGTGGGTGGGGAGGATAAGAATGAGGAATTATTAGAGGAGAAAGAAGTAGGAAATTATATTTGGCAGAAAAGAGTCAACAACCTATTTTCCATGCTCTGACAGGCTTAAACATAAACCAGGTACGTAGCCAGGGTTAAGAATTCGAGTAGTTGGCCAGGTGTGGTGGCTCACTACTGTAATCTCAGCACTTTGGGAGGCTGAGGCGGGAGGATCACTTGAAGTCAGGAGTTTGAGATCAGCCTGGCCCGCATGGTGAAACCCCACCTCTACTGAAAATACAAAAATTAGCCAGGCATGGTGGTGGGCACCTGTAATTCTAGCTACTTAGGAGGGTGAGGCAGGAGAATCGCTTGAACCCAGCAGACAAATGTTGCAGTGACCCAAGATTGAGCCACTGCACTCCAGCCTGGGTGACAAGAGCGAAACGCTGTCTCAAAACTAACTAAATAAATAAAATAAATTAGTCAGGTGGCAGACAAAGTAGAATTTTTCAGAGGACGTATTAGCGTTGGCTCTCTTCTAAATCTTCATCTCATAGACCCATCTGCTTGACCCAGAAAAGCTCAACACTGCCATGACATACACACACAGACTTAAGGCTTGATCCATGATGTGCATGAGTAGTTAGATGTAGAAATCCTTTTTCTACTTGTGACTGGGTGAAAATTTGGGGTAGGAATGGCTGTTCTCAATTTTTGAAACTGTCTGGGTTCTTTTATAGCTACTCCATTAATTTTAGGGATTCTGACAAGAGTATGGTTTTAGAGTAACCTAGTTAAGGAGGTGAGATATTAGCTTTCTAGACCTCACACAAATTAACTGTTTTATTTTATTAATTTTTTTTAAATTTTTTTTTTTTGGAGATGGAGTTTTGCCCTTGTTGCCTAGGCTGGAGTGCAATGGTGCAATCTCGGCTCACTTCAACCTCCACCTCCCGGGTTCAAGTGATTCTCCTGCCTCAGCCTCCCGAGTAGCTGGGATTACAGGCATGCACCACCACACCTGGCTAATTTTGTATTTTTAGTAGAAACGTGGTTTCTCCATGTTGGTCAGGTTGGTCTCGAACTCCCGACCTCAGGTGATCCGCACGTCTCGGCCTCCCAAAGTGCTGGGATTACAGGCGTGAGCCACTGCGCCCAGCAATTTACTGTTTTATTTAAATTTGAGTAGCTCACACAGTGAACTGTTATGACAGTGATCCTACTGAGTGGTAAAAGCCTCTGACCCACAGTGTATATGTAAGTGAAGCAGGAAGACAAATAGGTTATGATTGAAAGAGCTGGGCTGAATATAATATAATATAATATAATATAATATAATATAATATAATATAATATAATATAATATATACTTTTTTTTTTATTTTGAGACAGAGTCTTGCTCTGTCACCCAGGCTGGAGTGCAGTGTCATGATCTTGGCTCACTGAAACTTCTGCCTCCCAGGTTCAAGCAATTCTCCTGCCTCAGCCTTCCAAATAGGCTGGGACTACAGTCACACACCACCATGCCCTGCTAATTTTTGTATTTGTAGTAGAGACGGGGTTTCACCATGTTGGCCAAGCTGGTCTCAAACTCCTGACCTCAAGTGATCTACCCGCCTTGGCCTCCCAAAGTGCTGGGATTACAGGTATAAGCCACAATGCCCAGGCTGAATATATTTTTGTTCAAGGAATTTAGAACATAAGACATTCTAAATAATTTGACCTTTTGTCTGTGAATAATTTGCATATGTTAATATATTAAATATACTTTCCCAAAGACTATTTTAAAAAATATAGCCAACAGATAATAACATATATAACATTTTTACTTCTAGTAATCTTGTACTGTACTCATTCAATAAAAACCTTTTTTTTTTTTTTTTTTTGCAGAACTTCCAAATTTATAGAGACATAGACTCTACAGATAAAGGATGAAATGGACTCTATAGTGAAGGTCTTTGGTGTACATGTTAAATATGTGAGATTTAAAAATCTTGGACTGATAGGGTCATTTTTATATTAGATATTGAACTGAATTTAAATCTCAACTCTAGGTGGCAGTTTACACCATCACTTACTTTAGTTCTTTTAACAAGCAGTAGATTCATTCACAGTTTTTCCATGAATGCATAATTTTGTGTAAAAATTAGTCCCTGGCTCTCGGTATCTGTTAAAAATAGATTTGATTTTAGGAATAAAATCATGGCTTGAGATGCAGGTTTTCCATGTATCTTGTCATTCTTGGTTTCATTAAGCCGACAGAATAAAGCAAAAGAAAATAGATAAAAATGAAGGTTTTAACCGAATTTTTTGGAGAAATATAATATTTTAAAATCATAGCAATAGTTCTACATCAAAGTTGTGCTTCTATCGTGCAGAATAGATCTTAGTATGAATAATTTTTCCATGAATACCCTGATTTTCAGAACTATCAAGGATATTTGAGATTCTGGGTTTTCTGAGATTGTTTAAGCGTATTGATTTAATTGAAGGAAAAACTGTCCTACAGAAAAGGAAAATGACTCATAGCTGTGTTTCTTTGCATCTTATTGATGAAAATAGCCAAAGCTGGAGTTTAATTGGGTTGTCAAGGACCAAAATACTCAGGCTGCCCAATTAAAAGCAATATATCGGCAGGGCGTGGTGGCTCACGCCTGTAATCGTAGCACTTTGGGAGGTCAAGACGGGCGGATCACCTGAGGTCAAGAGTTCGAGACCAGCCTGACCAACACGGAGAAACCTCATCTCTACCAAAAATACAAAATTAGCCGGGTGTGGTGGCACATGCCTGTAATCCCAGCTACTCGGGAGGCTGAGGCAGGAGAATCTCTTGAACCTGGCAGGCAGAGGTTCTGGTGAGCCGAGATCATGCCATTGCATTCCAGCATGGGCAACAAAAGCAGAACTCCATCTCAAAAAAAAAAAAAAAAAAAAAAAAAAAAAAAAAAAAAAGCATATATCAGGCCAGGCGTGGTGGCTCATGCCTGTAATCCCAGCACTTTGGGAGGCCTAGGTGGGCGGATCACTGGAGGTCAGGAGTTTGAGACCAGCCTGGCCAACATGGTGAAACCTGTCTCTACTAAAAATACAAAAAGTAGGTAGGCGCAGTGGCGGGTGTCTCAAAAACAAACAAACAAACAAACAAAAACTCCCCCACCACATACCCCAACAGTCCTGCATGAGGCATTTTGTCCTGATTCATATTTGCAAGAGCCCCAACGATAGGATACACAGAACAACTCCTGGGCACTTATCACATAAAAAACTTGCTACACTTCACAGTTCTTTCATTGTTTCAGTTCTAGCAGGAGAAAAATGCATAAAGGATTTAAATTTTGTCCTAAAATTAGATTTTCTTTAAATTGGGGGTAATAACTGTGTTGTGAGCATGAAATAAGATTATGTTTGCATACAGTGACTGGCACCTGGCATTCTGCATATTAGTTATTCTTATTCTTACTATTCTTATTTTTATTAATAAGAAATGTTAACTACAATCCCAAAGAGACTGGCCAATGTGGCAAACTCATGAGCAGCTTTTATTTAGGGAGTTGCATGCCTTCGGCTCCCCTGGGCCTATCCCTGTCTCCATACTCGCCTATGTGTAAAAGGAACATAGGAAAAAGCCATATGGCATGGGCGTAGGGGGTGAGGATATTAGTCACTGGAGTGTGAAAATTAACAATTTCCAAAATGTGTCTAATTGTTTATAAAAATGAATACAAAATTATATTTGGCAAAACTTGGAATCATTTCTGCATTTCTCCTTGATATATATGTGTGTGTTATGTGTATGTATATATATATGTGCATATATAATATAAATGCATATATATTTATAATATGTGTGGATGGAGAGAGAGGTATACATTTTAATGTCATCACCATCTGCACTCTCAATTTATTGAATGATATTCTTCAGGATTTATGTAGAAGTCAAAGGTACCAACCCTATTAATAGAATGTAATCTCTCATTTCACTCAAGTTCCATTTATAAATTATTCACATAAATATGTCTAAATAAAAACATCTTTGGCCAGGCGTGGTGGCTCACGCCTGTAATCCCAGCACTTTGGGAGGCCGAGACGGGTGGATCACCTGAGGTTGGGAGTTCAAGACCAGCCTGACCAACACAGAGAAACCCCATCTCTACTAAAAATACAAAAGTAGCCAGGCGTGGTGGCACCTGCCTGTAATCCCAGCTACTTGGGAAGCTGAGGCAGGAGAACTGCTTGAACCCGGGAGGCGGAGGTTGCGGTCAGCCGAGATCGCGCCATTGCCCTCCAGCCTGGGCAACAAGAGCGAAACTCCGTCTAAAAAGAAAAAAAAATTCTCTATCTTACAACAGAATTGATCCCCTATGGCATAGTTCCCTAACAGGCGTGCCACATAGGAATAAGTAATAGCTATATTAACGTGTTCATCCTTGAAGGCCTCAGGGCTCCTAGGTGGGGCCGTAGCAGTTGTGCATGGGGCCAGTTGCCCTCAACAGTTAAAAGCCTCATCTATTTAACCCAATGTGCTATAAAAATATTCTTCTATGCATAGCCTCATGTGAAAAAAGTTGGAGAGAACTATTCTAGCATTGCCAGGTATTCTCATTATCAAGGTCTGAATATGTTCCCCCATTGCCTGTCGAGCAAAGGCCAAACTTCTTATGGTGCTATTCAAGTCCCTACAGCACCTGGTTCCAGGCTGCCCTTGCAGGTCTATTTGTCATCAATATCCTTCCACAACCCACATAGGGATGCCGTGTTTCCACCTCATTTCCAAATGCCCAAATCCTACATGGTTCAAATGCAACTGTCTCTACACAGTCCTGATTCCTCCAACCGGAATGAATCCCCTCCTTTTCTAGAGCATTTGTCACTCTGTATGGCTATTCTCATGTTCTACAATAATTTAAATCTTGGTGTTAACTAGGATTAAGCTCAGCTACATGTAACTGAAAATTATCCAAAATAATAATAGCTTAAACACATATATTCTTTTCTCTTTCACATATTGAAGTCCTGAAGGAGGCAGCTGAAAGCTGTTTCACTGCTTCATGGTGTCATCAACTTAGGTTCTTCTGTCCTGTTGCCCTGCCGTCCTTGGCACATGGCTTCAACCTCAGGGTTTAAAATGGTTGCTCAAGCTGGGGCCATTGTATCCACAATCTAATCAGCATGAAAGAGGAAGAGAGGAAGAAGAGCATCGCCTCTGCACTTCAAGGGCCCATTCTGAAAGTTGTATATACCACTTCCACGTATATTACACTAGCCAGGATTGAATCACACGTCCATATCTAGCAACCAAAGCAGCTGACAAATGCAGCCTTTATTCCATGTGGCCATATGCTGAGTTTAACAATATAGGGGTTATATTAATAGGGCATAAAGACAGGATGATATAGGTACAACTATTAATCTCTGCTCCATTTACCTATGAGAAGTATAAACTTTTTGATCTATGTTTGATTAACTTTGTAATATAAATCAATACATTTGATCTATAGTTGATCTAACTTTATAGTCTTAGAATCAGGAACAGTGTCATATATATTAATATTGAATGAACAACTACATGGATAAGAGTAAGGTATGGGGATACTAGTCCTCTGCACTTTTATTGACTCTGTCAATTCAAGTGACATTGAATATTGAGCTTGAATACATCTGGCATTGATTTTATTTTCTCTTTAATTTTTATTTGATTTTATTTTTGAGACAGGGTCTCGCTCTGTTGCCCAGGCTGAACTGCATTGTCACAGTCATGGCTTACTGCAGTCCCAGCATCCTGGGCTCAAGCAGTCCTCTCGCCTCAGCTTCTCGAGTAGCTGGAACAGGCACGTGCCACAACGCTTCGATAATTTTTTTTTTTTTTTTTTTTTTTGTAGAGACAGGGTCTCATTATTTTACCCAGGCTGGTCTGGATCTCCTGAGCTTGAACAATCCTCCTGACTCAGCCTCCCAAAGTGCTGGGATTGCAGGTGTGAGCCACTGCACCTGGCTTTGATTTTATCTTATTATGCTCACATGCCTACCAGACATTGAGAACCAAAGTGATATTTAAATATAGGGAAGTAAGGCCGGGCATGGTGGCTCATGCCTGTAATCCCAACACTTTGGGAAGCCTAGGTGAGCAGATCACCTGAGGTCAGGAGTTCAAGACCAGCCTCGCCAACATGGCGAAACCCTGTCTCTACTAGAAATACAAAAATTAGCTGGGTGTAGTGGTGCATGCCTGTAATCCCAGTTACTCAGGAGGGTGAGACACAAGAATCGCTTGAACCCGGGGTGGGGGTGGGGGGAGGTTGCAGTGAGCCGAGATTGTGCCACTGCACTCCAGCCTGGGTGACAGAGTGAGACTCTGTCTCAAAAATAAAAATAAAAATAAATAAATACAGGGAAGTGAGATGAAAGTGATTACTCCAAATATTTTGAGCAATGGATATCTGGAAATCATGTGTATTATACTTATGCTAACGTCAAATTTAAATGCCATTATTGGCAAGCTTACTGTTATTGCTCCACTCCAAATATCTGTATGGTTCAGATTTATTTTTATACTTTTTATTTTTTTGAGACAGAGTCTTGCTCTGTCATCCAGTGCAGTGGCACAATCTCAGCTCACTGCAACCTCCGCCTTTCAGGTTGAAGCATTTCTCCTGCCTCAGCCTCCCAAGTAGCTGGGATTGCAGGTGCCCGCCACCACGCCCAGGTAATTTTTTGTATTTTTAGTACAGACGGGATTTAACCATCTTGGCCAAGCTGGTCTTGAACTCCTGACCTCATGATCCACCCGCTTTGGCCTCCCAAAGTGCTAGACTTACAAGCATGAGCCACCGCACCCGGCCAATGGTCCGGATTTAAAATTCACAAATCTGACCCTGGCTGATTATCAAAAGCATTGGGATTGTCAACTTTAATTTAAAAGAAGAAATGTGGATTACTGTCTTTCTTGTTCCTTTCTCTCTGGGCCAGTGACAGATTATGTCATCTTGTCGCTGAAAGCTGCTTGGATTTGAAGAAGCTTTCTAAAATATACTCCTCCACTACCACCCCCAATAATGAAAAATGTTGGCTTTGGAGGAGTTAGGTCATATCCCCTTGGGTACCCCCACACACTATAATTTATAATTCGAGTTCCCTAGCTCCATCTTAGATTGTGGTATGGGAGGAAGACTGTTGAATTTCACTTTCTAGTTCTCTATCTATTGGTCACTAGAGCTTAGGACTCTAAGGCTTCCTATCATGTTTCATGTCTGCATGAAGGTTTAAAGCGTTTCCCTAACAACTCACAGATACACTGTTGGGAAGCAAAGGCCTTCCATTTGGGCAAGAACAGGAAGAAGAGGGGAGTGGGAACTAAATACTACAGGAATTTAAATATAAAATAAATTGTATCTCTGTCTCTTACATTCTCCCTATAATGGCTACAATCTTCTAATTTTGTTTGACTTCCTTTTATGTGCCTAACACCATAGAGCAGGCTTTATCATTAAAACTCAGATTTGATCAGGTTTTGATGAAGCTCAGAAGCTTAATCTTCTATACACTGACAGGAAGATTTAAAGTTGAATCGACCCACCCATTCAACAATTGCCTGTTGAGTGAGGACTCAACAGGCAATATGACTAACATCAATACTTAAAATGAACACAAAGATGAATCTCATGTCAGGTTGGCTCTCAGGAAGATGACAAGCTAACCACACAAAATAAATATCACACAAGAGGTATAGATTCGCATTATTCAAAATAGCAATGGATTAAAGAAGATATTTCTTTTCCATTTTAAGATATGTAGAGGTGGGAAACCATGGTGACAGGGTTACTCTGCCATGTCTAGCCCTGTCTAGCTTTCATTTCTAAGGCTCCTTCATGGTCTCATGCTGTTTTGGGAGTTCCAGCCTTCAGAATGAGCAGGAAAGAAGAAGAGCGGCTGGGCGTGGTGGCTCACGCCTGTAATCCGAGCACTTTGGGAGGCCGAGGCGGGCAGATCACGAGGTCAGAAGATCGAGATCATCCTGGCTAACACGGTGAAATCTGTCTCTACTAAAAAATACAAAAAAAAATTAGCCGGGCGTGGTGGCGGGCGCCTGTTGTCCCAGGTACTCGGGAGGCTGAGGCAGGAGAATGGCGTGAACCCGGGAGGCGGAGCTTGCAGTGAGCCAAGATCGCACCACTGCACTCCAGCCTGGGCGACAGAGTGAGACTCTGTCTCAAAAAAAAAAAAAAAAAAAAAAAAAAAAAAAAAGAAGAAGAGCAAGAATGGCATATTAGATTCCTAGGGGTGCTGTAAGAAAGTGCCACAAACGTGGTGGCTTAATACAACAAAAACTTATTCTTTTATAGTTTCGGAGGCCACAAATGTGAAACAAGGTGTAAGCAATCAATCAAGGCATGAACAGGGCCATGTTTCCACCAAGGCTCTACTGGACAATCCGTCCTTGCCTCTTCTACCTTCTAATGGCTCCAGGTATTCCTTCGCTTGGGGCTGCATAACTCCAGTCTCTGCTCTGTCGTCGTATTGCTCTCTCTACCGTGTGTCTCTGTGTTTCAAATGTTCCTCTACCTTTGCCTTGTCATTGGATTAAGGGCTGCCCTTCCTGTATTTAGGATGATTATCTCAGGATCCTTCACTTCATCACACATGCAAAGATTCTTTTTCTCGTTTCCAAGTGGACATATCTTTCAAGAAGCCACAATTGAACCCATTATACCCTCTCACTTTTGATAGAAACTATTCAGTTTCCATACCTAACTACATGGGCAGCGGAGAAATGTAGTATTTACTCAGTGGACATGTACTCAATTAAACATGAGACATTCCATTACTAATTATAAGTAAAAGTGATATTGTTTTACTAAAAAGTTACTTAGAAAATGTGACAGATTATTATAACACTCTGCTCATTTGGAATGATGCCCAATTCTAATGTTAGATTTGTATGCTTCATAAAAATAAAAAGTAGTAACCTCATATAAAACAGAAACTGTAAAAGCCCTACTGGGGGCTGGGCACGGTGGCTCATGCCTGTAATCTCAGCACTTTGGGAGGCTGAGGCAAGCGGATCACGAGGTCAGGAGTTCCAGACTAGCCTGACCAACATGGTGATACCCTGTCTCTACTAAAAATACAAAAGTTAGCCAGGCACGGTGGTGCGTGCCTATAATCCCAGCTACTCGGGGGACTGAGGCAGGAGAATTACTTGAACTCAGGAGGCGGAGGTTGCAGTGAGCCGAGATCTCCCCACTGCACTCCAGCCTGGGTGACAGAGCAAGACTTTGTCTGAAAAAAAAAAAAAACTGACAAATTCCATAATTGCCATATTTTCCTGAGGTGTTCATAGGTTAGGTAAGCTAGTTTATACTCCTTTTGCTGTTGCTTCTCTATGCCTTAACTCTAGCTCTAACTCTGAAAAATCTCATACTTTTTTAAATTAATTTTTTTTTGAGATGGGGTCTTGCTTTGTTGCCCAGGCTGGAGTGTAGTGCTGTGGTCATAGCTCACTGCAGCCTCAAACTCCTGGGTTCAAGCAATCCTCCTGCCTCAGCCTCCTGAGTAGCTGGGACTACAGGTATGTGCCACCATATCTATCTAATTAAAAAAAAAAACACCTTTTTTTTTTTTGTGTGTGTGTGTGTGTAGAGATAAGATTTCATGATATTTCCCAGATTCCCAGACTGGTCTCAAACTCCCGGCCTCAAGTGATTCTCTTTCCTCAGCTTCCTGAAGTGCTGGAATTAGAGGCATGAACCTCTGCGTCTGGCCTCAGACTTTTTTTTTTAATCAGGAAAGAAATCAGCCGGGCGCAGGGGCTCATGCCTGTAATCCCAGCACTTTGGGAGGCCGAGACAGGCGGATCACCTGAGGTCGGGAGTTCGAGACCAGCCTAACCAATAAGGAGAGACCCTGTCTTTACTAAAAATACAAAATCAGCCATGCGTGGTGGCTGGCACCTGTAATCCCAGCTACTCAGGAGGCTGAGGCAGGAGAATTGCTTGAACCCTGGAGGCGGAGGTTGCAGTGAGCCAAGACTGCACCATTGCACTCCAGCCTGAGCAAGAGGGCGAGACTCCATCTCAAAAAAAAAAAAAAGAAAAAGAAAAAGAAAGAAATCAGTCTACATTTGAGAAGAAAAATCTGTTAAGCTCATAGACGTATAATATGGGGGCAATAAAGTGTTTCTTTTTGAAAAGAGGCAATTGATTATCTAGTCAATCTAGTCAAATGGAACCATTTCTATATAGAGTTGAGAAAAGTAAAGAAATAAAGCCTCAGGCTTAAAATAAACTACACTACATGAAGAGACATTTCTAGGACTCAGAAAGTAGAGAGCAGCCTGATACTCAAAGTTTTGGGTGGTGGATCTTGGTTTATAAAGCTATGAAGAGTAAAGTCAAGATACGGGCGTACCTCAGCAATATTGTAGGTTTGATTCCAGACCAGCGCAATGAAGCAAATGTAACAATGATGCAAGTCCACCAATTTTTTGATTTCAGTGTATATAGATTTCAGTGTATATAGAAGTTATGTTTAGGCCAGGTGTGGTGGCTTCTACCTGTAATTCCAGCATTTTTGGGGGGCCAGAGTGGGAGGACTGCTTGAGGCCAGGAGTTTAAGACCAGCCTGGGCAGCATGGAAAGACCTCATCTCTACAAAAAATTTTAAAAAGTTATCTGGGCATGGTGGCACTCACCTGTGTTCCTAGATACTCCAGAGGCTGAGGCAGGAGGTTCGCTTGAGCCCAGGAGGTTGAGGCTGCAGTGAGTCTTGTTTGAGCCATTGTACTCCAGCCTGGATGACAGAGCAAGACCCTGTCTCAAGAAAAAAGAAAAAAAAAGAAGTTAAGTTTACACTATACTGTAGTCTATTGTGTGAAATAGCCTTATGTCTTAAAAAATGTACATATGTTAGTTTTAAAATACCTTATTGCAGCCGGGCATGGTGGCTCACGCCTGTAATCCCAGCACTTTGGGAGGCCAAGGCGGGCAGATCACGAGGTCAGGAGATCGAGACCATCCTGGCTAACACGGTGAAACCCCGTCTCTACTAAAAATACAAGAAATTAGCTGGGCATGATGGTGGACGCCTGTAGTCCCAGCTACTCCAGAGGCTGAGGCAGGAGAATGGCATGAACCCGGGAGGCAGAGCTTGCAGTGAGCTGAGATCACGCAACTGCACTCCAGCCTGGGTGACAGAGCGAGACTCCATCTCAAAAAAAGATGGAGACAATCCTCTTCAACCCTGCTACTGCTTTATCAACTAAGTTTAGGTTATATTCTAAATTCTTTGTTGTAATTACAACAATGTTCTCAGCATCTTCACCAGGAGTAGGTTTAACTTAAGAATCCACTTACTTTGCTTATACATAAGAAGCAACTCCTCATCCATTCAACTTTGATCATGAGATTGCCACATCTTTAGGATTCACTTGTAATTGTAGTTCTCTTGCTGTTTCCACCACATCTGCAGTTATTTTCTCTACTAAACGCTTGAACCCCTCATAGTCATCAATATGGGTTGAAATCAGCTTCTTCCAAACTTATATTAATGTTGATATTTTGATTTCCTCCTATGAATCACAAATATTTTAATGGCAACTAGAATAGTCAATCCTTTCCAAAAGGTTTTCAATTTATTTTGCTCAGATCTATCAGAGGAATCACTATCTATGGCAGCTATAACCTTATGAAATATATTACTTAAAGAATAACACTTGAAAGTAAAAATTACTTCTTGATTCATGAGCTATGGAATGAATGTTGTGTTCACAGCCAAGAAAAACAATATTAATCTTCCTGTACATCTCCATCAGAGCTCTTGGGTGATCCGGTCCACTGTCCATGAGCAGTACTATTTTGAAAGGAATCCTCTTTTCTGAGCAATAGGTCTCAACAGAGGACTTAAAATTTTCAGTAAACCATGATTTAAACAGATGTGTTGTTATCCAAGATTTGCTGTTCCAATTCTAGTGCACAGACAGAATAGATTTAGCATCTTAAGGGCCCTGGGATTTTGAGAATGGTAAATGAGCATTGGCTTCAACTTAAAGTCACCAGCTGCAATTAGCCCCTAACAAGAGTCAGTCTGCCCTTTGAAGCTGGCAGACATAGACTTCTCCTCTCTAGCTATAAATATCCTAGATGGCATATTCTTCTAATAGAAGGCTGTTTCATCTACATTGAAAATCTGTTGTTTAGTGTAGTCAACTTCATCAGTGATCTCAGCTACATCTTCTGGATAACTTGCTGCAGCTTCTACATCAGCACTTGTGGCTTTATCTTGCTTTTTTTTTTTTTTTTTTCCTTGAGATAGAGTCTCACTCTGTCATCCAGGCTGGAGTGCAGTGGTGCGATCTTGGCTCACTGCAAGCTCTGCTTCCTGGGTTCAAGCAATCCTCCTGCCTCAGCCTCCCAAGTAGCAGGGATTACAGGTGTTTGCCACCGCACACGGCTTATTTTTGTATTTTTAGTAGAGACAGGATTTCACCATGTTGGTCAGGTTGGTCTAAAACTCCTGACTTCAGGTGATCCACCCACCTCAGCCTCCCAAAGTGCTGGGATTACAGACGTGAGCCACCATGCCTGGCTTATCTTGCACTTTTATGTTCTGGAGATAGCTTCTCTCTTTCAGCCTCTTAAACCAACCTCTTTTGTTCTGCAGTTTCTTCCCCTCTCTCAGACTTCATAGCATTGAAGAGTTAGGACCTTGCTCTGGATTAGGCTTTGGTTTAAGGGAATGTTGTGTCTGGTTTGGTCTTATATCCAGACCACTCAAACTTTCTCCTTATCAGCCAAAGGCTGTTTTGCTCTCTTATGGTTTCATGTGTTCACTGAGGTAGCACTTCTAATTTTCTTCTAGAACTTTTCCTTTGCATTCATAATTTTGCTAGCTATTTGGTGCAAGAAGACTAGCTTTTGGCCTATCTCAGTTTTCAATATGTTCTCCTTACTAAATTTAATCATTTCTAGTTTTTGATTGAAAAGTGAGAGATGTGTGACTCTTCCTTTCACTTGGCCTAATTTAAATGGTGTTGTGTCTCAGGGAATAGGAAGATACAAGGAGAGATAAAGAGCTGGAGGAAAGACCAATCAGTGGAGCAGTCAGTATACATACAAATTATTGATTAAATTGGCTGTTATATAGGCACAGTATACGTTGCCCCAAAATAATTACAATAACATGAATGATCACTGATGACAGACCACCATAATAGATATAATAGTAATGAATGTGTTGAAATATTGCAAGAATTACCAAAATGTGACATAGACATGAAATGAGTACATGCTTTTGGAAAAATGGCACCAATAATCTTGTTCAACTTGGGGTTGATACAGCCTTCAATTTGCAAAAAATGCAGCATCTGCAAAGAGCAATAAAGTGTAACACAATAAAATGGCGTATGTTTGTGTCAACGAAGATCTAAGCTTTTACAAGAAACTATCCTAAACCTATTAACTAAACACATTACCCTCGTAATCTTAGGAATTTCTGTATGTCAAATTTTCAGACAAATTTGAGTCTTCTCACAAAGTTTATTTAGGGGTTTTGTTTTGCTCTGTGAGCCGATAATACATTTAAGACAGGATATCAATTCAAAATTGTTTTGCTAATCTAACATTTTTCTCCACATAGCCCTCTTTGCTTGTCTAGGGTTTCTTTTTATCAGTTTCCTGAGCTGCTTCTTTTCTTCCTCTTCCTCTTCCTCTTCCTCTTCCTCTTCCTCCTCCTCCTCCTCCTCCTCCTCTTCCTCTTCCTCTTCCTCTTCCTCTTCTTCTTCTTCTTCTTCTTCTTCTTCTTTTCTTCTTCTTCTTCTTTTTGGTATCCAAAAGCAGAATGATGACTCACCTTAAAGAAGAATTTTTTCATTTGCTACATATTACTCAGAATAAAACTAACTCTCATATGAGGAAGTGACAGGAGAAATAGAAATCTCTTTCTCAAGGTAAACAAAACAAAATTTTAAAAAAGAAATCCTTGGTTGTCAAAGTTGCCAATCAAGTTTAGATTTCTACACCCATTTTACTATTCTTGACTTTAAACTGCCCATCAGAACAGACTCTGAGATATGAAGGGATACTTAATGCTCTCCTTCTTGTCCAAAGGATCCAATCAAGTCTGTTAGCAGTCAAAGAGACAGTAACTCCAAGCTATAAAACTCTAACCCACTGAGTATATTATGTGCTTAGTTTTGTCCAGATTTATTACCGTTTAGCAAATCCAGGTGCAGTTTATAAGCGAAGCTTTGTAAGGAATTTTCCATTGAGCAGTCAGTGTTGCATACAAGCAATTCCTGATTTTTAAAAGCCCATTTAACTTTCAGTATTACTAAACTTTAATACTGCAATATTAGTCAGGCTTATGAGAGCTAAAAAAAAGGAAGTCTAGTTTTCTCTTGTTTCCTTGGAAACAGGCAAAATTTTGAAATAAAAAAAAATTCTGAATGCCCTTTTAGTAGTATCCCATTTTGTTTTTTCACGGTCACTTCCAAGACCACCCAGATAAACAGCTTCAGTATCTTCTTCCTGCCCTAAGTGCCCTTTGTAGGACTCTTTCGGGGCCAATCCTGCTCTTCAAGGTATTCTCTGTTCCCAATAGTCCTATCACTCCTTCCTGAGTCTAACTGGATTTTCAGCCCCACAGCCTTCCTTTGGGTATTATGAGGAGTGCAATCTGATTGAATTAGTTTGAATTCTGTAATTCAAACTAGTGTGTAATAGTTTCTTCAGTTTCAAGTTGTTT
This sequence comes from Homo sapiens, assembly GCF_000001405.40. Classification (NCBI taxonomy): domain Eukaryota; kingdom Metazoa; phylum Chordata; class Mammalia; order Primates; family Hominidae; genus Homo; species Homo sapiens. The sequence continues at coordinate 17,984,272 of NC_000007.14, forward strand.
ACATTATTAAAGGAGAATGCTTCTTACTTAATCAGGATGGCCAACTGCAAGAATTTCATTCAGGACAACAAAATGAAATGAAATAAATAGTTTCTACTATAACATGAAGGAGTTAAACTGGATGACTTTTCATATTCCCTTTACCCCTGATGTTCTTTAACTTTATAACATAATAAGGGTTGTAAAAGGGAAGGATATTTCTGGCCACAGGGTGTCAGTTTCTGCAGCCTTTTTCCTCCCACACCTGGACTACCCAGACTCAGCTCAACTGTTGTCCTTAGGACCAATCTGGACTTTAGGCTGGAATCATGAAAGAAGCTCCAAAACAACACAAATATAATGCGAGTCACATATGTAATTTTAAGTTTTCTAGTAGCCACATTTTAAATAGTAAAAAGAAATAGGTGCTGGGTACAGTGGCTCACACCTGTAATCCCAGCACTTTGGGAGGCCAAGGTGACCTCTCTCTCTCCAACACCCCTTATAAAAAGAAAAAAGGAAATTTTATTTTATTTTATTTTATTTTGAGACAAGATCTCACTCTGTCTTCCAGGCTGGAGTGCAGTGACACAATCTTGGTCACTGCCTCCGGCTCTCGGGCCCAAGCGATCCTCCACCTCAGCCTCCTGAGTAGCTGGGACTACAGACACCACCACCACACCCAGCTAATTTTTGTATTTTTTGTAGAGGTGGGGCCTTGCTATGTTGCCCAGGCTGGTCTCAAACTCCTGGACCCAAGCAATCACCCACCTTGAAATCCCAAAGTGCTGGACGGGCTTGAGCCACTGCGCCTGGTCTAAATTTTTTTTTCATAGTTTATTTTATTTAACCCAATATATTCGAAATGTTCAACATGTAATCAATATAAAAATTATTAATGACTATTTTACATTACTATTTTCATAGTCTTTAAAACCCAGTGTGTTTTTTAGGCTTACAGCACATCTCAGTTCAGACTAGCAACATTTCACGTACTTAATAGCCACATGTGACTAGTGGCTACCTTAGTCACCAGGACAGCGTAGTTCTAGACCATGACTTTTGACCTCGGCTGCATATTAAAATCATTTGGGGACCTTTGAAAAGTGCTTACATTTAAGCTGAACCCCAGACTTTAACTTAGAATCTATTGGAGTAGAACCTGACCTCAGGGATTTTTTTTAAAAGCTATCCAGGTAATTACGATGGTTGAGTACATTCTAGATGAGTGTTTTTCAACTTTTGCTTACAACACTTGGATAGTTTTTGTTTTAAAGAGCAACATCTAGGCTCCACCAACGGAAAACCCAATTTTAATTAGTTTAGAATGGGTACTAGGCAAAAATATTTGTTTAAATTTCTCCAAGTGGTTACAACATACTAGCTGGGTAAAGAAGCATTGGCTGACACTTTTGAACTTAGTACTCTGTTAGCTCCTTTCTCCACAGTCTTCCTGATCAGCTGGTAACAGGCTTCTACCTTGTTTCCAAGACCCACTTCACAAACTATACCCTCAGCCTTTTACCTGGTTGCTTGTTTTTGTTCCTCTGCTTGACCCTACTTCATGTCTAGCTAGTATTCCATGTCCATAGGTCTGCAGTCCTTTGCCTTGCTGGGTTTTCTCTCGGGCACTAGAATTCTCCCTCGAGTACCCACCAGTGAATAGGTCACCTTCTGACACTTCCTTGTTAGTAGTTGTTGGCCTGTGGGGATTCCCAGGTATTACCCTTCCCTGGATTCTATATCTTTATGCTTGATTGCTCATTGGACACCTTCCTCAGACCACAATAGACTTCCCCATGCCCTGGGGTTGCCTCTACTACCACCTACTGCCTGTTTGTATCGACTCCAGGTGCCACAGACTTCCTCAGCCTTCAGCTGGGTTTATCACCGCAGCACGTGCCCCCCAACACAGTATTATATCCAGGTCATATATTCTCCTACTCTGCCCATTCTGATACAGCCAGACAGATTGAATAAAATCCCAGGAGAAGGAATGTCTCTATGATAAGGGCACATTTTATTGTCCCTCCTCCTTCCCTGAAAGCCCCCACTATAGTAAATCTTTTTGTTGTTGTTGTTTGTTTGTTTTTGAGATGGAATCTCTCTCTGTCACCCACCCAGGTTGGAGTGCAGTGGCGCAATGTTGGCTCACTGCAACCTCTGCCTCCCGGTTCAAGTGATTCTCCTGCCTCAGCCTCCTGAGTAGCTGGGACTACAGGTGCCTGCCACCACATTCGGCTAATTTTTGTATTTTTAGTAGAGACGGGGTTTCACCATGGTGGCCAGTCTGGTCTTGAACTCCTGACCTCAAATAATCTGCTAGCCTCGGTCTCTCAAAGTGCTGGGATTACAAGCATGAGCTTTGTAATCCCAGTAGTGGGATTACATTGAAATACCACTGTGCCCAGCCTAGAGTAAATTTTCTTCCACTGTGAATAAACTTTATAAATTTTCCCCTAGTACTGCTTTGTGCAGAAACTGTGTTCTTTCTCTTATGAGCTGCATCTCAGGTACTACTATAACCATCTACACACTAAACCAAGCTAGGAGCCTCGGGGATGCCTTTCACTTCTGTGTTCCCGATCTCCAACTGGTTATCATGTTTTTTAAAAAATTATTATTTTACCAAATTTCTCCATGTTATGACACACCCCTGCACTTATCTCCCTGCACTTAACTTTCCAGAATACATTGAAATAGCACACACTTGCTTACAACTTCTGCTGGTTCCCATTTGCTTACAAACTTAAGTACAAATTCCTAAGCATGACACACGGCAATAAAATTAGCAATGTATAATGCTGCCAGGACTGAGTTAAGAACTCCCATGTTTCAGCCTATCCTCAATCTTTCTTTTCAGCCTCACCTTATTATGTTTGTCTCATGCCTTCTGTCTAATCTTCTTGAACATGCACTGTGCATTCAAGAACTTTTCCCATGTTGCTGTTCCCATGTTTATGTTTAAATGGAGTAGCTATTCTAAAGTTCTGTGACTCTGTGTTTTTCCTCTATGGATCCTTAGGACTTTGTGCTGAATTACATTACTAGCACTTACTGGATGATTAGTTATTTATGTCTGTTTACCCAGTTAGAATGTGAGCAGACATTTCTTCTCCTTTCTGTGTTCTCCTCCCTGGCACATGCTAGGCACTCAATAAATGTTAGATATAGTTATTTTATAAGACGACCATAGCTTAATGTATGTGGAACTGTGGAGATTCTTTTATCTTCACCCATTTCAAAAGTTAATCATTGGTATGCATTCTGAGAGCATTTGATTTTTTAAAAAATGAAGATTTTAGTCCCAGGTTTCATTTTTCCTTCTTTTCTTTTTGTCACAAACATCAGTCAGTGCTATTTATTGTCTCAGAGAAAAGTAAAGAGAGGCAGAATAAATAACTAATACTGGCTTCTGAAATTTTACGGTAAAAACCAATAATATGTCAAAGCATACTGATTTGCAAGAATTGAACAATTTGAAGGAGAAAATTATTTTAGGTCTCCAAAAGTCAGAACTTAGAGAACCAAGCAAAGTTTATACCAGAAACTTTCAAACCTTTTTTGACAGTAACTCCCAGAAATAAATATTTTACACCTTGGTTCAGTGTAAAACACACACACACACACACACACACACACACACACACACACACAAAGTATTACAAAACAATACATACCCTTATTACATGACAGAGTTATATTTTCTATTCTGTTTGATTTTATTTAATTTTAACAAAAATGATTTTATAAACTATTAATGAGTCACGATTCATGGTGTGAAAAAATCTCTGGTTTATCCTACAAACCATAAAATGGGAAGAATTTATTGTTAAATGTCAGGGCATCTTTTTCACCACAATGAAAAGAGATAAAATGTCAATTAGCTGTTGAAGAAGAAGACGAAAGGGACGTGGCTAAGATTTTCATTCTGCCTTAGCTAGAAAATCCAAATAGGTTGAGGAGGAATTAAAGAAAAACATCTAAGAAGAACACAGGCCCCTTAGAGAGGCTTGGCAGAAACCCTGGCGCTGATAGAACTTTTGTGACGACAGCTGATGGGAGTGTCTGGGATCCAAGGCCTGAAAGCACACTTGTACAGGCCCATACATTTCAGCACAGGAAGGGACACAGCTGAGTGTCCTTGAGTTCTCAAGTGGTATATAGAAGAACTGAGAGGCCTGGGGGACTAGAAACGGCCCGACACTAGGAGAGAAAACCTCTAAATGCATCAGATCTGGCACCACAGATAGCAGCAGCAGATGTCAGCTCATGATACCCCAAGGCCAAGCAGGGGCAGCTAAGGCACAGCAAATGCCAAGTTAAGATACCAGGTGGGACACGACACATCTAAATGGGGCACAGCCCTTGGACCAGATATTCCCTATTCTCACCCTCAACATATAAATACACCAGGGTGATCATAAATCCCCAGGGGACTTAGTTCACTTTAGGGGAGAGAAGACAAGACCAAAGATGGGGAAGAAGAAAAGAAGGAAAGTGGTACTTTAAAAAACACTATCTGCCTGAAAGACGTGAAATTTTAAAGAAGAGTTAAAGATATTGAAAATGCAGGAATATGAGATTTCCACCATCATTTCTGTACATTTGAGTAATGACTGCCAATTTTAAACCTACTAAACACAGTTGCCAAAGTAATACATTATCCAATGGCTAGCGTCTTCCATCATCAGCAAAGGTTCTCTGAATGATACACATAACGATGAAAATTTTGTCATTCTTCTTGTTTACCTTAACAGAACATAGCCAGAGGGAGGCGATGCTGCAGCAGCCACTGATGGTGATCTCTTGAGGTAGCTGGGGCACTACAGCAGCCAGGCCAAGGCAGGGAAGAGCTGGAAGGCCGTCAGTGGGGATAATGTAAATCCAGAACGAGCCTGGGCTACAGAGGGATATCTGAAATGGAGAGTTTGACTAGCCCCTTGGGGCAAAGCAGTGACTAGAACAGGATCCCAAGAAAGAACGCTTGCTGAACCTCTTATGGCATGAGAACGGTGCAATGGGAACACACTAGGGTCCAATGCTGGGTGACCGAGGAGGAAGACCCTGAACCATTGCGGAAGCCAGCTAAATAGGAGACAGGCTGTGTACAGGAGCTAGTTAGCTAGTTTGTTCAAGAGTAGCTATGAAGCTGAATTCATGATATGAGTTTTACTGGTACCATTTTTCTTTCTTTCTCTTTCTTTCTTTTCTTTCTTTCTTTCTTTCTTTCTTTCTTTCTTTCTTTCTTTCTTTCTTTCTTTCTTTCTTTCTTTTTTTTTTTTTTAAGATAGGATCTTGTTCTGTCGCCCAGGCTGGAATACAGTGGCATGATCTGGGCTCACTGCAACCTCTGCCTCACAGGTTCAAGCCATCCTCCTGCCTCACCCTCCGGAGTAGTTGAGACTATAGGCGTGAGCCACCATGCCTGAGCACTGGTAACATTTTGAACTCTGAACTTGCCCTGCCTGCTTTTAAAGGCACATTGCCTCCTTATGGACAGAGCCCTCATGGAACTCTGATGAGTCACTACTTTCCATTCCCACAAACCACTTTCTTCCTCCAATTCTTAGATCGCTCCATCTAGCTTCCTCTCTGCCCTGCTTCAGTTTGAAGGATACTTGCGTTTTTCCTAACACCTTCACTTTTATTCAACATCTGCCCACTAAACTTGCCTCTCTATAGACAATGTACCTTATGGTAGATGACAAATATGCTCTCATTAGCACTCTTAAAGGTTCTTTGGCCATCCCTGCCTCAACTTTGTATCAGTTGAGGAATTTGTCCTTTTTTTTTTCTGTTATATCCAGGTTACAAAGCACATCTGTAAACTATTGGGTAACTGTATAGAATAGGACCATTTCATGTACAGCCTACCCAATCTCAACTGGTACTTTAATATTGTGTGAATTTTTGAGACAGAGTCTTGCTCTGTCGCCCAGGCTGGAGTGCAGTGGCACAATCTCAGCTCACTGCAACCTCCATCTCCCAGGTTCAAGTGATTCTCCTGCCTTAGCCTCTCAAGTAGCTGGGATTATAGGTGCTTGCCACCACACTTGGCTAATTTTTGTATTTTTATTAGAGATAAGGTTTTACACCATGTTGGCCAGGCTGGTCTTGAACTCCTGACCTCAGGTAATCTGCCTGCCTCGGCCTCCCAAAGTGCTGGGATTACAGGTGTAAGCCACCATGCTTGGCCTGAAATTCTTTTAAAAAATGGCACGTGTTGCTATACATTCTCCCAAAAGCTCTAGTAACCTGCCAGATCTCTTATTTGTATTAATATAAATAATAGTTCATATTTATTGAACACTCCTTGTGATAGGTGCTTTATAAGCATTATCTCATTTAATCCTCATAACAACTCTATGACAGATACTATTCTTCTTTTTTTCACATTCACCAGTTTATTATGAGGGATATTACAAAGGCTACAGATGAAGAGATGCATAGGATGAGATACGGGGGAAGAGATACAGAGCTTCCATTCTCAACCTGGGCTCGCCACCCTCCGGGAACCTCCAGGTGTTCAGCTATCCGGAAGCTCTCTGAAGTTGGTTTTCCTGGGTTGTTATGGATGCTTCCTGATATTAGCATTCCTTCCCCCCCGGGTACAATGCAAGACTCTCTCTGGAATGAGAGTTTTATGTCCCATAATCAGAAAAGTGGGGAAGATTAGAGTCCTGCCTTGGAGCAGGTGAAAGGAGGGCAGGAGAAAGTCAGAGACATTCTGCTTCCTGAGGCTGACCCTGAGGCCTAACATACCCAACATTACAGCAAAAGACTGTAATAGGGGCTATGAGAGTTATGAGCCAGAAACCATGGAAGAAAGCATAGATAGATGATAGATAGATAGATAGAAAGATAGATAGATAGATAGATAGATAGATATCTTTTATATATCTACATATATAAACAGATCATAACACTACAGGCCACCCCCTGGTTTTCGAACACAGATCCATTACATCAACAGAATATTCACAGTAACGAATAATTAGTCCAGTCCATCATATTGTATGAATGTCCCCCAGGGAGAGGCCATTTATGTTTGTTGGCTTTCTTTCAATCTTGTCAGGTTCCAAAAGCAGAAGTGGCCCTGGCAAATGTATAGCTTCACCTTTTCAGGCATCTGGAATAATTGAACTAAGAGACAATGTTATCTCTTGCTCTGAGACCCTTTCAAGTTGTTAAGGTAATATTGGATTTCCCTCCATTTATAACCCATTTTTTCATTTATTTACCCTCAGCTATTATTAGTACTCCTTTTTCCCATTTGTCATTTATTTTTTACCGAAACTTTTCCACCTTCGGAAGGGATATTAGGTTTGGCCACTGTGCTGGTCCACATTGCTGGTAGCAATACTAGTCTAACAAGTGCCTCTCTCTCAGACCATTCCCGCCCACAGAAGGTAGGGTTACATGGGTTCTGGACTCGTGAGCCACCCTACTACCAGGCTATATAGCTGTATTCACTTTTAGCCCCAATTTGCCAGATGGGGCGAAGTCACAATCCACTCCCATCAGGCCCATAGGAATTCTGACATAAAGTTTTAAAACATAGTTTCTTAGTTACAGAAATCATCCCTGCTTCAGCAGTTATGTTGTAGCCCTGGTCCTAGGGCCCCTGCATCATGTAGGGGAGGAAAAAAAATGTGTTTAGATGACTTGGGGAAGAAATAAAAAAATTATAGTCATTAGCCAGCATACCCCTCCCTTGGCAAGAATTGCATATTCATACCAGCAACAGATACTACTATTAATCTCAAACTACAGGAGAAGGAATTTAGGGTTAGAGACATTAAGTCATTTGCTGCAGGTCACAGTCCAGAAAAAACGCATTTTAACCACTCAGCAGCTTCGCATTCTTCTCAACAGGCATTTCTACATTTTCCCTGCTCTCTCCTGAAGCTCTCCAGGACTCCTGCACTCCAGTTCTTTCCAGCAAATGTCCTTAACTTTCCACAGCAATGCAGGAGAGGAGACTGACTGGAGCAACTGTTTACACCTTCCTCTTCCCCCACATCTGTCAGCGTCTTTCCCCCAATATATATGTGAGAATTGTCAAGTCCAGATCCTCCTTTCTTCTTCTAGGTCTTGCATTCATTCTTTCCTTTAACTTCTCCCTACTAACGCTTTTTTTTTTCTTTTTTTTTTTTTTTTAGTTTTTTATTTTGAGACTGTCTCCCTCTGTTGCTCTCTCAGCCTGTAGTGAAGTGGCGCCCTCTCTCGGCTCACTGCAACCTCCAACCCCCGGGTTCAAATCATTCCCCTGCCTCAGCCTCCCGAGTAGGTGGGATTACGGGCATACCACCACACCCGGCTAATTTTTGTATTTTTAGTAGAGACACGGTTTCATCGTGTTGGCCAGGCTGGTCTTGAACTCCCGACATCAGGTGCTCTGCCTGCCTCGGCCACCCAAAGTTCTGGGATTATGGGCATGAGCCACCATGCCTAACTCCTAATAGCTCTTCCTTTATAGAAAATGAACACGGTCAAACCTTTCTCATCTTAAAAAAAAATCATTAAGTTGTCCAGTCCTTCTAGCTACTTCCATTTTTTCATGTTCATAGTCAAGCTTCATGGGAGTAGTCTGCGCCACTGGTGTCAATCCTCGAGATTAAGAGACCTAGGAGGACACAGGCCACACCTGTCTTGTTTACTGTTCCACCCACCTACACTTCATGCTAAGCACAGTTCCTACCCTAATAAGCATCTGTTAAAGTTTTGTTAAATTAGTGAAAAGATGCAGAGATGCATGGAAAAAATAAATAAGATTTCTATTGCCAATCAGTTTTTGAAAGCTGTGGTAGCCCTGCTTCTTCTAAACCCAAACTCATTATTCCCCTCTTCGTGCTTACCTCTCCTTCTGCATTAGCTTCTCCTCCCTCATCATGTATATGCAACAAGTCACCAGGTGAAAGTATTACATCAAACTAGCAAGCATGTGTGATATAAAAATAAACACATTTATATTTGTCTCCCACTCTCCTTTGAAATATTTCCTCTGGGACTAGTTTCCACTTTATCTCTTGATGAAATATAGGGCAAGACCCATGATTTTCTGGTCACTTTTAGTGACCAGCTGTATTACAACCCTGAAGGCTCGGTCTCCCAGGGACTGATCTAAATTCTTCATTCAGAAAAAGTGTCTCTCTCCTTATGGGAGATTTTTAAACCAATAGTTTGTGTATTATACATATGCACATACACACATGTACATATATACACACATATGCATATATACAAATACATGTGATATATTTAAATTAAATATGAATATAATGTAAATCATACATGTTTAATGTACACATATCCAAATATATTTTACTATATGTAATGTACAGTATATATATAGTCCACATGATATTCTGGGTTTCTTGTTATTTGCCTGATTGCCTTATTCTGAACCTTGTTTCTGTCTCTTGGTCCAGACCTTTTGGATTCATGCCTTTTAATGTTAATTTCCCCACAAGACTGTTTTTCATTTGTCCCCTTTTGCTCTATGCATCCAAGTCTATCACCAGTTCCAATCTGTGGGCCCAGACCATCTTTGAAGGAGAGAGTGTAATTTCTACTCACTTGGGAGTTCTTTAAGGAGAGACATCATATCCATTTATCCTCCAAAATGGTACTTTTCTCCTGGCATCCTAATGCTGTTCCCATCTTACACATGTGCTTTAGGACCCAGCAGAATACAGAATCCTAAATTGTCAAGCCACATATTTTGAGTCTGAAGTGATAGACATGTGAAATATTAGGTTGAACTCAGATAATCAAAGCTCAAGTTATATACCCCATCGTCTCTGCAATGGGAACGCCACAAATTCACTACCAAAATTTGCAGTAATCAAATTGAGAGTTTCAATATTAGAATTTTAGGTAGTTTGTCCCACCCCTTCCCATAACACCCACTGATGGGCTTTCTTATTACTCCTTGCGCATGCCCGCCCCCATCTATTCTACCCCCTGTCACTCACTATTTGGCATGAGTAACTCGGCCTCTGTTTGTGCCTAGGTTCATAATGTGGCAGCTGTTTTCATTACCATCTCATTATTTCACTGAGGGGGAGATGTTTCCATGGTGATGCTGAACTGCATAAGTAGAGATTTTACTACACTGAGCTTTTATCTTCTCAATGTATTAGTTAGAGGGAACTGAGCTAGAACCTTTCCAATAGGAAAAGGGTTTGTAAATCTCCCTTCTGTTTCCTGTATCTGTCTGTGCTTTTTTCAATGAAGGTAGGTCGTAATTATGAATTTTTAACAGACGGGAGTTGATAAAGAAAACCAATAGCTGTTTCTCTGTATTTTAATTAAATTGCCCTTTTAACATATCCATAGAAGCTTCCAGAATAGCATTACATAGGACAATTGACTAGCACAATTAATTTTTTCAAAATAGCCCCACCAGGGAAAGGGAATTTAGAGTCTTGAGAAAAATTCTGGATGGGAACTGGCCCAATTACTAATGTAATTACTGCTTAAGCTTTGATTGCTTCCCAAGTTGTCACTCCCTGGGGGAAACAAAGGGTCACAACAGCATTGAAATGATTACATAAAACTTTTTCTACAGGTGAATGAGTGATGCTTGGTTTCATTAATTGCTTTGTGCTTAACCCTACTTTGCAGGAGAACTTTTAATACAGTTTAATACATTCCCCTTTGCAGTAAGCCTTCAATAATTTGATATTCACTGAAAGTAAATCTGCCCATGACAGCAAATTCTTTTTCATCATTTGCTTTTGGATTTTTAGCCAAATCAAACCACATTTGTTGAACACTGAAGTTCTTAAGCACTTATATTCTTATTTAATAACTGAAGTACAAAGACAATCAAAATGTTTAAAGTAAACAGCATTGATAGTAACAGAATTAGTAAAGGCACCATTAAACAAATGCACCAATAGGATAAATACATTGGATCAAATCAATTATGGCATGGAATTCAGTTAAACGTAGATTTATCTATGACCTGATCCAATGGACTTTGATAATCAAAATAATACTAATTTCACATAGTTACTGATATGTTAATGTTATTGCTACAGAGATTTTGGCAAATTTTCAACAAATGTAAGGCAATCTGTGGTATATCAGAATTCAATGTAACAGAACATTTCTTCGTTTTCTTCTTCTTTTTTTTTTTTTTAGTAGAAACGAGGGCTCACTATGTTGCCTAGGCTGATCTCAAACTCCTGAGCTCAACTGATCCTCCTGCCTTGGCCTCTCAAAGTGCAGGGATTACAGGTGTGAGCCACCAGGCCCGGCCACAGAACACTTCTTGAGGAACTATTATGTGTGTTAGACATAGTGGTAGTTTTTTTCCCCGATATTTCTTTGCTTATTTCTTGCAATAGCATAAAGTGAATATTACTATTTCCACTTAAATGATGATGAAACCAACATTTAAGATGTGCAACAACTAGTCATACATCAAACACCCAGGCAGTATTAGAAGTGGGATTCAAATTCAGGTGTTTGTTTCTAACATCTCACTGGAAGGAATTATGAAATTATGGTAGTCACTATTAGTCTCTAAATAAACTAGGAAAGTTTTTTTGGTGGGGGACTTTCTGAACAATTATAGGGTGAGTGCCTGATGGAAAAACATAGAGTAGATAACAAAATCAAGTAGAAAAACCTTCTATAAAGAATTATATATATTAATAAACAATATTCAGCAATATCTTGGACAAGTAAATCATATATTAAAATGAAAAATCAGTTTTTTGTACATGAGAATTGGTTTGGTGGCCAGTTCAAGTTTGAGTATAGTTTTCCCTCTCCGTGAGTCCTCATTTAAAATCAAAGTGCATTAGAATCGTTCATTCCTGTTTATTCTAAACTGTTTCTATTTCAAGTAAAGCCCAATTCTAGGAGAGTAACATCTATCTCTACATAAAATGTAACTCAAATATTCTCTTCCCTCAGTATTCAGATACAATCCTTAGAATACCATAACTTGTACACTTGAAACAAGTGTAGAGTCAAGATATGATGATCTTGCCTAACTCACCCACTTGGCATTCAAAGTTCTATTTCATTACCTGCTAAGCCAGATTCAGTAAAATTTAGTCTTTGCTTATTAGAATGTTTTTATTTACATTCCCTGTAACTCTATGTTTTCTAGCTTTTAAATTAAAGAGAAATTTTGGAATTAATGGTTAAGATGAAGAAAAATAAATTTATTGACATAGGGTTATCAGGCTATTCTCTGGCCAGTATATTTCCAAAATATGCAAGATAAAGCTAACACAACCAAAGTGTTCAGTCAAGTGTTTGTGGAATTGAGTTCTTTAGAAATTGTAATTATAGACAAAGCAGAGCCCCATTTGACTGCTAGCCAAGTATCACCTGGTACTATTTTTATACAGTCTATTATTATCAAGAAATGTCTTCACAGAGAGTGAAAGTATAATGACCTTTCAGGCCGCTAAATGTGGATAAGAGCTCAATGTCAAAACAGATTGCTATGCCTCACCACATAGCTAGAACAAAAATTAATCAAAATTTTATGTGTGCAGATGGAAATGCTTAAGCCAGTTTTACATACCAATTACTGTTTGGTTCCAAAAACCTATAACTTGTTCAAGATTTAATACACACTGAACAGCCTCAGAACTCCTTGAAGAATAATAATTCAAACTTAATGTAGAATATAAGTTGACTACTGTTTCTGTGTTCTTAATTTCTATATTTTTGAGTTAAGATAAGTTATAATTCAGAGCCACACAGGAGATGCCTTTATAAAATATGTTTTCTGCTGACTGGCCTTTTTACAAAGACTTATGCAGCATACTTTTAGTGATGTAGTACCACTGCTATTACAGGACCTGATTCTGCACTCCTTGTTCAGAATAAAAGACAGCTGAATTTAGGATCAAGAAGCAAGATTTTATTTTAGTATTTGTCATGGCTAAACCTTGAAAATTACAATCAATGAATCAAGTTCTTCAGGGCATTGTTTTTTTCCTTTCGGTGCTGTTGTTTTTGTTTAGTAAAGCTATTGATGTCCAGATCAAAGAATACATGTTACTATTTTTATTTTAAATAATCTTTTCTTACTGTGTCAATAATGTGTGCTTGGGATATGAAAATTAGAAAAAAGATAAACTAAAATGAAAATAAAAAAATCACTCATAATTCTACCAGTCAGAGATGATCATTGTTAACATTTTAGTATTTATATTATAATCTACTTAATATATTTTAAATAATCGACATAATATGCTAATATTAACAATAAATTTAAAATATCAACATCTTCTTCTAGATTTTTTAAATTGCAATGTATCATACCATAACTGTCATTTAATAAGTAATATATTTTGAATATTTTTCCATGCCTTCGGTAAGTAACAGCCATGAAAATATTAAATGCCAAATATAAAGTGTTCCATTTAATGGATCTTCAGCTTTTTTGGTTTTATTACTCCCTAAAATGTTCTGAAAAATTTAGGTGCCCCATTGCTAATTTTAAGTCAACTTTTAAATTTTTTATCATGGGCTTAATAGTTACAAAGTGCCCCATTTCCACAACATTAAAATATTAACATCTTAAATTAAAACTGCTAAAATGCTCTTAAATATAGCTAATGGAAACTGGTATCATAGTGATTTCATGCTGACGATCATGTGTTTGAGAAATACATCAAGATCTTTTAGTTAGAAAGTACTGTATGCATTATTCCTTTTCCTCCTTATATTATATTTCCATACACCTACCCCATTGATTTTTATTCCAATGTAATGTTTTTATGTTTAAAAGTATTCATTTTTTGAAAGTTTTTTTTGTTATATCTTTATGCCTCTTTGAAACAAAACTATACACATAAAATACACTTGAAAATTCATATATTGTGGGTAACCATAGAGCTCTAAGTACTAAATTTTCTTTTGAGCCGGGCATGGAGGTGCGTACCTGTAGTCTCAGCTACTCAGAGGGGTGTGGCAGGAGGATCGCTTGAGTGAAGGAGTTTGAGGCTGCAGTGAACTACAATCACACCACTGCACTCCAGGCTGGGTAATAGAATGAGACTCAGTCTTAAAAAAAAATTATTTTGGATTGAGTTATGATTACATTTAATATTGAATAATTGATCAAACAGTTCTAAACATATTATGCTTTTATAAATTATTATTAAACATTTAACAGTAAGATTTTATCAGAAATGAATTTCTTGATATGATGGATGTAAGTCTTTTTTCAATAGATTGTATATCAATCAATAAATGTGCCTTATTTCTAAAATGAGACTTTTAGTGGAAATTAACAACATGGTCACTAATAAGTGTACAGCTTTTATGAGGTTTCTCCATGAATGTTTCTAAATGCATTATTTTCAGAAGAGTCTATAACAGATTCCCTTTAAAGCAGTCCAAATTGCATAATTATGTGATAGGAATAACAAAATAAACAGAGAAGTAGTTGACATGTGATGAACAGGAGACTTATCCAAAGTGAAATGTGAATTTACAGTACTAGTAATATTTTAGCAAATGTTAATGAAAATATTTTCTTACAAGCCTGAATATATGTTAAAAAGACAACAACCCACTAACTTACCTCCACCATTGTTCTTTTCCCTCAAACTTGAGGCCCTTACTACTGGAAGTAAAAATGGAAGTTTTTGTTACGAAGCAAATGAGCTTGCTGCCTGATACACATATGAGCCAATACTATGAGGCACATGCTTTTGAGAAAAAAAAAGGCTTTATAGCAAAACCGATTAGCAAGGAGACAAGAGCAGACTCAGATTTGTTTCCCCAGTTTGGAGTCTGGACAAATTTATGGGCTCAGAGGGCAGGGAAAAGGATTTAGGAATGTTGGTTTCACACGGTCTGATTGGAGGACTTTATATTTGACCGTTTATGGAAACATATGTCAAGGTGGATTTTAGCCCCGGATCTTCCAGGCCCATCCACCCCTTGCTTCTGATAAACTTCTGGTGTTCAGGTCCCTGTCGTGTCCTGGTCTTCTCGGTTCCAAGGGGAGGATTCACTGTTTCCAGATATTGTTAGAGCTCAAAGCTTTTTCTGTTGCACATGCTTGGACAACATGACTTGCAGTTTGGGGCTCTGTTCTATATAAAAGTTAACTCAACATTTTGTTATTAACAGAGTAGACTCAGTTTGGGCTGGTCCCAAAATTACTACCTCATTCCTCCTTTAAGTCATTTTGAGAAAAGTAACAGAGACCCAAATGGTGTTTTGATTACATGAGACCCAAATCATGTCTTGATTAAATGAGGCTTCACAGGCACCAACGTTTTGAATTGCCCTTTGTTTGGCACTCCATTGTCTTTATATAATCTGAGGAAATGTAATGGTTGTAAGGCTCAGGATGGGTAAGAGGCACGCCTTTCTTTGGTAAAGTGGACAAGGGTATCAGGGAAAGAGGAGGTGGAAAAGGAAAACAGACATGATGCTTTGACCATAGCACACTGTAAGGTGCATCAGTTTTAGGGAAAAAAGTCATTGAAAAATGAAGATCTGGAAATTGATTTTCTTAAAAGTGTCAATACTTGTTTGTGTTCCATAAGGAGCACCTTCAGGTATCCCCAAAGATAGCGAACATTGGGTTTGACATCACTGGCATATTAGTTCTTTAATAGTAAAACATCATAGTGAGATCCCCCATCTCTACAAAAATACATTAAAAAAATTAGCCAGTTGTGGTGGTGCATACCTGTAATTCCAGCTACTGGGGAGGCTGAGATGGGAGGATCACTTGAGCTCAGGAATTCAAGGCTATACTAAGCTGTGATTGCACCACTGTACTCTAGCCTGGGCAATAGAGTGAGACCCTGTCTCAAAAAAACAAAAATAGGCCAGACCTGGTGGCTCATGGCTGTAATCCCAGCACTTTGGGAGACCAAAGTGGGAGGATCCCCTGAGTCCGGGAGTTCAAGACCAGCCTGGGAAACACAGGAAGACCCTGTCTCTACAAAAAAAATTAAAAAGAAAATAGTAAAACATTTACCTAAGTGTATTGACTTAAGTGATTAATAGTAAATCATTTTTGTTTTTAAGAAGGCCACTCAGAGGAAATTCCAGCATCCTAGATTTACTTACATATTTATCTAAATTTAAAAAATATTCCATGATAAGTTTATGGCTGGTAGAGACTAGCTCAGTTTCCTGGGCATATATGGAAACCCGTGAGGCCAAGAGAGGGAAATGATTCTTCCCATGGCACCTAAATACTTAGTAGTAACGTAGTACTGAGGATTGGAAACCAAGGCCTTTTTTTCTTTTTAACGAATCATAGAAAAATTCTTTTTCATTTATTTTTTAAAGCTTAGCCTAAATATAGTTTCAAACAGGAATTTAAAAATTGCCAACTGCCTCTTGCTAGGAAATGAATCTAAATTCCACAGAACCTGAACTTTAGTGTCATCACCATATCCATTTATTCTTCATGGCTTTTTTATTTTTGACTGAGTCTCGTTCTGTCGCCCAGGCTGGAGCGCAGTGGCGCGATCTCCGCTGACTGCAAGCTCCGCCTCCCAGGTTCACGCCATTCTCCTGCGTCAGCCTCCCGAGTGCTGGGACTACAGGCACCCGCCACCACGCCCGGCTAATTTTTTGTGTGTTTTTAGTAGAGACGGGGTTTCTCCGTGTTAGCCAGGAGGGTTTCGATCTCCTGACCTCGTGATCCGCCCACCTCGGCCTCCCAAAGTGCTGGGATTACAGGCGTGAGCCACCGCGCCCGGTCTCTTCGTGGCTTTTTATCAACGTCTGTTTCCTTGGTTTCTGCCTTCGTAACTTGCCCTCTTGGTATTTGGAGTCTTTAACTTCTGCACTCCTCAAAACTGGACTGAGACTTTCCCCGTCATGCATAGTGCTTGTCTTGACAACTCTGTTTGGGGTTCCACTTGGCCTCAAGGAGACTGGGCCCAGGTAGGTCTTCTGCATCAGGGAAGCCCTGAAGACCCTCCACAAGTATTGCAGAGCTTCACTTATGCCACATTTTACGAACGCTTTCTGCTTCTTCATTACTTTTATTTTTTCATGACCCTTTCTGTGCCTCATGACCTTTCTTCGCACATCACTTCAGCTTCAGTCTCACTGCCTGATTCCTTCAATATTTACAATTGCAATTTAATTAGAGCAAAATTCTGATTGACACAGCTTATTTCTGCCTGGTTAGGGATTCTGATGCCAAACTACACTGAGCCTGTAGACCAGTAGCTCACTCTTGATACAGTCAGATTTGGTGAAGGTGGAGCATGTTGCTAGAGGCTTGGGGCTGTCCCTTCATAAAGGTTGCAAGTAGAACAAAATTTCTATAGAACACAGCCATGTCCTGAATAATATTGTTTAGCATCTTGATTTTTTTAAAAAATACAATATATTGTGAACATTCTTTCATGATAATATTTTTCTATATTGTTTTAATGCAATAGTTCCCAAATGATATTGCACATTGTACCTGGGGAGCTTAAAAAAAACAATGCCTCATCCCCAGAAATTATAATCTAATTTGTGTGGAATGTGACCTGGTCTTTAAAATTTTTAAAAGATCCCCAGGTGATTCTAAATTGCAGACAACTTTGGAGACACCACATTAATGGCAGCAGAGTGTTACTGAATAGGAGCAGTATAGCAGTATAACTTATTTAATGAATATTTTCTCAATGGATATATTTTAAGGTGGTTGTTAAGTTTTCACTATTTTTAACTACACTACCAAGAACATTCTTTTTTTTTTTTTTTTTTTTTTTTTGAGACGGAGTCTTGCTGTGTTGCCCAGGCTGGAGTGCAGTGGTGCAATCCCAGCTCACTGCAACCTACGCCTCCCGGGTCAAAGCAATTCTCCTGCCTTAGCCTCCTGAGTGGCTGGGACTACAGGCGCCTGCCACCACGCTCGGCTCATTTTTGTATTTTTAGTAGAGACAGGATTTCACGATGTTGGCCAGGCTGGTCTCGAACTCCTGACCTCAGGCGATCCGCTTGCCTCAGCCTCGGAAAGTGCTGGGATTACAGGCATGAGCCGCCACACCCGGCATGAACGTTCTTTTAGCAAAAATTTTTAGCACAATTATGGTTACTTAGAGCAAATTTCTACTATTGAAATTATTGAATTAAAAAGTATGACTATTCCAAACTGCCCTCAAAAAAGATTCAATTTACACTTTTGCAAATGATTTATGGATGTTTTCCTATTCCAAGCTCATATTATTTATTAATTTTTTTCTATTTGATAAGTAAAAAATAGTATGTTTTATTTTTTGCATTACTAGGGAGATTGAATTCCACCCCCTCTTCAGTTTATTTTGCCCTTTTATTTTTTCTTCTGTAAATTATTTATATTTGGGTTTTCTTTGGTTCATTTTTCTCTTAGGTGATCATCTTTTGCTGATTTGTTTATTTATTTTTACATACTAACACTATAGATTCTTTGTCATATATGTTATACATATTTCAGCTTGTTTTTTGCCTTCATTATTGCCTTGCCAGTTTTTAGAAAGTAGAATAATTTAATGTTTTTTATTATTTCAATTTCTTGGTGTCTGTGTCTCCACTTAGAAAAAAAAACTTTCATTATTATTTTTACCACCTTTCAAAAAATAACCTCTGTAAGACTAAAATTGTTTGTTATTTTTTAAAAAGGATGGAAAATTGACTATTGTGGTATGATCTTTATCACAAACAAATGAGACCGAGACCAATGTAACTGGTTTGTATTATTGAACCATTAGTTGTCCAAGTCTTACTAGAAGTATACACTAAAAAACATGAAAGACATGAAAAAATTTAACCTCACCAAAAGTGTTTCCTTATTGCAACACCCCTGAAATTGAGACACTGGAATTTTCCTGGGTATACAGTAAATATGCAATAGGGAAACAATGGCAGAATAAAGCCAGATAATGTTCAATTGAAGACCATCTTGCTTATTTTATTTCATAAGCAAATTCCCAAATATAAAGTTTAAAAAGAAGTTGGTTCCCATATTGGTACCCTGGCATTTGTATTTGTCTGTAATGTAATCTGTAGATATAGTTCTCAAGTCCTGTGGAAAGTTAGCATTAAATTACTGGTTAATGTTACTCTAGAAGAATTGTGTTCATTACAGCATGTCTTTGAACCATCTCAAATATCCTTATAGTTGTCCTTCAGTTTATGATGCTGAACGTATGGTGCTTTAGTCCTATAAGAAAATAGCAAAGATTAGATTGCCTTGTAGTCTCATTTAGACAGTTAATTTTATCTTTGTTTTCTCAAGTCACATTTCATTGTGTTTCTCGATGGTGCAAAACTAATTGGCTCTTATCACAGTTACATTACCTTCAAAGGCAGATAAAATTAATGCAAAGTAAAAGATCACTACAATCAGAGATATCTGGTTAAAAGGGAGACAGGCTTGCATAAAGTGGCTGCAGAATCCACAGAAGACTCTGGCAGAATAATAAATCATGACTTTCT
Organism: Homo sapiens; assembly: GCF_000001405.40. Taxonomy (NCBI): domain Eukaryota; kingdom Metazoa; phylum Chordata; class Mammalia; order Primates; family Hominidae; genus Homo; species Homo sapiens. Next base: position 18,003,685 of record NC_000007.14, read on the forward strand.
CCAGGTTATCATCTTGTGCTCCAGTTCATTATTTTGTATCGTTTGTTTTAACCTTGGATTGTCCCTACTACATCTGCTCTGCTGTGATTAATTCTGCTGATGGAAATAAACTGTGGAAGGGCAATGCTGTACTGCATGACTAATTAGCTACCAAATTATGTCCATAAATTAACATTTTGTTTTTATTCATTTAAATAAGTCAAAGTTGTCAAAACTTATTTTGTGTAGACCGCTTTATATCAATTTATATTTGTATATCACATAATATCAATTTATATTTGTAACCTTTAACTGATTCAGTTTACTTACTTTTTGGTCAACTAATTCTTAAACAATTTTGTATGTTAACTTTTCTAAAATGATCATAGTTCGGTTATTGTCTCTGCACAAGAGGAAGAAAGCTTTTCTCAGTTAAGCTGTATCTCTCTTCAGACTCTCGCCGTAGCCCACCACTTCCTCAGCTCCCACTTGTCCCCAGTCCTGGCCACAGTTCCTGGTCCTTCTTCTATTGGTTATATGGAAAGGATTACTATTGTAAAAAACTAAATCTTTCTCACAAGAATCTTCTAGGGCCTCTAACAAGAGGAAAGACGTTTATAGGTACTGAAGAAAGGGACCAAGCCACTTTTTATTTTTAAATACCTCCACCTAAAAAAGTAGTTAGGACCAAGTAGGCTCTCAGTAAACTTTAAAAGTCCACTCAAGATTGCTATATGAAAGAATAATATTAGATATAAAACAGATTATTTCAGATCCAGAAACAAAGATGAGAAATGTTTCTATATATCCTGTGGCATTGCATTGCTTGCTACCATAGGCATTTGAAGAATGCGACTCAGTCTTTCTGAAACACTGTTTCATTGATTTTATTTTAATAAAAGCATTTAGGCCTTTTTCCATAAGAAGGCACTGCCTCCCACCTCAGGAAACTGAATAACATGAGAGATGTCACAAACCCTCAAGTTAATTTCAGAAAGTTCTCCTAGTGGCTGTCCTTGCCTTTTATGTAGGGTGGTTGGGAAGACGGCTCACACTCGTTCACTAGACCAAACTGTGCAAAGCTCTTCCCAATTTCTTGTTCAGTGAGGGTATGTTGGTAGCTTGAATTTGGCAATGGAAATATTTATTCCACAGAAATTTTCTAAAAGTACAAATTAGGACTTTTATTTTCCAGAGAGTTGGTTGTTAAACATTTACCAGCACTCCACTGTTTAGATGTGAGATAAATGCTGCTAGGCATGGATCTCTCTCTCTCTCTCTGTTTTTTTTTTTTTTTTTGAGATGGAGTCTCACTTTTTCATCGGGCTGGAGTGCAGTGGTGCTATCTCGGCTAACTGCAACCTCCGCTTCCCGGGTTCAAGTGATTCTCCTGCCTCAGCCTCCCGAGTAGCTGCGACTACAGACGCGCGCCACCAGGCCCAGCTAATTTTTGTGTTTTTAGTAGAGATGGGGTTTCACCATGTTTGCCAGGATTGTCTCGATCTCTTGACCTCGTGATCCACCTGCCTCAGCCTCCCAAAGTGCTAGGTTTACAGGCATGAGCCACGGCGCCCGGCTGGGCATGGCTCTCTTATGGTGCCTTTCCAATTTAACTCTTAACTAGTTCATAGTAGAAGAATCTTTACATTTATGTTTTTTCTCTCTCCTCTCTCTTCCTAAGAACATACATAGTTCATCATCTCTCACCTTTCCTTAGTCCTCAGCCCTGTTTGAAATAAACATCCTAGAAATTCATGTTTGAAATAAATACCCCTGAAAATCTCTGAGTGGAACAATCAGGAGACAGTTGTTCCCAGGCTTTTTAACTCAGCTGAGTCAAGTACCATTCCAGTTACCACTCCAGACAGGTTTCCACAATGATAACATGTTTCTGCTTTACATGGGGAGTACCACCTTATGTCTTCCTTGATACTTGGATAGTTTTGACAGAGGAAAGCTCCGCATCGTTGAATCATGGTATCATACATAATGGAATCACTCCTCAGCTTAGTGACCAATGTGTTTTTTTTTTTAAATGTGATCTCACTTTTTCTTTTATTTTTACATTTTGTATTATACTTTAAGTTCTGGGTTACACGTGCAGAACGTGCAGTTTTGTTACATAGATATATATGTGCCATGGTGGCTTGATGCACCCATCAACTCATCACCTACATTAGGTATTTCTCCTAATGTTATCCCTCTCCTAGCCCCCCAACCCGAGACAGGCTCTGGTGTGTGATGTTCCCCTCCCTGTGTCCATGTGTTCTCATTGTTCAACTCCCACTTATGAGTGAGAACATGCTGTGTTTGGTTTTCTGATCTTGTGATAGCTTGCTGAGAATGATGTTTTCCAGCTTCATCCATGTCCCTGCAAAGGACATGAACTCATTCTTTTTTTATGGCTGCATAGAATTCCATGGTGTATATGTGCCACATTTTCTTAATCCAGCCGGTCAAGGATGGACATTTGGGTTGGCTCCAAGTCTTTGCTATTGTGAATAGTGCCGCAATAAATATATGTGTGCATGTGTCTTTATCGTAGAATGATTTATAATCCTTTGGGTATATAACCAGTAATGGGATGGCTGAGTCCAATGGTGTTTCTAGTTATAGATGTTTGAGGAATCGTCACACTGTCTTCCACAATGGTTGAACTAATTTACATGCCCACCAACAGTCTAAAAGTGTTCCTATTTTTCCACAACCTCTCCAGCATCTGTTGTTTCCTGACTTTTTAATGATCGCCATTCTAACTGGCGTGAGATGGTATCTCATTGTGGTTTTGATTTGCATTTCTCTAATGACCAGTGATGATGATCATTTTTTCATAGGTCTGTTGGCTGCATAAATATCTTCTTTTGAGAAGGGTCTGTTCATATCCTTTGCCCATTTTTTGATGGGGTTTTTTTTTTTTTCAGAGGACTTTTATTTGTCTTAGAAACTGGGATATTGGGGATTTCCTTAGAAAAATCATATACAACATATATAGCTCACAGTCCAAGGTTTAATGAATTTTTTTTTTCACTATAAGCAGCTTATGCCTTATTTGGTTTTCTTGTTTTTTTTTTATTATTATACTTTAAGTTTTAGGGTACATGTGCACATTGTGCAGGTTAGTTCCATATGTATACATGTGCCGTGCTGGTGCGCTGCACCCACTAACTCGTCATCTAGCATTAGGTGTATCTCCCAATGCTATCCCTCCCCCCCCCCCCACCCCACAACAGTCCCCAGAGTGTGATATTCCCCTTCCTGTGTCCGTGTGATCTCATTGTTCAATTCCCACCTATGAGTGAGAATATGCGGTGTCTGGTTTTTTGTTCTTGCGATAGTTTACTGAGAATGATGATTTCCAATTTCACCCATGTCCCTCAAAGGACATGAACTCATCCTTTTTTATGGCTGCATAGTATTCCATGGTATATATGTGCCACATTTTCTTAATCCAGTCTATCATTGTTGGACATTTGGGTTGGTTCCAAGTCTTTGCTATCGTGAATAATGCCGCAATAAACATACGTGTGCATGTGTCTTTATAGCAGCATGATTTATAGTCCTTTGGGTATATACCCAGTAATGGGATGGCTGGGTCAAATGGTATTTCCAGTTCTAGATCCCTGAGGAATCGCCACACTGACTTCGACAATGGTTGAACTAGTTTACAGTCCCACCAACAGTGTAAAAGTGTTCCTATTTCTCCACATCCTCTCCAGCACCTGTTGTTTCCTGACTTTTTAATGATTGCCATTCTAACTGGTGTGAGATGGTATCTCATTGTGGTTTTGATTTGCATTTCTCTGATGGCCAGTGATGATGAGCGTTTTTTCATGTGTTTTTTGGCTGCATAAATGTCTTCTTTTGAGAAGTGTCTGTTCATATCCTTCGCCCACTTTTTGATGGGGTTGTTTGTTTTTTTCTTGTAAATTTGTTTGAGTTCATTGTAGATTCTGGATATTAGACCTTTGTCAGATGGGTAGATTGCAAAAATTTTCTCCCATTCTGTAAGTTGCCTGTTCACTCTGATAGTTTCTTTTGCTGTGCAGAAGCTCTTTAGTTTAATTAGATCCCATTTGTCAATTTTGTCTTTTGTTGCCATTGCTTTTGGTGTTTTGATGGGGTTTTTTTTTCTTGTAAATTTGTTTAAGTTCTTTGTAGACTCTGGATATTAGCCCTTTGTCAGATGGATAGATTGCAAAAATTTTCTCCCATTCTGTAGGTTGCCTGTTCACTCTGATGCTAGTTTCTTTTGCTGTGCAGAAGCTCTTTAGTTTAATTAGATCACATTTGTCAATTCTGGCTTTTGTTGCCATTGCTTTTGGTGTTTTAGACATGAAGTCTTTGCCCATGCCTATGTCCTGAATGGTATTGCCCAGGTTTTCTCCTAGGATTTTTATGGTCCTAGGTCTTACATTTAAGTCTTTGATCCATCTTGAGTTGATTTTTATATAAGGTGTAAGGAAGGGGTACAGTTTCAGTTTTCTGCATATGGTTAGCCAGTTTTCCCAACACCATTTATTAAATAGGGCATCTTTTCCGCATTGCTTGTGTGTGTCACATTTGTCAAAGATCCAATGGTTGTAGGTGTGTGGTATTATTTCTGAGGCCTCCGTTCTGTTCCATTGGTCTATGTATCTGTTTTGGTACCAGTACCATGCTGTTTTGGTTACTGTAGCCTTGTAGTATAGTTTGAAGTCAGGTAGCGTGATGCCTCCAGCTTTGTTCTTCTTTCCCAGGATTGTCTTGGCTATGTGGGCTCATTTTTGGTTCCATAGGAAGTTTAAAGTAGTTTTTTACCAATTCTGTGAAGAAAGTCAATGGTAGCTTGATGGGGATAGCATTGAATCTATAAATTACCTTGGGCAGTATGGCCATTTTCACGATACTGATTCTTCCTATCCATAAGCATGGAATGTTTTTCCATTTGTTTGTGTCCTCTCTTATTTCCTTGAGCAGTGGTTTGTAGTTCTCCTTGAAGAGATCCTTCACATCCCTTGTAAGTTGTATTCCTAGGTATTTTATTCTCTTAGTAGCAATTGTGAATGGGAGTTCACTCATGATTTGGCTCTCTGTTTGTCTGTTATTTGTGTATAGGAATGCTTGTGATTTTTGCACATTGATTTTGTGTCCTGAGAATTTGCTGAAGTTGCTTATCGGCTTAAGGAGATTTGGGGCTGAGACAATGGGGTTTTCTAAATATACAATCATGTCATCTGCAAACAGAGACAGTTTGACTTCCTCTCTTCCTATTTGAATACACTTTATTGCTTTCTCTTGCCTGATTGCACTGGCCAGAACTTCCAATACTATGTTGAATAGGAGTGGTGAGAGCATCCTTGTCTTGTGCTGGTTTTCAAAGGGAATGCTTCCAGTTTTTGCCCATTCAGTATGACATTGGCTGTTGGTTTGTCATAGATAGCTCTTATTATTTTGAGATACATTCCATCGATACCTAGCCTATTGAGCATTTTTAGCATAAGGGGTGTTGAATTTTATCGAAGGCCTTTTCTGCATCTATTGAGATAATCAAGTGGTTTTTGTCTTTGGTTGTGTTTATGTGATGGATTACATTTATTGATTTGCATATGTTGAACTAGCCTTGCATCCCAGGTATGAAGCCAACTTGATCATGGTGGATAAGCTTTTTGATGTGCTGCTGGATTCGGTTTGCCAGTATTTTATTGAGGATTTTTGCATCAACGTTCATCAGGGATATTGGCCTGAAATTTCCTTTTTTTGTTGTGTCTCTGCCAGGTTTTGGTATGAGGATGATGCTGGCCTCATAAAATGAGTTAGGGAGGATTCCCTCTTTTTCTATTGATTGGAATAGTTTCAGGAGGAATGGTACCAGCTCCTGTTTGTACCTCTGGTAGAATTCGGCTGTGAATCCATCTGGTCCTGGCCTTTTTTTGGTTGATAGGCTATTAATTACTGCCTCTATTTCAGAACTTGTTATTAGTTTATTCAGGGATTCAACTTCTTCCTGGCTTAGACTTGAGAGTGTGTATGTGTCCAGGAATTTATCCATTTCTTCTAGATTTTCTAGTTTATTTGCATAGAGGTGTTTATAGTATTCTCTGATGGTAGTTTGTATTTCTATGGGATCAGTGGTGATGTCCCCTCTATCATTTTTTTATTGCATCTATTTGAATCTTCTCTCTTTTCTTCTTTATTAGTCTGGCTGGTGGTCTATCTATTTTGTTGATTTTTTTCAAAAAATTAGCTCCTGGATTCATTGATATTTTTGAGGGTTTTTTTCATGTCTCTCCTTCAGTTCTGCTCTGATCTTAGTTATTTCATGTCTTCTGCTAGCTTTTGAATTTGTTTGCTGTTGCTTTTCTAGTTCTGTTAATTTTGATGTTAGGGTGTCAATTTTAGATCTTTTCTGCTTTCTCCTGTGGGCATTTAGTGCTATAAATTTCCCGCTAAACACTGCTTTAAATGTGTCCCAGAGATTCTGGTACATTGTGCCTTCGTTCTCATTGGTTTGAAAGAACATATTATTTCTGCCTTCATTTCGTTATTTACCCCGTAGTCACTCAGGAGCAGGTTGTTCAGTTTCCATGTAGTTGTGTGGTTTTGAGTGAGTTTCTTAATTCTGAGTTCTAATCTGATTGCACTGTGGTCTGAGAGACTGTTTGTTATCATTTCCATTCTTTTGCATTTGCTGAGGAGTGTTTTATTTCCAATTATGTGGCCAATTTTAGAATAAGTGTGATGAGGTGCTGAGAAGAATGAATATTCTGTTGATTTGGGCTGGAGAGTTCTATAGATGCCTATTATGTCTGCTTGGTCCAGAGCTGAGTCCAGGTCCTGAATATCCTTGTTAATTTTCTGTCTCATTGATATGTCTAATATTGACAGTGGGGCATTAAATTCTCCTATTATTATTGTGTGGGAGTCTAAATGTCTTTTTAGGTTTCTAAGAACTTGCTTTATGAATCTGGGTGCTCCTGTATTGGGTGCATTTATATTTAGGATAGTTAGCTCTTCTTGTTGCATTGATCCCTTTACCATTATGTAATGCCCTTCTTTGTCTCTTTTGATCTTTGTTGGTTTAAAGTCTGTTTTATCAGAGATTAGGATTGCAACTCCTGCTTTTTTTTTGCTTTTTATTTGCTTGGTAAATATTCCTCCATCCCTTTGTTTTGAGCCTATGTATGTCTCTGCATGTGAGATGGGTATCCTGAATACAGCACACTGATGGGTCTTGACTCTTTATCCAATTTGCCAGTCTGTGTGTTTTAATTCGAGCTTTTAGCCCATTTACATTTAAGGTTAATATTGTTATGTGTGAATTTGATCCTGTCTTAATGATGCTAGCTGGTTGTTTTGCCCATTAGTTAATGCAGTTTCTTCATACTGTTGATATGCTTTACAATTTGGTATGTTTTTGCAGTGGTTGGTACTGGCTGTTCCTTTCCACATTTAGTGCTTCCCTCAGGAGCTCTTGTAAGGCAGGTCTGGTGACAAAATCCCTCAGCATTTGCTTGTCTGTAAAGGATTTTATTTCTCCTTTGCTTATGAAACTTAGTTTGGCTGGATATGAAATTCTGGGTGGTTGAAACTTCTTTTCTTTGAGAACGTTGAATATTGGCCTCCATTCTCTTCTGGCTTGTAGCGTTTCTGCAGGCAGATCTGCTGTTAGTCTGATGGGCTTCCGTTTGTGGATAACCCGACCTTTCTCTTTGGCTGCCCTTAACATTTTTTCCTTAATTTCAACCTTGGTGAATCTGATGATTATGTGCCTTTGGGTTGCTCTTCTCAAGGAGTATTTTTGTGGTGTTCTTTGTGTTTCCTGAATTTGAATGTTGGCATGTCTTGCTAGGGTGGGGAAGTTCTCCTGGATAATATCCTGAAGAGTGTTTTCCAACTTGGTTCCATTCTCCCCGTCACTTTTAGGTACACCAATCAAATGTAGATTTGGTCTTTTCACATAGTCCCACATTTCTTGGAGGCTTTGTTTGTTGCTTTTTATTCTTTTTTCTCTAATCTTGTCTTCTGTCTTTATTTCATTAAGTTGATCTTCAGTCACTGATATCTTTCTTCCACTTGATTGATTCAGCTATTGATACTTATGTTTTTCAGCTCCATCAGGTCATTTGTGTTCTTCTCTACATCGGTTATTCTAGTTAGCAATTCAACTATCCTTTTTTCAAGGTTCTTAGCTTCCTTGCATTGGGTTAGAACATGCTCCTTTAGCTTGGAGGAGTTTGTTATTACCCACCTTCTGAAGCCTACTGCTGGCAGTTTGTCAAACTCATTCTCCATCCAGTTTTGTTCCCTTGCTGGCAAGGAGTTGTGATCCTTTGGAGGAAAAGAGGCATTCTGGTTTTTGGAATTTTCAGGCTTTTTGTGCTGGTTTTTCCCCATCTTTGTGGATTTCTCTATCTTTCGTCTTTGATGTTGGTGACCTTTGGATGGGGTCTTTGAGTAGATGTGCTAATCCTTTCTGTTTGTTTCCTGTTTGTTTCTTTTCCTTCTAACAGTCAGGACTCTCTGCTGCCAGTCTGATAGAGTTTGCTGGAGGTCCGCTCCCAAACTTGTTTGCCTGGATATCACTAGTGGAGGCTGCAGAGCAGCAAAGATTGCTGCCTGTTTTTTCCTCTGGGAGCTTCGAGCCAGAGGGGCACCTGCCAGATGCCAGCCAGAGCTCTCCTGTATGAGGTGTTTTTTGGCCCCTACTGGGAGTTCTCTCCCAGTCAGTATACATGGGGGTCAGGGACTCACTTGAGAGCCAGTCTGACCCTTTGCAGAACTCGAACTCTGTGCTGGGAGTTCCGGTGTTCTTTTCAGAGCCACCAGGCAGGGACGTTTAAGTCTGCTATAAGCCCCTGACTGGGGCTGCTGCCTTTTTTACAGAGATGCCCTGTCCAGAGAGGAGAAATATGGCAGTCTGGCCTCAGCAGCCTTGCTGAGCTGCAGAAGTCTCCACCCAGTTCGAACTTCCCAGTGGCTTTGTTTACACTGTGACCGTAAAACCACCTACTCAAGCCTCAGCAATGGTGGATGCACCTACCCCACCAAGCTCGAATGCCCCAGGTGGATCTCAGACTGCTGCTGTGCTGGCAGTGAGAATTTCAAGCCAGTGGATCTTAGTTTCCTGGGCCCCATAGGGGTGGGACCCGCCCAGCCAGATCACTTGGCTCCCTTGCTTCAGGAACCCTTTTGAGGGGAGTGAACGGTTCTGTCTTGCTGGCATTCCAGGCGCCACTGGGGTATGGAAAAAAAAAAGAGCTCCTGCAGCTAGTTCAGTGTCTGCCCAATTGGCCACCCAGTTTTGTGCTTGAAACCCAGGGCCCTGGTGGGGTAGGCACCGGAGTGGATCTCCTGGTTTGCAGGTTGCGAAGACTGTGGGACAAGCACGGTATCTGTGCCGGAGTTCCTCAGGCTCAGACCCTCACAGCTTCCCTTGGGTAGGGGAGAAAATTCCCCGACCCCTTGTGCTTCCTGGGTGAGGCAACGCCCAGCCCTGCTTTGGCAGCTCTCCATGGGCTGCACCTACTGTCCAACCAGTTCCAGTGAGATGAACTGGGTACCTCAGTTGGAAATGCAGAAATCACCCACCTTCTGTGTTGATCTTGCTGGGAGCTGTAGACCAGAGCTGTTCCTATTTGGCTATCTTGAATCCATTTCTCGACCAATGTGTTTTCAATGCAAAGAAAAAGATTTGCCTATAAGGCACTTTTAAAACCAACTGTACTTATATTAGTCTATTTTATGCCTCCTCTCACTGTTCTAAGCACTGTAAGAAATAAAAAAGTAGAGCAAATGGTCATTTCTTACAGAATCCTTCCAATCCTCCTGTGAACGGCAGGACTAACAAAACGTATGAAGCAATTAGGAAAGAAGTACTAAATTGTTAAAAAAATATATATATACTGGGTCAATGTACCAAAGAGCTGGAGGGTCCAGGAAAGACTTTATGTTGGGATTCCTACTGGAGCTTGCCTTTGAGCAACGAGTAGGACTGGAACATGCAGGGAAGAGGAAGGAGGGCAGATTATGTGGAACCAACAGCATGAGAAAAGGACTTGGCCTGTGAGCTAATCATATCTGACTCTTGGGAATTCTTGGGAAATTTGATTGAATGGACCATGGTTTTACAGGACCAACAGGTTCTTATGCCCACTGTACAGTAATAAACCAATACACTGAAGGGTTTGCAGCAGAGAAAGAGTTTAATAATCACAGGGTGGCTGAGTGAGAAGATGGGAGGAGACCCTCAAATCCATCTCCCGAAGGAGTTCGGAGCTGGAGTTTTTAAGGGAATCATGGAGGGCAAGAGGCTAGAAAATTGGGGTTATTGATTGGCCAGGGTAAGGGGTATAAAATCATCAGGATGTGAAAACTGCATTCTTTGGTGAGTCAGCTCCTTGTGGGGTCCTTCAACTGACATTAGTAGTTTTGCTGGTATGTAGGAGTTGAAAGAATATCTCAAAGGGAAAACTTAACCTTTCATAATGTTCAAGTTGTTATCTATAGAGCAGTTAAGGGAGCTATAATCCAGAGTCTATGTGATTCTAGAACAACAGGCACCACACAACTATGAGGAAGCAGGTCAGAAGGCAAGCTGACCTAATGATTAATGCTGAATGTGCTGCAAGCTCAGTTTATTTTATAAAGTTTATAAGGATAGTTTCATTGGGAGTTTTTTTTTTTTTTTTTTTTTTGACGGAGTTTCGCTCTTGTTACCCAGGCTGGAATAAAATGGCACGATCTTAGCTCACTGCAACCTCTGCCTCCCGGGTTCAAGCAATCTCCTGCCTCAGCCTCCTGAGTAGCTGGGATTATAGGTGCCCGCTACCATGCCCGGCTAATTTTTTGTATTTTTGGTAGAGATGGGGTTTCACCATGTTGGCCAGGCTGGTCGCGATCTCCTGATCTCAGGTAATCCACCTGCCTTGGCCTCCCAAAGTGCTGGGATTACAGGCATGAGCCACCATGCCTGGCCTCACTGGGAGATTCTTAACAGCCAAACAGAAGAATTTTTCAAATGCAGTAGACAATAGAAAATTAATATTGGGCTTTTGAACATCAGAATGATGAGATTAAAAGGATGCTTTTGAAGGTTACTATCAGCATTTCGTAGGCGAAAGTATGTAGATACATATTAGTGGCAAGGGAACAGGTAGAATTGACTTAGGTCAGCCTTGTTAGCAAGCACATGGGGACCTCAGCAGGGAGCTGGTCAAGGCCAAAACTGGGTGGAGAGCTACTCACAGTGGCAAAGATTAGGGTGTGGGAAGTGAGAGGGTGGCCCCAGTGAGATCAGACGGGGGCTCCAAAAGCAGAGCACCCAAAAGACACAGCAAGCTTGGGCATGATACCAGCAACTGCCAGCATCAGAAGAGTGGATTTGATGGGCAGAAGGCAATGATAGGAAATCTAGGTAATGATGCAGAAGAGTTGAACAGATGTGATAATGCAGGAGGTGCAAGAGAAACCAGCTTCTCCTCAGGAAAGGACATAGACACTAAGACTAGCAAGCTTCTAGGGTCTTCACATCACCTGGGGCTCAGGGTAGGGCCGCAGTCTAAATGGGTACAAGGGCACAGAGCTGATAGAATATAGAGAAGAAGGCGAATCAAAGGAAAAAGCTAGTCTAATGGCTAACATAAGAGGGAGGATCAGAGGGTGACAACCCAAGGAATGCCCAGACACCCGAGGCTGGGTCCTCATATGGCAGACCTTGGGCTTAGCCACGTTGGTGGTAAAGGAGAAACAGAGGGCATATGGAACCACCACTGTGGGTAGCTGTTCCATTGCTGTGGTTAATTTAAAATCTGCACCAGGTTGCAGATTCAAAGGTTTTGAGCCTGCTTTTGTTAGGATTGGTTGAGAAGCTAGCAAGTTTCTTTGAGAATAGCCAAGGAAGGGGAGGTGAGAGACAGAAAATAGGGGTTGACCCTTGAAGCTGATGCAATACTGCAGGTAGCAACAACCTATAATTTAACTTTTTGATATTTTAGCCTACTGATATATGTTTTGAAGAAGTACTTATGCTTAAGGAGTAGAGGAAAGACAAAACTTGGGAAAACTTGAGAGGTGTACACATTCAACTTCAGTATAATTTTGAATAACTCTCATGTTTAGGAATGGGATTTTCTTATTTATTTACATTTCTGATTACTTGAGTTATTTAGAAAACATTTTTGGGCATAGGTTTTTCCTACATCTGTTTTTCTTGGGTTAGCTTAAATTTCCTGCCTTATCATTAATATAAATTAATATTTCTTCAATAATTGAAGACTGCACATTACTCACAGTCATTACTCTTTACTGAAGAAATAGAAAATTTAGTTTTAGACAATACTTTATTAACTCCAGGACAAACATATTTGTAAATGAGGCCCCAATTTTAGCTTCTCTCATCTATTGTAAGAATTCAGTACATCGTACCGATGATGTTGAGGGTCCCATTTAACTCGAAGAGACTTTGATTCCATGGTTTCCTTACAAGTCTAGGGCACATGCCCATAAGAATTAAAAAGGTTACTCAAAGATTTTGCTTGTTTGAATATATATTAACTATTAAACTTTGCATAAATAGCATTTTAGGGTGTTTATTAAAATTTCCATGTATTACCCAAATTCTGTAATCAAACAGAGGAACGCACAAAGAGTCTTATAAGTGAGTCAGCTAATGGATGGAGATTTCTGTTTCAAATAAATAAAAGGAGAAAATCTAGGCTTTTTTCATGTCCACATAATGTGACCAAAACTCTTCTAGCTGTTTCACACATAAACGTTTATATTAAATTACAGCAGTTGTGCGAGGTATTTTGTCTCTTTTGTGGAAATGAAGAATCAAAGATTCAAAGACATATATTAATTGGTTACTAAGATAGCTGATAGTACAGCTAATATTATAATATTAACAGCTAATGCGCCGTAATACAGCTGTACGGTAATATAGCTGGCACAGCCAGAATTTACCTTAAACTCTAATTCTAAAACTCATTTTTGTTTTCACTGTCCCTTTCAGAAATATGTCTGCATATATAAACTGTTATAAAAGAAATAGTCATAATCCGTTTTTTCCGGATACTGCAGTTGTGAAGTTTACATCAGTATATATTGCTGAGTCAATAAAATAAGTTTAACCCCATAGATTAACCCAAACTTTTTAAAATGTAATAATTTAGTATTTCCCCAAATAAAAGTCAGCTGAGAAGTTGCCCTAGTCTAGTGATAACCTTATGAGAGGGATGGCATTTAAGTTTCGCCTTCTATGCCAGGTCTTATCAATTGATAGTGGCTGCCTGGATACCTGCATGGAGAAAGAATCTGAGGTCATGTCTCAAGTCAGCAGGAAGGAATTCTAGGATCCACGAGAGATGAAGGCCATGGTCATTGTAGGGGAAAGTAGCAGCTCAAGTATTGACCAGAGCTGCCACAGGTATTAGTAAAGTAGCATGTCTTTTGGAATGTTACTGCTCAAAACTGTCTTCTGCACTCAAAATTACCTCAATCAGTCTTGGTTTTGAGGCTTCGTGTTTCCTAAGCTTGCCAGATCATAAGAATCATTGAAGATAATCATTTAAAAATGTTGTTTTCCAAGCCTCTTATCTGAAGATTCGGGAAGTCAAGAGTGGGAAGCCAAGAATTTGATGACCTGGCAAGTTTGGGAATGTATGAGTTGCCAGTGTTTTCAGAAAGCTCCTGTGAAAGATAAAATTCTTATTAATGAGGAATAATTTAAGACATAATTTTCCTAGTAGAGACTTGAGCACTAACAAGCAAGGAGCAAACAAAAGATCAATTTGAGGTTAGGTGCAGTGGTGCACTCCCAAAATCCCAGAGCTTTGGGAGGCTGAGGCAGGAGGATTACTGAAGCCCAGGATTTCAAAACCAGTCTGGGCAGCATAGTGATACCGCATCTCTCTACAAAAGAAAATAATTTAAAAATTAGCCAGGCATGGTGATAGTCCTGTGGTCCCAGCTACTCAAGGGGCTGAGGTGGGAGGATTGTTTGAGTCCAGGAGTTCGGGGCTGCAGTAAGCCCTGACCTACACCAATGCATGCCAACTTGGACAATAGAGTGAGACCCTGTCTTGAAAAAAATTAAAATAAAAAAGGTCAATTTGATGGTGACTGGAGATAGAGAAGTTTAGAGCATGTGATAGCTTACCTACATTATCTGAATCTGCCCCAGCTTGCGGACTTAATCTCATTCTGCTGTGTCTCTTGCTCACTCTACTCCAGCCACACTGAACTTCTTTATGTTGCTGTAATTCATGCATGTTCCCACCTCAAAGCCTTTGCTCTTGCTGTTCTTCCCATATCTTAATATGCCTGGAGACCTTCACAGGGCTAGTTTTTCTAATCCTTCCTTAACTGGTAGGTTATTAAGTGGAAAAGCCAAATGGTAAGTGTATTAGTCTGTTCTCACACTGCTAATAAAGACATACCCAATACTGGGTAATTTATAAAGGAAAGAGGTTTAATTGACTCACAGTTCTGCATGGCTGGGGAGGTCTCACAATCATGGTGGAAAGTGAATGAGGAGCAAAGTCCCATCTTACATGGCAGCAGGCAAGAGAACTTGTGCAGGGAAACTCCCATTTATAAAACCATCAGATCTTATGACACTTATTCATTACCACAAGAACAGTATGGGGGAACCGCCCCCATGATTCAAGTATCTCCACCTGGCCCCACCCTTGACCCATGGAGATTAGTACAATTCAAGGTGAGATTTGGGTGGGGACATGGCCAAACCATATCAGTAAGCAAGGACGAAGAAGAAAAGCACAATTTTCAGTCTGTGAAACAGACACTACTCATTGCCTATTCCACAACCAGAGACTCTTTCATGTTGCAAAAGGGAGGCTCCCTTCCCATGCCCTAAGCAGTGAGTTATGCCAGTCATTACATAGCATTTGCAATGAAATCAAGATGAAAAAAATTAATGGTTTTCCTAGAAAAGAAAGAAAGAGAATGATGCATATAAAAACAGAAGAAGAAAGTCACTAGTTGCATAATAATTAATCAGGATAAAATGTGTTATTTAAAACCATTCAATCACTGCCTTTTCTTTTCTCATTCTTACAGGGTACTCATAAGTATAATCATCTGACTGTATCTTTGAAATAGAATTAGGATTTGGGAAGCATCTTAATAAACACTAACTGAAGCCACTCTGAAGAAAACATCATTAATCATGTCATTGATAAGAGATTCTGTCAGCATTACATTTAGAAATTTATACCCAGACTAAATTCCCGTAAACAACTCCCGTGTGCATTAGGGATTAGAAAAAAATGAAGGCTTCTTTGTTTACTATAACACTAAAAAAATATTGTTTAGGCCCAATTTCTCAAAATGGAAACCACCCAGGCACATGTAGTTTCCCAGTTGCAGAATCTTTCCAGTACAGTTCAGTTTGCACAATACTGCTGAATTCTCTTTAGAAAGTACTGTTTTCGCCCAGTGCTGTGGCTGATGCCTGTAATCCCAGCACTTTGGGGAGGCCAATGGGGGCACACTGCTTGAGGCCAGGAGTTTGAGACCAGCCTGGGCAACGTGGTGAAACACTGTCTCTACTAAAAATACAAAAAATTAGCCAGGTGCGGTGGCACACACCTGTAATTCCATCTACGCCAGAGGCTGAGGCATGAGAATCGCTTGAACCAGAGAGGCAGAGGCTTGAACCGGAGAGGCAGAGGTTTCAGTGAGCCAAGATTGGGCCACTGCATTCCAGGCTAGGCAACAGAGCAAAACTCTGTCTCAAAAAAAAAATAAAAATAAAAAAAATGAAAGTAGTTTTCATTGCATCAGCCATCTACTGAAAATCCACTTAAAAAGCTACAAGGGCTTCTCATTGCTTTTTTAAATAAATGAAAAATCCTTAGGCTGGTATTTTAGATGCCTACTTAGTTATTCCTAGGTTTGCCTATCATTAGGTAAGGTTTATATCAATTTTAAAAAATCAACCAAAGCACAATAGCTATTTAGTACTCTATCAGTCTATTTAGACGCTATTCTTTCTTTCTGCTGAGATGGTTGACTAGACCTATGAGTCACACACTTAATTTCTTCAGGAAAAGGTTATCTAGCCACACCCTTGGCCTTCTATCCAGAGCATGATTTTCTAACAATGAATTTCCTGATTTTCACATTCTTTGCCATCTGGATAGGCTAAGAAACTCAACAAATCATCAAGTTCTGGTTCCTGTTTACTTTATTCCTTCCACATTTATCACTTTCCTCTCTGCTTTTACTATAAGCAGCAAGGAGGAACCAGGCTGCATGTTCCACACTTAGCTTGGAAATCTCAGCTAAATATCCAAGTTAATCACTTAGAAGTTCTGCCTTCCACCCAACAGTAAAACACAATTCATTCATGTTTTCTGCCACTTTATAACAAGGACAGCCTTTCCTTCAATTTCAAATAACATACCCTTCATTTTCTTTTGAGACCTCACTGGAGGCATATTTAATGTTGATATTCCTACCAACAATCTGCGAGGACACATACATTCTCTAAGATGAGAGAAGCATCTCTTCCTTCTGAGCCCTCACCAGAATCTCTTTTAACAACTCTATTTCTACCAACAGTCTCTTCAAAGCAATTTAGGCTTTTTCTTTCATATACCTCAGCATTCATTCAGCCTCTACCATTACCCAATTCCAAGGCCACTTCCACATTCCTACATATTTGTTATAGCAGGACTCCACTTCCTGCTACCAGAATCTGTATTAGTTTCCTGGGGGGCGGGGGAGCAGTAACAAATTACTATAAACTGGGTAGCTTGAAACAACAGAAATTTATTCTCTGGAGGCTAAAAGTCCAAAGTCAAGGTGTCAGCAGGGTTGGTTGCTTATGGAGACGCTAAGGGAGAGTCTATTTCCTAGCTTCTAGCAGCTGCTGGCAGTCCTTGGCATTTCTTGGCTTGTAGACGTGTCACTCTAATCTCTGCCTCCATCATCAATGACTTTCTCCCTTGTGTCTCTGTCTCTCCAACCTTCTTTTGCCTATTCATTCCTATAATGATATTTAAGGCCCACCCTAAATCCAGCATTACCTCACCTCAAAATCCTAAACTTATTTACATCTGTAAAGATCTTTTATCCAAATAAGGTCACATTCACAGGTTCTGGGGGTTGTGATTTGGATATATCCTTTTGGGGGCCACTATTCAGCCTACTATCCCTTTTGCTCCCCAAATTTCATGTCTGTCCACATATAAAACATGTTCACCTCATCTCAACATCTCCAAAAGTCTCAGCCCATGATAACATCAGCACTAAGTCCAAAATCTCACCTAAATATTATCAGCTCCAAAGCCTCAGATCTTGTCATCTAAATCAGATATGGGTGAGACTATGGGTATAAATTATCCTGGGGCAGAAATTCCTCTCTATCTCTGGATCACGAACATAGAAAACAAGTTATCTACTTCCAAAGTAAAAGAGTGGGACAGGCATTGCGTATCCTTATGCATGAATTGGGTTTACAATATATATCCTTATACATTCCTATTCAAAAAGAGAGAAATTGGAAGGAATAAAAAGGTTGTCAGTCCCAACTCTGAAATCTAGTAGGAGAAATTTAATTAAGTTTCAAGACCTAAGACTAATTATATGTGGCTTGATGCTTGCTATAGACAAAATGTTTGTGTCTCCCCAAAATTCCTGTGTTGAAATCCTAACCCCTACTATGATGGTATTAGGAGGTGGAAACTTTGGTGGGCGATTAGGTCATAAGGGTGGAGCCCCCATGAATGGGATTAGTGCCCTTATAAAAGAGACCCCCAAGAGTTCTCTAACCCCTCTGTCATATGAAGACAGTGAAAAGACAGCTGTCCATGAACCAGTAAGTGGGCCCTCACCAGGCACAGAATCTTCTAGCACCTTGATCTTGCACTTTTCATCCTTTAGAACTGTCAGACGTAAATTTCTGTTGCTTATAAGCTACGCAGTCTATGGTAGTTTATCACAGCAGTCTGGGTGGACTAAGATGATGCTCCACTTGCTGGGGCCACAGCTCTAGCCTCTGAGTCTGCAGCAATGGCTCCATTAGCCTCTGGGCCTATGGCGGCAGCTCAGTCTGCTTCTGGGCTGTCCTCAGCAGCCCCAGCTGGCCTCTGTGCCACTCTGCCCTTAGAGTCATTCATCCTCTCTCAAAGGGTAGTACACATTTGTAGCTGAGTATCAGTCTGTTTCTGGCTGTAGAATCACAGAAGTCCTGTTTCAATCTTATCTTTTATGAGTTCTAAGTTTTATATCCTTCTTAAAAAGGCCTTTTTGGACAGGTGCGGTGGCTCACACCTGTAATCCCAGAACTTTGGGAGGCTGAGTCGGGAGGATTTCTTGAGTCCAGCAGTGCAAGACCTCCCTGGCCAACATGGTGAAACCCCATCTCTACTAAAAATACAAAAATTAACCAGGTGTGGTGGCATGCGCCTGTAATCCCAGCTACTCAGAAGGATTGCTTGATCCTGAAGGAGATGGAGGATGCAGTGAGCCGAGATTGCTAGCCACTGCACTCCAGCCTAGGTGACAGAGGGATACCCTGTTTCAAAAAAAAAAAAAAAAAGGCCTTTTTAACTATAAAGGTATATGTGATTCCACATTTTCTTCTCATGCTTTACAATTCTGTTTTTTATAACCATTCCTAGGGAATTTATTCTCGTACATCATTTAAGGATGAGATAAAGCTGTGGTTTCCCAATCAGTAGCTAGTTATCTGGCCCTATTGATCCTATTGATTGATCAATGCCTTATTTATCTATAATATGCCAGTTTTATCATATATATGAATATTTGAGGTAATGCCTTTTTTTTTTTTTTTTAAAGAGATGAGGTCTTGCTATGTTGCCCAGGCTGGTCTCTTAACTTCTGGGTTCAAGTGATTCTCTCATCTCAGCATTTCAGCCTCTGGAGTAGCTGGGACTACAGGCATGTACCACGATTCCTGAGTTGATTTAATGACATTTTAACAGAATCCTCCCTCCCTCTCTCTCTCTTTCTCTAAATATGGGTGTGAGCTCTCAGCCAATGGGAATTCGTGTGTAGTGTGACGAACTGTATAAAACAGTTCTCAGGCAATAAGCATAAGAACACTATAGCCTCAGCTAGGAGGCCCACTGCTTAGCTACCATAGGGTGAATATGTTCTGCAGCATGTGTTATTTACTATTCAATGGGCTGTCTTTTGTTTATTTTGTATTTTGTAGAGAAGTTTGTCCCAAATGACTGATTAAGCATGTGGAAATAATAATGTTGAATATGCTTCATATAAGCAAGAAAATAGTGTTACAATGGGTCTTAAAAGTAGAAGCCTTGGAGAGGCTTTTGAAGAGGCACTTTCCAGGATGCAATCAAGGAAGCAGAAGGTTAAGACCATGGAGAAACTAGATATTGGTAAGTGCTAACTGACATTAAAAAGGCCATCCTAAGCATCACTGTGATCTAGATTGACCAACAATTGTATGAAGATAGCTAGGAAAAAACTAAGGTAGTAGTCTCATCCCCACTTCGGAGACTCTGAGTAGACCGCAGAAGTGGTTGCCAAGGCAGGATATCAGGAAAGCATCTCCATAGGGACTTTGTGATAGCAATTCTCTGATAGAGTTGATTCAGTTATGTACCTCTTTCCAGTAACACAGTCCCTCCACTAAATAGGGTATGTGTGTACTAAATTCCTGTAAGTATACATGAGTCTGTTTCAGGAATATACATTCTGCAATATTAATTTATGTGTCCATTCCTGCATCAATACCACATTTTAATCACTGTAGCTTTGAAATGTTTTAATGTATTGTGACACAGAAAAGATGTTGAATATTTTTGCTTATTTACTTTTCCAGATGAACTTTAAAATAAGCTTGTGTCAAATTCTCTTATCTTAAAAATCCCTTTGGCCAGGTACAGTGCCTCACACCTATAATCTCAGCACTTTGGGAGGCCGAGAAGGACAGACCGCTTGAGGTCAAGAGTTGAAGACCAGCAAGGCCAACATGGTGAAATCCCGTTTCTACTGAAAAAAAAAAATACAAAAATTAGCAGGGCGTCATAGCAGACACCTATAATCCCAGCTAGTGGGGAGGCTGACGCAGGGGAATCACTTGAACCCAGGAGGCGGAGGTGCAGTGAGCCAAGATTGGGCCACTACCCTCCAGCTTGGGTGACAGAGGGAGACTCTGACAAAAAAAAAAAAAAAAAAAATCCCTTTAAGATTTTGATTAGGTTCACACTGACTTGATAGGAAACTATCATGTTTGCAATATTGTTCTTCCTATCCAAGTTTATAATGTACTTATTCAGGTATTTTCTATATCCTTTGGCAACATTTTTTCATACAAATCCTACAGTTTTGGGATTTATTACTGGTCATGTTGTAGATTTTATTGTTTTAGGCTGTGGAAACATTTCTTTCAATTATGTTTTAAAATTATATTTTACTGGTATTTAGGAAAGATGTCATTTTATCTTACATACTTTCACTTTACTGACCTCTCTTATGAATTCTGAGTTTTTCTTTTGATTGTTGGATTTTTTGTTGGCAATCATGACATCTTCAAATAATGAAAGTTTTGGCTCTTTCCTTCTGGTATTGATACCTCTCTTTTTTTCCTTGCCTCTTTCCCATTGGTTTAGAAATTTAATGGGAATGTTTTCAATGTTTCATCATTAAGTATGTCCTTAATTAGGTCTATACCAGATTTTCTCTAGCAGGTCAAGCAAGGTTTGTTCTATTCCTATTTTACTGATAGTTTTATTTTTTCATAATATTGTTAAGATGATAGTAGTAATGCTACTATACTATATATAGTCTACATACATTTCTTTAAGAAATTTATTAAGACTTTTTATGACCTATTATGTATTTTTTCTTTTTAAAAAATCTTTAAAACCTGTGAAACCTGTTATATTTGCTTCATGCATACTTGAAATGTAAATTATGTTTAATTTCTATATTAAGTTGTGATAATGGAGTCATTTAAACCCTATAATACCTTTTCTTGATAACTTATGAGAGTTTTATCAAAATTTCCTTCTTTGATTATGATGATTGTGCGTTTCCATTTCTTCTTATATTCTCGCTGATTCACTTTTCTTTTTCTATTTCCATGTTGAGTTGTTAGGTAGATAAAGATTCATGATGATTATAACTTATTGGTGGGTTTAATCAGCAAAGCACATTCCACTTTTGTTTTGACTAAATCTATCATTGCTTGTTTCTTTTTGTTACCATTTACTTTGTATATTTTCTCTATCTCTTTATACCAAACTTTTTAGATGTGTGTCCTATAAATAGCATATTATTAGGTATTTTAGCTACCCAATCTAATAATGTATCTTTTACAAAATTAACCTATTGACTTTTGTGATAGTATATATTGGGTACTTTATCTTTGCTATGTTTTCTTTCTTTATTTCCTATCTTCAGCTCAATTTGTTGAGTTTTGCTTATTCCCCCCCACCCCCCTGCTCCACCTTCTTTTTCTTTCTAGGAGTTTGGAAGTTATTTATCCCATTCTTTTCTTCTCTGGCTTGCTCCTTGCCCTTGAATTTTAGAAAATACCTTATTTAAACTCAGGTTTTTCTATAATGTGAATGATTGTTGTTAATAACCTCCATCCAAAACTAGACAAGATCCTTAATAAATTTACACTAACCCTAACTCCTCCCAGCCTCAAAATTGCTTCATGATGTGGCCCAATTTTATGTGAGTTTTACCTTAATAACGGCCATAATCTTTACAGTAACTTCATAAAAATTATTTTTCTGTCAGTGTCACTTCTTTTTTTGCTTACCACCATCTCTTTTATTCTATGTGTTCTTCTTGGCTGTATATATTTTTTGTTTTCAGTATCTCCAAGAAGTACTTTCAGGAAACACTAGTGGTAGTAGTTTCTGAGTCCCTTAATATTGTCTTCATATGTCAATGATAGTTTGGCTAAGCACAGAAATTTAGGTGAAAAATAATATTCCTTTAGAACTGTGAGGAAATTATTCCATTTTGCTTACAGCCCAAGCGTTCAAATGAAAAATTTAAAGCAATCTGAATATTGTTTCTTTAAAACTTTCTTGTTTTTGTTTTACTCTTTAGAAATTCTTAGTGATTTTTTCTTGGAGATCAGAAATTTCACATGATAAATCTAGGTATGGTGCTCTGCACCACCCCTCTCCACCCCACACATATATGCAGATATTTTATTGGTTTTCCCTAAAAAGGACAATAACAACATTTTAAAAATATAAATCTGAGGTCATTTGAGGGGCCAACAAAATACAAGGAAGGGAGATAAAAATTAAATGTTTAAATTTAACAAAAGTCACTACAATGTCACCTAACATCTACTACAATGGTGGTAATAAACTAAGGAAGATTAAGTTACAGCAAAAATAACTAATATAAATATTAGAGATTACATAGCAAAAAGTGGGTTTGCCTTCCAGAAGACTATGGTACCCTGACCATTTGGGGCCCAGTAGGATATTTAGCAATGAAAAGGTCAAGATGGGTGGAGGTAAAGCTAAATCAAAAGGAACAGGTATAACTGAGAATCCAAGATAGATAGTGTCCAAATAGATGGTGACAGATCAATCTTCCTCCTCTCAAGAAGCATTTACTGTACTTGTTGCTTCCTCTCAAGATCCCAATGGCTGCTCAAGCTGAAAGTTGCCTATTCCTGCTGTTGAGGGTGTTCAGCAACCAGAATTAATTTTGTGGTGGCTCAGGGCTCTTGCTGCAACTGAGCATCGAACTTGGAGAATTTGTGACACAAAGTGGGGGTTTGGGGCAGGGGGTAGATTGGGTGGCTTTATTGCTAGTTGTTCTGAAAAAAGAAAACTCCGAAGCATTTACATGTAAGCTTTCCAACCACTTTCAAACACCTCTACAAAACACCCTCAGAAGTCTGAAATCTTTGCAGCAGAAGGGCTGTAGTTAAAGCTGCTGGGCTAACAAAATCATCAAAGAAGCCAGATGAGACAACCCAGTCAGGAAATCCTAGTGATTATTCTTAACCTGTTTTTCCCTAATTTAAGGTAAACTCTTATATACCTGATGTGGGATGTAGAAAGTTACACTGGAGCAAGCTGGATCTTCTGCTGAACTTTTAATCAAACCTAAGAAAAAATAAAGGCAAGGTTTGTTTTTATTAATCTTATTTTATTTTAAAATAGCATAACCTAGAAGTTATTCTGTTATAAAGGAACATGGCTGAACAGGTAGGAAACAGATTCCCCATTATGAGTTCTCCTTATGGCTTCTGCAAGGATCATGGAGATGTCAATTACTCGTATTTTGGAGCAATGCTTCATCTTCTCATCTTGAGGTATGGTATTGGTGACTACCACTGCTTCAAAGCATGCAGTGTTGATGCGAGAAATGGCTGGGCCAGAAAAGATTCCATGAGTCAAGATAGCATAAACTCTGGTTGCTCCAGCTGAGAGAAGTTTGTCAGCTGCGAGGCAGATTGTAACACAAGTGTCTGCCATGTCATCTACAAGGATAGCCACACGATCATTCACATCTCCCACTAGCACTATGCAGTCCACTTCATTGGCCTTCTTCCGTTCTTTATGAATCAAAGCAAAGTCCACATTCAACTGGTCTGCAATGGAGGTCACTCTTTTAGCTCCACCAGCATCTGGCGAGACAATAATGCAGTTCTTCCACTCAGGGATATTCTCCCTTATCCACTTCAGGACAGTTGGCTCTGCATACAAGTTGTCTACTGGGATATCAAAAAAGCCCTGAATTTGAGAAGCATGTAGGTCCATGGTGATGATATGATCCGCACCTGCTATAGAGAGCATATTTGCAACAAGCTTGGCAGAGATTGGGGACCGGCTCTTATCCTTCTTATCCTGTCGGGCATAAGGGAAGCATGGGATGACTGCAGTAACTCGGCTAGCTGAAGCAATCTTGCAGGCATTAATCATGATCAAAAGCTCCATTAGACTGTCGTTGATTTCGCCACAACCACTCTGAACGATGTAGACATCCTCTCCACGCACACTCTCATCAATTTCCACGCAGGTCTCCTGGTTGCTGAATTTCTTAGTCACCACCTTGCCTAGCTCCAGGCCCAGGCGGTCAGCAATTTTCTGGGATAAGTCCTGGTGGGAGCTGCCGCTGAAGATTTTGATATTCGGCGTCTTGGCCAACTACCAGAGGCACTCCGTCGAGCGATCCAGCTGCCGCTGAGGCTGGAACGGAAGTGAAGCACAGACTCTAATGGCTTCCGGTTGTTACTCAACCGTTAGGGTCCCTTCCCCCTTGCGGCGCGCGGTCCCAAATTGACCCTGGGTCTCTTGAAAAAATTTCTGCTTGCCACCTCCCACTTCACACTTTTAGACTAAATAATCAAGTATTTACAGTGTATGGAGTTTTTTTCTATTAGCACCTATATTAGTTTCACAGGGCTATTTAAACAAATTTGAATGCATAAAAACATAAAACTACAAAGCAAAACCCAAGTTTAAAAGGAAAATTACCTACTAAAGTATATGCAAAAGATTATTTTAGAAAGAATTTCCCCAATGAAGTGAGAAAAAGACAATAAAATAGAAAGTTGAAAAATGGCATAAATAGGCAATCACAGTAAAAAAAAAATGGATAAGAAACGTGAAACAATGGAAGTAATCAAGAAAACGCTATTTTCACACATCAAGTAGCCAAAATGTTAAGATAAGGTCTTCTATTCGGATGGAATGTATAAATATGTAGATTTTGCATGGGTAATTTTGCACATAAACTTTGACTCATCATGTATACTTCTAGGAATCTATTTCAGAGAAATTTTCACAAGCACCCCAAATATATATGGCTACATAGTAGTGTAGCTGTATTCATTCATGCAATAAATATTTTGTGAACACCTCCTATATGTCAGGTATTATACTACTTCTAGGGTATAAAAATTGTGCATGACAAATAGTAATTGCCCTAGAATTGTTTATAAAAGCAAAATATGGGAACCAACAAATGTTCATCAATAGGTAAATTACCAAATAATTTATTGTATATACATATGCGACCATTAAATAGATTAAGTGTAATCATGTGGAAATGTCTCCTAGGTATTTTTTTAAAGGTAAAGTCAGTCACAAAAATATCATAGTATTATATTTATGTATTTAAGATTATGTGATACTGAAAGCATCCAATTAGCATGGAAGTCCTCTTTATAATAATTACCTTTGGAGAGGGGAGTAGGTTGTGAGAGTTGAGAATGAAGGAGGACTGTTACATTTTACTGCTATCAGTGTGGCATTTGAACATTTATTACTTTTGTAGTAAAAATGATGAACAAAATGTATTTGGTAATTAAATGTTTGTTAGCAAATTTTAAGTATACAGCTTCTATGGCGTATCGGGGCTGGAAATAGTGAGGAAGGAGGCAGAAAGGACCATAGATGCCAATGATTTCATAAAAATAATGGAGGCATCAGATACAGATCAACCATTTATATCTTGCTAATTGTGTGCCTGACATTTGGATACCAGGGTGTTTTTATTTAGCCTAAAACCAAATCATCATTTTTTTCATATTGTAAGATAACCAAATAATTTAAGAGATTTTCTCACCACACTTCTGGGCTTCCTTAATGTGTTGGGTTCATGAATAGGATAAACTCAGAAATGGGATAAGAAATGGGGTAGGCAACAAAGATGGGTAAGATTCAGCAATGTCTGTGAAAAACATTACTTAGCTATAAAAAGGTAGTTTTATATATTGAATGAGGTATTATTATAAACTCAAATAAACAGCTATGTTTTAAATTTTACACCAAAATGGCTTGCTGCTGATCCAATCATTTCTCTCCTGGCATCAACATGGTTTTCTCTCTAGTTCAGCCTCTTCCTGGTTGACAGTGTATGCCAGCCCATTTCTGTCCATAACCCTTCATTCATATTCTTTTTATCACACACACAAAAAATCAACAGACCTACCTATACCACATAATTCTCACCCTTAGCCAGACTACATAAAGTGATTTCTAAAAATCCCGTGGCTTAATTTAGAAGCACTAATAGTATTTGTAGTTTCAATTTATTTTTCTCTTACTATTCTGTGTGTCACACATTTTTCAGTGTTGTTTAAAAAACAAAACAGATTCTAAACAGGTTTAATATTACCTAAATAGGATTAAATGCTAATGTGAACATTTAAAACCCATACTTGGTTGCATTTTCCTTGAGGTGTTAAGGAGGAGAAATTTTTGTCTTGCTGCTATTTTTGTTTCAAGCTCTAGCTGTTGCTACATGTTATAGTTCCAGAAATTTGTCTACAGTCATAAAATGTTAAAGATAGATATGGCCTTAGAGACCACCTAGTCTGATTATCACACTTCACTGACAGGGAACTAAGGCTCAGAGAAATGAAGTAACCTGCCTGGGATCTATCAGCTAAATAGAGGCAGAGTGTGGATTAGAATGTGGGACTCCTGAATTTCCAAGTAGGGCCTTATCAACTATACACTTTCAAGCCTTTTCTTTGAGATTTATCAGAATAAAGGAAAAATTTAAAAGTACTACAAAATATTTGCATTTTTTTTCTCTTTTACCAAGCAACTACAATAAAGAACATAATCCCAAACATGAGACTGGAAAGTTTTTTGCTTTCAAAACAAAAACTTTTCCCAGAAAGAAATGAACCATTAGTAGTGTCAGGGAAGTAGCTTTGTTATTCTGACATTTCTGTTACCTACCTGGTCTATTGCAAGGGGATTTAGCGTCTGTTTACTTTGGTCTCTGTAGGTTGAGAGGGACATCTGTTTTATCATTGGCTGCATTTCACAAGTTACAGGTAGGAATGATGCCTATTGAATAGTATCTTCTATTAAGGACATTGTTTCTTAAATTATTCTGGAAACAAAAATTGCGATATAGAGACAATGCCTTATCTTTCTCCTTCCCAAGGCAAGCATATTTAAATGTCATCTCTATGGATCTGTGAGAATTACTGTATTTTGAAGGTCTTTTGAGTCAATACCCAGAATATATATATATATATATATATATACACACACACACACATATATATAAAACCTTGGTAATAGTTTCTTGCTTTACCGATTATTCTTTTACCCTTCACAATTCCAACATAAATAATTCAAAGAGAGCTCTGATGCAGCTTATCAGCTAGAGAAAAAAGAAATTCAGTCAGTTCTTTCAGAAAGTGAAGAAAAATGGATGTTGTATTTTAAATGAAATAAATGCTTTCACTAAACATACTTGCAGTTGACAAAATGCTAGATGTTTAGGTGGCAATTATAGTTTTTTGATAAACTGTCAAATCTTGTCACAACACATGTTACAAACAAGGACAGATTTAGATGTCCTTTATGACAGCTTTGTGTAGGTTGGGAATGTTTGGCAGTTAATTTCAAACGAGGAACATATTTTTCTTTCCAGCAGTTATCTGCTGGTTTATTAGGCAGAGTTTCTTTGTGCCTTTAATCTTAACTCATTTGACTCACAGTTCCAGATCATTATTGTAACATTACTTTACCTCATTTATTTTATTCATAATAATCATCCACAATACTTTGGGAAAACAATTTCCTACAAAGCTTCACATTGATATAAATGCTTTAAGGTTTGTTTTGTGATTGTTTATGATTAAAGTTGACTACTCTGAGTGTTTACTGAGCTTTTGGTTGGAAATCTGTCGTTTTAAACAATAAATGTGTATATAGCAACTAAATAAAGCTGAGTGAAACAAATAGAATAGGAGAAATTTTTGTGATTCAGAAATGTGGCTTTAATTCTGAGTGTTATGTTAGACTCATGAGGGTATTTTTGAAATGTACTTTGGAATTAAAAAAAACTTTCTGGTGAACTTAAAAATCTTAGCATAAAATAATAATCTTGGAATGACAGCAAGGTTACACGAGCTGAATATGTCATTGTAAAAGACAAACGAACATATAGAGAGGTTCCATAAGTAGTAAATTGCAAATAAGAAAATATCTTTTCAATATTTCTGTGAAATATTTTAAAGTATTTCAAAGCAGTTTTTGATAATGAATATTTTGTTTCTCACATGCAATGTTAGTCTCATGAAATTAAAAAAAGATATGTTTATTTTGACAAAATGCAAGCTTCATTTACGCTATTTAAACCCCTTTAAAAAGACAGTTTTTCCCTCCTCAAAATTGGCCATTTATTTAATTCTAACAATAAACATTGAGACTACTTGTGTACTCGCCTATGGGAAAATTGAGTACCGTTTGTTTTGGAATGGTTCTGCAATTCTCAAACTTCAGAGCATCAGGATCACTGGGAGGATTTGTTAGAATACAGATTCCCAAGCTCCATCTTCAGAGTTTCTCATCAGTAGGCCTGGGGTGGAGGCCCAGAGTTTGTGTTTCTAACAAGACACTAGACAAGACTGATGCTGTTGTTCTGTTGATACGTTTGAGAATCTATTTCATTTTATCTAAATTTATTGGCTAGATGCTTTCCATAAGATCCTCCTATTATATTTTTAGTGTCTGCAACATCTTTAGTACAATTCCCTTTGTCATTTCTGGTATTAGATTTGTGTAATTATTCTCTTTCTTTTTGATCAATTTCACCAGCAGTCTATTAATTTCATCAGCCCTTTCTAAAAAACCTAATGTTTTGATGTATACCTAATGGTTGATGTATCATACTTCAGTGGCTGCTTGTTTTTAACTTTATTGACTTCAAGATTATTTACTATTTACTTTCATCTCAACTTTGAGTTTATTTTGCTGTCCCTTTTCTAATTTGAAATGTGTGCTTAGCTTACTATTTATCACTAGTAAAGCTATATATTTTTCCTCTAAGTACTATTTTACCTGAAGTTTTATGTGTAGTATTTTTGTTATTGTTCAGATAAGGCCAGTTTCCAATTTGGATAGCAATTTCTTCATTTCAGGGGTTATTTTAAAGTTTATTTCTTAATTTACAAATACACGGGGCATTTCTAGATATTTCGTTGTTTTGGGTTTCTTGCTTAATCACACACCAAAGGACATGTTCTTTGTGATTTTAGTCCTTTGAAATCTGCTGCAACTGTTCTTATGGTCCTCCATGGTCACTTTTCATAAATATTTTGTGTGTGCTGAAGAAGAAATGTACTCTTGAGTGGATAGGTGCGATATACATATTCATGCATTAGATCTGGGATCTGGTTTGTTTGTAGTATTATTTACATCTTCTATAGCTTTACTGAATTTTTTGTCTGCTTTATCAAATACTGAAAGAAATAGGTTTCCACAGTGACTGTTGGTATATATCGATTTCTCCTTACATAGCCCTTTGTTATTTCTCTTTATATTTTGAGGCTCAGTAGTTACCGAAATTTAATTTGTCATAACTTTTTGAGGAACTATGATATTATTTTAAGGTAACAGTTATTTTTTTTCTAGTAATGCCTTTTGCCTTAAATTCTATTTTGTCTGGTGATTATTTTATTATATTAGCTATCTTTTTAGATAGCATTTGGTTTATTTTCTTATTTTTTAGTTTCAATCTTATTGCATGTTTATGTATTAAATGTGTTGCTTATAAATAGGATATGGTTAGATTTTATTGTATCTCCTAATCAAAGTTATAAGTTAATGAATACCTTTCCCCTCCTCTCAGAAAATGCAAAGATCTTCATGTCATTTAACTTCATTTATTCCCTCCTGATATAAATAGTAGCAGCCAGCTATTATCATTTTGTCTCTTTTCTTTCTTCCTTTCTTCTTTTCTTTCTTTTACTTCCACATTCACATTATTATTATTAATATTTTATACAATCAGTGTCCCTTTAGATATATGTACCTATGTTTTACTGTCTTTGGTCCTCTTTTATTATCTTAAGGCTTTTATTTGGCATGACTTTTCTTCTGCTTAAAGTATATCCTTACAAATTTTCTAGGTGCTACTAGTGAAACACTCCATTTTTTCCTTTTTTTCTGATAACATCTTCATTCCACCCTCATTCTTTTTATTTTATTTTATTTTACATCAATAGTTTTTGGGGAACAGGTGGTTTTGATTACATGGATAAATTCTTTAGTGGTGATTTCTGAGATTTTGGTGTTCCCGTCACCTGAGCAGTGTACACTGTACCCGATGGGTAGTCCTTTTATCCCTTACGCCCCCTTCCACTCTCCCCCGACTCCCCAAAATCCATGACAGCATTCTTATGCCTTTGTGTCCTCATAGTTTAGCTCCCACTTATAAGTGACAACATAGGATATTTGTTTTTTCCATTCCTGAGTTACTTTACATAGAACAATCATCTCCAACTCCATGCAGGTTGCTGTGAGTGCCATTATCTCATTCCTTTTTATGGCTGAGTAGTACTCCATGGTGTGTGCATGTGTATATGTATCACATTTGCTTTACCCACCTATTGATTGATGGGCATTTAGGATGGTTCCATATATTTGCAATTGCAAATTACGCTGCCATTAACATGTGTGTGCAAGTGTCTTTTTCATATGACTTCTTTAACTCTGGGTAGATGCCCAGTAGTGGGATTGCTCAATCAAATGGTAGTTCTACTTTTGGTTCTTTAAGGAGTCTCCGTACTGTTTTCCATGGTAGTTATACTAGTTTACATTCCTATCAGCAGTGTAAAAGCATTCCCTTTTCACCACATCTATGCCAACATCTATTATTTTCGGATTTTGAAATTATGACCATTCTTGTAAGAGTAAGGTTGTATCTCATTGTGGTTTTAATTTGCATTTCCCTGATAATTGGTAATGTTAAGAATTTTTTCATATGTTTCTTAGCCATTTGTATATCTTCTTTTGAGAATCGTCTATCCATGTCCTTAGCCCACTATTTGACGGGATTAGTTGTTTCATTCTTGCAGATTTGTTTGAGTTCCTTGTAGATTCTGGATATTGGTTCTTTGTCGGATGCATAGTTTGCAGATATTTTCTCTATGGAATGTCTGTTTACTCTGCTGATTATTTCTTTTGCTGTGCAGATGCTTTTTAGTTTAATTAGGTTCCGTTTATTTTTGTTTTTGTGGCATTTGCTTTTGTGTTCTTGGTCATGAACTCTTTGCCTAAGCCAATGTCTAGAACAGTTTTTCTGATGTTATCTTCCAGAATTTGTATGGCTTCAGGTCTTAGATTTAAGTCTTTGCTCCATCTTGAGTTGATGTTTGTATAAGGTGAGAGATAAGGATTCGGTTTCATTCTTCTACGTGTGGCTCACCAATTATCCCAGGACCATTTGTTGAATAGGGTGTCCTTTCCCCACTCTGTGTTTTTGTATGCTTTGTCAAAGATCAGTTGGCTGTTACCAAACTATTCCCTGTAATACGGTTTAAAGTCAGGTAATTTAATGGATCCAAATTTATCCTTTTTGCTTTTGTTATGTGGGCTCTTTTTTGGTTCCACATGAATTTTAGGATTGTTTTTTCTAGCTCTGTGAAGAATGATGATGATATTTTGGTGGGAATTTCATTGAATCTGTAGATTGCTTTTGAAGTGTGGTCATTTTTACAATATTGATTATGCCCATCCATGAGCATGGGATGTGTTTCCATTTGTTTGTTTGTCTGTGATTTCTTTCAGCAGTGTTTCACAGTTTTCCTTGTAGAGATCTTTCACCTCCTTGATTAGGTATATTGCTAAATTATTTTTTTTTATTTTTTTCAGCTAGTGTAAAAAGGGTTGAGTTCCTGATTTGAATCTCAGCTTTGTTGTTGGTGGTGTATAGCAGTGTTATTCATTTGTGTACATTAATTTTGTATCCTAAAACTTTACTGAATTCATTTATCAGATCTAGGAGCTTTTTGAATGAGTCTTTGTGATCTTCTAGGTATACAATCTTATCGGTAAACAGCCACAGTTTAGCTTCCTCTTTACTGATTTGGATGCCCTTTATTTCTTTCTCTTGTCTGATTGCTCTGACTAGGACTTCCAGTACTATGTTAAATAGAAGTGGTGAAAGTGGGCATCCTTGTCTTGTTCCAGTTCTCAGGGAAAATGCTTTCAACTTTTCCCTTTCAGTATAATAGATGACTTTTATTACCTTGAGGTATTTCTCATCTATGCCAGTTTCGCTGAGGGTTTTAATCATGAAGGGATGCTGGATTTTGACAGATGCTTTTTCTGTGTCTATTTAGATGATCATTTGATTTTTGTTTTTAATTCTGTTTATGCAATGTACCACATTTGTTGACTTGTGTATGTTAAACCATCCCTGCATCCCTGGTATGAAACCACTTGATCATGGTGTACTATCTTTTTGATATACCGTTGGATTCAGATAGCTAGTATTTTGTTGAGGATTTTCGCATTTATGTTCATCAGTGATATTGGCCTGTAGTTTTCTTTTTTTGTTTTGTTCTGTTATGTAACAGAATATGTTTATTCTGTATCTTTTAATTGGAGCATTTAGGCTCACTGCAACCTCTGCTTCCTGAGTTCAAGTGATTCTCCTGCCTCAGCCTCCCGAGTAGCTGGCACTACAGGCGCCTGCCACCACGACCGGCTAATTTTTGTATTTTTAGTAGAGACGGGATTTCACTATGTTGGCCATGCTGGTCTGGAACTCCTGACCTCAGGTGATCTGCCCACTTTGGCCTCGCAAAGTGTTGGGATTACAGGCGTGAGCCACTGCGGCCGGCCTGAAACTATTATTATTATTATTATTATTAATTAATTAATTAATTTATTTATTTATTTATTTATTTATTTATTTTTTGAGACGGAGTCTCGCTCCTTAGCCCTGGCTGGAGTGCAGTGGCGCGATATCGGCTCACTGCAAGCTCCACCTCCCGGGTTCACGCCATTCTCCTGCCTCAGCCTCTCCGAGTAGCTGGCACTACAGGCGCCCGCCCCCACGCCCGGCTAATCGTATTTTCAGTAGAGACTGGGTTTCACCGTGGTCTCGATCGATCTCCTGACCTCGTGATCTGCCCACCTCGGCCTCCCAAAGTGCTGGGATTACAAGCCTGAGCCACCGCTCCCAGCCTGAGCCTGAAACTATTTGTAAAATACTTAATATAAGAGCTGTTCTATAAGATGTGTCTGGTAATTCCAATATCTGAAAATTTTAGAGTCTTTATCTGCTATTTATTTTGTTTTCCTCATGATGACTTTTTTCCTTTTGTGCTTATGTTTAACTGTGTACTCTCATGAAAATAGAATTTATTTCTACTAAAATTCTTTGAAGTCTAAAATGAAAGTTTCTTTTTCCAGAGATAATTTGTTTCTGACTCCTGCCTGGAGAAGCTACTATCTGGGACTACCTTAAATCAAGTACAGTGCTACAGTTTCCCCAGATTATCTTGGTGATACAACCCCAGATGGCAGAACTATGCAAGGGTGGCCTAAGGTCACAATTTCTTAGGTATCTTCTCTCTCACACCCCCTCACATCATTTTCATCTGCTGGCTGCTGCGCTCACAAGTCATTCCTCTCTGCTATGGACTGTGGCGACAGGCTTCTTTCTGGTTCACCATTACTCTGAAGATAGAGCGCTCTCAGGTCCCAATTTAATGAGCAGAAGGTCTTCTATCAGACTTTTCACCTTGGGCAGGCCCTGGGCCTTAACTTCTATCTCCCTTGGCTGATAAAGACTTTAAAAATGAAGCCTGAGATGATTATATCTAGTCTTAGCTTTTCTATCAATAATTTAGCGTGAGTCTGTGCTCATATCCCCTCCCTGAGGGCTGAATGATGGGAGCCACAAGCCACAGTGGCCACTGGCAGAGAACCCATGTGCCCTAAGGAGAAGCCATCTTAGGAAGATCAGTGGTAGCAGAGGCTGTGCCATGGTGGCGGATGAAGAGGTTGGAGTGGACAAATATGTGAGATCCTGTATTAAATAGAAGAAACTAGTAGTCTGAGAAACTGTCAGAAATAGTTCACTGTAGGACACTTTGAGATGAGGGAATTTTTGGAATTAATGTAAGTTTGTGTCATAATTATATTTACAATTCCAACTTGGTTTTCCCATGTCTGATAGGACCTTGGAAATCAGGACTCCATTTGTATTTATAATATACTCCAGGTCAGTGCAAATGAGGCATGAGAATAGGGTCTGGAGGCAGGGAACCTAAGGCCCTTTCATGGTAGCTGGACATTAGGGGCTTCTCCCTTTTCAACCTCTCATTTTTCTCTGTGGCAGTTGCAAAATGAAAGTACCACTGATTGGGCCCCTCCTGCAATCAATCAGACTAGTTATGGGCCTACTCTTCTTGTTCCACAACCAATCAGACTGGTCGCAGGCCACTACTTCATTTGCATAGAGTGAACCAATGGAAAACCTCTAAAGGGTATTTAAAGCCCCAAAACTTCTGTAACCAAGGCTTTTGAGACACTTGCTCGAGCTCGCTCTTACACTGTGGAGTGTACTTTTGTTTAAAATAAATCTCTGCTTTTGCTGCCTTGCTTTGTTTGTGTGTTTTGTCCAATTCTTTGTTCAAAACATCAAGAACCTGGAAAACTACCCTTAACTGGTAACACTAACAGACACTAAATATGTATAATAAATATATATTCTACATACTACCTTCTAGTAATTCATCTTTAAAATGTTACTTGTAATTGTTGTTGACTTTAGCAGTTTACTTCACCAACAGTCAATTTTTGTATAAATACATTCTGCTTCATATCCTTATATGTTAATTTACTTCTTATCAATTCAATTCATGAGCTCTCATTTCAAACAAACTACAATGAAACATAAGAAACAGCTTATTAGTGTCAATCTGTTTTATTCCTTTTGTAGACATAGGAAAAGGAGGTTTTGCCAGTGGTTAAGCTAATACTTTATTTCTTAAAAATTTTCTTATTTTTAAAGCAATATTTTATTGTCACTAGTTCTTTTATCTGTTTGGAGTACAGAAAAATGGTGATTAATGATCTAAGTACTAGTAGAGCAAAATAGTTGATTTCTTATGTCCTTTAAGTTTTATCTAATTGCAGAGGGGCAGTTTGGTGTTGTGGATATGCACACAGACTCTGGTGCCAGACTGCCTGGGTTTGAATCCTGGCTCATTAACCTAAGATCTGGGTGACTTGGGGCAA
This sequence comes from Homo sapiens, assembly GCF_000001405.40. Taxonomy (NCBI): domain Eukaryota; kingdom Metazoa; phylum Chordata; class Mammalia; order Primates; family Hominidae; genus Homo; species Homo sapiens. Next base: position 18,038,652 of record NC_000007.14, read on the forward strand.
ATTACTTAACACATTTTTGCCAAATTTTACATCTGCAAAATGAATACAATAAGAGTCCTAACCTGTTAGGGTTGTTAGGATGAAATAAATAAATCAAATGTAAAGGATTAGGAACTTTATACATTATATATGTACCAGATACACTTTGCACATATAAGCTAATTTGTATACAGGATATAGATAGGTGTTGAAATTTTTTGAAAACTGATAATGGAGTCCTGGTCTACATGGGCACCCACTCCAAGTTCTTTTTTACTTGTCATTTATCTTCCTCCTAAAGGGGCAAGAACAGTGAGGTAGAACAGGTAAATTATCACTGTGTCCATTTCTCTCCAGGGAGTGAGAGTGAGCTGTGATGAGAGGGGAACACGCTGAAGGTAGCTCTTTTCTAAAGAGTTCATGGTTCCGTCGGTTTCCTCAAAGCAGGTGAGTCTTCACCCAAAAACTCTCCAGTCAGCTGAGAGTTGGGAAGGCACTGCTCAATCTGAAGTACAAAGTGAGGATAGAACATTCAGACTAATCAATAGGGTAGGGATCTGCAAAATCGAAAGCAGGACGGTGTGGCCTAAAGAATGTCAACAAAATGACCATGAGTGATGTGGTGTGAGACCGAAAGGAGCCTTTTTATGTTGTGCCTGGGAGGGTTTTCAGGTGAGAGTGAAGCCTGGGTCTATAGGTGGAGCAGGTTTTTATTTCCTTTCTCCATGGATTGAGGTGTGTTTACATTGACATCTTAATGGATCCTTGTAATAACAGGCTCTCTCCTCATGCAAGGATAGAGTGAGTTCCCTTTTAAAAAAGTTTGGTCATAAGGCCATGTGAAAAATTTCTGGTTAACCAAAAGAGGACAGTTTATTGCTTTCCTCAGTTTATCCTACAGGAATTAAGCATATTTTAAACTATAGATTAAAAAATCTTTTTAGTGTTTTAATGCTTACTTTTTTTTTTTTTTTTTTTTTTTTTTTTTTTTTGAGACGGAGTCTCGCTCTGTCGCCCAGGCTGGAGTGCAGTGGCATGATCTCGGCTCACTGCAAGCTCCGCTTCCTGGGTTCACACCATTCTCCTGCCTCAGCCTCCCGAGTAGCTGGGACTACAGGCACCCACCACCACACCCGGCTAATTTTTTTGTATTTTTAGTAGAGACCAGGTTTCACTGTAGCCAGGATGTTTTCCATCTCCTGACGTCATGATCAGACCGCCTCGGCCTCCCAAAGTGCTGGGATTGCAGGCCTGAGCCACACTGTGTCTGGCCAATGCTTACTTCTTATAACTCTATTTTAAGTCTCCATTTTTAGTATATTTTATAGCAATAAATGGTGACTGGGAAACATACTCTTCCTCTGCTGAGATTCTATGATAGCAGACTATTCCTCACAGCAAGACATCGCTGGAACATTCTGAATAAGAAAATATATGCCTTATTTATACATATCTCTGGGGAAGGAAATTCCATAGACCCTTTTGATGATTTTCTATTTTTAAAAATATAACTCATTTGGGAAATTCTCTTATATCTTGCTTAAGTCTCTCTGCTGAAGTTTAATCTCATTCCTGCTCATTCATTCCGCGGTAAAGATGGAGAGTAGCTGATATCATCCTCTTTATATACTTGAGAACCCTCATTTAAAAACCCCTTTGCTGAATAATCTCGTTTTGTCAAGGCCTTCATTATTGGTCACATTTTTAAATTCTTTGATCATTTTTACTGGCCTCCACATCTCTCTTAAATATCTGAATCTAAACAATTGAGCTCTTGTGGGTCTGACCAGTGTAGTATTACACTGGATGTGTCACTCCACATTCCTAATGCTTAACTACTATTTATACATTCCAGTATCATACATGCTTTTTTAAGAACAGTAAAAGCATTTCAATGGAGGCGATACATTATCTCCCAGCATTTATTTGTGTCGCAGGTAAACTAAGGCCATTTGAAAACACTCTTCCTTACACACACATACACACACACGCAGTGTATCTTTATGGTAAATTTTTTCTAATTAAACAAGTTCTTAACAGTTGTTAAAAAACAGTATTATGTTCCAGAGTGATTTGGGGTTAATTACGACTTATTACACGTTGAAGGAGAAAAAACACAAGTTGCAAAAAGGATGAAAATGATGGATTTTTAGTAATTCGTTGAATAATACTTATTTTAAAAAGCCAATGTGTCTGAAATAAATAAATGGCTCTTGAGTTGAATTGTTAGATTTCATCAGTGAGCTTCTTTTCATCTTTTCACTTGAAATGTGGCTTGTGTGCACAGTGTTTGTGTTTGAAGTCTGCATCTGTCATTAGTATAGTTAAATAAAATTGGGATAATTATGGTATGAAACTGAGACCAAAATTGACAAAGTAACTCAATGAAATCTAAGATTCCCTTGATTATTGTATTAGCCTTTCAGATAATTTCTTGAATTTATGATTCACTCTAAAGTGTACATGGCACAGATTTTCTTATTTTAATGGAATGTTTTCATGATAGGTTTGTGATGTTGCTTCATTGAATGATAGAATTTTACTTGCTTCTTTCACTTGTGGCTTTGTGTCTTTAAGGAGCTTCTTCTACCACTTTTAAAAAAACCTTGCAATCAGAGAAGATTGATATTAAATCCTTCTTTCCATCTTTACTCCTTTTTTTGCTGATGAAATCTTTGTTTACTTTTCATTGGGAGGTTTAGATTGTGGCCAACCACTTATAGCATACTTATGGTTTATTTATGATTCAAAACAAAATAAGACCAGAAATTAGTGAAACCTAACACTTGAGAAGTTTCATATGTTTGGATGTGCTCAGCTTATTATTTTTTCCTATAACTAAGTTACAAATCCCTGAGATGTAACTTATGTGCAAGCACTGTATGGGATTTCATGAATATTTAGTGTTTTGTTTCTATTTCTAAGTCTGTGAAGTTTCATAAATCAGCACTGTTTTTGCTTGGTTCCTACATAGCTGTGATTTTCATGCTGTCTCTTCTGTACTATAAAGGCTGAGTTTCACCCAATTTTCATACAAAATTAATTCCTAGTAGGTAAAAGATAAACTATGTTGGTCCAGTGTTAAGGGTTATGATTTAAGTAAAACAGAAGGGAAACTACAAATCTAAAGTTCTCCTTTAGGCCAGGCATGGTGGCTCCTGCCTATAATCTCAGTACTTTGGGAGATCCAGATGGGAGAATCGCTTGAGCCCAGGAATTTGAGACCAGCCTGGGCAACATAGTGAGACCTTGTCTCAAAAAATTTAAAATAAAATGAAGTTCTCTTTTAACTTCAAATCCTCTATGTTGTTTATAGGCTAGTAAATAGTGAGATATTATGAAGCGATTTCAAATTTCATGATCTGTAATACAAAATATTGGCTGGGCACAGTGGCTCACACTTGTAATCCCAATACTTTGGGAGACTGAGGCGGGCAGATCTCTTGAGCCCAGGAGTTCAAGACCAGCCTGGGCAACATGGTGAAACTCCATCTCTACTAAAAATACAAAAATTAGCTGGGTGTGGTGGCCTGTACCTGTAGTCCCAACTACTTCGGAGACTGAGGTGGAAGGATTGTTTGAGCCCACGAGGTCAAGGCTGCAATGAACTATGATCACATCACTGCACTCCAGCCTAGGTGGCAGAACAAGACCTTGTCTCAAAAAGAAAAAATAAATAAATAAATAAATAAAACCAAAATCTTACTACATATTTCCTGTCTGAAAACTCCACTGGCAATGTGTCCTCAGATTTCATAACTGAAAACATAGGCCCTCAGCCATTTTATTGGGGTGATATCTTTTCTAAACCAGTGACTGCCAGTGTGGCCAATCATCAATGTTTTGAAAATATTTATTTCCATTCCCAACCCCGGGAATTTTTTTTACTCAGTAGCACTAGACCAGTGATTCTCAAACTTGGCTGTGTGTTAAAATCACCTGAGGAGCTTAAAAAAACCCTGATGCCTCAGCCCTGACCCCAGAGATTCTGAGGTATGTGGTTCTGGGTCACCCTAACCCTAAGAGCTTTTCAGGTTAATGTCCAGCCATGTTTGAGAACTATTACTGATGTAGTTTGGCTCCATTTCCCCACTAAAACCTCACTCGAATTGTAATTCCCATGCATCGAGGAAGGGAAGTGATTGGATTATGGGGATGGTTTCCCCCATGCTATTCTCATGATAGTGAGTGAATTCTCATGAGATCTCACGGTTTTATAAGTGGTAGTTTATCCTGCATGCTCACACACACACACACTCTCTCTCTCTGTCTCTCGTTTGCCACCATGTAAGATGTGCCTGTTTCCCCTTCTGCCATGATTATAAGTTTCCTGAGGCCTCCTCAGCCATGCAGAACTGTGAGTTAATTAAACCTCTTTTCTTTACAAATTAACCAGTCTCAAGCAGTTCTTTATAGCTTCATGAATACAGTCTACTACAAATACTCTAAACTATACAATATTCAGAGTTTCCTGTAGTGAATATTGATTTGGTTTACAATTTGACAATTTCATTACCATCTTCAAATATTTCTCTTTTTTTTTAACTTATAAAATGACACTGATGAACCCTGGGAGAAGCAGAGGCTGACACCTCCAAGCAAGTTCTGGCATAAGGAAATGTCTGAGCCTGTTTACCTTAGCAGGATAAATACATGACTTCTTTAAGAAGTATTACAGAAGCTTCTTCCCACTAGATGGTGAGCCTAAAGGCAGGGAGATTAGTGATGGTAGAGTCAATTTGATTTTGCTGTGCCCAGGACAACCAAGAGGTCTATTTTAGCTTGAGTTGGCTCTTCAACCTCTGGTAATAATAGCTAATTTTCTGAGTGCTTACTATAGACCAGACACATAAAATCCCACCACCATTTTACAGGAAAGGAAATGGCAAGCACACAGAGGTTAAGTAGTTTTCCCAGGGTCATATAGCTAGTGCACAGTAGAGGCAGGATTTGAACTCTGTCTGACTCCAGGGGCCTCATGGCTGCCTATGATGCCATTTTGACTGGCTAGCTAGACTATAATGTGGTATAATATATATAAATGAGGGGTATGGAAGCAGATTGAAGTTTGTTCTTAAAAGCAATGTAAACATGTAAAACTTGCTTGACTTCTCTCAGCTGCAATGATCCAATCTGTAAAATGGGGTTAACAATAGTGCCTGCCTCATAAGGTTACTAAGAGGCTTTTAAATGGGTTATCTTGGTGGCTGGATTATAAAAGTACTCAGGAAATAACTTCGTTTTTATTTCAGTGAAATTCATGCATCTAAAAACATGGAAGTTTTGGTTTTGGAGGTTGTTGCCATTCTTCTGGTGGGTAGGATAGATAGTAAGTAGCTCCAGCCAGGATATGGAGATTAGTTAAGGCCTATTCTAGTCCTGAAATTCTCTGATTTTCATAAATTGTACCATTCATTCAGATACATTATCTTTACATGACAAAATTCCTCTATTCCCATCCTTATGGTTAATTATTTAATTTATGAAATAAATCTTTTTGTTAATTTACCTAAGAAAAGCAAAGCTTTATTCTTATAAAATATACTACTACACTCCAGGTACTACGGTGAAGATTTTTGAGGAATTAAGATGGTAACTCACTTAGAAGTTCCCCATGCCATGGTGCCACATAAAATTACTGAAATGGGAGTCAGAATATTTGGATTCTAATCTCCATGCCTTCCTTCTTTAAGTACTGGGTAATTTCAGGCATGTCACCCACCCTCTTATGTCTTTGGTTGTCTTATATGTAAAATTTAGAAGCTATATTATGTGATAGCAACGATTTCTTCTCACTCTAATATTGTGTGATTCTGGATATTACAAAATAGCAACAAGGATATATTTATATATGTAAACTGTGCATATACTGGGAACTGCAGTTCTCACCCACCAGTCTATCTTTTTAGTTCCAACAATTTCTTCCTTATTATGGGCTCATCTGTCAAAATGAAGTAGGATTCTGTGATTTCTAACTTTTTATGATTCTATTAATCTTTCAGTTTTTGTTAACAGCCATTTGCCAAAATGCAACAGCGCCCATGCCTAGAGATCCCCTGGCTACTCCCTAAGATCTTCTGGAAATTCATTTATCTTCTATCATCTAGTTTCTTTATTACCTGAGTGTAGTGTTTCTCAAATATTGATTTCTGAATATACATTTGATTATACAAATCATGGAAATGTTTTCCAAATTCACCAGAAAAGTTGAATTAATGGATAGAAGATTTCTCCCATAAAATATTTTTAAAACCTCTGACACTTGACACCATTTGTTTGCATTAGAACAAAATATGATAGTGTGTTCCATGCAGTGCAAAATTGTTTATAATTTCATACAAAATATATCTGCCTTAGCACCTATATTCTCTAGAAAACAGAACCAAAGGCAAGGCTTACATGGTAATGTTTTGTTGAAATGTTCGATCACACAGCAGCTAAAGTGACAGAAAAGAAAATCGAGACAGAAAAAGATGGGAAGCAAATACAAGGTGGTGCTTTACCATTCTGACCACAGCTTCTAACAAGCCCAGAAGAGACATGGCTACTCCTTGGCAGGTGCATCTGCCCAGCCTTGCATGAAGTCTTCAGATGAGTTGTATAAAAAATTAACCCCAGAACCGTCCATCAAACAGAAAAAAAAAACAAAAAAAAAAACAAGGGACTTTATCTACTGACTCTCCCACTGGTCAAAATGCACTCTACAGGAGTGATGCAAGTCAGTTTCAGAAGATGCAACTTGCAGAAGGAGAAATCAAGCAGGCTCTCACAGACTCAGTCACAGTGACGTTTAAGTTACAGGAAACAGGTGAGGCCAAGGGAATATATGAGACAGTGCATACCATCGTATTTATCTGACACAATGTCTATGTTCCATGGTGTGTCACAAAGACCCCAGGATTTCCAGGTGGTATACCTTTCCACAAATTCTAGGCCTTATAGCGCACCAAACAGCAGCTGCAGGATGACAAGTTTATCAATAAGTGCTATTTCTCTAGCCACAATAAACTCTAGAACAGTGCTTCTCAAATGTGAACATGGAGGGGAATCACCTAGGAGAATCCTATTAAAAATGCAAAGTTTGATTCAGTAATAGGGGGGCAATTCAAAGTGTGTTCTACAGCCAGCAGCCTCAGCATCACTTGAGAGCTTATTAGAAATGCAGTAGCAGGCCAGGCGCAGTGGCTTACTCCTGAAATCCTAGCACTTTGGGAGGCCGAGGCAGGTGGATCACTTGAGGTCAGGAGTTTGAGACCAGCCTGGCCAACATTGTGAAACCTCGTTTCTACTAAAAATACAAAAATTAGCTGGGCGTGGTGGCAGGTGCCAGTAATCCCAGCTACTAGGGAGGCTGAGGTGGGAGAATCGCTTGAACCCAGGAGGTGGAGGTTACAGTGAGCCAAGAACATGCCAAAAAGAAATGCAGCAGCTTATTAGAAATACCTCTCCCCTGAATTACTGAAATAGAATTTTTGTTTTAAAAAGGTCCCCAGACAATTTGTACACTCTTAAGTTTTGAGAAGCATTTATCTGGTCTAATACAGAGCTTCTCAAACTAACTGTGGTGTAAAGACAGTTCTTTTTAAAATTACCAATGCATTGTAATTGTATTACCAATACAAAAAAATGAATTACTAGAAAAAGAATGTTTTTAAGAAGGCATAAAAATGCAAATGCAAATTTTTTACCATTTGATGCAAAAGACATAAAATTATTCTGTCAAACTGCTCTAAAATTCTTTGTCTCTAAATTTTTATTCTCAGTGAGCATCTATAATTGTCGTAGCGAAGAGTTCACAGAACTGTACTGGTCTGTGAACAATACTGAGTAGCACTGGTCTTGAAAGGCAAGTTTTGACTATTGTTTTTCTAAGTTTGAAATTCTTTAGCAAAAATAAGTATATTACAACACTTACAATGCAGCAATATTCTAGTACATACTCTTCATTTGCAGAAAATGTATTTCTTTATGATGTAACATAAGAATGAAATGTAAACTGTAACTTTTGAACTTTATTTCCTTTGCTTCCCCCTCCCTTCATCTCTTCCCTCAACTTGGAGTATATCTTTAAATTGCAAGGCCTGGCTAGCTTCAGATAACTCCTACGTTCAGTGACTAGATCTTTCAGGTTCTTTCCATGGTTGAAATGTAAGTAGATATTAAGCCTCACCTGCATTTAACCTTAGTGGGAGTGAGTTGTTCAGATCCTTTCCTGAAAACAGCTTTTAATAAAAGGGAGAAGAGGAAAGCCTGGGGGGAGGGAGTGATTCAGCTGTGGAGAGGGGTATCATAAAAGGGGGCCATGTCTGTCTGGGATACATGCCTGGTAATAGAGCACCAAAGATTTACTTGTGATTTTCATGTTAGAATTATTGCCCAAGTGGAAAACAACCCAAACATTTGATGATGAAGGAAAGGTAAGATGATTGCACTGAAAATATATGAGGCTTTAAGGTATTTTTCAATTTTATTTACTGTAAGAAAAAATAGAAATTACTGTTTATCAAAATAGTAGTTTTACTGGAAACTTCAGATAGCAAATTAGGTATATATTGGGTATACATAGTTTTACATATATATACACACACACACACATATATATGTATATAGGTATATATTTATAGATGTATATTTATAGGCATACATATATATATAACTGTCTTTCAAAGATATATATATCTTTGAAAGGTAGTTGCTAGGCAAGTAGATTTTCCAGTCCCCATTGAAGGATTCATTTCATAATCAGCTTAAGCCTATATTTTTGAAACTGAAAACCTTACTCATCTGGCAGAGAAAAGGATCATAACTACTGAGAGAAAATACAAAGGTCTTTCAGAGCATCCAGCTCTTACTTCCAGACTTTCTCCTTCATGGGCTTTCCCCTATACTTTAAAAAAAAACCTTGTTTATCTGCCTTGGGATTTTCTGAATTAATTCACAATCAGGTTAGCTATTAGAATGCAATATTTACTTTTATAAGATCAAAGTACAAACTTTATTTATGAGGACCCATGAGAGATCTTCTTCTCTTGACAATGTATTAGGAATACTGTGCTTCCCCTAAGCACTCATTCACTCATTTACTTTTTAACTTTTTCTTAGCACTGTCACTTTTGAACTTTATTCCCTTTGCTTCTCCCTCCCTTTGTCTCTTCCCTCAACTTGGAGTATATGTTTAAATTGCTAACCCCTGCCGGCTAACCCCTACATTCAGTGACTATATCCTTCAGATTCTTTTCATGGTTGAAATGTAAGTAGATATTAAGCCTCATCTACAAAAATTGGACTATGAAGACTCATTAGATATAAGACTTGGATAATTTATTTCATCCATGGGCCTCACTTTCTCATTTCAAAGGTGGAGATAAAAATTTTACCCACTTTATAGGACTGTTCTGTAAATTAAGTGAGTTAATATATTTCAAGTGTTTAGAATAGTACTTGGAACATAATAATTAAAAATGTAAACCTTTACTTTTTTTTAATCATGGAATTGGTGATTCTTGTAACTATTCAAGTTTTCCACTTTGTTTTTTCTCCTAGGAGCATTAGGATCATGTTTGCTTCTTCAAGTAGCTGTTCACTGTTCTTTTTTTCCTTATTCCAAATTTTTCATCAGTTTATTTATTTATTTATTTATTTATTTATTTAGAGACTGGGTCTTGCTTTGTTGTCCAAGCTGTAGTGCAGTGGCGTGACCATGGCTCACTGCAGCCTTTACCTCCCAAGCTCAAGGGATCTTCCTACCTCAGCCTCCCGAGTAGCTAGGACTACAGGCACATGCTACCACTCTTGGCTGATTTTTACATTTTTGTAGAGACAGGGTCTTGCTATGTTGCCAGGGCTGGTCTCAAACTCCTGGGCTCAAGCAATCCTCCTGCCTTGGCCTCCTGAAGTACTGGGATTACAGGCGTGAGCCTCTGCGCCCAGCCCATCAGCTCATTCTTGATCCTGTTATTTTGCATGCATATCTGCTGGCAGCCTCAAACCTTTTTTTAGAATAAAGTGGTGTATCAATCAATCTATCGGTCTCTTAACAATGGGATTATGATCAGTTCCATGGGATCTGGAAAAAAAATTGGACTATGAATTCACCTATGGACAAGAAATGTCTCAAGGATATTTTGAAACTGGTGGACTTAAGTCTGGTTTCCTGAACCAATCACTTGAAAGAGAGATTGGATTACTATATGTATTGTGACTGGGCCAATCCTCAAAATTACATTGCTGGTACACAAGGGGCATGGCAGGATGGATGATGGAGAGTCAATATCAATTACAGTACAATATTCTAAATAGGAAATGATCGTACTCGTCTTTGTATTCCCAGTAGCTAGCACAGTTTCTGGTATATAACAATACTCAGTAAATGGCTAACGAATGAACAAATCATTTTTGCCTGGGTGCCACATTTCCATTTGGCAACTTCACCAAACAAAGGAACCTGTTATAACTATAGGATTCCTCTAAATGAAACTTTCATTTTCTGGAAACAAGAAGTTCCTATGAAGTCAAACTCCAGAAGCTTTTTATGATTTATTCTCTGAGTAATTCACTTTACTCTGTACTCTAACATTATCAGATCACCTGAAGGTTCCTGAAGCCAACATGCTTCTTCACTCATATTTGTCTTTGAAAATGCTGATACCTCTATCCAGTAATATTTATTCCTTAAATCTGGACCTAGGTCTCTGCCTCTCCGTGGGGAGATTTCTTTGCTTCTGACTCCATTAGGCATAGCCAGGCATGCCAATGTTTATGACCCCACCATGCCCAGTATTTATTCTCTCCACATTGTTTTTTTCATAATTTGATGAGCAGACAATATGTGAAGGAGAAAGAGCACAGGTTTTGCAATCAGACAAAACTGGGCTAGGTCCTTCGTTGACCACGTTTTAGCTGGGTAACCAAGCCCTGTTACTTAACTTTGCCAAGAGTCAGGTTGCTTGTTTTGAAATGAGGATAGTAAAGTCTATCTCATGTAGGTGTTGTGAAGATTAAATTGGGTAGCATATGCAAAGGTCAAGCGCATAATTGATATAGAATAAATAAATAACAGTAGGAGCTCAATAACTAAAATGTAGTTAGCATTAATTGAGGGGTTTTTGAAAAAGTGAAGATCATGTAACAGATTTATGATGTAGGTTAAAAAATCAATATGAATTATGACAGTTTTTAGAATTAAATTTATTTTATAGATTTATAGGTTATAGATGTGAAAAAATGAAAACCATGCTTTTAACTTCTTCCTTAATAGCACATAGCATAGAAGTATGTGTTAATAGATAGCTGATGTGATTTTGATGAACGATCAGCAAGTGAATTGGTCCCTTTCTTTACATTTCCTTAAGTATTTATCTCAGAGTCATATTTAAGAGTGATTAGCATGGTATTAGAGCAATAGTGCTCCAAAACCTCACCATAAGCACTGGTTTCCAGATGAGACTATTCTTGAAAGACTTAATTTAAGCTTTTCCATTTAGCATTTAATGTGACTTATTTTGTACAATGACAAAGCTGCAGGTGTTAACAAAATCTAAGAGTTTAAAAATGTGCCTGTGGTATATTTAAAGTGACCAAAATAACTTTTTTTAAGATTCAAAAATAAACTGTTGACATAAATCACAAAAATACCACTGCTTAAGAAATAAAATGTGTAGCATTTCATCGTTTTCACTCAGAATTAAAGGTCCTCCATACTCTAGCCCCAGTTTACCTTTCAGACACCTCCACTGCCCACCCACTCCCAGAACCTCTACACTGCAGTTTTATGATGAAATTTTTCTGACTCTGCCTTTAATTTCTTCCTCGCCTCTGACATATTTTAGTGTACAGACATGCCTTTTTACACATTTTTATTCCAGCTAAAGCCGAAGCTCAGGACCTAGCAGGTGGGCAATGGTCAGGGTACATTGGATTAATGGTGGGTGACGCAAAGAGAGGGCCACATGGAGCAGATATGGAGAAACCAGACACAGCTTATCCTTCAGGAAATGGGCTGAAGGCCTCCTGGAAAGGGCAGTTGCGAGAGTTGTTGGAGTCACTGGCTGGTCTCTCAACCTATCCCCAAATAAAACCTATCTCCAAAGCTCCCTGGCAGTATGCCTGATGGAGAAGGAGCATGTCCTGAGTGGCACAGAGCTGAGCTTCACAGACTTGCCCCAGAGACAGTGGCTGAAGGTCAGAGGGAAGGGCAGTTTTGAGTGAATCGTGAAGCCTAACACTGAGCAGACCCTTCAGCCCAGCTCTTCTCTCTCCAGTTCCTTTCTTCCTCAGAATTTGTGGCAGAGCCCCAGGAAGAGGTCTCCTAAGACAGAAGCTAGTCCGGGCATGGTGGCTCATGCCTATAATCCGAGCACTTTGGGAGGCCGAGGCGGGCAGATCACTTGAGGCCAGGAGTTCAAGACTAGACTGACCAACATGGCAAAACTCTGTCTCTACTAAAAGTACAAAAATTAGCTGGGCATGGTGGTGTGTGCCTGCAGTCCCTGCTACTTGGGAGAATCACTTGAACCCAGGAGGCAGAAGTTGCAGTCTCAAAAAAAAAAAAAAAAAAAAAGCAGAAGCTAAAGCGACCCACAACTGAGAGCCACTGAGCAAATGATGGGCAAGGGCAAGGAGTCCTTTTAGTCAGCAATGCAGAGATGAAGCTTGGAACCTTTAAAAGGGGCAACAGAGTTGTTGGAAAGCTGACTGGGAAGAATAGGATGCTTTAAAAAGAATTTCTGGCATCCCTGTTTTGCTGATTCCTCACACTTCCAAACTACAGGTTGAATATCCCTTATCCAAAAGCTTGGGACTGGAAGTGTCTCAGATTTTGAATTGTCTTGGATTTTTGAATATTTGCAATACATAATGAGATATCTGAGGATGGGACCAAAGTCTAAACAGGAAATTTATTTATGTTTCATACACACATTCTACACATAGGCTGAAGGTAATTTTATACAATATTTTAAATAGTTTTGTGCATGAAATAAAGTTTTGTCCACATTTAAACTTTGTTCTATCACATGAGGTCAGGTGCAGGATTTTCCTCTTGTGGTTTCATGTTGGTGTTCAAAACTTTTTGGGTTTTGGAGCATTTCAGATTGTTAGGTTAGTGATGCTAATCTGCAATTTTGTTTTTGGATGGAGTTTTGCTCTTGTTGCCCAGGCTGGAGTGCAATGGCACAATCTCAGCACACCGCAACCTCTGCCTCCCAGGTTCAAGCGATTCTCCTGCCTCCTGAGTAGCTGGGATTACAGGCATGTGCCACCATGTCCAGCTAATTTTGTATTTTTAGTAAAGACGGGGTTTCTCCATGTTGGTCAGGCTGGTCTTGAACTCCCGACCTCAGGTGATCTGCTCGCCTCGGCCTCCCAAAGTGCTGGGATTACAGGCATGAGCCACTGCGCCCGGCCTAATGTGCAATTGTCTATACTAATCATAAATAAATATCTAAAATAGAAACAAGCGAACAGCATTTAGAGTGCTTTGTAACTCCTTAGAAGAAATTATTTATCTGTAGTATGCCTCAGATGGAAGTAACCAAATGAGACATAATCTGGGAAGGGGGAGACACCTCACTAATTGAGAAAGCATTTCTGTCTTAGTATGGATTTAGAGTATACTATCCCCTAATTAACATCTGTTTTGGGAAAGTTAAAATGGCTAAATGCAAGTCCGTTATTTAAAGGATATGCCAGACACAGTGGCTCACTCCTGTAATCCCGGCACTTTGGGAGGCTAAGGCGGGTGGATCGCTTGAGCCCAGGAGTTAGAGACCAACTTGGGCAACATGGTGAAACCCAATCTCTAGAAAAAATACAAAAAAATTAGCCTGACATGGTGGCACACGCCTGTGGTCCCAGCTACTCTGGAGGCTGAGGCACAATAATTGCTTGAACCTGGGAGGCAGAGGTTGCGGTGAGCTGAGATCATGCCACTGCACTCTAGCCTGGGCGACAGAGCAAGACTGTCACAAAAAATTAAAGGCTATGGCATCATTTTCATTTTACCTTGATGGGTCTGTGGAGAAAGAAATCGGTCAGGAACCTGGTGATTACAACAATTATAACAACTATTCTTTTTACATAGAATAACTCATTCCCCTCTTACCTCCTGAAGGAAATATGAAAGGTGCAGCATTAATTTTAAAAATACTGAGTCATCAATGAGAGGGTCAGAGACTGAGAAACCAACTTTTGGTAAGTGTGTGTCCTTCACCTACAGCACTCTCCTGGCCAACTCCCTGCAGGACCAGGCTCATGATAGATAGGATGGCCATTACAAAACACAAAGATACTATCATTATTATTATTTTTGCATATCTGGGTTGTAAGATGTTATTTTTTAACTCACTTCAATGTAAATGATGACTACATGAAATACTTTCCTCATCTTAATCAAATATTGCCCAATGTAAGTCCTACACGTTTACCTTCCCTAAACTCTCATAGCCCCACTTTACTAAACTTTTTAAGTCATAGCAGCAACCCCTTTTTTAACCTCTGAATTTAAAGCATTGTTATTATATTTTATACCTATCATTTGACAATGGCTCAAGGATACATTATGCAACTGGTTAGATTTTCATCAGAGGCTTAGTCACCTTAGCCTCTGATTAGTTTGTATTTGATAGGGTCAACCATGCAGCAGCCCAGAACATAGAAATTTGGAAGCTCTAGTCTATGGTAAAGTTTTCAAGATCATTTCAAAAACGAATAAATGAACACTTGGCAGAAAGTGCCTGTCATAAACAACATATGACACACTGAATCACACGGTTGTGTAATATACATACCTGAGCATGTTCTAGTGGCATTTTTCTACAATGAACATTAGTTCCTAGTACTTTTATTTGAGACTTCACACTTCCTGTGAAGTATTATGTTTGTCTATTTCTTATTTTTAAATTAATAAGCATTCATTGTTAAAATTTTAAAAAGTATAAAAAAGTATAAATAAATAGGAAAAGTCATTGAAAATCCCACCACTCATTTTGGCATATTTCCTCAATTTTTAAAACACATTTGAAACTTTACTATACATGGATTCTCAGTTCTAGCTCTTGCATTTAATATTATAGCATAAGGATTTTTTTCTAGCCATTTAAAATGCCTAGCAAGCATAATTTTTAAACAACAATGAATATTTCTTTGTTTCCTAGTCTCATGATATAAATAATTCATGCTAGTTATAGAAATTCCAAATAATACATAAGTGCATATAGCAACAGTAATCTGCCACACAGAAATAACTGCAGTTAAATTTAGTGTATATCCTTCCAAATTTTTGCCCATGCTTTTGAACACAAACTTCTATGTGTATATACAGATAAATATATGTGTAAACATGCAACATTGGGATCATACTTTGTATAGAGTTTGGCAACCTACATTTTATACTTAATACATTTTGGATGTGTTACTATCTATCATCTTCATGTTTATGTATTATTTACCCCTTTTAACAGCTGCATAGTGCAATATCTTAAAAAAAGAATCTTAATAATTACATAAAATTGTATTACAATCTTGTTCAACTTGGCCCAGGATGGCTTTGAATGCGGTCCAACACAAATTCGTAAACTTTCTTAAAACATTATGAGATGTTTTTTGCAATTTTTTTTAAGCTCTTCAGCTATCATTAGTGTTAGTGTATTTTATGTGTGGCTCAAGACAATTCCTCTTCTTCCACTGTGGCCCAGGGAAGACAAAAGATGGGACACCCCTGTTGTATTGAATGGATGTGCGACAGTGTCCTTAACTTTTCCCCACTGTCCACTCCCACTCCCCATTAATGGAGATGGAGGCTTAGTTTGTTTCTTAACTTTAAAAACTAAAAGTGATGCTAAACTGAAAACAATGTTGCAGTGGACATCTTTACCCATAAATAACTGTCCACATATAAAATTATTTCCTTAAGATAGAGTCCCACTGTTAGAATTATTAATTCAAGACATGAAAAAGCTTAAGACTCTTGATCAATCTTATAAATTTTTTTTAAATAGGGTATCAGGATCTAAATTGTTTTACTGGCCAATGAAACAAGAATTTCTGCCCAGAGGGTTAAATATTTTGAATAATATTCAAAAATTTTGTGAAAAAGAATTTTAAGATTTTCTTCGTTTGCCTTCTGTAAGGAAGCCTTTTTATTCTTTTTTCTTTTTTTTCTTTTTCTTTTTTTTTTTTTTTTTTGAGACAGAGTCTTGCTCTGTCACCCATGCTCGAGTGCAGTGGTACGATCTCAGCTCACTGCAACCTCCACCTCTCGGGTTCAAGTGATTCTCCTGCCTCAGCCTCCTAAGTAGCTGGGACTATAGGCACGTGCCACCACGCCTGGCTAATTTTTTGTATTTTTAGTAGAGATGGGGTTTTACCAAGTTAGCCAGGATGGTCTTGATCTCCTGACCTCTTGATCAGCCATCCTCAGCCTCCCAAAGTGCTGGGATTACAGGCGTGAGCCACTACGCCCGGCTGGAAGCTTTTAATGTGGTAATCTTTAATTCTTTAATATTTTAGATGGTTCTGTGTACCAATTAAAGAATATACCACATTGTAAAAAATACGGTTTTAATTTTAAAATTTCTTTGCTATTTATTTTATGTAAAATGCTTATATCTACCTCCCTGTTGCTTTTTAATAACTGTATCCTAAGTCTTTTAAAATTCAAATTTGCATTTCTGTCATCTTCATTGAATACATTAGATGTGATTTTATATCATTTAATATAAATTTAAGAAAGACTGGTGAAGATGGCTGGTACATGTGTGAAATTTGCTTGTGGATAGAGTTGAGGGTGGTTTCTAGCCCTATCTTTTGTCCTTTATCAGGCTTTTTGGGAAAGTTTACGGCACTAAACGTATGGGTAGTATACCCAGAAGTATGAAATTAGTCTTCAGGAGCTGCATTACCTGCTTTCATTCTGTAATAATTCCTAATGTTAGATGAAGTTTTACTTAGGAATATTCTCAACTCTGAAGTCTCTCACAAACTTCTATGAAATGCATGTGTTCAGAGTTAAATTTTCACAAGAACTTTGCTCAAGAAATTACTTTTCACCTCAGTTCAATGTGAATTTTCTCTCCTTGTAAGCAAACAGAATGT
This sequence comes from Homo sapiens, assembly GCF_000001405.40. Lineage (NCBI taxonomy): Eukaryota > Metazoa > Chordata > Mammalia > Primates > Hominidae > Homo > Homo sapiens. The sequence continues at coordinate 18,055,722 of NC_000007.14, forward strand.
AGCAGTACTATTTCTATCCTAAGAACATATGCACGTTGTTCCATTAGTAGTAATATTTTCATCAGAACATTGTTTAACAGTAGCAAGTGATAACATTTGTAGGCAGTAATCAGAGACTTGACAGCTTTCCTCACCACTAACATTCTTCCATCTAGGAGACAAGAGATGTAAATGAAATAGAATACTTCAGAAAATGATTATTAGCCGATGCTAACTCAAGTGCCAAGTCGAAGTTGAGTTACGTGTTTAAAAAAAGAAAAAGTGATCTTCTGACATTGCTGTTTCCCAGCGGCTTCATTTTATAGGTGATAGTCATAACAGAGTAGGGAATGAAGTAGGATTATGCAAATTTTCTCATCTCGCACAGAGAAAATAAGAGTTATCATGTGTGAATTTCTTCAATTTCGTGATATGCACCTAAAATTTACCAGCATCCATTCCATCTTCTTTTTTTCATCTGTGAGAAGAAAAAAGTGTCTCTTCTTCTATCCAAAGCTAAACCCTCCCTTCTCCTCTGGCAGTCAGTGCATTAGTCAGATCTCCTTTGTCTTCTGCTCTTGACAGCCCAACTACTAAAAACCTTTGAAAGATGCAGCTTCTGTTCCTTCTCCTTTTCTTTTTTTAATTTAAATAGAATTGAGACAGGGTTTTACTGTGTTGCCCAGGCTGGTCTTGAACTCCTGGCCTCAGTTGATCCTCCTGCCTCAGCCTCTCAAAGTTTTGGGATTATAAATATAAGCCACCACACCTGGCCTATTTTTTTTAAAGCTAATTTTTACTTTTCTGTCCAACTATACATGCCTTTCTCAACAGAGCTGCAAGAGAGAACTAAGCCCTATAGAAAGTGATTTGAGAGACAATTTTTTTTTCAAATCTCTCATGGATGGTACCCTTCATCATGCACGGGAAAAAGGTTGATTCATAACATGCAATGTGTGCTCTAAGGCATTAAGGGAAAATAGAAAAGTCAAGGTATAAATTTCCTACCTCCTATCTTCACTGCTTTATTAAAGGTGCAGTTATCTTCTGTTGGCTTCTCCAGACTCACATTCCACCTTCCTCCATCCACTTCTGTGCCTTGCAAGGATGTGCTGTACAGACTGCATCTGTGGGTTTCCTTCATCTATTGCTTTCAGTAGGGTTCAGCTCATAGGCATCTCATCAGGAGTTAGAGGAGAGCAAGTTTGGCATATTTATTAATATTTCTCTGGATCCCTCCTTGGAACATCACCTTGGGTTGCATATGTCCCTCAATTAAAAGATACAACTTCTCTCAAGGTGGCCCTTTCCTCTACAGGACCCTCTTGCTGGATTCCAGTGACTGCATCCTTACCTTGAGGTTATTTAGGCCTCAATGTAATAACAGCTCCATTACTACTAATCTGGGGGAACTGCACTATTCTACTTTTTAAGTCATGTAAAATTCACGCTTTGTAGTATGAAGTTCTATTGGATTTGACAAATCCATAAAGTCATGTATCCATCACCACAATTATGACACAAAACTGTTCTATCATACCCCCAAATTCCCTAATGCTGTCTCTTTGTAGTCAAGCCTTCACCTTCCTCCAGCATCTGACAATCACTGATAGGTTTTCTGATCCTAGAGTTTTACATTTCAAATCATAACAAATGGAAGCATACACTGTGTAGACTTTGGGGTCTGGCTTTGTTTACTTAGCAAAGGTACTTCAGATTCATTTGTGTTGTTATGTGAATCAGCAGTTCTTTCTTCTTTATTGCTGAGTAACATTCCATTATATAGAGATGTCAGAGTATGTTTATTAATTCATTGGTTTAAGGACATTTGGGTTGTATCCAATTTGGGGTGATTATAAGCTGCCAAAAACAGTTAAGAGCTGCTATAAACACTTGTGTACAAGTTTTTGTGTGAGTAAAAGTATTCATTTCTCTTGAATAAATACCTAGGATTTTTAAAAATTAATTTTTAACTCAAGATGGATTAAAGATTTAAATATAAAACACAAAACTATGAAAACCCTAGAAGAAAATCTAGGCAATACCATTCAGGACATAGGGATGGGCAAATATTTCATGACAAAAAGGTCAAAAGCAATTGCAATAAAAACAAAAATTGACAAATGGTGTCTAATTAAACTAAAGAGCTTCTGCACAGCAAAAGAAACTGTCATCAGAGTGAACAGACAACCTACAGAATAAGAGAAAATTTTTGCAATCTATCCATCTCACAAAGGTCTAATGGATAGAATCTACAAGGAACTTAAACACGTTTATGAGAAAAAAACCAAACAACTCCATTAAAAAGTGGGCAAAGGACATGAACAGATACTTCTCAAAAGAAGACATACATGTAGCCAACAATCATATGAAAAAAAGCTCAACATCAGTGATCATTAGAGAAATGCAAATCAAGACAATAATGAAATATATCACACCAGTCAGAATGGCCATTATTAAAAAGGCAAGAAACAACAGATACTATCAAGCTGTAGAGAAATAGGAACACTTTTACACTGTTGGTGGCAATGTAAATTAGTTCAACCATTGTGGAAGATAGTGTGGAGATTCCTCAAAGACCTAGAACCAGAAATACCATTTGATCCAGCAATCCCATTACTGCATATATACCCAAAAGAATATAAATCATTCTGTTATAAAGATACATGCATGTGTATGTTCATTGCAGCACTATTCACAATAGCAAAGACATGGAATCCACCCAAATGCCCATCAATGATAGACCGGATAAAGAAAATGTGGTACATATACATAATGGAATACTATGAAGCCATAAAAAGGAATGGGATCATGTCCTTTGCAGGGACATGGATGGAGCTGGAAGCTGTTACTCTCAGCAAACTAATACAGGAACAGAAAACCAAACACTGCACGTTGTCATTTATTAGTGGGAGCTGAACAATGAGAACACATGGACACAGGGAGGGGAAAAAACACACACTGGGGCCTGTCAGGGATGGGGCCAGGGGGAGGGAGTGCATCAGGAAAAATAACTAATGCATGCAGGGCTTAATGACTAGGTGATGGGTTGATAGGTGCAGCAAACCACCATGGCACAAGTTTACCTATGTAACAAACCTGCACATCCTGCACATGTATCCAGAATGTAAAATAAAATGCTTTTAAAAATTAATTTTATAATGTTCATTGATTTTATACAATTTTCTGGGTCCTGTGTAGAAGACGGTTGCAGCCTGGACAAGTGTGTTCCTGATCGTTGTCAATGAATTAGCCAAGATGAGGAGGAGATTAGCATAACTGGGAGATTAGCATAGCTAAAGAATTGAAGGCTAAGGCAAACTGGTTCATGCACCAAGAATGAAGGAGGCAGAACAAAATAAGCAGTCAGCAGCTAAGAAGCAGCAAGGGAATGCAGGAAAGGTTGGATAGTGAGGTGTAGAGCAGGCAAAATTGGAGATTCAGGCATCCTACTTGCTGTCTCCTTCTACCTTCAGCTTTAAAAACAGGTCCCAAACCCACACAGCCCCAGAGTGAACACTCAATAACCTGAGGATTAGCTCCTTTCTCAGCCTTGAACTAATTACCCATAACTCACCACACTTTGACTGGGTCATTTTATACTCTCCTTGTATCAGCTGCTATTTTGCTCTGCTCTTCTAGCATGGGTCTATCTCCATGTTCGGTTTCCGGGGCAACAACTGACTGTTCCCTTCTTTGTGTTACCACTTGACTGAGTGTGCAGACACTTCTTCCAGCTCAGATTGGGCCCAGCCTGCTTCCATGAGCCTTGGTGACATTACTGGCTTGAATGGAGGGCAGATGTGTACCTTCACAAAGTACACGAAGAAACTAAACACTGAGACGTTGAGTGAGTTACATATACACATCACATTCATAACAACAATGGCAGTAAAAGTTGGCACTAACATTTATAGAGCATTTACTTTGTACCAGGCATAGTACCAAGAGCTTTCCAGGCCAGCAATCATGTAATCTTTGCAAAAACCTATAAAGTATTTACAACTCTTATGCCCCCATTTTACAGATGAAAAAATTAAGGCAGGGAGATCATGACATGCTTATTGAGCTAGTAAGAGAAGGAAGCAGAATATGAACCCAAGGATGGAGATCTAGAGCTCTTAAACACCTATACTATGCTGTTGACCAAAAATTTTAAGTAGAAGATTTAGGAGTAAAACTTCTGACTCCTAGTCTATTGCTTTTCTTGGATGATAAGTCCTAAGTATGTGCCATGTCCAGATCAATATACTCACTGGGGATACAAAATATGCAAATTGCATGGTCTTCATCTTGGGAAAATTTATAATACTACCAAATAAGTACACAAAATATTTTTATTTGGAGAATGAATTAAATAAGACAGGACCAGTTCACAGGTGGCTTTGATTGTACAGCTGTGTAGTCTATAGTTATAACATAGTTGGTTTCAGTTACCTCACATATAATGATAAAGCATATGGTCATTAACTCTAAATTTATGATTTTTTTTTCTCTTCTTCCTTCTCTCCCTCTTTCCTTTTTCCTTCCTTCCTTCCTTCCCTCTTTCCTCCTTTCTTTCTTTCTTTCTCTTTCCTTCTTTCTTCTTTCTTTCTTTCATTTTGCCATTCTCCCACTGCCTACAGAGCACTTGTATGTATTTCTATATAAGTTAGTTACAAGAATGTTTTAAAATTTGTTACAAGTATTTTAAAAAGCATTCAATTTATATTTAGCATTAAAAACCCCAACTAAATTTTTGATGTCTTGATATGATATTTGAAAATAATTACAATTTTTCCTCTTTTAAAGAAGACACCATAACTGGGTCTGAAGGAAAAGTTGACTTAGATGTATTTTACTGACTTGCTTTTAGTAAATAGATAAAAATTATTTCTAAATAGCATAACAGTGAGCCATGTTTAAGTGAGTGTTCTTAAATGCTTAAAGGTACTTGAAAGTAGTGGCCTAAAATAGTTGAAAGAGTTTTCATAAAATTTTGTGAAAGTGTTCATCTACTTAACAAAGACTTTCTTGGCTGGGTGCAGTGGCTCACACCTGTAATCCTAGCACTTTGGGAGGCCAAGGCTGGTGGATCATCTGAGGTCAGGAGTTCAAGACCAGCCTAGCCAACATGGCGAAACCCCTTCTCTACTAAAAAAAAAAAAAAAAAAAAAAAAAATCAGCCGGGTGTGGTGGTGGGCACCTATAATCCCAGCTACTCAGGAGGCTGAGGCAGGAGAATAGCTTGGAGGGCGGAGGTTGCAGTGAGCTGAGATTACGCCACTTCACTCCAGCCTGGGTGAAAGAGCAAAACTCTGTCTAAAAAGGAAAAAACAAAACAAAACAACCCAACAATAACAAAAAGCAAAAACAAAGACTTTCTTTAGAGATAGCATAAACATTAGTCTGGCCTTCTTTATCACAAATTCAGCTTTAGTGGAGTGTGAATTCACGAGATATTGTTGTCTTTCCAATGTTCCCCATTCCAACTGGAAAAACTAAAAAGATTAAGGAAGGCATTGTCTAGTTCAGGGGAGGGATAGCATTAGGAGAAATACCTAATGTAGATGACGGGTTGATGGGTGCAGCAAATGACCATGGCACGAGTATACCTATGTAACAAACCTGCACGTTCTGCACATGTACCCCAGAACTTAAAGTATACTAAAAAAATTTTTAAAAAATGCATCACAGTATCTTGTATGAGCAGTGGACAGTCACTAAGTGTTCCCAATTGATGGGGATGGAAGGATAGATGGGTCCCAGGAGTGTATTTACCAATGCAGACAGTCCCTTCTGGGGGATGAAATCACAGAAAATGGAAGCCACTTGCACAAAAGAAGAGATAGAAAAACAAAGATTTGGTTTGTAACATCATATATTTTTTCTAGTTGTTTTAGAATTTCCATTTTCAGGTGAATTTCTTACTGTGTGAATTTATGAAAGGCAAATTGCAACTTCCAGTGTTTTTCTTTCAAGCCATCCACTTATTTTTCCACTCTACCTTCCCCAGATGATTGCATTTTGTTAGAAACGTTATATGCAACTTTGTGTTTTCCACAAGGAATGAACTGAAAGAGAGGGGTTGGGATTTGGGGTTTTGTATCATAAGCATCTCTTGTATTGCCTCCTGCATATACTCACAGTAAAATTATGCTCAGCAGGTAATCTGCCTCATAACAGCAAACCTGAGCAGACTGGATTTAAAAAAATACTAGAAAGTGAAATCGCCAAATGAAACTCTCCTATTTGTAAAGCATCAATGAAAAGATACGTAGATTGAAACATGATAAAATTCTCAAAAGAAAAATCAAGATGAAGGCATTAACATTCTCAAACATTCCTAGTGTAAAATTAATTTGTTAAATTCATTATTAAGTTAATTTTATTGCATGCCTACTATGTGCCAAGCATGATTCTAGGCACTTAGGGATACAATACTGAACAGGATAAAAATCTCTGTCTTTGTTGAGTTTGCCTCTAGTGGGAATGGAGTGAAGACATATAGTATTCCAATAAATAAGTAAAAAATGCAGTACATCGGTGGAGATTGGTACCATAGAAATAAGCAGGGAAGGGAATAAGGAGTGACAGAATGGGGGGTGCTGGTTTGTAAATTTAAATATGTGACTTGTGAGTAAATACTAATGTTTTAAAAGGGATGTGTTTGCATATATTTGGGAGAAGGGCATTCCTGCAAAAGAAGCAGCAGGCGCAAATGGTCTGGGAAGCAGTGTGTCTGGCATGTTCAAGGGACAGTCAGACCCGTGGAAAATGAAAGACAGCTATAAGACATGAGCGCAGAGAAGTCAGTGGGGCAATTGATCATCTAGGGATTTTGTAGGCCATTGCTAAGTCTGTGGCTTTTATTTGTGTTGGCTTCTGTGTTGAGAATAAGCTGTGGAGTAAGCTTGGAAGCAGAGAGACCAGTTAAGAGGATGTTGCAACGATCCAGGTAATGATGGTTAGAGAGTGAATGGTGGAGGTGGAGAGATGTGGTCAGATTCTGGATATTTCGTGAAGGTAAAGCTAATAAGATTTGCTAATGGATTGGATATCACTTGTGAGAGAAAGAGAGCAGTCAAACATGAATCCAAATTATTGGCATGAGTAGATGGAAGCTTAGAGTTAATTATTAACTGAGGGAAATAATTGTTAAGTGGAACTTTATTGCAGATGGAAAATTAGATGCCAGGTTTGGGCATCTCAGCAGACTTGTCTGGTAGCAGACACAGAACGTGGAATGAAGGGAGAGATCTAGGCTAGGATATACATTTGGAAGTCATCCACGTATATATGGTATTTAAAGTGATAAGATTGGTGTACTCACCAGATCAAATTCTCAGTTCTAATACAGTTGTATTTTCTCATGGTGATGGTGCAAATAGATTGATTTTTAGGTGTTTTGACATACTTGAAGTTGGTCTAATGATAATGTAAAACACAGGCATTTTCTCTATTTTCAGCTTCCAGTTTTACCATCACCTTGGCTATAAATACATTTGTTGCCAAGTGCAGCTGGTTACCAGTGAGCAGTCTAAGCCCTCTAACCTTAAGGCCACTAGAAGACAGTACTCACACTTGTTGCAGCTCAAAATAAAACAAAATGAAGCAGAACAGAAAATATTCAACTCCATAATGTATTGGTGAATAATGAAGAATGCATTGCAGATTTTGTGGTTTGAGAGATGAGAAAGTTGACATTGCATACTACACAGATAAAATGTAATAAAAATTTCCTTCTTTGTTCTTCCCCCACCAAAGTTCCTCTTGGGCCACCAGCAGTCACCTCCATTCTCTTCCCCGGATCCCCTACTATCTCAAAGAAACTTCCTTACCACCCAAACGATTCATTTCTAGTTTCAGGTTTGCTTACCCTCCACCTTTCCCTGTATTTAACCGAATCTACTTTTCTCACAAAGCAGTTTAGCAACTTCTACTCTAATTCATTTGTCTTTTAAGCAGCCAATCATCCATGTCAACACACTTCTCATCCAAGTGTCTGCCAAACAAAGCAGGTCTCTTTAAAAGAGTATATGTGCATATGTGTGTTTAAGAGACGGAAAAAGAGAAACAGAAAGAGGGAGAGAGACAGAGACTGGGTATTGGAGAGGGGACTTTCCAAATCAATACACATTTTTTCTCACGTCTGGATAAAGACTACAACATTGGATAAAAAGGTATTATTTTTATTTGGTCATAATTTCCATACAGAGGAATATAAAATGCCAAGAAAAGTTTGATATCTTCACAATCTTTATACTCATTTTTACCATTCAATTTCTTATTCATGTTAATATAATTATTTTCAAACTCTCTTCCCCTGCCATATAAATCTGTATCACTGGATAACTGAATATAATCTGTATTTTTTAAATTTTAACACTTTTCCATATACCAGTATTCTCCACTTTCGTGGATGCTGTACTCTGCTGTCCAAATCTTCCATTCAGAACTGAGGGTCTTCTTCTCTCAGCTGATGGGATGAAATGTCATCTGTGGAAGGGAGTCTTTTTGTCCAAATTCATGCCCCCTTCTATGGCCAGCCTGCATCTAATTGGTTGAACTAAGGATAAAAGTGGCTCAGCTCCCTCACTCCAACTCAGGACATCTGGAAGGACTGTCCCAGCTTCAGAGCTCCCCATGGGGTCAGCTGAGGCCTTGTTGTGACTTCACCAAAAGCTCATCTTCTCTCTCTGCCTCAATCCCTCTCTTTGTGGCTGGTCATTTCTGGGAACTCTGCAATACTGCCTTTTCCCAGCAGGAGGCTCTGTACAGCTCTCTATGATAGGTAGGCATCATTCCCTTTCTGTCCTAAGCCTTTATTCTCCTACAATATCACCCACACCAAGCTACAAGGATATATCAGACTTACTGAAGCATTGCAGGCAACAGAAGTTATTACAACCAAATGTGATTGAACACATAGTGTAAAGGGCAGAAGCACAAAATGGTAAACCTCTCATTGGGGGACCCTCATGAACACATCCTGGGTCTTTATTATTACGTCATTTGTTTGTGTGTATGTTTTGTTTTGTTTGAGACAGAGTCTCTCGTCACCTAGGCCGGAGAGCAGGGGCGTGATCTTGGCTCACTGCAGTCTCGACCTCCCCTGGCTCAAGCTATCCTCCCACCTCAGACTCCCGAGTAGCTGGGACTATAGGCACATACCACCACACCTGGCTAATTTTTGTTTTTTGTATTTTGTTTTTTTTATTTTTATTTTTTTGTAAAGATGGGTTTCACCATGTTGTCCAGGCTGGTCTCAAACTCCCGGGCAATCAGCCCATCTTAGTCTCCCAAAGTGCTGAGATTACAGGTGTAAGCCACCATGCCCAGCCTTTATTATGTTCTTTATGTTCAAATTCTGCCCTCTTAAGCATCTCATTTTTCAAATATCCAGAATGAACCTTTTTCTTCTCTTTTAAGAGAATGCTATCCTCAAACTACAAGATTTCTAGGATCATACTCATTCCATGCCAGGGCATATTAATCAAATTCCTAAAGTCTGGGCATCAACTGGACAGTGCCAAGTGGGGTCTGACACTTCAAGTCAGCTCACCATGTGGTCTTGTTACCAATGTAATGGGCATATATGTCTCATCACTTTCCCTAGCCATTCAGCGATCCACTATTATGTCATCTCCTAAAGGCGAATGAAAATTCCCAGAGCCAGTATATATAACTCAGCACTGTCTGATACCATAGCTACTAGCTGCATGTGGCTACTGAGAACTTGAAATGTGAAACATTGTCCAGGGTTTCCTTCCATTATTTCAACTCTTGCCCCTTTGCGATTCCACTTTTACAGGTACCCGTTACTTCTGACTCATGAGTTGTGGGTTGACTAACTTCTGATTTTAGCTTTCTCTTGGCTTCTAAGTCAGTTACGTTCATCCGTTTTGTTTTCCAGCCTCTAAAATTGTGCTGTTCTCATCTTCTTTCTCACTCTTTATATTTTCATGGATTTATGCTTTTAAAAATCTTCACTGTCATTTTAATGGGGTTTTAGGGGAAGCTAAGATAAGTACATGTTCAATCCACTACATTTAACTCAAAGTTTTAAATAGAGTACCCTCAAACAGTTAAACTTTTCCATTATAGACACTAAGTTTATAATAAAATTGAAGAAAAGTCATAATGATGAAATATAGGAATTAGTCTTCAAAAGTATTCTGTTTTAGCTTAATATTTTGGCTACTATTGAGGTTAAATCAATTTGAAATAGGAGAAAAGAGGATTTGCTATAATTCCATATGAAATATATTAAAATAGCATTTCAATATAAGGATTTGTGAAGATAGCCTATCAGTTGTCCTATAATTCTCTACTCCTTTCTGAGGAAATAGCTGCTTCATCCCTTTAAAACTTCTAAGTGAGAAAAACAAGCAGAAAAGAATATTTTCCCCAGTAAGCTTTTCTCAGAAAACATAATTTATGTCTCCTGTGCCCTATATTTTTTACTTCAGTCTTTGTGAGGCTATAAAGTAACATATTTTTAAAATTATGGATGCATTTCATATTTAAAGATGACAAAATATGCCTTTCTTACCAGTCAGCCAAAGAGTTAGGGAAAGTAGCACTTCATTTTTGAGTATTAAACGGAAAGGTCTGAACAAACCCCGGGGCAGTGGAGAGAAGAGGATACATATTTAAGAAATATATTACCAATCTAAAATGATTTTTAAAGCACTAAAGTATGCAACTGTTATGAAGTAAGTAAAACCCTGTAAAATATAGCTGCTGAAATATGTTTTTCAAGGGTTTTCAACTGACACTAGAACATTCTCGCTCAAGAACAAAAGATCAAAATCTCTTTAAAAAGAGTAGGAAGATGCTATTGATGGTACTGGGGATTTACAATATTCTGGATTCAACTAGAGAAAGTCATTTTCTTTAAAGCATAAAAATAAATGCATCCATAAGAGGTAAAATACAGACATTACCTTAAAAATACAAATAAATACCAAGGTTGGAGGTATAATATGGAAATACAGTCCCAAACTGAGAGAATTAATTTAAACTTTTCCTTACTGAGTTAGGAGATTAGTCCTCATTCATTGAATCATCTGAATTTTGCCGATTACTTTTGAACTCATTAAAGATCACTTTTGTTTATGATTTTGATCTATTTTTTCCGAACAAGCTCATTTTTTTTTGTTGTTTAGTAGATTTGATAAGAACCACCATGCTAATAAAATAACCTTATGGGCACATTTTTTTCCTCTTTATATGTAGTGGATATCCTCAAATCTGAAATTTTCTGTTTTTCCAATTCTTCTAATGCCTAATTATGGTCTCAGATCATCTATTCTAAAATTGCCTGATTGGGAGTATTGACACTCTCTTTTGAAGACTGATAGAATTATTGATTCTTCAACCATGGCCCCTAATAACACACTATAATGGAAAGAATGCTTTTCTGTGACAAGTACTTCAAAAACAAATTCCTTTTTGGTCCACAATTTACCTATTTTAAGTGAAGGATCCATCTCCTTGCAATGCTCTACCTGTCATATTGATACTACTATTATTGTATTAGATATATGCATTGAAGATACACATGTTCATAATTAAGTTGAAACAGACACACACACACACACACACACACACACACACACACACAAAGTGATTCTTCCCTGGCCAGTGAGACTAAAGCTTGGATAAATACAAGCATGTCCTAGATACCTTTAATGCAGTTAGGTGGGAAAATCCAGCATTCTCGGGAAACCTTGGAATTTTAAGCTTTAGTGAGCTGCCTGGTGTGCCTTAAAACAGGTATCCAATCTCATTCTAGTGATGATGATAGAGCAACATGGTAGCCCCAGTCAGAATATTTTGCGGTTGACTGACTTAAAGACTTATTCTTATTACAGGTGGTTTTAGCCTATATAATAGTCCAGGCAGAAAAACAGATAGCACAATCAAAGGTGTAATCAAAGGTGTAAAAAGGGCTTCAGTGACAACGTATAGAGGTGTAGGCAAGGTTTAAAATAGTCAACAAGTAATAAAGTACCTAGGAACTGGGTACTTCTGGTATTCTTGCAGCAATAGCAGCAAGTCCTTAGTATCCCTAGGTCTGAAGAGTTGAGAAGTGAGGGCAATTTAACAAACCCTGTAAGAGCCATAGCTCTGGAAACTTCAAGCTGAAGAGGCATGCAGTCACTACCAAGCTGTGGCCCAGCAGACAAAGCTGGGAGTGGTGGTACTAAATAATATGTGACCTCTCTTTCTGAGCCTCACATTGGCCAAACCCAACCAGGTGCCCAAAGGCAAGGAAGCCAGGTGATGCAGTCTGCAGAGGTCAGCCATCTGGGCTGACTGAGAAGAGAATGAATGAAATAATTCTCTTTAAACTGCAAAATGTGACCCAATTACCATGAAACTGAAACTACATTGAAATTAAACTGAAAATGTGACCCGTTTACTGATTACTGATTACACAAAGCTACAAATGATGAAGAGCTGAGCATAAATGAACAGTTAAGATTGGAATCTAAAATGAATTGACACATTTAATAATGTGCTCAGTCAATATTGTGTTCATTTCTTTATCCATTCAGACATCTACTTGTCTTTTCAAGGTAAGTGGTTTACTGTAGAATGTGATTTATATTCAAAGTCTAACTTAATTTTTAATTTTTAAAAACTTTCTCCTTTGTTAGTATATCAGAGGGCCAGGATTAGAACCAAGGAATAATAGGACTGAAAGAAATATGCAGCATTTTATTTAATAAGTTTATGGATAACTGAGTTCCACTTGCATACCTGAACAATTTTATGTTGAATAGCTTGAGAAAGAAGCAGCAGCAGCAACTGGGCCTGTTAGGACAAATGAGAAAGAGGACTGGGTTGATTTGGGTGAGCAGGAAAAGAGTAGACTCGAGCAGCTGGAAATGCTGGTAGCAGCTCACATATTAGTGTGTCCACACTTGTCCCTAGCAACGATTCTATAGCTACAGCAGTAAGCTTATCCTGCTTAAGGTGACAAAATTAACGGCAATGTATTTGCACTAGAATATAATCAATATCATATTGTTTCTATTTTGATGGATGTGAGTGAAAATGGGGGAAAAGTAAAGTTTTGGGTTTGGAAAATAAACTGATTGATTAATCCCATGTACCTTTCATGTAATTGTATCAGTTTGGGCTTGATTCTACATCCTCCTGCCTACTTCTCTTAACTCATTCGGGAGTGAACAAAGGAAGGAATTGCCTAAGCACCAGTGTGAAAGCCAAAGCATAGAGTCCGACACACCTGGAGTCTAATCTTGGTTCACGTCTTACCAGTTCTGTGAACTTAGGCAAGTTACTTAATCCCTCTAAGCCTCAGTTACCTCATGTTGATTATTGTACATTTCTCACAGGGTTATTATTTGGGTTGATTGAGATAATGCAAATAGAGAGAAACATATGATACTTATGAACTCTCATTAAATGTTAGCTGTGGTGATGATGATGATCACAACACCAATGACCATGTTTAGGATGGTTCTGATTGTTATTTTCGCTGGGAGCAATATCCACTAAATTTTAGATTTGATAAAATGGCATTATTTGAGAATGTCACAAGTATGTATTATAAATAAAACTATTACTAAATTAAGATTTAAGATAACATTTTAATATAGACACCTGTAAGTAAAGAAACATTCAGTATGAGTTTAGTTTTGACCACAAATTCTTCCTAACCAGGGATCCCTGAAAGGCCGGGGATCCACATCTTGGTTAATTTTTTCAGTCCTCTTGGGTCTTAGTCTTTGGTCTTTTTCAATAAATATCTGTTTGACAGTATCCTTATTGGCCTTCTTGGCCTCATTTCCCTGGAATGCCTCTTTCTGTGCTATTATGGATGTTGCAAGGTAGGTCTGGATTGCTTTTGCAAATAATCAAGTTTACTGAATATTTGTATTACCAAGATTTGCTGACTTAGTGCTCAAGTCTTATGAGCTTCCTTTGTTTTGCTCATATTTCTGAATATTGCATCTTTTGCCTTCTGCATTCAATAAACTGTGCAGTAGACCCTTGTGTTGCTACTTCGGTATAATTTGTTAGGAGCTGGGCCCCAAAGTCAGACTGTCTGTGTCTGAATTAGGCTTCATTATTCATTCATTAGCTGTGAGATTTAACTAGTCAACTTTATTCTGTCTTAATTTCCTCTTCTTTAACAGTGACAATTATCAGTACCCAAATCGTAGGGTTGTAAAAATTAAATGAGATCATCTATGTGCTAGCACCTAGTCTAGTGCCTTGTATATAGGAAATCCTTAATAAATATTACAATACGTTCAATACTACTTGAACTTCCTCCCCATGAGACGATTATACTTCTTTCCACTGAAGTTAGGCATGGCCAAATGATTTGCTTTTGCTAATGAAATATGAGCAGAGCAGATGTATGTAATTCTCATTTGGAAGCTTTTAGAGCCAGTGCACCCATCCACCATAGCTTTGTTTCCTCGATTATGAGAATGCACTTTCAGGATAGCTATGTTCTATGTGCCTAGGCCTTGGAATAGAGACATTGTAGAAGAGACTGATAGCGGACCTGCCAAGGACCAATTTCATGAACATAAAATAAACCTTTAAAGTGTGTGTGGGGGGGTGTTCGTAATTTTGCATAACTTTTAAAAAGCAAATACATTCCTCATGCCATCAGAATTCATTGTCAGACTATTACTTGTTCACTGTCTATCTGCAGGTCTTTGCTTATGTTTACTTTTTAATGACAGAAATATCTGTAAAGACATGTTTTTACTTTCATAGCAAATTTGCCCACTTGGCCAGTAAAAGACTTCTGAGCAAGATTGCAGTGAGCCGAGATGTGCCACTGCACTCCAGCCTGGTGACAGAGTGAGACTCCATCTCAAAAAAAAACCTCTGAGCAATGCTACCCTTAAGTCAAGTCCATGGTATCCTCTGCTCTGTTCCACCATTGTCTTATTTCTTGATACTCTGTTCAGAGTAACATGGTAATTGTGTGAATGTAGCTGTACAATCTTAGTATTTTATCTTTTAAAAATTACCTGCTGACCGAGACCATTTAAAAGCTGTTTATTGGAGTTCTTTAGCGTAGAATAAATAAAGCTTACATATTTTACACAAATCCACATTACAATGAATTATTTTTTTTAAAAGACAATGACATGATGAGAATTTACTTAACGCTTTCTTTTTTTTTTGAGATGGAGTTTCGCTCTTGTCGCCGAGGCTGGAGTGCAATGGTGCGATCTCGGCTCATTGCAACCTCTGCCTCCCAGGTTCAAGCAATTATCCTGCCTCAGCTACCCAAGTAGCTGGGATTACAGGCATGCGCCACCATGCCCAGCTAATTTTTTTGTATTTTCAGTACAGACGAGGTTTCACCATGTTGGCCAGGCTGGTTCAAACTCCCAACCTCGGGTGATCCGCCCACCTTGGCCTCCCAAAGTTCTGGGATTATAGGCGTGAGCCACCATGCCCGGCCTACTTAATGCCTTCTAAATGTTCCTGAATTACATGAAAATAAAAATTCGGAATTTATAAATAACTAGTAGAGCTTGTTACATAATAAAGTCTAGAGATTAAAATTTAAAAAATAAACTCTAAGAAAAATTTCTGTTTTCCAATTATATTTAACAGAACATGACTGAAGATTTTAATGATCAAAACTATTGTAAAACAAATATTTTTTAACTGCTCTCAAAATTAATCTTTTTTTCTAAGCTTGAATTTTCTTAAGACTATTTTGTGGATGTATCCTGTCTTCTCAGACAGCTCCAAGGAGTTACAGATGAGACTGTACTCCTGAATAGGCAGTTACAATTATCCTTAGTAAAGGAAGGTTCATTCCAGTATTCTTAATGTTCAGAAATAATACTCCAAAGTTAACAGCAGAAGGTTTAGAATGGGGGCAGCAGCAAAAGAGGGTTATAATGTAAAACTGTCTTTTCATATTAATCAAAACCATACCAATATATTGAGACATCTTTGCTATGTATTTGGAATTTTGGCTCAGAAGATGGAAATAAGTTAGAGTATGGGGCGCGCGCTTTTCTTTCCTTCTCTCTTTTTAAAACTGTTTTTTAAAAGTACTTACACAGAAAAGGCATAATGGACAGGGGTTACACTGGGAGGAGGATGCTAACACAGAAGCTGTGTGATAAATCAGAGTGGGCTCTTGGTTCCGGAATAACTAATTCTGGACTGGGCAAGTCAGCTAGAATTTGTGGATCTCAGCTTCCTCATTTGTAAAACCTAGATGGGTTAGATATGGTCACTGAAATCATGTAAATGAACGTCTGAAACTCTATGAAATTCTGTAACAAAGCACATTCTTCAAAAATCGTTGGATAACAAAATTTTCCTATTACAGTCAATACAACATTTTTTAGGAAACTTAACTTTAAGGACTATGGAAGATATTATAAGTTGATTCACTCATCCATTCTAACCCTCTTTCCCTTATCTTTCTCTAGTATGGGGGCTGGGAAAATACATAATAAATAAATAATTAAGAAACAATTCTCTTTTCCAGTCTTCCTTGCAGACAGCATTGATGATGTGTCATAGTTGTGGCCAGTGAGAACTAGGCAGAAGTATGTTGAACTTCTGGGAAAGCCCTTGTTTTCCTGATGCGTGTACTATCCCTTTTATATTTTCCTCTTGTCTTTTCTTACTGTCTAGGAATTAGTTTGATGGCTGAACCTGTAATCGCCATTTAATTAAGAAAAGGCCACAAAACCATCAGAGAAATGCAAATCAAAACCACAATGAGATACCATCTCACACCAGTTAGAATGGCAATCATTAAAAAGTCAGGAAACAACAGGTGCTGGAGAGGATGTGGAGAAATAGGAACACTTTTACACTGTTGGTGGGACTGTAAACTAGTTCAACCATTGTCGAAGTCAGTGTGGCGATTCCTCAGGGATCTAGAACTGGAAATACCATTTGACCCAGCCATCCCATTACTGGGTATATACCCAAAGGACTATAAGTCATGCTGCTATAAAGACACATGCACACGTATGTTTATTGCGGCATTATTCACAATAGCAAAGACTTGGAACCAACCCAAATGTCCAACAATGATAGACCGGATTAAGAAAATGTGGCACATATACACCATGGAATACTATGCAGCCATAAAAAATGATGAGTTCATGTCCTTTGTAGGGACATGGATGAAATTGGAAATCATCATTCTCAGTAAACTATCACAAGAACAAAAAACCATACACCGCATATTCTCACTCATAGGTGGAATTGAACAATGAGATCACACGGACACAGGAAGGGGAATATCACACTCTGGGGACTGTTGTGGGGTGGGGGGAGGGGGGAGGGATAGCATTGGGAGATACACCTAATGCTAGATGACGAGTTAGTGGGTGCAGCGCACCAGCATGGCACATGTATACATATGTAACTAACCTGCACAATGTGCACATGTACCCTAAAACTTAAAGTATAATAAAAATAAATAAATAAATAAATAAATAAAATAAAAAAAAAGAAAAGGCCACAAAAATTATCAACCTTGGCCTTCTATCCTTGAACCACAAATCAATATCAACAGCTTCCTGTCTTTAGACTTCTTACGTTAAAATTAAATAAATAAAACTTAATTTGATTGAGCCACCATTTCGATATTTCATAGCTTAGCAAACCCTAACTCTTAAAAGGACTAAAAATGGATCCCTTCAAAAAGGCATCCTAAATTTAGTATGTTATTTTTTTCATATGGGATATAAAATTTTCCAGCTGGTTGAACATTCCAACTTCACAAGGCAACATGAACTTATATTTTATGTCATAAGGTAATATTATATTAGAGCTGAAATATAACCTAATGATTAGTTCAAATCCACTGAAAACAGCCCATAAATAGTACTTATTTGCTCACATTATTCCTCTAACTTAATTGGTATAAAACTTATTTATGTTATTTTCTGATACGGGCTTTATTTAGTTCACCTACTAATATTACATGTATAAATGTAGGCATATACATATAAATATATATCTAGATTTTAAAATCTTTTCTTGCAATGTAAGCTGATTATAGATTTGGGGTACACGGATCAGCTTAACATAAAGTATTTATAATAATAGATATGAAAAGGAATATTTTAAGTTCACCCTGAAAGCATACATGTATATGCAAAGGCTCTTGTTTGTTTCATAATTCAAAAACTTTGTTGAGGACCTGCTAACAATGCACATGATAATGGTGCTTCATATTTGTACATGACTAATTGCAGTTCAGGGTATTTCATAAATGACCATTGGGTTGTGATTAAACTTCACCATGACCCACATGTTTTTGCATAAGAAAGGAATTATCGAAAATAGAGGCAGCGTATTCATTCAGTTCCCATTCAAAATTTAGCAGGAGAAAGAAATCCTTAATGGGTCACATTACAACTTCTATTACTGCACAGATCTGTCCTTTCAATGGGGAATTCCTGAACAGATGATGAGCAGTACAATATCCATTGTTGCAGACCTAGAAGTTGACAAAATTAATTGAGAAAAATTGTTACTTAAACCTCAAGAAAAAGTATTATCAGCAACCATAAGAAAGCTTATTTTCAAGATGAAATGACTTCTAGAAAAAAATCTCGGTAAAAACTGGAACTTTTATGAAGAAGACTAATAACTTGCTCAAATATTTTTTGGATGATAAGATGAAAGCCACATGATGGGAAAATGCTATGATGGGTACGCTGACACTGGCCTTGCATGTTGGGTGGTGATAGGTTTGGCTGTGTCCCCACCCAAATCTCACCTGGAATTGTAATAATCTCCACATGTCAAGGGTGGGGCCAGGTGGTGATAATTAAATCATGGAGGCAGTTTCCCCCACACTGTTTTCATGGTAGTAAATAAGTCTCATGAGATCTGATGGTTTTATAAGGGTTTCTCCTTTCGCTTGGCTCTCATTCTCTCTTGCCTGCTGTTATGTAAGATGTCCCTTGCTCTTCAGCCATGATTTTGAGGCCTCCCAAGCCATGTGGAACCATGGGTCAATTAAACTTCTTTCTTTTATAAATTATCCAGTCTTGGGTATGTCTTTATTGGCAGTGTGAGACAGACTAATACAGGTAGCTTCTAGATTAAGGGGACTCTGCCCAAGGCTGAATGTATCCTCCTGCCTTACAGTTATAGATGCACATGCTGACTCAGTTTTAAATCTCACTACAGAACTCAAGCTTCAGGTTCACCTTTCCAAAAACCCTATTTCTGGGAGGTGAGATGTACAGATTCTGTGTACTTGCTCCAGTGTGGGAGTGCTGCCATTTATTCTTAGGACTCTTATAGCTCTTTGTTTTCATGCTTTCATATTTGGTAGTATTGAGGGAAAGAGCCAGGTTTGGTGGGGTCTGAAGCTTATACACATCTGGGACCCTTTTAAGTAAAATAATTCTAAATTACGAATACAGTCCTAGAAGGTACCTGTGCAAATGAGGCTTCCTGAAGCCTAAGCTTCATTAGCGTCATGGTAAAATCCACCTCTGATAGTATATTATTCTAATTAAATTTCTTTGTTTATTACTTCTAAATATTACATCTTTACTTTTTCAAGTCAATGAAAAGTAAATGATGTCATCCTAAAATTAATATTCAGAAAAATGATTACAGTTTCTGCCGTAGTGTTCTGCACACAGTGGGGGTTCAATTAATTTTATTGATAGTGTTGCAACAAAACATGAGGCTTGTTCCTTTATAAAGAACAATGTTTATTTTTAAATATAATGGGAAAACATTTTAAAACATACTTGTATCATAACCAAACACAAATAGTCCTAAAAGGCTGCACCCCAAAGGTGATCACTGATAAGAACTGAATCAAGCACAGCATTTGGTGGTCTCATTTTAGTAACTTAGGATTTTGCAATCAGACTAGATAGGCTAACTAGTGTTGTAATAGCAACAAACCCCCAAATCTCAGTGGTTTACTTCTGGGTCACATTTACATCCTCAGTGATTTGGAAAAGGTTCTGCTCATGTGGCCTTCATTCTTGGAAAAGGGAGCAATTTCCTTTATATGCAA
Organism: Homo sapiens; assembly: GCF_000001405.40. Lineage (NCBI taxonomy): Eukaryota > Metazoa > Chordata > Mammalia > Primates > Hominidae > Homo > Homo sapiens. The sequence continues at coordinate 18,075,721 of NC_000007.14, forward strand.
AACTGCTGATTTAATGTCTGAGGACAAAAAGATAAATGGAAAAACCAAGGGAAGGCTGTATGGGAAGTATGACCCCTTAGGGAGTGCCACAAATATTTCAAATAATAGTAAAATGTACACAGTACTTCTCCCTCTAAAGAAAACTAGAAAACATCTACCATCACCATCACCACAAATACCTCATTTATCTTCCCCTCCATGCCTAACTTTTTTTTTAAATGGAAATTTAGCATGAGGCTTTTTTCCTGCTTAAATGCAGAGAATAGCATCACCTTTCTTTTTAAATTATTCCATTTTAATTGACAAATACATATTGTGTATACTTATTGTGTATAAAATGAGGTTTTGAAATATGGATACATTCTGGAATAGCTAGATTGAGCTCATTAACATATGCATTACCTTACATACTTTTTTTTTAGGTGAGAGCATTTAAAATCTACTCTCATTAAGTTTCAAGAATATAATACATTGTTATTAACTACAGTTACTATGTTGTACAATAGATGTCTTGAATTTATTCCTCCTGTCTAATAGAAATTTTATATCCTATGAGCAACCTCTCCTTAACATCTACACCAGCCTTGTTCCTGGTAACCACCATTCTACTCTTTGCTATGAGTTCAACTTTTTTCGATTCCACATATAAATGAGATTGTGCTGTATTTGTGTTTCTGTGCCTGGCTTATTTCACTTAACATAATGTCCTTCAGTTTCATCCACATTGTTGAAAATGACAGGATTTCCTTTTAATTAAAGCTGAAGAGTATCCCATTGGGTATATATACCACATTTTCTTTATCCATTCATCTGTTGATGGTCACCTAGCTTGATCCCATATCTTGGCTACTGTGAATAATGCTGCAGTAAACAGGGGATCACAGATATCTCTTCAACATATGGATTTCATTTCCTTTGGATATGTGCTCTGTAGTGGGATTACTGGATGACATGATAATTCTATTTTTAGTTTTTTGAGAAATTTCCATACTATTTTCCAAAACAGCTGTACTAATTTCTATCCCACTAATAGTGTACCAAGGTTCCCTTCACATCCTAACACTTCTCATATTTCATCTTTTTGACAATAGCCATTCCGAGAGGTATGCAGTGATATCTCATTGTGGATTTAATTTGTATTTCCCTAAAGATTAGAGATGTTGAGCATTTTTTCATATACCTGTTGGTCATTTGTATGTTTTTCTTTGAGAAATGTCTGTTTTTCTTTGAGAAATGTCTGTTCAGATCCATTGTCTATTTTAAAAATTGTGTTGTTTTCTTGCTATTAAACTGTTTGAGTTTCTTATATACGTTGGATATTACTCCCTTATCAGATGTATGGTTTGCAATATTCTCTCCTAATCTTTGCATTGTCTTTTCACTCTGTCGATTGTCTTCTTGATTGTGCAGAAGGTTTTTAGTTTGATTTAATCCTATTTTGTTTACTTTTGCTTTAGCTGCCTGTGATTTTGAGGTCCTAGGCAATAAATCATTACCCAGACCAATGTCATGGAGATTTTCCTCTATTTTTTTCCTAGTAGTTTTGCAGGTTAAAGTTGTATGTTTAAGTCTTTAATCCATTATGAGTTGATTTTTGTATCTGGTTTAAGATAAGGGTCCAGTTTTGTTCTTTTGCATGTGGACATCCAGCTTTCCCAACGCCACTGACTGAAGAGACTATCTTTTCTTTATTGTATGTTCTTGGCAGCTTTGATGAAATCCAATTGACTGTAAATACTTGGGTTTATTTCTAGGCTTTCTATCCTATTACACTGATTGATATGTCTGTTTTTGTGTAGGTACTATGCTGTTTTGATTACAATAGCTTAATAATAGATTTTGAAATCAGACAGTGTGATGCCTTCAACATTGTTCTTTCTGTTCAAGATTGCTTTGGCTATTTGGGAGTTTTTGTGGTTCCATATGAATTTTAGTTTTTTTTTCTATTTTTATGAAAAATAACATTAGAATTTTGACAGAGATTGCATTGACTCTGTAGATTGCATTGAGTAGTGTGGACACTTTAACAATATTAATTCTTCAAATCCATGAACATACAGTGTCTTTCCATTTATCTGTATCTTCTTCAGTTTCTGTCATCAATGTTTTATAGCTTTCAGTATACATGTCTTCCATTTCCTTGGTTAAATTTATTCCTATGTATTTTGTTTTTTGTAGCCATTGTAAATGATATTGTTTGATTTTTTTCTCTTAGATAGTTCATTGTTAGTGCACAGAAATGCTAGTGACTTTCGTATGTTGATTCTGTATCCAACAATTTAACTGAATTCATTTATTAGTTCAAAGAATTTTTTAGTGGAGATTTTAGGGTTTTCAATATATATGATCATGTCATCTGAAAACAGAGAAAATTTAACTCCCTTCTTTCCAATTTAGACACTTTCTATTTCTTTCTCTTCCTTAATTGCTCTTCTAGTACTATGTTGACTAGAAGTGGCAAGAGTGGGCATCCTCCTCTTGTTTCTGATCTTAGGAAAAATGCTTTGAATACTTTTCACCATTGAGTATGATGTTAGTTGTGGATTTTTCATGTATGGCCTTTATTGTGTTGAGGTATATTCCTTCTATGCCTAATTTGGTGAGTTTTTTTTAATCATGAAGAGATGTTGAATATTGTAAAATGTTTTTTCTCATTCATTGAGATGATTATATGGTTTTTGTCCTTCATTCTGTTAATGTGGTGCATCATATTTATAGATTCGCATATGTTGAACTATCACTGCATTCCAGGGATAAATCTCACTTGATCGTGATGAACAATGCTTTTAACTTGCTATTGAATTTGGTTTGCTAGTATTTTGTTCAGGACTTTTGAATTTATGCTCATTATGGATATGGCCTATAGTTTTTTTTATTGTAGTGTTCTTTTCTGGCTTTGGTAACAGAGTAATGCTGGCTTCAAATTTGGAAGTATTCCCTTTTCTTCAATTTTTTGGAAGCATTTGTATTAGTTCTTATTTAAATGTTTGGTAGAATTCAGCAGTGAAAACCTCAAGTCCTGGGCTTTTCTTTAATGGGAGACTTTTTATTATTAATTAAGTCTTCTTACTTGTTACTCACCTATTCAAACTTTCTGTTTCTTCATGATTCAGTCTTGGTAGGTTGTATGTGTCTCGAAATTTATTAATTTCTTCTAGGTAATCCAATTTGTTGGTGTATAATTACTCACAGTGGTCTCTTATGATCCTTTGTATCTCTATAGTATCAGTTGTAATGTCTTCATTTCTGATTTTATTTATTTGAGTCTTCTGTCTTTTTTCTTAGTCTGTCAGTTATGATTATCTTTTCAAAAAAATCCATTCTTTTGTTCATTGATCTTCCTTGTTTTTCTAATCTCTATTTCATTTATTTATGCTCTTATCTTTATTATTTCTTTCATTTTACTAACTCTGGGCTTAGTTTGTTCTTTTTCCCCCTATCTCCTTGATTTGTTGTTTGAGATCTTTCTTATTTTTTGATGTAGGCATTTATTGCTATAAAATTCCCTTTTAGAAATGCTTTTGCTACATCCCATAAGTTTGGGCATGTTGTGTATCTATTTTTGTTTGTCTCAAGATATTTTTTAACTTCTCTTTAAATTTTTTATTTGACCCATTGGTTGTCAAGGAGCATGTTGTTTAATTTTCATGTATTTATGAATTTTCTAAAATTCTTCCTGTTATTGATTTCTGGTTTAATTCCATTGTGGTCAGAAAAGATACTTGATATGATTTCAATTTTAAATTTGTTAAGACTTGTTTAGTGGTCTATACTATATGATCTATTATTGTCTAGGCCACTAAACAAGTTTCATGTGCACTTAAGAAGAATATGCATTCTCCTGGTGTTATATGGAATGTTCTGTAATGTCTATTAGGCCCATTTGATCTAAAGTGTAGTTGGAATCCAAGATTTTCTTATTGCTTTTCTGTCTGAATAATCTGTTCACTGCTGAAAGTGGGGTACTGAAGTCCTCTGCTATTTTTATATTACAGCCTATCTCTTCCTTCAAAACTATTAAAATTTGCTTTATATATCTAGATGCTTTGATGTTGTGTGCATATATATTTATGATTGTTATATCCTGTTGATGAATTAACCCCTTTATCATTATATAATGACCTTCTTTATTTTATTTGATATAAGCATAGCTACCTCTGATATTGTATTAATAAAGACATCCTGAGGCTGGGTAATTTAAAAAGGAAAGAGGTTTAATTGATTCACACTTCAGCAGGACTGGGAAGCCCTCAGGAAACTTACAATCATGGCAGAAGGGGAAGCAAACATGACCTTCTTCACATGGTGGCAGCAAGAAGTGCCAAGCAAAAGGAGAAAAAGCCCCTTATAAAACCATCAGAACTCCTGAGAACTCACCCACTATCATGAAAACAACAGCATGGGAGTAACCACCCCCATGATTCAATTACTTCCCAGCGGGCCCCTCCCAGGACATGTGGGGCTTATGGTAACTACATTGGGTGGGGATACAGCCAAACCATATCAGCTATCTTTTGGTTTCAAGTTGCATGGAATTTGTTTTTTTTTTTCATCCTTTCATTTCGATCTGTGTGTATCCTTAAAGGTGAAAGGGGTCTCTTCTAGCAAACGTGTAGTTGGGCCTATTATTTGTTAATATACTTTCTATCTTTTGATTGGATAATTAATCCATTTACATTCAAGGTAATTATTGATAGGTATGGACTCATTATTGTCATTTTGTTATTTTTTTCTTTGGTTGTTTTGTAGATCCTTTGTTCCTTTATTCCTCTCTTACTGTCTTCCTTTGTGATTAGGTGATTTTGTTTAGTGGTATGCTTTGTTCTTTACTTTTTATCTTTTATGTATCTACTGTAGGTTTTCGCTTTGTGGTTACCATGAGGCTTACATAAAATATCTCATAACAGGCTGCTTTAAGATGATAATTATTTAATTTTTATTGCATAGAAAAACTCAGTATTTTTATTTTACCCATTTTATGTTAAAAAACTTTTCACTCTGAGTCAATAATGTTGATATTTTATGTTTTGATGTTTGAATCTACATCTTTTTATATTGTGTATATCTTAGCAAATTATTGTAGCTATTATTTTTAATAGTGTTGTATTTTAACCTTTACACTAAATATAAACGATCTGCACACCACTATTACAGGATTAGAATATTCTGAATTTGACTTTGTGCTTACTTTTACTAGTGAATTTTATACTTTCATATATATTTTTGTTACTAATTAGAGTCCTTTCCTTCAGCTTGAAGAAATCTCTTTAGCATTTCTTCTAAGGCAGTTCTGGTGGTATAAACTGTCTCAGCTTTTGTTTGCCTGGGAAGCCTTTATTTCTCCTTCATTTCTAAAGAACAACTTTGCTGAATATCAGTAGTCTTAACTGGCACGATTTCTTTTTTTTTCTTCAGCACTGTGAATATATAATCCCATTTTCTCCTGGCTTGTAAGGTTTCCACTGAGAAATAAACTGCTAGCCTTATTAGAACTCCCCTTTGTGTGATATGCTTATTTTCTCTTGCTGCTTTCAGGATCCTCCCTTTCTCTTTAATTTTTGACAGTTTGATTTTAATGTGTCTTGGTGTAGTCTCATTTGGATTGAATCTGATTGGGGACTTTTGACCTTCCCGTACAATGATATTTATATCTTTCACCAGATTATATTACATTTTTCACCAAAACCCTGTCTTTACTAGAAATACAAAAATTAGCTGGGTGTGGTGGCAGGTAACTGTAATCTCAGCTACTTGGGAGGCTGAGGCAGGAGAATTGCTTGAACCCAGGAGGCAGAGGTTGCAGTGAGCTGAGATTGCACCACCACACTCCAGCCTGGATGACAGAGTGAGATTTCCTCTCAAAAACAAAAAATATTTTTTCTGGCCCTTTATCTTTTTTCTCTCCTTCTTGAAATGGTATAATTCAAATATTTTCTCTTTTGATGCTTTCCCATAAATTCTGTAAGCTTTCTTCATTCCTTCAATTTTTTTTCTGTTTTCTCCTCTTATTTACATATTCTCCTCTTATATATTTGCAAATAACCTGTCTTCCAGTTCACAGATTCTTTTTCTTCATCAATTTTACTATTGATGCTCTCTATTGTATTTTTTATTTCATTCACTATGTTTTTCAGCTCTAGGATTTGATTTTTAAAGATAATTTTAATCTCTATTAAATTTCTCATTTCATCATTTATTGTTTTCTTGATTTCATTGAATTATTTCTCTGTATTTCCTTCAAGTTTGCCAAGTTTCCTTAGAAGAATTATTTTGAATTCTTTGTAAATCATTTCATAGATCTCAATTTCTTTAGGATTAGTTAGTGCTTTATTTCCGTTGTTTGGTGGTGTCGTTTCCCTGATTTTTCTTGAACCTTATCGGTATGTATTGGTGTCTGTTAATTTGAATAAATAGGGACTTATTAAAATCTTTGCAGACACACTTTATCTGGAAAAACTTTTACCAGTCAGTCTGTCTAGAGATTCTGGCATGCTTTCTGGTGTGGTTCACAGGTAGAGTTACTGCTGGATTTCCCAGGGAGGCTGCCCCAGTGCCCAGGTCTATGGGGTTGTACCTGCGGTCTGCATCCACTGGGGTGGACATGTTGATTGAGTCCACGGGGGTGGCCCTGGAGCCTGTGTTCATGAGGGTGTTCCTACAGCCTGTGTCCATGGGATCCTGCCCCAATCCTGGGTCTATAGGGACTGACCTGTTACTGCTGTGTGCTTTGAGCTTCAATCTGCAGGGGATGGGCAGGCACTAAGATGGGGCTGGAAACTGGTCTGGCACTGGGGTGGCCCTGTGGCTGAGTCTGCAGGAGCAGGCCTAGGTCCTGGGTCCACTATGGCCAGTCTGTAGCCTGGGTCGGCAGGTTTGGTTCTGGAGTCTCAGTCCATGAGGTCTGGCCTAACATTGGGGTCTACTGGATTCTGAGTCTCTGGGTTATATCCTGGAGCCAAGGATCATGGGTGTTGGCTTGGTACTTGAAGCCATGAAAGCTAGCCTGGAGCTTGGGGTCTACCAGGATAGGCCTAGACCCAAGGTCTGCTGAAGCAGGCCCGAACTGTGGGTTCACTGGTGTATAGGACCACAGCAGATGGCCTGGGGGTGTATTTTTGTGCATGTATAGTTGTTCAGATTGATGTTTCTGCAGGAGTACAAGCACTGGAAAGTCTTATTCACCATTTTGCTGACATCCAGATCCTATAAACTTTCTTGAGGGGAAAAATTCCGTTTAATCCTATTCTTGCACGTCACATGTAGTAAGAACCTACTATGTTGAGGGCTCTGTGCTGATCTTTGGAAATAAAAAGTGAATGACTAACACTTCCAAATAAATTATGTAGATACTCTGCCCTAAAAGAAGAGGTCATATCTTTGCTCCGTAAGTGTGGGCTGCGCATAATGACTTCCTCTCAGAGAATACAGTATGTAAAGGGGAGGAAAAAGAGTAAATTTACAGTGGAGAAACCTGACAAACATTACCTCAGCCAGGCGATTAAGATCGTCATCAACAGGGACAAACCATGTTGCCTAGTATATACCCTTGATATAATGTAATGAAAATAGAACTTTATAATCTTCTTTTCCAAAATCCATCACTTTATTTTTACCATGAGAAAAATATCAGACAAATTACTACAGAGGGGCATCCTACAAAATATCTGACTGGGATTCCTCAAAACTGTCATGGTCATAAAAAACAAAGAAAGTCTGAGGAAGTGCCACAGCCAGAAGCCTAAAAAGACATGATCACTAAATATATTGTGGTCTCCTAGATGGGATCCTTAAACAGAAAGAGCACATTAGTAAAAGCTAACAAAAAGAAATCTGATAAACTACGGACCTCAGTTAATAATGTACCAATACCAGTTCACTAATTGTAGAAAATGTATCATACTAAAGAAAGATGAGAATAGCAGGAGAAATTGTGTGTGTGTGTGTGTGTGTGTATGTGTGTATGTGTGTATGCATGTATATTGTTCTCTATACAGTTGGCCATTGAATAACACAGGATTGAACTACATGGATACACTTACATGCACATTTTCTTTCACCTCAACCACCCTTGAGACACAAGACAAACGTTTCCTCTTCCTCTTCAGCTTATTCAGCGTGAAGATGAAGAGGATGAAGACATTTATGATGATTTACTTCTACTTAATGAATAATAAATATATTTTCCTTATGATTTTCATAATAAAATTTTCTTTTCTCTAGACTATTGTTTGAACACAGTATATAATACATATAGCATACAAAATGTGTGTTAATTGTTGATGTTTTGGGAAGGCTTCTGGTCAGCAGTAGGCTATTAGTAGTTTTTAAAGAGTCAAAAGTTATATGTGGATTTTCAACTTTGCAGGGGGTCTGCTCTCCTAACCCCTGTGTTGTTCAAGGCTCACTGTACTATCTTCTGAATTTCTCTGTAAATCTAAAACTGTTTTGAAAAATAGTCTATTAAAAAACTACAAAAAATGTGAATGAGTTATCTTTGTCCTCTTAGAGCTCAGTTGACAAGAGACTAAAACCAGGAAAAAATTATAATATAGTGTCATATATGCAATAATATAGGTTTGAACAGAGAACATGCCAACCCAACCAAAACTTTTAAGATAAATTATCTTTTCAACTAAATCGTAATTTAAAAATTTGAGTCTCTAGTAGCACGCAGCATGTATCTTACTCAAAGTCAGCATTCAAATGTCTAGCAGAATGATGAGGAAGACTGCTCCCATTTGTGAAATGACCTGGACATGGGATACTTAAATAATTAGACTTAAGTGAAGGTTAACTATGCCTGGTATCACCACCCTAAAAGGTGAAAATAAGTTTCAATTCAAATTTTGCCATATACATCTTTATTACACAAAATCTGTTTTAGATACCCAGTGAAATCCCAGGGGCATTTCCTTTTATGTGCTTCAGCCATACTTTACATGAAAGGTTTCTTGAGAGACAATAGAGGGAGAATTTTCCCCTTAAAGTCAATGGTAGGCAAACAGAATCATTAAAAAAAAAAAAAAAAAAAAATCAGCCTAGACACTAAAGTAAGGCCTCGTCTCTAAAAAAGTTAGTCCCAGATACTACTTGGGAGGCTAGAGGATCACTTGTGCCCCGGTCAAGGCTAGAGTGAGCCCTGATGGTACAGCTGCACTCCAGCCTGGGTGACAGAACAAGACCCTGTCTCAAAATACAAAACAAAACAAAACAAAACAAAAAACCCCCACAAAAACCAAAACCAAAACAAACAAACAAAAAAAACCCTCCAAAAACTTAAAGGCTGGACACTTGACCATTTCTTAACTCCATTTTGAAAGGTAAAGGGTGAAAGGTCACTAGATAGTTATATCTGGCATATATACAAATCAGAAATATCTCTACTTGAGTCAATATCATCAATTTCATCCATGAAATGAGAACCCATTACTACGATTCGTCATGCTAACGAACAGAATCCTCAGTGTGGATAGAAAGTTAAGCAGAAGCTCTAGCACCAACAGCCTTTGGAGTATCTTTATTATTTTTTATTTTTAAATTTTTATTTAAAGCTAGCTGACCACTCCTGCAGCGTGAATTCCTGATTAGAGCAAAGTGAGGGATAAATCTAGCCATCATACACTTTTATCCTCCTAAGAATGCTGAACTATTTTAAAAGTACAGCTACCATACCACTCCTTTTCTCGAGTTATCTTGCTGTTATGAAATTGGTAGTCTGGCTTTATTCCTGAGGTTTTTGTTTGTTTGTTTGAAATGGGGGTTTCACTTTGTTGCCCAGCGTGGTCTCGAATTCCTGGGCTCAAGCAATCCTCCAGCCTCGGCTTCCCAAAGTACTGGGGTTATAGGCTTGAGCTACCGGGCCTAGGCCCTAATCCTAAATTTTAATCTTAACTCTGCCACTGTGAGACCTTGGGCAAATCACACTACTCCCATGGATCCGAGTTCTCTCCTCTAAAAATGAGGGTACTGGGTTAGGTCTTTCTTGATCTTTCCATCCATATAATTAATCTATAAGCTTAGCTGTGTTTTAGCTGACGTAGAGGAAAACCATAAATATGAAAGCAGAGACACCAGCTTTAATTCGTTTGATGGTCAAATTACATACACCATAAATATTAGCCTCTTTGAGTGATCAACTGTTAGCTTTAGCCAAGTATGTTTAGGATTACACTTAAAAAAATATTTTATTGTTGTACACTTCATAAAGGAATCTACAGCTACTAGTGATGCTAGTATAGACTTCATTTATAGCAGAAAAAAAATCCCCAAGGTAAGAATACTAACCACTGAAGGAGATCACCTCGTTAATTCTCGGCCCTTCTAACTCTGCTTGCCTTCTTTCAGGGTTGGTTTCAGAGCGAATGGTCCTCTCTGTTCAGCCTTAAAACGCGGCATACCTAAGTCATGTTTCCAACAGCAGTCACCATATTCCCTCACGTTTCCCATTTGACAAACCCCAAATGTAGCATTTTTTTCTCTTAAAATTCCCTTGAATGATTCTTCAAGCTCCACGCATCTGTGGGGACGTTCCAGGTACCGCCCCACAATGCTACCTCCTCTTTAAAAGAAGTCGTTCAGCTGGGGCGGGCTGGCGCTGCGTGGCGCGCACCTGAGCGGCCGGGGCTCCCCGAGCCACGGGGGGCGCGAGAGGGCGAGGCAGCGGCCTGGCTTCTCCCCAGCACCGTTCTCTGTCACGGCCGCCGCCTGACCATCACCCCGCGCCTCGCGTGGGCATGTCTCGCTTCAGAAATCCCAAGTCGTCTTAGGTTCCCTGGTCCTTCCCCTGGGGGGGAAAAAAAACGCTGGTGCAGCCCAGAGCCCTTTTCCGCTCCACCCCGGGATGTCCTCGCTGCCCTCCCGCCTCCCGCGCGTCCTTCCCAGCGCGTCGGCCGCGCGCCCAGGTGTTCCCGCGTCCGTAATCCCCTCCGGCCCGCGCCTCCCGGCCCGCCCTGCGGGTCTCCAGCGCCTGGGCCCGCGCTCTCGCCGCGGGTCCTTCCTCCTATCCCCACCCAGCCCCGCCCAGCCTCCGCGGCGCTGGGGCTCCCGGCCGAGCCTCTCCTCCCACCTCCGTCCCCTACTTCCCTCCCCAAGAAGTGCTATTTTTAGCAAATTCTCCGCGCGCCGCCGCCCGCTCAGCTCGCAGCTCGCAGCCGCCCGCTGCCGCCCTCCCGAGCCCCCCCCGCGCGGCGGCGGCGGCGGCGGCGGCGGCGGCGCGTCCCGCACATCGCGCAGCGCGCACCGAGCCGGCCGCGCCGCGCCCGCCGCTCTCGCCGCTTTCGCCGCGGTCTCCTCCTCTAGCGCCCGCCGCGGCCGGTAAATCTCGGCTGGAGGAGCAGCGGCGGCCCCCGAGTCAACTTTCATTCCCTTTTTGCTTCTGCCTCACCATTCTCTTCTCCTCCTCGAAAGATGGCTGTTTGGAGAAGGGGGAGAAGTTAAGAGGTCGCCAGCGCGGAGCGAAGGAGGGCGCGATAGCCTCAGCAGGAGCGGGCGGAGGTGAGTGGCACCACGGCAGAGTCCCCGGCTGGTGCTTGAGGAAAGCCCTGGGAATTGGGGGCCACCGGTCCTCAGGATGCGCCGCGGTATTCCCTTCTCGGGTTCCGCAGGTTAACAGCATCTCAGTCCGGACTCTGATGCCACTTGCCTTGCATCTCGCAGCCCGGAGACCGGTGGGTTTAAGGGAACCTTCGTCAGAAGTTGGGTGCTAGGTCATCTTTGTGGCATGCAGACCCTGACATTTGGCTAGGCAAACTGAGGCGAGCGGTCGGTGGCGTGATTCTCTCCCGCCCCCAAACACACCCAGTTTATGTTGGAGCCGAGCTATGAATGAAAAGTTTGTACTGGCAACGTGTTGCTTGAGGGGAGCAACGCTTATTGGGGGGTACCTTTGATGTTTCGTGGAGGACTTCAGTTTTAAGTCAATACATCAGAATCCTGGGTTTTAAGAAAAGTTCAGGAGGCTGGGGGATGGGATGGGAGATAAAGCAGTTCCTTGACTAGTGGAAGGAGAGTGATGAATCGTAAGCTTATTAAGGTAAACTGGTTAATTAGATGCCATACGAGGGTGTCACAGTGGGGACTAGAGGGAACGGAGGACGGGGGCGTTCCCTGAGCGCCTAGCAGGCTGCGTTTGTTTGGCTTTGAAGCCGTTATCCCCTTGTCCGCAATGAGAGGTGCTGGTGTCAGGCCTGTGTGTCTGTGATGTGACAGAGCGGGACTGAGCTCTCTCCAGATCCGAGGCGCGGTTGTCAGGAGAGGTGGCCTGCAACGGAGAGCTGAGGATGCAGTTCCTGTGATGTGGACTTGGAGAATTCTCTAGTGAGTCTCCTGTGCTCCAATTTCAGGAAGATCTGTCAATTGTTTTTTCTTCCAGGGAGGTGTGTGTAATCTCCTAAAAGGAACTTTCAGCTTTAAGTAACTGTAGCATTTTGAAATCCTATAAGAAATGAGATATCTACATATATTCATTATTTCATGTATGTGGGGTGTGTATGTGTGTGTGTAAAATATGGGAAAGGGGTAAGAAAGGCTTAAAAAGTTTAACTTCTACCAGAAAAGAAAGCGAAGAGTTAATTTTTTTCTCCCCAAATGGTATAACAATGCATATACAACTAAATACTCTTGCTGTGCTGAGATTTCTCATAAGGAGTAAGATTTAGGAATTACAAGTATTCAGAGCACTGTCATGTTTTCAAATCTTGCAGGCACTGTCGAAATCTGGAAAAAGGGAGTACGTACATAGAAAACCCATATTAAAGGAAAAAAACATTGAAAATCTCCCAAAAGAAAACCTTATGACATTTGAAAAGGCCTGGATGTTTTCTGATGCCCCAGAAATCTTTCTAATCCTGTAATTAAAAACAGCACAGAATAAGTTGCATTTAAGAAATCAGCAATCATGTTTAAAAGATATCTTTTGACCTTCTTTTTCGTACTTTTGATTTTTATTATGGAAATTATTGTGACTGAAAATTTGTTGTTTAATATATTTGCCTTTTACCACAGATAATTAGTCTTCCTTATCCTTTTAAACCACTGTTCCAGTTTGGACCAATTTAATTCCCCAAACATCAAATTACTGATGTTCCTTCTGGAAACCATTTATGTTTAAAATGGCTAATAAGAATATTATATTTCCAAAACAACATAATTTAGTCAGTTGTAAAACTTGCTTGTAATTTATTCTCATCCATTTTGTTTGAATGGGGCACATTTGAAGAAGAGCAGCATTTTCTTAGAATATGCCATTTTCTGTGTGGGAAAAAGCTAGTGTTTTCATATATGTTTTAGCTATTAAACAGATGCATGTAAGGTGGCAATCCTGTCTGACCTTTGATAAACTGCCAGCCAGAGGGAGAGAGATGCTTTCTTAGCTGTGCTAGTGAATTGATAATCTTTACTACAAAATGGACACGGTTAGATGCACATAAGGTTGTGCAGAAGGAAGTTAAGGAGTTTTAAATTAAATACCAGTTTATGGGTAGGAGACAGATTTTTTTTTTTAACCTTGATCTTCCTGTTTCTTTCTTTCTGCAGTTCAGCCTGTTGGGCTGGCCTTTATTGGAGAGTCAGACCAGCACTCTGACTAGAGAGTGTTTAGCACATTAAAGTGCTGTCTTTTGTAGAAATAATGATGGCTCTTTTGCAATTAAAAGGTAATTTTATACATGCTTATAGATTTTTGTGATTGTTTGGTGACCAAATTAAGCATAACCGTTATTATGGTAGAAAGAGTTGTTTTATGAAGTTATTGCCACTATATATAAATAATTATATATTTAAGATATAGATGAATTCTATTTGAGGTTTAGGAGTTTTGAATCTTAAGGCCAGCTGACCAGATATAAACCTATTTAATTAACTAATTTGAATGACACCAGAATTCAGATTTTTATTAATATCTACATCTAGGTTTATGTAGCTTTCCTTTCTTTTTATTAGAATTACTTCTTTTTTGAATTTGTTTAAATATTACAACATATTACATTATAATTTGTACACACTCAGTGGGGAAGGTGCAGGTTATTCTTAAATAGAGATGTGGAGAAATAGCTAACAAGGAGAGTCATTTGAGAAACATATGGACATCATAAAATCCTTCTGTATGTAGCATCTGTACCTTCTCATTAGTGAAATATTGTAGTTATGGACATTTTTTGTTATTACATCCAAATGTGGCTTTTTATTTTTGCTTCATTGGTTTTTTTTTGTTTGTTTTAAAATACAATTTGTATTACTGTTTAAGTTGGTGGGGGCTCTTACTGCTTGAAGCCTTTTGCTTTCAATAGACATCATACTTAATTTTTATTGCATGCATCTGCAGATATATACAATTGTTTCCCAGTTTGTTATTATAATTCTTACACTTTTTGGTGATTCCTCAAAACATTTGAGAGATAAGTAGGGTGACATATTGTTCTCATTTTAGGAAGGAGGCGGCAGGTACACTGATATACCCAACGTTACACCATAGTGAATCAGTGTGAAGCTGAGCTTAACATCTATATTTCCTGTATTTTAATTATGAGAGCAAGCTGCTCCTGTGTCTTATGATAACTTCATAAATTTATGTATTTCTAGATTTTTAAAGTGGTCATCTTTATACATGTGCAGATCAGATTTTAAATCAGTCAATATAGTCATAAGGGGATGGATCATACTGTTGGCCTGTTGATGGGAGAGAACCATGACTCTAATAGCTACTGCTGAAATAAACAAAGAAGCACACACACCTCTGCAGAATATTTGTTCTTGCAATCAATCCATAGTCCACATATTTCTCTGCCCTGCTGGCCTCACCCTATCAACTACCTACTGCCCTTTTACTGATCAAAGCAGTTCTTAAAGTTTATCAGCACAGTTGTCAAGCTTGAGGATCATCAGCCTCACTGGCAAGAAAAGTCAGAACCTGATTTTTGGGAAGAGAGAGTATTGACGGGGGACAGTAATGGAGTGTTCACTCCAGAGGCAGCCAGTAGTGGTCAGAGATCATATTCTGGGTGTCGGGATGTCTATTTCTCTCATCAGCTCTGCTTCTTTGGCCGAACTTACAGGTATCAAAGTGAACAGAAGGTTTATGGAATTATCTAGTCATTTCTTTCCATGTAGATCTCATATCTGAATAAATCAGACTTTTTTTAAAAAAAAGAAAAGGACAGAAACTTGTTCTTTTTCTTCATCTCACCAAATCTCCTCTCCTTCAAATCCCACTAGAATTTTTTTAGGATAATTGCCCACATGATTTGTAACACTAAAGTGATAGACTTCTGATATTGCATTATTACACTTAACAGTGGAATATATTATCCAGCTTGCAGAAGGAAGCATTGTAATTCTGTAGATAATGGTAATATGTAATCTTATGCAAGTATTTTTGAATAAGCAGACAGTACCAAGAGCTCTCCATTAAGCTAATATGTATATTCTTACTCTTCCATTCCCTAAATTACAAATGGTTTATAGGAGCTCATCCAAATCATTAAGTATCAAGTACTGAAAAAAAGTTCAGATGTGGTTTCCTGTTTACTATGGTGAATTTTGTTTAGAGCTTCAAAGAGAGGAAAACTACTATCTATTGTTTGCTGCACCAGAGAGAGTATAACGTGTTTCTGGTGAGCTTGAGGAGCATTGAGGTTGCTGGAAATGGTACTTTCTTCACATCTCTACAGAAGCTGTGATAAGAAGGAGATGGGTGTGGACTGGTTTAGTTCTAGTACAGTAGTGATGACTGGAATTTGAAGTGACCACTGAAAGGGTAAGATTTGGATAGTCTGTGTGTCACTCAAGGTATTCAGTAGCAAGTCATGGAAACTAACTTAGTTAATATAAGCATCAAATAAATTTATTAGAGGATATTGACTTTGTTTTCTCTTGCTGTGTAACACATTTCCACAAATTTAGCAGCTTAACACAACACCCCTTTATCATATCAGTTTCATTGCTCAGAAGTCCACACATAGCTCAACTAGGTCCTCTGGCCAGAGATCTTCTCCCATGTTGGCTAGGGCTGCAATCCCAACAGAAGATCAATAGGAAAAGATCCACTTTCAAGCTCTTTTCTATTATTGGCAGAATTTATCTCATAGTGGCTGTAGGACTGAGGCCTCCATTTTCTTGCTGGCTGTCATTCAGAGGCTGCCCTTAACTCTTAGAGGCTGCTGTTATTCTTTGCCATGTGGCCCTCTCATAGGTACTGTTACAACATGGCATCTTACTTTTTTAAAGCTAGCAAGGAAGTCTCTCTTGCTCCAGTCTGATAAGAAAGAGTCTTATATACTATAATATAATAGTGAGAGAGTGACATCAGGCTATACAAGGGCATGACTCCTTGGAGGTCAGCTTAGGGTATGTCCACCACATTGACTAGCTCATAGAATCTCTGGTGTAGGGTGGGCACAGTGGCTTATGCCGGTAATCCCAGCACTTTGGCAGGCCAAGGCAGATGAACTGCTTGAGTCCAGGAGTTCAAGATCAGCCTGGGCAACATGGCGCGACCCTGTTGCTACAAAAAAATGCAGAAAAAATTACCTGAACGTGATGGTGTGTGCCTGAAGTCCCAGCTAGTTGGCAGGCTGAGGTGGGAGGATCACCTGAGTCTGGGAATTTGAGGCTACAGTAAGCCATGATCGTGCCACCATGCTCCAGCCTGGGCAACACAGTAAGACCCTATTTTTCTTTCTTTCTTTTTTTTTTTTTAAAAAAAAGAACCTCTGGTAAAGTCAGCAGACCTGACTTTGAAGCCACTCAAGTAGAAACAAGGCTCCAAATCCCTCTGCAGAATTTGTCCTGTGAGGTACTGCTGCTGTCGCTGCTGGCATATAGCTTCTACAGTTGAATGTGGGCTCTATATCATAAAAGAGAGGATTCTCCACATATAATAATGGGGTCCCATTGTCCATTGCCAAAAAGAATGACAGGTGTCCACTGCTGAGGGAAAGAAGAAAAAATGATTGCTTAATGAAATGTTTGAGTTTTTGGCCAGGATAGGCATGATAGCCTTCTAGGGATGGGATTGAATTGGAAAGTGACTGAAGTCATGATGACTTCTTGGAAGAGAAAACTCTTCCAGGATTTAGGAGAATAATGGTAATGAGGGTCCATTTATGAGTGGTAGTGATAAGAAAGGAGTAGAAAACCTTTGAAAGATGAATCACTACACATACATTAGTCTGGGTATTGACTTAATTAGTCCCTAAATATATTCCACGCATGAAAGACTTTTAAGGGACTGATTCCACTAATCCTTGCAGGGAACCAGCGCTGTGACTTGGAGGCCTGCAGTGTGGTCTACCCTCATTTTATAGAAAGGAGTAGAGCTAAGGACCATTGTACTATATTTGTGGCCCAGTGACTATAGGGTGCTATGTAGTGGGTTGGGGACTATTGAACACACCCTGTGCTCTAAGCACTTTGCCAGACACATTTTATCTATTTTGTATCTCAAACTCTGGCAGTTTAGTTTATATTTCCCTAGTTCTGCCTCCCTTCTCCCCTGGCAGGTGTGTGGAGACTTTGAAAGGCTAAATACTTTGCCAAGGGTCGTTCAGCTAGGGGTGGCATTAGGATTTGAATCCAGGTCTGATTCCAGAGCCTGAAGTCTTGTAGTACACATCCCATACTCACAAGCAGTAAGTGAAGTTTCCAGGGGGAAAGCCTGTTACTCACATTGAAGTGGATGTCAGTGCTACAATTGCTGTTGGGTTCCATCATTCAGCTTGAGAGAACTGGATACTGCAAGATGAGGGTTAAAGAGAGGAGTGAGAGAGTGTGCTGTATCATGCCTTCTTTTATTTTCTCAGCAGGAAGTACATATTATAGGTCTCTCTTAGATCTAAAAGTAAGAATGGGGAGTAGAGGCTGTGCATTTTTATTTCTACTTATCATTTTGGTTAAAATCAAAAGCACTGTGTCTCCTTTCTTTCCTATATGTAGATTTCTACTATTAAATTAAATCAGGTAACATTATGAATTCTCATTGCCTCTTTGGCCATAGGGTTCTTTCTATAGCTTTTTCAGTAGATGCCACTGTTTTGATCTTGAAAAGTCTATTGAGACATTCTTCCTTTGTTCTTCTATTACTCAGTCCCTCTTTCTACTCTGTGGTGCCTCTGAAATCTATTCATAGATATTCTACTTTTTTCTTCTGTTTTATGTACTTAAATATCTTCTTTAAATGGATCTAGTTCCATTGATCAGAATCATTGGCCCAGATCCCCTTGCTGCTCCACTGTACCCAGGAAGTCTTATCTATTTTCTGTTAATTTTACTGAGTTTTACTCTACATCCCAGCACAGTATGAGGAAGCCTTTAAGATTTCCCTGGGTATCTGAGCCTAAATGTAAACATTTAAAACTGAATACCTCAAGGAAGAGTATGATTGGATTGTGTTAGATCAGGTGCACACCTATGGACTACTCCACTGTGGCCAGGCAAAGGGAGTTTTATTATTGCTCCATCTGGGTTCAGGTGTCCACCCTTCTAGAATACTACTGTTCTCAAAGAAGGAAATTGTGAGCCAGCCCCAGCTTGACTGGGGTCAACAGTACTAATCTATTCTAGAGCACACTGTAGCTCAGGAAGTCTCTAAATAAACTTAATTTCTTCATATAGGTTTTAGATTTCCTAAACTAGATTAGGCCAGATTTGACTTTAAAAGCCCAAACTTCTTAGCATGACACAAGTTCTTTCACAGCCTGGACCCAGCCTATCTTTGTTACCTTTACTTTTTTTTTTTTTTTTTTAGGTGCAGGGTCTTGCTCTACTCCCAAGGCTGGTGTGATCACAGCTCAGTATAACCTTGAGCTCCTAGGCTCAAGTGATCCTTCTGTGTCAGCCTCCCAAGTAGCTAGGACTCACAGGCTCATGCCAGCGTACCTGGCTAATTAAAAAAAATTATTTATTGTTTATTTTTAAACATTTTTTGTGGAAGGGGTCTTGCTGTATTGCCCAGAGTGGTCTTGTACTCCTGGCCTCAAGCTATCCTCCTGCTTAGGCCTCCCAAAGCACTAGGATTACAAATGTGAGCCACCGTGCCAGGCCCTTACATTTTTAACTGTTGCAACTCCCTGCCTTTCATCCAGTAAATCATTAAGGATTTCAATCCTAAACTTGGAGCTAGCAAGTGGCTTCGATTTTAGATAAACAGGAATAGCCAGCCTGAGAGAATACATCGACGTGTAAAGAAAAGTCAAGATGAGAGAGAGAGAAATAAGTACATTTCAGTTTTTCACTTCCTGCATCCAGTCATTCTTAAGTCTCGTTCTATAGCTGATTTTTTCCACGGATATGTTATGTGAGCAATGAATTATCCATAAATTGAGTTTCTGCCTCTTGCAATGGAAAGAGAACCGTGTAGCATAGGTTTCTATAAGTGATCATCTCGTAGCGAAAATCAGACTTTCATTCTGCTGGGGTTCTGTTGGGGGATTAGGAAGCTGTGCTTCTCTGCCCTACTTTTTCACTGGGCCCAGTGTATGTCCCACCTCTTCTGTGATGCTTCCCCTGATTACTACAACACACTGAGATCTCATTCCTCTCTGAATTCCTACTGTAGTTTAGGGTTATGGCTATGTTTTCGCAGGCTTACAAATGGAATTCTAGTATTAATTGAGAAAATCCATAATAAAAAGGCTACTGTATTAGGAAAGTCTTTAAAAGGAATTTGCATTTTTATTACCCCAAACAGCATCCTTATATTTTTGAAATATAGTAGTATATTTAATATACAGGAGGATTTACATGTGTATTTATGGTCTTCTTGCAATTACCCTGTGGCTCGCTAGAGATTCATAGTCTCCCACCACTTAGATGGAAAAGAGGGCAGAGAAGGTTTGGCTTCCTAATGGGTACCTTCTCCAAATAAAACACCACAGGAAGAATGGGCCGGTTTTGACTAAGACTACAGGTCTGTACAGTATGAGTGTGTTTATTTTTTATTAAACATTCTACTTAGGTATATAGGAACATAAATATGAATGCTTTTGCTTATAGATTTCATAAATTATAAAACCAAACCCAACAAACAAATGTTGAATATAAACAACAGAATTGATGAAATTAAAAGAAACAACATTGAACTCTGTGACAAATGATGCTGTATTGTTGAAATTACATTGCCAGTATCCAGTTTAAAAGTATAAAGATGCAGTCTCAGATTCTGTTTTTCTTTAATCTATTTCTATGTTTTATATCAATATAGATACAAAAATTGTCCTTTTACAACCAAACAAACAATGTTAACTTTGAGGCTTTGTGTATGGCTCAGGATAATCAGGCTTTACACATGATCAAAATTCCTCAAATAATCCCTCAAATGTCAGGTTTAATGAGGTATCACCTGAGATCTCTATAACATCTTTTCGTTCCCTTGAAAATGTGATTAGTATTGTGGAGTCATCGAATTCTAAATCAAATCTGTAAGCTGTATTCCAAGATTTCTGGAATGGAGAACAGATTATGTAGAAGCTACACAGAGATAGGATGCATGCATTATCTTCACACTCATGATGATTATAACCTCTATAGTACAGGTACTTTTGCCTGCCTGTGCTACCCAGTGTTCTGTAATGACTCACTTCATCCTCACCTTTTCTCTAAACAGACTTTATTTGTTTAGCAACCTTTCTATTCTTTGGTCTCCACTTAGTTTATGCATGATTCAAAACACCAAGTGCAAACAACATGATGAAAATTTGGTGGCAGTATTTAGTTTTTAAACGTTTATTCAGAAACTGATTAGCATACAACATGTATATTTAGATGATCATCCCAATGAAATCCCAAAATGGAAAAAAAAATATTTCACATCAAGCTCATGGACCTCAGTTTGAAATACACAGTTGCAAATGTTAATTGGCCACTTAAAACATTTTACATCTTGCCTTATGTTGTGTGTCATTAATGAAATTGTAAGCTCCTTGAGGTGAGACTATATGCTTACTGTTTTGTTTTCTTCCATAGCACTGTGTGCATTTGTTATAGTTGGTGACCAAAAAGTGTTTGCTGATTGACCGATTATTAATATATTGTTATTTCCTATTGCTCTGTGACTCAAAGGCAGGGACTATTTTGTTTTAATCTGTGGTCTCTGAATGCGTAGCACAGCAACTCTCACATGAGAAGTGCCTAATAAATGTTCTGAATGAAAGAATGGATGACTTGTTGGCTTTGTGTGTGTGTGTGTGTGTGTGTGTGTGTGTGTGTGTGTATTCGTACTCTTTTAGATCTAATCTCTTATGTACAGGGCACTTCTAACAGTTGTATAGATTAGTGCTGTCCAGTAAGATTTTCTGTGATGATGGAAATATTCTATGTCTATGCTCTGCAACATCATAGCCACTAGGCACATGTGGTCTTTGAAATTTAGCAAATGTGGCCAATGGCCTGAATTGAGTTTTATTTAGTTTTAATGAGTGCATAGTCACACATGGCTAGTGGGCAGCACAGACCCAAATGATAAAATGTACTTTCTCAAACTTATTTGCTCTCATATCTAACATTATTATATTTTTTGGTTATAATTGGATGTTGTTATTTGATTTTGTTGTATTGGATGGATGAAGTGAGTTTATCACTTTAAAAATAGGGCAATATAGTCCACCAAGTTGACTTCATTCTTTCCTAAATGACCAGCAACATTGGATGTCATCTGTTCACTTGCCCCACCATCTATTTTGGTATTTCATCATTTCCTTATTAGGCTAGAGGCCTGACACCGCTTTACCAAATAAGTTTTATGTACACTTTTACCTTTTTTTTTTTTTTTAATGACCCAGGTTATCTTGCGTTTGCTTGTCTTTCTGTTTTAGTCCTTTTTTCCCCTAATAAACCATTTAAACTTGGATTATCTATATCATTATTATCATTTTTAGAGACAAGGTCTTGCTCTGTCACACAGGCTATAATGCAGCAGTGTGATCATAGCTCACTGCAGCCTTGAACTCCTGGGCTCAGCTGATCCTCCTGCCTCAGCTTCCCAAGGAGCTGGGACTACAGGCATATACCACCACACCTGGCTAATTTTTTATTAGATTTTTTCTTTTTTAGAGATGGAATCTTGCTTTGTTGACCAGGCTGGTCTTGAACTTCTGGCCTCAAGTGATCCTCTGGAGTAACTGAGATTATAGGAGTGGACCACTGCACCCAGCCTATATTATCATTGTTAATACCACCATCATCATTTTCATTTCTGGTGTTTATGCTTTGCCAGCCCATATTTGATGTTGTGTACTAACGTCTACTGATAGTCTAAACACATTTCAAATTTATTATAATCTGAAAAATGTCTGAATATTCTTTTTCTCCAATTGTTTTCTTTGCTTATCTTGCCCTTTTACCCTTTCTGGTCCAGAAGAATGAACTAGCACCATATGCATTTAAACATTACAACTCAGTCCTTACATAAGATGTAATCCCATCATGACAAGTTTCACTGCTGTTGCCAAATCCGTGAAATCGATACTACAGGACTGTCATTTAGAAAGACAGGAATTGCTTCCTGCAAATGGCTGAGATCTTTATGCAATTTGTAGTTCTGCTGGAGCAAGACTTCTAAGTTATTGTACATATATTGAACCTCAGTATTGGGTATATTCAATTCTCCTTTAATTCTTATAACAGTATTGAATCTAGTAGTATGTAATGGTTATAGAGGCTATCTATGCAAATAAGTTGAAATCAGCTCTGCTGACTAGCAGAAATACTTTAGAATTTTCCACTCATTTTCTGTTTACTGCTAGAGATTTAATTGTTGTCTTATGTGGCAGAATTTGAATGCACAGACTTCAGCATGGAAGCTTGCCTTTTGTTCATTTTTTTAGTCTAGCTTAGTAGTTCCCAAACTTGAGTGTGCATCAGCATTTCTGTTCAGGGCGATACACACAAAAGATTGTTAACTATACTTTATGGATGAGTTAACCTCTTTTCAAGGCAGTTTTGTCTATACTAGATTTTCATCTTGGAACCTACCTTTCCCTCATTACCCCAAAGATGCATCTCCTCTTTATTCCTTCTATTTCTACTTTCAGTCCAGCACACAGCTGCTCATTGAGTGGACTTGTAGATGTGCTCTTGAATAGATTTCACACAATGGGAGACAAATTCAGTAGCAATATATAGAATTTTGAACTTGTGAATCCCCGGTTGAGCTTTTATCTTCTTATTGCTTTCATATGCCTCTCTATGGTGAGAAGCTAGTACTGCTTTGTTATCTTCTTTCCCAATTTTTCCCCATAAACATTCTCCTAAAAAGCCCTAATGATGTAAATGATACATTATGTTCATTCTTGACAGGTTGGGGAAATGAGGAAGGGAACTTTCCTTTGTGACTTGTGCTGTAGATATATTTTAAAATCTCCTATTTATCTATTTGACCCAATTTTTAAAAGTTACCTACATTAAAATAAATATTAAATAAATTTAGTATTATAATGAAACAGTAGTTTGCTTTTATTTATAAAGTTCATCTGGGTGTGTTGGCTCACGCCTGTAATCCCAGCACTTTGGGAGGCCGAGGCAGGTGTGTCACCTGAGGTTGAGAGTTCGACACCAACCTGGCCAACATGGTGAAATCCTGTTTCTACTAAAAATACAAAAAAGAAAAAATTAGCTGGGTGCGGTGGTGGGCACCTGTAATCCCAGCTACTTGGGAGGCTGAGGCAGGAGAATCGTTTGGACCCTGGAGGTGGAGGTTGCAGTGAACTGAGATTGCATCACTGCACTCCAGCCTGGGCGACAGAGTGAGACTCTGTCTCAAAAAAATAAAGAAAAAAAAAATAAAGTTCATCAAAGGCCTTTGCTTAAACTTATGAGATAACTTGTTTACTAACCAGAACACCCTTTTGGAGTTACTTACTGCTTTTCTCTGTGAGAACAAACATCATATATTCACCTTAACTTATATTTTCAAAAGTATAATGCTAAGACTACTCAAGCCAAGTGGGAAAGTGTAGGCCAAATGGAATAGTATTTCAGAATAACGGCTACAGTTTTAATTTCTCTAGAATAGCAGATCTGAAATATTGTTGTGTGTTCTAATTTTCAGGTAACTACTGGAAACTCATTAAAATATATTTTATACCCTATTCTATTTTTCTTACATATGTTATAAAGCCCTTACTACATTCGTATTTTATTAAAACAGTAATTATTTAAAGATATTTATGTAAAACAGAAATCTTTTGTATTTACTCGAGTAGTTACCATTTCAGTGCTCTTTATTCCTTTGTCTATATCCAGATTTTCCTCTGATATCCTCTTCCTTCTGCCTGACTTCCTTTAAACATTCCTTGTGGCACAGATCTGCTGGTGATGAATCCTATCAGCTTGCTTTTGTATTTCTGAAAATGTCTTATTTCACCTTATTTTTGTTGGATATAGAATTCTAGGTCAGTTTTTTTCTTTTAATAGTTTAAAGATGTTACTTCACTGTTTTATCATTTGCATTTTTTTTTACAAGAAACCTGCTGTCATTCTTACTTTTGTTCTCCTTTATAGATATCAAGTCCTATAACGTATTCTGTTTATTCCTGGTTTTGAACAATTTGATTTTAATGTATCTTGGTATAGCTTTCTTCATGTTTCTTGTGCTTTGGGTTCATTGAGCTTCTTGGGCCTGAGGGTTAATAGTTTCCATCAAATTTGAAAAAAAAGTTAGTCATTATTTCTTCAGAATTTTTTTAGGAGTCCCTCCTCTTTTTTCTCTTATTCAGGAACTCCAGTTGCATGTATATTAGGATCACTGATGCTCTGTTTGTTTATTTTTATTTTTTCTTCTCCATATGTTACATTTTGAGTAGTTTCTATTGCTGTGTCTTCAAGTTCATTACCAAGTAGTCATATTTAGTGTGTTCTCCATCTCACACATTGTAGTTTTCATCTCTTGAAGTTCAATGGGGTGTTTCACAATTTTCCATGTCCCTATTTAACTTTCTGGACATATGGAATAGATTCATAATAACTGTTTTAATGACCTTGTTTGCAAATTCTAATGTCTTTTTTAGTTCTTGGTCAATTTTGTTTGATAGACTTTTTATCCTTGCTATTGGTTATATTTTCCTATATCTTTGCATGCCTAGTAATTTTTGATGGATGCCAGACATCGTGAATTGTAGGGTGCTGGATATTTTTATATTCCTATAAATCTTCTTGAGTATTTTTTTTCTGGGATGCAATTAGTTACTGGGAAACAGCTTGATCCTTTCAGGTCTTGTTTTTAAGATTAGTTTCTGAGTACTCTACCCAACACCCCATGAATTATGAAGTTTTCCAGTCTGGCTGGTAGGAATAGGCACAATTCCCAGACTTGTGTGAGTGCTGGGTACTGTTCCCATTAACACTTTCAGGTGGTTCTTTTCCTAACTTTGGGTTGTTTTCTCACATCTGTGTCCTGATCATTACACTGCTGAATATTCAAGGGGGGAGCTCATTTGTAGACCTCTGAATATCTCTTCATATTTAGCTTTCCCCCCTCCAGTACTCTGGCCTGTGACATCCAGCTGCTCTGATCTCCTTAGTTCCTCCAATTCATCTCCTCAATTCAGGGATTATTCTAGGCTCTGCCTGGGTTTTCCTTTCCTGGGCCACAATCTGGAAGCTGGACTAGTCATAGAGCCCAGGTCATCAGTTTCCCATTTCTTAGGGTTCACCTCGTGTGTTTTCTGTTTGTCAAGGATTATTGCATTGTGTCCAGTGTCTTGAAAACTATTGCTTCATATTTTGTACAGAACTTTTATTTTCTTAGGCAGGGGGATAATTCCAATCCCTCTTACTCAGTCTTCTTTGGAAGTGGTTCCCCCATTCCTTTTCTCTTCCATGTAAAACCTTGTTGGTCAATATCATTTTGGCGACTACTTAAGTATTTAATGCTCAATTTAATGTAGTTTATTTTGATATTCTACATCTTTCTTTTCAGCAGTTTCCAAATTTTCTTTAATTAACATTTTATATTACAAGCATATTTTAAAAAATCCATTTTGCACAGTTATATTCTATATCATGCTTGATGCTTTTATCACTGTCCTAGCCATTCAAAACCATTCTTAAGGCAAGCTGGTCATAAAATAAGGAGTTAAATTTGTTGAGCATAATAATTTACATGCTTTTAAGTGGATAAAAGATGCCACTATGGGAAAGTACCATGTTTTTTAAGGATAGAAGCCAAGTGGCTTTGAAATAATGTACTCTTGAATCTAGTAAATGTGAATGATCATAAAACAGCTCATAAATTACTATATTTTAAATTGGATCACTTATGGATTGCTCCTCTTTTATATTTATTCAGGAGGTTCTGTAGTTCATGGATAGGCCTTGAGATTGTTCATATGTCAAGCAATAGTGAACTATGTGCTGGTGAATTATTTTATTTTTAATCCTCTCTCATATTTGAATGATAAAATATACTACTGTGAACTAATATGAGAATAAAGTGTCAAAATTCAGGAGCACATCTTGCTATAGTGAATACATCTTGTTACTTCAAGAGTTTTCTGGCAGTAAGGGCACAATTGACTGTGATAATTTAAAAGAATCCTTGAGGTGGTATAGTTCCATATGTCGTAGGAATATGTCAATGATTTTTTAATTTTGCAATTTGAGTTTTTAATGTAGTCTTTTGAAAGCTAGTTGTTAAGCATGGCAAGAAGACTAGAGTTACTTTAGAATTCTTAGGAAAATAATTTTGTAAGAACAAATTAAAATTAACTTTTTCTTCAGCACTGTCATAAATATCAGCACCATGAAGCCAAAATTGTGGCAGTGTTACATGGCTATGTTTCCAATATTTAAGAATAAAGGTTAGGCCAGATTTATATTCTCTTGCAAAATTGAACCAAAATATAAATAATTTATAGAATTTTAAGAATAGAATCTTGAAAAAGCGAATACTACTCTGTGAGGGAGACTGTTAGTTGTCTCCTAGTCTCTCTTTTCCCCACTGTCCTCAGACATAAAGCACCTAAGTTTTAGCTGGGGACAAATCCCTACAGGATAGAGATGACATTTCTTAGCCTTCCTTGCAGCTAAGAATTTTAAACCATGTGACAAAGTTCTGACCACAGGATATAAACAGAATGGTTATGTGCAACTTCCAAGTAGGCCATTAAAGGACGGGGTGTGCTGTCTCCTTTCCCTTCTCATTTGCTGGAATGTGGGAATAATGGTTGCCTATCTTAGACTTTGCTAAGGATGCCAGCACTTTAAGAATGGCAGAGCAACAAGATTTTTAAAGAAGGCCTAGGACAGTGTATTAATCTGTTCTCACACTGCTAATAAAGACATACCCGAGACTGGGTAATTTATAAAGGAATGAGGTTTAAGGGACTCACAGTTCCACATTGCGGGGGAGGCCTCACAATCATGGTGGAAGGCAAAGGAGCAAAGGCACATCTTACATAGTGGCAGGCAAGAGAGCTTGTGCAGGGGAACTCCTATTTATAAAACCATCAGATCTCATGAGACTTGTTCACTACCATGGGAACAGTATGGGGGAAACCAACCACATGATTCAATTATCTCCACCTGGCTCCATCCTTAACACATGGGGATTATTACAATTCAGGGTGAGATTTGGTTGGGGACACAGCCAAACCATATCAGACTGTGATAGTGACATTTTTACTTTATTATTTTATTTTATTTTATATTCGGGGGATACATATGCAAGTTTGTTACAAGGGTATATTGTGTGATGCTGAGGTTTGGGCATCTGTCGATCCCATCACTCAAATAGTGAACATAGTACCCAATAGGAGGTTTTTCAGCCCTTTGCGCCATCTCTCTGGCTCCTCCCTTTTGGAGTCCCCGGTGCCTATTGTTCATAGATGATGACTTCTTGAAGCAGAGTTGCCATAACAGCTTGGAGTCTTGTCTAACTAAGCCACTGTTATTTTCAGTCTCTGTCACGTACAGCCAAAGCTATATGCAGTAAGTCCTCACTTATCGTTATGGATAGGTTCTTGGAATCTGCGACCTTAAGTGAAATGACGTACAAGGAAACCACTGTTACCACAGGCTAATTGATATAAACAAGAGTTAAGCTCCTATGGCATATTTCTGGTCACAAAAATATCACCAAACTTCTACATAAAGATCGAAATATTTCTAATATAAAACATCGGAATAAATGTGAGCTATACATACATAAGAAAGATTCCTAAAAACAAGTCTGAAAATTGTTTACCCACTTACACCAATTCATGGTCTTGGGTGGCCAGAGCCGATCCCAGCAGTTCAGGGCACCAGTTGGGAACCAGCCCCGGACAGGATGCCATCCCATCTCAGGGAACACTCATACCCACCCACATTCAGACCGAGACTGTGTAGACACGCTGATTCACCTAACATGCACAGCTTTGGGATGTGGGAGGAAACCGGAGTACCCAGAGAAAACCCGTGCAGACAAGGGGAGCATGTGCAAACTCTATGCACACAGTGGCCCGGGCTAGGAAGTCATTTTTTCTTTTATCAACTTTATAATGAAACAAATGAAATGACATTATTTGAGAACCTGCTGTACATTGTTCCCATAATTGTATTTTTTTTTTTGTTTATAAGACACATTAAGGGTTTCTTTTTGTAACCATAAGCTTGAAAGGACCAAGTGATCATACATCATAGAGATCTAAACTTTTTCAAAGGCCTTCATTTTTTTAAAACCAGACTATTTCAATATCTATCAGCTGAGGTGAGGAACACAATATAATTAAACTTACCTGGCTCTTGTCTGAGAAATTTAAAAAAAGATTTGAGGCACTTAAATCCTTATGCTGACTTTTGAAAAAAACAAGGGTTGGGAAAAGAGAGAATGCTAAGTTGTTCAGCTTTCTACTTTGCCCGCAGACACCAAATATTTTTTCAATTTTCAGTTCCCAGTGTGAAAAGACTCCCTATACCATTTCACACTGTTTACTACTCCCCCTTTTGGAAATGATCATCCCAGAGCTTCTGGGATATCATACTCTCCAGTTTCCTCCTCTGCCTCTGCTCTCTCCTTGTCTCCTTTTTGGGACCCTATTTAATTCACTCCCTCAGTGTGGGCATATTCTGATTCTTGGCTCACTTTTCCCTTTACTCTGTAAGGGAGATCACAAATTGGCAGCTTATAGACATGTTTTGTTGATGCCACACAGAATTCAAAGTAATTTAAATTTTGAATTAATCTTTTCTAAAGGCTATTTCCTTTTCCTCCCCCTTTGTTTTCAATTCCATTTCCTCCTTCAGATCATTTCTACTATTATCTTAATCAGACAATCATGTTGTCTTACCTGGCTTCCTTGCAATAGAATTCTAACCAATATTACTTTTGGAATAGCCTTTCTAAAATGAAATTTTAATATTTTTCTATCTAGCCTCAAAACTTTGATCAGCTCATCTGCTTTCTAGATGAGATTTCATCTACATCTAGATGCTTTCTAGATGGGGATTTCATCTACATCTAGGATGCTTTCTAGATGTGGATTTCATCTACATCTAGGATGCTTTCTAGATGTGGATTTCATCTACATCTAGGATGCTTTCTAGATGTGGATTTCATCTACATCTAGGATGCTTTCTAGATGTGGATTTCATCTACATCTAGGATGCTTTCTAGATGTGGATTTCATCTACATCTAGGATGCTTTCTAGATGTGGATTTCATCTACATCTAGGATGCTTTCTAGATGTGGATTTCATCTACATCTAGGATGCTTTCTAGATGTGGATTTCATCTACATCTAGGATGCTTTCTAGATGTGGATTTCATCTACATCTAGGATGCTTTCTAGATGTGGATTTCATCTACATCTAGGATGCTTTCTAGATGTGGATTTCATCTACATCTAGGATGCTTTCTAGATGTGGATTTCATCTACATCTAGGATGCTTTCTAGATGTGGATTTCATCTACATCTAGATGCTTTCTAGATGTAGATTTCAAACTCTGGTGTTGGTATGAATGCAAAATGGGCACAGCCACTTCAGAAAACAATTTTGGTAGTTCCTCAAAAAGCTAACCAGAGAGTTACTATATTAGCTAGGTATACACCCAAAAGAATTGAAAACATATTTCCAGACAAAAATGTATATATGATTATTCATGTCCATTTATAATAGCCAGAAAGTGGAAACAACCCAAATGTTTACCACCTGGTGAATAGATAAACAAAATGTGGTGTAGTTGCACAATGGCATATTACTAGGTAATCAAAAAGGAATGAAGCAGTGATTTATGCTACACCTGGGTGAACCTTGAAAACATTATGCTAAGTGAAAGAAGCCAGACTTACAAGGCCACATGCTATTTTATTCAATTTATAGGAAATAGCCAAAGACTAAAGGTAGAATAGTGGTTGCCTGAGGCAAAGGGAAGGGGGAATGAGATGTGACTGCTAAAGGATATAGGGTTTCTTTCTGTGGCAATGAAAATTTTCTGGAATTAGATGGGGCTGATGGCTGTATACCTCTGTGAATATAATAAAAATCACTGAATTATATAGATTAAAAGGGTAAATTTTTAGGTATGTGAATGATACCTCAGAAAAAGTCAGGGAACGCAGTGAAAAACAAAACAAAAACCGAAAGCTCCTTAGAACTCAAGATCCTTCATGATCTGACCTTTGCTGGTTTTCCCAGTCTCATTTCTGGGTACTTTGTCTTTCCATATCCATTGCCTGTCTGTTCCTCTCTCCCTTGCACTAGTCTGCTAATCTACAAACTCTTCCAAGAGTTCCATGCTGTCTATGAGTCTTATTATCCATGCACACATTTCTTTTTTTTTTTGAGATGGAGTCCCACTCTGTCTCCCAGGCTGGAGTGCAGTGGTGCGATCTTAGCTCACTGCAACCTCCGCCTCCCAGGTTCAAGTGATTCTCCTGCCTCAGCCTCCTGAGTAGCTGAGATTACAGGCACACTCTACGACACCTGGCTAATTTTTTATATTTTTGGTAAAGATGGGGTTTCACCATGTTAGCCAGGCTGGTCTTGAACTCCTAACCTCAAATGATCTGCCTGCTGCAGCCTCCCAGTGTGCTGGGATTACAGGCGTGAGCCACCGTGGCTGGCCCTGTGTACACATTTCTACCAGAAAAGTCCTTCCCACTCTCTTCTCCTCACATTCATCTCTTAAATTCCTGATTTTCTTTTGAGTTCATATTTCACCTCTCCTGGAATCCCTTTTTATACACCAGTGCTGGAATACTTAATAGGGGGATTATGTAGACTCTTCAGGGCAGGCAGGAGTACCCTACAAATGAAAATAAATTAACTTTGATGAGCTTATACCACCTTTGCAATCAGAAAATCTTGAAAGAAGCTTTTTTGAGTGTGCATGTAAGTGTTATGTTTCATAGTTTTTAAACTTTAAATAAAATGTAGTGGACTGGGTATGCAACTATGATATTTTAGAACAAGCATCATGTCACAATATTAATCTGGCTTTGCTGCCCCCTCTCCCCTGCCCTGTGTAGATTAGGAGCAAACCTAGGGTGTTTGCGCTTCCCAAATACTCTGGGCATCCCTTGCTACCCTAAATGGTAAATATCCGTTTCTTTTTCTGTCTCTCCATCTAGACTGGGAGCTGCTTAGTGATAACTGCTTTGTCTTTCATTAAAAAAATCTTTACAACTAAATTCCAGTAATTCTCCATAGAAAGTGTTTGGTAAGTTTTGAACAAATGATTAGACATCCTTTGTGGTCAAATGTAGGCATGTGAGAGAGACTACTAGCATTTGCCCTACTGAAGATCAGAGATCTGAGGACATTTTAAGAAATGCCTAATTAGATGGCTTCATTGAAATACAACTTGATCTCTTTCTTGCTCTCTCTCTCTCTCTCTCACACGCACACACACACACAGACAGACACCTCCTTTAAAAAGCTAATTCAAAAAGAGTAGAAGCAAAAAAGTGAGATTTAAAACTTTTTCTCAACCTATACACCTGAGGAAGGTGTTAGATTTAAGGCCTAAAGTGGATTTTAAACTGACACCTCCCCTAACATATTTTTAAAGTGTTTTCTGTACTTTTTAAAACAGCTTTTCTTTTTCATGTCAGCAAATTCATGAGTTAACATTCATGTACTAACATTAACTCCCATTTTGGACTTGCTCATTATGCAGTGGTAGATAGTGGCTGGTTAATGTTTTCTCTTTCAAAAATGTGATTATACTTAGTTATTTATAAGTAATTCCCCCTTTTTTACCTTTCATTTTTAAAACTAGAAATTCTTGTTTCGACCCTATATGTCTTATTTGGGTTCTCTGAATCAGATTCTTAGACAAAGATTTGAGTGCAGGTAGTTTACTAAGGAGGCATTCAGTAAACTGTTTGTATTAAGCAAGTTACTGACTTGAGCAACTGAAATTTTAATTCTTTCGGGGGACCTGTGAAAAATATGCCTACAATTAGCTACATGAGAAGCAAGGGAGTTGGGATATGATATCCTAGAACCTGTTAGTCCTTAGTTGAGGGCTCTTCTAGGGGGTGTTAATACCCAGAGTTTCCAACTGCAGTGCAGGTCCAGAGAAAACCCTCAGGTAAAGAAATAAAAGGGTTGACGGTTGGAAGTCTGTGGGCACAGATTCAAGTAGCAATGACCAGGGAGTGTGGGGCAGTACCAACAGCGTTCACTGTATATGGAGATGGGCGCCATCATGGGAGGAGTGCTCAAGTGTGAAAAAGCCCAGAATTTAAGTTAGTTTTTCTCAAGCATTTACTCAGTCCTCAGGTAAGTACCTACTGTGTGTAAAGGCTGTACTAGGTAATGGGATGTATGAATTCGCTTGTAGAGGCAATTAGCTGTTTAAAGCTCAGTTTCTTTATTTCAAATGAGAACTTATTTTCTTTCTTTCAAAATGGAGAATCAAATGAGATCGTATTCCTGAACATACTTTAAAATGTTGAGAGCATTTTACACTCATCTCCTTTTTTTTTTTTTTTTTTTTTGGATATGGAGTCTCACTCTTGCCCAGGCTGGAGTGGCAGTGTTGTGATTTTGGCACACTGTAACCTCTGCCTCCTGCCTCCCAGATTCAAGCGATTCTCCTGCCTCAGCTTCCTGAGTAGCTAGGATTACAGGCGCGTGCCACCACACCCAGCTAATTTTTGTATTTTTAGTAGAGACAGAGTTTCACCATGTTGGTCAGGTTGGTCTCGAACTCCTGACCTCATGATCCTCCCTCCTCGGCCTCCCAAAGTGTTGGATTACAGGTGTGAGCCACTGCGCCTGGCCACACTCGTCTCTTATCAGGAATATGTTAGCCAGTCAAAAGCTTGTTTTCTTCTTAGGCCATGTGAATTTGGCCTCTCTGCGAAACATGTATAAGACAGTAAATTTAAAAGTTTCATGAAAGGAATAAGGTACCATGGGGATGGTTATTTTTAGCCAGTTGGCAGTGAAGACTTCCTGGGGAAAGTGGATAAAATGGACCTTAAAGTAATGGATAGGAATTATCCATGTGGAAACAGGGAATTTCTGAAGGAACAGTGAATTCCAGGAGAGCTTGAGCAAAGCCCTAGAGGCAGTGCAACTGAGAACCACTCAGTACCCAGGTTAAGCATTTTTTCCCCCTTAACTACAAATTGAGGATATTAGTACTACCTACACTATAAGATTGTTGTAAGGATATCTTGTAAGGATAAATGAGCTATGTCATGTAAGGTAGGTAGGTTAGGGTAAATTCTAACTTCATCTGTAGCTTTTGGTGTCAGTGTAGTTTCTGATGATAAGTTATCCAGTCCCAAAGAAAGCAGTGTTTCCTAAAGTAGATGGGATGTAAACCCCACAACATCTGCAAGAAAAAAGGATTATGACATTAAAAGAATTTGAGAAATCCTGTGTACCATACATAGATGGATTTCATAGAGAGGCACATTAAGATATTAACAGTGCTGAGAAGTGCAGCAATAAATAAACCTTTTTTTTTTTACTTTGTTTAATGCTGTGTATTAAATTTCTTTAATTGCTGGTTTCTTTTCTCCCCTTAATGTAATACTTATTCATGTTGGACATTCTTTGTAAAATGTGAATTTGAAGAGCTTCATGTGGTGCGCCAACCAAGTTACCAGTACTTACATATCCACTTTAATGTTGTTAATCTATCTTAAGGAGTTGTAAATGGCTTGAAATAATAAGAAACTTTGCTTAAAATACTTTTTGTGATTCTCCCTCTAGGCATGCTTCTGAGCAGTTTCTTAGTCATTGCCCCCACATCAATCATTGTATGGTGCTTTACATATTTCATTCCTCATTTTCTGCACAGAATTGTATTGCTCACCCCATGATTTCTCCCAGGCCTCAGATCTGCTCAGAATGATGTTTTTTTGGCCTCACTTGAGATAATTTAAAGAACATTCCCCAGACAATTCTGAAAGTTGACTTCCAAAAATACTTGGAGTAATGCCATCATCATTAAACTAAGTGGATGACTTTCAAGGTGAGTGGTTTTAAAAGGGACAGCAGCTTCTTGGACGTGCACTTTCTCTGCAGAACAAATGGTTTGTCTTTTTATAGTCATAGAAGGAGCTCTGAATTCCTACTATGTGTTTGTCCTTTTGGTAGATATAGTCTATTTTGGGCAGAAGTTCATAGTCTACTGGGGTAAAAAATAAATGTTCAAAAGTAACCACTGTAGAAGAGGATAGATATAGTCATAAAAGCTACAGAGTGTTATCAAAGTACAGAGGAGGGGTCTTCCATAGGGGTCAAGAAAAGTGGCAAGGATACTTACGATGAACCTTGAATACCACATGAACAATAGAGATATTCCAGGCAGAGAGAAGTAATGTGCAGAGGCCCAGAGATGTGACAAAGGACAAGGAACTCCATGTAAGTGCAAATGGAGTGTAGACTCCACATGGGAATATGGATGGTGAGTGAGGCTGGGAAGCCAGATGGAGTCCTGACTATAAAGGGCTGTGTAAGTGCTGGGGTAAAGAGTTTGGAGTTTAGCCTCTAGATGGTAGAGCACACCTGATAGATTATTAGACAGAGATGGCCATAGTCACAATTTTAAGCAATTTGGTAAGTGGCAACTATGCAGTTGAGTTGGAGTGAGGAAAGACGGGGGCCAGGAGCTTGGGAGGCTATTACAGCGGTCCAGCCAACGGGGAGTCTAAACTGAGGTAGTAATTGTGATGATGGGGAAGACAAAATGGATATGATAGATATTTAAAAGATGAGGAACGGAGATGATAAGGGGAGTCTGGGATTCTTTCACATGGGGAAGAGTTTGGATGTTGGTATAGGTCAGTGTAATTAGAATTCAGGAGAGAAACACATTTTAAGGGACATTTGCTGAGTTGTATTCTGTATTTGTTGTGTTTGAAGTGCTTATGGGTTATTCATTTGTATTTTCATCAGTTCCTAGAGTAAGTACTCTGTGCCAAACAATGTGTTTGACTCTGAGGATGTGGCAAGAAAAGAGTCAGAATGTTCCATGTGCCTGTGAAGCTTACAGCTTAGTGGGAGAGACAGACGTAAATAATTACCCAACTAATTACTTCATTAGTAAGTATAGAAGAAGGGGACCTAACTCATAAGGAAGTCTTCTGTCCATTCTGGAACTTAGCAAAATAGTTTGGTCTGCAAAGTGACAGAGATTTGAGGATGATTGGTGAGTAGTTGCTAACTGAAGTCATTAGTGAGATTGCCCAGACTAGGTTTGCAAAACAGGCAGAAAAGGAGGCCTAGGTTAGAATGTGAATATTTAAGGAGAAAGTTAGATAAAGTCCTAAAATGAAGCTGGAAAAGAGTGGCAGAGTATCACTGCCCCTCGGTATCTGTGGTGGATTGGTTCCAGCGACTCCCTTGGATACCAATATCAGTGGATGCCCAAGTCTCTTGGGTAAAAGGGTATAGTGTTTGCATATAATCCATACTGTATACTTTAAATCGTCTCTATATTACTAATAATACCTAATTCAGTATAAATGCTATGTAAGTAGTTGGTATACTGTATTGTTTTTCAACTTGTATTTTTATATTGTTATTGCTTATTTATTTATTTTTAAAAAATATTTTGCATTTGCAATTGAATTTGGGGATGTGGAATCCATAGATACGGAGGGCCAATTGTAATTTAAAGGTGTATGGAAAGGGTTGGGAATGTTGCCAAGAGGTCACATAAAGTAAATGTAAGAGGTGCCATGGGCTTTGAAACTGCAGTTCCATGCTGGCTCTAGCAAGAGCAGGTGCAGTAGAGTGGTGTATGTACAAGCTGTATTTCCTGCCAGTGGTGTGCTAGATCTAGCTTATGCTGCCTTGAGAGAGCTGGATTGTTAAATTTTCAGGAATTATGCAAGCTGGTTGTTAAAATAGCCATTAGTAAAAATTAAAGTATGTACACTTACAATTAAATTGTATTAGAATAGATGTAGTAAAAATATTAAAGCTCATCCTCCCTAATTATTTTACAACATTTTTCTATTATCTATGCTCTTAAGGTTATTTATGTCTATTATTTTCCTGAATGGGTGGATGTACTATACAATGGTGTACTACCGCACATTTCTTTTCAAGTCTATGTTTATTGACTCTTGTTGGCATATTGAAATTAGCCAAAGTGAGAGTATTTACACCGTGGAAATTGGCAAATAAATGCCACAAATCGGAGATTTTGTTTTGTTGATTTTCTAGACCTGAGAAAGTGATAGAGAAATTGTTAAGAATGCGGACTACAGTTAAACTTGTGTTGGTATACAACAATTACATTGTGAATGGCACAAAAAAATCGAGGAAATGGTCT
This sequence comes from Homo sapiens, assembly GCF_000001405.40. Classification (NCBI taxonomy): domain Eukaryota; kingdom Metazoa; phylum Chordata; class Mammalia; order Primates; family Hominidae; genus Homo; species Homo sapiens. The sequence continues at coordinate 18,112,433 of NC_000007.14, forward strand.
TTCGGTACTTGTGAACTGTCATCCAATTCAATAAAGAAGTTGCTCTCAATATTGATGAGTAAGAGAAGTTCCGATATACACAGTCATTGTTTCACTTTCTTCTTACTTATTAATGCAAAAGAAAATATTATTAGTGTCAGAACCTACCAGGTTTGGTAAGTATTAATGAAAGCATTTTGTAAGAAACAGTTGGCTATATGGAATTTTCAGTAAAGGATATTATATGTTTTATTATTATTTGTCAATTGTGTGCTGTATCTCCTTTATTTTAGTACAATTTATAATGAACATATATATGTGTGTATATACACTTTTATTTTGATGAGAGCCAGTTGTTAACATTTATCAGCACACAGTGGCTATATATATGGGATGTGAAGAAGCAGGTCACACGTACTTTTTTGAAAAGTATGGCAGAGAAGGGATGTTGCATAGGTACTAGGTTGGTAGGTAGTCAGAAGATGTTTACAGGTTTGGGAGAGCGTTTGTTTGTTTGTGTTTTTCCTTGAGTGGAAAGTGAGCAGCCAGTAGAGAGGGAGAGATTGATGGTACAGGCGAAGGTGGAAGTAAATGTTAGAAGAAGGCGATAAAGAAATAGGAAGAAATAAGATATAGACTATTGTGGGAAAATTAACCTTGAACACAGGAAGGACCCCTATTCCTGTAAGGATGAGGAAATGATAAACATAAGATGTGATAAATTAAGTACACGTACATTAAAATCACGTACATCAGTGAATTGTAATTTAAGAAATAAGAAGGATGAGGTCAGGAAAAGAAGCTCAGAAAGATATCAGTTAATTTATGAATAAAGTATAGATTAAGAGGTGAATACTATGATTGACCATGGCAAGATTTCATGCTGATTTAATCTCTGAACTATTATGCTGTATTTTTAGTCTGTTTTTCTAGGCTGAAATATTTAAATAAAAAATGAGAGACAATTTGAAGGCGCCTCATTGCATTTAAATGCCAACTATTATTTCTTTTACTTAGCTTTGCAATGTAATGCTACATTTCCATGGACACGGATTAAGTTTCTACGAGATGATCAGAAATGGGATATAATTTGAGGTTGACTAAACTACATTCATTGCATGCATGGATAGTTTGAACACAAGGTAAAATGTTATCCAGACTGCTGAAGAAAACAAGTCTTATTTTGGAACATGACTTTCTTCAGCATTATAATTTATGACTTTTTCACTTGGATTCTTGCTTTTAACACACTCTTATTTGTATATGTATGCTTCAATTAAAGAAATGCATAACATTTTGCTTACACTGTCTTAGTTCTATTAGTTTTCCTGTATTAAAATTTGCAGTCCTTATATTTCTCTCAGTTGAAACATAGTAAGATACAGAGCTTTTTTTTATATTTGCATGGTAGTTTGACATTTCAAATCTTTTCAGATCTATTTTCTGAAATATTAATTATCCTAAATATTCATAGAGATTGGTATTGATGATGCTAAATATGGCTGTTGATATTGAATATACATATGTAATCTGCCCTTAGTGTGCCATTGTAGCTATCACTTTGAGCCTAACACTGTAGTTACATTCCCCCTCACCTTGCAGTCTAACAGCACCTCAGACATCTGGCTGAGGACCTCAAGACTTTGGAAAAATAACTCTGCATGTATGTTTTCAGAGTTATAACACTGTTGTAGCCCACTCAGACAGCTGGTCCTTGTGTTTGTTGATTAATTTATGGTTGCAAGATGATACTGTGGTCTAAATATCATGTTCAAGGTAGAAAAAGAGGGAAGAATCAGCACAGCACTAGCCATGTGTGTGTCTGGTTTAATCAAGGAAGCAAACGCATTAGAGAGACATCCTTAGCGGAATTCTTCTTAGACCTCATTGGCCACCCTTGGCTACAATAGAGTTTGGGAATGTGAATATTTAGCTTTCCCACATCTATATTGGGAGACAGCAAAGGAGAAATTGGTAGAGAATGACTGTTGTTAGCCAATTAGTAGTGTTTGCCAAAGGGGATGATCTCAAGTCCTGTCTAGCTCCAACCTTTGCATTTTTACTATCAGTTGAATGCTATTTCACCTGGAAGGCTACCTTTTTAGTCCTTACCTGCAGGCCTGGGACAAACTTTGTTGACCTCCATCTAGACTATTTTTAATTAATAAGTGAAGACCTGACACAATTCCTTCTGGCGGAGAGGATCCATTCTTCAATGTCAATCTAGATGGAGCAGTCCAGGAAGTAACCCCAGACTTGAAAGGGAACCAATATTAATGACATCTCATTCTCAAGCATGGCTGCTGGGAAGGCTTCTGTAAAAAAGATAAGCAAAGAGGAAAGTGATCTGAGAATCTGCCTGATAATACTTTTTATATCTGAACGATTTAAACAAATATAGCTGCATACATTGCTGGGTGGTTTTCCGTTTTGTGTGGGACTATATATTCAGACTTCTTGTTTGAAATATGTTAGCCTCTTCGCAGCTAAAAAATATTAGAAACGAGTGAAATTTAAGGCAACCATTTGTTCATACACTCCCAGGGAGCATAGAGTATAGATTAGAAGTGTATAAGTATATTTCTAAAAAATTCATATGTCCGGGCACAGTGGCTCATGCCTGTAATCCCAGCACTTTGAGAGGCCAACGTGGGAGGATCACAAGGTCAGGAGATCGAGACCATCGTGGCTAACACGGTGAAACCCCATCTCTACTAAAAATGCAAAAAAAATTAGCTGGGCTTGGTGGCGGGCGCCTGTAGTCCCAGCTACTTGGGAGGCTGAGGCAGGAGAATGGCATGAACCCGGGAGGCAGAGCTTGCAGTGAGCAGAGATTGTGCCACTGCACTCCAGCCTAGGTGACAGAGCGAGACTCTGTCTCAAAAAAAAAAAAAAAATCCATATATGGATCAATCTTGCAGTATTCACATTTGCAAAAATATAATACTTCTGATCTTCTAGGCAAGTGATAATTCTTTTAGATTTGTGAGAATATTTTTAGATGACAAAAAAATTGGTTGCACAAGTGCATGAAAAGCCAATGATTATGTTATTTGCAAAATTACATTCCACCATGAAAATACAATGAGATATAAGTTTTTCTGAAAATGTAGTAGATTCCAGTATTGGGTTAAGTCATTTACATTTTATATTATTTTATATCCTTGAGGGAGTTACTATTATTTTCTCCTTTTGAGGAATTTGATGTTCAAATCGGTTATTTGACCAGTGTTTCAGTGCCAGTAACTCATAGCAGCTATACTGTGAAACCAGGCAGTTTGCCATACCTGCCAGCTGTGGACCTGTGCTCCTAGTAATAATAACAATTAGGCATTATGCCAAAGATTTTATAGTCACTTAATCTATTATTCATTAAAATCCTAGAAGCTGATACTACTATCATCATCCCTGTTTTAAAGCTGAGAATAAATAGTATTAGAGAGATTCAGTAGCTGTCTCAATTTTTTGCAGCTTCCAGGGCTAACCTGTGGCTTCAAACTCAGGTATCTGACACCATGTGGACCCTAACCACTTCACTACATTGATACTTAGTTACACGTTGAATTGTATCTCTATAGTTTTCTATAAAATGTAGTGTTTATTTCTATAGAGAAAAATTCATCCACGTTTTGAAATTCAAGAAAAGCCTTCTCATGTTTCTCAATGGTTTCATGCTGAGATAATTTTCCTGTGTTAGATCAAATTTGCTAGCAATTTTCGTGGTGTATGTTAATGAAAATTTGATATGCATTGCTTTGTTTCTTGCATATATAACCATAATTTAGATTAGTTCATTTTTTAGGTAATTGAATTTTTGAGAATAAGAAATAAATTTATATTAGAAAAATTCCAGAATGAGAAATTGGACACAAATTCTAGCAATTGTGAAAATTATGCCTGCTTGGAAAAGTTACATTTTATGTTACTTGCTAAAATTTTTTGAAAAGGATAAAGTGATCAATTTATCTGTCAACTATCACTTTGATTAAATGATATTAATCAAAAGTACTGTGTATTCCCTTATACTGTGAATTATGATTGGGAAAAATGTGATTGATATTCAGTGTTTAAAAATAACCTACCTCTTTATAGAAACAGCTATATGAAATTATAGTTCATTCTAGATCAATAGTGCTTTGGTTTTGGTTAACATATGTATCACATAAAATATATATGTTTTGGTTAACATACGTATCAAATAACATATGTATCAAATAAAATAATAAAAATTTATTTTTTTATTAACAAATAATAGAGTTGATTTAATAAATCAACTCTATTATTCTAGGCAGATTTCATAGCCTAACTCCCCTTCACCAAATTCAGTGCTGTATTTCATAGTGATTGACTCAGAGGAGAAAGATCTGTGACTTCTATCTTGCTGCATGACCTTGGGGAAAATTGGCTTAAATGTATGAAAGGATATTTCAGGCATTGACTCAGACTAAATAAATGTGCTAAATTTGATACAGTGAGTGGGAAATTTTTCTCACCACATGGAACCACTAATGAGCTTGGGAAGTAAACATAGTTAAGTAGGCATAGTTGCCTTTTTGTTACAATCATTCTGAATTGGTCCATTAGCCTGAATAACATTTCAATGAACTTCACATTTGTAGCTTTAGGATTGACCAAACCAAACCGCAACATTATAAACTATTTCCAGGTGAGAGGGTTGTAGTGGGTTGAATTGTTTTTCCCCAAGAGGTCTGTTTAAATCTGAACCCCTGGTACCAGTGAATGCGACCTTATTTGGAAAAAAGGTCTTTGCCGATGTAATGAAGTTAAGATGAGATCATACTGGAGTAGGGTGGCCTATCAATCCAATATGACTGGTATCCTTATAAAAAAGAAGAGAAGGTCAGGAGATCGAGACCTTCCTGGCTAACACGGTGAAACCCCATCTCTACAAAAAATACAAAAAATTAGCCAGGCGTGGTGGTGGGCGCCTGTAGTCCCAGCTACTCGGGAGGCTGAGGCAGGAGAATCGCGTGAACCTGGGAGGCGGAGCTTGCAGTGAGCCGAGATCGCGCCACTGCACTCCAGCCTGGGCAACAGAGCGAGACTCTGTCTCAAAAAATAAAATAAAAAATTAAAAAAAAAAAAAAGAGAAGAGATAGAGAGACTGAGATCCCCGCAGGGAAAACACCATGTGACATCAGAGGTGGAGACTGGGATGATGCAGCATTGAATTGATGCATTGGGATGATGCACCCACTGAAGAATGCTAAGGATTGCCTGCCACCAGCAGAAGCTAGGAAGAGGCAAGGAAGGACTCCATCCAGAGTCTGAGAGGGAGCGTGGACCTGCTGACACCTTGATTTCAGACTTCTGGCCTTGAGAACTGTGAGAAAATAAACATCTGTGGTTTTAAGCTGCCCAGTCTGTGGTACTTTGTTACGGCAGCCCTAGGAAAGGAATTCAGAAGTTGAGAATGGAGAGACAATGGAGAGAATGAAGAGTCAGCAGCAGTGGTAGTGCTCCCTGGATTGACTCTTTCTCCTGTAGTTCCACATCTTTCCTCCTCTCTTATGTTATTATCATACACATTAGACAACTGGGCTCTGTTTCCTCCCCCTTCATCACTTACAGATCTCTCTGAGTCTCATTTGCCTTGTCAGTGTGATGAGGATCTTAAACTCCTCTGAGTAATAATAACAACCAACATTTATGGGAGTTTAACCCCATAGTAAAGCCAGGGCTCAGGGTTAACATGCATTCTTTCATTTACTCCTCACCAGAATCCATGAGGATTATATTGTTATTATCCCTACTTCACAAATGAGCCAAGTAATCACATTTCTCTATGACATCTTGCTTTCTCTTGCCTTGTTCCTTCAGAGACTTGAACATGAGAGTCAGAACTGGAATATTGTCAGTCCTTATGGTTCCTTGATGGGAAATATAGCAGATCCCTAACTTTACTTAATCTGGGTAGAATGGGGGTGAAGGCCATTGGAAAGGAATGTTACATCAACATGTTGTGTTTGTCTTGGCCATGTCACAGTTTCTTCATGTATAGAACATAGAAATTTTTTATAAAAATTCTTTCTTCATTATATTTCCCCTATTTTATTGGGGAAAATAATTTTAATATAACTCCCTTATTTTCTAGCTTGCTTGACAATTTCACTGTCTGAGCTACTTAGGATATAACAGAGGAATTTAATGATATAGTTGCTATTATTGACATTCACCATGTGCTAGGAACAGCATTATGTACAGCAGACTATCAGATGGGTGATATTATTACTCCACACCCTACAGTCCAGGGCTTAAGAAAGTAACATGGTCCAAATTACTAGCCTTCAAATCCTTGTCTATTTTGTATCCAGAGCCTATTTTTGTATATTCTTTTTAGGGAAAGCCATTACTACAGTGACATGGATTAATTTATCAGATTAATGCTGAACTTGGAAGCTGGACATCTGGGCTTTAAGAGAATATTGGCCAAGAAAGGGTAGTATGGGAAATCGGAAAACACCTGAAAAGTGGCATGCTGAATGCAGGTAGCTTAGATTTAAGACGGCATGAGTACCCCATTTTTGTCAGCATGGGGATATCAGAGTTGAACCTGGCTTCTTTCAGAATATTTTATCTGAAGCTCTTCTAGAGTTAGACTAATTTCCTTAATTACCATAATTAGGGCCAAGCAAAAATTGGATGTTTCCTGTTTCACTTTTTGGTTGCTTATTTTCTCTGAGTCAAGAACATGATAACAAACTTTACACTCTATTTCTAACATGGACCTTTTAGTAAATGGTAGGTTACTATAACAGAAAAGATGCTATATCTGAAATCAAAGTGCACCAGTCCATTGCATGCTCCATGCTATTTCCTTGCAAGTCTAGATACTGTCACATGCCTGTAATACTAAATAGTCTTAGAAAATACAGCAAGCAGCAGTGTTGGAATAGGTCTTAGAGGCAAAACTGATCTGACCAAGCAATGTATGTTGGTTAAGTGAAATATGAAAGGCAGTCTGTTCTATCTCAGCTGAGGACATTTGCCATAGAAAATGTTTGTTATGGCACAGTAGAGAGACCGAAGCTACCAGTTTCTTACCACCAAACTTGTCTTGGTTGAATTTGTCTCCTGTCTTCTAAACTCTAGAGAACTGTCGGTCTTCTGAAGAACTGTTCAGCGTAGTGAAGGAAACAGGAAGAGAGATTGAGGAGCTTAGCCAGTTGATCAGAGGGATTTAATGGGAAAACACACTTGGATAGTGAATAGACACTGGAAAATCTGACTGTCTAATTTGGATTTTCCCAATATACCTGTCATGGTAAAGTGAAATATCTGTTGGACTGAAAGTAAGTGTGTCAGTTATTTTGGTCACAGCTCTGCTACAAATTGACATTATGACTGGGAAGTGGTGGTTTGTGCCCATAACTTTCTCCGTGAGTCAAAGCTGTGGGATTTTACATCCTTTCAACTTCTCTCAAAATTCTTTTCTACTTAAAAGACCATAGGTGTCATATTGAGAATTCATTTCATCAAGTATTGATCAATCCTTGGGGTGTTTGCCATGATCTTGTCATGCTTTCCATCTTTGCCACCAAAGAATGTTTTTGGGGGTAATGTATGGGAAGTTTGAAATGTGAATTATATCACAGTTTGTATCTGGAAATCAGTGTCTAATAGATAATGATGATAGTGACTACTGTCTAGTAAACATTTACTACTGGGTAGAAAAGTCACCAGATTCTCCACAGGAGAAGATTTTGCTCCCTTGGGACATTTGGCAATGTCTGGAGACATCACAACAGAAGGGAGGAGTGCTACTGGCATCTAGTGGGCAGAGGCCAGGGGTGCTGCTCAATATCTTACATTGCACAGGACAGCCCCCCACAACAAAGAATTATGTGGTCCACAAGGCCAGTAGTAGTAAGGTTGAGAAATCCTGCTTTACAGCTTGTTTAATAAATATGCATGCTGATCATAGAGGATGTTATGCTCATCTTGTAGCTGAGGTTCAAAAGGGTTAAGTAAATTCTTCAATGTCAAGCCATTCATTAGAGACGGAGCCAGCATTCCATTCCAGTCTGTAAAGCCAATTGAGGGATGGTCCCCAAACACAAACCTTTTCTATTTTGCTGCTTTGGGAAGTTTTCTTCATCCTCGTTTCTTCATTTTTAAGATAAGAAGATCTGTCCTTTACCAGAAGTTTGTAGTAGTATATTTGGGTGGGGGTAGGCAGCGGGGAGAAAAGACAGGGGGTTTGGAGATTTTCAAAAAGTTGAGGTATTATGCTTAAATGTAATATTTTTGGCAAAAATCTGTAGTCATAAGCAGTGTGGGTGAAATACAAAGTGTATATTTAGACTTTAGTGTTGCTCATACATATGCATTGTTTTTAGATTAAGAATGAGAGCTTTTAGTTTTTGCTTCTCTTTGTATCTTTCAAAAGCAATTTGATTTGCTCTTCTCTTGGGCATGATGGTGATTTGTAGAGCTTGCTGGTTGTTGAGAAATCGAAGACTCTTTGTGGGTTCTTAAGGATGAGAGTTTACTTCCACACTGGCAGTAAGGTAGATGTTGGGTTTTGGACTTAGAGCATAACAGAAGACATAGAGATGAGAGAATGGCCAAATTGCATTTTAGAGAAAGAAGTGCGGAGAACCCCATGAGAAAACTGTGTTTTACTTACATCTCTGGTCACTGATAAATCTCAATTTTGGGACAAATCCTGACAGATAAGGAAGGTTATTGGAATGTAAGAGGTAAGAAAAAGTTAATTTAAATTATTTTATTTGAAAACTTACATTTTATGAGTGGGAAGTGTGGTTTAAGGTAATTGGCAAGACTCCCTCCTCTAGAATATTAAATTTTTGTCAAAACTGCCTTTTGAATAGAGTATTTTGGGACTTGCACATTGAAAAATATAGGCAGTTGCCTTGTGTAGGGCTATACTTGCCCGTAGAGTTTTACACTTCCACAGGGTGTCGGGTTTTGTTCTGGAGACTTGTGGCAGCAGCTTTAGCTGCTTTGTGTGATAATCAGCACACAGAGCAAAGGCACCTCAGTAATTTACTGGGTGTTCATTCTGTCAATTGGTAGGTTTAATAAAGAGAGAAAGGACAGGACATGTAGCTAATACAGCCAAGGTAAGGTGAGCACCATAAGAATATGCAAAAAAAAAAAAAAACCATTGAAATTATCTATAAAGGAGTTGAAAAAACAGCTTTTAATCAACATTCAATAATTGAACCTTTTAAGGGAGCAGTACACAGAGATGTGCTCAGTGTGGCAGTCAAGTTAACCGAAAGAATGAATTCCAGCTTTTCAACGTGAATTTCAAAGCATCAGGAACACTGAGGCCTAAACCTTACTGTCTTATACTAACAAGAGTCTTACTGTTTTATAATAACTACATTCTTTTTACAGGCATTACTAATGATTGCAATTTATTTTTAGATAAAAAAGGTTATTATTGAGAGTAGGATTAGACACTCTGAAACTCTTAACAGTTTACAAAGAAGAGATGAAGAGATCTTGAGGAAAAGATGAACTTTTCTATGTCATATCCAACCTTGATTTGAATCGGAATTATTATTTTGTGTTTCTTTTTCAACCTTTTATGAAATGAAGGCATTCTTGTATTTCTTCAACATGCCAGTTCCCCAGAAACCAACTTCAAGATCCATGGTATCAGCAGAATTTAAGTACAAGTAACAGTAATTATAGTATTGAAAAGCCCCCATAGCATTCAATCATAATATTTTATTTAAGGTTGGGAGAGCTTAAGTTAATTCATTTTCACAAGCAGTTGAAAGATTGTGGTGGAATTGACTTTCTTTAGAGACCATATGCATATTTACCAGTTGAATAAACTCTGGTTGTCAGTTATGTGTGTAGGTTGGTGAGAATATGGATATGTTATATGAGGGCAGTATTCTTGTAGCGGGAGAAGAAGATGTAAAGTAATGGAACTGACAGTGAGTGCCTACTGGGTTTCAGACACAGCGCTGGGAAATGCTTTGGTATGTAGTTGTCACAATGTCTCTGGGACCTAGATGATATTATTTTCATTTTATAGCTGAAGAAAAAAGCCAAAATAACTAGGAAGTATTTTTCCTACTATATCCTTATCTGAGTCAAGAAATGGATATTTTTTTTGATGTATATGTTTAGTGGGGGCAACTTTTAGTTGTTGGTTGACTCGAACACAGAATTCTAAGGATTTGGGTCTATCATTATTTTTAATTTTTGTGGTGTTGTTTTTGAGACAGAGTCTTGCTGTGTCCCCCAGGCTGGAATGCAACAGCATGATCTCAGCTCACTGCAACCTCCACCTCCCAAGTTCAAGCGATTCTCCTGCCTCAGCCTCCTGAGTAGCTGGGATTACAGGTGTGTGCCACCATACCGAGCTAATTTTTATATCTTTAGTTGAGATGGGGTTTCACCATGTTGGCCAGTCTGGCCTTGAACTCCTGGCCTCAAGTGATCTTCCTGCCTCAGCCTCCCAAAGTGCTCAGGCATGAGCCACAGTGCCCAGCCTGGATCTATCATTACATACAAAGATTTCTGCTAGGGTTTTTTTCTTTATTTGAGGGCAAATAATTCATATACTTATTCAAATTACTGCTTTAAATATTTCCCAATGGCCCTAAAGAGACATTGGTTGCAGTGACAGGTTTTGGCACAATGGGTGGTTATTTCCTAATAAATAGCCCAATACCTATTTAATTTGTAAAGTAATTCCTTCCTCCAACAGAAAATTACTTTAAAATGGAAGCTGGTAGGCTATCTTAGTTCTAATTTTGCATTGCAAGTTGGTACTGCAAGAGGTCACAACCCCCTTTTATTCAGAGCTATTTTATCTAAAATGGTAAAGGAACATTTATCAGTTTAAAAGCCAGAACTCCAAATGTGATTTTTGCAGCTGATAACTCAGTTTCATGCCTAAGTATTTTAATTATAAACAAATATGTAACCCCCCGATTTAAAACAGGTGGCATTCAAAAGTTCATTTGGAACAGAGTCGTATGAAATTTGAAACATTTTTCCATAGAAACAATGTTAGGTTTCCAGGCCAACCCACAAAAGCCTATTTAAACCATATCGTACAATTTCTGCTCTAAAATCATCACGGGGCCCACACAACATATATAATAATATTTCTATTGGGAAAATGCATTTGGAGTTTAGCTTGGAATAGACTAGAATTTCACTGGAGTAGAACTGGGCATTTTAAAGTCCTCCTGCCATTTTGGCAATGAGGATCAGCATTTTTTCCCTAAGATGTATCTTTGGTTCCCATGACCTGGGGTGAAGCAGTATGAAGGCTAGGGCAGGCAACAGGGTGTCTTCCAAGGGTGAATTCATGATTCAACATGCTTTTGGCTACAAGCAAGAGACTATTGAACTTGAATACTAGAGTTAATTCTCTCACATAATAAGTCTAAAACAGGCAGTTTAAGCAGTGGTTAATTTAACATCTCATTTAAGTCAGGGTTCTATAAACCTTTATAACCTTATAGTTGGAAGATGTCCACCAAATATGTAAGAATCTTGTCTGTACATAACAACCTCCTAAAGGAGAAAGAATGAGGGGTGCTATCTTAATCTTACTAAATAGGAAACTATTTCCCAGAAGCCCCACCTCCAGCAGGTTTCCCTTTGCATACCATTGGCCAGAACCCTGACTCACAGCCTGCCCCAAACTAAACACTGGCCACCAAGAATCAGATTGTTAGAAGTGGCTTAGAGTCTAAGTTCTAGTTGAAGTATAGTTCACCTTCGGGGGATAAGCAGGTGGCCACCTTCTGTCATCACTTTGCCGAGCTCATTTGGAGATCTGTAGACAAATAAGAAGGTGGAATATCTGTTGGGTGAATGTTATCTATGTCTTTTACGGTCTGCTTCCATACAGCAATAGCCTAGGGCAAGGGCAAGGTCAGAAAAATTTTAGCTTTCCAAGTGGCTGTGTGATCTTGAAAAAGTCATGTGCTTTTCTTCTGCAGACTCCAGTTTCTATAAAACAAGGAGGTGGGATAGATTTGTTTATTCCTCAGTTTATTCATTCAACAAATGTTAATGAAGCACTTACTTTATTACAAGCAGTATTTTATGCATGGAGGTTACAATAGTGAACCTTCCAAAGTTCTTCCCAGATATCTTATGTTTTTACATGATTCCATGTGAGAAGCTGTGGTCCTGGTAAAGCTATGGGCGTTGGTGTAGGGATGGTGTGCACCCGTGAGGCCTTCTAATACCGTCAACTCTAGGGGGAGTTTTTGGACGTCATGGGTTCATTTCACTTTATTTATTTATGTATTTGTTTATTTATTTAAGAATCCAAGAGATTGATCTGGTTCCTTCCATTTGCCTTGCCCCCAGCTGCTGTTACTGACAGGGTTTCTGCTTTCCATATTGCCCATTCTAGAGCAACACACAACCTCACTGCATTTTTCTTACACTTCTGCCTCTGATCCCAAAAGGAACAGATGACTGATATTTTCTCAGTTTTTCTTTCTTTCTTTTTCTTTTTTTTTTTTTAACATTGTTAGCAACAGAGGAAATAGATGACAGTGGTTGTTGGGGGAAGCTTCTCTGCCCTTCACACTTTTTCATCCTAGCACTGTAGAGAAAGATAAAAGAACATTAAAGCAGAAAGAGTGTGTTCTTGAGTCTGTAATACTGAGGTATTATCTTCTTATATTTTTGATAAATAGCCAGATTTGATGATGAGGAGGGAGAAAGGTGTGTTGGAGGAAGTTGACTCGTGGCTGAGAACAGCTGCAGCAGTCCTGGGGAATGAGGGTACCCCCCCATCTTTTACCCTTTGTCTCAGCCATATCAATTCCTGCCACCCGGGACACTGCCTAGGACAGGCTGCAGTGCAAGTGAAGATCAAGGACTGGAGAGGGGAAGGGGCTGTGAAGGCAACATCAAAGGTTTTGGGGCTGTGAGGGGAGATGGCACAGAGATCCTCTGTTGAGACGCTGAGTTTCTAGGACTTTCCTGAATCTCTTTTTTCCAAGGGAATGTATATATACACTAACACATATATATATGCGTGTGTGTGTGTGTGTGTGTGTGTTAAATGGAGCAACAAGATGAGGACTGGCTCATGATATATATGATTTGTTTCTTAAGTGATGATAAAATAAATTCTGAAGTACTGTGGTGATTTTAATGACAACACTTTGGAAACCTTTTGGGACATGTAGACAGGGATTACAGTCTGTGTTATCTACTTATCTATCTCAGGGGTCGGCATACCATTCATATTTACTATCAGCAAGATAGTAAATATTTTAGGCTTTGTGGGCCATATGGTCTGTGTTACAACTACTCTGCCCTTGTAGCAGAAAAGCAGCCATGCACAATAGCTAAGCAAGTTGGCCGTGTTCCATTAACACTTTAGCTATGGACAACTTCCTTGTGTTTCCTTCAGTTTCATATAATTTTCATGTGTCATAAAATATTTTTCTGTTGAGTTTTTAAAAAACTATTTAAAAATGTGAAAACACTCTTACTTTGTAAGTGGTGCCGAAACAGGCCTACAGGCTGTAGTTTGTCAACCCTGAGTCTATCTGGCTATCATTTGTTTATTTGTTGGTCTATCTACCTGTATGTTTTCCTTCTTCCTTCTTTCATCTAGGAGAAGAAATCTGGTTCCATTAAATTTTGTATGAGAAATTCTTTCCTATTTATATAGTCAACTACTCTAAACACTTACAAAGGGGATAGAGAATAACTGATTTATTGGATTTCTGGTATTGATTCGCTTGTGTCCTGTGGTTGAACTTGTACAAGCTTTATGTATTATTATTATTTTAAAATACTACATTTAGCATTCTTATAGCCAATTTAGAATAATTACTTTGTAAAAGATCCTTGAGGAAGTACATTACATCTAATAAAAAATTATCTTGGATCTTGTTAAGACTTGAAAACCCCAGGTGAATGATAGCGTTGGGTCAGTTTTTACATTCTGAATAGAGCACGTGTTTTTTCTGAGTCAGACAGGCAAGACTTGGATAGCTGTATATTACTGTTTATGAGCCTTATCCTTTCCTGCAAATCAAGTGTTTATTCCACTCCTGAACTTAATTAGCAGCTAAGAGCTTTGTGCTTTGTATTTTAAGGAAGCATGTGATTTGTTCATTAGTTCAAAAGCAGATTAATTATTATATCTTTAGTCACCATCTGTAAACACATCTATATTGGTGAGCTCTCTCCTGCTGAGTTACCTTGAAATGCCCTGTGGTGTTTTATTAGCTTCAATTCTGTGTTTATTACAGTTGGCTGGAGATTTTTCAATTTAGTTTATTGGCCACAGAAAGTCCAATCATTCTGTGGAAACTACCAATTTCTGAGAGTGAGGGGTTTACTAGTGCTGGCTGTCAATTTGCTCTAAACATTTTCCCCAAATCAAACTGTATTTCTGTTTGGATTAAAGATAGTAGTAGTTTGATTATAAGCTAAGATTTTAAGCACCCTATATATTGTCCGCATTCAAGGAAGAGCAATTGGGATTAAAATTAGTAATCTGCATGAAAAAGTATCTTTCTAATCCAAGTTAGCTCCAGACAAAACTGTGAAGTACGTGAACGAAAGAGGATAAATGAATAGTTATTGATGCCTGGGCATTTTAATATTATCTAATTTTGGTTTTGCAGCAATGCTGTTAGGTTCCAAGTGATTCTCAGAGAATTTAAAGAACTTGCATAAGATCATTGATAGAGCTGGGATATGAATCAATATTAGTGTGACTTGTGAGTTTGTGCTTCTCTTCACCAGTGTCTAGATTGTCAGAAAAAAATATAGGACACCTAGTAATATTTGAATTTTATATTATCAACAAATACTTTTTTAGCATAAGTATGTCCCAAATATTGTTGTCCTAAATATTGTGTGGGCCATACATATATTACCAAATTATTTGTTGCTTATCTGAAATTTATATTTAAGTGGGTGTCATGTTTTATTATTACTTGTGAAATTTGGAAACCTTAGTAGTGTCCCTTCCTTCTCTCTCCTTCTCTAGGCATTAAGTCTGTCCAGGAACCCCTTTATCTGCTTCCCTGCTCCCTCTGTACTTCTGGCTTTGGCTTATTAACCCCATTCTTTGCTTCTTTAGTTTGCAGTTTACCTGCTCAGGTAAACTTAAACATTAACTGGGGACCTTATTCTCTCTGGTTTTCAAAGTGTCTAGTGACTATTTTAAAAAAGGAATAGGATTAGCCTGTTTGTCAGAGCTAATGTCTTCAGTGATTATATTTTTCAAGTTATGTATTTACTTAACACAGCCATGCTTTAATGCAGGGTAACTCTAGAGGCCAAAATTTTTAGACCCTGTGCAAAGAAAAAGAAGAGCTTAAGACCATTCTTTTAGTTATTCTGATAGGGTATTTTTCCCACAGAACCTGTTGGTGACTTTATGTTTTTAATTTTATCTAAAATTTGATTATTATTATTATTCAGATTTCTTTTGCTTTTGATTCTTGTATACTAAACAAATTTTGAAGACAATTTTCGTGCATTTAAAAAAAACTTTATAAAATACTTTTCAAAGAATTAGTAGATGATTGAGGTCTCTAACAATTCTTAAACTATATTTTCACTTAGTAAAAGGTAACACTTTTACAATACAATTTTTATTTCTTGAGTAACAAGAATACAGAGGGAAAAGTTACGGTTCTCAGTATCCAACCATTTAGCTATATACCAACATAGTAGCAGACCAGACGCTTCTCAGTGAAGCTAATCCAAGCCAGCACCTTATGTTCTCTGCCCAAACTCTAGGAAACTTGTACCTTTACCAAAAAATCTCAGAGACTGGCTTGGAAACCACTGGGTAAATCAGTAGGATTGTTTTATTATCTAGTTACCTTAAGGACTTTAACTGGGGCCTCAAAGTCTTTTCAGACCACTAAGCAGGAAGCGTGTGCTGTTAGCCATAATGTGGCTGCAATAAGAATGATAGTTTTGGGTCAGCTAACAGTATGTTATGGATGAATGTGGCTCCTTTCATCTCTCTGAATCTTGGCTTTGTTGTCTGTAAAATCAAGCAGGGGTGGGATTGAATGATAGCCGAGGTCTTTATTAGTTTGTTACTGGCTTCAACAGAGTTGGGAAGCCTCAAGCCACATGAACCTTTCTCAGAACTGCTTCTCAGGACACCTTAGGGTAGCTGAGTGATTACAAAAAGCATCTGAACTATGTGCAGATGCCTTGGAATAGAAGCAGGGGATCTGGAAAGGCTGTTCCCCAAGGTCTCTGCAGTCAGCCATGCACTTAGATTTGACTACAGACAAAACAGATGTATTCAAAAAATTGAATGGCATGTTTTACCTAAATGGTAGGGGTTAGGGAAGATAGCTTCTTAATGGGTCTTTGTGCCATGTCTCTTTATTCCTTATGATTAGTACAGCTGAATCCTGATTCTCTTTCCTTTTCCTTGTCTTCCTTCCCTCTCTTCCTGTCTCTCTTTTTTTCTCCCTCCCTCTCTCATTGCTCATTTTTTTCCTTTTCTTCCTTTCTTGCCACTCTAACAGGCTGAGAACAGGACTTTTAGGAGCTAGCTTTCCAGAAGTGATATAGTTACATTGCCTTATCTGGATTTCCAGAGCGCATTTCTCCTCATGTGCTTTTTCGCAAGAGAGAGAACATAACATAAGCCCCTAATCCTTTCAAATATGTTAAAGAGAACAATGCTGTGATTGAAGCAAGGAGACTGGGATTTGACTCTCGTGTCTTCCTCTTACCTACTATTTGTATGGCTATTGAAGAAGTCACTGAATAGATTTCATTATATCTAAAATGTGAGTATAATCCTCATTGAACTCTTAGGATTTCATTAACACTGAAATTCTATTGAAAAACAGTTTTTAAACTGATATACCATGGAAATTATTTTTTCATGTGCCTAGGTAGGTTTGTTTTCTTTCTTCTCTCTGTAATTCCAGAGTTGTTATAATGTGTCTTTCTCTCATGCTAGACTCTAAATTCATTGAGAGAGGACCTTGTTTTATTCACCTTTTAAGTTTTAATTAATAAGCCTATAGAACCTATAAAATGAGTCAGCATTTAGTAGGGTCTTATGTGTACTAATGTGTCTGAAGGCATGTACACATAAATTTAACTAATTTTTATTTTACTTATGATTCTGTCCAGTTTTTAATACAATATTAAAACCTGAGGAAAGCAGAATATTTAACTTTGTTATTATAGTTGATTAAATACTTTACTGTCTTTTTGCATATTCAATTATCTGTAGCTTGTGCAGTCTTGTAAGACACTGGTTGTGGTACTCACTCATTCATTCTTAATCCATTCATCTATCCAACCAATAGTTATTTTCCCCATTAACTGTCCTCTGAATTGTGCTAGGCACAAAACAGATGTAAACTCTGACATCATGAAGCTTATAGTCAATGGAGGAGAAGGCAATAAAATAAGTAAACACAAATGAATATGTAATGGCAAAGTGATATAAGTGTTAGGGAGAGCATCCGGTTTCAAGTGAATGAGAATAACAGTGTCACCCACTCTAGAATGGATATATTTAAATTCTTTGAGGAAGTGGCACTGAAGCTAAGAGAGATCTACTCTTGACGATGATTAGTTCTTGGCTAGACAAAACCAAACCAAACCAAAACAACACAACGGATGAAGAGTGGATCAGACATGTTACATGGTACATACAGATGGAGTATCCCTTATCCAAAATTCTTGGAACCAAAATCCTTTGAATATTTTCAGAATATATACCAGTTGAGCAGCCCTAATTTGAAATCCAGAATCCACAACCCAGAATGCTCCAACGAGCATCTCCTTTGAGCATCATGTCGGTGCTCAAAACGTTTCAGATTTTGGAGCATTTTGGATTTCAGATTTTCAGATCAATGCTCAACCTATATAATGCTCAACCTGTATAAAGGCCCTGAGGTAGGAAAGAGCCATGAGGACTCAAAGAATTGAAAGGTAAGCATGAGGAATAGTGGCATGAGGGACGGTGATGCTGTTCATAGTGCCCAATTCCCCAAATGTTTTATTCCCTTACTAAATTACTCCGTTGTAGTTGCTTTTTTTGGTGTTTCATTTTTCAACATCCTCATATGCCTCCTTTCTTGGTAACAGCTTTATTGAGATATAATTTACATATCATACAGTTCAACCATTTAAAGCATACAATTTAGTGGTCGTTAGTATATTCACAGAGTTGTGCACCCATCACTACAATCAATTTTAGAACAACTTCATCGCTATTCTCTTTAGCTGTCACCCCTAAATCCCTCCATTCCCGATGCCCTAGGAAACCACTAATGTACTTTTTCCCCATTTATCTATTTTGGATATTTCATATACATGGAATTATATAATTTGTGATCTTTTGTGTCATGCCTCTTTTAACAATTTTCTATTGCATGTTCATCTGCTTTTCATCTTTGCTCCCAAGTTACCGCAGTTATGGACTTTTTTTTGCCTTCAGTGTGCTACCTTGTTCCAGTGAAGTTATTTCTCTTTTTGTTTCCCTACACCATTAGCAATGTCCAAACTTCGAAGAGTTTCCATATTGCTAAATGAAGTCATAAAATTTATATTAATGAAAAGTTGTCTTTCTAGTTTCTTATAATCGAGTGTTTAGAAATCTTTACAAATCACCAGTTGGTTATTTTTCTGTTGCTCAAATTTGTGCTCTTTCACCTAAAAGAATTAGGAATCCAAATGAGATTTTGTACTATAATAGACAAATTGCACAAAGCTTCCATCCACCTCTAAATAAAAGGAGAACTTCGTCAGCATACATTTTGACATTTTAGATGGTATGTGTAAAGAACACATACGTACCCAAATCTCTTCCAGTGATTTCTCAAAAGGTGAGCTCTCTGCTTTAAAAATAGAACATTGATGATTCAGTGCCCAATATTTGTTAGTATGAACTTAAAAAATATTGATTGATTGATAACTAATAGCAAAATTTGGTTGTTGGGTAGATATCTGCAGTCTGCTGAAAATCAAAATGTTATGGTTAAAGAACGAGTTTAGTAGCACTAATCAGAATTCCTTGGTTTCTTGGGAAATTAGGGGGTTGCTGCTTTACTACCAAAGAAAAGGAATTAAGAAGTATTAATAATCTTCATTTGTTTTTGGCTAGACAACTTGTGGGATGCAGTAGGGGGTAGAGTGTATACATACTATTAAACTATCTTCTGAAATAAATTGTAGAGGGCATTTTTTGAAGGCAGAAAAGGAAGAGTCAGTGTGTTTCCTAAGCCAAAGCTTTGGTCATTGTCACTACTCCCTTTCTGTTAAGCAAAGGACAGAAACTCTGATGTTACGAACAAGAGAGGAGGGTGAAGGTGAGGCGGTGAGAGCCTCAGTGCTAGCAAAGGGTTTTAGACGCACACTCCCTCATGGAGAGCAGATCTAGTCAGGCAGTCATGTTCACACATCTTTGGTCTTTGCACTCTGAGCAATACAAAATTTAAGAATTATGGTTGGAATTATAGATAATTGGGAGTCAAAATTTAAGACACCTTCTTCCCCAATATGTTTTAGGCAAAGAAGAGGCTGGCGTCAAGTATTTAAGAGCTATTTTAGCTAATGGCAACAGATAGATTATGGAGAATCACTGCTTGTTCTGTGGGCCAGGTGGTAATTACAGACTTAGAGATATAAGAGTTGAATGTGTTCCATTCTCTAACACCTTCACACGCCTCTTTTTGAAATTCTCTATTGCGTGTTCATTTACTTCCCTCCCTTTGCTCCCAAGTCACAGCAATTAAGGGCTTTTTCTTCCCTTCATTGTGCCAGTGTGTCCCAGTGATGTTATTTCTCTTTTCTTCAGACAATGAGTAGCTTCCAAAATCCATGATGATCTCCAAATTACTAACTACAGAAGTCAAATGGAACTACATTCAAGGTGTTTAGAAACTCTCATAAGATTGTAATAATATGAAGAATAATAGGTAAAATATTTTGTCATATCTGAATATATTCAAAAGTTGTGATTGAAGTCTTTTTTTCTTTTTGTTTTTGTTTGTTTGTTTTTAAGAGACAGGGCCTTTGTCTCACTCTGGTGCCCAGGTTAAAGTGCAGCGGGTGATCACAGCTTATTGCAGCCTCCAACTTCTGGGCTCAAATGATCTTCCTGCCTCAGCCTCCTGAGTAGCTGAAACCGCAGGCACATACTACCACACCTGGCTTTGATTGAAGTTTTTAGCCTCCTTTTTGTGGGATCCAAAAACATTCCTTTCTGCATTATGTGGAAGAAATTAATAATTTTCAAAAAAGACAGCATGTTCCTTCAACTAAGTTTATTCAGAAAATGGCCTGTATTCATTAAAAGACCTTGGCTGAGTTCTTTGGACCTGTGAGGCCTTAGTTTTATTGTCAGTAAAATAAAGAGTTGGGCCTAGATTGGTTTTTAGTAAGGTGATTGGTGCAAGACCTTTTCAAATGATATTGTTTCTTTATATCAGAATCCCAATGTGCCCTGCTCCCCCTTCCCTAAATAAAGTGACTTATTTTTTATTTGATTTTACTTTTGTATAGCACCCTAAGGTTAACAGTCTTTCAAAATAACTCTCAGAATTAAATCAACTGGCTGTGAACTTTGGGCCCTGTCCTAACTGAGTCCTCTGGTCTTTAATGTAGCTGAAACTGCTCACCATGGAAACAGCTGATAGCAGTGGTCTGTTTGTCAAGGAAAGCAAATCTTGATTCAGACTTCTTCCCACCCTCAGCTCACCATCCTTAGCTTCTGTCACAAATTGCATTGGAAAATACATTGGAAAAACACAAAAACACAGAAATATGAACTCTGGCTCAAAATAGAACAAATTCCACAAAAATTGCCCATGGCATATCAGTAAAATACAGGATTAATCACAAAAAATAATTATAGTCTTTGGACATATCAGAATCTCATAATATATTTAGAACTGTTCATTCCTCTTATCACCCTCTTAAGAAAAAAAAATCCACTGAGCATTTAGTTAAGCAGTGGTGATATTCTAGATGACATGTGAGAAGACTTGTCAAATATCCATGACTTGAAACTAAAAACAGCATGACTTCTTGTCATTTTAGGGAGACTTAGGAGCTAAGTCTGGTAGCTTTGGCATCAGCTTATTTTTAGCAGTGTGTGATGTCTGTTTTTCCTGGTTATTATCCCTGGGCTCAATTTTGCAATTATAGGATGCACATGTTATTCAGCAGATATGAACGTTTTCACTTAGCAAACTGTGTACGTGAACACCTTTTTAAATGACTTAATGGGCTCGAGTTTTGTTGGTTGTTTTGCATTTAAAATGGCACTTGAGACAGATAACCAAAAGCATAAAATGGAAAAAGTGATTATTGTAGAAAAATGGGAAAGCAACATGTTTCTGTAAATGCTTTCGTGTCGCTTACTCAGAGAAACACCATTTGACTATTGGAAGTTGCTATGGGAAGCATGCAACATTTCCATGGCGTTACATTTTACTTTCTTATTTGCTTGCTTGCAGTTATTCTTTAAAAATATCTATATCTATATATCTGTGTGTGAATATACACGCGTGCACACACACACACACACACACACACATCTCTAGCCTTTCATCCATCTATTTTTTTTTTTTTTAATGTGTCTGAGCACCACTTCTTAGGCAAGGTCAACACAGTAAAACTCAGCTTTGATTATAATGTTCACCCTCCTGGAATTGGTCCATTACAACCATTGTGTGAATAACCTTGTAGAAGTTTCCTGTAAATGTGTTGGCTCCTTGGCACCATAGTGTTCTCAGCGTTCATACTGTGGGACTGCTTTAAAGTTCAACTCCCCTTAGCAAGAGCCTTGGTATTTCAGAGACTAAATTATCTTGTGGCTGAGTAATGCCAAGTATATACCTGCTTTATTCCTAATTCTGCTGGATAGCATATTATTTTTTATTAATGTCATGGCATATATTAGTTATTATTCAAGGACTGCTAGGGAAAGAAATGAGCCATTGGATGACCATATAAATTCCTCTATAACTCTGATAGATCAAGACCAATGGAGCTAGTGCTTAATTTCCACCATTAACTGTACTGTCATTATCAAAATTCATGGATTGAATATACATAGTTTAGAAATTCTCACGCATGACTCTGTTTGAAGCAGTAGTAACTTCATATGAATTTTTAAAGGCAGAAATTAGTTACAAGGACTGCATAAAAGGAAAAAAGCAGATCAGTTGTAAGTTATCAACATAGTGAACAACATTATTACTCATTCTTAAGCACTAGGTGTGATTCTAAATCAGCTTTCTGTTTCTAGTTCTCACCCTCATCTCCATGCCCGTTCTTACCCTCACCCAAATAATATTTGACTGATACCAGAAATATTCTTCTCTCTTTATTTGCTACATTAGGGATTTCAGAGGGAATTCTTTTCATCCAGGAAAAAGAAAATCAGGCCAGTTTTGAGGAACTAAAAATAAAGCTATGCAAAATTGTTTTCAAAGTGGAATTCATTGCCATTTGTTTTTATGCATGACAATCCTTTAGAATATAGCATTGAATCAAACTATGATTCTGACTTCAATGATTTTTATAGTCAGTTTACGAATATTCACTATAGATTTTCTTATATATGGTTTGTATCTAAACAGATCTAATTTAAATCCTGGAAGCATGATAGTAATAGTAGTAATGGTAGTGATATAATGAGTTCATCATATGTGACAGACTGTGATAAATTATTTTACATCTATTTTCTCCTTAAGTTCTCACTACCTTTTTCAAGTGGATACTGTTCACCCCATTTAAAATGTAATGAAGTAGGAAATGTCTTACTATTTTGACAAAAATACAAAATCCTCTTAGGAAGATAATTGTGTTTGTTTGCAAAAATTTCTTTCTTTTTTTTTTTTTTTTAAAAAGGTAGTATTTACCATATTCTTTTTTTTTTCTTTTTTTTATTATACTTTAAGTTTTAGGATACATGTGCACATTGTGCAGGTTAGTTACATATGTATACATGTGCCATGCTGGTGCGCTGCACCCACTAACTCGTCATCTAGCATTAGGTATATCTCCCAATGCTATCCCTCCCCCCTCCCCCCACCCCACAACTGTCCCCAGAGTGTGATATTCCCCTTCCTGTGTCCATGTGATCTCATTGTTCAATTCCCACCTATGAGTGAGAATATGCGGTGTTTGGTTTTTTGTTCTTGCGATAGTTTACTGAGAATGATGATTTCCAATTTCATCCATGTCCCTACAAAGGACATGAACTCATCATTTTTTATGGCTGCATAGTATTCCATGGTGTATATGTGCCACAGTTTCTTAATCCAGTCTATCATTGTTGGACATTTGGGTTGGTTCCAAGTCTTTGCTATTGTGAATAATGCCACAATAAACATACGTGTGCATGTGTCTTTATAGCAGCATGACTTATAGTCCTTTGGGTATATACCCAGTAATGGGATGGCTGGGTCAAATGGTATTTCCAGTTCTAGATCCCTGAGGAATCACCACACTGACTTCGACAATGGTTGAACTAGTTTACAGTCCCACCAACAGTGTAAAAGTGTTCCTATTTCTCCACATCCTCTCCAGCACCTGTTGTTTCCTGACTTTTTAATGATTGCCATTCTAACTGGTGTGAGATGGTATCTCATTGTGGTTTTGATTTGCATTTCTCTGATGGCCAGTGATGATGAGCATTTTTTCATGTGTTTTTTGGCTGTATAAATGTCTTCTTTTGAGAAGTGTCTGTTCATGTCCTTCACCCACTTTTTGATGGGGTTGTTTGTTTTTTTCTTGTAAATTTGTTTGAGTTCATTGTAGATTCTGGATATTAGCCCTTTGTCAGATGAGTAGGTTGCGAAAATTTTCTCCCATTTTGTAGGTTGCCTGTTCACTCTGATGGTAGTTTCTTCTGCTGTGCAGAAGCTCTTGAGTTTAATTAGATCCCATTTGTCAATTTTGTCCTTTGTTGCCATTGCTTTTGGTGTTTTAGACATGAAGTCCTTGCCCATGCCTGTGTCCTGAATGGTAATGCCTAGGTTTTCTTCTAGGGTTTTTATGGTTTTAGGTCTAACGTTTAAGTCTTTAATCCATCTTGAATTGATTTTTGTATAAGGTGGAAGGAAGGGATCCAGTTTCAGCTTTCTACATATGGCTAGCCAATTTTCCCAACACCATTTATTAAATAGGGAATCCTTTCCCCATTGCTTGTTTTTCTCAGGTTTGTCAAAGATCAGATAGCTGTAGATATGCGGTGTTATTTCTGAGGGCTCTGTTGTGTTCCATTGATCTATATCTCTGTTTTGGTACCAGTACCATGCTGTTTTGGTTACTGTAGCCTTGTAGTATAGTTTGAAGTCAGGTAGCGTGATGCCTCCAGCTTTGTTCTTTTGGCTTAGGATTGACTTGGCGATGCGGGCTCTTTTTTGGTTCCATATGAACTTTAAAGTAGTTTTTTCCAATTCTGTGAAGAAAGGCATTGGTAGCTGGATGGGGATGGCATTGAATCTGTAAATTACCTTGGGCAGTATGGCCATTTTCACGATATTGATTCTTCCTATCCATGAGCATGGAATGTTCTTCCATTTGTTTGTATCCTCTTTTATTTCCTTGAGCAGTGGTTTGTAGTTCTCCTTGAAGAGGTCCTTCACATCCCTTGTAAGTTGGATTCCTAGGTATTTTATTCTCTTTGAAGCAATTGTGAATGGGAGTTCACTCATGATTTGGCTCTCTGTTTGTCTGTTATTGGTGTATAGGAATGCTTGTGATTTTTGTACATTGATTTTGTATCCTGAGACTTTGCTGAAGTTGCTTATCAGCTTAAGGAGATTTTGGGCTGAGACAATGGGGTTTTCTAGATATACAATCATGTCATCTGCAAACAGGGACAATTTGACTTCCTCTTTTCCTAATTGAATACCCTTTATTTCCTTCTCCTGCCTAATTGCCCTGGCCAGAACTTCCAACAGTATGTTGAATAGGAGTGGTGAGAGAGGGCATCCCTGTCTTATGCCAGTTTTCAAAGGGAATGCTTCCAGTTTTTGCCCATTCAGTATGTTATTGGCTGTGGGTTTGTCATAGATAGCTCTTATTATTTTGAAATACATCCCATCATTACCTAATTTATTGAGAGATTTTAGCATGAAGGGTTGTTGAATTTTGTCAAAGGCCTTTTCTGCATCTATTGAGATAATCATGTGGTTTTTGTCTTTGGCTCTGTTTATATGCTGGATTACATTTATTGATTTGCGTATATTGAACCAGCCTTGCATCCCAGGGATGAAGCCCACTTGATCATGGTGGATAAGCTTTTTGATGTGCTGCTGGATTCGTTTTGCCAGTATTTTATTGAGAATTTTTGCATCAATGTTCATCAAGGATATTGGTCTAAAATTCTCTTTTTTGGTTGTGTCTCTGCCCGGCTTTGGAATCAGAATGATGCTGGCCTCATAAAATGAGTTAGGAAGGATTCCCTCTTTTTCTATTGATCGGAATAGTTTCAGAAGGAATGGTACCAGTTCCTCCTTGTACCTCTGGTAGAATTTGGCTGTGAATCCATCTGGTCCTGGACTCTTTTTGGTTGGTAAGCTATTGATTATTGCCACAATTTCAGATCCTGTTATTGGTCTATTCAGAGATTCAACTTCTTCCTGGTTTAGTCTTGGGAGAGTGTATGTGTTGAGGAAGTTATGCATTAGTACTAGATTTTCTAGTTTATTTGCATAGAGGTGTTTGTAGTATTCTGTGATGGTAGTTTGTATTTCTGTGGGATCGGTGATGATATCCCCTTTATCATTTTTTATTGCATCTATTTGATTCTTCTCTCTTTTTTTCTTTATTAGTCTTGCTAGTGGTCTATCAATTTTGTTGATCCTTTCAAAAAACCAGCTCCTGGATTCATTCTTTGTAAGGGTTCTAAGGAGACCATGAGCCCTGATCTATTAATACCTGTGTGCCTCCCTCTCCCTCTCTCCTTGCAAGGACATCTTCTGCTGGTGCCAAGACATCAGAATGAGATCTAGATTGCAAATGGTGTAAGAAGGGTTTAGAACTCCTGGTTTTAGGAGATGGAGGGAGTGTGGAATAGAGATGAGAGGGAGAGAAAGAAATGGAGCCAAATAGCAAGATGGTGGGAAGCTGTAGTGAGAGAGAGAGAGAGGTGTGTGTGTGTGTGTGTGTGTGTGTGTGTGTGTGTGCACATGCTCATTTAGTTATTTGGGTTTTGGCTCAAGTGGATACAGTGCTGGAGAGAGCCCAAGAAGCAGAGTGGGGCAGGCTGCAACCTTTCTAGGAACTCCTTTGGACATGCACCAGCCAAAAAATTAGGGGCTCAAGTCTATTTCATTAAGAATCTAGGTTGGCAGGGAAATGCCCAGGGACATCGCTCACATCACAGTGTAAGAAATTGAGAAAAAATGCTCTCCTGAAGTCATTCAATTAATCAGGGGCAAGGATGGAATGCAAAGCCAAGTCTCTCAATTCAGAGTACTGGATTCTCTTTATTATACCTTCCTGGCACTCTAGAATAATGATTCTAGCATGAGACATGGTAATCTCAACAAATAAATGCTATGATTATGTTTATGCTTACTAGCAGTTCTAGTAATCTTCCATTTCTAAACTTGGTAGTCAGGTAATCAGATGTGTTAAAATTTTCTTTTAAATGATTCATTCTAGACAGTGGAAAGTATGCTTAAGAATATTAAATATTTAATTTTATTGGGTATCACCATCATATAATTATAATCTGGACTTTTTTTTTTTTTTTTTTTTTTGAGACAGGCTCTTGCTCTGTTGCCCAGGCTGCAGTGCAGTGGCACAATCTTGGCTCACTGCAGCCTTGACCTCCTGGGCTCAAGCTATCCTCCTGCCTCAGCCTTTCAAGTAGCTGGTACTGCAGGCATGTGTCACCACGACTGGCTAATTTTTGTTATTTTTTGTAGAGATGGGGTTTTGTCATGTTGCCCAGGCTGGTCTGGAACTCCTGAGCTCAAGCAGTCCTCCTGTCTTGGCCTCCCAAAGTGTTGGGACTACAGGTGTGAGCCACTGTGCCTGGCCCTGGACTTCTTATGACACTTTATTTTATCCTGTGGCACCAAGTAATTATGATGCTTTACTTATAATCTATACACACTACGTTTGCTATTCCTTTTTTCCGTGTCAGGGAAAAGTAAAGTGGCAAGTTTTACAAACTGTTTTGTAATATGTTGGACTGTATGAGACACCTCTAGTAGGCTGAATAATGGCACCCCATAAAATATCCACCTTCTAATCCTTGGCATCTGTGAATGTTACCTCATATGGCCAAAAAGGATTTTGCAAATATGGTTAAGGCAGGGAGATTACTCTGATTATTCTGTATTGTCCAGGTGGGCCCTAAATGCAGTCACATGTATCTTATAAAGAGGGAGACAGAGGGGTATTTAATACGTACAGAAGGGAAGAAGGCAATGCGATCATGAAAGCAAAGACTGGGCAGCCTCCGGAAGTTAGAGTCTTCAAGGAATGAATTATCTCCTAGAGCCTCTGGGGGAGAACAGCCCCGCCAACACCTTGATTTTGGCCCAGGAAAACTGATGTGGGACTTCTGTCCTCCAGAACTGTGAGAGCATACATTCTGTTGTTCTGTGGCACAACGGTTGTGGTCATTTGTTATGGCAGCCACAAGAAATGAATACAACACTGTGGAGAAGTGTAAGCCCATAAGCAACCTCAGTCCATGATGAAAGCCATGGCTAGATGTAGGTGTTTTCCCCCAAAGCCAGGGTACTCATTACTCAAATAAAATTCATATCTTCCCAAAATGAAATCTGCAAACATCCCGGGACCCTTCTACCTGGGAAAGGACCTTCTGATAGGAAAACAGTGACAGCATATTAATCTACTGCTTGGGGAATTCTTGGCAACAGGGATATGGCCTCCATCCCATGGGAGACAGAACTGGCAAAAGAAGAAATTGTGGATATTGTTGTATTTTTTAAAGATGGAAACATCTGCATAAAAGTTATTGTACAGGGTTTTCTCTTTGAGCCCACAAAAACAAGAAAAAAAATACTGTCTTCCACCGAACTTTAAAAAAGTCACTCTTAGACTAGATCCAGATTTTATCCCATCTCTTATTATTTTACTTCAAATAAGCAAAATTAGGAAACTGTCAATACTTTGTATTATGTAGGAAAAATTGTTATACATTATGCTTAGGCTATTGATTAGTGAATATTTTCTTTTTAGCTGTGCAGTTACTATATCCATCTAATTATGATAACAGATTTTTAAAATAAGTTATTGGTTGGTATGCAGTATTTGAAAGAATGAAATTAACCTTTTCCTTTCATTATCAAGGATTTTAACTTACATGCCTATGTCACTGAACATACACATATATAGAATACATATATACACTGAATATATATATATATTCTGTTTTTTATTTGAAGTTCTTTAGTAATAAAATATCACCTTAAAAACAAAGCAATTTCTTTGACACAGCATTTAATTTGGAGGTCACTCATATTTTAAATGGGGAGCCAAACTTTAAAGTTTTTTTTTTTTTTTTAAAGAGAGTGTCTACAATAGAATTTGACTTCCCATGCCTTCATAAAGCTAAAATTCTCAATGAGCAGCATTTTTATTTAGGATAAACTGGCCTCTATGAAAACAAGCATCTTCAGCTTTTGAGAAGTTGTGTGCCCTGATTAGCAAGCAAGCCACACTAGACTTTAAAATTGAACTGAGGGCCCTGCTGAAGCACAGCTTCTATTGTTCTGTAATGAGTGTTTTGCAGAGTCCTTTCAAAAGTAAACTGTATTGTTCCCTTGCTAGTTTCAGTACATCTGAATGAGGTGATTATGTTCCTTAAAAAGCACTTTCAGGACTGCAGAAAAATTATCTACTTTAAAAAACATTTTTTCCCTTTATCTGGTGATAAATTTTAAAACCTTGAACATTTCATGAGCATCCTGGCAAGAGGTTTAAAATTATCTGGAAATCCTGCCTTTGATCCAAGGTGCAGAGAGTCTAAAAACCCATCAGAGCCTATAGGCAGGTCTCTGCTGCCTGAGCTGCTGCTTGAGCAGGAAATTTTGCATAGTAAATACTTTAAAACTTTGGTATTCAGAGAGCAATATTAAATCTAGGTGAGGACTAACATCTCTGAATAGAGCAAAATTTCATGATGCCAGGGTACTTGTATAGCTATTGACAGCCTAGTTTTTCAAATAAAATTTTAAACTGCTGGGGCACTTGGAGTCCATTTGTATTTTTCTGATGCAATGTCCGTGGGGCTTTCAGAATAGCGGGGACACGGGTGGGATTGGAGCTCTTTTTTTTAACCTCTTTTCATTTCCACATGTCTGTTATTCTTAGTGACTTGTATCATTTCCGTATTACCAAGTTGAAACAGCCACAATCTTGGCCCTGCTGTCAATAAATTTGTTGAATTATTTATTCATTTCATTTATTTATTTATTTCAATAAATAATGTCTTAGAGCAGGACCAAGACTGTGGCTTTATAGATTTGAAATATTTTAGGGAAAGCAGAGTTTACAATAAAGGAGGCAAATATTGGATTGGATCTAGAATACCCTATCAGTTCATTGAATCATAATTTCCCCACATAAAACCTTGGGTTCTTAATTTATCGAATTGACCCTAGTCCTTTATTGTGTCAGGACTTTTTTCCTAAATCCTAATTGAGTGACAAGTTCTATTTGAAGAATTCCAGCACTTCACCACTCTGTGTGTAGATGAGTTATTTTTCTGTCTCCTAGAGAGTATAGAGCAAGGCTACAAAGAGCCTGTACCCCAAGGGTCTCCTGCATTTTCCGATGCCCCTAAGCATATTTTAGGTGATATAGAAAGGATTAGACATGTCTTAATTTGGCCCAAATAAGTAACTTAATTTGGCCCAATGAAACAACCCTTGAAATA
This sequence comes from Homo sapiens, assembly GCF_000001405.40. Lineage (NCBI taxonomy): Eukaryota > Metazoa > Chordata > Mammalia > Primates > Hominidae > Homo > Homo sapiens. The sequence continues at coordinate 18,142,299 of NC_000007.14, forward strand.
CGTTGTGTTTCCAAAACAATCAGTAAGAGGAGAGTGATCCCCCAGGGAGCCCCTCACTTCTCCTGCTCATCCTTCTGTCCCCCCAGTGGCAATTTTCATTCTTATCCCTGAGGTTCTTCTCCCTATTAAAAAAATACACGTTTGAAGATGAAATATACTGGATTCTTGTGCAGTGCCATGACGTCTTATGGAGACATCTGTTCTGTTGTTACTGGGATGAAGTGAACGTCACCACATGGAACTTTGTTGTGCCTCCCTCACCATGCAAGGGAATTAGAGTTTTGTTAATTCCCTAGTTGTTTCTCTGCTTTAATCAGAGGGACAACTGGTCAGAGAGTTTTGTCCTTCCTGGGACCAGCTCATTTTAGGCCATTCTAATGACTTTGCAGCTTGCCCTTGGGCCCAGGCCTTTGATTTCAGGTGGCCCATAGGGCTGCAGACTTTTACTTCCCTTGAAATGAACAGCTCCATCATCCATCCTCCTAGAGGACGTGGCGGGTCAAGACTATTCAGCTTCACGTTCACAACTTCTGCCTCCTCCTCTCCCTGCTCCCAAGTGTGTGGCGTAAACCGATAGCAGCCACCATTATATGATGCTGAGGGAGCCTCCTTCCTTATAACCTTCCGTTGTAACAGCTGCATCCACAGAAACCCTGGACTTAGTTGTGAGATATATTCAGTCCCTCCAGGGCAGGGGATGTCCTTCAGTTCCATCCTTGGATCCCTAGTTTTGAATCACTTTTGATTTATAGTAACCTGGGTGAGATGCTTCCAAAACTCCATCCCCTGCTGCTTCATCACCTAAATGTGACACTAGGGCAAAGATCTCCCCCTGCTTTTGTAAACTGGTCTATCCTGTGCACCTACGCCTATTGTCAAATTAATAAATCTCTATAATGGCATATTTGTATTTTGTAGGAATTGCTGATAGTAATTCTTTTCAGAACCTGGAAGAACATTCTTCAAAGAAATCAGGAAATTAAGTTATATTACTTGTTAATTCTTACCACACAACTGACTACATTAAGACATTTTTAAAAAAGCTCTATGCGTATGATGCTTTTGGTCAGTCTGATTATGAAAATGGTATGTTTTAGAAGAAGTTCTATTTATTGACAGGGTGGAGGCAGAAGCTGTTTTTATATTACCATGTCATGTTTTTAAGTATGTAAATAAGATGAATTGCTGCTATGATCAAGTAAAAATTAAAAGCAATGTAATAAATTCATAGAGAGTGAGTGTTTCTTGGGAGGCCGAGGCAGGCAGATCACAAGGTCAGAAGTTTGAGAACAGCCTGACTAACATGGTGAAACCTCGTATCTACTAAAAATACAAAAATTAGCTAGGCGTGGTGGCGGGCACCTGTAATCCCAGCTACTCAGGAGGTTGAGGCAGGAGAATTGCTTGAACTCAGGAGGCAGGAGGCGGAGGTTGCAGTGAGCCACGATCGCACCATTACACTCTAGCCTGGGTGACAGAGCGAGACTCCATCTCAAAAAAAAAAAAAAGAGTGTCTCTTTTTATTTTACCTATTAATTTGGTGCACAGTATGGCTGTGCATGATGTATTCTTAGTGTAGGCATTATACAAAAATCCTGTGCCATGTGGCAGATAATCTCATTAGAAGAAGAAAAAAAGCCTAAATCGACATGGATCACCTGGTAGTGTCACAGTCTTCTCTATTGCTGGATCTATTTATGCAAAAAACATAAAATCTTCATACCCTCACGTCTATCTACATGTCACACCTGGTTTTGATTTTAATGACTTTCAGACTCTTCAGTGGGAAGGAAATAAATAATAAAAGCAGTGTTATTGAAAAATTCTGGAAATAAAAACATTTTCTGATTATGAATAATACATGTTTATTTTAGAAAATTTGGAAATAAAAAAAAGGATAAACAAGATAAAGTCACCTTAAATACCAGCTCTAAGAGGGATCCATTAACACTTTGAGGTATTTTCTTCCCACAGTTCATGGAAAGTGAAGGCTTCTGAACTGCTTGTTGTTCCTCATTCTTTGTTCCTGATTACTGTAACTGGAACCTTCTTCTGGTCCACCAAATCAGAAACCTTCGGGGTTATCTTGGACTTCCCCTTTCACTCACCCTGTCATCTTTTGGCCCTGTGGGTCCTACCTCTGTGGATTTCCCTGCCCATTCCCTCTGGTTCAACCCCACTCCTATTATTCTAATTCAGTCTCCCTTTCTCTCTTATTTGGAATTCTGCTGCAGCTTTCTGCCCAGTCTTCCTGTACCTAGTCATACCCTCCTCTGCTATATGCACCATTCTGAGACCACCATATTTTTTTTTCCCTAAAAGTTAACCCTATGATGTTGTACTCTTGTTTAAGCCTCTGAAAGCCTCTCTGCTCTCCTTTTCGTGATCTGCCCTGATAAGTTTCTTCTTTCCATCTCTTCCTTAGCCTCACTCTCTGCCTTTTCTCTTTCCATCTCCTCTCCAGCCATCATCTCAGTCACTGTGCTAGCAGTTTCTGGATCATCCTCTTTTTTTGCTTGCACAGTCACACATTCTGTTCCCTGTACCTTTTCTTCTAACCACCTTGAAGTTTCAAACTCCCTGAGGTCTGAGGAATGAAGTAGAAAGACCTTGTGATACTGTATGTTTATTGTAAAAATGTATTTTGAATGACATCTTTCTGTTCCTCCTGTAGAAGTCAGCTTGTCATCACCGACTCTGGGAACACTCCCTAGCCACAAAGACTTAAGTTTCACTTGCTTTGTGTTTCCACAATTTATGGACAACACTTAGACTTTAGGTCAGTAAGTGATCCTGAAGATTTATTCAGGTGACATCCCTGAGAAGCAATATTTTAGGCTGATTTTATTTGGACAGTCAACAATTGATATGGACTATATGTCATATGTCAAGCACTGATCTCTGATTCCTGTGAATTAGACAGACATAATCTTTGCTTTCATGGAGCTTGTAGTCTGGTATAGTCTGATGTAGGCAAGCACTCAATAAGAAGCAATGAATAAGCAAGATAATCTCATGGAGATAATTTGAAGTGATAAATACAGGGTGATGTAATGGCATTGGGTGCAGTTATATGGTTTCAAGTTGACTGAGCTGGTAAGGGCTGTGCTGTAGTACCTACCAGTATATTATCCAGACATATGTCAATCATATTACTAAGTTAACAGCATTTGGTAGTGGAAGCTGTGCATATTTGTTGGGCTAATGGTTTTAGGGTTAAAACCTTATTTGAATGAATAGAGGATATTTAAGATTGGAAAGAAACATGATAGCATTCAAATAATTGAATGACTATATATTAGTACTATAACAAAGAGATTCTGGAACACTCCAGAAGACTGACTGGAGCAAACCAAAAAATAGAAGTTACAGAGGGGTATATTTTAACTTAATATAAGGAACATCTTTTAAATGTTTATGATTTTCTCATCAATAGAATGGATGTGCTGAATCTTTGATAGGGGTTGTATTCAGATACCGGTGATCTGTCAGAGGTGAGTGAGGAAGTTCCTCTAAAGGAGAGCAAAGTAGCCTAGATAGTTTCAGAGATCTCTATTGTGTTACTTTGAGGAAGCTCAACCTAGGAGAAATAGAGGTATCCCGAGAGGAGCAAATTTAGGGCAGAACAGAAAGACCCCACAAAAGAGGTCAATGGAACAAGAGATGATATTTCTCTGGAAAAAGGGCACATAGCAAATATATAAGACTGTTGATTCACCAGCAAAAGAGTCTTCATGCTGATTGGTTGGGAAAAAAAGGAAACAGAAGAAAAAGAGATCAAGAAAAGGAAATGTCTTATTGAAGAAGAGGGACCCTATCAAGTAATTCCAGAATGCTGAATGCTGTCATGCTCTGAATAAATACGGCATCAATTAAAGGGATAAGAGCTTTGATTATAACTTAATGTCTGGCTGAGCTATTTCTTACATCACTGTTTCTTAGGTAATAGTTTTTAGTCTATTATCTAATAGTCCATTAGTACGTTGAATAGTATTCTATAAATGAATCTAGAATAATATGTTTACCTTCCATTTTAGGTATGATATGGCAACTCTTCATTTTCAATACTCACAGTGGTTGATTGAGACATAAATTTATTTGGGCTCAGGCTTGGCTTGGTCAGGAAAACAACAAAGGAAAAAGTTTTTCTTCAGAGCTGCTATGTTTATGCTTTTATGTTGTGGTTGGCATTTTGGCAGCATAGGTATTAAGTTATGTACCACCCAAAACTACTTAAAATTAGTTTTCTCAGGCTTAAAAGAAAGAGACCTTGGTTTTTTAAGACATTGAATAAGCTTTAGTTCAGCAACAACGGGCTGCAGAAACAATGCTTTTAACTTTTATTTGTGTCATATATTTAAGTTACACATTATTTTCGATTCTTCTTGTATTTATTTTTTCCTTCTAGCGAAAACAATTTGGTTCCAGTATTTTAAGTTATTAATGCTTCCTAGAGAACAAGTTTAAGTTTTCCAGTTTAGGAGGAAAAGCATTCAAATCAGAAAACCCCCTCATTTTTAACATTTTTCCCAAGAAGCAGAACAGTCATTTTTTAATCCTCTCATAATGCCCTGGGGGCGTTAGACAGACATTGTCCCTTAAAAAAGAGAAAAATAGGAATTGCATCATGTTTGATAGAAGTATAAGTAACAAGGGAAAAATATGAAACCACAAAAAGTGGATTTATTTTTTTCCTCAATATTTGCATATTTTAGCAAATAGGTTTATTGAGCCTCATTGGTGGAGGGTTGACAAGGATATGTAATGTTATTTTGTCTATTTAACAACTTACAGCTTATTTAAACTCTTTTTCCTAAATGAATCATCTCCCTTTTTTTTTGTCTGAAAGGTGACAGTATATTTATTATGGTCCATTTTGTAAATACCCGCTTGCAAATAGACCTCTTCATACCTGGGTGTGCCTCTTTGGAGACATGCAGAAGAAACCCTCCCAATGTGAATTACTTCTTGACTTTGCAGACTTAAGATGAAATTGCTTAAAATAAAAGGAAAAATAAAAATACACTGCTTGTTTTAGTGTACATTTGGAAGGTTACAAAAATTGGATTAAATATTGATGTTTGCTTTTAGGTATTTTTGTCTTTTAATTGGCAAGTTAATAGGGATACTTTCTTGGGTGAGATCATTTTCTGTGAACTTGGGAAGAATCAGTTTGCTTGTTCGCTGGTGGACACATGGAAAATACATCATTGGAGCATATGTTGTTTATTTTTTTATTATGAAATATTTTAGCAATTCAGAAAAATATGAATAATAAATTTAATAAATACTCATCTACTCATTATATGTTTATGTTTTGTCTTACCTCAGGACTCATTTTTTTTTTAAGCAATAAGGCATTTAAAATATAGTTGAAGTGCTCTTTGTAAAATTTCACTCACTGTCCAGAGTTAGCCATTATCCTGAGTTGAATGTGGTGTTTACCATTCCCATTTATCTATTCTTTTAAATATAAAATATTTATTCATAAATATTACGATATTATTTCATATGTTCTTGAACTTTATATATGTGGTATATTATATAAATCATTTTTGATTTTATTATGTCATTAATTTACTGTAAGTATTGAGGTGTATCCATTTTGACATATATAGCTCTAGGTCCGTTGTATTAATTGCTGTGTATTATTCTAATATATAAACTGCTACAGTTTTCACATATTCATTCTCCTGTTGATGGACATCTAGACTGTTTCCAGAATTTCTGTTCTACATTGTCTTGCTGTTAATATTTTTGTGATTTTTCTCAAGAAGATGTTGGGGAATTTCTCTAGGAGTGGAATTGTTGGGTCACTTACTAGTTTCCTATTGCTACTGAAACAAATTATCCTAAGTGTGCTGGCTTGAAACAACAGAAATGTATTATCTTCGAGTTCTATAGATGAGAAATCTGACATGGTTCACACTGGGCTACACTCACGGTATCCGCAGGGCTGTGTTTCTTCTGGAACCTGTAGGGAAGAATCCATTTGCTTTCCTTTTTTGGCTTCTAGAGAGTGCTCACATTCCTTGGATCATGGTCTCTCTCCTGCATCTTCAGCAGGACTGAAGAACCAGCACTGCTGCATCGACTATTATTCCATAGGCACATCTCCACTTCTGCCTGACTGTATTCTGCCTCTCCCTTCTACTTTATTTATTTATTTATTTTTGAGATGGAGTCTTGCTTTTGTCACTCAGGCTGGAGTGCAATGGTGTGATCTTGGCTAACTGCAACCTCCGCCTCCCGGGCTCATGCGATTCCCCCACCTCAGCCTCCTGAGTAGCTGGGATTACAGGCGCTCGCCACCACGCCCAGCTAATTTTTTTTGTATTTTTAGTAGAGATGGGATTTCACCATGTTGGCCAGGCTGGTCTCGAACTCCTGACCTCAGGTGATCCTCCCTCATTGGCCTCCCAAAGTGCTGGGATTACAGGTGTGAGCCACCACATCTGGCCTCTCCCTTCCACTTTTTAGAATCCTTGTGAATGCGTTGGGCCATTCTGAATAATCCAGGATAATCTTATGATTTTAGGTCATTTTATTAGCAACCTAAATTCTACCTGCAACCTTAATTCCCCTTGGCATATGAGGTAATATAATCAAAGGTTCTGGGGATATGGTCATGAATATCTTTGCAGGGGGAGGGTATTGTACCTACACAGATCATAGGGTGTCATACATTGTCCACTTGACAGGATAGTTTTAAATTGCTATTTTAAATGGTGTGTGCATTTATACTGTCTCTGAAAGTGTATGAAAATTTTAACTGTTCCATATCCTTGCCAACGTGAGGATTATAAGACTTTAAGATGTTACCCAATTGGATGGATGTGTTTTGGTATCTCATTGAGCATCTTTCCATATAATTATTAGCTGCTGAAATTGTCTTTTTTATTTATTGCCTGCTTCTGTCCTTTTCTTATTTCTAAATTGTTCTTTGTTTTGTTTTCTTACTCGTTTATACATAAGAAAAAAGAAAAGAAAAAATAATTAGTAGTTAATTATAATATTTAACAACATATTAATTCTTATAATAATTAATAATTTTTTCTTTTTTTTTTTTTGTTTAGAGTCAGGGTCTCACCGTGTCACTCAGGTTGGAGTGCAGTGGTGTGATCATAACTCACTGTAGCCTTGGCCTCCTGGGCTTAAATGTTCCTCCCACCTCTGCCTCCTGAGTAACTGGGACTACAGGCACGTACCACCATGCATGGCTAAGGTTTTTTATTTATTTATTATTTATTATTTATTATTATTTTTTTTTGAGACAGAGTCTCAGTCTGTCGCCCAGGCTGGAGTGCAGTGGCTTGATCTCGGCTCACTGCAGGCTTCGCCTCCCGGGTTCACGCCATTCTCCCGCCTCAGCCTCCCAAGTAGCTGGGACTATAGGTGCCCACCACCACGCCCAACTAATTTAGTTTTTGTATTTTTAGTAGAGACAGGGTTTCACTGTGTTAGCCAGGATGGTCTCGATCTCCTGACCTTGTGATCTGCCCGCCTTGGCCTCCCAAAGTGCTGGGATTACAGGCATAAGCCACTGCGCCCAGCCCAGTTTTTCATTTTTTTAAATTTGTGGAAATGGCGTCTTGCTATTTTTGCCCAGGCTGATCTTGAACTCCTGGTCTCAAGTGATACTCCCGCCTCAGCCTCCCCAAATTCTGGGATTACAGGTGTAATCTAAAGTGCTCAGCCATAATCCCATTACTAATTCTTGTTGGTTATTTGCATTCCCATATTTTTCCTAGTGTGATTTGTCTTTGCACTTTATTAGGGTTTTTTTTTTTTTTTAAGTGCACAAATATTTTAATTCAAAGTCGGCACGTTCTGCCATTTCCTACTTGAAGTAAGATATCCCTCTTCATTTTTAAATAAAGAGCACCATTATACATTGAAATAATTTTATTTGTATCTAGATATATATGTTTCTATTTTTTTTTTGAGATGTAGCAACAAAACAGTCTGATTTATTAGGTTGGTCCAGTTTTATATAGGCCGCAATTGAGAACTGTGTAATTTAAAGAGTGATGGGTTTATAAAATGTTATTGCTAGCAAAAACTTTAGAGATGATCTGGTCTGAAACTGATGTCCAGAGAGACAGGGAATGGCGATTCTAGAAGCGCTTGTATTGACAAAGTGAATTGCATACACACTGCAATATTATCTTCGTTGGCTAAGGGACTCTGCCTTACCTTGAAAAGCATGATTATAAAAATAATAACTGGACATCAATTTTGCTGAGAATCTTCTCTTATCTCTGGAGTGCATATTTTCTATTGTAAGGCTTTTGTCACAAACATACCTCTACTGTGAGCCAGGTCCCAAAAGGGACCCTTACTTTAGCAAAGTCCCACAACTTTTCTGTCTGGGTATTCATCCACATCACTCTCTGTTCCAACACTGCTACTCCTCCAACTCACTAAACAGGTTTTATTTTCCCAATATCACTCGATTCTCAGACTCTTGAAGATCAGAGATAAAATTAAGTGCATCTTTTATGCCCAAAATAAGTGTGTCAAGATTTTTTCACTATTTTTTTCTTAAGGAAGTATTGCAGAGGAACTTAAGAGTGAGTGACAGTTGACAAAAAGAAATGGTTGCCTGGAAACTGGCAATTTAAATAACTAGGAGCTGATATGATTTACCAGCCTGATAAACAGCTAGGACTTTAATACAATCTAAAGGGCTGCTACAGATGTTGGATTGAGCTATTTATATGTGTTAATCTGTCTCAGTCTATTTTAATACATGCATATATATATGCATTTTTTTTTTGCAGAACTGGAATATAAAAGCAAAGGCTGTATCTCTTCCCCTATATGACATTAATAGAAATAATAGAAATTGCCTTCAATTAAATGAATTGTTTTGGTCCCCTTGTTTTTATATAGATTTTCAGTTTCAAAGGTGGCTTTCTCACTCAGGGGGAATAGATGTCTTGTGGATTGAGTGCGGAGTTTGTTTTGAGTTCTGACACTGTAATTATATACTTAGTAATTGTTACCTTGTTTTTTCAGGTTTTATCATTTGAAACTTTACTCCATTTGTTGAGATGGAGTTGCAGATACTTTTGATTCTTCACAGGAATAATGAGGTTTAATAGGATTGGTTCTGAGTGAGTTAGCTTAATCAAGTAGCCTGTTTTACTGATGGGATCATTAAGAGGCTTTATCCTCTCATGGGCCAGTTAGTTTCCTGGAGCAGGTGAATGTCTTTGCAGCCTCCTTGATCCTCACTAGACATCTTTCACATGGTTCTTCGAAGAGATGATAGAAAAGCTGCAGCCTATATTGTACTGTAATCATAGTATAGTAACCCAGAGTTCCCTCTTCTGGCAGGAGGTCAGTACTATCATTTTGTGTATAAATAACTGATGGCATATTTGTGAAGCTGTCTGTATAAAATTCCACTATCTCCTTGGGAATGGAATGTGCTACATACAACAAACTATCATCATGTTACTAGCATAAAACTTGAGATAATTTTGAGGATAATTTTGACAGTGGAAATGTTTTATGATATGAGGAATATAAAAATAGATCATTTAATTCACAGAATAGTTGAAGGACACAGCAAGGTAATTTTTAAATTGTTTCTTGCAATTGTTTACAATTCACTGAGCGTAGTAGCTATGACTTGGAGAACTTCTGGGAAAGGAGGACATTTTTACCACCCATGCATGTTTGAATAAATTTCAGTCTCCTAAAGCTGTGCACCAGCTCTTTCATGTATCTTCCCTTCTACCTCTAATCACAGTGAGAACTCCCTACTCCTAATTCCTGTAGCACTTGTGCTGTCCCATTTTTTTTTTTTTAAAGAAAATAGCTATCAGGGCTGCAGTGTTTCACAATTTGAGGGGCAGTTTGTAACACAGAGGCCCTGAATGTCATAATGTCTCACATATATTGAGCAGTATGCTAAGTATTTTAAATATATTATCACTCATCCCTAGTGACCCTGCAAGTAACTATTAGAGCCAGCAACTTACCAGTGAGGAAACTGAAGGTCAGAATGGTAAATAATTTGCCTGTGAAAATACGGCAATTGGAATTTGCATTAAGGTCAGCCAGACTCCAAAGTCAGGGTTCTTTTCCTTGTTCTGCTCTCTATATATGTTTGTTATTTTGTTTCTTAATTGTTCATATGCATATGTTGTTTCTCTTGTGCTTCTCATACTTTAGCTTAGTTAAGAATCACCATGGAAACTTGTTTAAAATGCTGTTTCTGGGCCCTTGTCCTAAAGATTCTGATTCAGAAGGTCTCAGATAAGTCCTGAGTGTCTGCATCTGCATTTTCTGAGGGGTTCTTGGACTGTACTCTGAGAAATCACTGGTATGAAATCTGGGAGACAGGAGCTATCTGAACAACTCCCCCAGCTCTGAACATTCATAGCAAGCACTCAATAAGTACATGTTACATTCAAGCAGAGCTAACTTGCTCCTGTGCAAAATATAGCCCACAAGGTTCCATAGCATGAACTTGGATTGTTCTTAACTTGAATATAAAGTTTGTGTAAGTTAGAAAAGTCAATACTAATTATAGGGTGAAGTTCAAAGAACAATATCTGATATGATTCATTTTTTACAAATTGGTGTATTCTGGAAATTTAGGTGTATCCTAAATTAGGTGTATTGGTGTGTTTTCACAAGGAAGTTTCTGTAGACAAAGGAACAGCATTGGCTAGAAAAGAACCAGAGAGGGACGGAATTGAAGTTAGTTGTAGGTATAAAGTAGGGTTCTTTGGAAGGGGAGGAGGAGATGGAGATAAAGATGGGAGATGAGGTTGGTTCAACTCATTAGTGAAGGTAAGTTCTTTGGAAAGGGGCCAAATAACCAGTGGCCTAATCAATTGCAAGGGATTCTGGAGAAACCTAGTAGAAAAGAGGGTCACAGATGTGTTAGCGGTGAAAAGAATTGGACCAAACGCACAGACAAAGCAAGGAAAGAATAAAGTGACAACAGCAGAGATTTGCTGAAAATGAAAGTACACTCCACGGGGTGGGAGTGGCCTGAGCATAGGGGCTCAAGAGCCCTGTTATGGAATTTTCTGGGGTCAAATACCCTCTAGAGGTTTCCCATTGGTTACTTGATATACACCCTATGTAAATGAAGTAGCAGCCCACGACCAGTCTGATTGGTTGCAGAAAGTGACCAATCAGAGGCTGAAGTGAAGTTATAAAGTTCTGTACAAATGAAGACTTGGCCCTCTACCAGCCTGATTGGTTGTGGGAGGGGTCCAATTAGAGGTACTTTCAATTCCTCATCTGCCCTGCAGAAAAAGGTGGGGAGGGTTGCAAAGGGAGTAGCCTTTGGTCCTTTCGTTACTTGAGCATGGAAACTTGGGGTTTTCCTTTTGATTTAGTTCTAGGAAGTCAGTGCAAATCGGCTTTAGGGTCCCTGCCTCTAGAACCTATTCTCCTGCCTCAGATGGAGGGATAAGGAGTAAACAGAATCAGTGCCAATGTGGGTCTTGGCTGGGGAGGGTGCCATGTACCTCACATCTTTGGGCAATGGCCCTGGTGACTTAAGACTCATACTGGTTTCCTTCTACATTGTGTGGGTATTTTCTGTTATCACTTCTTCACCTGAGGGGCACATCTGCTTGTGCCTAGAGATGTGTCTTGGCTGGCTTAAAATTGTATGGACTGCTAGCAACAGGTAGAACAGTGAGTAAAACGATCAGTGATATCCTTCCCAAAATAGAGGGACCTTAAGGTCTATTGAAATTCCCAAGCCAATCTGTTAAAACATATTCAAGTTCTGTATAGAAAGATCTATACAATATCCGGGGAATAGACTTCATGCTTCCCTTCACATTTCTATAAAATGATACTTGTTTCTAACTTACAGTTTTTTTTTCTATTCGAATGTTTTTCTTTCTATTAACATCCAAGTGATTTTTTTATATAGCTAACACGAGTGAAAGATTAAAGTAAACATGGTATATTCACAAGCAAAGGATAGCACAGTATATTTCCTTAGAGTACACATTTGCCTTCTAAAAGAAAGAAAAAGAATGAAAAAAAGCTTTAGTAATTAGATACCTGCTGTAACCCTAGTGGAGTGAGAAAGATGAATAGTTGTGCTGCAGGACTCTGTGCCACAGTGAGAGGCACTATGTGTCACTGTTTTCTCTTGGGATGAAATTTGGCCTGAAGTAAAATAAAATTTCTGTAATGATAATAACAGCCAATGTTTTTGAGCACCTTCACCTTACCAATGATTACTTTACATTTATTTCCTTCAAGCCTCACAATGACCTCATAAGTTAAATAATTCATGTTTAAGCAACTGAGGCTCAGAGAGGTTAATTGACTTCCAGACCGCCTAGCTAGTGAAACATTTTACAAGAGCACTTTGCTCAACGTGGGGATTATCAGATCTTCAAGAGTTGAGTTGCAGCATTAAAGAAATGTGATTAAAGAAATCACAGAATTTTAAAAAATGTACACAATATTGAAGCTTGAAAAAGAGAATCATATCACTCTTAATTACAATGATGGCTAAAGGTCTTTTGTGTTTGGCTAGCTGATCATAACCCATGCCTCCACGCAGGTGAGGTAGTAGACCAGGGGAGACGGGTTCTTTTCAACATGCTTGGTCGGCAGTTTTCTGCAGGGAAGGTTATAGCGTGTGAGTTACAAAGCCCTCCTGCTGCACAGGTATCAGAGGTTGTCTGTTACAAGTTCCTTCACTTCGACTATTACTTCCTTTTCACAATTCTATTTTGGACTTCTGTCCAGTGTGTATTTACAGGTAGACAAAGCTTTTTTTCTTTCTTTCTTTCTTTCTTTTTTTTTTTTTAACAACCTCTTTGCCATGACTGAAAAGAAGCCTGTATATCCTGCAGTTTCTGGGCATTGTGAGTCTCCTTTTAAACTCAAATTGGTGATAATGGTGACTGTGACTCCCTATTGTCCAAGGAGGGGAGTTGCAGATAGGGCCTTCAAAGATGATCCAATAAAAATCAGTGCAGTAAGACTTTTTGATAAAATGATCTTTATGATGTAGAGGCATTTGGAATATGGGTTGGGTACTGGATACCCTGGGGCTAAGCCCAGTGTTTAAAAATCAAGGCTTACTACGAAAAGGTCTGTTTTTATTAGTGCAGGTACTGTAGTTGGCAAGATTTCTTCTTATGAAATGCAATATCCAGCAGACCATTCCTGATTATGTTATGTATTTTTAGATGTTACCATTGAGTTATATTTATAGTATAGACTACTGAATCTTATCTTAAATATGCAAAATATATGCATAACTAACCTCCCAAGCTGCGTTCCCTGCTCTATATTACACCCAACAATGTAGCCTGTTCTTAAATGGTTCTCCTAAAAGTCTTAGAATGGAGCTTATTATTTGCTTTTAAAATGTAAGCACAGAGACTGTGTGTTAGATGTGTGGCCTTCTGGGTGACATGTTCTGCTCCTAGATACTCTAAGGGTGAAGTCAGCAAACCTTTGGCAGTGCAGGTGGGGAGTGAAACCAATAGTCTTGCATAGATAACTCCCCAGAGTCCAGAATGAGCCAAAAGTAATTGATATGCCAGTCTTTGCCAGCATGTTTGGTGAATCAGAGCAGCAGGTGTCTGTTACGGTATTGGGGAAGGTTAAATCACCGACTGCATTGCTGATGTGGCTCTTGCTTGTGCCCATCAGCTTCCCAGTCCCCAGAACCCCCAGAGTCCTAGACTCTCATCATTCTATTCCTCAGGACAACATAAATATTATCAGGAGCACTGTGAGCACAGTCCTGCTTCTGCTACTTAAAGTTGAAGGGAAACGAGTATCCTTACATCTCTGTATCCCATGTTCCCCTGTCTTCATGAATAAGTGGTTTGATTGTTTTGAGGCCAACTTGAGTTTATAGAGCTTGTCTAATAAAAAGATGGATGTCCTTGGGGAAAAAAAGCTGAGGCTAATAAGGTGAGAGAGAAACGGAATCCTTTCAATGAGCTAAGAAATTACTTCAATTGAAAAGCCTGGGAAGTGACCCTATCTTGGTCAACATATTTCATGGGCAAGGTCTGGGGATGTCTGGTGTCTTCCCAACCCATGAAGGCACCCATCCCACCTGGGTTTGCCCTTTCTAGATGGTGGCCCATCTCAAGGATATTTTTCTTTCTTTCTCTGATCCAAATCCAAGGACTATGTTCTAGTCCTTCAGAAATCTATACTAACAAACTGGATAAGTGATTCTGCCTCAAAGTTGCATAACTACAGAATCATTGGTCAAGTTCTTACTGCCTGCTCACTTATTCATCAGGAACTTATTGTGTACCTGCCATGTATCAGGTACTCTACTAGGTGTGGGGGTTACAAAGATGAATGTAGTGCAGTCCCTGAACTGAAGAACATAGTCTCATCATGGATGAAAGTACTCCACTAACATAAGATACATTATTATTGTCTAACATATGTGATGTTATTATGGGTATGGTACAAGATACAGTGGAAACAGAGATGAGAAAGCTGATCTTTTACTTGGAGTGGTTGGCTAAGAATTCTCATTTCAGTATGGCTTTAAAGAATTCAAGATACGGCTGGGTGTGGTGGCTCACACCTGTAATCCCAGCACTTTGTGAGGCTGAGGCAGGACGATAGGGATAAATTGTTTCTATAAAAAAAGTAAAAATGTTAGGTGGGCGTGGTGGCACACGCCTGTAGTCCCAGCTACTCAGGAGGCTAAGGTGGGAGGATCACTTGAGCCTCGGAGGTTGAAGCTGCAGTGAGCTGTGATCACGTGAGACAAACTGATACCCTATCTCAAAAACCAACCAACCAGAAAAACCCCAAGAATTCAAGGTGGGAGATGCAGAAAAGGTAATAGTATCCTTTGCAGACAGAGACACAAAAGCATGGACACGCGAATGATACTGTGCAGGAATAGTCAGGACTCATAGTCAGCTGATATGTTTTAGTAAGGCTCCACCAGTGCTTATACAGGTGTTCATTCTGAGTAGCCTGTGCCTCGGTAGTAGCTAATAATGTTGAACATCACTCTAGGAGTAATCACAGATTGCCTGAAACCATAGGGGTTATACATGAGGGAAAGAAGGAAGAAGAAAAAGTGGGATGAAAGGAGACCAGTTATGAAGGCACTTGAATACCAACTAAGGAGCTGTGTGTCACCAAATTGTAGTTACTGACTCATTCATTTATTTATACATTCCCTGGAGGCAGGGATACCAGATAGAAGACTAGATTAAGAATCCAATCAAGAACAAACAATTAATTGAGCTAAGGCAGTATTAATTGAAATGGAAAGGAGGATTCAGATAAGAAAGATATTTTTAAGAGGTCAGTGTTCTGACTCTGGTGACTGTCTATGGTAAAAGCAAGAAACAGAGAAATGAAATAGAATCTAAGGTTTCCATATTGGGTAACAGTGTGTCTTGTATGTGCTCAGTAAGGGTTGTTGAATTGAACACAATGTTAAGAGCGGTTTTCTAATGCTTTTCTCCAAAGTTGAAATTACAGCAGAATTTCAGGTTCTAAGGCATGAGAGAGAGAGAGAGAGAGAGAGAGAGAGAGAGAGAGAGAGAGAGAGACTGAGGATCTGATGAATCTCTTGGTGTTCAACGTGTTGGCACAGTAAGCATTTCCCACCAATAAATGATCTGTATAGTGATTGTGATAAACTGAGTTTTTGAAGGATACTCTATGGAGGAACCATGGTTAATGTCTCAATTTGAGAAGAGAAGGACCTGCAGATAAGTGTGAATGGCTGTGTAGACTGAACTGTACATTTTGGCTTGCCCTAGCCATGAGAAAGATATATCAGATTTAAATAGACAAGGTTTTTGTTACCTACATAGACTATAAAAGCGTTCTGCTTTTTTAGTAGCACACTATCCAAAATAATACTAATTACCCAAAAGTGGGGAAAAAAGACAACTGTAATAAGCTCAGAGTATAGTTAAAAACCAAAATGATTATTGTGATGTTCAAGGAACATGAAGTCTAAGTCAAATTTGAAAGCTTCTGTTGTGAGTTGATTTGTAGACTTTTATGGCAAATTTTGGATTCATTGTATCATGTTTTGTGACTGAGTTTGATCTATTCAATGGCTTGACAGGTCCTTTAGTAAAGAAGACCTGTATCTCAATGAGCCATTACTGAAGTTGTAATGAGTAGATAGGCAATGTCTTGATGTTCATACAGCTCTGCTCAAGTGGTCTGTAATTCCTTGCAATGCCGCGAAGAAAGCACTGGGCTAAGAGTTACAGGATCAGCCCTCCATTTGCCAGCCACATATCTGTAAACAAATCCCTGAACCTCTTTACACCTCAGATGCCTTGTTTGTAAAATGGGAATAATAACAGCTGATTCGGTATAACCCAAAGGGCTGTTGTGAAGATCAGAAGAGATACTCCATGTGCAATTTCTTTGTGACATATAAAGCTCTGCTGACTTGTGATGCTATTACTATTGAGAAGGCCACATAGGTGGAATGGTTAAAGGACCTATGGAAGACCACTACGTATGATGTTAAGGACAGTAATAGGCTGGGACAGTGAAATGTGGTAGTGCCCTCTCTTTTTTCTGGCTGCATGGGTAAGCTGAGACTGCAGGATGTCACTGTCTTGAGTTGTTGCTCCGTGCTACATCTGAATATATTACAGTAGTAACGTACTTTCAGAGAGCTGACAAAATTGTAGTCAGAGATGATCTTTTTGAAGCAAAGGACTCTTAGTCTTTTATTGTGGATTTATGTAGCTCAAGGGATATAGTTAAGAACCAAAATAACCATTCCTGGATCTTAAGAGACAAAGGATTCATAGCAGCAGTTGTTTTTGCTGCACTTGTGTTTATCTCCTTAAATGTGCACGAATATGTATATGTTTTTTACAGCATGGGGAAACTCATGTTAAAATTCATTGAAACCATTAATTGGAAGCAGATATACTTCTATTACATGTTTTGATAATCTGTATTTACAAACAATTTGTATTATTTTTCTATTCTTTTTTGTTATCTACCTACCTGAAGGCGAGTTTCCTATTATTTCTAGTTCAGGCTTATAAGAATGACTAATATATGAGGGGAACTTCTAAACAGTCTATTACTCTGCAGCCCATTTGGATAAAGAAGTGTGGGAAGATTTGAGAATAAGTTCCCTATTGTCATCAACACATGTTGACCACTGACCCTTCTTTCTTTTCCAGGCAACTTAAAGTGGTCTTAATTTGTATAAAATTATATATCAATTTTGTCCCTAAAAGGTGTGGATCAGGCTGCTAATCTGATTTTGTGGGTGTGAGGAGAGGGAAGCATATATAGCCTATGATGTATGAATACATGTGATGTGCACATATGTACAGCAGATCCATATCCCTGAAACATTTTAGGAGAACTCCTTAAATGACCATATTCTACTTGTGCAGCTGTGGCAGTAATGATAACTTTGGTTTAATATGGATTATTGGAAATGGAAATGCAATAAATGGAAACTAGTGTATATCAATATAGAAATGCCTATTCATTTTCATTAAAAGAGTATTCAGATAACATTTTCATAAATGTTAGACCAATGTGTCATGTGGAGGCAGTTATTAAAAAGACTGAAGGCAAGGGGAGTTGTTTAACTTTAAAAAAGACTTGATATTTGTAAGTCAAATTTATATTTCCATCCCAGATTTACTCTGCAACTCAGGTTTGGAGCTGTGAAGTCAAAACCCAACTATTACATGCCCAGCCACAAATCAGCATGTCATGGAGAGTTGTTGTGTGTGTTTTTGTGGAAATAAGTGGGAGAAGTTAACTGCTGTTGAATTGTTGGAAATTATTGGTTAAATTTGAGTTATATTTGCAAATACACAAGTATCAATTGTGCAAAGTGACGTTAAAGATGAAAAAGATTTTTTAAAAATCACACTAACTATGCCCTTGATGGAAGTTACCTTTCAGAGCTGCTTCACTTACATTCTCTAAAGGTTTCCTGTTGCTTTCTATTCGTTATTCTTAATTTAAAATCAAATTGTGCCATTGAGAATCAAGAATGTATCAAGAGCATTTACAAAATGTTTCAGACTACAATGTAAAAAAGTAAGAATGACTAAATCTTGAAGCTCACACTTGTCAATTTAGGATAGTCTATAAATTCAAATTCAAGTAAATTTAACTTTTATTTTATTTACTTTTAATTATGAAGCAGATAGCATCTCAGTTTTCTCACCTATTAGGTCCAGGGTGAGAGGAGAGAGTTACAAGTTATCTATTAGCATGGTTCTTATGAAAGTAATATCAGATATGGTGGCATGTCTAAAAGCACTTTGTAACTATAAAGAACAGTGTGAGCAATGTTTGTATTTATTATTATTATTATTTTTGACACAGAGATTTGCTTTTGTTGCCCAGGCTGGAGTGGAGTGGCACTATCTTGGCCCACTGCAACCTCTGCCTCCCGGGTTCAAGTGATTCTCCTGCTTCAGCCTCCTGAATAGCTGGGATTACAGGCGCCCACCACCATGCCTGGCTAATTTTTTGTATTTTTAGTAGAGATGGGGTTTCACAATCTTGGCCAGGCTGGTCTCAAACTCCTGACCTCAAGTGATGCACCCACCTTGGTCTCCCAAAGGGTGATATTATTATTATAGTAAATATCACATTGAACAATTTTTATCTAAAACTAATGTCAGAATGTCCATTTCTTGATATAAAAATAAAAAAGTTTGCTTTTCATTTTTATCTTTCTGTAGAGATGTTGCTTTCTCATTGACACAGAAATCAAGACTGTTCAGATGATGTTAATAAAACAGCACATCAATATAATTTTTGAAGGAGATTTATAAAAATGTACATTTTAATTGTCATTAAATCTTAATACTTATTGAGCACCAAGGATGTGATGAGAAGTAGCCTGCTAGGTCTAATGACACTACTTAGCTGTTTGAATAACTAAATAGCACATTTCTATTTAGAGACCATATAAGTATTATAGGTATTCTTGGTGATGTTATAAAGTTCTTCAAAGAAAATATGTATTTATATCTGGCTTTATATATTGGGGCAAAAATAGCAATAACACTTTCAAAATAGTGACGGAAAAACGAGTCACAATAAATACGTTGGATTCTGAAGATAAAGGAGTATATAATTCTCAGAGTTACAACATCTGTCTATAAAAATAGTGCAATTGGGATATACTATTTTAGTAAGAAACTCATTAAGTGTAATTTTAAAAGCTGCTGCTTTTTTCTTAAGTTTGACATTCCAGTAAACTCTTAGGAAAATGTCCTTCCAGTTGCTTTTCCTCTAAGTGTCTAGAAGTGGAAGTACATTAAAATTAAAAGCAGAAAGTCCCTTAAATTCCTTTTAAGAAGTCCATCCTGTTAGTCTGACTCCTAGAAAGGCTATGGTTGCTATTACTTTGGGCTGGAACAAGATTACAAAAGACCTCAAGAAGAAGTGGAAATTATCATGGGAGTTTTCTGTCACTCTTATAGTTTATGGCCTTTTTGTTCTTTTTTTAGTCCATTAAACATTTCTTTTTGCCAAGAGGTCCTATCTGTAAAAGGAAGTCTTTGATAATGATAGTTTAAAATGCTATGTAATGAGATACTTATATGCAAAAATCCAAAAAAGCTTTTTTATTTCTATAATAATGATAATAGCAAACAAATTATAGTGAACAGTAAACAATAAGCTAATTATAATTATGTGAATTGCTTTCTCCCTCACTGATTCCTTCTATACCTATTATTTTATTTCTCTGTTCACAATATTCCTGTGCTATAAGGGAGACTGCTAAATTTGCTCTTTTTTAGATGAAGACTTAGAGACCTGTAAGGTTGATATGACTGCCTCAAAGACACATGGTCGCGCTGTGGCTGAGTCGACACTCAAGGCCAGTTCTCTGTGTTTCTTTTTCAGTGTGACTTGATATAGCTTGTATCTTAAACACTGCATTTTTCTTATGTTCTAGGTTTCTCCTCTGCCAACCCCTCCTGGACCATTGTCAGCAGTTGAACGACAAAGGCTGTGAATCTGCATCCTAGTCTTAGCAGTCCCTCTGATTCTCATGATGAGCTCACCTGCACAGCCTGGTCAGTCTGGTTGCTTCTTAAACTGTTAATAGACTTCATGTGAAAGATGTTGCTTTGTGTTGTTTCAAACCAAGTAATTTAATTTATGAAGGAACTTTTTTTTTTTTGGACAAAGATTGCTTAATGTAACAAATTTTGAATTTTGCATTCGATAGCTAATTCTCTATTGCTTAACCCAGTTTGCTTCCTGGACAACTGATTTGATTTGCATTGTAGTCTGAGCATGGGACTTTAATTCTTCTGCTTCCAAGGTAACATTCAGATTGAACTTTATGAAGTTATGAATATGAACTATTATATAGGAATCCATTTTTCACCTGTAATCTTTCTGTCCTAACATGTGTCTGTATGCTTTTAAATTATACTGTGGGGCTTTGGAAGTCAGTTTGTGGATTGACTCCACCTCCATCTCTTTGACACACAGGAAGGATATTTTTCCTCCCCACCCTTCTTTGCTGCCATTCCTGTTTCCTATATACATATTTAATTATAATCTCAGCACCTGCTTCCTCCTATTCCAGTGATGTGTGCTGCTCATGTAGTGCTGTGATCAGCACAGCCAACACCCGTTCCTCCAGGAACAGGCTGTCATTTTTGGAGCAAACACAATCCAAGTTTTGGGAATGATGAAGTAGGGTCAGATACCACATACTAGTAACAGACAAGTTTTACAAGAATTTTCTGCTTGGATACTTACAGAAGCATTTATTTCTTTATAGATTCCTTAGCATATTGATATCCTTGGTTTATTGAACTAAGTTGAAGCTTATGTACTATCATACTCAGGGCTTATAAGGGAGACAACTTGCCAAGATTTTCATTCCCTGGATTGCCACACCCAAGTTAGCTGTTTGGGAATTCCGCTGTTTCATCAACCTTTCCCCACATCCCCAACAGGCCTCCAACTTGTATGCTGAATTTGGAACTTGATTCTAAATGGTGCAGTCCAGAAATCCCTGAGTCTTTAGTCACAACCATGTTTGATAATTGGCATGTCACTAGGTTAGGCAGATGGCAGTTACTTACTTATGCCTGTTAGCTCTGAGTCTTTATTGCCTAGTGGTTCTCAAACTTTAGCATGCATTGACATCACTCGGAGAGTTTGTTAAAACAAGCCCTATTCTCATAGTTTTTGATTTCGTAAGTCTAGAGTGGGGCACAGGAATTGTGATTTTTACAAGTTCCCTTGACAATGCTGTTGCTGCTTGGGGACCACACTTTGGGAATCACTGGTTTAGCTTCTTCTGCCCATTTCTCACCCCATCCCCTACCAGCCTCTACAGACAACCTTGTTTAAGTGTGTTCTGTGAGCGGCATTGCTTATTACAATTATAGTCTAGTACTATTATTCTTTCTGTTGGGATGAACTTAAATTAACATTTACCTTATATAGGTGTATATTGCATTTTAAATATTATGTATATTTATTTGTATATAAATTCAGTGTTTCAAAATTGGATTGTTTAAAAGAGGCATTAATTTAGAACCACTGTGGTCAAGTATTTTTTTCTTGTGATAATATTTGGCAGTGGATGTTGGTCTACCCTGCTCCCCAAGAATGTTGATTTTATAAAATGAAAATCTCACTTGAAGCTGCTATTTTGATGAGGAAATTCTTGCGAGTTGTGATAATTGTTCAGTTATGAGGAGAGAAAAGGTGATGGATAAATAAGACAACCATTGAATGAAGCTCACTTGACTTTAGGGTCACCAAAATTTCCTCGTGTACTTTTTTCTTATAAATCATTCTGCTGTGTTGACAATAACATTATGCAGAAGTCTCAATCAACTCCATTTGGGAAGTTTTTATGAATGAAATCTGAAGTTGAGGAAAGTGATAGTAAATGTGCCAGGTGGGTAGGAGTTTCTTCTATTTATTGCAAGTAAAAAACCATGATCAGAGACCTGAAATTCACTTTGCATGGATAAAGGAAAATGTTCCTGCCACAAACATAAAAAAAAATTTTCTCCTGTTATTAGCCTGCATCTTAGGGTGCCGTATATATTCTGAGAAATAACCTGATTGTTTGATTTAGAAAAAAATATGTTTTTCTTACATCTTTTTTCCCCACTATCTAAAAAGAGAATTAAATTGGTCTTATGCAATCATCATCCATTTATTTTGCTTTTGTTCCACAAATGGCTCTAAGGAGTTATTGTGCACCAGAAAGAAAAATAGACTCACTTCAGTAGTTCCAGAAATTCTTTAATAGTCCATGTTTCAGACTGAGTATGTTTGTCTTCAAAATTGGTTCTGGTATAGTGTGAATTCTTATTTTTCCCATACATTAACATCATTCTTAGAAACGTTCTCCATCCATATTCAAATATGGTTGATATGAAATACAAAATGCCGCCGTCTTAATCATGCATTCAGTCAAACAATAAGTGCTGATTTTTGTATATAAAATTTACTAGTTTTTATTTTAATTTTGCTGCCCAGTTCTGTTCAAAGTTAGAGCCTTGGGTATTGCTTTTGGGCACTGAGGATCCTGAATGGAGGAAAGACTATCTGGATAAGATTGGCAGCTAGCTGCTGCAGTTGAGCTCTTCATTCAAAACTTATTAAGCATCTAACTTGTGCCAGCCAGTGTGTTACCCAATAGGGACACAACAAGCACTAAAACATAGTTTCTATCCTTAGGGACAGCACCCTTTCATGGGAGAGACAAATAGTAATAGCTTTAGTCCATTTAGTGTCTTAAGTATTTTAATAAATTTAGGACCAGAAATTTATTTCCTCTGTACAGCAGTATGGATACTATTTCTAGTAATGTAATTTTTATCAGAATTGCCAAATCTCAGAAGGAAGGATTTTAGGACTTATCTAGCATTTTCAAAACATGTCAGATAGTAAAAATCTCCTGAGACTTGTTAAAAATACAGATTTCCAGACTCCTCCCTGAAAGAGTATCGTGTGGTAGCCTGGGGGAAGGATACTGGATTGTAGAATGTATATTGCTCTTTGCTATGACTTGGCAAAGTGTAGAAATGCTCTTAGTCCATTCAACAGCACTAGTGTTTCATATTTGGAGACTATAAACACAAAAACACATCATAAAGTCTTATCTCAAGTAAATGTTTCTCTTGTGAGCAAAACTATGCTAATTCAGTTATTTTGTTCTCTGATGATAGATAAATAAAAAGCTAACACTGGCTAGGTGCAGTGGCTCATGCCTGTAATCCCAGCAGTTTGAGAGGCCTAGGTGGGAAGATTGCTTGAGCCCCGGGGTTCGAGACTAGCCTGGGCAATATGGTGAGATCCTATCTCTACAAAAAATTTTTTAAAAAATTGCTTGGCATGGTGGTGCATGCCTGTAGTCCCTGCTACTTAGGAAGCTGAGGTGGGAGGATTGCTCGAGCCCAGGAGGTCAAGGCTGCAGTGAGTGAGCCATGATGAAGCCACTGCACTGCATTCTAGCCTGGGCCACAGAGCAAGACCCTGTCTCAAAAAAAAAAAAAAAGAAAGAAAGAAAGCTAACACAGTGGAAACCTAGAGAAGGCAATAATTTGAGGGGAACATTCTAGTGGCTTTGCGTCTATCTAGGCCATCTCATTTTTATGGGGAGGTGGATGGACCAAAGAGATTTTTATGGAGTGCCTTTATTTTCCTCAAAAGAAGTTTAAGCATATTTTAACCCAGGGCAGCTTTTTAGTCCGATCTCAAGATTATAGAAAACCTAATTTCAGCCTGAACGTTTTTAAATAAATTGGGCTACATCAACCCTAACATGATTTTTAAATTTGATGAATCTATTTTTTGTAATTAATTTTGATGAAAACGCATCCAAAGGAATTTTCCAAGCATAGAACACAATGTGCCTGTTGCCCTTAGAATTGTGCAATGCTCTGGCCTTGTGGGCTTCTAGGTAAAGTGGCCAAAGCTGTGTTGCAAAGTCCTGTAACATTAGTTTTCAAAGCCCCTTGTATAAAGCTAGCTCATCTCTCTTTTCACCATTGTGGGAAGTACTCTACTCATATGAAGTGAGAGGACCAAGCTATTTATAGAAGTGAAAGGTTTATAGCAAGATCTTATATTCTGTTCATTTTCTCGTATTCTATTCATTTTCTTATTGGCAAGTCTTGGGCAAAAATTAATTAAGAGATTTATCTTCATGCCTCTGTTTTGCTAAACAGCTGAATTCCCCCATAGAAATGTAGAGTACATGTAACTAATGATCAAAAAGTTCTTTGAAATATAAATTGTTATGGAAATGCTAAGTAGTATAAACAATTTGGGGGCAAGCATTAATAAAAGCTTCTCTGCAAGCATTTTTAAAGAGGACTAATAAAAGCTTCATGGTTCAATTAATACAGCACAACATCAGGTTTTTTAGAAGCATATGGGACCCAGAAGGCCTGCCCCTGTTTTTAAAATTTACGAACTCTTTAATGATTCACCATTTTTACTCCAGTGCATTACCCACAGTGGTGCCATTTAGCCATTAAGTAGGAAACTAAAACCAGGACAAAGCTACAAACA
Organism: Homo sapiens; assembly: GCF_000001405.40. Classification (NCBI taxonomy): domain Eukaryota; kingdom Metazoa; phylum Chordata; class Mammalia; order Primates; family Hominidae; genus Homo; species Homo sapiens. The sequence goes on from NC_000007.14 coordinate 18,166,833, forward strand.
AATATCATAATGTCCAAGTGGGTATTTTTTCTTCAGTTTGTTCATAGTGTGTTACCAAAAAAATGAATGTTAAATGAAACAGAGTCTTAGGGCAAATCAAATAGGTTATGGCTTCCCTAGATGAGTATGATCAGTTAGCTTTTTAATGAAATACAGGTCAAATCCCATGACAAGTAGCTCTACATAACTAAAATATTTTCAGGCCACTGGCCAATTATCTATTTCAAGTAATATTCAAGAAAATTATTCCAGGATAATAAAACAAATTAGTTTTTTGATGTTTGTTGTAGCAGAAGTTGATCACAGGGTATGGTATTAATGGGAAACACTGTATGTTAAAGTTATTAACTATTGTTTTGGATTTTTTTTTTTTTTTACTACTTTAACTTCACAGTTAAGTGATTCATTCTTTTGCCATTTGTAAGTCAAAACTTCTCAATCTGATATTCAAGTTTGAAACATAAACCAAATGAAGCATTTTATTCATTCTCTAGTTTTTGAAGGACAGTGCTTTAATAAGTGAGGCATAAACCTTTTCTGAAAATGTTCAGTATAAATTTGTTTTGAACATTTATTTGTTTTTATATTTGCTTTTCACAATTAATTTTGGTGGGTAATTCAACTTATATAATTTTCATTATTGTAACACTACAAACAAACTCCATAATGCAGGCCAAACAGAAAAGGTTATTTCTCGTTCATATAAAGACTGAGTAGAGAGCTGCTGTTTTTCTAATGGCTACCCTTTGCCCCGGACAGCTTCTAACTGGTTTGTGCTTCTTCAGTTCATGTATTCTAAGGTCATTGTGCATCTCCGCATCAAGCTGGTGGGAGGGAAATTGAAGAGGTGCATTGAGTGTGAGAGGTTTCCAAAGGTACATCACTTTTGTTCACATTTCGTTGAGTGGAATTTAGCCACGTGGCCATACCTAACTACAAAGGAGGCTGGGAAAAGTAGTCTAGCAGTACTCCAGGAAGAGGAGGAGACAGGTTTGGTGAACAGCTGGCCTCTCTCTACCACATTTGTCTTAAAATTTTATACCTAGGACTGCAGATACGGTATTGCTTACCAAGAGGTGCAGTATTTTATAATGCACTCTTGATTTAACCAGTCATTAAAAAGTTAAGTAATTTTCCTTTGAAGAGATTGAAACACATTAAAATCAGGGCAGATCAGCTCACCAACATTTCTAAGAGTTGCCTAAGCCTTTGTTTATGAATCATGCAGAATAGATAATGCCCAGTGTAGCTATTAGAAAATTCAAGTTCCTGTTAGTGGGAACTCTGCAGAAAATGGGAGTAAAATGTATGCTGAATATTATATGTCCTTAATTAGTGTTTAAAAATAATGTCAATTTATCTGAAATTATAATTGCACATATGCTGAGGAAAAAGTACTTTAAACTTTATAATCACAATTCTTATGTTTGTTCTTTATTGCATTTTGGGGTCACGTTTTTCAACACCTCTGTAGTTTTAAGTATTATGATGAAAATCTAGGCCAAATATACAGTGGTTGATAAATACTTGTTTTACACTGATCTTTTCATGAACACTACTATAAAACAATGCTAGACTATATATTTTCTTAAGCCCTGTAAGCAAAATCTTGCTACCTCTGCAAATACACATGTACAGCCCTTTGTTTATAACATTATGTGGAACCTTTATGGAGGATTTTTTTGTCTGTATAGATTGGAGTTTACTCTTCAGAGTACAAAAACTCTGTGTGTGTGTCTGTGTGTGTGTGTGTACGTGTGTGGTGCATGTGTGCTTGTGTTGCAGTACTATAATAACTCTAGGGAAACACAAAGGTATGTGGAACCATGTAACCTGTACTTTTACACTAAATATCCCCCAAGGCTTTACTTTCTGTGGTTTTCTGCATATTTCTTAATTTTTGTCATATTTTGAGAATGTCAACGTATAGCAGTTTTCTCCATTTATAATTCACTGCCTCTAACTTGTTGTAGGGTTAGAAAGCTAAGAATTGTGTTAAATAAAATTGTTAAAAGATCACAAGTTCTGAGGAGGTGCAAATGTCTTGTTTTTTTTTTTTTTTTTTTGTGTGTGTGTGTGTGTGTGTGTGTGTGTGCGCGCATGTGTCTCTGTGTGTGTGTTTTAAATAGAGTTTTGTTCTTGTTGCCCAGGCTGGAGTGCAATGGCATGATCTTGGCTCACTGCAACCTCCGCCTCTTGGGTTCAAGCAATTCTTCTGCCTCAGTCTCCCAAGTAACTGGGATTACAGGCATGTGGCACCATGCCTGGCAAATTTTTTGTATTTAGTAGAGATGGGGTTTCACCATGTTGCTCAGGCTGGTTTTGAACTCCTGACCTCAGGTGATCCACCCACCTCGGCCTCCCAAAGTGCTGGGATTACAGGTATGTGCCACTGCACCCAGCCTGCAAAAGTATTTTTTATGAACAAAATAGAAGTACTTGTTTTTCTTACATACTGTAATTGCATTTTAATTGTCTCCTTATCCACTGCACCCCTCTTATTTTCTCGGTTCTTCTGTCTTTAGTCTATAGATTTACAGAATTTTGAGTTTCCAGCGGGTGAGGCATCGTTATGGTTTTAATTTTGCCATACTTTTCCTTGCAGTTATGATACATCAGTTTTTTTTTCTTTTTTTTTAAATTATACTTTAAGTTGTAGGGTACATGTGCACAACGTACATGTTTGTTAACATAGGTATACATGTGCCACGTTGGTTTGCTGCACCCATTAACTCATCATTTACATTAGATATTTCTCCTAATGCTATCCCTCCCCCTGTCCCCCACCGCACGACAGGCCCCGGTGTGTGATGTTCCCCGCCCTATGTCCAAGTGTTCTTATTGTTCAGTTCCCACCTATGAGTGAGAACATGTGGTGTTTGGTTTTCTGTCCTTGTGATAGTTTGCTGAGAATGATGGTTTCCAGCTGTATCCATATCCATGCAAAGGACATGAACTCATCCTTTTTATGGCTGCATAGTATTCCATGGTGTATATTTGCCACATTTTCTTAATCCAGTCTATCATTGATGGACATTTAGATTGGTTCCAAGTCTTTGCTATTGCGAATAGTGCCGCAATAAACATACATGTGCATGTGTCTTTATAGCAGCATGATTTATAATCCTTTGGGTATATACTCAGTAATGGGATTGCTGGGTCAAATGGTACTTCTAGTTCTAGATCCTTGAGGAATTGCCACACTGTCTTCCACAATGGTTGAACTAGTTTGCACTCCCACCAACAGTGTAAAAGTGTTCCTATTTCTCCACATCCTCTCCAGCATTTGTTGTTTCCTGACTCTTTAATGATTGCCATTCTAACTGGTGTGAGATGGTATCTCATTGTGGTTTTGATTTGCATTTCTCTGATGACCAGTGATGATGAGCATTTTTTCGTGTGTCTATTGGCTTCATAAAAGTCTTCTTTTGAGAAGTGTCTGTTCATATCCTTTGCACACTTTTTGATGGGCTGGGTTGTTTTTTTTCTTGTAAATGTGTTTAAATTCTTTGTAGATTTGTCAGACGGATAGATTGCAAATTTTCTCCCATTCTGTAGGTTGCCTGTTCACTCTGATAATAGTTTCTTTTGCTGTGCAGAAGCTCTTCAGTTTAATGAGATCCCATTTGTCTATTTTGGCTTTTGTTGTTGTTGCTTTCGGTGTTTTAGTCATGAAGTCCTTGCCCATGCCTATGTCCTGAATGGTATTGCCTAGGTTTTCTTCTAGGGTTTTTTTTATGGTTTTAGGTCTAACATTTAAGTCTTTAATCCATCTTGAATTAATTTTTATATAAGGTGTAAGGAAGGGATCCAGTTTCAGCTTTCTACATATGGCTAGCCAGTTTTCCCAGCACCATTTATTAAACAGGGTATCCTTTCCCATTTCTTGTTTTTGTCAGATTTGTCAAAGATCAGATGGTTGTAGATGTGTGGTGTTATTTCTGAAGCATCTGTTCTGTTCCATTGTTCTATATCTCTGTTTTGGTACCAGAACCATGCTGTTTTGGTTACTGTTGGCTTGTAGTATAGTTTGAAGTCAGGTAGCGTGATGCCTCCAGCTTTGTTCTTTTGGCTTAGGATTGTCTTGGCAATGCGGGCTCTTTTTTGGTTCCATACGAACTTTAAAGTAGTTTCTTCCAATTCTGTGAAGAAAGTCATTGGTAGCTTGATGGGGATGGCATTGAGTGTATAAATTACCTTGGGCAGTATAGCTATTTCCAAGATATTGATTCTTCCTATCCATGAGCATGGAATATTCTTCCATTTGTTTGTATCCTCTTTTATTTCATTGAGCAGTGGTTTGTAGTTCTCCTTGAAGAGGTCCTCACATCCCTTGTAAGTTGCATTCCTAGGTATTTTATTCTCTTTGAAGCAATTGTGAATGGGAGTTCACTCATGACTTGACTCTCTGTTTGTCTGTTATTGGTGTATAGGAATGCTGGTGATTTTTGCCCATTGATTTTGTATCCTGAGACTTTGCTGAAGTTGCTTATCAGCTTAAGGAGATTTTGGGCTGAGATGATGGGGTTTTCTAAATATACAATCATGTCATCTGCAAACAGGGACAATTTGACTTCCTCTTTTCCTAATTGAATACCCTTTATTTCTTTCTCTTGCCTGATTGCGCTGGCCAGAACTTCCAACAGTATGTTGAATAGGAGTGGTGAGAGAGGGCATCCCTGTCTTGTGCCAGTTTTCAAAGGGAATGCTTCCAGTTTTTGCCCATTCAGTATGATATTGGCTGTGGGTTTGTCATAAATAGGCCTTATTATTTTGAGATATGTTCCATCGATACCTAGTTTATTGAGAATTTTTAGCATGAAGGGCTGTTGAATTTTGTCTAAGGCCTTTTCTGCATCTATTGAGATAATCATTTAATTTTTGTCATTGGTTCTGTTTATGTGATGGATTATGTTTATTGATTTCCGTATGTTGAACCAGCCTTGCATCCCAGGGATGAAGCCAACTTGTTCGTGGTGGATAAGCATTTTGATGTGCTGCTGGATTTGGTTTGCCAGTATTTTGTTGAGGACTTTTGCATCGATGTTCATCAGGGATATTGGTCTAAAATTCTCTTTTTGTTGCGTCTCTGACAGGCTTTGGTATCAGGATGATGCTGGCCTTATAAAATGAGTTAGGGAGGATTCCTTGTTTTTCTATTGATGGGAATAGTTTCAGAAGGAATGGTACCAGTTCCTCTTTGTACTTCTGGTAGAATTCGGCTGTGAATTCGTCTGGTTCTGGACTTTTTTTGGTTGGTAGGCTGTTAATTATTGCTTCAATTTCAGAGCCTGTTATTGGTCTATTCAGAGGTTCAACTTCTTCCTTGTTTAGTCTTGGGAGGGTGTATGTGTCTAGGAATTTATCCATTTCTTTTAGATTTTCTAGTTTATTTGCATAGCGGTTTTTATAGTATTCTATTCTCTGATGGTAGTTTGTATTTCCGTGGGATCGGTGGTGATATCCCCTTAATCATTTTTGATTGCGTCTATTTGATTCTTCTCTCTTTCCTTCTTTATTAGTCTTGCTAGCAGTCTACCAATTTTGTTGATCTTTTCAAAAAACCAGCTCCTGGATTCATTGATTTTTTTGAAGGGTTTTTTATGTCTCTATCTCCTTCAGTTCTGCTCTGATCTTAGTTATTTCTTGCCTTCTGCTACCTTTTCAATTTGTTTGCTCTTGCTTCTCTAGTTCGTTTAACTGTGATGTTACGGTGTTGATTTTAGATCTTTCTTGCTTTCTTTTGTGGGCATTTAGTGTTATAAATTTCCCTCTACACACTGCTTTAAATGTGTCCCAGAGATTCTGGTACATTGTGTCTTTGTTCTCACTGGTTTCAAAGAACATCTTTATTTCTGCCTTCATTTTGTTATTTACCCAGTAGTCATTCAGGAGCAGGTTGTTCAGTTTCCCTGTAGTTGTGCAGTTTTGAGTGAGTTTCTTAATCCTGAGTTCTAATTTGATTGCACTGTGGTCTGAGAGACAGTTTGTTATAATTTCTCTTCTTTTACATTTGCTGAGGAGTGCTTTACTTCCAACTGTGTGGTCAGTTTTGGAGTAAGTGCGATGTGGTGTTGAGAAGAATGTATATTCTGTTGATTTGGGGTGGAGAGTTCTCTAGCTGTCTATTAGGTCTGCTTGGTGCAGAGCTGAGTTCAAGTCCTGGATATCCTTGTTAACTTTCTGTCTCGTTGATCTGTCTAATATTAACAGTGGGGTGTTAAAGTCTCCCATTATTATTGTGAGGGAGTCCAAGTCTCTTTGTAGGTCTCTAAGGACTTGCTTTATGAATCTGGGTGCTCCTCTATTGGGTGCATTTATATTTAGTATGGTTAGCTCTTCTTGTTGAATTGATCCCTTTACCATTATGTAATGGCCTGCTTTGTCTCTTTTGATCTTTGTTGGTTTAAAGTCTGTTTTATCAGAGACTAGGATTGCAACCCCTGTTTTCTTTTTGCTTTCCATTTGCTTGGTAGATCTTCCTCCATCCCTTTATTTTGAGCCTATGTGTGTCTCTGCACGTCAGATGGGTCTCCTGAATACATCACACTGATGGGTCTTGACTCTTTATCCAATTTGCCAGTGTGTGTCTTTTAATTGGGGCATTTAGCCCATTTACATTTAAGGTTAATATTGTTATGTGTGTATTTGATCCTGTCATTATGATGTTAGCTGGTTATTTTGCCAGTTAGTTGATGCAGTTTCTTCCTAGCATTGACGGTCTTTACAATTTGGCATGTTTTTGCAGTGGCTGGTACCGGTTTTTCCTTTCCGTGTTTAGTGCTTCCTTCAGGAGCTCTTGTAAGGTAGGCCAGGTGGTGACAGAATCTCTCAGCATTTGCTTGTCTGTAAAGGATTTTATTTCTCCTTCACTTAGTTTGGCTGGATATGAAATTCTGGGTTGAAAATTCTTTTCTTTAAGAATGTTGAATTTTGGCCCCCACTCTCTTCTGGCTTGTAGGGTTTCTGTAGAGAGATCAGCTGTTAGTCTGATGGGCTTCCCTTCGTGAGTGATCTGACCTTTCTTTCTGGCTGCCCTTAACAGTTTTTCCTTCGTTTCAACCTTGGTGAATCTGACAATTATGTGTCTTGGGTTTGCTCTTCTCGAGGAGGAGTATCTTTGTGATGTTCTCCGTATTTCCTGAATTTGAATGTTGGCCTGTCTTGTTAGTTTGGGGAAGTTCTCCTCGATAATATCCTGAAGAGTGTTTTCCAACTCATTTCCATTCTCCCCATCACTTTCAGGTACACCAATCAGATGTAGATTTGGTCTTTTCGCATAGTCCCATATTTCTTGGAGGCTTTGTTTGTTTCTTTTTACTCTTTTTTTCTGTAAATTTGTCTTGTTGCTTTATTTCATTAATTTGATCTTCAATCACTGATACCTTTTCTTCCACTTGATCGAATCGGCTATTGAAGCTTGTGCATGCGTCATGTAGTTCTCATTCCATGGTTTTCAGCTCCATCAGGTCATTTAAGGTCTTCTCTACACTGTTTATTCTAGTGAGCCATTTGTCTAATCTTTTTTCATGGTTTTTAGCTTCCTTGCGATGGGTTCGAACATCCTCCTTTAGCTTGGAGAAGTTTGTTATTACTGACCTTCTGAAGCCTGCTTCTGTCAGCTCATCAAAGTCATTCTCCGTCCAGCTTTGTTCCATTGCTGGCGAGGAGCTGCGATCCTTTGGAGGAGAAGAGGTGCTCTGGATTTTAGAATTTTCAACTTTTCTGCTCTGGTTTCTCCCTATCTTTGTGGTTTTATCTACCTTTGGTCTTTGATGTTGGTGACCTACAGATGGGATTTTGGTGTAGATGTCCTTTCTGTTGATGTTGATGCTATTCCTTTCTGTTTGTTAGTTTTCCTTCTAACAATCAGGACCCTCAGCTGCAGGTCTGTTGGAGGTTGCTGGAGGTCCTCTCCAGACGCCGTTTGCCTGGGTATCACCAGTGGAGGCTGCAGAACAGCAAATATTGCTGCCTGATCCTTCCTCTGGAAACTTCATCCCAGATGGGCACCTGCCTGTATGAGGTGTCATTCTGCCCCTGCTGGGAGATGTCTCCCAGTTAGGCTACATGGCGGCCAGGGACCCACTTGAGGAGGCAGTCTGTCCGTTCTCCAATCTCAAACACCATGCTGGGAGAACTACTGCTCTCTTCAGGCCTGTCAGAAGGGGACGTTTAAGTCTGCAGAAGTTTCTATTGCTTTTTGTTCAGCTATACCCTGCCCCTAGAGGTGGAGTCTACAGAGGCAGCGGGCCTTGCTGAGCTGTGGTGGGCTCCACCTAATTCTAGCTTCCTGAGCACTTTGTTTATCTACTCAAGCGTCAGCAGTGGCGGACACCCCTCCCCCCTGCCAGGCTGCTGCCTTGCAGGTCCATCTCAGATTGCCACGCTAGCAGTGAGCAAGGTTCTGTGGGTGTGGGACCTGCCAAGCCAGGAGTGGGATATAATCTTTTGGTGTGCCATTTGCTAAGACTATTGGAAAAACGCAGTATTTGGTTGGGTGGTGTCCCGTTTTTCCAGGTACCATCTGTCATGGCTTCCCTTGGCTAGGAAAGGGAATTCCCCAACTCCTTGCACTTCCCAGGTGAGGTGATGCCCTGCCCTGCTTCAGCTCACCCTCCATGGGCTGTACCCTCTGTCCAACCAGTCCCAGTGAGGTGAACCAGGCATCTCAGTTGGAAATGCAGAAATCTCCTGTCTTCTGTGTTGATCACGATGGGAGCTGCAGACTGGAGCTGTTCCTATTTGGCCATCTTGGAACGGACCAGTCCATAGTTTTATAATGCATGCCTATGTGTTGATTTGTGTTGCTTTGGAGTTGCTTTAATATCCAAATGAAAGACTCATGACCATATTATTGGTGAACTTTTAAAAAATATTGTATTGATTTATAGGAAATTGATAAGCTTTGAGGTAATCTGTAAAATTATTTTTAACCCCCCCCCCCCTTTTTTTAGAATAACTTCCTGGCACTTGATTATATAAGGCTCTTGCTGCTTATGATAGATGGTTGCTCCTCACATATCATTGCATAATTAACCTTTTCTCCCAGGCTCTTAATGTCCAAGAAAATGTTCTCTTCATACCAGTAATGTAGTTCCACTGGAAAGTGTTCTGGGTGAGCTGGGGATTTTTCCTTTGGAGCTGGAATTTGCCCTAGTAATTCTGCCTTCTTTGGAATTCTGTGAGTTCTGTGAGAGGGCAGATAATCATAGTGGTGTATGACCAAGCACTCACCTTTTATCTTTAACTCTCAGAAGAAATTGTTTTTCAGAAAGAAATGTCAAAATGACATTATTCATGAGAAAAACTAGTCATGAGTTTTGGACTCTCTAGGAATGTAAACATGTTTAATAAAAGCTGGTGACAGTTTTTCGGTCTGCTGTTACTGGAAAGCCTGCTTGATTTCCTTCCCTGTGTTTTTCTGGTCTTGAGATCTCCAGTGCTTTCTGAAGATCCAGGAATGCCGTACAAATGGGAAAAGCCAGACTGTTATCTTGAACCTCTGTTTTTGAAATCTCTGTCTGATAAGGAAAAAAATATTGCAAGTCATTGTAGTTACTTGTTTGGTTTGTCACTGGAATTCCAAATATTTGCTTGGTGGTTCATGGACATGTAAATTTTGGGATATGTTACTATTGTTTAGGGTATACTGTCTGTAAAATAAGTTATTAACCCAGTGACTGTTAACTAGATCTTCCAAAAGCCCTGTCTCCTATCATTTTATGTGTATTGAAAAATTATTATAATTAGAGATTTTTTTAAACTCTTAGAAAATGAAAGTATACAGCTATGAAAATTCTGTTTGGGTAATTTTTTAAAAAATTTATTTTCAGTTCAGAGGTACATGTGCAGATTTGTTATACAGGTAAACTGTGTGTCACAGGGCTTTGGTGTACAGATTATTTCATCATGTTTGGATAATTTTTATGTTATTTTTTAATGCATTTTTATCCTTTTGTCTGTATTATTGTGCTTCCTTTTTTATTAAAGAAGAGTTGGATGTATCTTACTTTGGCTTTATGTTTAAAGTGAAACAGTAAATTGAAAGATTTTAACAGGTCGTGGTATGTCAATGAAAGAACCTAGAAATTAGCAGAAAAATGCAGGAAGCCAACTATAGATATTGGAAAAATAATACATACCATAACTTGAGTTAGGTAATGTACACTATCGAGTCTTTGAATTTCAATAAAGTATGTCAAAGTAGACATTGTATGTCATTTTCCCTTCTGTTGGGAGAACTGATAATCCGCCTACCCATCTGCCTTCCTACCTTTCTTAGTTTTCTTTCTTTTTCTTTTATTCTGCCTAAGTCCAGAAAAGATTTGGGGTCTATATAAGTAAGTTATGGAAAATAAAATACGTGAGGAGGAAGGGAAATGAAGGGAAATTGGGTACACCCTGTTAGTACCTGCATTTAAATTCTGTGAAGTTGCTTGAAGACGGATGGATCTGTGTCTGAGCTTCCTGATTAGCAAGTCTGTTGTCTATGGTGCGATTAATCTCTTCTCAGCCTAACTCTGATATAGTCACTGCCCTGTATAAGAAATGTCAGTGGCTCTCTATCACATCTATTTAAGGTATATAAGAACCCGTACCCTTTTCAGGCTTATCTTATTTTTCTCCTCAATGAACCCCACTCTGTTCAACATGTAGAGCTGCTTACCTTCCCCAGGTCCAGTTTTCTTGCTTGGAGGCCTTTGAATGACCCTTCCTCACCACTGGGAGTGTCCTGTTTACTTATCTTCAACACCCAGCTCCTACTCCATTCTTCTGTGAGGCCTTCCTGGGTGACGCTGACATTTGTTACCTCTCTCAGTTCTGGAACTTACCTTAGTACTGGGGTTGTCTTCTCTAATAGGCTTAGCTTTTTGAGGGCAAGGGACATCTAAGTACATTTTGTGGGGTGTATATAGAGTGAAGCAGTTGGCAGCTGTATTTATGGTTGCTCTCTTAGTTAAGTAATATACTGCCCAGCACACAAAAGGAGCCAAATAAGTGAAGAATAAAGGGCACTTTGTGAGGAGGCTGATTATAGTGGTGCTAGGGGCATGGAATTGGGGAGGAGGGAAGCAGTTGAATATACCTGAGCAAAACCAAACTGTTTCATATGTGTCATGAATCATATCCCTTTTCTTTTTGCTTATTCATTTGTTGACTTTCGGTTCTTTTCACCTCTAGTGCTATCCACTGAACTTCCTCCATCCCCCTACCTCCCCTTCCCTCCCGTTCCCTCCTCCACCTCCCCTCCCCTCCCCTCTCCTCTTTGACAGAGTCTTGCTCTGTCACCCAGGCTGGAGTGCAGTGGCACAATCTTGGCTTACTGGAACCTCCACCTCCCTAGTTCAAGCAATTCCCTTGCCTCAGCATCCCGAGTAGCTGGGATTACAGGCACATGCCACCATGCTGGCTAATTGTTTTGTATTTTTAGTAGAGACAGGGTTTCACTATGTTGGCCAGACTTGTCTCGAACTTCTGACCTCAGGCAATCTGCATGCCTTGGGCTCCCAAAGTGCTGGGATGACAGGCGTGAGCCACTGCACCCGGCCCCCCTCTTTCTAAGGTGGCTTATCTATTCATTGAACAACAAACATTGCAATAGGGTAGTCATTGTTTGCAAGACTTGTGGTTTCATACTGAGTTCTCTAAATGTGGGGAAGTTGCTAAGTTTGGCTCTTCTTCAGCTAGCACAGCGGTAGAAGCAGACCTACCACCCTCTTTCCTTTTAGTAACTTGAACTTCTCCCTGTTTCAATGCTTATAAACCACCTCTCTCCCAAAACAAATATGTATTGTGGTTAAGAATAGTGGAAAGAGTGACATGATTTTTAATTGTGGTTGAGCAGGAAATTGTTTTAAGTTAGTTTAGAATTCATTGATCCAACATTCTTTATACTTTTAAAAAGTAATACAGTTTTGCATACTGTATAATTAGCAGTAACTTTTAAATATACTACGTTTCTGAGGACCTTCAGTAAAATACATAGAAAGGAAAACATCCGGCTTAAAATTTGTGACTTTTCAATCTGTATACATTTTCAGTTCCTCTTATTTAAAGTGATAGACTAATAAATATTTTAATATAATGGTTGAAGTCTTTATTAAGATTAAATTAGGATCTTAAACTTTCTGTGTGTCTCCATTAAAGATGTGTTTTTGGCTTCATTATTTGACAGTGTTGTGGTATGGCATTTAATGGAGAACAAGATCTCTTACTTTGGAATGTATCTGGTCAAATGGAGTTCCTTTCATATTTGCCCAGGAAGCTTATTTTTCTAAAGATTATGGAAATAACAGATGTGGAACAAGCAAGCACTGCATGTCTTTCATTCAGAGTTCTCTGAGGAACCACCTTGGGTAGGCTTTTGTTTGTCACACACATAGCAAGTATGTCTTTACCCTGACTGATGCAATAGTCCAGCCTCCTGTGGGGTATCATCCACTAACAATAATGCCATAACCCATTAGTTGATTGCAAACTCTCTGAATCCATAGGGACTTGCCCCAGTCCAAATGAGTGACTAATTCTTAAACTACAAGGTAAAGCTGAGGTCCTAAGGGAGGAGGGACATGTTAAGGTTTGACTGTTTATTTTGCTTGTTATTACTGCAGGATCATTAAAGAAATGTTTATATCCTGTTGGGGTTCTATGTTCTTAACCACTATATAAGGATGAATAAGCTTTGTTTTTTTTGCTTCTACCTCTCTTATATTTCTTTCCATTCTCTACCCTCCCTCTCCTAAGGAAAAATGGTGTTCACACTCATTGGGTCTAAATAAACCCAAACGTCTTTTCTTTGAATATTTTATTACCTTATCTGTTTATCTATTAATGAGAAATTATACAAATGCATATTTGAAGTTCTTAGTAAAAGCCCAAGGACTTAAACGCAGCTCTGGAAACACCTGTCATCTATCTTTTATTTAGTAAATCTCCCTTTGTCCCAGATTCCTCATTTGGAAAATATGTCATGAATTTGTTATGTTGGTATCATAAAAGATGTAATTGTACAAGAGATAGTAAAGTATCACATGTTCATTTAGAATGATCACACATAAATATGTGCTTTTTTCTCTCAACCGTGACCTGTAACTATCCTTTTTTGAATGTCACAAAAATCTCATGTCTATAAGCCTCTCCACACTGATGAGATTGAGGCCTAAAACCATCATCTCCCAGCTCTGTCACAATTTCCAGATTTGTCTCTGTCTTTAGGTTTGCTCACTTTTGAGCACATAGAATTATGCCATCCTTTTCAAATTACATGTCAGCTCCTTACTTTATCCTACCCCCAGTAGTGAGCGCCTTAGTTGCCTTGCTTCATCTTTTGATGTGTTTTTACACTGTTTGTCATGCCAGCATTTCTTGTGAGCACCCTCCCCAAGACACATACACACACACACACACACACACACACACACACACACACACACACACACCACATTCTTAACCTATGGACATTTGCTGCTGTAAATTCATTATATATGGTGCATTGAAAATGTTTGCTCTGTGTTTCTTTCTGGACCTTGTGCTAGCAACTTTGTTTTGTCATTTTTGTCAAGTGATTTTCTTTTTTCTTTTTTTTTTCCAAATCAGCTAAGTCACTGATAAGATTGATGAGTATGAGAGATTGATCATTTTACAATTTCCATCCTGCGGCCATATGAGAGGTTGTATTTGGTACCTAGATTAGATCAAAGAGTGTCAGAACTCAATGGGCTGTATAACATGTGGCAGGTAGCAGAGTAAATTGGAAAGAATAAGAATACCAGAAGGAGCCAAGAAATACCTGTTGGAAACCCCAATCTGCCCTAACTAACTTTGGGCCTTTGAGAACAAGTTACTTTATCTCTCTGGATATCAGTTTTCTATCTTGTATTAGTTTCCTGTGGCTGCTGTAACAAATTACCACAAACTTGGTGGCCTAAAACAAAGGAAATGTATTTTCTCACAGTTCCAGAAGCCAGAAGTCCAAAATCAGTTTCACTGGGCTGAAATGAAGGTGTCAGTAGGACCTTGCTCCCCACAAAGACTCCAGGGGACAATCTGTTTCTTATCTCTTCTAGCATCTGGTGGCTGCTGGCATTCTTTGGTTTGTGACTGTATCACTCCAGTCTTTGCCTTTGGGGTCACATTGCCTTCTTTTGCGTGTGTGTCAAATCTCCTCCTCCTTCACTCTTATATGCATATGTGTGATTGTATTTTGGGACCACCTGGATAATCTGAGATAATCTCCCCATCTCAGAACCTTTAAGCATGTCTGGGAAGTCCTTTTTTTTCCCTAAGAGGTAACATTCACAAGTTCTAGGGATAAGGATGTGGGTATCTTTTGGGAGGTTGTTATTCAGCTACTAAACGCCTGAAATAATATCTGAAGTCATGCTGGCTTGGCTTGTAATTGCTATTCATTTCATTCATTTGTTCATTCACCAAACTTTTATTTCATGCCTAATATGTGCCAGACACTGTTCTAGGCAATAGGAATAACCCACTGATCATGCCTTTAGTAAATTCATTATATTGTTGGTGAGATTACCATACAGAATAAATGCTAAAATAAAGGTAAAAGAGACAATTTAGACTATTGGATTAATTCTTTGTATGTCTCCTTTTGCACAGTTCTGGAGCACAAGCCACCAGCATGCCTCAGTACTTGTAAATCATTTCAGTAACTACAAGGATTATGTGTAGTGTAGCCTGTGGACCAGAAAGTATTTTACAGAGGTCAAAGCACGCATCAGCTTAAATTCAATTCAGGTGTATATATTGAGTACAAAAATAAAGTTTAGACCTCCACCACAATTATACAATTTTTGTCAACCCTGGCTGCACATCAGCATCAATAGCAGGCCTTTACAAACTACTCATACCTGTCCCCCTACCCCACCTTGTGCTTGGTTCTAGGTGGAGCCCAGGGGTCCTTTAAAAAAATCTTATTAGCAGATTCTTACATGCTGAGGGCATTGAACAGAGAGAACCTGTGGTCTGAAGAATAGGAAAACCAAATACAAGGGTACTGATACAAATGCAAGTCAAAATACTGTAAGTTTTCTCAGGATATATAGAAACAAAATAGTTTGGATACTCAGAGGAAAATGAGATCACATCTGGCTCAAGGGAAATTTGAAGACGGAAGTGTTTGAAATATCCTTGATGGATGTGTAAAATTTCAACAGGCATTGATTAGGGGAGGGTGGAGGAAAGGGAATCCACAGAGGTCTGGAGTAGGGGAAAAGGTGTGTGTCATGGCTGGCAGCAGGGCCCAGGAGCCAAGATCTAGGCACCAATTCTCTCTCCTTTTGCTGAGACTTTCTGGCCTGGAAACTTGAAGAGCTTGAGAATTCTAAATTTAAATCTGGTCCTCTAGGTCATTGTGAAGGTATATTTTTTCAAGGCAGGAGGGTAAAATGTATTTTATTTGACAGGTAATAGGTTGATATATACTTTTTAAAAATTTAGAAACATGATTTCTGGGCTTCCATTTGTACTCTTGCTCTATGTCGTACAAGTATTAGGAGCAGGCTTCTGTGGGGGAAATAAAAATGGAGAGGAATGTTTTAAAGTGTTTCAAAAGAAGAATAGCCAATATGTGATGACTGACGGGAAAACAGACAAACATAGTGGGAGGTAACAAAGGTAATTTAAAAGTTCAAGAATGACAGTAGAATTAGTGGGAGTGAGACATATTGATGGAAAAGATAGCTAGCATTTGTTGAGTTTTTCTCACAAGCCAGGGGCTTTCACTGCATTTTCTTTATGTCAATGAATTATTTTCATAAGCCTTGAGGTAGGTACTATTCTTATCCCATTTTACAGACGGGAAATTGAGACTTTGAGGGGTTAGTTATCTTGCTCTATCAAGGTCTTACAGTAAATCTAGCTCTTGGATCCAGGTACCTTAATTCCAGAGTTTGTATTGTTAACCACAGTTCTGCTAGTTGTCAGGAGATTGGCTTGAGAATAAGGCTGATGAAGAGTAGTTGAATTCAAAGACAGGAATTTAAGAATCATCAGAAGAGAGGTCACAGTCAAAAACTTGGGTAGTCAGCAAGCATCACCTTATCAATTAAAAAACGGAAGAAAGAGAGAAGAGTAGAGGGACAAGACTAAATGTCACTGAAGCTTTCAGGGCAGTATCTTATACCTGTTTATGGCTGCCAGTCACTTAACATATGATTTTTTTTTTTTTTTTGAGACGGAGTCTCACTCTGTTGCCCGTGCTGGAGTGCAGTGGCGCAATCTCGGCTCACTGCAAGCTCCGCCTCCTGGGTTCACGCCATTCTCCTGCCTCAGCTTCCCGAGTAGCTGGGACTACAGGTGCCTGCCACCACACCCGGCTAATTTTTTGTATTTTTAGTAGAGACGGGGTTTCACCGTGTTAGCCAGGATGGTCTTGATCTTCTGACCTCGTGATCCGCCCGCCTCGGCCTCCCAAAGTGCTGGGATTACAGGCGTGAGCCACGGCGCCCAGCCATGGTTTGTTTTTTTAAAAAAAGCCCTTGAATATTTAAGTAAGCAAATGAACCAATCCCTCAATCGTGAATTTTTCTACCTGTGCTTCAGATTCTACATACATAATAATTACGATGGCTAGAAGGAGACAAATCTAAAGAATTTCCTCAACTTTTGCTGCCTGTTTTTGTGACCCTGATTCAGTTTCAAATCCTTGGGGATCTTCCTTGGATTCCATTTTTTCACCTTACTCCATCTTTTCCCCCACAGAAGATAGCTGCTTTTGGAAGGTTATCCTAGCATAAGAAGATTGGCAGAACACTTCACTACTTTTGTCATTTTAAACAGTTTCTTTAATTTAAATTTTTCATTTTTCTGTAGAGATGGGGGTCTCGCTATGTTGCCTAGGCTGATCTCAAAATCTTGGCCTCAAGAGATCCTCCTGCTTTGGCCTCCCAAAGTGTTGTGATTACAGACATGGGCCATCACACCTGGCCATTTTAAACAGTTTGTAAACTAAGGTATTAAAGTAACAATACATAAATGGTAAAGTATCCTGGGCTGTTGAGTGTCTTTCTCCTCCCCTCCTCTTCGAGTGCCCTGAAACTTTTTTCATTCTACCATTCTCACAATGAGTATGCATAAAAAGTCACTATTAAATAATCCAGGAAAATAAAACTATTGCCTTTAAAATATATAAATTATACATTTTTTTGTTACCTGTTATTGCATGTTGAGTATTCCTCATCTGACATGCTTGGGACCAGAAGTTTTTAGATTTTGTATTTGTTTGGATTTTGGAATATTTGCATATAAATAATGAGCTATTGGCCGGGCGCGGCAGCTCATGCCTGTAATCCTAGCACTTTGGGAGGCTGAGGCAGGCAGATCACCTGAGGTTGGGTGTTCGAGACCCGCCTGACCAACATGGAGAAACCCCGTCTCTACTAAAAATACGAAGTTAGCTGAGCGTTGCGGCACATGCCTGTAATTCCAGCTCTACTTGGGAGGCTGAGGCAGGAGAATTGCTTGAACCCAGGAGGGTGAGGTTGCGGTGAGCCAAGATCTCTCCATAGCACTCCAGCATGGGCAACAAGAGTGAAACTCCATCTCAAATAAATAAAAAAATAAATAATGAGCTATCTTGGGGATGAGACCCAAGTCTAAACATGAAATTAATTTATGTTTCATACATACCATATGCAAATAGCCTGAAGGTAATTTTATTCAATATTTTAAATAATTTTGTGCACGAAACAAAATTTGTATACCTGAGGTAAGGTGAGGAATTTCCACGTGTGGCATCATGTTGGTGTTCAAAAAGTTTCAGATTTTGGAATATTTTGGATTTCAGATTTTCAAAATAGGTATATTCAACTTATATTAACCAGATCAAATGTTCTATGCTTGTCTTGTTCTCTTGACCCTCGGATTATTTCACAATCAGAATCCAGCATATTCATTTGAAAGGTGTAGGGTATTGAATAAAAAGGATTTCAGAACAGCTATATAGTTGTGTCAGATATTTTAATATTATAGTACTGTATTTTTGTGCTATTGTATCAGAGTCACATTTTTATTAAAATTTATGATTTACACCTAATCTCTTAAAAAATACTGCAGAGCTTGCCTTAGTCTGTATCCTGCATGTCCTATTTCTTTTTCTAGTACTGTAATTGAGTTGCTATGTAAAATGTGGTCTGCCTATGTAATTCTTCCCACCTAACTTTATTAGGAAAATTAATAGAATAGCAATATCACAAAAGTGTTTGATTAGAATCATGGGAAATGAAACTAATTTGCAATAAAGCCCAAGACTGGCTTTCAAAGCAAGTGATTTTTATGGTTAGAAGTCAAACAACTTTACTTACAGACAGTGATCGAGGCAAAAAAAGTCCATTTGTTATTTGAAAGACATCAGGAAAGCCACTGATTCTCAGTTTGGACTATACATTAAAATAACCTGGAGAACTAAAAATGAAAACCAAAAGTCTGAACCAGGACCACCACCTCAATGATACTGACTTAATTTGACTTTTATGAGGCTTAGGCGTGAGTATTCGTTAAACCTCCAAGGTAATTATAATGTGCAACTAATGTTGAGGACTGCTATTAAAGCAAGCATCAGGAAAGCACAAAGAACAGGATAAAGTAAATAAATATAAAATCCTTACCATTTAGGAGATGACATGTCCTTTCTAAAAGAGGAAATATTGTCTATTAAGTTATGAAAACTAAACTTTTAGTTCTATTTTGAAAAGAGACAAATTAATCTCATTTAAATATTGTTACAAGCATAGATAAGAGTACATATCTATACTTTTTAAAAAGCCCCTTTTTTTTCTCTTTGTATTTAAACTCACTTATCTTCTTATATTCAAGATTATTAAATCTCAGCTATGGGCCTCGTTTTCCCCTACCTTCATATTGTTCCAACTTATGAATTGAAACTGTACATTAATTTCCAAATGAATAATTTAAAATCAATGGAGTAAATGGGACACTTGCAGTCAATGAAAAAATCCAGCGATTATCTCGGGCATTTTTTTTCTCCATAAAGAAAGCATGATTACTCTTACAAAATGGTATTTTGTCACTTCGTGCAAAGTATCTTGATCATTCTGGGCCTATGTTGCTTTTTCTGTAAAACTGGGATATCACATATTGCTGAATTGCAGTGACCATTTATTGAGTGTTCATTGTATTTCAGGTTCTAAGTGTATTAAGTACTTTATATGTGATATCTCATTTTATCAGATTGAAAACACTATGGAGTAAGGACTATTTTCTAAAATCCTATTTTGAAGATGGAAAACCAAGCCTTAGAGACTTGCCTAGCTAGGTTAACATGTCTAAAGTTATATTTCTTGTTATCGACTGGGCCAGGATCTGAATTTAGGCAGTCCAACACGGTAGCCACTGGTAACAAGGTAGCGCTAACCCTCTGTGAAGACAAATTTTTCTGTTTAGCTGACTGGTTAAGACTAAAATTAAAGCTTGTACCTTCTTTACAGGGACGTTTTCCAAAAAGACAGTCTTGATATTTCCCAACTGAGCAACAGGTTTTTCTGTTGAAGCTAACAAGGAACAGGTGCACTGCTGGTGTTGGCATGTGCCGCTGGCACCGGACTTGTGGTAGGATGGTGCTTTCTGGTGCTGGTTGGGTTTTAAGGAAGGAGCATGACACTCAAAAATTCCCAAAGCCCATAAGACTCTGCCCCACTCTTCACTACCAAATCTTAGGGAAAACTTCGGGTAGGGAGAAAATAGAAGAGAGCTCTTCTGGATTAACATGAAGTGGCTTGAGGAATGTCAGGAGTGGGAAGCCAGGAAAATTTGTGGTCAGAAGACCTTAATTAAATTCCTGGCTCTGCTCTTCATGCCCTGAAAGTCACTCAACTTTTCTGAATCTCAGTTTTCTCAACTTTAAAATAGAAATGATGATGTGGTAATTGAATTCCATACTTCAAAGGACAGATGATCAAATAAGATAATGTACTGTAAAAACTCTAAATAAAGCATAAGGTGGTTTTGAAAACTGTTAATGTTAATAAAAGCAGATTTTTATTTTCTAATTGGAAGTCTTTATCTCTTTAACATGCAGAATAAAAGTAAAACAATATTTACTCTACAGAACTACTTAAATTAGAATGCCTGTGTGGTATACTTGGACTGACTTTTACTTCCCCAAAGTGTTCAAAACCCCTAGGCATTTAAGCAACTTTCAGTGTATTAGTTACTGCCTAATGGGCAAACCCTATGATCTTTTCTCAGTCTTCATAGAATTATAGCAGTAATAATTTATTATTCAATAAGTGTACATTGAGTACCTACTATGTCCCTGGAATGGGTTTAAGTCATTGGAAATAACAGTCAGTGAAAATAAAGGCGGGCAAAAATGAAATTGTCTATTAAGCACCTAATGTGGACAAAGTGTTACATATAATCTCATTGAATCTTCACAGCAATCCTGTGACATAGGTTTTACTGGCATTACTTATAAATGAGGATACTGAGGGTCAGAGAGTTTAAGAGGCATGTCTGGCACATCCTAGCAAGGAGAAAAGTAGAACTGGGATTAAAACCCTATTCTATCTTCTTTTCTAGCAAGTGGCTTTTCTTGTGACCATTTATTTGTTAATTCATTTATTCATACTTCACTCAGTAGTCGTTTGACTTTCTTCTTTCTATGAACATCACAGATATTTTCTTAGCCACCTGTGGTTAAAACCATGGCACCATCTTTAAAACTCTTAACTCTATTCCCCTCCACATCAAATCTGTTCCAATCTTGACAAACCTTGTCTTCCATTTTTGTTGCCAACCTTTTGCACTTATTACTCCTTGCTGCTACTATTCTACTAGACTTAGAACTAGTCTACTTTCCCTCTCCCCTCCATTCAGCCTAATCCATACAGTGTTGCCTAGTGAATCTTACTAAAGCACAAATCTAATTATGTAATTTCTCGAAAATCTTCCATGGCTTGCCATGGCCTACAGAAATTGTCAGTAATCACAAGGCATTCCTACTGTCAAGGGTATAGGGCAAACCATATTTTCAGCCTTCTTCAGTGTGCTTCTTCCTGTGCACAAAATTCATGTTTCCCAGGCTTGTCTGATAAGAATCACCTGGGGCTAAAATAATTCATAGATTCAGTGGTATTCCCATCAAAATACCATTGACATTCTTCACAGAATTAGAAAAAACTATTTTAAATTTCATATGGAATCAAAGAAGACCCTGTGCAGCCAAGACAATCTTAAGCAAAAAGAACAAAGCTGGAGGCATCATGCTACCTGATTTCAAACTATACTACAAGTCTACAGTAACCAAAACAGCATGGTACTGGTACCAAGACAGACATATAGACCAATGGAGCAGAACAGAGGCCTCAGAAATAGCACCACACATCTACAACCATCTGATCTTTGACAAAACTGACAAAAACAAGCAATGAGGAAAGGATTTCCTGTTAAATAAATGGCGTTGGGAAAACTGGCTAGCTATATGCAGAAAATTGAAACTGGACCCCTTCCTTACACCTTATACAAAAATTAATTCAAGATGGATTAAAGACTTAAATGTAAAACCTCACACCATAAAAACCCTAGAAGAAAACCTAGGCAGTTTCATTCAGGACGTAG
Organism: Homo sapiens; assembly: GCF_000001405.40. Classification (NCBI taxonomy): domain Eukaryota; kingdom Metazoa; phylum Chordata; class Mammalia; order Primates; family Hominidae; genus Homo; species Homo sapiens. Next base: position 18,188,433 of record NC_000007.14, read on the forward strand.
GCATGAGCAAAGACTTCATGACAAAAACGCCAAAAGCAATTGCAACAAAAGCCAAAATTGACAAATGGGATCTAATTAAACTAAAGAGCTTCTGCACAGCAAAAGAAACTATCAGAGTGAACAGGCAACTTACAGAATGGGAGAAAATTTTTGCAATCTACCCATCTGACAAAGGTCTAATATCCAGAATTTACAGGGAACTTAAACATATTTACAAGAAAAAGACAACCCTATCAAAAAGTGGGCAAAGGATATGAACAGACGCTTCTCAAAAGAAGACGTTTACATAGCCAGCGAACATGTGAAAAAATCTCAACATCACTGATCATCAGAGAAATGCAAATCAAAACCACAATGAGATACTATCTCATGCCAGTTAGAATGGCGATTATTAAAAAGTCAGGAAACAATAAGATGCTGGCGAGGCTTTGGAGAAATAGGAATGCTTTTACACTGTTGGTGGGGATGAAAATTAGTTCAACCATTGTGGAAGACAGTATGGCAATTCCTCAAGGATCTAGAATCAGAAATACCATTTGACCCAGCAATCCCATTACTGGGTATATGCCCAAAGGAATATAAATCATTCTGCTATAAAGACAAATGTACATGTATGTTTATTGCAGCACTATTTACAATAGCAAAGACATGGAACCAACCCAAATGCCCATCAATGATAGACTGGCTAAAGAAAATGTGGTACATATACACCATGGAATACTGTGCATCCATAAAAAGGAATGAGATCATGTCCTTTGCAGGGACACGGATGAAGCTGGAAGCCATCATCCTCAGCAAACTAACACAGGAACAGAAAACCAAACACCGCATGTTCTCACTCGTAAGCAGGAGTTGAACATTGAGAACACATCACACAGAGAGGGGAACAACACACTCCAGGGCCTGTTGAGGGGTGGGGGGTGAGGGGAGGGAATTTAGAGGACAGGTCAATAGGTGCAGCAAACCACCATGGCACATATATACCTATGTGACAAACCTGCACATTCTGTACATGTATCCTGTTTTTGTTTGTTTGTTTGTTTGTTTTAGAAGAAATAAAGAAAAAAAAGAATCACGTGGGGCTTATTAGTATGTGAGTTCCCAGACCCCACTTGACCATACTGAGCCAGAATCTGCAAGGATTTACAGAGCCTTGTGGGGCATGGTAAGACTGGTGTTCCTCCCAAAGACCCAGAACACAGGTGCATGCCTGTGATTATCCTAGGTCTCTTGCTAGCACTGTGTGTTGAGGTAGTCAGCCAGTGTCATCTGATGTGATGACACTTTGTCATATCTGAGACCTCCCAGTCACCCTTTCTCACGCATTACTGAGGTGCAAACCAAGTGTCAAAAAACCCAAAGACACATTAATTAAATTGAATCCTCCAAAGAAGTGTTTTTCTCACATTTTTAAGAGCATGAGATATTTTTATGTGAGCACAATGTGAAACACATAAAAAGATTTAACTTGTAAATAACTTGTGTGTGGTGTGTGTGTGTGTGTGTGTGTGTGTGTGTACGTTTGAGACAGAGTTTTGCTCTTGTTGCCCAGGCTGGAGTACAGTGGCACGATCTCAGCTCACTGCAACCTCTGCCTCCCGGGTTCAAGCAATTCTTCTGCCTCAACCTCCCAACTAGCTGGGATTACAGGTGCCTGCCACCATGCCTGGCAAATTATTTTTTGTATTTTTAGTAGAGATGGGGTTTCACCATGTTGGCCAGGCTGGTCTCAAAACTCCTGACCTCAGTTGTCCCACCAATCTTACCCTCGCAAAGTGCTGGGATTACAGGCGTGAGCCACCACGCCCGGCCATAAATAACTTGTTTAGCTCATATGTGATTGTCCAATTTTGGGCATGTATACATAGATACATATACATATATAAATGTATATAAATAAATATGTGTATATGTGTACATAAATGATTATGGGCATATGTATTTGTGTGTTTGAATATATGTGCTTAGGGATAGGGACACACATGTACATGCATAGATGACTTGCCTTCGCCAAAATTTATACAGATGTTTCTCAACTTACAATGGGGCTATATCCTGATAAACCCATTATAAGTCAAAAAATTGTAATTATAAACTGGCTTATAAAAAGACCACCCAATATTGCAAGATAAAAGGCATTAACTGTAAGATTATGATGCAAGAGGAAAATAATGACCAGAAAATAAGTTGGAGTGGAAAACGTTTCTCTAAAACTTTCTACGCTATCATTGAAATAGCTATTAAATAATATATTGAAATAAAGATTGTTGCTTTTCTCTTTTTATTTTCCCAATTTTCACTCTTATTAAGTAAAATTACTCAGCTTTTAAAATCACTTGTATCATCTCACTGTGTATTTACAGATTTTTTGCTTCTCAGAAATTTCTGTATGTCCCAAATTCCTTTTAAATATTTAAATATTATGCATGTTTTACCTTTGTAAACTCCTACCTTTGTAAAACATGCGGAATATTATTTATCTCATGGATTTCACCCACTGTCAAAAGTCTACTTCCCTATCACCAATAAATACTTGAATACTATTAAGTGATAATTTTTTAGAATCACAGGGATCAAACTATAGTTGACTTTTGAACAACACAGGGATTAAGGGTGCTATCACCACCCCCAGTGGAAAATTCATGTGTAACTTTTTGACTCCCTGAGAACTTAACCATTAATACCCTACTGTTGACTGGAAGCCTTACTGATAACATAAACCATTGATTAACACATTATTTTATGTTGTATGTATTATATACTGTATTCTTACAATAAAGTAAGCTATACAAAAAAATTAAGAAAATCATAAGGAAGGAAAGATATATTGCCATTTATTAGCTGTGTGGGTGAAGAAAAGTTACTTAACTTGACTACGCTCAGTTTATTCATTAAATAATCTTTGCAGACCTGGTAAGCACTGGATGAAATAATGTAATAAGACAAAAATGTGAAGATTTTCTCCATAGTCTTATCACTCTGTATCATAATTTAATCATGTTTCTTTACACGGTTTCTCAATTCCTGAGAGAATGATTTTAGACAAACCCAGAGAACTCTCTTTGAATATCATTCTTTGTTTCAAATGTATTTCCTTGTGGCAGGAAACGATAAACACACATGGCACAGACAGCTAGTGACTGAAGGGGAAGTTAATGGTGTTTGTTTTTCCTCCAGAATTAGTAGTTCAGAAATTAAAAATAAAAATGTGGCTTGCCAAGTTTGTAAACTACACAGAATTCTTTGATTACAAGATGACAATGAATTTAATTTTTTTGACATTTGTATTTCTTTGATACTTATGAATTGAAATGTTTTGAAAACTTATGAATTTGCAGCTTTACATTTTATAAACTATAATGATTAAAATATCCAAATCCATTAATTTCTTCCTTGCCCTGTAAACTTGAAAACTGAGAAAAGATTTAGAGTAAAGCATTTTGAAATCATTGACAAGCACAAATACTGTTAGATTCTATGTCAAGATTGTATTGCTGCCCTTGAGGAGACATTATACGTGCTTTCTAAGCTATGACGAGAAGACATAAACAAGGTCTTTCCCCAGCTATGTGCTAGAAAAAAACCCTTAATTGTGATTGTACAGTATTGCTTGATGCAAAAGTCAACTCATTTTTCACCAGGGATTCCTGTCCATTCCTGGAAATGAGGTAGGATGAACCCGGCCGGGGGGCGGGGGGGTGTCACAGTAGAAGGTGGTGGTTTAGGAAAATCTACAAGTGACGGTAAATACTATTCTAGAAAGTTAATTTTTTTTTATTTCAGGGAGCAAATCCTTTATATTTGGCAGGTAGAATGCAACTTCTTGGTAGTGTCTTTCATTTAATTAAAATTAAGATTGATGTGGCTTGCTGCTGCTGCGTAATATCATTCTGACTTTTGCATAGCTATTGCATTTGTAAATATTCAAATGCACTTTGTTATGGATAAAAGGGAGTTCCTTGGGTAGATGTTTAACTTTTATTGCAAAACCTCTTGTGCTCACTTACGTTGCCAGATTTGGTAGTAGTCATGCACCCTGGGAAAATCACTGGCAAAGCAGTGGAGTGGAAAGGAATCATGGGTATTTACTGTGAGGAGAAGGGAAGGTAAAGGTGTTGTAGGGGTTATATCATTTCACTCAGGAATTTGCTTTTGGAAATGTCATTAAGGATATAGTATTTGGGGATGGTAGGTATTTTTAGAATGTTTCTAAGTAAAATCACGATTTTTCTTTTAATGCACTGTGAAGAAATCATCTAGTCCAGTGCTCATGAAATCAATTTAGTAGGTTGCAATTCAACAATGGAATAGAATAGGCTAAAATACAACATGCCAGAATGCACACACGTTGTAACATTTAGTGTTAATTTATGAGACTGCATGAGTTTTATATAGATAAGCATGTTTCTATATATATGTGCATTGTATTTAATATGTATTTCTCAGTATGAGTAGCTGTTGAAAAAGCTTAAAAGCCACTGATTGACTTTTTCTCCCATTTTACAGATGAGGAAACTGAAAGAGGCTGATTCTCATTTTATTTGAGTGGGTCTCCTTGAGGCAGCTTATCTGTCATCAGGGGTCTCTTGTTATAATCTGTTTAATTACCTATGCATCTTTTACAATTTTTCACCCTTGCTCAAAAATTGCTATATTTTTGTGACCAGAAATTGGATCAAAGATGCTGATTCTGGGGAGATAATCTTTGCTGAGTCTCTGAGCACCATGTTGGATGGGTAGTTGGTGCTTGTAATACCAAGGGGAAAAGAACAGAATATTTATAGCTCTCTGTAGAGGTAAGATCTTAGGTAAAGTCAGATGAAAAGGTGGAACAATAATCTAATACATTTCATCAATAGATACAACAAATCACCATTAGCTTCTACCATTTGTTTCAGTTCAGTTCAACAAATATTTATTGAGCTCCTACTTAGTATCAGGTATTTTAAAAGCTAGCCACTTACTTCCTTCTTTATGATAAATTAATTAGTCAAACAATTAAATTATTCTCTCCCTTTGCTTGTGGTGTACAGGGAGATTTACTGAAGTAAAAGGGGGTTTCGTTTGTCAAAGATGAAAGAGATGTAGCGCCATGCTATATAACACAATATGCTACTTGGAAATCTGTTATGCCTTATCTAGAAATGTTCCTAATATCTTGAACTCCACCTTTCACTCATTAGGAAGTCCTGCAATATAAAGCTCACCTATAATATTTTCTCTATATTTGCTCTCATAACACATTGATTTATATTGAACTTTCTCCTTGTTGCTATTTATACAGTGTCAGTTCTGCTCTATGAGCTGATTTTTTTTTTCTCTGACTACCTGAGAATTGAGGCAGCAGGGCCAAGGGGGCCGACTTGCCACGTGAGGTTTTGTCTTTCCCACCTTGTTAGGCTGCTTCTTTGCCTTTCTGCCTGGCAATTCCTGAAGGTGGTGTTCTGTTTTATCTCTTTTTTGTTTTTAAAGTGTTTGTGCAAAGCATATTATTCTGTTTTTACTTTGCTTCTTAATTGAGTATCGGCCATGTAACTTATTGTTTGAAGCAGTTACAGCATCAGGGAATAGTCCCAAATGGCACGATGAGCCTGATTTTTCCTGATGGCTGTCACTGTGGAAAGGGACACCCATGAGGTCGGTCCAAGCCAAAGAAAGGAGATGTATAAGTACAGCCTAATCTTATTAGTGGGTCTAGAAAAACTGCTTCTTTATTAACTGTCAGTCTTTTAAATCTTTGCTAATTATAACGATTAAACATGATATTTTGTAGTCATTTCTACTTGCATTCTTGATTATTAGTAGTTTTGAGCTTTTTTACATATCTCTGTAGGATTTTCTTCCCATGTTTGGAATTTCTGTTTGTGTCCTTTGGTTATTTTTCTTTTAGACTATTCTGTTTTGTTATTGATTTATAAGACCTTTTTTCTATCCTATTGAAATTAATCATTTTCATTGTGGTTAAATTTTATCATTTTAACATATTTTGAGTGTGCACTTTAGTGGCATTAAGTACATTCACACCATTTGCCACCCTCACCGTTGTCCCATCTCCAGAAATTTCCCGTTATCCCAAACTGAAAAAAACCATGGTAGGTGCTATGAAAATAGGCCCAAGGGCCTCTTCGATTCTTAACAAGAGAGATGCTAACCCCTTTTTTCCCACAACACTAGTAACACTTCTTGAATCATCTAATCCCCTAATTATTTCTCTGGATCCAGTGCTGCCATGATGATTGCAACTTCATTTTAAAGATGTATTCATACATTAAATAAACAGGCAAACAGCTGTTCTCATATGACCATCTTATTGAGCAAATTCTGTTTTGTTTAGTCTTTATAGTTCTTCCACTTGTTATTTAATCTACTGGTGTTTGATGTTTTCCTTGCTTGCCAATGTGGTATTTCCAGCTGTGCATGGAAATTAATTTTCTATTTGAATAGACAATTCCAGGAAATTATCTATTAAGGTTATAGGAGGCAAAGAGAATGTTGCTTTATAGTTTTGTGTGTGTGTGTGTGTGTGTGTGGTGTTCTTGGCATTATAAGGAGGAAAGGTTGGTTTAAGAGTTCATGATTGCCAGTTTTTGTTTTTAACTAATATTACTTAAATAAAACAAACTCTGCCACTGGTCACAAACGCTGTCAATAATAGGAAGTATGGGGAACTGAAAACTTATTCTCTATCTGAAACAACAATTCTAAATGGATTGCTCATGGACTCTGAAACCTTTTTTGGACAATAGACCTCTTTGTGTATCTGACAGATTCTGTGGAACCTCAAAACCTAAGGTTCCCATATTTTTATCTAAAACCCTAGTTGAGATGCATTTTGGAGTCAAGAATTTATCAGATTTTAAAAAGGTAGTATGATTTAAAAAATGTATTGGGTTTTCAAAAGTACCATATACCCCCATATTACCTATCACCTTTAATGGGGTCTGGGATGGTTCCCTATAATCAAAAAATAGTATTTCTGCAGTTAAATTCATAGATCTTAATCTTAAATGAGATAAATAAAAACATGAAATAGCCTCACATCTGTGTAGGTCAGTTTATGCTGCCAGATAAGTTGAGGTTTGTTGCCAAACAATTTCTGAAAAATCTTTTGTTCTTTAGGATCAGTGATAAGGGACAAACACAATTTCACCTATACTCTAGGGGGTTCCACTGTTCTTGGTCAGGAGTGTTTTGGCTCCATGCTTCAGCCGGGCCTGCTTCTCCTCAGCCCTACTCAAGTCATGGACTTAGCATTTTCACTGTTACAGACATTTTTGCTTCTGGAGTTCTGCACCTGTCACTTTTTTGATGAATTTAATCCTCTTTTTTGCAGCCATATCGTATATGGGCTCTCATTCTTTATACTCAATATGTTTGCCGTTATGTATAAATGTTTCATCATAACGTGAACACATATATTATGTTCATCATCATCCCTATTCCTTTGTATTGGTTAAAAAATTGGTTATTCTCAATACTTGAAATGCCTTTTTTCTGTCTTCCTCCTGTTAATTTATCCTCTACCCCATCATTGTACCAGGATAACCGATTTTCTCCTTCTTTTATATTCTCTATATTCTTTTAAAGCTTTGTGTCTACCACTGTTTTAGCATGCATTACATTCCTCCATAATTATTTGAATATTTATCCATCTCTTATATAAGACTGCACATTTCTTGAGAGTAATACCTCTTTATATATCCATTGCCTTGCACAGTGCCTGGCACATACAGATTCAAAGCTTTTCAGCCCAAGATAAATAGAAGGTGTACATTTGGAGCCAGTGGGGTAAGATTGGAGACATGAGAAAGAGGGATGTACAATCTTAATAAATTAGAGTTCAAGACAGAATAGTGTAGAGGAACAGTGATTTTGTTTAGTTTATGTGCACATGAGGATTAGGAAATTAAATGATATATATGGTTTGGAGAATGGAGAAATTTCAAAAAGGAGGTAAAGCTTCAGACAAACCTGGGCAAATGGATGAGATTGGGATGGAATAGGCAAAGAAGAATGTACAGTGCTTTCAGAGAAGGGAGTATGTTGAGGAGCGAATTGGCATTGGTGGCTGAACAAGATATTTAAGCTATTGCCAAACTATAATGGAAGTTCTGAATTATGAGATGATGGAAGAAAAAGGTCAGTAGGCCAAATGGTGCTGGATTATGTAAAGCAATATATAATAAGAAAAAGAATTCGATCTATTCAGAGTAAGGTGTCATTATAAGTTAAGGAGTAGAACAGGGATGGTAAGATAAAAAACATTTCTGAAAATAAATGTGTCCACAGCGTACGCAGTGATGCCTGAACTAAAAAGGGTGTAGGGGTGTGGGGCTGAGTTGTTTTACATCATAAGGACCTGAACCGAGAAGACAGTAATGAGACTGGAGAAAAGGGTGTGAAACTTTTGAAAAGTAAAACCATAGTGTGATAGTTAATTTCTTGTGTCAACTGGAGTGGGCTACAGGTTGCCCAGATACTTGGTCAAACACTACTTAGGGTGATACTGTGAGGGTGATTTTAGATGAGGCTGACATTTAAATCAGTAGACTGAGTAGAGCAGATTGCCCCCTTTAATGGGGATGGGCCTCATGCAATTGGTTGAAGGCCTGAGTAGAGCAAAAGGCTGACCCCCCTTATGTAAGAGAGAATTCTCTTGCCTGACAGTCTTTAAACTGGGACATTGACCATTACTGGTTCTGCAGTAGCCTTCTGGCTTCTGACTCAAAACTGGGAAATCAGCTCTGCAGCTTTTGGACTTGCCAGACCCCTTAATCATGTGAGCCAATTCCTTATAATCAGTCTCCCTTTCTTTCTCTCTTTCTCTGGAGAACCCTGACTAATACGCGTAGTATATGGAGACTGACTAGATATGGGAGCCACAGGAGTTGAGAAAGGAATTAACAATTACTTAGGAATGGGAATGGAGAAATTGAAAAGGGCAGTCAATTTTGATGGAAAATATATTTGGTTTTGATTTTGTTGACTCTGAAGTGATATTGGAGATTCAAGTTAAATTACTGTAAGCAGCTGTAGTGAGGTAGGTAGCTTGTGTGGGTGAGGCTGGATGTTGCATCTTTGAATCATCTACAAGTAGGGCAAAAGAAGTTACGTGACAGAACAGAGTTCACAGGTGAATGAGAGAGACAAGCATAGGCAAGGATTTGACTGAGGTTCTTCAGGTGGGAATTATGGGGCTAGAGGAGAAAGATGAGCCAGTGTATAAAAATATTGGTGGCAGAGCTCTCTTGACATTGGTTTGTCAGCCTCTTGCACCAGAATGTAAGCTCCATGAGGCCAACAATTTACTCAGTCCTTTTTCCCTAGCTTTAAGTGTTGTACTTCAGATATTTGAGATTTGTAGACATTGTTTTTTCTTCATTTTCCACTTGAGACAAAGCCTTTTAAGGAAAACTGAACCAGGAATTAGGATTTATTTGCTGTAATCTTGACTTTGCACTTAGATATAGAGACTGAGGTTTGACTTTTTAATTCCTAGGATTTTGACTCCTTTTTCAAAAAATGAGGAGATTGGATTAAGAATTTGTAGGATTCCTTACAACTCAAAAGTTATGGAGAAAAATATCTATAGGCTGAAAATTGTTCTAAGCTGCAAAAATGGCCTTGAGTAACTTCAGAAAATAAACATTAAAGCAAATCATCTTTTATATCCCTTTTTTGAATGTTTTATTTATTTAATATCAATCAAAATACTGTAATAGATTAAATAAATCAAAACACATATAATCTTGTCTAGAAGCAGCTTTGGACTAAAAATTTTCTTCGCAAAATATTAAAGGTGTGACTTTTAAAGAAAATCTCTTAATACAGGACCTAACCCCATTTTATATAGCATTAAGTTAATATAACTGTAAAAAAGAAAAAAATATAAGCAGCATTTTTCTTTTAATATCAACACCATAGAGAAATTTTGGTTCTTATGGAAATTTTATTCTATTACAAATCTTCCAACTGTAAAATCTTCTCTTAGAGTTGATTATGTAATTGAAAACAAAGGGAAGAATCAGTGGCTCAAATGGTCCTGTGTTTACCATACTTCATTCAAAATTCTCTTGCATCTCCTCATATGTTTCTAGATATGTTAACATCATACAATCTCACAATATCCATTTTTAATTTATGCAAGAATACTTTCTGTTTTGAATAGCACATTATTCTAGGTTATATCCAATGTCAGTTTTGGGTATTTGATCAATATGTGATGGTTAAATTATAGATGGCTAACTTTTTTTCCTAATTGTACAATTTGAAATATGGTGAATTTCCAAAAAATAGTTTGGAGAAAATATGAACTCTATTTTAAAAATGTGCATGTATGTTGATATCATGTATTTGACATAGAAACTGTCAAACAGAAATAGATGTCATAAACTTTAATTCAAAGGCATTAGACTACTAGCACTAACAACCAACATTTTTTTTTTATCAAATAGAACTTATTTTGCCCCCAGGATCATGCGTTGTTTTAGATATTAATTAACATTATAATTGTCTTCTCACTTTCTGGTATGCAGGGGTACTCTCCATGACCAATCTTTGTCATTTATCACCTATAGTGTAAAATTTCCATCAGGAAACAATCTTCTGCCTTGAACTACCAAAGTGCTGATTTTGCTTTTTGTCATTAAGTTTTTTGTTTGTTTGTTTGTTTGTTTTAATTTGCTTTAGAGCTTCTTTATTGAGGACAACTAACAGTTAAGAGTTTTCTTGGGGAATAGTGTCACAGCAAGAATCACACATAGACTTTTCAGATACAATTCTTCTATCTCCAAAGTAATGCTAGAAATATTGTTGATTTACAATAGATATAATTTAAAATTATTTATTTTTATTTTCCACAGATCCCAATTTCTGGATTTCTTGTGAAGTTTAATAATTTATCCTTGGATTCATTTTATTTTTGTTTATATTTATATAGAAGGCATTTAGCCATTCATGTTGATCAGCTGACCTCTTAGTTCCATTTGTATAATGTAATATCTGGTTATATAAACCCAAGGATCTGCTGTTATTGTTTGCTCTGCAATCTGATAGATAAGAGATTAAAATAGGGTGGGTGTAGTGGCTCATGCCTGTAATCCTAATGCTTTGGTAGGCCAAGGCAGAAGGATTGTTTGAGGCCAGGAGTTTGCGACCAGCCTGGGCAACATAGTGCGACCTGTCTTTACAAGACATAAAAAAATTAGTTGGGCGTGGTGGCATGCTGAAGTCCCAACACTCTGGGAGGCTGAGGCAGGAGGGCTGCTTGAGGTCATGGTTTCAAGACCAGCCTGGACAACATAGTGAAGTCATGTGTCTACCAAAAAAAAAAAAAAAAAAAAAAAAAGGCTGTGCTTAGTGTTGCACATCTGTAGTCCTACCACGCAGGAGGCTGAGATGGGAGCGAGGATTGCTGGAGCCCAGGAATTTGAGGCTGCAGTGAGCTATGATCACACCACTGCCCTCCAGCTTGGGGGACAGAGTAAGACCTTGTCTCTGAAACAAAAAACAGAGAGAGAAAAAAAATAATAAGATGTATGTATTCAGAAACATAAAAAAGCAAGAGTAAAACTTTTGTGACAACTTTGTTCCATTTATAAGTCACACTAATGACTGATTTGCTTCTTAGTAATTTTCCATTTGTAACATTTTGTACCTGGATACACAAATGTAATGCAATTGAACAAGAAAACAATTATCTGTCTGCTGGAAATAATGTACTTATCTCATTGAAACAATTGACTTGTTTAAAAATACACAGGTCTGTTCAGACTGCAGTTACCTGTAATTTGTAATGAATTTCCAGGAAGAATTAAAATCCTCTGATGTAATTGAATCAGTAGTTGAAAACACTGATTGTGAATGATAAATTTCCATGCATAATTCCCCTCTTATATAAACCTCCATTTGGAGCCATTTTAGATTTGAGAGGTTTTTTCAATATTCTATGAGTTTTGGCTGGATCCCTGGAAAACTTCACTCAAAGGCTGTATCTTCCAGTGAAAGCTTCATGTTGACTTGTGGGTTCTGTGTCAGTGGAACGTTTCAGTACTTTTTGGCCTGGCTCAAATGTTTCTTGGCATTTTCTGTGGAGTTTGGCCCAACCAATCTATAGTATCACATTGGACTCCAGATAAACCCTAAAAGCCGTAATTCATCCGCAAGCTAATATGGGACTTTATTGGGGTTTGGTAGTAGACTAACACCATCGAGCAATTGGGAGTTCAACATTATGAATGATATTTCTAAGGACATATCTATCTGAAAAATCATACAAAGAGAAGCTACTTTTCCTTTAGCCCAGCACTTATTTTTCTCAGAGGTCTCTTTCACAGAGGTCAATGTCCTATTTTAATTCGTTATTATAATTTTTTCCCTCCTCAGCAGTTTCTAAACCTATTGCAGATCAACAGCTTTTTCTTCTTTCTTAAAGTGAGATGGCTCTGGCTCTTGGCTGACTTCAGTCTTGTGATGTGGGACTGATGTGCGTTTTCATTTTTCACTTTGAAGGTGCTGCCAAAGCTAGTTAATTTTAGTTATACCATCATAGAATGCTGGAGCCTGTAGGTGCCCTAGAAATGGTTTGGTACAGCCTCCTCGTTTTACACATAAGGGGAGCCAGGCCCAGTTCCTTAGTTCTCACAGGAAGCTACGGCACTGTTAGGATGGAACTCGTGTCCGCCTCGCAACAGAACGGGTCTCTGCAAGTCTATCCGGCTGCTGAAAGATCCACTCCCCATTCCCAGTCTCAGATTTTGTACCTCTGGGTAGTTTTCCTCTTTTCCTTAAAGCTTTTTAAATGTAGCTCCCCATATGTTATATTAATTTGGGAAACCAGCCAACAAATTAGTTTTACATTTGTTAGGATTCTAGGGTGTTATTTATGATACCATTCTCTTTGTGTTCTGAGTCACTAAGAAATAAATATAGGAACAAGACAGAGATCAAAATAATAGCTTCATTATAAACAGTGTTAAATTTTAGAACACATAGTGGACCCAAGGTGGAAGCCAGCTTCTTATGCCTTTAACAGTCCCCTACTGAGCTTAGCCACTCAGTCATAGAGAAGTGTGCAACTGCAGGTTCCTGGTCCAGCCCTCATCTGCAGGGCCCACCCTCAGGGAGGACTAGCTGAGCAGCACCTCTGAGAGACTCCAGGAACCAAGGGCCTCCTGCCAAGGGAAGGGCCTCTTTCTCAAGTCTGGCCAAGTAGAGCAGTCCATACCCACTCATGGAAAGCAGTGTCCTTCAATGGCTCACCTTCTGGTGAGTGTTTCTCTTTCCTTCTTTTCTCTTGCTTTAGCATTCCTGTTTCACACTGGTATTCTGAAACCAATATTAGTATATTTCTTTTCCTTGTAAGATGAGTTATTTTCCCATTATTCTCCTGAATAGAGTTGAAAAAGCAAAGGTAGCAAAATCAGCCTAGGCAACTGATTATTTACAATAGAGAAAAATAAATGAAGAATTAAGTAGCCGGTAATGAGAGATGGCACCATGGGAACGTGCTCAGAATACTTCCCAGTAATGGAAGATGAATAATTTTTCCTGTTCTCTCCTGACCAGGCCATTGTTCTCACATTTTTAAGAAGAGAAAGTTGGGAAAGACTTTTACCTCTCTGTTTACATCTTTGTTTAAGCTCTAGACCTCTGCCAGCACCCACCATTGTATTTTGATAAATATATTCTCAGCCATCTATAGGTGGATTCACATGATCTTGTTTTGCTTTCATTTTCCTGTGATTTTGAATTAAGTAAAATTTCAGATCACAGAACTCTCTTGGAAATTTTAGTTGATTCATGTAGGTAGGTTTCTATAGGTTTCACTATTTCATTTTGTTCCAGATATTTTTCCAATGTTTATCTCTTTTTTTAAATCTTCTACATTAGCTTTCAAGATACTTACTTATGAGAGCCCAGATAATATTTAAGTTTTCTTCATATTAAGGGATTTTTTTTTCCTTCAGATTTCTTGCCTTGTGGTGCATGTTGCACAGACACTTGTACTTAATTCAGAGGTAAATGAAAAGTAATTTACAATTCTAATACTCTTGATACTCATACTTTCTCCTTTACTGTTTTTATGCTTGCAGGTTTCACTTCCTTTTAGTAGGTTGAGGGCCATTTAGATAAAAAAGATACAGAATTGCAGACTAGTAGATTTAAGAGTTTATGTATTATGATTTAAGTTGTTAAGATTTAAGGTGTTCCAGTAGCATACTTGGAGTTGAAATCATGATTATTAAGATGAATTCTTTTTGCGTGAGCAGCTTAACAGACTTCTCTTGAATCACCATAATGTTTTTGCTTCATGGGCATGTCAAGTATCTGTTATAGTGGAACCTGAGAGAGGTCATACAGGAAATAGCATAGAAGTTGTCACAGTACACCTGGAATGATGCTCAAGTGGTTGCCATGGGCTCAGGAGCCATTTGCCTGGGTTGAAACTCAGCTCTTCATTCCTTTGTTTCAGTTTGCTCATCTGCACAATGGGCATACTAATTAAGATATCTACCTCGAAAGTTCTTGTGAGGATTAAATGGATGAATATATGTAAAGCAGTTTAAACGAGTGTCTGAACATTATATATGCTTTATAAATGTGAGCTGTTAAAACAGTCCCCACGTGCCTAATTGGGTGAATAGATCAGGGTTCCTCTGTGTTTTCAAGTGTTTCTCTCAGTACACTATTATTTAGGAAAAATAGACTAAAAAGATATTGTCTGAGGTGTTACTGGCTGATATTTTAAAAGGTGAACCATGCATTAAAAGATTGTGAGTCTAAATTTTGTGTAATTTAATATTAATAAATAACCTGACTTCTTTGATGGTCTACGTGAAATATGAGGATTTCAGGCACTTTGTTTCCACAGCCAAACCGTGTATGTTGTCTTCATTACTGGCACCGATTTTGGCATTTTGATTTTTAAATTATTTTGTGCAGTTTTCACAGTTGCTCCCATTAGAGGGGAAGTATTGAGGAAGTAGTCTTCCAGTTATTGACAGATCTTAAGAAGCATAAAATGGTTTGGTATTTTGGAGAAATGTAGGATAATATAAGACCCAGAGGCATACTATTCCAAGTAGAAAATTTCATCATATAATGCATTTATATGTATGTGGTATATGTGGGTAGGCAAATTCCATCATGAAAGGAATAATGAAGGAACAGTTTTGGGGCAACCTAAAGTTTTACTTTAGTTTGTATAATAATTAACTCAGCTGCATAAATGCCAGGAAAATAATTAGAACAACAGATTATGTTGAATGCCTAAAAAAATGTGTTTAACAACTTTTAATTTTCTTTCCTCCCACACACCACTTCCTAGTTTGTTTCTGGCACACCAGTTGTGTCTCAACACAGCGGCTGATCTGGTAGAGTTGTGTGAACACCTGTGATTGTGGCAGAACAAATTTTCTCCTTCTGGTTACATTTATCGAAAGTAAAAGTAGAAGGAGCACTGTATTTTGGAGGTAATGTAGAGATATAGGGGATAGCCTACCTTTTCTCCAAAGCTATGTATGAGCTTTCAATGTTTTGAAAGCTCATGCATACTGAAGCGTGTGTCCACATGGTGAATGTAAACAAACAAAAGCTGATTGTAACCATCTTGCTTTTCCTAGTTAGATATCAATGGGCTACTATTGGTCAGAGAAACAAAGAGGGACCTCCATTAGTGGGGAAAGGTAAAAAAAATTTAGTGACAGTGAAAGTTTTAAAAATAATATATATTTTTTCTGTTTAAGATATTCCATTATATTTATGACGTTATGAGATTCCTTCAGGAGTGGTTGTTTGATAATCTGTAGTTTACTTAATCATTCCTATGGTGTTACAGACAGATTTATAAAGTTTTGCTATTACAAATTATGGCACCACAAATACCTATTTGAATCTGCCTTTTTTTTTTTTTTTTTTGGAATTATTTACTCAGTTTAAAATTTCTGGCCTGATGTTATTAGGTTAAAGGCTTTGCATATCTTTGTAAGTCAAAGGATGTAGATTTTAACAAATGGCTTTTCAAGTGCTTTGCCAAATTGCTTTCTAATATAAATATATAAATTGTTAACAATAATGTATGGGTTTTTCAGTTTCACTTTTTGAGACCCTGAACAGTGATCGTTGTTGCTTTTTTAAAATAATTTTTTGTATTTATTCAATA
This sequence comes from Homo sapiens, assembly GCF_000001405.40. Classification (NCBI taxonomy): domain Eukaryota; kingdom Metazoa; phylum Chordata; class Mammalia; order Primates; family Hominidae; genus Homo; species Homo sapiens. Next base: position 18,204,595 of record NC_000007.14, read on the forward strand.
AATATAAAGTGGAACTTCAGTGTTGTTTCAGTTTGCATTGCTTTGGTAAATAAAATGCGTGTGTGTTCTTTTTTTCTTCATGTGTCTTTAATAATTTAATTTCCTGTTGTGCATGTTCATGTTTTTGAGGTATTTTTCTTCTTGATTTTCTGTTTTTCTGTCAGATTGTTTATCCCCTGTATGTAACATACAAATCAACATTTTATCTTATGTTTGATAAACATATTTCTGCAATATGTTGTTTTTTTATTTTACCATGACTATTACTTTTCTTAGTGTTAAAGCTCAAACTGTTGTAAAAGTTATATTATTTTGTTTCTTTTATTGACTCTAGGTTTAAAAAGTTGTCATCTTTCAAAAAAATATTCAATTCTATTTTATGCTAATGTTTAGTGAACTAATTTATATGTGTGTGTGTGTGTTTATAAACCCACGGATACATATATGCACAAATACACATAGGGAGTTAGAGACATTAGTATTATAATGATAGTATATGGCATACATTTTGATCCATTTTTTTCCTCAAATTACTAGCCAGTTATGTCAGCCTCATTGATTACATAGCTTTCTGTCTTCTCCTCCCCAGTTGTTTTAAATTTCCCCTTTATCATATTATTACATTCTAACATATAATTAGATATTTTACTGGGCTTTATTTTTTTATTCACTGATCTATTTCAAATTAGATATAAAAATATTTTTAAAATTTAATTCTTCAAATTATTAATGCTTGATAATATGCTTTAAATGTAGTAGGTTCAGGTCTTCTTTTCCAAAAACATTGAGCTTCTCCTGTGTTACAAACTGTGAATATGGAAATTAAAATTATACGGTTTCCCCACTCATAGTAATCAAAGTCTTGCTGGAAAAACAGACATGTAAAAATGTAATTATACTATAATGCTACAAATCCAGAATGGAGAGATGAACAAAGCACTGATAGCACCGAGGTGACAGTATATTTTTACCTTTTTCCCCTATATTTTCTAGTTCTAATGAAAGTTTGATTATGATCTAAATTGCTAATTTATTATATCTACAAAATAACTTAGAAAAATTTGATTTTTTAAAATCCTATAATCTTCTCCCTCAGGGTTATTGTCTGTTTCATCTTTTTAATTTTCTAATTAAATTCTGTAGTTTTCCTTAATGTTAAATACTGGTTAGAAACATTTCATGTTAAACATACGCATCTTATGGATATTATTTGTGACAGTCTACAGGTAATTCAGTGTTTGATTTATTTCTTTAAAGAAGCCTATATTTTGGGTTTACCATTCACAGGGAAAATCGGAGCCCATACTTTTTTATCTTTCTTTATTGAGTGTGGGGTCTCAAACATTCATTGGTAATACCTTTGGGATTTGGTAAGAAATACTGCACACAGATACAATGTAGAAATTTCATTGAGATTTTTTTAATAGTAACTTTTAATAGTTAAAATTTTGAATAGTTGCTTTTGAAATGAATGATAGGCCAATGAAAAATTTGTGTGCCATGAAAGCTATATTTTTATGAAAACCTGATTGGAATTATGGAAAACAATCTGTGTTTTATAGTCATGGAAACCTGTGACTGATGATCATTTTTGGAATGTTAATTGTAATTTCTATCATTGCAGCTGTTAATTGGTAACAAGGAGGGGATTAAAGGCATTAAGGAGTTTTGGAAAATAAAACTTAAACACACATCAAATAGCAATCATTTCTGGAATTCTGCTCATATTAGTTGTATAAACCTGACTATTAAAATATAGAATAAAGTTTATTTCATTATTCCAGTTTCTAAACTGTATATTATTTAAAAATATGTTTGTATTTACAAATTAGGTCAGGAGTAAGCAGGGCCTCAGTGACGTAAATAAATCCCAATGGAGGCTTGTCTTTGGACTTTCTCTTTTGTGTAATTCTTTGTATATACAAGATCCTTGGCCAAGATCCCATTATACAAAAGAAAAGGTGGGGATGTGGGGGAGGGTGAATATTCCCAGAGAAATTCAGCCTTTCAATTACTTGATTATTCTTGTGGTTGCAGGAAATTAAAGAATAATAAGTTTGTTTCCTATGTGAATCATAAAAAAATAATAAGGGTACACACAGGGCCATTGACTTAAATAAATGGATGGACCTTAAAAAATTCACTTTTTGGAGGGGTGCATCATGCTTTTTGAGGACACACTGAAATTTTGTTGGTAATCCCAGTTCCAAGCCTTTCAAGTTAGTTTAAGTGTAGGAAGAGGAGTGGCAGCAACTGGATAATAAATTTAGTACAAATGTTTATTTTATTTCATTTATGTATTGCCTCATTCAAAAAATGATTCGAGATATCTTTTCTTTTTTTTTTTTTTTTGTCTTTTGAGGCAGGTTCTCACTTGGTTGCCCAGGCTGGAGTGCAATGGTGCCATATTGGCTCACAGCAACCCCTGCCTCCTAGGTTCAAGTGATTCTCCAGCCCCAGCCTCCCAAGTAGCTTGGGAATTGTTTTTGTTTGTTTGTTTGGTTTGTTTTTGTTTTTGTTTTTGTTTGAGATGAGTTTTTGCCATGTTGCCCAGGGTGGTCTCGAACTCCTGAACTCAAAGCAATCTGCCTGCCTTGGCCTCCCAGTGTGCTGGGATTACAGGCATGAGCCACTGCAACTGGCCCTGATTTGAAATATCTTATAAGAACATGTTCAACTTAATAATAATAAAATGTGTATAGAAGAAAAGGTGCATTATCTGGAAAAGTATAAATAAGAAGAAAGTCCTAACTGGAAACAAGAAAATAAATATTTTAGGATCCATGCAATTTTGTTTTGATTCATTATTTTTATTTATTTATTTTTAATAAAGATAGGTTCTCACTCTATCATCCAGGATGGAGTGTAGTGGTGCAATCGTAGCTCACAGCAGCCTTGAACTCCTGGGCTCAAGCTGTCCTCTCACCTCATCTGCCCAAGGAGTCTTTTTTTTTTTTTTTTTTGATTTGAGCTTTCTAGCAGCCAAAACAAAAAGAGTGCTGTGGCATAAAAGGATAGATATAGATGCCATGTCTTTTGCCACACACGTGTGCATGCATACACACACACACACTTACATACTGTCTCTCATAATTATTTATTTATTATTAGATTTATTTATTTATTCATTTATTTTTGAGAAGGAGTTTTGCTCTTGTTGCCCAGGCTGGAGTGCAATGGCGCGATCTCGGCTCACCACAACCTCCGCCTCCCGGGTTCAAGCAATTCTCCTGTCTCAGCCTTCTGAGTAGCTGGGGTTACAGGCATGAGCCACCACGCCCGGCTAATTTTGTATTTTTGGTAGAGATGGGGTTTCTCCATGTTGGTCAGGCTGGTCTTGAACTCCCGATCTCAGGTGATCTGCCTGCCTCGGCCTCCGAAAGTGCTGGGATTACAGGTGTGAGCCACTGTGCTCGGCCTATTTATGTTATTTTTAAAAAGCAAATTGCTTTCATGTTCCTTAGGAGTGGCACAGCTATGTGGATCTCTAATTTCTAAAATAAATTTCTCATACGTATGCTTAGTAGTACTTTCGTTTCAAAGAACTAGCTTACCTGTGGGTGATTTCAGACCAACCTGTTCAGTTCTTCTGTTTGAGAGACAAATTCAAATGCTTATAGTTACCCAGATGACCACCTTTCACATTTTCTATCTCATCCTAGCTACCACTTCTCCCTTAACATCACCTGCAACAAACAAAATGACTCCCCTAATCTGAAGCCAATTTTAATTTATGGGATGGACCTAGTCATTTGTATCCAAAATGTCTGAGAGTATCTTTTTTTTTTTTTTTTTTGAGACAGGGTCTCTCTTTGTCATCCAGGCTGGAGTACAGTGGCATGAACAAGGCTCAGGCAGCCTCCAACTAACTCCTGGGCTCAAGTGATTCTACTACCTCAGGCTCCTTAGTAGCTAGGACTACAGGTTCGCACCACCACACCTGACTAATTTTTATATTTTTTGTAGAGACTGGCTTTCGCCATGTTGGCCAGGCTGGTCTCCAACTCTTGGACTCAAGCAATCCACCTGCCTCTGCCTCCAAAAGTGTTGTGATTACAGGCCTGAGCCACTGCACCCGGCCTGTAATATATTTTAAATTGTAAACAAAGTTATCATTGATAAGATATAGAAAAAAATTTAAAAAAAAATTTTATCTAGCTGTCAATGAGAAGGAAAGCAAGCTAAATAATGAAAATTAAATTAGCATGAGGAAAATGAAAAATAAAGAGAGACTGGAAGATACCACATAATTATGTGGCTCATAAGTCTAAGAGTTTTGAAATAATAATTGAGTCAGGAAAAGACTTCTGCCTTACTCATATGTGCATTTTTTGCATTTAATATTTTATTATATACAACTTAATTGTCCCTTAGTTAAGTCCTAATCCACTGAATAAACAAAAGTAATTAGTCAACATACCTTGCTTAGCAGCTTTACCTTTTTCAAATTTTATTTTGTTTATTTATTATGTCATTTCCAAATTCCTGTGGGCCTTTTGGTCTGTAATCTCCATAAACCACTGTAGGCATAGACATTTTAATGGAAAGGGCTAGTGACTTTTCTGGTTTTGTGACCTTTTACATTCTGATTCAACAAAACTTTATTGGTCACCCGCTTATATAACAGTCACTATGCCAAGAGATTTTTCATACCTTATCACATATTACTTTCCATAATAAACCCATGAGGTAAATACTTTATGGTCCCCATTTAATATAGGACACTGCTAATAAGCCTCAGGGAGAAATGAGCCCAGATCACATTGCTAGTAAGTGCTAAATTTTGGCTCAAACCCATCTTGACGCTTGAAGCCAGTGTTCTTTCTATAGCCATATCTCTTGCTAAGTACTTCTGACTTTTACTTAAGATATAGTCTTCTCTTTGATTATTAATTACTCTGGTGTGAACTGTGATCTTTTATGAAATCTAAGACTGCTACTATTATCCGGGCAAAATTGTGGAATTGAATCATTGAGATGCTGATTGAATTGTTGTTGATGGTTCAACAATTTTGAGATGAGACAGATCAAATTTTCCTTTATTGAAATCAGAGTGGTTGGAGCTTAATAAAAAAGCAGAACATCTTAAGGTAAAAGAGCAGGTACTTTTTTCTTTTTTTTTTTGAGACAGAGTCTCACTCTGTTGCCCAGGCTGGAGTGCAGTGGTGTGATCTTGGCTCACTGTAAGCTCCGCCTCCCAGTTTCACGCCATTCTCCTCCCTCAGCCTTCAGAGTAGCTGGGACTACGGGCGCCCGCCACCACGCCTGGCTAATTTTTTGTATTTTTAGTAGAGATGGGGTTTCACCATGTTAGCCAGGATGGTCTCGATCTCCTGACCTCGTGATCCGCCCTCCTTGGCTTCCCAAAGTGTTGGGATTACAGGCGTGAGCCACCGCGCCCGGCCAAGAGAAGGTACTTTTTTTTTTTTTTAACACTGACATTAGTTCTCTTTTTGACTGCTAAGGATAACTACAAATGATACATTCTGTAAACCTTTTGTCTGAAATAATAAAGAAAGTGAAGCACAGTAGGAATTCTTTAAAATGTTGTCTTGTTCATTGGGCATTTATTGGGTACCTAGTATAATCCAGATATTCTGTGGTGTTCTGTGATACAACCTTAAATAAGACAAGACATAGATCTGGCTCTCAAAATATTTATAGTCTAAGGGGGAAACTTTGAATTTATAATTAGATTGTTAATTTTCAAAAATTAAAATTCAATAAGTTGCTTATTAGCGTCATCGGCTTTGGAAATTTAACACTTTTCTAATGAAGAACATAAGTTCCAGTTAAGAGGGTTTCCTATTTCAGACAATGTAGAATAAATCAGCTTGTTCCATAACTTTTAATATTTTTCAAATATAACTCGCATTTTACCTTTAGAACTAAAGATATGTCGAGAAGAGTTCATTATAATGTAATTGAGTCACTTACCAAGCCTATTTTAAAACCAGTTACTTCCTTTTCTTACTTTGCACTCTGTGACACATAGACTTCCAGAATCAGAGAAGTATTGTTTTTGTTTTTAGGCACTTGCTATATTATGTGGAACCAAAGCCAAGTTAATATGGCTAAGTAATTTTCAGTTCAAGGTAGGATATTAGATAGAAATTCTCTTTTCTACTTCTAGATTTGGACATGAAGTAGCTTTTCATGTTATAAAATGACAAATTTTATTTATTTGTAATGAAATAATCCCTTTTATTTATAGCCAAGTTCATCATTTTAACACTTAATCTTCCATGACAGTCCGGAGGAGAAGAAACTTGGCAACCATTCATTATTATCTGTTTTTATCATCAGAAGGTATTTATTTGTAGGGGGAGTGTAGAAATGATGTCAAGGGTAGGACATTTTTGTACAGGACGGCCTTTCCTTTGGAGTCATGATGGTAAATATGACCACAGTTACTTAAAATGCATGCAAATAGTTACCAGTCAAGATGTATAAAGTTCCCTGGAAACTCAGAAGCATGTGATTATAGCTGTGGAATGAGAATGCCTAATAATAAAAGGAGAAAATGTCAGTTTTGGATTAGTGATTTAGGAATCCCATCAGTGACTATCTAATCAGCAGCATTTCACCCGTTGTTTTACAAAGCTCTTATTGAGCTGTGCTTCCATACCTTTGGGCTTGTATGAAGATCTGCTCATCATAGAAGCCCACTTACCTATAGTTTCAACATGACAAATCTGAGCTTAAACACAAATTAGAATATTTAGGCCCTGAGGCTATTTCTTGGATTTAAATATAGCACATAGTAGGTGAACTTTGAGCTTGATAATGCTGTGGTACAGTGAGAGAAGGCCAGTGTCAAGGATATCTGAATTGATTTGACCTTTTGTCCTTGCATGTGAAAATGACGTGCTTCTGTAGAAGTCTATATACTCATGACTTCCTTCTAAAATGATTATTGTACAGTATTCTATGGACATTTGATTTGATTCTTCTCACAAAATTATCGAGACATCCACTAGTGTCTACTTAATTGATGGCAAACAAGAAGAAAACTGTAATCTGGAGATAACTAGGTAAACCACATATTCTACATCTGTGCCTGGATAGAATGACTTTTGTGGTTATGTATGCAGCAAACACTTTTGAGTGCTGGTCATTTCCCTAAGCTCTGAGAATGCAAAAGTGTGCCGTGTCCATTGTGATTATTGTGGTGAATACAGAGTGTTGTGAGAGTAAATAATGTGGAGGGAGTGAGAAAAGCCTCCTGTGAGGACATTTAGCTGAGAAGGAAGGGTAAGGAGGAGACTTAAGAGGGCGTCAGAAGTTCTGGAGGGAAGGGGAGAGTGGGAGTTTGAGGGACAAATGGCCGTCATGGTGGAGTGAACGAAGGGGAAAGTCACCTGGGATTAAGGATAAAGAGAATTCTTGAGTAACTAAAAAATTGATTTGTTCACGTTGCTCAGTGATTCTCTGACTGTGTTTCTTTGGGGAGAGGCTTATAAAAATTAGAATGTCCAAGTCTTCATAGCTATCTAAATGTTTTCTGCATGTTTCTGTCCAGCACCTATGTCTGACTTCATCCCAATTTGATGATTAGGATGATGATAAACAGGATGATGAATAATACAACTATGGAGATTTAAATTAGAAGAAAAAATCTTCTTTATCTTTTTTTATTGTAAGATTTATTAATACAAATCTGTATTGTTATTCAGTTCTAGAATGTTCTAATATGCTTCTTCCATCCAAAGTTATGATTACTTCTTTACCTCATATAATATTATTACATTTTCTTACAATAAAATACATTTTTAAAATTCACTATTAACCCTGTCTGTGATGAGACAGCATAATCTTGTGGTTAATATTAGCTCAGGCTCTGTAGCCAGAAAATACGGGTGTGAATTCTTGTTGCGTCATCAAAGATACAGATGTGAGTCCTGGCTGTATCATTCACTGACTGTTTACATTTAATATGTTATTTAGCCTTCAAAACCTTTGTTTACTCATCTGTAAAATGGGATAATAATTGTACCAGCCTCCTAGGATAGGTAAGATGTTGCAGTGAAGTTTCTTGTTACGATGTATTTCCTTGATTATTTCATAAGACAGAGGAGGCATCTTTTCTGTGTTCCTCCCTTGAGATACTAAAATGGCCAGGGAGCAGGTAAGTTCCAAAGATTAGGTTTCAGACTGTCATATACAACTTGTAGTCCATCTGTGCAGCTGGAGACTAAACCAAAGTGTCACATAAACCTTTTCCTAATCAAAGTGGTTGTTCATTTATTAATGTAAATGCCCTGTGCCTTGGATGTGTGAGTCCTAAAAATACACTTCCAGGGATAAAAATAGATTTCTGGGAGTTCTGAGATGCTGCTTAATCAGAACCAGCTGCAAGCTGTCTAGAAAACGCAAGTTATATGAGCCAGATGGCTTTTGCCCTTTTTGCTTTAGACAGCATGTAATTTGGATAACTACAGCTACAGTAATACATTTTGCCAGTCACAGTGTTTGATAAACATGTTTGTTGAGAACAGCCACTTCCAATTAGAGACCCAGTAAAATGTTAATTTATTTTAATAAATTTTCCCTCTAGGGCAAGACAAAGAATACTTTTGACAGGTTACAGAAATATCTGTTCATGGAACAGAGTACTGTTCAAAAGTTATTGTATGCCAGTGATTAATTTTTCAATTTGGCATTTAGAGAATGATGAGCAGTATTCATGACCTCCCCCTCCATTTTTCTCCTTACAACCTCATGTATATATAAGAGACCAGGATTTTTCATATTTGAAATTATGTTGCTTTACGTGTAGAAAGATGGTTTAGCTAATTTTTAACTTTCTTCTACCCATGTCTAATTACTATAAACTCTGATAATAGTTACTGAATTATTGCTTGCTTACAGATGCTTATTAATGTGGTAGTTCTTGGGATTTTTCTTTTATGATCGTATTCTTTGAGAAGAAATTTTCTCTGTTAGTCTTATGTAGCCATGACTGATTTTCATCAGCTGAGGACTGCAAACGTAGTCACTGATATTGGCTGAATTCTAATTTTATTCAGCTCCTATTCAGACAAAATAGTAAAGCTAAATGTGTAAGCTATTCACACTGTAAGACCTAAACTCAGATACAGCCTACTTTTAGGAGATGTGAAACTATCAATTCTTCCATTTTCACTGGTGGCACCACTTCTTGGAAAAGCGTATTTAAGCCCTGGTTTCCCATTACAGGAATTGAAATATTCTGTGCTTTATTTCTTGAGACATGTCTACCAGGCATCATGTAACAGACTGTGAAGTACCTTTGAAGGATCTCTTGAGTCATAATTTTTCCATAATTCCAGTCCTTCCAGCTTTGTAAGTTTAGTAATCACCCAGCAGTTGTTTTTTTCCTTCCCCAGTTTAAGAGGAGAGGGTATTTCATTTCCAGGATAAGTGATATTAGAACATAAACATCATTATAATAGTAGCTACAGGTTTATTTACTCTTACCAGGAACTATGCTAATCACTTTATACATTATTGCATTTAAGCCTCACTACAACATAGTATTATAAGGTATATATTTTTATTCTGTTTTGCAGATAAGGATGTCACTATTAATATAACATTTTTATATTAATAGAGTATAATTGTTCTAGAATTATCACTAGAATGATGATTATTCAACATCATACAGAAAGTATTACAGCCAGAATTTGAAGCTACTCTTGTATTAATGGTGTGTCTGGCTCAGGATCTTTAATTCCACCCATTAAGCTATGAAAATTGGCATTTGACCTAACTAGGGCTGCTTTTTCAGAGGTAAATGCATGCCTCTGGCCATCTTCATATACTTCAAGGAATTTACAGTATTGCTTCTTAGCATTTATTTTAAGCTCAGATTGTATGTGAAAGAGTCTGATCTCTCTCATCCCACCTTGTTAGATGAATTATAACTGATGTGCTTTAAAAATAATTCATACTGCTGGGGAAAAAATCTCACTTTGATGCTTTTCCAGTATATAGTTAAGAATTACACTGATGGGTAGTAATTGAAGAAATTGGTAAGCACTTGTGTGATATGAAACAGCATAGGAAACTTATATATAATATATGATAGCCATTATATATAAGCTTATATATAATGTGTATAACATTTACAAAAGCAAAATAATACCTTTATGTTTTTATTTAACAAAGTGAGATAAATTCATTAGTGAATGCAGCAGGGCATACCTGCAAATTCTGTCATAGGTAGCAGGAAATAAAGCAAAGCATTGTTTATAAAAAGACCTCTTTGTTATGGTTCTGTCCACTCAAAGCAAACTGATGGGGGCATGGAAAAGATCTTATTACTTTTGACTATTTTGGAAGAGCATACTGTTGGTATTATTTTCATTTGCAGCTATAAAATGGTACTTCTTGAAAGATACCATAAAATAATAGAACAGTTTATACTTAAGTACTATGGTATGATAATGGGCTTATGCTGTTTGTTAGCAAAGAGTTGGTGTTATTTGTTGTTTCTTGGAAATGAAAGGGAGAAACAGATAATATTCCTTTCTAATAAATGGATTATTCTATTCTACCCTATTCTATTAGACAATTTTATATCCAAACAATTACTGAACTCTATTTTTCATATTTCACAGAGTTGTACGCAAGATCTAGATTTGAATATGAAATCTGATACCTCCGTGGGCCAGTCGAAAAAAGCATTTTGATATCATTAGATGAGAGACATTATAGACATATTAGTTCTAGAGAAAGTCCCGGTCCTTTCTTTATGTCAAGAGATTTGTGTTAGAAAGAGCCAACAAGGCCTATGCACTCAATTAATATACATCAGTTTTCTGTTAGCATGTAAGGTCCTATAGTTGGTGTTCAAGAAAAGAACATGATACATGAAAAGTGATCTTTGCCAAATGTATCCATGTTTATGCTAATGTGGGTAAATTGTTCCTCTTTTACCATGTGAAGGATTGGTAGCTTAATAGTTTGCTTTGCTTAAATGATTTTATGTGGCAGTGTTGAGGATCTGCAGAAGTGACTGTGTCCTTGCCCTCAAAGAACTTTTGGCATTTGGCACCAAAAGGGGGCACTGCTCTCTTGTGACATAAAATGTAGTCCCCGAATAGTGGGGCTTTTGAAGGTTAGTGACTCCAAAGGAAATAGTAGATGAAAGGAAAACGTATTTACTTCATCTCATGGGGGTCTTTCTTGCCTTGGTCTTCCTGAAGAAAAGATAAGCATTGGGCTGAAAATGTTTGTTATATACCCTTGGGCACCATTGGCATATTCCAAGCTGTTTTTGTCAATCATATAAATACATATTTAGACAATTTCTGAAACATTTCTCATAAAGAAAGAAGTCATTCATCTGGTATATCATATTCATATGCATGATGGCTTTCTAGAGTTGTGTCATTTCTTCACTATGGCTTCTCTCGTCTCGCACCTCTTCAGAAGGCACCCTTCCTTTCTTTTTTCAGTAAATACCACAATTTTATTTTTAGGTGTATGCAGCATGAAATGTATGTGTGTATGTGTGTGCCTGCGTGTCTGTGTGTGTGTGTGTGTGTGTGTGAGAGAGAGAGAGAGAGAGACAGAGAGAGTTTGAGAGATAGAACAGAGAGATTGATTAATTGGTTGATTGATTAGTTGGTTAGTTGGAGCTTTTCCCAGAAAGTTTTCCAACTGTTCTTATTGGCATATTTGAAAGTTTAACAAAATCTCATTAAAGTTCATGGATTTCACTGAAATCTCTTATTTTTATTAGATAATCAGTAATATTATAAGTATACATAATCTGCCATCCCAATATTTTCAAATTTTAGTTCTTTTTCTATCGTATTGGTAAGAATGTTACAGTTTCTTCCTAATGTTGGTGATAGGCATCTGTACATCTGGTTTTGTTGGAAACAACTCTGCTAAATGTTTAATAAGGTGCTCATTGTAAGTTAAAGATAGGGAATCTTTATTATATTATAGAACTACCCTGGCCTATGCACATGTATTGAGATGACTGCATGTTATTTAGCATGCAGGGATAGGTTCTGTTTTAACATATTTTGACCTATTGATGTCGTAACTTCATTAGTAGATTACCTAGTATTAAACCATTCTGGGATTTCTGATGTAAACACAATTGGACATGTTTTATTATTATTTAATATGCTGTTGGGTTTGGAATGTATTTCATCTAGCATTTTTGCCTCTATATTTGTGATACTGAATGATAGTTTTCTGTTTTGTCAGCTGGTTTTCAGGTTTTAGTGTCAGGGTTACTAGGCCCATCACTTATGATTATACAAGTTGTACACTGCCACCTATAATATTGTCATTTGCATAGTTATTATGACAGTTTTACAAAGGAGGACAGTAAAGTATCTTGAGGAAGGGACTTTTTTTTAAAACCGTATTGACTTACCATATCAACTAGCAGAATGTAACATTCTAAAACAGATTTTTAAAAAATTCCATATTTTTCCATTCCTTCAATGTTTAAAAGAATCCACGCAAAAAATCAGTCAGGTTTATTTGACAATAGTTGTTTACTTAAATTTCTTCTAGAACTGTTCATCTCTTTAGGGTTTATATATTCTACTCAGCTGGGATGATCTTTTAATTTTATTGAACTATTAAAATTCATTCTTTAACAACCAACTATACATAATATTCTTTATAATTCTTTTATTCTTTTCTGTGTTTTTCATCCCCCTTTTGTTACTTTACTATTTTATCTTTTTCTTGAATATTAAGATTTGCCTTTTGTTTTCCTCTTTTTTCCTTCTCCAAATACTTTTGGCTTTATTTACTGGAATGTAATATTTTAGTATTTGAAATTAACAACTGTTTTTATCTTTATTATTTTTTCCTCTTGCTTTCCTTAGATATAGTTTGTTCACTTTTTTAAAAGGTATTTGCATTGAATATTTAGCTTTCTTATTTTCTCTTATTTTTTATTTTCAAAGGACCTTTTTGGGTACTTTTAAAGTTTGCTAATTTACTGTAACTGGAACATTTAATATGGAGTTGAACCAACTAACATAGGTGTGCTATCCATGTGAGAATCCTTCGGAAACATTTAGCTTGACAAATTGAAACACTGGAATTAATCTTAAAAATCTGTATTAGGATTGCATTGACAATGTCTAGTGTTTTAAAATGGCAGTTTATTCTCTGATTTTAAAAGCAGTACAAGTTATCCGTGGATATTTGGAAAATATAGAGAAACATGCTTAGCTATGTAACAATTACCCTAAAATTTAACAACTTAAAATGACAAACATTAATTTTCTCACACAGTTTCTGAGGGTCAGAAATCTGGGAGAGGTTTAACTGGGCCATTTTTGCTGTGTCTCTCCTAAAGTAGTAGTCAGGCTGTGGGCTGGAGCTGCTGTTATCTGAAGGCTTGAATGGGGCTGGAGGACCCATTTCAAAAATGATTCACTCACATGGCTATTGACTGGAGGCCTTAGTTCCTCACTGGCTATTGGCAAAAGATGTTGGTTTTTTTGCCATGTGGGCCACTTCTTGCTGCAGAGTGAGTGATCCAAGACAGAGTAAAGTGGAAGCTACAATGTCTTTTATGAACTACTTTCAGAAGTTACATACTGGCTGGGTGCAGTGACTTGTGCCTATAATTCTAGCAGTTTGGGAGGCTGAGGTGGGCGGATCACTTGAGGCCAGGAGTTTGAGGCCAGCCTGGCCAACTTGGTAAAACTCCGTCTCTACTAAAAATACAAAAATTAGCCAGGCATGGTGGTACACGCCTGTAATCCCAGTTACTCAGAAGGCTGAGGCATAAGAACCACTTGAACCTGGGAGATGGAGATTGTAGTGAGCTGAGATCACATCACTGCACTCCAGCCTGGGAGACAGGGAGAGACTCTGTCTCAAAATAAATAAATAAATAAATAAATTTAAAAAGAAGTGACATACTGTTCCTTCTACTGTATTCCATTGACCCTACTAACCAACCGTTATACAGTGTGGGGGATAATGACACAAGGGAGTAAATGCCAGAAGGTGCGGATCATTGGGCCATCTTGAAAGCTATCCACCACACACAGAAGGACATAGAAGTTACGCTTAGGTCCACCATTCAGTCCCTGTGGATCTTCCAGGTTTTTGTTTTCCCTTCCATTGCAGCAGACCATAAACATTTCTTATATTATGAAATAGTGTTCTAAAATGAGATTTTTATATGTTTGCTTAGTATCCATTTTTAGGGCATGCCAATTTATTTTACCAGTTTCTTAACATTATTTTATAATTGGGTTGTTTTGAGCATTTGACTATTATAAATTATAATATTTCTTGTCTACAAATCCTTGAGCACATCTCCTGCCATTTACCTAAAATAGATTCCTAGAAATGTTACTCCTGGGTCAAGGCATGTAAACATTTTAAGGCTTTTTACACATAATGTCAAAATATTCTGCAGAAATTTGTACCCAAATTTATACTAGTATTGCCATAACAAAATGATGCCTAACTTCTTATGTGCTTTTCAATACTAGGTACAATATTTTAAAAATATAAAGAGCCTGATAAGGAATATAGTATCTCATGGCAGTTTGAATTTTTTATTACTAATAAGGTAGGGGAATTATTTTAAGAGTCTTATTCTTGAATCTATGTAGTATTTTTCTTCTTGATTTTTAAAGGTATCTTTATCATAATTACTTTTAAAGTTGTAATTAGTTCTCTTTAAAAAAATTATAGTTTGCTTTCTTTCAAAATTTATTTCACTGGATGTTTTCATTAAGGCTATACAATGGGAGTGGTTCTGTAATGAACCTGGAAGTGTTGAAAAATAATTGAATAACTTAAGCACTTTCAAAATACCAATTAGTTTGTTGGTGACTAAACTAAGTTTCTCTAACTTACATTTTATTGATTGAACATTTGCTAGAATAATGAGTTAAAAAGTGAGAAGATGCTTTTTTTTTTACTTTTGTTGTAAGCCATCTGCCAAAATTTGGTGAGTGCTGAGGAACATTTGTCAAGGAATAAAATCATAATTGAGAGTTGTCTAGTCTGAAAAAATAATAAAAACACTCTCAGTGTTTCCATGTGATAGAATGAGAATGACTGTTATTACTTCGAAAGTTTCCTGCCCAGGACTTTCATATAACTGATGTTCTCTGTGTTGTACAAAAAAGAAAATAAATAATAGCTTGCTGAACAGTTTTCTGGATTTCCAAAAAACTTTATTTTGGTTTTTGATATTTTCATAATAATTGGTTTTAAATTTGAAAGTTGTTAAGTAAGTTTAACAGTGAGAGTGGATAGAATATGTTGTCTGGCAAGGCAGGAGCAGAGTGTAGCAGGGAGACCTTGGAATAAGGCGCTTATTTTATAGTCAACTCTGTTTCCTGCCTTGTGGCTTTGGTCCTTTCAGCCTGTTTTCTCACCTATACAAAAGGAATACATTTTGCCAGATTTGCCAGATTATTTTCAAAACTAAGTTATATAATGTACACATAGTGCCTGGCACACACAAGTGCATGATACATGTATAAAGCAACAGGAATAACTATGGAAATGTGTACTATTCTTAACATAAGTAGTTGGAAGGGGAGATCTTCACAAGACCATAACAAAATGAAAAATTCAGTGATTTGTAGGTGAACATTAAATTTATGCTATAATTCTGACCAAGAGTGTATGTGATGGGAGGGAGGGGAACAAATATTTATTTTTTGCACCAGTGAAGAGTTTTGCAATTATCGCATTGCTATAAAAGTTTGCTGAAAGATTAAAAATAGAATAATATTAGCCATGACTATTCAGAACTGAAGACCGTGCCAAACAAAGCAAGCAATAGACTAGCAGTATGAACTTTGAAACCCATAGATGTGATGAATTCTGTGGAACCAGCTCTTAAGTGTATAGATACATAGATGTTCATGATTTCACTGGGGGAGGCTGATGATCATAGGTCTTGAACTGGAATTGAAGAATGGGTTGGTTTGTACAAGAGTAAGAGAGAAGGAGTGTCATAAGCCCAGGAATAGTATGGACACCTACACAGAGACAGATAACCATGTAGTGTTTTGCTGTGAATAAATTGACCTAACCTAGAGAATCTGTGTTTGGGATGCAGTATGGATAGGAATGGTCTGATCAGAATACTGAGAACCTTAATTGTCAGGCAAAAGAGATGAAGCAAACTGTAGACCATCAGTTGAAAGGTTTTAGAGACTTTAATGTAGCAGTGATGCAGGGTCTCTGTCGTAGCTCAGATGTGGGATGCACTCTTAAAGTGAGCTCAGTAAGTCAGGAAGAAAGCAATCAGATTCCAAACACTGGAACCATAATTTCTCACTTATTTCCTACTCAAGAAGCTTTTAGTAATGTTATCTTGTTCTCTTATGAATATGTTGTTTTAAAAAGAAGAAATTAAAATGTGACATAGCTGTTGCTTTCCTTTGGTTGACCTCACTTTTACTTTTTATTTTAACACTTTATTTTTCAAGAAAACACATACTTTGAAAAATCGTATAATTATAATTCCACAGTGACAATTTCTATAATATTTTGCATTTCTATTCCTTTTTTTTTTTTTGTGACGGAGTTTCACTCTTTTTGCCCAGGCTGGAGTACAGTGGTGCAATCTGGGCTTACTGCAACCTCCTCCGCCTCCCAGGTTCAAGCGATTCTCCTGCCTCAACCTCCAGAGTAGCCGAGATTACAGGGGCCCGCCGCCATGCCTGGCTAATTGTGTATTTTTAGTAGAGATGGGGTTTTACCATGTTGTCCAGGCTGGTCTCGAACTCCTGACCTCAGGTGATCCGCCCACCTCAGCCTCGCAAAGTGCTGGGATTACAGGCACGAGCCCAATTGTATTCCTTTCTTGGAGGTGTTTCCTATGACTTATCCTGGCTACAGACCTGCTGGAAAGGGAGTAGCATTTATGAAACTCCTACATTGTATTATGCATGTTAGTCTCAGCATCCCATTTAGTCTTTACAGTATCCTTATAAAGCAGATGATGTTATTCCTATTTTACAGATGTGTACACTGAGCTTCCAGAAAATTAGATGACTGGTAAGTGTTAGTTCAGAATGCTCTGCTTTGTAACATGATGCTTCCTGAGAGAATCTGGGGAATGCACAACTTTTGGCAGGAGAAATAAGGACTAAACTAAGAACAGCAATGTTAATTTTTTTTTTATGCCTTAGAGATAGGGAAGTTAGTCTCCCTCAGAGGAATCCAACTTGATTTTTTCTGAGGGATATAATATCTAGTCACAGGGCTGTTCCTTTGCTTCCTGAGGAAGTGAAATTCACTAAATTGGGTAGTGACCTTCCATATTTAAAGATACAGTTACAGCTTGCTTTAGTAAAAATGTTAACAACCTTGGAAAATGCAAAATATCTGATCTCAAGAAGATTCTGATACCCTTCATTAATGAAAAAAGAATGTCTTGTTTCCTTTCTACTATAATGATCATGAATTTTCCATGTCACTCTAGTTCCTGAAAGAAGTGAATTAGTTTGCTAGTAGTGGGTCAAAGGTAACTTTCTCCTTTTAAAAACTATGATGAAAGGTGCGAGGTTTAGATAGTATGGGGAACTTCTGAGTTTCTAAATTATAAAACACATTTTGAAATTTGAATTATGTGCTGCTTAATCTGGTTCATAATTCTTGGTTTCAAATACTAATGGAAATGTTACTTGCAAGTTAAACCCTGAACTGAGAAACATGCTTTTCTTTATTCTTTTATAAGTGGCTCTTTTAATTGTAGTTCTTTTAAAAAGGAAGTTAACACTTAAGTATCTATTAATTCTTGACAAGGACCTTATTAAACCTAAGCAACGTGTTTTCAAAAGGGCAGGTAGCTGTTAGCTTTATGTGAGAAACTAAAACTAGGAAAGTAATTATTATGAGCTTCTTAATCTTTTATTTTTTCCAAAATAGAAATGTCCCTATTTTTTCTTATTATAAAAGGAATTGTTAAATGTTTAAAAGTATTGAAACAGTACTGGACAGTATACATTAAAAAGTGAATGTTTCCCATAATCTTACCCCCTACAGATGACCACTGATTACAGTTTAACACATGTTTTTCCAGAACTTGTTATTTGCAAATGTAAACCTCTATTGCTGTCTACATATTTAAAACATTTTAAATGGGATTGATTGTACTACATGTACTATTCTTTATTTTGCTTTTTCTTATTGAAAATTGTTGTTGATCTATTTCCCCTTCAGTAATGACAGTTCTGTTTCTTAGATTGTTGGTTTGTTTTGCTATTTTAATAACAGTATGAAGAAATACCTCTTTTGTATGTTTTTGCACACTTCTCTATTTCCCTAGGCTAAGTTCTTACAAATAGAACTGTTAAGGGAAAGGTAATGCATATTTTAAACTTCAATATATGTTCATAAACTGCTCTCTAAAAGGTTTTGCCAATTTACTCTCTTGTCAGTATTGCAGGAGAAAGTCCTTTTTGACTAACTCTTTTACAATAATATGAATAACAGTTTTTGCCAGTCAGGTGAGAAAAAAGAAATGTATTTCTTTGATTATTAGTGTAGTTGAGAAGAATGTCATATGTTTGTGGGCCTTTATGTTTCTCTCGGGAACAGATTGTTCATGACATGTACCTTGTTTTTCTTAAGGGTGTTTGTTTTTTCTAGTAATTTAAAGAGCTTTTAATATAGCCTTTGATACGTATGTTGTAAATATTTACATACGTCTTTTTCTTTTACCTCTTATGATGATATTTGTTGCACAAAATACCTAAAAGTTGACATATTTACACACATCCCATTCTTTTTTGCTTATGGTTTCTGGCTTTTGTTTGCATGCTAAGAGTAAAAACCCCGGTCAATTTTTTTTTTTTTTTTGGATGCCAAGGCACTTTATGTGCATGTTCTTATTGAAACCTCCCAGCAACCCAATGAACAGAATACTTTAGCTTCCCTTTTATAGATGGTGGGTAATCACTTATCCAAGGCTACACCGTTTTAAATGATAGTGCCATAACACAAATACAGGCAGTCAGATATCTCCCTAGGCCCAAGATTATTAATACAAACAAACAAGAAAATCTCCTGTATTGTAGCCACTGTGTTTTCTTTTTTTAATTGTTAAATATTTAATTCCTGTGGGGTTCACCTGTTTAATTTCATTTTCATTTTATACTGTTTATTTATATATGCACATGTGTCTACATGTTTCCTATATACTCTTATTATAATAATCATCATTTCTTTGTCAGTAAAACATTCTTTATTCTGATTTTAGAGTAATTTTTATATCTAAGGGAAAGTCTCCCTCTTTATTTTGTCTTTAAAACTTCTCTCGACTATTCACACATATCTTTTCTTCCAGAATCAACATGTAAAATTTAATGTACAAATTCTCCTTTTAAAATAGTCTGTAATTGCACTAATTGTAATTGCACAATTATCGTCATTACAATATTTATCTTTCTATTCAGGAAAATAGTATGTCTTTTAATTAACTTTTTTAGTAAAGCTGAATAGTTAACTTCATTTAGATTTGGGGCATGCTATTGTAGGTATATTCCTGGGTTAAATTTTGATTGTGCTCATTATTGTTCACATGTACGTATGACTGCATACCATTTTGACAGTGGGTACATGTTAAATCATTACTGTTTATGAAGTCAGTGTCCATTTTTATGAATATTATGCTAGTTCATGTCCTCTTTTTAGACATTCAGTGTTAGAGAGTGAGGAATAATTTTAATGTCTTGATGGCCAAGACTCTACTTAACCAGCTGTTGGTGACTGAAAGTCCAGTTTCCTTTAGATATGACTCATAGTTCTTGGTTGGTTCAAATTCTGGATATCAATTTAAAATTGTATTTAAAACCATAGTGGTCCTTAGGGGCCCAGAATTCTTCAAAATTGAACTGAAAGTCACATAGCAACATGGAAATAGGCAGGAAGTCACATTTAAATTCTTAGCACAAATTAACCTCCGCAAACAGGTTTGTTCCCTGCCCTGCCACCCAGCGTGGGTGCTTGTGTCACAGTAGGTTCTGGGAAGGGTTCAGTATTCTCTTGAGATTGGGAGGCACAGAAACATCACACACATTCACATGGAGGCTCTTTCCTAATCCCTCCATTACTGCTCCCTGTCTCCCATAACCAAGAGAAAGGAGGCCTTTCTTTACAAAGCGTGACCAAAGATTGTAGAATTCGAAGTTGAATGGAGAGTGTATAAGAAATTGAATTCCTAAAAGAAATATGAGGATGTAAAGTAATTACAATAATCAAAGAAGGTCAGAGGGAGGAGAAAGGATAATAAAGAGGAGGTAAATAAGAACATGAAGAACATTGAACCTTCCCTTTGTCCCCCCAAAAAAAGCTGCAGAGGAAGTTGGAGGATATAGAGGATGGATGAAAGGGGCAAGACAGTAGAAAAATGCAGCAAAGTAAAGATGATGGAAGTTTAGTAAAATGGACTGATACTTACAGGCATAGTTGGCTTAAAAAAAAACCCTCACTGATCCTTTCCTTTAAACTGCTCAGTAGCTAAATAAAGAACTTGTTGATTTCTCTCTCTTTAGCAGGCTCTTTCAGTAGTACATTTTGAAGATTTCTTCATAGAACATTAGGATATTTTACTACCTGACTGAAAGTGGATAAACAGAACTGGAAGATTTCTGCTTTGCACATTTCTGAAGCTTTATTTTATCCTTATATAGGTAAAGAGAGAAGTTATACACTGAGTATGCCAAAATGACCACATGCTTCACACTTGCACTACCTCTTTTTATGAATCTAAATTTGGAGTTTTCAAAACCTCCTGTTTAAAAATACATCCCAAAAGACTTCTGCTTATTGCACATTTTGTTCCTGTCCTGTACAACTGAGATTTTCATTTATAATTCTTTTTGGAATGTTTTTCTTTTTGTCATAAATACAAAAGGAAGCTATTGACATATAATCCTTCATTATGTTTTATGCAGTAGCATCATAATTCTCAAATTTTGAGAATATATATTTTTTCTTTCAAGTCTAGAGACAAATCTTACAAGAAAGTTTAATTATGTGTTCATGCATATACATGGAATCTTAAATATAATTGAATGAATAAAAATTAAGTTGCCACAAATTAGTTTATGCAGGCATCTTTCACTTAAAAGATAGTTTGGAGGAGAAAAAATTCACTGACAGGTTTTTCTATTATATGATTTATATTTTCCTGTTGGATTTCATGATAAAGTTACAGTTTCATTTTATCAAAGGGAAAACTTGTTCCTTGATTTTTAAATAGGAAGTCATATTCAGAGATACATTAGTCCTTTTAAAATAACATATTTAAACATAAAATAGTAATCTTATAAAATTTATTAAGTCATACTTAGAGTATTAACTGTTTTCTGTTATGCTCAATAAAAATTATAAATTAAAAATGAGGGTACCAGAAACTCTTAAAATATAATAATCTATCTCTCCTAATTTTACTCATAATATAATTCATTAACCCATTATTCCATCTTCCAAAATGCTAACTTGCCTCTTTCCAGCTATCTTGAAATGTACTTAACTGTAACATATCTATACTTTAATGTATGTCACTGAATAAGATAAATTTAGAGTATGTGAAGTTTAAGGCTGAATGTTTTGTGGAATTGTTCTTTAAACTAACCCAAAATACCACCTTTAGACTGCTATAGCTGATACTGGAGCATGTTTCTTGTCTCAAGGAGCAAATAATCTTTCTAATATTAAACCCCAGAATCAGAGAGATGTACCCATCCAGTTTTGGGAGTGGTGGACAACTGCAGGCTCCCCTGCAGGGAAAAGACTTGGCCCCTGTGAGACATACAGCACCTGGAGGTTGAGCACATGCTCCCTGTAGGTGAGCTAACTCCCAGGAAAAAAAAAAGGGATAGAAGAGGCAGACTATACATTGCCCTTTTTAAATCTACCAGGTCAGTCACTCCTCCTGGAAGAATAAGTGTCACGCTAGTAGTGCTCCTTCCATAAAAAAAACTAAAGGAGTGGGGAAGAATCATTCCCTCCCATAGCAATAATGATGTGTGTAAGACAGAGTTGATGAAAAAGGAAGTATGGAATATGGTGGGAACATAGCCTAGCCTAGGGGTTCATTGGAAGTGATATTTCAGCTGAAGGAATAGGGAGTAGGATTGAGGAAGGTGGGTTTGGGCAAGAAGAAAGATGTCTTAACACATCTGTGGAATTTACAGCAATTCAGCATGGCCGGTTACAGCCTAGGCTAAGAGACAGAATCTGGAGTGATATAGCAGGATATGTAGGCAGTGACCAGATCTCAGAGTGAGTTGTGAGTCAAATTCAGATGAATAAAGGGCAACAGAAACATTTGAAGGGTTTCAAATAGAGCGATGACAGAATCAGATTTATGTTTTGAGGGGACAATCATTCTAACTGTAATTTGGAGGGAAGCAAAGCTAGAGAGAGGAAGATCTATTAGTGGTATGCAAGGAAAGGAGGTTTGTGGGAGGGGACGTGTAGATTAGTATAGTTTTATAAATTTTGCCCTTGAAGAGCAAGACATTCAAATAAAGTTGTTAAGAAAGTTAGATGGGTGCATACACATAAGTCTTTCTGTGAATGCCTTTTATTTGAAATACTGATCAATGGGTTTATGTTAAAGCTAGGGTAGCCATAAATTTAATTAGCCTTCTCCCATTTTGATAGAGACTTTGTAATCCTTCTGAGTATTTTCTTTAGTTTTCTGATGAATCCACTTATTTAAATAAAATTATTCAGTTAAAAATTTTTTTGAAAGAATATAAAAATTCGCTGTTTCCTGCCACTGTTTACTACAAGATACTGTTGATATGTGGTAAGTGTTCTGGTTTATGGGAGGAGAAAGGAAAGTTTAAGTTCATTTTTGGGAAGACACATTTCCATTGACATTGAACTTGCTAAAATTGCATGATCACACACAAAGTGATTGCACAGCAATTTTTTTTTTTAGTTGCTGCCAATATACAACTATTTAAAGGCTGGACTATTTCAAAAGATAATAATTTGTTATCAACATTCTTAGGTGCAGATAAAGAGCCTGGAACCATGTCTGGTAAAACCCTTCCCAATTTACACCAGAAAGTCTTTGGCAAAGGTAATCTTGTGCTGCTTAGCTGAAGGCCCTTCAGTATCAACTAATAATGTAGCCTGCTGCCTGCTGTCATTTTTTCACTATTAGAAATATTATCATATTACTATTTTTGTACCTTTTGTGTAATGTTATAATAGCTTCTAAAGGTTTTCTCCTAATATTTTGAGAACTTTTGTTTGCATTCTTGATTTGAAACAGTGTGACCTGTTAGTGCCTATCGGATGAATTATACTCTTTGAATGTCTCTTTTTCTAAGCCGCTGTGCTAATACACTTTTTATTCATTTTCCCCTGTGTTATAATAACTATGTTTAAGTCTCATGGCAATCTTCTTTAGTCTATATATGCTGAAAAGATTTATTTGCATTTCTATCCAGAATAAATCAAAATAAATTTTGCTGGAAATGGCATCATGTGAATTGAGTTTCTTTAGCTTGCAATTTTTAATCATTGTGCTTTATCTGGTGGAAATGTTAATGTTTAGTGGCAAAAGAATTGTAAACAGTGTTTAACACACCTTTAGTCACAGACACTTTCATAGAATAAAGGGGGTTGTTTAATACTCCAAGAATTACTATTCTTATTTGAATTTTATTTCTATTGTTGCCAAGTCATTTTTTAAAAAGAAAAATGATCCCAGAAGTAGATAACCTTTTTTTTTTTTAATAAAGCAGATAAACTTACTGAAAATGACGTATAAAACTCAATTTTTCTGGTAGGTACATACTCTTTTGATTAAAAGTTATCTTAAACGCCACATACCTGAAAACACAGTTTTACCCATTCAACAATCTTGATGTTCACTGTCACTGTGATAAAGGAAATCCAAGATATTAGATAGCAATATTCTAGAGAAAAATAAACAAATTATATTTCCTTCCCCTGATGAAGTTGTCTAGAAAGCTCATCCAGGCCATGGGGTGAGACCAAGAAGTGAGAAGTTCTAGTGTCTGAAAGGAACTGCAGTTGAAGGACTTTATTCTTAGCATTATATATATGTATTTTTTTAACCTCTCTTTGGTTCTCAGATCAACACCAAAATGCATGTGCTCACCTTCTCTTGTCTTTATGTTTTCAGTAGGAGGAAGGCTGGCATTAGCAATACAACTTTGAACTCAGGAAGAAAGTTTAGCCTGAAAAAGATAGGCTGACTAGGGTAAAGTTTGCAGCCTTCCAAACTAGCCTGTTATCTTTATAAGTTTATGAGGTAGTAAAATGGAACCAACATTTCTAACAGAATACAGTCGTGTGAGCCTGTCATTCTGAAAGGGACTTTATGTGTGCTGAGGTCAAAATCCAGTATGGGAACCCATGCAGGGCAGGATCCAGGTTTTGTGGCTTATTAGACTTGTGCAGTTTCATGGGGCCCTCTTTAAGAAAAAGAATGTGGAATTACAAATGCAAAATTAGTGAAAAGATCTCGGAAGGGGCCTATGCAAGGAAAGGGCCCTGTACTTAAACTTCATTAATTCACAATAAATTCACTTCTAACCTCATACATAAACCTGTATCTAATAAGTTAAATTGTGAATTGATAATACAGCTAAATATTTTAAAATGAGATTGAATGTCACATTCTTGAGGAAACCTTCCCTGATTGCTTTCTTTGTAATGCCACTGTGTCACATATACATGGTGTGGTAACGATCCATTTACCCATCTAATTTGCTCATTAGATTCTAAGCTGCAGACTGGCTAGGATGTCTTGCCCACTGCTGTATCTTTTGTGCCTAGCACAGTGCTTAGAAAATTGTAGTTGTTAAAAGTAGAGTGCAGGGATGCTGGAGTCACAACACCTTCGAACGTATTCCAGCAGCAGGCTCGGTGCCGTGCCTGATGTGCCGAAAGGTGCCTCTAGTGCTATTACAATGCAGACACAGTTTCCATCAATCATATGGACAGCAGCTGCCAAGTTCTCTTTTACTTGGTGAGTTATGGATGGCAAAGATGTCTTTCAACTATGCACAAAAATTGGTAAAGAACTGGCTAGGTGTCCATCCGTCAGGTAGGAAGGAGTGATTATAACTGATCTGAAGGTAGAGTGAGATACAAAATGCCCTCTGAGGATATTTTACTTATTCCTGAGAGCTGCTGCTGTCTTTGAACACCTTTGAACATTTACTTTTTAAGACAATTAGATCAAGGGAAAAAATCATGGAAAGCATGATTCAAAGATCAAATTCTTCAATTTGATGAAGTCACACTTCATCTAACTGGGTCATTGATTTTAAACCAGAAGCCTATTTACTAATTTTACAGCAAAGATATTTAACTGTTTCTACAAGTCATCATAATAAATGTTATTTCTAATGAACAGTGTCTTGAACTTAAATAAGAGAGAGAAAAATAGTGGCATTTCCTCTACTCCCCAAATAATTCTATTATTGCTTAAGTTTAGTGTTTATAAGATTTAAAAATAATGGGTGCAGGTTGGGATGAGGATCTATATAACCATGGTGGATTATTTTTAATACTGAGAAAAACATAGGATAAATTCTGCAAGTACTATACTTTTTCTGCCAAAGGAGAAACATCCTAAAACAAGAAACTTAGGGGCTGATTTAAGAAAAAGCTGGATGAAAGATGTCCAGACCAGCTACATAATTTATAGTGCCCAGTGAAAAATGAAAATGTGGGAATCCTGGTTAAAAACTGTTAATAGTTTCAAGTCAGCAACAGCAGAGCATTGAACCAAGTGTGGGGCTCTTCTAAGCTTGGGGCACATGTTACGTGCCCACGAAGCTAGCCCTTATAGATGCCTTTGCGTGGTTCCTGAGAGCTGCTGTCAAAGACCGTATTCACCATGTAACCTGGTGAATTGCAAAGAAAAATTCACATGATAAATTCCTCTTTGTTCTCAGCACCAGAATAGCATTTATCACCCGAAATGACCTATTACGTTCCTGTAATTGAGCAATAGGAGCTACCAGAATTAAATGTTGTGCTCAAATGAGGTCGTTTTGCTCAGTCTGGGTTTTGGGATGCCATTTCGTTGTTGCTATTTGACTTTGATTTTATATGCAATGTTAATGGGTTTTGGTCTTTGTGTTCTAAGGCATCTCAAATCCTTTTTTGGAAGTAGAGACAGTACGTAAGTAAACAAAACTCTTAAAAGTAGTTTTAAAAGTTGATTTTAAAAGCCTATCATCAACATTATTCACTGGTGGCAGTAATAGCTCTATTAATGAGATTAATGCGTTCCAACAACATAATTATTTTTTAGAGACTCCATAACTACAGGCAGAAATAATCCAGGAAAGCAGAAGGATGTGTTCCACATAAGCAAGAATATATAACAAATTTTAAATAGTGAGAAAAGTATCTTTGTCTTAAGCAAAGCTCAGGCAACTAAGGTTAATGGAGGTGAAGGTTGGGGCTAGTTTATAATTGGGAATGGAAAGCCCACTGGGGACAAGCTTAGAGCGAGGGAACTGCTGGCAGACAACCCTTTGCTGTGGTGATACAGGCTCACTTCAGAAAATGTAACATATACTCTTTTATTCCCTGAAGTTTCCAGGAGCCTTAGCTGGGATCCCAGAACAGTAAGGAACCAGTCTGGCCTTACAGTGTGCATTTGTGCATTCTTCCCCAATCATCCCACAAGAATTAAATTGGATTGCCCTTTAAGCAGGGCTGCCATGTTCAGTTGTGGAAGATTTTCCATTGCATAGACTCATTGGGTAATAGGCAGTGGCATCTGCGTTTCTCCCCACTTTACGGCGATCAAGCTGCATCCCCTCTCATGGGGCTGTGCTCCCCACTACACCAGTCCCAAGAAGAGGCACCATATGGGCTAGTGTTTAGGACTACCTGAGTCAGCTAGATAGGCTTAGTAGGCAACCTAAGTATTCAAGAATCCCTTAAAGTGAGAAAATGCCTTTCCTTATCAGGAATAAAAAACATTGCCAATTAGAGAGCTCTAGAAAGTGAAAATATTTTGAGTTAATTTTAAGTATGAATGAGTGCTAATTAGAGTGGAATTTTAACAGCAGTCATTCTCCACTTTTTGATAAGATTATGGGATGTGAAGGACCAGAGCCTCTATGTGGGAGTTGGGAGCTAGGAAATGCAGAAAATTGATGCAGAAGGAAATAGCGTTTCTCATTACGTTGGCTTTGGTTTACATGCCTCCTTCCTAAAGGACTTGTTAATTTAACTATTACTTGTATATGTTAATTGAAGTACTACTCGATTTGAGTGTAATTTTCTCTAAGTTTTTCTTATCCTTTGGTACAAAGAAATCATTTGTATTCCATTGTTAAAACTGATGAAAACATGTGAAATCATACATGAAGACATGGAAAGATACAAACTGAAAAATGAGTTAACATTGTTGTAATATTAAATGGGAACAAATTAATTTCCATCGAAGGTAAAATAATGAGTGCATTTGTGATTTTTGTTGCTTACTCATCATAATTATGAGACATTATATTTAAGCACATATAAAATAAGCACACTTTCACATTTAAAACTCTAGTGATCTTCTGTATGGAACTTACACTGAAATAACTGCCCTAGCTGGGGTCGTCTCCCTCCTTGATTCCATCGGGCTTGGCTGCCTTCCCTCAATATGTGTTGAGTGACTACTGTGTGCCACGTTTGTTCCTAGAGGATCCAAAACCCAAACCAGAAGCTCCCAGGGTTGCAGTGTAATTAATATGGGGTGTAATTATAGCCTTTTATGATAGTCTGTTTCTTTCCTTGTTACTGTAGTCCCAACACTTCCTGAGATGTGCCCTTTAACCAAGTTTGTCCCAAGCCTCCACATCTTAGGAAAATTATAAACTTTTCTGTGTTCTGTCTTTTCTGTAAAACCTTTACCTGTCCCCCTAGTTGGACCTAATCACTTCCTCCCTGGTGTTTCACAGAGCGCCTCAAAATTTACTTTTCTATCGTAGTTATTTCTATTTGTGTTTTTATCCCCCACTAGGTTTCAATGTCCCTAGAGGCATGGATTCTAATGAATTCTTGTATCTCTATTGCTCATGATATTTGCAGAATGCATTTCTCATAATTGGTACTTACTCAAAAATATAGCATATTACACAAATCAGATTGGATTACAATAATGGTTTGCATGCCACCAGTTCAGGGACACAGGTTGTTGACCCCAAATACTGTAGAGCCAGGTTGAGTTACTGTCAGCATTCTTAATTCATGTTTACTGCATAACAGAAAATTTAATGCCCTTTGCCCAATTCCTGAATAAATCCACTATTATCATTCTCTGCTCCCCTTTCTAATCTGCTATCCATGCAAACATCATTTCCATTAATTTATGAGCATAGGTTCATAATAAACAGTTTTGCGTGCTGTACTCTTCTCTCAGATATCTAGGAGACTCAATTAAACTAAAGGAATAAGCAATTTTGTCTATAAGTATAAACTTCTGAAAAATTGTTGCCCCCAAACAGCCTTTAAATTCTGAGAGAAGCATGTCTAGAGGTTTCTTATCAAGCTTCAGAAAGTACATCCTTCTGAACATTTTTAATGGCAGCTCATAATTGCTGCCCATATACATCAGAGGATTACCTAAACTGGGCTTTTCCTGCAGTGAAACAGTGTCTAATAATTTGAGATGAAATTCTAATTATTTTAATGAGATTTTTCTGCTTCTTGGCATCAAGCAATTTGTTTTACACCTTTACTCATTATTTTTCATTTTTGAGGACTTAAATAGAAGAGACATGACAGAATAGGAGTCCTGTTTCATCTCTTGGACCATTAATTATGCCAAGGCGGTTTCAGTACTGATGAGACCCCAAGAGGAATGAATCTTTTTGGGTCTTACTTGGTTTAACGGATTTCATTCTTTATACTTCAAACAAGTTTTCTTAGAAAACCATTAATCACTAAACTATGGATTAAATAGTGACAATAATGGAAATATAACCAAGAACAAATTGTTCATGGTTGGTTTCTCCAAGGATTTGACAGCTAATTTATAAAACAAGTTGTTTTTGTTCAGCAGGACTTTTGTGACTAAAGTAAAATTGCTTTGGCAAAAGGCTCAGCAATATTCTATAGCCTGTAGGGGAACGGAGCACACACAGACCTTCCTCCTTCTTTCTTGACCCTCTTTCCTTGCCACTTTTTGCAAGATTTCAATTTGCATACCTGTCCTGACTTGTTGCCAGCATGTGCCCTTGAAACAGTTACTAAGTTTGCTAGTATAAAAGGTTCTGAAATTTGTTTTATCTTGTCAACACAAGGTCCACATTGGAGAGCTTTCAAGACATACTGTAGGAAACTTGGCAAATAGGTAAACCAAGTTTTTTTTTTTCTTAAGTTTGGTCTTCATTTTATATAGTCATCTGCATCAATTACATTCATAGTTTCATAATCCAAACAAACACTGACATAAAATATGTAAGGGTTGCTTTCTTAATCTGGACGTTTTCACCTTTGTTGGTTCTTCAGTTTGCCTAGCTGGGTGATGTGTGTTAGATTACGTAGTTGTGTGTACAAAGCGAGAGCTTTCTCCCTTCCAGACACATGTTATATGAGGGAGGCAGTGTACCAGGTATTACAGAGTGCTGGTAATTAAGCCTGTGCTGGGAAAAGTAGGGCCAAAACCAAGAACACATCTTGGATGCTTCCCTCAAGGGTCTTAGGTGTAGTTGGGGAACATAATTGTATTTAAAATTGTGAATAACAGTAAAAAGCAGTGACTGATAAATTGCCAATATGTAGAAGAGAGAATAAGTGTTATAGAAATCTAGAGAAGGGGTAGGTAGGCTAGAGTGGCCAAACTAATGTTATTTCTTAGAAATTGAACTGACCGTTTTCCTCATTCATTCTTTTATTCCATCTACTCATTTATTATTAACCACCTTATTAATAAAAAGCAGCTAACCTTTATTTAGCTGCTCAGGCACTGAGTATTATATGTACAACTCATTTAATATGCCATCGTTTTGCAGATTAGGAATCCGAGGCATAGCATTTGACCAACTTGATAATGAGTGGAAGAGACTGGTGAGAAACCAAGTCTGTGTACTCCAGAGCCTGGCTCTTAACCAGCATGTCCTATTGTTTTTTGCCTAACATTTGCTGACAGCTTGTCAAGTAGTAGGTTCACAGAGACAGCTGGGATATAGAGATAGTGGAACAAAATCCCTCCATTTGAGAAACCACAGAAGTAAGTTTGAAGGCCAAGGATTCTGTTGCAGGACAGTGATGGTAGCTTCTGAATTCAGGGGAGGCACACCTGTGGGAACATTTGGAGATGGAGAGAAGGAAGTTAATGACCAGGTGGTAGAGGACTTTGAAAGCCAGAATGTGGGGTTTTTGTTTCATCCATAGCTTCACATGTCATCTTAGGACCCTCTATTTGGGATCCCCCCAGAGCTTGTGAAAAAAGCCCCTTTGGGATCCTTTGCCCAGAGCTCTTGTTCAGATTCTTCTTAGGGGTAGGGCTCTGAAATTTGCATTTTAATCAAGCACCCTAGATGATTGTTATCCCATTTGATGTGGAAAATCACTGCTGCAGATAAAGGAGTACATATGGTAAAACACCATATTTGTTTATATTTTAATATGTTTTGCTTAAATGAAAACATTTTTGTGTGGTATAAAAAAGAGAAAATCTTTATCACTTTATCAAAATCTGACTATCACTATATTGAAGTTTACCAGAGGTATATTGGAAATATACCTCCGAGAGACCCAGTATGTCTTATAGGCAGTGGTATTCTGGTAAATGTTTTAACAACGAACTCTCTGAAAACAATGCACAAGTTTTGATTTGTAGCATTTGTTGATTTCAAGGTACCAACTTAATGTCACTGAACATGGGGTTAGGAAGAGATGTACACAGTTGGGTCCGGTTCCCCACTGCCTAACTGCCTATGAGTTTGACCAGTGAGTGACCGGCAGTATTAGAAGTATTAGTGAGTATTTACAAGAAAAAATATTTATATGTATCCAGGTTTTATAAACTTTTAACCACTTAGGCTGATTGGAAGTTATTTGCATCATAACTTAACTTTAATCCTTAACTATTTTCAAAGCATGATCTCATACATTACCTTTGAATTTTGCAAATATTCTGTGAGATTGCCATGGCAGGGAAGATATTAGCCTTATTTTGTAGTCGAGAAAATTGAGAGCAAGTAAATTTAAAGAACTTACCTAAGGTCACAATGCTATTAAGAGACAAAGACTGATTATTTCTAGTCATTTCTCTTCACTGTATACTGGATCAATACTATGTAACAAGCTACAGGTTACAACCAAGGGGGCCTATGTGTACAATGCTAAGATACTGACACTAAGGATATAGTGAAATCATAATTTGGGTATATTAGTAGAGGTGCTTCTACAACTGCACATTTCTTTGCATTATACTGTATGAATCATCGTCAAGTTGAGACAGGTAGGGTACTCCTTCCACCCTCACTGGAGTTGTTTTGTTGTCAAACGCAGAGATGATAAACTTGAGAGAAACAGTTCAGAGACTGGAAAAAGACCAATGAGGAGCTAATGTCACCTGGAAGAGTCTTATCCTTGTTCCAGTGGCTCTCATTGCATGATCCCTGAGACCTCCTGCAGCATCAGCATCAACTAGGAACTTGTTAGCAATGCAGATCCTTGGGTCCCCACCTCAGACCTGCACACACTGTGGGCTGTAATCGACAAGTCTTCCAGGTGACTTTGTTGCTTCCTGAAGTTTGAGAAGAGCCCTATATCATCCCCTCCAACCCAGAAACCCTAGAGAAGTTTGTGGGATCTTAAAGAAGAGAAGGCATGAGTGTCTTATTCCAAGTTGACAGAGTTTAAATCAGAAGTAACTGAGTAGTCACTAATTAGATTGCATTTACTTGAAGTGACTCAATTAAGTTGTCTGCTGTTAGCTGGAATTGGGGGTTTAAGGTAGGAATTAAGTTCAGTTTACGGAAATTAAGATAGTTACACATCATACACACCTGGGTTTGTAGCTTATAAAATAGAATTTTCTATGTACACTCTGGATGCACTTGCAATTTTGTCCTGGAATGAACCAAACAGATGAAGTGAACAGACAGACCTTGGTGCCTCATGTAGTGTCAGGAGGTAGTTCATACACTTGGCCGAATTAAGACTCATGATGTACGGCTGTGGGGGTGGGGGCGACAAAGCTTTTGAAATGGCATGCTGTGGCAAAATATGATCCACGTGAGTTTTCCTTGGCCTTTGGCACCATGGACTCTGGCCCCCTACCCCATGGCCTTGACTTCCCTGACCTGATTGTGCTTAGTGCTTCTCCTGCAGCTTGGCAACGTGCATCATGGTCTCAACTAGTGCTACCGACTCATCCCAGTTGGCTTGAGACTTTCTCAGTTTTAACAAAGAAATTCCCATGTCCCAGGAACCTCTTAGTTCTGGGCAAGCCAGTAGAGTTAGTCACTCTGTTCGTATCCCACTTGACTTAAGACCTCCACTGGGTGTTTTCTTTGCTTTTTCCACTGGTGCAGGTTGGTCCCGCATCTTTGGCAGGCTGGCAACCCCAGCTTACACTGTTGTTGGTTGGGGAGCCAGGGCAACTGGCTACGGAGAGTTGCTGTGAAAGAGTCAACTATTACTTTTTGTACATGTAAGATTTGTAGGAAGCATGATTAGAAGTTATTTTTAGGCTGTGTTGAGTATTTCTTGCTGATTTGGAAATATCTAGTCACATGTAACTGACATAGTAATTTAATAAATTACCAACTGCAATTTATTAAAGCTTGGAAACATCTTGCTGTGGAGTGACTTCAATTAAGGAAAATCACTTTGAGTGGAATTTGAAAACTTGGCATGGTACTGGGGTATTGGTTATTTCGAATAAATGGGTGATACCTGAAGGTGGAATCTTAAGAAAATTAATTCTGGCATATGTGGAATAAAATAGAGGGATTATGAGTATGGAGGCTCATGGGAGAACACATGTTAGTCTAGGATTGAGATGATAAAGGCACACTAGGGAGTTAATGGTCAGAATAAAAGGAAAATTTTTGAAAGATATTTTGAAGGAAGAACGGATGAAGTACTGAGCTGGGTAATTGAGAGAATGATGACATTATTAATGAAAAATAAGCCAGCCTAAATTTAGACAATTGCAATGAATTAAACTTTAGGACTGGTAAGTGTCAGGAACTCAGATGATTTCAAACAGTTAAGGATTTGAGATAAGGCCCAGGAGAAAGGTGTGGGCTGCATATGTTCATTTGTGAGCATCTTATCAAAGGTGATGGTTGAAGCACTGGAGTTGGTGTAGTATTCTTGCATCAGTAGGTAGGTGATCATCAGAAGCAGACAGCTGAGTTGAGTAATGTCAATGGCCATAAATCTTTTGTTTGGTCCTTAATACATTTGGTGCTATGAAATTAACATTTATTCAGGATTTTATTGTGGTTCCTTCCATGCTATTTTAGCAGTGAAATTTCAGTGAACCAATTAGAACAGTGAACTTGATTGCACATGCTAATGAAGATCTTCTTAATTAACTTTTAATAATAAAAACTCCAAGTTCTCAAGAGCTAGTTTACTTCCATAATGATAAGGAAATTAGAGTTTGAGCATACCAATAGTAGTGTGATCCCTTGATTTCTACAGCATTTATAATTTGCAAGGCATTTTATTATTTTATCAATGACCAAAACCCTTTGGGACAGTTGGCTTTCTCTCTAATTTATAGATAAGTAAACTGAGTCTCAGAGTGAGTGCGTTGCTTGCAAAGGCATGTAGTAACATCAGTCATAACCACGTCAGATTGTCTTTTAGTTCTTTGACCGATGAACTTTCCACAGTGCCATAATTGCTGGTTGCCACACATTAACACTAGCGTAGTGGGAGGTTCCTCCAGTATTTCCCCAGCGCAGTGTAGATTTCAGAAGCTTTTGATGACATGCCTTCATTAATCAGAGAAAGATAGACCCTCTATATATAGAAGTTTTGATGGATAAATATATCTGACATTGCTATAAGGCGTTAGTACCACAATTTTTAGATTCAGTCATCTTCACTGAGAACCCAGGAATAAAATTAGGCTGATTGAGGGCAGAAGAAGGCTGAGCCAATTAAAGAAAACCCTGGGAAGCCAGGATTAAGTAGCACAAAGACAAAGATGAGTGAGCTGATGAAATTGCACCCCTAGCTGAAAAGCAGCACACTTGAAGGAAAACCATAGAATGTTCCGCTAACTTTTAGCAGTGGGAGTTACATAATCTAATAATTAATTGTCTGTAGCTTCCAGATCTATTAGGGAGGTGTGGAACAGACTCCAGAGGCAAATCACTGGCTCCTGTGCAAGTCAGGAACATTGCCTTAGGCACTCAGCTTCAAATTGGTAATGTTTACAAGTTGTTTTCCCCATAATTTTTTAACTCTGGGCATAATCTTTTTCCTCTTAATGGGTATTTTAAGTGTATCTTAAAGATTTTTCACCGGCTTTACACTTACGATTGGAAATTGTCTAGTTTGTCACTATACTTCTGAGTGTCAGAGTACACATCTTATTTTTGTTTTTTTTTTCCCCCTAAAAGACAATGTTCAAAATACAAGGTGATAGAATATCCCTGGCACACTGGAGAAAAACTGAGATCATGTGCAAACAGAAGGATACATCCTTTTAAAATAGTTTAAACTGCCATTAGAAATAGAAGGAAACCCATTTTATCTGGGTTACTTTGACAGATGTAACTCTCACAAAGGATGAATATCAACCACCAGCACCCTCTTGTCTGACATTCTGACTTGAAAAGGAAGAGCCCCTGCAACCACATAGCATGGAGAGGAGATAGGAGAGAGGCTGTGAGTAGATGAAGGCTTTCAGTCATCAGGGGCCATAGGTTTCGTTTTGATGTACATAAAAGCTGACCAAGGACTTTGTGAAAACTTTGGGCTGCCTTCCTGACCACCTTGGTTTTTTTCCTTCACCCGTAGATCAGCGTCATTGACAACTGCATTCTTTTCAAGTGGCAAAAAGAAGTTAAAAATAAAATTCTATTTTAGATGTACCTTTGATTTTCTTCAAAAACATTTCAGATGACATGAAAGAGAAATACGTGATAAATTTTAGCAGAGACCTGGCAGAGTCTTCCTATAGTTTAATCAAAAATGGGCTCAGTTTCAAATATATTAAGTTGCCACAGGAGAATGGGAATGACTTTTGGGAACAGTTAATAGTTCCTGGAATTTTAATCCCCTTTTATCACAATACTGGGTAAAAGTTCCAAGGTAAGTAGGCAAATAATACTTAAAGGAATATTGCATGAAATGTAAGAGGTGACGTATTTAAAAGAAGTATCCTTGTACAGCTCGCCTTTCCTGTGATAGGTGCTGCATGTTTTTTTTTTTTTTTTTCTGGATAATTTGTCCTGGACTTTGTCCAGGACAGAAAACTTCGGTGTTTCTAAAGTTTATTTAGTCGGTCTCATCTCCTTAACAATGTCAGAAGAAACCTTTTAACTTGGAACTTGGTAAAAGTAATAGAAAATATTGTTTAAGATCTAAATGTAAGCATTTGGGGTGAATTCTTTAAAAAAGTCTGGCTATTTCCTAGATTTATAACTGCAAATACTGTACAATTAAAACCACCATGGTATTCCTCATGATTCTTCCTATTTGGGTATTGATGAAGGCCTTAATCAACCATAGCTGTTTAGAATTTTGAGTGTAGATTGTAATTTGGGATATTTTCTACTGGGGTCCTGGATTTGCATTGTGTTCTGATTTCTTACCCTATACTGCATTTTCCCCTATGGAAAAAGTACCTTCCTTGTATTGGAATTTTTTAAAAGATTGCAGTTATTTGTAATTTGTAATCCCCCAGTGTTTCTAGTTTATATCTTTAATGTTGAAATATGAAGAATATTTTATTCTATTTTCCAAACAGCTGGTAAGAGAATTCCTCTGAGAAAAAAATATCTGCCTGGACTCTCACAGTCGTCTCCTAATTTATCTTTCTGCTTCTGCTTTCCATGATTTAATTTTTTTTTGTACAGTATCCAGAGTGATCCTATTAAAAGTCAGATCACGTTACTCCTCTGCTCACAACCATCCAGTGGCTTCCCATCTTATCAGAACAAAATCTAGAAAAGTCATCCTCTTCCACGGTTCTATAAGTGATATGCACCTCAAATCTTTCTGGCCTCATCTGTAAAAACCCTCTTCCTTGTTCATTCTACTCCACACTGGCCTTCTTGCTGGTTCTTGCATACAGCAAACACAGACCTACTTCAGGGCTTTTGCATTTCCCTTTATCTCTTCTCCCAGAAATTTGCATTATTTGCCTCTCCTCCTTTCTTTCAGGTCTCTGCTCAGATGTCACTGCATCATTGAGACCTTCCTTGACCATCTGAAGTTAAATAGGACCAGTACTTCAGGTGTATACAGAGTCCAGACCGTGAGATCTTTGATCTCAGAAATTAGGAGATACCCTTAGGGGATTAGGGCTTCCCAGGTTCTAGAATTGAGATGGTCGTTCTTTCTAGGTCTTAAAGGCCAGGGGACCCCAGCTAAAATTTGGGTAACTTCAAAATACAAATACTTTCACTTAAGTTACACTGCTGTTTATCAACTATGTGTCTGTAGTTATTTAGTTTGTTAATTGTTACTCCACAAAACAAAGTATATACTGAAAATTCATAAAGCCTATCTTTTTGCAAATGAAAATGTGATCTAATGGTCTCTTTGTGAATTCCTTCTTGGAAATGCTCCATTATTGTCATAGTTGGTTTATAGCCTTCCTTGGTGTTAAAAAGAGAAAAGATGTTTTCTCTTTCCATTATTGGGAGCTCTTTTCTTTCTGTTGTTTCTGTTCTTCCTGCCCTGTGGCTGCTCAGATTCTGTGTACAGCTGTTTCTATGAAGTAATCTGTGATCTCCTCACGTTGCTGCCTCTTTGTTGTTTTCACTACATGTAGACCACAGTGTCACAATAAGACAAGAGAATAAAATAAAATGTTTCCTATTTTATTAATGATTTAAAAGTCCAATGCCATTATTCAATGAAAAGCCCAAGTCAACAACATTTTAGTGTAATTTAGTGAGAAGTGTTCTGGTCACTTGGCTCAACCATGCCTGCAAGCCAAGTTTCAGTGTTTCCTGACACTGAATCGCCTGAGTACCATTGTGGTTATACATATGGTGGGATGACGTGGCCAGTTGAGGTATATGTATTAATATGCTGAAGAAAAGAGAGTAGTGGCACTTGCTTCGTGAGCCAAAAAACTGCAATCACTTTTAAATATATGCCACAAGGCTGTGCTGGGATATGAAGGAAGGTAAGATAGAGCCTAGGTCTGTCTAGGGATTGGGCTGCTTCTGTTATATAACCACAGCAAGTCAGTTCAGGGATTTTAGCAAACCTTTGGGAATAGCAGGGACTGAGCTTTAGATGATGGCTCTGAACTGCTGGTTTCCAACCACTAGGGTGCTCTACCTGTGTCAGATTTTCCTGGATCCCATGCATTTCCCCAGTCCATGGTAAAGGAATCACTGGGTATCTGCTTGTCATTCCCCAATACACAGCATTCTACCACATTCTGACTTAGAATTTCCTTACCACTATTTTCCCCCCACTAGCCTCTGAGGAGCTTTCTGAACATATAGCCCAACTCCTTGTATATGTAAGGCATTTGTTACACTTTGATGGAGAAATGAAATTGTGTGACTTAACAACTATTATATTTTCTTTTCATTAATCCTTGTACTATATTTGCATGAGTAGAATTTTGTAAGGTTGTAAGCTCTAGGTTACTGGAAGAAACAGAAGTCCGATTGATTTGTTCTGAGAAAAATGACTGGATAACAAAGCTAGGCATATAGAGTTGAATTTAAATCCTTGAGATGATCTAACCTGATAATGTAACATCATCCATCTGTAATATTTTCTCAGTCAATTTTTCTGGTATTCTTCATTTTCTTTTTGAGAAAGTGAAGCATATATTTATAGCATTATAGCATATATTTATGCCATTCTCTATTCTTAAGGAATAGAGACAGTATTATTTTCTCTTCAATCTGTATTTCATAGTGACATCAAAGTAAAATTCTACTTAAATTGTGTGCTAATCATAGCTTTTTATGTTTTCCCTTTTCTGCCTTCTACTTTTTTCTACTATATCTCCACTTCAGGTGCTTCTCTCACATTTTCCTTAAATGTTTCTGTCAGTTCCTTAGTCTCTACAATTCAAGAGATTTCTATGAATCTCTTGGTCTATTATGTACCTTTAGAATGGAAGGGTCTTACTAGAAAAAAAATATTTTTATCTGCATCACATTTGTTGACAGAAAGAGACCTTCATGCTCTGTTGTTAGGTGCATAAACTAGCACAAAACAATAGATACTGAGTGCTCTACTTCTGGAAAAACAAATATTTTGTTTTAGCTATTTGCATATGAAAAGATGTGGAAGGTTACTTATCAAAATATTAACTGATTGAGAATGTTTAGAGTCTTGTTGATTGCAGTTTTCCTTCTTTCTTTTTTCCCCACTATTTCATGCATTCATTCACATAGTCATTCTTTTTCTGTGCATTTTTATTTTCTGATTTTCTGTATTACTAGTGTAAAAGCAAACACTAATTGGGAAAATATACAGGAAAAAATGTTCGATGGATGTAAAGAAATAATTGTGAACGTTTATAGCACCAATGGTGCTACGAAACTATTCTTGACTTCCTTTTCTTTGGTTCTAAGGACTAAAGCATAATCCCTACTTCTTTGGAGCTTTGGAGGGCTTGGATTGTGTCTTCCTCTTAGAGTTAGAATGATCCATGTTTTGCCAAAGTGTTCAAGAAAGGGCCCCATGTTGGATGTCCCTTACAGCTTTACCTGGGCATGGAGAAGGCCCAGTCACACAGTGATGACTTGTAGCCTCTGGACAAATGTCATAGAATGGCTGTGCTCCTTCCAAATTCCACTCAGAGTGGGGACAGCTCTACTGCTTGCTGAGCAGTCTCCATTCAGAAGTGTTTCCCTTAAATAATATGGCAAAAGCCAAAAGGTAAGATTGGGGAAGAAAACGTGGACCTAGGCTAAGATCATCTCCTCTCCCCCACTGCCACCTACATGTTTGTTTTGTTTACTTGAATGAAACATGGAGCTGTTTTAAATGTCTGTGTAACACAGTGGTATCAATAAAATGCAGCTTAGTTAAAAAATTTATTTTATTTTTCTATCTGTGATTACGTTAAGCTTCCGTGAAAATGGAATGCACCAGTTTCACAGCAGGAGAAGATAGATACAGCAAGATTAGGGAGGCAAGATGTTCAGGATTAGAAGGATCTGTATGGCTGAAAGTGAGGTAATGATAATGATTATGTGATAATAGTACTGTTGTGCTGTTTTGTGAGGCAGTAATCCAGCTCCCAAAGCAGATAAACTATGGGGGAGAAGGCTGAGTTTATCCCATGGAGGGGAATAGACTGTTGCTGAATAGCCCAGCATGACAGTAAGGCTCTTTCTTTTTTGAGGCAAGAGCTCAAAAGTAAGTTTTTAAAATAAAACGAGTAACTTCCCAAATACGAACAAGTGAACAGCTGAGCAAGGGTAAAAGAAAATCCAATAGTGCAGGAGGGTGAGGGGTTGGAGGGGTGGGGATGGGATTCTTTTTATGCAACAAAAACTGGAGTTCTAGTCATATGAGAAAAAAATTTCAGGGCCAAACACAAAAACAAAACCCCCCTACTATGCAAATTGGCAGCTGAAATGAAGTGGTATTTTCTAGAAAAGTATTAAACTACTGCAAAATGCAAACAGATTTCCATTCATCTCATTTTAAATCACTATTTGTTCATTTCTTGAAAACTTGCTTCATGGAAGGGACTGTAATTATAACAGACAAATGGCATATTGTCCTTGACTTCTCTGAGCTTACAGATTGGTATTGCTTAGTAAGATGTTGCGGCTAGGCGTGCTGGCTCATGCCTATAATCCCAGCACTTTGGGAGGCCAGGGCGGGTGGATTACAAGGTCAGGAGTTCGAGACCATCCTTGCTAACATGGTGAAACCCTATCTCTACTAAAAATACAAAAAATTATCTGGGCGTGGTGGCGGGCGCCTGTAGTCCCAGCTACTCGGGAGCCTGAGGCGGGAGAATGGCGTGAACCCGGGAGGCGGAGCTTGCAGTGAGCCAAGATCACACCACTGCACTCCAGCCTGTGCGACAGAGTGAGAGACAGAGTGAGCCTCTGTCTCAAAAATAATAATAATAATAATAATAATGTTGCAATAGCTAAATCTTCACTTTTTCTTTTGTATTCAGGATTGACTGGAAAGTAAATGTCACTCAGTCTGAGGATTCCTCCTTCCT
Source organism: Homo sapiens (assembly GCF_000001405.40). NCBI lineage: Eukaryota > Metazoa > Chordata > Mammalia > Primates > Hominidae > Homo > Homo sapiens. The sequence goes on from NC_000007.14 coordinate 18,244,925, forward strand.
GATATATATCTATATCTGTATCTGTATATGGACATAACATATATATACATCTCTCTATTATCTAATCTGCATCTATCTATCTATCTATCTATCTATCTATTGATGCATTCCAAGCTTATTCAGTTCTAGAAAATGGAGGAGGGATGGAACTCAGTCCTCAGTTCATACTGATGTGACTTCTCCTGGGCTCCTTGCTTAGGCATGTGGGGCCAATTTGATTTGGATGACTCCACTGGCAGCTGGTTTCACTCTAGGACAGCTGGGAAAATTTTGCTTCATCTCCCAAAGGTTTACTGCTTAGTACTAATTCTTTCTCCCTTGCAGGCTGCCAGCAGGCATCCCCTTGTGGTATCGTCACATCAGAGGCTATGCTATCAAATGGGTTCATATGTCTTCCAACCTGTAGAATTGCAACCCCTGACTTTTCTATGTATCTGGAAGCTCTTAGACACCCCAAGGGATGGAGCCACTTCTAACACTGAGACCTCCTCTTCTCCTCCATCTTCAAACAAAAACTCTAGCTCAGTAGCCTCATGGGCTGTAGTCCCAGCTACTCAGGAGGCTGAGGCGGGAGAATGGCATGAACCCGGACTTTGACCTCCCAATGCAAAGGCCCATTTAGCCTCTGGGGGAGCCCACCAAGATAGAACTTCTTTTCAACTTAATCACTCAAAAAGGCTAACTTCAAGGACACTGAGATTACCTTCAATGTTACTTTTTGGGAGATGTGAGAATGAGAAACAATAGCTTTCATTTCTCTTCATTGAAGCTAAATTTGAGAAGAATAAGATTAAGTTAAATTCTCAGGAGCTTATTCTGCCACCCCGAATTCTCCACAAAGTCCCTCCTGTACTTAAGAAGAGGGAGTTTTGTGCTCGTTTGTTCACCATTGAATCCCTAACATTCAGCAAACCTCTTGGCTCAGGAGGCCTGATATATATTTTTGAAATAATAGTGAATGAATCAGGCTTAATGTTTCCAGAAGTTAGTTACCATGACTGGATCAGTCATTGCTTATATCTGGGAACACTGAAGAGCATTAATTCACAGATAATCACTGAGTCTATGTACCAGGTGCTTATCTGGGCACTTGGAATCTGTCACTGAACACAAGGGCAAAGACCCTTGCCTTCATGGAGCTTTCATTCTAGCCAAGGAGACAATAATCAATGAATTTATTGAAAAAGTAAGTTATCTAGTATGCTAGGAAATAGATATTATGGGAAAAAGAAGGGTTGAGCAGGGTAAGGGAGATACAGAGTAAGGAGCAGTTTGCATTATGAAGTAGGTGGTTGGCCTCATTAGATAAGACAGTGAACAGAGACTTAGAGGTGGAAGGGAGTAAAGTGGAATTTAGGGCAAGAGCACTCTCTGGGCAGAGGAAACAGCTACAGCAAAGGTTGGAAGTCTGCTTGGCATTTTTACTTTAGTAAAATACACATAACAAAGTTTACAATTTTAACCATTTTTAGTGTACGATTCATTGGCATTTCGTAAATTCACAGTGTGCAGACATGACTACTGCCTAGTTCCAGAACATTTTTATCACCCCAAAGGAGAACCCATATTCACTAAATAGTCACCCCCCCATTCCCACCTTCCTCAGACTCCCGGAAATTCCTAATCTTCTTTCTACTTCTGTGGATGTCTTTGGCATTTTGGGGAGGTGAAGAGGCTCATGTGGGCTGGAGTCTAGTAAGTGAAGGGGAGTTTCGTAGGGGAGAAAGTCAGTGAAGTAATGGGGGCTGAGCCGGATCCCTGGTAAGCCACTGTAAGAACTATGACTTTTACTCTGAACAAAATGGAGAACATTCCAGAGTTTTATACCGAGGGGCAAAACTCTATGCAAGAGTAGGTCGTATGTGTGAGACAGGGTGAGAGGCAGATTGACTAGGAGGTTATCAGTGTAATCCAGGTGAGAGGAGATAATGGCTCAGAACAGGGTAGCAAGAGTGAGAGTGCTAGAAGGAATTGAATTTTAGTAAGATTTTGAATCTAGGACCAAGAGAATTTGCTGTAGGCTTGGATTTGGGATGAGACAGAAAGGAGTTAAGGATTCTCCAGTTGTTCTAACGTGAGCAACTGGAAGGATGTAGTTGCCATTAACTGAGACAGGGAAGCTATGGCTGGAGCAGGCTTGCAGGGGAATATAGGGAATGCTGTTTTGGGCAGGTTGAGTTTGAGATGTCTGGTCATCTGAATAAAGGTGTCAAGCAGTTAGTGGGATATGTCTGTCTGGAGTTCTAGAAAGAGTTCTGTTGTGGAGAAAAAACAACTTGGGAGTCATTAGCATAGAGATGGTATTTAAAGCTATGAGAATGGGGGAAATCGCTGAGGGATTGAGTGTGAACTGATAATGAGAAGAGGCCACGTGGTGAGCACTGGGGCATATTCTCCTTTAGTGGTGAGGGGCACAGAAAAAAACTATAAAAGAAAGAATTGAAGTAGGAGAAAAATCATGGGTGTGTAGTGTTTTGGAAGCCATGTAATGAAAGTAAACCAAGGAGGAGAGGTCAACTGAATGAGATGCTGCTGAAGTGATGGACAGTTGGCTTTAGCAGATTGTGGTTGGATCAAAAGTCATATGGGAATGGGTTTAAGGGAAAATGAAAAGAGGAGAATTGGGAACAGTGAGTAGGGACAAATATTTGGAAGACTTTCTCATAAAAGCTGAAAAAAATGAGGGCAGTACCCCCTTCTTCGGTGCCTCACCTTCACTAGAAAGCTCCATATTTCTTAATTATTCTAACAAATAATTATAGTTAATTCTGGTGAGTGATGCATTTCTTTGCAAAATATTGTCTCAGTTTCTTCCTCACAGTTTCTCAGGATGCTCTTTGTCATCATTTAAAAAGAATAATAAACTAATGAGCAAGATAAGGAGAGAAAAGAAACAGATCTGAGAGAAGATTCTCTTTCTGGAACACTAATAATAAGCTTAATATTTTACAAAATAAAACACTTTTAAAAACTATCCTGTAAAGGTCTTATTTATGTACTTTTTATAGGTTAGCTTATAACTGTTTCTATAAAAACTAAGAAAATGTGGAAAATTTTGAAGTCATGGGGAGAATATCTGAATAGCTTTTCCTCCTAGTTTCTTGGAAAAACAGGAAATTATATGCAAGACTCATTTTAAGGCCTTTACAGTGTTTAATTTACTTAAGTACATAAAAATGTATTATGTATAACTTATTAAATGTATTATGTATAACTAATAAAGTCGTGTCTGGGATAATTAAATTTTAAAAATATGGTAGATTAAGAAAGCAATTGCAGATTTACTAATTGAATTTGCTATTTGATGTTTTTAATTTTTTAAATCACAAATAGGGTTCTAAAGTTGTTGCAGTGAAATGAATTTAACATTTCTTATATGCTCAATTAATTGGGAAGCAGGCAAACACCTGAACAACCATCATACTAGTATTGCACATAAATAGATCCTGTTTTAGCTAGTTTTATGCTCGTATGACATTAAAAAATTTTAGAGACAAGTTTTCTGGAAAAGTAGCTGTATCATAAAGGGGAGAAAGCCCTTGAATGTATTGAACATGGTGGGCATGAAACTTGGTGGAATTGTTGGCAGTTTTTGAGGTGTCACTTTCCACAGTCTCTTCAGGCACATTGGTTCATGTCTCATTCCTTCTCGCATGCTACTCTACTATTTCATTTGATCATTGTTTTACAATTTCCGAATGAAAATCAGCTTTTTTCATGCACTACATGAGAGGGAGGAGGCTAAAATGCAATAAATGATCTTAGAGGATTGGTCTGTAAAAGTCTTCTCACCAAGGCTGTGGGAAGGAACGTTTCCTCCAAGAACTATTTGGCTTATTTATCTGCTATGTGCCAAGTATTATGCTAAATTCTGTGGTGCAAAGATGAGAGCTAGATTCATTCATTCAGCGATTTATTCATTCAGTCAACATTTATGCAAAATCATTTGGATTATTCAAAAAATATATAAAGACAGTCATTATCCTGCAACAATTGAAAATAGAGTTAAAGCTTATTTTTGCTTTGTAATTTAATCAAATAAACAACTATGCTACTTGCTCTAACTTACTTTTCTGGCTTTTTAAGTCTTGAGTTCAAACTACTTTCAGCTGGAATCTTAGGGATACAGTTGAGGACAGTGCTATTATACCAGTTTTCCCAAAGCTCATAAAAAAATCCTAATTAATCTTTAACTTATATTCTTTACATTTTCATATTTTGGTATATATTTTCTTAAAACAAGAAAAATTTAGTGAATTCTTAAATAAAATAATATTTTCATAAAATCTTTCTTCAGTCTGGGTGTGGTGGCTCACGCCTGTAATCCCAACACTTTGGGAGGCTGAGGTGGGCAGATTGCTTGAGGTCAGGAATTTAAGACCAGCCTGGCCAACATGGTGAAACCCTGTCTCTACTCAAAATACAAAAAATAGCTGGGTGTGGTGGCACGTGTCTGTAATCCCAGCTAGTCGGGAGGCTGAGGTGTGAGAATCGCTTGAGCCTGGGAAGTGGAGGTTTCAATGAGCTGAGATCATGCCACTGCACTCCAGCCTGAGCGACAGAGCAAGACTCTGTCTCAAAAAAAAAAAAAAAAAAAAACAAAAAAAAAACTTTCTGAACAGATCTGTTTTTTAAGTGGGTAGTTTTACAGGGGAGAGGTTATTTCCTAACGTTCCTTCAAGTGAGCAAATCTGTCAGAGTTTGCTGCTCCCCACAGGCACCTACCATTCTACCCCCAAATTAACTCTTTCTTATCAATGAAAGGTATTTCCATTTTTTTCTGGGAGAGAACACCAATTAAATAGTTAGGTAATTTGGTACCTAATGTCTTTAACATTTCTTATTAATACCTTATGAATTATAATATTATAATCTTCCTTTTAATGAATAGGTTATACTCCCCTGCAGGTGGAACACTTAGATGAGAAGTTGTAAATATCTTTAAAATAAGGGTTTAATTAATTATAAATATGCCTGCTAATTTTAGGCAGGATTCTACTCTAGGAACTGGAAAAGAAACCAAGAAAATAAATGTCTTTTCAGCTGTGAAGTAAATAACCATCTAGTGAGAGCAACAGAGTGAGCCCCACATTATTCAGGTGGAATTGGATTAAAAAGCTCTGCCAGTGAGATAAAAACAATGGGATCAGTGGTGGACTATTGAAATAGGAAGGAAAACCATACCTTATTTAGATATGATACTCGTATAAAGATGTTGAAATGCTTTTATTTCTCTGCATTGTCATATGATTCAAGTTGGGATGGGCCCATGTAAGATAGATGAAGCAGAAGAGCAAACAGCATTGGGTTTAGAGGCAACATCTAAAACAATGTGATTATTTTGCCCCTCACAGAAATTAGTGTCTCAGTAAAAGTAAATACATTTCCTGGGCAACCAGAAACATATGTTGCATGTTCTTTCCAGTACAGTATGAATCCTCAGTAAGACAAAAAGAGAATGGTTCTCACTAAGCAAACCTTCCAACTTTTATGTCCCTGAGCCTTCAGTTGCTGTTGTTGGTTGTTAACATCTGGCTTTCCATCATCCCACTTTTCTCACTCATAGTTGTGGGCTTACTGTGGGTATTCCTTGGTAGTCTATCACCAACATGAGGGCAAGATTAGTAGATCAAAATCTTGTATGTTTACCACTTAGCTGAGAGCCTTACACATAGTCACTGCTCAATAAATATTTTTTAGCAAATGAGTTACCACGCAAATCTCAAAGCCTTTCTTGTATTAAATTCTAGAGTGGTCTTTGAGGAATCACCACACTGTCTTCCACAATGGTTGAACTAATTTAAACTCCCACCGACAGTGTAAAAGCATTCCTTTTTCTCTGCAACCTCACCAGCATCTGTTGTTTTTTGACTTTTTAGTAATAGCCATTCTGACTGGTGTGAGATGGTTTCTCATTATGGTTTTGATTTGCATTTCTCTAATGATTAGTGATGTTCAGCTTTTTTTTCATGTTTGTTGGGCACATGTATGTCTTCTTTTGAAAAGTGTCTGTTCATGTCCTTTGGCCTCTTTTTAATGGGTTTGTAGAAATACCATTTGATTCAGCAATCCCATTACTGGATATATACCCAAAGGAATATAAATCATTCTATTATAAAAATACATGCACATGTATGGTCATTGCAGCACTATTCACAATAGCAAAGGCATGGAATCAATCTAAATGACCATCAGTCATAGATTGGATAGAGAAATTATGGTCCATATACAGCATGGAATACCATGCATCTGTAGAAAGGAGTGAGATCATGTCCTTTGCAGGGACTTGGATGGAGCTGAAAGCCATTATTCTCAGCAAACTAATGCAGAGAGAGAAAATTAAACACCGCATGTTCTCACTTATAAGTGAGAGCTGAATGATGAGAACACATGGACACACTGGGAGGAAACAGCACACACTGGGGCCTGTTGGAGAAGAGTGGTGGGGGGAGGGAGAGCATCAGGAAGAGTAGCTAATGGATTCTGGGCTTAATACCTAGGCAATGAGATGATCTGTGCAGCAGACCACCATGGTACACATTTAGCTGTGTAACAAACCTGTGCATTGTGCACATGTACCCCTGAACTTAATATAAATATTGAAGGAAAAAAATACAAAAAAAATTCTAGGGTGGACTTTGGAGAAGATGGAGGGCAGGGAGATTCTAAGAACAAATTTTTGTGACACTCTAAAAACAAATGAAAGTGACATTAGTCATTGAGCTTTTGAATTTTTTCTGGTAGGACTTTACCTGCAACTAAAGAAAAAAGATGGACAACCTTTAATCTTGTATCACATCAATACTGTCATTACCTTGTATAAAATTTCCATTTAATGCATGTTCTTTAACTATCTGAGTGATAACAGGTGAATGACATTTTTGTATATGCGTATGTGGCTTACATATTTCCCAATTCTGCAAACTACCATGAAGTTAGTATTAGAAACTTACTTTGTTATGGTTAGATGAGTTAAAGGAGGGAAATTAGATGCACTGTATATACGTATGTCCCCGAGAGTGCACTTTCCATGAATGATGGCTTGCATCTTCTCATTTTCCTAGATTTTTCACTTCTATCACTATCATGCAAATAATTACAAATAGCAAATAATTTTAAATGTCAGTAAGCTAGTCTTGAGAGCATGCAGCATTTACTGTCATAGAGCAAAATAAATTAAGTAGAAGATGAAGTCTTCTGCCTTCATGAAGTTAGCATTCAGTAGAGAAGTTGGGACAAAAAAAATATGAAATATTTGTTGCCATCTACAAGAGAAATGTGGAACTACAACCATTTGCAGTGATCCTCAAGTCCTGAAGTGGGGCAGGAGTCAATGTGGCCACTGGTTCCAGGAATGGCCTGGAGAACTACAGGCAGATTGTCTGAAAGCAGAGAGCATATCAACCTTCTCCTCTCTTCATGGGTAACAGATGCACCATTAAAATGTGAACATCACACATGTAAATCTTAGACTTTAATGTTTTTATAACTGCAAAAGTATAGCTTAATTAGACATATATAATGAACCTATCCTATATGTAGGATATATATCCTACATACCCTAAGGTGCATGAAACATAGGAATGACTTCAGAAATATCAAAATTAGGAATCCTTCTCTGTTGCCATGTTTTGAAGGTAAGATTTTTGGAGTTGTATATAATTCATTTTTTAACACTTTGAATGTATTACTTTGTCTCAAGCCTACTTAACACCAAAGCACATTCATAAAAGCACTTAGCTAATTGTGAAAGCTAGTAATAACTAGGGAATCTGAACCTGAAATCACATACTTTTTTTTTTATTTTTGTTGATTATTAAAAGAGAAATTAAGTTATTTGCTCATGTTTATATTATGGTAGGTAAATTTAACTCCCAAACCACAATCTTACATAGGTAGACTTGCACCACGGGACTTTGCTGTACACATTATTTCATCACCCAGGTATTAAGCCTAGTCCCCATTAGCTATTTCTTCGTGACCGTCTCCCTCTTCCATCCTCCACCCCAGTGTGTGTTGTTCCCCTCTATCTGTCCGTGTGTTCTCCTCATTTAGCTCCCACTTACAAGTGAGAACATACAATAATTGGTTTTCTGTTCCTGCATTAGTTTGCTAAGGATAATGGCCTCCAGCTCTATGTTCCTGCAAATGACATGACCTTGTTCTTTTTTATGACTGCATAGTATTCCATGGTATATATGAACCACATTTTCTTATCCAGTCTACTGTTGATGAGCATTTAGGTTGATCCTGTGTCTTTGCTGTTGTGAATACTACTGCAGTGAGCATATGCATGCATGTGTCTTTATAATAGAACAATTTATATTCTTTTGGGTATATACCCAGTAATGGGATTATTGGGTTGAATGGTATTTCTGTTTTTAGGTATTTGAGGAATTGCCACACTGTTTTCCAGAGTGGTCAAACTAATTTACACTCCTACCAATAGTGTTTAAGCATTCCTTTTTCTCCAAAACGTTGCCAACACTTGTTATTTTTTAACTTTTTATAATAGCCATTCTTAATGGTATGAGATGGTATCTCATTGTGGTTTTCATTTTCATTTTTCTAATGATCAGTGATACTGAGCTTTTTTTCATATGCTTGTTGGCCACATGTGTGTCTTCTTTTGAAAAGTGTCTGTTCATGTCCTTTGCCCATGTTTTAATGGAACTGACAAACCACAATCTTGATTGCTTAATACAATAAAGGATTATTTCTCACCATGTCACCATCCAGTTTGAGTTAGTATTCGTGGTAAGGGGACAGGTGTTGGGAACCTTTGCTCTGCCCAATCTTTTAGGAATTCCGATTTCTTCCACTGATAGGCTTCACTATCAAGGAAGGCTGTGGAGTCCCCAGTGGATCCTCTGCATTTGGCCTGGAAACAAGGGAGGAAGAAGTGTGGAGGATTGTGTTGAAGGGTTCATTTTTCATCCAGAACTGGAGGTGCTAGCCATCACCTCTGACCACCTTTCCTTAGCCAAAATTTAATCATGTCATTCCACTTAACTTAAAGGAGCCTGGGAAATGTAATCTAGCCCTTTGCTGGGGAGGAAAAGAAAACAGAGTTTTGAAACATGCAGCACTGCTTCTGCCATAGTGTTTAAACATCATGCATTGATGTAAAATTTTCTGGACTTTCAATATACATCAAAAGTTTCCAGCTTAACACAAAGTCAAATGAAAAAGGAATGGCCAAAAACATAACAAACAAGAAGGAAGGCATATCAAATAAATTGGTGAATTTGGAAGCACCTATTTTAAAAGAAATGGCTGTCCAAAGACAGTTCTAGTGGAAATGAAAGGCAAGTAACTCTATTTCAAATCTTGGACTAAATGGAATAGTGTAAAGAGTTACCTATCTAGGAATCCTCATTAAGTAGCCATACACCCTTGGACTATTCACTTATCTTCTCTAAGACTTGATTGCCTTGTATGAATAGTGGACATAATGCTAATATATGTTTTCATGCTTGCTTTGAAGCAAACAATTATATATATGAGGGTGTTTGTGAAATATTAATTGCTAAACAAGTTTTCTTTCAGGCTAGTTGCATTAAGGAAAAATTACTTCCAAGACCACCTGTAATATTCACCTATGACTCATGAATTTCCAGTTGGCTAGAGTAGCATAGAAAGGCTTTCAGATTTGTAAAATCAAGGTTTATCTGAGGTAACCTTTGCTGCTTGTTGGAAGTATGTAGCTGAGTAATTGTTCAAAAATAGCAGGTTATTTTGAGGTAGAACATATGTTCTTTAACAAATAAAATAAGTGTTCTGAAGGGAAATTTTATAGCATATTTAATCACACACTTAAAATAATTTAAATCTGGCAGTTTAGAGCACTGTGTACTTTGATATGATTTTTTAAGTGCTTTATTAAGTGCAGTAATACTAAGGTGAGTACTATTGTGTGGATTTGCATTTTATGAGTAGCTCTTTTCAACTTCTGTAAAGAAAAACCATGTCATGAATAACCAAAACTGAAAAATGTAGACTAAACATTTTTTATATTTGATATGTTTTATAAAATTATGAATATATGCTTTTTATATACACACATATACATATATAAATTATAGGTATGATAAAAGTGACTTGTTTCATAAGTCAAACAAGCAAAGAACCCTTTTTTATTTATATCAACCTGTTAATGCATGCCTCTTGGTTGTTGGATGTATTCATTTAATAGACATTTAAAGACTAAGTTGTTGTTGGTAGTAGGGAGCCCAGTAGGTGTTTTCAGGATATTAACAAAAAGCAGCCATAACTTCCAGCACAGAGCTAAACACATAGCTGATATTCATACACAAGAAAAATAAAATGTAGTCAAGCCAGTATTTTGGAATTGGTCAGGAGACAGATAAGTGGTATAAATATGGCAGAGTGAGATTCTTTTTAGGTTGGAGAGCCGGGCAAGACAACATCATGAGGAAGGAAGTTTTTCATTGATTCTTGGAGAATGGGAAAAATTTAGTCATGTGACAGCCATAAGTCAGACAGGGAGCATGGTATGAGCAAGACAAAGGGAGGAGCTGTTTGATTTGCCTGGAGAATTAAATAAGTACAAGAATATTGGAAAATTATTCAGCTCGGAAACATAGGTTGTGGCCAGACTGTGGATAACCTTAAAAGCCCACAGCTTTATGGATAGTTTTGATGATGTGACATTGATGAGTTTTCTTTTCTTTTTCTTTCCTTTTTTTTTTTTTTTTTTTGGAGATGGAGTCTCGCCCTGTTGCCCAGGCGGGCGCGCGGTGACGTGATTTCGGCTCACTGCACCCTCTGCCTCCAGGTTTCAAGCAACTCTCCTGCCTCAGCCTCCTAGGTAGCTGGGATTACAGGCACGCACCATCACGCCCAGCTAATTTTTGTATTTTGGGTAGAGACGGGGTTTCACCATGTTGGCCAGGATGGTCTCGATCTCTTGACGTCGTGATCTGCCCGCCTCGGCCTCCCAAAGTGTTGGGATTATAGGTGTGAGCCACCATGCCTGGCCCAACATTGATGAGTTTTCACAACTCATCATGTGATGTGATTAAGGAAGCATTGAAAGCACAGTTTAAAAAGCCTTAATTGCTGAGATGATTTCATGATTATTGTTGTTTCTTTAGAAACCTTGACATCTCAGCATATCTAGGACTTTTCTTCTCTCAATATCTTGAAGAGCTAATTTCGTTTGCCCCCGTTTTTAGGTTTCCACTTCCTATTTTTATGTTGCGTATCTGAGATTATTATACAATGCCCCGTATTTTAGGGTTCCTACAAAAGATAGTAATGCTGTTGCTTAAGCAGAAAGTAATATTGATTCTGACTACGTGGAAAGTGGGGTGGTAGGTGAAGTGAGGAACACACAAAGATATAAAACCATGATGTTATAATAATAATAATACTGCATAACATTTGGGGAATAGCAAATAAATAGGATAGAAAATACAATTCTGTAGGAGTTTGGAGCTGTGATTGGATTTTAGAGGAGCTAGATGGAAGAGTTGAAAGGACCTCTAACTCCAAAACTGAGTAATGAAATTGATGGTGTATTATCAAGGAGCTTCAGGTAAATCATGCAGCCAATGAAGAGCCTTTTCTACCTCTCCAACTAGTGTTTCTGTGGCATTGCTTTAGCATAATTCATTGTCATCAGTAATGGGAACAATCATAAGGAATTTTTGAAGCTGAATCTTTTAAAAAGTAATTGTGTTAATAAAAATTTTAGTTGCTTTATAGTTTTTGCAACAGATAATGGTGGAATGTTTAGGAACTGTGGTGGGTATATTTTCTGTTTCTTAAAAGTTGAACAATTCCGTTCTTTTATTTTCTAGTTCCATTGCTCTCTTATTTGAACAGGATTTTAAGTTTGTTTAAAATACATAAATGTGGCTGGGCACAGGGGCTCATGCATGTAATCCCAGCACTTTGGGAGGGCAAGGTAGGGGGATTGCTTGAGCCCGAGAGTTTGAGACCAGACTGGGCAACATAGTAAGGCCACATCTCTACAAAAAGTAAAAAAAAATAACCAGGCATGGTGGTGCATATCTGAGGTCCCAGCTACTTGGGAAACTGAGGTGGGAGGATTGCTTGAGCCTGGGAGGTTGAAGCTAGAGTGAACCGTGATTATACCACTGCACACCAGCCTGGGTGACAGAGTGAGACCCTGTCTCAAATTGTGTATGTGTGTGTGTGTGCATGTATGTGTGTGTGTGTGTGTGTGTGTGTGTATAAATATATAAATGTAACAAAACAAAAATAAGAGAAGAAAACATTGGGTCAGGTGTGGTGGTTCACACCTGTAATTCCAGCACTTTAGGAGGCCTAAGTGGGTGGATTGCTTGAGCTCAGGAGGAGGATCGCTTGAGCTCAGGAGGTGGAGGTCGCAATAAGCTGTGATTGCGCTACTGCACTCCAGCCTGGATGACACAATGAGACCACCCTGTCTCTCTGACTCTCTCTCTCTCTCTCTCTCTCTGTCTCTCCCACACACACACACACACACACACACACACACACACAAAAAGAAAAAAAGAAAAAGTAGCATAAATTAAAGATGAAGTTCTACATAGAATCCAGGTGCTAAGGTACTATCCATTTTGTATAAATAAATGACCCACATACTTGTCTCTTGAGTTTTCTGTTAGCCACACAAAAGAGTGAACGGTAGGAGGTTTATAAGATTGGCACTGTCTGTAGTATAAAAACAAACCAGCTACTCAGAAAGAGCACAACCCTTCCTAATACCAACTCTAGGCAGAAATAAATCTTTTCTGTAGGTTCTCTGAGAGAAGCCCCATAGAATGTAATGAGTAATGAATATCCTTAAAAACATCCTTACAAGTAGATAGAGAAAACTTGTTTTAGTACTTTAAAAATACATGTTTATAATGCTTTGGGTTAATTGCATAATGCCTAAGCATCATCCAGAAAAAACTTTTACAGAGGTCAAAAAAATGTGCACTAGACACAAACTGTAAGGGAGGGACTTAGAGCCGGGCCAGTCAGTGTCAGTTCACACTGCAGCATCATCTGTGGCCTCGTTAGAAAGGCAGACTCTCCAACCCCATCTCAGACCCACTGAATCATAACCTTCAAGGCACTGTTGAGAAGCACATATTAAAGTATCTAAGTTGACTTAAAAGACAGTTAGATAAGCCTTCATGAATCATATTTCCCTTAACTGAGTTTAGATAAACATTATGGAGCAGTAAATTTGGAGATTTTTCTTTGTGAAAAGGAAATGAAATAAATATAAATTCTTTTACTGGTTAAGCGTAGATCTATTGCTTTTGCCTTTACCCAAACATTGGGAAGGGTGTTAGACATTCAGTTACTATCTAATATGGGTGAAGCACTGGGTTAAATGAGAGATGTAAAGATGAACAAGACAGACATGGTAACTGTTTCTTTTATTTATTTTTTATTTCAGTAGGCTTTTGGGGAACCGGTGGTGTTTGGTTAAACGAATACTGTTCTTTAGTGGTGATTTCTGAGATTTTGTTGCATCCATTACCCCAAGCAATGTACACTGTACCCAGTGTGTAGTCTTTTGTCCCTTACCCCAGTCCCACCCTTTTTCCCAAGTCCCCAGAGTCCATTAGCAGGGGCAATTTAGTTGTAAACAAGTTGAGGGAAGGAAACTGCAAGGTATAAACAAAGTGCTGTGATGGTTATTTCTATTCTCTAGATTTTATACAGAAGAAGAAACTAGCTCAGAGAAATAACTTGGTTTAGATTACACAGCTAATATGTTACAAAGTTAAGAATTGAACTCAAGGTCTATGTGATACTAAATTCAGTTTACACTTCTGAAATATAGCTTCTTGAAAGAAAAGAAAGGGAAAACTATTCAGAAAGTGAGAAAAATCATACTATAAATCAGTAGCTTCTCTATTCAACTCCAGTATTTTAGACAATGTAATAATTTTGAATTACATCTCCTGGAGCAAGTGCTGTTTTTAGTTAATATAAACTGAGGTGACTCTTGCAGTTTTCCTCAGGAGGTAATAATAAAGTAGGGATTCTTCTTCTCCTTTTTTTTTTTTTTTTTTTTTTTTTTTTTTTTTTTTTAAACAGGGTCTCACTCTGTCGTCCAGGCTGGAGTGCAGTGGCATGATCTTGGCTCCCTGCAACCTCCGCCTCCTGGGTTCAAGCACTTCTCCTGCCTCAGCCTCCCCAGTAGCTGGGATTACAGACATGCGCCACCATGCCCAGCTAATTTTTGTATTTTTAGTAGAGATGGGGTTTCACCATGTTGGCCAGGCTGGCTTGAACTCCTGGCCTCAAGTGATCCACCTGCCTTGGCCTCCCAAAGTGCTGGGATTACAGGTGTGAGTCACAGTGCCCAGCCAAGGGATTAAATTTTGCCAAAATAAACAGTGCCATGATTGCAGTCCCCTGCCACCCCCCAATAAAAGTAAGATTTTATTGATATATGAAGACAAGCCTGTTTTTTCTTTTTTGAAACAGGATCTTGCTCTTTCCCCCAGGCTAGAGTGCAGTGGTGCAGTCTCAGCTCACAGCAACCTCTGCCTCCCAGGCTCCAGAGATCCTCCCACCTCAGCCTCCTGAGTAGCTGGGACTACAGGTGTGCACCATCATGCCTGGCTAATTTTTAGTATTTTTTTGTAGAGATAGAATCTCACCATGTTACCCAGACTGGTTTCAAATTGCTGGACTCAAGGGATTCACCTACCTCAGCCTCCCAAAGTACTGAGATTACAGGCGTGAGCCATCATGCCCGGCCAACAAGCCAGTTTTATCCTCAAGTGTTGTGTGAGGATTCATGAAGTGTTTAGCACACAGCAGGTTTTCAATAAATATTGATTGAGGAAAAGAATTTAATATTTACCCTTTAGATCACCTTTCGAGCCCACTTTTATTGGGTAATAAAAGAGTAGAATGAAAGGAATATATTTAGAATTTTAAAAATCTTACCTCTTTTAGAAACATTTTATAGTATACCAGTCGTCATGACAATATGTGAACTCCCCATCACTATGTACTTCATACTTCAGTTGGCATTGGCCACAGTTTCCCCCATATCATACTGATATGTATATTTGTCTTATATTCCCACAATAGTATGAGCCTTTTAGAGAGATCTTTATATTTTTCTTTCCTATATGGGCTACTGTTAGGTGTGTGTACTCAGAAGATGGTCATTAAGTATTTAAATGAAGAATGAATGATGATCACTACAATTATTTTAAGTCAAATCTGATCTAGCAACCTGTGCCTTTATAGTGAGTTCCCAATGGCTGCCTTTTAAACCTGGTCAAAGCCTTGCTAGTCAAAGATGATCTATGACCATGCTTCTGAGTATTTTTAGTATTGCTGTTGAGAGGGCTAGCATTTACGGGGTGCTAATTCTGTGACAGACACTTTTTTTTGTTTTTTTTTTTGTTTTTTTTTTTTTTGAGATGGAGTGAACTCTGTCGCCCAGGCTGGAGTGCAGTGGCACGATCTCAGCTCACTGCAAGCTCCACCACCTGGATTCATGCCATTCTCCTGCCTCAGCCTTCCGAGTAGCTGGGACTACAGGCGCCCGCCACCATGCCCAGCTAATTTTTTGTGTTTTTTAGTAGAGACGGGGTTTCACCGTGTTAGCCAGGATGGTCTCGATCTCCTGACCTCATGATCTGCCCGCCTCAGCCTCCCAAAGTGCCGGGATTGCAGGCATGAGCCACCGCGCCCGGCCAACAGACACTATTTAAAACATTATTTCCTTTAGTCAGTACAACAGTCCTAGGAACTCTTACTGTCTGTAGTGGAGATAGGGAAACAGGTTTATAAGGAATTAATAATTTATTGCTCAAGAGTAAGAGTAAATGAATAACTAGGAGATAATGAATGTCCTGGCCATTTATTCTCAAAGAGCATGAATATACAGAATAGGCTGATTTGAGACATTATACTGCTTTCTTCCTGGAAACTGACTTTGGTGGAATGGTCAAGCTCTTACTTTAGAAGTCATAAAGAGCTGTGTATGGAGAAGGTAACAGTCGGTATGTTAAAACAACAGATCCGGCCATAGAATAGGTGCCTAATGGTTCTGAAATATAAGCAAACATGCTGGACAACTTTATCATTATTTCTGGCATGGCTGGCTCTGGGGCTCATGTTTGTAATCCCAACTCTCTGGGAGGCCGAGGCAGGGAGATTGCTTGAGCCTAGGAGTTTGAGACCAGCCCGGGCAACATAACGAAACCATGTCTTTACAAAAAATTAAAAAAAAAAATTGGGTGTGCATGGTGATGCAGGCCTATAGTCCCAGCAGCTCAGGAGGTTGAGGTGAGAGGATTGGTTGAGCCTGGAAGTTCGAGGTTGCAGTGAGCCATGATCATGTCACTGCACTCCAGCCTGTGTGGCAGAGCAAGACCCTGTCTCCAAAATAAAAAATAAAATAAAATAAAACATAGTTGTTTCTGACTTAGCAGAATGTGTTATATTGGAAACTCTATGCTTCTGTGAATCCAGTACTGCAACTCTCTCCCACTCATTTAAGAATAAATCCTTAAGAATCCCAAGAAATAAACATATACCACAGTTCAGTCCATTGGGCCAGTATATTTATAGGATAGTCACACAAGTCCAGAAACTGTCAGGCTGTTACTCTGTGAGAATAATGGGAAGGGTTCTTATCTTCATTCCCACTCCAAAGTAAGGTTTACTTTCTAGAAGTGAGATGCAATATAAAGTACCCACGCAAAAGGTTTGAGGCTTATGCAGAAAACAAGCATGGATTAGGATAGTTAGGGTTTCATGGAGCATACTTTTTCCATTAACACCAAGAAGATAAATTTAGTTGTCTTTTTCTGCTAGAGCTTTGTGGAATGGAGTTAGTGAAGTAAAAGGCATATTCCCTTTGTTTTTGTTGCAGAAATAAATGGGCAAGGACACTTTAAAGATTTCGTGTGTGCATTGTGGCTACTTGTCCTAAACATAAAATCATACAACTAAATGAAAATCTCTCTTTCAATTCATTTTAACATAGTGATTTGCTGCTTATTAGTGCAATCTGGCAAAAAATGTTAGCCAAGCAGCTAATATTTTGTTTACATTTTTGCCCTAGCAAAGATATATCAAATCCCCTGATGTACACCTCTTACTCAGGTATTATTGTAAAAATCAACAAGGACCATTTGAACACTGATAATACTAAAAACTGTCGGTTCCCTTATTGTTTCTTTAAAAATAAAACCAAAACAAAGCAATTAACTGCAAAGGGCTATAGTAACCCAAAGCAAAGTTTACATATTTAAACATAGGGGAGTAAGGAAGTACAGAAGTTAAACAACAAGAGAGATAATCTTGAAAGTGGCAAAAGTGACTTATCTCACTTAAAAGAGTCTCAATAAGGCTGACAGCTGATTTCTCTTCAGAGACCATGGAGGTTAGAAGACAGTGGCATGACATATTCAAAGTGATGAAGGAAAGGCTATCAAGCAAAAGTTCTATCTGTAGAAAAACTCCTCCAATTTTTAAGGAGAAATTAAGGCATTTCCAGATAAACATAACCTGAGAGAATTTTCCACTAGTAGACCTGTTCTACAAGAAATACCAATGGAAGTCCTTCAGGCTGAAATAAAAGGGTATTAGATCACAATTCAAATCCACATGAAGAAATAACACTAATAAGGTAACTGCATAGGTAAATATAAAAGACAGTATAACTGTATTTTTGTTTGTAACATTTTTTCTTCTGTCTGATTTAAAATACAATGACATTAAAGCAATAACGATAAAACTATGTGTTTGGCTAATAGTGTATTCAGAAGTAATTTGTGTAACAATAACACAAAGAAGAGGGTAGAGAACAGAGCTATTTAGAAGCAAGATTTTATATACTATTGAAATTAACTTGGTATTAATTCTACCTACATTGTTATAAATTGAGATAATATTAATCACCAGGGATTAAGAAAACAACTAAAATGCATACTAATAGAAATAACAAGGGAATTAAAATGATACATTATAAAATACAGATTTTTTATAAAAGAAGGCAATAATAGAGAAAGAGAGGACAAAAAGACAGCATATAGAAAACAAATAACAAAATGGTAGACATAAATCCTACCTTATGAGTAATTTATTTAATGTAAATGTATTAAATAGTCCAATAAAAAAAGCAGATGTTGAAAGAATGGATAAGAAAATATTATCTATTTGTATTCTCTATGTAAGAGACACATATGAGATTCAGAGACACAAATTAGTAAAAGAATGTAGAAAGTAAAAGAATGGAGGAAGATATGCCATGCAAACAGTGACTGAAAGAGAGCTGACTACACTAATATCAGTATGTTGTGTGTCAGACCCAATAGATTTTTTTTAAATAATAAAACCGCATTTTTATGTTACAAGAAGATTTTATATAATATCTGCATGATATACCAATTTTCTCATAATCTCTTCTGTAATATTATTTCATTAACACTCTGGTCCACAGCTTGATTCAACAAGATCAGGAGGGCAGGCAGGAGGATGTTAAAAGAAAGGTACTGAGGTGTAAAAGGAACCAAACATTTACTGACTCAGGCACCTATTCTTGATTTCTGTTCACCTGTTGCCTTGAACAAACTGCCTGAGCTCATATGCCTTACCTCCATAAGGAGCATGACCTTTGGGAATTTACCAGGTCCTCATCCCTGTGGACTCAGAATCTTGCTTGGTAAGAGTTTATAATTGACTTTTTTTTTTTTTGAGACCGAGTCTTGCTCTGTCACCTAGGCTGGAGTGCAGTGGTGTGATCTCAGCTCACTGCAACCTCCACCTCCCAAGCCCCAGCAATTCTCATGCCCCAGCCTCCCAAGTAGCTGTAACTACAGACATGTGCCATCACACCTGGCTAATTTTTGTAATTTTTCTGTTTTTAAGTAGAGATGGGGTTTCGCCATGTTCACCAGTCTGGTCTTGAACCCCTGGCCTGAAGTGATTGACCTGTCTCAGTCTCCCAAAGTGCTGGGATTACAGGTGTAAGCCACCACGTGGGCCTGGCTGACACAATAGATTTTAAAGGACAATAATTTTACTACAGACAAAAAAGGACATGTTGCAATGATAAAAGGCTCAAACCATGAAGAAGACATAGGAATTGTAAACATTTATGCACCCAAAATGTATGACACAAAATTGACAGAATAAAATGGAGAAATAGAAAATTTAACAATAATAGTTGGGGACTTCACTACTCCACTTTACATAATGGACAGAACATCCACAAGGAAATAGAAGACATGAACAACACTGAAAACTAGGCCTAATAGGCATTTCCACCCAACAACAGTGGAATACATATTCTTCTCAGTGCTCAAGGACTATTCCAGGCTAAGCCATATTTGCTAGGCCATAAAATAAGTTTCAGGAAAATTTAAAGGACCAACAGCATGCAAAGTATATTCTCCAACTACAATGGAATGAAATTAGAAATTAAAAAAAATAAGAATTTAGTAAATTCTCAAATATATGGGAATTAAACAATATACTCCCAAATAACCAATAGGTCAAAGAACAAAGCAGGGTAAACATACATGTATATCCATATTAATGAATTAATTTAAAGAATTTTTAGTCACATTATGGCTTAAAAATAATTTTTCAGTATTGTCCAAATAAAGTACCTCATTGCCATGATGAAATTGGATACGGGAGATGTTAGCTTGCTAAAAATGACATATAATTATTATGTAAGAGGGACATTAAAAGGCTAACAATTAATTTTGAAGGATTAACATTCTTATTTTAGAAAGGATGACTCCTGTTAAGACATTCTTGCCTATGCATACCTGCTGTTTGGATTTTCTTTCTAATGGAATAGACTAGTTTATATTACTATCTATCTTATTGACATCTCAAAGCCCTTGGTTTAAATTGATGGTTCAGTTAGACAAAATCTTAACTTACAAGGAAAAGTTGTTTATGCAAGTGAATTTAGAAATTTAGCTATCTATACTTTTAAAAACATTGGCAGTATATCTCAGTGGTATGAGATAGTCCACATCTTTTTATGGACTTTTTGTTTTATTATAGGCTTTAGTGCCATTAAGGGAAAACTATTTAGTTACTCTAGGAATAGCCAAACATTGTTCCCAGAAATGCTTGTGTTATGTCTGTCATGGTACATTGTTAAGTTCAGAGCACATGTGTTTAGGAGTCTCAATGCTGGCTGAAGAATGGAAAGGACTTTTATTACAAATAGTGGATTTTATTTAATTTTGAATTTATATTAAATGATGAAAAAATAGGTCCTGCAATAATTTAGAGAAAACCTGTCTCTTCAGGGCAAGGACAAATCAATATTGAGTGTTTCAATTGAATTGATGCACTTTCAATTATAATAATCTTCATGGTAGTTGAAAGGCAGGCCCAAGCAAAAATCATGATATGCACAAAAATATTGCTGGAAGCACTATCTGCTATTAGCTATCTGCTCATGCTGTTTACCTTCACGGAATTTCTAGGTTCAAAATCAGCCATTTATTTAGAACGCCAGAGTACCCACCAAGGAAGCATATTGTATAGTTTTGTTCTGACGAAGCATGTGGCTAGAAAACACCAGAAATTAGAGTTGGGGTTACAAAGAGTCTATGCACATTTCTTAAGTCTGAGAGGTTTTTTTCCTTATGATAATTCAGTAGATTCCTATAAATGACTCTTTAGTCACAAGTTTTTTTCATTTAGAAGAAAATTAAAGGTATTTAAATAAATAAATAAATAACATGCCCATTACATGTTAACATGAGAAACTTTTTTAATGAAAGATAAACATATTTTCGAAAAAAATTTAGGAGAGTAGCAGTGTTTGCATTGTTGCAAATAGCTTTGATATTTAACTTAATACAAGACAGCTGGATTTTCATATCTGCTTCTGCATGCAATCTGTAGCAATATGTGTTTCAGGTTGAGAATATGTGGAAAATTTGGCCTTCCACAGATAATATTGCTCAAAGAGGAAGAAGTATTTTAAGAATCTTTGCAGACAATTATGGAGATTATTCTATAATACCACACCGAAACTTCAAAAGTAGTAGTTTTCTAAAGGTTGGTCGCAATGTAGAAGCTGACACCATATCAATAATTTTTAATACTCTTATTACATTAAAATTTGTTGGTCTATCTTGCACTTTGAATGGGCTTTTTAACCATGCTTGATATTGCATCACTCACTGGTCATTTGGAAAAAATGTGTGTCACTAAATTATACAGATTTTCCAAATGCTGACACACTTCATTGTACATTATCTAACAAAACACTTTCATTAATTACACCATTTATCTCATTAGAAAATTCTAAGTATTGACAAGATATCATGGTGGCCAACGCACAATTTCAAAAATTTAAAGTTTTCCTTGAAAGTTCTAATTTTATTAGCAACAATTACTCTCAGTTATTTTCCTTACCGTGACAGGCACTTTGGGTTCATTTTTGATAAGTTATAGGCCAAATACTCAGGTCTGAATAATCAGTTAATTGAATCATTCAAGTAAAAATGTTTTTTCTGTTTTTAAGAAAACAGCTAGTTTGGCTTGCAACTCAAACAATTGCACAAGTACCTTTCCTCAGGACAGACATTGTGCATCTGTATGCAGCAGGAAGGCTTTATGTGCACGTCCCATCTCATCACACAGAATATTAAAAAGATGCATGCCCAACAGTTGACATTCAATAAAATTAATTTTTTCCTGTTTCATCAAGAATATTAGTAAATAAAATATATGTTGTAGGTTTTTTCCTAAAGGTGGGGGTACAGTTTTAAGGGATACAATGACTGTAAATACACTGTGATACCACTGCCTTGATTGTTGATAATTGACAGCAGCAGTTTTACCTGCCATCACTTCTGTACCATCGGTGCAAATATCAACACAGTGAGAAAACATATAACATCTTAGTCTTCTTATGAAAGTCATTTTGATGCCCAAGAGCCCATGTGCCATGCTTTTTGAGAACTAGTGCTTTATTTATATTTATGATGGAGCCATCCAATTTTAGAGATGCAAAAACATTAGGTACATAGGTTTTAAGAATTTTCAAACTGAGAAAAAAAAATTACAAAAATCACATATTTAGGTTTTAACCTGACTTCTGTGCTGTTCAGCTGTGAAAATAAAACCATGTTATTAATATAAATTGTGAGGGGACCAGTCTACAGCTTCTGTACTCCAAAGTACATTTTGCTAAATCAAGGTCATATCTAAAAGACATGGCTTTATTATGATAGTGTAGTTTAGAAACATTAAAACTTATTTCTAAATTTATTTTAATTGACTTTATAATGTATAATATGTTGTTTTGAAACATGTATACATTGTGGTGCAGCTAAGTTGAGATAATTAATTTATGCATTATCTTTCATACTACTTTTTTTGTGGCGAGAACACTTAGGAATATTTCTCTTGCAATATTCAATACTACAATGCATTTTTATTAGCTATAGTCACCATGACGTACAATAGATCTCTTGAACTTATTCCTCCTATCTAACCGAAACTTTATATCTTTTGACCAAGAGCTCCCCAGTCTCTTCCCCACAACACTGTTATTAGTACCTACCCTTCTACTCTCTACTTCTATGAGAGTAATTTTTATAGAATTCTACCTATAAGTGAGATCATGCAGTATTTGTCTTTCTGTGCCTGGCTGATTTCACTGAACGTAATGCCATCTAGTTTTGTCCATGTTGTTGAAAATGACAGGATTTCCTTTTATTTGTTAAGGCTGAAAGGTATTCCGTGTATATGTATACATCACATTTTCTTTATTCTTTCTTTATTGATGGACACTTAGTTTCATTTCATACTTTGGCTGTTGTGAATAATGCTGCAGTGAACATGGCAGTGCAGATATCTCTTTGACATATTTACTTCATTTCCTTTTGATACATACCCAGTAGTGGGATTGCTAGATCTCGACTGGAAATATTTTGTGCTTCTGCTTCTGTCCTTACATAGCTGTTTATGATAGACAATAAATATTAGGCAGATACCTAAACACTCTTAAAATACCAACAAAAAAACCTGTGACACCATTCTTATAGTATTTCCAATTTTACTCTTTCTTTACATAGTACTTGATAGAATGCTGAGCACCCTGACTTAACACAATCTTAATTGATGTTGGTGCTACTCAGTTATTGGAATAATTTAAAATGTGCCTTTCTTGATCAATTAGTATTTTCATTACAGCTCACTTATTTAATTGATCTAATGAAACACTAAGCCTATTAGAATGTGAAGAAATCAAAGAGAAATGTAGAAAATATTTTATAAAATTCATCTAACATATCCACTGTGCTGTGTATTTTGCAGCTATTTTCAAAAAGTTTATGTCCATGTCCATGTTTTATTGACACACATACAGTCGATACATACATTGCTTGAGATGATAGTTTCTTTGATGGCTATATCTTATTTCTCATATACCTGTAATATTTAGCACATAGAATTTGCATGACCAAAGTTTGTTATTAGTTTGAATTTTAAATTTTACTTTATGGGCATAAGTTTATGAACTCATTTCCAGCTGAGTTTAAGAGTTTTCAAGTGCCAGAGAGGTTGCAAGAACCAAATTAAAAAAAAAAAAGTTGTTGCTGAAAATTCTCTCTTAGGCTCAAGAGCCTCAATTTTCAAATGTGGTTGATTTTAATTAAAGTTTAAAGAGAAAAAGAAACTATTGGAAAGATATTGGAACTAAATAATTCACTTGTAGTGAATAGGGAGTTTGTGGTTTGAGTTAATAGTATTCATTACACTGATTAAAGGCAGTGAGCCATTTTGCCCTTGTTTATTTTCCAAGCCAGTGTTTCCAGTAATGGGGGGTGGCTGGTATTTGATGTTTTATGTAATGAGGTATTTACTGATGGGCTACTTTGACTTCTCTACTTAAATGGATAACCACTTGAAAGGAACTGATCAGAAGAACAGTTTCTTTTCTAGAGCTGGACCATTTATTCCAAACTCAGACAGTAAGAAAACAATTGAATAGCTTTTATTGCCACCAGCTGTGCTGTGGTTATTTGAACAAATGGAAGACTAAAGTAATGGTACAATCTCATTTTATACAGCATTACACAAAATCAGGATTCTTTTGCCTAATAAATATTGCATTTATAGTTACTTAGATTTCCATCATTATGATGAGTTTGCTGCCCTTTGAGGGTTAATAAGTGGGTCTATCAAAGTTAAGTCTTCTGGAAGTTCAGGGAATGTGCTGCTTCAGGGCTTATAGCAAATTCATGATTATTTGTTTTGCAGATATACACACATATATACATACACATATATGGAATATGTAACGTGGAATATATATAAATAAAACTCTAAACTTTGAAAAATTATAGTTCCTCAACCAGGAATTCTAGTGATTTGTATCACTTGGCTACTCTAGGGCTTTGGAAAAAATGAGAAGTGGGTGTTTAAATGTTTTAAGAGGTAATTTTCCAAGCAATTGAGCAGGTAGTTAAAAATACCTTGTTTTCATTTCCTTGCCTGAGAAAATCCTAAAGTCTAAAGGTTTAAAAGAGAGTAGAAGGAACTACACTGAATTGGGCCTGAAGTGTATGCACCAGAAAAGAAGACCTTCACCACTCACCAGTCTCCAGAGTTTACTGATCAGTATATGAAGTCATTGTGTTCGAAATATGAGCATGGGAAGCTGGGCATGGTGGTGTGTGCCTATAGTCCCAGCTACTCAGGAGGCTGAGGTGGGAGGATTGCTTGAGCCCTGGAGTTGGAGGTTGGAGTGAGTCATGATTGTGCCACTGCACTTTAGCCTGGGCAACAGAGGGAGACCTTGTCTAATACACATATATATACGTATATATACATATATACACATATATATATATACACACACATATATATGCATGGGAACCAGGATTGCCTCCTCCTAGTTGGGCTGCCTAAATATGTAGTTGCATGGTGATTGTTGGTGTGCCTTTTGATTCTTATAACTTATTAAGTGTTATCATTGAGGTGAAAAGATCTCTTGAGTTTGATAGAGATAAGCAGTCCACACAAAAGGGCTAGACAGGGGTTTCTCAACCTCAGCACTACTGATATATTGGGCTGGATAATTCTTTGTTGTAGGGGCCTGTTGTGTTCGTTATAGGAGGTACAGTCATATCCCTGGCTTCTATCTACTGGCACACTCAGCCCACATTGTGACAACCAAAAATGTCTTTAGGCATTGCTAGATGTCCCCCTGGGTTGGGGCACTGTGTAGTGGCAGAATGGTCCTTGTTGAAATCCACTGTAATAGACAGTGAACTCCTAGCAAGTGGTATTGGTTCTCGGTCATCTGTGTATCCTCAGTGGGATATCTTGAAAGGGCCTGGCATGGAGTTGCTTCTCAATAAATGTTTGTAGAAATTAAACAAAAAAAAAACTGTGACTTAGAAAAGAAAGGGGATTTCTTTTCCTGTTACCTTCTCTGCCACTGATTTCCTGTTATTGGTAGAACAGGCATAGAATAAAAAAGTTCAATGCTACATTACTTATAAAAAGCAAAAGCTCAGAAAAACTTCTGGATGCTTAATAATATAGAAAAGGCCAAGTACATTGGTACTTTCCTTTGTGGGATATGGTACATTTCTTTTGTGGGATACTACCTTCATAAAACAGGTTGTCTATCAAAAGTTTAAACGTTATTTTTTCTGTAAAAAGTTAGGCTATAAACTTACATAATCATCTGTTTTTAATATGTATGTATGTGTATACATACGTAGTATATTATTTCTTGGTGAAAAAAGAGTAGGAGGAAAAATGCTAAATTATTAGTCATGGTTGCTTTTGGTAGTATGATTACATTTTATGTGCACCTTCTGACTAATTATTGAGAAGATGCCTTCTTTTTCTTTGGTCTTCTGACAAGCTAAATAAAACCAATAGAAAACCAGCCAAGTCTGAGTGAATTTTATATCATCATTGGAAATGGATTTTTTCATTTTTTAATGAAAAGAAAAATAAATAACAAGTTAACAAAATTTTCCCTTTAATTTTATTATTCGATTCTGTGTAACATTGTTAATTTGCAAAAATAAATTTAGCATTAAAATTGATTCTGTGTGCTAAACATAGCCTGGAAAAAATGCTCAGGGTATTTAGTAACTACTATATGGAAGTTTCTTAAAAGGTAGAAGAAATAATTTCTACAAAGTTTGTCTGTATTGCAAACATTGCAGTGTAATATTGATTGTTTTTCACTATTATTCCTTGTGATTATCTCATGGTAATGCTTTCTTGTAGAACGTGTAATTGGGGAAGAAAACATAGATGTTGCAAGTGTACAGTGTGATTTTAAAAGAATTACCTGTTTTCAATTAGAGAGATAATGTGGCTATATACCTGTATGTATATATACTCTATGTATTGATTTGTGTATTGAAGTGAGATTGTACCGGAGCTTTTTGTGAAATACTCCCAGCTGTCTTGCCTAAGCACACATTAGATACATACATTTTAGAAGGATCCATAACTTAGAACATTAGTGGTTCCCAGTTTTCCTCCTCACCATGGTGTTGGACTGAACAGCCCAAGTGGTATATGTATTCAGCCTGCCATATGTTTCAGTAAGAGCAAACATCTGGTACCAGTTTCCCCCTTGCTTTTCTTGATCCAGCTGTATAGACTAACTTTGAATCTTAGAAATGCTGCAGTCTTCCATTTCATGCATCCCTCAGCATGAAGCACATTTTTTTTCACCCGAATTCCTACATTTTTATTAAGCCTTAGTTTGAAAGCACTTCTTCAAGATGGGCATTTCGTGATGCCTTCTTCCTTGGATGCTAAGTTGTGCTCCTGACACCCCATGCTTCCTTTGCAGCAGCATTTTAATACAGGATGGAGAACCCTCCTTTGATACCTGCCTTCTGCAGGAATCTATAAGCTTCTGTGAAGGCAAAAATCAGTCACGTCCTGTTCACCACAGTATCTCAGGCATCTAACAAAGTGCCCAGAACATTGATAGCATTTAGTAAATGATGAATGAATGCATCCATAAATGAAGGAAGGAATCTGTTCCAACATCTTTGAGAGGAAAGAGTCAGAAGCATCAAAAATTAATTCTCAAATAATAGAGATTAGTACAATATTTGTTGAACAATAACAGCCATTGAAAGCGCATTCATCACCAATGTACTGATTTGGAAATGTGAAGTTTTGGAAATGTGAATTTTAGTAATATCATAGATTATTATGGAATGGCAGTATTTCAAATGTTTATGTTTTACAGGATGAGTGCTAACTCTACCAGCAATTATAGTATTAACAGTTTCATCAAATATTTTCCTTGTTTCTGAATCTTACCAGTTGTGCATAGGTGCTTTCCTATTTGAAAGCAGCGCATCATTCAGCCTCCTGAATGTATTTAGACCTTGTAAGTATAATTAACTCTTTCTTGACGGGGGCATATTTAAGATTTTTTAAAAAATACATATATAGTGTGTTGCAGCAAAACCTTTCTAAGAAGGAGTCAGTAGGATGTAGGGATAATTTTTTTCTACAATAAATATTTCCAGACCCTTTATTTATAATCAATATATGAATAAGGACCACTAAATTTAAAATGTTTAATGAGATGTGTATAGAAGGATCAAAAAGATATATTTCCACAGTTACAAAATGCAATGGAAGCTGTCTCTAACACTAGCTATCGAAATAAAAGAAACCTCGAAGTAGGCCTAATCAAAGATTCAAAATATGTTCATGTACAAAAATGATTTTTAATGAAAGTCATTTAAGAAGATTTAAATCAATGGAGAAATACTATTTTTATGGATTGGATAAGTCAATGTTATAAATTTGCTAATTCTTTTCAAATTGAGGTATGGGTTCAGTAAAATTCT
This sequence comes from Homo sapiens, assembly GCF_000001405.40. NCBI lineage: Eukaryota > Metazoa > Chordata > Mammalia > Primates > Hominidae > Homo > Homo sapiens. The sequence continues at coordinate 18,272,767 of NC_000007.14, forward strand.
AATCAAGACCTTAACAAATTTTTAAATAGAATTTGACAAGCTAATTCTCAGATTTATCTGGAAGAGTAAAGGTCAGGAAAGAAAAGACAAATTTGAGGAGAAAGAATAAAGTGGGAAGAATGGCATTATAAGATAACTAGACTACTGCTACTACTACTACTACTACTACTACTACTACTACTACTACTACTACTACTACTATTTCTTCCTCCTCTTTCTCCTCCTCCTCCTCTTCTTCTTCTTCTTCCTCCTCCTCCTCCTCTTCCTCTTCCCCTTCTTCCCCTTCTTCGTTTTTTTTTTTTTTTTTTTTTTTTTTTGAACAAGACAGGATGTCTGTTGCCCTCGCTGGAGTGCAGTGACATCATAACTCACTGCAGCATCAAACTCGTGGACTTAAGCTAGCCATCCTCCCACCTCAGCCTCCTGAGTAGCTAGGACTACAGGCATGCCACACCATGCCTGGCTAATTGTTAAACTTTTTTTGTAGATTTAGGGTCTCCCTTTTTTGCCCAGGCTGGTCCCGAACTCCTGGCTTCAGGTGATTCTCCCTCCTTGGCCTCCCAAAGTGCTGGGAGTACAGGTGTGAACCACTGCAGCCAGCCTAGACTTCTTATAAAGCCATAAGGTATATTGTGTATAGCAAAATAGACCAGACTGGAGAGCCAGAAAGGACTAATTTACACATAATATATACATATCTGAAAGAGGTGTCATTGTTGATCAGTGGGAAAGGGATGAGTCACTTAGTAAATGGTGCTGGGACAAAAGTTTGAAATTGTATCTTTACCTCATGAAAGCACAAAAGCAATTCCAGATAAATTACAAATTAAAATTGGAAATGGAAATTGGAGGATATTTGTGTGATATAGGGAAGGACAGTAGTTTATAAACAACATTTTAAAAAGCACTAATCTCAAAGGAAGGGATTATAATTATGAATAAAAATGATGAACATTAAATATAACAAAGAATTAGCATTCAGAATACCAAAAATAATATAAGTAACACAGTGGAAGACGGGACAAATAAGAATAGTTAATCCTAAAATGAAACCCAAATGTCTACTAAGCAGCCAAGACAAGGATTAGGGAAATGCAAATCAAAACTACACTGTTATACAATTTTACGCATCTATCATATTGACAAAATTGTGAAGTTCAATGTCACCAGGTGTTAGTGAAGATACGGAGCAGTAGGAAATTTCATAATTCTGAGGAATGTAAATTGGTGACACCTGGGAGAAAATTTCACCTATATATGTAGTAAAGTTTCATATTTTATAAGGACCCAGAAATTCTATGGGAAGTATAATCCCTAGGGATACCTTCTCATATGTATACAAAGGGACATGTACAGGAATATTTATTCGGGATTGTTCATAATATTAAAAAAATAGAATCAAAGTGAATAGCCATTCTATTAGTTCATTTTGTGTTGCTCTAACAGATTACCTGAGGCTGGATAATTTATTTTTAAAAATAGTTTTATTTGGCTCTCAATTCAAGTGGCTGGAAAATTGTCTGCATCTGGTGAGGTCCTCATGCTGCTTCAACTCATGGTGGAAAATAGAAGGTAAGCAGGCATGTGCATAGATCACATGGTGAGAGAGAATGCAAGAGAGCAAATCAGAGGAAGCCAAGCTCTTTTTAACAACCTGCTCTCAGGGGAATGAATCCATTCTTGAAAGGCCAAGAACTCACTCACCCCCAAGAGAAGGCATTAATCTATTCATGAAGGATCCACCCCTATGGCCTAAACACCTTCCAATAGGCCCTACCTCCCAACACTGCCACATCAGAGACCAAATTTCAATATGAGTTTGGGTGGGGACAAACCACATCCCAACTATAGCAGCCATCAGTAGGAAAATGGATAAATAATTTGAGATATTTTTATGCAATGGAATATTATGTCGGTCTGAGAAAGAATGAACTAGGGATTGACATATTGTCATGGACAAATCTCAAAAATATGTTTAGGAAAAATAAGTTGCAGAAAATTATTATACTTTATCATTTATATAAAGCTGAAACTATGCATAACACTGCTATATATTCTTTAAGGTTATGTACATATGAAATAAAACACAAAGACATGCTTCAGAATGATAAATTCAGAATTTCAGAACAGATTATTTGTGGGGAGGGATGCAATGAAGCTTCAAGTCTATTTGTAATATATTTCTTAGGGATGGGGGCTGTGAATGCCATTTACGTGACAGTAGCCCCAAATTTGTATGTCTAGCCCAGGCAGCTTTCCTGAACTTCAGGCATGTATATCCAGATGATCTGGTAGCCTTCTAGAATGGCCAGACTGAATTGCTAGCATTTCAGCAAAATTGCTCTACACACAGTGTTTCCCATATCAATTAATGACACTTACTTCTAATTGCTCAGGCCAGAAATTTTTGAAAAATCATTGAATGTTGTCTTTTCCTCATGCCCTAAATTCAGTCAGAAACTCCTCTTGTCTGTACCTTCAATACATAAGGAGAGGCCTGTTATTCCTTCTCACTTTACAGCTACCCTCACAGATCTATATCACCACAATCTTTTGCTTAGATTTTCAAAATAGCTTCCTAATTGGCCTCTCAGCTTTCACCCCAGAAACTCTTCCCAGCCCCACCGTTTATTCTTAACACAGCTGCCAGAATGGTCCTGTTAAGTATGAATCATGTTGTATTACTCTTTTTCTCAAAGCCCAGCAGTGGCTCCCTATTTCTCTTCCAGAAAAAGCCAAAGTCTTAAAAGGCCTCAAAGGCGCTGTGTGGTATGGTCCTTGCCATCTGTCTCACTTCATTCTTTTAACTCTCCCCTTCGTTGAATTGCTGTGGTTGCAAGAGCCTCCTTGATGTTCACTGGACCTGCCTCAAGTGCTCCCACCAGACATATTTTATCCTTGAGCTTTTCTCTCAATCTGCATGGTCAAGTACCTTTATGGGTTTGTTTACGTGGCCTTTCCCTTCCTCGGGTGTTTTCTCAGAAGTCACCATACCACTGAGCCCTTCACTAGCCACTCTATTTAAGATTGTAACACTCTCATTCCATGCTTCGTTTTTGTTTATAGCACTTCCTATTTTCTAACATACCTGTCATTTACCTCTGTTTAGTGTACACTCTTTATTGTCTGCTTCCCATGATAAAACATAAAGTTTGCAAAAGCCAGGATTTTTGTCTGTCTTATCCACAGGCATATCCCCAGCACCTTGAAGAGTACAGGTATAGTAGACTCTCGGTAAACATATGTTTAATAAATGATTGAATGAATATGCACTTGTTTGTTATGTTATTCTGTGTATCTATAATGTAACAATTTAAAGAAAGCACCTGGTTGAGAAAGATGCCATGGTTCAGTGGTAGATACTAAAAATAATTGCAATCATAGTATACATTTTTATCAGATTTTATATCTATTCTTATACTATAGCTTGACTCCATTTTTAACCTGTATGAAACTAGGAATGGAATTAATGGTAGGCCAGGTGTGCACATTGAATAGGTAGCTCAGAGTAATGAAGGAAAAGGCAAGAAAGAGCTTTCCCAAGAGCAAGTGTGGTATTGATACAGTATTTCCTTTATAATACCCTTTAAACTCTTATATGGAACCTTAGAAAAACACAAAACCTCCTATTTTCTACAAATACTTCAGAATGTCTTGCCTAATGCATTCAGTTTGTGTCAGCTTCTTGATATTATTTTAACACATCTTTCTGTAATTGTTTTTTAAGTGTGGCACTCGAGTTTTCAGGAGTGTTCTGAGCTGTGATTGATCATCATACATGCATTTTGAATAGGGACATCTGTCTCTGCAGCATATTATGTCTCCTGACATGCCATTTCTCAGCTTGACAGAGCACCTCTAGAGGGCATAGGCTTTAATAAGATAGAATATGTGACTTTTTTTTACTTCCATAGACAGTGAGTGGTGTTACATTTTATAATGAAATAATGAATAGCTGAAGTGACAGCTTACCCAATTTGCCTTTCTTCGTGAGCCAAATATAAAACTAGAAATAAAGCTTATTCATTTTAGCCTGTCTAATATTTACTTCAAAAACATTTTAATAGGACAATATTTACTAAATAAGTTTTCTTGTATTCATAGTTGACAGTGACAAAAATGGCTTCTTTGTCTTTTTCTCCTAAATTTTTCTCTTTTTATCCTTATCATTTTTTCTATACCTAAATTTTTCTTGCATCCTTTTATATGAGCAAATTGCCTCTAATCTTGAAACATATAGTTTATTAATTTGATTTGAAATTTATTTTGATGTTATTTTTACCAGTCATTCAGTAATCATAGATAGTTACATTGTTAAAAAAACAAAACAAAACAAAAAACAAAAAAACAGGCACAAAGCTAGATGAATGAGCGTTGTGTGGACTCTGCCCTAGAGGAGACCCAAGTTTAGTGTGAGAAGGAGATAGGAAACAATGATAAAGTTTGTGCACTCCAGAAGAAGTAGGAGCGATCGCCTGCGGCACTGAAGAAACAGTGGCAGGCTCTGCTTGGATGGAGGACACTGGCCAAGTGGTCAAGCTGGCAGAGAAGGCAACTGATCCATGTCTTAAAAAGTGCATGTGCCTTTACCAGCAAAAAGGAGACGAGATGGGGCAGACAAGCAGAGCAGCAGGTGCAAATTGGAAGAGTGGAAGGTTTTGGCCTGTTGAAAGAAAGATGAAAATTACTTGTACCTGGAGTAGTAGGTGTGCAAGGTGGGAGGAGGAGGATGACAGATGAAGCTGGAGAAGTAAATTTTTATTTATACGTAGAACTTATAGTTCTTTTCTTCCATTTTGATATTGTCTGCCTGACTCAAGTATCTTATTTTACACCCACAACTGCAAATATCTCCCGTCATTTGAAAGAAGACTTACTGGAAGTCATTTTCCTACCTCATTTTCTCATTTCCTGACAACTTCTTTCGACTGTCTTGATTAATTTCCAAATATGGGAATATTTTCAGGTCCCATGGTCAAAGATTTTATTAAAAAGTCTTACCTCTGATTCAGCTAAATGGTTAGTCAATTTACTAATTAATAGGAAATGCTTTGTAGTTATAGGTAATTAACATGTTAATAGTTTAAATAAAATTGATTGATTCTTCTCTTTGCTTGGTTAATTTAACTATCCCAGAGATCAAGTTTTAAAAAAACTTGTTATCGTTTAGCTTTATGCAACTAATTACCGTTAGTCCTTTACCATGTCTATGTCATTGCACTTGCTTCTTCAGCTAGTGACATCAGAACCTTCACTTCACTAGCAACATCGTACAAACAAGAGGAAGCACCATCTTGAACTTCCACAGGAATCTCTTCCTTTCGGAAGTATTTTAATCATTACTTCACCAGCTATGTTCCACTTCTGGATATTTTGGTAAATTTTCCGAGCATTTAGAAGCCACATATCACTCCTTTCAGTTGCAGGAAATTGGCCTTTTATATCAGAACACTGTGATCTGTGAAATGGGTACTCAGTGACTTTAGAACACGTCAAGAGATTAGCTTCGTGTCTAGAGTCTGCCTAAACAGTTCCAAGGTGAGATTTGTTATTTCACATTTAGCAATGATTTAAAAACAAAAACATACGCTTTGAATGGAGTGCTTTATTAAAATAATGGAAGAACATGGTAGAGGAAGAACTCCCTGGGAAGAGTTTAAATAGTATAAATAGCTTTGCTGAGAGAGCAACAAAGTTCTGTATTGTGCTGTTGCCACAGCAGCACCAATAATTCAAAACAAGGAAATGGAGTCTCATATTTAATATAATACAGACTTTTCCCTAGAACTTCTGTGGTCTAGGGTTTTTCAGGGATTGGCATGTTTACATATGTCTAAATTTAGACATGCCTTTTATGTAATATGATGAAAGAGAAGTACTTAAAATTCTATATGATGCAGTTATTTCTTAAACTTTTTTTTTGTTTTAAATTGACTAAAATATCAGGAATTTTCTGTGCTGAAGTCAATGCCCCAGGACATTGTGAATTTATGCATATGAAGGGAGACATAATCTCTTATGCACCCCACATTTGATTTTAAAAGATCACTTTGAAAAGTATGAAGAGGTGTTTAGTAATTCAAGGAAGAAAAATAATTTCTTTTCTATTGAATATTCTATTGAACATTCTATAACAAGAGTTTTCTCTGCTGTGGAAGTAGGTACTCTGTTCTGAAAGTCAGGATCTGGAAATTCAGAAACACAGATACGGACGTTTGGGGAATTTTAAAGTAAATTTTATATGTCATTTTGGAAATAAATTAGAAAGATATCGGACCAATCTCAGGCGTGGACAGAATTCAATTCATCATTCAATAAAGTACAACTAAATCTCTACCAAATAACAAAATCCAGTCATAATAAAAGCTCGCTTACGAAGAAATGTTTGACTGTAGCAAACTGCTTTTTATTAAACGTACTTGACACAACACAAGGAGATGGCAGTGTGCTTTCCGACTTTCAGATTTTTGTTGTCCCAATGTTAGTTCATCTCACAGCCTGCCTGGCTTTTCCACCACCAATTTTATCCTTGTTCTTACTAAAGAGTAAATTTGTAGGCAAGTTTGATTGTTATGAGATAAGAATAAATGAAATGGTTAGGGAAATTTTCATATTTTGATCTTTTCTACCCAGTGACATCATGATGAAGATGATGCAAAAAATTGGTCAGATATATATCTAGTATGAATGTGTGTTTGTATTTACTTTTTTTTTGAGGCAAAGTCTCACTCTTGTTGCCCAGGCTGGAGTGCGCAGTGGCGTGATCTCAGCTCACTGCAACCTCTGCCTCCCGGGTTCAAGCGATTCTCCTGCCTCAGCCTCCTGAGTAGCTGGGACTACAGGCGCCCGCCACCACAGCTGGCTAATTTTTGTATTTTTAGTAGAGATGGGATTTCACCATGTTGGCCAGGCTGGTCTTAAACTCCTGACCTCGTGATCCACCCCCCTCGACCCCCCAAAGTACTGGGATTACAGGGTGAGAGCCACCATGCCCAGCCACATTTACTCATTTAATAAGGACAAATATTGCCTAGAAACTAGTTTCAAAGAGGCCTGATTCATTTTTTATGTAAATTGACCAAATATTATTTCTTGCATGAAAGCTTTATTAAGGAATTATGATGTAATTTTTCATTTATCTCTTCTGGCTAGTGTCGAAAGGGGAATTCTGAGTGTTGAAAGGGGAATTCTTAGAGATGTAAAAAAATAACTGAATTACCCTTAAAAAGATTGAAAAGTTAAAAAGCAAATAAAAAGAAAATGAAAATATACTTATCCATTTAGCAAATATTTAAGGACCTACGTCAGTTATGTTTCTAGGCACTGGAAATAAAATGAATATTGAAAAAGACAGGATAGGTTCGTGAGACTTATGTATAATCAATATTTAAAGAGGGAATTTGGGCCAGGCACAGTGGCTCACCCATGTAATCCGAGCAGTTTGGGAGGCCAAGGCGGAAGGATTGCTTGAGCTTAGGAGTTTGAGACCAGCTTGGATAACATAGTGTGACTCCATCTCTACAAAAAAGTTAAAAATTAGCAGCTGGGTGCAGTAGCTCATGCCTGTGATCCCAGCACTTTGGGAGGCCCAGGTGGGCGCATCATGAGGTCAGGGGTTCGAGAACAGCCTGACCAACATGGTGAAACCCCATCTCTACTAAAAATACAAAAATTAGCTGGGCATGATGGTGTGTGCCTGTAATCCCAGCTACTCAGGAGGCTGAGGCAGGAGAATCACTGGAACCTGGGAGGCGGAGGTTGCATTGAGCCAAGATCGCTCCATTGCACTCCAGCCTGGGTGACAGAGCGAGACTCTGTCTCAAAAAAAAAAAACAAAAAACAAAAAAAATAGCTGGCGTGTTGGCCTGCACTTATAGTCCCAGCTACTCAGGAGGCTGAGACAGGAGGATAGCCTGAGCCCAGGAGGTCAAGGTGACAGTGAGCCATGATTGTTCCACTGTATTCCAGCCTGGGTGACAGAATGAGACCCTGTCTCAAAAAAAATAAATAAATAAATAAAAAAGAGGGGATTTGGATAATAAAATAACTTATTGAGATGGTCTAATATTGTTATGACTTCTTCTTCCATTTAATCATTTATTTAGGCATTATTTATCATGAGCACATCAACATTTGTATCTGCCCTTTTCTTCTTTGTTCGCTTAATGTTATCTTTTCCAGTTTCTCAGAAGGAAAAAGAATTAAATGAACCTCACATGTGATTTGAAAACAGAGATAGTATCCATTCCAGGCCTCTGTTTTATTTTGCTCTTCCCCTCTCCTTGACACTTTACTTTTGGGCAGATGTGCCTGAGGAAGACTTAGTGTAAGATGACACAAGGTGGAACAGAGCTTAGTTTGTGAGTCTGAGAAGACTTAGTCTAAGATGATACAAGGTGGAACAAAGCTTAGTTTGTGAGTCTGAAGCAGAATCAGGCAGTGATAAGCAGTGTGTTTCCTGGAGGATGATAAACTTTCTATATGATGACCTTGTTTTATCGTGGTATTAGTGAGCATCAAAACTATTCACTGACTTATATTCATATATTTTCTCAAGAGGAGGAAAATACTGCATGGGTTTTGCAGCCAGTCTTCCTGTTCAGATTTACTCTGCTTAAGTACTTAATTTAAGAGAGAGAGAGAGGTTGACAAAGGATTCCGTAACTTCTAGTCTTCAAATGATCAAAACTGAGGACCTGGTGAAGGTTTCAGGAAACCACTTCTTTAATTGATTCTCTTTCCATGTAAAATGTATTTCAAAGGATAATAGCCTACGATTTGACTCCAAAGCTTCAGCGTAGAAGAGGAATTCTTCTGGCTGAACTATATAGCTAATGCTCAATTACCTTAGCTTCTATTGAACCGTATTCTAAACACCTTCCTTTGTAACCATCACCTTGTGCAGAAGTCTGTATTTTTAGCCTTTAAGCAGAGCTCAAGTGCTGTATTTAGACATCTGACTTGAAGACTAAAATTTGCTCAGTGAGCAGAACAAATGTTCAGAAAATAACATTTCAAGGTTAGAGTTAGTGTCCTGAATAAAATCCCTTTTCTTCTTTTTCTCCGTATTGAATATAACATAAATAATGTACCCTGACTGACTTTTAAGATTAAAAATCAGAGAATACAGTGAACTTGGAAAGGGAAGAGAACATAATTAAAAATTGAAGGGGCTTCTGTTGAACAATTGTTTGCCTGAAACTAAGTACACGTTTTATTCTTGACTCAATAGGATTATGGATCTTAAAAGGATTTTTAAAACTATATAGTAAAGCGTTTAGAAAAAGGGCCTGAATAAGCCTGCAGCTACTGTAAGAAATATTGAAAGAAACACACACACTCACAGAATCATCATAATATCCTTCTTAGTATGAGGAGGAAAAAACTAAATACTGTTTATTGCTAGTAGTTACAGTAATTGTATTTACCAGGTTTTGACTGTCTACAATGTGTTAGTCACTGTGCAAGGCCCTATATATAATAAACCTTATTTAATATTCACAGCAATTCTATGGAATAGGTATTATAAATCCCGTTTTGTAAATGAGAAATAAAGTCCAGAAAGTTTAATAACATTCTTAAGATTATATAGTTAGTAAATGGAAGTATATTGTGAATATTTCTCAAGAAAATCTCAAAATGGTGCCCAAGACTCCCTGTCCTTGAGAAATAAAAACATTTTACTTCTTAGGGGAAATAGATGAGAGTGATACGTTGTGATTATTATTCTTAAACAAGACAATGCAAGGTCCCGGGACCCTTTTTTGAAAGGGAAATGACATATTTGCACTGAGGGAAAGTGATTATCACTTGCTGAGCATTTCCTTAAGAATTCTGCTCACTTGGATTATGTGTAATTTGGTGAAGAATTTATCCCCATGTATTCCATGAGGCAAAAGGATGTTGCAATTGAACTTCACAGTGCATCCATACCAATCCACCGGGGGAAAAATAATAAATGAGTCTGGGTACTCCCTTCTCTTGGCCACATGGTTGATGTTGTAGTCTTCACTCTATACAGCCAGTCACCTTGTGAACAGAACTAGCTAGAGCCCAGGACTATTTGATTGATTAAAGATTCCCACCCTTAAAATTAGGACTGAAAGACATGTTAGAAATTCTGAATATGTTTTAGGCCCTGCATTTGAAAGGTAATAAATAGGGTATGTGAAACTCTTTGACCTTTTTCTGGTTCTCAGTGCCTTGAAATTTCTATCTCAATTTTGTAGATACTCAACACTCTAACCCAGCAAGGGGAGATATTTCATAGTGGGGCATAGTAATAATATAAGAAGAGTGTATTAGTCTGTTTTCACACTGCTAGAAAGAACTACTTGAGACTGGGCAATTTAGGAAGAAAAGAGGTTTCATTGACTCACATTCTGAAGGCTCAACAGGAAGCGTGACTGGGAGGCCTCAGGAAACTTACAATCATGGTGGAAGGCAAAGAGGAAACAGGCAGCTTCTTCACATGGTGGCAGGAGGGAGCAAAGGGGGAAGTGCCACACACTTTCAAACAACCAGATCTTCTGAGAACTCACTCACAATCAAGAGAACAGCTTGGGGGAAGTCCACCCCCATAATCCAATCACCTCTCACCAGGCCCCTCCACCAATATGTGAGGATTACAATTTGAGATGAGATTTAGGTGGGGACACAGAGCCAAACCATATCAAAGAGACTGAGTAAAGCAAAGGTGAATTAGAGATTTATTTTAAATGTAGTGGAATACCAAGTTTATGTAAAGCAGAAAGTTTAACAGTGGTATGGCTATTATTTGGTGAACTGATTATCATTCTTTTTTGCATAATAGGTTGTGAGTACCCGTGGCCCAATGGTATCTTAATTCTTCATTTGAAATTCTAAAGGTTTGCATTTCATTTTTGTTAAGCATGTTGCATTACTCTAAAACAGATTTTAAAAGAAAGATACTGAAATATAATTCCATATAGTTACTGAGTCATTGACTTTTTCAGAACTCTTTTAGGTAATCACCCTTATTTATAGATGGGAAACATTCAGCTGCAGAATTAAATGATTTGCTCAAAAGGAAACAGGAATAAATGGCAGAATCAACCACCTAATACTTTGGATTTTTGGAAAGTATTAAAAATAAACAAATCAGAACAACAAAGTTCTCCATTTCTTTGTTTGTGGAGTATTCTCCCCTCTGGCCCCAGCAAAAGAAAAAGTTAGAAAGGAGATCCTCTGGAAGTTAAACCAATGTGTTTAAGGTTAAACCCTGCCTCATGTCACTTGTACAATTTACACAACATTCATTTCCTTAAGTGCTACCATAATTTTGTGAATGTTAACATAAAGAAGTCCAGGAGGCCACCAAATTGTTCCCATTGGCTTTTTTGTGTAGTGTAGGATAATGAGGCAATTTTTGCTTTGTCTATATATATTTTGTGTATTACTTGATTTTATGATCATATATTGTTTGTGTGACTTTACCTTTAAAGTCAATAGAATTATAAATTTAATTTGGTATTTACAACACACATATGCACACACATATGTATATATTTTTTCATCAAACATTAGGCAAATGATGGTTACATGAAACATGAAACTCTGGGACTACTTCTGTTTCACAGGTTCAGATCCTGTGTCCTGACTTTTGGTTGAGAAAATATAGGCTCAGTTAATGTATTCAGTTGTGTGCTTTTACCCAATTTTCCATTATCTCCTATTTCATCTTCCACCAAAGTAACTTCAGACAAGAAAAGTGTGTTTGAAGACTACCACGGGTTAACTGCCTGTATTCCATTATAAAATCTTTGTATATCGTGTTAGTCTTTGGTTTTGTGGTCAGGATCGACTATAATGAATTCTGGTTCTTGATTTACCAAATGTGAGAACTTGGCCGATTTATCTAATCTTTGGGTAAATTAGTCTCCCCATGTGTAAATTAGGAATGAGAAAACTTAACCTTTAGGGTTGTTGTGAGAACTAAAAGAGCTCCAGTTTGTCCAGTGCTTGGTTTTATAGGGACTAGATACAGGTAGATTTCTTTCTTCTTCATTTGATTTAAATCCAACACTCACTCTTACTGTTGTCCCAGGTAAAATTTTAAAAATTCATTTTGCTATAAGTCAGACATGATTTTCAGCACTCTGATTTAAAAAGTAATGTGATTTCTTGTGGAATAACTAAAATAAGGACCCAATGACAGTTGTTTCCACATTAAAGTTGGGTGGATTTCACCTAAAGCTTCTGAATTGCCAGACAAGCTTCACTTTATCAAGGAGAAAAATTAAAATCCACTAAACCAAAGTAAAATGAACTAAAATTCCAGAAGCTAAAGGACAAGTAAAGGACACAGTCTTCACACTCTGGGCTTTTCTTTTGGTGTTCTTTCCATTGACTGTGGGATAAAATTTGGGGGAAATTGTGAGGGTGTGAATGGCAAGTGTATGTTTGGGTTCTAAGACTTGGGTCATTAATACCAAGTCATAATGTATATTTTTCTATCCCCTTTCTTACTCAGTATTGTTCATTTTTTAGTGTTATTCAGTATTTTCAGTATCATGATTTGTAGAAATTTTTATAATAATGACATAATTATACCATAATTTCTTTTACTATTTTCCTTATATTGGGAATATACACCATTTGCAGTTATTCAGTGACACTTTAAAGTAGCAGTGTGATGGACATTCATTTACATAAATCACTATCCACATCCTTGATTTTTTTTCTTTTGAAATGATTCCTAGAAATAGAATCACTCTTAAGGAGTGTGAACGTTTTAAAAGATTCTTGATATAGTGTGACATTTTTTTCCCTGGGAAAGGTGTACCAATTTACACTCCTACCAGCAGTGTTTTTCACATCATGTGCTTGTCATTATCTATTAGCATCAATGATATATGAAAATGTTAATGTTTCATAATTTACATTTACTTGCTTACCAGTGAAGTTGAGTGTTATGTCTTATGTTTACTAGAGAAGACAGGCACACTGGAATGCTCCTTCTTTTCAGCAAGTACATATTTAGACACTTTGTGTTCCAGTGGTAGTTTTTCTCATTTATTTGAATATATGTCAATAAGCAAAATCTTGGCTAAAAATAATCACCTTAGCACTAAATTTAGTCAAGTGTCAAAGGCATTTTAAAGAGACTAAATTTGGGATGCATCTCAGAAAAACATACTGCATGATACTATGCTAATGAGATTTTCTTTTTATGCTGGGCAACTGGTAATTTTGTTGTTCACCCTGAGTTCCCCAACAATGTTGAACTAGCAATTTTCAAACCTGTAAACATTTGCTTTTGTAGTCAAAATTGAAAGATACAATTGAAAGGAAAGATTTAGTTCACAAACTGTATAATCTTCTGATTCTGCAGAATTGAAATGAATAAACTTGAACACATATTTAAGAACTCAAGCTCTAGTCAGCATATAACTTAAGAGGGAAAAGGTTGAATTTCCTTTCAAAATAAGCACCGTGCATGACCATGCTTCCTAAGAAAAAAAGAAAAGGTAATATCTCTAAAAATTGTATCATCATTATTTTCATACCAGTTACCATGGTTCAATTAGTCCCTCTCTATCCAGTCTAGTGGTACATTTTTCTAAATTGTGAAAATTCAATAATAATTACATATATAGTAATATGTATTTATATAATATTATATAATATGTAAAATAATAATTATAGTTTATATAAATGTGTGTTTTAAGTGGTCTTATTATGTATGATATTTCAAGGTGTAAGCTTATTTTTCAGGATATTGTGTTTTGGTACCTAGGAGGATCAGCTTTGAATCATTTCTAGTTACATATTTCTAATTTGGGGGAAAATCAGTTTTTATAGGAATAAAATGTGGTCCAAGTCTTTAGCAGAGTGAAGGATAAGACTGAATTATAAAAAGAGAGGTTTAATAAAGTATTTTTTAAGCCTTAGAGGAAGTTAATAAAATAATTTTATTGAATTCCATCATGACTCATCTTCTAATATTAATTTTGTAAATAGGAAAAAGGTAATTAAATTACTAAAGCACCTTCATTTTAAAGGTTAACTTTATTATTATTGCTCATAGGAAAGTTTATTTTTTACCACTTTTAGAACACTAGGTCTTTTTAAATTGATGCACAATTCATTTGGGTGCTTTCTATGACACGCAGTCAGACTTGCCTCCTTCCTGTGTGGGCTCTGACTATCTAATAAAAGAGATAATGTAATGACTTACATATCTAGAACACAAGGTAATGATTCCATTACCAGGCATATCCCTGTTCTGATTTGCAGACAGTTTAATTTTTACATCTGATCTTTAACTAGTGCTTCAGATGAAGCAGAACTGGGTATTTGAAAGGAATTTAATTTGTTTTGCCCATTTTAATGGTAGTTTTTTCTGAGTGTATTTAAAGAGCTTTTTATAACTACCATCTTCCAATTTTTAAAATGGAAATATATTTTCTATTGCTTATTTTTTTTTACTGCAAAGCCTTATTTGTTTATTTTAGAAAAATTAGAAAATACTGCAAAGAAAAAAGAAAAATGAAAAAATAATATATTCTTAGAGAATTCTCATTAACATGTTGGCAGATACTCCAGTTTATTCTATATAATTCCTATATACAATAGGGGATCAAAGTACTTGTTACACTGAATACCATACTCTGACATTACATATTTTGTAAATGTTGTTATATGTTTTTGATTGAGCAACCAGTAATCATGTTAGCCTGAAGACAAACTTTGCATAGTTCAAAGAGTGTTTGCCAACTCTTTTTTAAAAAGGAGGTTTCACATAAAAATCCAGATGTCCACCTTCTCTTGATAGATGGGGATTCTGTGCTGCTGGGGCTCAGAATCCTGGTTGGCCACAGTTGAGAGCAGATGGCCACAGTTGGCCTTAGCCAGCCAGAGCATGCACTCTGCATTCAGCGCATTCCTGCCCTGGTCTCCTTCACATCTTGATGTGCCTACCTGACTCCCAAAGCCAGCTGTTTGAAGGGTAGTAGTTTGTCTAGGGTAGTGCTTTTCAATGAGGCTGTACTGGCCCCTAAGGGAAGACTGGAAAGTGTTTTCTGGATGCCGCAATGCTTGGAGAGCACTACTGGCATTTAGTGGACTGCAGTCCTGTTATGTGAGAGGACTGGACCCGGAAGTTGTGTCCTGCATTTTCAACAATCCCTTTGGGTAGTCATATAGGTGAAACACCTGTTTATAATTATTTGAGCCTGGAAACAAAACTGGTTGCACATATAAAAATTGCTTTAATTCAATTTTAGTATACGTTGAATTTCCTAAGACTACAGCTACTGTATAATTTCAGGTAAAATTGTTCTTTGCTTTGGAAGGTTTACTGTGCATTGTTCACCATTTGGAAAACCATGTTGCTGACAACAAGGTGGCTCATGGTATTTGAATAACCAACACAGTGCAGCTCCATCAGTGCTCATTTGTAGCACCCTTGTTCAATACAACAAAAAGCAAAATTAACACTCCTTTAACATTTTTTATGAATAAGAAATAAATATCAGATCTTATGAGAGAATATTAATTCTTCTTTGTGTGTTCTTTACTTTTACCATCTATAATTTGCCTTGGCATGTTATCTAGACTTCAGTTACTCTTATTTTCCTTTTATCACTTGCCTGTAAGCCTGCTTTATTGTTTCTTATTCTAATACTAAATTTTAGCCTAATGTCCATGTAACCACTCAACCCTCCAGTCTTTCACTTTCTTACTCTTCTTGAAAAAGTACTGGCTGCTTATTACTTCTCTTTAATTCATATTTACTTGTTGGTAGTAGGGCAGGCATCAGATGACTTCCTCAATATGTAAGTTATGTTCATGCCTGGAGCACTTTATGATTAAAAAGAATATTATGTATAGAGGTTGTTTGTATAAACTATGAGCTTTGTGTTAGGTTAGTAAAAGCGGCATTACAAAATACTTGTTTTTAAAAGTGAAGCTTTGTGCTTGAGCAGCTTAATGCTCTAGGTGACCATCGAGAATATACATTGGTCCTAAAGAGGCTTACAGGCTTCTAGAAAGACATTACATAGAAATAAGTTATGCCTAGACTGAGAGGATGATGAAATATGCTCCAGGATTTCAGAGAGGGGCAAGTAGGTGTGTTTGAATGGATGAGGAAGGCCTGTGGATGAAGCCGAGGAGGTGCCACCAAACCTAGATGCTTGGGGAAGCTGTTAAGAGTTTTGGAGAAGGGGACAATGAAGCAAAGTTCTCTCCCTTTCTTTTTCACTTCCCCCTCTTCTTTTTCTTCTAGAACTGTGTCTTTTCTTCTTTCTTTCCTGAAGATGCAAAAGCCACAGATGTAAGTGAGAGGGACTAAAGCCAGAGTCATGACTATGAAGTATTGATTTCAGGTGTTTGTTCTCACCTTAAACTCAGACCAAATATAAAAATATGACCTTGGGGGCTTAGAATTGTGCAGTTTTTGTTCTTCAAGAGAAACTATTGGAGAGATCTCAGAGCAAGGCATTGCTTGTATTTCCCTTCAGTGTAGTACTTAGATTTTCATTTTCTTAGATCTAATTATAAAAGAGACTTAGGAGGTGGAAAATAAATTCAATAAGTCTTCAAAGTTTTTCCTTTCTTTATTTTATAAGCTAAGTATCACTGCATTGGGGGTATACTAAGAAGGGTATCAATGACAGAATTGCTAGTTTCCTCAACCTGCCTCAGCTTACCAAATTTAACTCTTTTTGTGAAACTATTACCACATGTAAATATATTTTAAAAATTAGAATTTCTTTGAAGAAACATTTTCCTAGCCAATCAAAAGCAAGAGCTAGTGAGGCTTCAGGATGATTTGGTTTTCAGACTTTTTTTTTCTAATGCCACAATCCTTAGATATGGTGGGAAAGGCACTTCAAAGTGAGTACTCCAGATTTAATTCAAATGCACCCATTTAAGTAGCTCAGAAAATTGCATCATCTAGGGTTCTGGAGTGACAGTGTTTTATATGTTGAAATCTTTTGGAGTGGGATTGAAACAGCAAAATCATTTTATTTCATTAAAATCGGTCTCAGCCTCTTCTTTTTCCTCTCATTCACCGCAGGCCTTTCCATCTAAGAAACAATTCATAGCTGCTTCTTCAGAGGATGTCTAATTTTCCCTCATTCAGAGGGACACATTTGGTACTTTGCCCTGTGTTTTAATTAGTAAGCTTCAGAGAAAGAAAGTCGTCAGAGCCAGGGCCCCCAGTTGTGGAAGTTTCTATATCCGGTAAATTGGATCCATTCCAGGGCAGAATCATTTATCAACAAATGAAACACCAGCCACTTCCCACACGTCCTCTGATTGCATTAAAAAATCACTCCCCTTCCTACCCAAATTGAGTATACTTAGAGTATGGAGCTGACAAACATTCTCTTTCCTTCTCCTCCTCCTCCTCCTCATTCTGTTGAATTGCTGGTTTCTGTAGTCTATTAGGCTTCTTATTAATAGTAATAAAATGTTCATTCATTAACTCTCTCATGCCTGCATACCAGCTATAGTAACTGTCTTTGCCCCCAAGTTATGCAGTCTTTATAAAGTCGTTCAGTAGCAGGGCAATGAGTTGGGAAAACTGATATTGCATCTGTAGCATCAGGTACTATTTAACCAGTGGGAGGGACTGATAAAATTAGCAAGTTGACTAACCACTTCCCTTCCTTGTGGCTCTTTAATATTATAACGGATACAGAAAAGTTCAGAAGGACTGAGCTAGTTTGCGAAACCACAGCACACTTTGGCAAAGAGGGAATGCACAACAAAACGGGTAAGTTTCTTTATTTTAATCTTTTAAGAGAACTGTGAAAAAGATAGTGGGGTAGATGTTTTTAAGTCTGACTCTGCAAATCGTCTTTAATAACTTGTAGGCTGTGGAAAGATAAACTTGTCATGCGGAGGGAAGCAAAAGGTTTTCCAATCAGTAACAGTAGCAACAACAACAACAAAAATTACATTGAGCAAAAAATTCAACTCTGAGAATGCCTTTATTATTTCAGATAGACAAGACTAAAGTATTTTGGGGAGAGGGTTCTTGAATTAGGAAAAATATTGATGAATAAGTTCCTGTACTCTGATTTTTTGAAATTTAGCCCGGAATTGTCAGCAGGGGCATTATCTACTGAAGCTGAATGTCCGCCTAGATCCTGAAACAGCTTAGTCTTCTGTTGTCTTCTTTGTGGTTGAAAATGTTTGTTGCTTTTAACTCCTTGATTATCAAAAATTTCAAACACAAGCAAAAATAGAGTGAATAGTATAGAGATTTCCCATGCATCTATCACATAGCTTCAACAGCTATGACTTCAGAGCCCAGGTTGTGTAATCCACACCTCTGTGGTACACTCCCTCCTTCAATCTAGTTGAATTGCAGCATTTTGAAATATGCCTATTGTGAACATTAAATAAAAGAGGCCTAAAGTTTCCTAAAGGCTCATACCAGCTCAGCAATATAAAGTTTAGAGAAATATTATTACATAAAATTGAATTATGAGTCATAGAAAGCACAAGTGAGTTTCCACTGGTTGTTTTACCAGTGGGAGCAGGAGTAGAGGATAGTAGATATTAAGACTGTAGTCTCTGGAGCCAAACTGTTTGGGGTCAAATTTGGTTCTGTCACAATCCAGTATCCTTAAGAAAATTTCTTAACCTTTCTGTGTCTCAGTTTCCTCACCTAAAAATGAATACAATAGCACTGATCTCCTGAGCATGAGGGATGATGAACCAGTGCATGCCAAGACTCAGAAAATTGCTGGGAACATAGAGTGCTCACTGTTTGTTAGCCCTACAACTGTTGGTCAAAATTATTAGAGTGATGGTAGGGTTGTGATTTGTCCAAGCAGAAAGCCAAAGGTTGTATCTGAGCATATTGGGCTGTCTTCTGACCATTGCTTTTCTCCTGATTATTTTATAATGCCAGGCTAGGAAAAGTCTCCATTGAGATATCTTGCTTGCTTTTGCACCCTGGGAAAACTCCTTGCTCTTGCTTTCCCCCACCAGCTCTGAATTAATTCTCTCTACAAACAAAAGTTATCTGAGGTTGTCTTGCCCACCCTCTCACTTTGAGGATGAGGGAGTAGAGATTGGTCTAAGCTCACAGAGCAAGGAGTAGATCTAATGGAAAAGACCCTGTCATGGGCTTCATGGACTCCTCTAATGTCTGTTTGGAGGGGCGCTGCAGTTGGGTTTAGGCAACACTGTTGGGCCTTAGAGGCTGCCTCATATCTGAGCTCTTATGCATCCATCTCTGATGTAGAGGTCTTCCAGGGCTGCAAGTTGCTCAGATACTTTTTTCATTGCTAATGAGAATGGTGAAATTCTGAGGATGGCAACAAATGGATGGTGAGGACCTTCCCTAAGCTATTTTTTTTCTATACTATAGTAATGGCTGTCATTTATTGAGCATTTACAATGCACCTGGCACTGTGCTATGTGGTTTTCTTATTTAATCCTCCCTATATCCCTATATAATACTTAATATTAATATCTTCATTTTATAGAAAAGGAAACTAAGGTGCAGAGAAGCTAAGCTACTTACCCAGCTCATAAGGGACAGCCAGGATTTTGTTCCAAGTCTGTCTGACTTCTTAGAGCGTTTGTCCACAAGAAATAGGTTTGTTCAAACATGTGCACTCGAAATGCATCCGTGGTTTTGCTCTTAGGCTTCCTGAAGATGAAAGTCGTCAGTATTCCTATAAAGCAAGCTGAATGGAAAACCTTTTCTCTAGTAATAGTTTTCCCACAGTGTATTTTCAGAATGCCTAATTACAAGCTGGAAATTTGTCATAAATTTTGACAAATACAGAGGCGGGTGGGGATGGTGTGGAGTTACCGCTGTAAAAAGTAAATATTGAACTGACAGGTAAAAAAAAAGAAATGCTCTTTTAGTAAATTAACCATGCTTCAGTGGTGGATTTTGTTTTTAAGGCCATTTGTCTCTCTTGAGTTTTTGTAGAGGAGGGTGAAATATATCTAAGTCAGTTTTTGAGAACATGGAGTGCTGTTGTAAAACAAATGATAAACATTGATGCGCTGCAGAAATAAAAATTGGCTGAATCTTCTGGGAGGTGCTGAAGAGAACTGGGACATGCACAGTCAGACATTTTAGAAACCTGGAATTGACTTGAAGTGCTTTATCTTTTACATTACGGGTACAACTGCAAAAATAGAACTGAATGTGTGAATGAAGAGAGAGGTTAATTTCACAACTTTGGAGTTTTTTTTCCCCTCCAATAGAGTAATGGTGTTTTAAATTTTTTTTTTTCTTCACTCAAGGGGACATGGTCTAAAATTTAGAGCTAAAAATGCAAACATCAGACATAAATGATTGACTTGCCTTTTATCAGGCAATCTGATACAATTTGCAATCGTTCATTTTTCCTTCGTTGGCTACAGTACTTTTGTCATCTTGACAGAATCAGCCAAGCTTTACCTATAAAAATATTGGAAGAGATTTGAAATCATATGATCTTTTTGCAGAAAAAGAAAAGGATAAAGGGAATTGCAGCTGCCAGTGTTGGGGGGAGTGAAGTGGGAAGGGTCACTGTTATGTCACATTCTTAGATTCTTTTTTTTTTTTATTATACTTTAAGTTTAAGGGTACATGTGCACAACGTGCAGGTTTGTTATATATGGAACCCATCATTCTCAGCAAACTATCGCAAGGACAAAAAACCAAACACCGCATATTCTCACTGATAGGTGGGAATTGAACAATGAGAACACATGGACACAGGAAGGGGAACATCACACACCGGGCATTCTTAGATTCTTAAACCTTTGAGAAAGCAGAGCAGCTCTTTAGTACTGGCCACTGCAAACCATCTTCCAGAATTGTTCCATCATCTTGGTTTTTTTCTTTTTCTTTTTGTCTCTAATGTCTTCATCTCATAAGAACATATTCACAACCTGTAAAGCATGGTTTAGGGTCGGAAATTTCTGTATTTGTCTGTCATTAGAGACAGATTCAGAGTGCCATTTAGCTTGTCAGTGTCCACTTCTTTGTGCAGTAATGTAATTTCTGGTGGGGTTGGTCACCCACGGGATTACTGCGTACTAGTGCCTTCATGTTTACAGATTGTTTTCTATCCTGATCTTTAACATTTGTCAATGCATTATGTCACTGCTATTATTAAATGTAAACATTTAATAAGTTTTAAAAATCAATAAACATTAGTGCTTGATTTAAATGCTTGATTTAATTATTAACTTAATAATCAATTTAAATTTTAATAATAAAATGTATTAAAAGTCTTGAATAGATAAAGCATTGTTTTCCCTTGAGATGAATTCTGTCTTCATTTGTTCTTTTGTCCATTTATTCACAATTGCTTAGCATCTCCTGCTGGAGATCCAGAAATCAATAATCACAGTTTGTGCCCTCAGAAAATTCACAGGTTTGGGGTGAAAAAGAGTTGTATGAAATAAGTGATGCTATAGTTCACAAAATATATTCTAACTACATTGTACTGTCTACATTGGGAGAGAGGGTGTGTGTGTATGGATAATCCCAGACCCTGGGATTAGAGAATCATGGTTCAAAGCCCATTACCCTCTGGTTTTGGGTATTTAACTAATGTTCTTATTCCGTGGTTTCTTCACCTGTAAAATGATACTGAGCTGCTAGGGGTGTTGTATTAATTTAACATGTGATACATGTTAAGTATTTATATAGCGTATCCTATAGTCTTTGGGGGATCAAGGATAGTTTCTCAAATGAAGTTAACTTTAAACAACCTGAATGGCATAGATGCTTCTAGTCACAGGGAACTGGATATGACAAAATGGAAAATAGTTTTGCCTCTTTGAGAAAGAGAGTAAAGGTCAGCATGGCTGAAACATGTAAAAAGTGGGGAAGTTGCTTAGAGGTACTGGCAGAATCCAGATCGTGCTGGGCCTAGTAGGTCATGTTATGCAGCTGCATGTTGTGCAAGTGCAATCAGAAGTGATTGAAAGGTTTACACGGGGAGTTGCATGACCTGAATAATATTTTTAAACTAGTTGCAGAGTGGAGAATAGATTCGTGAAGAGCAAGAGTAGACACATGGAAATAGGTTAGAAAACTATTTCAATAGCTTAGTCCAAAAATGATGGCCACTTGGATTAAACAGTGTCAGGGGTGTAGGGGCAGTGGACAGAGTGAGAAATACTGTATAATTAATAGGACTTGGTAAACAATTGGATGTCATTGGGGAGCATCAATTATGATCCTATGGTGTTTAGCAACTGGGTCTAGTGAGACGTCTTGTGTGAAGATGGGCAAATTGGAAAAAGCAGGCTTGGACTTCTCAATTTACATGCTTTTGAAACATTCAAGGGAAGATGTCAAGTAGGCATAAGATGTCATGTAGATGTTAACTGAAGCCATGGAAATAGATGTGATCACTCAGAGAGATGGGATGAAGTGAGAAAAGCTGAGGGCCCAGTACTTAACCACTGGAAATTCCAAAATTTAGAAGACAGAGGAGAAGCAGCCAGTAAAGGAGGTGGATAAGTCATGGTCAGAGAAAAGGGAAAACAAGAAAGTTGTAGTTTTTAAGGAAAACAAAAGAAAATAGCATATTCAGGAGAAAGGAGTGATTATCCATGTCAAATGCTAAGGAGCTAATAAATAATCAAAAAATACCATGGAATTGGTATCATGGAGCTCATTGACATAAAGTAAACAGGCAGAAAATATAATTTCTTTAAAATTGCATTGCATTTTAACATACTGACTAATCAGTTTTACTGTTGACTAATTGAATAAATATATGAAGACAATAAAAGAGACATATTATTTTCCCAAGTGGCAGTATATTTAGAAATTATCTTACTTCTATCTTTACATAACTGTATGGTATACAAGGAAGCAGTAATAAACTATGCTGGTCTAAACTTACTTCCTTGGAAGTGCAAAAGTACTTGAAATCAGCACTTTCTTCTTGTGTATTCCCAATATCAAGATTACCAGGTACCATTGCTGAGGGAACCATTTGCGTAGACCAGTAGTTCTCAACCGGGGGCAGTTTGGTACCCCAGAGCACATTTGGCAATGTCTAGAGATATTTTTGATTATTACAGCTGGCAGCAGGTAATGTAGGGGGCAGCATCTAGGGGGAAGAGGCCAGGGATGCTGCTGAATATCCTATAATGCACCAGACAACCCCCCACAACAAAGAATTATTTGGCCCCAAATGTCAATGGCTGAGAAACCTTGACATAGACTAATGCAGACCTGCTCAGTGCCTTGGCAATAGTAGATCTTCACTAGAATTTTTCTGCAGGAGAGTGGGAGATCCTTTACTGCCTTTTTTTCATGGTCTACCAGTAGGTTTGTGTAGTAAGTGATCTTTGAATTTGGTTTTTATCTTGAAACTTCTTTGTAAAAAACAACGTGAATAAATAAAAGTATTGTGTACTCACGTGAATTACCTCTGCAGAATTTTCAATAGAATTTATTTATGTGGTTAAAAATAGAGGACAGTGCTCCACCCAGTGCATGTTAGACTTCTTACAGCAGAACTGGCTTCCTTATGCAAAGTTAGTTCCTATGCTGAAGTGCATTTTAGAGAAGTTTCAGTATTAAAACATACTTTAAACATTTAATAGATTAATTTTCTTTAAACCTGTAAAGATCTACGTCTTTAAAAATAATAAATTTTATTTTCTCTTGATTATAACATAATTCATATAGCTCATATTTGTGTGTGTGTGTGTGTGTGTAACTATAATAAACTCTTAGATACCTATAACTAACGCAGGATATGGAATTTAACCATTATCAATAAAACCTCCTTTGTGAATTCCCCTCTTGGCCAAGGAGAAACACAATTCTAAATATTTTGTTTCTTGTTTCCTTGTGTTAAAATTCTACTACATATGTATGTATCCCCAAACGAAGTATGAAATTAGTTTTTAAAATGTCTATGCCTGTAGGATGGATTGGAAAGGAGAGCCATGGAAAAAATAAAACAAACTCAATGGCTATTTGAGAAATGCAGACACATGGCTTTGAGGCTTGGCACCAAGCGCGGGGGCAGTGGCACCATTAGAAAGAAGTAGACATTTCTGTGACTGTCTGCCTCTGTGGAGAAAGGGGGAGCCTAAGGTCAAGATGACAGTGGTTTAAACACAGTGTTAGAATGGAGGTTTTATGAACAGAATCACAGAAGGAGGCAGGGGACAAGAAGCACACAGGCTGAGACAGACTTTGTATGCGGTGCCTTCTTTCAGGAAGATTGAAGTGCCATGTTTATTGTCTAGACTTGTACTTGCCATGGAAGCAGGACATCTGAGAGCTTGCTCTGTCTGGGCAATTCAAGATAGAGACTTAGAGACGTCATTGTTGAGCAGTAGAGCTGGAGGTGAAGATTTGAGAAACTTCCGTGTAGGTACGAGTTGAAGCCACATGAAAGGAAGAAACCTGGGGACAAAAAGCTTAGGGAATGCCCATAGCTAATGGTGGTATTTAAAACACATTATAAGCTTTTGCTGTGGCTTTTGCTTATTTTTATTTAAAAACTTTTTTATTTAAAAAACTTTTAATTAAAAACTGTTTTATGTCCACGTATAGGCTTCCTCGGGCTGTCTTTACAATATATGTTATGGTAGGGGATTATTAGGCTGGCACAAAAGTAATTGTGGTTTTTGCCATTAAACGGAGTGGACCAAAGAATTTTGCACCAATTCTTTGGTCCATGTGTCTGCATTTCTCAGATAGCTGTTGAGTTTGTTTTATTTTTCTGACTGCTCTCCTTGCCAATCCATCCTACAGGCATAGACATTTAAAAACTCAAATTTCATACCTTGTTTGGGGATACATAAATACATAGTGGAATTTTAACAACATGTTAAATGTTTGAATGCTACAATAACATTCTAAACTAGGTTAGATTCTTGTGACAGTAAATAGGATGTTATGGTTTGGCTTGGAATTCTTGTAAGACTTGGCACAGTTTTTAGTCCTGATCCAAAGGAGTTTAGTCATCAGAAGAACCACCAGTGGCACAGTAAATGTCAGTGCTAGGTAAAAATGTGACATCAACAAAGTTTGTTTCTAGGGCTGCCATTCTCCTTTTTGTTAGTTTCTTTGGTCCTACATTTCTTCATCTTCACAATAAGAAGTTGGTCTGGATAATGTGTCAAATCATTGCAAAAATGTTCTATGCTTTTTAGCCTTAATGACGTTCCATCCTGCCTAAGGCCTGTGCCTGGGGGATTTCACTCTGCCCTTTCTTCTCTCACAGGCCATTTAAATGTTACAGCTCTAAATTCGTTTTTCTCAGAGTCCTGCTACTTACTAATGCTAATGTGTCAAGTCTGTATTATTTCCAGTAATTCACAATACACTATGATTGGCCTAATATATTCACTCCCAGATGGCTTCTTCACTGGGGGTTTCACTGCCTGAACCTAAAGTGGTGCTCAATGGTAGCATGGCAGAGGTAAGCTAAACAGGGTGATATTGTTATTATTTATTTTCACAAGTACTTTTCTGATCCATATTTATCTAACCTTTATAAACATAACATTAGAAATGTAAGACCTACATTTTTATGTTTTTTTTTTTTTTTTTTATTATACTTTAAGTTTTAGGGTACATGTGCACATTGTGCAGGTTAGTTACATATGTGTACATGTGCCATGCTGGTGCGCTACACCCAGTAACTCGTCATCTAGCATTAGGTATATCTTCCAATGCTATCCCTCCCCGCTCCCCACCCCACCACAGTCCCCAGAGTGTGATATTCCCCTTCCTGTGTCCATGTGATCTCATTGTTCAATTCCCACCTATGAGTGAGAATATGCGGTGTTTGGTTTTTTGTTCTTATGATAGTTTACTGAGAATGATGATTTCCAATTTCATCCATGTCCCTACAAAGGACATGAACTCATCAATTCTTACTTGAGATAATTTTCAAAAGTTTTTACTTTCCAGTCAATGAACTTTCTTTGTTTAGCTTGTATTTGAATTGACTGTTCTTAAGTCAATTTTTATGTGACAGTGTTGCTACATAGGACACTCTTAGTCATATAGCTATAGCTGTGAGTTGGTTTAAATATCCCATATAAAAAGTTATAAAAACAAATAGTAAAGCTGTTATTATGAATTTACCTATAGGAAAACTGAAATTTTATTAAAAGTTTCATATCAGCATTTTGTGATTTTGTAACAACACCGTGAACGAAAACCCAGTAAGTAGGAGGGAAAGTGTTCTGTATTTATAGTTAGGATTGTATCTGTTAGATTCAAAATGATGAGTTAGATTTTAAACTTATTTTGGAGCCCAACTATTCTTGAGTTTCCAAATGAATAAAGATATTTATATAATAAAAATTCAGTTTATTGTTGAAAAATGAATTAAGATGACAGTAAATAACCTCAGGTGTAGGACTCTGCATTGTAAAGTGGTACATTTAATGTTTATGCAAGAGTAAGATTTTTTTAAAAATTTATTTTAAAAAGTGATTAGCACCTTGGCTGTACAACTCTTAAGATTTTTTTTTTTTTTTTTGCAACACTGCATAAAATTTGAAGTATTTTTTGCTTCAAAATTTGACCTACTTAGAAAAGTTCTGATAATTCCAACGTAATATATTCCTTGTTTTGTAAGCGCCTTTGGGTAATGTATTGGAGAGACAAGTAATCTCATCAAGAAGCGTAATGGACCCTATCACATTTCAAGATATATTTTTTTTCCTAGCACTTCTGCTTCAAATTTAGTCTGTGTTTAATGATACCACACTTTACTGGCGAGGGTACTTTTCCAGCAGTTTAACTCTCTTTGCATACAAATGGTGTTTTGGGTCTGGCTGCCATTACTGATCTTTTCCTTGAAATGAGGTGACATAATTTGATTTTTTACAGTCAGGAAAAAAAGGTTTAGTTCACCTTGAGAGGTTAGAGAAAGAAAGGTTATCATTGAATGAAATGCATGGCTTGATGCCATTTGTAAAACAGGTTGGTGCTGGCTCAAGAAGGCAGGAACAAATTCTAACTTGGTTGAAAAGTATGATTGGCGGAGGGGTAAAGGAAAATCTCCAGAATTAGTCATTCAGGGGCTCTGCAATGTAGATCTGAAGCAGTGCGGAGAAAAGGCTACCAATCCACCTTCATCTTAGCAAGCAAGCACTGTTCCTCTTCTTGATTCCAGGGAGCTACGTATTTTAGTCAAAGATGTTAAATTTTGAAGGCTTCTCAAGAGACTGTCATGACAAGCAAGATATTCTTTATTATCTCCTTTTGTTAATGAAGCAGTTGAGGTCCTAAGAGACATTAAGTGACTTTCCCAGGAACTCAGATACCACCACCCTAAAATTCAGGTCTTCCTCCCCTTACAGCAGCCTCTCTCTAGATCAAGCTTGTCCAACCTGTGGCCTGCGGGCCATGTGCAGCCCAGGGTGGCTTTGAATGCAGCCCAACACAAATTTGTAAACTTTCCTAAAACATTATGAGATTTTTTTGCAAATTTTTTTTTTTTTTTTAGCTCATCGGCTATCATTAGTGTTAGTGCATTTTATGTGTGGCCCAAGACAGTTCTTCCAGTCCGTGGCCCAGAGAAGCCAAAAGATTGGACGCTCCTGCTCTAGATATACTGACTTTTCCAAGGAATGACAGGGGTTAAGATCCGTTTTTAATTGGTTCCACTCCTGGTGGAAGGCTTTCTTCTATACATGTCAGGTTTTCTTTGACTTATCAATACCTTCATGAAGAAACAATGAAGTGAAGGACATTTTAAAAGCAGGTTGTATAAGCCACTAAAAAATTTTGAATAATGCCTAGTCTCTGCATATAAGTAAAAAAAAAAAGCAGTTTAACAATATGTTAATTATATGTAGACATTATTTTTATCACAATAAAATTAAGACATACTACAAGAACAGATTGACTTAGTTTTTCAGTTTGCAATTATCTTCCCAGTTAAATATAAGTAAAGATCTTAATAAATGTAACATTAAAGTTCTTGAACTATATACCACACACCATTCCACATAAACAGACCGGTTATATTAAAACTAGCAAAGCCGTATTTTGTCTGTGCTTGCTAGAAAATAAATTTTGCATATATTCTAGAAGACAAAGATGATTTTGTATATGTAATTGACAAAAAATACTTCTAGGAAAAATATAATTATTGTATTAAAGGTTATGAAATGGCAGTTGAAACCCCTAAAGTCATGGATTCTAGTTAATACAGTATAATAAGGGAGAGCTCACACTATTCCTCATGAATCATGCTGAGAAAACTCCTGTCAAATAAAGAATTATTAAGTTGAGTTAAAGAAATTAATTTGTTTCTTCAAAACTGAAGTTAAGAAATGCAAACATTTTTTTCTCTGGATGAAAACACTGTTTTTTTTTCCCGCAATGCAATTTTATAAATAAAAGGTTTATTGCAAATGTATTTTGATGACCTTATTATACTCATTTTGTGTGAAATTATTTAAAAAATAATATTCCCTCAAGTTAAATTGCTCAATTGAAACTTCTCGCTTCTCAATATAAGCATCAGAATAATACTTTAAGGTCATAATATCAGAAGCTATTGACTAAGTGATTTAAAGATAGAATGTCTGTATTCTCAGATGGAGCAAATTAATTTAAATATGGTAGTTGAAGTTGCATTTTATGATAGAGCAGGACATTGTTGTCGTGTTTTTTAACCTTAACCTGAAAATAATTAGAGGAAAAAGCAATCTAGATACATTATAGATTTTTTTTTATTGCATAAAGTGATTTAATCCTCTGTTTTATTCCAGAGACTTATTTAGGTTTCATTTACTGTCCCACTGGGATAGTAGATAGCATAATACTTTCTTTCTTATTACTATCTAAGTATTTAAATGCAGAAATGGAGATGAAAACTTTGACTCCTACTGCATTTGAATGTATGAATTTACATATATAAAAATGTACAATAAGCATGTGTATAGAAAAAATCAGTTATATTTTTTGTAGCTCTTGCTACAGAGACCAAGAGATCAAAATAAATCTGCCCTCAAATGAGAAGTGCCAGCTTCTTCGCTTCCCATTTCTCCCACCAGACACTCATGTTTAATAATGAGAATGAATGAATGATGCAGTGGATAAAGGTCTGTCTTGTTAATTAGATGTTCTCAGATAATGAAGTCTTAATACACCTGTGTTTTCTATATTCCCTCTAAATCACCATAGAATTCAAGAAAATGGATCTTGTATAAATCTTCAGATCTATTTATTTTTGTGCATATGCATTTGACCAAGTAATTTATTTAAATGATTTAAATGTTCAATGACTCTACTGCTTTTGAAGTCATATGTGTGGTTCTTAAAAATTTAAAATACTCAGGTGTTAAGAACAGCAGCCTTACCATCAGTTGGTGATTTCCTTAAGTGAAAATTGAAGAGTTTAAGGGTGCAAGTCATACAGCAATTAAGTAGAAAATGTACATGTGATTAATAATAATTCCAGTCTACTTGTTTGTTTGCACTCTTGGGTCAGTGCTAGTAATCTTACACACTTAATTGACACTTGTGACATATGCCCATATGCTTAGTTCTCTAATTGTGGTTCTGAAGGGGACTTACTTGGCATATGTAGTTTATATGCATCATCTCAGTCAGAAAATGGGAAGGAATCCAGATGATGATACGAAGTATGCAATGTTATCCTTTGGTGAAGACATTGTTATTGTGTATGGTGTGGCTGGATATGAGGGTTGAGGTGTCAAAGAAGGGCGTTAGTCTTGGAGCCAGGAAGATCTGGATTTTTACATAAGCATATTATTAGCTACCTCAGTGATATTTGCAAACTAACTTTACCTTTCCAAGTCTCAGTTTCTTCATCCATAATGCCTTCTTTGTGAGGTGGTAGTAAACTAAAAGGAAAAAATTTATGTAAAGTTTGAACCTACTTTCTAGAAGACGTGAACAAATTGACTTTGCCTTCATTTGTTTCAGTTTCTTCATCTAAATGTCTAGTCTGTAAGGCAGTAGGAATTGTATGATGAAGTCATTCTGTAAAGCTAGAAACAAACCTTCTAGAAGGCATAGACAGTGTCTAGTCTATAGTACAGTGTTTGGGGCCTAGGGAGTGCTCAGTAGTCATTTGAGTGACTTTAGGCACTTAGGATACTGACAGATATTAAACAAATATTATTTCTGTGATCTTCTTTTTCCAGAGTTCTTTAACTGGTTGAATTACTAGTTAACAATAGTTAATCATCTCAGTTAAGTAACTTTTTCCTTCAGGTCTTATTTTGTACATATATAATATATAATATAAAGTGTTGTTTGTCAATTGTTTTTTTTTATGACTTTTCCTAAAAACATGATTTTACTGGATGCAGTAGCATAAAGAAGCCATTAAAATATTGATAGTTTTTCATAGAAAGGGTAGAACACCAGTTAATATAAAGATTAAGTGTATAGTAAATTCACCCCACCTGTATTATGGTCAAGTCACTAGCATAAAGCTATTAAGTTTTCAGAGATGGCAAATGGGTAGTTATGGAATAAGACTCTTTTTTTTTTGAGACGGAGTCTTGCTCTGTCGCCCAGGCAGGAGTTTAGTGGCGCGATCTCGGCTCACTGCAAGCTCCGCCTCCCGGGTTCCTGCCTCAGCCTTCCGAGTGGCTGGGACTACAGGCACCCACCGCCACGCCCAGCCAATTTGTGTGTGTGTGTGTGTGTGTGTGTGTGTGTGTGTGTGTGTGTGTGTGTTTTTAGTAGAGATGGGGTTTCACCGTGTTAGCCAGGATGGTCTCGATATCCTGACCTTGTGATCTGCCCACCTCGGGCTCCCAAAGTGCTGGGATTAAAGGCTTGAACCACCGCGCCCGGCCGGAATGAGACTCTTACATTTACGTTGAAAAGCATAGGTGCTGGAGTCCATGGTAAGATTATTAGCTGACTACCAAATTTCATTCCTTCTTTTTCCATGGAAACAGTGCCTAAGCACGTGGCTGGCCAGCTAGGCACTATGACTTCCAGTTCCCATTTGAGATAGGTGTGGCCATGTGGCTGAGTTCTTATGAATAGAATGTGAGTGATTTGGCAATTTGTGTCACTTCTGGATCTGTGCTTTAAGATGTTAGTTAGGCTCCATGTTCCTTCCCCGTTCTGCTGGCTGGAACCTCACATGGTTTTGGTCCAGTGTCAACCTTCTGCTGTAGCAGTGTTCTAGAAATGTCAGGGCAGCAAGGTGGAAAGAACCTTGGTTGCTGAGGTCCTGCCAACCTGAAGTGTTACACAAGAAAGAAACTTCTCTGTTGTTTACAACACTGTATTAATTGGTTTCTTTGTTACAGCAGCTTAGTATAAACCCTGCTTGATAGAGAGTCCCATAGAATTTCGTTGACCTGGGCTCTGCCCAGCATTAGCAAAGTGTTTTGAATCTCCAAGCCCCAGGTTCCTCCTGTGTTACATGGTACTATTGTGAGATTATACTATATAAGAGTTTAAAAGTTCAGCATTTAAATATACCAGGGACTGTACTAAGTGCCTTCTATACACTGTCATTTAATGTTCATGACTAAGTTATGAACTAGAAATTATCTGGATTTTATGGATGGGAGCTTTGAGGAATGATGAGTGTAAATTACTTTCCCAAAGGTTTAGAGCTGGTACTGATAGAGCCAGGTTTTTAAAAAGCTCAGACTACCAGACTTCAGAGCTCATACTCTCAAGCAATACCAGTAGCTCTTAGCAAAGTCTTTGGAAAATATTAAGCATTCCATAAGTGCTAATAGTATTATTAATTCTTAGCAAGCATCATGGAGCCCCTGTTATAGGTAAAGTAATGTGGGTTGTGTTTTGGGGACCCTCAGGCTATTTAGCAGGGGACACAGATGTATAGAAAAGTCATCAGAGTACATGTACTGCATGAAAGTTGAAAAAAAGTAGGTTCTCTTTGACAAAAAAGTAATAGAGATCAGTGAATCTCAGAAACTAGATCACCTACCATGCAATCACAAAATATGCCATATTCTACACTGTTGATATTAAATTAATATTTAAGGTCCATACATCACTTTTTAATGGGGGCAGAGTGCGTAAGCCATTTTTACGTATTCCAAGACTTAAGAATATGTCTTGTGATTTCTCTAAGAGAAATTCTCCAGCAGATCAGAAGGATAGAACCCTCAGTGGAAAATGTATGAAAATGATCCATGCTGCCCTGGACGTTCACATATGCCCCCACCCCCACCTCTGCTGTCCCCAACTAGTGAATCCTTCCTAACACATCCAGATGCCATGGTCCCTGATTTTATTGGAATAGGGTAAAAAGTTTAAGAACTGGAAATTCTAAATTGTGTTTCTTTATAGGATAAGAAATCAGTTTTTTGCTCACACACTCTTCCTTCAGGGCAGGAAGACCTTCTCTGACCCACCAATCTGGGTAGCACCTTTCCCTCCTGGTTATTCTCTTTTCCAGAATTCTGTATATTTCCTCCATAGCCCACTTTTTATAATTGTAATGTTTGTGTTTGTTTTTACTGGCACACTGTGTATCTTTTTCCATCTTCACTCTTGATGATAAGTGCCACAATAGCAAAAATCGTATACCCTCCACCAACCAGTGCATGTAGATA
Organism: Homo sapiens; assembly: GCF_000001405.40. Lineage (NCBI taxonomy): Eukaryota > Metazoa > Chordata > Mammalia > Primates > Hominidae > Homo > Homo sapiens. The sequence continues at coordinate 18,305,296 of NC_000007.14, forward strand.
TCCTAGGCCGGTGCCTGACACATAGCAGGTTCTCAATAAACAGTCATCAAATATGAAAATACATGAATAATATTAGGTTTGAGTAAAAGAAAAAGAAATATTGTTAGTTTCCCCACTTTCTCGACTAATTCTGAAAAAGGAAAATGAAAACATGTTCTGGAATAGTTTGCTTCCACTGAAGCTAGAAATCCACATTCACATTTGCTGGTCCTTTCACCTTCTTCCACTGTACCAACCCATATGTGTCCAAAGAAACATAACTCAAAGCTAAATAAAGCATGACTCCCCTTTTATCATCAGGTTTTCTGGTCTGTAAGTCAACCAGAGAAGTAGTAATCTAGAACTGTTTGAATGACACATAGTTCTGTTGTACCCTTGTAGAGCACACAAAGAAACAAAGTTTCTGATCTCTGGGCAGGGGTCTAATAGATGAGAAGACAAGACATATGCATAGCACACCATGTAATATAGAGTGAGTAAAGAGTGCAGGCAGTAATTGCTTAAGGGTTTAGGAAAGGAACTTGGTACAGTGGCCTGGGCTGATAAGGTGAACTTGGAATGGGTTGGTGAAGGGAAGTACTTCCCAGGTTTTGAGGGACTAACTGGAACGAGGAAGGTAACCTGAGCCAAGATGAGTGAGCTAGAACACCAAGATGTATTTTAGTTTGAATTTATTCCCGCCCTCAGCAATTCACTCCCCAGTCCTGAGACATGGAATGAAGTGTAAGTTGTTTATTTGGGAGGAGATCCCAGGAAACTCCAATAGGGGAAATGAGGCAGGGAATGGAAGGCAGCCAAAAAACAATATGTTATCAAGTAAGTTGGTGTGCTAGGTAACTAAAGCTTAATTCTGCTGGGGAACTCTGGAAATCTCTGTACAACAGGCACACAGGGTGAGGAGCTGGGGTATTTCAATACCAACTCCTGAACATCGTTATTAGTTGGGGGCTGCTGTGGGTAGGACTCAGACTATGGGTGGGGATGTTAATTCCTCAGCACTTCTGGCCACTGAAAAATACATCCAATCGTTACAGTTAGAAGTCAATGTCTGGCCAGTGTGTACTGCAGTCGCAAAAGCAAGGAGATATGGGTGGACTGTTGATAGCATCTGCTATGATGTGTTTTCAGAAGTAAATCTGAGTTTTACCCATGCTCCAGAAATATGTTTACATGGTTTTGAAGTAGCAGCCTTTGTAGGAAAGAAAAGATGATAGTAATCTAAGTTTAATTAAGACTGAGTAATATAGGGGTAGTTTGGAATTGACCAATAGATTCTGAAGCCTTCTACACATACTTTTGGTCTCTCTCCAAGTGGTGCTATTCGTGCTGCTGGTAATTACTTTTCTTCAACGCCTTTTGATCCAGGCATTTTCTTGCTTACGATCTTTGGATGGATATTCATGCTGGCAGGATTAAGTCTTAACTCCTCAGACTTTAAGATTTCTACAGTTATTTCAACTGTTTTTCAAGCTTCATCAATATTGCTGAATATAAATTCTTCACTCCAACCAGACTTATTTACTCACACTCCTTTTTGCTTGTGCTATTTTGGATTTGCGAAACACCCCCCACTTACTTAAATTCTTTCCATTCTCCATGTCTGTTTCCAAACTCCCTCATGCAGCCATCTCCCCTGGTCATCTGAGCCAGCAGGCTGAGATCTCACTTCTCTCGTGGACCTCATTCCACAGTTAACATTGTGACATGTATTCTATCTATTAATGTGAAGTTAATTTTTTCTTATGTTATTAAATTTATTGTGTGTTTATATCTTGGCCCTTCAGCTACAGGAGGGCAGTTCTTGTGTGTGTGTGTGTGTGTGTGTGTGTGTGTGTGTGTGTGTGTGTGTTTGTATAGGAGGAGGCAAGAGTATCTTTTTTAAAGCCATACCTCTCAAGTTCAAATCCTGGCTTCCTCATTTATGAGCTTTGAGTCCGTGGGCAAGTAATTGACACCTCAACAACCATGAACATTTATACCTGTTAATCCATGAGTACAAAGGGAGGGCACATAAATGAAAGTTCTGACGTGTATTAGAAAGGTTCTGAATATGAGAATCATCTTGAACACATTGAATTTTGTGAAAATAATGGTAATTGTTCAAGACCATTATAAAAAAATTCATTTCCCCCAAAGTTCTTGTTACCATGTCATTTTCACAAATAAAGTGCTTGCTCTTTCTTAGATTCTAAAACTAGTTTCTAACATTATAAAATCAAAATTATTGCCTGGTGCCATGGCTCACGCTTGCATTCCCAGCACTTTGGGAGTGTGAGGCGGGCAGATCACCTGAGGTCAGGAGTTGTGGGCCAGGCTGACCAACATGGTGAAACCCTGCCTCTATTAAAAATACAAAAATTAGCCAGGTATGGTGGTACATACATGTAGCCCCAGCTACTCGGGAGGCTGAGACAGGAGAATCCCTTGAGCCCAGGAGGCAGAGGTTGCAGTGAGCCAAAATTGTGCCGCTGCACTCCAGCCTGGGTGACAGAGTGAGACTCTGTCCCAAATTTTTTTTAAATTGTAAAATTGAAAAAAATCGTAATTATTATTAAAGTCATAGTAATATTTTAAAAACAATTATCACACATTAACAAAACAGCCGATGTCACTAACACCAAAGGTCAGGGTGTGGAATATATGCACCAATGGTTCTCCATCTGACTAGATATACTTTCCAGGAAATGAAAATACTTGGAAGCTTTTCAAAAAGTTCTAGAAGAAAAACCATTTCTGATACCTACAAATATACATGTATATGAAAGTGTTACAAATATAAAAATACATGTTTTCAAACTCAAATGTAATTTTAAGAACTTTGCCTTAATTTATATTGCCAAGTAGCTTAAACATTTTAATAGTGTCACTGACTGATGTTGATTGTTAAAGACTTCATCCAATTTACGAAGTTGGTTTTAGCAATCTATATGAACTAGGTTAATTAAAATGTGAAATTTGCAAAACCAAGCCTACGTAGAATACTTTTAAACATCAGAAGAAAATAAATCACTGTTGTAGCCTTGTTTCTTTCATAGTTATATAAATTTGCTTAACCATATACAAGAAAAGAACTTTTCTTTTGAGGAAAAGGTACACTCGAACTCTGATCTGTAATTATTTAAGCTTTGGGCACTTCATAGCCTAATCATCATTTGCTGTAAATATACCATACTCCCTTTCAAAATGATATTTAATCTGCATTTAGTACGTGGTATTGGATTTTACATTTCTTAAAGATATATAAAAGTTTTGGTGTACTCAGTAGGTGATTGAAGATGTGCTACTTCATGGAGAAAAATATATTAGGTGTGTCTGACCTGGAAAGAATGTTCTATTAATCTTTTTCTTGTGTCAGATTTATAACAAAAAGAAGTGGAAACTATATTAAGCAAGGATATAAGTTACATATATATATATGTGTGTACGTGTGTATATATATCTGTAGGATATGAAAAGATGTTAGCCATTATATTTTCTCTTATTCTTGCTGTTCTCTAATTTAAACTCAAATTCTGGGGATTCGTATGAGTTTTTATGGGTAAATACTAAGACAGGAAGATAGGGTTTGTTGAATGATCCCTTCTTCAGATCCACTTTATGATGCAGGCTTTACCTGTGTGCATAGATGTAGAAACAGGTCCAGAAACACCAGGGAACCTGAACAAAGTCACATGGCTGGTGAGAGGAGAATTCGTGTCAACTCCAATTCCTTTGGAGAATATATGCAAATTATCTGCTTGTGTTTGTGGAGATCTCTAAGTCAATCCATATTACCCACATTTCAATGCATAATTGTGAGTTTACTGAGACTTTGACCAGAAGTATTGTAAAGCTGAGCTTGTTCTATGGCGTTTGGGAGGAGTTGAAATAAATCATTTCAAGGACAATGAAATGTTCAGCCCAAGGTACACTCGTCCTTGGTTTAAACACCCATTTCCTTTAAGGACTTTCTAATGAGACCTTGTGGATTTTCCAAAAAATATACCGTGCCAGTGGCAGCTTATTCACCTTACTTACATAGTTCGAGGAACTGCTTGTTTAAATTTAGATACTGTCTCTGATGAAATGTTTTGACAAAGTAATACCAGCTTGATACTATTTAAAATATTTTGACAGATGGGAAAATTGTTTCAGTCTGAGTTGAGCAATACTTTATTGCAGTATTTTGTGAGTTAGAAAAAAAATGGTAAAGGTAGCCTCACTGTTCCCCAAAATAACATCCTTCCATTCTCCCTGAGGAGAGAAAGGCCTCTATTCAGTCATAGATTACAGTATGTGTGCTGAGTATGTTAAGAATTCACACAGTTTAAACAAGAGGGAACATTTGGGGACTGTTTCCAAACAGGGAACATTTATTGTTCTATAAGCAAACCGAACCTAAAGAACTTTCGGGAACATTTGTTGTGGTAGCATGTTATCAGAGCCTTCTCATGCCGTGATGAGATTGTTCTCAATTAATAAAACTAAATCACTAGATTTTAAAACTGACTTGGATGAAAAAAAAAGCTCAAATTTACCTACTTCAATATCTAGAGTTTTAAAAAATATGCTATTATAATAAAAAATATTTAAATATTTCACATTAGTTGCAAAGGATGAAATCCAGGTGGTCCTTGTTTGTGATATTAAACAAATGTGTTGAAGCAATGTGGTAGGGCAGTGGTCCTCAAAGTGTGATTCCTGGACCATTAGAAATGCAAATTCTAGGCTTTCTGGTTCAGACACTGGTGCAGCCCAGCCATCTAGATTTTTAACTCGTGTTCCTGATCATTCAGATGCACACTTTAGCTTGATAAGTGCCCAGATAGTGTAGAGACTTTCAAGCTATCCCAAGGCCTGCCAGATTGGAAAGAGGGAGGACTGTGGTGGGGGGGTGGGGTTGGGGGGAATGATCAGGAATGGTTCCCAGGCTTCCCCATGTCCATTTCAACTATGGGAACTTTGATTTTCTGTTTTACGTATCACAGAGTTTTATGTTGGGCTCTGTGACTACACGGTTTTGAAAAACACTGGGATAGATATTTCTTTGGAGGACGATATACCATGGCCCAGAAAATCTTTAGAGAATAACAGCATCTCTGGCTGTGTTCACATCATTTTAGCAATATGTGTGTCCTGAAACTGAATTTGGTCAGTAAAGTAAGAGTTAGCCTGTGTGTCAGTGACAGCCTCATGTTAACCAGTCTCCTAAGGAACACATGTACAAATCAGAAATGCCAGTTGTATTTTTCTAATTACAATCAGAGGCATAACAAAAAATTATGCATACACTCACGTTTAACTTCTCCTGATACTCGCACTGTGCACAAGTTAACATTTAGAGTTGGGAATATCCCAACAATCCCTTGTCCAGTGATTGAATTGTCCATGATACCAATTCAGGCCTCCACCTTTGATATATACCTGCAGGTGTGACATAGACATCATACAGCATTGTTAACTTACAGCTATAGAATCAGGGGAAAGAGAAGTTGACATTTTCTACAGATTTTTATCAACTTGTACAAATCCATTACACACACACACACACACACACACACACACACACACACACTCTCTTACTAAATTGCTGAGGGCCGCTAAATTCAGTGTCTTTCTGAACCATGTTATACAAATCTACTCTATTATCTCTTTCAAATTTCTATTTCTAAAAAAAGTTATATATTATTGATGGTTATTTATATAGATTTTTAATATCATTAATTAAATTGTAATAAGATCTTTATGTTAATGTAACTTTTTGCTCACATCAATTTTATATTGATATTATTTGTTTACCTCTCAGTTCTGGAGAGAGGTGATGATGATGATGATGATGATGACAAAAATAGGTTACTGTTTTTATAACAAGGATTCTGCAGTTAACATTTAGAGGTCTTACACAGTACCAAACAGTGTTCTAAGTATTTTATATTTATTAATACTTTTTATTCACACAGCCTACTTATGACAAAAGCCTTTAACCTTTTGAACATAACCCCCAATGAAAAAATTGAGATTTGGTACATATATACTTCCTTTATGTATATATTGTATATGATTAGGAAAAGAAATAATGAATCAACTTTTATTATATCTAATAACTTGTGAGTTTTTATTCCCTTCCATTTTATTATGTTTAATTTCAGTTTTAAAAGTCCAGTTGAGATTCAGAAAATTGATTTCATTACTCACATTAATAGTCACAGCCTGCAGAATAAAAAATTGTGCTATCAGATAGATAATATTATTATTTATATTTTACAGATGAGGAAATAGGCACAGAGAGGTTAGGTTAGTTGCCCAAATTTACATAATGAGTGGCAAATCCGCAGTTCAAACTTAGGTAGTCTGTCTCCAAAGCCCTCGCTCATAGTACTATATTCTGTCTTACCTAGTCAGCTCCTTCATATTCTACTACTGTCAAGGAGGGATGAACCAAATGGGGAATGTTTTTCTCCCAAATATGGGGACAATATAGTGACAGCCTCAAATTTTCTAAATAGAAGGATTTAGAGATGAAGGAATGGAGACTGGCTGTAGACTGGCGTTAGAGCTACTTTTCCATTTGAAGGCATCCTTTTATTTAGGATGTGTGTTTGTTTTAGGAAGTATTTGTAAAGAGGCTGATGGAGATTACTGTGGGGGGAAATGGCTTTTGCCACTGAACCACCCTCTTGGCACTACCACGGGAAATTTATTTTAAACAATCTAAAGAACAGTAGGTGGAAAAGATGTGTACCCAGATTATGTGGACCTTCCTGGTGAATGAGGAGAGGACAAAGTGATTGTAGGGCCTATTGTCCTGACTCCTTCTAGGGCATACAGTTAGAGGTGCAGGACTGCTACCATGGCTGCATATTTTTGAACACAGACATATTCTTTCCCTGGTGCTTTTAAATGTGATTTAAAAATATGTGTCAGATGAGCAGGCACAAAATGCAAAGATAGGAGAGCCATACAGTGAAAAATCTATTTCTCCATCTTTTCCTTGGTTGTCTCTCTTTTCTCTCTCTTTCCTAGAAACAATCACTGTTGTCTCTTTCTTGTGTAGCCTTCCAGAATGCTATGCTGTGTGTGTCTGTGTGAGTATCTGTAGTAAACATTAAAATATTACTACACATTTTCTGTGCCTTGAATTTATTCCTCTTATTTTATGTTTCAGATTTTGTTCCACATGTGGAAGTGCCTTGTGCCTCCTTTTTCACTGCTACATAGTAGTTCATTGTGTGGGTTTTCCAAAATTAATTTAACAGATCCTCTGTTAGAAGACATTAGGTAATTTATAATCTCTTGCAAGCCTGATTATTTTAAATTTAAATTACACCTAGGGTTCTGAGTCCTCTATATGGTCTTTTATTCTTAGCAGAAGCTTCACAACTCTCTGGGTCTTCAGCAGGGACTGATAAAGATCAAATTGTTGAATTAGGTCAGGTTTGTGTCAGGAAGTTGCTTGATCTCAGTTTTCTTAGATGGCTATTTTTAGCTTGTGAACAGTAATCATGGTAAGAAATCTTTGTATCTTGCCCTAGACAATCTTCTCTTGGAAAATTAAAGTGGCCCCCTTTAAAAGATTTAAGAAATGCAATTTGCTAACAGTTTAATGGGTTTATTAGGGACTTTGAGGGTATATTTCTAGAAGGAGAAATATTTTTGTTTCTCTGAAAGTTCTAGCTACTTTATTCTCCATAGCCCTTAAAAACTTTTCAGATTTGTCTTCCTATAATTCGTAGAGATTTGGAAAATTAGACATAAGGCACCTGTTTTCTTAAATGCATGGTTACCTATTCCTTTGTCCTATCCTTTCAAGACAATTCTGGGAACAGTTTGTTCAGCTTTACGAAGAAAACATTTCTTCATCACCTGAGTTTTCGGTCACCCATGAATTCTAAGAATATTTTAGCTGATTTCAGGGAAAAAGTATTCAATATTAGTGATTGATAATTATATGAAAAATAGACCAGTAAAGCAATCAAGTGGAAACTTGGTAGAAATGTATAGATAAGTGACCTGGTCCATTCTGCATTTTTCTGATTCAATTATATCCACAGTAACTCAGAGATAACAAAATTGGTGCTATGTAGCAAATAATCTGAAGAAAATAATGCTATAAATTCTTTCAGAAGTGATTTCAGAATTTAATATTTTCCTGTCAGGAGATTTATGACCTGACACTGAGAATTATTAAGGCTCAGATCCAAATACTTAGTTCATTTTCTCTTGCTCAGCATTTAGTAAAGATGTGGAACACACTAGTCAGATACTGGTTAGTCAAGCTCGGAATTCAGGATTTCATATCCTTGTCACCATGTGTGAACTTTGGAATATTTGGATTTTAATATATGCAAATGCTTTTATAATGTGTGATGTGTTAGGTGAAAATTATTGCACACACTAACAATTTAATTTAAAATGCTACTCTTGAATATTTTATAAACCACTGGAATAATAACATAGCCTTAATGAATATAAAACTGTTTCTTCTTCCTTTGTTAAATCATGTGGGCTGCATTCTACTTAATACACTGCCTCAATTTATCCTTTTGTGCTAAGATTTTAAGTTAAAATAGAAAATAAACAATAAATCAAGTTGGACTGCAATCATGTTCACTTGGGAAATTTCACTTAGAGACATTTGATATATTTTTGGAGGGATTTCAGGGATCTACATTGGTTAAGTTGAATCTGTAATTTGGTTATACATAAAATTAAAGTTAATCTAAGTGGACAGAATCAATACTCTTGTGAGTTTAATTAGATGGCCAGCTTCCAAGCAAGAGATTATTCTTTTTACTATCCTCCTATCCTCTTTCCTTAGGCAGCAAAATAATTCCTTTGCCAAAGTATGTTGGACAGTTCCCTGGTGACAAGTTCTATAGAAACTCATAGCTATGCTGTTAGCAATGTGAGACAGAAGGGAGGGATATGTGGGTGAGGAGGCCATTGTATTCTAGAGATAGTAATAAGCCTGCCTTATCTCCAGATCATAGCCCAGCCAAAGGGATAGTGTCCCATTTGCAGAGGATCTGCAGTCACTGTTTCTAAACCAAACCTATAAAACAGGATGGTGTTTCTTTCAGGCTGAAAAATCCCAAGACAGAAAAACAGGAAAAGTCGGGGAGATAAATTATAAATTAGACTGGACTTGCAGTGTGAGAATCCTGCTATTAATAGTTACGTTTGATATGAGATGCCTGGAAATGTGGCAGTAAATTGGAGTGAGGTTTTATTTCAGGTAATAACTTTCCTTTTATCTCTGTTGGTGCATTGGCAAGAAAATCTAGAAGAGTTTTAGGAGGACTGGATGCTATAACCTTCATTGTTCTTATATGTTCAGTGTCATACGCAGGCTTTTACTTATTGAAGAGTAAGTTATTTACAGTGTTTTAAGAGTGAGATTTTATTCTAGCTCCGTGAAACAAAACAACTGGGTTGAGTTGTCATGGTTGATATTACAGAAATTATTTGATGAGTAGATGCATTTTTAGCAATAAATTTAAAATAGGTTTAGTAATATTTAAGCTACATGATTGTATTTCTAACTTTGTGGCTGTCTTTTAAATAAATGAAGTTTGAAATTCGTGTTTTATATTTCAGATTTTTATTCTTCATGTTGCACCATCACAAATAAATATGTGTTAAGTAGTTAATATGAGCAAGGAACAGTGAGAAATAAAGATCAGTAAGAAAGGTTCTGTCTTCAATGGTTCGCAGCAACGTGGTTGAAAAACCTTGGCAAGAGTACATGAACTAAATAATATTAACCACACACAGGTTGTGATCTGATTGTAGGTATTAGGCAGAGTATCAGAACAGAATGCATTTCTGTAATCCTCATGTTAAAGAAAATGGATTCTTTTCTTTTTATAAGACTAATGATGACTAATATAAGACTAATAAGAATAAACCAACTTTTATTGTTCTGTTTCCTATACCTTATTGTAAAATTAATATTTATTGAGCACTTAGTAGGGGTCAGGCATTCACTGTTCTGTGTTTACCATATGTATGAATTCCTTTAGTCCTTAACATCTCATGAGGTGGGCATGTTATGATCGTCCCTTTAGAATATATAAAGGAACTGAGGCACAGCGTGGCTCATTAGCTGCTCAAGGTCACAGAGCTCATAACTTATGAAACCAGGCTGGTAAAACAAGCTGCAGGACTTGTGAGTCAACACTCTTAACCTCTGTGCTTTATACTTTCTCTCATTTCACTGCATATTAGTTAACACCTCTCTGCTGTAAGCCTAAATAGATGTCCAATTTGCACTAGGAAAATACAGGCTTTAGGCTAGGATCAGAGACTTGAAATTTATTTCTGTAGAAAAGGATGAGTTATTTTGATGTAAGTATTCACAGCACTACATAATTTAAGTGATTAAATTCATCCCCCTTTGGTGAGGTTGGGGGGAGTTTCTAGGAGAATGACACCCTCACCTTTGGATGTTGAGAGATGCATATTTATGGAAGTGTGCATTTCCTCTACCTGCTCAGTCTAAACTGACTTTCTTCCTGGACAGATCCTTGTGATGATGACTTCTGTCACAGATCACAAGAGAGCCAGTCACAAACTGGGTGTCTGCACTGAAGAGAGTCCTTTAGAGACTGAGTGTCTGATGGACCTGTGTTTGCAATTGTCTTTTTCTATTTATGTGACTTCGGAAAGTTACTACTGAGTTTTATTTCTTCTTCTCCTTAAAATGGTAATGATAAAAGTGAAAATACCTAGCTCATAGGGTGGTTGTGAGAATGAAATCTGAAAACATCTATAAGCACCCTAGCTGCATAAGAGCTATACCAGTTTTTCTCAAAATGTTAAGTACCTGTGAAGTCATCTGGAGATCTTTTTAAAATGCAGACACTGATTCATTTTATTTAGTTGATCTAGGGTGAGGCCTGAGATTTTGCATTTCTAACAAGCTCTGAAATGATACTGTGCTGGTTCAAGGGCCACACTTTGAGTCACAAGGTCCTGCACAATATGCATAGAAGAAATGTTCCTATTAATAGGAGCTGTTAAAGTTTGTATTAACAGAATATTTCTGTTGATAACTTTGCACTCAGTTTGGGGTTGTCTGCTGAAATATGTACATATAATGTATAAGTATTGAGAAATATGGCATTTAGAATCTTTTCATTGGGAAATAATGCATTCTATAATGGTTTTGTGCTGCATTGTGACAAAAAATAAATTTGGAGTCCTCTTTGGAATAAGATTCCATTAAAAATTCACCCATGTTGCCAGGTACGGTGGCTCATACCCATAATCTCCGTACTTGGGAGGCCAAGGCACATGGATTGCTTGAGCCCAGGAGTCTGAGACCAGCCTGGGCAACATGGCGAAACCAGATCTCTCCAAAAAAAAAAAAAAAAAAATTGGCTGGGTGTCATGGCGCACACCCAGCTACTCAGGTGGTGTATTCTCAGCTACTCAGGAAGCTGAAGCAGGAGGATCGCTTGAGCCCAGGAGTTGGAGGTTGTGGCGAGCCAAGATTGTGCCATTGTATTCCAGCCTGGGTGACAGAGCAAGCCTCTGTCTCAAAAATAAAAAATAAGAAAATAAATCCAGCACTTTGGGAGGCCGAGGCAGGCAGATCACGAGGTCAGGAGATCGAGACCATCCTGGCTAACACAGTGAAACTCTGTGTCTACTAAAAATACAAAAAAATTAGTTGGGAATGGTGGCGGGCGCCTGTAGTCCCAGCTAATAGGCAGGCTGAGGCAGGAGAATGGCGTGAACCCGGGAGGCAGAGCTTGCAGTGAGCCGAGATGGCGCCACTGCATTCTAGCCTGGGCGACAGAGTCAGACTCTGTCTCAAAATAAATAAATAAATAAATAAATAAATAAATAAATAAATAAATAAATAAATAAATGGCGCCACTGCACTCCAGCCTGGGTGACAGAGTGAGACTCTGTCTCAAAATAAATAAATAAATTAATTAAATTAAAATAAAAATTCAGCCATATTAAAAGACTCATGAGTGTAGTAATGAATGAAAGATGTGATTGAGTAACTTTGTATCATATGTTTATTTCTAGCAGCCAGATTTTCTTGACTAAAGCTATAATTAGTCATGGCTCTCTGATTATTCTAAAAAGTGAATTTATTATCTTGAGGGCGTTGCTCTTAATATATTTTGAATAATAAAATGCTGAAATTAAGTATGCTTGACTTGTGTCTGATAAATTTGAATCTTAAAACGGACTTTTGAAAATATAGGAAGAAAAACTGTATAGGAATATCCCGTCACTTGTAATGTTGACAAAAATAGTAGAACCTATGACTCACGTATGTATTTCCCAAACGTGAGTTGAGTAACTGGCTCCAGTTGTTACTGATGGCATGCCGTGCTTGTGCCATATCTGTGTTCTCTGATAACTGCTAAATCAACTGCTGCCTAAAGTAGTGTCAAGGCAGTGAAAAGCCTCTGGCCACCTGTGGAATTGTTTCGGGGGATGGGACTTTCTACTTTGGGGAAAATCTGTAAATCTATGGTGTAAGGCAATCCTTTGTGTTTTGTTTCTGTTAGACTACTTTTGTGTTACCAAAGTAGTCTAACAGAAATACTTAGTAGTCTAACAGAAATCCGTGTTGCCAAAAGTTCTTCATAAATTTTATTGCTCTGTCTTGCATAAATGGCCTGTATACAGGCTCTTTAAAATGGTTGGTAAGAGTGGAAATGGGAAGAGAGTCTTGCCCTACTTAAACTCCAGAAAATATGATAATGGTTGCCTGTAGGAGCTCTGACTAATCATATATTTTTTGATGACATGTGCTTGCCATCAAAACAGCATCAAAGAGAGAGGAAAAGAATTATATCAGAGCCTGGTTCATCCCAGTGTCCTGGCCTCCTAGGGAGGTGTTAGAATGGGATGGTTTTTTACTTGCAGCTGCAAGATACGCCAGCATCTCTTGGATCAGAGCCCTTCGTGAAGTAAGGGAGAATTACAATAGGACTGTAGCTCAGGCCAAGGGATTAATAGAAAGATTAAATTTTGTATGTTTTAATTCAATACAAAAATGCTACATAAACATCTGCCTTTTTAAAAAATATGAAATCCTTTCCATCTTGGTGATCAGCTTGATCAGCAACCACACCTCACACTTACTGTTTTCAATAACAAATGGAATGCAGATGGCATTTGTTTCAACGATAACTACAGACAGCAATAACTAATGAATAACTTCAGTGATACCTGGAGTCACCTGTGGAGATGGTGAAAATATTTAGAACTGACAATTCCTACTGCATTCATGGAAAAAGAAGTAAAGTGGAGTGGGGCCTCAGCATCTGGATTTTTAAACTGTTCTATTGTTGATTTGAATCAATTCATCATGAATTAGCAAGTTGCTAGTAAGTAGCATTAACTACTGATGATGATCAATTCTTTTCTTGAGAGACGAAGGCAGTAAACTATTACAGAGAAGGTCTGTGCTTTGGCTTCAAAGAGACCTGGGTTCATACTTTGGGTCTGTCACAGAATTATGTGAAATACCTCTTTTCCTCTGTTTCTTTATGTGATAAGGGGGGATAATACTCCCTATATCATAGGGTGGTGGAGGTTAAATGTAAAAACATAACGACTAGTATAGTGCTTAGTACATTACAGACTTTTGCTCCTCAAAGTCTCGCCCTGGGATCAGCAGTATTTGTATCACAGCAGATAGATCCAAGAAATGCAGTATCTCAGGCCCATTCCAGACCTCCTCAGTCAGAATCTGCATTTCCGGGGGATTCCTCTGTAACCTGTAGTGTGACAAGCACTGATACAAACAAACGTTAAATGTTTGTTAGCGTAGTAGCATTTACCGTAATTGTTGATTGCTTTTACAGTTCTGAGCTGATAATCTTAAAAACGCCATGATGGTTGAAACAAAAACACTTCGTGGTATTTATTTTCTGGTATTTTCTTTTTATTCATACTAACTAGAGTAGTTTCTGTTGCTGGTGAAGATTTGTTTGGGGTTCAGTAAAACTTTCAAAATCGCCTTTCAGATCTTAAGTATCTTTTAGTTATCTCCTTCTTTTTGTGTTTATGCATTTAAACATAAACTATAAAGCCAAAATGCAGTTTAAAATTAGGCACAATGTATCTACAAATAAAAGCTCATCTAGCAACCAATAAAATGGAAACTTGCAGATTCCCAGCCAGATTTTAAAAATCAGATCAAATATTTGGAAACTATGTTATTTGTTGACGCCTATAAATTTAAAAATAAGTCAAACAAATCTGCTATTCTTGCAAAGCCTAAATTTTATGAGTTCCCCATCATTATTGGAATGAGAAATTGCCATTGTAAACTCTGTGCTAAATTTACTTTCTTTTTTGACTTTTAAAACTCACCAATATATTGCTTGTAATTTAGCTCTGACAAAAACATAAAAAAGGCTAAATTTAAGAGGCACTTCTGTTGTGTTCCTCAAAAAAATTTTTAGCCATCCAACTTATGTATTTGTCATCTACAGCTAGGCTTAAATATTATTGAAATTATTGAAGGCTTTTGAAAGTTTCTTTGCAGTTGTTTAAAATAACAGCTTTGCCATTAATGGCAGGCAATCACAACATTCATCCAGTATTTTGATTTTTTTTTTCTTGGAGCACAAACTGAGTGAGAAAAGTAATTTTCTTTTTCACATATAGAATCTATTTTAGTTACTCTAGCAGGTTTTTGTTGTTGTTGATGACCAATTTTCAGGTCCAAATGTTAACCTTAACAATTCACAAGGGGTGGTGGGAACTAAAGATTTTTTTTCACTCTCTAGTCCAACTTACTTCAGCACCTGCTAGTCACTATAGGCAGCCTGACTTTTAACAGGCTCATCAGCAAATCCGTGGATGAAATGTCTTGAGGACATTCAACCACACTGAGGGGCCCAGTGATCATCAAGGATGCTTGCAGTAGCAGCCTATTAACTTCCTTTTATCTGCTTATGAGATTAATTTGGGTTGATCAGATACTTGATTGTACTGTATTTTTCTCCCTTCCTGTACTCTGTGGTTGATTTCTCATTAAATCCAGTGGTGACACCTCCACAAGGCTTCGAAATCTGTCTTTAACTTCCAGCTAATGGAGGAGCTTGCTGTGAATAGTACAAGCTCTTATTTTTCAGGACAGTAATAATGACTGAGGGAATAAAATCCTTTGTACCGGCTCTCCTGTCCAACCTTGAAAGATGTGTTGCTGCAGGATCGGTGGCTCTTCAGAGTATCCCTTATTGTCAATCACGTTAACTAATCACCAGCAGAGGACTCTTGAATTTGGCAAACTTGGGATTTACTCTTTAAAAGTGCTGTTAGCTCATGGAACTTGAAGGACCTGTCATTCTTTCTGCTGACTCATTTTTTATTCCTTCATTGTGCTCTGGTATATGAGGAGGAAGGGATCTCTATTTTGGTAGATATAATTATGTCCTTTAGTGAATTTCTGAGTGAGCAGATAAGTCTGACATTTCCTCCCACTTTGTTTCTCTCCTTGGACACCCCCCACCCCAGTTGTCACAATAGTGTTGTGGAAAGAGCACTGGGCCGGGGGTAGACCCTATTTGCTTGGCCCCTGCTCTGCCTGTGGCCAGCTGTGTGACCTCAAGCAGTCCCATAAACTTTTTAGGAGAACTTTCCAATTGTCCACTTTCCAGCACATTTATCTAAGTCATGGTTTAGAGGAAGAGAGAAGAGAGAGATAATTAAGGAAATAACTAGTATTGAGAATAAAAATATTTGTCTTAGGTTGAACATATGCAATCGCCATTTTTGTAGGCTACGTATTTTCATAGAACTTGACCAAATAGGTTCCTCTATCCACACCTCAAGGCCTAAGGACTCTAACATATGTAAGGCAAGTTCTATAGATGTGTCAGAAATTTCCCTACTCAAGTCAGATCTGGCTTGAGTCCACCTAGTGGAGGAGATGGAAATTGTTCTTAGTATTTACAACTACTTTTTCTATCTCTTCCCTTACATATTATTCTCTCTCCTCCCTGGTTAACTCCAGACCTTCAGAACCTTCATACTCTTTCCATCCTATCCATTCATCATTAGTTCATCTACCTTATTCATCTCCCTACTTGTTTCACATGTGTTTTTAATACTTACCATATTCCATGTACCACACAAGAGAAAGGAAAAAGGTGAGCTAGAGAATGGTCATAAACTCAATAACAGGCCATTCTAAATAGGTGATATGCCTTTATGTTGCTGAAGATACTCCATTTTAACCACAGAATCATTTTATATGCTTTTTAAAAAAATGTTTGTGTTATTGTGGAATTACAGGAATAAGAAAATTACATGGGAAAGTGGTTTAGTTCAGAAATTGTACATATTGGTGAGGTTTGGAAAGACTGTTCCTTTATATACTGTGCCTTTTTGAAGAAGGTTCAAATTCCTGTCTGATTTTAGGTAGCACATGAATAATTGCCTTATTAGCTTTTCTTCTCTTTCCTGAACTAAGCCAAGTTCCAATCAAATTGTATAGTGTGCCCCAGATGAGACGCGCCCTGGTGCACAATAGAACCATATAAATGTTGTTATCCACTTCTTTTAAATTGGAGAGCTGTAACTTTTTTGTAGCTTTGAATATTTCATTTAGAATTTATATAAAAAGTAGGGCAGAAATCGAAATATTTCTGCTTTCCATTATGTATTCGCCTCATTTTTAGAGAGATATTTAACATTTCAAACTAGTTAAATTTATTTTACTCTTCTTTGAGGTGAGAATGCCTTTGAGATTTCTAGTGGAATAAATGTAAAGCTCCCATGTCACTCGGCCTTCTCAGGTCCTTTCTCTCTTATTTGAACCATCTCCTGACAATAACATTTAGAACAATATCATCTACATGTAAAGCCTGTATTAAAGTAATCCCTTCTTCACTATCGATTTAGCAGCATTAAACACTGTTCATCTGTAAAGCTGGGGCACAATCAGAAAATTATTTTTTCTAGTCCCATACTTTAGGATATGAATGTGAGCATCACAATTTGAATTACTTGGCCTGTTTCTTTTTCATAATCACAAACTTTGGGCATAAGAGAAAGATTTTTGGATGTTGAGAAAGGGATATTGAGTGTAACTGTCATGGTTCTAAGCTATCACAGAGTAACTAATTTTTGTGGATTACCATATCAGATATCACAGAATCCATTTTACCTCCAAGAGTATAGTTAGATACATCTTTGATTTGTCAGTGAGAATAACTTTCAAGGCTTACTTAATGGGAACGTATCATTTTGATATACCGCGTCCCTTATCTTCTACTTAGCAAGAGATTATTATTTCCATATTGAAAGGATCTAATTCTATAGACAGACGCAGAATGTTTTTTGTTTGTTTCCACCTCTACAGTATGCTGGTGAGGATCATGCTGATTGCCGATTGGCAGGGGCATCCAAGGTGGTTTTCTTGTTAGGTGCACAGGAGAAGAAAGCAGACAGTCATGGATAATAGTAAGCCGACATTCGAGAACAGGATTGAAGGCAAAGTGTGGGGTCACTGTAGGAGAGAGAAAAATAACAGTTAGTTTCAAGATGAAGAAAGAAGCAAGAATAATGTCCCCTTGGGAGAAAAATACCTCCAATAAGCATATGGGAAATGAGAAAGGATTCATGAGGGGAAAGGAGGATTCTGGGAAGGGCTGGGAAGTTGGCTTGGGGAAGAAAAGGTGCCTGGTTTAGAGAAGGGTGTCAGGATGGAGAAAGTATGACAGGGAAAAGAACTCCATTACTAAAGGGTGGATGCCATTTTAAATAATGTCAACCTCAAGGATGGTTGGCCCACTTCTGGAATGAATAGCATCAAAGGTTTATGTGTTATTTATCCTTTCTTAAGGCCTCCTCATGTTAGAAAGTAGCAAACCTACTCTTCTAGATGCTCAGGCCCATAACCTTGGAGTTATCTTTGAACCCGTTCAGTCTCCCAGACTCCATATCCACTGATTTCCAGTTCTTTCTTATTGGCTCTACTAGGGAAAATATATCTAGACCCACGACTATTTCTCACCACCTCCATTGCTACCTCCCTGGTCCAAAGCTCTATTCTCTCTGTCAGATTATTACAGTAGCCTCTGACTTGTTGGCCCAGTTCTTGGCTTGGGCCTTTGTTTCCATATAGACTATTCTCAACACTTTAGTGGAGAGTCACACCTCTCAAAGGGATACACACCTCACCCACAGTGAAAGCTCCAGTCCTCACTATCTCTCATGAAGCCCAAAGTCAGGGCTTCTCACCTGGGGGCACATTAGAATCCTCAGGGGATTTTTATAGACATGCTGATGTCTAGGCTTTAACAAATTTGAATCCCTGGAAGTGGAGCCTAGAGGCATTGTATCTTTTAAAAGCTCCCATGTCCTAAGTTTTGGGGATCAACAATGAATAAGACCTAGTTCCAAGTCTTAAGCTTTTGACACCTGACCAGGGACACCCACCCTGGTAACTGTAATAGTCTTTGGTGAGTACCAAGAAGAACAAATTGCTGGGGAATCTCAGGAAAAGTCAGGTGTCTTAGTCTGTTTGGGCTGCTGTAACAAAAACACCATAGACCACTTGACTTTAACAACATACAGTTATTCTCACAGTTGTGGAGCTTGGGAAGTCAAAGATCAAGGTGCTGACAGATTCAGAGCCTAGGAAGGACCTGCTTCCTGGCTTATGGTTGTTTTGTTTTTTTTTTTTTTCACTTTGTCCTCATATGACTGAAGGGGTGAGGGAGTTCTATGGGATCTTTTTTATAAGAGCACTAACCTCATTCATAAGTCTCAGCTCTCATTACCCAATCAGCTTCCAAAAGCCCCACGTCCAAATACAATCACACTGGGGATGAAGCTTCAACATATGAATGCTGGGGGCACATAGACATTCAATCTATATCTCCAAAACTACACAAAGTGGAGGGGAGTCAAAGAAGTGGCATTTTTCTGGACTTTGAAGGATGAGGAAGGCTTTCCCTGAGAGAGGAGAGAAAGTGCAGTCAAGATGACCTCATTTATTATGGCTACAAAATGCTAGTAGGAACCATGCTGATGTGATTATAGAAGAAGCTTTCAAATTAGGCAAACCCCGGTTCAATTTCTTGGCAAATTACTTCACCTCTTAGTGTCTCAATTTTCCTGTCTCTGAAATGGAGATAATCATAGTACCAGTCTCATAGGGATGTAAGAATTATCAACTGTCTTTGGCATATTGTAGGTACTTCATAATGTTAACTTTCTACAATAGCTAATTAGGCATTTCTCTCAAAGAAAAGTAAAGGAAATAGCTTTTAAATGGCTTACGGTTTTTCTTGGGTGCTGTATACCCTTGCTACTCACAATGTGGTCCTCACACCAGCACGGGCAGCAGTTGGCAGAAATTGCAATGCCTCACTCAGGGCCCATTGCGGAACTACTGAACAGAATCTGCATTCTAATAAGATTTATCCCCCAGATGATTTGTGTGCACATTAAATTTGAGAAGCATTATTGTAGAGCATAAAAAGGTGAGCAAGAAATAGCTCTTGCCTTTGTGGTGCTTAGAGGTCCCTTTAATAACTTTAGCATTTACAGAAATAATTATAATGCAGGGTATAATGTGATAAATGACATGAGACGTCCTCACCAAATACTAAAATACAGCAGATTGTTTTAAGCTCCAGTTGAAAATAGTATAAAGTTCCTTTTCTCTCTAATAAGGTATGAAAGTTCTTAAAGTTATAATAAGCCCCCTTCCCTTTCTGCCATCCTTCAATTGCTGTAAACCATAGAGCTTATTGAATATCTAAGCAGAGAGCTACATCTGTTTATGCACATTGGGAACAATTGACCAACAAGTACGAGTTGAATCCGTTGCCTGAAATAAAAGGCACAAGAAGTACTAGAAGTTAATAAAAAAAGACCCAATAGTTTTGTCTATGAGATGAAGTAGACTATCTAGAGAAAGATCAAGGTTAAGATAAGCATGTGAATATAAATATTAGTTTCCTTAATTTTTGATGCTCAGCGCTTTTCAAAAGAAAACCCTATTTTTTAAATATAACAGCAATGAATAAAACAAAAAGAAGTCTTCAATTTCCCCAGTTGACATTATGATCAAAATATCAATTTAATAATTATCCTCCTTTTAATAGGACTGATTTCATCTTGTCAAGTTTACCATTACAAGTTACTAGAACAGCCAGAGTAAAGCAATTT
Source organism: Homo sapiens (assembly GCF_000001405.40). Classification (NCBI taxonomy): domain Eukaryota; kingdom Metazoa; phylum Chordata; class Mammalia; order Primates; family Hominidae; genus Homo; species Homo sapiens. The sequence goes on from NC_000007.14 coordinate 18,325,441, forward strand.
GAGTTCCATATAGTCACCACAATGTAATTATTATTTTTGAAATTAATTTTGCCGTTTTCTTTTTGTTTAAGAAATGAGGTCTTACTGTGTTGCCCAGGCTGGTATCAAACTCCAGTGATCAAGTGGTCCTCCTACCTCAGCCTCCCAAACAGGTGGGATTACAGACACACAAAATTTTCAAGTTTGGGGATATTTAACTTCAGTTCGTGGTAAAAATCACATGGTCTAGTGTAATCTAAGCAAAAAAAAATAATAAAATAAGTGTTTCTGTCACTGGCTGTAAATAATGGTACAGTCATGTGATAGACCATATATATGATTATAATATCATGTTTTTAAAGTACCTTTTCTATGTTTAAATACATAAATACTTATACCTGTGTAACAGTTGCCTCCAGTATTCAGAACAGTAACATGCTCTACAGGTCTGTAGCCTAGGAACAATAGGCTATACCAGATAGCCAAGTTATACCATCTAGGTTTGTGTAAGTGCACTCTGTGATGTCCACATGAAGATATTGCCTGACAATCCATTTCTTAGAATGTATCTCTGTTGTTAAGCCACACATCACTGTATTTAACCAAAGTGAACACATTCTGCTGGGTTTTGTTCTTGATACACGTGTGTAAAATTATCACTTTTCAGGTGATACATTAGACCAATGATATTCTGACACAGCAGAAATGAAATTATTCATAGCAAATTACATTTAATATTTTCTGTTTTTAATAAATGTAAAGATCTGTTATTGTCTTATTTCAAGTTTCATTTTTGCTGGCAAAAGGTTTTGGCCTTTACTTTCAAGAACTTAACTTAAAGTGAAATTCCCTACATTCTTCAAATAAGGTATGCTTGAATAAAAGCATCTAAAAGAAAGTGTTTTTTTATAAATGACAACATACTTAGGAATTTTTACAATTTGTTTGGGGCAAAAATTGTTTGAAAGAAGTAGATGTTGGATAACACATATTCAGAAATATTTATATTATTTTCTTGGTTATTTTATGCTATTGGAGTAGATGCTTCACTTCTCTATAGGAATTACCAATTCTCAATTCCTCTTCACCACTTATATATTTTTGATTTTGTCCCAAATAGCCAAACATGCTGCCATAACTTCTGAGCTCAGAATGAAGGATCTGATTAGGAAAAGCAACATGTTAACAGTGTACATGCTCCATCTATAACTGTGATGAATGTATACTTTGGATTTATCATCACTTTTAAATTATTGAGATTTTTAAAAACTCTATTAGTGCTAGCTAAGACTTGTTTACTGCATGGGCTATGTTGTTTTGGTGCACATCTATCTTTGTAAGCTATTTCTTTCTAGAAGCTATTTCTTTCTACCTTTTGTACAGGGTAGAAACTTTGCAGAAATCCGAGGTCTTCAGAGTTAGAATTCAGGGGAGAACTGATGATGGGTAGTCTATTGATGGGTTAAGTCCTGAAGGTTATTCAGGTAAACATGAACCTTTCCCCTGAATACCTTATTTTCTGTCATTTCATCATTATGATTTTGGATGCCTCATTACATCTGTAAAAGCAATTAAGAGTTGAAGGAATTCTTTTTTTATAGTTCCTGTCTGCTGATGACCCATTAATGTCCATATAGATATATTATAAAATATTTATAAATGAATACTTACATTGATTTTTATTTGAGCTGGTTTTACATTTGACTTATTATTTATTGGACTATTTAATTTAGTAAGGAAACACCTCTTTTTCATTTTTAATTAGTGCATGGAAGGCTTATAAGATTAAAAATAGTTGTGTTTAGGGAAATAAGCTTATTTCTTATGATGAGCAGTTACCTACTATAGATTATATTTAATCTGGTAACTAAAATATTATTATTTTTTAGTTTACATATCAGAACCTAGATATAATGGCCAGAAGATGTAATGCTATAATATAGTTAATTTGCAGTAATAATCACATTTTCAGTAAATATTTGTTAGAACTATATGAAATTGCTGATAATTGATCATTTCTGACCTACAGATATGACAGCTGCATAGATTCAACCTACTATGAAAAGCCAAAACATGGAATATTACACTAATTAAACGGTTACACAACAGAACATGGAATGTGCGACACTTCATCTTGGGATGCAAATTTTTGTGCTAAAAAAAACTGAGAAAAACAAAAAGAAAAACATGTATTTCTGAGGAACTTGTTTTTATATCTGGCATAAATGAGAAAAAGCTAATTAAAACTATTAATTATCAGAAAATTGAAGATAAAGTTGAAGAGCCTATACCAACCAAAGTTGAATAAATGGCAAAATATAATATAGATGAGTTACTCTGAAATAATTTTTTATTTCCTACTATCTAACTTACCAAACTTCCTGATTTTAATTACATAACAATTTTTTGGTTATTTTAATATTCATTTGGTACTTATTTCCTTTTTTATTGTTATAGTATTAGATGAAATCATAACATCAATTTGCTCCTTTGTAAAAGAGGATGTTGAGTTAGAAGTGTTCTAAGGTGGCTTTCAGCAATAGGCTGCCATACCAATTGGAAAAATCTAGCATGGTATAAAAGAATATTTAAGCAGTAATTATGACTGGAAAACATCAGAGTGGAAATGAAGTATGGCTGAGAAACCTTTTTGCTTTTAGCTTTTTTTGGAGTTCATTACAATAAAATGAAATTATAGAAACTTAACCCATGAGTATTTTTCTCTTTGAACTTTAGTTCCTATTGAAATTGGAGAGGAAACTACACAGTAATCTAAGGGTGATCACAGGAGATGTCAGCTGCCTTCCAGGGCTTTTTGCAACGTGGAATTGCCTTTACTCGTTTATTGAAGAGTGCCCGTTATGTGTTGGGGCTGGACTCACAGTTTCTAGGGTGTAGATCTTAGCCATGGAGATCCAGACACTTACGGGGTTAGGATATTGGGAGTAGTGCTCTTATGCAGGGACAGGCTTGCATTAACCAAACTCACCAGATATTAGTGTATAACCAAAATGCAAATTTATTGGTTTACAATAAGAATTCTTTGCACTAAGTAATTTAGAATACACACGTAAACCCACTCTGTGCTAACTAACTGAAAGTCACTTTATAGGGAAAATCAAATTATAATTAGAAGATCATGTAATTTTTATCCTCATTTTGTGAATATGGTGTTCACATTTACTGATTGCAGATATTGAACCATCCTTTCATGTTTGGGATAAATCCCACTTGATCATGGTGAGGTGTCCTTTTAATGTGCTTTTGAATTCAGTTTGCTAGTATTTTGTTGAGGACTTTTTGCATCTATGTTCATCAGGAATATTGGCCTGTAGTTTATTTATTTATTATTCTTGTAGTGTCCTTGTCCGGCTCTGGTATCATGGTAATGATGGCCTTGTAAAATTAGTTTGGAAGTATTTCCTCCTCTTCAATTTTTTAATATAGTTTGAGAAGGATTGGTATTAGGTCTTCTTTAAATGTTTGGTAGAATTTGTCAGTGAAGTCATTAGGTCCTGGACTTTTCTTTGATAGGAAATATTTTATTACTGAATCAGTCTCCTTACTCATTATTGATCTGTTCAGATTTTCTTTTTCTTCCTGGTTCAGTCTTGGTAGGTTCCATGTTTGTAGTTCATTTGTTTCTTCTAGGTTATCCTACTTGTTGGTATATAATAGTTTATAATAGTCTCTTCTGATCCTTTGTATTTTTGTGGTATCAGTTGTAACATCTCCTTTTTCATTTCTGATTTTGTTTGGGTCTTCTTTTTTTCTTTGTTAGTGTAGCTAAAGTTTTGTTCATTTTTATCAAAGGGTACAAAATTTTAGAGTGGAGGAATCAGTTTTAATGTATGTATTTTATATTTCAAAATTATTGGAGAATAGATTTTTAACGTTCTCACCACAAAATATGGTAAGTTGGTGAGTTGATAGGTATGTTAATTAACTTGATGCATCTTTCTACAATGTATAACATAAATCAAAATAACATATTGTACTCCATAAATATACAATTATTATTTGTCAGTTAAAATAAATATGTAAAAATTATACTTAGAAGGCCACTTTGGTAAGTGTCGGCTTAAGAGTGAATGGAATAATTGTCGATTAGTAAACAAAAGAAATGTCATCTCTCCAAAAAAAAAAAAAACAGTGAATGGAATGAACTGTATAATTCAATGTTTGATGATACTGGTCTCTGATATTCTGTGCTCTCTGATTCACAAAAGTGATGTGCCTGTCAGGGGATCAGATTGCTCAAGAACATGGGCCAGAGTATAATTCCTGTTGATGGCACTTGGATCCAGATTATGTCTTTTGAAGCCTTCTGTTTCTTTCCTCCATTTCACATTACACTCTCCTTGCTGCCTTTTATGCATTTTATGTAGGCTTACTAACCCAGCTCTCTAGCTTAGTGCCTGGCCCCCAGAAGTACTGAAGAAATGTTTAACTACCGTTTAGCTAGCCACAACATTCTTACTAGTTTTGCTTTGGGAATAGTGTATATTTTACTTCTAAGGTACTTTGGGTCTATTTTATTGCTGCATTCTAAGGCTTGTGTGTATGTGTGTGTGTGTGTGTGTGTGTTCCGTGTGTGAGAATAATGGGAAGGTATGATACCCACCTCTCATACCTTGATGCTTTGGGAAAATAAAAATTTTCTGATTATATTATTTTGCAGATGTTCTAGTTATACTTATCAATCTTTTCTGCTTGCCAAATGAAGATTTAGATTGTGAAGATTCTTTTCAGAGACATAGGTTCAAAACTAAATGAAACCCAGGGCATCTGTAATTCTTCACACTTTAGTGAAGCTCTGTGATAATAGTGAGTAGATGTGTGGTGTGGGGACACTTGGGGTGGTATTTCAGACACTTAGATATTTGCCGGAAATCTGAAACTTGTTAGTTCACATTTAGTTTTCACTAAATGGATTATATTTTTCTCCTAAAACTGCTATTCCACTATTAAAATTAATGGACATACAAGATACCTTGTCTGTAAATAGAACAGATATTTTTAATATTTTGTCACAGTCCCCCAAAGCATTAGTCTGTAATGTTGACTAATGGGTTGAAAAGATATTAACTTCAGAAAAACCAAAGAGAATTAATCTCTTAGAATACTTCTGAAACCACCAACTTCTGTTTTTGATTTTATATTTCTATACCTCAGGAGGGAAAAAAAAAACAACCAAAAACTATTTCCCCTCTACTCCCTCCCTGTTTTCTAAAAATAAGTCACTTTTGGTTTGTTACCTTATAACACATGCCAAAATTTATCCCAGAGTGAATTTTTGTAGCCAACTTAGAACCCCAAAATAGAAACTGCTGACAGTTCCTTAAATACAGTAACACTGGCAGGTGCCTTGGTAATAAATTCACAAGCTTAGAATCTACAAAACAATAAAGTTATGCAAATTGGAGCATGTAGGAAGAATAATCTGAAACAAATGGCAGAACAGTAAGTTTAGCATTGTGGCATCCTGGTTTTACTAACACAAGGCAAATAACCCTGAGGAGAATCAGGGAAATTTTAGATCAAGGAGGATTACACAGACATACAGTAATACATGAATACAATTTGAGTTGACCAATTAATAACTGGTTTCTCTGTTATCACAACCATAAACAGAGATGGGAAACTGATCATAGGTTTTGCATTTGATAGGTACAACTATCAAGAGGTAAATGGAAAATAACAAGACACCTAACTTGAAGTGATCACATGTGCAGAGCCTCTTAGCTTTTGTTTTAATTGTTCCTTCAGCATCATTCCCATCAGTCATATTCAGATTAGTTGTTTAATTTTAGCCAATCAGGCATGTAATACATTTGTGAATTTCATTTATTTTAAATGTCTTTGCCTTTGCCTAATTATCTTTTACTTTTGTTATTAATCTCTGATATGGCATAATGAAAAATCGTGTTTTTTAATGAAAAGAAAAGATGTGTTCAGTTAACATATTTTCAGGAAATACATATTTTCAGTTAAAATTAGAATAGCTCTAATAATATCAGACAAAAATGTAGCTGAGGAATATAGCACTACCTTTTATTAGTTGTGTAGTAAAATGTAACTTTTTGACCCTGTAGTATCGCTTGCAGAATGTAACAGAAATGTTTAACTTTTCTTGTTTTTGTTTTCATCAACCTCAAGTTACTCCCAAAGAAGTTCAAAATGTATCCCAGAACTTAAAGTATAATAAAAAAATTTTAAAAAAAGAAGTACAAAATGTCTATTGTGTACACAGGAAAAATATATTAGAATAATGATTATCTTAAGTATACTACCTACCTTATTCGAGGTGATGAAGTAGTGGACTGCTACAAGTTTGTTGGAGAGAGGGACTAGAACTGTCCTTTTAAATGCTATATTCTATATCATAGCATTTTTGTCTGGCACTTGGTAGATCCTCAATAGAGATTGCTTGAAATAATAAACAATATCACCTCCAAACTCAGGTTCACAAAATTTGAGTTCAGTGGCACAGTGGTGATCACATGTGCGGAGCCTCTTAGGAAAAGGAGGCCTAGAGAAGTATTGAGTTAGATGCTCAGGTTCCAGAGCCAGGACTGGAACACAGATACTGGACTTCTGTCAAGCACAATATACTTTTCATGGCCTTTGCCCGTCATTCAGATGTTTAAATTTGCTTAAAACAGTGCCATCTATTTTCTTTGGAGTTCGAATAAAAGTTCTTTCTAACAGAGTGAGTAATTCACACACAGATACTTAATAATTTCCCTGATTATTTTTTCATTTAGAGATTTTCAAACTAACAACCAAAATATTCTGGTAGAAATAAGGTAAGGTTGAGAAGTAAATATTATAAACTGGTCTGTTTAGCCAGAGTTCCCCTAAGAGCCTTCCTCATTCCACCTCAAAGACCATTTTTTAGTTTTTCCAAGTGTCTGTGAATTGTGGCTGTGCATGCGCACATGTGTGTGTGTGTGTGTGTGTGTGTGTGTGTGAGAGAGAGAGAGAGAGAGATTTTTACTTTAAAAAATTCTCATCACTTAAGCTTGACTGTTGCTTTTCTTCTTGCATGTAGCTTTTCTAACCAAATAAATTAAAAATACTTAAAATTGAGTATATTCCGTAATTGGTCCAATAAAAGAGGGGATGCATTGGAAGGGAGCTATGGCACAGGGATTAAAAAAAATGTTTTGCACCTGGCTCCTCTATATTAGGTGTGGAATGGCAGTCAAGCCGTTGAGCTGCTGTGGATTTCAATTAATGCATTTCTAAAATACTTTCCAGAAATTCAAGATGGTGATTATTTAAATAGTTGAAAAATACTACATCTCAATTTGGCCTATCTTTTTGTGTTGAAGATAGAGGATGTAATCTTTTTTCATGTTCAGTAGACTGTGAGCTAATAGTTTTGTTAGGGGCTGAGAAATCAACATACACCTTACGGCACTGGAGAAGCAGAAACCTGGCTTAATTTCAGAAGTGCAGGAATCTTTGACAGAAATATTCTACTGTGAGGAAATAAATTTACACAAGGATCCCTTCTCAGAGTATTTACTAAAGTCTGAAAAGCCTTAATTTATTTTATGCCAAAATTTATGTTTATGTCATGCCAAATATAGTTGCTGATATTGTTAGGTATTAATTTGTGTGCCAAAAGATACTCTTTATACTGTATTCTCTGATCACAATGTAATAAAGCAGAAATTAGTAAGAAAAAACAGTAATACAAAATAAACAACGATTTGGAAGGAACAAGCCATTAAAAACTACTGAGTCAGAGGCAGTTTTTAAACAGAGCTCAACTAGAGATAGAAATAGAGAATGTTAAAACAGTCTTTACCATTGGATGGGGTGAAGTTGGAGAGAGGAAATGGGGAGATTTAGGCCAAAGAATACAAAATAGCACATGTGTTGGATTACTAATTAAGAGATCTCATGTACAACATGAGGATTAAAGTTAATAAAATTGTACAGTATTAGGGATTTTTGTTAAGTAGATTTTAGCTGCTCTTGTCACACACAAATAGTAACTATGTGAGATGATAGCTATGTTCATCTGCTTCACTATATAGCCATTTTACTATCTCTCTATATCCCATGTCATCAGGATATAAACCTCAAATACACACCATGAAATGTGTTTTTAAAACACTTGCAATCATAGGTTATTTAGAAAATAGTAACACCATTAAGGGAATAAACAAAATGGTGCACCTTATGAGGTGCAGCCAAAGCTGTTCTCATGGCAAATATATTAGTATTAAATAATTTCACTATGAAACAACAAACAACAACAAAAAACCCCAGCAAATCATTTAGGTATTTTTTAAGGTAAAATTTAAACATAATCTAGCAATGTTAAGGAGAATGAGGTATGATAAAATATAAAGTTAAAGAATCAGTAAAAAGTGGAGTTTATATATGCAAGAGCTGGTTCTTAAAAATAATAATGACAAATGTCTGAAAATATAGCTAAAAATGTTAAGTACAGTTATTTTAAAAATGAGTAAAGAAGTTTAAATGAAATATAAATTATAATAAAAATAGAAATTATAAGCTAACACACTGTGAAACTTGGTGGCAGGAAAAAAGTCAATGACTACTTATAATTTCAGAGTAGAAAAATACAGATTTTGAAAAGGGAAAAACTGGAGAAATATCATTTGAGGATTACTTCTCAAAATGTTTTTACCAGTTAGATTTTCAAATTTTCAAGAGATAAATTCTTATTTAATGAATAGAAGTTGCTAGAAAGTATTCCAATGACTGTTTTTGAAGGTCTCATACTCCTGAATCTAAAACCTGACAGAATATCATATCACAAAAAATCTACAGACCAATAATTTTTATGACTTTATAGGCAAAAGTGTAAGTATAAAGTAGCAAATTAAATTTAGCAATATTTTAAAATAATAATTCACCTGAATCAGGAATGGCTTAGAGTCAGGAATTCATTAATAATCACAGAACTAGATCAAAAGAAAAAACATCTCACCAGAGATGGATAAAAAGCTATTCCTGCAGGAAAATATTAATAAACTAGAAATAATATAATCCTTATTATGTAAGAAAATGTATCTCAATCTATTTCATAATTTGTCAAATGCCAGAGGCATTCTTGTTACAATCAGGGCATGTTTTATATTAAAGATTATTGGTGATGGTCACTTTTTCAAAAATCACGTAACTTTTCCAGTGCATTAATAAAAAACATACGTTTATATCCATTATTTCCAGAAACTCCACTCAAATAGTAATAAGAATTTAAATTATGAATGCACAGGAAAAAGAATAGGAACAAAGATAATTGTAAAGAAGGAATGTTAGCAAATTTTAGGAATATATGAAGAGGGTGGAGGAGTTAGCACCACAGAGGAAGTTCAGGTTCGATGTCTATAAGGAGAGTGACATTGAGAAGCAAGCTATTTTGCTCTCTGAAACTCTAATGGGTCCAGAGATTACAGGCGGGGATGAGGTTAAGGGCTGAGTACATAATGGTAGGTTAAAAATGTGTGTAAATAACAAATCACCAGATCACTTCTCTCCCCTCTTTGGCTCACTACCCTGCACACTTAGGAGACAACTTTTCTTTTTGTCCGGCAGGGTTTTAGAAGTTGATTATTAGAAGAAATTAATCCATAGATTTTGAGACTTTCAGACACCTGAAATATGGGAAGCTGGGAGTGAGGGATTGAAAAGGGATTAAGAGAAAGTCTTCATATTGAAAGTGAGAATTGTCAACTTACTTCCCACCTGCCCACCATCTTTCAGAAGATTTTCCAACCCTAAGGAGATAAATAAAACCTTGAAAATAGGAAGAAGTGAAAAAATGGAAATTGGAAGAAATACATGTAATGCAGGGCACAGGAGAAAAATTAAAACAATTTAGCAATAGCTGCAGAGAGATAAAAATACTGATCTTTATGCCACCAACAATCTTAGGTCCTAATCTTGTGGCTTCTTCAGCAGGTAGGACGGTGACCCAGAGATCCCATCTCATGGTTCCTTTTTGATTGCTCATTGCCATGTTCCAAGGTTTCATCAGGCCCACAATGGTCTTGATGTACATGGATTTTCTTCTTATCTTAGTGCAAGTCTGGGAAGGCTATTAGCTGTTTTTCATTGCTTTAACTTGCAAGAGTCTATTGGAGCCTGGGAGAGTAAAAGGGCAAGAATTAGATAACTTTAATTTTAGACATCTCTAACGAGTCTGAAAAGATTAATGGGGAAAGTAGATTTATTCTCAGGTAAAGGGTGGGGGTAAATGCTGAGCTACTGTTTATCCTTCTAAGAATGTTTAGAATCTCTTTCTCATAGAAGGAAGTAAAGAAAAAGGCAGGATTATTAGCCCTGCTATACCTGGGGTGGTACCAAACCATCACCTTCACTGGCTGTCAGCAGAACTGATGAGTGAAGAAAGGATCATGGCTGATGCAATGGTGGGGAAGTGATTTTGTATGGAAGGCCAATCCATAAATAATGGCAAGTGTAAGACATGAACTAGTATATTTCAAGAAGTACTTCAGTCACACAGACATTTTGTAGTTTGTCTTTTTATTTATTTTATTGCTCATGATGTAACATTGATGATGTAAATGATATAATTATAAAATATTTAGTTTAGAGCAATGCTTTTACATTTTCTCTTAAGAAAATTAAGAATTTACCTTCTCTAGTCAGAATGGCTGAGATCAAATTTTTACTCAAATGCTTGCTAGATATCAGGTCTTGGACAAGTATTTTAACCTCTTGTGCCTCAGTTTTTCCATTTACAAGATAGAAATTAATAGCACATAGCATATCTTGTATCAGGTCAAACAGATGTTATTGTTAATGTTGTTGTTATTATTATAAGCATTTTGGCCTAGCCTCATTTTAAATCCTTCATGAGATGTTGCCCAGATCTGGTTATCCATGTGCTATATCCTAACCTCTCTCTTTGTGTCCCATGTTTTCACATTCAACCACTGACCCAAATGCAGTCCACATACATAAGCAGAGTTAAGCAAACAAGGCTCTGTGGAATGAATTCTGTAATGAGAAGACTGTTGATTTATACTGTCCTCTCTGCTGTAAATAACATCTTCATTTTAACATATGTACTTTTCACTATGAATATATGTAAAATTGTCTCTATATTTTAAAGAATAAAACTGATAGAAATTTGGCTGCAATCCTAGCCATTTGGGTGAGATTTAATTATTATTGCTAGTTTAATCTCATGCTACATATTTCAAAAAGTCACTCTCCAAGTTCAGGATATTTATTATAATACTTCATTATGCTAATTTCATGTTTTATAAGATGACAAGCTATTGTCATGATTTATTCCTTGTCTATATTCTTTTGAGGAAGCCAATTGAACGTTAAGTTCTTATGGATGTATTTCTTTAAAAAGTGGTAGTGTCATACCATGTACTGTCATTATTTAAAACTGTGACATTCTGACAGTGTGTCAGAAAAAAATGGTGGCTGTGTGAAATTTACATGCCTAAGTTTGTAACTAAAACTAATTTTGTCAGGATATATTTTATAATTACCAATTTAAAGAAGCGTATAATTAAAGTAAAATGAGCTCTGCTTGTGCCTAGAAACATAATTTTTAATGCTTTTGTTAGATTTTCTTCAATTGAATTATAATATATTTAATTTATATCAGAAACAGTGATAGAGTAAGATTATTTTTCAAAAAATTGCAGTCATTTGGAGAAATTCATGAACAACTTACTATATTAATTATTTTCACATTAATTTAGTGACTTTTAAAAGAGGAACAGCAAATCAACCAACTTTCAAATGCTCCCCCTTCTTATACTTCTGTATTTTATTTATAGCAGAGGAAAACCTTTCTTCCTTTCTTCCTGTCAGCTGTGCAGTAGCAGTTCTACTGAAATTGGATAAAGAATCTCCAAAATATGCTTTAGCACTTTGAGTTAGCCTCTGTTCAATAATTTGAGTAAGATGATTATTTTTCTAGCTAAATCAACTACATGGTTTCATGATATAGGTCTAAAAAGCAGCTTATTTTTTTAACATTCCTGTATAACACTTTGAAAACATCCCTCAGTAAGGGGAATTTATTTTTACAGAGTAACTTTGTAGACATGTAATGAATGTTTTTTACATTTGGATTCTAATGTTATAATAATGTGCATTTTTAGTTCCTGATCTCATCTTCCTTGCAAGGGCACTTGCTGACTCCGGCCAGCCTGATCATCTGGTAACAGCGTAAGACTTGCAGCGTGTGTATGTGCTGAACTTCATTACCATTGAGTAGAAATATTTAGTCGCCATATTAAAAAGGTTTCATTATTGAATGTATTTGAAGTGGCCCGCTTAGGAAATGATTGGGCATGTGCCACTACATTCAAAAAAGATGGTGCATATTTTTAAAACCAGCTATCTTTCTGAAAATTGAAGGAGATGGGTAAATAACATCTATTTTTGTATAAAAATTAAATAACTGTGAATGATGGATAAATCGCTTAACTTCTTTGGACTTCAGTTTTCTCATCTGTAAAATAAATGTAACATTATCCTTCTCTGGTGAGTTCAAATAGTTTTAAAAATGAGATAATGAGATAATCAATGTGAAAATGCTTTGAAAAGTATAGAGCACTGTGCAACTTTAAGGCATTACTATTTTTCACTATTGTTTTGATATTTAAATCTACAACAGGGTTAAGTACCTTTTTCCTGGTAAACAGGAATGGAAAAATAAAATTATTGTCTTTAAGATAATTCACATTTCAGAAGTAGAAATAGAATGTGCACAGGCTATGAAGATACAGGGTAAGTTATATATAATCAATTGAATATGCAGTAACAACTCACCATGTTGGCAATGTTGCAGTGGGTGGTAAAGTACCATTGCTATTCAAAGAAATATCTGAACAGAGGAAGAGAAATGACAACGATGTTGCAGTGATAATGACAACAATACGGATATAATCTCTATTGAGGCACAGGTTTTTGTCTCTTTTTCCTTAATGTTTTCTTAGATCCAAGGATTAGGCTCAAGGTACGTAGCAGGTACTTAATAAATATTTGGCAGTATTACTGAGTGAATATCACTTACTTTGACATAAACAAAAAGTTTACACCTATTTTCATGTCATCAAGAATGCATTTAGTATTTCCTACTTCTACTGAAAAGTCATGTAGTTTTTGTTATTTATTCTATTAATATGGCATCTTTTATTTATTGATTTTCAGATGATAAATCAATCTTGCATTATTGGGATAAATCCTACTTGGTCAAGGTATATAATGCTTTTTATATAGTGTTGTATTCTATTTAAATAACATTGGTCTATAATTTTCTTTTCTTGTAATGTGTCCCTCAGATTTTGGTATCAGGGTAATTCTGATCCCATATAATAAATTGAGAAAGAGTCCTTAGTCTTTAATTTTTATGGAAGTTTACAGAGAATTGGCATTATTATTATTTTTTTAAATCCTCGGTAGAATTCAACAGTCAACTCCATCTGGGCCTAGAGCTTTTCCTGTGGAAGGATTTTAAATTATGAAACCAAATCCTTTAATAAATATCGTGCTATTCATGCTACCTATTTCTTCTTGAATTTGGTAGTTTGTGTTTTCCAAGGAATTTGTCCATTTCATGTAAGTTTTCAAATGTATAGGCATAAAGTTGTTGGTAATATTCTCTTATTATGCTTTGAGTATATGTAGAATCTGTAGTGACGTCATTATTTCCATTCCTAATATTGGTAATTAGTATCTTGCCTTTTTTTTTCTCCATGATCAGTCAGGCTACAAGTTTGTCAGTATTCTGGATCTTCTAAAATAATCAGCTTTTGATTTCATTGATTTTCTCTATTGTTTTTCTACTTTCTATTTTACTGATTTCCACTCTGATCTTCATTATTGCCTTTCTTCAACTTCCTTTGGGTTTCATGTGCTTCTCTTTTTCTAGTTTCGTAAAGTGGAAGCTGAAGCAATTGGCTTAAGATCTTTCTTCTTTTCTACTATAGGCACTTAATGCTATAAATTTTCCCCTAAGTTCTATTTTAGCAGCAATCTGCAGATTTTGATATGTTTTCATTTTCATTGTTTAAAATATTTTTAAAAAATTAAAAAAGAATGTACTATGTGAAGTAATAGATACGATAATTTGCATAGTAGCTTCATTGTGTATATGTAGTTCAAAACTTTATATTGTACACCTTACAGTTATACACTAAAACATAAAAATAACATATTTCCTATTTTTTAATTCTTTTATCTGTAGATTATTTAGAAATGCTGTATTTATTTTCCACATATTTTAAGATTTTAACATATATGTTTCTGTAAGTGATTTCTAATTTATTCTACTGGGGATTAAAAACATAACTTCTATGACATTAATTCTTTTAAATTTCTTGAGATGTGTTATTGCACACAATGTGGTCTATAAGACCACATTTATAGGTAAATATTCAATATGCATTTGAAAAGAATGTGTATTATGCTGTTGAGTTTTCTACAAGTGCTAATGAGGTCAAGTATGTTGATAGTGGTATTTAAGTCTTGCATATTCTTACTGATTTTCTGTCTATGTTTTCTATCAGTTATTGAGAAAATAGTATTGAGATTTCCTACTATAATTGTGGATTTGTCTGTTTTTCCTTGCCATTCTGTTAATTTTTGCTTCATGTGTTTGGAACCTTTTTTATTAGGTGCATAAACATTTAGGATTGCTATATCCTCTTGATAAATTGGCCCCTTTACCATTATGAAATGATATTTATCTCCAATAATATTCTTTGCTTTGCAAACTATATGTCTTAAACTTTCTTTTGATTAGTGTTAGCATAGTATATCTTTTCCACTCCATTCACTTTTAACCTATTTGAGTCATATTTATAATGAGTACCTTGAAGGCTGCATATAATTGGATTTTTAATCCAATCTGGTAATCTCCACCTTTAAATTGGAATGTTTAGACCATATACCTTTAGTGTGATTATTGATATGGTTAGGTTTAAATCTACTATTTTGCTACTCATTTCCTACTTGTTCTGTCCGTTCTTTGTTCCCTTTTTACTTTTGTACCTTTTTATGGGTTGATTATTTTGAAAATGATTCCATTGTATCTCCTTTTATTGGCTTATTGTCTACAACTCTTAGTTTTGTTATTTTAGTTGTTACTTCAGGATTTATAGTATACATCTTTAAATTGTAATCTATCTTCAAGTGATATTATAGCATTTCATGTATATCACGGGAATTTTACCAAAAGTGTGTTTCCATTTCTCCCTCCTATTGTGCTGTCATTGTCATAGATTTTACTTTATATTAGTTATAAATCCCATGCTGAATTTTTATGAGTTTTGTTTAAACATTCAAGTATCTTTAGATATTTAAATAATTAAAAATGTTTATTTTTTCATATGGTTACCTTCTCCTGTGCCTTTTATTCTTTGTATAAATCAATTTTCCCATTTGGCATCAGTTTCCTTCTGCTTGAAGGACTTCCTTAAACATTTGTTGAAGTCCAAGTCTGCTGGTGATGAATTCTTTCAGTTTTTGTATGTTTGAAGAAGTCTTTTCCATTTTCTGTAAGATATTTTGGCTGGGTATAGAATCCCAAGTTGACTTTTTTTTTTCTTTTAGTATTTTGAAAATGTTGGCTCCACTATCTTCTTGGTTACAATGTTTCTGACATAAAATATCTGCCATCCTTATCTTTTTTCTTTTGTACTTAAAGTGTGTGTTTTCCCCCCTGACTACTTTTAAGATTTTCCCCTACCTCCATGACTCTTTTGGAGAAATTTGATGATAATGTGCCTTGGAGTAGTTTTATTCATGTTTTGTGTGTGTGTGTGTGTGTTTGTGTGTGCACACACACATGTGCCTGGTGGTTGTTGAGCTTTTTGATTCTGTGGATTTATATTTTCCATCAAAATTTGAAAATTTTTTTGCCAGTATTTCTTCAAATTATCTTCTACTCTTTGGGGGCTTCAAATATATGTAACTTAAAATGCTCCCACATGTTGACAATTCTCTCTTCTTTTTTAAAAAATTTAATTCTCTTTTTTCTGAGTGTTTCATATTTTGGTAGTTTCTGTTGCTGTATCTTCAGGTATGCTAATCTTTTTTTCCTGCGATATCTAATTGGCTGTTAGTCTCATCCAAAGTGTTTTTTATCTGACAGGTTATAGTTTCATCTCTAGAACTTCTATTTTGTTCTTTCTAATGTCTTTTATGCCACTACTTAGTTTTTTGGACATAGGGGATACAGTGACACAACTGTTTCAATGTGTTTTTTTCTATTTTCTCTTCAATTAATTCTAGGGTTTCTATCAGTTTTTGGCCTATTTTGATTGATTAATTTTTCCTTATTTGGGGTTATATTTTCCTGCTAATTTGCATACCTGGTAATTTTTTATTATATGTGAAATAATGCAAATTTTACTTTCTTGGGTCTTGAAAAATTTTTTGTACTTCTATAAATATTCTTCAGCTTTATCTAAGGACAGTTATTTGAAAACAGTTTTATCCTTTTGGTTCCAGTCAGGCATGACTAGAGTAATGCTGTCTAGGGCTATTACTTCTCACTACTCGGGGAAGCCTCTTCAGTTTACTGTACTCAGTGTCCCGTGATCAAAGAGGCTTTCCTCTCATTTCTAGCTTTTTGTGACCATAAAGAACTATTACCTTTAATTCTTTAGGCTTATTCTTTCCCTAGCCTCATTTAATTTCCTTACACACATGTACAGGTCAGTACCCTGCTGATTTTTCAAGGGAAGAACTTCTGTATAGGCCTGGAATTCTCTGTGTTGTTTGGTGCTTCCCTCTCCTCTCTGATTCTTCCTCCTGTGAACGCTTTGGTGTTGTCAGACTTTCAGCTCTGTTTCTTCCACTCTGTGAGTTTCCTCACTTATTCTTCGGTTTCTGCTCACTGCCCCATCACTGGAAAATCTTTCAAGGCATTAAACTGGAACAATATTTGGTCTCACCTTGAAAATTTCACATCTCACAGGGATTACTCTCCTTTGTTGCCTCATGTCCAGTGTCTTAAAATGTTTGCTTCAAATATTTTGTCCATTTTTAATTATTTCAGGTGGGATAGTAAATCTGGTTCATTATGCCATCTTGACAGGAAATGGAGTTTCTGACTCATAGTAATTTTTATATTACAAGAAAAATGTTTTAAATGCTTACTTTTTCACTTTTTATTAAGAAGGCTAATTACCTCTCTGCCTCAATTCCCTCATCTAAAAATTAGAATTATAGTTGTGCCTACTTTCGGAGTGGCTGATAAATTTTACTGATGTAATGGTATAAATCACTGAATAGACACATTGCAAACACCCAATAAATTACTTATTTTATCACTATTTTATATTACAAATCACATGAAACAGTCTTTCATTTGTAAATGCTGTCTGTCCACTTATATTGAATTCAATTTCTATTTCTATTAAACAAGCTGAATATTTGCGTTATGTGCAAGCAAAGAGTGAAGTGGATCTACTGAATGAGAGAGAAGAATCATACATCTTGAAAGACAGGTGGTAACTGTGAATATAGTTAGTTGGGTAAAATTTCTTGGGAGAAATTGTATTAAGGACACTTACATGGTGCTCAAAATGTTCCTCTGAGAGTGAAATTCCCTATCCGGAGAAAAGATTCCCAGTAACAATTTGCCAAGTCATTTATTTATGACTTGGATCCTCTCGGTACCCTCCTGTATAAAATCTCCTGTCAAGGAAGACACACATTTATTTCCATCTTTCTCAGTAAAAGTTGGGCTGTTAAACCAGCAGCATGGGATTTTAACATATCTCTATGGTATCTTACTCATCAGTTTTTTTTAGGCATGTGTCACTAAAACTACCCACTGGAACACATTTCACCGTTCCCTAAGGTGAAATGTAGAAGCTACTTAACAGTAAATACTTTATGTCTTATGAACTTTTGGCAAGGAAGGTAATTAGTAACTTGGTATTTAAAATGTCCAAGGAAATTTATGTTATATAAATTCTTAACACAGTTATAACATATTTGACAGAGTTTAATGGAAACAATATTAGGCATATTTCAAATCATCATAGAATTCAGATTATCTACAGAAAATGTTGCCTAGTGTATGGTGTGTTCAGCTCTGCTGTGTCTCTACAGAATATTGAGAAAGGGAAGAAGGAGCGATTTTTTAAACTCAAAATTAAAACAGAAATTTAAGCATATTTTTATATTAAAGAATACTTTGCTTAATGTACATTTTTAAAAACAGCAAAATATAAAACATAGAAATAAATTTCTACCTTGGATCTAACTAGAGAGCTCTTTTGCCTTCTCTACTTTTCTTGGATTCAGTAAAAATAACAACCATTTCCGCATAGATTTTATGGGTACTGAACTGCATTTTCTCAAGAAAACATTATTTTCTTAGTAAATTCGCCTTTATATATGTATTTACTTCTAACAAAAAGAATCATAGTATTGTTTTATCAAAAAGTAAGCATAGATGATATTTATTTTAGGATACCCACTAAAGTAATACATAGCCTAGTCTAGTCTAGTATAGTTCAGAAATAGTTTAGTAAACCCTTATTTTTCCAATAACCCAACTGTATTGGGTCAGGACCAAGTCATATCTGCCTTCTTTACAATTTCTTCTGTGTTGAGCAATTCAATAGAAATATCACTTTTTAGGGTCTTAATGAGTAATTGTCTTGGGGGAGTGGCCTTTGACAGAAAATATTCAGTTTCTTAGCACATGTAATGTGAAAAATTAGGGTATTTCAGATTATAAGTAAAAGCTGGAAATGTCTTTTCAAAAATTATTTTTGTTTTGCAAATGCTATGACTAGTGTCTTGAACCCAGTAGATGAAAATATCTAATAAGATATCAGAGGTATTATTTGTTGATTATGTACTATGTGGTAGGAACTAGATCAAGCACTTTACGGATATTATTTCAATGACTTCTTCCAACAAGCTTATAAGGTATTATTATCCTCATTTCACAGATAAGGAAACTGAGGTTGAATGGTTAAGAATATTGGCCAAGTAGCACAGAAAGAATTCTAATAATATTGTCTGATTTCACATATAGATTATGTTAGTGACTGTTTCATAGCACTTATGTTTACAAATGGCTTCCAGAAATTGTTCAGGTAGTATTCGTACTTAAATAGTAAATCAAATTAATCTACCATTCTATTGGTCTTAAAATCATTTTTCTTTGCATCCCAAATTACCATTGTAAAGTTTTCAGGGAAGATAGAATCCACATATTTTCAGCCTTTGTTTTGGCAGAAAAAAATAGGAGTTAAAAATTTGCAATTTGTTCAAAGTGCAAATATGCTGTGGCATTTTGGCATTATTCCAAGGGCACAGATTTAACTTGGAATTTTGGTGGCTGTTACTGGGAATGTACTGTTTATCAAATTCAGTGTTAACTGCACAGTTGAAGATTTTCTAGCAAAACTTTCTCTTTTTAACACTGAAAAAAATTCACCAAATTCTAAGGATTGATAAGTAAAATCCATAAGGAGCTGCAGTCTTTAATGAACAAATCTTCTATTAAAAAGTAATCAGTCAGGTCATTCCACAGAGAGCTTGCATAATCGGGATTTGGATGATCTTGGGCTCTCTACTAAAAGCTCACGGCCTCACATCTTAATGGAAATAAGAGAAGATGAAGTTTATAGCCCTTCACTTATGTAATGAGTGAAATAACCAGCAAGCAAACACCTGTCAGATGGTAGTAGGTGCTCCTGAGAGGTATGACAGGTAATAATTTAATCAGATGCATTGGTAATTCTATGACCTGAAAGGGATATTGTGTTTCCAAAGCCCAGAATTTTCTTTCTTCTAGATAATGCTGTGTCCTTGTGTACAAAATGACTTAAAATGAAACATTAGAATGTAGAATATATTTTAGCCTAAAATGTTCTTTAGTTCTTCATTGCTTTCAGGAATTTCTCCCTCCTTTGTGCTTCTAAATTGTTAATCCATGCAGATCATACTAAGCATTATTTCCTTTCATATATTAGAACAAATATCTGATTAAGAGGTTATTGACATTAGGAATCACAATTCTCCTAGCCAACCACACAGCGGGATTCAAAGCTTGTTCATTTAATGAATTGTTGTTTAGTGAAAGTACATGATTGTGTTCTCATAAGACACTTTGTTCCCTTTATTATTCAACAGAAGACAAAAAAAAAAAAAAAACTACAAAATTTCAAGGACAATTTTTTGCCCTTTTAGCTTATTATGCTCCCTGGAACATACATAGAAAGAGGTGCATTTGTTTCTCACAGGTGGATGAGAATTCATTTTATCTTCTTGAGCCAAGGCCCTGAAGAATCTGATTTTCACCTTTTATTTGACTGGGTGACTGATTCTCTTTTCTTTACAAGTTGGTGCTGCCTATACCTTCATTCAGCATTTTTTTTCCCCTTTTACCTGTATTTTTGGGATTTTACTCCCCCTGCTGGCCTCTGGCATGCATTAGAGTTGACTCTTTTCCAACGACTCCTGTTTCTGTCTGTTTCTCTTCAAGGAGCCGCATGTATAGTACATTTATGTTCCAAACACAGCAGAAACGACATGAGTTTAAAGGTAGGTATTTTAAGTTTTCAGGAACTCATTTTTCTCAATTTTTTCTAGAGAGACTAAAGTAGACCAATGCTAATTTAGAAAATATAGAAACAACATTCTGAATTTTTGAATGCTAAATGTAATTGGTTTAATTACAGATCATTTTGCTAAAGAAAAGTTATGTTATGGCCCATAATGAAGAAAGTTTCTTTCTCCTTCCTAGGATAGCAGTAATTGTGCTGCAAAAAACCCAAAATGTTTCTATTTTAAAAATGTCTTATGAATTATAAAACCTTTGAAATTGATGGCTTGATGTTGCAGATAAATTGAACTAGATTTCAAAGTACAGTTAACTTGACAGTGCTTTGAAACAAGGGTCACTCATTGTCATTACATCTTTATGACTATTTTTATGAGAGAATTTGGATAATTTAACTCTCAAAAATTGTCACATGCTGTTTTAGCTTTTGTAGTTTTGCTTTTGTTAGATGTCACAACCGCTATTAACACAACTTGCATTTTTTCCTTTCATTTATGTTGAACTAAAAGATATATGTGAATATTTTCTGGGAATTATTTACCTTAGATTGAAGAGGAGAGTTGCAGTTTTTACATTGTTCTTTTGCTGTCATTAAAAGAAAAAAAATCATCTGACCAGGAAATAGTATTTTTAGTAAATATACTCTCAGAATCTTCTCCTTCCCATCTGAAAATAAGATGTTTTTGCTTTTTGATAAGGTAATGGTCAATGGGATCGAAAGACACTTTTTTCTTCCACAATTACAATAGACACTGGTATGGTTTATTGATGATTCTCATCAGTTATATTTCACCAAAATCTCATAGCAACAGGAGAAAATTTCCCATTGTTTGGTTGGGAGCCAGAAGCTGAGAGTGCAGGTCATTTTTCTTCATCTGAGGAAAGTGGAATAGCCAATCCACCACTTTGTTTTCTAGGTCTAAAATGATCTGTTCAGTCTTTCCTAATTCATGGGTGTGGCATTCATAGGAGAGGCTGGCGGCACAAAGGAAATAAGACATCTATGCATCAATTTCTTTATATTGTACCATGGGATGGGGGTTTTAAAAGTTGTTCATATTTGTTTTCTGCACCATACTGAATGAATATTTCACAGTAACTCTTTTTAGAACACAATACTTGGTGAAAAATAAAATTCACCGTATTAATGTAACATTTTCCAATCCTAGTTACCAGCACTGCAAAGTACACACCACTCAACAATTGCTAGAATATGTAGCTATGTGTATTTTTAAAGCATATTATAAATTTTCCCACTCTTAGCAGAAAGTGAAGGAAAATGAGCACTTCATTAGCAACACTCTTAGTTGTGCAGCCAAGAAATAAAACATGAAGTAAGGTTTCTAGATACTATGGGAACCCCATTATGACTCCCTGGGGAGGCTTAGGGGAGGATGTTTTTCATAATGAGTCCATGCAGAAAGTTTTAATACTAGAACATCCTTACTTAGACATTTGCTTAGATTTCTACCACTAATGGGAAAACAAAACTAACAAAAACAACAACTCCCATGTAAATTGTGTTTATTCCTATTCAGTTAAACAAAGGGATCTTAGACCAAGTTGATAAACTGCAACATGTTCTTATTTATTTTATTTTATCTTACGTTATTTTATTTTATTTTTTAGACAGAGTCTCAGTCTGTTGCCCAAGCTGGAATGCAATCTCGGCTCACTGTAACCTCTGCCTCCCAGATTTAAGTGATTCTCCTGCTTCAGGCTCCCGAGTAGCTGGACTACAAGGTGTATGCCACCACGCCCGGCTAATTTTTTGTATTTTTAGTAGAGATGGGGTTCTCAAACTCCTGACCTCAGATGATCCACCCACCTCGGCCTCCCCAAGTGCTGGGATAACAGGCACGAGCCACTGCACCTGGCCGGCAGTATGTTTTTAATCTGTATCTCAGTGCCCTCTGTTTTTACAAAGTAGATGATAAGTATTGAGTTTTGAAATAGATAAAGGGTTGACAGTCATAGATTCTTGCTTTTAATTTTAAGAGAGAAGTAGGTAGCAAATTTTGGAGTTGAAAGACGGATCATGCAGTAACTAGCAACTGTTTCTCAAAATTCCCTCATCATTAGGATCTCTTGAATTGCTGGTTTAAAATATCAGTTTCTAGGCTGCTCCACAAAATATTTTGGGTCCTGCAGTTGGACATGAAAAGCACAAGCACCCCAGGTAATTCTTATGATCAGGAGAATTTGGGAAACATTTATCTGATTTAATTAATTATAGAGGCAATGTCAGCGATTAAGAGGTAAGATATGGAGTATAGATTCGTATGTTCATTTAGGAAATGCTTAGCTATCAACACTTATTGAGCATTTATACTATGGACCAGATTTGAGCACACTTACTACATGTGTGATTTTTGAACTTGTCTTTTACCCTTTCTGAATCTCAGTTTCTCATTTAAAAAATGAGGATAATACCTTACTCATGGATTTTTGGGAAGGTTCAATTAGATATGCCCCAAGAAATGCTTAATTTTTCTGAAAAATACCACTGTTTTTAGGCATCTATTATACTGTAGGGGTCATAATTTAATTATTTCTATTAGGTATTTTTACTATACACCAAGATTTCATTATGCAATCACACATCTGTTGTTCTGAGCTGTGGTTCTTACTGGCATCTTTTGGAGATGTATTTAGAGGTAAAGAATCCTTTAACAACTTTTAGGATCCAAAATCTCCTAACACAAACTTTCTCCTTCTGCCTTCTCTTTAGCCCTTTTAAAATTGGTGTATTTCCTACTTAAACTCACATATTTCAACTTCTTGCAACACTATTAAAATTACAGCTACTATTTGTTAAGCACTTACTGTAATCCAGGCACAGTCCTGGATGCTGCTTGTATTATTTAATCTTCACAGTAGTAGTGCAGTTTAGGTATTATGACTATTTAAATGGAGTCTGAGAACACAGAACTCAGTAATTGAGACAGCATCTTATAGGTATGATGCTGTGAAGAACAGAAATTATTTTAATACCTGTATATCTGTCTTCAAGCCCAAGTTCTGTCCACTATAAGCTATTCCCATAACTTTAATACAGTCATTTTCCCAATATGAGAACATGAATTTCTCCCATTGGCTTCCTAATGGTTTTCTGTCACTCAGAGTAAAATTCAGCTTCTTTACTTACTAAGGCCTACAAAGCACTGCACCGTATGTCTTTCATGTTCTAAGGCTTTTGCATTTGTTGGTCCCTGTGCTTGAAACTGTCTTGCCTTAGGTAAGCTGTGCACCTCTCCCTGACCTCATTAGAGATGTCTTTCCAGATGACCTCCCATACTTGAGAACATCTACACACACACACACACACACACACACACACACACACACACACACACACACACACAGATATTGCCCTTCCTCCTTGCTGGCTTATTTTTTCTCTATAGCAGTGATCAACAGCTAACATCTTAACATCTAATATAGTTTTCTTTATTTTTTCTTTCTCCCAGTATAATGTTAGTGCCTGAGAATGGTAGCTTAATGTTATCTGCTTTATCCCCACTGCCTAGCACATAGCAGGGATGCAATAAATATTTGATTCTCAAACATTGAATTGGGGGACATATCTGATATTCTTTATGTTAGTAATTTTATAATTTTCACAGCATTAGAACTTCATATGTGATATCTTGGTGGTTACCCTAATATTGTCTTTGTTAAGTATACTTTTCTAAACAAAGTTCCTGACAAAAAAAAAAATGTGGTGTTGTGTTTTACTTTTCACGCCAACAGGAATAGCACTATGCAGAAAAAATATGTCTTTCTATGTAGAATATTTAGAATAAAAGGTTTTTGGAAAGATCCCTTACTCAAATAATGAAGTGGCTATTCAATATTAATACTTAGTATATTTCAGTTGTTCTTTGCTTTGGAAATTAGGGCTTTGGAACATATGTGAGAATTAGGTATTACTTCAGTATTAGGAGGTCTTCTACTTGCTGACAGAATACTTCGTTTGTGCCAGTTCTGGCCATCATTCATTATTATTAATAGTAGTATATAAGCATGGTAATGCTAATTCAATAGGTTTTCCAGGTTTTTTCTCCCTCTTGTTATTATCTTTTATTTTGAAGTTTGCCTTTATTTCAAGTTGTATTTGTGGGTATTCAGAATTATTGTACCTGTGTATAACTCAGTGGTTCAAAAGTCATTAGTCTTTAATAAATTAGAATTTATTTTAAAAATTCAAGATCTGAAAACATCATTTCATTGACTCTCAAGTAATGTTAATGCCAAGTTTTGAAAAGCAATTTTTCTTTTTGGAGGCAGTAATTTTGAGTAATTGGATTCCATGAAAAAAATGGATTCAGGAGCTAATTGTGTACCAGGTTTACTGGCATTTGTGCAAAACAACATTTAGCAACTGTCAGTGACAATACTCATCTAATTTCTCTTTATCACCAGCTGGTCAATCACGTATCTTCATCAATACAAGTATTTTAATTTCCTCTTTCAGGTATCCTCTTTGTGTGTTTTCTTCCTTCTCACTCTCCCTTCTCTCCTTATTTTAAGCTACTTTAGAAAATAGTAATACTTTACTGATGTGTAAGATGCAAATCACTTTGGAAGTGAGAAGGTGGATATTTATACATTTGTTCTATGACGGGGTTTCTAAGTCTGTCCCACTGGGAATGGTTAGTACATTCCATAGCTGTAAGGGAAAAATCCACTTTTCCCAGAAATAAAGGTCAAGAGACATGGAACAACTCTTTTATTATTTGCTTTCAAAACAGAGGGAATATGATTTATGTCGAATATAAGCTTATGTCATAGCTGTGCAGGTGCTGCCGTGAAGCTGTGACCCCTGTCTAATCCCCATAACGACACTGGGCATTGACCACATTTGCTTTGTAGTTACTGAGCTGCTTTCCCAGGGGCCTTCTAGTTTCTGAACCCAGCCGCTGGGTAGCTGGTCGACCCGTGCTTGGTGCAAGAACATTGTTTTGTAAGTGCAACCTGAAATACATTTTATAACCCCTGCCTAAGTTAAATGACTGTAGGTCTGTGACGGAGCCTCTGTGATTGAATCAAAGTCTCCTCTTAACTCCTTTTTTTCCTTCATGAATTTAGTAGTCGGCTGTAAATAGTTTTTTCTGCTTTATTTTTTATTGCGTTAAACATAATCACAATGATTTATTTCAAAAACACTAAACAGTTGCTTGATATTTACAAGATAAAATGTAATACTGACTTTAATACATCATTGCCTGATTTACTTATATAATTTTTATTTATCGTTGTAAGATAGTTAACATTTTTCCATGTTGCTTCAATATTTTTCCCCTTAAAGATTAATGACTTGGTAAAATTTGCAGTAATCACACAAAAAATTTGTTTTCCAATTTCATTCTGTCTTCCAACATTTTGATCTCCCAGAGTTTTAATATTTTTTAAGTTTCCTATGTGTTATGAATTGTAAAATAAAACAAAAATCCCCCAAAACAAAAAAAGACAGCTATATTAAAAGTATCAACTTTATTTTAAATCTTATTAATGCTTTTTATAATGGGAGGGAAGATATATATATTTAAATGACCATGTAAAGCAAAGTGAGGAAGTTAGGAACCAGGACGCTGAAGCTAAACTGAAGTTGAATCTCAGCTCTATCATGTCCCAGCTCTGTGATTTTGTTAATCTCTCAAAATCTGCCTCATCTGTAAAAAAAGGTGAATGATAGTAAAACTATCTGTTGCATAGCTGTTGTGATTATTAAATGAGTTAGCATTTGCAAAGCCCTACATAAATATTTGCTGTGTAGATAATGTTTAATTTTGTCAAGAACTTTTAAAAGATGTGTTTTGAGTCATTCATACAGGCACACACACAGGTTATTACAATTTTATCAAGAAATTATTAGCCTTGTCTTAAATCTCAAAAAATTTGAATTGACGGTGAATATGTGGAAAGTGACAATATACAAGGTTATCCACTATTGGAAGGTGTGTGTGGAACAGAACAGAACTAGATCACATAGCTGTGGAGAACAAAAGCTCAAGAAGAAAAAAATTCAAAATGAGTTTATATTTTTCTCACAATAACTGTGGGCACCCTTCAAGCTTCAGTTAAGTGATGACAACATAATTAGACAGTAAAATATTCTGTTTCTGAACTGTTCTTTGTGTGACCTTCAGTTATCTCTGAGGATCCTCAGGTTTCTTAAGGTTTCCTTAGGCTGTCTGTTTAATCTGATTTTTCTGAAAAATGTACATGAATAAATAGGCCCTCCAACCAAAAATATTAATATTTAACATTTAGCCAAAGAGGTAGCAAATATTATTTTCAAACAAAATGAAGTAAGATAGAAGAGCTGAGACAATATAATATTCTGCTTAGAGGGAAACAGTAGGTTGCCACTGATTTTTAGTCCTGTGTTTTGAAAACTATTTGAGATAGAAGGACTAAAATTGCAATGAAGATTACTGCAACACAGTTACTTGGTCCTCCTATCATTAATTGATTAAAGGTAATTGCCAGGGAGTCACCTCTGGAGGGCAGTGCAGTCTTATATTTGTTGCAGGAGCTCCAGGTACCTTTAAATTTTCCAGAAGTTCATTTCAAAGATTCTTGGCCTTGTGAGATGTGAGTCATTCCCCGTTTTAAATACTCAAAGGGAACGTAAAGGTGAAAACAAACTCTTTTTCGTTATGATGGTTAGCATGCTAGATTCAGGGAAAATGACGGGAAATAGGACTTACCATATAGAGTTAGTGAATCTCGGTGTGCAAATAAGGAGCTGGCTGATGTTTGTTTTTTTCCCCCCTTTTCCCCACTTTGGTTCAGATACTTGTGAACCTCCATTTCATGATCCTTGTTTTTGTCTCTGTCTTACTCTAAAATACAAATCTGTATCTTCTAAGAAAATCTTTTAACAGCCTCACCATATAGGGTGTTGCAGAAGGTCAGCTCGGCGGCCAGCAAAATATCTTCCAGTACCTTAACAAATCAGCAAAATATTTTGAGAAATGCTTTACTTTTATGAACAAATACCCTGCTAGTTATTGGATTTGTCATAGCATCTAAGGTTTCTCTCATAACCATACTGACCTTCATGTGCTATTGTATTACAAAACCAACTCTTTATGTAATCAAACCTAAGGAAGAATGCTTAATTAGCTATACATGACCCTGTGTTATGATACAGGCATACAAAAGTTATTTTCTTCAGCACTATCTAGCTATTGTACAAAGAAACTTCTTTATAAAGTAAGACATGGGATATTTGATGTCTCAGGAGTAAAGTAATATTGGGATTTTTTTTTTTCCTCTGCAAGCTGTTTGAGAGCTTTCAGCAGGGGGATACCGTATTTAAAGGTAGCCTAAGATCTCATAACTCCATGTGTCACAAAAACTGTGTAGGTTATGAAAGACTTTTCTCGTGAGCAAAACAACTGTGCTTTTTAGCTCTAAATCATGACATAGTCTTGTTATACCACAAAGAATTAAAGAATGTTAAGTAAATGACTTTCTTCCCTCCCTCTGTGCCTCTGAGGATAGTTATTAATGCCGATTCTTGCTGCTGAGTGATCCTGAAGCTACTGTGGCAACCTTTTTATTCCCTGAGTGCAAATGAATCCTCTATGAGGTAATTGAAGGAAATTGATGACATTATTTGCTGTATCTTGGGTATCAACAGCATATAAATGAAAAACACAGCAGAATGCCTGGCCTGTGTTACCACATTGACCTACACATTTGGATCTGAAAGATCTCGAGCTATTTTCTGCCTAAGCAGACTTTGCACCTTTGTGTTTTATAGTGAAGTAGCAGGTACACAACTTTTTAAAATCATGAACTCCTAGCATTGGATTACCACCACCTGGTGTAAGGGATAGGTTTTATAGAAACACAAAGAGCATGGACTTATTCTTTTCATTTTTGTTCTTCTTTGCCAATTTTAATGTTATCTTCACAATCTGAACAGTGTGACCTGTTTCACCTTCTTTTATTTTGAATGTTAGTGTATGCACATTCTAAGCCAAGGGTGGCTTTACCCTTTAAGTTAAATTAAACCATTTGGGACTTAGCAAATTCTGGGTTGTATGTTTTAAGGTGAAAAAAAAGCACTAAAAAGAAAATTTAAAAGAAATTTTATCATCATATAGGGTGTGGATGAATGATTCAAATAGAAAACCTATTTTAAATCAGCCCTACTGAATGAACTATACTAAAAGGACATTTATTTACCTAGTTAGGGAAAAAAGTCACTTTAAATATGGTCTCTAGTTACTTTTCTTCCCATTTATTACATTTGCCACTTCATTGTGACCTTACTATGACCTTGTAGTTTATGGGCTAAAGGTAACCATTATGCAATAATGAAAATATGCAGGCCAGTCTTTACCACCTTGAAAAAATTGGTTTCTTATATTTTGTTTAAATTAACACACTTTGCTATTTATAAAGCTCTGCTCTACGGTGCTTGAAAGAGGAGAGAAGAATTAATCGCAACTAATGTGCAGATTTAGGCTTTTAGAGACTGTGTTTAGTGGAGGTGAGTCAGCAGGCCTTGTTATATTAATTATAGTGGTTTGATTCTCTACTGGTTTTGATTCACAGAGATATGCGCTGTACGTAAGAATTAAAGCATCAATTGCTTAGGAGAAAAAGGAACTTAAAAATCAAACCATTAATACCTATCTTTGCTTTCTTCTTTTGTCTAATTTGTTTTATTTTAGTTATCCAGGCCCAGATTTCCTCCACTTTCCCTTTGCCTTGATCCCAAAACCTGACCTCTGTGAAAAAGGCAATTCATCAATTGGATGTGGTGAGGGAAATGCCCTTCAGAAGGATCTAAAACAGGCAATACAAAAAGCTTTAGACAGTCAACACATCGGGGCACGTAAGCTCTGATGTGACTTGTTATCTCTGAGACCAGTGTTTGCATTCTTCCTGGTTTGTTCCTTAGGCTTGGAAATGCACTGAAACCACAGCTGGTCTTGAAGAGCCATAGAGGATGTGATACAAGGAATGATAAATTAATAATTACAGATCCTCAATCTGCTTATTGTCAGTCATTTTTTCTACCACCAGTTACAAATCCAGTCTTTATTCTCAAACAGAAGTGATGATAATTATCCTTGGTAAAATAACTTTCACATAATGTTGATTGCAGACAGTCACCAAGGGCTATGCTCCAAGTACACTTCTCACCATTTTTATACATGAAATAAAAACTCTTATTATCTCCACTTGTCCATGAGGAAACCAATGTACAGAGAAATTAAGTACCCTTCTCAGGGTTACACAGAAATTCAAGAGCTGGATTTTTACCACAAAGGATGGTTTAGAGCCTCTGGTCTTAACCTTCCAAGAGTCTGGGTTCTTGGGAATCTTCATTTTCAACATAGGCTCTTTATACTACCAGAACTAGCATGTTCTTCAGATATTCAAAACGGAGACTTTTAATAAGTTCATTATTAAAGAAGTGAATAATTTAGGATTAAAAAAATTCTGTTAAAAATGGGTTGCTCATAATTAATGAAGGCAGATATTTAAACCATGAATCCTTTATAAAACCTTGGGATGTGAAAGCTTATTTTGAAATGGACTGTTGGACTGCATGCTAAAAGTATACCCAGAGTGAATTTTCAGAGACATTAGAGACAAATTTAACATCACCCTCAAATCTGTGGAAGGTTAAATATACAGAGTGTGAGACATTGAGAATTAGGCATTTACAGGTACTTTTCCCCAGAGTTTGGTTTGGTGAGGGATTTAACCCCCATTTCGTGACACTGATCAAGGCAGGACATTTTGAAGGAAAAGCACTACAAAAAGGAGGAATTGCCTTGTCATGTTATGAAGCATTTAATTCTAAACTTCTCTGTTTTAAAAACAAAAGAGGCCTATCTATAGATAAACAAAGTAGACTCGTGATTTCCAAGGGCTGGGGCAGGAATGGGTGGGTATTAGCCATAAACTGGCTAGAGGGATCTTACTGCAAGCGATTGAAATGTTCCAAAATTGGATTATAGTGATCATTGTACAATCTGGTTTAAATGAACTTTGAAATCATTGAATTGTACCCTTTAAATGACCAAATTTATGGTATCTAAATATACCTTAGTAAAGTCATTTTTAAAAATGCATGTAAAAAAACTAAAAAAGAAAAAAAGGAAGATCCAGAATTGGGTCTTCAGACAGAATCATTATTTGCATCAAATTCAGAATTTCCCGTACATGATATTAATTTACTTCTCTAATTTGAAGTATGACACTAAATGTAACACGTTAGGTCATACATTTGGCAAAGACAAATTCTTCCTGCCTGTACTTTTTCCTTTCAGTTTTTAATAGGTGGCGCCATTATTCTTTGTAGCCTCTAGAGGGCAGCACATAGGTTTTTTTTTTTTTTTTTTTTTTTTTTTAAAGACAACAAACTTGTAACTCCCAAGCATCAAGAATGCCCAGTTGTTTCAGATGAACTCTCCAATTTTAGTTCATCCTGACGACCTCACAGTGGAGGACCTTCCTATAGTGACTCCTGCGAATGAATCCTCCCTTCCTTCCTGTTAGTTGCTCCCTTTCACCTCTGGCTATTTAATGTCCTTGAAAGATCTTTCAGCTCTCTCTACAGGGGAACATAGGAGTAATTTCAGTTGAAACTTTCACAACCTTTTTCCTTTAGAGAGCTTGATTTTTAGGTAAAGACAATAGTCAGTTAATGAATAAAACCGGTATTTGCACATGGGGGAGGGTTGATGCCCAGGAGATTGTCATAAGAATTCCTGACACAAGTTCTTCAGATCGCATCGGAAGAATCCGGCTATGCCAAAAGATAAATGTAGAGTTCTCCTCAATGTATGAATAACTAGGGATGCAGGATTTAAAATCTATAAGAATTTTTAAAGTTGTAAGACATAAGCATCCTGGTGTGTTTTTTGATTGTTGTTCTTTTCATTTAATTATTTATTATTAGTTTATGTACAGTAGAAGCCAACAAATAAGGGTTGGAAAGGTAAATTAACTAGCATTAAGGTATATACTGAAAGTCATTTTAAGAAATGCCTTACCTCTTCTCATCCCCACGATTAATGGCATTTTCCCTATGATCATTGAATTTTAAAAATACCTGGAAATTTATACCATTCTAGGATCTTATAGAATCTTATAGGATTTATTGGAGTTGATTTTAGTGTAGGAGCCTGAAACAGTTTTAGGTCCCCCTCACTATGTCTTATTGTTACTTCGTTTCTGACATTCTTCCTATATATCCAATCTAATATATATGTGAAAAAGGGTAGACATCAATCAGTATTAAGAAACAATGAGAAATGCCTGAACAGACCTTTAAGCTGTGATTTAAAAAAATCGTATTTGGGTGATCCTAGCAGTTAAATTGACTTTTTCTTTCCTTCTGTCGTCTCTGTTCTCCTTTTTTTTCCTCAGTAAACTTTGATTGCTTGCTAATTGTGTGCTAGGCCTTGTTTGGTTGTTTATTGAGAGAAAGAAATAAAGGAGAAGGGAGAGAACACAAACACAATTTCTGCCCTTGTGGAATTATAGCCAGTATAGGAGACAGACAAAACAGTATATAAACAAAAAATAACAATACATAATTACAGATTGAAATCAATTCTAAGAAAAAAAAGGTCAGTAAGTATATATAACCTTTGGGGCCAACTTTAGGCTAGAGAGTTAGGAAAGAATTTCTGAGGAGGTGAACTTAGGTGGCCCTACCACATAAAGGATTGGGCAAAGGGTTATCCAGGCAGAGGAACAGAGTATGAGAAGGCCCTGAGTCAGGAAGGAGCATGGCTTGTTGCAGAAACTGAACTAGTGTCTCAGTGTTTCACTGTGAATCAAGAAGTAAGCTAGGATGTGGCTTGGGGAGGTAACTGGCCAGGACTGAAAGATCTTTGTGAGGAGCTTGGATTTGTTTCTAGGTTGAGTGATGCCTCCAGAGGGCAAAAGAAAAACAGCAACATTATCTGATTTTGCTTTTGATAGGATTATTCTGGTTTCTCTATGGAGATTGGATTGGAGAGGGGCTCATATGAATGTGGCAGAAGTTTAGAAGGTGTAGCTGGGTGTGGTGGTGGGCACCTGTAATCCCAGCTACTCGGGAGGCTGACGCAGGAGCATCACTTGAACCCCGGAGGCAGAGGTTGCAGTGAGCTGAGATGGTGCCATGCATTCCAGCCTGGGCAACAGAGAGATACTCCATCTCAAAAACAAAGCAAAACAAAACAACAACAAAGAAGTTTAGAAGGTGGTTGTGATCTAGACAAAAATGCTCTTGCAACTGAGTTTCACCTGCAATTTAGGAATGGGAAGTAATGTGTTGAGTCCACTGATGTTGGGAGCACAAACACTTATGTAGGAGGTAGAAGAAACAGTTTTTTTTCCTATAAAGTTATAAATAGCTTTTAGCTTATTAGGTGTGGCTATGTTGAGACAGTAGTTAATGATTAGTGGGATATTTAAAAGTGATTTTGGAAACATGAATATCTTGTGATTTTTATTTTATGCAAACTGGCATTGATTTTAAAAGCTGAGGCAATTTAAGCAACTTCGAATGAGTGTTTTCTCTCTGAGGGTTGGAATTTGGAAAAAATTGAAATATGGGAGCAGATGAGAACATGAAGAACTTGATAAGTATACCTACATATCCTTTGATATCATTGTTAGGAACTTATCTTTTAATCGAATGCATGGTGCCATAGGTTATTCCTTCTCTATATCACTTAGTACTTAAGAACACAAAACTAGACATTAGTAGAATTTACAGATACACATTTGATTCCTGGCTTTACCACTTACTCTAGCTATAACTTTAGACACCTGTCCCCTCACTGATATTTCTGAACTGGAAAATTGAGGTATAATAACCACGTTAGAAGAATGTGGTGAGGATTATGTGAAAAAATTTATGCAAAGTACCTGTCACATAGTCAGTAGTATTCAATTAATACCAGATTAGGTGATTTGCCATGATTTGCCCAAGGACAACAGCTAATAAATCGTAGGACTAATATTTCAACCCAGAAGGCCTTATGCTAAAACCTGCACTGTTCATCACTGCCCAGTACTTCTTTCTTAAATTGGGGCAGTGAGGCCGGGCACAGTGGCTCACGCCTGTAATCCCAGCACTTTGGGAGGCTGAGACAGGCAGATTACATGATGTCAGGAGTTCAATATCGGCCCAGACAACATGGCAAAACCCCATCTCTACTAGAAATACAAAAGGTAGCCGGGCGTGGTGGTGCACACCCAGCAACTTGGGAGGCTGAGGCAGGAGAATCACTTGAACCTGGGAGGCAGAGGTTGCAGTGAGCCAATATCGCACCATTGCACTCCAGCCCGGGCAACGGAGTGAGACTCTGTCTAAAATAAAATAAAATAAATTAAATAGTAAATTGTGGCAGTGAAGGGACAAGGAGGGAAGGATATTTGCTGTTGTCCCAAACTATCTTCTTACTTCTTTTCTTCCACTAACCTGCTTTTCCTCAACTCTCATTCACATTTTCTAAAACTTGAGAATGAAAAATTCAAAATTGCATAAAAGTAGAGCAAATAGTACAATGAACTTGCATGTAACTGTAGTCCCCAGCACCTGCTTTGTGTCTCCAGGGACCCAGCAAGGTTGCTTTGGTGATTTTTTTTGTTGAGATGGAATCTCATTCTGTCACCCAGGCTGGAGTGCAGTGGCACACTCTCAGCTCACTGTAACCTCTGCCTCATGAGTTCAAGCAATTCTCCTGCCTCAGCCTCCCGAGTAGCTGGGACCACAGGCACGCACCACCGTGCCCAGCTAACTTTTGTATTTTTAGTAGAGACAGGGTTTCACCATGTTGGGCAGGGTAGTCTTGAACTCCTGACCTCAGGTGATCCGCCCACCTCGGCCTCCCAAAGTGCTGAGAATACAGGTGTGAGCCACCGTGCCTGGCCACTTCGGTGATTTTCTAACCACACTGAAGGGCATTTTCTTAACCCTCATTTTCCTCTGCAGTTAGGGCTCCTGCTGACACCACCTTCTGCTCTGCCTTAGCATTGCCACAGGACACGGTTACCTCACCTTCCACCCTCCGATTCTCCTCTCTAAACCCCTCACTTCTTGCTCTTCTGCTCTTCTTGTTCTAGATTGTTTTCAGAAAGTTTTTATGGTTTCTTGGACTCAACTATAATTGTAATTAAGAGATTAATCTCCAGTCCTAACCTCTTATCCTATGTATATTCCTACATTTTCAATTACTTTTAAACATTTATGGCAAAACTCATATCTGCCACCAAGTGGATGGACTTCCTTTGTGCCATCATTTTTCTAGTTTACATAAGTGAAATGTTCAAGTTTTTCCTCTGTACTGTCGTACTCCTTCAGTCATTTAGACCCAATGTCCTTTGGTAATATTTTTCAGTATCTTCTCCTTATTTTATTTTCCTTTTTCTAGAAACATGCATCAACCTTATGACTTGTTATCCTCATTTTAATCTTTTCCCCTACACTTTCTGAACATCTCTTTAGCCATAAATTTCCAGAGGCCTCTCCATTTGCTGTGGAAAAAAAGGAGAATTTAAGAATTACCGTTTCAAGTGCTTTTCCTCTCACTGTTACTTTAATAAATTCTTTTCATCTTTCAAGGTCCACTTCAATCTCATCTCCTTTTTGAAGATTTCCATATTCTTTCCTCAAAGAGTAATATATTCCTTTCATTTAGTTACTACAGCACTCTTGGCACCACTCATTTCAAAATTATTATGTAGTACATTGCTGACAATTTTTTTTATTTGTCTTGTTATACCAGTAAAAATGTTTACTTTCCAAGAGTTGACATTTTTTTATACTTACTTACTTTCAGTGTCTAGAGCATTTGTTTATACATAATAGTTGAATGATTGATTTTCATACTAGACAAATAATGATCAATGGGTAAATTAATTAGCAGTAAGTTATATACCTGAAAATTATTTAAAGAAATGGCAGAATAATTACCCTTGTCTGGGATCAGTTTTGTAACATGCCACAGTTAAGGGGCAAATTTTCAGTTCATTAAGCTTCTTCCAAAAGAGCCTAGTTTCAGAATGGAATGGTGTTTCTCCTCTTCTGAGAATTATAAGAAAGTGCTTTAGCTAGCAAATTTTTTTTTTCCTCCCAGGTGGTTCTTTGTCTACATACCATCCAACTATGAACAATAATGTATTTTATAGACTATACTAAGATATTGAAAGTTGGAGAGATGTATTCCTTTGTCTGATCAAACCTAGCAAGGAGAAAAACTGGGTTTTCTTCTCCTAAAATATTAAATTCCAAAAATTACAGGTACTCATTAAAAATCTCAAACAATACATAAGTAAGTGAAAGTAAATGGTGATGAAAGCCTCTTA
Source organism: Homo sapiens (assembly GCF_000001405.40). Lineage (NCBI taxonomy): Eukaryota > Metazoa > Chordata > Mammalia > Primates > Hominidae > Homo > Homo sapiens. The sequence goes on from NC_000007.14 coordinate 18,361,343, forward strand.
TCCACCCACACCTCTCTCCTGAAGTTACCTAGACCACTGCTTTCAGTTCATTTCAAACATCTAATCTATTGCATGTCGATTTATTTGGGTAGTATTCACTGCCTTCCCTACCCCTTCTTTACCACTGCACCTCAAGAAGACCTGAAAACCTTTAAATTGAAATTTAATTATTTCAATTTAAACATTCTTATTCTGTATATTTGGTAAATAATTATATTCACTTATATTACACCAGGGAAACCAAAGGAAACATTCATTTCTCTTTCTTTAGAAACATTTTAACTGACTCAATAGGCATAAAATTTTACTGAGGGTTAGATTTCTGTTGAATATATGGTTAATTCTACTTCTGTTTAAGGAAAAGACCTTAACTTTAATTCATAGAGCAATGCTGTTGCAAATGTGTAATTTTCCAAATTGTCCATAGTCCACAAAACACTTTAATGTATTATTTCGTTTATTGCAAGGAGAGAGAGAAAAAAAAAAACATTCTGGCATAAAGCCAACTAATTACTGATACACTCAGGAGACTCACCGTCAGTACATGATATGCTATTTTCCTCCAAGTGTTCCTTATTTCTTCCCTTCTCTCCTTGCCAGCTCCCCGCCCTTCTGGAATTTCTTGGTTCAAGGACAAGTGCTGACTCAGCATGGGCCACCTTCTTAGGCTAACTTACTGCTTTCCCTGCTCCTAAGGAGTCACCAGAGGGGGAGCAAATGGAGCACCAGCACATTCTCCAATTCTCCTAGGTGTCGTAGCTCTCCTCACTGATTATGAATTGTTTCTGGGAGAACAGAATGAGCTGTTAGGCTGCAAATGATCTAACCTTTCATACTTGACCATGTAGACTTTCCGCATTTATTCCAGTCCTCATTTCCAAATTTCACTAACAGAATTGCAGAGATCGTAGGATTCTATTGTCACAGAATAGAAATCTGTGATGCTTATGTGTTGCAAACCTAATTTCTCTATATATTTGTGTTAGAGGAAAGTTATATTTTTCTATTATCTTTGTAGAAGAACTTTGGTTTTTAACAATCATGGTAACTTAAAAACAAGTTTCTTGGTAACTTAGATGATCCAGTCATTAAAATCATGATATAGATTCTAAATATTGGGGAATTTGGAGATTTATGATTCTTAAAGGCATTATAAAAAATAAATAGGTATATGGTATACAGTTCTAAATAGCTTGGAATTATGAGTGTAAATGTTAAGTGTACTAGCAGTGATTTCTCTTTAAAAAATAAGCAAAAATTGACCCTGGATTGATGAAATTTTTTTTAACCCTTATTCATGTTGTAGGAAATTTTATAGACAGACATTGTAAAAGAGTGAATGGATTGCTATTGAAAGATAATCTGATATCAACTTAACTTGCTGGTGACTTTAAATTTCATATACTGGCTTTCATGCTACATTTATATCTTAGCAATAAGTATTCATGAGTCTCATATTTGAAGGTAGAGAATCTTGAATAGTAAAGAGTTCTGGTTTACGTCTTTAAAGGTCAGAAATATGCACTGTTATATCTAGTTTGTATATTTCCTCTAGTAAAAATCTATGCCTGACTGAAAGTGCTGAATTTATGGTAGAACAAAAGAGACTTATCCCACCCAGATTGATTCAAATACCTGGAGATACCAGTTTCAGACATGTGTTGATACAGCTTATTAAAATAGTAAACTCACTAATAAGCATTTTTGTATTTTGGATTGATTAAAGAATGTTTATGTCAAGAAAAGCATATTTTGAAAGTAATTACAACCATTAGTTATAATTAATTCGGTTTATCTTTTTTAAGGAAGGCTAGGATTTAATAAGGTGGGTTTTCCTAAAGCCTTTAATCCATGGCTTTTATTTTCACCACGGTAGATTTTCCATATAATTTCCCTCCTTACTTTTTCTTAATGTCAGATGAGGTATATATATCTTTTGTAACTTCCTGGTGTCTGATCTTAGATACTTCTAAAGCTGATTGTGAGGATTAATGGACAGGGATTCTATCCAGTAATTGTGGGTTTTAGAAGAAACATACTCATCCTAGAGAAAGAACTGGCACACATTTGCCCATTTTTGTAGAATTTGGCCTAGATTCGCAAAGAAAAAAATAAATTTTGGAGACTTCTGATGGTTCATTTTCTTAAGAAAGAAAGAAAATGTTGTTATTATTATTTGCATTTGGTACTGTGCTATGTAAATAAATCAGTGGCATCTAAGTTAGACTTGATTTTGAAGTGCTGTTATTGATTCACTAAGAACCACTAAGTTTCTCCATCTGCTTCCTATTTACAAAATGGAGATGTTTTCTGTTTCTAATTTGCCCCTCAGAAGTGCAGTGTTATAAGGATTAATTAGAGAAAGCCAATGGGCTGAACAGTGAGGAAGACATAAATAGAGACAAACGGGGACATTACCAGGTGCCTCCTCTTTTTGTTCATGGTTGATCTTCAATCTCAATTTTTTTATACAAAGGGCATCTCATTGTATTATTTGGTCCAATGACTTGCATTGAAAGGATACTGACTGCCCCAGAATTCATTTGCTTTTCTTAGTGAAATGCCTTAACATTAATATTTTTCAGGGTCTAACTTTTCCTAAAGATTTTCAGGTCCCAGAATTTCATTCTGAATGGTTGGGCTTTATCAGATTATTTTTCAATAGCAAGCCATTCACTCTTTTACAATGTCTATCTATAAAATTTCCCACAATAGTTCATAATCCTCTTTTCAGCAGCCTTTTCTCCTTCTTTATCACTTCTTTTGTCCACTTATTTTCAGGATGCAAAGTTGGCGTCACTGACTTGCTCATGGCTTCTTGAACATCTGTGTGAGGCAGGATTGCTGAAGATCCCAGGCTTTTGAGTTAAACTGCCTGGGGCTGAATCCCTGTTCTAATCTGGCTGTGCAGTGTTAGTAATGGTACCTCCATTTAACCATCTTTAAAGCGAAAAATTTCTCATGGATTCCTGTGAGGATTAAGATAATATAAGGTCTGCGGCACCGGCATATGATAAATGCTCAAAATAGTACTATTACTTGTATTAACATTAGAAATAAACATTTAGGCACAAGGAAGGAAAAAATAAGCAATCAGGAGGAAGAAAAAGAGCAGTCAGAAAATGGTGAGAATTAGCATGGGGTGTGTTTTGAAAGTAAAGAAGAAGAGACAGTCATTCGAAAATAGAGAATTTTCTATACCTTTGCTACTCAGAATGGCTCCTGGACCAGCAGCATGGGCACCCTGGAAGCTTTCCAGAAATTCAGAATCTCAGGCCCCCAAAGCCCCAGGAATCTAAATCTGCATTTTAACAAAATCCCCAGGAGATTCATTTTAAAGCTTGAGAAGGCCTGGTCTACAACCTAACATGCAGCAGAGTTGACAGATGAGATTAAGACTAAACAAACCTTCGAATTTTCCTGCTAGACCTTTAGTGGAGAAAACAGGGAGGAATGAATAGGTGGCAAATAAAAGAGAGAAATCAGGTATTGATAATTCTTTCAGGAAGCTCAAAAATTAATCAGGGTGAAAAAACGTTAGATAATACCTTTAAAATGTAGCAGAATCGAAGGGAAATTTATTTTTATGAACAAGAAAAAGTTGAGTCTGTGTGCAGGTGGAGCTGAAGTGTCACACAGGGTAAAAGATTGAAAAGTAATGAATACATGAAGACATGGATAGCTAAGAGATGGGGCAAAGAGTGTTTGAAAAACATTGACAGCTGGTAAGTTTCAGAAAAACACCTTCATAGACTAGTGCAAAGATGGAAAGAGTGAGGTCAATAAGAGAGAAGATATGTAATTAGGTGTCTTCAGGGCTGTTTGCTGGGAGTAAGTAGGGCAGGAATGTTATTGGTAGCTGATGTTTTGATAGGGTTAGAACCACTTTGGTGAGTGAGATAGAACTAGAGTTGTAAATAAATTTTAGATCTAGTGTGAACTCTGATAGGTCGGAGCTGCATGGAATATTGTGTTGAGAAGGCTTCTGAGGCCAACATAATATTAACAGATAAGAGCTATGTATGTCATGAGCAGTTCCTGGCATTATAATTAGGGAGACATAGTAGTGTATGCTCTGCACATTCACCATCCCTGGTATAAAGGATCTCCTGGCCTTGTATGAAATTATTGAGTAGAAATAAAGAACTATAACATGAAAGTGTGATGAATCATTTTTGCAGTATTTTGTCTTCTTTCTCCAATAATCCTTAGCCTAGGAATAGAAAATACAGACAAGGGACTAACGAGCAGTAATAAGCTTATTTTTGAAAGGCTTGACTTTTATAGTCTTTATGACTTTTTTTTTTAATAAAAAAGCAAATAAAGCCTACATTTGAACAATTTTATGTTTTAAAAAGTGTGGGCTCTTGTATAGAACAGACTATGGAATTTGAACATCACATCTACTACTTTTTAGCTATGCCTTTGGGCAAATTATAGTTAAGCATTTTCTAGAATGAAAAACTCAGTTTTCTGAGTTTAATATTAGTAGTAATAATAACTAATAGTAATTTCCAAATAGAGTTGAAGAGAAGATTAAATGAATGTAACATCATGCCTGATGAATTCTTCTGCTGGTTACTTTTATCCTTTAGTGTTGTTTTCAGTTGTTTTTTTTTTTCTGTCAATTTCTTCTCTATTAAAAATTGTTTTCTGTCACCACGCAAAGCAACCAGGAATCATAGATTATGGTTGAAAAATCAAATGGCAGGCTATTTGAAAAATATTTATTTCAAAATTTTATTTGAAAAAATTCCCCACTGCTATAATTTAATGCTTATTCCTAATCTCCTTAATTTCCGTTGCTTTATGTATTATATAGAGATAAGGTGGAGGGAAACTGATCATGGGTGATGATAACTGCAGAACTGCTGTAAGCAAGGCTTGTTCAGAAACTGACAAATCTATTACAAAGTGACTCATGGAAGTGGAGGTTCTGTCACAAACAGGGTCAGTTATTACTTGGCAGTATTCTGTGTGCTTTAGAAGAAAATAATGGGCTGACATAGCATAGAACTTTGGGAATAAAAGTTTCTGGATCATGGCAGTTGGCCCAGGACACCAGACCTAGAATTTGCACCGGTAGAATTTGTCTGCCCCAAAGTAACTGGCAATAATGCCAATCAAGACTTGTGCCTACTCTTCCATGGGTTCTGGTCCTTCAGTCACATTTGGCCAGGAACCTTCTTGGCTGATGAACTTTTATATGGATACACTATAAAAGAGCACAGCTGAGAGCCAAGGAGTGGGATGCATTAATTCCATAACCACATTTTTTCTTTATCCTTCAAAAAATTTGAGAATATATGACACTGACAGATGACATTTTTTTGGCAGTGCTGTTAGGTCTTTGCTACAAGGCAGTTCTCCATCTTTGTAGTTGCAGAGTTATAACTTGGTTTCTAAAAGAAATCCTCATAGCTATTCACCTGGCTCATATTTCATTCTCAGCTTGAAATTCAAATGTATTGACTCTCCTATTTTTATGTAAAGTGATGCGTTTAGTTAGATTGTCACATCTTCTATATATTGTGTACTTAATCAGTTTAGTAAGAAAAAAATCTATAGAAAATGCTTTGGATGAAGTATGCCTATTAAAATCTCCTACATTTGGCTAGTTTTATTAACATGCAATTCTTAATATGTAGCATTCACTACCTTTCTATATAACTAGTTTCTCATTCTCTTCCCATCTGTATGAGATTTTTTCATTTTCTTTCAGAATATACATCAAAATAATGCTTTTGTTTCTTTTTCACAAGTAATAGATGTTCATATCAGAATAATGAAAAGGCACAGATAAGTAAATAGAAGAAATACAATCATATTTAATTCCATCATTCCAAGAAAGCCATTGTTAATTCCAGTGCATTCTAAGGGGTTGCAAACTCAGATGCATAGAGAAGGCCAGTTGATATGATAAATGTACAAATCAAGCTGGATGGGAGCCATGGGACTAGTCCTTGCAAGCATGTGGGCCTGGGGTCCCCTGTTCTTCCTATTTTTCAGGAGAAGAAGGGTATCAGATTTTTATATAACACATCTGATATTGAAATTTGAACGTGATAAAAATTGGTAAAGACTCTGTAGAAACCAAACAGAATAGGTATGCACACCTTTTGCTTTGTTCCTTTTGTATATATAAACTATAATGTTAGAAATTACAATGGTGTTTGCATTTCTTCATTTTTAACTGCACTTTAATATTTCTTCCTTGAATAAATGACATTTGCTTATCTCATTTCCTCTTGATAGGCATTTACATTGTTTTAGGCTTTGCTATTATGGCAATCATTTTCTGAACATGCTTGTGCATGTTTTCTGGTACATGTATGGGTATAAGGTATATTGGAAGTGGAATTGCTGAGCTAAGTCATAGGGTGGGTACATGTTCAACTGTGTAAGATAATTCCAAGTTATTTTGGAAGATGTTTGAAACCAATGTATATGCCCATCAGCAGCCTATGAAGGCTGCTAGTGTTTCCCATGTTTCCCAACACTTGTATGTTTAGATTTTTTCATTTTTGTCGTTTGGAGAATGTTCGTGTGATCATTTGCACTTTCCTGATTAGCATGAGGTTGAGTATCTTTTGAAACTTATTGATTTGATACTTATTCAACATAGTGTTTCGACTTATGGGAAATGCTTGCTTTGTCTACTTTCTTTTGAATTGTTTCTATCTTTTGTTGACTTATGGAAGTCATTGTAATAATTTGATACTAATCCCGTGTCAATTTTATTACCAATATCTTTTCCCAGATTGCATATCATCCTTTCACTTCCTTTTAGTGTCATTGATAAATGGAAGCTTTCTTTTTGATGGATTCAAACTTTTTTTTTAACTAAACAGTTAATACTTTTTAATGTCTTGTTTGAAATTTCCTATGAAAGGTCATAAAGATATCCTCCCATATTTTATTCTAAGATGAAAGTGATCTATCACTTTACCTTTTAATCCATCTGGGATTTTTTTGTGTTTGGTATGAGGTGCAGATCCAGTTTCATTTTTGTTTTCCATATGGTTAGCCAAGTATCCCTGACTAACCGGTGATCGGCAGTGCCACTATTGCCATATATCAAATTTCTTATATATCAAACATGCTGTTTCTGTTTCTGAACTCTGTTTGGTTCCATTGCTGAGACCTTTGCTTCTCATGTACACTATGTTTATAGAGCAAAACATATTGTTTTGCTAAACCGTGCTTTATTTTCTGGGAAAAAAAACCCCCAAGGTTTATATTAATTTTATGAAAAAATGGCTGTCAGTTTATTTTATACCTTTTCCCATCTGCCCCTTTATGCTGATTATAAGGATTAACCCTTTCCATTATCTAAGCTTTATGATGATCCACTTGAGTAATATTGGAAAAGAAGGAACAACATGTCCAGGTTTCAGACACATGCTCAGTGAGGCAAAATGGAATACAGAAATTCCTACCTAAGTAGTAGCCAAGTCAAAGAGAGAAATGCCTCTCTGTGGTGCCCCTGAGAAGGAACAGGGGTTGTAACTGATGAACTCACTATGTAGGCCACAGCCTGATGCTTGAATATATTGCTGATAAAAATCCTTATAAATATCTAGATAGTGATTGTAAATTAAACTTGTATTCCATCTGCTATTAGTTTAAAATCTACTAAACCCATTTTTCAGCCTGTGAAAAATATACCACCTGGCCAAGTGCTTTCACATTATTTATGTATGGGGCATTTAGGGTTTTCTTATATCTTTTTTCCTTTTGCTCTACTTCAGGATCTTTTATATGTTTAAAGTGAAAAGTATTTCCACATATCTCTATTTAAAATAATTTAGTAGATCCTTCTATGTCTATTTTTTTGAATTAGAAATGCAATTCTGGATTGTTGTAAATGAATTATTTGAGTCTGTTTTGTCTCAATGTAACAGCAGAATAGTGGAATTCGTATGGAAATAATTGTTTTACACTTAAAAAATTCTTTTAGTGACCTCAAATTCAAGAAAAAAGAAATTAACTGTATCATTATTTTCTATAGTGGTATTTAAAATATTGTAATAACATGCTTACCATGTTCTCTGAAAGTGAACCAAGAGAGTTATATTGCAGATCTATTCTCTGTTTTTTCTCCTCTGTTTCTTTACCTTTTCTTTTTCCTTTTTTTCTTTCTCCTCCCTTTTTTCTTCTCTTTTAAATATTTGTAAATTAATGTCCTTACCTGGAAATCCTGGGAATATTTTATCTTGAGCTTGATATCTGGGCTTTATTTAATGACTCCTTTAGTGGAATTTCTAACTATAAATGAAATACATTTTCCCTAAATGCTGTGGACTTTGCAGTACAGGAGGCCGATTAGGTCAAGATATCTACTATTGTTTTTCTATATGTCAGAAACAGTGTTTCAAGGTTCAGCAAGTCATGAAAAGTGTTTCAAGGTCCATCAAGGAGAGACTCAGAGGGATGATTGAGGAGGTGTGCGCTCACTGTGTCTGTCCCTGCCATCATCTCCAAATGGGATTGTTTGCATCCGTGTAACTGCTGCTCTGAGGGGAAATAAAGTTTATAGAGAATCTTTAAATTATTCCAGTGTAGGAAAAAATTGTAAGGTCAACTTTCTCATCACCTGCCAATGCAATAATTTTTTTTTGTAGGTTGAAAGCATATTCAAGAAGAGTTTTTTTAAAAAGATGTTTAAGACTTACTTTTCCAGTTCTTTTTTTGTAACTACAAACAGAACTTGTCAGTAGAGGTAATGATACAGAAAGGGAAAGAAGTATGAATTTTAAATGAATGGAGCGCAGGCTATTAAGAAAGTAAATTTATTCGTGCAAACCATTGTGCATGTATTCTATAGGTTATTCCAGCCCCAACTGGGTTACCTTCTCCCTGTACTCACTAGCAATCCAGTCAGTGTGGTTCTAGTTAGAATCCCATAAATCTGTAACAGAATTAATTGCATATCCTTCCAAGCTAGCAGTGAAAGGAGTAACATTGGCCAGGATTTTGATGTTTTGCCATATTCTAAAATCAACATGATGGTATACGACATTGCTGAAAACATTAATTTAGAGGGTGGCTGGAAATTGCTGAAAATATTGAACTCTAGCTAGTGAACCCAAACATTCTCCTTTTTTTCTACTTCTAGATCAGAGAAGTCCATGTAGTTAAAACTTCACTCTTAATTTAATTCTCTACCTCAAGTATATATGCATAAAACCATATTTCTTTGTTTAGCAAGCTGAACACTGCTTTTTATAATATTAGTCTGTAAATCATAAGTGTGAGGCAATTGGATCATTGTGCTCTGTAAGGAGCATATTCCACAATAGCCAGTTTATTTTATTTGACTTTTATCTAGCCCTTGCTAGCAATATACTGGATTCTGTTTGATGCATTTTGCATAAGGGTTCTATTTGGTCCATAATGGTTTGTGTAATGAACTATTTGTTCTCTTCTAGATGACAGCCAGTTGCTTAAAACCTATAATGAGATGTCAGGTGAATTGCACTGATTGGCATTGATGGATGGACTTGTTGAAATATTGCAGAGTTTCCGTAGGGGCGTAGAGGAAAATGGCTGTTTAGAGGTTTGGGTCTCCTAAGCACTGAAACTGTCATCACATAAACAGAACCACTTCTGCAGGTCTGAGGTGTCATCGTGCATTTTCTGGCTAATCTATCCATTCATCTCAATAGTCCAGAACTCGCGCATCATGTCACTCTTTGCCTTTGTTCTGCACTTTGATCTTTCAGAATGTCTGTCAGAAGAAAAGTGTTTATATTGAATTATGTGTGGAAAGGGGTAGGCTGCATACTTCAGAATCTTGGCATGAAATTTGCTAAACAAACCTTGCCAGTTGCTCCGCAGCAATAATCGAAGTATGGATTTCAATTTAACGATATGTAGGTGCACACTTTTCCCCTTCAAAAACAACTTTAATGTGGATGTTTGGGTGTAGGAGATTTTATTTTGTTTTGTTTTTCCTGTAGAAAGTATGTAGCACCTTTATTGTTAACTGTTAAAATTAATGTTAAGAAGGAAGATAAATGAATTTTTCAAAATCAACTTTTTTCCACTAAAATTCTGGTTAAATGCATTAACTAAATGTATGCCTTGGCTGAAATATCTTTTTGTGTGTATATTTTATCTCACTGATTCTAACATTCTAGTATAAGATAGTCTATTTTGGTATCCATTATATCTATTATAATACATGTATTAGAACACATTAGGAATTCCACAGCAAAAGCAAAAGCAAACAAAAATAGGAACTAATTACATTGAAAAGTACTATACAGACACAATAGCAGAAACAATGGGTGAATTATTAGTTTCTGCATTCTGTCACAGCTATCCATTCTCTTTTCTCATACCTTTTTAATATGTTTGAAATAAAAAATAATTATGAGATCAAGGTTTTTTTCCTTCATAGTTGTCTAAAATGATTAAGGACATCAATTTCCACTGATATGATGCTGTGGGCAAGAAAATGTATAATGGTTCAATTCCCCAGGTTAACTTGCCTTGCAGTGGGCAAAAACAGACTTCAGAGATCTTTTGACATTGGTCATATGTCTTTCCTCAGTCTGGAGATGGAAGTTTTGGTGCTCTTAACTGCTATATCCTGGGCTTCTCGAGGTAATGACAGATCTTATGCTAACTTAGGGACCCTTTGGATTAAAATTGAATAGTAACCTGCAATGACATGGATGATCTTTGAATCAATAACTTTCTTACTACAAATGAAGCATTCATGGAAGCTGAATGAGCTCAGCTAACCCAGTAAGGTAACTCACATTCAACAAACTGATTTGGTCTTTGACAAGGCTCAAGTGTGAGTAGTTCTGAAAGTTTCCCAGGTGATTCCAATGTGCAAGCCAAGTTCAAAGCCACTGAGCTAGGCAGATTGAACAGAATCATTGCAACTGTATGAATATGAAGCTTTCCAGGCAGAATGAAATACATGGACACTCATGAGAATCTAGAGCTAGCTGGTCTACCAAGGGCTTCTCAAACCTGCAAACCAAGCCCTGCTGATCTACCAAGAGCTTCTCAAACCTCCAAACCAGGACAGGCATGGCAGGAAGAGGGTTGAACCACAGCAGAGAGCTGGTGAGACAAGGTAGTCTGTTTTCCAGGACTGTATTTTCCCTTAAGTGAAGACCACGTCAGATGTTAAATGAAGACTATGACCCTTTAAAGGCTTTGGCTTGCTTAGTATAGACACTTCTTCCCACTCCTAGTGTCATTCTTGAATGGTTTAAAATATGTTGATAGAAGAGTAAGAGGGGCAGAGCTGTTATTATTTTCTGCAAATTTTTAAACATGAGAACATCACGACAGTGTCCCTAGGATTATAAGCTAGGCCCAGACCTAGTCTAGTCTGTGATCTACCAGGGTTGACAGAAAAAAGCTTTTTGACTAGCTGAACAGCTTCTGGCAGACTTGGTTGTGTTTGATGGCATTTATGGTGATGTCAGTGATGCCATGGTAGTGACTGGCTGTTACAGATTGTAAAAAGGACAAGGCATTTGGTACAGGCAAACAGAGGTATTAACCATATAACAGATTTCTCTATTCATAACAATGGTTACTTTTAATAAACTGGAAATTGCATGTTTAGTCATTTGTCTGATACTTGTTCAGACTTGGAGTCAAAAGACTTGAGTTTTTTAGCCTCATTTTGTAATTTTAATAATTATTTTTACTATTCACTATATTCTAACTTTTTACTAGTATCAATAAATTAATATCTCCCCCATTATTTTTACAAGTACTTAGGTTAAATATCTAATTATAGAGTGCTTTTCATATTTTTAAAAATATCAACTGTCAACCACAAAAAGAACTGGAGTCACAAGTATAAGTCTACTGTAAGTATACTGCTATGTATTTGTAGTAATTTCTAGCTGAGCACTAACGAGTAAGAAAAGGTGGTGTAGTAAGAAAAGGTGGGTGGGTATGTTTCTTCATTTATTTCAAGTTATAGTTTATGTAAAGTTCATATGGTTTTAGAACATTTTTATTGAGGACCTCTGGTATATGTTACCTTAAAAAAAAGGATAGCTTAAGTATCCTTCATTTATTCATCTGTAAAACAGGGGATAATAATAGTGACTGCATATGGGATTATTACAATACAAAAAGATGTATATTTGGAGGGTCTTAGCAATGACAGTGAAAACTATTTTGTTGAGCTTTGTGTCCAAGTAATTCAGACATCCTGATGAACTTTCTTTTTGTTTGAATATTGAAAACATTTTTCTACTTTAATGGGATTTCATAATAGGTTAGAGATTCCATGCCAGGAATTGAGGTGTAAATGCCACATTTGCAATGCTACTTCCCTTGAAATCCAGGTGAAACTAAAGAAGCTTTGAAGGAAACATGACAAAACTTAAACTCTTCAGGTAACCCTTCTTTTCTAATCATTGACATTTTTTAGGTTGCTTTGATATTTTGTTTTGGAAAAAAATGATAATATATTTTTTCTGGCATTTAAGTCATGCTAACTTTTAAAGAGAAACAGTAGACTTATACTTGTGACTCCAGTTTTTTTTGTGGTTGACATTTGATATTTTTAGAAATAGAAAAGCACTCTATAATTAGATATTTAATCTAAGTACTTCTAAAAATAATGGGGGAGATATTAATTTATTGATACTGTAAAAAATGTTACAATATGGTGAATATAAAAATTATTGAAATCACAAAATGGAGTTAAAATGTCACTAGTTCCCTCTCGGATGTGTTTCTTTTACATTGAAAAAATGCTTATTCACTAAATCATACTATGCATATATATCATAAAAATATAGCTTAACCGTATCATATATACTAGATATATGTAGTACATGCATAAATCTAGTGTGTATGTATGTGTGTATATATATATATATATATACACACACACATATATAGGTACAGTTTAGAAGTTATATATATATGTAGTGTAGGTGTAGGTGTGTGTATATATAGTTTTGAATGTATACACACAAATACACAGATGCGTTGTTGACTGGGATAGGTTCTGATAAATACATGGTTAGGTGATTTCCTCATTGTGTGAACATCTTAGAGAGCACTTACAACACAAGCCTAGAGAGTATAGCCTACTACACACCTAGGCTATATGGTATAGTCTGTTGCTCCTAGGCTACAAACCTGTACAGCATGTTACTGTATGGCATACTTCAGGCAATTGTAAAACAATGGTAAGTATTTCTGTATCTAGGCATAGAAAAGGTAATGCATTTGGCTACAACATTAAAATGGCTACAACATCACTAGGTTATAGGAATTTTTCAGCTCCATAAAAATCTTATGGGACCACTGTATATGTGTTCAGTCATTGACTGAAACATTGTTATGCTGGGTGTCTCCAGACCTCTTAAAGTCTTTATATATATAAAATATATAAAGTCTATATATTTAGATCCTCTGCTGTTGGCAGCATAATATACAGTCATGTGCTGCATAACAATGTTTGGGTCAATGACAGATGGTATGTACAACAGTGGTCCCATAAGATTATAATGGAGCTGAAAAGTTCCTATTGCCTGGTGCTATTAAGCTGTCCTAATGTCATAGTGTAAAGCATTCCTCACGTGTTTTTTGGTGATGGTGGTGTAAACAAGCCTAATCTGCCAGTTGCATAAAAGCCTAGCACATATAGTTATGTACAACACATATCACTTGATAATAATTATGTTACTGGTTTATGTATTTACTATACTATTAATCATTATTTTAAAATGTGGTTATGTAAACAAAGTTAATTGTAAACAGCCTCAGGCTGGTCCTTCAGAAGGAGATGATAGCTTCATGCATGTTACTACATAAAATTGTTTGGGATAATAAATAAGATAACTTGGCTGGGTGAGGCGGCTCACGCCTGGAATCCCAGCACTTTGGGAGGCTGAGGCAGGCGGATTACCTCAGTTCAGGAGTTTGAGACCAGCCTGACCAACATGGTGAAACCCCATCTCTACTAAAAATACAAAAATTAGCTGGGCATGGTGGCACATGCTTGTAATCCCAGTACTCAGGAGGCTGAGGCAGGAGAATTGCTTGAACCCGGGAGGTGGAGGTTGCAGTGAGCCGAGATCACGCCACTGCGCTCCAGCCTGGGCGACGGAGCTAGACTCCATCTCAAAACAACAACAACAACAAAAAAAAAACAAAAGAGAATTTATATAATGCGGTTGGTATATGGTAGGCCCTTACTAAGTTGTCCTTTCCTTTTCTCCTTAGCTAGGACACCACATATGTGGTGCAGATGGTACCCTGCACACTGGCACTTCGCTGAGGGGTGAATGGGTGCTGCAGTCCAGTGTGCTCTCATTTTTAGTAAGCCTAAAGCCCCAGTGTGGAGCTGCATTCACACTAGCCTGGGTTAGTGGTGGCCCTGCCCCTAGGGCTCTGAGGTTGAGAATCAGAAGTTCATCCAGGACTGAATCCTAGCTGGCCCTAACCAGCTGCAAGGTCCTGGGTATGCCACCTCACAGCTTGGTATCCATGCCTCATCTAGAGGAAATGCATTAGGATCTGTCCCTAATGCTAATTCAGATGTCATTTTTTTCAAAGATGAAATGAAATCATGTTTGTGAAGAAATAATTATAAAATGAATGTATTGTACAATTTCCATTGTAATAGTTTTTATATGCAGAATAGGCAAGATCATTAAAACATGATTATTGACCTTGAGTGTTATCGTTTAGTTAGGTGGGTGGTTTTAAAGAAGGAGCCAAGAGATCTTTGTGACCCTTCTGAGCCAGAGGGCAGTTTGGTAATGGGGAGGAGGTATAAGAAATGAGGCCCTGGAGGGAGTAAGAGATACACGGAAGGCCACTGTGAAAGGCAATGATTAGAGCATGACACTGATGTTGCTTGGGCCATGAAAGAAGAGAAGTGGGTACTCTGCTCAATTAAAAAAATTATCAAAATAAATTCAATCTAGAAGTAGAGATAATTTCTCTTCTAAATAAGATTTGAAATGTGTACATTTGTAATAGTTCTATTTCCAGGACATAAATATTATTTTAAAATGTGACTAAACTTGCCCTGATGCCATAATTTTGATTTCATAGAATGAGTACATACTTCCTCATGCTTCATATGCAGAATGCTTTGATTTATCAGCTTTGGTATATTAGGACTTCTGGCACTCTAAGTTGATGCATATTTCCATTTTAATGTTAAATTACTGAATTAATTATTGTATATTTCTGTTGCTTCGGGTGCCTGGCAGTCATGAAATAATTCTTACACCATATTGATGCAGACTTCTGGTTAATAACCATAAAACTAACATGAGCCTCCCTTCCTTTTGCTTAAATTGAGAAAGAGCTATCAGAGATGCTGAAGCTAAGGTCCAGTTAATAATAACCTGGAAACTATAGATTAACACTGTATCTCTAGCCTAGAACTTCTACTTTATGGTCACTTTAATTCATCAATAATCATATGCCTGTTTGCTTTAAAAAACCATCAGTGTCTTCATCAGCTTAGGCTGCTGTAATAGACTGCTGGGTGCTATACCATCCAGTTTATGGTATTTTATTATAGCAGCGTAACTTAGGTGCTATACCATCCAGTTTATGTTATTTTATTATGGCAACCTAAGCTGATGAAGACATTAATGGTTTTTTAAAGGGAACAAGCATATGATTATTGATGAATTAAAGAGACTGTAAAGTAGTCCTTGGCTAGAGATACAGTGTTGACAGTGCTGATATAGCACCAGTTTCTGTTCTTATAGCAACAGAAATTGATTTCTCACAGTTATGGAGGCTGGAAGTCCAAGATCAGAGTGCCAGCATGGTTGAGTTCTGGTGGGAGCCTGCTTCCTGATTCATAGACAGTTACCTTTTCACATGGTGGATGGGTGATGGAACTCTCAGGGGTCTCTTTTATAAGGGCACCAATCCCATACATAAGGGTAGAGCCATGGATGATTGGGTAGGACCCAATCACCTACCAAAGGCCCACCTCCTAATACCATCACATTGGAGGTTAGAATTTTAACGTATTCAGTATATAGTGTTTGGTTTTCTAGAGGTTTCCTTTAAAAATGAGCATAAGTTTTATGTACAAAATGTTGTCAATATTTTTCTAGTCAGTAGTATTTATTAACCATATTAACTACTGATTTAGGAAGATTTCTTCTTTTTTTCCTTTTAAGAATGAGAAATAAACTCGTTATCCATATATGCGCATGACACTTGATATGTTGAAGCTAAAATAAAGACAATAATTTCAATGTAAGTTTTAAAATCTTCTAACCAAAGTGAATGTAGCAAATGTGTTTAATATGATTTGAAATTTAAATAGCAGCCTCCAGAGTTCAGGTGTACTTTATTCTTTCAGTAAATTGGGTGGACTATGGATTCATATTGAGCAGTTGTTCTGATTTATCTTGCCTGTGATTTCTTCTCCAAAGATAATAATGTAATAATGATTCATTAAGGATCTCGTTACATTTAAGCATTAAAAAAATCTGCAGTTATCCATACAAAGATAAGAATTTTATTTTTATTATTTTTCCTTTTGTTCTCCAGATTTAAAGTAGACATTTGGTCCTGTAGATAGAGTAGGGAACAAGAAAATGGTTTAATTTTACATCTTAAGAAATACTTAACTTTCATTCCAGAAGACTTAAAGGAGGTCTCAGATTCCCCAGTAGATGCAAGAAAATGAGTAAACCTAGAAACTTGGAAATAGATGGTGTTTTAAATAATTAGTTAGCAAAATGAAGTGCTCGAAGGGTTTTGAGGCAGCAAAAACAAGAGGCATAACTAAATTAGGTGCCATTTTCCAGTGACCCCATACTGATAGCACTGACTGAATGATTGAGTGCAGACTTAGGAAAATATAAGAGATTCGAGTAATCAGCAGGTGACAAGTCAAAGGAGTTTCAATTGTACAAATGTCAAAACTATTAGAAACTTTCTTTTAGTACAAACAAATACCACAGTTAAATTTCTGAGAGAGTAATTAATTTAGTATGTGTTTGTTTATATCCGTGTATGTATTATATTAAAAAGTTTATTTTTAATAAATTATATAAAAAACTTTATGTGTATACTTAGAAACTACATTTATTTTGTTTTACTACACTGCTAATCATATTACAGTATAGCTTTTTCATAATAATGCCAGATAAAAATATCTGAGAATGGATTAAATTCACATTAAGAATAGTTAGGAGAGAAAGGAGCCTAACCACAGAAAGTCAAATTTTAGTAATCTAATTTTTATGTGGATGTTTACTAGAGCAAAGTGAAATTATATATACATATACATATAAATATATGCACACATGCCTAACTGTAGATATATATTTATGCACATATGTTTATATGCATATAAATATGTTTATGTATATGCATAGTCTCTGTTTTGGAGTAAACATACGCATTTTATAAATGCATAGCCCATACCAAAACAAAACAAAACAAAATGCCTTCACTTCAATATGTCTACACAATTGAAGCGATAGAGCATATAGCAAAGGGAGCTTGTTTTTATTTAAATGACATCTGTATTGTTTTTAGTAGAACTAAATATGGAAAGCCTTCCCTTAATTCAGTTTTATCTAATGTTGTAATTGGTTATCTGATTTATGGGCACATCAGTTTTACTTAGATACCTGCCAAAATAAAACCAAAGTTTGCTTTTTAGAAGATTTATACCTAAAAAAATCATTATTCTTACTACACATGAGGCTCTATGTTTGTAGTTGAAATGCAGCTATTGACATTTATAACTTTATAACTCATAAATAACTTCTCTGTTTTAAAATACTTTTGAAAATCTACCGCTCAAAAATCTGATTCTGTGAATAATAGAAAATGCACTTAAGAGAATGAATACAAACTACATTATTTTTAGTATGTCATCAGGTTATATTGATTCTTAGATAAGTATAGATTAAAATCGTAACCACATTATCCAACATTAGTGGTCACTGTTTAGTTGCTAGAAGTTCTGTCAGTAGAGAAAACAATTAAGTTTGCTAATGTAGCAAGTAGGCCTGAAATCCATGTATACCAGACAAACAACAGCTTTGTCTTGCTATGAGAAATCTGTTTGTATTGTGAGCATCTTTTCAGGGAAATCAATACTAGTTTTTTCTTGAATCCTTGAATGCATTGCACTATTCTGTCTCTAAATGGCCTCCTGTCCTATGAAAGAAATTGAACTGAGTTAGGGTAAGGAATTGGTTAGTGTGCCAGTTGTGTCTTTTTGAACTCACACACAAACAATTTAAAAGTCTAGTTTCACAAACAGTTCTTAAATTTTAAGATTAACCTTAAGTATGCAATCCTTTTCTGTCTTAGTTTCAGAACCTGTCACAAGGGCACTGAATTTTTCCCCCAGTATTTGTTCTTCTGTTTTACTGGGAGGATTGTTGTCTGACTTCATTGTGTAGTTTTTCTGAGGCTTGCGGTACATTATTGGCAAATAATTATAAGGTCTCTATTTCTTGACCCTCACATGTGATTCTTAAACAGATCTAAGGTATCTTATTTCCACATAGATGCTGCAGATTTCCTAAAGGATCAGTTAGAACTTCCTGGAACACCCTTGGATTTGGGTCTTGCAGCTGGCTCTTACTCAAGAAAACCTCCACTAAGTCAGGGCAGAATCGCTCCTGTTGCTCCCCACCTGGAGTAGAATGAATGGAGTAACACATTTTAGTTTTTCTCTAAAACCAATTGAGTTCTTAAAGACTCTGATCTCTAAGTAAAATGAGACATTTAATTATGCTAGTGAATACAAATGTATCAAATTTTACTTTAAAAGGCAGAGGCTCTCTCAAATTAGATTTTATAAAAATTGTTTGCAGAAGGCCTGAAACAAAGTGACACAATAAGATTAAAATCAAATAATGGGTTAACGTATATCTTAATTGATATATAGTAAATAGGGAAAATTATATAACAACTTATAGAATATAAGACAAAAAAGCATTACATGAGAAAAAAGGACTTTTTAAAATAATTTAAAGAAACATCCATGGTGAAAACACAGTTGTTGTAGTTTATGTACCAAACACCAAAGCAAAGAGTGTCAAATTAAATTGTATTGATTAAATCGTATATTGCAGTTTGGTTATTAAGACTGGCAGAAAGAGACCAAAGCATTACTTGTTATAAGTTTGCCATAAAATTTTTCAAGGGTATTTGGTGAAACAGAAGAGAGTCATCTGTATAGAGAGGAAGGATGCAGCAATTGACTGTATGGCTTCTCCTTTGGCCCTCACGCTGTTGCCCTTGACTCTCCTGGCACAGGTATGGTCTAGCGATGGTCTTCACTGAGCTGAAAGGGAGGCCAAATACTTGCAAAATTGGAATCCATTTACACATTGGTGTCCGTCACCAAACACACCAAACATCAATAAGCTTCTCTTAGAGGTTTTTTGTTTGTTTTTAAACAAGTGCATAATTTTCAAAGCTGCTTTCTCATCTAGGAGGAAAGAGAAGTTCTGGGGCTCCCCAAACATCTTTACCTCCAGCACTCTGGAGCTTAAGAAAGCTATCTCTTCATATTTATAAAGCAAAACTTTTGGGGAAAAACAAAAGATTAGGGCCAGGTGCTGTGGCTCATGCCTGTAATCCCAGCACTTTGGCACTTTGGGAGGACGAGGCAGACAGATCGCTTGAGGCCAGGAATTCAAGACCAGCCAGGCCAACATGGAGAAACCCCATGTTTACTAAAATTACAAAAATTAGTCCGGTGTGGTGGTGCATGCCTATAGTCCTGCACTACTGGGGAGACCAAGGCACAAGAATTGCCTAAACCCAGGAGGCAGCGGTTGCAATGAGCTGAGATCATGCCACTGCACTCCAGCCTGGGTGACAGAGCAAGACTCTGTCTCAAAAAAAAAAAAAAAAAAAAAAGGAAAAGAAAAAAAAGAAAAATAAAATAAAATAAAGATAAAAGATTAATTGTGTTAGAAACACAATTTTATTCTGGGTCTTTGACCACATAGTTTGGGAAGAATTTGGAAGATATAATTAACATGGTTGAATAAATTTCTCTAACTAGAAAGAGCATAGTTTATATTATCTGACCACCAAGCAGTAAAGTATAAATTAATATCAA
The DNA here is from genome assembly GCF_000001405.40 of Homo sapiens. Lineage (NCBI taxonomy): Eukaryota > Metazoa > Chordata > Mammalia > Primates > Hominidae > Homo > Homo sapiens. The sequence goes on from NC_000007.14 coordinate 18,381,426, forward strand.
AGCTTTACGTAAGAAAATCACGGGAGATTTAAAAGAAAAATCAACTTTCTAAATTTTGGGATCAAAAGGAAATAAAAACTAATCACTGACAAGAAAATAGTGGCAATGATGGGATAAAATATCATAATGTATGGCATAGGACAAAACTATAATTAATAGACAAATTTTAGGCCATTTTTTATTAAGTAAGAAAAAGTGAGAATAGACTATTCATTCAGTACTCAAATTTAGATAAATAATGCTGCTGAAATAATATGAAGAAAATAAAAATAACTTAAATAATAAAATATTAATTAGAGACAACTTTAACAGAGTAGACAAATAGGTTGAAGAGTATATTTTAGGAAAATACATGCTGACAAGAGAGTTCTTATTTCAGGGTTTGGCAGTATATTTAACGTTACAAAATATTTTAGCTTCTTACTTTTTTTGTTGTTGCTTGTTTCCTATTTTTCGCCTCAGGTATATGGACTCTTGGATAGTCCATGCATGAAAGACTTTAATGCCAGTTCATCTCTGAGGTTAAATACAAATGTGTGTGTGAGTAACATTTTTCTAAACGTAGTAATAATGTTTTTCTAATGTGAATATGAGAGTCTCAAAGTAGTCTGGAACTCCCTCATAAAAAAATCCAGTTATTGTTTCCACTCAAACAGTAAATCATCTTGGTAGACCAAAGGAGAAAACCTACGTGGTATTTTTCCTTTAGGAAATATCCAAAATATGTTCTATATCTATTCCATATCTTAAAAAAAAAGATAAGACAAAATAAAACAAGAAACAAAAATAGTTATAGAAAGTGCTTTCTTAATAGTAACAAGTGATTCCCAAGCCAGATTGAAATATCAATTATATATGTAATAGAAAACTACTACATTTTTAGTAAAAAATAAGGGAAAAGTTGCCACCTCCACCATGGTATTCTGGAAGTTCTAATGAATGTATTGTGTCAGGAAGAAAACCTTTGAGATATAATTCTTAGAAATATGAAGGGAATATTGCCATTGTTTTTGCAAGATTTTATTTCAAGGAACAGGGTCGTTCATTAAGTATTGAGTATCTGCCATATGGCAGTTACTTTTCTAAGCCCTGGAGATCAAACTGTGCACAGGACAGGCAAGGCCTGCGCCCATGGAGTGTATTATTTAGAGTGACTGTGTAGAGAAAGACAATAAGGAAACAAATGAACAAGAAAATTTCAGATAGCAGTCTAATAATTTCAGATACGATGTCATTGTCTACCTAAAAGTCAAAATGTGTTTGCAGAAAAATTATTAGAAATGACATGAAGGAATAGTAAGCTGAGGATGTAAAATACATATAAAAGTAATAATTTTAAAGTAATTATTTGGAAACAGTTATAGACAAATATCTCCATTCATGATAGCAACAAAAAACATAAAATATACTGAAACTTAAGGAAGTATAGAACATGAAATATATATCTGTATATGTGTATGAGTGTGTATGTATATGTATATAAATGTGCAAATACAAATATACACACACACATATTTTCTTTTTAATTTGGAAAATCCGTGACTAAATGGGGCAACTTAAATTTCTGGGTAGAAAGATGCATTGTGGTAAAGATGTCATGTCTTTTCATACTTTTAAAATAAATGTACTGTTATAAATTAATTCTAACAAGTTTTTAAGGAAACTTGTAAAGAGAAAATGACATTCATCTGAAATGAACATTAAAGAACCACCATACATAATTTGATTAAGAAGAGAAATAAAGTCACCCAGCCTACAAGATATTAAAATGCATATCATAAAGCTGCAATAGAAATGAACTAGAAAACCCAGAAATCGATGTGCTCGTGCAGGGATGGCACATTTGTGGCACAGTTACCTTCTTTCCCCATATTGTTACCATGGTAGACATTCACTAGTAATTGATGTTGTCACATTTCCCTGCTGGGCCTGGACGTGATCTCAGAACTAGATGAACACTATTAGGCTATCAAAGTTGGCACGTGGATTAAAACATTTTGGCACCCTGTTCAGGTATATGATAAAACTGGCATTTAAGTTAGTAAAGAAATGAAGGGTTATTTCAGAAATGATTCTGGGAAAAACTGGCTCTTTGGAGAAAAAAATAGTCCTTTACTTCACATTATATACTGAAATAAATTCCAGATGGATCACAGGATTGAATGTAAAAAAAGAAAGCAGGAAAAAGCTTGAAGATAATATAGATATGCATCTAACATTAAAGAAAGCTTTTTTAGCATGAAAGAAAAGGAAGAAATCAATACAAGAAAGAACTGATGACCCCGTCTCTACTAAAAAAAAAAAAATACAAAAAATTAGCCGGCGTGGTGGCGGGCGTCTGCAGTCCCAGCTACACGGAAGGCTGAGGCAGGAGAATGGCGTGAACCCGGGAGGCGGAGCTTGCAGTGAGCCGAGATTGCACCACTGCACTCCAGCCTGGGTGACAGAGCGAGACTCTGACTCCGTCTCAAAAAAAAAAAAAAAGAAAGAACTGATGAAATTACTACAACATTTTAAATTTCTTTGTCTTAAATGTACTAGTTACAAAACATACTGGGTATGTTTTACAATGTTTTGTAAAATATTATTTGGAAGTACACATAGGCCAGGCATGGTGGCTCATGCCTGTAATCCCAGCCATTTGGGAGGCCAAGGTGGGAGGATCACTTGACCTTAACAGTTAAAGATGAATCTAGGCAACATAGGAAGATCTCATCTCTACAAAGAATAAAATAGTTTTCCAGGTGTGGTGGTGTGTGCCTGTGGTCCCAGGTACTTGGGAGGCTGAGGTGGGAGGATTGCTTGAACCCAGGAGGAGAATGTGGTGACCCGTCACTGTGCCGCTGCACTTCAACCTGAGGGACAGAGGGAGATCCTATCTCAAGAAAAAAAAAATGCGTACACTCAAAACATATACATATGTACTAGAAGGATTAAATTGAATAATGCTAAAATATTTATAGTCATTTTTTAAAGATTGAGATATTACAGGTTATTTTATTGTATTTTTTACTTTCTATATTATTTAATTCTGAAAGGGAGTGCCTGTCAAAATTATGAAGGGAAACATTGGAAACTAATATTTTTCAATATCAAATATTCAATATTTTTTCCTTAGCTTATTTTTGAATTCCCTTAACAGCTTATTGAAATACATAATGGCGTTCTGCTTTTAAACATCAGTAAGTTGAGATTCAGGGAGAGCAAGTAAATACTCCAAAATCACTGATGCAGAAAGCAGCAGGGTTGTGACTGGAAACCAGTAGTTGAGTTATCCCATAAGCCATTAGCCAGCATGTTATGGATCTCTGCCCTGCTTGATGTCAGGATTGGGGAGAAAAAAGAAAAAAAAAAAAAGGTTAAGTTCAAGTCCAGGCCTGATCTTTCATCAGCAGAAGGGGGTTTATTTTATTCTACTTTCTGTGTCTGCTCCTCATTCCATCCCAGTAGCTCCTATTCAGTCCTTCAAGGAGGTGATTAGATAGACACATTTCTCCTGTGAAGGATGTTAGGCTTTTGAGACAAAACATCACAGTTGGATGTAAAGTGAGACCTTTCTGTTTCTATTTACCTTTTGCAAATGTGAGACTCTGCCTGAGATAATCCTTCAATCCTTCTTTTCCTGGCCCACCAATGTGTAAAGCTTGGATTCAAGTTGGTGTGGATGCCAAAAGTGTTAACTTTGAAAAAGAAAAGATTTATTTCCTTATTATAGACATTCGAGAACCCTTAATTCTATGTGTGATAGGCACCTTACTGCAAAAAGAGGCAAAGTGATGGAATCAAATAAACACATTACAGCTCCAGATAAGAAATAAGCACTTCTCAAATGCAGGAATGTTTTAAGACTGTTAATGATACTAGATAGGTGTATGTTCAATAACGTTCTTCTCACAGTATGTGTGCTTCTAAAATCATATCATTTTCCTTTGGGATAATAACACCATAAGAAATGAATAAAGTTGCCTTAGTATGCTAGTGAATGTAGCCAGTTTTCAATTTTGGTCTGGGATATGTTAACCCACTAAAGTAAATCTGAGTGTATTTTGGAAAGATACATCACTATATCACTATAGATACATTGTATTGTTTTCTGGTCTGTGGTAGGGTCTTTCCCTTCCTCTTCTGTTGACAGGAGAGTATTATTTGAGAACATCTAATCAGATATAACAATTTTCAAATTGACTAAAATAAGGGCCATAGTCATACTTACGATATTGTTCTTCTGGAACTATTCGCTAATAGCCATTTCTCATAAATTGGCTTTAGAATATACCTCTAAACAACATGATAGTGACCACTTTATTGCAAAACAAACCCAATGCACTGAATCTTTTTATTTTTAAATACATTTTATAATATTGAGGTCATTACAGGCATTCTCTAAGAGCTGGAAGAAAAAATTTCCTAGCATAGGACCTGCTCAGTATGTTATAGAGTGGACGATATTTAATTTCACTGAGCTCCTTTCCTTCTTCCCAGTTTGCTTGTCAAAAAAAAAACTCACATTCCATATACCCAAAACTACCTTTCAAGCTGCTTTTAATGTTTAACGCACTCTTTGTTTCTGCAAAGATTTAGCATTTAGTATTTAGATGATTATACTTATTCATTTTCTATTTCTTCTGATCATTGTGCTTTTGATTTCCTGATATATCTGTCTACCCCATTTCTCTCTGGTGAAAGCCATTCAGGCTCAGCTTAACTCATCAATGAAGCTCTCCCCGATCCCCAACTCTGAACTCCCATAGATTGCTTGTTTGCACCTCTGACACCATGTACCTTGTATAGATCTTTTCATAAGTTAACTTTCTGGCAGCCCCATAATGTGCACCCTGGGCACCTGCATCATATATGTGCAGTTTTCTCACTTCTTTATGGTTTTCATTTCCTTGAGTAATTCCTTACTCCTCACCTCACTTGGTTTGTATTTTCTATCAACTCCAGTTTTAGACCTTTAAATGAGGTCTTATTTTCATTGAACTTGCATAGAAAATCTTATTTTGTAATGTTATTTTGCAATGGCCTCTCTAAGACAAGCCTTGTGGCCCCCCTATGCATGTTACTTAATACCTTTTGAAGCCAAAACAACCTGAGGCCACACCCTAACTTGAAACCCAGGTCACGCTCGCCTTGAACCTTCCCACTTACCAGTGGAGGGGAATTAAACACTTACAAGAACATCGCATGTAACATTACACTCTATGAGGTGGTCCCCCAGTCCCTTTTGTGCAGCCTAGTTAGAGTAATCAAAGCAACTCATCACGATTAAACCATAGCTGGAAAAGAGACTGTTCTATTGCTATAGTTTCAAGCAATCTATTCCCACTCGTATTCAGTCCTCAGAGAAAAGAAGATTACACACTGCCTTCTTTTGTCATTTCAGCTCTTTTACTGAATTCCACTAATGGAATTTAGTCTGGTCTCTTGGGATACACCACATGGCCAAATTCATTCTCTGCTTTTGACAGAAATATCTACCATGGATTCTCTCCCTTCAGCTCTCTCTTACCATTTTCTTCACCTCCCGCAATGTGGCAGCTCATCAGTGTTTTTATGTCTTTGTAACCCTCTTGGGTCTGGCCTTTCATGAAGATTGCCAGTCTCAGATCTGCCTAGTTCTGCTGATAGATAAGGAATATGGAGCTTCCATTTCTGAGGATAAAAGAAGATTCGAAGAGGAAGAGTATCTCCTGCTCAAAGAGGGCTTGTCTCTCTTTGCTTTAAAAAGCTCCCATTTTTATAAGTTGAATCTTTTCTATGTTTCAGCATGGGCTGGATCAAGGGGGGAATCTACCCTGCCACAGCTTTCTGTCCATCACTATTCTTGTTCTATTTATGTGTAGATTTTCAGCCAATATAATATGTTGGTACCCAGTGAGGAGTTTTGCATATAAAAAGGGCTCAATTAAATGCTGGATTCATAATCCTGCCCATTTAAAAAAAGTCCCACATTTTATTCTCTTTTGCTATTATAGAATCTGAGTACAATTAAAGCTTTCTCCAAATTGCCTGTGTTGTATTTCTCAGTCAGAAGCTTGCAAAGAATATTTTAAACAGTTGTCGTGTGGGCTTTTCCCGAAATGCCATGTCACTCCAAAAGTGATACTCTGCTATTTTGACTACTCATAGAAAATGAGGAAGGAGGTAGGCTGAACAGAGAGAAATTCCAACTGAAGTAGTACTCCTAGCCAAGCCAGTGGTATAGCACCATTGCTCATCTTTAGAATTTTAGAAATAACTAAGGCAGTATGTACTTTTAAAAACCTTTTATTTCAGTGGCAAAATAAATGATTAAATAATAATATCAGTTGGTATAGGGATAAGCGAATAAAACATCTCATTTCTTGATATTTTTTATATGAATTCCAATAGTGTGATGTGGTTATAGTCTTTGTTGGGGACTGTGTTTGTGACAGTAAAGCAATAAATTTTATTATGTCATTATGTGAAAAACATCTTAACATTTTTTGTGTGTCTTAAAGTAGGTTACAGAGGACAAAATAATCTGTGGAGAGAAAAAAAAAAGAAAAAAGCTTTCCATTCACGTTAGATTGCAGTAACCCAGTGATTTCTTGTACTTTAAATAATTTCTGAAATTTTAGTTTTAAATTCTAGTAAGAATATTTTTAAATTATACATAGGATCTATGTGGGCCCATCTTATCCAGGAGAGAGTTTATTTCACATATTCATGTAGGCTTGTTTTACAAAAACGACGTAAATGTTATGACTAAAAAACACCCTGCTATATTTGTACGTGTGGCTAAGATAATCAAATAAGACCATTCCCAAGTTGTCCCTAGAGTATTTTATTTATGTTCCCAGTACCCCTGCCATGACTCCCTGAGAGGTTCTCCCTTGACACTGATCCTCCTTGAGCACATCTGAAGTAGCTGGTAGGGAAGGTGTCCACAGTGAGGGCTGTGTAGCTTTCAGAGCCCCCATCCCTTCCATGTAAGTCTGAAGCCCCAATATTGTTTTGTGCAGCCTGTGAGGATAGAGGAGAAGGGAAGGAGGAAGTATTTTTGAGAACTAGTTTCACAGTGCTTTTTTGAAATTTTAATCAGAGAGTTTGCTTTTTTAAACCATAGACTTGTAGTTTCTTAGTACTTTAGTTCCCTCAGAAATTTAACAGGTTCTGATATATTGCTTCTAGTCAGTTCCGTGACCAGGAAACACATGAAAAGTTGTTCTAAATGTAGTTCCTAACTCTGCTCTTTTTCTTTCTTTCCATGCCCCGTGCTTCTTTCTCTACTCAGTGGTGGCCACCTTGAGTCCATCTGAAACAACAGACTGGGGGAATTGGTGGGGTGGCTTTATTCTTAGCTACAATACTATTTTTGTTACAGAACTAAGTCTTTTGTGAATTGGGAATTTTAATGGAATTTTGTTTTTCAAAGCTTTTATATTTATTTTTGCTCTTTGGGAATCAGATGCAGTGTAATTTTTCAGCTCTTCAAAGTATCAAATTTCTTGACACTCTCATTCCTTTTCATTTCTAGTTAATTTTTGTCTGAACTAACCTTTTTCTTGTCGTACCTTGCAGTCAGTGGCAAAAATCAACAATATATAAGAACATCATGGCCTCTTGAACCCTCTTGTTCGCTGAAGCTGCAGTTTCACTAGGCAATTGGATTGCCTTTCGAATAGCTGTAGGCTTTAGTTTTACTGAATGTTTTTTCATTGGTATGAGTTGCCAGTATTCCAGCTTGTTTTGTCTGTTTTTTTGCTACCTGATTTTGGCCACTAAGCTAATACTTAAGTGTTGAGCCTTTGTTACAGTCCCAATTCATTTCAAGTTGTCAATTCACTTTCTCTGTTAAGCTAGGCTAGGAGTAGTAGCACAGAGACCACAAAATAATCAGTGGATAATCACAATAATATTTTATTTCTCATTCACGTAAGAGTCCTGGAGTTATAGGCATTTAGGACAGCACAGCAGCTCTCCTGTATTCTTCAGGGCCCTGTAGTGATGGTAGCTTCGAAATCAGCACATGGCTTCCAGTGTTGCTCAGGATGTCTGCATCCCAGGCACTAGAAGGGAAACAGCATCTGGACGAGTGCTCATGGTCATTCTGTAAAGGCTAGATCTGAAATGGCACTTGTTACTTCTACTCACATTCTGTTGGAGACAAGGTTGTCACTTTACCTAACTGCAAGGGAGGCTGGGTTGTATATGGTAGGAGGAGAGAAACATTAGTGGCTGGCTTGTGGTCTCTGCCACAAGATGATGGGAAGGAATTTATGTATGTCAAGTATATGCATAAGCAAAAAGAAAATGTTTACCTTAAAGACAGTTGGACTTAATGATTAGATGATAAGGGACCAAAATATGGAAAAGGAACTGTGAACTAATCATTAATATCATGTGATACTCTGAAAGAGATAACTATTTTGATTTTCTAAAAATGCAGCAAAGGCAAAGAGGGGTTAATAAAAGTTGGCTTCTGGGATTGTATACTTTAGAGAGTGTGTGACTTCCTGAGGATACAGTTTTATATTTATTTTGGCATTTTGTGAACATGACTAACATGTTCTCCATACGCATCAATTAGTGTAGTTGTTCTGAAAAAATAAGATATTTTTAGATCTCAGTTGTGTTTGACCCTAGAGAAAGACAACACACACACACACACACACACACACACACACACACACACACACACACGTCGTAGAGAAGGGAAGTAATGGGGGATGAGGCAAGGGGTGAGAACTGAACATTTATTTGTTCAAAGGTTTGACCGTGATTTTCTTGGCTTTTGTTAGGAAGAATATAGCTAGATTTAAAAGTAATTCTCGGATAATGACTAGACACAATTCAGTAGTGTTTGCATGGCTCTTGGCAACTGATCACTCCCTGGAATACACTGAGAGAGCTGGAGAGGGGGTTTCAGTGCCTGCTCTTAGGTTTTTCAGAATTATGGCTGAGATCCCAGTAGGTCAGCAAGGTCTGTCTCTCACAGCAACCATTGGTTCCTAGAAACCCTTAGGGTTTACTTATGTTCTTGAATGTTTGGTTTTATTCTTAGTTCCTGTTTTTCCTTCCTGTCACATCCTAGACCAGGCCACTTTGCATGTCATTCTTGAGTTCTGTAGTAGTTTGGTACAGGCTACTCCTCTCTTTCCACTTCAGTATATTCTGTGTCCGGCTTTTTCCTGCTCATAAAACCTTAAATTACTGTACGTTGTTCAAAGGATATATTTCAGTCTGTGCCTAGACAAAGCCTAGTCCAGCAGCCAGAAGTCTTCAGTTCTGGCCCCAGTTTTGCCACTAACTAGCTGCATGGCCAAGGAGAAGTGACTTATGAGAATATATCTGTCCCCAGCTTCTCTGTGAAACAATAAGCATTCTAAGGAAGATTAGAAAACATTGTGTTTGGGCTGGGCATGGTGGCTCACGCCTGTAATCCCAACAGTTTGGGAGGCCAAGGCAGGCAGATCACTTGAGGTGAGTAGTTCAAGACCATCCTGGCTAACATGATGAGATCCTGTCTCTACTAAAAATACAAAAATTAGCCAGGCATGGTGGCACACACCTGTAGTCCCAGCTACTAGGGAGACTGAGGTGGGAGAGTTGCTTGAACCCGGGAAGTGGAAGTTGCAATGAGCCAAGATTGTGCCATTGCACTCCAGCCTGGGCAATAGAGTGAGACTCCATCTCAAAGAACAAAGTTCAGCCAGGCGCGGTGGCTCATGCCTGTAATCCTAGCACTTTGGGAGGCTGAGGTGAGCAGATCACCTGAGGTCAGGAGTTCGGGACCAGCCTGGCCAACATGGTGAAACCCCGTCTCTACTAAAAATACAAAAATTATCCGGGCATGGTGGCACGTGCCTGTAATTCCAGCTATGTGGGAGGCTGAGGCAGGAGAATCACTGGAACCCGGAAGGCAGAGGCTGCAGTGAGCCGCTATCGTGCCACTGCATTCCAGCCTGAGCGATGGAGCGAGACGCCATCCCCCCCCCAAAAAAAAAAGAAAGTAAAAAAGAAGAGAGAACATTGTGTCCTACATCCTTTTCTTGGCCATCTGAAGTTGTATAGTGATATATTTTAGATGTTTCGGGAAATCCTGTCACAAAGTGACCTGTTTACCTGCATTAAACCTTGCATAGCCTTCACCAATTGGCCAGCAAAACCTTTTGTTCACATAACATATTAACATTCCACCTCCACACAAATAGTGTTACCCAGAAGACACACTTAGAAATAATGAACTATGTTGAGGATACTAGAGAGCTTCTGAAAATGTCTCCACTTTTTCATCTTTATCACCTATTAAGAATGGCAGCTTTGAAGTAAGATGCCTGGATATAAACCCCTCACTTAGTACACAGACAATTTTGGGCAAGTTACTTAATCTTTTTGCTCTCTGGTTTCTTCTTCTGTCAAATGAGGGCAATAGAAGTTTTTACCATGGGGTTATTTACAGGATTCCATGAGTTCACACAGGCCTAGTGCTCACAGCAGAGCCTGGTATGTAGTAAGCATTGCCCATTATCAATAGGCACTTTGCCTATCTCCTCCATGGTGCCTTTCACTTTCCCACACTTTACTTTTACTTGTATCTTTCCCTTATGTAAAATGACCTCCTCATCCTCATAATTTAACTAGCAATTTCTTTAATGAGGTGAGCAAGACACAGTGAAAAGAGAGAAGTTTTGAGTCACACAGATTTGTATTCTCATTCTAGAATGACCATTTACAAGTTGTATTACCTGAGTGAGTTACTCAGCCTATCTTGACCTTAGATTCCCTGGCAATCTGGGATTATTATAATATGATCCACAAGTGTGCTGTGAACCTTCAGGTACATGATTATACATTCTCTTTCTATCTCTGTCTCTGTCACTCTCTCTCTCTCTCTGTCTCTCTCTCTCTCTCTCTCTCTCTCACACACACACACACACACACACACACACACACACACTGTCTATATCTAATCTCTGTCTCTCTAGATAGATGGATAGATAGATGGATAGATAGATAGATAGATAGATAGATAGATAGATAGATAGACAGATATTCTTAATGGGTGATGCTAATGATGTTAAAATCCGTTACTGGTAAATATAGGTATTTGGTAAATGCAAACGTGATATTCTTATAATTATTATAATTATTAGCTTAAATCCTGTTCTCACTCTGGCACCTTTTCTGACATCTGCAATCCAACTAATGCAATTTTCCAGAGAATGGTAAGAGATTGACCTCTGTGTATTGCGCATCCAGATCAATTTATTATTGATATTGTTAGTATTTTACCTTGTCATCAACAAAGTATTTGAGTTATACTTTTATTTTTCCAGAGGACATGATATTTCATTCTTCACATGGGAGGGGTCACTCAGATATGATTTAGACTAGAAAGAACCAGCGAGGGCTAAGGGAAGCAGCTGAATATACTTTTCCTCTCACCCTGTTTATTTGCTGGACTTGACATTCAGAGTTAACAGTTCACTAAAAAGGTGTGAATGTAGGTCTGGCCATGACTGGCAAAAAAAAAAAAAAAAAAAAAAAAGGAAATACTAATAAAATAGACAAAATTTCACCAAGATTTTTAAAGAAAATAATTAAGTGTGGAGGGATGTATGAACATTATTAGAAATGGGAATGGGCAGAACAGTGATTCACTTGTGATATTAAAATCTTAAGTAAATACAAAAAAATTGCTGATGATTTTAAAAATTTAGATAAAATGGATTTTTTTTTTTTAAAAAAACATAAATTGGCTCAAGATGAAATAGAAAATCTGAGGAACAATAATCACTAAAGAAATTAATTTAGGCTAAGAAGAAGAGTGAATTAAACCAGTAAAGTTTATAAGAAGTATCCTGGACAAGAGAAGAAACATAAAATTGGTCAAAATTAGAATTAGGAAAAATGTATTTTGGAGGAGAGATAATCTTGACCAGATAGGATCAGGGAGGTTCTTTTCAAGATGGATTAGACCTGGATAGTAAAGGAGTAGAGGGAACAGAGGAGATTTGCAGCAAATGCAGCAAAATGGTCACCTGTTTTAAATCAGGCATGCTTCTCCTACTATTTTTGTTACTTTTCTAGATATTTGAAATATTTCTAGGTTTAAAATTAAGTTTTTAAAAGGATGGATGAGGTGAGGCAGGGAGGGGGAGGCATGTAGAACTGTGAACAGAAAGACTCATCTGGAGTCGATTTTTGTTTAGAAGTGCAGGAGGAAAGTGAGCTAAAATTAAAGCCACAGAATTTTAGAGTATTATGGGAACCTCCCATTTCCCATTCCTGCTACCCTGACAGAGCTGCTTTTAATACCCTAGATGCTGAAAGCTTAGGAAGCTTTTTGATTTTTTGTGTTTTGTGTTTTGTTTTATTTGTTTTGAGTGAAATCATTTTGGCCTTCCTTTTCTTGGTTATGGGAAATTGTTTCAGTGAAAATTTCCTACAGGCTGCTTAAAAGCCACGCACGGAACAATGGGCCTTGTGGCAAGTGAATTGCGTGTGGGGAAGTACTTAGAGTTTAATGTGAGTTATTTTTATTTCCATTCATAGACATGTCTCAGTGAAGTTCAAATTATCCCTTGGACAATAGAAGGCAGTCTGTTAATTTAAAGCTAGACTTTTTTGGTTCCATAAAGCCAAATTTAGGATTGATTTCAAAAGCTAAATAAACAACAGTCTACCTCCCTATTAAAAGTGAGTGTGTCAGGTTTCTGTGTACCTTAGTCTTTAAATAATGTCCACTTAGCATTTCTACAAGGGGCCTTAAATATTTAGAAAGAGGCTATCCTTTACAATTATACCTTGTTTGTTAAAGGGACACTCAAAGGTTGGGGCTGTCTTAATCTTATTACTAAAATTCTGTAGGTGTCACATTTATTTTAACAAATTAAAATAGAGGCTGGAAAAGTTAGGGTTATTGCAGGTGGTGTGATTGGAAATATTAAGAGGGAGCATCGTCTAGAATCCTTAGAGATATTGCTCAGCATCATTTTCCTACAATGCCATAAAATATTATTCTTAAAAATTGTCAGAGGAAACAAATGTTACACTTCCTAGGAGTGCTTCTGAATTTTGACTCTTAAACAGAATCCCCTGTGGAGTTCTTAAAAAGTACACATATTGGGACCCTGTTTTGGAAATTCTGATTCAGTGGTCCAAGGGGACTGGGCCTGGGTGTGTATGCATGTGTGTTATGTGTGGTTTTGTGTGTGTGTGTATCTGTGTGTGGAAAGTTTCACAAGTTATTTTAAAGTATATCTTGAGGATCAAGGGCTAGTACAATAGACTACATTTCATTTCTGTTGAAATTCATTATTTAAGAACTGTACTCTGGAGATTTACCATGTCAGGCTGTAACAAGGCTATTGCTTTCAAGATGGCAAGGTAAAGTCTTAGCCGAACTGTTGTATGGAGGAGCGTGTCATTTCTGATACCAAAGGACACTATGCAGGCCAATCAGCAACACAATTACCTATGTATTTATTAAATAGTTTCATATTTTAGTTTGAAATTTTTCATTTAACATAATTTAACAAAATAAGACAAAACTTCCACTGAGTTAAATACACAAGTATTCAGACATTTAATAGTATTCTGACTCAATATGATGGTCAATGTGATTTACCAAAAAATTTCAGTAAAAATGATAATATCGTAATTTTACAAGGTGGATTTAAATTGATACTTGCACTGTTTGACTTTCTACCAAAATAGGAGTACCTGGTAAAATGCTGTGGTGTATGGAGACAGTTATGAGAAACTGGAGGGAGGATGATAGTTGAGGTAAGTTCAGGCTTTGAGTCACGGTTCTTCCACCAGCTGTGTGACCTGGCAAATAGTTTAACCTTAAAATAGGGCTAATTTTTAGCAACTTCACACATTATCTCACTTAATACTCAACTTGACTAGGTAATTTTGAGTATTTAATGAGATAATGTGTGAAAATGCAACATAAAAATTAAAGCAGTATAATTAATTGTTTGGAGTGGACTCCCTTTGCACTTCTTCTCTATTGGAATTAATGCATGTATGGGACTATCATGTGGTAATTTTGTGCATATAGATTGTGGAATTGCAGAATAAATGAATTATGGCAGACATTTTCACATTTATATTTTTAGTGACCTAAGGCTTCAAAAAAAAAAAAAAAAACTAGATACCTCCCCACTCTTATGGGAAGGAGAGAATTCTTTGTTAGAGTATTCTCAAGTTTGATTATTTTTTCCTGAGATTGGATTTCTTTGATATTATTTATGATCACAACAAAGATACATTTTATGTATCGGAAACTTGACATTGCCAAGACATATTAGACTTTTTAAACATGTTACCTTTTTAAACACTCAACCACTGTTCTCCCAAGGCCGTTACCTTATTTCAGAGAAAGCCTAAAGCCTTTAATTTTACCTCAAAAAGTTTTGATCTGTAGAATTTCATGTTGATACCATTAACATTTGATGCCATTTTTCTATGTGAGAAAAATTTAGGAGGTAGCTACCTTCTTTTGAAAGCCTATATATTGGCCTAGTAGTTGATTCTGTTTTAAATTATGTTTTGATAAATTATAATATTTTGAAATTACACTTTTTATTCTATTAGGAAGGATGTAGGGACAAGCCAGTCTTTTTATATGGTTTCTAGCTGAGTAGATTGTCCTGCCAATGACTCTCAAAGTGTCATTCCCTTCCCTTCCCTTCCCTTCCCTTCCCTTCCCTTCCCTTCCCTTCCCTTGCCTTCCCTTCCTTCTTTCCTTGTTTCCTTCTTTCCTTTCTTCTACAAATATTTACCGAGGGACATTGTGTGCCAGGTACTATAATAGGCACTGGCACTGGGAGTAGATGTGAATAAGAAACACAAACTCCCCACTCATACAGAATTTACATTTTAGTGAGGAATATGGACAATAAATAGGCTAAAAAACTTATAAGATGATTACAGAAATGAAAAGAACTACGCAGGTATTGGCAGGATGCTGTAGAAGGGTGGAGGGATAGTATAGATGAGCTCATCTGATTGCATTCAGCACAGGATATATAGTTAGTTTATTAATATTCCCAATAGCTTGGAAGCAAAGAGGAGTTGATATTCCCCCCTCCCCACCTTCTCCGTATATTCTCCTCTCTAACTTGATTTTCCATTTTAGGCTGCTCTTGATTTTTTACTTGAATTAGATTCTATCCTGGAAATTGTTTTAAGGGATAGAGGTCAAGGTGTTAATTTTTACCCTTGATTGTCACTGTTAAGAGACAATGCCCCTAAGTTTCACACTCCTTTACGCAGACCAGGCTTAAAAATTCCAGGTTTCTAATCAGCGGTGATAATTGTGTTTAGCCAATATATTAAAGACTGCTAAATATTTGGAATTTTACATGGGAAAAATACTTCAGTTAGCATGTTTATCCCACAAGTTCTCCTGATTCCTTGTTGCCGATTTTGATGGGTGAATTTACTTGGGTCAAAGGTTGTCATTGTGTTGTAAAACACATTTTTGTTTTTTTTGGTTTACTTGTTTGTTTGTTCATTTCTTTTTGACTTACAATGTAATACCTTCTCTCCCAATACCGATTGCTCCCCACCCTTGCCCCAGAATTCAGTCTTCTGAGTGAGAGAAATCCACTCTATGTTGGAAAAAAAAAGATCATCGTCGACTCCTATCTTTAGGCAGATACAAAAGGGTATTGAGAGAATAGATTTAGGGTGCATGAGAATAGGTGATTAAGGGATATAATGGATGTGAATGGAAATAGAAGGCACACAGCTTTTAAATGGGTGAAGATGTGTGGACGAGAGAATACGGGGGCAGAAGGGAGTGGTCCTTGTATATTAGTGGTCATATAGTTTTTGTTTTTCAAAGAAAGGAAATTGACATTGACATATTAGCACTAAGTTACCTAAGAACTTTGTTGGTAAAAATCCACTGTATTTTCAACTCAGAATGCACTGAGAGGCATCAAATGCTTTTTTATTACAGAAAGAAAAACATGTCACAAAATCTTGAAGGGGCAATCTGAAATCAAAGCTCTTCATTAAGGCAAATCAGCATAGGGATTATTCCCTAGGCAAATTTTTGGGAGATGGATCGTACACTTTATTCACTGTTTTAGGAAAATGTAATCACCCCTACCTCCTGAGAAAACATTTAGCTTCCCATCCTCCCAGTGTTAGTGGGTGTCTTTGAGAATGCAAAATTCTTTTAATGTTAACTAAACCAGACATCATTCAGAAATGCAATCTGCTTTTTAAAATTCATGTAATATATGGAAAAATTAAAATATAAGTGATTTTTAAACATTCTGCCATATGGAAATACATTCTCTATGACATCCCTTCTCCATTGCCTGATAACAAAAAGCCAGTTGTAGTGAAATTTACATCAGAGTTTGAAAGACAGAAATTCCACATTCCTGAGTGTTATTGACCCTATTGGTAGTATTAAATCAGTCAGGAGGGCCAGAGAAGGGGCTGGCCTGTGGTGTCATTTTAACAATGTCACAAAGTAGCAGCCTCCCAAACCAGGTATTGTCTGTGTATTTCATCCTAAGAAGCGGGAGCTGGCAAGATCCTGACCCTCATTGATTCAGCCACATCATCTTACAGATGAGGGATCTGAAACCCACTGAGGTTCGGAGATTTGTCCAAGGTTTAAATACCCAACCTGAAATTCCAAGTTTATTCTAAAGTAAATTTGTATTACAGGGTGTTATGATCCATTTCTAAACCCGAATCCTAGAAGTCATCCCTTGTAGCTTCTACTTATGAGTATTTTCCACAACTGCTTCAAAGGGCTGTCCTTCTTCAACTAACAGTATTTCAAAATAAGCAAAAACTATTTAAAGCACAACTCAGAAAAACATAGACTAGCATGATTTAATAATGAACAATATCAGTTTTTCAATTGATTCCATATTTTTCTCAGATTTTAACTGATGTCTTTGTATTTTCCATGTAGAAAAGAAGGTATGCTTAATGTGAACATTGTGAAACAAAATAAGATTTTGTTCTTGGGAAACCCTTTTACTTCAAATTTCAGAAAGTAAAGCACTGCCTTAGAGTTGAGTTTGTTTATTTTTGTTTTGTTTTTGTTTCTTTTTGTCTTTTATAGCTTACAACATTTGCCTTTTTTTTTAACCTGGAAACATTGTGATGGACTTTATAGTTCCTTAGATTGGACAAGTGGAAAGATACAGGATTGTGCGTATGAGCCTTTGCTCAACCCAGTGCTTGAGCTGTGTTAGCCCATTGAATTCTTTAAGATATATTTCAGTCATAATTTTACATTTAAATATGGTTAAACTAAGTTTAGCCAATTCTGATGCATTTTTAAAAAGAATGTGCTGTTGAGCTAAGACTCTATATGCTGTATTTTAGCCCCAAGCAGATTTTTATGACAAAGTAATAAACCCCTGGAAACATGTTTATAATGGAAAATGCAACTTGACCTTAACTAGAGGAACCCAAATGCACCTTACAAAAAGGCTCATTTTTTTTTTGAAACATACGAAATCCCTTTCTCCCAGAGGTGGTGTCACAGGAGAAAGGTGTATAATAATAGTTGTATTTACCATAAATACCTAACATATTTTATGATGATTTGATTGTATTAAAAAATTTCACCTTATAGATTTTAATAAAGCTGCCTATGGGCAAAGTTATTGCAGTTGGATTTCTTTTCCTTTGCCCACTGCTCTGTGTGGAAAGAAGCAAGCAACCCTTATAAAAGGCTTTAGTTTTTAGTACCTGGTTAATAAAAAATAATTTCCTCTCCTTTGGACTTGTTCATGAAGCTGAAAAATGACTCTGCAGGTCAGTGGTGTGTGGCAAAGCTAATTTCTATAAGCTTTTTATCAGGTGGTACTGAGTAAAACAATATGGGAAACTGAAAAACCCACCCTTCTGTACCAGATTTACAAGGGTGAGGGTTATCCCCAGTGTCACAAAAAGAAAAAAAATGACACTTTTTCTTCCCAATTTCTGGTACAGTAACGAAAAATTCTGTGTTATAAAAGGTACGAAAGGAAGAACTAAATTGTATGGAGGTGTTCAGCTAAATTTAGATTTTAAAATTCGGACACAAATGGCACTCATTGTTTAAAGCACAGTAAAACTCAACTTTCATTTGTTGTTTTGTCGACAAGGGAATCTCATAGTAATAGGCTAAATGAGGCAAGGCACATCATAGCAACCAGGAAAGTGATTGTCATTCAAATAAATATGCAAGGCTTCTTTTCCCCAAGCATCACATTTTCTCAGAGGAGTACTAGGAAGACATTCTAATCAAGAGAACTGGAGCTGCTTCCCTTGAGGTTCAGCAGAGTGTTTGGTGTGTGCTTTGCAGAGCATGATAGAGAAATATCACATCCCTCCTGTCTCTCCAAGATATTCACAGGCCACATTCCAGGAAAGAAGCTGGAGCAGGGCTGCATAAGGCTCCCAGGCACCTGTGTAGCTGGCAAATCTGCTCCCAGCAAGCTTGAAGTCACATTCTTTTCTTTAGTTTTTCAGGCTGGGGAACAGCGAGGATGCACAGCAGCAATGTATGCTTAGGAGGTCACAGAACCCTTCTTTACTGTCCTTGTGTCAGGGTACCTAGGGCCTTCTTACACTGGCCTATTCGCATCAGAGCCCAAAGGAAAAGTCAGAAACCACAGGAATTTGGAGAGGTTATGGGTGAGTCTTTCTTTTATGATTTCTATTTTAGCAGCTAGCATGGAGACTTGTAGCTGACAACATTAGATGGAAGAAGTACCATGCTACTTTGGAGTCATGTCTTAGATGAAGGTAAAGAGAGAAAAATAATTATAAGGACTTTGGAAGATACAGACTGTTTTCCCTTATTTAGTTTAGTTTAATAAAGGTAAAAGCATGCGATGTGTAGGTGTGAGAGAGGTTTTGGATTGTAAGGGTAGAAATACGTAAAATTTCCAACATAACTGCTGTTCAACAGCTGTATCAATGATTTGGAGAGTGATTGACAGGGAAGAGGACATGTTTTACTACAATACTGAAGTGGAAGACAGAGATCAAGATGGGTGTGGTCTCAGACAAGCATGTTGCTGTAGAAACTGGGGGTTGGCAGTATTCCCTCCCACCAGATGACTTCTTGGTTTCACTGTGAAGTTGGACATGGGGTCATCCATTGAGAGGATAGCCGGGAGGTATGAATGGGAACTTGAAAAGACTGGATGAGGAAGGTGGACAGTTTCTGGAATGGGAGCAGATGCTGAAAAGTGGCACTTAGAAAAGTTGAGAACCCTGCATCAATTTATACATGCAATTATGTGAGTCAAATAGAGGAGGATGAAGATGAATTAGGACTCTACTGGATAGGAGAGGCAGAGGAACAAGAAAGTAGATGTACGATGAAAGCCATGAATCCTGAGGCCCAGAAAAGGAGGAACAGACTACAGTGACATTCCCCTTCAAAAACTGGAGATTGAATCCTGCAAACCACGTCTGCATTTTGTGAAACTTACTTTCCTCTTAGGTTTTCTTTAATGGATTGAGGCCTGAGTGTTTAGATTGAGCTATCAGAAGCTAAATAAACAGTAGTGTAATTTGCATAAGCTAGTCTCAGATGCCTTAGTTGTGGTATAAAAACGCTTGGGAAACTCATCTAAATTTAATCTTTTGTAGGCTGTTTATGGGCTTTCTGGAGAAAATAAGTCTTCCTACTTTTTGTTCAGCTTTCATTACTTTTAATCATTTTGGTCATGGCATGTCAAAGGTTTTCTCTTTGAAAAGTGCTTTTAGTTGGTATTTTTAATGAAGTGTTATCCACTTAAAGTGTGATATAATTGTGATATTACAGCTAGCAGGGAACAAAACAGCTTGATAGTCACTTCCAGGGCTCCTTGAGAAAAACTTATACTCAAGGAAAGGTCAGCTCCTCTCTACTCTGTATACATCTTTTGGGCTCACTTTTGCACAGCTGCTTTGCATGATTCTATGGCTGTTTGCCTCATTTGAAGATGCAGTTGGGAAGAGGAGCAAAGAGTGGCTATGCTGGTGGTTGGGGTGGCCATATTCTGCAAAACACCGCATTCTTCTGGGAGCTTTGCACTTTGCATGATAAGACTTAATCTGTCCCTTTCAATCATAAAGTGGCAGAGCTAGGGTATACTGTGGTGATCATCATGGTGGTGATCATGGTATTCATGATGGAGAATAACCTCAATGCCTCAGCAGAACTGGATAGGTAATTTTCTCTTGTTATAATTGTGCTCAACAACCTGCATTGGTTTTTGCCTCAGTTACATCATGTATAGAGTAAACTTAAATGCATGAGCTTTCAAAAAAACCCATGCTCTAGTCCTAGCCTCGTTTTTATTTTTCTTCCATATTCTGCTACGTACAGCTCTCTTGGCCAGAGTTACTACTCATAGTTCACAATCTGGTGTTACCTGCCTCTGGTATTTTTTTATACAGGCAGTTTCTCTGGCCCTCTTTCCATTTTCTTCTATCAAAATTATACTCATTCTGAGAAACACAATTCGAATATAACTTTTGTTGATATTCTCAATCTGTTGTTCCCTTTTTCAGCTCCCACTGGCCTTTATTTGCACACTGCTTTGTGGCACTTCTCATATCCACTTCCTGATTTATGACTGTTTTTATACTTGTTTCATTCTTTTCTCAATAATCTATTTTGTAAATGCCTTCAGTACCTTTTTGAGAAAGGAAACAACTAATATTTGTTAGGCACTGATCTTGAGTTAAACACCATGGTTGACTTGGAGGGGGTGGATACAATGAAAAATAAGACTTATATCCCTGTTCTTCAGTTCTCAAGGATCTTGTAGTCTAACCAGAAGTAGGACGGGTTAACAGATATATCAATATAATATAATAGGCATAAAAATACAGTAAGCTCAAATTGTTCTGGAAAACAGAGTAAGCTGTCTATCCTGGGATGGAGAGCTCAACAAAGGCCTCCTAAAGGAATGAAATGAAGTAAATCTTAAAGACTGAGTAGGAATCTTTAAGCCAGAAAAGGAGGAGGTTCTGATCTGAGGAAAGAGCCTGTGCAAAGGCATGAGACAGTGTGGGGGATAGAGAAGCCATTAACTTCTCACTATCAATGTAGTATAAAGTAAAAGACTGAGTGAGGTGGGTGGTGAGCTGGGAGTGTAAAACAGGGACCAGTTCATGGAGGGTTTTGATTGCCAAGCTAAGGAGCTGGACTTTTATCATGAATGTATCGGAGTGCCCTCAGAAGGTTTCAGGCAAGTGAGAGGCATGATAAGATTTCTGGGTTGGAGAACTCACTCTGGTAGCAGTGTGAATAATGAACATAGAGGTGAGAGACTGGTTCATATGTGGTATTGCTGATGGTTGGGATGAATTTTGTATGTAAAACAGTTGAATGAAAGGTTGCTTTCAGGCACTTCTTTACTGGCTAGGCACCTCTTTTAAGAACAGACTCAATAAAAAGCCATATACATTATATTACCCTTCAGAGAAAATTTTGGGTGGCATAGCAAATCTAAAAAAAATCCACAGGAAATCTGATGTTCTAAACAGAGCGATTATATAAAACGCTGGCTGTGGCTTAAGCAAACGCAATCACAGAATTGCCTAGCTGTGAGTCAGAGTCGGCTTGATCCTGAAAAGTCCCTTGCTTGATAGTAAATTAGTGGCTTAGGGAAATATGTTTACATTTCATTTCATATTGTACATCTGATTGCATGTTTTGAGAATTGGATATAAAATATCTTTATTTACAGATTTGGAGCTGGGAATTATATTGACTGTGTGTACATACAGACTTAAATTTCCCAGTTAAGTGTATAAATACAGTGAGGTATATACTTACATAGCAAGATAATGCTAATTTGCCATTTTATCTCAAATAGAAACATATCCAAGATATAATAATGGAATTCAGTGACTCTTACGGTAAAGTCATCATTACTATAGAATGGCATACTAGGTCTTATGATTTGATCAATACTAATTTATTGGGGGAAGGCAGAACAGGTTTAACTATTTTTAACTATTTCTTTCCATGTACTTCCATATTTCTTTCTATCATAAAATCGAAACACGCTGTTGCACTTGTTATTTTCCTGGGTCTTTTTTCTATATTCAAAAATACACCTGCTGTGTATTTGGTTGTAGCATCAGAGTCTAGCACAGTGCCTAGTCCTAGTAATTTCTCCATGTATATTTGTGAGAATGAAATGGCAAAATGAATAATGAGTAAATGAAAATAAATAAATGCATAAACAAATACGTAAATGAACCCTAGGTAGGCTTGGCTCACTCATAAACATTTATTGAGTAGCTACTATGTCCAAGGTTCTGATCTGGTACACCATGGTGAGCAAGGCAAAAACAGTTCTTGCCTTTTGAGTTCTTGCTTTATAGATCAAGACATATGTTAATCAAATAGTTATAGAAGAAAATATGTAATTAAGACATATTGTAAACATTGGGAAAGAAAAGTAGAACTTGCTATGAGTCTATTTAATGGAGAGACTTAATCTACCCTGGGTAGGGCAGGGTAAATAAGCTTCTGTGAAGCAGTAGTCTGCAAGCTCAGACCTGAATGAGTTAGCATTAGTTCCATGAAGAGGGGCGAGACCTTGTAGGCAGCAGAAGAGTCTTTTAGAGCTCTCGAGGAGGCTAGGAATGCGGCATGTTGGAGAAACTGACAGGCCAATGCAGAAAAGAAAAGGGGAGTTGACCTTAATCAGAAATCAATAAGGATGAGGCAATACGTATCTTCAAATTTCTTCTTTGACCACATGTACTTGTCATATAAAAATACAAATATAATGTCGTGTAATGCAATGATGTTATATTCATATTTAATATCTAGTTAGTCCACCAAAAGGTATCTATTGATTGACAAGTTGAAAGCCAGCAAAAATGTAAGAGGCATCCTGTCTTTAAGAGGTATATAACATACATAGGCAGGACAAATGTAATGTTTTTTTTAAAGGGAAAAATAATAAATCATGTAAACGATTTATCCTGAATGAAAGAGCAATGTCACATTAGAAGAAGGAGAATGAGAATAGGTTGTATATTGGAGAATTATGCTAGGATTACGCTAGACTGTAAGTTCTACAGGGTAAGGGCTGTGTCTAACTTGTTTCCAGTGCTTAGTGCCTAGGCAGGTATATAATATAATTACTAATGTTGAATTGATTTTACTTCACTTTGTATTCTTGAAATTAGGGTTTCTTATACTATTAATAGTTAAGCTTAGAAACACAAAATACAGTAAATCTTCACTTAATCATTGATAGGTCTTGGAAACTGCAACTTTAAGAGAAACGTTGTATAACAAAATCAGTTTTACCATAGGCTAATTGATATAAACAATAGTTAAGTTTCTACAGTATATTTATGGTCACAAAAATCACCAAACTTCTAAATACTTCTAATATTAACTATTGAAATAAATGTAAGCTATATGTAGAAATGTATAAAAAGAAAGATTAATAAAAAGAAGTACGATTATTGTTTATCTGATTATTCTACTTCAGGGTTGTGGGTGTCCAGAGCTCACCCCAGCAGCTCAGGGAACCAGCCCTGGGCAGGACGCCATCCCATTGCAGGGTGCACTCACACACACCCTCGCACTTACTTAGATGGGGACTATGTGGACACACCAATTCACCGAACATGTGCAACTTTGGGCTGTGGGAGCAAACAGGAGGACCCAGAGAAAGCCCGCGCAGATAAAGGGAGCATGCGCAAACTCCATATAGATAGTGGCCCCCGGCAGGGAATTGATTTTTTTCTTCATCAAAGTTATAACAAAATAACATTATTTGAGGACATGCTGTACATAGACAGCTTCATTTGGAAATGAAAACCTAGTAAACTTTCCCTAGCTCTCCCTTAAAACAGAGCTGCTTCAGACTAGTTTTACATTCCTGTTTTTACCTAAACATGCACAAATATAACTCCAATTTCTAAGTATTTTTTGCCATATTTAATTCTGCTTATTGATTCCTGTTCTAGATTGCTTTTCAGTGTCTCTCCACACATTTTCTCCCCATAATCATCCCCCTATCTTACTCACTTTTCCTTCCCCAAGTGAAAATACAGCACAGCCAGTATAGAAGCATCTGTAACCCACAGTGAAGTGGGAATAGCCATTTTGGTTCCTTTCCTCCTGGTATTGAGCAACTTTTGTTCATCAAATCTGAAAAACAATATCCAGCTTACCTGGGCATCCTTCTTAGAAAGGTAATGGAGATTGGGGCATAAGAAGAAAGAAAATATCTTTTGAATGTGCAGGATTTTCAAGAGAGAAAAAAAAAATATGCTAGGGAAAGAAATTAAGGCAGAACTGATAGTGTTAGAAAAGGTACACTTGAATTTTTTGTTTTAAAATAGTTCAAGTTCAGATAATAATTTGCCATCTTCAACTTTAGCACTTGAACTAAAATACCGCTTTAGCACTTTAACCTGTAGCATAAAAACAATTTAACAAAACAACTTTGGCAGATTCTGCTTAGTTGCCTGTGGTTTCTAGCTGGGTTTCCTGCAATTGCCTGGCAGTTCCTCTCTGTTCTGACCAGATTTCTGGGTAACTGGCCTCCCTTCCCCTCTGGGATTCATGAATCCTGTCTACCAGGAGTTATCACACAAACAGTTAGTTTTAGACCAATCATTGGTTGTAAATATATGTTTTAAATATAAAAGCAATATTGTACAATTATGTTACCTACAGTTTTTAGAATAATGAAAACATTCTTAAAAATACTGATAATTCAGCTAGTATAACATGAACAAGTGTATCATTTTGGTTTATAAATTATTTAATCGATTCAAAATAATATGACTTTTCCATAATTGTAAGTAGAGTTAACACAAAACATTGTCCTACTTTCTCATCCAAACATTTTTATAAGACAAGTATTAGGTTGGTGTAAAAGTAATTGCAGTTTTTTGCAATTACTTTTAATGGCAAAAACTGAAATTATGTTTGTACCAACCCAATCAATATTTCCCTTTTTTTCTTTTTCTTTCTTTTTTTTTATTTTTTTCTTTTGAGATGGAGTCTCGCTCTGTCGCCCGGGCTGGAGTGCAAGTGGTGCGATCTCAGCTCACTGCAAGCTCCGCCTCCCGGGTTTACGCCATTTTCCTGCCTCAGCCTCCCGAGTAGCTGGGACTACAGGTGCCTGCCACCATGCCCGGCTAATTTTTTGTATTTTTAGTAGAGACGGGGTTTCACCGTGTTAGGATGGTCTCAATCTCCTGACCTCGTGATCCACCCGCCTTGGCCTTCCAAAG
Source organism: Homo sapiens (assembly GCF_000001405.40). NCBI lineage: Eukaryota > Metazoa > Chordata > Mammalia > Primates > Hominidae > Homo > Homo sapiens. Next base: position 18,406,653 of record NC_000007.14, read on the forward strand.
TGCTGGGATTACAGGTGTGAGCTGCCATGCCCGGCCTTCCCCTTTTTTTCTAAAATACTTTTACGTATAACTTTTTTGGATGCCTAATTTTGGTCTAGTAACTACACCATATTGTATGAAACATCTCTCTTATGATTAGAGTTTTAGGTTCTTTCATCTTTGTTTTTTTTCTCTCTTTTTCTAGTTATTAAAAATAATATAGTGATGAAGGACTCTCTTTATACACATAAAGATGTATTGCTTAAAATTACTTATGTGAGATAGGTTCCCAGAAATAATCAGATATATCTTCTTAGATAAAATAAACAACTTGGTTACATGCCTGGAAAATAATAATAGAAATATATAAACAATATGTCTATAAGCAATTAAAGGTGTATCAATATGTATAGACCCAGCTTAGGTATTCTTTCTTACTGAAATCTCCTGATCTCACTATATGTATTTCTTTCTTTCTAAACTTCCGAAGTCTAAGGTCTGGTCCTTTTTTCTTTCACTCCAGATCTTATTTATCTCTCAGTCTGTTGGAGAGGATTCCACTTTCCTAATCTTCATGTTTTGTTCACCTATTTATTGAGTTCTTTGCTCTATATCTAGAAAAACTCCTGAATGCTATCCGATGATTCCTTTCTTGGACCCAAGAGTCATTTGTTCAAAATGTTATTTGAACATCTCTGCAGTAAGTATAGTTGTTCATCAGGGACAAATAATGTTGCACATTAAAATCTTGTCTCCTTATGTATTGTGTTCTAATGTCTCAAGCTACTGTAACAAATCTCAAAGTGGGGTGACACGTTTAGGCAAACAAAGAGCCTAAAAACGTATGAACAGCCAATAGAAACAGGAAATTCAAAGTCAATGTGCAGCCTTCTGTGATTCATCAGTTCACCAGGTAAGATCTTGGATAAAAAAAAAAATCATCCCATTGTTCACACAGTCTCTAGCAGAATGTGGGTAGGCACTTAATAACATTACAATGCAGTTTGAATTCTTGAAACCCTGCAAAGCATTTATGAGTTAAATGTTAGAGCACTAGGATGCACCATTCGATAGAACAATAGTAAAACTGGCAGAACTGTTTTTCATATGTCAATTAAGACTGCACTCCGGAGACCATTAAGGAAAAGGATGCTGCTATTCCCCGCAGTTAAAGGAAATCTATTGTGTTTCCTTTGGTCTAGATATATAAGTTCTGCAGAAAATGTCTTTCAGTAGGTTAGGATCTGCTAAGATTTGATCCTAAATTATTTTTCAGATAGAGATAATAAAATCATAAGAAGAAACACTTTGGATTCTAATGGAGTGAGTTTGAGTTCTGGCCATATTCAATTGTGTGTCGATGGACAAATTAACCTCATACTTACATCGTACTTACGTCGTGGAATTATTGAGGGGATTAAATGAGATGATGTATGTATAATGCTTAGCATTATACTTGGCGCAAAGTTGGTACTCAATAAGTGTTAATACTTATTAGTATGATGATTTTGTTAATTTGATGACAAAAGGGGATGAATTGTGTTAAAATCAGCAAATATTGAAGAACCAACCTAAAGGTTTTTCCTCACTAGATTATCAGCTACATGAAGGCAAGTATGTGTTGTCTTTTAAAAAATTATTGTTTCTACAATACATAATTCTTGAGTTATAGAAGGCACTCAATGAAGGAAGAGAATGAATGAATGAATGAACAAATTCCTAACTTGTGTCTGTCTCTTGGCCTTTGAGTATATAGGTATTTTCACAGCCATAGGAAAATCAGATGCTATAATAATAATTCTACTAGCTTTCTGACATAAATCTTTTAATTTCCTTCTTAGGAGGCTAGTTCACATAAATAAAACACTAGAAAAGGAAAATAGCTCTTCCTGGTTCTGTAAGTTCAAAAAATAACCAATTTCTTAATATGGCAGTAATTCCTTGTATGACTAGCTGGGCTGGGACTGAGACCAAGGACCTTGACACTAATGGGCCGTTTATGAAATTTACATAGCCTGAAGTCATCCTATCGGAATGTCCTTAGTAACCATCACCATTGTTACAGAAAAGAATTGGGAGGCTTTTTCTTTCTTGCAATGATTTCTTTAGTTTTTTTATGTTGTGGGTCCTATGGTTGAGATCATGGTTTGGGTATTTACATAAGAGCAAACAGTCCTAGAAGTATGTAATAATTTCTAATGCAGCTCCTTGGTAAAAAGAATGCAACAAATGACACAGATCTACAGCACAACATTAGAAAAGGCGCAGATTAAATTTGAAACAAGAGCAACCTAGTGCAAATAAAACCCTTCAGGTAGCAGCTTTTTGGAGATAATCAAATCCGTTTTTAGACTTCCACATTTTCCTAACTTTATGCCCTCCATAAGGATGTGATTTCTGATATGCGTTTGTGTGCTTTTACTTGTTGGTGACTTTTGAAAGAAGTCAGCCCTGGAATGTAGTTGCCTTGCAAAAAAATTCAAGGGAATATTTTGTAGGTTTTGCTGTCTATGCCTTGGAAGCAAACAAATTATGGTACAGGACTGGAACTTTACCTACTTGTTAATTGGCAGGTTAAACTTTTATGAGTTTCTGGTACCCTGGCGATACATGACTATTAAAATTTGCAGGTGGTTCAAGGGGAGAGAGATGTAAGTTCCTGTGCTAGTAATATATCATAAAAGTGTGTATTTCATGTGCCTGTTGTGAAAATGGAGACTTTAATACTCTTTCACAGTATAAGCTGATTAAGGAATCTTTATGGATCTCATTAACGATGGGCCTTTTTTTCACAGAAAGTGAAAAGTGTAATGCTTATAGACAAGCATAGAAGAAAATAATTAGCTTGGTAGTGCCTCTTTGAGACTGAGTTTAGAGCACCCTCTGCATTCCCTTCCCAACCCTCAGAAACTGCCCTTGTCTCAGAAATTGCTTCTACCACATGAAATACTGTAAATCTGTCATTTTATTTTTACTTTCAAAAGACCGTGTTTGCTTAATTTTACTTACATTTAATAGATGGTATGTTTCCTTTTTCGAGTCCATGTTTTCATTAGGAAATACAAAGACATATACTGTGGCTAGTGATGTGATTCCACATAATGAACTAAATTTTGGAAAAAGTGATAAGGGGATTGTAGTTCTTTGGAAACTCTATTTTCTTATATTTTACATGTAATCTTAGGATGGAAAGCTCCTCAAATATTGGCTAAATTAAACATTTGCCCGAAAATCTTAGAAGTAGATCTTTGTATCCAGGAGCATAGCTTGTTTTAGCATAGAGAAATAGTGATATGAATTAGCTTTAACTAAGAAAAGGGTAGTAAAGTGAACAATAGAAAGTATTCGTTTTATTTTAAATTTTTAGTCCATAATTTTTCTTTACCCATTTTTTTTTGGAGAATTTCTGTCTGTTTCTCTTAGTATCATCATAATCTTAATATAGCACTTTTGGAACACTAGATTGTGATTTAGTTTCTTCACTCTCTTGGTAAATATATAATGTAGTTTGAAGGTACTTCATCCATTGGCACTTGTTGAAAAATTCATTCTTTAGAAATGGTTATTTTCTAAATTGGTTTAACCTATGGTCAGGGTGATGGAGCAGCAAGGGAGGTGGGACTGCATGGGGCCAGGGGATGGAGAGACTTAGGGACAAGATGAGTGTGTCATGGAGAAGCTGAGGACCACAGGAAGGCATTGGCAATGGACATAATGAAGAAAGAAGTAATGCTGGATGAACAATCCTGTTGGGCTTTTAGCTCTGACATCAGTCATAAAAATTTTGTCTCCCAAATTGGTTGCCAAGAACCTATAGTTCTTTGTTTCAACAAAGAATGTTTTCTGAGCGTGACAATTGTGTGCATATAATTGTATATGATAATAAGTATATATACACACACTATTTACATGTTATATACATACATACACTGATAATGTACTATATTTTAATAAAGACTTGAATGACCTTTATGGCTTTTGTTAAATTAGCTTTGTTTTTAAAATCTCATTTTAAAATGTGAGACAGTAGTACATACAGTAGAGTTGACAGGAATGTATTTCCTTATTTTTAAAGGATATATTGTGTCAGGAAAGAAGAATCATCAACTCTTTTGACCCAGTGAGATTTAAGAAGGTGGGAATAGAGACTTTTATAAAAGTTTCTGCCTAAATATTTTTTTAAATTGTGTATGTACTCCAAATGATATTCTTATCAAGTCTTATGATTAATATAGCTTTACAAATAATTCACCATTTTAATGAGGGTTGTGAGAAGCAAGCTCAATGTTATAGGAAAGAAGTAAAAAAAATAGCCTTATAGAATTATAATCGTCAAGGAAGTATTTGGGAATCAAAGCCTAGTTTTGGAAATCATTTCTTGCCAAGTGAAAAGGTGCTAAGCTTCTCAGCAAGAAGTCATTTGTAGCACAGGCTTGTCTGTCAGTGTTTGGGAGGTGCTAATAAGCAAATAAGCCCAGAGTTCCAGCCTGAGTATTTGGTACATCCATGGAGTGCTGGTGGGTATCTTACCTTAGGGAAAGCTGCAAGTCAGTCCACAAGATTTACTGGAGACCTACTTTCTATATATAGATAGTCCCCGATGTTTGATGGTTTGACGTAAGATTTTTTTGACTTTACGGTGGTACAAAAGTAATACACCTTCAGCAGAAATCAAACTGCAAATACACAATCATTCTGTGTTTCATTTTTAGTACAGTATTCAATAAATTACATGAAATATTAGACTTCTTTTCTTTTTTTGAGATGGAGTCTTGCTCTGTCACTCAGGCTGGAGTGCAGTGGCGTGATTTTGGCTCACTGCAGCCTCCGCCTACTGGGTTCAAGCGATCCTCCTGCCTCAGCCTCGCATGTAGCTGGGGCTACAGGTGTACACCATCACACCTGGCTAATTTTTTTGTATTTTTAGTAGAGGTGGGGTTTCACCATGTTAGCCAAGATGGTCTTGATCTCCTGACCTCGTGATCTGCCTGCCTTGGCCTCCCAAAGTGCTGGGATTACAGGCGTAAGCCACTGTGCCCAGCTAGCTTTTTAAAAAATAGTCTTTGTGTTAGATGATTTTGCCCAAATGTAGGCTAATGTAAGTTTTCTGAAGAAATTTAAGGTAGACTAGGCAAAGCTATGATGTTCACAGTAGGTTTGGTGTACTAAATGTAATTTCAACTTGCTTTTTTTTTTTTTTTTTTTTTTTTATCAGACAGGGTCTCACTCTGTTGCCTAGGCTGGAGTGCAGTGGCATGTTCTCACCTCACTGCATCCTCCACCTCCCGGGTTCAGGTGATTCTTCTGCCTCAGCCTCCTGAGTAGCTGGGACTACAGGTGTGCACCACTATGCCCAGCTAATGTTTGTATTTTTTTGGTAGAGAAGGGGTTTCACTGTGTTGGCCAGGCTGGTCTTGAACTCCTGACCTCAAATGATCCGCTTGCCTTAGCCTCCCAAAGTGCTGGGATTACAGGTGTGAGCCACTGCGCCCAGCCTCAACTTGCTGTATTTTCAATGTATGATGGGCTTATAGGGTTATAACCCCATCCTAAGTGGAGGAGCATCTGTGTAGGTCTTTTACTAGGTGCCTGTCTGGGAGAAAATGTTATTTAAGAATAGGTTATAAGGATTTGTTTTTTCTTGCACATTCTTTATTTTCTAGCCAGAGTAGATAAATAAACAAACAATATATAGCTCACTGAAAAAACTATAATAACAAAAAAGTCAAAACTACGATGGAATGTATCAATCAGAGGAGAAAACAGAGGCAAAGGTTTCAGGAAAGGAAGGCTTCCCACAGTACTATAAGGGATGGTATTAGTGATTGCTTGCACCTTTGTTCGTCAGCTTTGTGCTATATGCCTTATAAATCATTTATTTTTACCATTTAGTGCCATAGGAATCCTATGATGAAGACACGATCATACTCCTGTTAGATGAGGATCCGGCAGTTCAGATGTGTGAAGTAACTTGCTGGCCGTTGCATCACTAAGGGACTCACGCTCAGTTGTGATTTGCTTCAAAGCCTGATCTCTTTATTACATGGCAGAAAACAAAGTGAATGTTATTCATAATAAAAAGTATATGCCACATGCAACAGGGACTCATATCTCCAGTTTTCTTAGTTCAACTGTGAGGTAAAAATTATGTAAAAATTAGAAGAAAAGGCCGTCTAGCAAAGGAAGACTCTTCATCTAATGAAAACTTGAAAAAATTAAAACAATAGTGTAATGAAATGGATTATTTATTTTTTAAAATTCAAAATTAAATGAATATTGATTTTAAAAACTTTAGAAATTAGTGGAATATGAAACAATTCAAACTACATTAGAAACAAGTGCCAGTCAAGGTTTTAAAATATGTCCATCTTTAGATTAACTAATTAAAAATGTTTTAGCTTAAGTAAATTGTAAAATTTCTCTGTCAAGGATGTCTACCTACTAAAATTTCATTTAAAGGCATTCATTAGTTTTAGCTACCAACTAAATAGGAAAGTTTTCATCGCAATTTGAAGGGTATGCAAAATAATAATATGTAATTTCCTATAGATATTTTTGTTATGAATTGGTATTTGCTGCAATGATATCAAAAAAGGAAAGTAGAGCAGAAGGAAGCCCAGACGTCTCAGTTTTAATTTGAGGAAAGAGTATGTGATAAGTATAATATACCACTGGTTCTCTAGGTTCCATTAAAAGACTGTAAAGAGAAAGAAAAGAATTCTTTGGAACTAATGATTCCAATCTGGAGTCTATCTCTGGATCCCTAAGGATTCACCAACTTAAACATTAGTTTCCTTGTTGATATTTTTGAAGTCCTAATGTTAATACCTTTCCCCCACTTAAAGATACACAAGACTTAAGACTTAAACTGTTGAGCATTTTCACTGTTTATTACTACATCAACAGTATGATAACATTGTCTCTCCTATATGTCGGAAGCTCTGATTTGCCATTATATGTGTCTTTGTTTATAAATAATATGAAACTATATAATTCTTACTTTATACAATTTGCTTGGTAGACAAAATTTTTGAATTAATTGTATACATAGAGGAATAGATAATAAAAGGGTATATTGAAAAGGCTGGGAATCACTATTCTGTATACTGTACTTAGAATTTAGGTGAGTAAAATGACCTCATACATCATTGCAAGACTGAGGCTGGTGTTTTTTGCTGCCTAAAACTAAAGATATTTAGCATTTGGGCATTAGCTAATAATGATTAACTCTGTGGTAGGTGCTATATCTTTGTGTTAAGGTAAACATACTTTAATATTTGGGACTTTTCCTTGAATATTGTATAAGCCAGTTATGATAAGAGATTTAAGTGAAAGTGCTAATAAACTCCCTTCAGACTCAGACCACACATGAGAAACTTCCCCTCAGAAGGAAATTAGAAGGCCAGAGGGAAGAAATTATAAGTAAATGAACGGCGTTTTAAAACTGAGGTGCTGTAACTAGAATGCTGCTAAGATATTAAAGTACTTAGACATTTAAAAGACATGGTTATTTATATTTAATTTCAAAATGTATTTAAGTGAAAATTTGAAAAATATTTGAGATAAGCAGAACTTTCAGATTTTTTTTTCATTTTGTTAAAGGAAATATCCTACTTTCATGTATTTTGCAAAGATGTCACAATGATATTGACCATTATATTACCTGATGTCCATTAAAGGACAAAAAAAGACAAAAAGTAACTTTAATGTTTTTTCTTATCAAATAATAGGAGACATGTCTGCTCCTTACTCATCCTTCCTTTTTTTTTTTTGCATTGGCTGGCAGGAAATTAAATTTAGTATTCAGTTGAGGTAAATAACTTATCTCAGCCTAACTACAAGGACATACCTTTCACTATGCATTTTATTTGAATTTTAATTCAGTAACGTAAGTATTTAGTTATATTTGCTGTCTAAAATGCCTTTTAGATATTTGTAACAAATAAATTATAAGTAAACAAGTGACCTCTGAGATATAAATTTTTTACATCTTGCTATTTCCAAGTTACATTGCCTGTTCTTATTGAATAAACAGGTTGGCAGAATATTAAGAATATCAATGTTTACTTCTAAATACAGAAAAACATTGTAATGGTAGGCACAAACGCTTCTTAGAAGAAATTAAGAATGAATATAACTTAAGAAGAAAGGCTCTTTGTTATTTTTGAAGACTATCCTGGTTGACTTTACATTTAATGGGGAAGCAGAGGATGTTTGATATTTTTACCTCAACTTTTTTTCCTCCTCTTCCTTTTTGTAGAGAATACTCTTACTTGAAACCCTTTGTATTTGGTCCTCATTCTCTGCTTTCCGTGGCTTCCTACCTCGCCTATTTGTTCTATGGCCTGTGTGCCTCTTTCTTTTCTCTTTGTTAGTTCCTCACCCTTCTTCTCATTGTGTTCCCAAATATTTTCCCGAATTTTACAGATGAGAAAGCTGATACTCAGCGGCATTAAGTAGCTTGACAGAGTTTACACAGCTGCTAATTGGTCAAAACTGAGGTGAGAACTCTAATCCTCTCCCTCCTGGTACACTGCTCTTTCTAATGGCGTTACTTATAGTAGAACACGATGCTGATAGACTGTGATGTAGTTCTCGATGGCTTAAAGTGTATGTGTTTTTCTGTGTAAACTAGAACCCATGGGGCTGATGTTAAGCCAGTTCACACTGGTACAACTGCGCTAGTTTTAAAAATACTGAAATATTTCCACATTGGCTAATTGGTAGCTACTGTTAGGAGCCTCTCAGCTGTACCTCTTCCTTCTTTAGAGGCCTTTAGTGAATCCATCAGGAACCTCACAACTTGGTCCAGTGGCAATCAAAGAGAGGCATTTAGCTACCCATAGTTGGATAAGATGATTAGTGTAATACTTCATGTTTTTATAAAGAGCAACGCTCTCTAACATAATTATCTTTTTGGTCTGCTTTTTTCTCATGATAATAATGAGAGGGAAAATTTATTCTGCTCAAAGAATGATGATTTCAGGTTTTGCTGGTTTTTGTTTTTTAAAAACTTCATGTGGTGAAACGTGCCTGAACAGTATATGAGAATGTTATGATGCAGTATCAAGGTTTTCTAGCCCCTGTGTTCACTTAAAATTTTGCAAGTGTAGTTCCTTTTAGAGATCATTTAAACATTTTAATTCTGAAATAACTGAGTATCTATATATGTTTTGCAGATTTCAAGTATGGGATTACTATTGTTATATCTTTACTGTATTCTTGCTCTTTTTTTTAGTTATAGGGAATTGCACTGACTGATTTTCAAATGCTAAATCATCTATGCATTTTTTTGTGATAAACTTCACTTGGTCATGATGTATTATCCTTTTAATATATTATTGGATTGGAGTTGCTAAAATTTTATTTAGAATTTTTGCAGCCAGGCTCAGTGACTCACGCCTGTAATCCCAAAACTTTGTGAGGCCAAGGTGGGCGGATCACCTGAGGTCAGGAGTTTGAGACCAGCCTGACCATCATCATGGTGAAAGCACATCTCTACTAAAAATACAAAATTAGCCGGGCATGGTGGCGCATGCCTGTAATCCCAGCTACTCAGGAGGCTGAGGCAGGAAAATCGCTTGAACCCGGGAGGCAGAGGTTGCAGTGAGCCGAGATCGTGCCATTATACTCCAGCCTGGGCAACAAGAGCAAAACTCCATCTCAAAAAAAAACAAAAAACAACAACAAAAAAAGAATTTTACATCTATGTTCATGAAGGAGATTACTATTTTCTGTAGTTTTTTTGTAATATCTTTGTCAGGTTTTGATTATTAGAGTAATACCTCATTGGGGTTAGGTAGTATTACCTCCTCTTCATTTTTCTGGAGGAGCTGTGTAGAATTGGTATTATATTTTCTTTAATCATTTTATAGAATTTGCAAGTGAAGTCATCAGGCCTCGTATTTTCTCTGTGGGAAGGTGTTTTGCCAAATATTTAATGTCTATAACAGATATAGGGCTGTTACGGTTATTTATTTCTTCTTGAGTAAGCTTTGATAGGGTTTTTCAAAGAGTTTGTCCTCTTCAAGTTCTTCAATTCAATTGAAAAAAATTGTTTATAATATTACCTTATTATCTTCATAATATCTATAGAATTTGTAGTAATTAATGTCACCTTTGGATCTCCTTTTTTGCCAGTATTTTAAATAAGTGGACCCACTGTCTCCTTGCCTATACTGTTTCCTAAGAAATACTAGCTGTCATTCATATTTTGTCTCTTTGTGTGTGATTTTTCTTTTACTGTAAATTTGTAAAATAATTTCTCTTCAGTTTTGGTTTTGAGTATTTGATTATGGTGTATTTTGGTCAAGTTTTCTTTATGCTTCTTGTGCTTGGGGTTCGCTGAGATTTTTGGATGGGTGAGTTTATAGATTTCATTAAATTTAGATATCCTTCAAATATTTTTCCATCCCTTGCCTTTGGTGACTCCAGTTACGAATATATTAGACTGCCTAAAGCTATCCCAGGGCCCACTGACTTTTTATTATCTAATTTTCTATCTGTGCTTTCTTTTGGGTAATTTCCATTGCTATGCCTTCACATTTACTAATCTTTTCTTCTGCATTGTCTCCTCTGCCGTTTAGCCTATCCATTGTATATTTTAATCTCATATATTGTAGTTTTCACTCTAGAAGTTCAACTTCCATCTTTTTTATATCTTCTGTATTTCCACTTAACGTTTTAAACATGTAATTACAGTTTCAATAACTGTCTTAATATCTTTGTCTGCTATTAACATCTGTTTCAGTGCTGGATCATTTTCAATTCGTTGGCTTTTCTCCTCACTATGGGTCATATTTTTCTGCTTTTTAACAATCCTGATAATTTTTTTTGGAAACCAGTCATTGTGAGTTTTAACTTCTTGGGTGCTAGATATTTTCATACTCCTATGAATCTTAGTTTGTTTTGGGGTGCAGTTAAGTTACTTATAAACAGTTTTATCCTCTTGAGTGTTGTTTTTGAGATTTATCAGGACTAATGCAGTGTTTAGTTTTTGACTAATTATTTTCTAGTACTGATACAACACACTTCTGGATACTCTACTGAATACAGTTTCCATTATGAAGTTTTCTAGCATGGCTGGTAGGAACAGCATTCTTCCTGGCCTGTGTGAGTGCTGGTCGCTGTTAGCTTTAGGCCTCTCAGGTGGTACTTTCTCTTGCCTCAAATAGTTCCCATACATATATGTATTAATTTGCACTCTGCTGAATAGTTAATAGAGATCTTTTATAGATTTTTAGAGTTCTGTGCCTGTTCAGCCCTCTTGTCTCTGGTGCTCTATCCAGAAAACTCTAACTGCTTTATTGTCCCTGAAATCTCAGCTCTGTTTCCTCAAGTCTGGATGGATGTCCACCACGCTCCCCCGGACTCTCCCTCCCTATGCCATCATATAGAAATGCTCTCTTGGCAACAACTTTGCACAATCATAGAGCTCACCACCTTTGTTTCTCATCTCTCAGGATTGCTATCCTTTGATGGCTCAAGTCTAGAATCTTGAAAACCGTTGCTCAGCTTTTGGTTTTGTTCGCTTCAGGGTTTTAGTTGTTTCAGGCAGAAGGGTAAATTCAATTCCTGCTACTACAAGTTGAAGGCAGAACTTCCTTGACACTTCATGCAGAGTTGAAGTGGGAAGACTTTTAGACTTAACTACCAAAGTGTCCACTTCAGAGAGTAAAACTCAAGAGAATAAATCCTAGTATTTTTTCTATTGAATACACCTTTATATTTACTTTTTTCTTTTCAGAAAATAAAAACTTGCCTTTTTTTAAAAATTGGAAAAGTATACAAACCAAAAAAAAAAAAAAAAAACTACAGCTACACGAACACTTAAAGTTTTTAAAAATAAGATAATGAAATAGTATGATTGTGGGTAATTTAATAGATTGTGGAAGTGTTTTCCAAAGTCACATGAAAGTATGGGTACTTACCTTTAAGGATGATTTTACCAGGCCACAGAACAATGAGAATTAGGAAGTTTTTCACAAAACTAAATTTATTCAATTTAAAGGACTTTATTTTTTACTTTGTCATTCTTATTAGTGATAAAATTTTATGCTTAATTGAATTTTAATATGAAAGCTGATGAATCGTAAGAATTTTTTTTTAATATGATAGCTGATGGATTATAAGAGTTTTGTTTTTTTTCTTTTCATTCATTAACTGGCAAAAGTACAAGAGGGGGTGCATGCTATGTGGAGTCCCCATAACATTTTTGTACTCCAATAGTCTGGAAACAACTGTTTGTATACGCTCAAATACTTTACCCATTTTTATTCAAAGATTGATTACCTAAGACTATTCAGAGAAGTAATGTTTGTTTGTTTCTTTGTTTTGTTTTTGAGCATCTGCCCTGTACAACTCATAGAATCTTTAGGGACAATGGCACATGTCTGAATGGCTAACTTGTGTCATCTTTATATGTCCTTTTCTTTACACCATATAGAAGATATGGAAATCAATTATTTCATTAATACTTAAAAGCACTATTTGGAGATGTATTTTTAATTTTCATTGTTTCCTAATATTATTTCTTTCTATTGTATGACAAGGAAACAGGAATTGATTTGGTTCCTGCCCTCTTTGTCATGAACATATGACCAATGAGAAAAAATGCCTTTTTAACTATGATATTAATAATAAATATGTGTCAATTATTGATGTATTAAGTGTATCATTCAGTACTTATAGAAATTATTTGAAGTAGCCACAATTATTATTCTTTTACAAATGAAGAAATTGAGGCTTAAAGAGTTAAGTAACTGCTCAAGGTTTCACAGCAAATGTAAAGCCATATATGAGACCCCCGTTTGAGTCAGGCAAAGACTGTGCTCCATCTACTGCCTCCAAGTGAGAAGATAAGTTTTAGTGTTTTCCACTAAGCATTTCCTGGCAGTATTTCTCTCCAGACGCTATTCACAATCTCCAAAGAGGAGAAACGACTCTATTCTATGCACAATTTATTACTCCGGTTATTATACAGAACTCTTTATTTAAAGGGGAGAATGATAAATTACACTCTTGTTGAAATAAGCCTTGTAGACCTTTGAAGAGGGTTGGAAACCAAAGGAAACAGACATTCCAGAAGTGTGACCCATTTTTTTTTTAATAAATCTTTTCTTTTGCTTAAGATCTCCTAAAATATTTCCATTTTTATAAAAGCCTTCTGGTTTCTTTGTGAAAATAGCTGCAAGGATATGTCACTGGGTAGGTTCATTAAAAATTACAAGCATACACCATTACTATGAAAAGCTCCTATAGCCTGTTTCCTGCACATTGGGAAGAGTGCAGCTTTCCAGCGATGGTAGCCCATGAATCTCGGAGGCCTGCACCTGCAGATTACAGACTCAGGTACAGGCACTATGAGAATAGCCCCTGTTTTGTAAAAACAAAAAGCTCTGCTAGTCTATAGAAATTGTTGGGAAAGAGAAGCGGACCTGTGTGAGATAAACAAAACTCATAAACCACTGAGATTAGATAAATTGTTAGAGTTGTTTGGAAGGCCAGGCAGGAACAAACATTGTCTTCCTAAATGTAGTTTTCCTGCACTTGGGACAAGCGTACTATCTGATTACCCCAGATGATTTATTTATCCTTCTAGACTGTTGACATGAAGTCTGCATTTCAGGCCTAGGAATAGGTGTACTTTCTGCAGTTATTTTGTTTGCAGAAATCACTGACTTCTCTCATGTTACTTTTTGTGATTGCTAGAGGTAACGATATCAAAGTTCAATGTGCTCAGCTTGTCTGTAATAGTAAAATCTTAGTAAATCACTCTAGGTTTGAAGGATAGGCCCTGGTATAATAATATAACAATAAACAGAGTTCCTGTTCTCTTTATGGTTTTAGTTACAGCATTGTATCAGTGATACTTCAGTTTCTTCTTGATAAAGATTTTTCATATTTAAAACTCATAAAATTCATGCTGCAGGGTAAGTAAAGTCTTCTGAAAGCATACATTCATTTACTTGTTTATTCACTGACTCCATAAATTTTTATTAAGTACCCAATTTCTGGCAGACATTCTTGTGGATCATGCAGACTCAGTGGTGAGAAGAAAAATAATATCCCTGATCTTACAGAACTCATTTTTTAATTGGGGGAGGGGCTTAAATAAAAGGTGAATAAACCAAACAAGAAAATATCAGGTAGTGATACTACCCAGAAGAAAGTAAAACAAAATGAAGCAATTAAGTGTGCTTGGACACCTGCTTTAGATTGTGTGGTCAAGGATGGCCCCTCCAAGGACTAGCGTGTAAGCTGATACTTGAATGAGAAACAGGCTGCCATGCAAAGATCTGCTGGAAGAACATTCCAGGCAGAAGTAACAGCTCATGCAAAGATATAGCATAATGAGGGCATGCCTAGACATGCATCATAATGCCTTACCTTGTACCTTGATTTGCTTTCATTTTTACCATTTAAAATTCTGCTTCTGTACTATGTCCTACCTCCCCTTACCCTTCATTATCCTTAAAATTGTGTATTCTTAATGAAAACTATATTGTTAGGTGACCATAGAAATATTGTTATTTTAGATAGTTGATTCTGTAGTGTTTTCAAGAAATTATTTCATATTTAGAATAATTTTGCAAAGTGAGTTAGTTTAAAAGTAGTTCTTTAAGAAACAGGTAAATTTCAAAACACTTCTTTCCAAAATCTTTTATCTCAAAACTTGCATTAAAATGAGAAAATATGACATCTCTTAAAAACAGAAAAAAGGAAGGAAGGGGGAAGGGAGGGAGGGATGGAAGGAGAAAGGGAGGGAGGGAAGAAAAGAAGGAAGGAAAGGAAAGGAAGGAAAGGGAAAGAGAAAAGGGAGAAAGAGAAAGAAAGAAAGAATGAAAAAATGAAAAGAAAGAAAAGGAAAAGGAAGAAAAGAAAGAAATAGAATAAAACAGAAAGAACACAATTATTTTTATGTCTGGAAAGATACAGGGAACTTTTTCCCAAATGAGGTAACTTTGAAGCTGGGAGACAGATTCACACGTTCATAAAGTGAAACTTCCAGGGCATAATTTCCTAAATTATTTCTTTCACTGCCCTCTTGGTAGCTCAGTGTCACGGATGAGTGAGTTTACCTCACAAGTAAGCATTTAGCTCCCCCAAAACAGTCTCTTAACCTTAGCTCACCACGTGATTAGACTCAGGGTGAATGCACAAGATTAATGAGAGCCCTGAGTGAAAACAGTCTCTTGTAAGGACAGCACTAAATCTTGAAAGGCTGGTGGTTATTGTTTGTGGAAGCTGAGCCCTGGACTAATCCCAGAAGGGATCATGGTGGTGGTGACTCCTAATCTGGGTATATCTTTCGGGCTTGATCATGTTTTTCTGTGACTGCCATTGTGTGTCTGTTGGAATCTATTTTTAGGAGCCACTGCATATCCTTGTGTTTTCTTGCTGTGCCTAAATGTAGATCCTTCTATTCTACTTTTACTCCATTTATTTTCCAGATGATATAAAGAGGACATATTCTCACATCTGGAAGTTAATGCCTTGGTTCTAGTTTATTCTCCCTCCAAGCACACTAAAGACTTTTTCATTTCCTAGCATCGGTCTTCTAGTGGCCAATAAAATGGCAAGAAAAGAGTTGGGAAATTCTTCCCTTTCTCCTCAGTTTCCCCTTATTTTGTTGCTTCATTTAATCCTATTCTATTTCAGTAAAGGAAACACGGTCTAGTTATTGCAAGGGAGAAAGACTAGAAAGGAGAAGATATTGGCAACTAGCAATCAGCCAAGCAATAGCAACAAGAGATTCAATATTGTCAGGTGAGGTAGCCTGGTTGGAGAATGCATATGCCAATTACAAATCGATCATAAACAAATACTTATACGCATGCAGAAAATCCTAATCTATTCCACTTTGCCCAGTTTCTGTCCATGGACTAATAGTGGTGGTCTCTAAAGAGCACTCTATTAGGCAAGAATGAGGCATTGATTTTATAAAACAGAATCTTCAAAGGAGGGGGAAGCCAGGCCTGTGGGGAAAGAAAGCAGAAGTCTGGCAATAGGTCATGGGAAAGGAAGGAATCACTGTGGGGTTTGGACTTGGAGAGAAAAAGTAGCAGCAGGTCACAGGCCAACCTGTCATTAGCTTTAAGACACACACACGCGCACACACACACACACACACACACACACACACACACAGCCACTGCTTACCTCAGAATGGATTGGGTTAAAGGTTATTTTTTTCCCCTCTCAAGACTGGTTTCCTATCTTAAGTTTATGTTAATAATTTTACTGCTTCTTTACAGTCCTAAGTTTGCATATGGAGAGGTTAGGTCTCAAAACTTTCAATCTCATAGTCCAAGGTATGCCCTTAAAGTGTAATGTGGAAAGGGTTCTCTTTGGCTACACATGCATCAGTTTTCTATCAAAAGTTATTTTATAGCAGACTGCTATTGGGTAATTGAGATGCACTTTACTAAAAATATAACAGGTTTAAACTAGTGGATTTTATTAATACTTGTTTTTGTTTTTACAGTCCAATTACCTAGAACACTATGGTTTATTCAGAACAGGTATCTTTTGTTTTTATTTCAAAAAGTACATTGATTATTTTTATGAATGTTTAAAATTTAACAGCTTTCTATGCTTTTGCAGAGTGAAAATTTCAACAAATAATTTTTTATTTGCTGTGATTCTTTTGTAACCATAGATATTTTTTATTTAAGCGAGGCTATGTATATAGTTTAAGACTTTGAGAAAATCAGTAAACCTAATTTATTTCTTTGACAATATTAAAAGAGCTTAGTTTCTGGTATTAGAAATACCATCAAGACAGGGCTTTATTCATAAAATATTACAAGATGCTTAAAGCAGTGGCTTAAAAGAATAGATTTAACGAAGCACTATTTTCATTTTCTATAGGTCTGTAAAATATTATCCCCACAACATAGTGACATAAAACACAACTAATTATTTGCTCATGGTTCTGCATTTTGGACAGTATTTACCAGAATGGTGGTCTCTGCTCTCATGGCATTTAGTGGAGGCTTGGGCTGACAGGCCTAAGGTGGCCTTTCATTCTTCAGGGCCATTCCCCACATGGCCTCCTAGCATTTGTAGTCCCAAGCTCTTTACATGGAGAATGGATCCCAAGAGAGCAAAAGTAGAAAGTGCCAGGCCTCTTATAGGCTAGATCTGTTTAAAGGCTTGGCTCAGAGTGGGCACAGTACCACTTATATTGCATTATATGGGCCAAAGCAAGTCACAGTGCCAGACCAGATTCACAGCAAGGGAAAGTGGACTTCACAGTTTTTTGGGATGAATTGTTCACATTTATAAGGAGGGAAGGAACTGTTGGCTGCCATATTTGGAGACTCTAGCCCAACCTTTTAACAAATATTTTGAATAGAAGGAGAAACCTTCTTAATTATGAAGGTAGTTTTGATACATATCACCTATAAATATGCAGTAATTTTATATTCACTCCTAATCTTGTAATATGAGTTTGTTTCCTTGATTTGGAGCTATGACATTCCACGTTACTGATCTTTAGTCTGACAAAAAAGAGCTTGACTTCTCATTCAAGTCAATTTCCAAATGTTTACTGTTACACACTTGGCAATCAACTGAGTTATTTTTGAAAACATCCCCTTCACCAGTGTAGTGAAAAGAATATAGAGGCAAACAGATTTAGGTTCAAATACCAATCCTGCATCTTACTGACTGTGGACATTTGGGCAAGTTATTTTAAATGTTGGGGAGTAATTTTACTCATTTGTATAATGAAAATAATTATACCTACTTCATCAGGATGCTATGAAGATGAAATAAAATAATTATAGGACAGTCACTGGACACTATACTGGAGGGCTCATTTTTCACAGTTCTTTATTTTTACTTTATATAATGACAACAGTGCTCAGAAGTGGAAGTCATGTAGTAGTATTTTTGTTTGCCTTTATGGCTATTATGTGATTATATGACTTTTACAACAAAAAAATCTAATGAGATATTCTTCTTCTATTAGGTTTTAATAATTAAAATAGGCTGGGCGCAGTGGCTCATGCCTGTAATCCCAACATTTTGGGTGGCTGAGGCAGACAGATCACCTGAGGTCAGGAGTTTGAGGCCAGCCAGGCCAACCTGGTGAAACCCTGTCTCTACTAAAAATGCAAAAAAATCAGCTGGGCGTGATGGCACGTGCCCAGCTACTCTGGAGGCTGAGGGAGGAGAATCACTTGAATCCAGACAGTGGAGTTTGCAGTGAGCCAAGATATCACCACTGCACTCCAGCCTGGGCAACAGAGCGAGACTATATCTCAATTAAATAATAATAATTAAAATAATAGTAATAAGAATATGTTTTATGATTTCCTAGTTCAGAATATTCTATTATTGTATATTCAAATTGCACATTACTGATGTGTTTTGTGTCAAAGATATTTGTGGGTTACCTAGGAGAGGTATATGAAAATATTTTTATTATTAATTTTAATCTTGAGGTGTAGTACACCAATTTTTTTCTTGTCATAAAATAGCATGCAGCAAGTTGAACCTTGGCTTTTTCTGAAGTTAATTGGACAGAATTTGCAGACAGCTTGCAGGATTGTGTCCAAGTAGATTTTAAAATTTCAGAAAAATGCAAAATTATCATTAACAAAATTATTATCGCAGACAATTTCATCCAAGTAGATATAGAAATAGTTGTAAAATGCCAGTTTGCATCTGAGATGTATCACAATGACACTGTTTTCATAGTTGAATAAGAAATAAGACTATTCAACAAGTACTCATGTCACCATGAAAGAGAAAAATGCAGAGCTGAAGGTGGCATGACACATTTTCCCATTCACAGCTGAGTGGGCAGGTGACGCGTGTTAGGGAGAGAGCTGCTATCTGATATTCCACTGATGAAGCTTGTCAACTAAATTGTATTTGGAGTTTTCAAAATATCAGAGTGGATGAAGTCTTTGGCATATTTTAACATTTAACTAAGTCTTACACATGGCTCCAGAGGAGGATCTTCCTTCGCCAGTTAATACTAAATTACCAGTGCTTTGGCAGGAAGCAGAAAGTGCCATGTGGGTAGTGGATTCTGGAGAGTTAGCATTGAAATACTCACTGTACATTACATTTATAGAAAAGATTGAGAGGAAATTTCTTCCTAGCAGGCTTCGTGCAAGGTTTGGGCCCTTTCTAGAACGAACTGCAAGTCCCTTTAACAATATCCCTGTGATCTATGCATATAGGTGAGATCATCATATGTCTTAGAACAGGTTTGTTTTGTCCTTCAGAAATTATACCCCTTGTGATCAAGTCCAGCCTGCCTTTTGCCAAGCCAGAAGATATTTTTTAACTTTGGGAGGACACAACAGAAGAGAGATTTGTTTTCACTTTGGACATGACTGAGTAGTTGCAGGCTCTCAGTGGGGAATAGACTCTTCATAACATTAGCACAGTGATATACGGACACACAATTGCGGAAATGCAGATGCAGTGTTTTCATTTGATTTTTGGTATAGTGTTTCTTCTGAATAAATCAAGCATAATTATGAGCCACATGTGACTAAATCAGATAGAGTAATTCCAGGGAATTGGTTGATATATATCAAGAGCTTTAGGAGAGAAATGTTCGTGGTTTATGTTTATTATTTTTTGTTCATAGCAATCTCTGAAAGCAGCTGCTATGCAAGTCATTTGTCATTCTTTTCCACTAAGTGCCAGTTTGCCAAGTGAGCTTTCATGTAAGTGGCGGCGTTTATGCAAATGCTAATGCAGTTTTTAATCTTAGAAGCAAAGAACCTGAATATTTTGCTAACATACAATAACAATGATACTTAATATTAAATAGCAGCTTTTATCCAGGGATAGCTATATAATTTACAATTGAATTGGCGCAAATTATTTACATACATTGAGGGCATTGGGTTACCATATTTAGATCATAGTTTATCTGATGTATGAACACACTGAAAGGAAATGTGAAATTTGTATTCAGCATCTTCAAAGAGTAGAAAATGACTACCTCAGGCATCTAATAGCCAAAAAGTTTAGTCACACTCATACACACCATCTTGAAATTGCTTTTATTTACCACTCTCATCCTTGTTTCAAGTCTAGTTTTATACTTTATGAATCTGCAAATGATTGCCTTTATTGAAAGGTTTGTGTTATTCAAGATGACTTGTAAAGTTTACTCAATCTTCCCTAGCAAGGGAAACAGGAAATTCCAGAGAACACTAGACTCAGCAAACCTATAAAATCTGAGAAAGCAGACCATTATTTCTGGAGACATTTCACATAACACTTTGGGAAGCAATGACTAATTAGTTTTTGGTCTTAACAATAGCACTTTCAGGGGCTGTTTTCTTTCTTTTTTTTTCTTTTTATAGCTTTCATATTAGGAAAAGAAGAAAGTAGCTCTGAATGATGAAATATTGGCAATGTATGCACTTGCTTCTCTGTAGGAGCTCAACTCTTTGATCCTTCATACAATTAACTTCATTGCCTAGCTGGTATTAACCGGCTGGAGAGTAACAACCAATTGTTGCAGGCACAACAACACCCTAATATGCTTTGCCTTTAATGACTGACTGTTTCAAATTGAAAGCTCTGTTCTCTCTATTCCTAAATTCCTGTTGAAGTAAGTTAAGTCCTTAAATAAGTATAGGTACTCATTCACACCTACAGCCTTATCTTTTTTGTGGCACCTTACCCAGTCCCCAATTGCCAGAGAATACTTGGTCATTAGCAGGGGTAAGATGTATTCTGGGTTCTCTAGACGTAAACATTTGAATGTTAGGTCTCCTTGCTTGCTTTTATTTCTTTATTTTTTTTTTACCTCCTTACTTATTTAGTCATTCATTCATTTTAGAATTTGACTTCCATATGTCTAAACACAAGCAGCCTCCCTTGACTCCTCTTCCCTCTCCCAATCCACAATCAATCTATCTTTGAATCCTATCTGCTCCACCTCTACCATAATCCTGCTGATCCTGGCCTCCACCATGGCTCTTGGATTATTACAGTAACCTTCTCATTGATCTCCTTGGTTTTGTCCTTAATCCCCTTCCCCTCCACCTCTCATCGCCCACCCTGGACACAGTTTCTTTCTTCTTCTTTTTTTTTTTTTAAATATTTTCTTTTATTGTGGCAAGAACACTTAAGAGGGTGAGACCCACCCTCTTAACAGATTTTTAAATGTATAATACTGTATTGTTATCTGTAGGAATAATGTTGTACAGCAGCTCTTTTAGAAATTATTCACCGTGCATAACTGAAATTTTATACCCATTGATTAGCAACTCCCCATGCTCTCCCCTAGATCCTGGAATCACTATTCTGTTCTTTGCTTTTGTGAGTTTGACTGTTTTAGTTACCTCATGTAAGTGGAATCATGCAGTATGTGTCCTTCTGTGACTAGTTTATTTCACTTAGCATAATGTCCTCAAGTTCCATTCATTTTGTCGCATATGGCAGGACTTCCATTTTTTTAAGGCTGAATAATATTCCTTTTATATGTATACCACATTTTAAAAATGTACATTCATCTGTCAGTGTACATTTATATTTTCAATTTTTTTATAAATACTCTAAGTGGGATTGCTGGATTGTATGATAGTTTTAATTTTAACTTTTTGAGGAACCTCTACCGTTTTTCATAGCAGTTGCACCATTTTGTATTTCCACTAACAGTGTGCAACAAACTGAAAAGCTTCTACACAGCAAAGGAAATAATCAACAGAGTGAAAAGGCAACCTAGAAAAATGGAAGAAAATATTTGTAAACTAAGCTAAACATCTAATAAATGGTTAATTTCCAAAATTACAATGCAACAGTAAGAAAATTAATAATCTCATTTAAAAATGGGCTAAAGGTTTGCAGGGATATTTCTCCAAAGAAGACATACACATGACCAACAGGTATATGAAAAGATGCTCTATGTCACTAATCATCAGGGGAATGCAAGTTAAAACCACAGTGAAATATCACTTTATACCTGTTAGGATGGCTAACCTCAAAACAAACAAACAAAAACAAAAGAGAACTGTTGACAAGGATGTGGAGACATTGGAGCCCTGGTTTATCCTAAACCCAGCAGCCCCAGTGAGCTTTTAGAAGTCATACCATGTCTCTTCTCTGCTCAGAACCCTCCAGTAGCTTCCCATCTGCCTCAGAGTAAAAGCAAAAATGCTTTCCAGGGCCCACCAGAATCTGTGGCTCCCCTCACTCTGATTCATCTCCTACCACTCTTTCCTACCATGCTGGCCTTGCTGCACCATCCACATGCTGAGCACACACCACATTGGTGCCTTTGCATTTGCTGATCCCAGTGCTTAGAGAGTTCATCTCCAGATATCTGTGTAGCTCCTCGCCTCACGTCTTCAGATCTGTGCTCAATTGTCACCTTCTCAGAGAAGTTTTTCAGATCACCCTGTAGAAAATAGCAATCCTACCCACCTCCAACCTACGGCACCCTCCTTTTCCCCTTACCCTGCTTTCTCCACAGTCCTTATCACCAACTAGCAAGGCTTGTTGTTTTGTTACTTGCAATCGATCTCCCCCATTAGAACATACAGTTCACAGAGGCAGAGAATTTGTTTTGGAACTGCTGTATTCCTAGCGCCTAGACCAAATGTCTACCATGATATGAATTAGGAGTTCAACAAATCCCTACTTCATACTAGTTGAATGAAAAAATTAAATAATAAGTGAGTAGGAATTAATGCCTCTACTTTCTTCTCATGTTCTTTCTTTTATCTTACCCTCCCCACTGCCACCTTTCTACATTGTGCCAAGTTCTCATGTCTCAAGAATGTGGTGTTTTGTTCCTTGTTAGCTGTAAATGTAATACTCCTTCACCCATTTTTATAGAAAAGTTAACTTTCCCCTGGATGCTTGGGCTTCATCATTTAATGTCCTCAATTGCAGATGGCTATCCATAAGTTTGACTCTGTGTGTGTGTATTTGTGTGTGTGTGTGTCTGTGTGTGTGTGTGTGTATGTATTTTAAACTTGTCTTTACCTTTTAGTGTTTGCAGTAAAAACAAAGGAGATTATAGATTACGTGTTTTTGGTAAAATTTTTTCATGTTGTTGCAAGTCATTCAAGAATGAATGCAAAGCATAAAGTTTAAACTTGGAGAGGCAGAAATTCAAAATTTCTTTGAAACGAATCATCGAATTCCTATGCTATTTAGATACACTTCCATTGAGTAGAGAGCTGACAAAGAATACACATTTTTCTCAGTGGACTGAATTCTTCTTTAAATTAATTTGTCAGTATTTGATTGAAATACTAAAGCAATTCATTTCAGTTACATTCAACCAGCATTGCCTAAGGGACTACAATGTAAACTAATGTTAATAATTTATAAATACCACTTGGGTGTCAAGAACTCTTACAGGCATTTCATACATTAGGTATTTAATATTTGAAATTTATAATAGTTCTATAAGATAAAGAATATCATCCTTTTTTGATATTAGGACTTTGAGGCTTCCAAGAGGTTAGTTTGCCAAAATATACAAAGTACGCAAAGCCAGGAATGCCAAAGCTTGGAAATTGACCCAATTTGAATTTATAGCTTGAACTTGTTCTCCTAGACTAGTGTTTTTCAAACTGTGGACCACAACCTACAGTAATTGAATGATTTTTTTTGGCGATGGTGTCTTGCTCTATTGCCCAGGCTGGAGTGCATTAGCAAAATTATAGCTCACTACAGCCTCAAACTCCTGGGCCGAAGTGATCCTCCCACCTCAGTCTCCTGAGTAGATGGGACCACAAGTACGTGCTACAACACCTGGCTAATTTTTTAATTTTTTGTAGAGATAGAGTCTTGCTATATTGTCCAGGCTGGTGTCAAACTCCTGGCTTCAAGTGATTTTCCATCCTTGGCCTCCCAAAGTGCTAGGATTATAGGTGTGAGTCATTGTTCCTCACCTCAAATTCTAAATTATAATTATCTACACACATACAAATAATTGAAGCGAAAGTTTCATTAAGTAAAACCCTCACCAGGCTGGGCATGGTGGTTCATACCTGTAATCCCTGCACTTTGTGAGGCCAAGATGGGTAGATTGCTTGTGGCCAGTAGTTGGAGACCAGCCTGGCCAACATGGCTAAACCCTGTCTTTACTAAAATACAAAAAAAAAAAATAGTCAGATGTGGCAGCACATGCCTGTAATCCCAGCTACTTGGGAAGCTGAGGCATGAGAATCACTTAAACCCGGGAGGTGGAGGTTGCGGTGAGCTGAGATTGTGCCAGTGCCCTCCATCCTGGACAACAGAGTGAGACTATCTAAACAAACCAAACCAAACCAAACAAAACAAAACTAAACCTTACCCTATGTAACACACTGATATTTTCTATTCTGTTCCAGACTAATCTCATCTAGCCTACACTTGCCATGCCTTGCATTGCTTATCCTATCTTGTCCTGTCCTGTCCTGTCCTGTCCTGTCCTGTCCTGTCCTGTCCTGTCCAGTCCAGTCCTGTCCCATTCCTACTCAGCCCATCCCATCTCAGAACCCACTAAATTGGCCTTGTGATGCACCTACTGTTCCATACAGTTTCTATATGCTTGAAACACTGTGGATACAAAATAGGAAAAAATTAAATAGTAAGGAACTTACAGATAAATGAAAATTAATCGTTAGATATGGTAATGATGCGAAATAATATATTAAATGTTAAAGCCCTTTGACTCTTTTACTTCTATCAGGGCCTGAAAATAGGAGATATTCCTTGAATCACTCCTCTCAGATACTTTCAAGGGTCCCGGCCTGATGAAGTCATGAGAACTAGGGAAACGACTGCCATAATGTAGTCACATCATGCCTGTGTAACTTTTCCATTTATTTTTTCTTCGTCCGTGACATGAATTTTGATACCAACCAAAATCTGTTATACTTTAATTTTACAGGGGTTTAATGCATGTGTATTATTTCCCCAACAACCCTGAGGACTTCAATTCAAGGAATAGCCAAATAAGATAGCTGTAAATGAGAGGGCTCCCAGGCAATACATCATTCCTGATGCAAATATCATTGCTACTAACATTATTATTATCCTATTATACCCCCATGATGCCTTAAAAAGTAAATATTAGATAAATACATACTGGATTGATGAATGAGGGACTTATATGCTACTTTCAATAAATACGTAAAATACGATTGTGGGTATGACTGTGAATTTCATATCAATTCCTTCAGACTCAAACATTAATTTTTTTGTCTATTGTAAGAAAAATCACGAAGTCAGTTTATTCAGCATTTATTGAGAACTTGGTATCTGTAGAAAGAACACTGTGTTGAGTACTATTTTCATTGCCTACATGAGAAAGTCAGAATTCCAGAATGTGTCCTTTTTACCTCTTCAAACGCATCTTCTGCACCTTCCTCCTCACATCCTTCTGGGCAAGTACTGGTTGAAGTGTCCTGAATAAAACAGGTATCCATGCCTTTGTGCCTTAGCCCAGCTGTTTAGCCCTATTTGTCTGACAAATTCAATCATGGCTTTCAAAATCTCTATCAATCAAATGTTGCTTTCTTCCTCCAAGTTAAGAGTTGCACCTCCATCCACCTATCCATCTATCCACTCAACAAATGCTTATTAAGTACCTACTACGCTCCAGCTCTGAACTGATTGGGAAGCTCTGAACTATCTGCCATTGGGAAGCATTTCTTTTTAGCTCTGGGTACCCACTGGCAGCTCTCCCATTCCATCCATTACCTGTCTGTTTCTTCTAATAGATTGTGAACTCTTATGAGGACATGTATTTTAACATATTTACCTTTGGATTTTTAGAGCCTAGTATGAGGGTCTTGCACATGGTAGACAGTCAACAAATGTTGAATTAATGAATGGAGAAACATTAAATAAAAATGGACATAGATTTCTCATCACATTCCTCATGATTGTAGCTATTCCTATTCCTTCAGATTCTGGGCCTTTGTTAAAGCATTCTCATGCACTGATATTTGCATCTTCCCCTATAATTGGGAATAGTGCTACTGTCTACCTACTGAACACTGTTGAAAATTTGAATGTTCATTTTGCATGCTTGAAATACCAGTGGAAGGCCGGGCGCTGTGGCTCACGCCTGTAATCCCGTCACTTTGGGAGGCCGAGGTGGGCGGATCACGAGGTCAGGAGATAGAGACCATCCTGGCTAACATGGTGAAACCCCGTCTCTACTAAACAAAAATACAAAAAATTAGCTGGGCATGGTGGCAGGTGCCTGTAGTCCCAGCTACTCGGGAGGCTGAGGCAGGAGAATGGCATGAACCCGGGAGGCGGAGCTTGCAGTGAGCCGAGATCGCGCCACTGCATTCCAGCCTGGGCAACAGAATGAGACTCTGTCTTAAAAAAAAAAAAAAAGAAAAGAAATACCAGTGGAAGGGTTCTGCACAGGAGGATCATAGTCTATGATTATACACACATCAAAAAGCTAATCCACCCTGACCAAGTAGGCTTTATCCCTGGGATGCGAGGTTGCTTTAATATGCTCAAATCAATAAAAATGATTCATCACATAAACATAACTAAAAACAAAAGCCACATGATCATCTCAATAGATGCAAAAAAGGCTCTTGATAAAATTCAACATTCTTTCATATTAAAATCCCTCAACAAACTAGGCATTGAAGGAACATACCTCAAATAACAAGAGCATCTGTGACAAACCCATAGCCAACAACATACTGAACAGGCAAAAGCTGAAAGCATTACCCTTAAGAACCAAGCCAAGACAGGGATGCCCACTTTCACCACTCCTATTTGACATACTACTGGAAGTCCTAGCCAAAGCAGTCAGGCAAGAGAAGGAAATAAAAGGCATCCAAATAGGAAGAGAGGAAGTCAAACTATCTCTGTTTGTAGACAATATGATTCTATAGTCTCTGCCCAAAAGCTATAGTCTCTGCTCAAAAGCTATAGTCTCTGCCCAAAAGCTCCTAGATCTGATAAACAACTTCAGCAAAGTTTCAGGACACAAAATCAATGTGCAAAAATCAGTAGCACTTCTGTACACCAACAACATCCAAGCTGAGAACCAAATCAAGATCTCAGTCCCATTCACAATAGACACACACACACACCTCCCCACCCCAGGAATACAACTAACCAGGGAGGTGGAAGATCTCTACAATGAGAATTGTCAAACACTGCTGAAAGAAGTCAGAGACAGCACAAACAAATGGAAAAGCATTCCATGCTCATTGACAGGAAAAATCAGTATTGTTAAAATGTCCATATGGCACAAAGCAATTTACAGATTTAATGCTATTCCTGTCAAACTACCAACCTTTTTCACAAAATTGGGGAAAAAAAATCCTAAAAATCACATGGAACCAAAAAAGAGCCTGAGTAGCCAAGGCAATCCTAAGCAAAAAGAACTAAGCTGAAAGCATCATTACCTGCTTTAAACTATGTGACAGGCTGCAGTATCCAAAACAGCATGGTACTGGTACAAAAACAGACACATAGACCAACAGAACAGAATAGAGAACCCAGAAATAAAGCTACACACCTACAACCAACTGATCTTTGGCAAAGTTGACAAAAACAAGCAAAGGGGAGATGATTCCTATATAATATATGGCACTGGAGGAACTAGCTATCCGTATGCAGAAGATTGAAACTCGACCCCTTCCTTTCACCGTATACGAAAATCAAATCAAGATGGATTAAAGACTTAAGTGTAAAACCTGAACCCTAGAAGAAAACCTAGGAAATACCATTCTGGGCATAGGCCCTGGCAAAGACTTCATGACAGAGATGTCGAAAGCAATTGCAACAAAAACAAACATTGACAAATGGGACCTAATTAAACTAAAGAGCTTCTGCATAGCAAAAGACAGTATCGACAGAATAAACAGACATGGGAGAAAATATTTGCAAACTATGCATGCAACAAAGGTCTAATATCCAGAATCTATAAGGAATTTAATCAAATTAACAGGCAAAAAACAACTCTATTAGGAAGTGGGTAAAGGACATGAACAGACACTTCTCAAAAGAACACAAACCCATGACCAACAAGCATATGAAAAAATGCTCAACATCACTAATCATTAGAGAAATGAAAATCAAAACTACAAGAGATACCACCTCACAGCCATCAGAATGCTTATTATTAAAAAGTCAAAAAATAACAAATGCTGATGAGACTGTGGAGAAAAAGGAACACTTATACACAGTTGGTGGGAATGTAAATTAGTCCAGCCATTGTCAAAAGCAGTTTGGTGATTACTCAAATAACTTCTAACAGAACTACCATTCAACCCATCAATCTCATTATCGGGTATATTCCCAAAGGAATATAAATATTTCCACCATAAAGACACATGAACTTGTATGTTTGTCACAGAACTATTGAGAATAACAAAGATGTGTAATCAACCTATATGTCCATTGACAGTAGACAGGAAAAAGAAAATATTGTATCTATACCCCATGAAATACTACACAGCCAAAAAAAAAAAAAAAAAAAAAAGAACAAGATCATGTCTTTTGCTGCGACATGGATGGAGCTAGAGGCCATTATCCTAAGTGAACTAATGCAGGAACAGAAAACCAAGTACTGCATATTCTTACTTATACTTGGGAGCTAAACATAGACCATATAGGAACACAAAGAGAAGAACAATAGACAGTGGGGCCTACGTGAGGGTGAAGGTAAGTGGGAGAGTGAGGATTGAAAAACTACCTATCAGGTGCTATGCTCATCACCTGGGTGATGAAATCATCTGTACACCAAACCCCCAAGACATGCAATTTACCTATGTAACAAACCTGCACATGTACCCCGGAACTGAAAAGTATGAAAAAGAAAAAGTCTATGGCTATATAGACTATGGTAACTAGGGTCAATTAAGTAATATTTGTACTATACTAGTAGCAAAACTTTCGAGAGAGAGAAGGTATTGGAAAACTTTGCTACTAGTATAGTGCAAATATTATTCATTTGACCCTAGTTACCATAGTCTACATAGCCATTGACTTTTTGTTTTTTACAATTTTATGTTCGGGGGTACATGTGCAGGTTTGTTATGTAGGTAAATTGCATGTCTTGGGGGTTTGGTGTACAGATTATTTAGAATCAACTTATTGTGAAATATTTATGCATTTGTGCAAGCTCATTCATACAGACTTCTTATTTTCAATCACAAAACAATTGGAGAAAGATTAAACTAGAATATATCTATACTTTAGAATGGAATAGAAACATATGTCTAGACATGGAAAGATGTCCAAGACATGTTGCTAAGTGAAAAGAGAGTGATATGCAATATATATATGTGTATATATATAATAAAATATATAATATATAAAGAGAGAGAGAAAGAACTGGAAAATTTATATATATATAAAGTATACATATATATGAAATATATGTGTGTATTTTTTATTGAAGAGGCGAGGTTTCACTATGTTGCCCAGGCTGGTCTGGAACTCCTGAGCTCAGGCAATCCACCTGCCTTGGCCTCCCAAAGTACTGGGATTACAGGCGTGAACAACTGCACTTGGCCGATTTTCCAATACTAATATTGATGACTCCTGTGTATTTTCTTTTAATATGTATGTACACAACATACATGAAGTAGTTTTACAAAAATTGATTACTGCTGAAATCTTAAGTGGTATTGTCTAAAGTTTGATTAAGATGATATTTTTAAAATTTCTACTTCAAATAAAATTATGCAAATTTTATTATTGCTACCCCACAAAGGTTTAGGCAGTAATCTTAACGGAAAAAGCCTGCAGTCTTTGAAAGTTGGTGTAATCGTATTAGGAATTCTTGTGAGTAATGGTAAGGTAAATGGGAAAAGATTTCCCAATTTCATTCAGTTTTCATTTAAAAAATCCATATGTGGTTTTGTTTTCATGCTAATTTCTGATAGACTGATCTTTATGAATCCATCTGTCTTAATGATTTTAAGTTGTGGAATTGTCATGAGGGACTGTTTGGTGCTTCACATATACAATAAACATTTAATTTAACGTCTTTGCACGGGAAAGTGTGTAAAACATTTAGCATCTGCTATGAATGGTTATACCTTGTAAATTGTAAATTCAATAGATGGTGTTTTCATAAAAATTTGCATGTGCTAAGTGAGGCTTCATTTTAATACACAATTTATAGTTAAATCATCTCTGTGTTAGCAGTAGGCAGATAATGAAATGTAGATGGTGGTTCAGCATTGTTTATTTATTGAGGGAAGAAGTAGATGAATAAGGAATAGATTTGATGTGATGAAAATAATGGGATTGCTGGTCCTGAAATTCAAGCCTGGTTATATATTATTTACTGATTAATAAATCTAACAGATAGCATGAATACACATATTATTAAGTAAAGATTCTCTTTAGGATGAAGGTCATGTAAAGCCAGAGATATTTTGAAGACTGTCTTCCCATGGGACTGGGAGTTTTATATACTAATTAAAACTCTGTAAATTTCCTCACAGCACTAGCAGTCCAGTATCAGGTTTTCTGAGCTGATTTTAATTAAAGTTGATTTTAGGCTCAATTTAACTTCATTTGAAGCTAAAATGGTCTGCAGAAAGTAGCCTTTAAGGTCTGAGGGTAGAAGGAGAATTGTGAAAGAGTGTATGTGTATGTGTGCATGTGGTATGTGTGTGTGTTTATATACATATGATATATTCAAGAACACTAAAGCCTGCCAAAAATATCATATGGCTTTTTTGTTACTGTAGTTTGTTTGAGCTCTAGCCAGAGGAACTTCAGCCAACCAAAGTCAGACCCCTGAATCACCAGTGTGTATCTCTGCGACCATGGACAACTCATTTCAAGCCTTTGCATCTTTATGTGCTCATCTATACTCTGTTTTTAAATAATTGCTCCCATCAAAATATACACTTCAGAAGTCATAAGGGAAAAAGATTGCAAATTTAATATGTTGTAACTTCCAGATAATGTGTATATATATATATAATCTGGAAATTATATATATATAATCTGAAAGTTTATATATATATATAAACTTTATATAAAGTATGATATGAAATCATACCACAGTACACGCACACATTGTTTGGTACTATGCAGTGTTCGAAAATAATTTTCACTTCTCTGATGCCCTTAACTGTTAGCATCATCACTGTAATGCAGGCAAAGATAATTTATAATTTCTGTTGGTTTTAAAAATATTATTAAAAGTTTAGTCCCAAAAATGAAAATAATTCATACATTTATAGAATAAAAAGGGAAAGTCCCTCTCACAGGATTATAGAATTAAAAATTATTAACACTTTTCTGTATCTCTTTCCAGATCCCTTTTTCTGAACATTTACACACATGCACCACACACACACACTGCCACATTATATAACGTTACACACACACACACACACAGACACACACACACATACGTAGCATATCACTGTCTTTTCACTTGGCAACATGTCTTGGACATCTTTATAACATGTATATACACTTTATATAAAGTGGTATATATATAAAGTTTATATATATAATAAATTTATTAGTTGGCTAAATATTTATATATTAAAAATAAATAGTATATAAGTTCTCACAAATCAAACTGAATATAAACATGAACAAAGGATATGCAAACACAATTCATAGAAGAAGAAATCAGATGGCCAATAAACATATGACATATGCTTAAGTTAATAAATTATCAAGAAAAAGTTAATATGAGATACCTTTATTCACTCTGAGGATTGATAAAAAATCTAAAAAGATTCCTGTTATCCAGTGTTGGTAATGCTATGGGGTGTGCTGGGCACTCTGATATACTATTAGAAAAGTTTGAGGGACCATGTTTTCATTTAACAATTTAAATATAACACTTTGCCAGTCATTGGACTTTTTAGAATCAATGTATTGTAGTGAAATATTTATACATTTCTTCAGACTCATGCATGTAGAGTTTTTATTTTCAATCACAACACAATTGGAGAAAGATTAAACTAGAATATATCTATACTTTAGAATAGAAACATATGTCTAGACATGGAAAGATGTCCAAGACATGTTGCTAAGTGAAAAGACAGTGATATGCTGTGTGTGCGTGTGTGTGTGTGTGTGTGTGTGTGTGTGTAACATTATATAATGTGTCTGTGTGTGTGTGTGGTGCATGTGTGTAAATGTTCAGAAAAAGGGATCTGGAAAGATATACAGAAAAGTGTTAATAATTGTTAATTCTATAATCCTGTGAGAGGGACTTTCCCTTTTTATTCTATAAATGTATGAATTATTTTCATTTTATGGGACTAAACTTTTAATAATATTTTTAAAACCAACAGAAATTATAAATTATCTTTGCCTGCATTACAGTGATGATGCTAACAGTTAAGGGCATCAGAGAAGTGAAAATTATTTTCGAACACTGCATAGTACAAAACAATGTGTGTGCATACTGTGGATATGACATCATCCTTAGTATTTGTACTTCCATATAATGTATATTAGATGTAACTTTGGATGAGTGTGAGTACCCTCCACTTAAGCAGTTAATTTATCTTACATTATCTTTATTTATCAGATCTGGTGGCTTTGAATAATGCTAAATTTCGCTTCTGATCATCCCAGAGAATCAAAATGAAAAGGTTGCCACATGTAGGAGTTTTCAGTCTGTTTCATTCTCTCTCTCTTTCTCTGTGACTACAAAGTGTTTCCCTATTCTGCTTTTTTCTTCATCTCTTTTCTCATTGTCTCTAATTCTAAAAACGGTTTTCTATAAATACTGGAAGCGCATTGTAATTTGACTTCCCAATAGCAATGATAAACTTTGAAATGCTTAATATTGTTTAAATCAAGACAACAAATGAAACCCTGTCTGGCTATCAGTCTTGTTACAGTCTCTCACTTAGGTAAAGACTCAAGAACTTTTGCCCATCTCACGTCTGCTTCATCAGGTTCCCAACATCCTGTGCACCGATAATGCTAATATGCCCACCATCACCTTCCCCGATTCATTACTCGAAGGAACCCTGGGAAATTTTTGGCTCAAAAACTTCAGAGGTCCTAGGTCTCATTACTACTGTCTTCTTATTGACATGGAGACCTATTTGTAGTTTGAGAAATCAATTTAGTGGTTTGAAACTGGCATTTTAAACACAAGATTGAAAGTATCAGAATGTATAATATGTAGAAAGAGTAAGAGAAGTATCATTTCATAAAACTTTAATCTCTTTCTCGCTCTTCATACATACACACACAAAACACATTCAAATCTCTCTCTCTCTCTGAATGTACATACACACACACAAACACACAAAATGTAAAATGTATTTCTATTATGGGTTGTGGTAAAAAAATTCAAATCTTCTATTTTTTGAACTGCTTTCACTTAATGATAGTAGATATTACTTCACTTAATGATAGCAATACCTTCAACTTGTATTGATGCTTGATAAAATATTTTATGAAATTCATCATTGTACCCACTCTTAATACATTATCAAGGAAGTTATTCATTACATCACTTCATCATGGAGACTGTAAGAGAAATTCCTGTATGGTATAAATATAAGAATAACTGGACATTGTTTTGTTTTGTCTTTGGGATACTGTGAAATATTCTCTTAACTAGGTTTACCTCTTTTTTTTTTCTTTTTTTTTTTTTTGGCGGAGTTTCACTCTTGTTGCCCAGGCTGGAGTGCAGTGGTGCGATCTCGGCTCACCGCAAACTCCGCCTCCCAGGTTAAAGTTATTCTCCTGCCTCAGCCTCCCGAGTACCTGGGATTACAGGCATGCGCCACCATGCCTGGCTAATTTTTGTATTTTTAGTAGAGGCGGGGTTTCTCCATGTTGGTCAGGCTGGTCTCGAACCCCTGACCACAAGTGCTCTGCCCACCTCGGCCTCCCAAAGTGCTGGGATTACAGGCATGAGCCACCAGGCCCGGCCGGTTTACTTCTTTATATTGTAATTAAATAGACTAGAACTAATGCTGTGATTCCCCCATAAGTGAATAAGGGTTTTTGTATGCATTTTACTTTGTCTTATTTCAGACATTTTTAATCTCTGTTCTTGTTTCCCTTTTCTATTTCTGATATTATTTTATAAACCTACTCTTGTTTTCTATTTCATTACCCTTATCGATTATATTAACTCTTTCTTCTAAAATAAATAACATTTTCTGAAGAAAAAAGACATATACAGATGCTGATGATTCTAAGATGCCATAATCACTTTGTTTGCCATAATAAACAAACACAACAAGACATGTAAAACTCAGGAATTTCTCTTTCTTAGTGCAGCCTCATATATGTCTTCAAACCTTGATGATCTTTTATATTTAAATACTATCTTTTCTGAAAGCTGCTTGACTTCCAGTCTTTCATATTAATGTTTTGTAAGCCAAGAGTTAATGATATTAACTGCTTTAATTAAGTGCATTAGGGACACGAGATTTGGCTTCTAGTTCCAGATTTATCACTGTGTGCTCTTGGAGAATTTGGCAATTCAATGGACTTCTCTGGATCATGTTCCTTCATCTATAAAATGGATATGATAATATCAAATTCTCATAAAAGCTGAAGGGATACCCCAGATACTCAAAGTTCTTTCTTAGGTCTAACATTTGTATATCAAAGAACATGTCATTCTGTTCGTTTGTTAATAGCAACTTCATAAGCTCTTTTATATCCAGTGCTGTGTAGACATCTGACCTTTTTTAAAGAAAAAAAAGTATTCCATTGCTTCACCCACATCACATGTCAGCTTTTATTGTAATATTTTACTGGAACATTTATCTTTCTCTTTATTTTTGGATTACCTTTTATCTTTTTTGAATTTTTAGTATCTTAGCACTTGCATGACAATGAAAAATGTTAAATGTTTAAATAAATATATTTAGAAGTATTAGGTGCATATAAAATACACACATATAAGCACATTTAAAATCTCCATATTTTTCTATATAGTGGTACAACACTTGCTTGGAAATAACATGAAGTGATTTATCTCAGCTCTTATTTTCACACATGCATAATATAGATTGCAAATTGTGTTACATTCTGAGGACATTCTTCAGTATTCACTTGTTTGGAGGTGAGACTCTCAGGAGACTTATGTTTTAGAAATATAAAACAAAAGAAAGAAAATTATTTAAGAATCCCTCTCTTCTTCCACCTATCTTCCATCCAGAAAGGGACATATATATATACACACACACATATATGTTTTGTTGTTGTTGTTGTTGTTGTTGAGACGGAGTCTCACTCTGTCGCTCAGGCTGGAGTGCATGGCGCCATCACAGCTCACTGCAAGCTCCGCCTCCCGGGTTCACGCCATTCTCCTGCCTCAGCCTCCCGAGTAGCTGGGACTACGGGCGCCCGCTACCACGCCCGGCTAACTTTTTTTTGTATTTTTAGTAGAGACAGGGTTTCACTGTATTTGCCAGGATGGTCTCGATCTCCTGACCTCGTGATCTGCCCGCCTCAGCCTCCCAAAGTGCTAGGATTACAGACGTGAGCCCCTGTGCCCGGCTGGGACTTACATATTTAGAAGAGATACAGTGACATAGAGGGGAAATTAGTTTTCACAGATTTTCAATTCCCAATGCAGGGATTCTTCAAAGTCAGAGCAACCTACAGATGATAGATGACTACCAATGACAATGTTTTGACATCATATTTACAGGATTTCTTTCCGGTCAACATTGAGCATTTTCTACCCCTATGTATAAGAGTGGTTGGGAAGACTTCTAATTTTTTTTCCTGTCCATTCATCTCTCTTACAAGATACATTATTTTGTTGTAGCCTTAAGATTCATATTAATGCTTGGAAATAAATTTGAGACAATAGAAGTGACCAAATATTTATTTCCCCACCAGTTGCCGGACTCACATTCCTTCAAAGCTGAGACTTCCACTCCATGCTATCATGGTACATCTCCCTCTCCACCTTTCCCCAATCTTTGCTTAATGTATTCATATGCTCATTTTATCTCCATTAGGGAGGCCCAAAATCAGTCGGATATCTTAGCCTGCATTGGATCCTCCATTGTCTGAAATACTGTACTACAGTTGTCCTCAGAGTTATCTGAACTGACCTATGTCTGTATTAAATTTTATCTTTTTGAGTGAAAGGAGTTTATACTGTCTTACTACTTTACAATATCTATTTGTAATTCTTTAGACTCTAGTGTCATGGAAAAGCTGTATTTTTTCTTCTCTCTGAGGTTTTCAGTGGTTGGATAGTCAAGATAGCGCCTGGTTAATTAGCAGCTGGTTTGTCTACCTCCCCAGAGGAATATTCAGTCCTAGCCCAACCACAAAAGCACAGCTTCAAACAGGGAAGGTGACTTTGTTGTGAGTCTAATAAGATCACAAGGGGCTATATTTGGGGCTTCAACTACAGTGGATGGCCTAGGCATCCAGGCTGATAGCTGATTGACTCCTAATAATCTGAATTATTCTCTCAAAACAACACAACTCAATGGGAGCTACTGATTTGCTAGGGTATCATAAACAGAAAGAGAATTAATAGTAGTCTCTGCCCTGATACAAATCCACTTCCACTGAATTGAAACAAACTCAGTAATCATAAACTAGCCAGGAATGGTGAAGACCTACTTTGACCTAAATTGGCTTATTGACTTGAGTTTTTTTTTCTGAAGAAAATACCTCTTATTGCTTATGATTATAAATTTCCACAGGGATTAGATA
This sequence comes from Homo sapiens, assembly GCF_000001405.40. Taxonomy (NCBI): domain Eukaryota; kingdom Metazoa; phylum Chordata; class Mammalia; order Primates; family Hominidae; genus Homo; species Homo sapiens. Next base: position 18,443,250 of record NC_000007.14, read on the forward strand.
AATTATATTTTATCATTAATTTTGTGTACGTGGCAACATGATTGGGGAAAATTATCTAGTGATTAAATGTAACTGTATTTGCTTTGCTAGAAAATTACACCAAAGAAGACCAATGGGTAAGTAGTCTCACCTCTCTTGTAAATACCAGATTGGAAACTGGGTGTGTTCTAGGAAGAACACACATGCACCTCATAAAAGTAAATAGAATTAAATCAACAAGAAGTAAGCACTAATTATACCATAGGGTGAATAGTTTTTAAAAAGTCTTGTCTTTTCAATTGTTAGTTATGGTCCATTCTAAAAAACATGTTATGCTCTTATAACAGTGAGGAGATCCTCAGGGGATGAATATTAGTAAACCCTCAAGACATCTTATATATGAATATTTGGTTTAAAACTAAATATTTAACTCTTTGTGTTAAATAGCAGAGTACCACCCTTCATTTGTAAAATAGAATTCAAGATCATAAATATGTGTTGGATGACAGTAGAACCCGTTTTAATTTGTACACACACAAACATTATGTTCTTTCTCTCCCTCTCTGTGTGTGTGTGTATATATATACATATATATATACACATTTGTATAAACATTTGTATATACATTTGTATAAACATATATACATTTGTATAACATTTGTATATACATTTGTATAAACATACATTTGTATTATATATATGTATATATATGTATGTATGTATGTATATATGTATGTATGCATGTAAGCATATATGTGTGTATGTATGTATCTGTCTATCTGAAGGAGAAAAGTTTCATGCTGGCCACTACTAACAAAGGTGATTTGCAACTGGGCATGGTGGCTCATGCCTGTGATCCCAGAACTTTGGGTGGCCAAGGTGGGTTGATCACCTGCGGTCAGGAGTTCAAGACTAGCCTGACAAATATGGTGAAACCCCTTCTCTACTAAAAATACAAAAATTAGCCAAGCGTGGTGGCGTGTGTCTGTAGTCCCAGCTACTTGGGAGCCTGAGATAGGAGAATTGCTTGAACCTGGGAGAAGGAGGTTGCAGTAAGCCATGATCATGCCAATGCTGCACTACAGCCTAGGTGACAGAGTGAGACCCTGTCTGAAAAAAAAAAAAAAAAAAAAAAAAAAGAGTGATGTGCTATCAACATCAATAATGAAGTACATGTCTCAATAGACATCTCAGTTTGTATTTTCTACACACTCAGTTACATATCTTGTAAATAAAAGGGGAAAGGTAGATTAGTATTTTTTATCCCCCGACCACTGTATATCCCATACTCATCTTAGTACTTAAATGGCTATTTCCAAATACATTCATTTTCTTAAGCATATGGGATGAGTTGATGGTATCCTAGATACAAAGGAGTCTCATTATTTTATTTTGCCAGAACTTTTTTCTTCCCCACAGGTTTATAGTTTCATAGTTCTTTATAGTATGCTACGCCCAAAGGAGGCATGAATACCGAAATAAAAAAGTGCCAATGTTAAGATACATGTTTTGCACCAGAATATAAATTTTCGCATTGGTTGACTGATAACACTGTTGTATTGTCATTTTTCTCAAAGTAAGGTCTTACTAAGCCTGTTCTTGACCATTACCATCAAGTACCATTACCATCAAGCTATTTATAATCTTTGTATTTAGTTTCTATGTACTAGCAATAGAAAATATTATCTTTCTCATCTCTTTCATTTAGTGACTAAATTTCCCTAGAATATACAAGTGATCTAAGACCCAGGGCTGGAAATGGGAGGTACATGTGAGTTTCTCAAATTATGCAAGAGCTTTATCATACTATGGCCTGAAAAATTCCTGCATAGTGGCCATTGTCTGTCTTATAGAAAGGCAGGAGTTTGCATTCACCAAATAAACGAAACAAGAATTCACAGCTGCAGAAAATTGAATTACACATTTTCTTAAGACAATAGTCATATCATGGCAACAGATTACCTACTTAATCAACTGTAATCAACTTTTAGTAATTGTGAAGGTAAAGTTAGTTCTATTAGCTCAACTCAAAACTTCCTTTAAGTAGTAAAATAAATCTAATTACATTGAGTTAACTTTTTTGATGACTATAGTTTTCTACTATAGGCTATTTTTCAATGAGTTGAATAATTTGCTTATATATTTATATTTTTTTATGATAGTGTTAATCAACTTGACATATCAAGAGGATAATAATTTTCTGCTCATTAAATAATATCCCTAACTATATTGTCAAAGTACTCAAAATTTAATGCTGAAATATGTAGGGGCTGAGCGGCCTCTGTGATTGTTTCAGATTGCATCTTCCATTGTTGAAAGAATTACCTGTGATATCAATTAATGTTCATAGAATTTTCGGAGCCAATTTTAATGAAAAGTTAAACCCAGTACTGTTTATCAGTGCCAGTAATTGCTCTCCTGTATGTTATAACCAGGCCTATCTATTCCCAAATGCCCCGAGGCAGAGCTGTTTATAGATAGCCATGAAAACAATGTTTTGAAACTTCAGCTTGCCTGAATCAAAAACCTCCTTTTATGCATGGTTAGTTAAATCAGCCAAAAAGATAGTTGACAGCAATATTTGAAAATATCCTGAAAATGGTTTGACCTTTTCATTAGGTGCTAGAAATAAAAGCAGAGAATTAAAAGAAGACTTCTATTTAACCTTTTGAACAAAAACCGGTTTACAAGTCAAACATATCTTAGGATTGTGCGTGAGCTGCTGATGACATAGACACTCATTTGCTCCTTAAAGAACAAAATTTGAGCACAAGGAAAGAAAACCTTTCTCTGGAACAAGTAAGCTCTATTTAAAAAGTGTAGGTCTCTATTTAAAGAGAGTAGGGCTGGCAAAGGCCTTTGTCGTCTGGCCAGCAAAGAGGATAATGTGCAGAGACATTTAAATTCAGTGGGACAAACACTACCCTTTGTTGGCTCCCACACTCTCAGACACACACACAGAACTTCCACTAAAGTGAGAGAACTGTATCTAATTTGGAATTCAGAAGATGGCCAAAAATAAATAGTTTATTGTCATATTCAGATATTATATTCATGGTTTTCTAGGTTGGTGTGTATGACATCACTGCTTTAAACCCAGCCATGCATCAGCATTGGTCACTGTTCTTTCTCATGCCTAGTCGGGGGGTGGGTTTAAAAGAAGAAAGTGTTGAGCATAGATTTGACAGGACTTGAAAACTGGGAAAGGTTTAGGGATACACTTTTGAGTTGAATCTTTTCCTTTTTGCTAATGCTGCTTCTCATATAACGTATATTCAAATATATTAGGTTTTTTAATTACAAAAGTAATACTTGCTTATTGTTTTCAAATATATTATGGGTAAGCTGTTTTTTAAAAAGTGAAACTGTCTTTCTGCCTCTATGTCCACATCCTCAGCAAAAGCACTGTTGATATAGTTTTTTTCAACCTTTTTGCTATGCATTTACAAATATACACGTTCTTTTGTGTGTGCGTAGATGTAGAACATATATTCCAAGTGTCATTGAGAACAACATATATTTTCCTGCAAGATGCATTTTTTGAAAAAAACTTGGAAATATCAAGGGCTGCCTTCTGTGTTAAAAGCTATAAATACTTTCAACAGATTATCCACAGTTGTACATTATCCACAATGTAAGTGTAACATGATTAATTTTTTTCCTAAGGTTGGATATTTAGTTTCTCTAAAATTTTTCACTACTATGAAAAAAAGATTCAACGTATATCTAAGTATATGCTAATCAATAAATGCTTGTGACCATGTGAGCTTTACATTAAAAACAAAAAGTTTTGAATATTTGGGTAAATGTTGAATTCCCATCTTGATAGATTCTTTCAACCCTAAAAATAAGATAGGATTACTGACGTCTTTAAAATAATGGAAATATTTATTGGCCCTAGTGTATCTGTGGTATCATTGACCTTTTAAAAAATCCAAATCTAGATATGAGTCAGTGGTGTGAAAACAAAAAATAACAGAGAGTTTAAAATTATTTATGATGAAATATACTGACACCTAAAATAACCCCCATGTGAAGAAATATTTCACACTTTATTTTAATATATTTTTTATATTTTACAGAAACACTTATATATCGCTTACCACAATTATGGTCACTAATATTAACCTTTTTCATTTACCATTTTTTTACTTCAGAGATAAAAATAAAACCAATAAAGTTATGCTGCTTATAAAACAGAAGACCTTGAGATGTGTCTAGTTTTATTATATTGTTGTGGAGCCATTTGTATTGTTAGCCCATGTAGAGGAAAAACAGAAATGCAGCCACGTCCATAATTCCTTTTATTCATGTGTAGGTTATAATTTGAAATACATCAGATTAATGATCTTAGTCATGCAAATTTAATTTATAAAGTTGAGATTATTTTCACCAATACCTAAAACATCTGTATTCAGAGTTTTTGTTAACTATGCTTTATTATCCAGGCTGAATATTGTAGCAAGAACTTTATAGTTAACTGTCATATACATCTCAGAAGACTGGCATACATTTTGTGAAATCTATGAATTTGATTGCTTAAAAACTCCTTTGGCTCCTATAGTGTATGTATTCCTATTAGAATATACAATTGAAAGAACACAACTAGAGCGTATACAAAGGGGAGTGGTTAAATCATAGAGGACCCTGTCACCCACGCTGTAGTGGAGTGGCATGATCTCTGCTCACTGCAGTTCTGCCTCCTGGGTTCAAGCAATTCTCCTGCCTTAGCTTCCCTAATAGCTGGGATTACAGACGTGCACCACAATACCTGGCTAATTTTTGTATTTGTAGTAGAGAGGAGGTTTCACCAAGTGGGCCAGGCTGGTCTCCAACTCCAACTCCAACTCCAAATCCAATTCCAGGCCTCAAGTGATCCACCCACCTCAGCCTCCTAAAGTGCTGAGATTACGCGCGTGAGCCACCATGCCTGGCGATCTGGAGGTATTCTCCTGTGAAAAAGAGACAACTGTGATTGTTATAAATTATTCCATAAACTCTTATGTGGGAAACACATTAAATTTATTCTGTATAGCTACATGAAGCCAACTAAGACCAAAGAGTAGATGTTGAAAGGAGAGCAACGTTCAATTTTAGTTTAATCCTTAAGAATATGTTCTGCTTATATTAATAACAATAATGCATATTTATCGTACAAAATGCAAGAAAGCATTAAAAGAAAAAATATCACCTTTGATCCCATAACCAAGAAATGGTTTGGTACCTTTTCTTTAAAGATTTTATATATGTATGGTTGTATTCAAATTGAGTATTAATTATTAGATTTCTAACAGTTATTAAATTGCATAGGGAAGAGAGGGTAACGTAACTATTTTATGGTAAATTGAACATTTGTAATAATTTTTTTATTTAAATATTCCACTTTTGAAAATGGACCCATTCCATCAGTTTCCTTTTTGGTCAATTTCCTATTCATTTCTGAAAACAATTTGGAAGAGACTCCTTTCAAAAATATATTGCAAAAATGGTACAAATTAATTTGCAAAGTCAAATTGTGTTTTTTTGGAAAGGATTCAGGATTTTATTGCTAAAAGTGAGTTGGAAAACAACTTGGACTGCAAGGCTCCTGAAATTCTGGTAGAATTTGATGTGTTGATAGTTCAAGAAGACCAAACCTACAAGATTTGTGGCATAGTAGATGCTTAAAAATATAATAATAAAGTGACAGAATCGGGGCAGATAGAATAATTTGCATGTCAGAGGAATAAGAAAAGCTCTTGGGCCAATTAATAGGCCCTAGAGTATTTTGTCAAAACTGAAGCCTGTGATATAAAATCTTACCTTTTTGTGCTGGCAAAATTAAGCCCAAAACACTTTATAATAAGTAAGTCTGAACGTATGTATACCTTAAGACCCTGCATACACCTTTAGATACATATCCAATAGAAATGTTTACACTAAATGTGTTTTCCAAAAGTACATGCACAAGAATGTTTGTAGCAGCCCTATTTATAGTAGCCAAAAAGTGAGAGCAATGTGCCTCAAAATTAGAGTGGATAAATTATGAAACATTCATGTAATGGAACACCATACAGCAATGAAAAAGAATGAGCCATTGTTACATACAATAATATTGGTTTACCTTACAAATATAATACTGAAAGAAAGTAACCAAACACAAGAGTGCCTACTATATGACTCAATTTTTATAAAGTTAAAAATATGGTCAAAACTAACATGGGGTGTTAAAAGTCTGGCTAGTAGTTACTTTGAGGGTATTAATGAGAGAGGGCACAAGGAGTGCTGTTGTGGTGTTCAAATGTTTTCTTTCTTGATCTAGCTGGTTTATTGGGAGTGTTTACTTATATTAATACACTAAGATATACACCTATGGTTTGCCCGCTTTTCAGGATGTATGTAGCACTGGAATAAAAGTTTACATAAAATAAAAAAGTTTCCCCACCATGGCTCTTCCACCCTTCACAAAAAATACTTTCTCCATTAAAGAAGGAGCTCAGAGTTATAAATATTACTGAAAATTTTATTAAAGATACATTTAAATATACTTTTTAAATGTTTTGTTTAATTTTGAGGAAAGGTCTTCCTCAAGTTTATTATAAAATTTAAGTTTACTAATTATCTGTTTGCAGTATCTCAGATAATGAAAATCTCCAATTTATACCTCTGCTCTATACTCATGTCTTTTCTATTTAACAAAATTAGAATCAGACTTTTAAAATATGTTTCACCTATTATTCTGTTTTTGCCATTTTTCATGACATTAAATATTTCCAACTGAAATACGTTCTAACAAAGGTGTTAACAAATGAAACAAGTATCTCAAAAGATCATGCTACCTCTATTAAATATTTGAGTTGAGGCTGCATGGCCACTTATGGGAGAAGTAAGTGGACTCAGACTAAGATATCAATGCCTGGCAAATATTGGGCTGTTCAATGTGTCTGTGGAATGAATTAATGTTTTTGGAAGTCCTTCCAACTCTGATTGCCTAGAATAAGCAAAGTCAGCAAGATTATTGTGAAATGCTCACTCACTGACACTAAATGGTACATAACAGTGCCTGGTTCTAATTATTACATCAACATCTGTGATTACTGATTCAACCCTAGCTCTTTGATATTTATTCACCAACTTTGCCATTGTTTTAAAGATAGATGATAAGCACCATGAATACTGATGGAAGCCTTTGCTTTTGGCAAAGGGTAGACAAGGTGTCTCCAAAAAGGCTTTATTTCAGCGGCAGAAGAATTTCTAACAGAGCTTGTAAACTTATTTTTAGTCTCCGCCCCTTTCCCAGTTCTGGTTACAGGGCAGACACTTTTAGTAATTTTGCTTGTCTGATAAATGATTCTATCATTATTGATATTGTTCTTCTCTTAGCCACATGTGAACACATTTGATTGAGACTTTAAGAAATAAATTATTTCCTATTTCAAGAGTGCTTCTCTTTTGTTACAGAACTCAGAGGTCTGACTTGGAATTGTGCTTTCATTGTTTCTTCATATTCATACTATAACTAATATTGCTAATGCCAAACTTTTTATTCTATTTTTTAGGAAGAGGTGAAGCTTCAGAGATTATATTGTGATTGGTCAGCTTCTTAATCAGAAGGAAAGGAGTGTTTGTTTAGATATCTCATACATTTACTTTTTGACTGCTATGCAACAAGACATAGAAAATGAGGGTGAAAGTGTCAAAGGGAAAAGAGTAGTAGATGTCAAATGTCATACGTGTTTCTACATGGATATATGTTCACATATAGGTTATGTATACATATACATACCGCTGTGGTCTGAAAGTTTGTGCCCCTCCAAAATTTATGTTGGAACCTAGTCACCATTGTGGTGGTATTAAGAGGTAAGGTCTTTGGAAAGTGATTAGGTCAGAATGGCCTTGCCCTCAAGAATGGATTAGTGCCTTTACGAAACAGGCCTGAGGGAGCTTGTGGGCCCCTTTGCCCTTTCATCATGTGACGGCACAGAGAAAGCATCGTCCATGAGGAATGGGCCCTCACCAGACATAAATATGCTAGCCCCTCGATTCTGGACTTCCCAGCCCCCAGAACTGTGAGAAGTAAGTTTCTGTTGTTTATAAATTACCCAGTCTAAGATATTTTTGTTATAGCAGGCTGAATGGACCAAGACACATGTATATGTGCGTGTGTGTGTGTGTGTGTGTGTGTGTGTGTGTGTATATATGTGTGTGTGTGTGTATATATATGTGTGTGTGTGTGTGTGTATATGTATATATATATGCATACATATAGGTGAGTATATTGGATTACATTAGATAGATATGCATAAATAATGGAGAATCTCGATTGGCCAGGAGTAGAAATTATACAGTACAGATCTGACATGTGGATTTCCCAGATATAATGCATCCACTGATGCATTGTATCCACTGATTTATGTGGATATAGAGGTATCCACTGATTTATGTGGATATTATTTGTATCCACTGATCTATGTGGATATAGAGGTGCTTCGGCGGGGGTTGGGTGGGGGGAAACATTTGCTATTCAGCCCTATCGGCATATTTGGTGAACTGTGTGATGTGAGATGGCTTGGAGAACAGGCGGCACATTTTAGGAAGGAGTTTGTGGTCCCTAGGAAAAGCTTCACTCAAAGAAAAGAGTCTGGCTCAGTGACCTGGAATTAAAGGGCACCTGGACACTAGGGGAATTATGGCTTTGGGAACAGCATGGCAATGTCACCTAAATCTGCCCCAGTTCAGCCATCGTTATGGTAGATCCATATCCCAGATGTTAAGGACTGTGTGGAACCTAAAACAGATACTTCACTAAAGTATTAGGTCTCAAGTAACTTTGCTGTAGGATCCATCTGAAGTCCGGAGTCAGCATTTGAACTTCAGTTAGCAGCCTTGAGATGCTAGCCAGGGCAGTTTGAGTGGCCATTGGGCAGATTATCAAGATAGAATTCCAAGGTCAACAGCAAAGTGACCTGAATCCTAGGCTGAACTGTGGTAGCCACACACTCCCTGAGCCTCATGTAGTGATCTTTCAAGACCAGGAACAACCAAAATGAGCACTAAGAATGTGGCCCAAGGATAACATAGAAGTGGCAGCAGGAACATTGTCCAGGATACGTCAGTAAGAACACATACGCGTATGACACTCTGAGGAAACAAGCAGAAATATCAGAAGTGAGCCTTGGAAGTTGAGGCTCATGTCTTCCAATTGAGGGTCACAACCTGGAGTGTGGGCTTGATTTGTCAAAGGACCTTTGTGGGAAACTACAGGTGGGAAGACCTGCCATTTGCATAGAGAAAGAGAAAGAACATGTGAACAGTCTTATAAGATGCAGACTTAGATGCATCAATATATAATTGATATGGTTTGGCTGTGTCCTCACCCAAATCTTACCTATAATTGTAGCTCCCATAATCCCCATATGTCATGGGATGGACTCAGTGGGAGGTAATTGAATCATGGGGACAGGTTTTTCCCATGCTGTTCTCATTATAGTGAATAAGTCTTACAAGATCTGATGGTTTTATACAGGGCAGTTCCCCTGCACATGCTCTCTTGCCTGCCGCCATGTAAGATGTGCCTTTTCTCTTCCTTCACGTGTCACTGTGATTGTGAGGCCTCCCCATCCATGTGGAACTGTGACTCCTTTAAACCTCCTTTCCTTTATAAATTACCCAGTTTCGGGTATATCTTTATTAGAAACATTAGAACAGACTAATACAATAATATAAACTTGGACACACATAATATAAACTAGGATGCTCTATCAAGGAAACAATAAAATGTTACCTTTTTTTCCCAATGTAAGTTTACCATGATTTTGCTTTTTTCTTATTCCTGTGATGCTTTTTATAAAATAAATTATAAAGTATTCATTGAATGAATTTATATCTTCTAATCAGAATTTTCCTTAGGAACTTCTCTAATTGTGTAGTTAGGGTAAAAATTGCTTTGTATATGCCTGTGGTTTCAAAAGACTGGAATGTGCTATTTATCTTTTTATTTACTGAAGGTTTTCACTTACTTCTTATGTATTTCTTATACTGTATTAATTCTAAAGTATTAACCTATTTCCAGGTGTAATGATGATAAGTACACAAAGGTCAGCATTGATTAAAAAAAGTGGGGGGAAGGAATTTAATTCTGGAGCTAAAATCCATTTAGTTAAACAGATCAAGGACATACATTAATAGGCTGCTGCAAGCACATAATAGCCTAAGACATAAATAGGCAAATATTTTTTTCCTTGGATGTTAAATTCACAGTATTCACAGTAGCTGCCTAGAGTATTATGTTAAGAAAGAGGCTGAGGTTTGTCGGAAAAGAATTAGTAGTGCTTATCTGGGAGTGCCTAAACTAGTGCCTGGGAGGTTGTGGTGACACAAGTGCCACATATTTGCTAATCCTTGTCTAAAGCTTCCCTTAACTATTTAGTTTAGCTAGTTCATTAATACTATATAATATCATAACTTATTTTGTTTTGTTTTTCATAATTTGTCTACAGAGATTACATTATTTTCCAAAATTTTTGTATAGATTATTACAAATAAGTAAATGTCAGATATTTTATGCAGGTATCTGGAACTAAATTATCAATATTTATAAATATGATCTAAATCAAACAGTACACTTGCTAAAGCAATCTACAGATGAAAACCAGAGTCTCATTTAGAATTGCCCAAAGACAAAAGGGAAGGGACTCAGGAGCCTTGAATAAATGGGGAAATTGTTCCTTTTCAATTCAGTTGCAGAAATATTTATTTAGCAAGTACCAAGATATTCTCGGAATTAGATTATGCACTGAGAGCCTCATAATCTAATGCGAAAACAGACATATTATTCCAAAGTATAATTGCCTAAATTAATAATTATAGAATTGCTAAAATTTTCTGAAGTGTTAATTATGGAATTACTAAAAGCCAGCTTAGATGTAACAAAAAAGATCTAGGAATTGTCCGATACATTTATTAATCTTATCAAAATACTGGAGATTTACAAAATCAGAGATTTTTTTACTTTTGGGCTCAAAAAATTGAAGTTCTTCTTGGACAGTGTAATTAATCTTATAATTTTAGGTAGGTCACTCGAATTTTGAGATTAAAACTCTAGAATACTTTATAATAGCAGTGTTTTATATTTGAATAGCACTTTAAAATTTGCAAAGTGTTATGTTTTCAGATACTTTACTTGGTAATATAAATAGGTCAAGTACTGTCTTCACTTCCTATGTAAGGCTACTGTGGCTCAGAAAATTTAAACAAGTTACTCTAGTTTACAAAGCCAGTGGAGTTGGAAGTCAAACCCAAGTACTTGGGTTTCTAATTCCAAATCCTTTCTTTATGTTAGAGTAAGCTCAACATAATATATTCTTGAAAGCAACTTAGAAACATACATCATTATAAGGTAAAATAAAATTTATTTATTTACTTTTCTTATTGCTCACCATGTGAAGAACCTGTGAACAGCAAGAAACTTTCTTTAATTCCCTAAAGAAAATTATCTTATACCTTGTTATGCACCTGCTATTTTCAGCATTTATCCTAAAAAATGTGGCATTGGATAATTAACCAATTATATGAATTTTATTTAACTGTTTTGTTGTTCTAATTATGGGGTTAAATATAATTATTTTTCTATAGCTTTGTAAAGGAAAACATCATAAGTTAATTTTCATTGTGTATCTTGGCTCTTGCTGAGGAAAATATTCAAAATAAAAGCTTTGTCTTACCTAAAAATGGAGGAGGATGGCGTCAGAATTTACTGTCATCTTAACTGATTTCTAATAAGGTGTCTCTGAACATACAGGTCTCACATAATTCACAGCTGCCTTTGGTCTTGATTTTTTCTTTCTTTTTTCTTTTTGAAAACTGAATATTTTTTTACTTTATTTAAAGCCCAATATTTGGATAATAAAAAGGAGACAGGGACATAGAAATAAGTGTAGTAAAAAAGCCAGATATCTTCCTGTTTGCTCTAAGAAACTTAATATTCTGTAGCTTGTATATAGTCATGTAAATAAAGATAAAATTAGTTCTGTTTTTTCAGTTTAAGTTCAAGTTGATATTTGAAATAGCTTTTAAAAAAAAAGTTAAGTCAAACCCAAAGAATCCTGTAAACCTTTTACTGGAAATATTTATGGCTATGATATCCTTGTCCCTTTTTCTCATTTTTTTGTGTAATTTTAGCCAGGACATTGATTTCATTACACAATTGAAGAATCCTGTATAATTACAGCATTTAAATGAAATGGAAAAAGAATTTTGTTACTGGTATTTATCTTTTTTTCCAAACTGAGAAGGAACAATTCTTACAGTGAGAATCTGCCAGCCAGGTCTCAGTGTTGATTATAATCGTATTTTAAAAACATAAATGAACGATTTTTATTTAATCATTTTCCAAAGGATGGATTGAAGCACAAAATCTGTTGCACACCCAGAAGACAGTGCAAGAATGGACTGGGTTGGGGATGTAGCCAACCATCTAATTACACCAATAGATTCACAGCACAGTTGGGTCACAAATTATGTTTCTAAATTTAGAAGGTGAATCTCCACCATAAATTATTGAAAAGCACTCTGTGGTACTCCTCTCTCCATTTCCCACAAATTAGATTACTGAAAGCTATAAAGCATCTTTAGAATGTGTTTTCCTTGCTGTTTAAAAATGTTCCTTTATCATCAATTAGTGCCAACCTTGACATCAGCTATAACCAGAAAACATTGAAACCAAAGGATAAAATAAAGAAGCAAGGAAATTATTTCTAAAAGAAACAGAAGAAGCTTTTTTACTTGCTAGGGAGATTTAACTCCTTAAAATATTTGTGAGTTTCCATCTCTAAAATTTTCTTGGGATAGAAATGTAATGACATATTACATAAATAGGGTCCCCAGCACATTTTATTTCCTTGCTGATCGTATTAGGTAAAATAATTACAGCTGAGCTAGAACAAATTTTGATAAAATAATTTCATTCTACCATAAATTAAGTCATTTGCATTATTTGTCCAACTTTACTTTTGATTTGATTTGATTGGTTGGTTGGTTGATTTTTTTGAGATAGAGTCTTTCTCTGTTGCCCAGGCTGGAGTGCAGCAGTGTGATCTCCACTCACTGCAAACTCCACCTCCCGGGTTCAAGTGATTCTCTTGCCTCAGCCTCCCAAGTTACTGGGACACAGGCACATGCCACCATGCCTGGCTAATTTTTGTATTTTTAGTTGAGATGGGGTTTCACCATGCTGGCCAGGCTGATCTCGAACTCTTGACCTCAGGTATCCACCCACGTCGGCCTCCCAAAGTGCTGGGATTACAGGTGGTAGCAACCAAGCCCAGCCCACCTTTAGTTTTTGAGCTTATATATACTCACCACTTTCATTCATATGATTTATGAACCTGAAAAACAGTTGATGGAAGATATTAGAAAATAAGATTATGTATAACATTACACTAAATTTAAGGTTTGGCCTCTCTATTTCAGTTATGATTTTCTCTACACCACCTCTCTTCCTGTGTCTATAAAATGGGAATAACAATCCTTACTGTGTACTTACTTAAATGGGATGATTCGCAAGTTCCTCGTTCACAAGAGATTTTTCAAATTGTTTTTTATTTTCTAAATTGAATATGCAGTGATGTGCCATGCAGAACTCTGGTTCCAAGTTAAAAATGTCCAATTCAAATAGCTGCAGGGTATTTATTGGCTCACATAAACGATGGCCCTGGAAGTAGAACCAGCTTTATATATAGCTATACTCGGGAGTCACACATAGTTTTATCCACCTTCAGTTTTGCTACAAATTGTGTTGTCCTCAAACTCAGGTTTTCTGGTATAGAAAGATGGCAGTGGAGCTCAAGTGCCTACCTTTTCTGAGACCTTAGTCTAGTAGATTTCCATTCCCAGGATTCCTTGGAGATACTTGTTGAATCTCAGAGATTTTGATTAACTCAGCATGTCCATTTCTTAACCCTTGCTAATGAGAAAGAAGAGAATAAAGCTTTTTTCATTTCATATCCCAGAAAATGTGCATGCAGTTCTGCTCCCATTTTTCCTACAGTATTTCAAGTGAACCACTCAGTGACAATCCCATCAACTTATACTGCCTTACTCTTTTAATTTAATATGAAATAGAACTGTCATTAACTGAAAGGGAAATTGCTTCAGTGAATATATTTGTGAAGAAATAAAATTGCTTCAGTGAATATATTTGTGAAGAAATAAAATTCATGAGATATTATAAATTTGATTTGCCTTCAAAATTTTAATTTAACTTTTAAAATTAGTTACAAAATATAGTTTTAAAAATAATCTAATTATTCATAAACTTTTAATTGAGAGTTTCTTTCTGATTAGTTGCTGTCTGCCCCTGTGCAGCTGACCCATTATATTTACAAATTGGTTGATCTCTGCATATAGGCCATAATAGTTTTATAAACTGTAGGTTATAAACGTCTGCTCTAATTAATTTTCTTTCATATCAACTGAATTTGATGTTGTTGAGGCATTAGTGAGTTTTTTAAAAATAGTTTACATAGAGCTTCATTTTGTTGATTAGTCAAAAGTATTGTTAAACTGGCTTCATGGTGTTTGAAATCACCTATTTTCAGGTGATAAGACTTTCTAAATTGATTTTTCCTTGTTCCTGGATGGGTCTTATTCTGCCAGATGGGAGTTAGATCACTTCCATTGAAAGAGAGTCTGCATGTGTTCCCAGAAGCACACACGTGTATGCAAATGCACACACTGACACTACAGAGTCTGGTTCGTGTGTTCTTTCTCACTATCTGAGGTTGTGTATGGCCATACACGCCTCAGATGGGGTTGGTTTTTATAAAAACGTTAAGGCTGAATCATATTTGTTGTATTGTGACATTTGCTGCCTTGCCATCAAAGAGTAGGTGCCTTTGTGCTGACAACTCTTTGGCATTTTGCCCCAGGGAAGTGTTGCATTATCAAAAGAGACGCTCACCCTCTCAGTGCCAGGGTGCTGGTAATTAAATCGTGGATGGTTGACCAGAATTCACAGGTGAAAATGATGAAAAGAATGTATTGAAATGAAAACCTGAACTAGGCAGCATTATATCTAATGAGCAAGAGGAGAGCTCTTTTAGGCTTGGTAACTTAGATGAGCATATGTGAACTATGGCTAATGCTTCTGATAGAAAATGGTTACTAGGAAACCATAAAAAACCCTCTAATTATGTGACCTCCAAGCTATACCAATAAATATAGAATTCAGATGAGTTTGTGCTAAAACCAGTAGTAACCCACTAATATTATTAATACTCTTGTAGTTTGTTTCCAAAGGAAGTAAGATTTATTGTCCTTTTAAGTACTGGATAACAATTCACAAAGATTGAATTTATTTAAAAGTTCATAGCCAATGCTACTGTGTTTTAACTGATGAATTTTGGTTTCCTTTTGCAGTGTTCTGTATCATGGCGAAAGGTCACAAAATAATATCTTGCTATCAAAACTTTTTTTTGTGGCTTAACTAGGCAAAACTTCGATTAATAAATGATAAGCTGTAGACCTCTACTCAGAGTAGTAACAAAGAGAGAGCTGGAGGTGGTGGCTCTTGCTTGTCACTCCAACTCCCATGGAGGGTCCTTCCTTCTTCAACCTGACTTTCTTATCCCCACAGACCTCATGTGGAACCTTGTACCATGGGTGCTATTCTGTGGCTGCTGTAGGATCTTCCCAGGTAGAACCAGACCTTATCCTTTTTCTTTGGTTTCTTGGGAGTAGAGCTGAACATGAGTGGGTGACTTCCTTTTCCAGGCTATTGGTCAAAGCTGCGGTCAGCAACAACTTGGCCAAGATATGCTTGACCCAGTTTTGCCACGGGCTACTGACCAAGAGGTTGCTGTTCGGAGTTGGCATGAGTCAGAGAAGCAGGTTACCAGCAGGTTACCAGCTGGGCAAAACTCAGATCGATTAGACATATCTTGGGGTCTTTTTACCCCTCTCTACTCGTGTTATAATTTTTTATCTTAGGCCCCTGCATTCCTTCCTCTCCTTAGCCACAACTGCCTGATATCTGTTACTTCCTACTAAGTTTTAACAGATAAACCAGACTGAGGTTAAAATGCTAAGAATTAACTCCTCTTCCCAGAAAAGTGTAATAGAAGGATACTATAGTGGAGTGGGAATTTGATAGGAAAGCATAAAATTATATTAAACTGGTAAGTGAAAAAATTTTCTACAAAAATGGTGAGTAAATAAATAGCATTTTGGTAGTTTACATGCTCAGATGCTTTATTTTTCTAGTTTTTTTTTAAAGCATTTGTCTTCTGGGGAAGCAATTTTATAACAGGTAATGTAAGCTTCCTTTGACTGACTGTAATTGACTAATGGCAACCACAGAAAACAGCCCTTAGCCTTCAATTTTTGCTCCCTTGCCAGTAAATCGTCCTGCCTGGGGTGATGATTTAATTTTCATGGTATTCAAATTACAAATTAACATTTGCAAGTGTAGATTTGGGGGATTATGCTGGAGCCTAGTAGAGTTCTCTAAGGATAGTGTGTCCCCTTGGGCTACATCATATAACTTCCTTATTAAAGTGAAAGGAAATTCCCTTTTGGTTTTCTTACAGCTTTTCTTCCTGTCCTCATATTTAAGAAAGGCATCCATCTATTCCACTTTAAATATCAAGCTTTTCTTATATCAAGTATTTCAGATAGTCAGTTTGCATACTGCTTATGGATGAAGTTAAGGGTTTTGGAAATGTTAGCCTACAGATTTGCTTTTTTTTTTTTTTTTCGAGACAGAGGTTCTGCTCATCACCCATGGCTCACTGGAGCCTCAAATTCCTGGGCACAGGCAATCTTCCCACCTCAGCCTCTTGGGTAGCCGGGACTACAGACATGTACTACCACGCACCACTGATCTTTTTGACTTTTTGTAGAGACAGGATGTCATTGTGTTGTCCAGGCTCGTCTCCAACTCCTGGCCTCAAGTGATCCTCCTGCTTCAGCCTCCCAAAGTTATGTTTGCTTCTAATAATCATAGTTGTTCATGAGTAGAAGGTATAATTCCAGCCCATCACCATACTGATGATAATTTATAGCATTATTTGTACTTGTGTTTGTAGTTTAACCTGTGTGGAATTATAGAGAGGAAACAAATCTTTTGACAGGGGCTAAGCTTGGTTTCAGGGCAGAATAAACAATATTTTTTTCAATTATATAAAATTTTGTAGAATTATGGTAAATAGCAACTGCATTTGAGGACCAAAATTCAAAGGTTTCTGTATTTTATGGAATTCGAATTCATTCTATTGTATTAAGAGTAGATTATCCTGGGGCCAGGTGCAGTGGTTCACGCCTGTAATCCCAGCACTTTCAGAGGCTGAGGCGGGTGGATAACCTGAGGTTGGGAGTTGGAGACCAGCCTGACCAATATGGAGTAACCCCATCTCTACTAAAAATACAAAATTAGCGAGGCGTGGTGGCACATGTCTGTAATCAATCCCAGCTACTCGGGAGGCTGAGGCAGGAGAATCCCTTGAACCCAGGAGGTGGAGGTTGCAGTGAGCTGAGATCGCGCCATTGCATTCCAGCCTGGACAACAAGAGCAAAACTCTGTCTCAAAAAAAAAAAAAAAAAAAAAAGGAGTGGATTATCCTGAACCCAAATAGAAAGTATTTGAAGGGAAAGACTATGTTTTCCTGTAAGGTAGATTGAGCAGAAAAATTATTAAAACAACCTAATGATCTACTGTGACTAACATTTTGCAACTCAACCTATTTAATAGGCTCTGGAAAATAAGCAATGATTTCTAGAGAAGAGTAAAAAAGCCAGAAGAAGAAAATTAAATAAGCGGCACTCTTTCTGTGGGGAAGCCTATTAACCGTGGAAAAGAATAACAAAGTTAGGCAAAAGAAGCCTACAACAAATCTTGCGTATGTGTACGTGTGCATGCGTATACATACATACACACATATATTTCTCTCAGACATACGCAGACTTTTCAGTCAGAAAAAAAAGGCTAAATGTTGGAAACCAGTACTTAATTGATTTTTAGAATGCAAACCTAACCCTTTTTGACATAGATTGATCCTATTACAAAATTCATAAAATTTAAAAATAAAAATCTGTTATGTAATGCTTAAGTAGATATTGGTAATTTGGGATTAAGTTTCAGTTAAAATGGTAAAGGGAGAATTTTAGTGGAAGTGTTTATTGTAAAATTGAATGATACTAAAATATTTTGCTTACAATTTTTTTAAAAGTCCAAAATGCTTAAAAAGTTTTGGTCATATCCAATATTTCCTAAAATGTTTATAATATTGTAACCTGGTAGTGTGACATTTGCCCCTCATTTTGTTAGCAGCTGTATTATGCTCTCTAATAATACAATTTCTTTTTTATTATGTAAATATAACACTGAAATTAGTACTAGGAAAAGCAACTGCGTGTTAAAAACCATCATATTTTTTACTGGCAAATTTGGACTGAAGTTGTCACTTTGTCACTTTTGTCATTGCCTACCTTTATCTCCAGGGCAGCATCTGATCAGAGATCTCCCTTAATTATTTTAAGATCACTGTGTTACTGTTAGATTTTTTAAATAAACATTTAGATGAAATATTTGATTAAACTGTTACACTAAAAATGTGTTTAAACTAATATGACTTTAGTCAGTTTCCTATGATGATAATGTAGCTTACATGTAAGGGATGCATCTTATGTACCAGACATTCAGCTAGACAGCTGACATAGATTATCTCATTTCATCCTCCCAAATGTGAGGATGAGAAAACAGAGGCCTGGAGAAACTGAGCAGTGTGGTCGTGATCACTAAATTAGTAAATGGTTATGTTTTGACTAAGTATTTCTTGTTATCATGTAATACTATCTATCTCCTTTAAATAGTTATAAAACTCAGAGTTTACAACTTCTGGTCTTAACATTAAAAAAAAATCATCTGGAAATTATGACTATCATATAAAAGTATGTTTTAACCTTCAAATAATGATGTTATAAGCAATTCCATCTTCACAGTCACCCGCCAGTATTTGATCTCTGATAAATGAATTGTTTGTTGCACACAGCCTCTTAGCTTCTTTCCTTTGTCTAGGCTTCTGGTTCTCATCCACTCTTCATAGAACTGTTTTATAAAATTACTCAGACACTAGGTTCACATTATTACTCGATTATTTTTAAGAATGCTGTTAAAAGTCAGGAACCTTTATTTATTTATTTTCTTAATTAAAACCCTCATACAGAAAATGCTCAATGAACATATTCTAGTTCTTAACCCCCAGATGAAGAAATAAAATAATGCCAGTGCATTAGAATTATAGCAAGCAAGCCCCCAACCCCAACCCCAATCCAACCTTCTTCCCCAAAGGTAATCTCTATCTTGATTTCTATCAGTGTTTTTGTTTCATTTTGCCTGTTTTTATGCTGTATAAAATATCATGATATTGTATATATTCTTTTGTGACTGGCCTTTTTATTCAAACTTAAGTTGGTGAGATTGATTCACAATGTCGTTTATAACTTTAGTTTGTTGATTTTTACTGCTGTATAATATCTACTCCATGACTGTGAATATATATGACAATTTACTTACCACTTTACTCTTGATGGGTGTTTAGGTGTGTCCAGTTTTGATCATGTTTAATAGTGTTTTTATTATTGCTGTTTTTCCTATGCATAGGGAAAACTTTATATGCCATTAATATGCCATAGGATAACATATAAATATAGTCAAATTTAATACTCAATATTGAACAGTTTTCCAGGGTGATTGTGCCAATGTATAGTCCTACTGGTACTGTATGAGAGTGCTGGTCACTCCAATTCCTTGTCCATACTTGGTGTCCACAGTTTTGTAATTTTAGCTATGCCACTGGGTATATAGTTTCAGTTTTAATTAAAATTTTTCTTGAAGAGTCCTATAACTGAAATAAATTGAACTCATCCTTAACTTATTTCTGGATTTATTTCTTACATTTGTTTAGGATTTTAGTCTCTATGTTTACGAATGAGATTAGTTTGTAATTTTCCTATCTTGAAATTCTCTTATTAGAGTTGGCGCCAAGATATACCCACATAATGAGTTATTCAGTATTTTCTCTTTTCTGGAAGAACGTGGTGTTATTTCTTCCTTAAAGTTTTGCAACAGTTTACTGATAAAATTGTCTGTGCCTGCAGGTGTGTGTGTGGGGCAAGGGGAGGTTTTAAATTATGGGTTAGATTTGTTAAAAATTGTTTTATGACTATTCAAATACTCTATTTACTTATATGTCAGTTGTGTATGTTTGGCTAGTCCCTTGTATCTAAATTTTCCATTTTTATTTTTATAATGGAGAATCCTATTATATTTGAAGTCTCCTTTAATATTCCTGCATTATTTGTTTGAATTTACTGAACCTCTTTGTTCTGCATATTTTTTCTATTTAAATAATTTCTGCAGTTACCTTTTTAAAAAATTTCCTTCAGTTTAACTTTTATTTCTTTTTCTAAGTTTTGAAGTGGTTGGTTGCTTATTGATTTTGTTTTCCTTTATATATTGAAAACTGTAGTTTTTCCTCTCAGCATATTATGCTTTAGTTTTTCCCAGTTTTATTATCATCCAAATAAAATAATTTTTTGTTTTCCATTTGATTCCCTTTTTGACTTATGAGTGTAATACTTGTCAAACCCACAGATGTTATCTGTTTATTATTTATTATGAATTTCTGGATTAATTCCACTGGGGGTATAGGACATACTCAGATTTTAATACTTGGAAATTTGTTGAGACTCCTCTGGTCAATTATCCTCAAGGATTTGTATGTACTTGAAGTCATGTGATTAAGTTTTTGTTGCTTGTGTGGCATTTACTGAGGGAAATATGTTAAAATCTCCCAGCATGTCTGTTTGTCTATTTGACTTTTATTTTAAACATATTTCATTTTCCTTTGTATCTAATAGTACTTTTTTATGGTGCTAATTTAACTACACTGGTTTTCTTTTGGTTAGTGTTTGCATAGTATATCTCTCATTCATTTCAAACTTTCTATATCTTTATATTTAAAATTTCTTTTAAGCAGCATGTTTTAGTCCAGACTGAAAATACTTGTCTTCTAAAATTGTGGTATTAATTCACTTCCATTTAATATGATTACAGCTACATTTGGATTTCAAACTACCATCATATTTTTTAGTTCTGAATGGTAGGTAGTGGCTTAAAAAGTTCTCAAAGTCATCTTTTTCCTACTTGAATATGTTAAGTATGTTTATTTTAATATCTGCATTGGATAGCACATTATTTGTATTACCTGTAGGTTCATCTGTGTCATCTTGATTTTTGTCAGATTGTCTTGTCTCTTCACATGCCTAGTCATTTTTTAATTGCATGTCAGATGTTCTATGTTAAAATTCTCAGAAACAATGTGAGGCCTAGTATGTTGTTTGAAATTAACAAGTCATTTTTCAAATGACAGGGAGCATTGCTATACAGTATTGCTATACTGGATCAATTTAATCAAAATTCTGGGATTGAAATGATTCAAGTGTGGTCTTTTATGTTATCTAGGAATATTTTATGCTTCCTTTTATTTCTGTGTTATAACACCTTGGAGTCTCAATCCTACATAGAGTGTTTTGATATAACCCCCTCTTTGGTGAGTTCTGGACTTCAATTTATGTCCTCTAAGATTTAGTAGATTGTCAAACCTTTGTTTAGCCTCTCAGCTACCTTTTCTGAAATCACTAAACTTTCCAAGGGTCAATGTGATACCAAATTTTAGGCTTACTCCTCTGAATTCCTTCTTATCCTGTATCTTATCCCTTTAATACTTTCTTGTATGTTTGGGATATTTTGGGCACTTAGGATCTTTAGCTTGATGTCTTTCATCAGTTTTAGTTGCCTTTAAAAATATTTGTAGAGCTTTTTTAGTTCTTTCTACAAGTGTTGATTCTTTTTACCTGATACGCCATTATATGAAGTACAATTTCCTCTTTTAACAAACTCTAAAATTTTTTTTAGTTTCTTGAAGTTCTTTGCTTTATGTTGGTTAATTTTATATTGCTTCTCCTTGTATAGATGCAACATAGTCTTGTATATTTCTAAAGATTCCCATTATTTTTAAATTGCTTATAGGTTCTTTTATTTCTTGAATTATCTGTATTTCATCTATTATTGATTTCCCTCCTGTTTATTTTGATATTGCTTTTTATGTTGCTTACTTTCCCCACAAAGTCCTTCACTGTGATCCTTCATTATATATTCATTATTAAGAAAGAGGAAATACATTAGAGAGTCTGATTTCTGTGGAGGTGGGTGGGGTTTGTGAATTTTGCAGCTTTCATTTATAATTTTTTAAAGAGCAGAATGTAAACAATACAAATGCACTCTCTTTTTTCTGGGCTGCTAGTTTCTGCTGAGTGGGAATAGGAGCAGGATCTACTCTTTTGGAATCAGAATCTGAATAACTCTTCATACATTCAGATCTGAGTATTAGCCGTTGCCTTTTCATTCCTTGATTTTTTTTGAGACTAAAGTCTGTATTCTTCTGTCTTTATTTCTTTCCCAAAGTACAATAATTTATAGCTGTGTCTGATCTTCTTAATCAGTTACTAAGCTTCTACCCCTTTCCACTTCTATCTTTTGTAAATTTGTTAAAAATCCCTTATCCAGTGATGGACTCTCTTTCTTTTTCTAATGTGGAGATATATCTATTTAGATGTTATATTAATTTTCTGTTGCTGCCATCAGGAACTAACATAAATTTAGCAGGTTAAAACAACACAATTTATTATTTTACAGTTTTGTGATCTGGAAATTCAGTAAGGATCTCACCAGACTAAAATCAAAGTATTAGTGGGGCACATTGGCTATGTTCTTTGCTGGAGGCTATAAGGGAGAAATCAGCTTGTTGCTCATGCAAGTTGGTGGCAGCATTCAATTCTTTGTCTAAGAATGAGCTACTGTGTTCTTAACGATGACCACTCGCAGCTTCTTGAGGTTACTCACCTTCCTTGTCCCGTGACCTCTATTTCTTTTATGTATTTATTTATTTAGAGACAGGGTTTCACTCTCTTGCCCAGGCTAGAGTGCAGTGGCGTGATTTCAGCTCAGTGCAACCTCTGCCTCCCAGGCTCAAGCCATCCTCCTGCCTCAGTCTCCCAAGTAGCTGGGATTACAAGCATGCACCACCACACCTGGCTAATTTTTGTATTTTTAATGGAGATGAGTTTTGCTGTGTTGCCCAGGCTGGTTTCAAACTCCTTAACTCAAGTGATCTGTCCACCTGGGCCTCCCAAAGTTCTAGGATTACAGGCATGAGCCACTGTGCCTGGCCACAGCCCTTTTTCTTTATCTTCAAAGCCAGTAATATTGGGTAGACGTCCTCTCGTACTTCAAATTGCTTCTGTCTCTTTATCATTGTACATCTCTGACCGACTCCTCTGACTTCCTCTCCTACTTTTAAGGACAATGTGATTACCTTGGGCTCACCCAAATAATCCAGGATAATCTCCTATTTTAAATTTAGCTAATTAAAGCATTAATTCCATCTGCAATCTTAATTCCCTTTTGCCATGTAGTGTAACACATTCAACGAAGTAAGACTAGGGGGGTGAAAATCATGTGGTCAAAAATTCTGCCTGCCACAATCTGTGGTCTGCCCACTGCCATGCACTGAATGCTCCTTCTTACCTTTCTGAAGATCGTCTGTCTGTTTCAGGGAAACCTTATTCTTCTCAATCTCCTTATTTCTACCATTTATAATTTCCCTCCCTCTTTTATAAAATATCTATTCATTCTTATGCTTGACTATTTTCTCTTTCTCTAAGCACTCTTATTTTTTCAAAGAGCTTCAATTACTGTCTATACACCAGTGACTTTCAAATCTGTTATCTGCCCACAAGACCCATCTGTAAAACTACCTACTTGGCATTCCTGTTTGGATGTTTCACAGTCAAATAAACTTTAATAAGGCCAAAATATCTCACCGTCTTCTTCCCTACTCACACATTCCAAACTTACTGATCTTTCCTCTTTGTTCTCTGTCAGTTAATGGACTCACATTCCCAGTCAGTTATACAGACCAGAAATGTGGTAATCATGTTTGATATTTCCCTCTCCCTCATACCCTACCTCTATCAGTCATTGACCTATTAATGCTTCCTATCAACTATCCTTTGAATGTTTCCAGTTTATCTCACTATCATATATACTGGTCTCCATCTCACTCCAGGCCTCTGCTGCTTTCTCTGCCTGAAACAACTCTTGTTGTTTTTCCTGCTTTCTTGCCTAAGTTATACTTATCTTTTAGACCTCTGATAAATGTCACTTTCTTGGAAAAGCTCTCCACAAATCCCAGGGCTGTCATAAAATTCTATACTTGCCATTTATATTACCGTAACTATAAATGATTGATAAATTATGTAACTTCATAAAATAAACATTTTATTGTTGAAAATTTTAGATTTACAGAAAAGTTGCCAAGATATTACAGTCCCCATATATTACTCATTCTTTTTGCCTTATGTGTTGTTAATATCTCATATCACTATATTACGTTTATTACAACCAGAGAACCCACGTTGGCACATTACTGTTGCCCAAACTCCACAGTTTATTTGGATTTTAATAGTTTTCCCCTTGTGTCCTCTTCCTGTTCCGGTATTCCATCTGGTATACAATATTGCATTTGGCCATCATATATATCCTTGCCTTCCTCTGGTCCATGCCATTTTCTCAGACTTTGTTTTTGAGGACCTTGAAAATCTTGAGTAGTACTACTCAGATATTTTATAAAATTCCATCTGTTGGGTTATATCTGTTTTTTTCTTCATGGTTAGACTTAGGTTATAGGTGTTCAGAGAAAGATCATGGAGGTGAAGTACCTTTCCCTCAAATGATGCAGAGGGTACATATCAATATGACTTATCGCTGGTGATGTGAACTTTGACCACTTGGCTGAGGTAATGTTTGCTAGACTTCTTTAAAGTTACTTTTTTCTCCCTTTTTATACTCCACTCTTTAGAAGCAAGTCACTAAGCACAACTCATAAACAAGGGGGTGAAATTTAAACTCCTCCTTGAGAAGAGGGTATCTACATAAATCATTTAGAATTCTTCTGTATGGGAGATTTATCTCTTCTCCATTTATTTATTTAACCACTTACTTAGATCAGTGTGGACACATGGATATTTATTTTATTCTTTGTGTTACAATTCAATACTACTTTATTTTGTTGCTCAAATTGTTATAGCTTTAACCATTGGAAGGTGTAATTTTTTTTTTTTAAGAGAGGGGTCCTGCTGTGTTGCCCAGGCTGGAATGCAGTGGCTATTCATTCACAAGTGTGATCATAGTGTAATACAGCCTTGAACTCCTGGGCTCAAGTGAATCTCCTTCCTCAGTCTCCCTAGTGGCTAGACTACAGGCACGTGTCTCTTGGCCCAGCTTAATTTTTTAAATGTCTCTTTTCCTGGATAGAATGTAAACTACATGAGTATGGGCTTCAGGTCTTCTAAAATTTTAGTGAGAAGCCTGGCACCTGGTAAAAATCAATTTGTATTTTGTGCAAAAATAAATTCATGAATGAATGGGATCTGTAAAGATGAGAAAGTATCATTGTGCTTATTTAATGTTGAATGATTCCTGTGTTGTCTTCCATTTCTAAGTGCCAGATATTTCTTTATATTCTCTGAGCCTCCAGACTGTGGTATAAGTACAAACCAAGAGACACAAAAATCAATTTAAAAGATAAATCTCTGTATTGTCAGCCTTGAGTTTAGATGGATGACATCATTGTTACCTTGGTCATCTGTCTCACTTCAGACTTTTATTCATGCATCTTACTCATCCTGCCATTTCTCTAAGTCTTATAATCACCTACTCTACATTGATTCAGACCCACATCTAATTGTGGTGGCCTCTGGGTTTTCCCACAGATAGCCACCAGGTTTTTATGATTTCTAGTTTTACTCCATTGGCCAGTGTGACTAAATCAAACCTGTGGGAAGGAGCTAAGATTTTTTTATTGTGGACCTATGTATGTGTATGTGATTTTTTAAAACTTTTGGCTGTGTGCTGAAAGAAGAATTGTGTTAACTTATTTTTAATATTCTGCTACTTTCCCTTTGGGAAAGAAAAGTACATTTTCATGGTCAAATATGGGAACTTTATATTATTATTCACCATCAATTATAGATCTCATAAATCAAAAAGCAGTATTAAATGTCATATTTGTAAATGCTATTTCTGGGAAATACCAGATCTAGTGTTATTTTGGGAAACTGTGGGTTGACCTTGCAAAACTCACATTAACGAGAAAAAAAAGCACATTTTAAATGGTGACACATCTAACAGGGAGCTTAACAGAGCAAGAGAAAGTGTGTAGGTGTTCAGTAGTAACAACCTAATGGTACCACATTGTATTTCATGAATGGGAGCAATTCACAAAGTTCCCACAAATAGGACCTCATGCAAGAACACAACTGTATAGTGGTTTTCTCTATCCTTATTCTATCAACATTTTATGAGTCCCTACTAAGTAGCAGGGAGGATCCTAGTTATTGTGAAAATAAAAATGAGTGAGTTACAATTCCTTCCTGCATGTAGCTCAGCTTAGCAGGGGAACTCAGATCTTATAGGTAAATCATTCATATTATATATTATAGAAACAACGAATCATAGGTTAGATCAACCAGGAGAGTAAAATCATGTCACCCAGCTTGACGCCCAGATGTGTTTTCTTGCATTTAATAAGCCAGTAGCAGAGAGGAATATAAGGAGCTATGTCAGAAACTTAATGGAGGTGATCTCTGTGCATAGCTTATTAATAACGATTTTCCAAATGTTCCATAGTTTCTAAGACAAGTATATATATTTTTTTAATTTAAGAAACAGGGCCAGGCATGGTGGCTCTCACTTGTAATTCCAGTGCTTTGGGTGGCCAAGGTAGGAGGACCCCTTGAGGCCAGGAGTTCGAGACCCTGTCTTTACCAAATAAATAAATAAGCCAGGTGTGGTGGTGCATGCCTGTAGTTCTAGCTACTCAGGAGGCTCAGGCAGGAGGATCAGTTGAGCCCACAAGTTTGAGGCTGCAGTGAGCTATGGTTGCACCACTGTACTCCAACCTGGGTGACAGAGGGAGACCCCCAACTCTTAAAAAAAAAAAGAAGCCAAACCAAAAAGCCAGTTGTTTTAAGCTACTATAATCTCTAATTTGTAACGATAATTTCAGTATTTCCTTGTGTTTATTTCCATACGCTTAGCCACTTGTGGAGTTTTCTTTTTGATGGTATTAAAATAAAATTCTTTCTTTTAAATCATTAAAATGCAGAGGTAAAAGAATCTTTCACTACAGACATTAGACAGCCTATGTGAGAATCTCTTAAGGCAGGAGTTGGCAAACGTTTTCTATAAAGAGCCAGATAGCAGTAAATATTTTGGGCTTTGCAGGCTATATGGCCTCTGCTACAAGGATTTCTCTGCTTTTTAGCAGGAAAAAAACCATAGATAATATGTAAATAAATGGGCGTGGCCATATTCCAGTAATACATTATTTAGAAGAATAGGCGGAAGGTTGAATTTGCCATAGTTTGCCCCACCCCTGACTTGGAGGATTCATTAAAAATGCAAAGACCAAGTTCTTACACCTTCCTGAATTAGATTTCAGAGAGATAAGCCTTTGGAATCTGTGTGCTTAACCAGTTGCATATATTATTAATATTATTATTATTACTTATACTCAAGTTTGTGAACTTTCATTTTATTTATATACTAGGATATCTGAGTCCTGAATTTGTCTCTACAGTATTGCTAGGGGATTTTTCATTTAGCTTGAATAGTTACTTTGAACTTTTTTTTTTATTTTGAACTATATTTATGGAGTACACCTTTATCAGATGGAACCTCTGTTTCAAATAATTGACCGAGAAAATATGAAGGGTAAGTTTCTGTTGAGTTAAAGTTCAAAAATGGAAATGCTGAAAGAACAAGGACCTTTTTCCTCCTCTTTATTGCTATATTTCTAGCACTTGGAACTATAACCGGCACAGGGCAGGTGTTTTGAGAAATATTTGTGTAATGAATGAATACACATTTGTATTACTTCACTCTCGGCATACAGTGATGGCCTGAATCCAAATGGCTGCACTGTCCCTGTATTTGATATCTGGGTAATCAAGTCCTAGCCATAGCCTTTCTGCTTTTACACAATACCTTTTAGTTTTTATCCAATATTCCACCTGTTTGCATTAATTTTGGGGTTATGAATGCTGCCCTTAATTGTGCTGTTTCAACATTCATGGTTCCAAAGCAACATCTATAAGTATGAATGATTATATTAGCTAAGGATCTTTTGACTATAATCAATGAAAATCCATATGGTCAACTTAAACAAAAAAGGTATCTATTAGGAAAATGGGTTAGGTGAAAGCTCAGTATCAGGGGCCTGCTGAACTTCTCTCTGGAATGCTACCCAACATAACTCAGCTCCTAACCTTATCCTAACTCCAGGCCTGTGCACATGCTGTTCTGTGTGCCAGTTTTTAATTCTGAGAGATTGGGATTGGCCCAGCTAAGGGCAAGTGCCTGTTGTTTGGTTTAATTTCTTGGCTGGTGGGTCAGGGGGACCATTATGTAACCATCCTTGTGGAGAGAAAATCAGAGATTACTACCAGAAGGATGTGGGAGAAGAGATGAGAGATGCTAGGAAGATGCAACTAGTTTAGATATGTTGATTTTGGTGCCTTTAAGAAAAAAAAAACTTTGCAAATAACTATTTGTGCTCTGATTTGCCAAAGCCCTGTTTTAAATTCTGCTATTAATGCAAACCAGGCTGCAGACCTCTGAGGTCCATGCTGATTCTTCTCTCCAGGCCTCTGGTCTGCTGTGAACAGGGCTGTTCTCTAATTGTTACAGACTTCCTCTAAACCTGAAGATTTGATTTGGAGCCTTGCTTTAGCTGCCTTTAGCTGGAAGATTTGATTTTGAGTCCTGTTTTTGCTTTTAGATTATATTTATTTATAATATCTATCCCTCTCTACTTCCAAGAAAAGATTGTTAATTCCAGATTTAAAATCAAATTCCATGCTAAGAAATGACACAGATCATCTTCAGACTGCTCCCTGTAATCTACTCATCTCTGGTTCTGTCCTTGATTAGCTGCCACCCAAACAGAGTGGCCCAGCATGGTCCTAAATCCAAGCCATAGGATAAGGATCCTAGAAAGAGAATGGAGTTCTTTCCCAATTTATGTCCCCATCTCCCACATGCGCAACCCCCGGAAGCTCAGTCTTTGTTCCTTTATTGCAGTCTGCAACTACTGACAGGTTCTGACTGCTGTCTACTCCAAAAGCATCATGTATACTTCTCCCCACTGCTTTTTGTGATACAGTTCCACTGGCCTGCTTTCTGTTACAGACACACAGAAGTCTATTCCCTCTGCGTGAAGCGGGCCTTCCTTACGTATTTACAAGACCGGCTCCTTCATGTTTTTCAGATCTCAGGTCAAGTGTCTCCAACTTAGCAAGAGATGCCTTCTCAACCACCCTTTCTAAATACATAGAGCATGCCTCCTGAGTCACTCTGTATCCCCTTACCCTGTTTTATTTTAATGTTGCAATGATCCCTATGTAGAATGTCACTTCTTTGTATACTTGTTTATCGCTTTGTTTTCCTGCTAGAGTGTATGCCCCAGGAGGGCAGAGATCTTGTCTCTGGTTTATCCCAGTTGTTTAGAACAGCACCTGATGTACTGGGTGTTCACTTGTAAAAATGAATGAATTAAGGCCACTTAGCAATTTCTAAATCACCTTTGATATACAACAATCCATATGCACAGCAATCCAGATAGACTCACCTGTCTGGGATATGTCAAAGCCACGGAGAAGAAAACTCAGCAATCAGCATTTTTCAGACTGTGGGGAGCTGAGATCACTGGCCTTGCTGAATCTCTGGTCCCAGAAACAAATACAGACAGGGATCGCCAGCATTACTTAACACCCATTCAAAAAAAGGCATTGGGGATTTGCAGCAACTTTTATACCCATGTTCTTTTGTCACCCTTCTCAGTATCTGTATCAGCATGTTTGTAGGGTTCAGCAGAGAATTTTGTCAGGTTAGGAAGAAGTAACATATGGTAGTTGTGATGAAACCTTAGCACCAGGCATGCCTCTAACATTAACTCAGAGGACTTGTTTTCGATTCTTTCTTTTATGAAACCCAGCCTTTCTATTTTCTGCTAAATCAACAGTTCCTATATACACATCAGCTTTACAAGTCTCTAGGAGACAATATTTCTTTTCCACTAATATGTGTATTCACAGCCCAGGTGCACATGTGCATGGATGCACAGACAAGGGACTGCATTTTAAGAAGTTTTGGCAGAAGCCAAGCCATAGCATAACTCATTAAGACAACCTATGACAATATAAGAAGAGATTATTTTGGAAATTCTTAAGGTAAAGATAAAAGACAAAACATACATCGAGTGGTCTTTAGCAACCCTGAGTTCTTTCCTCAGTAGCTCTTCTTGGATAGCACACTTAAGTTTTCATATCAAATAGTAATACAGCTCACCTCTCACTGACTAGAGCCTTGTTATGTTTTCCGTAAAGCTTCATGCTGATGGATCAACCTGTTGGTGAAATGGTGTTAAATGGTCTTAAAATAGTTCAGAAATCAAACCCTTCAAATCTTTGGGTAAAGTCTAAGAGGAGCATTATATTAGCTGTACAGTAAATAATGCTATAAAAAGACTCTTGTATGAGTTAATGGTGTTCCACACACATCACTTAGGGTGCAGGAATGAAACAACTTGTTCTTAACTTGCCAAGCCCTTGTACTTTTCAGCTTCTTATCTATGTTCTTGGAAATCATCAAAGAAGAAATGGAGGAAGGGGATAGCATGGTAACATTTCTCTGAGGAAGGCTATTTCTTTCCGTCCAATGCTGATTGTGAGCCTTGGTAATCTCTCTCAACTTTTCTATGTGCATACATATATGCATTTTATGGAAGCTAAATTAAATTACATTTAAAAACAACAATGTGGCAAAATGTTAATAATGGGTGAATCTATGTAGAGGGTATATGGAGTTCTTAGTACTATTCTTGTACCTATACTGTAAGTTTTTAGTTGTCTAGAAAAATGTTTAACAAAATATCAGCAGCATCCAAGGTGGTCACACTTGTGCTTTTGCATGTCAGGTATCCATCTATAGCTGCCCCTGTGGCATGTGTTTTTTCCTGCTCGACTCTAGCCACAATAATCACTAGGGTAGGCTGAGCTGAACTGATGAAATCAGATATCCAGGGAAACAAAGCAATCAAATTTTAATATATTTCTTTATTTGTACATATTTTATTATCTTTGAACTATAGTTTTTTCCTTTGGGGGAGTAAGGCAGGTTTATTACCAAATTTTAAGAAGATTTTATGTTCTCAGAGCATTTAAAGCATGTTTGAAATAGATAATGATTATTTTATGTGTTTATCTTGAGCTGAGATTCATATTCTATGGTTTCAGGGTATTAGTGAACTACTTCTTAATAAACACAGCATCAAACCTGAAAGTCAGAGACACAAAAACAGTGAAATTTAAAACCGTCTCCATAGCAAGAATCTGGAAAATCTAGAGGAGAAAAAGTGAATGAATAAGGTAGTATGGAAGGAAGAAAGAGAGGAGAGGAGAAGGGTGGAAAGGGGAGGGGAGCAAAAAGCAAGAAAGAAAGGAAAGAAGGAATGGTCAAAAGGAAAGAGAAATCTATAAAGACACCTTGTATGGATGTTGCTGATGTCACTTATTGGGAAGCATAAAATGTAATTGAAAGATAGTCACAGTAAGTGTTAATAGAATTTTAAACTAAAGTTCATTATAGGCTGTGGATTTACCCTGTGGGTTTTGTGGCAGCTCAGGCTTCAAGCAAGGCCTGCTGTAGTGTCATGGTCAGGAGGAATCCTTTGCCTAACAGAGCTCGGAAGGATCTTGTGGTGGTCAGTGACCAGACCTTGATCTTTTCACCCAGGGAATCCACTGCCTTAGTAACAAATCTCTGCAAATGGGACAAGAGCCATGGACTCTTCTGACCCCTGATCCCACACAAAGTGCCATGTCACCAAATATTCTGTTTCTTGAACTAGTAGGGAATTGTTCTGTGTATAAAGTGATTAAGTTAAATTCTTTGAGTCACATTTTTACAGAGATTTAAGAGTTAATTTTATAGAGGGTGCCAAGCTTCTTAGAAGCAAGAATATGGATAAATATTTTTGGTTACCATTTCCCCTGTCCCGGGAGATATCTTGCTATCATTATCAGAAATTACTTTTATTATTGTAGAAAGAAGTTCATTCTGTAGCCCCAAACAAGGCAAAGGTGGCAATTGGACAATAAATCAGTACTTTGTCAACATGGAGATGCATTTTTTTCTAATTTTACTAACACTGTAGCCAGTCACTATGCCGCCCCAGCCCATGCAGCTGCATAATTATACATCAGATCTCCAAAATGAATTAGTTTATTTTTAAAACAGCTAATTGCCTTAGTGGAGTCATGTTTTACCAGAAGCACAAAAGGGCTTTGTTCACTGCAGGGAAATTTTCTTCTGGAATGACTGTGTTAGGCTCTAGCTTCTGTAAATGTCAGTCATAAACAGCAAAATATCAGCAAAATCCACTAAAATCACTAATAATCCAGAACATCTCAATGCGACTTCAGCATTATTTGCTCTGCATGTAGCTCTATGTGATTTTAAGATTAAAATGGCATAGTTAGGTATGTTCTGTGGTACAACCATATGTGACTTTTTATGTGTGCTTTCTGTAGCCCAGTTTAGATATGTCTCTTGAAACCCAACTATGTGTTTATAAGGCAGACCTCTTATTGCATGTTTGGTCTCCATTAGGGATGACAAGCCAATTTTTGGAAATCAAGACTCCTCTCTATTATAGTCTTAAACTTCAATTTTTACATTTTGTTTTTGGATGCTATTATATTTAAATAGAAATAGCAGGTGTAATGTTTATGCTATGTTACTCTGCAGGGATAGTGGGCTCAGAAAACACTGATTAAGGATAAGTTCCCACAGTGTGGCATCACCTTGACAAATTCACATCAGTAATGCCCACAAAGACTAGTAGATTCAATCCTAATGACAAATGAATACTCACAATAAAAAGTATTTCCCCAAGGGACAATATCCTCATGACTTAATGACCAACAAGTTGTAAGAAACCAGATTATAATTAGATGTATCATGGCAGAATATTGACTCAAACCCATACTTATTAGTTACATGGTTTGAGTGTTTAATAGCATGAGGCTAAGACGGCTGACTAGATCTGCCTCTAGGGGACTTAAATGTGGCAGGACCATCACAGACAGCCTCAGATGTGACCCCAAACCCAACATGACGTAAGTTTCTGGACTTTCTCTTTAAACTTTAAGGCCTGAAGCATTAGTATTTCAGACTTCATAATGTATAAGAAAAAAGCCAAATGATTATCATACAGTTAATTTTAAAAGTCCAATTAAATATCTTATTTCTTCCCTTAATATTTCTCCCTAGAAGGCAATAAACTTATCTGTATATCTCTGTTTCAATTTTTTCTTCGTTCTCTGTCCACACAGGTCCCAAATAGATTTTATTATTTTGAACAACTAAGTTCTGGCTCCAGTTTTGTATTCCTACCTAGAAAAGCAAAGCCTGCAGTTAGCTAAACCCTTTCTATTGTTTGCAAAGTTCTGCTTTTTAAGTTTGCCCCCTGGAGGTCTCATGTTCCATGCCAAATAGGTTTTCAAAGTATTTACCTAATAATTCCTAGGAAAACATTCTGCTCCTAAGAAAAATAATACTTACCACTTACAAATATAGGAATTCACATGCCTTTGGTACTGAACACCCTCTCCTCAAAGTAGACTTTAGGTGGGCATTGACAATGTTCACCTTGACAATGTTCACCTTTGTGCTCTGCATTTTCTCTGACTCCAAAGCTAACACATACCCCTTCTGATGAATCCTTCATTAAACAGATTAAAGTAATTAATTATATTATAGTCAACTATGACTAATCTGCAATCTACTATATATTTTCTAATTTGAGTTAGCTCCCCCAAAACATGAATATTAGGACAATAATAATAGCCTTTGAGACCTTACTTGGTCCCCACTAAGTCACAGTTTAATCCAGCGTGTCTTAATTTCTAAGCAAAGGCTGACAAACAGGGTGATCAGTTATGTGTGCGTGCGTGCGTGCATGCGTGTGTGTGTGTGTGAAACAAATACACACAGGTGTATTTATTTCAGGAACCAAAAGACTGCATTTACAAAATATATTTGAGATGGAGATAGTTATTAAATTAAGGCCAAATTGTTTCCATATGGTGAAAATACTTCTTTACTAGTAAAAGATATTTTTATAATTTAAGAGGTTTAAGATGGTTTCAAAATTCATTTCTCATCACATTTCCAGCATTCATGAGCCTTTGAAACTTAAAGCCAGAGAGGAGCTTATCATTTGACAAATTACATAAGAGTTCCAGAATTTAATGTTATGTCGATTCTTAAAATTGGCCATTATTCACAAATTATATTTATCACATGCGTTCATGAAAATCAAGAGAACTTTAGAATAATTATATATATTCCTTTATCTAATGTTAACGACTCACAGCCTGTAACTACCATCTGCCCTTTCTGCCAATGGTGTATTTATTAATATATTTTAATAACAATTCTAATAGTTTTCATTTTAGCTTAAAATGTGTTTGCCTACCACAACTATACCTGCATTTTTCTATGCTTGCTTTTCACACTAGAAAACAAAGACCAGTCAATACTTTAATTGCCCAAGGGTTGTAAACAGACATGAATGATTCCTTAAAGCACCAATCACCTTTAGGAAAAAACAAACAAACAAAAAAAACTTTTTTTTTTTTTGAGATGGAGTCTTGCTCTGTCGCCCAGGCTGGAGTGCAGTGGCAGGATCTGGGCTCACTGCAAGCTCCGCCTCCCGGGTTCACGCCGTTTTCCTGCCTCAGCCTCCCGAGTAGCTGGGACTACAGGCGCCCGCCACCATGCCCCGGTAATATTTTGTATTTTTAGTAGAGATGGGGTTTCACCGTGTTAGCCAGGATGGTCTTGATCTCCTGACCTCGGGATCCGCCTGCCTCGGCCTCCCAAAGTGCTGGGATTACAGGCGTGAGCCGCCACGCCGGGCCAAAATACTGTACTTTTAAGTGCAGTTTATGCATTTTCTAATTCTGTGCTGCACTCTCAGGATGATGGGCTGCGCATTATTAGCTCATTCCTTTTATGTTATATTACTTAGTTTGAAAATCAACTTTTATTTCAGATGCCATAGTAATTTCTCACTGTTGATAACAGAATTACAATGAGAAAACCTTGAAAAGAATACATTTAGTTTAAATTAAATAGAAAAGAAAAGAGGAAGATAAATTTAGCCAAGATTCAATTTAGGATTGTACCAGAATATTTAGTTCCCTTACAAAATACAAAGTATTGCTACTTCAAATGAAAATTTCTTGAGAAACTCTAGCCCTCATTAAATGAAATGTTTGTAACAAAATAAACTTTCACTATCAATGTATCAGAGTCCTTATTACTCAGCATTCTTACCAATACTTGGTATTGTTAGACTCAATTTTTGTCTGTCTGCTGGGTTTAAAATGGTGTCTCATTTTGGCTTAATTTTCAATTTTCTGATTACTAATGTGCTGTAACATATTTCATATGTGGATTGGACATTAGAGTTTCTTTTCCATCACTTGCCTATTTTCTTTTGCCAACTTTATTATTGGGTTGTCTTTTCTTATTTTTTAACCATTATTAATATATATTCTGAATACTCATTTTTGATTCATTAAATTCACTGTAAACGTTTTCTCTCAATCTGTCATTAATACATTTCCCTTTTTAAAAGTGTCTTTGCACAAAATTATATTATTATATCATGTTTATCAATCTTTTTCTTTATGATTTGTGTTCTTTTATGTCTCATTTAAATCAATTCTTTACCTGAGAATTTAAATGTATTCTTTGACATTTTTTCTTGTAAAACTTTTCAAGTTTGCTTTTTGTATATATGTTTAATCTACTTGGAATTGATTTTCTGAGTGGGAGTGTACATGTATATGTGTATGTGTAGTTTGATACAAAAAATAAGAGTTTAACATAGAGTAGCAATTATCTTAGCACCAGTTATTGAAAATCTTCCCTTCTCTGTAGTGCTAGTATTGATATATGTAAAGCTTCCACATATGTGGGACAATATTCCACATATGTGGGCCTAATTGTCGTTGGTCTATTCTGTTCTCTTACCTAGTTGTCTATATTTGAACCAATAATGTATTCTCTTTTGTATAGCTTAACAAATAACTCCTGAAATCTGATAAGGCACATACCCTCATTTTAAGTTCCTTCAAAATTATGACTTTTCTTGGAATTTTGCTATTTCATGTAAATATAGAAGTAGCTTGTCAAGTTAAGAATAATATTAACACTAAATATTGATTTTTTTCTATCCATGGACAAAATGTATCTCCCTATTTTTTTCTTTATTGTCCTTTATCTATTACTTCTTCAATTCAGGACACTTTACTTAGTTTAACTATCGCTCAAGACTATTTTATTAACATTATTTTAATATTATGTAATATGGTAATGGTTTATTATATTACATAATATTGAAGTGTGAGAGTAGGCCTGTGTGTGCCAACACTCAGTTATCCTAGATTGCAATGCTAAGAGAGGTCTAAAATCTGCTAATTTTAGCTTTTCTTCTTTCTCCTTTATTTTATAAATTCCACTCTGTCTTTTTTTTTTTTTTTTTTCTGGAAGATTGCCTGTTTCTAGCAGAACCTTTTCCTCCTTTCTATTTTTTTTTCCCTAGTCTGCTGCCAACGAACTTTTTAGAATTTTTTTCTGAGATAAAAGTAAATTTATTTTGAGTATGAGGTTTACAACATACTAATTAATTAGCTACTAGTTGTTGATTAAATACTGTGCACCAGTGTTTGTATTAGACATTCTAGGTTTTCCCAGCAACACTACTATTAGGGATAGATGGTAATCACCAGTACATAGATAAAACCGAGGATAACATGCCCCAGATTATGAAATTAGAGTGCTGTGTGGTCAAG
The DNA here is from genome assembly GCF_000001405.40 of Homo sapiens. NCBI lineage: Eukaryota > Metazoa > Chordata > Mammalia > Primates > Hominidae > Homo > Homo sapiens. The sequence continues at coordinate 18,480,312 of NC_000007.14, forward strand.
ATTGAGTCCGAATCTATGTTTTTTCTCCTAGCACCACCCTGCCTCTAACACATAACAATATTTTAACACTGAAGTGTAATCAGAGACAATGTGCTGTACAATTCTAAAACCAGACAACCTGATTCTGAGGCAGGATGGGCACCCTTCCCTAACTTTGGGGCCATAGAGCAACTGCTGTGCCAGAAAGTTTGTAGGGAGGGAGAGTGGTTAGGTAAGTAGAAGAGACAGAGATACCTGGGGGATAGAGCTGCAGGAGGCTTTCAAAGGTGGTTGTAGTGAGCTGAATAAAGCATTTCCAGTAGGTCAGAGCTGCAGATTGAGGAAAGGAAATAGAGTTTTAAGATATTTAGTCTGTTCTGCTGCAACACGTGTTTCTATAACAAAAATTAAATGTGATTGGTACATAGGTGATAATGAGTATAAAGTGATGTTGGTTCTTAAGTGATTTTTTTCTAGTCATGGGGAACCAGAAGAGTAGAAATACAATAATAACTTTTAGTAATAAATGGGAAAGAAAAAGCCATCAACTGGGCTGCTACATTGCCAACAGGAATCATTTGGAGTATGTTTAAGAAATTAAAAACTAGTATCTGCATCCAGTGAGTTGCTTATCTCAGTTCCTCGTGCCCAAACTTGTTATGCTGTAGGCTCATGGCAGGGGACATTTCCTCCAAGCCCACCTAGGCTGCAGCCCTGCAGCAGAGCTCCAGTTCTCCCAGCAGTGCCTCAGTCCCCATCACCCCGCTTCACTGTCCTCTCTATTGTTTTGTGCATTTGTCCATCCACTGTGGCGGCTTCTGGCCAAGCTGAGCTGCTGGTTTTTTGGAGAGGGCAATCCAACTTTTATCCCCACTTAACAACTGTAAATATCAGTAATAATAATAATATTATATGATAATGATAGTGATGATGGACATGGTGGTATAATTACCAAATAACATAGGCTTTGAACAGTTTGCTTATAATCCCATCATCTCATAAACTTGTTATTTAGAGTACATATTTAACAGAATATGAATTTTCTCTGGAACGCAATTATTGTGTTATTGCTGCATACGTGTACTGTTACAGGTCTAATGTTTCCTTCGTGGTGTTCAAAAATTACAAATAATGGACCTTACTTACTTAGATATTACTTTTGGGTTACTCAAATGGATATTAACTACAACACCACTATAAACTGCTGAACACTATGGGTTATGGTTATAAGGGTTATACTTGGTTCTGTTTACTTTGAGTACCAGGGTATTTTTGTCTTCAGTAGTCAGATTGTGTCACCCCAGTATCCATTATAATACCTAGGAAATTTATTTTCATTCTAGGCTTTGAAAAGATGATAAAATGATGTAATGTGAGTTAATCAACTGCAGAATGGCTTACTTTCCTATATAGTTAAAGCAAAATTATACATGACAAATGATGAGTTGTGATATGAATCTTCAGTTCACCCCTCACTGTGGATCTAGTGTATACCTTTAGCATATGGAGCTAAGTCCAGGCTAGATTACTTGCCTTGTGTAGTCTGAATGCTTGAGGTTCAGTTCTGGATGGGCCACAGTATTGCATGAAGACTTTTGTCTGGTTGTTACTTCCTCATGTCCAGATCCTTGTAATTATTTGCAGAAAAATCATTATTAGCTGTGTCTGTAATGGCCTGTGGGTGACTTTATGTGCCAAGTCTTCACTACCAGCATTTTCAAAGGGCTTGGTTTCCTTCCAAGCCATTCATCAATTGCCTATCGCCACATCATATATGCCTTGAGGCATGATCATTCAGTCAGGAGCCTCTGTAACTCTGAGTGTGCTCTGCACTTTCTCTGCAAAATTAAGGTGATGGAAAAGATCATATTCTGCTTGTTCTGGCAAGAAGGGAAGAGGTCTGAACTGAAAACAGGGGCACAACCATGGACCCTCATGTGCCCTGTCACACTGTTAAAGAGTATCCCTGGCTGCTGAGCATAGTGGTGTGTACCTGCAATTTCAGCTGCTTGAGAGGTTGAGACAGGAGAATCACTTCAGCCTAGGAGTTTGAGACCAGCCTGGGCAACATAGTAAGACCTGGACTCACCAAAAAAAAAAAAAAAAAAAAAAAAAAAAAAAAAAAAATTCTCCTTGGCTGCCACGTCTCAGGGATTTTTTTTAAAAACTATTTTCCCCTTATGTGGATATTGTTTGTATTTTTGTCTTGATCTCAGTTATCTTCCAGCAATAAATACTTGAGATGTTATTAGAGTTATCAAATCTTACAAATGATTATTACAGAAGGATAGAAAATTGTATTGAAGGATTAAAACATAAATTAAGAAGAAAAGTAACTGAGCAATGCCCTTATTTATTTTTTTTCTTAGAGAAGCATCACACATTTTTAAGACATTTTTTTGGAATCACAGAGCATAACTTTTCTTCCTGGGCCATCGAATCAAAGCATTACCAAGGGAGCATTAACAGCTAGGTGTGCCTGGCTCTACAGCTCATGGGTGTCCTGTCCAGTGGCTTGCTGCCCTCTCTGGTCATGCCCACTTTGTGTGAACACTGAAGGCCCTTCTTCCCAGGAGCCATTGGAAGAACTAACACTTGTCAAAGCAAATCATATTTGTTATCTAAATATGAGGAAACCCTTAAAAACAGAACAAAGTCTAACGCATTACTCTATAAGACAGATTTTTTTGAAGTACTGCTCTGAAGTGTGACTTTTTCCACTGCTATATTAAGAATTAGCAAAAGAAAAAGATGGTGAATTATGCATTATATAGTATATGCATTATATACAGTAAATTACGCTTTATATACTACAAAGAAAGAAGAGAGATGCAGAAAATAATATGGAAGCTAATGGATAAGAAATATGTGCTTAAGTTGGGGCAAGAAAGTCAACTTTTGATTTCTGTGAAAGAAAACAAAGGCTTCAATGAGTATTATGTAAATGGGTGTCTCAAGAACAGGTAATGATTGCTGAAATGAGGGAGATATCATCTTAAGCAACTAGAAAGGACATGTGCGAAAGCATTGATATACAGACAGGATACAGTGATTTTGAAGAACCTAAGTAAAGATGAGAGCAAGGTTTTCAGAAAAAGCAGAATAAAGGAAAATAAACCCACAGCAGTGAATTGGAAGAACTTTGACCAGTAATCTGTTTGATAGTGGATGTGTTTTGAGGATTATTTATGACCTGTATCAGTAGGCATTGTTGTTATGATCATAGGAAAATCCTGGGAAAGAGGGTTTTTGGAATGAAGGGTGGCCATGTTGTCTAATGTGTCTTCTTACCCAGGTCGCCCTATGTTAAGAAGCTTAATTCTAGAAAATTTTAAATTGCTTCTGGATACACATAAGAACTTCTGGCAGAATTTTTCTCATCTGGAAATAAAGTCATTTAAAATTTTTACAAATCAAGTTCTTTCTGTTTTTTCATTTATCTCAAATTTTCTAAAACTGATGCTACATTGGCAATTCTGTTAAAGTTCAAAATTAACAAATTTTATTACCAGAAAGGCTTATATCATGACTGTCTAAACATTGTGTTATTGGCACAGATTCAAAATTCAAAATTTTGAGTATTATTTTAATCTTTCTGTTTTCTATCAACTGATTTGAATCACATACATTTAAATGTCTGAAGGCCAATATATTCTACTATGTAATGATCTACACAGTTTTGAGATGTTACAATAATTCATGATTCATTTGAAAGTGTAAAAAAGGGTACTTTAGTTTTACCCTAATGGCTAAATATTTAAAATACTGTTATGGGGCTGGGCATGGTGGCCACTGTAAGCCCAGCACTTTGGGAGGCTGAGGTGGGAGGATTGCTTGAGCCAAGGAGTTCAAGCCTAGGCAACAAAGCAAGACCTTATCTCTCAAAAAAAAAAAAAAAAAAAAAATTAGCCAGTCATGGTGGTGTGTGCCTGTAGTCCCAGCGCTTGAGGGGAGAGGATCCCTTGAGCCCAGGAGGTTGAGTTTGCAGTGAGCTATGATTACACTACTGCACTACACCTGGGTGACAGAGCAAGATCCTATTAAAAAAAAAAAAAGTAAATGTCTATAGGTATTGAAATACAAAGGTAGCCCCATTATCATAGAACTTGATAATCATGGGTTCTCATTTCTTAACCCCCATATTGGTTTAAGTTTTTTTGTTCATGTAATGCTATAAGCATGTTTTGAGTGAAGTGCATATTTTAAATGAAATCAAATGCCTGAAGTTTTTGAATATTATGTCTGCTGAGTGTTTTCTCCCTAGCTTTTGAAGGGGATAGCATTAACTTATGTTTGTGGATTCCCTGTTAATTAGCCCTTAGAACCATTTAGCTCCTAGATTTTAGTTTCGTTTAACTAGGCCTCGGTTTTTGAAGTCAACACATAATTATTCCTAATTGAAATAATGAAAAAGTATTAACCAGGCATGGTGATGCATGCCTATGTCTCAGCTACTCTGAAATCACGTGAGAAGATTGCTTGAGCCTAGGAGTTTGAGGCTTTAGTAAACTATGATTATGCTATTGCATGGCAGTCTGGATGACAGAGCAAGACCCCACCTGTAAAAAAAAAAAAAAGGAAAACGTAAAAAATTTTAGTTCATCTAGGGTTTTGAATTTAAAATAACTAAACTTGGGTTCCAAAGGGTCCCTTCTGCTTATAAGCAAGTACCATTGAGAATTTCCTTCAGACATAGCCAAAATAAGACAACAGTCCCTGCTTCATTACAAAAAACAGATTGTTACAGCTTCAGGTGAAATAACTAATGTTAGCTGATTGATTCTTAAATAGACTGTCCCTGCCATCTGGAGAGAAAACATTAGTTGGGGGGAACACATTGTTTACTGAAGATATTCCTAGGTTCGAATTAAATGACAAACACAGGCGTAATTCATTGTACCTAATGAAGGCTCTGTATTTCATGTGAGTGTTGTTATCAAGCTTCGTTTCTCATATTAAAATGTCAGATTTGGCTTTATAAAAAGAATATAGCAAATAGCCCAGCATATTCCACCACCTTCTTGTTCATTATTTCCATATCTTATTTGGCAGTTAGGAATCATTGAATCATTGAATATGAATGGTTTGTTTAGCAGCCTACAGAGTGATATTCATATGATGAAAATTTCCATTCTAACTTTTCATATTTAATTTATATATATTTATTATATATATTTATTTTTTCTTTAAGAAACAAAGCAGACTAATGATTTTTATGTTCTGTTTTATGATGTTTATAGCTGATGTTAGTTCGGCAATACAGAACTCAATTATCTTAGTTCAGAATACAGAATTCTAAGTAGTCCTTCAATCATTTAGTTCTAATTTATGTATTAATATTATATTATAATCATAATGACTACTGTATATTGAGTGCTATTATGTTATCATAATGCTAGGAACTTTATATTTACTGTTTCTAAATATTGAAGCTATACTGAAAGGCAGATGTTAATATCCCCATTTATAACATGAGAGAATTGTGACTCAGAAAGGCTAAGTAACGTATCCAAGTTGTACAGTCCTGCATAATAAGTGGCAGAGACAAAATTCATATCAAATTCTGTCTTAATCCAGGCCTCTTATCCATACAATAAGCCACATTATTTGAAATGTTATTGTCTTAGTCTGTTTTGTGTTGCTGTAATAGAATACCACAGACTGGGCAATTTATAAAGAAAAGAAATTTATTTACAGTTCTGGAGGCTGGGAAATCCAAGAGCATGGTAAGGGCATCTTGTGTGGCCTTCTTATTTCATCATCCCGTGGTGGAAGGCAGAAGGGCAAGAGAGCATGAGAAAGCAAGAGATGGCTAGATTTGCTTTTATAACAAACCCATTTATGATAATGACATTAATCCATTCCTGAAGGACCTAATCACCTCCTAAAGGTCTCACTTCTCAACACTGTTGCATTGGGAATTAAGTTTCCAACATATGAACTTTGATGGCAAACTATACCAGTTATATAGTTCTGTTTCATAAAAAAGAGATGCCATTATTCTCATGAATCAAATTTAAATTAATATCTGAAGCCAAAGTTTCCACATTTTCCAGAATATATCTCTCTGATCTAGAAAGTATATGATCATAAGGCCCTTCCTTCAAAAGGCTTAGACCATGTAGGATCTCTTTAAAGCTGAAAAGACAGCCTTCAACTCGATGACAATGTAAGGTGGAACTTCTTTTTATTAGAGCTTTGATGTTCTCAGAGTGTCTCATCAATGTGTTCTGTAGAAAAACTGTAATAGAAGCCAGTATGGCCGTTAGACAGAACCAGGGAGACCCTTAAGAGCATAGAAACAATTGTTAAAATTATTTTCAGTAAACATAGTTTCAGTATAGAAATGGAAATGTTTTAAGTAAATTCTCTGGAATCTTGAATATCTAATTCCTGTGTTTAATTATAGGAAAATAAAGCATAATATAATTTATAATCTCCATGTTTTATATTGATAATATGAAACATGTTTGGGTATAATTTCGTCCAGAAAAAATATTAGATTTGGGAAGGGTGGTAGGTAGAATGGGGAATGATAATGCAGAAGATGGTCAAAATTGTGTGCCTGACATTTATTTGTGAAAATAAGTATGAATGGAAGTGTTTAGTTATCAAATGTTTTATCTACATTTCTGTAGATTCATATGTATCTATTCAACCAACATGTGGCTTTGCCAAGGAGATCATCTTTGGAGAGTGTTTTGGGGGATGAAAAGGATTTACTGCTTTTAGCTCCAGAGAATATGGTGCACCAGCAAGGGCTTCTATCTCCCTTCTGTGAGCTCACCAAATGCAGAGACTTTTATATTGGATATAAGGAAAAAGATACAGAAGTAGGCTGCTTATAAAAGAGAGTGATGCCTAAAATAAAGGCATTGAAAAGTTGAAAATAAAGGGAAAGAAAAATATCTACCAGGCAAATGTGAATAAAAAGAAAGTCTGTTGTAGTAATCTTGAGGCAAAAGTCATCATAAGGGACAAAGAAGGACATTATATACTGGTAAAATGAAAAAGAATTTCCCAAATGAAAAAGAGTGAATACAAGAACATCATGTTCAGAGACATGGAAAAATGAAAAATTTGGGTAATATCCAGGAATTGTGTCTGTTGCATGATGTTTGCAAAAGAAAGTTAGGGGTTGAACTCCTAGGTCAGGTGGTTGTCAAAACTTGAATGGCCTTAGAGTGTGTTTGCCTCTGTTCTTGGCACTGAAATAAGAGAAGTCCTGAAGTAGAGAAGATTCCATAACCATAGGATGTATAATATAAACTTAGTGATATGGCCAGTTGTAAATGTTTGTATTTAGTTATATGCCATTGCTATAAATACTTTTGATCTGTTGAAACATAAGTAAAATATGTTTTAGGTACTTGCTATTTCTTAAATTCAATAGTTCACACCCAATTAGATCGAATTATGAAGTCAGAATTGAATTGCAACATTAACCAAAAGTTGTTGCTATTTTCAGAGGCTAGCTTTCTAGAATCCTCTTGATTTAAATTGGTTATAGATCATGGTGTGGTATGCCACGTATCAACTTGACTTTTGTAGCAAGAAATGATGTAAAAAGCTCTGGGTTGACTTTTGGTATCTGCTACAATTATGTTAGCAAGTAGTAACTTAGTCTTGTCACAGCTCTCAAATGTGGTATATATTCAGATGCTACACATGACAGAATTTTTGGTGTTCAGAATTTCCAAGTTGATAAATATTAAATGTGCAGCTACATAAGAAGCAGACTTATTTTGTGGAATAAAATAAACTTTTGATTCATACCAAGTAGTGAAGATCAGAATGCTAATCCTTAACTGGACTTCTAGAATTTTTTTATTTTCATAGTCCTGTAGCTAAAAATAGTCTTTTCTTGAAACAGAGCTTTCCATTAAGTTTCTGATCCTGTGAACACCTTGTATGTACATAGCTTAGTCAACATAGGATGGGTTAGTCAGTGTTAACTTGCATTTCAAAGTAGACACTGTTAAATAAAGAAAATAGTGCTTCATTATTCAGCATGAACCATTACGTGTCACTTAAAGGAAAAGCAAGGTTTTCTAGTTGATATGTACTGATACATTCAGGCATATGTAGTACATATACTAATGCAAAATGATGTTAAGTTGCTTAGTTATCTTATATGAAACATTAGTTTTAGGGTCACAGAAATGCTGTTTATACGAAGTATAAAAATTGTGTTATAAGTTTCTGTAGTGACCTTTGAAGGGAGGCAAAGTTGGGTCTGAAGCTGTAATATATTTCTTCTAGAATTTTGAGCGCAAATGGTGTATTCAGTGAAATTCATGAGTTAAAGATAGAGCATGAAGACATTAGCCAATGCAGCTTATAACCAGAGTTTTCTGGAAGCTCTGTCATGACTACAAGGTTACTAGTAGTACAAGGTTCATTACTGTAAAGCAGAGTTACAAACACATTTTTATATTTTCTTAGTGCTGATATCTGCTATAAATGCCTCACAAGAAAGATATTTTAATACTTTGTTCATTCAAATTGTACTAGATAATGATGGTCACATTGAGATCATTTATGCTACAGTCTGATGCCAAGTCTTTTTCACTGGTTGGTCTATGTTGTGGGACAAGAACAAGGCAAAGGAAATGCAAAAAGTGAAAGTGCAATTAAACTGCACTTGCTTTCAATGAGATTCTTTATTCAGTTATATACTTAGCTTTTAATTATGGTTTATTTTTGTTATTAAATTAATATTTTAATAAGAAACTATATAAAATGAATAACAATGAAATATTAGAGGTTGAATAGTATGTTAGTGATTTACTCAAGATCAGTAGTCACTTAATAGGTTCATCTGAAGAAGGAATCATTTATTCATTGCAGAAATATTTATTGAGTGACATACTATGTGCCAGACATTATGCTAAGCTCTGGTAATACAGGAGAAAGCAAAATGAACTATTTTTTCAAGTTGATGCATGAAACTTTTTATAACTCTGAGTAAATAATTCAACATTTAATCAATTATATAACTTTCTTTAGAATTTATACAGTTTCTTAGAAAAACAAATGAGTAACAGCTTTTCAACATTTTAATAATCATGAATTAAAGGTCCATAGGAGGATATTTTTAATAATCAGTTATAGTAATATTAGCTAGTATTTATTGAATACCTATTTGCCAGGTATTGTATAATTCTCTATCATCCTTATAACAATCCTGAGAAATTTATTATTTTGAATCCATGCTTATAAATTAAAATTTAGGGAAGACTTGAAGAAAATTTAGTTACAGAGTTTCTTATCAAACTGTATAGTAATCACCTTGATTGTATTGCTTCTAAAACTGAAAATTCCATGAAAGTAGGGCCTGTCTCATTCTTGTATACATTTATATCTTCAGGGCTTGCACTGTGGCTGTGAAATAGTTGATATTCAATATATGAAATAACTCACTTTCATAGAAAAAATAAACTTCCCTTGATTCTATCAAAAGACTATTAAGTTTTCCTTATCTCTAATTACAGGACTGCACAGGGCCATATTGATTTCTCCTCCTGTGCTGGCTGCCTTGAGTGCTGCAGAGAGGGGCTGATGTGCAACTGGAAAACACTCAGAAAAAAATAGAACCTGGAACAAAATGGCTGAGCAGGGAAAAGCTGTGCACACATGCCCATCATCTTAAGAGTACAATGCTGCTCTCATTCGCAAGCTAGAGGATCCCTTTCTTAGCAATCCACCTTAGTCTTTCATACTCCGAATATTGATAGCCTTGTTCTTACCTAGCCTTACCTAGTCTAATTATTTTCATTTTTAAAAATTGTTCTCTAAAAATGTTGGCTAATTTGAAATCACACCAAAAGATACTTTATTCTTTTATATTTTTGCTGTGTAACTCCTGCTTTTGAAAGGATGATCTCATCTTATGGTTCTCAAACTTTATTGTGCATCAGAATTACTTGGAGGGCTGATTAAAATACAGATTCCTTCCAGAGATTCTGACTTACTCGTTCTGGGGTAGGAACCAATAAATTGCACTTCTAGCAAGTTCCCAGGTGATTTTGATCCTCTGTAATCCTCTAAAAATAGAATAAATCTTGGCTCAACACATCCCATTTGAAGGGAAGAGTTATTTTCAATCACTGCAAGGCCAATGATTCTAAAGTTTTTGTTGTCGTTGATTTGTTTTGCTTTCAAATATAACAGTCTCCCTGAAATTTCAATGCCAACGTGATTTCTCAGACCCTTTACCTGCTGTAAAATCTTGCGTCAGATGAGGAAGATTTTCTCAGAAGACCATTTGTTATCTAATTAGGCTTTCTAAGTGGGGAGAAATCACTTGTTAATTGAGTATCCCTTATTCACATAGAATTGATGATGTTCCTCTAAGAAATAGAAAATTCAGATAAATAAGGTCTTGAGTTGGAACAAAAATTAGTACACTGTACTTTCCCCTCCATCCTATTCCTTGGAGGTCTAAGGGAATCAAGCTCACTGACTGCAGGCAAATGCATATAGTTTTATTGCTTTAACAATAGTTTGAGGAATGTGAGGTTGGGAGAAGAGGTAACATCAATGAGTGAGTGAGTGAGTGAGTGAGTGAGTGAGTGGAGGAGCAGCAGTTATTGGTGAGTAATTTGCAGCATACTACAATTGTAGAGCACAAATTCGGTATTTGAGGTAATTAAGTTTTAAATCTTACTTCATTTACATTCCAGAATCATAGGGTTTGTTAATACATGAAAAGTCTCTGCTTGATTACAGATGAACTGATGATATATCATTGTGGTAGAATAAATTGGGTTACATTACCTCCTTTGCTTGTTTCCAGTTATCAACTGAGATTGATTTTAGAAGAAAGCCTATTATAATCCAGAAAAATACAACTTGAACTCCATAATCTCAAGTGTTGAAATCCCAAAAGATGAAAATATAATTCTGAAAGAAATAATAAAACATTCTTTATATTTATTTACATTTTAAAAGGGGGTTTATTTGAGAAAAATTAAAACAAAACAATACACTGTACACGATAAAATAAATAATGGCACATATTTTTACAAGCAAAAACACTCAGGTATACTAGCAACAGTCACACCAGTATAACAGTTATGATGCAGACAAACCGTATTTATAAAGAAATAGGTCAAAAATGGAAATGTATAAATGCATATCACTGTGGTTGATAATTGTGTGCACCCAGCTTTATATAACTGTAGTCATCTTAAATTTCCGGATGAAGAAGCTAAGCTTTTTGGCAAGATGGATCAAAAAATTCAGTGGGTCAACAACACGCATATAGTTACCCAAAGAACCGAGATCCTGATAAATTTTCTTTCACAAGCGCAGATGTACAAAATCTTTCTTTCATTTATTGAAGAAATTTCGACATGTTTGGGTTCAGAAGTACTGCTTATATGCAAAGTCAACGTTGTGATAATGCAGTTCTCGTGGAATCAAATTTCTGATGTCCAAGGCATTCGAAGAGAAGCCTGCCCTAGTTCTCAGACAGAAACCAGTTCACCTCCTGTGTCTGTTCTATATGGGTCCCCGGCAGATCGGATGGTGCCTGCTAACATTGAGGGGAGATCTTCTTCACCTAATCCACTCAAACTCACACTAATGTCATCTGGAAGCACCCTCACAGACACACCCAAAAAATGCTTTAATAGGTTTCTAAGTATTTAATCCAGTGACATCTCAAATTGAATCCACAGGTCCACCCCTTGTCAACTTGGCTCCCGTAAGTCTCTCCTTAACCATACTTAATTTCCAAGTAAAGACTGTAACAGCCGCCTAACATGATGCAACTAACATGATGCAATAATCCTGCATACGACCAAAAACTAATCGCTTCACCAGAATGCAGCTTTCAAGATTTCATATTTGAGATTTTAATATTTCGAGATTGTTATTTTCAGGATTGTAGACGTGAGAGATTTTAGACCTAAGGGATTTAGACCTTAGGGATTTTGTATCTTTTCAGATTTCAACATTCAGGATTATGGCATGTGGGATTGTGTCTTTCAGGATTGTGATCTAAATCCATTTTAGAAAAGGTCATTGTGAGCTAGAGGTCTGAGGATATTTCTGGAAATATTTTGGTGCCATACAGGTTTTTTAATACTTTTTTTTTGCTTATATGTCTGCATAGAAAGAAATTGGATTATGGTAACTTTGAAATAACATTTTACATTAGGATTTAATTCCCACTTTCATTTACTATTAAATTGAGAACCTGAGATTTTTTTGGCCCTTGTTACTTTTTTTACCTTTTTCTTTGACCTATGTGTATATAACATATAATATTTGGATTAGTTTGCAATAAATGCTTACTTAATTGAATTTGAATTTGTTACATTGAAACTTTTTAAACTACCCATCTACCTAGCCTGACATTTGTATTAGCTTGTTATAGTTCTTGTAATAGAACATATATCTTTTTCCCCCACATTAGTAAACTGTAGTTTTATAAATACCCCAAAAGAAACTGAGTCACATTTCTTTACTAACATTACTGAGATGATGTGGGAAGAATTAACTCAACATTCTTAATAATGGAAATATGGTAATCAATATAGTTGATGGTTGTTTTGATGATACTTATTTTTCTTCTGAGAAACAAGTGGGGTTTTTTGTAAGTATCCAATGTCTTTTCACTCTAAAATATTTTTTCATTATCAAGAGTTAAATAAAAGAGAAGATGGCTGATGGAAAAACATACTGCAAGAATGCAGGGATGAAACGTAAATAAACCTCATGTTAAATAATGGTCAAAATGAAGAAGACACATTATTTACAGTATTTTATGTGGAATGCCCTTTCCTGGATCCTTTAAGAACTAGGATAATTACTAACTCAGTCTTCTGGAGTTTTATTCTATTTTTTATTTTTTATTATAAAAGCTGAGAGATCTTTTTTTATCAATTGTTGTTTGAAGGTGTAATTTAAACTTAAAAAGACAAAAGATGCATAGGCATATTGTATCAATATGGTGATTTTGTTATCTCTTTTGTATATTCATCATAAATTTTTGTATTCTGTTAAAAATCACTCTGAAACAGACAGTGGGTCCATTTTTCATCAGTAGATCATATTAAATTTTATTTGGAATATCTCAGATAATGATTTGTATCATTTTGGTAAGGGACAAGATGGTGAGACTGGATAATATAAATGCTAGACCTATATGGTTAGTTATTAATTACCTGTATTTCCTTAAGCTACTGTCTTTAAAGCCTGACTCCAATAGTGAGTCCTTTTGTAATCAAGCCTCCTTCGTTTCCTCATGAGTGAATTTCAATGATTGTTTTTCTTAATATAAGAAGTTCTTGTTCTGATCTCACCACAAAAAAAATGGTAACTAGCTGAGATGATAGATTTGTAGCTTGATTATGGTAATTATTTCACAAGGTATAGGTGTATCAAATCATCAAATTGTACACCTGAAATATAAAGAATCTTGATTTGTCAAATATACCGCAATTTAAAAAATGTTCTTTACATAAATGTTTTGTAGAATAAAAAAAAAAAAAGTTCTTCAAAAGAAATCTCAAATCTCCAAATGGAAACAGGTAAAAGTGGAGCTCCCCTGGTTCCACGGAGAACCTTTTTTGAGGAAACTTAGGCAACTCGCAGGTACCTTATGTCATGAGACAGAGTTTGAAAACTACAATTGACTATCTCTAAATTTCCTCCCAGGTCTAAAATGTGATGATAGTTACTACTTCAGTACATCATCCTTAAGGAAAATTATTAGGTCCACACTGTTTCTATCCTTTGAATTTTACACATAAATTTTGTAATCAAAAGTTTATTTGTAATATCAGATGGAATCAGATAATTGCTTTTTGTTTTTTCCACTGACAGGAACATAAGATTTTGTTGTGTAGCTTAAGTCAAACGCAGTTTGGAATATATATTTTTTAAAAATTGTAACTTACATATCCAAATACAATTTTTCAAGAAGTAGAGTATTCAGTAGAAATTAATCTGTGAAAGAAGAGGAATTCAGCAGTGGCCTATTTGATGAATGATTTAACGTGCTTATTTCTTCCCTTTCATCAAAACTCTGTGTCCCCTTGTTTGCCCCCTCTGACTTCATACTCTGGAGTTGACCAAGATCCCTCTTCCATCGGATTGTTCTGGGAATTTTGAAATAATCTGCTTTTTCCTCTCTTTCCCCTGTTGCTTCTGATGCCTTAGAATTACATTTTCCTCGCTGATTTAGTTTAGAAAAGAGAAAAGAGCTTCCATGACTAGTAGATTATCACTTTTGGGTTTGCTCTTGGAAGTGACAAGATGCTAGGATCCCTCTTTGGAATGTAAAATTTATCTCTTATATAGAAAGGATATAAATGTAGCACCAGAGACTATAAAACTCTGATACTATCTACTGTACTGTATAGCTGAACGCCACAATGTGTCTGGTAATCTATTGACTATCATAAATGCTATTTCTACAGAAAAGTTAGGAGGTCCATATTTCGGGCAACCAATGTATAGCTGAATGCAGAACAGTCATAGTTGGGTACTAACCATATATATGATTTATCCATCAACAGGTGCATATGCTCAGAAATTCTGTATCCATAAGAAATCAGACTACTTTCTTTTCCTTTTGCAAGTAAATTGAATTTAGCCTGAGAGGCTGAGGGGAAATTTTCACATATAAGCCACGGTTTTGTGTTTTGTGTTTTGTTTTGTTTATAGATATAGTACTAACTGGATGGATGCGATAAAATTCATAGGTGGTACTAAGATACAATAGGATTTGTGAAATGGACAATTGTCTTGCATAAATAGCAAGTAAAAAATCAAGCCTGTCCTTCATAAAAATTTTATTCTGGGGTGTGCTTGTTTTCCAAAAGTACCTCTGCTAAATCTCCTGTTAGTCCTGAAACTAGAAGGCAGAAAAGCTTCTAGTGCTACAGCCAACTGCAGTGTAGCCTGAGAAACAGGCAACAAAAATAGAACACCAGGATTGCTGTGCGTGGGTGAGGCAGAAACCACATTATGAGCAAAAGCTTCCAGTATTATTTTAGAACCAATACAGAGCTCTGTACTTCTCTCCTCTCTCTTCCAAAAACACATACTACAAAAATAAAATGAAATGAAATGTATGTGCATTTGCCCTCTTAGAATTATGATTCTTAATTTTTTTTCTTGCCTTCCTTTCTTTGGAAGCGAATCGCCAGTATGGAAACACAGTGTGTAAAGCAAGCTTCGAGAGAGGAAAGAGTTAATTGGTTTTAAGGCCCTGCGATAGAGAATTATGGTTGGAAAGATAGAGGCTGGACAGCTGGGTTTGCTGGGGTATTTTTAAATGCATTAATGCAGGCTCCAATCACTCGGCCATGCTTGACCTATTTTTGGCTCAGGCCGACCATTGTTCTATTTCTGTGCCTGTGGGCCATGCTGTTGTTGATTCATATGCAAATGGATTATCACTCGCTTTAGCCAACTTGAGCTGAGAGAGACTGAGAAAGGGGGAAGAGAGGCACAGACACAGATAGGAGAAGGGCACCGGCTGGAGCCACTTGCAGGACTGAGGGTTTTTGCAACAAAACCCTAGCAGCCTGAAGAACTCTAAGCCAGGTTTAATTGGTTTCTTTTTCTCGTGGGTAGACTTAATAATTTTCTACGTATTCTGACAAAGAAATAACCCCGAAGCACGTTCCTATTTCCCACCTGCTTGTAGTTTCCGGGATAACCTAAACTCCAGAGAGCTATAGCATCCACTCTGTCCTTTCTGCTTTGCACACAGGTTGGTAACATGGGAAAAGTGTCCAGGTCTTTTTAAAAGTGGATGCCCATTTGAGCAGAAAGGAAATCATTGTCGAAGTTGATCCTCTGCTGCTTCTCCTCAGGGAGGAGGGAGAACCAGCGAGGGTAGCTCCTGGGGCCGGTGCACTGAGCAGTGATGAATGTTTCATGTAGCTGAAGTAAGAGTGACTGGAATATGCTGCAGACAATTTACGAGAGTGACTCCTGTTTTTCCTCAGATGGGGTGGCTGGACGAGAGCAGCTCTTGGCTCAGCAAAGAATGCACAGTATGATCAGCTCAGGTAAGATCCTCTTTCATAACTGAGACGTTTTAGGTTTGAAAGGGGGCTGGCTTGGGAAATGCAGCTAAGAAAAGCACCTCTCTTAAGGAAATTGCTGCTTTTTCGTGTTGATGTTGCTATTTTCTTGGTGCGTCTGTAGGGTTTAACTTAGATCCCTTCCATTACTGTTTCTGTGCATATTCAGTCTGCTTAGGGACAGCAGCTTCTGAATGAAATTGCAAACTATTGCTTCTGATGAAAGATGAGACTGAGATAAGTAAAATGTAGTTGGGGGTGTTTTGCCTTTACTATGCAACTAGAAAAAGGAGCTGTGTACTGATTGTAAGCCTATTCTAATAGGACTTTAAAAATCAGGTAAGTTCATATTGGGGCTTCAGTTTAAACTGCAGCCCCGCTAGCCTGACGATTTTATATTTACTCTGTGCCTACAGAAGCACATCTATTTATAGACCTACCTTCTAAAATGTGTTTGCCACAGAGTTATAAAGGTAGTTTTCTTTTTTCCATTATGTGGCTTTTTCTCATCAGCCCCAAATGAAACTGTTTAGGATGAAATAAAATTGTTATTAGCAGATGCTTATTTTAATTTTCTTCAAAAACATGTGGGAAGTCTAGCATTGTCAGGCAGATGTGATGGCATAACACACATGTAAATGTGTTAAAAGCAGGTGCAGCGTTTTAAAGGATAATAGGAACAGATTCTAATTTCTAGTTTCTCAAGGAGATGAGCTGGTGGGAGATTGAGCTTGTCAGCCTTGTCAATTTATACTTACTAAATGAACATACTCTCCAGGCAGTATCACTTAACGTGTAATTATTGCCTTTCATATTTATTTCCTATGGCTATTTCCTAAAGCTTTGGGAACTCTTTGTTTCTGTCCTCTTCTGAATGTTTCAACCTAAAATTGGCTTAAAGTTCTCACTTAGATCCCACTTCCCATGTGGGCTTAATCGTAATTATAGATCACCGCCTAGATTTCCATGATAAGAATGCCACATAAAGCAGTGTTTACTTTGTAGAGCTAGGTGTGAAA
Source organism: Homo sapiens (assembly GCF_000001405.40). Lineage (NCBI taxonomy): Eukaryota > Metazoa > Chordata > Mammalia > Primates > Hominidae > Homo > Homo sapiens. Next base: position 18,497,359 of record NC_000007.14, read on the forward strand.
GAAATATTCCACAGGTTGGCATGATGTCTGTTTTGGTGTTAATACACCTTCCCATATGGGGATCTATGTTTAAAGCTAGTTTTCTTTAAACCTTGGTTAGTTATGTTAATTTTAAGATCCTTCTGTTGACCCAATCTTTTCATGGAATCAGAATAAAATATCAATTTTGCATAATTTGGTATTTATACACTTAAGTGACAGGAATTATGTTAATGAATAGTGCCTGCTTAACAAAAGCAAACCTACCAGAATTTCAGTACAGTTTATTCTTATAGCTGCAAAGCTGACAAGGGCTCCGGGAGGGTTTAACAGGTATGTCTCTAATGGGACTGGTCATTTAACTTAGCATTTTATTTTTTAAAATATGGATGAACCCTTTGAAAATAACTATTTTAGAAATCTTTTCAGCACTATGCTTTATCCTTTTAGTCCTCACTTCTGTGTTACAAGTTTGATATTTTTTTTCATATGGTAGAAACATACATGCCTTCCAAGTAGCAAGTGTCTGCTGAAGCTAAGGCTGGCTACAGGTGTTTGCAAGCTTTGCTTTTTTCTCCACATCTTTGATAATCACATACAGCTTTACACCCATTTCAGTAGAGATTGTCATTTTCCTAGCATTTAATGGTTTGTGTACAAAGCAACAAGATTTTCAGACAGGGAAGTGCTTCAGGCTGTCCATGCTTTGGCCAGTTCTACAAGAAGCAACATTTAAGCAGCAGCTAGCTATTAAATGAAAAGTGATGTAGGTTAACATCAACTCCCAAAACCTGTCTGGTATAAATACATAATCACTAAGTTCTATTTATTTTTAAAATGTGAAGCATAAAAACAATTACACCCTTCCTGCCATGCCATATATTTCATATATGTTCTTAAATTTAATTCACCTAGTCTTTATTGTATACTTCCTGTGAGGCACTGGCTCTCAAAGTTGGACTCACCAGAAGCACTTTACAAAATATGATACCTAGATTCCACTCCCAGAATGCCTGGTTTAATTGGTATGGGGAACAGCCTGGGGATTGAGGTTTTTAAAATCTCCCCACCTTAACCTTCAGCAAACTGAGATTCACTGCTGTAGGGCTAGGGAACAGATGGTGATGCTGGTGAACCACTATCAGTAGGGTTTGTCCTTTGAGCTAACTGCTAAATTAGGGGTATGTTTGTCTTAATTTAGCTACAAATCTTGTTCAGCTCCCTTTTGGACCAGTGGTCTGGACGTGATTCATAGGCTTAGAAGCAGAGTCTTTGGATTTGAAAGAGAGAAAGGATGCCTGGCAGCAGTGCAAAGGAGTGGAGAGAGCACTGTTCTAGGAGTCAGACACTCTGTATTCTAGCATGAGCTCCACTGCTAGCCGATTGTGTACTGATTTTTTTACTCATCTTCAAACTGAAGAATAATGATGTCCTCCTGCTTGCCTCTTAGCATTCTTGTGAGGTTCAGATGTATCAATATGTCTTTAAAACGTATACTCACTATTAGAATTGTTGTTTTTAGTGAATGAACCTAAGATCTTGGTTTTCAATGCCATGTTCTATCTTGCTGAACAAGCCACATGAGTTACATTGTAGGTCACATGGGGGAAATGATTGTTTGTTTTGATAATCAGTTTGCCTTAGTTATCTTATAAATCAACTATTTATTTTGTTACCTTGGTTTGATAAGAGTTGAGATCTTTCCTATGCAGACTATCACTATAGGTAAGAGTAGGGTGTGTATGTGTGTGTGTGTGTGTGTGTGTTCTCTGAAATGTCTCATTATGTAATAAAGGCAAAGAAGTTGCACAGTATGTGATTGAACAGTGAACCCCAATCGCAGATTTCATGAGATTATTTTTAAAACATTGGTTATGTTGTGTAATTTCTTTAGCAATTGCATTAGAGTTCCCATTTGTTGTTCTAGTTATATTGGATATTATGCACTAATATTGATGGTTTTTGTACAGAGCTCTTTATATACTATTGGAATACAAGTTTTTTTTATGGTTGTATGTTTTTTTGATATTGACTCGGCCAGGCTAAACATGTTTGGTAGAACCAGGTTCTATAATATTGTACTAATATATTTTAGTTTAAAGTTCTATAATATTAAATCTTAGAATTCAGTGTGAGTGACACATTTTGTCAAGTACATCCCTACTTTTGTGGCTTGTGTGGGCCAGGGTAAGTGATAACTGTGGCAGAAAGTGAAGCATGTACAAATATTGACTCAGGTCACTCTGCAGGAGCTGGCAGGATTAGGGGTGTTCTCCCATTGCCAAGCATGTTGCTTAACACGTTGGGCAGCAGAGCTGTCCAGACAATATTGGAACAATTATTATGAAGGAATTTCCTAGAGTTTGTACAGAAGTAATGTAAGATATATTTACAATAAGGAAAGCTCATATTTTGGCCATCTATTCTTACTTTAGGGTATAAAAGAAAAACATTTAAATCAAAGTCCTGAAATTCTTTTATATATCTTCACCCTTTTTTGAATCCTTTTGTTCCTTAGTGTATGGTGTTGAGGGGAAGGGAACATTTTAGATTCAGTAGTCACGTCACTTATGTCTACTTGAAAAGCAGAATCTAATTATGAAAATGTAAGTCTGTGAAATGTTCCTGTCATGTCAAGAATCACTTCTGGTATTCCCCATAATTACTGTTTTGCCATTCTCTAACTCAGGTTATCTTCACTTGCAAGTCTGTTATCAATTGAGATAGATGATAGGTATCAATCAGAAATATAATTATAAATGGGCTCATTGAGAATGGAGACAAGAATGAGTATTTCATATTTCTAAGGATGACACAGGAGGCATAATTATTGTTATGTCCGTTAAGTAAGAAAATCCAATAAAACCCCTTGGAAGACTGAAATAAATCCAAATTCTGAATTCAAAAAATATTCTAAATGATGATTTTAATTTTGGAGATGAGCAATTTTAAAATGTGCCTCATAATTTCTCACTACTGATAAATAATGAAGTGAGCCCAAAATAGCATGTCAGCCAGCAAACATACCTTCCATCCCTGTCACCCAATATATTCAACAGTAACTGAGCAAAGAAAATGATATAACCTAATGCAACATACCTCAGAGGCTAACAGCCAAGGCAAAAATGGATGCAGAGGTTCTTTGATCATAACAGAGAGACCTGTCTCCTGGGCTGTCTTAGAATTTTACTGGCAAGTTGACCAGTTCCTGAGGATTCTCACTAAGATTCCCAAATCTGAAGAGAAGAAAACTGAGTAGGTATCCTCACCATTTTGGGTTGTTCTTGTTTTCTCTTGTGGCTGAGAAATAGTAGAAATGAAGGCTTCAGAGCAGCGTACTAAATTGGGAGAAAGATCGATCCATAGCTCTTTGGAATGACGTACCTTTCACCAACTAAACTTAGAGATTCTGCCAAGAAGAAAAACATCAACTCATTGAACCCATGGAATTAGACGTCTTAGTATTGCTTCCTACAAATAGAGCACCTTACATAAATTTTATATTAAAAAAAGCTGAAAGGTGAGATGATAAACAAGAGAATGAGATGAGAAAGGAGATATAGATCTCAGGAAATGAATCAAGAATGGAAAATCATAATGATTATAGAAAAAAATATTCATTAGAAATAGAAGAAAACAGAATAGGCCCAGGTAAAAATCTTTACACATAAAGATGAAAGGTTTGAAAAAAATCAGAGTAAATGAAAAAGGAAAACAGTTAGACAAAGTAGAAATTCTCAAACATGAAAGAGGCTGCTTGACAGTGAAAGCCACACAGTGAAGAGATGAACTTAAAACAAACAAAAAACTAAATTCAGAAGTAGAGAAAACATTATCAAAGTAACGAGGGAACACTGAATGCATTTAAACAACTATTGGATTGTGTTTATAGGGCAGAAAACAGATATTATAAAGTAGGGGAATGTAAAAATATTAATAAAGCTGGCCAGTGTGAGGTGTTAGAGAGAGGTGAGATGGAAGGATGTGAGAAATGCTAATATCCTTCCCTTTCTGAGCAGGGACAGACTCCCTGCTGCTTAAAATAGAAACACATACTTAAAAAAAAGATTCAAAGCACTGATTTTTAAAAATAGTTTATTTAACCTTAAAGAGGTCTTTTTGGAAATAGTATCTCTTACGTTAAGGAAGTATTTAGTACATTTATAGTTCCTTCAACTGCAGTTTTAAATCTGCTTAATTCAGTTAAGTTTAAATTTAAATTCAGTTAAGTTTAATTTCAGTTTTTAAAAATAAATATAACATCAGTGATATGTTCTTATTTTTATAATTTTTTAAATCTATCCATCCATCTCCTGAAGAATTCATATAAAGATAGGAAGAAATAAGGAAAGATGCTGTGCTGTGTTTGGTGAAGAGGAGGGGCTTTTTCTTTCAGCATCATACCTCTTTACAGTGTATGATTTTTTATAATAGGCATGTATTCTATGAGAAGTGTTCATTACACACCCCCACACAAAGCTACCATGTCAAAATACTAACAGTGATTAATTGTAAGTAGTAGGTATATTAGTTAGGTTGTTTTCTCCTGCAGATAAAAGAACACTCTAGTCAAAATGACAGACAAGTAGGACATTTATCATGTGATAAAGTAGTTGGGTGGTTAGGCAGCACCAGGTAGTCAAAAATGGCAGCAGCATTCAGGTCCTTCATATAGCTCCACTCTGCTGGTCTTAGCCTTGGTTGGTGTGATCCTAAGATTGGATCCTCCAATGGTCACAAACTGACTTGTAGCAGTTCCAAGCATTATGTATGTTTATGCATAACAAATTGCAGAGACAAAGGTTGGATCCTCCAATGGTCACAAGTTGACTCGTAGCAGTTTCAAGCATCATGTTATTTATGCACGACAAACTCCAGAGACAAAGAGGGGAAACTGCTGTCTTGGCGTCTCTTTTAAAGGAAAGAAATCTTACCCAGACTTCTCCAGCAGATCATCCTTTATTCTATATTGACTAGAATAGCATCACCTGCCTATTCTTTCACTTGTTTTTCAGAGGAGTGGGACCCATGACTGAGCTGGGAAGGCAGGATACCTAAACCTGCTCAAGTTTCTATTGGGAAGAACCAAGAAGCAGGAGGAATAGATGTTAGCTAGGCACTAGCAGTATTTGCTACAACGTGGATATTGGTGATAAGAAGTTTCTTCTTTGCAATTTTATTTACTTTTTAGTTTCCACAAATATAATAAAGTAAATGGACTATGTTTATAATTTCCCTTTCAGTTGAACTATGGGTGTTGACTTTCTTTTCATGAAGATAATATATCTGTTTAAATACTAATGTAAGTATTTTTTACTAGTATTGAATATAAGTTTTTTATTAATATTGAATAGATTGCCTTTCTTAGTACTGTCTATTGTTAGAAGAAGCCCCCTAATAAAGAGACTGAAGTAATTGTAGAAGAAACTGGATCTCTCTAAGCTATTAATCATGTTTTCTGAAGGAAGGAGAGTCAACATTGTGGCCTCATGCCTTACAAGCATTTATTATAAACGTGAATAGAGTATTCCTTTAATGTTGGCTTCGAGGCACACAAAATTTTTTTTGAGAAATATAATAATATATGAATTGTTTTCAATATATGAAAGGAGGATTATCTTAAAAATACTCAGAATGTGTTCGCCAGTAGGTTGTCACAAGTATTACATTTTAAGAATCATGAACAATTTTTACAATATGGAATGATAAGCACTACATTTTAACATTTTTTTTCTGAATTTGAATGCTTTGAAAATAATTTAATTGAAATAAAAGCTCATGCAAATGACTTTAGAAAAGAAGCTTTCAAGAAGAAATTCAAAAATATGTTGGCCTCTGCCTCAAATGAGTGTTGGCTGTGCCATGGTCCCCCCTGTTTTTGAAAGGAAGCTGAAGTGAGTGGTTAGCTTGGGATATGTGGTGTCCTTCCTGTTGGCAGTTTTCCCCTTTTCTTTTCCCAGTAAGTTGGCAATAAGGAAGCAAAGAAAGAGGAAATGCCTGGTGTTCCTAGTTCCATTCTTCTTCAACTAAGTTGGTTGCACAAAACAAATTTAATTTAAACAACATTTTTCACAATACTAAACGACCTACACTTTCAAGTGTTATCAGAGAACGTTATGTTTAGGTTTACTCTGAGTTGCTATGATTCATGAATATAAGAATAAATACTTCTTGTGTTTTTATAAGAATATATTTTCCATTCATTATCATAATGTTAACTTTTCCATAGTAAAATAAGTGATGGGCTTTTCGTGTACAGTGTTTCTTAAATACCCATTAATTAAATCCAATGAAAACCACTTTTAAGGAAGAAAGAAATTTACCAAACCACAGAGTGTAACTAGTCATTTGCTTATGATTAAACTTTTTGCATGCTGATAAGGTTGGAAATACCCACGACTTTATTTTCCTGCTTCTCCTTATGGTTCACCACTTGTATCAGAAACTTTTAAATTCATAATGTATGTTCATTATTGACCCAGTTGCAGCCATGTGGATGTTATTTTCAATTTGCTTGAGGTACATTTTGGTGAATGTCTAAGGCATGACATTTTCAAATGAGAATGTCATGAAGTTGTTTCAAAATTTGAAACTTGATATTAAAAACAAAATAAACCCCCCAAAATCCAGAAAACAAAAAATAAGTAAATTTCACTGAGTTTTCATTAAATGACATCATAGCTTGGGAGTTCTTGCTTTAGTAAAAATGTGTTTACCCAGAAGGTTTTCAGGGAACCCCATGTAGGGTGAATAAGAAAAAGCTCTTGTGTTAAGCACTGTTTTAACTTTATTCTTGATGATGCTTTTGAAATCTCATAATCAAAATTCAAGGGTGTATTTTAAGTACATGATTTTTACATTAGGAACTATCCATTTTAAGTTAGAAAGTTATCACCACCCGTTTTTGTTTTTTTCTGTCATACTCCTCTCTGATCTTCTAGTTGCTTAGTTCCAATTTTATTTTATTTTGTTTTGTTCTGTTTTTTGAGACAAAGTCTCACTCTGTCATCCAGGCAGGAGTGCAGTGGTATGATCTTGGCTCACTGCAACCTCCACCTTCTGGTTCAAGTGATTGTCCTGCCTCAGCCTCCCAAGTAGCTGGGATTACAGGCATGTGCCACCATGCCTGACTAATTTTTGTAGTTTTAGTAGAGATGGGGTTTCGCCATATTGGCCAGGCTGGTCTCGAACTCCTGACCTCAAGTGATCTGCCCGCCTTGGCCTCCCAAACTGCTGGAATTATAGGCATGAGCCGCTGCGCCCAGCCTAGTTCCAATTTTAGAGGTCAGTGATTGTAAGCATATTTTTTTCAAAAATTTTTATGTCATTCTTTTATTATTGACACAATGGCTAATGTTTCAAAAGTTTCTCTGTGTATCACTTGATCATTTAATCCTCACCACAGTTTAATAATGCAGTAGTTGTTGCAGCAATATTGGTGTTTTACAGTTGAGGAAATATATTCAGAGAGATAAGAAATTTACTGATGGTTACTGTAGGTAGGAAATGGCAGGGTCGTGTTTAAATGGCAGGGTCCTGCCCCTTTTTCTCAAAAAATATTTAGCATAGGATAATTCTGCTTGGTACTAAAAATGTGGACACATTTATATATGTATAAACAAATACCTAGACAGACTTCTTAATCCTGGGAGGTTTAAGGCACAAATAGGCAAGCATGTTGAAAGTTTTGCTGGAAGATCCTTACTTCATGTTCTCAGTGCTAGATAATTAAATTCGAGGAAGTTAGCACTATCCAGGGCTGAGAGGAGCTTAAGGAAACCAAGCTTCTATGAGCGTGCTCTTTTCCTTGGAGCAGATGCTCTGGACAGAAGCAGCATTCCTGATGCATTTGGCACCTGTTTGCCAGTGTTCATGATACACAGATCATGAGGGTAAAGTTAGCCCCGCTTCAAAATAGCAAATTATTATTAATGTATTTTGGCAGGAGAAAGTAATTTTTTTTGAAATGTTAGCATTATGGGGTTCATTTATTTTGACCAAAAGGTTTGAATTATACTCACCTTGGCATTTACCTTGAAATGTAAGGTTAATAAAGCCTATATCACCACTCAAATCCTAATTTCAACTTGCAATGTGAAATTCTCTAGCCACAATAAAGATCTAGCTAACATAATTCAGTTTCTACTTATTTTGAATATATATCTGTCCAATTTGGGTCCAGTTTGGACAATTTAGGTGAAAACTGGATGGCTGTGTTTATATGTATTATCATCATACTACGTTTTACTTTATCTTGAGTTAATTTTGCTTTATTGGATGAATGTCATATGTTCTGTAGGTGGCTTAAGCGTAAAATTCACCCATTACCTACTAATCCAATTATGCAAAAGCCCACTCTTGGCTTTCCAACAGGTAATTTTTATGATCTTATTTGCTATGAGAATCTTGAGCCATCTTCAGGAATCAATACATTGTAAAAGCATTATTGATTATCACGTTAATGATTGACATAATTTATTGCCTTCCTAGGGGAAAGAAGCTTTCAGAAGATCATTAAATGCATTAAAACCTGCAGATGTCCACATGTCTGTGCCTCTCTTTAGCAGCCTGACTCCTTTGGGTCAGTTATTCTTAGCCTCGGTATTTCTATCTTATGGCATCGCAGGTCTAAGATTAGCTTGTTAGGCGTTATCATGCCATATGAGTTACCTCCTAATATAACTCTACACTGGAATGATTATTTATAGAAAGAGCATTCTGTCATTTTTGGGTTATTTCTAGTAGTTTAAATAAAGAAGAATAACATTCAAGTGAAACCACAGATTCCTTCCTGCTGCCAAAATAGCATGATAACTGTCTGCTTAAGGGGCAATAATGTTGTTTAAATGTGTGCTTAGGGTGATTGCAGAATTCTTTTTATCTCTGCCACCTTGAGAGAAAAGGGAGAGCTCTGGTAATGATGTATCATGCTTATGGAAAGGCAAAGAGGCGGCCTTGATGCTGTCTCAGAGCACACAGGACTCTGGTTGATGATGACAACAAGAGACACACAGGGTTTATTTTTAGAAACAGACATTGCTAAGCTCTCCATTTGGTGTTAATATTGCTCATAAACAGAGCTTCTTGGGGCTGTTGACCCTTCTCGTGAATATGGCATTACACACACATACTGTTTTCTTTTTTCACTTTGTAAGAATGATTCTATTATTGAAAGTGTATATATATCTGTTTCTAAAAATTAAGAAATCTAAATTCTATTCAATTTCTCAATTTTTTTTTTTTAATCCCATGAAGCTTGGGTTTAAGAATTGGTTTATGAAAAACAATTGACTATTATAAGCACAATAAATATACAGGTTAACTATAAGTATGGGAAAAAGGCAAGTATACATCATGAATGACTTTTAATAATAAATAACACCAATGCTCCTAGCTTTATTACCACAATATATAAAATATAGCCATAAAAGATACTGTCATTATAATGCACTATTGTGAGTTACTGATTTAAATAGATGAGATAAAATTCTCAGCATATGAGAAAAGTAAGTGTAAGCCTCTGCTTGCTGTTTGGGTATTACTACCTCTTGATGTTCCCAGCAAGTCTCATATACAGTAAAATATGCAGTTTTACATTTGAGAAGTGTTCTCTCAATTTACTTTGTGTGCTTAATTCAAACCTTAGCAATTGTTACTTTGCTCTAAAATTAGAATTGTGTTTTAATGTTAAATTCGCATTTTATATTTTACTATTAACTCATTTTTCCTAAATGATAAAAATGTTAAAATGGATGTTAGTGCATTTTATGTTAAACATTTGCCAAATGCTATAGAATGGATAACTTATGCAGGTCTTCCAAATATTCATTACATATTATTATTATTATTATTATTATTATTATTACTATTTGAGACGGAGTCTCACTCTGTCGCCCAGGCTGGAGTGCAGTGGCGCGATCTCGGCTCACTGCAAGCTCCACCTCCCGGGTTCACACCAATCTCCCACCTCAGCCTCCCGAGTAGCTGGAACTACAGGCGCCCGCCACCACGCCCGGCTAGTTTTTTTTTGTATTTTTAGTAGAGACGGGGTTTCACCATGTTAGACAGGATGGTCTAGATCTCCTGACCTCGTGATCCGCCCGCCTCGGCCTCCCAAAGTGCTGGAATTACAGGCGTGAGCCACCGCACCCGGCTATTATTATTATTATTTTTTGAGATGAGGTTTTGCTCTTGTTGCCCAGGCTAGAGTGCAATGGCGCCCTCTTGGGTCATTGTAACCTCCGCCTCCCGGGTTCAAGCTATTCTGCCTCAGCCTCCTGAGTAGCTGGGATTACACGCATGTGCCACCAAGCCTGGCTAAATTTGTATTTTTAGTAAAGATGGGGTTTCTTCACATTGGTCAGGCTGGTCTCGATCTCTCGACCTCAGGTGATCCGCCTGCCTTGGCCTCCCATGTTTTTAAAAGATAAATATGTTTTGTGTTTTGTTTGGTTATCTGCTGACCATTAGGAATTTCCAAAATGAAAGACAAAAATAGGAAACACACAGTAATTGAAATGTATCTTAAAAGAAGTCAAGATGGAAATAAATTCAGAGAGTGGAAATGGAAGCAACTGAAGGAACAACATAACATGTTGCATCCTGACCACTCTTTTAATGAGCGGGTCGAAGACTTTGGAAGATGAAATTGTTTGAAGCTTTGGGAACTGGGGTGAAAGAGTCATTTATCGGTTCATTTTTTCACCCAAAACTGTTTTAAGAACCAACCATATGACACAGAAGATACAGCTATTAAACAAAGCAAGGAGATACATGGTTGGTTGTTCAATGGAATGATGGATGGATAGATAAAGCTACTTGAGATAGGAATTAGTATTAAGGTGAAATAAGAGAATGGGGTAGAAAGTGACTGATAGGGCAGTATTAACTAGGGTAGCTAGGGTAGTTAAGTGAAGGCTTTTGAGTCTGCTAACCTGTAAAGGGTATCTTTCTAAAAAAAGTAGATTTTCCTTCAACGTTTAATTTGGTCTAAGTCAAGTAGAACAGAAGCACAGTTAAAATAGATTAGGAATGGTCTGGATCTATTTCAATATTGTTACCTCTGCTTTGTGGAAAGGATGGGGAAGCATTTAGCAGTAGGTAGGTAAGGGAACTGGAGAAAGGCTGTTAGCTATGATTTTCTCTGTTTTTCATAGAGATCGTGAACCAAGTGCCTCTCTCTTGTATTCATATTATTAACTTGAAGTGAAGGCTCTTTTAGAACTTGTTCCCTTTCCTTGTTCCTAAGGTTCACCCTTGTCCCTCATCTCACCTGCCCTGTCAATTGTGCTTAACATTTCTTACCCAAGCAGTATGAGTCATTGCTAGTAGTTCAGTGAAGCAAACAGTTTCTCTTTCTCAGAAACCCAAAAGAAGGGGAGCAGAGTATCTTCGCCAGCTGAAGTTAGAAGTCTTAGAACATTTTCTCATAAACACAATATTGCACACTTTTTAAAGGAGTATGAAATACAGTATTCATCACACAGGCATTTACTGTGTACCTACAACGTGCCAGGTATTTAATTCAGGTAGATCATGGGTCAAATCACACCTTTGTTAGGCGGCTGGAGAATCATAACTTCCCAAGAAAATATTTAGCATACATAGCATACACAGTCGTCGTTGGGTTAGCAACTGGCTAGATTCGTGACATGTTGTTACAAAAAAATAGTTGTATAAGGAAGTATTTCATGAAGGTGACACATCTATTTTTTAAAAAGGGAGAAACAGCTAAGAGCTATTTTTCCTCACACATTATGCTTTGTGAATAGGGAACAATGGTGGATACACAGAGTAGGTTGGACAAACATTTTTGAGGGACTGACACATTATCTCACATGCTTGATGCCTCATGGGGTTTTCCCTCAACATTCCAATTGGTCTAAGTCAAAGCACAATTAGAATAGAGCAGGAAGTGTTCTGGAGCTATTTTAATCTCCACTTAACTTCTGCCTTGTGGAAGGGGTGGGGAAGCCTTTATCAATGGGTAGGTGGGAGAACCAGGGGAAGACTGTCAGCTACGATTTTCTCTAGCCTCAAGAAGACTGAGACCGAGCCAAACTCCTGGCCAACGTGCTTTGTGGATTCACAGTGTAGCTTGAGAAAAATGGTTAGTGGTGACTTGTTTTTTCCCCCGAGTGATTATCTCATTCAATCAGTATTTATTGAGTCCTTGAAAGCTGTATTTTTTAAATGAGGCTGCTTGTTTATCTGTTTTTGTTGTTGTTGATTTCTTAGTCTAAGAATTACCAGGTATTTCCTTCTTCTGAGATACCTTAATGCTCTATTCCAACTGGTCATCACTGGGGAAAATTCTCTTACAAGCCCAATGCAAATGTTACCTAATGTCTGACACCATCACTGATTTCCCCTCACCTCTGTAATATTAATACTTCCCTAATTACGTGTATTTTTTTTCTCTTTCTCCCTTCTCTCTCGATCCTCATAGTCCTTTTATTACTCTCTTTAGAACATTTCCACTTTCTGTCTTACACTGTGACTGTGTATGTGTGTCCTCATCCCCCCAATTAGTTATATTATAAGCTCCAAGAGGAAAAGGATCATGTTTTACTTCTATTTTTATTCCCTACAGTACCTAGCATATAATTGATCCCTGAGACTATTTTTAGATAAATGAATGATTAAAGAGTACAGTGTTATTGCACAATGTGTTTTTATACATTTGGTATTTTTAAAAAATGATTTCTTCTTTTATGAAGAAAATTACTCCTCAGTTTCTTTGTAGATTTGAAAAATGTAGACATTTTTGAGGTGTTAGAGCTTTTTGCCCCCAAATTAAAATTATTCATTATAGAATGTAAGCAGGAATGACCTCCAATGCTTTAACAATGTGTGTATGACCCTTTAAATGCTTCAGTTATTCTTAACGAAGGGAATTTGGGAATATTCTTATTTGATGTGATTTTTCAATGAATAATGAATGCCAATAGAAATTTCCTGGGATATGTGTCTGCATTCAAAATGTGAAATGTGAAATAGCTAATTTAAGACTGCCTGAATATAAATGCATACTTTTTTTAATCCAAGAGAAGAATAAATTTAGTTGTGAAAATGATTACAGGTGTACTTTTATGTTATTCAAATAACACTTTGCATTTAATACTATTTTTCCCTTCTCCTATGTTTTTATGTAGAGACAATTTTCTTAGATAAGGGGCAAAAATAGGTGGATTTTTCTGTTAATAATAATATCAATTGGAAATAATTTATCCCCACAATTGCTATCTAGCTCATCTACATTTATTCTGACATTATTTAATTAGCTATATTATTTGACAAGGGGGCAAGGAATGATGATTTTTGATGAACAATTTAATCAAAATCTCAATGCCAAGGGTATCAGTAATTTGAAAAATTATCTAAAGTAAAATGTCAGAATAAGGAGTTAACATAGTGAGATATTAAGGAAATATAGATGGAATGGGTGAATCAATCTCTATGTACAACTCTTCTAAGAGAAGAATGAGAAAATTATCTTTATGTGTATGTGGGAAAGGAATGGTATAGGGAATAAGATATAAATCTTTCAGGGTAGTCTTTTTGCTCTATTTTATCCTTAAAACAGCATAAATTAGGATAAGGGCATTAAGACTTAGAAAATTAATTGAGTTCGTTGATAATAGATGTGTGGGCTGAGAAAGGAGTTAGATAATAAAACCGAATTTTACAGCATAGGTGTTGAACACAGTGTAGTATATCATGGTGAACAAATGTATGCCAGTGTCCTTTTAGTGAATTTGCAAAGGCTGCCAATTAGGCTTTCTTATCATTGTTCATTTGTTTGCTAAAAGATGAACATAAAAATATTAGAAAAAAATTATCTGAATACCAGCTTAACCTAACTTTTATATTGTAAGAAGGAAAACAACCCTCAATCAACTGATACCCGTAGTACCCCTAGTCTCTCACTATTTATTATCCCAGTAATTAAATGGACATTCTTCCACATCCTTGATCTGGAAAGATCAATATCTTTTTCTTTTTTTACTTTTTCTTTCCAGCACATAGTTTCAAATCTGAATATAGTTATAACTCTAACGTTAGAAACCTCTATCTCAGTTCAGTCTTAGATGACTACAAACCAAACTAAATTGCCAGGTACAGTGGTTCATGCCTTTAATTCCAGCACTTTGGGAGGCTGCGGTGGGAGGATTGCTTGAGCCAGGAAGTCAAGGCTTCAGTGAGCCGACATCACTCCATTGCACTCCAGCCTGGGCAGCAGAGTGAGACTCTGTCTCAAATAAATAAATAAACAAATAAAAGAAAAGACAAATATTAAATTGTTTAGTGGACACAGGAGACAACATTGTTCTATTTGATTATCTACTGCCCAGTCAGCTTCCTTGGGCACTCAACCAACAGGTAACAGAGATTATCTTTATGCTTCACCAGTCATATATATGAGACCCACTTTCTTCACACCCCTGCCAATATATTGGATATTGTCAGACTGTAGATATTTTTGCCAATCTTAAAGATGAAAATGGTAGAGAATTACTTTTTTCTGTGAATTTTTCTGACTACTGTTGGATTCGAGTGGTTTTCATATGCTATTAGCCATATGGGTTTTCTTTTATGGAGAGAGAATTCCAGGAATGCAAGATTGGTTAAAGGAAAAAAGTCTATCAGTGAATGTTGCCCTGTTAATAATGAATTAAGCAAAAAAAAAAAAAAAAAAATCTTCTCATTAGATGTAGAAAAACATGCAATAAAATTCAGTATACTTCCAGCATAGAAACTCTTATTAAACTAAAAAATAGAAGAGGGAAGTAAGTATTGTTGACCAAAACCCATTCACCCTATCTGAAACTTTATATTTAATGGTAAAATTAAAATACATTCTCTTTAATGTCAGGAATTGTCTTTGGATGTCCTAGTCAATATTTCAAGACATGAGCATTCAATAAGATGTATTAGAAATTAAAAGGAAAATAAAATAATTGAAATAATAAAGAGTTCACTTATATTGCTCAGTACAAGGTCAGTACAAAATAAAACATTGAAAGGACTGTTTTATATAAAAAACAACCAAACACAAAATGTAATAGTGCTAGCATTTACATGGCAAATGAAACTTTTATGGAAAAATTAATAACATTGTTGAAGGGCATATAAGAAAACTTGATCAGATTTGAGCGATGCTATGCTCAGGAATAGGAAGACTACATCTTTAAAAAGTTATTTATTCCCAAATTAATCTACATATCTCTTTGTTTTTAAAACAGTTTTTTAAAAAAGATGCTTGATGAATAGTATTAAGTCAGATACACTAAGTGATGTATAACAAGAAGTAAATCTTATTTCCACCTCAACTCTACTAACCATTCGATTTCCCACCTCATACATAGTCTGCTGTAAATTTCTTCTATACATTATATGTGTATTATATTTCAGCACAATGTTGATTAAAATCCTGACAGGATCTATGAAGGAACAAGGCATACTGATTCCAGAAATTCAAATATACGAGTAAGTGTGCACAAATGGCAGTTTTGTAAAGCAACAAATGGAGAGAAGAAGCCTAGATGTCAAGTCATACAAAGCTGTATTAATAATGATTATTTGGTTTGGGCAGGGACATGCTCACATAGATGACAAGGAATAGAATACAACGTTATTTTTAGTAGCTTTGTGTATGACAGAGTTTGCATCACAAATCAATGGAAAGAGGACAAACTGTTAATTAAATAGTTTGGGAACAATTAATATATTCAGTTTTTAAACTCATAGCCAAATGATTTTGTACTCAAATATCTATGTTTGCAATACTGTTGTTATCCAGTTATGCAGGTTACAATTTAAATTTCTGCAAAGCCTATGTATTGTATCATGCATGTAGGATCTTGCATTGTATAGAGGGACCGGAAGGAATTTTATGAAGATAGGGCAGGGACTTTAGTAAAGTGGTTCTAAACTAGGTGAGAGAAGTACACAATGTTTATCTAGCTCAATTCTCAAAAAATAACTTGAGACCAAATAAAAGATTCAGATCTATGAGTACGATAGAGTGAAATAGAGAGGTGATAATTTAGTCAAAGAAGAAAGGTAGATAACTGTATCCTAAAGCTTCACCAAGTTAGTCACTGAATAGTGCCTTAAAAGACCAATGGAGAAGTGACTTTTAAGCTGATGCCTGAGTGACTAGAAGAGCCCAGCCATGCAAAGATCAAAGGACAGCAATTCCAGGCAGGGGGAACAGCCAATGCCAAGGCCCTTGAGACCATTATGTATTTGGCTGTTCTCAGAATAAAGGCCACTGTGGCTACATCACTTTCAACACAATAGAGAGGATTTTCAGGAGGTTTAGCCAAATCTGCCACTGTCTGTGTGGAGATAGGTAATCTAGCTGTCTTCTCTGGCATCTGTAAGCTAGGATGGGTTGCCTAGATTACCGTTAGGTCCCTGCCATCCTTAAAAATGTTAGGGATTTGACTTTTTAATTCCCTAAACCAGATCATATCGCAAGACTATGTCTTTCTTGAACCTCCAAAATAATTTTGATTTAGTGGGCAAATAACCCCAGTAATTTGTTTGATACTGCTAGTTTATAATCCTACAGATTTTAGGTTTAGAAACCCATTCACTTCTAGCTTATTTAAACGTTATTGCTTATTTTGAAGCTTATGCCATGTCTGACTTTGGCTTAGAATGTGTTGCCTTTTCACAAAAGTGTTGTGGTCTGTTATAGACCTGTTTACAAAGAACTATCACTAATTGTTATGACTTATCTAGCTTAGTTTGATACCTCAAAACAATCTGAGTCAATCTTTCTTTTTCTGTGGTGTGTATATGCGTTGTATGTGTATATGCATATACAATGTATGTATTACAACTGTAATTGAACTATTTCATATTTTTCTCTGTAGCAAGTTATGTCATTCTTCTAATAGAAGTAGAAAGAAATAGATGGAAAATTTGACTATATGCCAAATTTCTTATAGCTTAGAACTATTTATTACCATCTTAGTAATGAAGATTATTATTTGATTGTTTATCAGAAATATAAAGTTGTATCGTTAGTGTTCATGTTTTTCTTCCAATCTCTTTGCCCAGTGACTACATTTGAATTTTCTAGGTCAATTTAAAATTGTATTTCACTTTTAAAAATTCGGACTTATTTTGGGCTAAAATAGAAATTTCAGTTAAGCACAATAACAGAGATGATTGTAAAAATGCAGAAATTCCAGTTAAATATTAACACTTAATATAATTAATTGCTGCAGGTCAGCTGCTTAATAAGTAAATAATTGTTTCCAGCTATCTTTTTTCCCCAGTTTATTTTAATCAAAATAATTTTCTTGGCTGTGTGCTGTGGCCCATGCCTATAAACCTCAGGATTTGGAAGGCTAAGGTGGGAGGATAGCTTGAGGCCAGGAGTTTGAGACTATCCAGGGCAACATAGTGAGACCCTGTCTCTACAAAAATAAAAACGAAAAATAATTAGCTGGCTGTTGTGGTGTGTGCCTGTAGTCCTAGCTACTCCGGAGGCTGAGGTGGGAGGGTTGCTTGAGTCCAGGAATTTGAGTTTGAAGTGAGCTATGATCATGCCGCTGCACTCTAGCCTGGATGACACATAAGACCCTGTCTCTAAAGATAATAAGAAAATAATAACAATAAAAATAATTTTCTTCGTTAAACTAGTATTTTGGGATAAGTACTACATAGTCCTTAGGAATTTTTATTCATAACTTTTTCTAAACTCCAGTTTATAGTCATATGGTTAAAATTTAAAAACAGAAAGAGAGATTATATTGGTTATTGGTTCTAAAGTCATATTTTATTGGGTTTTACACCTACTATGGTGATATTTAAATGATGCCAAAGCTACATGTTGCAATCAAGATAACAAGAGTATTTTTTCCTTCTTCCTCATTCCAATCTTTTGAAATGTAATGCATGGAAATTTTTCTTTCATATGTTAAGTGTATCTCATTGCTGAATATAGTGTGCCTCACTGAAGTATTCACTTCGTTGCCAAAAACACATCAGTCATTCACAAATATTCAGTATTCTGAGAATGAAATTTTTTTTTAGCTACTTGGGTAGTTGGTGAAAGCCAGTTTGCAAAGATTTCTAACTCCTACAGCGTTAGACATATTATGTGGAATCCAGGGCTAAGCAGCAGCTCCCAAAACATGAGGTAGAGTTCTAGATACATTGGACCCTTCAGGCCACAGTATCCTGGACCAAGATTTGTAGCCAGTTAACAGAATGGCAGTAAGCAGTCTTCTATTTTGTCAGTGAGATCAAAGAGCATTATAATTTTGGAGAACAAAGGGGGTTCCATCCCTGAGCACATTCATTAGCATTTAAAGGAAATAGTTATAAAATAAAAATACAATCCCTGAGTTAATTAAAACATGGAGTTTCAACATAAGCAAACCTAAGGCTTAGAAGATTGGTTGACATATAATAATTGCTTAATGAATATTCATGGGATAAGTGAATGAATGAATGGATTGAATATCATCCATTTACAGCAGCTGATATTTCAAGTGCACATGTGCGTTTGCACTTTAAATGTTCTAGGCTTTTTATCCTGGGTTTTCTAGGCATAAGATATATAAAGAATATATTTTAAAAGCCAATTTTTAATTTTAAAACTTAAAGGGAAGAAGAACTTCTTTTCATTCTTCATGATGCTTTTACTAAGGACACATTATTATTTTTATGAATATTAACTACGTCATACTTCAAATATGGAGGTTCTTCAGTCACACTTAAAATTTTTTGGGTTGTTTTCTTCAGACAAAAATGGCTTTGCAGCTGTGATTTTATACTCTTCATCCTGCCTGCGGGCCTCTTTCTAGTAGGGCCACATTGTGTCATCCTAATTTATTATGTGCAGTATAGTTAGAGAATAAAACCTCAGATGGTTGGGCTTATTGCGTTGGTTTCTAAAATGAAATTTAAAAGACCTTTAAGAAGGATTTCCTCTGGGTAAATATATTCAGTTATGCTCATATCCATAGAAAATGTAATTTGGACAATAAAAGGCCAAAATCACTTGAGTCTTTGGTATGTTCTGGATAGCTGGTGTTTTTAGAGTTGTGATTTCCAGGAAGGAGGATGTCACCTTACCGCCCTAGTCAATATCCTATTTACTTAAGAACAGAAACAGGGAAAGGACAACTCAACCTTCCTCTCACCTCCTTCACATGAGAACCCCAGAGGATGTTCTGATGTGTGTCAAATTCACATTCTAGATAGTAATATATTAGGCTGGGTGCAGTGGTTCACGCCTGTAATCCCAGCACTTTGGGAGGCCGAGGTGGGTGGATCACCTGAGGTCAGGAGTTTTGAGAACAGCCTGGCCAACATGGCCAAACCCTGTCTCTACTAAAAGTACAAAACTTAGCCAGGCGTGGTGGTGTGTGCCTGTAGTCCCAGCTACTTGGGAGGCTGAGGCAGGAGAATCACTTGAACCCAGGAGGCAGAGGTTGCAGTAAGCCGAGATCGTGCCATTGCACTCCAGCCTGGGTGACAGAGTCAGACTCCATTTCAGAAAAAAAAAAAAAAAAAAAAAAAGATAGTAATACATTGAGCATCTGATCTGCCTTAGCTGAAAAATCAAACATCTGGCATAATGGTAAAAAATTATATAGAAAGATTACTTAAAAAGACATCTGATTTTAGGCTTCTTTTTCTGGCAACAACAACAACCACCACCATCACCCCAATTCAGCCAGCATTCTCTACATTTCTAATTTATGTTTAAATAAATATGAATATTTAGTCCAAGATAAATTTTTTGATCAAAACTGATGATCTCACACATTGACAGATTTACTTTCTGGTATTTAAAGACAAACATATTCAGAAAGGTTAAGCAGTGCAGGGCGTCATGTGCTTACAGGAATTGATATCTTTTAAGAGTCCGTCATTGTGACTGCCTCATTTCACGGCTTGCCACCTGACTCTGTTCTTACAAACGATAAAAGTTCAAATAATACATTATGAAAATGCGTTCTGAGGATGTTTTATTTACTTGCTACTTTCCACTTGTAGTTTCATGTCAAGTATGGTCCCTTACACCTGGTAAGAACTGAATACCATGTTTGGGAATGAACGAACTAAAGGATCAGCTTGTGTGATGCGAGAGCTGCCTGCATTATTTCCTCCCCTCCATTTCTCCTCTTTTACAGTCTAGAGTCTAGTATGGCTGCTCTCATAGTTCTTCTATACATTCATTCTAAAGAATTAGCTGTAATCTATTACACATCATATACCAACTTTGTTATTCTCTTGTCAGTCACATATCTTTTCTCAACACTGATTTGAACATTTGTCCATCTTTCAGAACACGATGTTGCAGGTAGAAGAGTACAAGTTAAGACAGGATGCCTTAATTAAAGAAGAGGCCTTTACTCCTGTTTTCTTCCATTCTCACCCCTCTGTTTCTGCCAGAATTGTGACAGCAGGGCAGAAAATGGGCTTTTCGTGCAGAGTTGACAAGATACAGGGTAGTGAAGACAAGAATCTTCTTTCACATGCTAAGAAACTCCTGACTATACTTCTGAAGTAGTAATTGGAATGACAGCTTTTCTGGCTGAAGTACAATTTTTTTGTTTTAAAAATACAAATGGTCCCTCTCATTTTCTATTCCCAGTTCTTTCACTCACATGCTCACACTTACAGTTATACAGTGTTCACACATACATTTTTCATTGTTTTCTCATTTGAAATAAAATGTTATGAGAAATTTTCACCATAAGCAAATAATCACTTATTTTATTTGTTTTAATTGAGCTTTTAAAAGGACATTATTTATTATTATTTCACACACTCGTGCATTTATTGATTTACTCTCTCCCACAGTGATTGATTTACCGGTATTTATCTTCTCCAACTAGACTGACTTCTAATGACTCATTTATTTGGGAACTTCTTCTATACGAATCAAAATCAAGAGTTTGAAGTAACCCAGAAAGAGACTTGGAGAGCCCAAGGGATCTGTGAATGAGCTTTAGGCAGTTTCTGAATCTAAGAAAATTGTCTGCAAACAAATATATTTGTGTACATATGCATTTTTGGGGAGAGACTGTCAATTCCATGTCTTAATACTCAAAGAAGTTTGTGTCCCTAGCAAACGTAAGTGATCAATTTTAGAAAGAGTGATAACAAATTTGATTATTTGGGTCTTCAGCCCAAGACTAAAAGGCATAGATTACAAGCAGGGGAGTTTACTAGATTTAGACTACCTAAAGACTTACCTAGAGCCACAGCACACAATAAAAAGCAAAAAGAAAACCAACCCATCTTCCAAATATAGAAAAGGTCGAGAAATTAATGCAAAAGCTTGTCCCACCTCCATTAAAGCCGACTGCTGTATTTAACTGGCCCTGAGGGAACCACAGTTTCACAATGCAGTTACGGAAAGGCCAGTAATAGCCCTGGCTGGCTCCTCCATGTCATAGATATCTTTAAAATCAGAGATGTATCTAACCCATTTTGGAAAGCATACCTTAAAACATTAAAGTGTTTTTGATATTTCAAGGAAAAGGCTTCCGACATGTGAAATGTTTATTTTCTAGATTCTCTTATTCCAAAATGAAATCAAACGTGTATGAAGCTGTGGGATGTGTCGTTTGCCCCTTGAAGCTATAGTGTGGTAGAAATTGAATCTTTATGTCCAGAAGCCCAGTGTCTGTATTATTAGTTTTGCAAACATCTGTGGGCTCTAAGTGATTGATAAATACTATGTATAGAATTAACCTAAAGTTTAGTTTGAAGACCCTACTTCATAGATCAATATGAAAATGATGCCAGCAAAAAATATAGTTTAGACATTGTGCCTTGGAAAAATATTTCTATTTATATTAATGAGCTTATGTGATGTCATCACAACTCATTCTAGGAAAGATCTAGGTCAGTGTAATCCTATCTAGAGAAAGTTAAAAAAGAATAATTGTTGACTTGGTATTCTTCGTAGTCAGAAACAAATTAAATGACAAATTATGACACTATTTTTTATTACATGACAGACAAATAAAAAGTTACCATATATTAAATGCTCAAGAGGTTAATATCTATAAAGCAGAAATATAAACTGTAAATCAGTAAGAAATACCAGTAACTCAGTGGATAAATAATCAAAGGCTATGAATAAGACATTTACAAAGGAATAACCAAAAATAGGCAGTAAGTATCCGAGAAGATGATCAATCTTTGTCATGATTAACACATCAATGAGGTGCCATTTTTGTCAACATTATGGGAGTAAAAATAAATGACTAGATAATGCTTAGTGTTGATTGTGGTTTGGAGGAAAGGGGTGTTGTCATGTATTAGTGGAAGAGCACACTGTTCAAATTTTGGAGCAGCATAAATTGGCAGTACTATAAAAATTAAAAATCTACACACCCAACAATCTAGTAATTCCACTTAATTGGTATACAGAAATACTTGCACAAATTCACAATAATTTATGTACCAGGATATTTATCAGCAGTTTTATTTATAATAATGGAAAACTGAGGGCAATCTAACTATAAGTCAATACATAATCCATACTCTGAAATACAAGTCATTAAAGTTATTAAGTAATGTCTGAAGATATTAACATAGAAGGATGAGCTCAATATATTAATGAATGCAAAAAAATGTAGAATGGTATACAGTACATATAGCATAGTAAGCTCAACTAATGGATTCATGGTACTTGTTTCCATTATTTTATTGTTGTAGTAGGAGCAGAAAAGTAGTAAAAGTATTTTAACCCAAAGAAAAAAAATGCTAGCATGAAAATCACAGTTCAATAAAGTGTTTTTATATCAGTATGTTTATTAATAATTAAAAGTATTAATAAGTTTACTTCAGGAATAAGATTAATTTACGTATCTGTGAGAAACTTCGTGATATACATCAAAATATTAAAGTAATCATGCTATATTTTTCTTTTCATTCTGAAGACCACCTCTTGCAGGTAACTTTTTCTATTTTATTATACTGTCCTATTCTCCTTTCTTTACTTAGTTATATATCACAACTATAGAAGAAATAGGTTACCTGTTACTTGCAGAAATGTCACTCACTATTAATATTACTTTGCAACACAGAAAATTTTTCTGAATAATTAGAGGCAACTAAGCAAGCCTAAATGGAGTTGGTTAATTAAGTTATAAAATTCTAAGGGAGTATGATGAACCATGTAGACATATGAGCTTTCTGTTCTGCTTTTTTATCAAATGTTTCTGGCACCTGGGTTTTCTCAACTGCCCTTCTGTTGAATATGATTTTCGAATTGATGTAATGAAGAGTGGTGCTCTCTGGACAAGTAAGCTGTTCATTTGTAGAATAATAATATGTCAACACATATTTTCCAAAATAACAGTCCTACTACCGTAAATGTCTTGGAAACAGTTACCTGACACCCAGAGAGTAAGTACAACTAGCCTAGAGCCTTGGTCTGACACCAAGCAAGAGGGTTTATGAAAGAAGATAGCCCAGAAAGCTGGAGCCCTGCTCTGCTGTGTCGACATGTCTACAGCTCAGAATAAAATTGAGTTTCCTGCTTTAGCCATAGCTGGGTCTTAAAATAACCTGAAGAAATTATAGTTCTGATTACATAGAAAGTGAAGGACTTAGAACATTCTCCTAATAAAGCCATGAGAATGACACAAAGCTTAGTCATCGGCAGTCCTCCTCTAACAGGCGTTTTAGAGAGAAAAATAGAGGTTTGAAATTGGATAATTTGATTTGAAATCTTGCCTAATTATTTTAAGAATGCAGAAAACCTTTCTTTTTTGGCCAAAAAAATAATGATCTGGAATCCAATTAGGAAAGAACAGGCTTTTAAAATGTTTGATATCTCCAGTAATGGAGAAAAATCATGTCTTTAAAATTACATTCTGCTACAAACCTCATTCTTGGATGTCTTGCTTTTTGCATTTTGAATGGACAAATTTAATGTAATTTCCTTTTGGAAACATGGCATTGGAAAAGTTAGATGAGATGTTTAATTTTATGTTGGATCCTATCTACCAGGGTACAGATTTTTAAGAAGAAAAACACTTCTTGTTTCGTTTTATTTCCCAAGGGAGATATCTCACTTAACCAGATGCCTTGCGATTTGTCACAATATAGATCATTTACACAGAATTTGTGTCCAGTCGTCCATCTATTTGATTTGCACACCATGAATAAAATAAGCAAAATGGATAAAGCTTCTAATACTCCCAATTAAAAAATTGCTATCTATTTTTTCACCATTAATATGCTATCCCAAATGGCATTTATCACCATACTGTCTCACCATATTTATTCGTATGCTGTTGTTTTCTCAAGATACGTTCAATTCAGATTATGTTTGACTTGCAGCCATATCAATAATATGACTAATAATAAACAACAGTCTAGGATTTCCAGTTTTTAGAAAAACGATAATAAATTTGAAGTGAACCTATATTCAGATTTACATTTTACTTAGTATTGTTTTTAAAAAAACATTCAATTAATATTCTGAAATGATTCCATTTATTTTTACTACAAAGTTAGCTGGACCTTTACAGCATTTTAGAGTTTTACACGAGGTTTAGATTTGACTAAGCCTTAGTACGATGTCTGGAAACAGGAGGTTGAATGAACATTTGTTGAAAGGAAAAATCAGTTATTGAAATATTGTGTCTTCTGTTATCATTCTTGAGAAATGGTGGTGAGACAACTTAGTAGAAGTGACTAACAACTACATATATACAGAAGACAGGATGTAAGTCTCCAAGGTAATCAAGACCAACAGGAGGATGTTAGACCAAAATTAACACCGCGAGAAATGTGTTATGCATATATTACAGCCCACGTGTGAAAATCTGTTCATTTATAGAGAGATTGCTTCTCTGTGAATGGCTAAGTTGGCTCCACTAAGTACAAAAAAGCACTTAGGGCCATTCAGAACTAACAGCCACACACTCTGAAAGACTAAACCAAAAGATACCTGATTAGTAAGTGCTCTTTAGATGTGGGGATAGACGTTTTAACAAAGAAAGGACAGGGATGGAGAGGACTAAAGCTCCGTGCTGGGAAACTCTTAAGGAGCCAGGGCCTCCCAACAATATGCTAAGAGTGCACCCCTAGCTGTCTGGCCACATTTTCATTTCTTGTCTCAATCCTGAGGATTAATCATGAATTCCAGTCCAGTTTCTTTCCAAGCATATAACTGGACATGACAGAGTATCTTAGCTTCTACATCATAAAGCTCAATTGTTAATACTGAAAAAAAAAAAGCAGGGTGGTTTTTTTAAAAAAAACAAAAAACAAAAAACAAAAAAAAAAACATCTAATGAGCAAACAAACCAAACATGCCTCTCTTATTTCTTGTCCTGTCTATTTTTTATTTAAGCGCTGTAGGTGAGGTAATTGAAATGGAGCCCATGATATGTCTTAAGAAGGATTAATAACATTCAGTGACCATTAAGTGCTATGAATTTTCAATGTATAATGTTTTATTTGTTTCTCCCAGGAATCCTCTTTGTAGGTGGTAAAAATCATTTAACAAGTGAGGAAACTGAGCTCAAAGAGGCTGAATAACTTTAATTAACAAGCATTTATGGATGTCCACTGTATTTAGGCCAAAGTAAATGATGTAGTGTCTTGCTTCCAAGAGCACATTGTCTAGAGTGGAGGAAAAAGGCAAAGTAAACATGAGAGAATAGGTGCTAAAACTAGACTTTGCAATATTGAGAAGGCCTGGGAAGCCTTTCAAAGGAAATAAATGAAGGGGAGTTCAGTGTTTTTGAAGATGGTTGGAGGACATGATCTATAATGTTGCCATGGCTGGAGATGACACTGCAAACCAGGCAGGAGACAGATGATTAAGGACCTTTAATTCCATGCAAAGCTAGTGACTTTGAACTTCTAAAGGATTTTAAGAAGAGCTGCATGATCAGAAATACTTCTTGGAAAAGTAACTTTAGCTGCTGTATAAAGGATGGGACACTCCTTAAAATGGGTTGTGTAATTATCACATAACCTCTAACTATTAACTAGAAGTGCCCAGCAAGGAATAGGGAGAGAATAGTAAGAGTGAACTGGAAGGACCAGAAAGAGATAAATTGGGAATTCATGCAAGAGGTAAAGGGACAAATTCAGAGTCTGAGATTTCCACATTCATAACTGGGTAGATGTGTTGCCATTATTCATTCATTAATTATTTTTTGAGTGTCTCTTATGTGCCAGACATTATCTTCGTGCCAAAATAGATGACAGAGCAAAACAACCTTATATATTTGCCCTTGTGGAATGTGAAATCTACACTGTTTGCACATGTATATGTGTGTGTGTGTTGGGAGACTGATAATAAATTATAAATGTACATAATTATGTAATTGGTTAGAAATGGTGCTGTTAGATGAACAAAAGGTAGGGCAGAGAAAGGTGGTTCATGAGTTGGGAGAGAAAGGTGCACCATCACATAGAGTAGTTAGAGTA
Organism: Homo sapiens; assembly: GCF_000001405.40. Lineage (NCBI taxonomy): Eukaryota > Metazoa > Chordata > Mammalia > Primates > Hominidae > Homo > Homo sapiens. Next base: position 18,523,783 of record NC_000007.14, read on the forward strand.
GGTAATTTTTATGAAGGTAAGATTTTCAGCAAAGGATTGGAGAAGGATTGTTAAGGTGAGGAATTACACAAGAGACAGATGAGGAGATTTAAATGTAGACCCCGCCCTCCCCCACCTCCCCCTCCCCGCTCCGCCCTGCTTCCCATTGCTTGTCTTGCTATTCACCTGGACTGGCAGAATAAGCGTGGAGCTTGGTAGGTAACATTGATTGACTATCACAAAATGAAGTGTAGAGCAACACTGAGAGTAGGAAAACCTTACACTATGAAAACATAGAGGGGAAAGAAGCACTTCTTCATCTGGCTGGGTTAGCTATTCTCAGGATAGGTACTCAAGTATGGAAGGTATATAGAGATTGGGCCTTGGCATACATTCATATCTACACAGATAGCATCTATTTACCTGTGTAGTGAATGTGAGCATGATAATTCATGTAATTAACTGCCATATTTCTTGTAGGGACTGAAAGTTAACAACTTTGTATATTAATACTCTAAGAGAACTCTAACTATAGTCTCCAACAAGAATTGCAGGGATTTTAAACTCATAATTACTCCTCAGCTGTAAATTTCAGATGTGGGTTATTGCTTTTTCTCATTTAGGGGAGTGAAATTGCTTCAGCCATCGACTTTGTGATGAGGCCTGCAGTCAGCTGTAGTTGAGAGGGGTGCTCACTCTCTGCTATTATTAGTAGTTTGTCCACGTAAAGACAATCATACAACATGTACAAAAGTTGGATTCAGGATAGCAACATATTATGTTTTGTGGCTGCAAGATATTTAAATCTAACACCAATAGCATAACGTTTAAAAACAAAAATTTTATTGAAAATAAAGTTTATGTTTGGGGCAAAGGAAGATTAAGAGGATAGGAATATATATTTTCCCATTCTTAACTCTGTCTCTCTTCTAGGGATTGAGAGATACAGAGAGATTGAGAGAGTGAATTGGAGTGAGTGGATATGAGTTATATAGCACTGCCTAATGGATTATTACCTCCCAAACCCCTGAGTTGAAGAGTAGATGGAGAGCCTGTGTAAAAGATTTTGGGTAGACGATTTTGAAATAAAACTTAGTGACATACACACACACACACACACACACACACACACACACACACATTACAGATAAGTATATATATGGAAAAATATGTATACGCAAGGAAAATACTGCTGTTCTAAATGTAGTATAATGATTTTAATATACTACCCAAGAAATCTTATGAGACTTTAAAATCATTTTAAGATTTAATAATAGTAATGGATTTAATTTTTTTAGTATGCTATTCATTACAAACTAGAAAAATCCTAATAAATCAGTCTGAATCAGTAAAGCCTCATAGATTTCCATGCAATAATGTGTTTCCTCAGTTGCTTTTACAGGAAAATAATTACTAATTATTTGATAAATTTAATTTTGGAGCAAATGTGTTGACAGCTGAAAAAACATGTAATGACTTGGATAGAGACCAGATATAACACTAGAACAAATAATATTGGCGACTTAAAAAAATAGTAACTGATGAAAAAAATCTAATTGCGTTAAATATTTTAAAGTACCTAAAAATACCAAGGATTTTGTATCTTTTGTCCTTTTCTACTTGAAATTTCTTAATCATTTTGGTGATCATACAAGATAAATCTTTAAAATTACTGTGTGAGTATTCTTAAAATAAATATAATTCTTTGGTTAAACTATACTTCTCTAAATTACATGCAGTCTTAATAAAATAATTCCTATGGATGTTAATGTTCATTCTAAACAATTTTGCTCAATCCATATTTTTGTAAACTGCATTGCTTTGCTTTTTTTAAAAGCTACTGTTTATATAGTCCTAGTTCCCAGTTTTTCATATATACTGTATTGTGTCTTTAAAATTAGAAATGCTGCTGAAACATAGAATATATTAATCCTTGATGAAATGGGACCTCTCTTTGAGTATAGGACTGTTGCCTGTACAACTAAGTCTAGTCTTTCAGAACAGAATAGGATGCTGTATATCTGTTCCCTGGAACTTAGATCCTTTGGCCTTGGTTCTACCTGACTTTGAGAAATTACAATCCCTAGTTTTTGTACATGTTTCACTTACTTTCTGCATACGATTTCTGGCTTACTTGACTCTTAAGTTCTTGCTGCCAGTCTTGCCTCTGCAGCAGTCCACATTCTCTCACCACCAAAGACATAATGTCTTGTGGCTTCCCCACTTTTATCTCTTTGCCTGCTACTCAACATTTGTTCTGCACCAGATGAAAGTCACTGTTTTAGGTACTTTTTAGGGGTACATAAATAATTATTTCCTTCAAGAAGCCAGCAATCTGCATAGGAAAGGTTCACAAAGCAATTTTGAAATAATTTAATAAGTCTGCATAATGGATTATCACATGAGCTTTGTAATTTATACTATTTTGTTGGAATTGTATAGCAATATTTATAAGTTGTTACTATTTGAGAATTCTTGTGTCTTAAATCATCTTCCTATTAGACTGATATACAAGTCTCCCCATTGACCACCCCCAATGCCAAAAAGAAGCATGCTGTGAACACTGCAAAGTAAACTATTAGAAATTAATGGTCACTACCTATAAAGATAGCAAAATACTAAAGGGGTGGTATTTTATGAGCAATGGAAACTTTTGTTGTAGATATTTCAACTGACACTGTGCCTTTATTACTACTTTATACCTACATCTGAAGATCCAGACTCTAGTAGTTGTAATACAATAGATGCAAACAGTGGGAACATCTAGTTCTTGTCAATGTGTCACCAAAACATATTATCAAAGCTAATCTCATAAGGGTGTCAGAGGAAATTAAAGTTGCCTTTGGCTGCATGTTATAAGAACTGACTGAAATTTTAAACTACCTCAGTAGCTGACTATATACAGCAGCAGGAAGCCTTCAATTAACTGCACCAGTTCTATTTGTAGTACAAAGGATCTATGGCTTAGGATAGCCTACATAACTTAAAAAGAAAAAAACTCAACTAGATCTTAACAGTATCCTGAAGTACAGCCTGAGAGAAAAGGATAGATAGGGTCAGATAGGAGCATGGAGCATAGTAACTAATTCAAAGACAAGGGGGTCTTAGGTTGAGCTTTAAAAAATGTTCTGTCTAGTCAATAAGAAATTCAGAGACAATGTCTTTGAAAGAAAGGTAAGCCAGAATGAAGAGTAGCAGTCTACATTCTAGAGATTATAACAATAAAAGTCAGCAATATTAAATGATTTAGTATAGAAAAAGGTGAGCTTTTACAAGAATAATGGATAGAAAAGAGTTCTTGAGGTTATTAAGTAGAAATTCACATGGATTTAATAATGAAAGATCATTTCCACATGATCCTCAGGCCCTGTTTCTTGGACTGTAATTAAGAAGAAAAATGGAAGAACACTAAGAGAAAGGACTAGGAAGTGGTAGTGGCTCTAATGTTCTTCTTTTACCTTTTGAAATGCTACCTGATACTAATTTTTGAGAAAAATTTGTTGGAGAGTGAAACTTGCATGTCTTTTGGATAATTTTATTTAAAGGTGAATGATCTCAATTTTACCTTCTTTGTTTTTCACAGTTGCCTCCCTCTCCTTTTGCTATATGGACTATATGTATCTAAGTAAGTTAATGTTGGAAAAAAGTTTAAACATTGAGAAAATTACTGAGGGTGTCTGGGTAATATCTCAGAATTAGATTTGAAAGTCACTGAACGATATGTTGTGGCTCAATGAGGAAGTTGTTAGATTTGTGATAATACCGAAAAAAATCCCTCTTTTGGTTTTATCTAAATTAGCATTCACAATACAAAAGTCATTCTAAGAATTATAATTAGGAGTCTGACATTTTACACAGAATTTGGTAGTTATTTTTGGTAAATAATTTTTACAGAGGATGTTTGATCAAATTAAAATGTAAAAATTTTAAGGATCAACCTATGATTTTCTTGTATTAATATATTCACGTGGGATCTAAATGCTGAAAAATTGTATTATTATTTTTTCTAGTTTCAAATCTACCAGAATGTTTATCTATAACAACTTCTATACAGAAGTTGTTTAAAGTTCATGGAAACTATCTTCTGTAGGAGACAGTTTACAGTTTACAGTTCTGTAAAATGAATCATAAAATCCAGAATTTTGCTCCACTTGTCCCATTACTGATCCATAAAAACTGGATTTAATTTCTACTGTAGTTATTTTTAAAAAATACACATTTGGTACCTTAAGAATGAAATAATTATAGGTCGGGCATGGTGGTTCACTTCTGTAATCCCAGCAATTTGGGAGGGCGAGGCAGTAGGATCACTTGAACTCAAGTTCAAGTGGAGTTTGAGACCAGGCTGAGCAATAAAGCAAGACTCAGTCTCTACGAAAATAAAAATAAAAATAAAAGTAAAAAAGTAAGCCAGGTGTGGTGGCACATGGGAAGCTGAGGTGGGAGGATTGGGGAGGTCGAGGGTGCTTCTGTAGAAGTTTTCCATGAAGTATTTTTTTTTTTTTAAATTAGGTCGAATTAATTTGCTTATTTTTCAGAAAATAGATTTTGGAGCTGGTAAGAAGAAATGAGAAATACTAATATAGCATATTAGAACAAATAACATTTTATATAAGTGAAAACAGAAAAAAATTAGGTAAAATGATATATTTATAAGCCCAGTGAAGGAAATGGAATGAATTATCTTCTGGGTTTTCAGACCAAATGGACTGTCAGATCCTTTAGTTAAAAATTTGAAATATCACCTTTAAAATTAAGGTTTAGTCTTCTCTTCTTTGCCACTTTACTTACTTTTCAGGGCATTAAAAATTACTTAGCAAACTCATAATTATGTACCAGAATAATTCCCTTTAATAGGAATTTTATTCTAGGAAATCATTTCTAAAAGTGATAAAATTTTACCAATTTACAAATACTTTTGTACTAACAGTATTAATAACAATGAATTTTATAGTAGTGATAGATACATAAGGAGACAGGAATCGATGAGCATGGGACTTATTATGGAATATAGTTGACCATGTTTCAACATATGAAGTATTATTAGAAAGTGATACCTCTCTACCTCCACTCTTCTTTCTAACTTTAACAATTTCCTGCCCAGTCTAGGGTGTGCATATTTGGAATTATACCTATTTACAAAGGAACCACATAAGTAAAAAACATGAGATAAAATGGCTATTTTAGCCATCAGAGTTTTTCTGGGGTATTTGTATTACATTTCTGTTTTCTTGCTTGATGTCTTTATCCTTCTGTCATGTGAATCTCTTTATTCCCAAACATTTGTCTGGGTATTAAACCTTTTTTCTTATATGACTCAATGTTAAGAGAGCCTCAAACAGCTAAACAAAATAACAATGAGTGGAAAATTTCTGTAGCCAAGAAGAAAATTAAAAATAGGAGACAGAAAATAACCAGAGAAGAAAAAAAAAATCTTTTGAAAAATGGTCAAATGTCATCCAGATAACCTTCCAAGGAAAGCTGCCTCTCATCTCCTTCCCCCTTCTTTTCCTTCCTCATCTTCCTAAGGTTGTCAGTTGGCATAGGACATAAAAGTAAATAAAAAGATGGGCATAAAAGCAAATCAAAAGTGGTAGGAAAGCAGCCAATAAAAATGGGGAGGTATTGTCCCAGAATAAGGACAGAGATTTTACTTTAGCCAATTCCAAGTTAAGTTTTCATCCAACACTTAGTTTGGTATTTACATGAATGCTTGTATAGATTTCCAAAGTAGATGCCAAAGTAGATTGAGGAAGTTAGTGGATTAGTCCCTAGGGTTTGTTTGTTAAAAGAATTTGAGAAGCTTCCCATAATAACTTTAACATAACAGAAAAGAAAACTGATAATTGTGTGTATTTCGTGTATTTATGGTTATATACATTATGTAGTTTATTTCATCCATAGACTTGTTTTTTCTCAATCATTTCTTTAGTTGTTTTAGAATTAAGAAAATGCATTCATACATTGTTGAGGAAAGAGTCTTGAACTCATTGGATTCACCAATGTTTAAAATCTTTATTGCACCAATTTTTTTAAATCTTTATTGGTTTTCATTGATCTGATGTGGTTCATGATTTTCCATGACATTCACTCTTTTAAAATGAATCATAAAATCCAGCATTTTGCTCTGCTTGTCCCATTACTTATCCATAAAAACTAGATTTAATTTCTACTGTAATTATTTTTTTAAAATACACATTTAGTGCTTTAAGAATGGAATAATTACAGGTCGGGCACGGTGGTTCACTTCCGTAATCCCAGCAATTTGGGGGGGTGTGGCAGGAGGATCACTTGAACCCAAGTTCAAGTGGAGTTTGAGACCAGGCTGGGCAACAAAGCAAGATCCAGTCTCTACGTAAATAGAAATAAAAATAAAAAAAATAAGCCAGGCATGGTGGCACATGGGAGGCTGAGGTGGAAGGATTGGGGAGGTTGAGGCTGTAGTGAACCATGATCATGCCACTCCTGTTCTGCCTGGGCAACAGAGTGAGATCCTGTCTTAAAACAAAACAAAAAAGAATGGAACAATTATAAAATAATGTATGTTCTATCTGAAAACAATGTCGTTAACACTTTATGGAAGCTGTCCCCAGAGTTGAGGGACACTTGCTGATGTGAAGTTAGCCAACACATGACTGCTTCAGAATAGAAACAATGTTCAATGGTGTTGAACAAAAAAAAAATGCACCCTTGCTAAAGCTACTTCTAATGCTGTGTAGCTCTAACAAATGATTTATACTGGTTTTCCATTTAATGAGCTGGCAGGGAGGATTTTTAGCTACTGCAAAATCTTCTAGAAAAAAAAGAAACTTGTTGAGAAGTCTCTGAAAGGGTGTGAAGTTTCTTATTTTACATTCATTAACTTTTTATTTTATTCAAAGTTCAGAAATAGGCTATTGGTCATGCATTGTGAACTCACCATCTGGCTCCATCCAGCTTCCTGAGGGATTTCCCCCAGTGTCACAGTCTTCTGATGTACTTCATGTTTGTAAAAGTTTTGAATGCTTAATTATATATATAAAATATATATTTATATATGTATGTGTATATGTATATATAAATACATATATGTAACACTTATAAAAGTGTGAGAATTTAAATATAGATACATAGTTAAAAAAATCAATCGGTATATAAAGGCTTACAGTGAAAAGAAATTATCCTCTATTTCACTTCAGCTTCAGCCCGACTCGTTTCAGTACTCCAGCCCTGCCTCCCATATTAGCCATTTTAACAATTTTTTACTCGTATGCTTCTAGTGCAACCTCTCTGTCTTTAAATAATATTCTTGCTTTATTCACTTTCAGCATTGTCTATTGACTTAATGCATGGTAATAAGAATAACTCACCAATTTTTCTCTTTTCTCCCCTGCTTCAAACTATACTTACTTTATTCTTAGTTCATTCATTTATTATAATAATTATTATTAATTAGTGTTCAGAAACCTCAGGAAGAATAATTCTCTTAACTGGTTTCTAAGTTGTTGAGATATGTGTGGATCTGAATGATTTGGAAAGTAAGTAAGTGGACTAGCAAACTGTAAGCATCATATAAATATGCTTTATTAAGGAATGTGGTTACACTCAAATTACTCTTTTACTTAAGAAAATAAGAATTTAAACCACTTGACATAAACTGCAGGAAATTGTTGAATGATTTATCTTAATTTAATTTCTTTAAATTCTTTCCTGTGATGTGCTAATATGTATGTAATTAAGAACCAAATGAGAAATGTACTCTTGAAAAAAACTTTAAGTTTTGAAAACCTTATAAAAATATAAAAAGTCATTTTTCCCCTATGATTAAAGAAAATCAAGTTAATGCATGACCTATATGTTGCTCCTTGACAGTCTTTAATAGACAAAATACTGGATTTCCTATAAATAAGAAAATGGAAAGGAAAAAATCCTCTGTTCCTTTCATACTTTTACCCCCTAACTCTTTAACTATACAATGTAGTTCGGCCTCTAATGTGCTTGTGTAAGCAAAACTCAATACCCTTAACCTCCGAGAACCACACTTCTACTGTTGGAGTTCTATTGAACTCCATTTCAATGCAAACAAGTAAAGGAAATGTTTAAAAAGTTGACGTGTGATGAGAAATGAACTCTTTTATGTTTTGTCAAAATTTGGTGCTTCTGGAAAAAAATTGTCAAATACATTTTTTGGTCCAAAGCTTTCATTTTATATTTAAAGAATTAAAAGGCTGGGCACAGTGGCTCAAGCCTGTAATCCCAGCACTTTGGGAGGCCGAGGCAGGTGGATTACCTGAGGTCAGGAGTTTGAGACCAGACTGGCCAACATGGTGAAACCCTGTCTCTACTAAAAATACAAAATATTATCTGGGCATGGTGGTGCACACCTGTAGTCCCAGCTACTTGGGAGGCTGAGGCAGGAGAATTGCTTGAACCTGGGAGGTGGAGGTTGCAGTGAGCCCAGATCACACCACTGCAGTCCAGCCTGTGAGACGCCATCTCAGAACAACAACAACAACAAAAAACCAAAACAAACAAACAAAAAACCACAAAGAATTAAAATACTTCCATACTAAGGCATCACATTTTGGCCATCCAGGAACACTGTTGCCTACAGTAAGATTATGAGCTCTCCTAGAGGTATGATTCTAAAGCAAGATTAATGCATTTGATTATTTCTGGATACAGGGATGGGAAGAGAAGTGGTCTAATTATTCATTTAAAATATACCAATTCCAAAAATTAATTTGTTCTTTCTTGTTTAATTATATGATTTTCTTAGAACATCATAAACTTCTTGTTTATGCCTCTTCTCTCTACTCTGAATATTGACTATCGTGAGAGCTGTTCAGGCATTAAACACCGATTTGAATTTTGGGTTCTCTATGAGTGAACAAGTAAAATTATCAAAACGTTATATATTGATCCTATACCGTTTTTGTTTTAAATCAAAGTAAGTCATGCATTTAGTTTAAAAAGGAAAAGGTCTTTTAATGAAAATAGCAGTTCTCTACTCTGCCTCTCCCCAATCCTCCTTTTCACTCCACAGCAGCAACTACCTTCAACAGTTCTGGCTTTCTTCTGTTTTTTTTTTTAACTTTAATATTTCTAAATAACATATCCGTTTAGAAAATTATTTGTTTATGCATTTTAAGCACTATGCATTGTTTTCTCAGCCTGTGAGATGAGGAGGTTCCCCTGTACCCATATGTGTTCACCCACAGGAGTGTGCTTGTGTGTGTGCACACACACAAATATGTACACTTTTCTTCTCTACTCTTCCCAGTAGTTGAATCAAATCAATAGTATTTATATGACTAGTCAAATGTTTACTGCTGAACCAAGTCATGTATTATAACCATGTCAATTTTCAAGTTCAACTTAGGCTTTTTTCTGAAGTTCATTGCAAAATCGTACCCTCTATTTATCTGGTTTTGTATACTTGCATGTTTCTACCATGTGCTTAAAAATAAATATTTTCCACACCTGCAGCACTTCAACTCTATTTTCTCCGGGAGTTTCCAGCCTTCTTTCTCTATTGGGAACTAATTGCTTTAGGCTCCCCACTCATCCTTGGTCTGTTCCTTTGCTGTTCTTTTGCGTAATCCTCTCTTTCTTGGATTCTTGTAGCTTCTTTGTCGGTTTTATTTTTGTTTTAATTTTCAGAAGAATATTTTACAATAGCTTATATTTGTTGAATTTTTACATACCTGAAAATGTCATTTTTCTATCTTTTTCAATGATAGATTTGTATGACTGGGCATAGAACCCTTGTGGAAAATTATTGTGAGTTCTAGTCCCAATTTGACTCTCTTTCCTTTGCATTTGGCTTCCCCAACACATTTGGAAGCTTTTTAGAATCTTCTCTTTATCTCTGTGGTTCTAAAATTGTATAACAGTGTATCTTACCTTATTCATTTTCTCGGTTATTCTATGGCCTCTTTCACCTTGGAGGCTTATGTTTTCAGTATTTAGATACTCACTCGAATTATTTTCCTTTCTTTAATATAACTTCTTCTCCTTTGTGTTCTCTACTCTTATTTTTCTGCAGTTCTTACTAGTTCAGTGTTAGACCTTCTGATTAGAGTCTAATTGTATTTTCTTTCAGGTAGATTTAGTTCACTTTGTCTTCAAGAACATTTAGTGACATTTTAATTTAAGTTACTGAGTTTTTAATTTCAAAGAGTTTAAAATTTTTTTTTAAGTTTTTCATCAAAGTGCACCGTTCTTTATTTTAATGTAGTAGGTAACTTCCTCTATTCGATAGAGGCTATTAATTATAGTTAACCACATTTTAATTTTTCTGCGTGCACTTTATACTTTTTCTCTGCTCTCCTCCTTTCATGTTTGTTTTGATCTCTCCTGCGTGTTGGGAGCCTTCATATTTAAAATGAGCATTTGATCTTTGGAAGCTCATCATTTGTGTGGCAATTGTAGCATAGAGGGGTTCTGGTATAGACGGCATGGACATTTAGCAGCCCTTTCAGTGGGTACATGTGTGTTTGTGTGTATGTGGTTAGAAAGAATCCTTGCATGTGCAGGCGTGATGGCTCACAGCTGTAATGCTAGCACTTTGGGAGGCTGAGGCAGGAGGGCTGTTTGAGACCAGCCTGGACAACACGGTGTGACCCTGTTTCTACAAAACAACAACAACAACAAATTAGCCAGGCATGGCAGTGCATGCCTGTAGTTCCTGCTACTTTGGAGGCTGAGGCAGGAGGATTACTTGAGCCTTAGAGGTCAAGGCTGAAGTGAGCTATGATTGTGCCACTGCACTTCAGCTTGGGTAACAGAATAAGACCTTGTCTAAAAAAAAATTTAGAGAGAGAGAGAAAAAGAGAGAATCCTTGCGTACTAGTGTCTGCATTTCTCACCTTATGAGTCGTTAGGTGTCTCAAGGAAAGAATTTTCCCAGCTTCTACTTGAAGGCAACGTGCTTGTTTGCCAGAGCTGGGGAAGTAGATGGGTGAGTGTGCTTTGTGGAACTGCACTCGATCCACCACTGTGCAGCTCTTGTGTCCCACGTTTCTGCTAGAGCTGTGGCCTCACCTCAGTTTTGTTTGTCCAGGGAATAACTCTTTATTCTTCTAGTGAAAAGAAGGGTAGTAAATACAGAGAGTGGCAGGGACTTAGAGAGGAGGAGAAATGTCTTGGCTGTGAGGGTATGGGCATGGTGATTTAAGGATGCTACAATCAGACCTTAAACCAGTCCCTGCGCTTTTGACCTTGCGCTTGACCACTCGTCTTCCTCTGTGCCTTTCTGCAAGTTCTGAACCTCTTAGGGATTCTCTGGCATGAGGCTGCTTGTTGCTCACTCACTGCAGTTACTTCGGGTTGTGCTTTCTCCTTTCAGTGGGGCTGTTAATCACTATCCAACTCACTTTCCATCTTCAGCAATTCACTGAACTCTCCTGCTCATTCTTGTCATCTCTTCCCTCTTCTTTTTTTGCTGTAGGTTTATAGCATTTTAATTCTTTTACTGTCATTTTATGGCATTTCTGAAGGGAGTAGAAATAAATGCATTTGGTCAATCCATCATTTTTATTCAGAAGTCATACAATTTTTAAATCACCCCCAAATTGATATAATAAATATTATTGTTGATGTTCTTATTATTATTTATAATATGAAATATTTTAAGTTCATAATACTGGAGCCATTCTGAGAAAGTTCCTAAAATAGACTACTGCGGAAGCCCATTATTGCCATGGACCTGATATATTTACATCTATAATTTTAATGAGGATGTCATAAGATTAAAATTTGTGATGGACATTTGTGATCTCTCTCAATGATGATCTCTATTATATCTACATACATTCATTTCTTTATTAATAGCTCATCCATGCAGAACTCAATTATCCAACAATCTCATTTTATTGATAACAAATGCTAGAAAAAGAAAGTATCAGAAATGGCTTTGAAACAACGTTTGCATTGAATCTACAAACATTTTTCTGGGGATAGCCCATAAAGGCATTAAGCAAAAAAAAAAAAAAAAAAAAAAAAAAAAATTTACTTCTATTTCATAACCAAGTACAACAGCTTTTGAAATTTACATTTCAAATACACAGAACTTAGCAAACAAAACAGAAGAAAATAAGAGGGAGCCTGTGAACAGACAAGGAATGATCAATGAAACTCTACAATAAAGAGGAAGAGAGGGGAACCAGATGGTAGCCAAAGCAACTCACATTCCTATTAGGAGCTTGTAGGAGAAGCTGTAGATGCCCCACTCAAACCTCCCAGGGCTCTGTCATTTTTATGTTCCCCGGCCTGGCTCTTGTCTGCATAAACCTCTCTTTGCCTCAGAGCTTTCTTTTGTAGTTCAAGCCTACACTGCAACCCAGGTGCATGACAGGTTAAAAGTGCCAGAGAATTAATGCCACCAGGAAGCAGCCTGCAATGAATGACTGGCAGAATTGATGTGTAAATATCCCAGCTTCCTTGCCCCTTGGTTAAGTCTAAAGTATGTGTTGTGCACTGGTGACCAGAGGTCCCTGGAAGGATGAAGCTCCAGTTGTCACTGTGGTAATCTGCCTGCTTTCTTGGCTGCCTTCCTTTACTGTCTCATTTCTCTACTCTACTATAAGCATGATGTTTTCCCGAATCAGCTCCCACCTAAACCACAAATTTGAACTAAAATTTGTAACTTAATTTGGAAGAGCCCAAAATAAGAAAGAACTATTTAGATTTGGAGAACAATTACGTATTCCTCAACAGGACATTATTATATGTACAAAAAGTGAAATATTTAATTTTCAGGATGACCCACATTCAGTGAGGAAACATTCAGTTACATTCAATATATTCTATTTAAGAACATAAGGATCATGTATATGTTTAAGAAGACTTCTACTTAATCTAGCTAATACATTATGGTTCCAGTGTTTGACCTTTACTTATATGGAAATTTAAACCACCCTGAATGATTCATCTGATTAAAATTCTGGATATATAAGAGCTCTTGGGTTAAGGAAAACACGTGTGAATGTTAAGGTACTTTAAGGAAATAGGAGATTATTAACTAAATTGTATACAACAAAAATCCTCCATAAGCCTCTGTAAATTCAAGAGAATATACTAGGGAGGGTATTAAATAAGTTAGTTATAGTTACTACTCTTTTGGAAGATAGAATATTCTAAAATATTTAAAAAGTTAACACATTTATGAAATAAATGCTTGCATAAAATACTATGTGTATATCTGTGTGTGCTTTCTCCCAGCTTCCCCTGGAAATTAGTTTACTAGAATATCCTTATTGCTAACACATTTCCACGTTCTCCTGACTCTCTTGGGATCATCTGAACTATGGGGCTAACTTACTCTCACTCTACTACAAAAATTTAACTAACAGGAATAATCGTAAAGCAAACATTTTAAGTGTATCCTGAATAAAAAATTGTCTCCATGCTTCTCCATTCTGCTTTCTCATCTTCTAACAAAAACTACCAGAAGAGACTAAGGACTAAATTTTGGGACAGGTGAAGGAGAGAGTTGAATCTCTCTGCCAGGAGAATGGAAGAAACATATCTGTTATCGTTGTTGTTTCTAGAGGAATGGAACCAAACTAAGGGGTTTGGGATAGAGGAGAAAAGGTTTGGAAAAGGAATAAGAGAGAGGAGCCAATAGACTTGAAAAATAGCTTGTATCGAATTGCATTTTACAGTGATTGTGCTGCACTCATCTCCAATGCTACAATAAAATCAAATGCCCACAAAAAGACCACAAATTAATGAGTGATTTATTTTTAAATAAATAAAATAAATAGGGATCAAAAGCAGAAACTTTTTTTTTTTTCTAATTTCTGTCAACAACAGAATCAATGCCAGGACAGGGATAAAGGTGGAAAATGCAAAGCCAAAAACAATAATTTAGTGGAAACAGGAAGTTAAAGCCAGAAGTAACCTTAAGGTTCTAAGTCCTTGGAAATTCCCTTACATACAGAGAAAGCCATTGGATTTTTGTATATGGAGGGAATACTGGTTCATCCCAGTCTGACCCAAAAGTTATGCGGGAGAATAGTTAAGTTCCAGAGAGATGTAGCTAATGTCTGAGTATCTACTTAGTGGCCACAGACATTGAAAATCTTGAAAATGCCCAAATCTTGAACTTGAGCACTTCAGTTTTAGCCACAAGAGTGAAGAGGTAGACCAGCAGCTTTCCTAAGGCCTCAGTTGATGGGCCTTGCCTTCAGTCCTTCATAACCTCAGGCAGCATCATCCTCTGTGCCCAACGTGACCTCTGCTCTATTCTGTGCTTCACAAGCTTAATGGACTTACTTTGTAGTAGACCACTCATTCTTCTACAGTCTTGATTGTATGGAAAGAGGGAAACTACAGTAGTTTTTTTCTGTAACAATTGTCTGCTGTTATTTTCTGTACATTTCTCTGGCATTCACCCTGAATTCATTTTCTGGTCATGCATTAACTTACATTCTCCCGTGGGGTCTCACTTTCCATTTAGTCCTCCTGTTCCTAGACTTGATGATGTTTATCTGTGTTGTCTGGTATCCTACTAGTGACAGGTCCTGTTTATCAGTTTGCTAATTATCACACAGCTCAGCCACAGCCTTGTGAAATAAACATACTAGTTAAGTATGGTGGTATGTTAAGGAGTAAAAGTAAAGTCTGTGAGTTGCATACTTAGAAACCGTGACAGGAATTTATCGCTTCATTCTCATTGACATTTATGTTGTGGTAGATGAAAGGACAGTCTGACAAGAAGAGAGCACGTGTTTGGGAATCAGATATTCATACACTTGAATTTTATTTTTACCCCTTACTAACTAATAGCTATTTAACGGCCATGAGCCTTAATTCCCTTGTGAAGTCAGGATGGTAATACTTGACTCATGTGTGCAGTTATAAGTAAAAGGAAAGCACCCTCTACATGATAACTTTCACATGATAGGGGTATGGATAAATTATGCTTGCAATAGCATAGTCATAATAATACTTTTAAATTAGTGACTCACTTCCAAGAATGGAGTATAGGAAAGTGAAAATTGTAAAATTATAATGAAGAAACCTGGCAGAAACCTCTTTAACCAAGTTTCATTCTGTTTTCTACTTCTGTGTTAGAATGCTGGAGACTGTGTAATTTATAGAAAAAAAGAAATATATTTCTTACAGTTCAGGAGGATAGGGAGTTCAAGGTGGAGGGGCTGCCTCTAGGGAGGGCTTTTTACTGTGTGATGCAGAGGCTATCACATGATGAGAGGGCAAGAGCATGCCAGCTCAGGTCTCTCTTTATCTTCTTGTAAAGCCACAAGTTCCACCATGGGGCCTCTACCCTGATGACCTTATCTCATCTTAATTACCTCCCAAAAGCCCCACCTCCAAATGCTATCAACATATGAATTTGGAGATTAAATTTCAAACAAATGAAATTTAGGGAACACAGAAACACATTCACACAATGGCACCAAGTTATCAAGGTGAACATCACCAGTGATAAGTCATGTGGCTCTACTCTACTTATGTGGGTGTGATAGGAAGGGCACTTCACCTCGTTGTTTTTCCCCCAAATTTATATCCTCAGTCCAATCACAAAAAAACACCAGACAAATTCAAATTCAGGAATATTCTATAAAATACTTGATCAGGAATCTTCAAAAAGCATGTAGGTCATGAAAAACAAGGAAAGATGGGAAACTGTCACAGATCAGAGGAGACAGCAAGTAAATGCAACCTGGGACCCTGGATTAGATCTTAGAACAGCAAAAAGGATACTAGTAAAAACTGATGAAATTCAAATAAAATCTGTAGTTTAGTAAACGGTATTGTACTCACGTTAATTTCTTTGTTTTAACAAATGTCTTATGGTTATCTAAGATGGTAACATGGAAAACTGGGTGAAAGGTATATGGGAACTTATACTATCTTGAAAACTTTTCTGAAAATCTGAAATTATTCCAAACAAAAAGTTTGTTGTTGTTGTTGTTGTTGTTGTTGTTTAAACTGAAAAGGAAAAACATTTGGTAGGTAACAGATCAGTGGTTGCCAGGGGTTAGGGTACGGGGAGCATAAGGGAGATTTTAGGGGTGATGAGGCTCTTCTACATCTTGCTTGTGATTATAGTTATTTGAATCTATAAATGTGTTAAAATGAGGACACCAAAAATGTCAATTTTACCATATGCCAATTTGTTTAAAATAAAACAAAATAAAAGAAACAAATGTCAATGGGAAGCATAAGTACTTTTTATAGTAAATAAGGCAAAAGGGGAAAATGTTGGCCGGGCACGGTGGCTCATGTCTGTAATCCCAGCACCTTGGGAGACTGAGGCGGGTGGATCACCTGAGGTCAGGAGTTCGAGACCAGCCTGGCCAACATGTTGAAACCGCATCCCTACTAAAAATACAAAAAAAAAAAAAAAAAAAAATAGCCAGGAATTGTGGTGGGTGCCTGTAATCCCAGCTACTCAGAAGGCTGAGGCAGGAGAATCACTTGAACCCGGGAAGCGGAGGTTGCAGTGAGCCGAGATCTCACCACTGCACTCCAGCCTGGGCAACAATAGTGAAACTCCATCTCAAAAAAAAAAAAAAAAAAAAGGTTGGGTGGGAAAGTTTATAGACAGTGTAAAATTGCTGCCTTCTTTCTTACATATAACACTGTCATCATCAAATTGAAGAAACCTTATTAAATATATTTATTCTTTCCTTTAACAAATATTCATTGAATCCTAATGGTGTGTCAAGTACTGTGCTAAGCCTTGCCAGTAGACAAGAACTTGATGTGTTCTAGATGTTAAAAGAAGCCCTTATTCCAAGATAGGCCAGCATATACTATTAAAAAGTTATTGCATGAAGTCAGGGTGTAGACATATCGGGGGTTAAACAGACATGAAATATTTACATGATATTTCAAGATAATGTTGGTACTCTATTAAACAAAATGAATTATGATGACATAAGTTAAGAGGAGACTTAAGACAGCCTTGGATGTATAAAGAATTTTTGTGAAGGAGGTACAGAGAACTTGCAGAGTTTTCTTGTCTGTAATGTAAGACTATTATATTTAGAAAAGGAACATTGAAATTTAAACAATGTAATGTTTTTAGTTCAAAAGTATATTAAAATACCCAACACTAATGAGCATTTAGCATAAGTAAAACACTATTGTAAGGACTTTACATATGTTAACCTACATGATTCTCGTAAGAATTTTAGAAGATAGATACTATTATTTCCCCTGTTTTATAGATAAAGAAACTGACACCAAGCATGTAATGTGCCTAAGATCATACAGCCAGTAAGTAAGAAAGCCAGAATTTGAGTCCAGGTATTTGACTCCAAAGCACACACTCCACCATACTAAATACATGGCATCTATAGTGATGGTTATTTAACTTTCCCAGCTGGAAATAGCATTAAGTGTTTCAAATATCCAAGGAACCGTGTTTTTTTTTTTTTTTTTTTTTTTTTCTGATTGAAAATACAACTGGTTATAACATTTGTTTTTTTCTGGAAGCAGATAGCCTTTGCCATGCCTTCCAGTTGGCACCTTGCCCCTTGCTAATATGCATGGATGGGTGCCTTTTGCTTTGCAGCCTGCCAGTAGAACGTGACCTTGGCAGCCCGGTGTGCCAGCCAAGATTCCAGAAGAGCGAAAGTAGCTCTTAACTTCTTGAAGAAACTCTTTGAATCACCAACTATGCCTTGCCATATCTGTCCACATGGTACTAGTCCTTTCACAAGGGGCTCCCAAGCTAATGACTCTAATTGGGGCTCAACTGTCTCTCTAATACATTCTTTCCTTAATTTTATGTTTTTCTCTGGTTGGAATTTCCTAATGTCTAAAATATTCCATTCTGTGTTACTCAGCAACGATCTTATTTGCTTGCAAGCATTGTGGTGACAAACATAATAATTAATTATGTGGAATTTTGTTTAGAAATATTTTTGTTGGAACAGAAACAGGAATTCTATATCTGTACAGTGACTGAAATACAAGGGCCCTCTCTAAATGAATTATGTGTTTAAATGTTCAGATTTTATAGTCTATTTAATCCTGTAAATCTTAATAATAAATTTGATGGCAAGCAGACTGTGAGTGGAATTTTAGATAACAACATATGTTCATAGTGATTCATGAAAATGTAATCCTTTATGGTAAATCTGTATTATTTATACCAAATCTTTCTCTCTGGCCTAGACCGCTTTTTTAAATTCCAGACTTCCTACAGATATATCCATTTAGATCAGGGTTTTTGAGATTTGATGCTGTTAACATTTTGGACTGGCCAGTTCTTTGTTGTGGGGTGCCATCCTTCCCATTGCAGGATGTTTAGCAGCGTCTCTGGCCTCTACGCCCTAGATGCCAGTAGCACAACACTCCACTCTGTGGTGACAATCAAAAATGTCTTCAGAAGTTGCCATAAGACCCCGGGGCAATAAAATCATCTCTATTCACGAACCACTGATCTCGATGTTCTATAGGCTTATGAAAAATGACATATACAAAATTAAACTCATTTTCCCCTTAGAGCTTCTCCTACAGAGGGGTTAGGAGCATATCTGAAGCAAACTCTGCCTCCCTGCTTTGATAGCTGTGGAACTTGATCAAATTACCAACTTCTCTATACCTCAATTTCCTCATCTCTAATATAAATACCTTAATAAAACCTCCTTCATATGACTGTTAGGAGGATTGAATGAACTAATATGTATAAAACATTTAAAGCAGTTCCTGGCACATAGGATGCCTAAGTTAATATTTGAATAATCAATTAATACTATTAAATGTTAGCAATAGTCCTACAGTACAGGAAAATTCTAAGATTTTTCTTTGTATAGAATATGTGCAGATACTTTTTTAAAAAGATTAATAAGTGACAGTAAATACATGCAACAAAGCTCAACATCATTAATAATCAAGAAAACACAAAATAACATCATGATATATAAATCTATTAAATTTGGAAATATTTTTAAAAATACTTCATATTAATAAGATTGTGGCAAAAGGCCCTGTACTGTACTGATGGGAGAATATGTGTCTGTTTTCTTTCTGGAGGATCAGTTACCACTATGTATCAGAGCATTAAAATATTTATAGTCTTTCACAGAGTTAATCTAGCTCTAGAAATTTATCCTAAGTGTGTAATATGTTAAAAATTAATGAAGTATATTAATTACTGTTATTTATAATGGCAAAATTAGAAGCTACCTAAAATCTCAATAACGGGAATGAAGAAATAGCTCATGGTATATTTATGTCATGCAATATGTAGATATCACATTTTACAAATAATAAATTAGGAGAATGCTCCGACTATGGTAATTCTTAGTTCAAAATGCCTCCATCACTTTCAAGATAATAATAGAAATATTTAAGTGTGCATTATCATGCACACATAAACATACACCTTTTAAAGTTATTTTTTGACAGACCCTGTGTATTTATCGAGTCATTTTTTCTCTCTAGGTTTCCTTCCAAATTCTCTACCCACACACCTTAAGAGATTCTGATACATCATAAATAGAGGGACATACATCTTTACATGAAAACGACATGGAAGATTTTCTGAGGGACATGTGAATGGTGAATTTGCATGATGTGGAGACCCAAAATGGCTGAGGACTGCTGCTCAGTGCCCCAGCTCTGTTCACTCGCCTAGAGTTTCCTCAACAAGCCCTGCTGCTTCTGTCTTCTGAGCTCTGACCCACCAAGCCATTTCCTCTACTTGGAGTGCTTTCCTTCCCTTTCTGCTTTTCCCTTCTCAAAACCAAGCTAAAACATTGCCTGCTCTATGAAACTTATCCTATCACCCTGTTCAGATGCACATGCCTTTCTTCTCTACTTTTGTGACACCACATGCAGATCTGTTCATCATATTTTCTGGTATTCATTTGTTTAAAAATATGAATTGAGATACCACTAAATGCCAGATGCTATATTAAGTGCTAACTACAGTCTTGGTGAACAAAAAGGTAAAATTTTCCTGCTCTCGTGGGGCCTGCATTCTTATGGAGGAGATGGAATATATTTTTTAAAACATAAAATCTAAATTTATTTTGAGGTGATTTTGATCAGCACCTCAAAGAAGCAAGAGGGTGAACAGCAGTAATATCTGAGGGACAAGCATTCTAATTATAGGGAACAGCATATTTAAAAGTCCTGGACTCGTTCAGTGTATTTTAGGAAAAAAAAAAAAAAAAGAAAAGTGGCTTACAAGGTTGAGACTAGCAGAAGTGCAGCAAGAAATGTGACCAGGAAGACACCAAGATGCTGTATGATAAAGTCCTGAGGCCACTGTAAGATCTTTGGATTTTAATTTAAGTGTGTAGAATAACATGATCTTATTTACGTAGTAAAATACTAAGAGGCAACCTTCTGGCTGCTCTGTAAGAAGGGATTGTAGGACCCAAAGTGAAAGCAGGATGGTCAGCTAGAGGCTGTCATGGTGATTTAGCTAATTGATGTTGCTGGCTTGGATCTAGGTGACAACACTGGAGGTGGGGAGAAGTTATCAGATTTGAAGGATATTTTGAAGGTAGAGTTGATAAAGATCTCATAGGTTTGGTATAGGTTAAAGAAAGCTAAGCCTCAAGGACAACTCTTTAAGTTTTGGGCTTCAATAATTGGATGGATTTTGGTGGCACTTTGGTGAATGCTGAGTGAAGGACATGTTTAAGAATGAAAACATGTTAATAGATTCTGGCTGTATTATTAGGTGTGAGATGCCAACCAGGCATCAATGTGGAGATGTTGAAGGGACAGTGTTTAGGAAAAGGGTCAGAACAGAGATATGTATTTGGGCATCATCCTCATATAGATAGTACTTAAAGTTATGATGCTGACATGCCTACCAGGGCTGTGAGCATAGTCTGTGAAGATACAAGTTCTGAGGTCTGAACTCTGGGACACTCCACCATTTAGGGAGCAGAAAGAGAGTCTAACAACAACAACAAAGATGAGTATGAGTGGTTAATGAATTAAGAGAACAGGAGGATGTGGACTATTAGAAACTAAGGAAAGACAGTATTTCAGGAAGGGGGAGCTGATCATCTAGGTCAAATACATAAAGAATTTACCACTGGATTTGCATTGTGGAGGTCATTGCCAAATGGCTACCTTTGTCAGAGCCATGATGCTATTCCTTGGCAAATGTTGACTTACTTATCTGTTTCTTCCAGGAAACCTGTGAACCTCACATAGGAGTGATTTTGCCCTCCAGGAAACCTTTGGCGATATCTGGAGACATTTTTGGTTGTCAAAACTGAGCGGTGGTGGAGTGATGCTACTGGCATCTAATGGATGGAGGCACAGGATGCTGCTGAACATCCTGCAATGCACAGAGCAGCTCCCCCACAACAAAATAATGATCTGGCTCCAAACGTCAATGGTTCCAAAGTTGAGAAATCCTGCACTAAACGTATGGTTCCCAAAGTGTGTGCTTAGACACCCCAGGGTGGACATAGGAGTGCCGTAGGACATTTTAAAGTGTGAATGGAAACACAGTGGCATCTGTCAAGCACTAAATGAACTACTAACTCAAGATAGTTCACAGTTTCAACATTAGCTTTCTTTTTTTTTTTTTAAATAATGTCTCTTTGTAAAACTTGGTTTTGGAAGTTGCTGTGATAAGAATCAAATACTTGGTGAATATCACTGTGGAATAAGAAGTGAGAATGGCAGTTTCCAATCTGACTTCAAGGTTTGTGAAGTTGGGTAGTGACCAGAAGTTGTTGAGTTTTTAGGACGTAAATAGTTATTAAATTGTTTGGACTTGACAACTCAAGAAACTCAATTATTAGGTATATCTTTTGGCCTAGGGGGTGTAGTAAAAAATTATGGATATGCCACGGGCACCATAAAGCAGAAGGCTTGAAACTGCTGGGCTTGACTTTAAGTTCCTTGGGAATAGGCATTGTGTATTAGTACTTTATATCTGCAGCACCCAAAACAGTGCCTGCTACAAGTGTGAGGTGCGAGAATGCCAAACAGATATCCATAAGGAGATTGAGGGAAATTTAATAAATTTAAGAAATAAAATGGCAGGTATGAAATGAATGAAAGGGCACATGTGCACTGTAGTGTCAAGAGAATTATATGTTAAGTGGCAAAATTCGACCTACTGGTTCACTATGCACTACAACATCCCTAAATACCTCCCTACTTATATAGGATAAAATAAGAGAGGGGAAAAGAATAAAGCTTGACTTTCTTATTCTTTGGCCTGTGAATCTCTAGACTAAAATTTCTTGAGTTTGGTGCAAGTTTACTTCCTCAGATTACATTATTTTTTCCCAATACAAATTTCTATTCTCACTTATATTATGCATATTGACAAAACTGTGATCTTATTCTGCAGGAATATGTGAACGGGAGTAATTTGAATATCTCCTAAATTTTTGGCTGCTTTTCTTCCTGCCCCTTTTGCCAAGCACTACATGCCCTAGCCTAATGATTGCATAGATGTTGGAAAGAGATGTTCTTTTTAGAGTTAGTGATTCTATTTTGTTTTTGAAAAAAATCTTTTCAGTGTAAGAATATGATTTCAGAATATAAACTTGTGGAAATATTCTTGGTATAGTGGCAAGAAGTCAGCTTTTAGAATGGGATATATAGTCCCATGCATCTCACTCTCACTGGGTCACATCTGGATCAAGGCATAAGGTTTCTTTGACTCTTAGATTTGTCACCTGTAAACTCGGAATACGAACTCTCCAAGTTCTTATGAGGATTAGACTAGTTAGCTGATGACAAGTACCTATCACAGTGCTTGACACAAGGAGATACTCAATAAATTATAGCTTCTCCTTATATTTCAACCTGACCTATCCTGACACCTTCTTTCTCCTTCTCATTCTCTTAGTCTTTTGTTTGACTTTAACACCTAGGATGAAGCTTATAGAACTTATTACCATTTTAAAATAGGCAAGTTGTTTGCTTTGTTGGTATTTTGTGTTGTATAGTGATGGGGTGGTATTTTCCCTATTAATAATGTAGTGCATCAACAAATGTAAATATATTCATAGAAAGTTCTCCAGCAGGGACAGAGTTGGAGAATCGCTGAGTCACCAGTCTCCCCTCACCTGAGAGTGTTCACAGTGAAACTTCTCTCCGTTGTGTGTTTTGTGGCCTTGCTTATTTGCAATGGTCTGTCCTGAAGAATTTGAGATTAGAGACCCCGTGGATAATCATATTCCAAGGTCACCAGTAAAACTAAATTTCTGTAATAGTTATAACTTCTACTAAATATTTTTGCTAGAGCAGCTAAAATGCAGTCTGCCTGTGAAATCTGGCTGACTTACCTTATTCAGCCTATAAAAGTTATGTTTACTCTACAGTGTAGTCATTTAAGTATGTAACAGCATTAGCCTAAAAACTATACATACTTTAATTAAAAATTACTTTATTGCTTAAAATTGCTAATGATCATCTTCACTGAGTCACAACCTTTTTTGCTGGCTGAGGGTCTTGCCTCAATGTCGATGGCTGCTGACCAATCAGGGTGGTGGTTGCTGAAGGATAGGGTGACTCTGACACTTTCTTTTTTTTTCTTTGAGACGGAGTCTCGCTCTGTTGCCCAGGCTGGAGTGCAGTGGCACGATCTCCGCTCACTGCAAGCTCTGCCTCCCGGGTTCAGGCCATTCTCCTGCCTCAGCCTCCCGAGTAGCTGGGACTACAGGCACCTGCAACCCCGCCCGGCTAATCTTTTGTATTTTTAGTGGAGACGGGGTTTCACCATGTTAGCCAGGACAGTCTTGATCTCCTGACCTTGTGATCTGCCCTCCTCGGCCTCCCAAAGTGCTGGGATTACAGGCGTGAGCCACCATGCCCGGCCGACTGTGGCACTTTCTTAAAATAAGACAACAATGAAGTTGGCTGCATCGATTGACTTTTCCTTTCATGAAAGATTTATCTACAGCAAGTAATGCTGATGTGGTTTCATAGCATTTGACCTACACTAGAACTTCTTTCAAAATTGAAGTCAATGCTTCTCAAACCCTGCTTCTGCTTTATCAGCTAAGTTTATGTAATATTCTGAATCCTTTGTCATCATTTCCACAGTGTTCACAGCATCTTCACCAGGAGTAGATTCCATTTCAAGAAACCCCTTCCTTCCTTCCTTCCTTCCTTCCTTCCTTCCTTCCTTCCTTCCTTCCTACCCTCCCTCCCTCCCTCCCTCCCTCTCTCCCTCTCTCCCTCTCTCCCTTTCTCCCTCCCTCTCTCCCTCCCTCCATTTGCATTCACAATTTTGTGGTTTGGTTCAAGAGGCCTTGCTCTCCACCTGTCTTGGCTGTCAACATGCCTTCCTAACTCAGCTTAATCATTTCTAGCTCTTGATTGAAAGAGAGATGTGCAACTCTTTCTCTTTCACTTGAACACTTAGAGGCCATTGTAGGGTTATTAATTGCCCTAATTTCAATATTCTTGTGTCTCTGTGAATAGGGAGACCTGAGGAGAGGCAGAGAGTCAGAGACTGACTGCTGGTCAGTGAAGTCGGAACACCACACACAACATTTACAGATTAAGTTCGCCGTCTTATATGGGTGTGGTTCGTGGTGCTCCAAAACAATTACACTAGTAACATCAAAGATCACTGATTACAGATTACCCTAACAGATATAATAATAATGAAAAAAAATTGAACTATTGCAAGAATTACAAAAATTTGATAGAGACATAAAGTGAGCACATGCTGCTGGAAAAATGACACTGACACACTTGCTCAAAGCCGAGTTGCCACAAAACATCAATTTGTAAGAGGAAAAATATCTACAAAGCACAATAAAGCAAAGCAAAATAAAATGAGATATGTCTGTAGTTGTATCTGGTATGTAATTAGCTCTTGGATTTATTGCTTTAATAAGTGTATGTGAGTCTATTGGTGTAACCTTCACTATGTAAAAAAAGCAACACTTTTGTAACACATTTATGACAAAGGACTCATATCTAAAATGTATAAATAACTCAACACTCAACAGTAAAATAAACAACCAGAGCAATAAGGAAATGGGCAAAAATATTAAAAGACTGTTCACTGAGGAGGATATACAAATATCAAGTAAGCACACAAAAATGTAATAAATATCAGTGGGTAAATATATATATCTCTATGATAATAGCTGGAATTCAAATTATAATGTCAAATGCTAGTGAGGATGTGGATAAATTGGAGCGCTCATACATTGGTATTGGGAATGTAAAATGATACTGCTATTCTGGAAAATAGTTTGGCTGATTCTTTAAAGATATAAAAAATAGGCCAGGTGTGGTGGCTCATGCCTGTAATCTCAGCACTTTGGGAGGCCAAGGCGGGAGGATCGCGAGGTCAAGAGATCGAGACTATCCTGACCAATATGGTGAAACCCCATCTCTACTAAAAATACAAAAATTAGCTGGGTGTGGTGGTGCGTGCCTGTAGTCCCAGCTACTCAGGAAGCTGAGGCAGGAGAATCGCTTGGACCTGGGAGGTGGGGGTTGCAGTGAGCTGAGATTGCACCACTGCACTCCAGCCTGGTGACAGAGCAAGACTCTGTCTGAAATAAATAAATAAACAAACAAACAAATTTACCATATAAGCCAGCAATTGCACTTCTGGAAATTTGTCCTACAAAAATTAAAACTTATGTTCGCACAGAATATTGTGCACAGTTGTTCACTGCAGCTGTTTTCATTTGAAATAACTCAAAACAATAAACATTCACAGTGTCCCTCAATAGCTGAATAGTTAAACAAACTGTGTGGTACATCCATGCCATGGAATACTGCATTGCAATAAAAATGAATGTACTGTTGATACAGACAACAGCTTGGATGGACCTCTAGGGCATTATATTGAAGGAAAAAAAGCCAATTTCAACAGTTTACATATGGTATGCTTCAATTTATTAACATTTTAAGGATGTTAACTTCCTGATTTTGATATTGTACTATTATTATATAAGATGTAACCATTGGGGAAAACTAGGTGAAGCTTTCACAGGATTCCTCTTTGTACTACTTTTGCAACTCTCCAAGAATCTATAATTATTTCAAAATAAAAAGGTGGTTTTTTTTTTTTGGTAAAGTCATATTTTATGCACACGCACACCCACACCCACACATACACACAGTTTCTTATGGGGAAATGTTATTTTGAAGTAAATTGGGAATGTAGGCATTTCATTTATTCTTTCCAAAATCATTTGTTTCTACTTTTGCAGGATTTTTTTTCTTCTTCCTCCTCTTTCTCTCCCTTCTCCCTAGTTCTTTTTTTTTTGTAGGATACTGAGATAGCTTACTTTTCTTGCTTAGGAATGCCTTCATTTTTTGGAAAGGCATTCTTTATTTTTTTTTTACCATTTTCAACTCAATTTTAGTTATTTAATTTTCCTGTCATTATAATTTGGATATATAACTTCTTTGAGAAGTGCAGATCATTTCATAGCTATCTCATTCTTTATAACTCAATCTTTTTGTTTTTTAACAGATTAGAACCTAAAGCAGAGAAAGTTAGTGATAGAAAGCATGAAGTAGAGTAACAAAACTGAAAACAGCCAGTTGCCCTACCAACCTGTTCTGCTCTATTCTTCTATTTTTTACTGTACTATATTCGATCCCATTTTTTTCGTTCCATTCTATGTTATGATTTCCCAACCTATATGTATTCCATTCATCCTGTTCTGTTCCATTCTATGCAATAAATATTTAATGAGTGTTTAGTATGTGGCAGGTGTTAGTCTATGTGGCTTGGCATGTACCAGTCAACACAACAGATAAAAAAATTGCTGCTCTTCTAAAGCTTACATTACAAGAGGAGGAGACAGAAACAAAACAGACTTAATTCGTAAGTAAATTTTAGAAGTTAGTGAGTGCTATGGAATAAAGAAAGAGTTAAGTAGGTGGGGGATATCAGGTGGGAATGGAGGGAAAGTTACAATTTTCAAACAGGGTAAGGTGTGAGAAACTGTAAGGAATTTTGCCATAAATTGATCTGAGCGATGCATTTTCTGATCACTAAGAATAGCAAGGCCAAAGGCACTAGGATGTGAGATGCCTGGAATGTTTAAGAAACAGCAGGGAGATCAGAGTGGCTGGAGTAGAGTGGTGAGAGGAGAGTAGGTGCAGGTGAGGTCAGATAGGAAAGAAAGATCTGACTACAAAGGGCTTTTGAAGGTGTTGGTTTTTACTCTGAGCAAAATAGTCAGCCATGGCAGGGCTTTCAGCAGAAGACCACATGATCTCAATTATAGTTTAGGACCCTAGCAATCCTGTTGAGAAAGACATTGGCTTATTCTATACTCTTAGCTGTGAAGGTAGAGAGAATTATTATTCATATTATTAACAACAACCACATACATCAAAAAACCCTCAGGATATTTTGAAGATAGAGTCAAAGGGATTTCCTGATGAATTTAATACAGATTGTGAGAGAATGGAAGGGGTAAAACATGATTCCAAGGATTTGGGCATGAGCATCTGGAAGGTTAGTGTTGCCAACAACCAATATGGAGAAGATGGCATATGGAGCAGGTTTGAGGGGGAATGTCAGGAGATCTTTTTTTAGATATGGTAACTTTGATATATCTTTTAGACATACAAGTAGACATTGCTTGTAGGCAGGTGGGTATATGAGTCTGGAGTTCATGAAAGAGATCCAGGGCAGAGATACATATCTGAGAGTTGCCAACACATAGTGATATTTATCATGAGATTAGATGAGGTTACCGAGGAAGTGACTATAGGTGGAGAAGAAGACCAAGAACTAAACCCCGGGGAACCAGAGTTAAGAAGTCAGGGAATAGACAAGGAACCAGAAAATGAGACAAGAAGCAACTAGTGAGATAGAAACCCTGACAATGTGTGTCCTCTCAGCCAAAAGAAGAATAAGTATCAAAAGCGATCCAATTACTAAACTGTGTCTCTTACCTCAGTGCAAATGTGTATGATGTGATTCAATATCTTCCTGTATCCCTAATTTTATTTTTATTCTATTTTTATACTGGAAAACAGGATCATTTTTTGTTTGAAATTTAGCCTGCTAAGAAAAAGTAGACTTTGTTGTTATTGTTGCTTAAGTTTCAAACAGAATCAACATTGTTTAAAATTGTTTTAAGAACTAGATTTGGTGTTAACAGTTTTTCTGTGGTGAGTCTGAATTTCCTTGAGCCGTTATTTACAGCAGAAGGTAACCACTACACTTATTCTAGGAGGCTGGATTGAAATGTATTTTATGTATTATTATCTTAGGAAAAAGATATTAAGCATCTTATCTTTATTATGATCACATTTGTTATTATCAGCATCTTCTATAGATAGTACTTTTTGAGGCTACATGTTATTGTGGACTTGTGCATTTTTAAAAGATTAAGCATTTGGCTTGGAATTATCAAGTAATCCTGTGTAGTAACTGTGATTAAAATTATACAGGAATTCATTTCAAACTGTGACAAATATATTGTAGCTTACACTCTTATTGAATTTGTTCATATATTTTATCAAGAATGTCAAGTATTTTTACATTAGGTTTATGTAGGTTTATAGGTGGAAATATAAATTATTAGTAATGCAAATTATGATCTTGAAAAAGTAGCTAGATTTTCAGGTTTTCCTTTTTTTTGAGCCTGCAGACTATTTGGAAATTAATTTGCATTTTTTTGGTGTGTATTTATATTGTCTTTTGCTTATATTCTGCATTACAGGATTCTGAGTTTCCACTTAATGAGTAGGCTTTACAGTACCCACAAATTACTGCAACAAAGTTAAAAAAAAAAGCACTAGAAGCCTAATGAAATGGACTGCTGAGAACAGAGCTGAATAAACACAAGCTTCCCTTTTTGCAGTGACTGTTCCAAACTAAGCAGAAGCTGCTTCTTTATTTCAGGGAAGGAAAAATAATGACCCGGTTTTCTTTATTTTTCTGGTGAGCAATTTAACTGCTACCTCCATTTGGCATATTCTCCCACTTCTTTTACTGGAATGGGCTATAACTGTAGGTATGGCATTCTTTGCCACAATGTATATTTTCCTTACTGCAGTGTATATTTTGAGCCATATTTACCAACACAGATATTTACTTTTTCTCTGAGATGTGGTCTAGAAGCAATTGTTCAGAGAGAAATTCAACACTGACTCTAGAGGTAAACCTGTACCCGGCATTTCAGTGTGTATGTGTGTTTGTAGAATTATCATCAAAGAGAGAAGATTATTCTTCCAGATGGCATTTACCTTAATAAAAACTGCTAATATGCACAAGCTTGAAAACCATTTCTAATCCAAGTGTACTGGCAGCGTGTTATTTTCAGGAGTAGTTGCATTAACTCTTTGAACCTTTTAAAAAAATTATCTTCTACTTTTGAACTAGGTCTTTTGAAAGATAATAGCTATCCTAAGTAAGTTATCCTTTGAGTACTGTGCGTGTGCACCTTTGTGTGTATTTGTGCTGTGCGTAAACCATTGTGTATTTTGGCATGGCCCAAGTCAGCAGGAAGGCTCCAGGGCTGAGGCTGCTTTCATCCTCTGATACACCCTCACAACCTTCCTGTTTTACGATAATTCTGAAACCTAACGCTCCTGCTACTTTTAACTCAGAACTGTGTTTATTTGCCTGTGGCCTGTTTTATTGTAAAATAAAAACCTTAAGAACCCTATGTTTTTAGGGTGCTTTTCCCCCCTCAAGAACACTGTGGTTGTCTTAAAGCCTAAATGACTGTGTTTTAATGATGTGTAAAGATTCAGTAAAAAATAAATCATGGCAATTTTGTTTTAAGAAGAAACTTTTAAAGGCAATACGTGCTGCAGACTTCAAAAAGTCTAATCAAACAATTAAGAACAAACAGTACTTGTGTGAACTTATCATTTTATTCTGCACTTTTCATAACATATTAGGTGTTAAGCTTCGAAAGATTCTGCTTTAATTCCGGGTAACTATTGGTAGGGGATTTAAGTCACAATTATTTAAACATAAGTTTTTCACAGATCTTGAATGTCTCTGGGAATTTTCTCCCCGAGGCAAATAATAGAGGGAATTAAAGCTGATTTGTTTTCTTTGCCAATTGAAATTATGAGATAGGTGGCTGCCACTGATTTTATCTTACCTACGAGCATCCTACAGCCCCTTATGTTCTGGTAATGCCCCTGATGGTGATGCATAGTAAATAGTGGAGTAAATTAGAAGAGAGTTATAGGTGTGATGGGAGTAATGGATAAGTTAAATGCCGTCTTTATCCTCAAGGGACTTACAGTCTGGCTCAGTATTTCTTATGAAGGGAGGGTGGGACACTATTGGCATTTTAGGTAGGGCAGTTCTTTTCTTGTATGGAAATGTTCCACACATTGTAGGAAGTTAAGTTTCTCTGGCTCCTGCCTAGTAATTATTAGTAGCACCGTTAGTTACTGTGACAGTAAAAAATAAGTCCATATATTTATCAGATGTCCTCTAGAGAAGGTATTAATTCTAATCCTTCTTCCTTAGAACAGTTGGAAGATCTGAAATATACACTATATGCATAAGAAGTGATTATAGAACTGTATTGTCTATATTGTCGAAACTATGTTAAAGGAATGATGCATACCATAAAAGCGAAGAAAAGACAGGAAAAAAAAAGGCTGGTTAGTTGCCTCTGTGTACACCAACTGGTATTACAGATCACTTTTTTTTTTTTTTTTTTTTTTTTTTTGAGACGGAGTCTCTGTCATCACCCAGGCTGGCGTGCAGTGGCGCGATCTCGGCTCACTGCAAGCTCCACCTCCTGGGTTCACGCCATTCTCCTGCCTCAGCCTCCGGAGTAGCTGGGACTACAGGCGCCCGCCACCACGCCCGGCTAATTTTTTGTATTTTTGGTAGAGACGGGGTTTCACCGTGTTAGCCAGGATGGTCTCTATCTCCTAACCTTGTGATCCACCTGCCTCGGCCTCCCAAAGTGCTGGGATTACAGGCGTGAGCCACCGCGCCCAGCCCAGATCACTCTTGAAGATCATGCTGATTCTTCTGCTGTGACTATCCTCTTCTGTCTCCCTCCTTCTTTTTTTTCTGCCCTGGATAACTCCTACTTAACCATCAAGATAAACTAAATTGTTATACCTTCCAAGAAGCCCTCATGAGCTTTCTCTCTTCTTAGACTGGGTGGGATGACTATGAACCTGGTTCTTACAAATCATTGGGTGCATCTCTGTCACTGTCTTCTAGAATTCTATTGACATCATCTGTTAAGGGTCCTTTCTATCTTCTCAGTAGCTTCTATGTGTATATTGCAGGCAGGAACTATATACTACATCTTTCTTACCTAGTTAAATTCTATGTGTGAAGTGCATATTCAATTAACTGACCTGAACTTGGCAGAAACATATAAAATTGTGTAGTTGTATAGTTGATGAAAACATATAAAATGTAGTTTCATTATTTTTTGACATCAAATTAAAATTCTGTTCAAAAGTCTCCTTTAATATAACTTTGCTCATTTAAAAAAGATTCTTATGCCCCACTGTTGGAAATATAATTTGGTACAATGCTTTTGGAAAGACATTTGGCAGTAGGTATCAAGAGATTTACAAGTTCATGGTATTTGATTCATTAATTCCATTTCTGGGAACCTCTCCTAAGGAAACAATTCTAATTATAGAAAAAGCCTGATACTCAAAAGTCTGCATTTCAAAACTGTTACTAACAGCAAAAAATTCCGAAGTCTTCAAGAAGTCTGGGGAATGGGAGCTTGGTTAATTATTGACAATCCAATTCTAATGGATAATTTTGGGACAATTGTGGGGAATTGTGTGTGAATATGATCTGGCTTTTAGATGTGATGAAATTATTCTGAAATAGATGGAGATTGTTGACCCCCCAAAATAATATAGCTACAATACAATATGACTATATTACCTCATTTTAGTATACACACGGAGACAGACACAAACACACAGATGTGTGTATATGAAAAAGATCCAAGAGGATATACTGGATCTTAGCAATGCTAACATCTGGGTATTAGGAATTGGTGTTGATATTTTCTGTATTTTATTATTTCCTAATTTCTACAATACCCATTTACAGATGTAATAATAAACGATATTTTTAAAAAACAAGGAATCGAAAATAATTTAAATGTTCATTAGTAACATATGGCTAAATTAATTATTGTAGGTCTGTATTCTAAGTTATTTCATTATATTCAAAGACAATATGAGAAATTTTTATAACATGGCAAAATAGTTGTATTGTAGTATTCAGTGAAAAGAGCAAGATGAAAACCTTTTTACATAGGTTGGTCTACACTCCAAAAGTAGATCTCACAGTGATTTTTTTCTACATGGTAAAATCTTGGGATTTTCTTTTTATTTTCTTGAATTATTTTTCTTTAGTAAATATATCTTTTTAATTGGAAAAATAAATATATCATCAAAAATTCTGTTAAAAATGTTCATGCTTCAAAAGTTTCAGGTTATTGTTGGAGGCAGTTCAAAAATGTTATAGCTGTGAATCATGGCTGTATTTAAATACAGGTAGCACTTCGTGTTAGAAATATGTGTTGGGAGGGGTTTATATTGTGTGTTTATGTAAAGATAGGGTAAGATTTCACAAACTTCTTATAGACAAAAACAGTTACAAAGATTTGTGTCATTTTAGCATAAAGGTGAGTTCCTTAATATTACTTTTTATTAAATCATTTATTCATTCCTTCATTCAATAATTATCCATTGAGCAAGGGCTTGGGTGCCCAAGATTCAGAAATAAGAAATGTAGTAGGAAACAACACCTAAAATTGACTTTTCTCTCACCTTTTGGGCAAAAATTGGAAGACAGTTAAATTCTTTTACGATAGCAGTATCCTATGTGATCAAAAATTCAAAGCGTCTTTACTATCTAAATAATGTCTATTGAATTTTCAGATGTTCTCTCAGCTCTTTAATTAAGTTCACTAATTTCTGTCTCAATCCAGTGTTGAAGTCAGCAGCCAAATGCCACATATGGAAAAATGTTCCTCTGGAAGTAAATTGAATATTTTAAAAATTACTGTCACTTATCTTAATATTTAACTCAATAAAACTTCTGTTTCTCAGTGTTTCCCCACACATTTTCATGTGTCTGTTAAATTGTTGGTAATGCTGCATACATAATTCCTTGGAAAACTAAATGGATTCTCTATCATTTAGAAGAGTTTTGGGGGTAATGTGGTAAATCATTTTTTGAGTTGGGTAAATAATTCTTTTGAGTAATTAAGTAAATCTAATGAGTGCTGTTTAATTGCTTATTGGTTTATTCAGTCTTTTATTTGCTTCCTGTATGGCAAGTTCAGAAACCTATTAATATTGCTATTTATTGAGAGGGCTTCTTAATATCTTTTAATGAGAAAAATACCTGGTGACAGTTTATTAGGGAATTCAGTAGATTCAAGAGGAATTTTTAAATGATCTCATTTGTATTTTAGCTATAAGTTAGGAGACAAGGTTCTGTGCTCAGATTCCCAGCTACTGCAGGAATTGTATGATTGTGGTTATTTTTAAAGCCAGAAGACGCTCTTTTGGAGTTCTGTTATTTCAACAATCTAGATCTATTCTCCATGTGATATTGACTTAAAATTTAAAAAGCAGATGTAGGTCAAAGGAGATTCTGCAAACACTTTTGCTGTTTTATCCTGGGGCTTTGACAACTTTAAAGCAATGATGAGTTTTTTTTTTTTTTTTTATATCTAACCTTAATCCTCCTGGTATACTTTAAAGTCACCTCTCCCTAAGTTTTCTTTATTACAAATGTAAATAAAAATGGGATTGTTATGTGTGTTCTTTATTTTAGTTATGTTATCTGTTTCATCTATAATATATAGAGATATAAACATAATATTTCATGAAAGATAGACTTTATGGAGAATACACAGAATCTGTTACTAGGGATTTCTACTAGTAGTAGTAGTAGAAGGGGTGAGAAAAGGGAATTTTTGACCTTTTTTTCTCTTGTATGGTTAAAATGTCTTGCCATGAACATTGCAAATTATATATTATAAATTACTTTTATAATTTAAAAATATATTTTATATTGTAAAATATTAACAATTATAATGATATTAAGTATTATAAATTATTTTTATAATTTAAAACAAAAATGAAATATTATTTATATACAAATTGTTGGTTTGTATTAGGCTTTTGGCATATTAGGGGCTTAATAAATATTTAATTGAATTTCAGCATGTACTAACATATATTTTTCTTTTTACAAGTGAGCCTACTACCTGCTGAACTTGAAAGAATCTAGCATTTAAAAGTTCTTTAACAATATAGGAAACCTAGAATAAACAAGCATAAAGACTTTAAACATTTTTAAAAGCTGTTTAAAGAATGTTCTTATATTGGTTAGCCTTTGGGCCCCAAATACAGAAAGCATTTATTTTCATTTTAAAAAGGGCCCCCAAACAAGACAGGGCTAATAAACCAGTTATAGGATACAGCTTTTTTTCCATTTAGAACTTTATGCAATCTGTCATCTTCTCTGATCCATCATTATTAATGGTTAGTCTTCTCATGTTTTACATACTTTATTCTTAGAATCCTCAGAAAACACACTCATTTTTCCTGCTACTAAAATAAATAAACATTGCAATTTATTCCTAAATATAGTGTATTTCCGGTTATTGGTGTTTCTTTCATAGGCCATTGGTAAGTGAAGGAACTACAGAGAAATAAGGGGTAAGAGGAAATAAAAATGCTATCTCAAGGTCTTTGTTCTGCCAAGGTCATCTAAAAGCTACACAGCAGGGTTCATTTCAAGACTACATTTCAGGGTTAGCTCACTAAATGTATCCACCATACTCTACAGATGGGGAAACTCAGGTTGTGCTTAGCCTAACATACTTGGTTCTGATAATGCTTGGTTCTGATAATGCCAAGATGATAAATAGATTTAGTCCCTCTATTGTAACATTTGTATTGAATATATGGGTTTTGTAGGATACCACCAGAAAACCAACTTTAATTGCTTTCTCTTCTACCCATTCAAACTAGCACTGAAAGAGAAGTCTGACTCACTGACCACCACTTGAGCACGAACTTTTCTGGCAACATTCAGATAATTAAAAGTCATCAAAGCACTTTAGCCTCAAATGGTCTCGATTCAGTAATTATCAATGTAATGACGTTTTCTTCACAGTAAAGGTTTCTCAGATTCACTAGCTCAACCAGCTGCATGGATACACCTGAAACAGAAAAGAATGGCATGGTCAGCTTTGCTGTTTGCCCCAGCTTTTGTGTTCCATAGCTGCTTTGCCAGCTTGTTAAGAGTGGTGACATTGGGAAGTGAGGGGAACAGGTAAGGCAGGGAAATGCCTTCCATGTTGGGTGAGGTGACATCCCTGTTTTGGACTGATGATTAAAGCTGCCTCTTTTTCTGGTGGATGCTTACCCAGGGTTCACTCATCTACAGTTCCCTGAACTAAGTGAAGCATCCCCCGACTGACAAGTTACAACTTGTTCTTCACACTTTGGACATTAGTCTGTACACCTCCAGAATATTCCTTCTGAATTCCAACTAGGTGTCCTTCATGGGCAGATTCTAAGACAGC
Organism: Homo sapiens; assembly: GCF_000001405.40. Taxonomy (NCBI): domain Eukaryota; kingdom Metazoa; phylum Chordata; class Mammalia; order Primates; family Hominidae; genus Homo; species Homo sapiens. Next base: position 18,559,227 of record NC_000007.14, read on the forward strand.
AAAGCCCAATAGTCTTGTTCTCCCTCTCTCCCGGCCCAGATCTGACCCACACAATACATACACACACCTTCGTCCTGCTGATTAGGTGGGTCATCTTTGCCCAAGTGTGTTCAATCACCTTCTTATCCTTGATGTTTATACTTTAGATTTCTCAGGCTTGAGTGAGAAACCAATCGATCGTATCTCCAAAACTTCTGGAAACATATCAATCTCTCTAAATGAATTCTCTGAAGTCCTTTTTACTAATGTTAAGGTGAGGGACAAGCAAGCCTGAACCATCCCTGAGGAGGAGGGGGTAGGGACATGGAAGATACTGACAACTCTCTCTCAAGACATTCCCCATCTCTTTTTTCCATCTCTTTGACCGGTTTTACTGCAGCCCTTTTATACGTTGGAGTTTAAGGAGCTAAGGCCCCTACACTGGTGTTCAGTTATTCCCTTTTCAGCCTGCATAGGTGGTCTGGAATGTGGGAGTAGTTGACACCTACTTTCCTGGGGTCTCAGCCAAATGAAAATAATTATTTAGTAACAGCTTTGGGAATATAACTTTTTCACCCTTTTCTGTGGTCTCTGAGATACTTTTTAATCCTCAAATATTATATTCTAAGGTCTTTTAAAAATGTCTGTATGTTAGAAGCAGTAATGCTGGCTATACCACCTAAATATAAGTCTTACACTAAATGTGAGTCAAATTGACCCAAATCCTAAAGTCTTCCTATATTTGTTTTGATTACTCATTCACTTGAATAGATAATACATGACATGATATGAAAGCTAAGATAAGCAAAAGACTATATAATGAAAAGTCTTTTCTTCTGTTGTAAATCTTAGTCATGTTTCTCTTTCCAAGAGGCAATTTTTTTATTATTTTTAAGATTCTTATTTCAAACATTTCTGGAGATCTCAAGATTCATGTGGAGAATATAAAAAATAATTGGGCTCAGACTGATCTGACATAATATTAGGTATATGTTATCTGTCAGCAGAGAGATATTGAGCATGGACCATAACTGGGCTCACTCCTGCTATTCTACCTGTGAGTTAGAAATAATACTAAAGACCTCTAGGAGTTGTGAGAATTAACTGAGAAAAATGGATTTAAAGGAAATAGTAGTTTCTGTTGTAGAATATTCACTCTATACATATTAATTTCTTAAAGTCCCAACCTCTTTGTGATGTCGTATTAGTTTCTGCTTACTCCCCACCCTCAACACTAACCATTGTGCTACCAACATCCCCTGTATGCCTCTGTGACAGCTGCTTGGTTTCCTGCATATACTCACTTCCAAAACCTTGTTGTGTAAAGTGTGCCTGTTGTGCCCCGTGCTCATCTCTGACATAGCACTTCTTCACTACAGTGTAGTGGAATATGCGTTTTTCTCTTCAACTTAGTGCCTTGTTTTGTCACTCAGCACAGTGATTGGCACCTAGTAAACAGTATGTATTTGTTGGACGAGTGAGTGCACAAATTAAGCACCCTCATTAAAGGCCTGTTCTGTTTTGATAGAGGGAACGTGGACAGAGGTGAAGCATTTTGATGTGGGGAATTGTGGGGACCATAGAGCTAGCTCCCCTGGAATCAGAGAGGGAGCATTAGCTTGGTAGAGAGAGAGAATATGTTAAGGAAAAGGCAAGGGGCAAAGTCAGAAGGCCATGAAGGTCAGATAACACATCTGGAAGTTTGCTTGGACCTCACCTTGTCCCGTGCTCTCCTCCTGGCATTAGGAAATGACTATCTTATTAAGACACTGGCGCCTTTGAAGGATACCACCGATATTCTTACATACTGTATCAGTCAGCCCCAGAAAGCCTTTGGTGTCAGGGGATAAAAAGAAACAACAACAAAAAAATGAATCATTTTTCTCTCACTTTCAAGTGATTAGAATAGAAGAAATAGAAAGATCCATTGCCTTGATTAAAAGAAGTCAGTTATTTGTGGTGGCATTTTAAGTGGATGCTTTCGCATGTGCTTCTCCAAAAGAAGCTGGTAATAGTATGTATTGAATTTAAATGTAACCTGAACGGCTAGAGTGAGCACACTAATATGGCATTGGCAACTTCACTGAGCATACTTTAAAAATTCTAAAGGAATATGCCAATTCCCCAGAGATTATCTTCATTTCTGAATGAAGAAATATTTTGTTCTGTATATTAACCTTTTGTTATGCCTAGAGCTCAGTATATCTAAACAATTTAATTAGATTATTTTAACTGCTTTATTGAGATAACATGAAATTCACCCATTTAAAATGTACAATTGAGTATATTTTAGTCTATTCACATGGTTGTGCAACCATCACCACAATCTAACATAGAATACTTTTTACCCTTTAAAAGAAACCCCAGACCCATTAGCATCAATTCCCATTCTCTTTTCCATACTACCAGCCATAATTAATCACTAATCTATTTTTTTATCTCTATAAATGTGCCCATTTTTTGGACATTTGATATAAATGAAACGATACCAAATATGTGGTCGCTTCTGACTGCCTTCCTTTACTCAGCATGGTTTCAAGGTTTACCCATATTGTAGCATGTAACTCAGTACTTGTTTTTATTATTGCTGAATAATACTCCATTGTTTCGATATACCACATTTTATTTATCAGTGAATCAGCAGATGTGTATTTGGATTGTTTCGCCTTTTGGCTACTATGAAGAATACTGCTAAGAGCATTCATGTACAAGTTTTCGTGTGGATGTCTTTTTGTTTGCATATATCTAGCAGTGGAGTTTTGCTGGCTCGTAAGTACTTGCCAACACTTCTTATAATACATCTTTTTGATTATAGCCATTCTAGTGCATGTGAAGTGGTATCTTATTTCAGTTTTGATTTGCATTGCCCTGAAGACTAAAAATGTTGAGTGATTTTCAAGGACTTATTGGCTATTTGTATATCTTCTCTGGAGAAATGTCTTTTCAAGTTCTTTGTCTGTTTTTTAATTGGGTCATTTTTATTTTGATTATTGAGTCGTAAGATTTTATTTTATACACTCTGAGTATTAAAGATATATAGTTTGCAATAATTTTCTTCCATTCTGTGGATTGATGGTATTATTTTCAGCAACAATTTTAATTTTGATGTAGTCCAATTTATGTGTTTTTCTCTTATTGCTTCTGCTTCTGATTTTGTTACCTAATAAACCATAGCTTAATCCAAAGTCACAAAGATTTACTCACGTATTTTCTTGTAGTTTTAACTCTTAACATTTTAATACGTGATCCATTTTGAGGTTTTCTGTGTGTATGTGATTAGTTGTCCCAGCACCATTTGTTGAAAAACTGTTATTTTCCCCATTGAAATAACATTCTTGTCTAAAATTGATTAACCATAAATGTAATGGTTTCTTTCTGGATTCTAATTTCTATACCATTCATCTGTACATCTGTCCTTCTGCCAGTACTTCTTTGTTGTATTATTATAACTTTGTAATAAGTTTTGAGATTGGAAAGTGTGAGTCCTCTATATTGTTCTTCCATTCTAAGGTTATTTTAGCTATACTGGGTCTCTTCCATTTCCATATTAACTTTAAGATTAGTATGTCAATTGCCAGGAAAAAAGATGGAATTTTGGTAGGGATTTCATGGAATTTGTGGATGAATTTGGGTCATATTGCTATCTTAATAATATTAAATATTTAACCTATGAAAATGAAATGTTTTTCATTCGTTTAGATCTCCTTTAATTTCCTTCCATACAGTGTTGTAATTTCGATGTACAAGGTTTGCACTTTTGTTAAATTTATGCCCAACAATTTTGTTCTTCTTGATGTAGGTCATGTTTTATTGATTAGTTATTTATTTTGGTTGTATTTACTGATCAAATTTTCCAAGATTTCATAAATATATTATGATATATTTTGACAGAAAACTTTTGTGATGGCTAAGAAAGGTTTATTCCATTTATGTGCTCCCATTTTTGCTCTCAAATGATGTTGCCCACTGACTTTAAAATTAATTTCAAAAAGTTCAATGTGGCCGTAATAGTGCTATTATAATCTCAGTATATCAGTGATTTTTAAAAACGGATTTCTACTTGTTTTATACAATTGGTCTTCAAATCCTGCTATTATACCTTGAAAATGTCTCTCAAAGTCATCTTTTTTTTTCCATCCTGTGTTAAGCATTTGAAATATAAAATATATAAGCCTCCTCCAAAAATATATAAGCTCCAGTTATTCAATGGTTATGTTTTTGTTATCTTCTTTTGTTGTTATTGTTAGCTTATTTTAGTTATTTCCCCATTTTCCATCCCCTAATATCTTTTACTCAGAAAATTTTCTTATAACCCCTACAGGCAGAATTAATTTTTCCTGTTTCTGTGATTACACAATGTATTTAAGGTGTTTAGCACAATATTCGTTATAGAGAATAGTCTCAAAACATGGCACCTGTCACCATCTCTAGTTATCTATTCAAATCATCAGTATTTGCCCATATCATACTCTATATCTTTGGTATGTTTTCTTGCCATCAATTCCCTCAGAACCACCCAACCCCCCCCATGAACTTAGATTATTTTTTTTTATTATACTTTAAGTTCTAGGGTACATGTGCACAACATGCAGGTTTGTTACATAGGTATACATGTACCATGTTGATTTGCTGCTTTTTTTTTTTTTTTTGAGACGGATTCTTGCTGTGTCTCCAGGCTGGAGTGCAATGCCACAATCTTGGCTGACTGCAACCCTGCTGTCCTAGGTTCAAGCAATTCTCCTGCCTTAGCCTCCAAAATAGCTGGGACTACAGGTGTGTGCCACCACGCCCAGCTAATTGTTTGTATTTTTAGTAGAGACAGGATTTCACCATGTTGGCCAGGATGGTCTCGAGCTCCTGACCTCATGATCCGCCCGCCCCGGCCTCCCAAAGTGCTGGGATTACAGGTGTGAGCCACCGCACTCGGCCAGATTGTAAATTTTTTGACAACAATGACTATTCTCCTCATCTTTCTATGTTCAAGGCCTGCATAGTTTAGAAACAAGGAAACAGTACAGTTGCAACCATACAATTGAAAAAAAAAAATTGTCCATGGCTATAAATTAATTAATCTGTCCTGATTTTATGTCTGTCAAATTATAGGTAGTACTAACCCAGTAAGAGCTTTATTGATAAATAAATGAGAAATTACAGTTTTATCAAGTGTGAGGTAATCCCTTTTTTTGGGGCTTGCTTATTTCTATTAAGCTTCCAAGTATTTTTTAAAAGACAATTTGTATTCCTGGCTTTATTTTACAGTTTGGTTTTATCTATTCTATTTGCATACTGAGAGGAAGCTGGTATATAGCAGTCTAAGCTAAATGAAAAATAAGTGCGCAATTCTAATATTCAAAAACAGGATAGAAGATGTCCATTTTTATTTTTTTATTCTAAATAGGAATAATATGCACTATAATGTTTATATTTCTTCCAAGTATCTTGTACCACATGCTTATGATTGACATTGGGCCTCTATACCTATTCCTTTTCGTTAAGAGACTACTTTTGTATTAACATTTTACCATTAGATTTTATTGAAACACTATTCAAAGTCCTCAAAATTTCAATTTTATACCTTTTTATTTTTCTGTAAGATGAAGCAATGTCTTTAGAATGTTATTTTAAGCTCATCTTTGGGCTTCCACTGTTTCCTCTACTTGCCCTTATTTTAAACTGGAAAATCCATGAATGTAATGACCACATCTTAGGCTCTTTCATATTTCAAATGCCTAAGCCAGCATCAAATAAATGTATTTTATTTATTTATTTATTTATTTATTTATTTATTTATTTATTTATTTATTATTTTGAGGCGGAGTTTCACTCTTGTTGCCCAGGCTGGAGTGCAGTGGCACAATTTGGCTCACCGCAACCTCTGCCTCCCGGGTTCAAGGGATTCTCCTGCCTTGGCCTTCCGAGTAGCTTGGATTACAGCCATGCGCCACCACACCCAGCTAATTTTGTATTTTTAGTACAGACGGGGTTTCTCCACGTTGGTCAGGCTGATCTCAAACTGCCAACCTCAGGTGGTCCGCCCGCCTCAGCCTCCCAAAGTGTTGGGATTACAGGCGTGAGCCACTGTGCTCAGCCAAATAAATGTATTTTTTAAAAAATATCCCATGGTTTGTTTATCATATAATGTAAAATCAAGAATCCAAATATTTTTCAAAGGGTAGAGAATTTCTGTGAGTAATTTTTTCCTCAGCATCTTAATATCCAAACTCTACTTGCTCACAAGATTACTTAATCAGCATCATATCAGAGACAGCTTGCTGTGTTTACCATTGTTAGTTGGGCCAGCATATGTCCAAAACAGTTGGAATGAGAAAAACAGCCTTGACTTGAAGCCAAATTAGAGAGGGAGGAGGAGAAGAGTTCTTTAGCTGTTGAACAGGACTACATATTTTGGACAGTGTAGGGTACTTCTGTAGAAAAAAAGAAAAAAAAGGGTGGGGAATTCTTTCAGCCAAAAAACAAAGGTGCATTTTGAAATATCTAAATGCACTGAAATAATAAAAGCAAATTGGTGATGTTGTTTTAATTTTATTTATATAAGCCTTTGCAAGTAATGAAATCTTTTTATGTTAACCAAAAAAAGAAAGAAAGAAAGAAAAGTATTCTAAGATATTTATAATGTGGATAATTTTTTTTTTTTTCAGTTTTACCCTGGCAACTTTAATTGGCTTAGTGGTTTCTAATTCTGGGCAATTTTCTGTTTCTTTATTAAGCAATGTGGGAGCTGTTGAATAACCATCACATTTCATAGGATCAGAATAATATTTCTGATTTTTCTCAAACTGGGTATTATATTACTGTATAGTAAAAACTTTTTAAGTGAGGAAAATGTCTATTCTTGTTTTGCTAAGTAACATTACAAAAAGTAGATATTTTTGTGCATTCCACCCCCTTAAGAAGCAACTATTGTAGAAAGTGGTGTTTTCATTGAGAGAGAAAATGGAAAGTAATATTTTGCTATTTATTATGGAAAGTTAGAGGAGAGGTTTCCAAATACCACAATCAAGGAATAAAACAATTTTGACCACAACTGAATTTTATATATCAGGCAAAGCCTGTCCTAGGGTAGTTTTTAATTAGATAAAGCTTTCTTCAGAGTTCCTGCTTTCAATTCTCTATCATTTCTTATCTGGTAGGGATCCCGCTTGCTTCCTAGTACCTCTCCCTTTCTTTACATCAGAATCTATTATGTATGGTGGTTATTGATTTACCCAAAGAAGTCAATGAAGGCCAACAGCAGTTGCCTTTTGCATGAGATATACTTTCTGATAAAGACTAAAAAAGTAAATCACACACACATACACACAATTTTTAGGTGGGGAGGGAATAGCTTTGGCAGTAGAGGAAGCCTTGGGAATCACTGTTTTACCTCCCTGGTTTTATTTGTTTTATACATGAGAAACCCAGGATCCATAGACGTGGACTAATCAAGACTAGAACTGGAGACGCAGTGTTCTTTCTGCCAAATTCTGTTTCTTTACATTGACAAGGTATTGGGCATTAGCAAGCAATTGAGAGTAGACTGATAGAGATGTTAATTTATTCATTACTTGTTCTTTAAAACAACTGTATCCCATGCTTGTGAGAATCAAGCAAGATGACAAAGGTTTGTTACCAACGAGTTTGGTAAAGCATTTTCAGAGGAGTGTAGTGGATGTAGTAGGTTTGTACTCTAGGACCTGGAGGTGAGAGAAGACAGAGGAAGGATGTACCATACCGTATGTTCAGAATCAAACCTTCCCTCAGGTCCTGAGGTTATCAGGTCAAGTGTGTCGCAAGGCCTAGCTTCCTCTTTGCTAAAGATGAGTTTTTCTTAGGTGGTGCCTTAGTCATTCATGCAAATAGACATCTGCAGTGCCAGCCCCACCTGCTCTCCAGACATGCCCAGTAGTTTTTGAACCTTGGCTTTGAGTATGTCCTGCAGCATGCCAAATTTATCTCGAGGGGAATAAGCCCAAGTGAACCGCCTACGTAAATCTAACCAAGACAGGCCTGATGTGGCGGGTTGAATTTCTATGTTGAACTAAGGAATCGCATGGGGTTCTATGGCTATACTTCTCCCCCCTAACTGGGCAAGGCGAGGAAACCTGAATAACAACCCCTATACAAGAGCATTTACCTTAGCATAGAGACAAATTGCACTGTTTGTTGTTCTCTCATTTCTTTTGTTTAACCATGATAATACTTACCTTTTTAGCTTCAAGATTTATAAATTCCAAGCAATTCATTTAAAGCATTTTTTTAAAAGCTTGAACTTAAAATTTTGTATAATGTGTTCTCTAGCTACTGAATATTCTACTGGTCTAATCTAAGTTATATTATAAATTTTGTGGAAAATAAGCAGAAGCCATTTGATTCAGAATGCCTTTGCTAAGCTCTATGATTAGCAATGTATTTCCTATGATTTTGGGTTATATAAATTTAAATTTGCATTAATATCTGGAACAACATTTGGGTAAATATTTTTCCCATAGTTTTTAAACAATACCTAACTACCAGAACTATCTTGCATGAAGCACAAAATTTCTGTAGTGGTTTGACTACAGATCTATTACTAGGGTGATAGCCAAACTTGTAGTATTATTATTGCAGCTTTGAGGTGTATAAGATGTTTCTTTAAAACCTCAAGGTTTTAAAACATTCAGAATAAACTATATCAACCCACACATTAACAAACATTTAAATGTCAAATAAGCAGAATATCCTTTAATTTCTAACCATCCCTTTGCAAAACCCATTCCAATGTTGGTTTCTATAAAATATACTGGGGCCTTGTTAGTTTATACATACAGGATATATGTATATGTATATATATATATATATATATATATATGTAAGCTTAGAATTATGTAGCAACTGCTGCACAGATTGGAACAGTCTATGTATGTCTTTCGCTATAATTTATTAAAAGAAATTTCAATTCAATAAGTATTTGTTCTATTTGTAGCTTATTGAAGGGTATACAATCTCTGTCTCATGGAAAAAGAGATAATTTAGGAGAACACTCCTGAATCTTTTACTATGGAATATTATACAGGATCTTTCATTAGGACCATTCTAAATTAATATTTACCATATTATTAAATATGCAAGATAAAAAACACTGAAAAATAATATTGTATATGTGACAATGGCAAAGCTAACTGTAACCTGTCTAGTGCTCATTATTCTCGTCTGTGAAATGGGGATAATAGTAAAGCTGTGTATTCAAAGAGAAAGTCCATCCAAAAGTCATAGCTAGCGCTCAGCATATGTTGCTCATTTTAAAGTGCCATCATTCTTATTTATATTTTTGTTTTCCAGTTGACTGCGTATTGTGAAGAGCAAGCAACAAAGTCTAAAATTAGTATATCAATCTAGTGAAAATACTTAGAACTTGTTTTATATGGTGTTCTCCTGTCATGTTCTATTTCCTAATTATGTTTTATTTTAGATGAAATACACTATGATAATTTTTAACCTAATTCATTCAACCATTATAGCAGAGAGGTAGCTTGGAAATTTGTTTGTCACAGGGACATCCCACCATGTGAGAATAAAAATTGGGCCGGGCGCAGTGGCTCACACCTGTAATCCCAGAACTTTGGGAGGCCGAGGCGGGTGGATCACCTGAGGTTGGGAGTTCGAGACCAGCCTGACCAATATAGAGAAACCTCCTCTCTACTAAAAATACAAAATTAGCTGGGCGTGGTGGCACATACCTGTAATACCAGCTACTCAGGAGGCTGAGGCAGGAGAATCGCTTGAACCCGGGAGGCGAAAGTTGCAATGAGCCGAGATCACGCCATTGCACTCCAGCCTGGGCAACAAGAGCAAAATTCTGTCTCAAAAAAATAAATAAATAAATAAAATAAAATAAAATTTGGCTATAGATTGATTCTCAGGAGTTCGCAAACTTTCTGTTAGGGGCAGATAATAAATATTTGAGATTTTGCAGCCTGTACTATCTCTGTGGCATTCAATTCTGACTTTTTAGTGCAAAAGCAGCTATACACAGTAAGTCAATGAATGAGAGTGGCTGTGTTCCAATTAATTTTATTTGTAAACACTGAAATTTGAATTTCATATATTTTTATGTCACAAAATATTTTCCTTTAAAAAATTGTTTTCCCAACCATTAAAAATGTAACAATCATTCTTAGGTTGCAGGCCATAAAAAATTAGGCAGGCTGGATTTGACCCATGAGCCACAGTTTCCTAACTCCTGTTCTGCATAGTTACCTTCATTATAAATATTTTCAATAATTTCTTATACTTTTGATTGTACAAAGAGGTATGGCTTCAAATTACAGACTGATATCTCAGAGCTGTGCTTAAAGTATTGAGAAGCATTCTGTAATGCTGATGGTTTTCTCAATATTGGCTAATTCTATAAACAGATACTATGAGTTCTGCCAGAAATAGAAATTCTAATGACAGTCTAATTAAATAGAAGCCATGGAGAAGAATTATTACATTTTCTTATGCCAAATTATAAATGTCTTCAATTAATGCACAGATATTTATTTATTTATGTATATGTAAAAAGTGGATTTTCTGACAGCCTCAGGCTCCTCTTTGTGGTAGAACCTTCTGTTTCTCTAATTAGTTGTGCCTTAATGGCCAGTAATTGTCTTTTATAATGCACAGGGAACCTAAAAAAAAACTGAAGGAAAAAAAATAGACCATCACAGTCTATCTTTTCAAATCTTTTCTCATGCTGTCAAAAAACAGCTGCCTCTTACTTTTTGTTACTACTTTCTTCAATTAAAAAGTAATCTCAAAATTTATGAATAATACACCCAAACCTCATTAACACTGTTTACAGTTAATTATGATTTAGTATCTCTCTCTGTCTGATATAACCCAATGGGATTTAGTTAATCAAGTACCGAAGATGACTTCATTACCAGGCAGTCTTTACCTGTGAATCAGTAGATTCACAGATTGGAGAGTACAGCCATAGTGAATTTAAGAAAAACAAAAACAAAAACAAAAAAAAATGCTAATTGCCTAGACTCAATAGAATTTTGTATAGCTAAAAGAAAAGGGTGAAATATTAAATTTGGAATTCTTAAGTACAGAATTGTTCCTTAAAAAGAGTGCTGAAATACACACTTTAAGAAAGATGCTTTAGACTTACCTGAAAATACACAAGTGTGTCAAAATATGAAGAAATATATTCAATTACACATATCTCTGTGGAATATATTGACAATTATGAACAAATGTTTTTCTTCACCTTTAAAAACAAAAATATGTAATATTATTTTAACAAAAACTTTTCAGTCTCATCTGTATCAAGGCATACTCCAGAATGAAATGTGTAGAAATAAAATGAAATGCCTATTTTGTAGAAGTCAAATAGAATCAGAATGGAGTGGTTGAGATCATGGACTCTGGAGCTGGACGGTGTGTGTTCTAATTCCTGTTGTACCTGTTAGTGGGTGTGTGACCTTGGCCAAGCTCCTCTGTGGCCTCCATTTTCCTCATTTGTAAGTAAGAATCCCAAGCACGTCTACTCCATAGGTTACTAGATATTGCAACCTCATAATGTTGTAAAGAACAAATGAATGAATATTTACTTTATAAAGCATTCAGAACGATGTTTGTTATACAGTAAGTGCTGTAATTAGTGTTGGTTCCATAATTTAAATTAGAATAAGAGAAACTCGGGAGACTGGCCAAAATTATGCTGTTACTCTTTGTGCTTACCCATGTTTGTAAAGCCAAACTTGGAATCAGTACATTTAGGGAAGTCACATTTTATTAGAATGCTTAGGACCTCAAAACTCACCTATTTTAAAACTCACATATCCAAAGTGCTTCCTGACAAAGGATACTGGATATTTCTCTTTAGGAGCAAAAGTGGTGCCACCATGTGGCAATAACATAAATATAGCTGCCAATCCATTTAGCTTGGCAAGGCTTATATGAGCACATTACATGAATTTTTAAAATGTTTTAACGTTCAATTTTTTTCTAAATTGTATGTACAAAGTATAACTTTATTATTTTTAATTCAGCATTTTAAAATTCCCATAATTTCAGTTCTCATAAAACAAGAGTGGCATTTTCTTTGAAAAAACAGTAATGTAATTTGCCTGTGATTTGAATTTGGCAAAATAAACAAATAATGCCCTTATAACACTGATTTTCAAACTGAGTTCCATGGAGCCTGCATTCCCTGGGGGAAAGGAATAGCGGAGGAAGTGAGTGGATAGAACCTTGGTTCCTCCTCTCCGTCTTTTCTAAAACATTTCCACTTTTGCTGGTTTTATATGTTGGAACTGTTCGTAAGATTTTATTTGAAGAAAATAAGAAAATATCCAGCCGTTTAAAGAAATGTTTTTCTTTTCTAAAAGCCAGTGCAGTCCTATATTAGGAGTTTCAGTGGGGCTTTAAAACTTTATTTTATTTTTTATTTTTTATTTTTTTTTTTGGTAATAAAGATTTACTCAGAACTAGAAAACAGCTAAATTCTGGAGAAGAGGTAAGATGCATTGGTTGAAACCCTATTCCTGTTATGCAGGACTGAAAAGATTAGAGCAGAGAAAAGGCAAAGACATGGTCTGAATCGCAGAAGAAAAGAAGGAAGGTATATCACACATGGCATTTCAGCTTTGTTTCTCCTACTTTTCCCGCATATTTTCATGTATGTTGTTGTCTTAAACATATTAAGCATTGAGGCTTTCAGAAAATATTCAACTGTTTTGTGCTGGCTAAAGGTAATTGTTTCCTGGTGGCAGGAGGCATGAACCAATGAAACTTTTTTTTTTTTTTCTGTCAAAATAGCACATAATGATGTACTTTTTGTAAGCAAGAATTCCTGATAGAAGAGTGGGAACACATTTTTGAAAAAGTTTATTTGCTGAGTAATATGTTTAGAAAGAATGTTGTTAGAGAAGGATATTTGCTAAGAAAAATCATTTATTCAACTAATATTTATTAAACTTACAGTATAAGCTACATAATATACTAGGTTCCGGAGTTATAAGGGAATCCCTTGCCTCAAATATTAGGGTTTCATAATGAGAGGGAAGTTTTGTTAGTCATTTGAAATAGCTATTTGAAATAGTCAAATTTGAAATTTGACTATTTTGTCATATTCATAAATATGTCATATTCACAAATATGACTATTTGTCATATTCAAATATGACAAATAGCTATTTCAAATGACTAACAAAACTTCCCTCTCATTATGAAACCCTATATTTGAGGCAGAGGATTTCCTTATAACTCCAAGTATTTGTCTGTGACCTAGAAGAATATATAAGTTGTAGAAAAAAATACGGGAAAGGGGACGGTTTGCACCATCTTCCTCGTAGTTCCTTTAGAAGTGAATTTACTTTAGATCCCAGAGGAAGAGTATTAGATCTGGCCACAGAAGTAACTCTTTTATATTATTACCTATATTTTCTATTTTAAAACATTAAAATTTTGAATCTTCTCAAGATTTCATTTTTAGGTACATTTATATCAAATTGAATTTTAATCTCAAATTACAAAATAATATGGATTACAAACTAATATATAGGTTCTTAGCTTCTATTACCTTGGAGTCCCATAAATTGGCTTGATTTTGTTTCCGTAGTGCAAGGAGCTGAATAAAGCTTTTACTCAGTTCTTAAATAGTAAAGAACTAGCAAACATTGCGATACTTTAGAACTAAGTGGCCATTACAGATTAGTTAGCAGTTCATGTTTGTGTTATGGTTTGTTATGACTGCTTAATTCAAAAGCATATTTGCAGACAGGGAGTTTGGATTAAGTAAATCAAAATAGTAAAGGCTTTGATTAAGAAGTTAGCTTGCTTTAACTTAAATGTTGATATTTCAAGGCCTACTGATATTTTAGTCATTTGCGGTTATTTTTGTTTCCTGTTCAGACCCCTGGGAAATAAGAGAATAGTAAATCAAAGCCCAGGTTGCTTTTTGCATTTTTTTCCTTTTCATTTATGCCATGTAGTAGTTGACTTTAAGAAACTAAAGACATGGATAACTTGAACAGAATCACTGTGAGGGAGAATTGTATTTCTGGATTAATCAATTTAAATAATTCTTGTTATAAAATGATTCTTTTCATGTTTGATAATTTAGTAATTCTTTTTATTCCACGATAATGTTATCGTAACTAGTGGAAAAGCAGCTAAAAATATCTGCATTACTAAAGTCCAATTTGGGCAGTATTGTTATCAAACTGAGGCTATGTTGTTTGTGTCTAGGGATCGCTAGGGCGTTGCTTCATCAGCCAGAAACCTCTGTGACAGGTGGTGCCTTCTGCCTGAGTATTGCTAGTGCCCGTTTCTTTCCACCCACTCGGCTCAACAGGCTGCACTCGGCTCGTGCTGCCAGCCCAGAACCCACACCTGCCAAGTACGAGCAAGGCGTGGAGCGGTGAGGGGTGTGTGTGTGATTGAGTGCAGGGTCTAGCCACTGCACACAGCTGGGCACACTGGCTGCTGTGGTGGGGCAGGCAGCTCCAGGCAACAACACAGGTGCCAGCTCCATGTGAGGAGGCTGAGGCTGGAGCACATGTACTGCACGCGGCTTCTGCTATGGGCATCCGTGTCTGGATGAGGGGAACATGGTGGCACCCAGAAGCTTGGAGATGCCTGGAACCACTGAACCCCAAAGAGAGTGTCACAGCCCCCTGGCTCAGGGAGCCCCTGGGCCTGGGCTCCCCAAAGGGCCACAGCTCTTCTCCCCTTCTCATCGCCCACAACATGGCAAGCGGGAGGGTGTGTTTCAGCCCTGTTCGTGTTAACAGCTCTTTTAGTCCCACCATTTGATGTGTCCCGAGTTCTTGTTTCATACCCAGGAAGAATGAGGTATGCGGACAGCTGGAGGCTGAGCAAAGCGAAGAGGAGCTTCACTGATTGGCAGAACAGTTCTCAAGAGACCCAAAGTGGGCAGCTCCTTTCTGCAAGCAGGTCATCCTGACGAGTGTCCAGCTCTCAGTGGAGAGGAGACCCACAGTGGTTAGCTCCTTTCTCCAGGCAGGTCATCCCAACACGTGTCCAGCTTTCAGTGGAGAGGAGACCCACAGTGGGTAGCTCCTTCCCCCAGTCAGTAGTCCAGACATCTGTGCAGCCCTCAGTGGAGAGGTGACCTAGAACGGGTAGCTTCTATCGGCAAGCAGGTCGTCCCATCCTCTGCCTCAGTCTGGCTGAGTCCAGGGTCGTTATGCGCTTCAGAGGAGGGGAAGTATGTGCTAATTGGTCCATGGACGGCCATGGGTGGGCCTGGATAAAGCACCATAAGTTCTCACTCTGGTCCACGGAACTGACAGCCTGGCCCCCAGGATTTTGGCTGTCCCTGGCTTGAAGGTGGGGCTTCACCAGGTACCCTCCCCTTTCTGCCCAGGAGCTTGTCTGCCTCCTGCCGCCATCAGTCATGTTGTTCACGGTTCCCAGGCTGTTGCCGAAGGGCGCCTGCAGGCCCCTGTTGAGCTGCCCTCAATCTCCCACTCATGCTCTTTGGTGCCCAAGTCCAAAGGAGGCCAAGACGACAGGGGGCTGGCGTGTCAGTGCTGCCCTGAGCATGCACATACCCAGCCGGGTTGCGACAGTGCCTGGGCTTGGCCTGAACTTTGCTTCAAAATCAGAGCGAGTGCTGGGAGCATGGAGAGGCCAGGCAGCGACAGCAGGCACTTCCAAGCCTGTGGGGAGCAGAGGACCTACCAGGTCCCCGACTGTGCGCAGGGATGCCTGGGTCCATAGCTGCAGCTGCACCCCGGAGGGTGGGGCTTCTGCCCCTCAACTCGAAAGCGGGTGAGGCTCCCGCCTGTTCCCAGCTCCTGCGGGCTCCATGGAGTGGGCAGCCCCCGCCCCCACTGCAGCTGGTGTCATGGCAGCAGCCCTTCTGGACAGGCCAGCCACTGCCATCACATGTTTTCCCATTTTCTATTTTTGGTGATAGCAAATTCAAACTTCTTAATTTACTTTTCCTGAAAAAAGTTGCCTTTCAAGACTACACATTTTAATGAAGAGCCTTCAGTAATAAGCATTTCAGCATGTCTCAAAAAAGATTCAACTGTTGGTTATTTTAGCTAAAATGTCAAGGAATTTTGATTAACTTTAAAAGGATTTACCTTTTATATTTACATTTATTAATTTAATTTTTATCTTTAAAATGGAAGATTTGAAAAAAAATCTTAGCTTAGCTTGCAGCTTACCAGTTCTGGTGTAATTTTCAGTAATATAACATGGAGTATTCAATCATGAATTAGCCATTATTATTTAAATAATTCACGGTGTGACCTATACTGGGTTATCCCTACTGAAGCAAACAGCATGAATGGGTAAGTTTTATTTTCCTCAGTGTTCACTTACTCCATGTTGTCACGTGTCAGCACATTGAATTTTAAGAGATACAGTGGAGTCTAGGAAATGCAAAATGACACCTTGGGTGGAAAAACTTTTCAGATTGTTTTCAAATACTTACGCAGTGTTGCCAGAAATGTGTTAACTTAGAAATTTAACTAGTAAAACAGCATATATTTGTAATTCAAACAGTCAAAAAGCCCAGTAAGTAATTGCTTTAGGATTTTAATCGGGTATGTGTGTATGTGAACATATACATGCAGATGTGCACATGTGTTACTAATTTTATTCCCATAATCTTGTGACTATTATTCATTCATTCATTCATTCACACCACACATGCACTGAGGCCTTACTATGTTTTCATGTTGTACTAAGCACTGAAAACATAGTCTCTGCCCTCATGAAATTTGGAATAGTGGTAAAGATAGACAAATGAATGTTATGAAAAGAACTGAGAAATTTAATGGGAAAATTAAATAAAACTCAGAAAAACATCTATATTAAATCATGTTTTAGCTAAGATATGAAGGATAGGACTAATCTAGAGAAATGTGTTGGTATTGGGGGAAAGGTTTTAGGAAGAGAGAACACATATGGAAAATCTCTGAGACCCTGGAGTGCATAACATGTTTAAGGAACTGAAAAATCAGTGTGGCTTGAGTGAGTGGAGGACAGGTATTATTGAGGCTGGAAATATACAGAGAAAGCACACTATGGAGAAACAGGCCAGCCATGTTAGAGACGGAGGCTCCACTGATGAGTGTTAGCCAGGAACGTAACAGAAGTGCTTTAATAAAACAGGCAGCAGTGGCAGAGAGACCTTGATGGCTTCAAAAACTATTTAGGAGTAGGGGCCAGTCGGGCTGACTCATCCCTGTAATCCCAGCACTTTGGGAGGCAGAGGTGGGAGGATCACTTGAGGTCAGGAGTTCAAAACCAGCTTGGCAAATGTAGTAAAACCCCATCTCCACTAAAAATACAAAAATTAGCCAGGCATGCTGGTGCACACCTGTAGTCCCAGCTACTCGGGAGGCTGATGCAGGAGAATGACTTAAACCCGGCAGGCAGAGGTTGCAGTGAGCCGAGATCGCGCCACTGCACTCCAGCTGTCAGAGTGAGACTTCATGTCAAAAAAAAAAAAAAAAATCAGGAGTAGGAAAGATAATTTCTATCAATTAGATAATAAAAGAGAGAGGAGTCACTATCACTTCTCTGTTTCTCTTGTGTCTGCAATGATAAAAAAAAATACAGGGATACTGGAGAAAAGAACAGTAAGAGACAGCTAAAGAGAATCCCAGTAGTACCTGTACATATGAGTTGCACATTTGGTGGAATAGATGTTTAAGCTGGAGATAGAATTGTCAACATAGAGGAAGCAAAGCCCTAGGAATGGAAGGGATCTGCAGTGAGAGAGAAAAAGAGAGAGAGAGAGAGACTCTTTTCCATTAGTTTCCCATTCCATGACATACTTCCACCAGACATAAACTGTTCCTTCATGCCTTTATTCTACTTTAAATCATTTGATGTCAGTATGTCAATTAGCATTCACAGAATAAGATAAGGGAAACTTTTTTTAGTCTCATTTACATCTCACAACTAAATAGGCCAGATTTTGTAAGGGAATAAACTCAGAGGCTGCTGAGGGGTTGAATAACTTGTCTCTCTGACAGTGGTGGCCATGGCTTCTGCCACACTGCTTGTTTTGTGAAACAACCAAGTCTCCTGCCTACCTTTCTGACCTTTCATTCCACCTGTGCCTTGTAGAGTCCAATCACAAGTCATTTGCAGTTTCCTTTTTCTTTTCCTGTTCCTGTGTACATGCTCTTCTGCTCTGAGTTCACGTCTCTGTGTTTTTGGTGGCATAGGGAGGGTTAGGCAAACATGCTTTCTTTGTGAAGCCTTTTCTGACTCGACCTGAAATAATCAGTGGTTTCTCTTTTTCAAAATTTCTCTGTAACAAATAACATAGGACATTATTTTTCAGTTGGATGCCTGTCTCATGCCTTTCTCCTATTCTCAGAACCTGATTACCTTGCCCTACCCTGCCCAACCCCATTTTATATGTACTTTATGTGAGCTTTGGCAAGCAGGGACCACATTATACTTTTTATTTTTATTTCCATTGTATTTAGCAGAGTAATAGCATATGCTCAAAAAATGTTTGTTGAATTAAGTTGATAAAGAAGGAAGACATGGGCAAGAAACATAGTGTAAAAGGCAGGAAGGAAACTATGTGTTAAGAGACAGTGGTTTAGCCCCCCAAAAAGGTAGCAAGAGATAAGTCTAGAGAGGTGTCGGTGAAACTCGTCTGTGGTAAAATTTGTTGGGGCAAACAGTATTTATGAAACCCAATCCATAATACATAACATGGATAGAAAGAATGAGACTGAAAAAAAGGACTTGTTAAAAAAAATTTAAAAACCTTGGCAGCTGTCCCCTCTCCCCAAAACACACACATCCTCCCCACTCACGCCCCCACTTCTGCCTCCACCTCCATCTCTATCTCCATCCCCACCAGCTTAGCTTGACTTTTGGGAGCTAGAATCCCAAAGATCCCTTTCCCAGAGTGCTCTGCTCCAGACCTAGCAGCTGCAGGGAACTGTGGGTATTTTATGATTTTGGAGCCAGAGAAACAAGATGGTGAGTGACCTCCACAAACTGAGGGAAAATGTTTGGGCTTTGGCTGGGCTTCTTCTGAGCAGTAGTGCAGCCCTAATTCATTCTTCTCTTTTCCACACAATGACATCGAAGGTGTTTTGGCCTGCTATTCGTAACGACCCCTTCACACATGTTAGCCTGCGGAAAGAAGCTCTACTGAGCAGAGGCGATCAGCTTTCCCCAGGTGGATTTTGGGCCATGTTACCCAAAGAAAACTTCTGTTTTCTGTTTTGTGTCACTCTTCTCAGTAGCTTTGCTCTGTAGGCCAGCCCTGGAGGCCCCTTCTCTGCAGAGGGTTAGAGGCCTGTCCCCAGTCCCTCATCATCATATTTCAGGATGGCTGGAAGCAGTGGTTCCAAGGCCAAATTCATCATCAGTGGGAAATACAAACTGGTATGGAAGATCACATCTGGCTTTTTTGGGGACATTTATCAGGCAAAGAACATAACCAATAGTAAAGAAGTGGCGCTAGCATCCTTGAATTCTGGAAAGCTAGGTATTTCTCATTGCAGTCCCAGAGAAAACTTTTTAGATTCTTCAGGGCGGGTTAGTATTTCAACATGAGATGGTATGATTAGAGCAAAGACTGCAATGTGCTACTCTTGGATCTTCAGCCCTCAAGACCTCTTCATTTTCTTTTGGAGAAGGCTCCCAGTGAAAACCGTAGTTAGGTTAGCAGACCAGATGACTGGTAGAATTGCATATGTGCATGCAAAGAATTTGAGTCACAGTTTAAACCAGATAACTTCCTAATCAGTATTGAGTATTGCTATAGGAAGTTATTCCTTATTGATTTTGATTTGCTGAAAAAGTACAGAAACAATAGGATAAGGCAGCACATATCATAGAGGAGATAGTAATCTCTAGCACCACTTGCTAAGTTAGCATCAGTGCACATCTTGGTATTGATCAGAGTTTTAGAGATGACATGTTATCATCATGATACATGTAAATGTAATTTAATAGAACCAGCCTGCCATGGCAAAGATTAAAGTCTGCAACAAAGAACAGAAAAATGAAAATGTTAATGAGAGAATGATAAAATGAAAAGGAGTTGATGGAAGGTATCTACTCCTGTTGAAATTTTGTATAAGGGGTTTTCTGCAGAATTTGCAGTAAACTATTGTTATGGATCACACATTAAGGAAGCCTTGAGACAGCTATTCCACAATATTTTCTGGACCCTGAACTGCTGATATTAAATACATATTTGGTTGAATATTGTTAAAGCAGAAAACAGTACAGAAGGCAGCCTCTTCCCATGGAGTTAGCATGCCCAAACTCTCACAGGTTTCCATGCATGAAGGGAGGAACAGAAGAAGCAGAATAGATAATCAGAGTAACATTTGTATATCGCCAAATCCAGAATTTTTAGTTCATATGTCGCATTGCCAGTGTTGTGAACAACCATTTCCCAGGTAAAAATAACGTAGGAATAAAATGGCTCTGGGCAGCATTGCTGATATAACCAAGTTGTGGCCTCTGTAATTATGTATATTAACTGAAGTTGTTAAACATGCTTTCAATTTTTATAGCACCTTTTTCAGTGGAAAACTTAACTAAATAATTGGCATATACCAATTTGTGTTGAGAGTTTTTCCATGCCTGTGTGTGTGTGTGTGTATGTGTGTGTGTGAAAACCTATTATTTTGAACTCTACTGCTTTGAGAAGGGCCATATGGTTGTATATGCACAAAATTGCGCATTCTTAAAGTTTTTTCATACGTAAGGCTTGCAAGTTGTTTACTTAAAACATTAAAATGGTTGGCATCTTGCTTAAGGCAGCTGATAAAGTAGCAACGAAAGAGTCCGGTTTTTGAACATATGAAAATTCTGTTTGTTATACTATGAATAGCAGCATCTAAAGTGAAGAAGTAAGAAATACTCTGTGGTAACTAGATTATCCTTAGTACTCTGAATGAACTCTTTAACGACCCTTGAATTAAAAAATATTTGTTACAGAAATTGAAAGCTAAACGTGAATGTTCATGTTCATGCTCAAATAAATGTAATTATTATGAACACCTACATGATTTGGGATTTTGGTTTTATTTTGAAATGAGAGCTCTTTCATTTACAAGTTCACTAAAAACTCAAATGTTTCTTGAAAATCACAGGAGCTTATGAACATTAAAAAGAAGGAATAACTATTGAACAAATAAGACAGACACTGTCAAGAACGGGCAGGACTTTGCAAGGTGATAATTAAGACTAGTTAATATTTATGTGGAAAAGTTCTGACTGGGCATTTGGAACATAATAATATGAACAATATAATATAATAAATATAGCATACATTTGCATTTATTTGCAACCTCAGACAAGCAAGATGAGTCCAAATAAAGCTAGCTTCATCGTAGTCCTTTCTTACATGTGTCACAAGGTCTTGAGATCAGTTTAAAAAACATGTTTTATTTACAACTAATGTGAATACTAATATTTGCTGTCATCAGATTCCTTCGAAAATAACATATGCATCACTGGCCACCTGTTCTAAGTAATTTTTGAGGAATTTGCATGTTCCCAGACAAGGAATGTTGTGAACAGAGATGATTCTATTTATCCACTGTTAAAAATGGCAGTTAATTTTTCCTTGTAAGTTGATTTCTAATTATGATAATATGGCAGCTATGGACAATGCCCTTTCTTAAACATACTGGGATGTAAAAGTGACCATAACTTGTTGAAACTCAGTCCTGGTATTGTGTTACTATTATTTCTCCTGGGGAGGCTTATTAGCCTGTCACAAAAGATGTAAGAAAAATCCAACATTCCTTTTGGAATATGATGAGCCTTTGTCACCCACAATGCAATTAATGTTAAAAATAGAAAGAATGGCTATGATATGATTATGATTAGGCAGAGATGAGCTATTGTCCAAGTAACAGGAACTAATCTAGCAGGCCAAAGATGACCTACACAGAACCATCAGTGTGCTGATTGCCATTTCTCTCTGAGTTTGATGAAATATTCATGCCTTTGCTCTCCTCTCTGCAAGCACTATTGATTTCTTGTATAAACGCTGCTATATTTAGTCTAGACAAATGGAATGTGGATTGCTGCTGAATAAATTGGATGAAAGACTGGGATCTTGCCTGCCACTTTCTCTCAGTCTTGGGCAATTATTTATAATCAAGAGCAGTTTTTGTAAGTTGAGGGTGATTTTTCACAATTTAGTGATTAGTCTCTGAACAAAGGCAAGCAGTTAGACGCAATCATTTCTGTTGGGATAGCAGGTTAAGAAGTCAAATTACCCTTTGAGGTTTACAATAACTGTTTCAGAGACTTGTAGGACTTTTTTTCTTATCTTTTTAAAAAAGCTTTTTTAGAGGTTTGATGTTTGTAGTTCATGGATAACAAGAATGCCAGCAAGAAGAGACTCCAGGGTCTCTTGAATTTTTACATTTTGTCTTTATAGGGTTAAGTTCTGACCTTTGTTTTTTGAGATTTCCATGTAAAAGCTGAAGGCTATAGCTTGGCCTTTTTAATGTAAAAATGAAATATATCATTAACTGCCATTGCTTTTGGTTGGAATTATGCCAAGTCTTTTAGTTAATATTCAAAATCTCATGTTACTCCAGAGCCTTGACTAAAAGTTCTACATTGGGTGCTACAATTAAGAGATCTTACAGGCCATCATTCTAATTTGCATCTGAACTTGTCATGATTAATTTCTTTCCTTTCACAAATATCATCTTTGAGAAGTCAATGTCCACCAAACTATAGTTCATTTATAAATTATTTTCCCATTTTCATTAAAGTGACACATAAAGTACCATCAATGCAAACTTCTGGTCAATCCATGGCAAAATAACCAATGTAAGCAACCCAAGATTGATATCAGTCTGCATGCACAGGCACAGGCACATGCACATGGACATTCAACTCAGATGACCAGCAAGGACATTTAAGTATATGAAGCCTTAACATCTGTAGACAGGATTTCTGTTAGCCTTTTTTTACTCACTGAAAATAACTCTTAAATTCACATGGAAAATTAACTTTGTAGTTCCCAAACTGGAATCTGCAAATTTAAGTTAGTTACTTATAGTAATAGAGCATTAGATGCAATTTGGAAAAATACAGAAAAGTAAAGGGAGAATCATTCATATTTCCGTCTAAAATACAGCCATCTTCTGTTCTCTACATCACCAGTCATTGCTATTAGAATTTAAAAACTAATATGATTTAAAAACCGTGGTAGAATATGTGCTCGATAAGGGCTGGAATTTTTGTCTTTCTTTAAAATACCAAACCCCAACATCTAGAATGAAGCCTGGGACTTTAAGAGGCTTGATAAATCTATTTTGACTACATTGCTTATATATATATATATTTTTTAAATGGTTATCATAGTGTAAATATCACTTTTTTCACTTAATGTGACAACTTTTTTAATGTTCCCACAAACATTATTTTTAATGAATGCGTAGCTTTTCTACCAAATGGATGCGACATATTTTGCTGAGACATTTCCTTGTAGTTGGTGATTTCAATAACAATACTAGAACTCTAGTAAATAATACGACATTGAACTGTTTTTTTCCCTATTCAGTATTGTCTCCTGGAGATATAATCCTAGAGTTGGCAAACCTGAATCAAATGGTAGAAATATGTAACACTTCTTGATACGTATTACCAAATTGGTTTTGCATAAGTTTTGTACCAATTGACAGCTCCACTTGCCATAAATAATCGTCTCTTTGGTCATACGCTTAGCCTATACAATGGGGCATTGTACACATATATGTATACACGTGGGTCATATATATGATAATAATCAATGATGCTCTATTTTGATTCATAATTTGCAATTCTTTACTAGTGAAGGTGATTTTCAGTTGTTGCATTCTTTTATTTGTTTTGATCTAGATGTTTTAGTATTTTTATTTTCTAATGTTTAGTAGAAATTGTGTGCCATTTTATTTTTATATTTGTTTCTAATATGTTTGTTTTGTTAGCTACTTACTATTGATGGTTTATTTTAATATATAAGAAATTTCCATTTCATATAATAAAAAAGCAAAAACAAACATCTGTTAAGGGCTGTGCTACATGCTATTAGTACTTACTGTTACTATCTCCAAGTTACGGATGAGGGAACAGAGGCCTAGGGAAATTAATAACATCTTCAATGTTACACACATGAAAGAGTCAAATAAGCATTTAGATTATAGAACAGAATTTGAAAACTGGTACATGTAAAGACTGAAGCATTTTGTTTGGTTCCTGGAGTATTTAAAGCTTTTGAAGAGCCTGGTGCTGTGACTCATGCCTATAATCTCAGAACTTGGGAGCTCAGGCAGGAGGATCACTTGAGGTCAGGAATTCAAGACCAGCCTTCGCGACATAGCAAGATAATACCCCAGCTCCCACTGCCCTGACCCCAGCTATAAAAAAAAAAAAAAGAAAGAAAAATTTAGCTGGTCATGGTGATATGCACCTAAAGTCCCAGATACTTGGGAGGCTGAGGCAGAAGGATCCCTTGAGCCAGGAAGTTCTAGACTGCAGTGAGCTATGATTGCACCACTGCACTACAGCCTGGACGAAAAAGTGAGCCCTCCAGCAGCCTAAAAAATCTTTCAGTTTAATTTTCAGTTAACAGTTATTTCTGTCTACACTGGATCTGTATTTTCTTTTTCTCCCACAACTCCCACAAATAGTTGGTTTTATCTGAGTAGTGACTGGCCTCTTTTGAAAAGCCATGCAATCCAGTTTGCCACAGTTTCCCCTCCAAAATTCCTGTTGTCTTTAGCTTAACCTTTTACACTGAACTACAGAATTTTCCCGATTCTTGTGGGTAAGGGTCATACTCAAAATATTTAACAACCAGTTTGGCATGGATGCTGGTCATTCAAAATGTCAGAATGGACACCAACAATAAATAAATGGTACACCTGGATATCCTGTCTGTGAGTTTTCCTGCTTAAACTATTCCTTTAGAAAGCAGCATTCTTTTTTTTTTTTTTTTTTTTGAGACAGTCTCGCTCTGTCACCCAGGCTGGAGTGCAGTAGCGAGATCTCGGCTCACTGCAAGCTCCGCCTCCCAGGTTCACGCCATTCTCCTGCCTCAGCTGGGACTACAGGCACCCGCCACCACACCCGGCTAATTTTTTGTATTTTTAGTAGAGAAGGGGTTTCACCGTGTTGGCCAGGATGGTCTCGATCTCCTGACCTCGTGATCTGCCTGCCTTGGCCTCCCAAAGTGCTGTGATTACAGGCGTGAGCCACCGCGCCGGGCCCTGAAAGCAGCATTCTTATCTACTAAGAGTTTTTGCTAAGAATTTTATATCTATTATCTAATTTAATTTGTATAAATTTAAATATTATCATCTGTAGTTATTCTCAGATCATCAAATCTTTTTTACTCCAGTGGTTTGATTAAATACTTGTTTTAAGTTTCCTCATACTTTTTCCACCTTGTTTATTTTAGGAATGAGGTAGCTGAGATACAGATTATTACCAATTCAACATCAGGACTTAGAAACTTGGCTACTTTCACTCCTTGTTGTTTGGATCTGGCACCATTGCTGTGGTTAATTACCATTTTCCACATTTTAGCATGCAGTTGTCTATTCTGTCTTTGGTACATCCAATAGTGCTGCAAATACGTTATATTACAACCTTTACTTTGTAAAGTTGAAGATATCTTCTGACGCTGATTACAAAGGAAGATGTTCTTAAGTGTACAAATGTAGTCATGGTGGAAGTTCTCTCTTAGGGCATCTTTTCCTCAACATAATTCCATTTTTTTTTTTGTCCTCGTTGACTTGATTTTTGTTAGTGGTTCAGTAGAATAAGTTTTATGAATGACTGATACCAGTAAACAATTGAAGTCACCTGTTTGTAAAAGGAAATTGTGGAGGATTCATGGCAGAGTGCAAATTGCTGAATGAAAATTAGCCTATGGCCCATTTATCAAAACTAATGTACAAATGACTTTATATCATCATTGTAAAGAAATGGCTAGAGTCATTGGCATAAAATTTGTTGTACAGGGTCTTATACTTTTTATTTGTTTCCAAATCAATGTGCTAATTTCCAATCTTCTATTACCCTCCCCCACCCCATTTCCCTTTTTTTCTGGTTCTTTAGTGGATGTGAAGTCAGAAGTTCCTGTGGGCCTGGAGCCCATCTCACCTTTAGACCTAAGGACAGACCTCAGGATGATGATGCCCGTGGTGGACCCTGTTGTCCGTGAGAAGCAATTGCAGCAGGAATTACTTCTTATCCAGCAGCAGCAACAAATCCAGAAGCAGCTTCTGATAGCAGAGTTTCAGAAACAGCATGAGAACTTGACACGGCAGCACCAGGCTCAGCTTCAGGAGCATATCAAGGTAGCAAATGCTTCTTTGTCTGTGACCTTACTCAGGAGTCTGCACCGTGGTGGGCATGAACAGTGCCCATGGGAACACTTTGCGGGTAGATTCACTGTGATTAAGACATGGATATATGGCTTGAAGGGAATTGTGATTTTACTAGTGAAAACTTTGGGTAAGTACCTGTTAAAAACCTGTTTTGCTTCTCAGAGGGACCTTCTTTATCCTTTAGCACATAGAATCAATAGCAGGGAATAGTAACTTCCTATCCTAATTTTAGATTCTCTCCTACGTGATTTTGTTCATTTGCCCCATCTGCTCTCCACCAAGAAGAAGCATGAGCCTAGAAGACCCATTTCATATTTCATTTCTGAAGAGTCTACATGTACTATTTGTGAGAAAGGATAAATTAGTCACCTTATATGAAGAGAGCTGTTTTTAAAAAACAAACATGGTGTATAAGTAGATGTTCTGAGTATGTCCGACTCTTCCTTATAGAAAAGATCTCATAATGTACACATTCAAAATAATAGTATAATAAAAAGCTTAAGGGAGTTATAAATGGAGAAACTGGTGCAAATGTTTTTATAGACTGTAGATAAGAATTTATTGAAAGTATTTGGGAGTAGTTGACAATTTGAGACTAAAGTTGTTTAAATTATTTTAGCACAAATATATCCATATTCCAGAATTTTTAATAATAACTTATTTTATTATCTAATAATATTAGATGTGTCTGTTTTTTTAAATTTTGTATCTTCAGAGATAAATATTACTTTAGCTTTATTTGTAAAACATCTTGCAACTTCTTGACAAAGACAGTTGAAACAAGGCTATTTAATTTGAATTTATTGTGACAGAAAAGCAGCAAAGATTTACAACAAAAATTTTATTTTTATATCTAACTTTCAAAGATGACAAACACTTGCTAATTTGTGAATGTAATAAATTATGTTATCTCATACTTTATTGTTTTGTATTATAGGAACTTTATTACTTGCATATCAAGTACAAGCACATTGATAGAGGGTTGATACAGATAACTGATGTTACTAGTATGTAATTTTACCACATTAATATGACAGTTTCTAAGGAAGTAAAAATGCTATCTTCTTCTCTATATTACTTGGTTTACAAGATGTTTCTTAATCCTAAAAGAACTTTATTATCGTATATTCCTAAAAAGGCTCTTTGACAAGTGATATAAAATATATTTATTTCTTTTAGTAGTGAACTTTCCAAAAAGAACTCTTGTATATTATTGATGTACAAAATACCTTAAAGTGAGAGTATTTTCTTTTGTCCCAAATGGAATCAGTAGCTCATGGCTACATTTTGAAGTATGGGTAGCCTTTCTTTAGTTTTTAGACTTATTTTTGAATGAATACTGAAGCTTTATTTAAATTTGACCTTTGAAACAATAATAGAAACATTGATATCTAGATCTGTTTCTTTCCTTCCAGCATGTTAAGATGGCAAAGAGAAATGAGTAAAATGTACATTTTTCACCATACTTTAAGATGTAAGGGACTGTGTAGTTCATTTTGCTGCTTTAAGTGAGACATGTTTCCCTAAATACAGGGCAATACTGATAAGTTACTGCTTTAGATACTTCTTTTCATTTATATTGCTGCCTTTGATAGCTATAAAGTTAATATAAATTGTTTAGAAAGAAATTTATTGCTTAATTTTACTCAAAAGGTAATAGTAGCAAGTAGATAATTAATTGTTCATTTGGCACAAGCAAAACAATAGTGTTGGTTTATTGACATCTGGAAAATATTGGAAAAGTGGCTCCTGTGAGAAAAAAGAATTATGAGATAGCTAAAAGGAAAATTTAGCTTTTAAAATGATTTTCCAAAATAATAATTTGTTTTCTTAGAAACCAAAGACATAATTAATATTACTTTTTCAGATTAGGAAGTTTTTTGATTTTTAGAATTTTTATTTTGTTTTGTCTTGTATTTTTTATGGATAAAGCTAAAAGTTGATGCTTTTCATTAAGATTTTATTTTTATGAGAAAGATGCATTACATGATGCTTTATTTATATTAGCTTTTTGAATCGTTAGCTTCTGTAATAATCAACATTTGTTGAGTTAGATGCTGTTATTCCATTTTTCCACCTAGTGAACTGAGGTAGAGAAAAATAATGATACCTTTCCAAGGCTACATAGCCAATAAATTGTTGCTCCAAGATTTACAGTCTTGCCCTGTCTGCCTCCAAAGCTCTTAAGTTGCCCTGCCTCTCTCATGGGCCAGAACATCTAGCAATAGAGGGCTAAAGTTTTATTTCTTTCTATTGTTTTAAACCTCATTCATGCAATCTTTGATAATGAATAGTAGTGGTAATTAAATTGTGTGCTTTTCTAGATTCCTATGAAAGATTAAAGTTCAAATACATTGGGGCTTTGGGTGAAGCACCAAATTAATTTGACCAACCCAAGTATCTATATAGAATTTAACAGTAAGGCAGAATTTAAGCATTCCTTCTGCTACCATGGAATATTATTTCATTACAATGGAATAATAACACCCATTAAGGGAGTGTATTGAAGCCAAAACACCAAAGATTTTAATATGAAGAGTAACCAGAAATGCTTCTAACTATGTCCTTCTGGGAGTAATAAGGCTATTATGGTTGATATACAGAGTTAGCTTCCTGTTGCTCCAGAGTGACTCTGATGCCATTCCATATAATAGCTTTTTATTTTTGTTCTATTACTTTTTGGTGTAAAATCAAGAGTTTTAGGCACCTAATGTAAAAAACAAAATTTACTAATTTCATTAGTATTGAAAGTTACAAACACATGTTGGGTATCCCTTATCTGAAATGCCCGGGACCAGAAATATATCAGATTTTGGATTTTTTTTTCTGGATTTTGGAATATTTACATATCTGTACATAATGAGAGTCTTGGAGATGGGACTCAAGTCAAAAATATAAAATTCATTTATATTTCATATACACCTTATACACATAGCCTGAAGGTAATTTTATACAATATTTCCAATAGTTTTGTGCTTCAAACAAAGTTTGGGTACATTGAACCATCAGAAAGGAAAGGTGTCATTGTCTCAGCCACCCATGTGGACAATCTCTGGTTGTTTGGCATCACTGTTGTTGCTGAGTCTGAATGTGAGGAACATGCCATTGGCATGTCTTGCCCACACACACACCATTTTGTTATCTTTTGTGGGTGTGCTTATGTGGGGGAATCTGGGCGTGTGTGAAAAAAATATATTGCAGCTGAAAGGGGGCTGGAAGGGTCTTTTTTCCCATGGTGAAGCTGACTAAACTTTGTGCTGTGTGCCTGCATTTTGACTGGAACTCATCACATGAGGTCAGGTATGGAATTCTCCACTTGTGGCATCATGTCAGTGCTCAAACTATTTCAGATGCTGGAGCATTTAGGATTTTGGATTTTCAGATTAGGGATGCCCAACCTATAATAATAATAATTAAAATCAGTAGGGTTCAAACTTAAAAACTAAATTTTATGTACGTTATGAATATGCGGCTGAAGAGAGATATTCTCTCTCTTACATATGAGGAAGTATGGCTCCGAGTAGTTTAGTAACTTGTCCGGATTTCATATCTACTAATGTCAGAACCTAAGGAGAACTCAAGGTCTTTAGTTACTCCTCAGTGTGCACATTTACTATAGTTCATAGATATATATTTCTCAGTCTGAGTGGAAATAGACATCTCAAGATGGCTATTAAAAAAGAATGCTTCAGGCTGGGCAAGGTGGCTCACACCCGTAATCCCGGCAGTTAGAGAGGCCAAGGTTGGAGCATCACTTGAGGCCAGGAGTTTGAGACTAGCCTGGGGAACATGGCAAGACTTTGTCTCCACTAAAAATGATAATTTTAAAAAATTAGCCAGGAGTGGTTGTATATGCCTGTAATCCTAGCAACTTAAGAGGCTAAGGTGGGAGTATCGCTTGAGCCCAGGAGATTGAGGCTGCAGTGAGCTATAATGGTGCCACTGCAATCCAGCCTGGGCAACAGAGTGAGACCCTGTCTCAAGAATAAAAATAAAAATAAAAAAGAGTGCAAGAATGCATCATATTCATGTCATTCATTGTTTGAGAGTGAATTCAAGGGATTCAGAAAGCTAAACAATAGTGCATTAAAATGAAGTTTTGTGGAAGTGGTTTCTTCTTGACCAGTGTCTTTAATCTAAAAGCTTTTATGTGCTGAATGAAAGAATAAAGCTTCTGCTATTTTGATATTTTGAGAGACTATATGTATATAATATATTCTACATATTATGAATATATACATTGCATTAGTCTATTGAGAACTTGCTCTGTAAGATTTTGAAATTTTTAGCATTTGTTTACTTCAGGTAAACTTCCCCCAAATTAATTTAATATCTCACCATTCTGTATTTGCGTTGATTATTTTTACACCATTTTTTAGGCTAAGAATGGAAGATTTCAGTTGTTCATTTATAATGTGAGGGACTTTGTAAAATAGGCTTCTGGGCAGTCCCTACCTTTTCCTGTTTGTATGTTCAAAGAAAAGTCATTAAGGGAACTAAAGATTTAATTAAAGGAAATGGGAAGACCTGAGTGAATTTAACAGTTAGTTTTGATAGGGATGCACAGATAATGGAGCTACCTAAAACTTGCCTGTTGATGACGTTAAGACCTTCACTGCATTAGTTGCTTGTCCTTAGATTTCAATGATTTACAGAAAAAGTGGGTACAAATATGAACTAAATACAAACAAGTTCCAAAAGCTCATAACATTTCAGTTTTGGTCAGTGATGACTATGAAGCCTAAAGAAATTGCACACTCTCATGTCTTTCTCTTCTCGCAAGTTGCAACAGGAACTTCTAGCCATAAAACAGCAACAAGAACTCCTAGAAAAGGAGCAGAAACTGGAGCAGCAGAGGCAAGAACAGGAAGTAGAGAGGCATCGCAGAGAACAGCAGCTTCCTCCTCTCAGAGGCAAAGATAGAGGACGAGAAAGTAAGAGGCACCAGGGTAAACGATGGACTCTCTTTCCTCATCGTTAGCTGATCATTATTCAGAACAAAGCCTGATAAAGAGTGCGGTTAGACTCGTCAAAATTATCTGTGTTTAATTAAAAGCATAGATTACAGACCCAACTGTAAAGTTTTGACATTTACATACCAGCTCACATCATTGAGTCTGCAGAGCGTCTCAAGAAGCAAACGTAACATTATCTGGCAAAGGTGCTGATTTCTGTTGTTTTGAACCTTAAAAATAATGTAATTCTAAAGCAGTCTAATATATGCCATCTTGTTTAATAATCAGCTTGTATCCACATCTCCTGACTATGCCTTCCTTACTCCTGGCCAAGTAATAATTGCTCTCTAAGTAAAGCCTTGCCTCCATTTAGTTTTGGCATACTCAAACTTTGAGAAGATTTAAGACATAACACATGCAAAAGAACTATCCACAAGAGGGAGACAGATCCAAATAATTCCCCTGTATTAGGTCAGTTCAAAATCAGGTCGTAGCAAAGTTTAAAATTTGATGACTTGAACTGGAATTGTCAGCAATATTTATTTGTTTAATGCTCAAAGGGTTTTTTTAAAAACTAAGGTTTTCAAACTAGCAACTCAGAAAAGATTATTTTAATGTGTTTAAGGGATTTAATATGGATCTAATCCCTCAAGATAACTTGATTATTAAAATACAGTGTTTTGTTCCTCTGCAGTATTTTTTAAACTTAAAAAAGTTGATTTTGGGAATTCCCTCTTTGCAAAAGTAATTAAAGAAATAGCTGAAAGTCTTTTGAAAATTTGCAATTTAAGTAGTATTTATAAAGCATTACTGTACTATTTTCTAAAGCATATTTGGACTGTGGTTTCTTCTTTTAATAGGAAAACTTTATGTGCTGTGACCAGCGATTTTACTTCTTAATCTTTGTCAAATATTCTAGAGGCATGAGAGGACAAAACTCACCATCAACATCTGTTTCTGTGTGTGTATGTGTGTGTGTGTGTGTGTGTGTGTGTGTGTGTATTTCAGGGGCAGTGGCAAGTACAGAAGTAAAGCAGAAGCTTCAAGAGTTCCTACTGAGTAAATCAGCAACGAAAGACACTCCAACTAATGGAAAAAATCATTCCGTGAGCCGCCATCCCAAGCTCTGGTACACGTATGTTCAGTGTTTGGCTGTTTTCATTCCTGGGGTAAAGAACACAGGTTCTGTATTTAGCCGACCTGGGTACACATCCTTAGCCTGCCATTTCTCAGCTGTCTGGCTGTGGGCAAGTTCCTTCAGTTCTCTAAGGATCAGTTTCCTTCTCCATAAAAAGAGGAAAATAATAGTGCATGCCCTCTAGGGTTGCTGGCACGGTCCTATAAAATAACATGGTAAGGTACATAACAGAGAGAAGTGCTAAATAAATGGTAGCATTTATCAACTTGAGGGCAAGGAAGTATATATGTTCTTTGATGAATGAATAACTGACAAATGTGAGGTGGGCAAAGAAATTTGTATTTTGCATTTTTCCATTCTCAACTGGTGCATTTGGTATCTATATAGTAATTTCAAAAGGTTTAGCAGATTGTGATTTTATTACACTTGACTTGGTGTAAGATGGAGGTCAGAGCTATTTTCAAAAATCTAGTAGAATTTTGTCTCAAATGAAGAAAAAAGGAAGGAAGAAAGGAAGATAAGGGAGGGTAGGGAAGGGAAGTTGAGAGGTTGCTAAATAAATAACTCTAAGTCTTCAGTGAATAGTTTACCCCTGCCCACCTCACTTCATTTCTTCCCAGACAGCAAAATAATAGCTTGGCTCCTGACACACAACCTGACAACATAATACACTGTGGTATTGTGGTTTTTATAGAACTGTATTTCTGTAAGTCCAATACACAAATATTTCAATAAAATATAGAGGATGTGGTGATTTTAAAACTCAGGGCAAAGAACTGATAGGCAAATCATATATGGATAATAAACTAATAGATAATAGTTTCATTTCTTTCTTAGAAGTGTTTGCCAAATGACCATATATTTTTACACTTATATATTTTTCAATCCCTCACACCATTAAAGATAGGAATAGTACTTGATTACTCTGTTATATTAATATTGTAAGCAGCCTGGGAGTTCTATTTAAAGAGTTAATGTACTTATAAGGCTATTTTATAGGTATCCGCCCTTCTCTGCATCCCAAAACAGGTAACAGACAGATACCATAATGTTTTATAAATACTTTTTAATGATTTTCATAATTTCTGTCATGTATATCAGTTGACATGAAAAACAAATCTCTGAAAAACAATTTCAAATATTCAATCAATATCACGAATGATTTAAAAAGAAACACGATTTTGTTACCTAAAACTACACACATAATTTATAGCTAATTCATAATTCAAAATTAAAGTCTGTTCTAAGAAAAGATAATAGCATTAAATGAGAAACAGCTACATGCAAAGAATTTGTCGGTTAAAGTTCATTAGCTGTTCTCTTAGGTAATATTAAGCATAGCTCTCACATGTTACTTAGCAGTATTTACCTTGTTTTTATGAAATTGAACTTCAGTAGAGTCCAACTGCAGATAACCACAAACGATTAATTTATAGAATCTGAATTTAATGCCATTTTTGCCAGTTATAGCTAGAAGAAATATCCTTAAACCAATAAAGTCTTAAGAATATATGATTTAAATAAATAATACTGGTAGAACAATCATTGTGATGGTGATACTATGTCCTGTTCATTGTTTTCATTACATATGTAATTATAGATATTTATATCTACTAGATAGTCAATATTCAGTCCTATAAACTATTCTCCAGCAGCACAGTTGCATCTCTTAGATTGTATTCACCCAGGAAAAAGAAAACATTTAAAAAAATTGGTTTCATATTAAAGAATGTGATCCCCATTCTTTACTACTGAAACTGCCCCAGAAGTCAGGAGATGGGAGTCCGTTGGCACAATCCTGTCTTTTCAGTAAAAAAGGCTACTCTCATGTACTCACATGTACTATCTAGCAATTTTTTAAAATGAAGTCCTTGCGTATGTTTACTATTACCTTGATTGTTTTATACTGTTGACTAGAAAGGATTGAGATGATGACTTTTCCCCTAGGGTGGCTCTTAAGAGAACATAGGCAGTAATCTCAAATTGTCAAAAGCTCAGACTCTTGGTAAATTATTTTAGTGAAGCAAACTTTCTATGTGACTGTATGACCAAACACATGCTGGACATCCTTAGGATCCCTGCATCATTCCATAGCATACTGCTACAGTGAACTTGGTTATGTGAGGCTATGGTTTGTATACACTAAGGAGAAAGAGCATAAACATAGCTGAGGCACGTGTACAGCGTGTGCAGCTGATTATTGCTGACCAATATGCAGTAAAAACTACCAAGTAAATAGTGAAACTTCCTTGTCTTTTCTAGGGCTGCCCACCACACATCATTGGATCAAAGCTCTCCACCCCTTAGTGGAACATCTCCATCCTACAAGTACACATTACCAGGAGCACAAGATGCAAAGGATGATTTCCCCCTTCGAAAAACTGGTAAGTTGGTTTAACAGGAACTCTGTTTGCTCTTCTGTAACACACCTGTAAGTTTCATTTTGCCACACCTCTAGAAGAAAGTCAAAGGATTTGAGTCGTAGATAATATACCTCCCCACCCCTGCCCCCAGCATAAGCAAACAATGCACACACATACCCTACTTATTTCTGCATCAGTTGATTCATGACATAATCAAAATATCTCTTTTTCAGTTTAAAAGTTTATCATATTTGAACTTTAGCCAAATTATTTTCTTACTAGGAATAAATAAAAATAAAAATTTCGTATCTCGGAAAATCTAACTCTTCTCCATTAGATAGGGCCTCTGTAATATCTTTCATTGTCCTGTTTTTCTGCTGTACCTCAACCATTTACCACAAAAACGAGAATAATAAAGTTTAATTTTTCCAATAAATATTTTACAAACCTTAAATTTTAATTGTTTTTGTGGTGAAAGCAGGTAAGGCCAAAGCTACCTTCTGAGTAAGTGACTAGCCTAATATCTCATGGATTATAATAGAACTCAGAGTGAAATTATATCTGATAATCTCATGAAGTTAGGGGAAATAGCGCAATTAAGCTTTTATTTAGAATTTAGTAAACAGTTCTGTGGCTCTAAGGATTGTATTTGCTGTTCCATCTTCATCTCCTTTCTGAGCATTCTGATATGTATATATTTAATGTCTTATATGCTTTTACTGCTATAATAAATGTTTAACTAGATATACATATAAATAGCATTTGTGTACATTCTATTCTAAATCTCAACGTTGTTTGCCAAATATAGTTCTTTAGAGACAGTAGTAAATTTAAAAATGTTTATCTCCACAACTGATCTGAAAAGATATTCATGTAAGATAGCTTGGTCTATTGTATTTGACTCAGATCTACTTGAAGAAGTATAGATTTATTTGTTTTATATATGAAATCTGCAGAGTGAAAATGATTTCAAATAATTATATTCATTTTCCCAAGCAATTTTGAGAAATTAAAATGAATATAGATTGTAAAAACACATGCCGAAGCTATTTTTTGTCATATAATTTACCTGTGGCATAATGAAGATTTTAAAATAAAATCAGTTATGAATAAGAATTTATTATTCGCCATCTAGCATATATTGAAGGCACTAGGAAAGGATGTTTAACTATTGCAAAACAACCTGTGGCTTTTTAATTTAAATAGCCCAAATATTTTTGCATTTCTACTAAAAGATGATAAGTATTATAAAATACCTTAATAGAAGGCTATGCAAAGGCAAGGATAATTGAGTTTTATGTATTGCATCAGAATTCCACCCTATTATCTGCAAATCAGAGTGTCTTATAAATAAACTTTTCTAGGATGAAAGAAAGCAAAATGTGAGCCTCTATGTTATTTCTAAAACATGAGTATAGTTTATGAAAAGTGATCCATAAAGGACAGGAGTTTTAGAATGTGGGGACTTTGATCTGCAGGCTTGACATTTATTTGTGAGTAGCATGAGTAGGAGCTATTTACTGAGATTATGCAGATACTACCCCAGGTCTTAGGGCAGTGAATGGCATTCAAGAATCTAAGGAGTTACTAAAAGGAAAGAAAAATATGGATTCCCCTTATGGCAGGAGGTTACTGATGAGTGATATAGTTACATTCACAGAGAAAGACTTCTATCCTGCTGAGCACAGAGCCTTTGAATATATCCTTACCACTGGGAGATTGAAAACTGACTGCAGAACTGATAACTGACTTTGAAAAGAAGTGGCATTTGGGAACATTAAGCACCCAGTGAGAAAATCTGATATTTTTAATACTTAAGGAGAAGTACTAAAAACCCATACTTTGTGTCCCACTGTTGCCATGCGAACAGCTTAAGGTTTTTCCTCTGTGAAGAATAAATAACAAGCTGTTAATTTATTCTCATAGATTTTTTTCAATCCACAACACAATTTAAAAAGAAATCCTTCTCAGGATATATATGTTACAAACCCTATTTAGATTTGTACAAATATGCAAGACATTTTCTGTGCCTTATTATGTGCTATATAATAATAGTGAAAAATCCCTGGTCTTTTCTAGAGGTATTTTTTCTGTATTTGATCAGTATTTCATGTTTCTTCCTTTTATGTTGAAAATCTGATATTTATGAAGTGTCTGGCTGTTGATCTGTAAAACCAAACATTTTCAAGCATCGTAGCAATAAAGTTCTTGAACAGCCATTAATACTTTAGTATCTCTATAGAGGTTTTAAAATATTCCTTAATTCAATTCCAATTGTCTGTTTAAGAAAAATAAGATGTAATTAAATACAGATGCTTTCTATACTCTATCTAAAATACTTAGAGATGCCCTTCATTAATTACAAAATAGGTGGAACACTCAGCTTTTATAAATATAATCCATTTGGTGTATTTCCAATTCCATTATGAGAAAATTTAGACATATATTTGCACTAAAAGAATAACACTGAAATGTTGTCAAATAATTTTTACTTCAATGTTTATTGTATTTCAGTGACTCAAAAGTATTTACAAACAAAGCGAACAATAAAATTTTACCATAATAAAACATATGTGATGATTGGGGAAACTGTTTAAGATAGCTTGTGTAAAGCTACATCATACTAAATGAAATCTGGAAGAGTGTCATTGATCATAGAGTGTAAACACCAGCCCAGCTACTGTAGAGTGACGCTTTGTTATTAGAGCCAGATTCTAAACCTCTCTTGTCTGCTTGGATTTCATTGAACTCAATCTTAGAGTTAAAAGAAGTTGTTAAATGAGTGTATCCTATCGTTTGATCTATGTATGATACTATTTTAGTTTCTTTTAAATCTACATCAGCAATATGTATTAGCAAGCAAGATTTACGAGAGTAAAACTGGAATCAGAGTTAGAAAAGTCCTAATGATCTTACATTGATTGAGATAGCCCTAGGATGTCCCTTAAGCAGTGAGCACAATTTGAAACCTCTCTTGACCTTTTAGGACCTTCCCCAGACAGTGATAACCCGGGAACAGTTAACTACAGAAACCTCATTTGCCTGCAGAAATCTGACCTTTGTCACGCAAAGTGGACCTTTACTTCCTTCCCCTTAGGAGAATGATAGTTGCTCCTAGAATTTGGGCATTTTAGAAACATGGAATTATATTAAAAGTTGGCTCTAATCATGCCCATTCCAATTCACTTTTCTTTAAAATGTAAGAATGGAGTGACTTCTCCTCCTTTCACAACAACATCAAAGGCTTTACATAACTTATTTTGAAGTGGAAAATAACAATTGTTTTTAATTTTTATATGCATTGCCCACACTTAAAGTAGTACTTCCTTCTAGAATTATACATTGTAATTAATTTTGTTCTATAACACAAGGATAGGTTGATAGGAAAATTTGGAATATTTTACTAAACTTATACTTTGGCTGAAAATAGTATCATTGCTGTAGTAGATGACTTTATTGTTTTTATATAGTACACTGCTGAACTGATAATAAACTATGAAGTAGGGAAAGGAAGTTTTGGAAATAGTACATATTTCCTGGCACTTTGGAAATGGTACATGTTTCTCACAGAGATTCTACATATGTGGTGATTTTGAACTGACCTTCAAAACCATTTGATTGGATTCTGTTCCAGTGAGTGTGTGCATATGTTTCATAAAATATTGTGATAAAATTTCTAGAAGTTTTACCCTCCATTATATTATTGAGGTTTTACCCAATGAACTTTGCCTTTCTTTGAATATTACAGTCTTTCCATTTAATACTTCTGAACAAAGTGAGTTAGCTGGCTAGATTAACCTCTTAAAGTGCACAAGCCATGTAAAGCTTGGCTTGGGCTGATAAGAGACTTTTCCAGCCCCACTGAAATATTTATTTTAATGGTCAGCAACACTAGAATAAGACTCAAAGATGGAAAGAGTCCAAACATAAGTGAAGGTTTTGGAAGGCCAGTATCATTTTCCACACTGAGTAAACTGGAACGAAGGCAGAGATTAGATATGTAGCTTTATAAATTGCCTTTTGGTATAGCAGTCAGCAGTTATGTTCTAGTACCTTGATGACCTATTCAAGTCATTATAATAAAAAACACAATAATTATTTTTAATAGTTTAGAATATCTCTTCCTCTCTCTCTCCCTCTTTCTGTGTCTTTCAGAATACACTTGTGCATGTGTGAATTGCATACATGAACATTATACACATTTCTGCAAAGATATCATTAAAGATGGCTTAGGCTTATAACGATATTTGCTCAAAATCTTATTCAAGATTGACGAACACTGGAGCATTTTTATATAGCTTAGTACTCTATCTTGGTTACATTGTTTTGACTAAACTTGTCAAAGTTTATTTTTATTGAAATATACTTCTTTTAATGAATCTTATACTAGTTTTCTCAGAATTGAGAAGTAATATGGCCATTGTAATTCAGGCTTTGAATCCACACATACCACTTGGAAATTTGGGTCCTCAATCTTGAGCGATTAATTTAACCTCTCTAGGCCACGATTCCCTCATCTGTCAAATGAGGATAATAATTGCACTTGGTTTGCACAGTTATTTTTAGAATTCAATTAAATAATGCATGTAAAGCACTTAGGATCATACCTAGGATTTAAGGAGTGCTTACTCTTGACTGTATGCTTGTATAAGGAAATGTTATTTATTTCTATTATGCCAAAACTAAATCTCTTTTTGTTGTAGAAGGTCTTTTTAATGTCTTACATTCTTCTACCTTTATTAATAGAACAACCAAACTAATAAAAAGGTGATCAATATTTTCTTTTTAAGCTATGGGCAACTCACAAGGCTACTGTCAAAATGAGGGTAAAGTTATTTGTTAATTTTGCATATTCTCTGGTATTTCAGAGCTCACTATGGTATCCAAAAGAAGCAGCAGGCTGCATGCCTATAGTCCTAGCGACTCAGGAGGCTGAGGAGGGAGGATTGCTTGGCCCAGGAATTTGAGTCCAACCTGGGTAACATAGGGAGACCCTGTCTCTTAACAAATAAAATAAAAAACGGAGCAGCAGGCTTGTTTTTGTTGTTCATCGTAGGAGGAAGTCTGATTGATGTTCTGTGCTCACTAGGGCCAGAGTTTTAATTTCTGCTGTTAACTTCATTTTTAAAGTAGCAGACTTTAATTTTAAGAAAAGTTTTATATTTACAGAAAAATTGAGCAGATATTGTTGAGTTCCCATATTGTTGCCTCCTCCTAACCCCTAGGTTTCTGCTTTTTAAATATCTTGCATCAATGTGGTACATTTGTTGCAATTAAGGAACAACTATTGATACATTATTGTTAATGCAGTCCATAGTTTATATTAAGGTTTACTCTGTGTTGTAAGATTCTATGAGATTTAACAAATGTGTCATATCATGTCATATATCCACCATTACAGAATGATATAGAATAGTTTTACCACCCTAAAAATCTCCTGTGCCCCACCTATTCATCCTCCCCCCACCCAACTTTTGGTAACCACTAATTTTTTTATTGTCTCTATAGTTTTGCCTTCTGCAGAATGTCATAGGGCTACGATATGTGGCCTTTTCAAACTGGCTTCTTGTATTTGGCAGTATGCATTTAAGATTCTTCCATGTATTTTGGTAGATTGAAGCTTTTTTGGTTACTGAATAATATTCCATTGTATGGCTGAACCACTGTTTATCCATTTACCTTTTGAAGGACATTTTTGTTGCTTCCAAATTTTGGTGATTATGAATAAGCTGCTATAAGCATTCATATGCAGTCTTTGTGTGGACATGTTTTCAGCTCAATTGGGTAAATACCTAGGAGTACATTAACTGGATCATGTGGTAAGACTTGTTTGTTAAAAAAAGAACAACAAACAACAAAAAACTGTCAAACTGTCTTCCAAAGTGGCTGTACTATTTTGCATGACCACTAGCAATATAACAGAGTTCCTGTTGCTCCACATACTTGTTAGCACTTTGTATTTTAAGTTTTTTTTTTTTAATTTTAGCCATTCTAATACGTATGTAGTGGTTTCTCATTGTGGTTTTAATTTGTAATTCCCTAATGACAAGTGGTGCCAAGCATCTTTTCATATGTCATTTGCTATCTCTGTATCATCTTTGGTGGTGTCTTTTTAGATATTTTACATTTTTTAAATTGGTTTTTTTCTCATTGTTGAGATTTAATAATTATTTGTGTATTTTGGGTACAAATTCTTTTTTTGCTGTTTGTCTTACAAATATTTTTCCTCAATCAGTGGTTTATCTTTTAATTCTTGTATCATTGTCTTTCACAGAACAGAAGATTCTAATTTTATTAAACATCAATATTTCCTTTCATCGATCATGCTTTTAGTTTTATATCCAAAAATTTTTTGCCAAACCCAGCGTTAACTAGATTTTCTCCTGTTTTCTTCTAGAAGTTTTACAATATTTCATTTAGATCTATAATTCGTTTTGAGAAACTTTCAATGAAAAGATAAGGTCCTTGTCTAGATTCATTGTTTTCCATATCGGTGTCCAATTTTGCTGGCAACATTTGTTGAAGAGACTATCATCCTTTCTCCAAAGAATTGCCTTAGCTCCTTTGTCAAAGATATATTTGTGTGGGTTTATTTCTGGGCTCTCTATTCTACTTCACTGATCTACTTGTCTGTTCTTTTGCCGATACCACACTGTCTTGATTACTGTAACTTCATAGTAATTCTTAAAGTTGGGTACTGTCAGTCCTCTTAACTCTTCTTCCATATTGTGTTGGCTATCCTGAGTCTTTTGCCTCTGGGTATAAAGTTTAGAATCTGTTTGTCAATAACCACCAAATAACTTACTGGAATTTTGTTTTGTTTTGTTTTGTTTTGAGACAGGGTCTCACTCTGTCTCCCAGGCTGCAGTGCAGTGGTGCAATCTCCTGGGCTCAAGTGATCTTCCCGCCTCAGCCTCCTGAGTAGCTTGGCAGCATAGGCACACACCAACATGCCTGGCTAATTTTTGTATTTTTCGTAGAGATGGAGTTTTGCTATGTTGACCAAGTTACTTACTGGGACTTTAACTGGGATTATGCTGAATCTAAAGGTCAAGTTGAGAATAGCCATCTGAACAATACTGAGTTTTTCTATCCATGAATACGAATAATTCTTTCATTTAGATTTTCTTTGATTTCTTTCATCAAAGTTTTCTAGTTTTTCTCATTTACATCCTCTACATAATTTGTTTGATTTATACTTTCCTAATTTTTTTGGTATTGATGTAAATGTTACTGTGTTTTAAATTTCAAATTCAAATGGTTCATTGCTGGCATATAGGAAAGCAGCTGACTTTTGTATATTAACTTTCTATCTTGCCAATTGGTATAACAGCTTATTCATTGCCAGAGTTGTTTGTTGTCATTGGTTCTTTGGGATTTTCTGCATAGACGATGTGATTTGTGGACAAAAACGTTACTTTATTTCTTCATTCCCAATCTGTATGCCTTTTTTTTTTCTTTTTCATGTCTTATTGCACTAGCTAGGACATTCAGAATGATGTTGAGATGTCGAGCAGGAGAAGTAAAAGGGGACATCCTCACCTTGTTCCCAATGTCAGGGGAAAGCATTTTGTTTCTCACCATCAAGTGTGATATTAGCTGTAGATTTTGTGTTTGTGTTGTCAAATTCAGGAGTTCCCTCTATTCCTAATTTTCTGAGAGTCCTCACAAATTAATGTTGGGTTTTGTCAAGTCTCTTTTCTGTATCAACTGATATAATCGTACGATTTTTTAAAAAGCCATTTGATGTGATGGTTTACATTAGCCAATTTTCAAATAGTGAACCAACCTCATATACCAGGAAATCCTACTTGCTTGTGTTATACAACACTTTTTGTACATCATTGGATTTGATTTGCTAGTATTTTGTGGAAGATTTTAAAATCTATATTCAGGAGAGATAATTGATCAATGGCTATCTATTCCTATAATGTCTGTATCTGATTTTGGCAGTATGGTAATGCTGTCCTCATAGAAAGAGTTAGGAAGTAGTCCTCCTATTTTCTGGAAGAGATTAGAGTATTGATACCATTTACACTTTAAGTATTTGGTAAAATTTACTAGTGAAACCATTTGGACCTGGTGCTTTCCTTTTTGGAAGGTTATTAATTATTGATTCATTTTCTTTCATTAGATATAGGCCTATTTAAATTATGTTTTTCTCCACTTGTGAGTTTTAGTAATTTGTGTTTTTCAAATAATTCATGTGACTTTTCAAACTTGTCAGTATAGAGTTATTCATAATATTGCTTTATTATCCTTCTAACATCCACAGCATCAATAGTTATGACCCCTCTTTCATTTCTAATATTAGTTATTAGTTTCTTCTCTCTTACTTTTTTTTTCCTGACAGCCTGACTGTAGTTTCATCAGTTGATCTTTCAAAGGACCAGTTTTTTGTTTTGTTGAGTTTTCTCTCTTGATTTCCTGGTTATAATTGTCTTGAATTTCCCATTAATTTTTACTTTTTTTTTCTGCCTACTTTAAGCTTAGATTGTTATTTTTCCTCTATTTTTTTTAAAGTGGAAGCTCAGATTATTCAATTTTTATCTTTTCTTCTAATATATACACAATGCTATAAATTTGCCTCTAGGCACTGCTTTTACAGCATCCCACAGATTTTGATAAGTTGTATTTTCATTTTCATTTAGTTGAAAATATTTTGAAATTTATCCTGAGAGTTTTTTTAAGTCATGTTTTATTTAGAGTCATGTTATTTAATTTCTAATTACTTGAGTATTTGCTAGCTGTCTTTCTGTTATTTATTTTAATCTTTCTGTTATTGATTTCTATTGTGGGCTGAGAAAATACTGTGTACACATTCTGTTCCTTTAGATTTGTTGAGGTACATCTTATGCCTCAGAATGTATTCTGTTTTGGTCAGTAGT
This sequence comes from Homo sapiens, assembly GCF_000001405.40. Taxonomy (NCBI): domain Eukaryota; kingdom Metazoa; phylum Chordata; class Mammalia; order Primates; family Hominidae; genus Homo; species Homo sapiens. Next base: position 18,602,897 of record NC_000007.14, read on the forward strand.
ACTAAAGTCTCCAACCGTAATAGGTTTGTCTATTTGTCCTTCCAGTTCTAACAGGTTTTGCCTCATGTATTTTGATGTGACATTATTAGGAGCATACATATTAAGGATTGTTATATCTTCTTGGAGAACTGTGACTATTTTATCAATATGTAACAAACACCACTTTTATCTTCGATAATCTTCTTGGCTTTGAAATCTGCTCTGTCTGAAATTAATATAGCTCTTCCAACATCCTTCTGTTTAGTGTGAACATGTTATATCTTTCTCCATTGCTTTACTTTTGATCTGTGTCTTATATTTAAAGTGGGTTTCTTTTAGGTAATATGTAGTTAGAACGTCTTGTTTTTTAAATTTACTGACAGCCTCTCTTCGTGTATTGAGACAATTCACATTTAAAATGATCATTAATATAATTAGATTAATATCTAGAATGTTTGTAACTGTTTTCTTCATTATATTTACTTTTTTAAAAAAATATTCACTTCTCTCTGACTCCTCTGCTATTCAGAACTTTATATAATTCAGTGCTCTCTACTCTCTTAACATATCAATTTTACCTCTTTTAAAAATATGTTTCAGTGGTTTCTCTAGAGTTTGATGAATCCATTTATAGTGAATCCATGTCCACTTTCAAATAACAGTATACCACTTTACAGGTCATACAGGTACCTTATAAAAGTGTATTTCTAATCTCTCCCTTTTATTCTTTATATTGCTGTCATTTATTTCTGTTTTCCAAAAGCTACAATTATCCAGTATTTTGTTCCTATTATTATTGTGCACAGTTAACTATTAGATCAATTGATAATAAAAATAAAAGATTTTCTTTTACCTTCATATGCTCCTTCCTTTATATAGGTCTGAGTTTCTGACCTATATCCTTTTCCTTCTCACTGAAAAACTTTTAACATTTCTTGTATGGCAGGCCTACAGGCAATAAATGTCCTTAGTTTTTGTTTGTCCAAGAAAGTGCTTTATTTCTCCTTCTTGTTTGGGATAATTTGTGTTCTTTTTAAAATTTTTTTGGCAACATTTTGTACTATACTTTCTTTTTTATTCTACAGCTTATGACAGGACATCTGATCTAAATCTTATCCTTGTTGCTCTATAGATAAAGTTTTTCTTTTTTTCTATGGTTTCTTTGAAGATCTCTTTATCTTTTATCTTCTGCAATTTGAACATGATATGTCTCGATACTGAGTTTTTGGTATTTATATTGTTTCATATTCTCTGAGATTCCTGTATCTATGGATTGGTGTCTGTCATTAATTTTGGATAATTCCCAGCCATTATTATGTCAAATATTTATTCTTTCTCTCTTTCTTGTTATTTTGCTATTCCCATTAGGAATATGTTATACCTTTTGCAATTTTCTTAGAGTATTGGGGAATTCTGTTCCATTTAAAAAAATTGTTTTTTGCCTTTCTTTTTAGGGAGTTTCTATTGACATATCTTCAAAGTTATTGATTCCTTCCTTAGCTGTGTCCAGTCTACTGATGAGCACATTTGGACCTTTTTTTTTTTTCTTGAGACGGAGTCTTGCTCTGTCGCCCAGGCTGGAGTGCAGTGGCGTGATCTTGGCTCACTGCAAGCTCTGCCTCCTGGGTTCACGCCATTCTCCTGCCTCAGCCTCCCGAGAAGCTGGGACCACCACCACGCCCAGCTAATTTTTTTTTTTAATTTTTAGTAGAGACGGGTTTCACCATGTTAGCCAGGATGGTCTTGATCTCCTGACCTCATGATCCGCCTGTCTCGGCTTCCCAAAGTGCTGGGATTACAGGCGTGAGCCACCGCGCCCGGATAAGACCTTTTTTAAATTTCTACTGCTGTGCTTTTGATCTCCAGCATTCCCTTTTCAATCTTTCCTAGAGTTTCCATTTCTCTGTTTATATTATCCATCTGTTGTTGCATGTTGCCAACTTCCCATTAGAACCCTTAACATACTACTTTTAGTTCCTTTAAGTTCCCTTTCTGTTAATTCCAAAATTTGTGTCATAACTGAGTCTGGTCTGATGTTTGCTTTGTCTCTTCTGATTGTTTTTCTTGCCTTTTAGGATGCTTTATAATTTTTTGTTAAAAGCTTGACATGATATATTGGACAATAGAAATTGAGTAATTATACTTTTGATGTGAGGTTTTATGTTAATCTGGCTGGGGCTGGGCTTTGTTTAATATCTGTTGTAGTGGTAAATGTCAGAGTCTTCAGTTTTCTCTAGTTTCCTTTGATTTTTTTCCTTCTCCTATTGCTTTGGGGTTTCCCTAAGAGCTCCTTCTTAAATAGAATTTGTGTCCTGTAGCTCCCTCAGTTTTAATTCACTGTTATAATACAGAACCTGGTTGATGTGATGGTAAGGCGTTGGACAGGAGAAATGTTCTATAACCTTACAACTAAATTTCATTTTTTTAAGTGGGCCTGACTTTGTATGCTGTGATCCCTTGAACTACTTCTTAGCCTGTTTCCTCCCCTTAAGTAAGATAGGAAGCTGAGATTTACTAATTGCCTTCTCCCTTAGGTCAGATAAGGCTCTGTAAAATATTTTCCCTTGGAGAGTAGGCTGTTGTTATGAAGAATCCTTCGTGTGTATTTCAAAATTGTTACTTTTTCATTAGACAAGTATTACAAAATGGTTACTTTTCTTCCCTCTCCCACGCCTACTCCCTACCTTCACTTAAACAGAAAGGGATTTTTTTCTCATATATTCACTGAGAGAAACTGGTTGGGTTCCTGGAAGTAAAACCCATGAAAATGTAGGATTCTTCTGAGACTGGGCCCCTGGAGTTTTGTTTGTTTGTTTGTTTTTTGAGACAGAGTCTTGTTCTGTCGCCCAGGCTGGAATGCAGTGGCATGATCTCGGCTCACTGCAAGCTCCGCCTCCCAGGTTCACGCTATTCTCCTGCCTCAGCCTCCCGAGTAGCTGGGACTACAGGCGCCCTCCACCATGCCCAGCTAATTTTTTGTATTTTCAGTAGAGATGGGATTTCATCGTGTTAGCCAGGATGGTCTCCATCTCCTGACCTTGTGATCTGCCCACCTCGGCCTCCGAAAGTGCTGGGATTACAGGTGTGAGCCACCATGCCTGGCTGCCCCTGGAGTTTTTAACTCTCAAGCTGGTTCACATTCAGCCTCCAGCAATTCATGCCTCCAACACCTCATTAAAATTACCTCATTTAAATATTTCTTCGTTACTGACTCCATTGGCTTCTGCTCACTGTAAGCTGAACTCAGCTGTGATTTTCTGTATTTTCCTATTTCTCCAGATTTTAGCATGGCAGTTTGCCCTGCAACCTTAATTCTCTGATAGATCTACGAAAATAATTTTAATTTTTACTTTGTTCAGCTTTTTACTTGTGGTGAGGTTGGGAGTGAAAATTTCCCAGTTCTTCACATGTGGAAATGAAACCAGAAGACTACCACTTACTTTTAAATCTGTAAAACATTAAAAATACTTTTTAAAACTCAACTTTTTCATTTTTTGAGGTGACAAATTCATATTTGAGCAATATTATTCTTACAAATTAATGATTATATTTATTTTAAAGATTAACATCAGTGTCCAGCTTGCTCATGATTAACAAGTTCATATGCTAAAAACTGAGAGAGAGAAAATAGGTTGAAATTATTTTAAGTCACATTTTGTAAGCAAGACTTGGGAATTGTAAGGACTTTTTGTCGATTTTTGTCTTACTGTTTTCATAACATTAAACCATTTAGCAAGGTATGAAAATCAAACCAATTTTTGACCTGTATCAAATTAGAAAATTTTAGCTTCTTTTCAAAATAAGACTCACTTTTAAAGTAATATTTTTTTCTAGATAATAATTTACTTTTTAAGCATTCATTTTGATAGATGTAATCATTTAGATTATGAAAAGTTGGCAATTTCAAAAGAACATATTTAGTTGATTTTAAGATACTCATTTTTTAAACTAACATATCTGAAATCTGAATTGCTCTCATGGATGTTTATAGTTTAGTAGTGCTTTCTGGTGGCAGGGAGTTAGTGGTATACAAGGTACTTGTAAATGTTGTAATTGATTAATTACCATAGTATTTACCCAACAATTAAATGGTCCAGAATACTAAGATTCCTCATGATAAAGAAATAATACAAATGTATAATTTATACATTTTTTACTTTAAAATAACAAACATAGTAGAAATTAATAATCCTAAAAATTTTTTATGAAAAAGTTAAGTATGTTAGTTTCAAATCAATGAACAAAATGATTTAAATTTCACAGTTCAGTAAGTGAGAAGCTGGTTTCATTGATTGCATATGCAATTTGTATGACAAGTAGTTGGAGCTAAGAGCAAGTATCAAATGACAATTGTGTGATAATGAGTCAGCCTTGTAAGAACTTCGAAAATCTAACTCAAATATTTTGCTTGCAGAAAAGCTAAGGTAGCCTAGAAAGACAAAGCATGGAAAATAATTTCATGGCTTGGCATTAGATGAACAAAGCTGAGAATTCTAGCTTGGCACTTTTGATGAGAGCTGTGTGACCTGCACATAGTGCAGGATTTCTCTGAGCCTCAGTTTCTTCAAATAGCAAATATGGAAAATATTTGCCTTCCAGTGTTATTGTAAGCAAAAATATACTGCCCAGTACAGTGTGTGACATGGGTCTCAGTACATATTGCCAGTATGAATTATTAAGAATAATAGTATGGCATTAGTGACAGGAAATATTAGTAGTAGCCATATAATGTAATTATTGAAGAACTAGAATGGCAAAAGGAGACTTAAGTTTTAATCTTAACCTTGTCACTAATACATGACTATGAGCATAGTGCTTCATGATTTTAGATTTCTGTTTTTTCAGTTAAGTGCAAATGGACCAAATGATTCCTAAGATTGTATATGAAACTAAGAAGGAAATATATAATTGCATTTCATAAAGAGGTGTGATAAAAATATATTAATGATTTGAAGAATATATAAGAAATAAATGACCATGCTTTTGCACAGTGGTATCTCAAATTAATCATAACTGGTAAGTGCAGAAAAGTCTAATGACATATTTTTCACTCCTCATGAAATGCTCATTTAGAACAGGCAGGACATTTTAGATAAGATTGGAATGAGAAAATGGCAAAAAATAATAATTAAGACTTTAAAAGCATTTAGCCATCTGTTGTATAATCATGAGATTTATTGAAAAATGATTCCTAATTTATAGTATTCACAACTATAGAACTGAGAACACTGAGGAAATATTCCATGCAAATGCATGCATTTATATGTCTTTAGACTTACCTAATGAAGTAAATTAAGAGATAGAAAATAAATGATGAAATATTTGGGATTGTATTTTCCTTAAATTTTCAGCCTCTAACTCAGTTACTTTAAAATGGAAGTGTTCTTTATGGCAAAGAAATTGGAGAGAGGAGTGGGAGGGGAGGGGGACTGGCTTAAGAACCATGTTATTATTAAAAGCAGCACATAATAACAGTTTGACGTGACATGTAAGATTTTTTATCAAGTGACTTTATTTTGCTTTATGTGTATCAGCCTCCTGTTTTATAGATTTATTTGCTTTTTAGCCTCTTATTTGCATTTTTATTTCAATATTCACAGTGATTCCTCCATTATTTCCCACTTATTCATATACAAGATAAATTCTAAAGTTATTTTTCATAGAACCTTCATTCTAACACTTCCCTTATCTGTATTCTCATATCATTGTAATTTTTGCTATAAAAGCTGGTAATTTTGTCAATTATGAGATATTAAATTTTATAATGTTGTTTTTATCCTGTTCATCCCAATTAGATGATAAAAATATCTGAGAATATAATGCTTGTAACATCTTCCTCCTTTATTTGACAAACCACACTTTGTGCTGGGCCTGGACATAAATATTAAATAAACCAGTATAAGTAAAAAAGGATTTCTGACATTAAGGAGCTCACAGTCTTCATAGTGAGGCACATGTAATAGGTTCCTAATAGATTGATTGATACTTTAATTCAGCAGTTGAACAGTTGAACCACCGTACTTCTTGAGGAACTACTATTTCATATTTTCAGATTATAGGCATTCTTGAGTGAAAGCAAAGATCCAAGCCACCCGAGGAATATAGCTGGGAAAAGACATTAAGATGTTATTATTATTATTTTTTTGGTTGTAAGCCTTCAATATCTTTATTTCAAAATGCATATTTTAATGTCATTATATATATTTTGAAGTAGGTAATACAGAGGTAATTAAGAGAAATTCTTGGAGAGAATGCATTAGCCTATTGTAGCTGTACATATGTGGTTCTTTGAAAATAGTATGGACCAGCACTGCCAAATATAATTTGATGGAAGAGTTCTATATTGGCATGGTTCAATTCAGTAGGCACTAGCTGCATGTTGCCACTTGAAATTGAACACTTGAAATGTGGCTAGTATGACTTAGGAGCTAAATTTTTGTTAACTAATGTATTAGTTAGCTCATAACTAATTTTGTTAACTAATTCATTTGAATCTAAGTTTAAAAAGCCACCTGTGTCTAGTGATTATCATGTAGGACAGCACAAGTATACACCAAGGCAGGCACATGTGTGGCATAAGCATCATGGTGAAACCGTTTCGGTGTCCAAGACAGAGTTCACTAATCAGTCACAGCAAACTCTTCCCTCTGAGTTTGAACACAAGTCTTAGTAAAAGCATTCTAAGTCACATCACCTAAAGAAGATACAGTGTCTAAACAGAATTATATTTTCAGAACTCGTTAATTTTTTAAATATATATATATTTTTATTTTACTTTAAGTTGTAGGGTACATGTGCACAACGTGCAGGTTTGTTACATATGTATACATGTGCCATGTTGGTGTGCTGCACCCATTAACTTGTCATTTACATTAAGTATTTCTCCTAATGCTATCCCTCCCCCCTCCCCCAACTCCGTGACAGGCCCCGGTGTGTGATGTTCCGTTTCCTGTGTCCAAGTGTTCTCATTGTTCAGTTCCCACCTATGAGTGAGAACATGCGGTGTTTGGGTTTTTGTCCTTGCGAGTTTGCTGAGAATGATGGTTTCCAGCTTCATCCATGTCCCTACAAAGGACATGAACTCATCATTTTTTATGGCTGCTGGAAGACAGTGTGGCGATTCCTCAAGGATCTAGAACTAGAAATACCATTTGACCCAGCCATCCCATTACTGGATATGTACCCAAAGGGTAATAAATCATGCTGCTATAAAGACACACGCACACATATGTTTATTGCGGCACTATTCACAATAGCAAAGACTTGGAACCAACCCCAATGTCCATCAGTGATAGACTGGATTAAGAACTCGTTAATTTTTAAGAAGCAAGCACCAAATACAAATTAGTTTAGTTTAAAAAGTGGGAGGTGTTTGGAGGGGGTCATTTAAATGAATTTTCCTAGTGTCCAGCTGCTTAGATGATGTTATCAATTCAGTGTATTTAAACTTTGTTATTGGAAGTATGAGTTCCAGTCTTGCCTCTTCTGGGTTTTATGTGCAGTAATGCTCTCCCTCCAAATTTTGACAATAACCCAGAGCAAGCCTAGGCTCACCTTTTCACAGTTTAACAACGATAGCAAAAACAAACACTCTTTCCCCGGTCATTCTGATAAATTCCCAGGACCATCTCATTCGGACAGCTTATCTCACTTGCGCCCTCTAGACGTTTAGATGGAGTTTGCAGTTTACCTCTCAAATAACCTGGACTAAGAGCAAAACCCTAACCAGCATTCATCCATCTAATGGGCAGCTTTGATGTATAAACTTTTCTGTTTAGAGTTTTGTGTGGATTTTCACTAATGCGCTTGGCCTTTCCTAAGTGGACTTTTCAAGTATAAATTGTCTACCCTTTCTTCACAAGCCATCGTAAGCACTTCAACTCAAAGGAAACTTTTCCCAATCCTCTATGTTTTCTGCCCCAAAACAGTGATGTTGAAATCTTACAATTCCGTTCCTTTAATTTGCCTTTGCTGCTGTGCTATTCCCATGTACACATTGCACCTCCATAATAATCAAGTTTATTCAGAAGCAGGATTTGTGTTTTATTTTGGGGGCCTCAACAGTGCAAATGATATATTCTTTCCTATTACATTCTTTCCTGTTTATTTAAAAACCGCTGCTAACAACACAATAGAGTCATGTGAAATCCTTCGTTTTTTGAAACATTATAATAGGTGATCATGTAAGATTTATGAGATGAAAGCTGTATTTTCCAGAGAAATGCATTGAGACCTTTGTAATATAAATCATATTTGGAGAATAAAGAATGTAATAGCAAGAAGAGCATAATGATTTATTACATGACAGTGATGTTTAACCTACTTTAGACACCACACTGTGTTTTTCCATAGTAAAACACTGATAAGGGAACAGCACATTACTTTAGGGTATTATTTGGTCAGGAATAAATGGGTAATCAGTGGATTCTGAGATCACAACTAGCAAGAATAATATATATTTGTTCAATAATAATTTTGAAGAAAATTAATGTTAACAGACTTATATAGTAGAATAGATAACTTTGGTGACTATGTGCTAGATCCATTTTAGGCATCTTACCTATATCTTATTAACTCTATGCAATAATCCTAGAAATAGATTTTATTATTTCTCACCAGTTTTATAGATGAGAGAACCGTCACAGAGAGGTTTACTAACTTTCCTAAGGTCTGATTTTCTTTATTATGGCAGTATGTACAATGCCAGGTTTGAAGACAGCGAGTTTTGTTTCAGAATCTGGTCTCTTAACCCTTAACACTTATTCTTTGAACACGAATAAGTGATATCTAATATCATTGAGAATGGCAATTTTGCTAAAATTAAGTACCATGTAGCATCTATCCTGATAAAAGTAGTGACTTATAACAGTTTAGGTGGTGTCATTTGTAAGTTAACTTCAGTCCAATGATGAATAAAGTTCAAAATCTTTTTAGAAATAGCATATGTTTGGGATATTCTTTGTAAAAGCAATGATGAGAGATATTTTCAATGGAAAACAAATTATTAAAATCACAAATTTTTGTTTTCTTTCTGCATCGAAATATTTAACAAGTTTTTCAAATAAGGTATTTCAAAGGTGAAACCTGTTTCAAGTTGGGCTTTCCAAATATGTTTGCCATAAACAAACTTTCAGAACTAATTTGCTGATTATTGACAGAATTCTGAGAAATTGTAAATGTCATAGTAGTGCCAAAATATGTTAATTTGCTAATCCTATAAAGGAAAATACAATTTTTCAAATCTCCTGTATTTCTTAAGGGAAATAGATAAACTTACAGGCCCATAAATAATAGACATACTTTAATTACATGGGTTTAAATATTCCATATAGAGGCTATTACAAAAGGGATCTTTTGTTTGTAGTACAGTTATAAGAAAACAATGAATATATCTCCAGCTTTTATAAAATGTTTTTTAAAGACACATCAATTGTGTTTGCCACTACCACTACATATACATATGTAGAAAATCATTTCTCTTTGGATTTATTACTAGGATAATATTTATCTTTTTTTAAGAATTAATATACTTACTTATTGTTATTACAGTGATGTTATGAGTCCTCTAGAAGTGAAAGATGACTGTCAGATAGAGAAGGGGTGGGGAAGGACAGATAATATGCATATTAATGTTAGAGAATTAGAGAACTGAGGAGTCTCACTGAAGACTCCAGGGTTGGAAAAGAAGATGAGTAGACACAGAATTCAATGATGAAGAACTCTGTGATACGGAAGGCAGGAAGAGGAATAAAATGTTGGCTATTTCATAGGTAAGCATTGGAAACATTTTAATCCTTTCCATTGTTTAAAATAAGTAAATCAGATAATCCAGATATAGTGTTGAGTAAATCCTAGAGATGAGTGACATGAGACCACAGGAAAATATTTAGTCAGAAAGAGAATGGAGAAGCTGCCACATGAAGAAAGACCATGACTGTTAAGGTCTCATCTCTCTTTTAAGGGGCAGATACTAAGAGGAGAATATGAAAGACAAAAATCAGGAAGTTTATGTTTACAGAAAGTTTCTGAGTTTTAAAAATAGGTATGTTAAAATTTGAAACTTTAGGCTGACTAGCAGGAAATATTTTAAAATTTTGTTGGAAGAAATTTTATTAAAGTTTATAGTCTAAGAAGTTGTACATGTTTATAATTAGATATATTTATATATCTAATTATGTATTTATAATAGACTGAATAATAGATATATTTATATTTCTCTTTTATATATAAATATATATAAGTATAATATAATAGATATATTTATAATAGACTGAATACAGTCAGTCTATTACTTCATAGAATAAAGATTAGAAGGAACTGAATATATTGGAAAGAACAGTCCATTAGTTTTGTCATTTTTTTAAGAGTTTCATTAGCAATCTTCTAATTCAAGCTGTTCCAAAGAAATAGGTCGTTTTCACAGTTGTCCCTTTTAATTTTGGGAAATGAGACAGGAGAGAAGGAAAAGGAGGCGAGCAAATTTTTACTCACACTTAACACTGGGCTGGAAGTTGTGGTCACTCTGAGCACATAGAGCGGATTAAGGGACATTTTTGCTTTCAAGGAGCTCAGAGTCTGGTTCTAAGAGATTTTTCTCAACTACCCCTAATGTAAGCGTCTTCTAGATTTTATAATGCTTACACTCAAAATCTATCCCTCTCCTAAACAATGAAATAGAAAAAAACAAAAATTCATTGAAATTTACTACTATGTGTTGTGGCTATAATTTTTTTCTTTCTCCTTTTCTTGTCAAACTGTGATATCATTACCTATATGATTGAGTTTAGAATAACTTTTATTGAGCATTTATTCTAAAGTAGTTATTATGCTAGGTTATGATGTTATAAAAATGTGTATCATCTGATTCAGCGTTTGGTCTCTTCTAAATCAGTGTTCTGAAACAATACCAGGGACTCCCAAATCCTGAAATCTGTGCATTTTTCTCAGGCTTCCTTTTTCTCTGTGGCTTTTGACCCCATTGTCCAACCCATGCTCCTTAAAATTTTAACCTCATGGGCTGCCCTTTCATTCATCTGCTTTACCTCTCTATTTTTACCACCGCGTCCTTTAAATATGAAGCTCATGAAACCTGAGGTTCCTGAGGTTCCTAAAGTTGCATTGTCTCTTCTATTTTTTTAACTTTTCTATTTCAATTGTCACCATCTTAAAGACTTTGATCCTACTTCTTATTCATTCTAACCAGTAGTCGTTTCTGATAGTAGGGTTTAACCCAGCTTTCTCATCTATAAAATGAATAGGTTGATCAGGACTGCCTTCATTTTTTTTCCTCTAAGTTCTTTTATTTGGGATCTAACTCCACATCTCTAAACTTCAACCTTTTCATAGACTTCAGGCTAACATTTCCAAGGTATCTTGCAACTATTTAAGTGTAACAGATTTGGAAGTTGACCCTCCAATCCGCCACACCGCAAGACTTCCTCCTCCTCCTGAGTTTCTCAGTTCTGCCAATGCCTCTCTCCCAAACATGCAAGCTTGACTTTTGGGTTCAGTTCTGTCTCTGTTGTCTTCTTTGTTGTGTTCTTTTGTCCACTCTGTCACCAAGTTCTGTCTTTTCCCCCACCTACTTTTTCTCATTTTTAAAGTAGGAAGCATCTTTTCAGATGTATTTTTTTTTCTTCCATAATGCCTAGTGTAAACGTTGCACAGAGTAAGTGCTTGGTAAATATTTGTTGAATGGAGTCTCTCTTCTTCTCTTCTTGTCTGATGCTTAGTACTTGTTAAGAAATGGTGAATCCCAATTAAAGTCAACAAAATGTGAATCAGAGCAACATTCTCTTTTTTCGACCCATCTTAAGTACAACATTTTTTCTACCCATCATAAGTACAACATTTAAACCATCTGAAATAGAATAAACTGGTTAGAAAAATAGTGTTCTTCTTTGAGCCCCTCCAGAATCTGAATTCAGTGAAAATCTGTTCAAACCATAATTCTAATTAAGGGTTTTAGCTGCCAAATAATATGTTCTGGTTAAAGCCAAGTTAGTATTATGGAGTGTTTCATGAATAACAGCACAAGCTTTAAACTTGCTGTTGATTTTCTCATGGGAAACTCAAGTAAAGGAGAATGATACCTCCCTGTTGACTTTAACTTTTAGAAATGCAAAGCATGCTGAAATTGTACATAATTCTCTTCTAAAGAAAAGGAAATAGCATTTCAATGGTTTTCCTCAGTGTCTTATTGAGTTATGGTGGGGCACAATTGTGTCTGTTAAACTGATTTACCAGATGGAAGGTTACATTTTATATTTAGCTGATTAAGTTGTAAGAGACTGGAATTGTATCTCATACTATAAAGGTCATATATAAAATTAAAAAATATTTTGATTAACTATTTTGAAGCAATTAAAAGGTTTAAACTGTTCCCCCTCCTCTTTTACTTACATTAAACTAAAAATGAAGTTATTCTTAGAAATAGGCCTATCACAGAGTTGGTATTTGGCTTAATAATATCTCAAATGGAATGTGTAAAACAACAGCAACAAAAAAAGGGAAATACTCCCATTCAAGTTTTGGAAATTGCTTTTCTTGGCTATTTAATGTATTCTTAGTATTTTATGGTTAAATTAAATAATCCTTAATTTATATACTTATACCCTATGGAACTTTTACAGAAATATTTAAAGGAAATAAATTATACTTTTTGTCTTTTTTCTCTTTTGGATCTTCTGCAAGTAAACAAATACATTAATAAAACCTTTACCGTAGAAAATTAAATGTGGCAAAGTGCTAAGTAAATTTTTGTCCTGGCATTTTTGCTGTGTGATCATATATCATTAATACTACTCTTTAATTCCTACTACATTACCTAAAAATAATGCATTAAAAATACAGCCCAGTAAAATCTGATCTAGTCAGAACCAGTATTTCAGAATATTCAGACTTCCAAAATAGCACCAATCTTGGAATTCATTCAACTACTGTATTATTTTCCTGTGGATGCTGTAACAAATTACTGCAAACTTAGTTGCCTAAACCAATCTATATTTATTACTTTACACTGCTGGAGGTCATATGTCCAAAATGGCTTTGCCTGGGCTAAAATGAAGGCATCACCCTGGCGTGTTCTTTTCTGGGGACTCTGGGAATGAATCCCTCTCCTTGTTTATTCTGGCTTCCGGAGGCTGCCTGCAAGCTCTAGCTGTGGGCTGTCCCATCCTCGTGGCCACTAGGACCAACCAAGCCTTTCTCAAATGGCATTGCACTGACACTTCTCTGCCTCCCTCTTCCTTATTTTTTAAGGACCCCTTGGATAATCCAAGTTAATCTTTTTTAAGTCAGTTGATTGGCAACCTTAAATCCATTTGTAAGTTTACCTTTACCACCTAATGTGATACAGTCACAAATTCTGGGGAATAGAACATGGACATCTTTGGAGTGGGGCATTATTCTGCCTACCCCAAGTGCTTAGAGTTTTCGTTAAGATGGTGTTTTCTGCAGTGTACTTTGACTTACTACCCCTTTACTATTTTATGTGAAATTTGTTTGCGATGCCTTTATCCGGGCAGTCATCCAGAGAAAGTTGACTAAATAGAAGGTGTTTAACTGATGATCTGTCTAGAAAAGGATTCAGGGGAGGCCTGAATGAATCTAGAGGTGAAATTTTGCCTTTTATATCCATTCAAGATAGGTAATAGTGTTTCCTTATAAATATATATTATAAAGAGAATGTATGATATAGTTCAGTAAAGTTATAAATGCTATTGAGGTAGAATTGAATTACCAATAACGTTCCAAAACCATAAAGGTTGTCTAAAGGTTATAAAATCAAAACTTGCAAAGCAAAATAAATAATAACAGATGCCCAGGTGACTTGGAAGGTTCTGAAACAGGACAAGAGCAGGAAGCAAAGTGGTATTTGAACTGGGGAGAGGACAGTCTCCTGTTGGCCAGAAGTCACTGCTGACCCCTTGTCAGTGGTGCTGCTGATCCATGGTACCTGAATGTATCTGAGGGGCTGTGAAGAGTTGAATAGACTTAGAGGTTACACCTAAAGACTTAAAATTATATTGTGAGAGATAACAATTATTAGTAACAGTAATTAGACGTTTAAAAAATGTACGTGCATCTCTTTATTAAGCTGAACAATGTGATTCCCTAAAGAAATAAATGGAACCATGTTCTGTCCAGAAATCTCAGAACCACACCAGGTGCCTAGTTTTCCTTTATTTCATCCAGTACTAACTTCTGTTATTGCTTGCTGTTAAATCTCCCCTTTCTTATCGTGCCTACTGTTTTAGTTCATTCCCTATTTTGTTCAGCCTCCATTCCAGTTATTAACCACTGATTCCATCATACTCCTGTCCAGTCAATCCTTTGACTTTCTAAAGTTTAAGTCTAGTCTTCCTACCCTCTAAAAGAGCCATTTACTGCCTCTTCTGTTATGTACAAGGCTAAAGCTCCTCCATCGCAAGCATGATCTCTGTCTCCTTATTCCCTCTCTGACCTCTCTCAACTCTCCCCAGTCCACTACCTCATACCCCTTTGCCCTAGCAGTAATGAAAAAATTGAAATTCCATGAACAAATCTTTCTGTTTCCCATTCACACAAGCCATTCTCATCTGGTTTTCCAGATGCTCCTTGCTCTTAAAGTGCCCTCTTCAATAGTTCATACTCATCTTTAAATGCTCAGATGATATATATACTTCCTCTCTGTTAAGCTTTACCTGGTACCTTCCTACCCACCAGGCCACCCCAGATAGTCACTTCATATTTTATGCCAAATGTATATGCCCAAATATGCCCTGACATATCTCTGTGCATATATCTCTATATTAAAATTACATTCTACTCAGTTGAGGAATCCTTGAGGACAGTATCTTTAGCCTATTTATTATTGTATCCCCAGCATCTTCAGAGAGCTCATAATTGGCACTGAATAAATTTCTGTTATATGAGTAAATGAATATATGCACTAAAATAGGAACTAATACACATTTATTTGGGTATTTAAAATTCTAGAAGTTGTTTTGCTAAATAATTTTTAAGAATTTAATTTGCAATAACATTTTGGAGGTAGGAGACTAACTGCTTCCGGATGACTGTAACTGGGTAAATCAGAAGAAAACAAGGAAACAAAATTTTTCATGTTAGCAAGTTGATGTTATAGTCTTTTAAATATTATTTTATTTTAATTCTTGTGGAATGAAATGACTTGCTAGAGGATGATTTTGCAATTTAATGGGAATTGGCTAAAAATTTTCAGATAAACATCAGAGAGACAAAAACCTAAAGTAATATATTTGAAGAAGATAATTGTATGGCATTTCAAATTAGACAGTGATTTACTATACTTATTGTAGTCAATGTATTCCATTTATTACTTCTGAACTCTTTAAGGTCAGGAATGGCTGTTATTGTCCACATTTGCAGGCAAGAAAATTGAAGCACAGCGACATTAAATATTTTACTCAGATGTTATGGTGGTAGAGTCAAGACTGGAAAACAACTCCAGACTCTTAGGAGGGTAACAAGATGAGGTTCATGCTGAGAGAACCAATAAGTACAATAAAGTTTAGGTTTATGATGATACCCAGGATATTATCAGGGGATAGGTATTGCCTTTCTGGACCATGAAATCCTGACCTATAACGTTTTCTGGGAGTAATTCCATGCTGTCTCCATGTGTGTCCCTATCAAGCACTGGGATGCACCCTAAATAGATCT
This sequence comes from Homo sapiens, assembly GCF_000001405.40. Taxonomy (NCBI): domain Eukaryota; kingdom Metazoa; phylum Chordata; class Mammalia; order Primates; family Hominidae; genus Homo; species Homo sapiens. Next base: position 18,618,560 of record NC_000007.14, read on the forward strand.
CACCTACTAAAATGGCCCCACTCTCTCACGCAGTCAGTTCACATGTAGCTCTTATGAACTGTCTGAGTAGGAGGGACATTAAAACATTATATATCCACAATAAAATTACTTTTCATGCCATTTCTATTTGAATGGTATATAAAAGATATATCTAGTACAGAATTTTGTATATATATATATATATATATATATATATATATATGTAGGAATTCGTTTGTTACAGAAAGATTCATAGCAGAATAATTACACAGAATTTTAGAGTGAACAGGACTTGTTTACAAGAAAAAATACATAAACACATGTATGAATTCAGATTTCCCCCAAAGTAGCATGTTATTTGTGAAATACCAATTCAGAAGTATACTTTATAATAAAACTTTGGGATTCAGGTAGAAAAGAAAATTATTTTAGAAACTGGATTGAAGACTGAAACATGTTTATAATCTAGTTCGATTTATTGAAATGATAATTCAAAATGATGCTAGATAGATTTTTAAATTTGTCTTAGGTAAATAAAATATATTTGAAAAATTAAAGCATATAAAGGAGTTAGCATATGAAGGCATTCTGGCCTGTATGAGATATGGATTTCCTTGACTCCAAAATGTAGTATTTGTGATGCTTGCCAGAAAAGAGAAATTCCTTCTGCATTCCACATCTGATCTATGAGACCTCTTGCCATGACATTCAGCATCAAGAAATTCTTAGAAATTAGGGTAGTTGAGGTTCATCTAGTTCTCTTCTCAACAATATTTGAGACTCAGCCTTTTAATGTAAGTTTCCTTCATGCTTGGATGTATACAGGCATGTATTATTCATTCAGCAACTGTTTATGGAGACCCATCGAGCCTATGTTCTTGCTAAGTACTGGAAATAGACACAAGATCAATGATTACATTATATTTCTGCTAAGCATCAAGGGCTGGAGCCATATTGCAGTGTTTTGAGGTTAGGAAGTGGTAGTGGCAAGTATAGGCTATTTCTTTAACTTGACTATGAAAGTGCAATCACAGGAAGTAGCTCATAAGATCTGTGTCTATGGGGGCTTATTTTTATTTGAATGGGAAATATTTGAGCCTGTCTACATTCTGAGAAGGAGCCAGAAGAGAGAGGGAATTTGAAGATACATGTTGCATAACCTCTATAAGTATCTCATAGATTAACTAAAATGTGTTTGATATTTATCTTTGAAGTTTTATTTTTTATTTAGTATTCCTTCCCTCACCAGCATACTTAATCTCCATTCTTTGAATGTGTGGGCTCTGTGCCCTTGGACGTGGTTATTTCCTCTGCATAGAACTGCACTTCTCCCACCTTTACCTGTCAACATCTCACTAAGCCCTGGAGGATCCTCTTTCAAAGCAAATGAATGTCTGCCTTTCAGCCACAACACTCTGCTTATACCTATCACGTGGCACTGATCCCAGTTAGTATATTATTCATTCTTGAGACCATGAGCACCTAGGAGAAAAAGACTCTCTGTCTTTTCTCTGGGGGAGTTGCCTCAGCACTTAACATGCACTTTTTCCCATTCCTTGATTCCTTGTTTGAATAAATAGCTAAAGGATTTATTCCATGTAGTTGGCACTGTATAGGTACCTGAACAATGAAAATATGGCTACACATGCTTCCAGTCTGCATGAAACTTGCAACCTTGTTTCTCAATATTATTATTCAATAGCTGTTAATCGAATGTAATTAAACAATAGATCTAATTAAATAGTAGGTTTTAATTTTAACTATAAAATAATTAGAATTTTATAACTTACTATTAAAATTTATTTTTAAACTGAATCACACTGATTAAAGTATTTTTATGTTAAAAATGATAATTTGTTAAAATGTCATAAAAATTTTAGGAAGTTATTTTTTCCTGTTTGTCCTAGTATTAAAAAAACAGTAATGAGTAGTACTAAAAGTAGTACTAAAAACCAGTGTTACTACTGAGTGGTACTTTTTTTTTTTTTTTAATACTAGAACAAACAGGAAAAAATAGCAAATTTGTACATTCATTCATTCACTCCGTAAACTTTTACTGAGTTTCACCTGAGCCAGCCGAGTGCCAGGCACTCTTGAGGCACATTGGTGAGGAGGAGGAAAAGTGCTGCTCTTAGAGGGAACTGAGTGCACTGTCATGAGCTTTAGATGCTAAGGAAAAATGCCCACCTTTCCCCTTCTAGACCATGCTCCTGTTACTTACGGCCCCGATATTGTCTTCCCATCCTACTCTGCGATGCTTCCAATGACTTGGTAGTTCTCTTTCCCATGTATGACCATTTTTTTTCCCGATATGTAAAGAGGTTATCATTGTTGTTTCCATCTGTGATAAACGTTAAGAATTAAATTTCTATTTACATTGATAGAAGGAAATACAACTTCCTAGAAAACTCACACAATGATGTACATAACAGTGCTGTCTTTCGAAGCAAAACAATGTGTAGTACACCCAAGTGTCCAACATTGTCTTATTCTTAAGTGAAATATTGTGTATTCACATGTAAGTGTGGATATATAATATATAGTATATCCTCATAATGTATTTTTAAAAGAATATATAATTGCTTGGGGAAAAACATAATAGATTTTTAAGTGAAAAACATAATAAATGCAATAATTTTAAGGAATACGTAATTACCTGGGAAAAGACCCATAATATATTATTAAATGAACAAATAAGATATAATCATAAATATAATGATTCTCATTTTCAAATAATTTTACCTACATAACACAAAGGGAACATTTTAGAGTATACACAAATTTTCCCATTCTTAAAAATCTCAAATATGTATGACTTACATAATCGGAAGCAAGCAATAAAATTTATTATAAAATTAGCACTTTTCAAAAGATCATATTGTAAATTGATTAACATTTACAAATATGGATTTTGAAAAATGGTAATCTTAACAAGTAGACAAAATTGGTATATTTGCAATAAGAGAATGGATAGATGCAGTAGTATTTCTCAAAAACAAATAGTATTATAATGTCTTTAGGAAATTGCATTCATGTATTACCATACATGTGCCTAGAAATTCCCCCAAAATTATTTTTTGAAAACTTTATATATGAATTACATACTGTTAAGTGGTTATAATTAGAAATAGTTACATTAGAAATTTTGCTCCTTAGTGTCAAAATATATAAAATCTAATTCATAACATTAAAGGTTCATTTTATCCCAGCCAGAAGAGGCATACATTGTATTATTTATTGTAGTATGCCAAGTAGTACTTTTGAAAATATGTACCTTTTGTATAATTATGAAACTTTTAATTAGAGTAACCTGTGTATTTTGATTAACTAGACTGGAGGATCTACTGTGTTCCCAAAGTGTCTTTCATAACTGTAGTGATTACTGATTTGAACAGTTTCTAGATTTCTACAATGCCAGCCTGGGTTATAGGAGAGATTTGGGCAGGAACTGTGCCAGGAAATCTAACCTTCAGAAAGAACAGAGAGTGAATGAATAGGTGATAGATTATAATAAGTATTTGGTTCCAAGTAACAAAACATTTAAATATGGCAGCTCCTAAGGGATCCCTGAGAGGAGGAGATAGCAGGAGAAACCCAGGGGAGGGAGAAACTGTGTGGAGAAGTTGACAGATATCCAGTACTGCAGGGAAGAATAGACAATGCCAGAAAGGGATCTGAAGCTGGTGGTGAAGACTTGACCTTCACCTATGATTACAGAGCTAAATGTTCACTACAGGTGGAATCATTGTATATCCCAAATATTCATTATTTTAAAAACATGTATGTATGTATTTATTTATTTAGAGAGGGAGTCTCGCCCTGTCACCCAGGCTGGAGTGCAATGGCATGATCTCGACTCACTGCAACATCTGCCTCCCAGGTTCAAGCAATTCTGCTGCCTCAGCTCCCAAGTAGCTGGGATTACAGGGACGTGCCACCACACCCGGCTAATTTTTTGTATTTTTAATAGAGATGGGTTTTCACCATGTTGGACAGGCTGGTCTCAAATTCCTGACTTCATGATCTGCCCGCCTTGGCCTCCCAGAGTGCTGGGATTACGGGTGTGAGCCACCGTGCCCGGCCTAAAGAAACATTTATTAATCTAGTACTCAATCTTGGTTAATAATTAATCATCTTAATATATGAAATATGTTAAAATATTTATATAATATTAACACAATGGAAAATTTTCCATTTTTTCCTTATGATAATTTTCAATAAGAATGAAGAACTTCTACATACCACACAATGTGGTATTGAAATTTTTTAATCTAAATTATTGTTGTAAAGAATATTCACAACCTAGGATTAAGAGTGAACAGAGGCCGGGTACAGTGGCTCACATCTGTAATCCCAGCACTTTGGGAGGCCAAGGCAAGCAGAACGCTTGAGCCCAGGAATTTGAGACCAGCTTGGACAATGTGGCAAAACCCCATCTGTATAAAAAATACAAAAATTAGCTGGGTTTGGTGGCATGTGCCTATGGTCCCAGCTACCCAGGAGGCTGAGGTAGGAGGATCTCTTGAGCCCAGGAAGTTGAGGCTGTAGTGAGCTGAGATCATCCCACTGCACTCCAGCCTGGGTGACAGAGTGAGACCCGGTCTCTGGAAAAAAAAAAAAAAAAGTGAGCAGAGGCAAAATACACATAGTAGGTGGTCCTTCTTAAGTGGATGATGATCTAGTTAAGACTTAGAACTAAACAGAATACAATTTATAAGCAGGCAAATTAGAAAGTGAGAAAAATATGTGAAGTCAGTTATTAACCAAAAGTTATTTTAAGTACACTGAGTCAAAGTTCAGAAAAGGGCTATTGTTATGGTTATGGTGTTTTCAAACATTACACTAGGCAAAGGAGTGTACCAATTGCAGCCATCTCTCTCTCTACTTATTTTTTATTTTGTTTAATTTTAACATAACTTCATCTTACATCTGCACTTCATGAAACATTCATTCAACATCTATGTAATGAACAATTTTTTTTTTATGATAGACAACCAGGTGAGCCAAGAACCAGGATGTGTGGTAGGCATTGTTACCATTCTTTTGTAGATGATAAAATGATTCACAGAGATGAAATCACTCATTTGGGGTTACAGTTAGTACATCAAAGAGTTAGCATTGGTGGCTGGGTGCAGTGGCTCACGCTTGTAATCCCAACACTTTGGCAGGCCAAGGCGGGCGGATTACAAGGTCAGGAGCTCCAGACCACCCTTGCCAACATGGTGAAACCCTGTCTCCACTAAAAATACAAAAATTAGCCAGGTGTGGTGGCACGCCCCTATAATCCCAGCTACTTGGGAGGCTGAGGCAGAATTGCTTGAACCCAGGAGGGGGAGGTTACAGTGAGCCAAGATCACGGCACTGCATTCCAGCATGGGCGACAGAGCAAGACTCCATTGCAGGGGGGGTAAAAAAAGCATTGGGATGAGAGGTCTGGTCTATTTGTGTCAGAGTCCTGTGTGCTTCTACACAAGATAGTTTGTGTGCCTGTCTGCATGCATGTGTATACAAAAATCACGCCCCGCAATTATGTACACAGTCACACATATCAATCTCTTAGTAAAATGACAAGTCTGGGCAGTGTCACTCACTGTACCTTGGAATCCTAATTTTTTAACCTTTGCTTCCGCCACCTAGGTTTACTATTCCTCTCCCATGTTTTATTCTCATACCTGCCACCCTAAGTTTATTGTGTACCATGGAGACTAGTATGAGAATGAAGATTTGAAATACCTTTAGTTCATGAGGCATTCTTCAGATATTTTCTGTTTCCTTTTATTGAGGATATTTTCTTTTAGGTGAGAAGAGAAAAAGGTATTGGGTCTGTTCTGTTTTACTATTGATTGTTTTCACTTAAATAATGATAGCCAATTTTTATACAAAGTTTTCATCTCAGCAGGCAAATGTATTCAGATGAGCACACACACTAAAAAGCTTGCCTTCTGTTTCTATGATTAATTGAGATGTAGAGAATGATGGGTGTGGGGTAAAAATGGAAAGGTAATTAGTGTAACTAGGCATGAAATACATTCATATACAAGCAGAACCTCTCCCCAGCTAGTGATCTTTTTCTGGGCTCTGAGGATTTGCATCCCATTAGTAAGTCACTGGCATGGAAATCTTCAGCCTTTGGGGAGACCAGAGCATTAAAAATAGAATTAACTCTAACTGCAAACGGAGTCAGCACACTAGGCCATTAATTCTTCTGCTTGGGTATATATCATGCTGAGCTTCTGTGTGTGGGCTTCTGAAATGTTAGGAGTGAGTTTTATAGAGCATTGCCAGGACTAAATGATAGTTATCTATCATCTCATCTCTCACCCTCACTACTGAGATTTTAATATCTCTCATGACCCAAAACCTGAAATACAGGCAGAAGGTTTTGCTAGAAACATTAAGTAGGGGCCTTTCTTTAGAGAAGTTGTATACTGTATATTTTGTTAACATAAATCTATGTTGTGCTTTACAGTATGTCAGAGATTCCTTATTTTCAAAACCTTATGTCCTCAGATCATCACAATGCCTCAAATGTTATCCTTTCTAAAACTGAGAATTATGCCTTTTTGCATAACTCCACCAACTAATGATAAAAGTTGCCTAGTGTTATTATTTTTAGAAATATTAGTGGTATTGGAAACATTTTAAAATCAACTTCCAAGTATAAAATTTATTGAAACATTTAATATATACAAGCTACATAGAGTACTCTCAATTTCTAATAATCTCTCTTTTCTTTTCTTCCCTTACCCTTCTCCAGCTTCTTTGGGAATCTCTGACAGATATTATTTTCTTTAGTCATCCCAGAGCAGTACAATTATTAACAGCTGCCATTGACTGATTGCCTGTCCCAGGGTTTCTCATACTTCGCACTATTAACATTTGGGTAAAGATAATACTTTGTCATGGGATGCTGTCCTGTGCTTTGTAGGATGTTTGGCAGTACCCCTGGCCTGTACCCATACCAGATGCCTGTAGCAGCTCTCCATACTGATGACCAAAAATGTGTCCAGATATTGCCAAATGTCCCCTGGAAGAGAAATCTTCCCTGGTTGTGAACCACTGGCCTATTCTCTACTAGTCACTATTTCATTTGATCCTATAGTAGCTGCAAGATATGTGGGACTGGCTGGGTGCAGTGGCTCACACCTGTAATCCCAGCACTTTGGGAGGCCGAGGCGAGTGGATCACCTGAGGTCAGGAGTTCGAGACCATCCTGGCCAACATGGTGAAACCCTGTCTTTACTAAGAATACAAAATTAGCCAGGCATGGTGGCACATGCCTGTAGTCTCAGCTACCTGGGAGGCTGAGGCAGGAGAATCTCTGGAACCCAGGAGGCGGAGGTTGCAGCAGTGAGCCAAGATCGTACCACTACACTCCAGCCTGGGCAACAGAGCGAGACTCCATCTCAAAAAAAAAAAAAAAAAAAAAAAAAAAAGATATGTAGGACTATATTAATCAGGATCCTGGCAGGGAACAGATCTTTGCAGCGTGGGTCATAGACTTTTATGAAGGGACTACTTAACAAGGAAGTTAGTAAGGTTAAATGAACTGCTTAGGGAAGTGGGGGTACCCAGAAAATAGCAATAGTGGGAGGTCATTCCCACAAAGAAGAGAGGGGAGGAAATTTTTCCTGGAGTGCTGGAGAGCTGGAGCCCTGGAATAGTGGCTTCCAGAGGGAGATGAAGTCAGGAAGAGACATAGCCATGGCCAGTTATGCAGCACTGTGACAGGGAGAGTGTAGGACAGCCTGGCCTCTCCCTCCTCCTTAATTCTTTGGCCACCAGCCTGTCCTGCCAGTAGATTAAGCCCAAGTGAAATCCAACCAGCAAAGAACTAGAGTGTTGCAGCTCCAGGATTCAGCCCCCATGGGCTTAGAGAAGGAAGGACAATTGAATCTGTTGGGGGGAAAATGAAGAAAATCCCTCCAACATCCCCATTTTAACATGAGAAATCGAGGTTTAATGATATAAAGTAATTCATCCAGGCATCTATTTGACTCCAGGCACAATGAAGGTATCATCTTAGTTGGTCTGTGTGAATGAACTGATGTTCAGCAAGACTGTGAATTATTCAAGGTTACTGATTTTAGTAGGTGGTAGATACAAGACTAAAACCCAGTTCTCATTCCTCTTCTGGTGTTTGCTTTTTTATGTTGACCATTGAAAGAAATCTGAGAGCTCTATATCTGGCTGATTCTCAAGTAGACAAACAGGAGTGAAAGCTATCTGCTGACCTTAAAAATCATTTCTTTCTGAAAATCTTGGAAAATTCTAGGTTTCATCTAGAATGTTTAAATGGCATATGCTATTTTTCCAATCTGTCAGCACATTTTTATCTTGATTGCAGACACTCAGCCCCAGCTGATGCAATATATTAGGAGAGGGAGGAGGACAAGACTGAGAATAAGGAGATTTGGGGCCCAGTTCTGGATCAGCCCCTCTTAGCTGTATAACTAGCCTTCAGAAATAGTACCAATAATATGTTTCATAAACCCTTCCCTTCTACATTCACCCAGATCTTCACAGTTATTCTCAGGTATCTAATTGGAAAGGCTTTAAGCTATGTTTCACAAATGAAGAATCAGGCTTAGAAAGCACTATAATCTCACTGCAAATTTCATAACAGGAAAGTTGTCCCATGCAGACTGAATTCACATCCCTCAATGAAAATGCATGGTCTTTTCTAGTCCACCCACTGCCTTTTGAAGTGATCAATTGATTTACTCCCTATGGACTGCCAGTTTGCAGCATTTAATCCATTAGGTTGCATTATAAAATCATATCTCCATCTAAGTTCTGAGAATCTATGATTTCCTATGGTTATTAGCAAGGCTACAGAGGATACCAATGTAGTTAGCACCTAGGGATTCATGGTTCTTTATTTTTCCTTTCTAGGTTTTAGATAAATATATTTATTATCTATAACTTTTTGGAGGCAAGATCAATATTTTTGAAGTAATTTAAAAATACATGTGTACATGAAAACATATCTAAGTACATTAATACAGTCCCAGTATCTCACTTTATTCCTGGGTAAGTTGGGGGTTAGAAACTGAGATAGATTCCTACACTAAGGTGAAGTGTGTTGCCACTACTGGAAGATCTGGCAAGAATCCTAATCCTTTCCCAAATTGGTTGGTTTGTTTGCCTTCATGTGGGAGTCCCGGCAAGTGATACATTTCAGATCTCTATCACTTTGAGCTTGTGCTCACCCCTGATCTCTGCCCCACCTTTTGACACCCTACTTTTACAGCATTTTCGGGCTTTTGGTTTTTTTATCTTTTCAGTATTTTCAAGCATAAAATCAGGTTTACAATACAAAAAAAGTAGCTTTATTTTTTGTATCTGAACTTCATTTTTAAGTTCCTATTTCACCAAGCCAATTCCAAGAAAACATATAATGCAAGAGTTCTCCATCGAAGCTTAAAGCAAAAAGTATAGATATTTGAAGACTAAAACAACAAAAAAAGTGGAGAAGAATTGTAAGTTCTACCTTTGATATCCCTTGTGGTCTGTCAAAAATATAAATTCCCTCAAAAATATTTTCACTGATAAAATCTGGCTACATTATAACATTGTGTCTGCTCTAGATGATTAGTGGTGCTTTGGGAAAAACTATTTTATAATTTTTATGATGATAATACATAAGGAAAGCTGGAAGAGCAACATTTTCAGTATTTAGAATAGACTTATGCCAGACTACCTGGGTACAGAGCCTGGCTTCATCTCCTTTTACCTCTGTAACCTTGGGCAAGATACTTACCCTGTCTGTCTGTTTTGGTTTCCTCATTGATCTAATCAAATTATAAATAGGCATAGGCTTTCCAGATGTTTTTATGGTTAAACAAGTTGATATTGATAAAACATTTAGAATAGTACTGGAACATAAAAAAGACTATATAAATGTTAATTGTTATGAGAAATATCCTTTTCATGATGATCATTACCACCACCATCACCACCATCCACTTCTGCTGCACAGAGATGCAATCCAATGTTTCCATTCTTCTAAAGTATAATTATTTTGAAATAAGTGGTATTATTTTAAAAATAGTGAAGCTCTGTAATAAGCTTCACTGTTTAGAATATGAAATAAATGGTAACATACATGTGAATAATGTGCATTTGTATTATGGAATATATAACCTAACTCAGAACCTTCAATTCGAAGACTTAGCCACCTTTTCTTTCCAGCTGATAGTATACTGCATGTATAGAATGTCTTATTTGCATTGATTCTAGTTGGTTTGGTGTCATTACACTGAGTATGTTTCCCCAAGGTTTTAGATTAGAAACTACTGACAAAGAAATATTCCAGGAGTCAGAATTAGACATAAATTATATGCTGCAGAGGTGTCTTCTTATTACCACAAGCCAGGTCAGAGTCTCTAAAATCACATTCAGTTACTCTTTTAGTGGTTATTAAGTTTCACCCTTGAGAGAATTAAGAGGCCTGACAATGAAGTATAATAAATCTTACTGTGACCCAAACACAATTAGTAATTAAACTTCCCATTAACAATCCCAAATCTGCTAGATAAAATAAGTAGAAAACTTATATTTTTGTTTACTTTTTACTTTCATATTTAGAGAAGTTGAAAAAAGTTTCACAGATTTCATAAAAATAATTGCAATATTTGCCTGTTTCATTAATGTAGAGTCAATGCCTCATTTATGTGCTTGGGTTTTTCATTTGAGAATGAGAATGGACCAAGAAAAGGGTGAGACTTTTTTTTTTTTTAACACATGAGCAATTGGCTCTCTATTTTTTTAATTTTTATCTATTTTTTTTTTTTTGTCTCAATCCCCAGCCTCTGAGCCCAACTTGAAGGTGCGGTCCAGGTTAAAACAGAAAGTGGCAGAGAGGAGAAGCAGCCCCTTACTCAGGCGGAAGGATGGAAATGTTGTCACTTCATTCAAGAAGCGAATGTTTGAGGTGACAGGTAATTGAGGACTGGGCAGACCTATGAATGCTGGGAGTAGGAATGAAAAAAAAATAGTTTAGAATAAATATACCTGCTGCATATTAAAAGTTATTTTGAGAAGAAATATTTCTTGAAAGGAAATTATATTGAAAACTCACAAGTAGTTCAATAAACCTTGCTATGCATTCACCAACTGTGTTAAACAGGAAATGAATGAAAAAACAGAAGTATGTGTCAATCAAGGCATAACTAGGGAACACCAAAGCTCACCTTATTCTTTTCAGGAACAGGCAGTCCATTTTGGGAATGCCAACCAGGAGAATATAATTTTTAATGAAATTTGATCAGAAATGAGCAGAGGGAGGTCCAAGAAGAACACTTTCCCCTGTACTCAGACATGAATGTACAAAATACATCTGGGAAAATTAAACTACATGGAACAGCAAAACCTTGACTTTTCAACAAATTTACAGAACTCATAAATGACTTTATGTGTTTACTAGTGAAGTGGGACTTATGGCAGGAGGGGGATATATTGCTTTTTATGAAGGGGAAGAAACTGTCATTTTCATGGGTCTCAAATGGAAGAGTTATTTTTTTAGCTGCCTGTTTTAGTAGAGGGGTTAGGAAATTCAACCTGAGGTCTTACAACACCCCTAGTTCCAGTTGTACCTGGTTTGAAATGAAAGACCTAAGGCTGTAAGAACCAAAAATACTAGCCAAAATACTTCTACTTACTACTGTTTTTTGAGTACCTACTTAGAGTCAGGTACTGTATCTAGTTGTTTCCTTTGGTTGCATGAAGAAAGAAGTGGTAATCTGCAACCCCTTTTTTTTCCCATTCTCAAGGAAAACTGTGCTTATACCAATGTGGGCAGTTGGTATTAGTTCTCCAAGATCAGATCTTATTTTTAGTAAGTTTTAAAAAAATTCTTTATTTTCTGTATAACTCTTTTGGCCATGACAGTGTCTACAGGAAGGCAATATAGAGGAAGACTGTGGAAGTGGTGGTAGAAACGTGTATTTAGGTTCTAATGCAACCTGAAAGTTTGGCCGATAATTTTTGGAAAATAATATTTAGTCTCCTATTCAATCTGGACAACTTTATATGCTTATCTGAAGAAAAGTGTTAGTGATTTCAATGGAAAGTATTTCCTTGGGATAAGAAATATTAAATCTGAATAATAAATACAATTATTTTACTAGAGTTTATATGTATTATCCAACATTAAATATAATCACTAATTTAGACGAATTGAATTCTAAGTTTGGAGTTACAGACTTTTTTCCCAGGAAATACTATTGTATGTAAGTAAATAAAAATCTTAGGTTTTTCTAATAGAGGTCTTTGATGGGGGTGGGCAGTTGAGGAGTGAATTTGTTTTAATGAATGTGAAGAATTATAAACCTATCAGGTGTCTAATGTAAATGTAGATAGGTGGTTTTTCTAACTGCAGAAAGTAAGCCCCTTCTAACAGCAAAACTTCTAGAAAAGACAAAACTGAATATAATGCTATTTTATTTTGCTTCATAGTCTTAATGTCTGAAGTCATATTTATTTATCCCAATGTGCTTTTCTGTGTTCCTGTAGTCTGTTTTCTTGATCATAGCTTTTTCTACACAGTCACTTTTTCTTCCGTACCAAATTGCAGTGGCATTTAGCTCAATACCTATCTCAGTAATGATTGGTTCTTATTTATAAGGATTATGATTTACCAGAGTTTTACTCGAATTTCCTTAAATTTAAAATATATTTCTCTTCTTAATTTCGTGAGATAAGCACTCGCCCTTTCACCTCAGGAAACAATATGTATTGGAAGAGAGACTTGTACATTTATTAGAAAGACATTTCTGGTGAGTGGACTTACGGATGCTTTGGTAGATATTTTTAACTGGTATACCGCACTTACTCGAAATGTCTTTGGAGGCTCCGGACTACTGACACACAGCTGTCTTCACCTGTACTCCTTCCCATTGCTCTGCCAACTTTCATCTAGTTTGGATGAGATTTGTTTGGATCTTAATACTAAATATTTTTAGTATCTAGTCAGAGACTATCATAACATCAGAGCAGTTCAGTTGCTTTTGCTGTTATCCTCTTACCTCTATGTCTTTTCTCTCTTCCCCATTTCATAGATTAAAGTGTAAGCTCTTTTCAAACTCATTCCACTCATTGACATGGGAACCCACTTGCCATCTTTTTTTTTCAAATTCAAGTATTTTCTGCCCCCTACAAAAAGTCCTGTTCTTTTCAAATGTTAAAATTGACTCCCCCTGTGCCTGCAATGCCTTCTCTGCCATTCTCCCTACTCCAACATCCTTATTTCATTGGCTACCCTTCTTCAAGCTCCAGTTCCAATATCATACACTGAGATCAGAGATCTCAGAAAATCAGTTGCTATCTTCTCCCAGATCCCATCCAGTGTCATGTCATAGAATCCTCTGGTACAGTAGTTGTTGCCCTGAATTCTAGTGCTTATCACAGTGATTTCTACATAAGGAAATACTTCAGTCTTAATATCATAAAATAATATAAATATTATAATTTAAAATTGGTAAGACAGAATGTTTAAGAAAGTAGTTTTTAAAAAATATGGAAATGGAAATGATATGGAAATGAGACATTAATGAGAAATCAGTCATATTGTAAAGACGAGAGTTAGGAGTTGGGAAAAAGAAGCTCCTGTAAGAATTTTTAAATTCTACATTTCCTTTGTTAAAGTAAAACCAGAGGTGATGATTAAAAAAAATTAATCAAAATATAAACCAGATATATAGACAGAAAGGCAGTGAGCAAAATGTGTTTAAGTATTTTATTATACTAATAATTTGCTCAAATCCCACAGTAAATAAGTGGCAGGATTAGAATTCTTACATTAACCTCACATTCTTTCCAGTGGTACTGCATTTCTGAGTAGAGATTTAATTATAATACAAGTTGAGAGTTATAGGTGTTCTGAGAGAGGGTAAGAAAATATTGCTTGGAAACTGGGTGTTCCCTTTCTCTGAGGGACATACGTTATATGAGCCAGGCTTGGACCTTATAGGTGGGATTCGGCCTGCAATGAAATGGAAAGAAAGGAGGATACAAAAGCATGAACTGGAAAAGTATTTGGCATGAAAGGAGAATAGGTGATTTAATTTGACTGAGTGTAGAGTACAGAAAGGGCAATGGTGGGAAATAATATTAGGCTCTATTTTGGAGCAGAGGGACATGGTGTGAGTTATCTCTGTCTGATCCTTTTGCAAGAGTTTGAAAGAAAGGTTTGAGAGACTACTGTAGTGACTCAGAAATATGAGCAGACTTTTGCTATAGTTCTTGACAGAATAACAAGGCCTTAAACTGAAATGATTGTAGTCAGACATAGATGGAGAGATAGTGTAAAGATCACATTAAAAGGGCCTAGTAACTAATTAGATTTGCAGTAAAGAGAGAGTGAGGATGACTCTAGGGTGATGAAAAAATAGAGATATGCAGGAAACAGTTAATATTAAAATACATACATTGAGTTTTACACATATGTAGGGGAGCTTGGAAGGTCCAGCTTTCAGAGGAATTTGGGCTGGAATTTATGAGTTAAAGGCAAGAAATGTGACTTTCCTGAGATAATTCTGCCCCAAAATGACATATGAAGTCATGATACTGAGTGATTTTGACAAGGGAAATAGAAAAGGGATAAAGTCACAAACTTAGGTGAATGTCTGAATTTAGGAATTGGTAGGAGGAAGAAAAGTCAAAGAGATGGGAAGACAAACATGGATGTAGAGAATGCCACTGTAGAAAGGATGTGGAAAGGAATGTTTTCTCTGAGGCCTTCAAGTGTGGTGGCATTTGAGAGAACAGTTGCAGTTAATAGTGGGTAAGCTATATTGCCAAGGCTTGAAGAAGTGAGTGGACATTGTGAGAGCACACCATTTCTCAAGAATTACTAGCATGCTGTCAGACTAGAGGGGCAATTCCAGTGTAGGAGGAGGGCCTGAAGATTCCACCTAACTAATCCTTTTAGGATTTTTTTAAGGGGATGGGATCATGGGTAAGACTAAATGTGTGAGCGTTAGAGAGGAAGAGAAATGCCTTATATTTGAAATGGGAAAAGAGAATGTAGATAACATAATCATGAGTAGAAAGAAAAGATGCTGGTGGAAATCATATCAAAAATCCTGTCTCTGAAAAGCATGAGGCAAGATCATTTGTGCAGAGTTGGGTTGACAAGGTGTAATGATGAGGCAGCTAGGAAGATTTTGAAATGAGTGAAGTGTAGAAGGTGGTAGGGAATTAATTAGAGCTGAATAAATAATTTGCCAAAGCTTGATAAGATGACTTCTCTAGCTATATTTCTAGGAAATGGAAATTTATATTTTTGATTAAATGTTTTAATAAATGCATTAGTTTCTGCATAAGTTGAGGTACATGTGAATTTCATATCTGAAGAGGAAAGGATGGGTTAAATAAAGAATCTGTCTTGTTGTTGCCTGACTTTTGCTAAAAGGAATTTCTTGTTATATTGGTATTTACAAATCTACATGTTAAATTTAGGCAACTTCTCATTTTCTGGAAAATAAGTTGAGTAGAGTTAAAGTCAGATGGTCTTGTACAAGGTCATCAGTGCAATGTTGAGATTTTACATTCTATTGTATTTTCTTCATATAACTTGAACTAGTATATGCAATAATAAGGTATAGCCTTAGTATATTAAATAAAAAACAATTTACAGCACAGCATTTGAACAATTTTTTTCAGACCTAATGGAATGGGTCTGAACCTCATGGGTTAACGACTTGTCTTTTGATGTGCACAAGTTCATTGTCTTCATTACTGTTATTTTCTGTAATAGCATAAGAGCAAGTAAGAAAAGATTCCTTTCTTCAGTTTTTTTTTTTTTTCTCATTCAAAGCTCCTGTGACCCTCTCTAACTGGATATCTTTACTTCTCTAGAAACTGTTGAACACTATTTAGTATGTTTTGCCATGAAAACAAAGGAGGAATAAGTGGTATGAAAATTCAGAGTTACTGCAGAAATTTTTAGTTCTTTCTATTTTGTGAAATAGTGCTTGCATTTACATAGGGGGAAAATAACATGCCCAATGTTACATGTTACAGTAACTAAAGTTCATCTATGTATGTTCCTCATGAACACATTTGTACTTCACAATATTTTTCAGAATCCTCAGTCAGTAGCAGTTCTCCAGGCTCTGGTCCCAGTTCACCAAACAATGGGCCAACTGGAAGTGTTACTGAAAATGAGACTTCGGTTTTGCCCCCTACCCCTCATGCCGAGGTAAGACCCTTATTATTTTGTTTCTTTTAAAAACTGAATTTCTGATTAGCTACCTAATACAAAGTGATATTTCTGAGTTGACCTTCAATATCCAAATGATATTTATGAATTGAAGTTTACTCAGTTCCACATATTGTAAACCAATTGAAAAAAATTGATATTTACTAACTAATGTAAATATTATAAACCTATAAGAAATGAACTGATATTTATTAGCTGACATAAATAAATATCAATTTTTTTCTTACAGATTTTTTCTTATTTATGGAATTCAGTAAAATTGATCTTATTTATAAATCAGACAACCAAAGATGTTTGGAAGGCAATCTGGGCTTGAAATGTAATCCTCAGTCAAACATTCTTAGTGATCCTCCGTGCACACTGCCTGACAATTATGTAACTTACTAGTCCCTCTGCTTGGTTATTGGTTGTGCCGATGTGAGTAGACACATCAGTAAGTAAAAACAACTCGTACAGGCCTCTCAGAGGAAGAACCTAGCGAGGTGGATTTTTATCCATTTGAACTGAAAAGTGATGAAAAATAATTGCAGTATTATAGTTGAAGGGTGTGAAGCTTCACTGAGCAAACATTTTTTGAGCACCTGCTATATTCAAGTCATTTTGCCTCACAGTAGGGATATAAACATGGACAAGATATGAACTCTATGTTTGAAGAATGACATATTAAAGGATATTAGTTTAAAGTAACACATGATTTAGTGTAACCAATGATACAAGACTAAGAGGAAAGTTAATGTAAAAGTCAGCAAGAATTTGTCTATGTAGTTTCTGTATAAGGCTATCAAAGGCAAGAGTCTGAAAATAGCCACTCATGAAATCACCTGTTTTGAAGTCATCAACAATTGACTGAAAGCCTTATTTTTGTTTCTGTTATTATGCCTTCTTCACTGTGCATTGCTCTGTGCAAGGAGAGCTGGTGCGTTAACTTCTAATATATAACATACTTCTTTTGTTATATTTTATAGAGTCATGGTACCTTGAGACAGAAAGGGACTGGTCAAGTCTCTTATTCTTGGATCATCTCCATAGCTTTTCTACCATGTGGTTATCCAGCCTCTGTTAGAACACTTCTGCTTATAGGGAGCTCACTTCACTGTCTCCTGAGGCAACCCAGTTGATTTTAAATAGTTATTTTGACTGATATGTCTCTGTACAGCTATTGCTCTGTAATTTCATATATTTTATACACACAAACACAATATGATATGTATAATAAATTATTTATAAGTTATGAAATTATCAGGTCAGAATATAATAAGTGAAGGCAGAAATCCAGAAGTTGTCTCTGATGAGCAAAGGACTGAAGCCAGTAAAGTCAGTTTTGCTCTAGGCACATTTGCACACTTGAGTTTTGAGCTTTGGTTTTCAGGGCCTCAGAAACTCAAGAGATAGAAGATAAAGCCTAGTACCAACCAGGGAGGATAATCTAATAGGAGATCCTGCAAACACTAAGCTGACACCCCAGAGGCCTGTATCTATGTTACATTGATTAGTTGACTGCCCCTCTTACTGCTGTGTCCCCTGCCAGCCCCCCCTGCCCTGGGCTGTCTGATGTGGAACAGAGCAGAGGGCAGATCCTCTCTCTCAGATGTCGTAACCACAAGCTAGTCCTTGTGTAGATCTGTAGCCCAAATCATATAACCTCAAGCTGTTAACTTGACTTATCATGGCACCACATTTGTAGTTCCCACGTTAGGAGTCTGCACAAAGCAAACAAAAACTCCCCTGGAGGAATATACCTTCCTTCTAGATTTCAAAAATTTCCCTCAAATAAGTTTCCAAGAAACATGAGCAAAATATCTAGATGCTGTCGTTTGACCATTTTCAGCTATTTAAAGAATAGTAATTCTGGCCTCTACATGGTCTTCAGGTCCCGCATCTATTTCTTACTTACTATCCTGTTACCCCTCTTTATCTTTTTCTTTATCCTTTCAAAAACATGATAGCAGATGGAATAAATACTTTGTTTATATTTGCAGCCAGAGACATAAGTGGAGTTATTGGGTTATTAGTTGTAGATAGCATCTTTTTGTTAGTGCAGTTATATCTGGATATTGGTCCATTCTCTGCAACTATTTAGTAAATTTCCAGGAAAAGAACAACTTGGTTACAATTTTTTTTTTCAAAAAATTTTAGATTGTTGTTATCTCTCAGTATGAAGAGTGTAATTCTTAGTAACTGCAAAAACAGCAAAGGATCTGGGTTCTAATCAGTCCCTGGATGGATTTTGTGCCATTGAAAAATGAAAACAACACACTAGACTACATTCAGCAGCATGTATGATTCTGAGAAATGCATTGTCATTGCAATGTTTCAGAAGACCACTTACAACATGGGAGGATTTTATTAGGTTCAGAAATGGTAATACCATACTTTGATAATATGTAGTAATAGTATATTTTTAAGAGGCGAGAGAGTGATGAACACAAAATTTAGCATGATGATTACCTTTCAGGGGGGAAGAAGGGGGAAAACATGATTTGATAGTTACTAAAGAAGATACATATATTCCTTCATTGTAAATACATATGTATGTGCATATAGTATTTAGTACAACATATTGGAACAACCAGTAAGTATACATCAGTGAAGAAAGTAAATAAAAGATTTTGCTTATACTGTTTTAATCTGTTTTATATTTCTAAAGCCATAACTTGGCACAAATCATCTGTTTAGGTACCCTAGCTTTTCAGCTAATTGTTGAACATATTCTCTCACTGCAAACCTTTCCTTTCACCCCCACCATTAAAAAAAGAAAAACAAAACAAAACAGAGGGAAATGTGATTTAATGGAGTTTAAAAGGGTAGAGGTATTTCTTCAGGTCAGTGACAGGACATTCACCTCCAAATCTGGAAAGACGAGTTCAAAAGCAAGCAGTGACTTACCTCATAATGAATTAATTGTGTGCCTGAACTATGATCCAAAAGGCCAGGTGGGCAGACCTTTATGCACTGATGAGTAGCCTCTCTGTGGCCCAGAACAAAAAATGCAACCCTGATGGCTAACATGTGGTTTTCTGCTGTATTGCATTTACAGAGATCTATGGTGTAATTCATTCTCGATAGGTGAGGAGACAGCGGAATTTAGACTAAGACTGTCAGCAAATTAATATCCTAGCTTTTTAGCACTAAATGTTTCCACCCAAACTGGAGAAAAGAAAAAAAAAATTTCTTAGCCATAGTTGAGTAACCATCATTTAGAATTTAGGATGATTTTTACAGATGTCTCCTAAGATTGATAGTAGTACGGGATTTCATAGCAACAAATATTTTGGGGGTATGAATTATTTGCATAATATATTGCACTCTAAAAAAATGGTTGCATACTTTACCGTTTACAAAATTGGCTTATTTTACTGTTTTTGCTTAAGCAACACTGGTAAGTTTTCGTATTAAAGTAGTGTATATTTGAATGAAGTCTTTATTTTATGGCCTGTAAGTAGAAAAGCATGTCACCTAATTCAGAGCCCATGTAAATGAATGGGATTCTATCCTATTGTGCTGCTTCAGAAGTAGGAAAGTCAGGCTATATCTAAAGATCTTGAGCCCTAGATGAAAACAAAATTTTCTATCTTGTAATTCACATGTCCTGCCTAATTTAGATAAAGGGAAGACAGAAGTAGGAGGAGAATTTACTCATAAATTGAGGTTCAGGAAATAGCACATTGTAGTAGAATGTATGGGTGTTCCATTCAGAAGACTCAGCCTGAACCTGGCTCCAAAACCGGCTACCTTGTCATCATTGGTCAAGTTGTCAGACTTCCCCTGACCCCCAGATTCCTGATCTAGGAGAAGGTAGTACCGTAATACCTACACTAGCAGCTTTGTTTTAAGGAATCAGTGTTTGGAAGGCAGGTGGTAAATTGTGAAGTTCGGAACAAGTTCATTTTTTGTTGTTATTATCAGCGCTGACTCCTGGTAGGGAAAACTCATTAGCATGTTTGTCTTCAAGCCAGCAGCTCTCATGTGAGAGTGAGTCTCCATCTGCTCTGACCACTTCTGTTCCATTTCTTCTATTTCCTACATATGCTCAGTCCCAGAACTCAGATTGTTGGAGCTACTTGCTTTACTCATTTGTAAACTTGGTTGGGGAGCTGAAACCTCAGGGGTTTCTATTTCCAACTCCAGTCAAGGATGTCTTTACCTATCTAGTTACTTTATTGTTAATACTGTGGGCCTGTGGGTTCAAATATGTTTCCATGGATATCAACACTATTACTTTAGATTCAGTAGATTTATTTGATAGCTATTTTAACGGTAGCCAAGCTGCTGGTTTATTTCTAGTTGAACATTAGTGGCTGTCTCTGCTATGCTATTTTTTAAAATAAATTTTCCAGCAGATACAAATGCTTTTAAAAAAGGATTCTAATAATAAGGTTAAGTGTTCTAAAATCATCTGTAATGTCACTTGTTTTGCCCCAATCTCACATGACTCATCTGCCTGTTGTTTCATAATAGTTGTTGTGACATTTGCAGTAAATGTTATGCTCCCTTCTGAGTGGGTGTAGAGCTGTGGTTTTAGATAGCAGCAAATAAAACACGTTCCCCCCACCCCCAATTCAGGGAAAGGAGGTTGCTATGACAAAATAATCATTTACTAGGAATAACATGAGTCAATATTTTAAAGTAAGATCTTTAACAAAACATCAGTGCCTTTCAAATGCTAAGGAAACTCTGTCAAATGATCTTTCTTTTTTTGTTTTTTGTTTTTTGTTTTTTGGTCTCACAATATGTCTCACCATTTTATAGTAACACCTTCTTTGGTGTCCAGTAAAATGAAAACTTGAGAGATTTCTACTGCTTCAACAATTTTTTTAATTACGTGGAGATTTTAATTTTCTATGAGCTATCTGAAAGAAGAGTAGAAAATAAATACAATCTTGAAAAATCCCATGAAAACCATAGGCAAATATTAAATGATTGAGGCTTTTCTTTTTTAAAACGTGGCTATGTTCTTTTTAGATAGCCTGGATTCAGGGACTTGGGACCTTGTAAAGCCAAAGCTGATTGACACTCATAAGGATGTCTTCCTGTATGCCATTCTAATAGACACACATGTTACCTGATAGAGCTGGGCAGAGGTGCTTCAGTCTCAGGCTGAAGGTTCTGAAGTCCAGGGAAGTTGGGTGCTGCCCAGGGTTACAAGCTATGAGTGGGAGAGCTCAAGTATAAGACACTTAGGCCAGACTTCGTTTCACAAGTCCAGGCTGCTCCTCACCAAAATTCTGTGTGTATATATATATTTTTTCTTTTTCTGATTCTCATGCATATTGTAGATAATTTGGAATATACAGTAAACTGAAAATTCTATATCCACATTTCTGTGAGCTTTTTAAAATGTGAGTGATTACTGGCCAGGCATGGGGGCTCACATCTATAATCTCAGCAATTCGGGAGGCTGAGGTGGGAGGATAACTTGAGGCCTGGAGTTTAAGACGAGCCTGGGCAACATAGAAAGACCCTGTCTCTACAGGGAGAAAAAAAAAAACCTAACAAACATTAGCCAGGAGTTTGAGCCCAAGAGTTTGAAGTTACAGTGGGCCTTGATCGCACCACTGCACTGCAGCCTGGGCGACAGAGCAAGATCCTGTCTTAAAAAAAAAAAAAAAAAAAAAAAAAAAAAGGAAAAGTAGGTAATTATTTACATAACTAGTATAACTAGCATTCTGTCAAGGGCTATCATTGACTTTTTTGTCTTCTTAAGAGTAAGAAAAGTATTTGTTTATCTTCTTCTCTTTCCCTTCCTCCTTTTTTCCCTGCCTCCCTCCCTCCTTCCTTGGTTCCTTCTCTCCATCTCCTTTCCCCACTTTCATTTTCCTTGCTCCTGGAGGCATCATTCTCTCCCGTGTTCTTGTTTATATGAATTTTTACATCATATATATTTTTTACTTTGCATCCATGAGTTTTAATGGGATATAAATGGCACAATGTTATCTGCATCATTCCATTTTCTTGCTTTTATCACTAAGCCTGTGTTTTTACATCCAGACACCATGTCTTTATGGATGCAGAAGTCCAATGGTGTGCTTTCAATCACCACAAAAATCCATCGTGGGTGCTGCCGCGTACTGATGCCCCGAGGTAGATGTCCTGGTGCCCTTCAATATATACCATGGCCCATCATCCTACAGCTTAATGAGATAATTTCTCGAAGTTAGAATTCCCAGCAAAGCCATCACTGGGTCATGGTATACAGAATAATTATTTTGGTTTAAAGTTCAGCAGAATTGCTGTACCAGACTACTGTCCCACCAGCATCATATGAGAGTTTTTACCTTTCTGAATCCCTGTGGCAGTTGACATTGTCCATTTTTCTAATTATACCCAGTGTCCCTTCTGGAAGACATTCTCACTCTTTTAATTGAAATCAGTGGCTTAATTTAAATTCCACATAAATAGCTCTATTGAGAGGCATAATGTTCCAGTCCATGTGTTTTGTATTCATTTGAATTACAAATATTATTTATGAGATGCCCCTCCTATTGACATAACAGGAGAGAAATTAAATAAGATTTTGAAGAGCCTTAGTAAAATGTGAGTAGGCCACCCCTACCCCAGCACTTGGCCCATTTCATATCTCATGTCCCAACATAATGCTCCTTCCTCTAATTACAGTAATTATCACAAGTCAAAGAATTAGCTCTTTACTTTTCTGTGCACCTAACTACCATGTGAATTGGTGTTTTATAGGACATCTTTGTACGCCTTGCACCCAACACCATTAATCTAAGACAGAGAAGTTACCCGTTAATTGTTTTGTGAAGGTTAAACAATAGCCATTCATACATTTACTATATTCATTTTATCTAACCACAATAAAAATCTTTGGTTCTGAAAAATTTTCAGATTAAAACCGTCATTTCCATGTTCTAAACTGCAAAGTATTGGCATCATAGCAAAGCACTGATTTAAGGGCTGGGCCAGATTCAAAACTTCTTCTTGGAAAAATCTTGGCTTTGTCTGAAAACACTTGTGAGCTCACTGCAATGCTAAGGTGGGATGGTCTTCCAGCCTTGCAAGAATGCTAGTCAGGATCTTTCATTGTGTCAGGTGAATGGTACCCCTCCCAATCTGTTAGTCTGACTTTAAAGTGTGTCTGTACTCAATTAGCAGTGTAGACTATGGCTCCAGGTCTTATTAAGAGATAAACGTGGAACAGATAGACTGCTCCGATCAAAAAGCATAGTTGAGGAAAGCTGTATTTAAAGAAAATAATTCAAGGGAAATGGTTTTTCATTTCTCTGAAGTCATCCTAGACCTTGAAAGTCTACATAAATGCTATGCCTGTTTCCTTATCTGTAATCCAAGGAGATAAGCTAAGCAATGTCCCGGTCTGTAAAGTTTCTATGAAGACGACATACCAGTTAAGAGTCTTTGGGAAGAACCAACTATACCTAGTAGATATGGGGGACACAGAACCATCCTTGCTTCATCAAGAATTGTCTCCATGACTTGAAGATCCTGACATTTATAAAGTCACCGGAGCTTTTTTCTTGTGCCAAGTCCCCTGACTCCCAGTTGCACTCCTTTATTCCTGCCATGAGCTTCAGAGCCTGAGTTTGCTTCCTCTTCTCCTCCAAAGCCACCACCATTCTCCCTACTTTTCTGTGGTTCCCCTGTCTTCCAGCAGTGGCTGCAGAGTCATACTCCCTGTAGCAGCAGCTGTCAACAAATCTCATAGCCTTGGTCAGTTTAAAGGTTTTGTTGCTGGTCCCACATGGAAGCAAAATTGGGGAAATGACTCAGTTTCCTCATCGACAGCATGAGCATAATGGTAGCTTGAGAGTGCCTGTGAAGAATAGGTTAGCCTCCAAAAAATTCTGGCCCAGGACACCATGGTAGGTGCTGAATATCAGTACACTGCCAGAGGAAATGGAGCCACTCAAGTTTTATAGGAAACTACAAAGATCTGCAATCCCAGAGTAAGACTGTCCCCAAATCTCTTCACTGTAGTCAAAGCCAGTGTGAGGAGCCAGTGTGTTGCTGCCATTATTACGTCTGAGAAGATAATCTATTTCTCCTTTTAGTTTAAGTCTGGTTCCTGTGATGAGGTGGGAGGATATCACAGAAATTCTCTCTGGGAAACAAAGAAAACTCTTTTGTGAGGTCTATGGTATTTTTTGTGCCATTCTCCCAGTCCGTGTCAAATCCCCTAGTCCATATCTTAGTGCTGTGAGAAGCAGATATAACCTTGAATGAATATTATGCCCTATTTAAAATGCTTATTTTTCCACACTTATTTTCTCTTCAATGAATACAGATAAGTGAATAACATATCCTTTTATTTTAAATTACTATTTACTGCCAATAAGCTAGTTAAAATATTTTTACTTCCTTATATGTTCCTTTTGTTCTTGTACAGGTATTCTATACTTACAATTTTCGTGAAAAGCTTATTATTTGTATGAGTAAAAGAGTAGCTTGCCTTTTTGTGTACAGCAAGTATGCAACTCTGTCTGATAGCTCATAAAATAAAATTGCAACCCCACACATTGTAATTTTAAAATCTTTCCCAACAATCTTCATGCTATGTCACTTAGACAACTAATTTTTTAAAGGGCTGCATATAAAGTCAATGTAATGTTATTGCTTTCAACATACCTCTTGGTTTTCATGCACAAATATCTGACATGTTCCTTTAAGAAGTAACAAAATCTGAACTAGCTTTGAGTTCCAAGTTGCAATGAGAAAACTCCACATTTAACCTTGTGCTCTTATTATGTTAAGACTAAGACTCATCTCCAAACAAACGTATGATTGAGATGATGTTTTGGAATAACATCCTGTGTTTTGGTGGTGCATCACTCTTCAGTGACATTCTGAGGTTGCATTGTATCAGCACATGATATTTTCCCCGGTTAATTGATATCCCAGGTTTGTCCAGGGGAAAATCTACAGCTCCCCCAAACATGCTTGACAAGTTATTATATTTACTTTAGTCAAAGCCCGTGTGTGCAATATCCCTCTTGGAGGTGGTCTATTATTGGAGTCCCATATGCTTTTTGTTTGGGAAGAAAGCAGCCACTGTGTCATACTGTTACATGGAGTATTCTTTTTCAGGGATGTTGTTCCCTTGGGGACCATATCAGGCCAGAGTTCCTTAGTCTAATAAGACCTTTGTAACTCTTATTGTATAAAAGTTCTGGGAGGGAGGCAAGAGTTAAACAGAAAATGTAATTCAAGCAACCATATTAGGCCACATGTGGGAAAACATGACTCTTAGTAATGGATTAAAAAAAAGGTATTTGTTGTAAAAAGCACAGTGATGCCAAAACGTTCAGGGTATTTCAATGTAAATGAAGCCTACTGTGGCATAGGACTCATAACATTTTAACATTTACTTTAGTTTCTGAATATGAATGATCTAAAAATACACCACACAGAATTGTCTATTCATAAATGTTTATAAGTAAAAAAGATGTGATTACTATGGAAGCCCTATATGGTGATATTTAATCTAAGATTTTTCTTGGGTCAGTTTTCCCATCAATAAAATGACATTAAATGAAGAATCAGGTGAAGATAATGACTGTGGTGGCATTATATACATATTTTTTTCACTGAGTAATACAAAAGAAGTAGACATACTAATCAGAATTATCCAATTTTATCATTGTACTTTATCAGCAGATGACAAACATGCTGACCATATTTTGTATAGCCAGAATTTTATAAATGAATTTGCAAAAAATGAACATAGATGCCTTTTATTCAGATTTTATAACTATGTCTTTGGAAGAAATTTTTTATTTAAATTTGACATTATAACTTTTGGATATAGAAGTCATAAAATAAATACTTAAAATCTTTTCTTAATTATGGTAAGACCCATTTTCTGAAATGAGAACATTTTACAGTAAAATTTGTGATACTGTGGTATTTTGAGACTCTCCTCTTTTTTTAACAGCAAATGGTTTCACAGCAACGCATTCTAATTCATGAAGATTCCATGAACCTGCTAAGTCTTTATACCTCTCCTTCTTTGCCCAACATTACCTTGGGGCTTCCCGCAGTGCCATCCCAGCTCAATGTAAGTCATTGCACAGCATCAGCCTTAATCAACCTAAGCAATATCTTTTCACAGGGGAACTCTCTTTCGTGTTTTATGTATTTAGACTTTAGAAAAACTTGACAGAGCCAGCATCTCCTTCACTGTTTGCTATTTGCTGTGTTGTTCAAAGACATTCAGTCTAATTTCAAGTCAGAATTATCCTGGTTCACATAATCATATGTAAACATAATAACTAACATTTGTATAATGGTTTATAGCTTTTAAAAAAAAAGCACTTTCCAGATATATTATTTTAATAGCTCCACACAGCCATCCTGTGAAACAGAGATTACAGCCCACGTTTTTACAGAAGGAGAAGCTGAGACTTGGAGAGTTTCAAAGCACAAGATCACAGAGCCAGTAAGTGGCAGACCTGGAACACAAGCCAGGGCAGTGCTGAGAGCTACAGCTTCGAAAGCACAGCAGCATATGTTTATAGAATTTATTTTGTGAATGAGTTTATTTTGGGAATTTAAGTTACTGACTCTCTGGTACTGGCGAATATGTATCTGGAAAAACTCTCTAAGAAAAATATTAAACTATTCCCAGAAGATTCAAAGTGAATCAATTAGTTTAAAAGTCCTGACAACTGAAATAGGCTCTTTCGGGAAGAAAGCAGTCACTGTATCATACTGTTACATGAAGGCCTAGAAGTGATTCCTTGTTCTGGACTCTTTGCCTTAAAATTTCCTAGTACTCAGCAGAGAAAATGGAATACTAGAGATCTCTTTGCCAAAGCAGAGCTAAACTTGAAATGTTATTGTCATACTAGCAGAAGATGGCAATAATTATTCTAGGCATATTCCCTGAAACAGTGTCAATTTTAGTTGTAAAAAATGTGTGGGCCTTATCCAGAATAATTCATCTCTGAAATGTTAGTTAATTAAATTGTATATATACAGGGGTCATATGATACATTAGGTTTAGAGAGAAATTTATTCCAACTCTCATCACCAGTTTGGCCAATCTTTACCTTCAAGTCTTCCACTGAGTTGAATGTGTCAAGTTCACTTGTATGTTCAACACATAGTTTCAATGCGTATTTTAAAATCAACCTAAGAGATATTATATCTGGTATTGTCAATAGACTATAATGTCATTTTATGTGGTACTGTGTTCTTATACCAATGAGGAAAAAACAAAATTTGGATGTTGTCTTATATCTGGGGATTATAAAAGAAAGCATTGAAAATACAGAATTCAGCTATGCTCTTAAAATTCCACATGAAACATTTGTAAATGAAAAACAAAAAAAGGAATTAGGAATGAAACTAAAAATAAATATTCATGGATAATATTTTACAGTTATCACTAATTAAAAAATATTTTTCCTTCTCTATTTCCTGTCTCTTCTAATGATAAGTAAATACCAACCCAAAAACTTCTTATGACACATGAATAGGCATTTTATTTTTACTTATTTTTGTATGTTCTAAGCCACTCCTCTCAATAACTCACACATGGACCACTTTTAATGTGGTCAGGGAAAATTTTTTCCCAAAGGACCAAGTACTAAAGCCAGACCAGTTAATGTTTCAGAGGTAATACGATTTGGTACCATTGGATGAATAAACCAATGTGGTTTGGATTAAAGTTTCATTTTTCTTTGCTTCCATTTTGGTGTGGATGAGGCCATCACAATTAATTTTTCAAGTTTAGCATTGCTTTGCCAACGGGATTTGTAGTACTCCATTTCTACATTGAATACTGGGAAATTTTAAGGAAAAGAGGCCAGGACAAGGAATCACTTCTAGATTAAACATTGCATTGACTTACTGTGTGACTCAGACAAACCACTTACCTCTTTGTCCTTCAGTTTCTCCATTGCTGAAAATTGCTTCGCCTCCCTGGTGCACAGCAATTTTGAAAGATGAAACATGAGTTTTGAAAAGAAACATGCCACATAATTTTGAGGTATTAGAGTCCTGCTTTTGTAATAGCAAAATGACCACCATTCATTAAATCCTTTGAATAGGATAATTCATTATTGCTATTGATGATATAATTATTATTGCCTTATTACTGTGTTATCATACATTTCAAGTTCTTAATAGCATTTTTTGTAGTTTATTATACAAAATATCTAGAGTGTCATTTTCAATATTTAGAGATTTGGGTATCTGTTATGAATTAATATAAAATGTTTAAATCAAATTTCTGCATATTTTTACCTCCTTTCATTGGGTTATTTTAAGAATTTAATTTAAAAAATTAAACATTGGACACTTACAGCTCTGTGAAATTATTAGAAGCCATGTAGAGAAAGGGTAAATTGTTCCTTTTGCTTGCAACTCCAAAATTACAGTCCATCTTATCTCCAGCTTCTTAATCCCCATGATATAGTCTTTGAATAAATTTTACCTCTCCAGTATGCCTTTAACTTAAACAGTGTATAAAATATTTTAGAAATGTACTTTCCACTTATTAAGCCTGAAATAAGCATTTTTTGTTTTTTTATTGACATATAAAAGGTACATATATTTGTGGTTTACAACATAATGATTTGACATATGTATACATCGTAGAGTGACTTAAGCTAATTAACATATGCATTGTCTCACATACTTATTTTTTATGGTGAGAACACTGAAAATCTATTCTCTGAGAAATTTTCACATGTACAATATATTGTTATTAACTGTAGTCATCATCATGTACAACAGATCTCTTGAATTTATTCTTTCCACCTAAAATTGTGTATGTAGCATCACTTCTGATTTTAATTATAAAACCTTTTTATGTTCAATACAATGACA
Organism: Homo sapiens; assembly: GCF_000001405.40. Lineage (NCBI taxonomy): Eukaryota > Metazoa > Chordata > Mammalia > Primates > Hominidae > Homo > Homo sapiens. Next base: position 18,647,571 of record NC_000007.14, read on the forward strand.
ATATTAAATTGTCTTCAGTGCTCCAACCCTATTTTTATTCCTTCTTTTTTGAACTGAGTTAGTTTAAAAAGTCCATTTTCCCTGCTCAGCCATTGGGTAAGATGGGGCTTTTGTTTTGGGAAGCTACAGCATAGGAAACTTGTCTAATGATTTAGAGACCCAGTGACCCACATGGATGAAAGAGGATTAACATCTTTGTTATTTCTCAACACAGGCTTCGAATTCACTCAAAGAAAAGCAGAAGTGTGAGACGCAGACGCTTAGGCAAGGTGTTCCTCTGCCTGGGCAGTATGGAGGCAGCATCCCGGCATCTTCCAGCCACCCTCATGTTACTTTAGAGGGAAAGCCACCCAACAGCAGCCACCAGGCTCTCCTGCAGCATTTATTATTGAAAGAACAAATGCGACAGCAAAAGCTTCTTGTAGCTGGTAATTCATTATGGCACCATTTGCAGGTCATTTTAGGGTTTTATTTTATTAGTGATCCAGGATAATGTCTCTTTTACTCAAGACCCTGATGGAGATCCACAGTGCTATACAAAAGTTTCCCTGATACCTGGTACTGTGGGAAAGGCTATCATCTTTATTTATTCCTTCAGATCCACTTGGGGTAGGAGGACTCACCTCATTTAACCTTTATTCATACCAGACTAGGCTGTGGTGAGTCGTATGGTCAGATGCGTACCTGTCCAATGCCTTGACATTTCTCTCTTCCCACACCTGACCTATTCTTCTGTTGTTTGCCTGGTAGCATCACTAATTCACTAATTTTCTTACAGTTTATACCATGTATCTGTTTTCTTTGGCTTCTTATCTTTTCTTAAAATTGTGTGTGTGTGTATGTGTGTGTGTGTGTGTGTGTGTATACACACATATACATGTATTTTTTTTTTCAGGTGGAGTTCCCTTACATCCTCAGTCTCCCTTGGCAACAAAAGAGAGAATTTCACCTGGCATTAGAGGTACCCACAAATTGCCCCGTCACAGACCCCTGAACCGAACCCAGTCTGCACCTTTGCCTCAGAGCACGTTGGCTCAGCTGGTCATTCAACAGCAACACCAGCAATTCTTGGAGAAGCAGAAGCAATACCAGCAGCAGATCCACATGAACAAAGTAAGCCTCCAAGCCAAGTCAAAATGTTCTAACCGCCAGTTTGGAAATTGGGTATCTCTTCACTGATATGGGTGTCTAAGAGGAATGTTGATGGGAGTCACAGCAAAAAGGATGTGATCATCCTAAGCCTGCTTTCTTGGCTCAAGGACACCATCACAATATCAGTGTTTTAACCACCATTATGTTCATAAGACATTTGTAGCAAAATTGAGATGATACATTCACAAGATCTTTTTATGATCAGGTATATATTTTGGTACACAAGCCCATACGGGCATATGTATATGGAGCCTCATTTTTTAGTGTTGCAGAAAAAGTTTGAGGCAGACTTGAATGTGGTGTGTTGACATGTCAAAAAGTTTGTACAGGTGATGACAGATAGGCCAAGATTAGCCAGTAAGGCACTTCTCAGCAACTTGTATGCATCTACGTTACATTTATTTTGCGAATGCCCCACTTCATTCCAATAAGCGTTTGGAGTAGTTTCTCGGAAACTTGTGATCATTTCTTCCTGGAAGTCTTAATGTTGCTAAAATAGACAGCGGATGTCTGTACCGTACCACATCCTTAGGAGCTCTCCTGCTGAGGCAACTACAAAGAAACAGTGATTGCAGCATAATATCAGACAGGCCAGTAAAGGATTTTCTATGAATTCGTAAGCAAAATGATATTAAAGAACCTGGTCTGGACAGTTTTTCCACTACTTTTTGCTGTGGTAGGCTTAAAAAAGCACCATCTTCTCATTCCTGGAAAATTCCTGGAAAATATTAAGGTCCTGAGTATTAAAATTCTATTCCCTTGCCTTTGTGCTGTATCATCTACAAGTTATGTTACAGAGGCATGAGAGGCATGATATTGCAAACTGATACTTTGTTTACTGATAAATGGATAGCTAAAACCTGGCTTAGTAATAACTTTGTTGTACTATGATGTAAGAAACAAACAAAACAAAACAAAATAAACTCTCATGGGCAGAGGCTTAATCATCTTTCTAACGGCAGTAGGGGAAAGGGATCTTCATCACTTGCTGGTTTTATGGCAAGTGTTGCTGGAGTTTTTCTCTTCTTTTGGCCTCCATCGTAACAAGGGCAGAGCCATGAAGGAAGCATGGATTGGATACCATGCTTCCGAACAGAAAGTTTTCCAGCCTAGCCCTTCGCTACTCTCAAAGTAGCAAAAGTATGTGTGGGATTGGGGTGCTAGAGATGGGGTGGCTGGCAGGGACAACTCTCTCTCTAACCTTTTAGTATGCATTGCAGACCCTTTCTGTGTCATTAGATAATGCCTATTTTATTGCTGTAGCACTTCTCTAAATTTAGCAAATATTTCGGTTTCATATCAAATTATTTTATATCAAATCAGTATCTTCAGGAGAGAGCCAATTTCCTTCTCTGACTAATGGCATAATACTCACTGACTTGTATGTGACTCTGCATATGTTTTCTATATTATGGTAGAGTTAGGTTTGTTTATTTGTTTTGTGGCCTTTCAGCACAACTTAAAATTATTAGGTATTCTTGAAAAATTGTCCACTGTTTAGTGCAAGAAATGTATGTGGGAGGGAAGATTAGGGATCGTATTTTTTTGCCATATAGTGTTTTGATCTAGAATTAGGTTTGTTTATAAAACCAGTATTAGATAGTAGATAGACTTTTCTGCTATGCTTGGTTCTATTTCCTAGAAACACATGGATGTATATATTTTACTATGGTAAAGTAGGTAAATTACTCACTTTGAAATTGTGATCCACAAATGGTTTCTATGAATACCTTTAAGAATATTTTGGAATACAGTTTTTTATTAACTAATTGCCACTGTTTCAGATTCAGATGGTGTGCTAATATCAGAATCTTTCCTTTTCAGTATCAAACTCGAGATTTTGACAGGCGAATGCTAACCTCAGTCACACTGGATAAAACTCAGATGAAAAGCAGGCATTTGCATTTTAGCAATGAGAAAAGCAAATCTTATCAGAGACCTTTTCCCATGTGGAGCTGATTCCTTTGAATCTGTTAAGAATTCTTCCCAGAATTAGAAACAAACCTATACTTTTAGGTACATGTTTGTACAGTGGTTTGATTATTAAATCTTGTCTTAATTAGGCAAAATGAAGACCAGAAAACTTCAAAGTCCAAAGCTGATCTTTATATGTTAACCTCTCTCAGCTTGGGTGTTTAGATGACTCAAGCAGGTCGCCAGTTGGCTTTTCTCCAAGGATGTATTCCATATGTTTCATCAAGTTGGCATATTCACGTTGGGTATTCTCCAGATTTTGAAAATATTTTACCTGCCCTCAGTTGTCTAAGGGGACAGAGAGGAAGCTTATTAAAGAAAATATCAAACCCATGTCCTATCCTGAAATATTCACAATAGAACGCTTAAGAAGTGAGTGGCTACTGTTCACCTGCTTCCGTGACGTGACAAGGATGTTTATTTCACATTGGGTCAGATTCATAACTTAGATGCCCAAAGCTAACATGTTTCTGTATAATATATTGCTGTATACTTGATTTAACCATTTAGAATGCCCATTAGTAAGAAATCACCACAGAAATTTTATCATTTTTCCCCATTTCCATGGATGAACCTTTATGAAACCCATTCATACTGAAGCGATGGTCCTTACTCTTGAGATACTTATAGCAGGAAATACAGGCACACATGAAGATGTTGACATACAAATGACATATTTAAATATATCTTCTTTTATTTCCTTTTTATGATTCTTTTTTGAGGAATTTAGAGAAACAAAAAATGAAGTGGGAACAAGAAAATATAAGTAGGATTATTTCTAAACCTGTATCAGATTAAATATGATGGGCTTCCTGGTATAAAATTTGTAGTAATGTGTTTGAATTACTAATAATCTTTAGAAGAATTAGAAACAAAGCTATATAGTTTTAGGGGCATGGGTGATGCAAGGATTGACTTATTAAATTTGAAAGAGTTTTTCATATCTTGCTATTATTTTAATGTGTTTATAAAATATTCATGTTCAGTGTAACTACATAATGTAACTGTTATTAATCATACAAAATAATTTACCTACTTGTTGCCTTATACTTTAATATCATATTTGGGATATTTGTGGGATAGTTGTGTGTTCTAAGATTATTTGCCTCTTACAGTTACGGTGTAAGTGTTCAAGGGCTTAGCAGAAATATCCCTGGAATGGGCTTGTATAGTATTTATACTGTTATATCTGCCAGTAAATAATGGGGAAAGTCAGAAAGGAGAGTGCTGGGCTGGAGAGGAAACCCTGTGAGAATGATTTATCTCTGCTCATGAGTTTGAATATTCTATTTTTCACTGAAACTGTTTTGAGAAGTTTAATCATAAAGAAATCAAGGCTTACAACATTTGATCTTTTGTTTTCTGAGACATTTTACAAATCAGAAATGCATTAAACAGGTTCTATTGCTAATATATGGTATTAATATTTTTGTGCAATGATGTCATTGCACATTCATTTATATCATTTTTCCCCAATACCATGGAAGAACCTTTTCAAAAAATCAAGAGTTTCTTTATACCAGCATCAAGGGAAGACTGATGCTTTTGCCAGTACACCTTGCTTTTCTGATTGGAGGAAAAAAGAGTTTCTAAAGTAGAACTTCCCTCAAATACAAAATATCAAACAAAAAGTAATAAGGTATTGGTAATTTTCTCCTGGGCCCATTTCAAGTTTAAATATTACCACAGGATTTTTTTTCTGGTGAAATAAAACTGTAATTGATTAAAACAGAATACGTAACAGTTGTTTAGACATACTGATGATTTTAAAGAAGTATTCTAAGCACTGCCTAAAAAATAAAAGGGCAAATCTCTAGTCACTTCACTATTTGAATGATATATAGAAAATTTTCAAAATCTCTTTAGGCATTTTTGTTGTGAGGTAATTTGACATAGATCTCTGCCATGCCCCATCCCCTTGACAACATTATTCTTTATTTCTCTGTTATAGTATTAATAGAATTGCACTGATTCATGCCTAGCAGTTTCTATTTTAACTAGAATATTAATATCTTTATTAATATCTGTTTTTCATATTCATTCCATTAAATCCATAAGAGCAGGAATTTTAAGAAAATTCATACTTTGTTTAGTAGTTACTTTAATGAATTATTAATCTATGTATGGATGCGTTAAACAAATCATTAAATACTGTGTGCAGACACAGTTTTAAGCACTAAGAAAACAACCTTCAGTGTCCTCATGGAGCTTATAGGATGGGGAGCAGGAAGTGAATTATTGAAATAAACAGTAATACAGGCCGGGTGCAATGGCTCATGCCTGTAATCCCAGCACTCTGGGAGGCCGATGTGGGTGGATAAGCTGAGGTGGGGAGTTCGAGACCAGCCTGACCAACATGGAGAAACCCCGTCTCTACTAAAAATACAGAAAATTAGCCGGGCGTGGTGGTGCATGCCTGTAATCCCAGTTACTCAGGAGGCTGAGGCAGGAGAATCGCTTGAACCCAGGAGGCAGAGGTTGCAGTGAGCTGAGATCCTGCCATGGTGCTCCAAACCTGGGCCACAAGGGTGAAACTCCATCTCAAAAAAAAAAAAAAAAAACCAGTAATACAGTGTGTTAAGTATTAGGAAAGGAGACATAAGAAAGAAAACTGATATCTTTAAGGAAATAAAATTTGAGTTAATTACTTCTCTGGATTATCTTGTTCTTATTATATCTCACTCCCTTTCTTTTTCTTTCTTGCTTGCTCGCTTGTTCTCTTGCTTTCTTCCTTTCTTATATGCTCTGTGATAAATATCTTGTGCATTCCTATGACTGGCTATCAGCCAACACTTTTTTAAAAACTTACATAAATCATGAGATGATATCTTATATATGCCAAGGTTCGGTCTAGATATAAGTATTTATTATATATTTATTACTGTGATACTTAGGCATTTTGACATGAGTGCTATTTTATCATAATAAAAATATATCTAAGACAAGACCAGTAAATGTGAGGTCAAGCAGATGTACTGTGTTGCCCTTATTAAAACAGGTAGATGTTATGTTTATGTTCTGACAAGCAAGGCATGAATATAATTATGCTCAAATGCTGGATCTGAGCAAATGGAGAGCTTTCATTAGCTTTTGGAAGAGAATTTGACTGTTTATTTGAGTAGTATCTGTATTATTCCTTTTTTGACATAATTTTCTAACATGAATGTTATATATTCTCTGAAATCCTCTTGATTTATACCCATTCCCTGTCCCCAACCCTCCATCCACAGTAACCTAAGAGAGTATATTCCTTCATGCTTGTGGTCACATACAAACATAGCATGCATGCCTGTGTGTGTGTTAATGTGTTGCCTTGTGAAGTGTCCCTGAAGGCAGTTATAATGTAGAACTATTTTGTGCACTATTGAAAAAAGTATAAGTTTTGAGAAGGAGATTAATTAGAAGAACAATTCTTTACATGTGTCTGTATTCCAAAAGTTTACATTTTTTTAAAGTTATACTTCATATTCTCAAACAGATACTTTATATTAGCTGTATTCTAATGTAATTCTATCCATGGCTTACTTGTAAGCAAATTAAATGTTAAGTATAATTACACAAGGGCCATTTACCCACTTTTGACTTTTTGCTGCACCTACTTCTTCTAGTGTACCTCTTCCTCCCCTTGTTTTAGGCACTGTGCATCTTTTCAGCACCTTCTCCATAGATACCTTAGGGTAGGGTCATTTAAAAACTATCAGCTCACTTTTATATGGAGGATCTACTATAAGCTGGACTCCATACCAGAATTCTTACGTCTATCTTCCCTTCAACCTTAACAACTCACTCTTTTTTAGTTCAAGAAAATTAATTTTACAGGGCTGAAGTAGATTGAGCAAGGTGGCAGGGCTAGTGCAGAGCTGAAATCCTAACATAGGTTGTATGACACAAAAGCCTGTCCTTAATCATTTGTGCTTATGATTACAGTCTTATTTTATGACCAAGCAGGAAACCGGCTTTTCCTAATTTTATTTTTGTCTAAAAGTAGAAAATTCACAGTTAAAAACAAGGCAAACAAACATTAAAAAAAATAGGGTGATCTTATTTTTCTTTTGCACCGGTTTAGATTTGCCACGATGAAGAAATCCCCTTTCCCAGCTCTGCCTCCCAACTTCACACACATTGACCTCCTTCAAGTTACTCACTTGGCAGTCTTTGCACGTGGACCTGACGGTGAGACATTCAGATATCCTGTTGGATTATAAGGCTTTCCAAACGGTGCAGAGTGAATGCAGTACAGAGCCAACTACAGCCAGGCCACATTTCATTCCTTTCTCGCATGTTGTCACATTGCCGTTGTTTTAGATTGGACAAACATCTTCTCACGGAAGTTCTGGGCAAGCCTGAAGCTGGAAGTTACCGACTTCATCAGGTTCAACTGAAATGCAAATGTTGGCATCTCATCTATGGGTGGTTGGAAAATGCCTTGTTTTATGTTTTGAAAAATGGATGAGTAGAAACTGGAACTGGGCTTTCATTTAGGAAAGTAGGCATTAGTGTTGTCAGGTTTAATTTCTCTCCATCCATTTGACAGCTTGTTTCCATGCAGGGTCTTTTAATCACCAATTTAGGATTACATTTTGCCCATTACATGGATAGTATGTCCAAAAACTTTAGCAAGCATTGAAAGGCAGTCTTAATTTTATAACAGTAAAAAGCCTCCTAGATTATTTATCTATCTATAGAGGTTTATAAAAGAAACTTTGACGTTACCCTTAAATCGATGTTATTCTGAGATAATTGGCCCAATATAAATAGATTCTTTTAAATACGTAGTACTAGGTCTCCAAAAAAATCCACTTATAGAATACCAGCTTATATCATCACAAGGAATTCATATAGATGTATTTCACTATATAATTACAAGTTGATGGTTTCTAACATACAGAAAGTGGCTTGTTGCTTTATTATTAGATGTGATGAAATCCTGTGTTTGGAAAAGAAACAAAATGACCATTTCAGTGGATTAATGTGCAGCATTCATAAACATTCCCAGTGCTGCTTTCATAACTTGGAGACCAAGGGAAGGGACCTAGACCTTTCCTTTTCACTCTGCACTGTTAATCTAGTCAGAGACGCTTTTATTGAATGAGAAAAACAATAGTTGGACATGACTATGAGGTAAGAAAACGGGGGGAAGAAAAATATCTGGGGAATTAAACCACGTGAATTGTTTGATTGATGTTGATTCCAGGCAGTTCAAAGGGAAAGGGAAGCTAAATAATTTGGTTGTTTCCCAACCTTGACAAGTAGTTTCATGTGACAGAATGAAAAAATTAGGTCTTGCTAAGGAATTTTTAATATAGTTAAGTGATTTGTAGACATGAAAACTGCCAGTGGGTAGCAGTCTCTTTTTTTTTTTTTTGCATATTTTGGTAGCTTGCAAGTTCCTGGTTTTAGTTCTTTTTTCCTGTATCTTTCAGCTCTTCCTCTAACTACTTATGAAATCTGAGGAACTACAGTGACCCTGAAATGTCATCTGGTCTAGAGTATTCCTCTTCCTGCAGGCAGAATTGCATCCAGAGCTATTCTCTCATATCTTAAATGTACTGCTGCTCTCTTGCTATTAACCTAGTTGTATCAGCTAGCAATATAAAGTCCTGCAACAGTCTCCGGTCATGGAATAATTGATGATGTTCCACAAAGACTTATCTATTAACAACCATTACACTTCATTCTGGAAATGAAAATAAAGAAGGCATGTTCTTTCCCTTGAGTGGCTCAAAGACCTGTAAACAGATCATTATAATCAAATATGATTCTATCAAATGCATAGCTCACATGAATTGCAAAATCTATCATCTTGATAGATTTTTCAAGAGAAGTTTCTGAGGTCTTGCACAATTATTTGTTTTGCAATATTGGTCAAGATATTCAACCTTTTTGTTTAATAATTCCATAAACAGCAAATTTTTGAGGTTTACAGTGAGGATTACATGAGAGAACATATCTGAAAATGCTTTGTAAACATGATAAGCACCACTAAAATCTTATACAGTATTTATATTCTTCCAAATCTTAGCTATTGTGGACAGTGCTGTGACAAACATAGGAGTGCAGATATCTCTTTGATATACTGATTTCCTTTCTTTTAGGTATATGCCTAGCAGTAGGATTGCTGGATCATATGGTAGCTCTATTTTTAGTTTCTTGAGGAACCTCCAGACTGTTCTCCATAGTGGCTGTACTAATTTACATTCCCACCAACAGCGTACGACGGTTCCCCTTTCTCCACGTGCTCACCTGCATTCATTACGGGTCCATCTTTTGGATAAAAGCATTTTAACTGGGGTGAGATGATGTCTCATTGTAATTTTGATTTTCATTTCTCTGATGGTTAATGATGTTCAACATTTTTTCATATGGTGTTGGCCATTTGTATGTCTTTTGAGAAGTGTCCATTCATCTTTTGTCCGTTTTAAAATCAGATTATTAGATTTTTTTCCTGTTGTTTGAGTTCCATATATATCCTGGTTATTAATCTCTTGTCAGAGGGGTAATTTGCAAATATTTTCTCCCATCCTGTGGGTTTTAGCTTCATTTTGCTGATTGTTTCCTTTGTTGGTCACTGTGTTTAATTGGGTTTGCCCTGCTTTCCAGTTTACCAAAGTAAGGAATTGATCAATGGGGGAAATGGCGATGTTTATGAGTTGGGAGAGAGTGATTCATTGGTTTGAGATTTTGTCTATTCTGAGACCCATTCCCAAATCATCAATGATTAGCAAAGAAAATAAGGATGCCTTTCCACACTGTGCCTCTATTTTCTACTCTTAAAGAGAAAAGGAGGAAAACTTGGGCAGAAAGTATACTGTCACCTGAAGGATCCTAAAGATTATCAGGGAAAGAATCCTATTAGGTAATTTTTAAAAGGACATAAAATTATGCAGTGCTATAAAAGAAGGGAAAACTGCTTATTTTTGTCCTAGTTAAGAACACTGCCCCAACCCCTGCCAAGAAATCTTGGTTAAGAATTCCACACTCTTGCTGAGGATTGTATGTTTTGAAAATTCAGTCTTCCTCTTTCTACTTTTGCTCCCTAAATCCAGTCTTCCATAGCAGCCAGAATGATCATTTCAAATGCAAACCAAATCATGTTATGGTTAAAACACCCTACTTGCTCCCTCTTGTTTGTAGGATAAAATCCAAACACTTTTACATGGCCTACAAGGCTGTCATGATCTGATTCTTGCCTCCTCCCTTGCCTTCATCATCTCCTCCCTTCCCTCTCTCTCTAGGCTCCAGCCACACTGGCCCCCTCTCTTATCTTTGAGGAATCTCCTTCCACCTCCAGGAGCTGCGCCAGCCACTATTTTGTGTGGAAGGCTCAACCTCCACGTCTTCTCACGGTTTGATTGTGTTTTGGGGTCTGTCTCAGCTCAAACCTTACCTGTTGAGAGGGGTCTTTATTGCCCATCCAAACAAGAGTAAACACAAACACCCACCTGCTCACCCCTTCTTTCAGCTCCCTATCACTTCGAGTTTCATTTTTCAGTTGCTAATTTTCTGCCTCCCCTACTGTGTGCTGGGATCTTGCTTGATTGACCTTTCTTTTCCTAAGGCCTGGCATATAGTAAACGCTCAATAAAAAATTATTGGAAGAATGAAAAAATGGGTGGGCAATGTTCTCAAACTAGTTGGAACAAACCTTCAGTTTCCTTCCCAGAAGGGAACACTTATTGAAGTTACTGAAATATTAGCAAGTTTTGAGAACCAGAGGAAAAAAAATTTAATTGCAGGCATTGTTTTGGACAATCATTTAGAGTTAAAAAGATGAAGCAGCATTTATTAAAAATTCACTTCATGCTGAGATTAATTTTGAACCTCTTTAATATTGCTTAGAAATGGTATTTTTCAGTTTAGACTTCAATTTGTGTGAATAATGAACCAATATTTAGAAAATCTTTCTTCTCTTGTTATTTAATTTTGGTTCATCTGATTACTTCCCTAAAATACACAGAAGCAAAATGACATGGAGTATTATTTTGGCTTGAGGTTGGAGTTCTACTCCAAGTAGACCTCTCAATTTGAAAGCCCTCCAAGCTCTGCATGTTGTTTTTTGAGAACAGTTGGTCCATACCTAATCTATTTGTGAATTCAAACAGAATTTTATCATTATTTTTAAATCTAGTTTCCTTGGAGCTTAAGGGAAATGTTTTATTTTCCAAAGGAAGAATATTACATTTATTTAAAAGAAAAAAAAAGCAAAAAAAAAAAAAACAAAACAACAACAACAACTTCTGCTATTGCCATTCCCCAAGTACAATCTGTCTTAAAATCTGAGGCAAAATAAGAAAGTGATGAGTTGCATTGAAGTTCACTTTGCATAGTTTAATAATCATATTCAAACACTTGTATTTAATGGTATGTTGACAATGTCAGAAAATCAGATGTTTATGAGGAACAGATTTATTCTTACATGATCCTGTTCTTAGTTGATATTTTGTATCTGAAGATATTTGTTGGGATGCAAAGGATTTCTGTGGGAAACATTAAAATTATAGAATTTAAGCATATTTTATTTAAAAGTACATATGCTTATAGAGACTTATAGACTTGTATCAAGTTATATAATTTACACAGAGGTGAACTTAAAGTGCTAACATATAAACATTAGTGACAGTCTTTAATTATTATTTAGTGAATTTTTCATCATGTGCCAATAGAATATATGATGTTAAACATGGAATGTGAGATTCTGAAATTAAGGAGTTTGCTATAATTATGACCTGAGCAGGGATTGATAAGAATTGAAGTTTAGTTGTAATCCTTGAAGACTTTTGAAATTTGGATAAATTACGATGGTATCTGGCACACAGAACAACATCTGTTTGAGTATATGTAAGTGTGTGTGTGTTACAAACTCAGAATGGTCATAGGCTGCCCGTGGCATGCTTAGTGTTCGGCCCAATTGCTATACAGTAGCACAGAGAATAGAGAGACAGCCTGACAGATGAGTATGAGCACACACAAAAGGCAAAGGAGAAGCTGTGCAGCTGCCCTCTTCTTCATCTCTGCTGGGTTCCCCACTGAAGTAACTCACCTGGTGTCAGACGAGTGGCACACGGTGTGTTTTACAGATGAGGCCTCAGCAGAGATTCACACAGGCTTGCACATTTATCTGTCCCACAGATGTTTCGTCTTCTGTTATCTAGCCAACAAGGCAACAGCTCGACTTTGCTAGGGGATCACCTCCAGATGTTCAACCAAAGAGAGACCCTGCCACCCCACTGAGAGTAAGCAGACATCTCCTCACTACATCTGGGGCCACTCAGTGACAGTACAAATTAGAAAAGGGTTAGCCCATACCAGCTTTGCAGTGGTCATATTTGTAGTTGAGAAACACATAGAAAACAAATTCCAAATACTCATTTTCCTAGTAAATAGTCGGAAATTTACAAATAGCACAAAGTAACTTTTATAGGAAATAATTCAAATCTGGCAGGCAAGAATTTCTCTGTGACTTTTGTTTGTAAGTTTTCCTTGCTGAAGTTAATTGAAAATTTTTCCACTGTGACAAATTTGACTGTTTAAACAAAAACAGCCTTAGTCAGATACCTAAAATAAGAAGTGTAGATTAACTCCCTTTCTGCATTTATATTTTGCAACACTGGCACCGGATGTCCCATTTGTCTTTTTTGTATTTTGTGAATCTTTACAAAGAGCATATTTTATTCCAGAGAAGATGAAAAACGGGTAGTTATTGCTCTTTTAGACATTGACTTTGTTTTGTAACGTAGGAGAAAAAGTGTCAAAGCATTGTTACTAAGCATTAATAATTTTTTCAGAAACTTATGAAGCTCCAATTAGGTGTTATGCAATGTATCAGGTACTAGGATATAAAATGATGAAAAACATATAGCTTATGCCCTATGAGATTTATATTATAGTCTGGGAGATAACTATATTGTAAACAAAGATAGCGATATGATGCCAGACAACAATAAGGACTCTAAAGAAAATATATTAATGAGATAATAACAGAGGTAAAATATGATAAGAAGGAGCCAGTCAGGCATGTAAAGATTTGAGGGAGTAGAGAGAGCACGGCGTAGACTCAGGCCTTGTGGGCGAACAAACTCTGCATGTTTTTATTCACGGGGCAACCAGAGGCCAGGGTAGCTGGAGCATGTGAGAAAGAGAGAACAAGATCCCAACTAAGGTCGGAGAAGTTGGTGGTGCCAGGTTGTCGAAAGTCTATGGACCATGGTAGGAGGTTTGAATTTTATTATAAGCATAATAGGAAGTCAGTGGGGGATTCTAAGCAGAGAATTAATGTTACCTAAATTATATTTTAAAAATCATTATTAGAGCTACTGTAAGAGATTGTACTGTTGAGGGCCAAGAGGGCAATCAAGGAGCCCAGAGTAGGGCCTTTGGGTAGTTTAGGGTGAAAATGATAGTATTTAGGAGCACAGTAGTAGCAGCAGAAATGGAGAAACATGTTAAGATAAAGCCTTTATTTTTGGAGGTTGAATTGCCAGGGCTTGCTCACAAATTAAATGAAAAAGATGAGTGATAGAGAAACAAGGATAAATCCCAAATATTTGGCTCATGCAGTTGGGTAAAGCTGTTTACTCAAATGAGAAAGATTGGGTGATCAATACAATTGGGTTAGATGGGAATAAAGGTTATTTTTGAGGTGTTTAATGTTTATGATGCCTATTAGATATTCTAGATCTAAGAAAACAAGTTAAGTACGCAGCTAACTATGCAAGTTTGGAGCTCAGGGGAGAGATTGGAATTGCTCCTATTAATCCAGTTGTCATGAGAATATATAGCTATTTCAGAGCAAAATGTGGAGTAGAATGGTATAAAAAGTTCTAGGTTTCTACTCTTTTTTTTTAAATCAAATTCATATCTTACAATCTTAGAGATGACTTGTCTTTTTTGGGCATGAGATTCCTTATTTAAAAAATAAGGTTTTTAAGAATGTTATTAAAAGATTTTCAAGTCCAGCATTTTATATCTATATGTTTTCTACTCAGAAGTTACTGTTTTATATCAAGAAACATTTCTTTTACAAACCATGAAGGAATTCTGCTCTTGGAAAAAGATCACAACGTTATTTATTCTGGCTTTTTTCTTCCCCATGTTTCCTTTGATAGATCAGAAGTGTAGATGAAGCCAAAGAAACTGACCGGAACAAATAGAATTATTTCTGTATTGCATATCAAAAATTGTTATATATACTGTCATATGCATATCTGTGTCAGTGAGGTTGTAAATACTGACCAGATTTGATTAATGGACTGAACAATGTGATTTCTGGGTACTTCAGTGACTTCACAGGTCAGATTTCAGAAGGTCTTCTGTTAAAATGTACATATAATACGTTCCATGGAAACTCAGGGGTTTGTTAATATTAGAGATTTTCCTTAACTTGCTAACGATGGGAAATTATATTCTAGTAAATTAACACTCAGTTTGTCTGGTCTTTGGCTGCAGTGGTAATACCAGTCTCTTATTTTCAAAAATGCTATGATTTTTGTGTTATTTCCCTTTCTAAAATGTTTCACCTTTGCTGCCACCTATTAATATCATATTTAAATGGCCACTGGATTTGGCATTATTGCAGTCATTATTGACCTTAACAAGAGATTTTGGTTAAATGGTGTAGAGGAAAGCCTAAAGAGAAGGGGAAAAGAGAAATGAAGACAGTGAAGAGCGATAACTCAAGAAATTTTATTGTGAAGGGAGGTATGTAATGGTGTGGTGGGGGAGGAGGTCAAGGAAAGTTTTAGTTAAGATGGATGATATTGCTGAAAGAGTACTAGTGAGAGCATTCCAGCAGAGAGGGGATCTGTGTGATGGAGGACACAGTGGATAATTGCAGGAGTGGAAGGGATCCAGAGTGTAAGCCAAGGGGTTGACTGAGATAGGAGTGCAGACATTTCACTCATTGCAACAGCAGGAGGGGTGGATGGGATAGCTTCATAAATGTGCTGGTAGCAGGAGGCTGAGTTTCTCTTCTGATGCTTCCATTTTCTCAATGAAATGAGAAGCAAAGGTATCAGCAGGGAGTGAGGAAAAGGGGAGAATGTTAGAGATTTGAAGGGAGAGGAGGTAGTACGAGACGGTGAAAGTAAATTAACTAGAAAAGTGGAATAGGGTTGCTAGGCAGCACTGAGACCCCATTGGAGGGTGTAGTCATGAATTTGGAGAACACTCAGCATGATCGTAATTTGTTTGTTTGTTTCCTAGCTCATTCAGCTGCTTGGGTTTGGCAGAGATTTAGTATTGACCAAGGTTAGAAGTCTTATTTGTCCAGTAAAACCCATATTGAAAGGAGCAGGAGCACTGATGGTAATATAAAGGAGTGGTTTTCAATGAAGTATGGAGCCTAGTCCAGAAAGGAGGGAAGTGAGCAAATGAAGGGGACAATATGTAGTGAGAATGTGGCTTGGAAAACCCACTAGAATGAGGAATGGTTGGAGTCAGACTATTCTGAGAAAGAGCCAGAAGAAAGGAATGATGTTTGAAATTGAGATTTAGAGTAATGCAGGGTTACTGATAAAGATAGGTCTCAGGTAAGGTCATAATGTTGGGGAATGAGGTCAAGTGGAGGACAAAACCATTGGAGGTTAGGAGGTTGAGACACTGAGAGGCCATGTTGTGGCCAGGGATTAGGAAGGAGAAGAATCGCAACAGAAGAGTCTTTTTACTTGGTGGGTGATATTTGTGGCTTCCTCTTAGTTATTGAATATTTCCTGTAGTGTCAGACATCCAGAAGCTAGCTAGGTTCCAAGTCGCGCCCTCCCTCCCCCTCACCCCCCAGTAAGCAGGGACTTCCGACATAGCATTTCCTGGACACTGGCTCTCTGGCTAATCTTTCATCCGGTACTCAGTTCCTATTCCATGACCACACATCCCGTATAGTTCTTCTGCTATCCTCAAGAGGCCCTTATTGGCAGGATCCTTTGAACACCTCTCCGGGTATCTACTTGAATCCTTAGTGTCATTGGTCCACTAGCTCTACTGAGCAGGTTCCCAGTAACTTTTCAGCTGTGCTGTGTTAGTGAGAGGGAGAGTTTCTACAGCTCAGTGAGCATTTGTCCAGTCTTCTTACATTTGGTTTCTCTGATGGGCTCCTGCAGCCTCCTTCACCTGGCTTGTATCTTTTCTCAGATAAATCCCTTCTTCCCACAAGCTCCCCTCACCTGCTCTTATTTGTAGTCTGAGGTATGAGTAAGGGTTGCAGCACTGACTGATAGTCTCTGTCCCTCTCTCTCTCTGAATAATGAGCGGATGTTTGTTACCCAGTGTCCTTATTCCTGGCATCCCAGCCAAAACTAGGAATTTTTCTTTAATATCTTGCTCGTTTCTATGCTGTTGCATATTCTTTCTTAAACAGCCAATTAAATGGGTTCCTACAACTTTGTAGTCAAAATTTAGGACTATAATATGGTCTCTTTTCTCCAGAATCTCAGTAGTGTCCAAAGTACTATGTATTAAAGAAAAGAAGAGCTGATTAGTATTCAGAATTGGGACAAAAGTCCTGCAAATAGTTTCCTAAAATATACTTAAAGTCATCTAAACCATGAGTAAATGAATGTCCTCCTTCTCCCGACTGCCCAGTAACAATGGATGTTAGATGGTAGGCACAAAGGAAATTCATATTCAAATTTCTTCATTGTGATATGAGTTTTGATTGGTATATGTTTTCTTAGCTTGATCTTGTCTGACTTACTTTGGTGATATTTAGGTCTTATATGTGTTTTTCCTAAGTTATATTTTATTTCTCTAGATTCTTACTCTTCACCCAAATATATTATAAATTGTATCATCTACTTTAACATTATCTTTCGGCATGTTCCTCTGGTTCTCAAACTCCACTAGCCTTTTGGTGACTTAGATGCGCTGGTCTCCTTTTCCAATCCAAAGTCCCCACAGACTCTGCCTTCTACCAGAAATGCTCCCCACCCTTATTTCCGCCCCTGCTTCCCACCCCTCACACATGTAACTTACTCCTTTCCATCCTTCATTCTTTGTGTCTAAACCTAAATATAACACTTCCTCAGCTTAACTCCCTTAACAATCCCCATTTCCACTGCTATGCCAAGCAGTATGTGCTCTTATAACACCTTGTGTTTCTTTCTTCAAAGCATTTTGTCATACTTGAAAATAGGAATAAGTATTTGAAGCTTTCTAAGACATTCACTAAAAGCTCCATGAGGGCAGAGCAGTGGCTATTTTTCTAATGCTTAGCATGGTGTCTTGAACATAGTTGGCACTCAGTAAATATTTGTTGAACAAATGAATGAAAATTCCTAATAAATCTACCTACAGTGAAATCAAAGGACTTTGTTAGTGTGTTCAGGGCCATTTGAGGTTGCGTGGACTGCAGGAAAGTCTATAAGCCTAAAGAGGCTGAGGTGTCCATCTAAGTCTGAGTACTTAAGTATTCACATTTTAAAACATGTATTTTGTAATTATGTGTGAGTGGGAGGTAAGCATGAATTTGACAAAGAAAAATCTGCATTCATGTTTATGGTGGTAGTATTATAAGTGTGCTGCTAGTTACAATAATTGGCATGTTGCTTACATAGGCACTGACTTAGCAGAAAACTTAGCAACTCTTGAAAACACAGTTCAAGGTCTGCAGATGATTTGGTCCACAGGGCCACTGTGAAATAAAACAAATGACCAGTGTGAGACAAAATAATCTTGAGACTTTTTCCCCATTTATTGAGCTTTCATGTTATGATATTTTGCTATTGTTTAAGTTAGGCATATTGTCAGTTATCTTTTAAAATCATTAAGCAGTTAATTCATTGACTTCTGAAAACTAAGTTCAATCTAATTTATAAAATAAATAAAATGTCTAAATAATGATTTCCAAATTAAAAAATAATTTCCTGATTCTTTTCTAATATTTAATTTCCATTTGAGTCTGTTCATAAAACATCTTATTGTTAATTTTTTTTAAATCATACACCTCTTTAAAGTTCAGAATATCAAAATAAATATTTCTAGTTCTTACAAATATATATAAGAAGATGCTTTTTCATTTGACTGTCGTTTCTCTGTATAGGTACAAGAAAATTAGACAAAGACTATTAGCATTTGTGTTCTGGCTTTCATAGCGTTTAACATTCGTTGAAAAATGATATTGACAACATTTTTTATCACCCCCTTTATCTTTTGAGAAAAGTATTATTCCCAGGTTCAACTTTCAAAACATGTCCTTTTGAAAGTTTCAGGGTTTCCATGGATAGTTTATTTACCTTTTTCTACACCATGTTCTAACTGCATTAAAGAGTGATCCATTAAAAAGAAAAAACAATCCAACACTTAAAGACCTTATTCACTGCCTACTGGACCCATACAATATGGAATAATGGGACTACTTTAGATTTAGTATTACTGAGGAAACTTGTTGCCTACAAGTTCATTCTGAAATTTATGTTCAATGATTAGAAATCACAGTGTATGAGTTATTAGAAATCAAAGTGTAATTTGCTTCTCTGTTACCATGAAGAACTACTGAATTTTGAACCCCTGAACACTCTCTTCTAGCTGCTTTCGAAATCTATTGAACAACTGAAGCAACCAGGCAGTCACCTTGAGGAAGCAGAGGAAGAGCTTCAGGGGGACCAGGCGATGCAGGAAGACAGAGCGCCCTCTAGTGGCAACAGCACTAGGAGCGACAGCAGTGCTTGTGTGGATGACACACTGGGACAAGTTGGGGCTGTGAAGGTCAAGGAGGAACCAGTGGACAGTGATGAAGATGCTCAGATCCAGGAAATGGAATCTGGGGAGCAGGCTGCTTTTATGCAACAGGTAATAGGCAAAGATTTAGCTCCAGGATTTGTAATTAAAGTCATTATCTGAACATGAAATGCATTGCAGGTTTGGTAAATGGATATGATTTCCTATCAGTTTATATTTCTCTATGATTTGAGTTCAGTGTTTAAGGATTCTACCTAATGCAGATATATGTATATATCTATATAGAGGTCTTTCTATATACTGATCTCTATATAGATATCAATGTTTCATTGAAAATCCACTGGTAAGGAAATACCTGTTATACTAAAATTATGATACATAATATCTGAGCAGTTAATAGGCTTTAAATTTATCCCAAAGCCTGCTACACCAATTACTTCTAAAGAAAACAAATTCACTGTTATTTTGAGTTTATGTGTTGAGATCAGTGACTGCTGGATAGTCTCCCAGTCTGATCAATGAAGCATTCGATTAGTTTTTGATTTTTTGCAACATCTAGAATTTAATTTTCACATCACTGTACATAATGTATCATACTATAGTCTTGAACACTGTTAAAGGTAGTCTGCCCCTTCCTTCCTCTCTCTTTTTTTAGTTAAGTAGAAATGTTCTGGTCACCATGCCAGTAGTCCTAGGTTATTGTGTAGGTTGCAATTGAACATATTAGGAATACAGGTGGTTTTAAATATATAGATGCAAATTGCAGCACTACTTTAAATATTAGATTATGTCTCACATAGCACTGCTCATTTTACTTTTATTTTGTGTAATTTGATGACACTGTCTATCAAAAAAGAGCAAATGAAGCAGATGCAAATGTTAGTGAGAAGTAATGTGCAGCATTATGGTCCAATCAGATACAATATTGTGTCTACAATTGCAAAAAACACAGTAACAGGATGAATATTATCTGATATCAAGTCAAAATCAGTTTGAAAAGAAGGTGTATCATATTTTATATTGTCACTAGAATCTCTTAAGTATAATTCCATAATGACATGGGCATATACCGTAACATTCTGGCAAATAACAATTAGAAAAGATAGGTTTAACAAAAAAATTTACTTGTATATAATGCACCTTCAGGAGGACTATGTCCTTTGATGCTATAAAATACAAACAACTTTGAAGGCAACAGAAGACACTGTTTATTCAAGTCAGTTCTTTGTCAGGTTCCTGCTGTTCTCCTACAGAAAAGTGATTCTGTGAGGGTGAACAGGAAATGCCTTGTGGAAACAGGAAGTCCAAGTGATTCATGTACTGAGGAATGTAGGAAAAAAAATCTGAGGATAGTGCTTTACTCTTTCTGTTTTTAAAGGGCACTCTATGAATTGATTTATTGTCTAAGAAAATAACACCACAAGTAGGGAAATTGTTACGGAAGCTTTTCACTGGAACATTTCCTTCATATTCCCTTTTGATATGTTTACCTTGTTTTATAGGTTTACTTTTGTTAAGCTAGTTAAAGGTTCGTTGTATTAAGACCCCTTTAATATGGATAATCCAAATTGACCTAGAATCTTTGTGAGGTTTTTTCTATTAAAATATTTATATTTCTAAATCCGAGGTATTTCAAGGTGTAGTATCCTATTTCAAAGGAGATATAGCAGTTTTGCCAAATGTAGACATTGTTCAACTGTATGTTATTGGCACGTGTTGTTTACATTTTGCTGTGACATTTAAAAATATTTCTTTAAAAATGTTACTGCTAAAGATACATTATCCTTTTTTAAAAAGTCTCCATTCAAATTAAATTAACATAACTAGAAGTTAGAAAGTTTAAAAGTTTTCCACATAATGAAAGTCCTTCTGATAATTTGACAAATAGCTATAATAGGAACACTCCCTATCACCAACATATTTTGGTTAGTATATTCCTTCATATTAAAATGACTTTTTGTCAGTTGTTTTGCATTAAAAATATGGCATGCCTAAGATAAAATTGTATATTTTTTCCATCTCATAAATATTCATTTTCTTCAAAGTCTTTTTTCAATCTCATAAAAAAGGGATAGTGCATCTTTTAAAATACATTTTATTTGGGGAGGAACATGTGGCTGAGCAGACTTTTGTATAATATTACTTCAAAGATATGTAATCACAAACAAAAAAAACTATTTTTTATAATGTCATTTGAGAGAGTTTCATCAGTACAGTTGGTGGACGTTAATTGTTTGAATTTGATAGTCTTTGAATTTAATCAAGAAACTACCTGGAACCAGTGAAAAGGAAAGCTGGACTTAAATAATCTTAGAATTAATTGATAAATGTCTCTTTTAAAATCTACTGTATTTATTATAATTTACACCCTTGAAGGTGATCTCTTGTTTTGTGTTGTAAATATATTGTTTGTATGTTTCCCTTCTTGCCTTCTGTTATAAGTCTCTTCCTTTCTCAAATAAAGTTTTTTTTAAAAGATCCCCTTTCATACACTTGGCTTTGTGTAAACTTGCCGTATTTAATCGAAGTTGAAGCTTGCACACTAGATCTCATATATCAAAATACATTGCCAGTCTTTGTTGAAACAAGAAAATAAAGACATTTTGAGCAGTTACATCTAATACCATTAAAAACAATAAATTCAGCAATAATGACTTTCAACTATTTACATCCAAAATTTTCAAATAGCTAACACATGTAAAATTTGTTTCATTTTCCTTTTGCCAGTGTAAACTTTTTCATGATATGTTATCATGTTTGGTATTTAAATTAAAATGTCAACTTCTAAATATAAAACTTTATCTAAATAGATGTCAGTTCCTAACTTTGCTCAACTTAAAAAATTATTTTTAAAAAGCTTAACACAATCCCTTGAACATAACAAGCACTCAATAAATATTAAAATGAATAATATTCCAAGTGTCGTAATAATTATGTCTATTACAGTGAGATCTTGAAATACAAGTAGAAAGTGACAGCACATAAATTTAAAGAGAAAATAGTAATTAAATGATCTCCCCTTATATGGTAACAATTATTATAATACCAGTGTGAGGAATAGGAGCCTGATTCAAGTAAAGGCAACTCTGCCGTATTCTAAGTCACATCAGTATTGCATTAGAGTATCAAGAAATCTGGAGCTATAATTATTGACTGTTACAGAATGGATTATCATTTTATAGTGCCATAAATTTGAGAATACAGTCACAATTCTGGAAATACCATTATTGCTAATTATAATTTCCTGAAATTTGCCTTTGAACTATAAAATTACAGGACTAACTTGGTACCAGAGATCCTAAAGTATGAGTTAGAGAAATCAATTAAAAAATGGTTTTATAGTGTATATCTGATTTCTGAAGTGTTATATAGGGTGAGTTTTAAAACAAAGCATCAATCCAGCATTAGAAAACTTTTCATTAGAAAAAATAGTTATTGCCAAGTCTTGAAATAAATAATCATTAGATTTTTTTTCTTCTGGAAGTAAAAATTCACCTTCTCATTGGTGAAGGTGGTTGATGAAGTGTAGACTGCTACTTTTCATAGATCTGAGAAAGATAGTCTTCTAGAAATTGTTATATATTGTTTTATGCTCCTTTTTTTCAAAGGATGTTGAAAAGGAATTCAGACACTAAACCTTTTGTTGAAACCTAGTACTTAACAGATAGATATATATAGAGTATTGTTTTTAATTTGGTGTTTCATTGTGTTTTTTTCAATAATTGAAGTGTACAATTTTGAATCGCTGTAATATGTATAAATTGTAGGTGTGTGATTGAAGGTTTACAATGATAAATAGTTTGAGGTCTCCAATTGTAACTGATTATATCAGGAACTTGGAGATACAAAAGAAGGAGTTTGAGACTATTATTCCCTTTATTATTGATCATTGCTTCATCTCTGTTTTAAGAAGAAAATATTGAAGGCAATCAAAGAATTTGAGCAAACACAAAGGAAATTTGGAATGTGACTTTTCAGTCATGCCAACAACATATCTATGTAGGCTTAAAAACGTTTATATTCTTGTTGTTACATCTAATTTTATAATAACATCTTTGAGGCTATAAACTGTGTTTAGGCAATGCAACTTTTGGGGATCATTTTGATTTAGAAAAAGATGTTTACTTTTATCTATTACAAACACACAGTGCGCAAGCACTTCATATCTATTAGCTCATTTGGTCCTCACAATAACCTGATGAAGGAGGTATTATTATCATCCCACTGTAGAGATGAGAGCACTGCAAAAGAGAAATTAAAGATTTAGGAGGTCTAGCTTTAATTTGAACCTAGGCACTTTGGCACCAGAGTCCCTGTTCTCAACCTTTACCATTGTGCTGTGTTGGTGCAACGATTCTTTATATCTGCCCGATATGCTTACTTCTGTCCAATTTATTCAGTTGTTTCTCTCTCTCTCCTCATTAGCATTTACCAAACTGTCTTGATCAATAATCTTTTTTTAATAGCTTCTATAAATTGTGAGATTAGTGATTAGTACTCTTTTTTTTTTTTCTAATTCTAATGAGGGTTAGGGTTAGATGAAGGTTCTAATCCTGCACACATTTTATTCAACCATTTTTAATCGTGAAAATCTGTAGCCTTCTTTTTTCTGACCATAGCCGGTCCTAGGAGGGACTGAAACAGAGTGGCCACACTTGGTTAACTTTTAGGGGAAGGAGAAAGGATTTCAGCAGGTTCAGAGCTCTCCTTTACTTCTTAGCTTCATTCCCAAACTAACGCAAAGAAAGTCCAGTTTCTAAGCCATCAGGACGCTGCCTTTTACAGA
Source organism: Homo sapiens (assembly GCF_000001405.40). Taxonomy (NCBI): domain Eukaryota; kingdom Metazoa; phylum Chordata; class Mammalia; order Primates; family Hominidae; genus Homo; species Homo sapiens. The sequence continues at coordinate 18,671,152 of NC_000007.14, forward strand.
CTTTTTAAACCTATCAAGGACACGCTTGATAATAATTTTGACTTAAGTAGTCTGTATAAAACGTTGTGGAAGGGAAAAATAGAGACAGTTGTCACGTTCTAGACCTCCTAAGTGGTATTCTAATAGAAAGATGCATAACAATCCTCTCGAGGGAAACAGGTTCTGACCACACCCCTAGAGGTTCTGAGTCTGTTGTTCTGACTGGTTGCTCAGTCATCTACCTTTTTCAAGCCTTTTGAAGAGTCCGATTCAGAAATAATGTTTTGGAGATGGCCAGGTGCCCTAACCACTTCCTGAAATCTGGCCTGATTTTTAATAGCTTTTACCTAAGTTCCTCAGATTCTCTGATTCATAGTTTTCAAAATATCTTGTCTCCTATTTTTGTATATTGTTCTCGGCTTCTTCTGCATTTTAACTCAAGTATAGGCAATTCTCACTATATTTACTGGAATTACTCCAATACGTTTTAGAATATTCATGGTGCTGTGCAGCCATCACTAGTATCTAATTCCAAAACACTTCCATTAACCCCAACTCAAAAAAAAATCTTGTACCAACTAAGCAGTCACTCCCACTCCACGCTCGTTCTTGCCCCTGACAACCACTCATCTGCTTTATATCTCTGTGGATTTGCCTATTGTGGATATTTCATATAAATGAAGTCATGCATTATGTGGCCTTTTGTGCCTGGCTTCTTTCCTTATGCAGAAGATTTTCAGGGTTCATCCACAGCATCAGTACTTCATTCCTTCTTATGGCTGAGTAATATTCCCTTGTATGGCTATACAACATTTTGCTTATTCATTCATCAGTTGAACACACAGTTTTCACTTTTTTGTCTATTATGAATAATGCTGCTGTGATCATTCGTGTACAAGGCTTTTGTGAGAAGATATATTTTCATTTCTCCTGGGTATATATCTAGGAGTGAAATTTCTGGGTAATATGGTAACTGTTTAACTTTTCGAGGAACTGTCAACCTGTTTTCCATGTAGCTGAACTATTTTACTTTCCTGCTAGCAATGTATGAGGGTTCCAGTTCCTCCACATCTTCTCCATTTGTTATTTCCCCTGCCTTATTGATGGTAGCCATCCTAGTGAGTATGCAGTGCTATCATTGTTGCTTTGATTTATATTTCATTAATGACTAATGATGTTGAGCATCTTTTTATTTGCTTATTGGCCATTTCTATAACTTCATTAGGAGCAACATCTAGTCAAGTCCTTTGCCCATTTTCTAGTTGGCTTGCTTGTCTTTTTGTTGTTGAGTTGTAAGTGCTTTTAGATATATTTTGTGTAGTAGACCTTTATCGGGTATATAAGTTGCAAATATTTTCTCCTATTCTGTCAGTTTTCTTTTCATTTTCTTAAGTGTTCTTTGATGCACAAAAGTTTTGAATTTTGCTGAAGTCCAGTTTATCTATTTTTCCTTTTGCTGCTTGTGCTCTTGGTATCATATTTTAAAAACTGTAACCTAGTCCAGGGTTATAAAGATTTACACTTACGTTGCCTTCTTAGAGTTTCATTAATATAAATTTAGCACTTAACATTAGGTCTTTGATCCATTTTGTGTCATACACATTGTTTTTAAATATTCTTCTATGCATTTAAATTATTTTCAAAGAGATATGAACTTCATGATTATTGGACTTCATTTTCTCATACTTTATCTTCATTTTCCTTATTATATGAGTTGATGCAAAAGTAATTGCGGTTTTTGCAATTACTAGTTGCAATTACTAGTTGATTTTGGTCTTGCTTTTCTGATATTTCTGTGGCTGACCCTTGTTGCTTTCTAACTTTTGATACTGTTACTTTTTTCTTCCCAAAATATCACTGAAATGTTACAATCTTGATGTTTATTATTCCTTTTTTTCTGGTGCTCTTTAAAAATTAAATCAATTATTTTTCTTCATGAATATTACTTTTAAAATCCTACCCTCGTCACTCAGTTTTACTAATTACAGTTGAATTTTATGTTGAAGCCAGGTGTGGAAGGATGTCTGTAGACCTAGATACCTGGGAGGTTAGGGCAGGAGGATTGTTGAGCCCACGAGTTTGAGGCTACATTGAGCTATGATCATGCCACGGTGCTGTAGCCTGAGTGACAAAACAACAGCATGTCTTTAAAAAAATTATGTCGAACTAATGTTCATGTCTTAGCTTTGATCTTCATGCCTCTGTTGACAGAATTTCTGGAGAAAGAACCCTAAATTTGCTCTGTCCAAACTAGTAGCCACATGTACCTATTGAACGTTTAAATGTGGTTGGCAAGAATTGAGGTACAGCCTAAGTAGAAAATGCACAGCAGATTTCAAAGATATAGTACAAAAAGTTTATTAATATTCCATGTCTATTGATTACATGTTGAAATAATATTTTAAATATATATTAAGTCATATAACATCATTAAAATTAATCTTACCTGTTTTACTTTTTAAATGTGGCTATTCGAAAAGAATATACATGGTTTGCATTTGTGACTCACATATTTTTATTTGTATTTATGTTTCTGCTTTAGATCGTCTTCATCTCATTTTGTATTTTGTTAATTGATAGATCTCATCACATCAATTTGAAAATAGATGGGCTATAAAACTTGAACAGATGAATTTTTGCTCTTGCCAGTATCTTTCTGTTGCTCTTAATTAACATAGAGGCATAAAATGTTAGTGTTAGCAGAGATATGAGGCATCTGAATGGTTTAAGGGTTTAAAGATCCTTCTCCTTTACCTTAAAGACAACCGAAAGTCTGCCAAATGTTTTATTACCAATATTAGTTGTAAGGAGAATTCACTTACCGCTCCATTCTCATCTCAAAGTTAGTAAATTCATGCATAATGTGTGCTGGTTTTTCCTGCTTTTCCTTTTTGCTGTTGTTGTTGTTGATGAGACCACCATTTAGACAGTGGGATAGATGATCTTGTAGTCATCTTTGATTATCTTCATTCCTTTATCTCCTATAGGCAGTTGGTCCTCCTGTTTCTGATTTCACATCATCATATTTCTTTACTTCACCTTCAGCTTTGCTTTCTCCAGCTACTAGTGAACAGTAAAACAAATCCATGGTGCTCTCATTGCAATAGCCCCCTTTTACATCAGTGTGATATTTATACTACTTCAATTAACTTACTGTAAAATGACAATACCATTTTCCCATTTTCTGTGGTCAACCTACAGTAATTGCTTTCTAATATTTCACTTAAATGATATCAGAGAGCTACAGTCTTCATAATTCAACCTTTATACTCTAACCAGGCACTCACTTCTGCCATATGCCATCTGTGATTTCTCTAGCCCTTCTGAACTCCCCAACTTGAAATCAGTTCCATAGTTTCCCATGTAATTCTTATTTATCATTATCTGTGTGGCATTATGTCTTTTTGGTTTTTGAGGTCAGGGAAAATGTACTCTATTGTGTTCATCATTGTTCCTAGAGCCACTCAGGGAACCTATGAAATGTTCAGCTGAACTTTATTTTAATGGTTTTTGTTTTACATTGTTCTTATTCAGATGTAAATGGTTAAAGGCATTTTCTTCCATACTATGATTTTATTCTCACTTTTATTTTCGATGTGAAATGTGGAGTCATATTTTACTTGATGGGCTATTTCTTGTCCTCAGTGTCCTCCCTAGTAATATATTTTTTAAACTGGCTTTAGTAAAAATAGCTACTATTTTTCATTTTCAGCCCATGGTAAATGATGGAAATATTTTTCTTGATGAATTTATTATTTAACAGTACTCACACCATATTAATTTTTATAATTTATATTTGTATATGAATTATTGACTATGACTTCTAATATCTAGCATACATTTTTAGATAAAAATATAATATCTAGATTAATTTGAATGACCTCTTTATAGTATTAATTTTTCTATTTCCACGTATTCTATAGATAATTTTTTAAAGTGAGAGCTTGGAAAGAAGACAAAATGATTCATATTAATCTTTCTTAGAGAGTGAATCAGCCTCCTCCTTGTGCATATTTAAAGAAAACTTACTAAATGTGGAAATTGATGTGTTGTTTTGACTAGGTATGCATCAAACCCTATGTATGCATCAAAAACAGTGGCATTTTGCATCGTCTTTGAGATCTATGCATGGAACTGCCTCGTACGGTAATATTGATTTTATAGTTAGGCTGCAGGAGTTGCAACTCCAACTTCCCCACCTACTAGCAACTCCATGTGAAGTAAATTACCGAATTCTGCCAAGCCTCTGTTTACTGGTTTGTTAAATGTGGTCAGGAATTCTAAATTTTTCTGTTAAGGAATTGTCAGCTTTAAATGTGTTAACATGTTTAAATAGTGTAATGAGTACTAGCATAATGGGTACACAGTAAAAATTAGCTATTGTTATGAAAAGTAGCATTAATATATCTTGGAACTTTAGTAACTTTGTTCTCCTTGGTAGGAGCTGACCTTACACTCAATATCAATCTTTAATAATGAATAATTTTCTCTTCTGTAATCAAAAAAAATTATAGTACAGTACTTCCCACCTTTTTCATGTCCTAGCACACATAGAAAATGGCAATATGTATACGGCCCAGGTCACTGCAGGAGGCTGCTCAGCCTCTCCTCCCTGCCCCAAGAGTTGAGAACCGTCTAGGGTTGATTCAGCTGCAGCCCTTTCATGACTTACAGGGAAGTTCTCAGGCTGGAATGTTCTTTGGGAGACCCTGTGAGTACATTACTCCTCTTCTTCCTCTCCACTGCCTTTTCTTCTGTCTCCTCTCACCTCCCATAAAAAGAATCCTGGATTTTTTTTCACCAGATTTCAACTAATGATTCACTAATTTTAAAACAACTCTAGGTGTGAATGATTAACATGATCATTGTTCCGAAGGATGTATTAAGAATATGTGTTGATCACGGAGGATCTTTGGATAAGCTATGTCTGTGCCCAGGTCTCCTCTAACTTTAATTCTCACCCTATTATCAGCACCAAAACCATCAATCAGAAAGCAAAACTCAGAAAATTGGCATTGTCTAGTAGCCTATAGGGGGTTCTCTTGTCATATTTGCACTGGACTCTGCCTTTCTTTCTTATTTTTATTTTTATAGCCAGTCAAATTTAGCAGTGCGGGGTTGTATATGGACTCTTTCTTTGGAATCAGCATGAAATAAAGAATGCAAAGATTTTTCTGTCTCTGCTTTTTAACAAATGTTCTGGGAAACTTCCCCCCTCCCCCACCTACTATCTCTAGTTAGGTAAATGCTCAAAGAACTTAGAATGGGAAATCTTGCAATGATTTCTTGATCTTAAGTAATTTGACTGCATAATTTTGCATAGCCATTTGTCCTCTCTCTATTACCTTCTTTTAACATGGTGAAGAATAAGTCTACTTTACACTATATTTTTAGCATCTTAGATATATTTTGGTCATGAAGATGGTGCTATCAAATCCTTTTTTAAAAAACTTAAACTTTTTGAATTATAGCACATTTAATGTTTATTTTTCTACTGTAAATTATAAATTATTTGACTTTTGCTTAATTATTTCAATTGTCTGACAAACTCATAAAAATATCCAACTTGGTTCCTTTATTTTATATTTTCTTTATCACCTACAAATCTTAAAATGTATATATTTTATGTCTTTATATGTTTACAGTGGTTAGTTGTATCTCATTATAACCTTTTTCTGGATATGGAAGCAGATAATATTTTCTTCCTTAAAAGGGACTCTCTTAGGGATTAAAAAAATTCTAATTTTTAATGTCCTGGGGTTTTTGGCATGCTGTTTAAATTAAAATTTTAAAATGATATTTTTGCTTTTGTTTACACACAACTTCCTAAATCTTAGTGATTTTTAGTCTACTTTTTGAACTATAATATCCATACAAACTCCACTTGATATATATACATAGAGTTTAATAAACTTTGAGAAATATATATGCCACTATCTAGATAGAGAATATTTATGTCATTCCAGAGAATTCCCTCCTGCCCTCTTTATACTCAGACTCACATCCTCACTCTCCTCCCAGCCCCAGTCAACTATTGATCTGTTATTCTGACACTATATATTAGTTTTTATTTTTCTAGAAGTTCATTTAGGTGAATCATATAAAAAAGAGTTTGTGATATTTTCAGTCTGAATTTTTTTTCAATCAGAAAATGCTTCTGAGATCCTTCCATGTATGTACCAGTGATATGGTCCTGTTTATTGCTGAATAGTTAGCCACTGTACAGATATGCCACAATTTGTTTATGTATTTGTCTATTGATGGAAATGTAGGTTATTTTCAGGTGTGAGTAATTATGAATGAAACTACCATGAATATCTTAAACAAGTTTCTGTAGAAATTTATTTTATTTCGTTTGAGTAATTACTTAGGAGTGAAAATGAGTTGTACACTAAGTATAGGTTTAACTTTATAGGAAGCTGCCAAATTATTTGTAATTAATTATTGTTTGACATTCTCATCAACAATGTATGAGTTTCTATTACTCTGCGTTCTTGTTTACACTTGATATTGTCGGGTTTTTCTAACTGTATGCAGCTAATGACTGCATTAGGTGGCTCAGTTTTTAAATTGAGGCATGTCTTTTTATTGTTGGTTATCAAATTATATATTTTGGATACAATCTATTTCTACATATGTATGTTACAAATAATTTCACCTACTTTGTCATTGGCCTTCCATTTTGAAGAGCAGAATATTTAAGCACTAACACTAGCACTTGATGTGTTCCATTCTATCAATTTGTTCTTCTATGGTTAGTGCTTTAGTGTCCTTTCAAGAATGATTTGTTTTCCTGCTTTCTTCCTCCAGTTTAAACATTTAAATGAAAGAGCAATTTTGAGTTAATTTTTATATGATGTGAAGACAGGTTGAGTTTCATTATCTTACAGGATTCGATTTTTCAGCACCTCTTTTTTTGAAAAGATTATTCTTGCTCCTTTGAATTATTCTGGTCTATTTGTTAGAAATCAATTGAACATATAAATGTTAGCAGATTTCTGAGCTCTTTATTTTATTCCATTGATCTCTGTCTTTACACCAATACCACAGAATCTTGATTACGGTTGCTATTTAGTAACTCTTAACATTAAGTAGTTTATTTTTATCTGCTTGTTTGTAAGATTTTTTGGTTAATACTAGTTTTTAGCAAATTGATTATGATGTCCCTTAATGTGGTTTTCTCTGTGTACATCCTTCTTTGGTTCACTGAGCTTCTTATATCTGTGGGTTTGCACTTTTTAAAAGTTTAGAAAATGTCAAGTGTTATTTCATCTGATATTTTTCCTGCTAATTATTTTCTCTCTCTTTCTTTTGGGACTCCAGTTACACATAGAGTAGACTGCTTGATACTGTCTCACGTATCAAGTTTCCATATTTTTTTCTTCATGTTTTCTTCTGTACATTTTCCATTGCTGTACACATCTTTTCTTCCTAGTGGATGAACTTCTGTTAATCACATCCAGTAAATTTTTAATTTAAGATCTGGAGGTTTTCACATCTAGAAATATAGATATGTTTTCCATTTGTCTCTGCAACATATTCACATTTTTCTTTAAATCCTTGAGTGTATTTTTGTTTACTTTAAAGTCCTTTTCTGCCATTTTGGGGTCTGCTACTACTGCTTAATTTTTCTCTTGAATATGGTTCATATTTTCCTGTTCTGTTTAATGTCTAGTAAATTTCCATTCAATGTTAGACAATTTAAATTTGCTGTCTTTCTTTAAAGAATGTTCACTTGAAACATTCAAGGCTTGTGTTAAAGTTTTGTTTGTGCAAGTCTATCATAACCTTTACACTCAACTTGGTTTCTCTCTTGCTCCCTAATTTGTGAGTTCTCTGGAGCATTTAACAGGGGTGGATGACACCAGGGAATAATCAATCTTAGCCTAGGACCCTGGTGCAGGAATGAAGATGGAGAGAAAGGATTGGATTTAGTAAAGATCTGAAAAAATAAATCCAGCTATTCTGGGGGGAATGAGCTGCTTCAACTAATTCTTAGTCCTGTATTCACTTTAGAAGCTAGTCACTTACTGGGTCCTACCAAGTCAGTTCTCCAGTGTGGCTTGGTCATTTTCAAGCAGGCTTTGAATTTCTTGGATTTTGGTACTCTTTACATTCAAATATTAACTTTAAAGGCAGATATGAGGGAACAACCATTAACAATTGCCTATACATATACAGACAAACACAGACTGAATGGACATTTTTACCCAAGTTTTTTGGAGGACCTGTGCATCCTACAATTACATTGGTTAAACTATGTGAAAACAATAATACAATCTAGTTTAAATTTTTTTTCTAATCTCCATTTAAAGAATTAGACTTTCTCTTTCTTCCTTCCCTCCCACCCTCTCTCCCTTTCTTTTCTTTTCTTTCTTTTCTTTCCTTTCTTTCTTTCTTCCTTTCTTCCTTTCTTTCTTTTTCTTTTCATCTTTCTTTCCCTCTTTCTCTTTCTTCTCTCTCTCCGTCTCTTTCTTTCTCTCTCTTTCCTTTTCTTCTCTGAGTAACATTGATCCTACTAAATTTATTAGACCGTGTTCTGTTAATTCAGTTACTCTTTAATATAGTAAGAAATAATATGTCTTATGAAAAATTTTAATTCCAGTATGAAGCATAGATAATGGACTATTTATAACATCTAAATACTAGGTAACGTAAGTGTAATTTTTATTTTAAAAATTATTATTTACATTTTGTATATTATATTTTAATGCTTCTATTTAAAGAGGTAAGCCATGGATGTTCTGCAATGATTCTACATTTTCTATGTCTCTAAGTTAAAAGTGCCTTGCAGTCTTCTAATTTGGGATCCCTGTTAAGCAGTTTTCTTGCATTTAGTTTTCCACCACAGTGCTTAGTTCCTGGTTTCTTTATCCAGGATGACAATTACTATGGCATAGTTCATGTTCTTTGCATTAGAAATCAGTGCCAATATAAACCATGACTGATAAAAATGAATGGGACCTACGAACCCAGGGGAACTTTTCTAGAAACATGAAAGTATGGATATGTTTAAAATGTTCTTGACCAAAAGCCTAGAACTGCAGTGGCAAACTTAGAGAAAATTGTGCCATTGGCCTAAAAATTGTGGGGAGCCTACTAGGAGAGTTTTCTCAAAAGATTCCAAAGGCTTTTATGCCTTTTAAAACATTTATCTCTTCATCTTCAGTTGCGTAATGAGGAGGAAGAAATTAAAAGTGGTGGAAAGTGAGCAATAGATTTTATTTTAACTTTGATTCAGAACTATTCAGGTTTTGATTTTAGTTGGTATAGAAATGTGTTCTTAAAGCAATCAGAATATTAGCTGAAGTTAGTGTTAGTGAACCTTGATGGGCAGAGGTGTTTCTTTTTCATCCTCTTTAATTACCATGGACTTTTAGACGGCCCCTAAAGTGAATTTGGAAGTTTTCAACATTTGGCATTCAAGTTCAGGCCCAGGGAGGTTATGTGGATGTATAACTTCTGATTCTTGGATGGTGGGTTGATACTGTATATTTTTTAATGGTTACACTTTTCCTTGACTAGTATAAAAGATTTACTGTTACAGTTTGTGTGTGGCCAGGCAGTGGCATATGGAAAAGCTGTTTCCTGCTATTTAATTTAATTAGCCCAATCACGTGCCAGCCTTCGGGCATGTCACTCTGGACCTCTGAGGCTCTTTGTCTGTCAAGGAGATGAACAATATCTTGGCTTTGTTTGGTTGCTTGGGATGCTGAAGATACAAACCACTGAAATTTTGACTGTTTGTTTAACCAAATCTTTGCATTTTTACCATTTGGCTTTGATTTTGTTTTACAAAAAAGGATGACATTTGGCCTTGGGGAAGTGAAAAAGAAATATTGAGTAGATGAAGAAGAGCTGTTGCTTTCTATGGCTTAATACAGGATTGAGATGATTATCATTTTATAATCAGGAAGTTTTAGTTTTCTACTATTTTGTTGGTAAAAACTGAGGACAATTTTCATTGCATCACTTTAGCCCTAAACTTAGCTGACAAACTGTCATTCTAATTCAAGCCTTCTTCTTTGGTTCATGTGTGTATTTTTGTGTGATTTTCTTCATCTTGCCAAATCTCGAAATCTTTCAGTGAATTCATTGTTGAAAAAGAAAATATTTTGTTTCGTTTTTGAATTAGAATATTCCAGTTTGGTCTTGTTTTCATAAAAAAGATGGTGATTAATACATTTAGGCACCTTCAGAATTGTTCTCAATATTTTAGCCTTTCTTTTAAAGTTAAAGTACTTTTAAAACTTTTTTCTTTTATAGTCAATATGTTCAGTTTTTAAAAATTATCTTTAACAATATTTGTTATTATTATATTTCTTTAGTTTCAAAGCTTTAAAATTAATAAAGAACATTTGAAGAAAAACAGAAGATTTGAAAATATATGCTACAGTATAGGAACTTGATTTGCAATAAGGACTTCTGCCTAAATTTCCAGCAGAATTAACAGCAACTTCCATGAGTCAAAGTTACTTGTCCCAGGTGATCAATTTCTTTGAACATCCAGATTTTAAAATTAGTTGTCCCAGATTTGAGGTTCTTAACCAATTATAGATACATGCACAGTTTAGAACTTCAAGAAGATGTGCCCATGGACTTAATCCTGCACTAAGAAAGTTAGATTAAGTCACACAGAGCATCCATTCCATATGAGCTACTGTCCCAGGTGCCAAGATATCGCCCCACCCTCTGACATCTCTTGGCCTTTGGAGTAACCCATAGGACCTATACTGAATAAATGACAATCTGTCCCAAAGAAAATATCCTTTGTCTAACGCTAATAGAACCATTGCTTCTCAGTAGATTGGGATTTTTTAAGCAAATTATTATCTATTTCATTTTGATAAACTTTGCAAGAAAAGCCCTTACCTCTAATTGCATTTTTAAATTTAGAATAAAAGGTTAAATTTATTAAGAAAAGGAAATGAAAACCTAAAAATTTAAATTCTCTTTACCAACACAATTCTCAGAACATAATTTACATTCACAATACAGACATTTAAAATGACCTTATAATATAGTTTCCACATGCAAAGTATAAATCTTACTTACAAACCTATGATCTGCATAGATTTTGCATTTTGTTTAAGGGCAAGTAAACAATCAATAACAAAGAGAACATTGTGCTTTTTCTCTTCTAATGCTTTCTGTCATCATTTCTTCTGTGTAATTGTACTTAAAACTTCAATCATTGTATCCATTTTGGGATTCATTATTGTAATTTATAGTTCTTTGTGTATGATTAATTTTTCATTTTTATTTTCCTTATATGTATAGAGCGTGATATTTCTGAGGGTACACACATGCCTACACACATTCACACTCACTCTACATATTGATTTTAGAATAAAGTTGTATCCATCCAAGAAAATTTGTTTTGCTGGTAACTTTTAAAGAATGAATATATTTTTAATATTGGGAAACACCCATGTTCTCTAAATAAAATATAGCCATGGCAGAAATGCAGTCCTTTTTTTTATAAAGGTCTTTTTTTTCACTATTGATGTTTTGTTGAAAATGTTATAAAGTATAACAAGACTAAAGGTTGAAATCAAATTAATCGTGAGGTGACAGTTAATTCAGAAATAGAGATCTTAAAAATTTTCTGGGAGGTGGAGGTGGGTGGATCATTTGAGGTCAGGAGTTCGAGACCAGCCTGGCCAACGTGGTGAAACCCTGTCTAATAAAAATACAAAAATTAGCTGGGCATGGTGGTGGGCGCCTGTGATCCCAGCTACTTGGGAGGCTGAGGCAGGAGAATTGCATGAACCTAGGAAGCGGAGGTTGCAGTGAACTGATATCATACCATTACACTCCAGCCTGGGAGATAGAGGGAGACTCTGCCTCAACAACAACAAAAAAAATTTAAAGACAATTTATTTGTTAGCCAAACATAAGGCCCTAGAATATAGGTATTAAAATGGTACAACCTTGTTTCTGCTAGAAAATGTAATCCTTGTGAAATTCTGAACTTTTCTTTTTTTTACAAAAAACGAATAACAATAGTGAAAGTAATTGTGCAATTTCAAATAGAGATTTAGAAACAGCAAGGTGTATAGAAAAAGTCCTTATAATTAAACTTACAAATTAATTTGGCTTGTAGTAAACATTACTCCAAATTTTATTTGCACATTGTCCTAAAATTCTAAATGAAAAAAATAAAAAATACAGTGTCGTTTGTGCCACTATGGTCAAAATATATATAAAGCACAAAACCTGCACCAGTCTTGATCAAGATCTTCCAGCTTCTAAGTTGCAGAACTGTGATCAAAACCTACATCCAGTTCCATGTTCTTTCCATTAAACATCGCTACTTCTGAGCAGAACCCACAGTTCAGCAAAGGGTTTGACATCTTGTCCCTGGTTCTTCTAAAGACTGAAAGTAGGAAGGATCTTTACTTCCCTACACTACAGTTTCATGACCTCTGTTATCCACTGGGTTACTTTGAGGAACAGCTTCCGCTGATAATTGTAATAGTTTATTTTTTGTTTGTTTTATGATAATGGACAAAATTTATTGAAGCGCTTGCTTACTTCTTATAGGTATATTGAGTGAGCTGTTGTATTTTTTCACTCAAAATGGAAAGATAGTGCTGGCAGAAACCAATCTTTACATTGTTTTATTTCAACTCTGCTTGTTAACAAACTGGAGGCATCAAAGTCTGAGATATTGGGAGTTGAGTTTTCTACGTGTAATTTCTATGATATGCTTCCATTTTTCAAACTTTTTTAATTTTCAAGTTTTATTTACTCTAAAATAAAACTAAGAATACTTAACTCATGAAGACCAGAAAACAATATTTGATCCATCTTACTTTTTAAAATCAAAACTATCATGTTAGACCAGGCGCAGTGGCTCACACCAATAATCCCAGCCCTTTGGGAGGACAAAATGAGCTGATCACTTGAGCCCAGGAGTTCAAGACCAGCCTAAGTAGCATGGCAAAATCCCATCTCTACAAAAAAATACAAGAATAAGCCATGTGTGATGGTGCATGCCTGTAGTCCCATCTACTTCAGAGGCTGAGGTAGGAGAGTCACTTGAGCCTGGAGGCGGAGATTGCAGTGAACCTATCATCCCACTGCACTCCAGCCTGGCAACAGAGCCAGACCCTATCTCAAAAAAAAAAAAGTAAGAATATTTAACTCATGAGGACCAGAAAACAATATTTGATCCATTTTACTGACAACAAAAACTTTCTTTTCATCAAAACTATCCTGTTAGGCCAGGTGCAGTGGCTCACACCTACAATCCCAGCACTTTGGGAGGACAAGGTGGGCAGATTGCTTGAGCCCAGGAGTTCAAGACCAACCTGAGGTGCAACAACTCACAAACAAACAAACAAACAAACAAACAAACAATAAAACTATACTGAAAAGGCTTTAATACACCAACTGATAACTTTTAGATGGTTTAAAGGCATCTTCTGATGAACTGTGTCCTAATGAGTGTGAATGGATACCTTTGAGCAAGGTACCCAGATTTAAAATGACATATCTCTTAATTTTAAACGTAAGATCAAGGTCCTAAAATTTGATATAGACTAATTATTCTTCAACAGCTTGGGAACTTTATTTCCTACCCCAAGAGACAGTTGGTTTATGAAGTAACCCCCTACACACAATATATATACACATATATTTATATGTATATGTATATTTATGAGTGAACTTTTTTCTTTGCACACTTTTCCTAATGGTGTCATGGAAAACTCCCCTCCACCTAAGTTATGTTCTAAAGCCAATCTTCTAGTTTTTTATCACATCATTTCTCTTGATTTTAAACATTTGAAATTTGAAGGAAAATGGTTTCTTCTGTAACATGATCCTCTCTATTCAGTTTTATGTGGTTTTCTTTTCCTTGTTACTTTTCCTCCTCAAGGTCCTCCCACTTTTTTGTTGTTAAATAAAATTCGTCTGAATCTCTCTTTGAAGATAATTTATGGAGAGAAACTGTCCTCCACCCTCACTGTGGCTTACCACAACCTCTAGAAAGGTTAGTTGGAGTACACTGAAATAAAAAAAGACTGTCAAACAGCAGTTCTCTAGCTATGGAATCTACTGGTGTTTTGCTGGAAAGCTCATAAAATGAAGTGTCATTATGCACTGTGCTATACCATCCATTGTGTGTTCTAACTATATCACTCCCTTTTCCACTTACCCATGGGAAGCAGCTTACCCAACCAGTCTGGCCTATGTGATGGAGAAGCAAAGATCTGAAGAGCCAGTTTTTTTTTTGTTCTTGGCCAGCTATACAATTTCTAGGTGTTCTATGCCTCAGTTTCCTCATTTGTTAATTGAAAGTGTTAATCCTGATCTTCATCGAAAGACTATGGTTTGCTCACCCATGCTGACATGTAAAGATGACATATAGCCACAGCTTTCTTGACAGTTATCAGGAAGACAGACCAATATTGAATGACCATCTTAGTTTTAAAAATTATTTTTCTTTTATGTTCATATAATTTCCTTTAAAATTCTAACTAGTAGAAAAAAGATTTGTTCAGTGTTTAAGAAAATGTCAAGTGAATGCTGATTTACTATTTTTGAACTAGAATTGGCAAATAGATTTCCTCCTAAGGGGGGTGGGGTGAGATGGAAGAAACATTCTATGCGACAGAGTTTTTGATATTCCTCAGGAATGAAAATAACCTAACTAAATTAGTCATAAAATATATGCAGAAATAGCGTGTGCCAGTATTTAAAGTTTAAACACTATTAAAAATAGTGTAGAATGGCAAAATTTTATTGTTGGTAGGAATGTTAGATAATGACAACAATAACAACAATGAAAGGTAGTAGGGATTGAAAGCTAATTAATTGCCAAACACCATACCCAGTAATTTATGTTTATCATTTAATCACCATTTCATATTTACCAAAGAAAAAATGAAGACTTCAGTGTGGTAAAGCAGAAGTCATACATCTGAACTATGATAGAGCTCAGATTCCATCCCTGATCCATATCCAGAAAGGTTGAGAGGCTGGCTTGGAGTCTCAGTCAATTTGTGGTGATACAGTAACAGACACTCAGGTCTGACTCATAAACTATTCAATGTAACTTCAAAATACAGTACTTTCAACATCAAATCAGAAAAGCCATTTGCTACTATGCTAACTTTTCAACCAAGTCTTCTTTACTCCCTCCAATTATTTTCATGGTAATGTTCCAGCACTTGTAGAAAGCAAAGGCAAAGATGGAATGTGAAAAACTCCTATCAGTCAGGAAGTCACTGTATGGATGGCTTCACAGTTGTGGCCCTGCTTTTTTCCTTCATACTAAACACATGTCTTAGCATTTTTAATTCTTCTATTCATCTCTAGTTCATAAAGCTTACATCTTGTGGTCATGGCTTGGAAGACTACAAATGTCATTTATGAAATCCCCAACTCTTCCATTCTTATATTACATACTTGATGTGGAATTTGCCTTATGTATTAATGTTTTAAAGTCTAAATATATATTCATTCCCTTCACCTCTTAGAATATCTAGAGAAACACGAATTTAGATATATAGCCTGGCATAAATTCTTCACAAATGGCTGAAGTCTCTTTAACCTACCTGGTGGATTCTGAAATTTTAACTCTGTCAACATTTATACAAAACTTTTTCCTCTTCTCCGTACATAGTTATAGTAAAACACTATGTTTAAAAGAATGGTTGGAATCCTCTCACCTTCATATGTAAAAATCCTCATAAAATAATTCAACTAATCTAACATAAACCTTCATTTCTTTAATTGCTTATCACACATCAGAATGTGCAAGGCATTATTTTAAATATTGGACATGGTCCCGCCTGGCTCCAATAAGCTTATAACCTGATAAGAAGAGGGTAAATTATACATATATAAAATTATTAGATAAAAGATGTTAGGTACTACATGATAGGAACAGATACAGTATGCTTTGAGAGTTCATATTTTTATAATTGTTTAAAGTCTGAATTTTCCAAGTACCATGTGCTTTACATAAATATAAATAGTTAATAAACATTTATGCTTTCTAATCCTATCAAAATTCTTAGTGTAGCTTCTTAATGTTATTTCTGTATATACACATTTCCTAGGGCAACACATTTTCCAGCATAGGCAATAAGCTGTTCAATATGTAACATAAGCTAGTAAATAGTACAACCGATTTAAGTAGGTACCATTTAAATAAATCTTCTACTCAATGCACTGGCCATGCCAGATCCCTTTATGTGTATTTGCTTGCAAAACCACAAACTAGTTTACTCTTCTTGAAATAACAGATATTCAAAGGTGTATGATATAATTTACAACAATATTTTTATGTTATAATTGATACTATCATAGAACCCTCATTGATGGGAAATAAATGTCTATATTGGGATAAATAACATCTATACTTTTCAAAAGTCCTTCAGTGAATTTTGCATTCTTTTATTTTTCACATCTCCGGGTATAGTAGTAGATGCAGGACATCATTATTTTGGCAATATTCAGGTATCTTTGATATTCACTATGGAATAAATTATTTCAACATATCGAGAACAGATCCAAGGAGGTGACCTCAAAGACCTGAAGGTTAATTAATGGACTAGGCTATCCTGACTCAAAATGAATAGGAATTCAGAAAGGGAAGAAGAGGGAAAGCTGTGTATTTCTGCAGGGATTCATGACTAGTTAGATGGACATATTTTATTATGTTTTTTCACAAGGGAAACATTTTTCTTCATTGTATATTGAGGTGTGGTCTCTTATAATAAAGATTGTTTTAGTCTTTACCCAATAAATTTTCCACAGTATCTGGTATAAACTCTGGCTAGATAACTTTTTACTTTATAGAATTTTTCCCTAATGTAATGTGTGAAGGAGTGAGGTAGCTATCAGATTTCCATTTATAAGCTAACTGAAAACATGGAAACTCCACAAACAGCCCATATAACCTGAAAATTGAGCAAAATGACTATATATACACACACACACTTATATATGAGCTATGTCTATATGTGTGTGTATTATTTAGAATACTATTTTTCTATACATCAGTTTGTTCTACTCCATTACTCTTTTAGTTTTCAACAAGTGGAATAAAAAATAGGATTTCAAAAGCAATATCATAAAGAATAATATTCTCAGAGAGCAAGAAATGATGGAGGAAAAATGCTGTTTTATAAAGCTCAGTCTGTTTAGTCTAGCCTTAGTTTGACTGCTGACACCGGGAATGCATTTCTAAACTTCTAAATGATGAAGGTTCCATTTCTAGTATATTTATATACAAATTTTATGAATAATGTGCAAATTTACAAAAGATGATTTGCTTTACTCCAATTCCAGTGACATTTTCCAACCAATTATTTTAGAAATATTTTTACATATGCCCTCTATATTGCTGATAAAAGCTGACTCCTGAAGGTTACATGTTTATTCTCTAATAGTTTTCATTTTCCAATTTTGATACTGACTTCTGGGTTCACTTATAGTTGGCACATCCTTTTTTTCCTGTTTACTTCTTTGTAAACCTTCTTCCAATACACAATTACCCACCCCACATGTCTTTTCAAATAGGAGATAATTGGTTAGACAAGTAGATCCTACTGTTTCCACCGAAAAACTAGAAGAAGCACACATTCACGGGAAATGTCTTTAAGTTTATCTTTAAATTGGAGCAGGGCAGAGGTCACTAGCTGAAAGGAAGTCAAAATGACAAGGACCCTAATGGTTACAGAGAAAGGTTAAGACAAGTAAATATCTTTCCATGAGACACTTGGGCTGTTGTTAGCTACCTGGCAAAAACCATTTTCCACTGAAATAAGTTAAAATATCACTAACTTAGAAAAAGTAAAGGAAAGACAGTTTAACTTAATGGAAGTTTTAATTATAGTCTACTTTAAAAGTGATTTAACTTTATTGCTTCTGAACCTGTATTCTGTCACATAAATTAAAACTACCAAATGGGAGCAGATAAATTAAAAATACAGTTTACAAAGACTTACGTTGAAAAATAACTTACAAACATACACACCATTAAAACATTAAAATGGGTTGCTAGAGACTGGCCTAACCTTGGAGAAGAAATCCTGGATTTGGATTTGGGGGAGCTTTCTTTTCTAAACATTATTGCAACTTCCAAATGAATACATTATTTCCCTCCCACCGTAGGATAAATAATGAGTTTAAACTAAGACATGGGAGACAGAGAGAGATTTTAGGTACTACAGCCTTCCTTACAATTTTCAAAATTCAGAAACGCCCATTGGCTTTTCTAGTAGGATATGGCTAAGAAACAATGTCACAAGGGTCAATGGTAATTGCTGCAGAGGATCTAGTCTGAGAGGAATGATTTAAAGGCAAAGAGGAAGAAAAATGATTATAACCAAACAGTCCCTTTAGGAATGTTTTAGGAATATATTAAAAGTTCTCTTAATCAAGAAATTTCTCTTAACCAGATAGTGCCTGATATTCTTGGAGATTTTCAAACTAAAGGTAAAGTTTTGTTGGCTTACGGTTTTACAGCAATGTTGTTTCTAACTGGTTTTATGCAACCACAGTAGCAACAAGGCCTAGTGCTTAGCATGATGGATTTATGGTCCATTTTGGGCTTACGGCCATTAGGATCACTAGCAGCCTAGTTTCCCTTTGATTTAAACAGGATATCATTGGTTTGGTTGGTGGCATATTTCTTCTGTGGCTATGGTTGGCTTAAAATAAGCATTTTTGGTGTACTTGTCAACTGTATCTAGGGAGAGGGAATAATCCAAATTGTCCAAATTTTATTAAGAAAAGAAATCACATTCTTGCATATATCTATAAGTCAGGACACAAATTCCATTATGATGTGTAGAAGGTATTCTTCCATGGGTAATTTTATGCCTTAAATCAAGATTTATTGACATCAAGCAGTGGTGTTTCATCAAATGGCCTAAGCATCCTTGGGAAAGGAACAGAGGCGGTGACTGTAGAATGAGGCACAAAGTTTGTTGAGCAGTCCCACTGGTTCATTTCCAGACAGCATATTGCTGCTTGTCTCTCAACCCTTTTTGCAAGAGCCCCCTCATCTGATGGTAACTAAAGAGGTTTTTATCCATATTTTATATTCCTGAGTGTTAGATGTGAACTTTGAGTAGATAAAGTGAAGAGATATTACTGGTTATAATACGCCAAGATGCAACGACTGCAATTTGCATTTATGAAACTAAAATATTTGTAAATTATATCCCATAACTGTTCATAGGTTATATGATAGGTGTATACGTATATTTTGGTTTTGTTTTGGCAGAGGCTGGTATTTTTAAACTTTGACTCTCCTTTGCAGAGATTGATGCTGAAAAGGTGTCTGTGAGCATAACTTTTTTAGCCAATCCATCTTTTGTGGGACAACAATCCCTGCCAGACATTTCTTTAATGTTTGGCACAATCTATGTCCCTGTTTCTTTTCTGGAATTAGAGCTCTTTTTTTATTCTTTCTGCTGTTCTGAAAATGAGAAGCAGCCGCCTTTCTATTTTCACCAGGGTCAAATTGCTAAAGTACCATTTATTTTTTTTAAATGTGGCTATAGTACACATTGTGCATGAATTTATTCATAGAAAAGAGAAGTCTAATTATTTTGAGAGAAAATCCTCTCGAAATTTGAATAAAGACAGGACAAAGTAACCAATTTTGCAAACAAGACGTACGGCATGCAACTAGCACATTTTGGCATTATGCCTTTTTTCTGTACAATATTAAAAGATATATTAGATTTGATAATAGAGTTGCTTAATGTCCTTTATGGAATTTGCCTCTCCTCACTCAGAAACAAAAGCATATTTCTGTTTGATCATATACCTTGCGATTATAGTTTTCCACTAAGGGATTGTAGGGAAAACAAAAAAAACTAATATTATCAGATGTCTGTTTAATGTATATTTATAAATAACTTCTGTGGAATTCTTCTGTCTTGGAAAATTCTGAGCAAAATGCTAATTTTATTTGCTTTGCAGTATTTACACATGCATAGAAGGTCTTTTCTTAACTCTGAATGAAACCCATCTAATTAATGATGAAGAAAAAGTGTCTGAGACGGTGCATTCAGGAGATAGGAGACATGGCAAACCACTGAGAGCAATTTGTGCACTCAAGTTTATGTTCTGCATAAGAGGGTTACCTGCTACTTCCTAACAAAAAAATTATTTGCAATTTAAGTATTTAACATGTCCTCATTAATGCTAACAGACAATAATCCAGAAGTTTAAATATGTTTTACCAAAACTTTTCTGAGAGGTTGGTGGGTCACTTTGTATTGCTCTTTCTGATCTTATATTCATTTAAGTACCAAAGAGTAGAGGGACTTTCGTAAGCAGTATAAAACTAAATTATATGTTGATTTTTCCGTGGGCTGTTAATGTCTTGTTACCGTGAGGTGGAAAGGGCTGCTTCGTGGTTTCTGGCTTGGTAATATTTGGCTTGTAGGTAAAGGGGAAGAAAACACAGACCACCTGTAACATGAATGTTGACCTCCAATTGCTCTTTAACCAAAATTCCTTTCAGTTATTTCCAAATTTATCTTTGATTAATTTTAACATTTATGCATTCTTCACCCTACTCTGTGTGTCATAAATGGCAGTCCTTTAGAATGGATAATGTTCTAAATAAAATTAACCTGTGTGTAATTTTTTTCCACAATAGATAGAATTCAAGCTAACATAGACTGCAGTGGTCAAAGAGGAAACCATCAAGA
The DNA here is from genome assembly GCF_000001405.40 of Homo sapiens. Lineage (NCBI taxonomy): Eukaryota > Metazoa > Chordata > Mammalia > Primates > Hominidae > Homo > Homo sapiens. The sequence goes on from NC_000007.14 coordinate 18,691,821, forward strand.
TTGCCAATGTGGGGTAGCCCATATTGATCCCAATCAGGTCATATGACCTTGGCATACCAGAGAAGTCACTAAAGAGTGTCAACAAAAGAGAACAGTCTGTGTAACACAACATAAAGAAAAGAGGGCAGACCCTGCAGTGATCACATCTTGTGTTTGAGACCTGCCTTGGCCACTTACAAGTCTCAAGTTCCTCATCAATGAGATGGAGTTAATAATACCTGTCTCCTGGGGTAAATGGTGAATGAGTCTCAGAAAAGACAGCATATTTCAGCCCCATTCACAGAGTTAAGGCTTAATGTGATAGCTACAGATTGGAAAGGAATGAACCATTACTCTTCTTAAGAATACTCAGAAGGAAAAAGCCTGGATGACTTAAGAGAAAACTTTCCAAATTGTGTTTTAAAACATCAGTCCAGGGAGATGTTCTCTTGTCTGATGAGTTTTGTAAGCTTCACATTCTATGTAAGCTTTGTGGAGACACCCGGAGTACTTTAGCAAACTGGTGGCTCTGAGAAATCCTGCAGCACAGCAACTTATTTACATTATTGATCGCAACATTAAAAAAATGACCATGACATTTTTAAAATGTTACTTTTTTATGGAACAAACTTTTTGAAACACTGACCTAGGACATAGGTAATAAGCTTTTAACTCCTCATATCTCAGACTTTAGGTAACAAAACTGAAGTGAACTGTAACTTAAAACAAACCGTCTTTCCTTTTTCTGTGCATTTGAGAAAAAGAAGATTTGGATGTAAATCTATTTATCTCAGACTAAGTTTGGGGTTTCTTGTTAATTTCTGTTTAAAGAGATTTTGTGGGCCACGCAAACTAATGGAGATCTAGTTAGTATATAATACTTTCTCACATCATGTGGCTAAGTTTACTTGTTTGCTAGTCTTGTATATAAACAGGGCTCTGACAATCTAATGTCTTTCGCCAGCCATTTATAAAAGTGACCATGTATATTTTATGGTAAAAAGTAAGTGCATTTTTTGGGCACTGGTAAATAATGATTTGTTTTGTCCTGTTATTTTTTTGTGGAAAGAAAAATCTTACATTTCAGTCAGATGTTTGTAGTAAAAGAAAATTGTCATATTCAGTAGCCGATGATAAATACATTTTTTGTGTTGTTATGTATACTATACTGTTTTAAAGACTAAGCTATTTTTTGGCTTTTTAATTTTTTATTGTGATAAATTTAAATAACATAAAAACTAATTGTGCCCCATAAATATAGACAATTATTTTGTATTAATTAAAAATAAAATAAAACTTTAAAAAGAAAAAAATTTAAATAGTAGCTGAGAATAAAAACTAGATCAACTTAGATATTATTAAAGTCCTGGGACTCACAGAAAACAATACACTGAGATAAGGTTATATTTGACACCTAATTGTTAAAAGGAGAGATAACCAAACCAAACAAAAATAGCATTATTTCTATTTAGCCTATTGCAATGTTTTTGTAATAGTTATTGAAATTCAGAGTACATTTATAAAGCTAAAGGAATTCTTTAATTATTAGATACAGAAAATGTCCTTGAATGGGAGAATAGATTGAGAAAACACAGTACTCTTCCTATTTTAAGAAGGTCAAAATATTTTTAGAGGACATATTTGGTGTGTTTGTTTAACTAAATATTCAATATGAGCAAAGAAGTTACACAATTTACTTTTAACGAAAAAAATTTTCAAATAGGGAGGAGAGAGACGAGGAGAGAACAGATGCTTCTGGTGGTGCAGCAGCACAAATTGAGCAATTGTCCAGTAGGGGTTGCTCATAGAGCAGGAAGGCTGATTGTTCCAGCTACAAGTTTCACAACTTCAAGTAGACTGGGATTTCAAGGCCACTCAAGTGTCTTAGTCGAAATAACCTCTTTATGTACTCCGGAAGTGACCCAGCCTCTGATATCTATTAGGATAAAATAGTATGTGTGAAATTAAAGAATTGCTAAATAAATCATTTGAAGCTTGTCATCTGCCTTAAAATGACATTTTACAAACCACATTTAATATGTTGCTGTGCATTAGTGAGGGGAGCTCATAACTGCTTTTCCAAACAGAATCAAAGTGTAGTTAAATTGTTTTTAAACACAGATTTAGAGAATGAAATTGAGGGTAGTAAACTAGTAGCCAACTAAAGCAAAACAGGCTGGAATGTTGGTAACCGATTGTACACACAGGATCCAAGCAAAACATCTTGAATTGCTAGTACAGTAATAAATTATAGTTTTCACATTTGTATTTTGCAAGTGAAAACAGCACTAAGTCAAGCTTGTGAAATAAAGACCAAATGATGACGTTTTTAATTCACCCACACCTATGATGACCCAGTAGACCTGCCTCATCATGCAATAAATGGAATAACTGAGGCTGAAAAAAGAAAAGACCAGTAGACAGAAACTCCATAGTTTTTGTATGCAATTGTAGATGGGAAAAAATGGTTGAGAGAGGCAAAGGGTTAATTGTCACAAAGGATCTAATGAATGTGTTGATTTCTTCTCCTTCCTTTGTCCCTCTCTCCTCACAAGATGACCCATACCACATTCAGCCAACAGTCAAGGAGCTATCTCATTTTCTTTAGGGTTAATTTTCTCTTCTTAACGTAATGAGATAAATGGCTAAATGGGGTTGGTGTCTCGGGAGTGTTCAGAGGGCAAGAAATGGTCAAGAACTGGTTTATCTCCAAAGTTCATTAGCCTATTAGATAACTGACGCAGGGCACCCCAATTATCTCAAAGAATGAGAGACTTCTAAGAGATGGGAGTCAGTCCTTATAATAATGGAACTTGGCTGCCTGCTTCAGAAAAGAGACTCGCAAATCCCTTTCGTGGAGCAGGACTCTTCTGGGTGGAGAGGATGGGCTGATTTATTTCTCTGTGGTGTCCTGGAGTGTATCTGCCCTGATTGACTCCCTTGGTCTTGACATCAGTCACTTTGGAGTCAAGATAATGAAAACTACATTAAAGAGGCCCCTCCAGTTTATGCAAATGGAACTTTTTCTTCAAAGGGACAATATCCTTGGGAGAATTTCTGTACTATTGAAAAGTATTAATAAAAGAAAATGTGTTGGATATTTCCTCCCTCCTACTCCTCATTTTCTCTAATTTACATAGGAGTGGGAGTGACATTTTTTATTTTGTTTCATTAAAACCCTAAATTTTCCTCATGCTTTATCTAAGGAAGTCAAATTGTATTTAGTCTGAAGGTTGCTGCATGGAATTAGTAAGGACATAAGTGACACTTAACATTATTCTAAACAATTAAAGTTACACACTTTAGGACATCTTGGGACTGGATCAAGATGACTGGAGGAGCATCAGTTTTGCATCTGAACAGGTGTGCCTTAGGCTAACAGGGCAAAAATGATAACACTATTAGCAATGACATCTGCAGTTGTAGCTTGGGTTGCCACTCAAGTTAGAAAAGAATATTATGTTATGTCTATTCAGGGACTCTTTGGGGGAGGGAACACGAGATAATGCTCAAGGAGGGAATATTGGAATCATGTGGGAATGTTGTGTTTCCCTATCTTTCCTACGATGCTAATTATTTAACAAATAATATCAACATAAATGTGACAATAAATGAGGACTGTGTTTATATGACACAGTCCATGTTGACTCAACATTTTTGGAGATTGATTTGAAAGAGTAGAAGGAGTTTCTTAACACAGCATAGTGACACTTCCAATCAGTGACCAGAATGGGACTTAGCAAGAAATCATTAAAGAATGAATAGTTTACTTGGTAATCTCTCTGGTGTTTTCAAAATGTTGCCAAGGTTAGAGATACAGGATTTAGTTTGACCTTGATGTCAGGTTTGTGTTCCTTGGTATTCTAAATTGAGAATGAACGGGTGGTTTATGAGTGTCCAACAGGAGCTTATCCTCACCTGAACTTTCTTTAACAACCAAAAAAAGAGCACAACTTGAAGGATTCTTCCTTTTTCTTAAGAAAAATCTATACCTAGAGAAGAGTGTCTCAGTTTTTCAGTTTTCTCACACATTTTTATTTATTTTCTGGCTAGTATTTTGAATATAATGGACCTAGATGCAGTTTTGTCACACGTTTTTATTTATTTTCTGGCTAGTATTTTGAATATAATGGACCTAGATGGTAAAAAGTTTTATGTAACTATTTCACATATGACTATTTTCCAAAGTGAACTCAAATTGTTACTTTATTTTTGAAAGTTGAAATCTGTAATATCATTCGTACTAACACTATGCTGTATGTATGAAACATGGTTAAAATGTGATAGAATGCTCTTGCTTTTAATATCATTTTTGTCTTTTCCTTAGTATTGCCAATCAGATAGTGATCACTAATAGGATACATTTATATAGTATTCCAAAATGGTGGCTTCTTTAAACCAAATAGACGTTTAATTCAAACTAATCACTGAAATAGATTGGCTGTGAAATTATAGTTAAATTATCTTAAATGTTGTCACAAGATGCAAAACTACATTATAGCTGCATAATTACATAACTATATTATAATTATATACTTGTATATATTATATAGTTATATATGTTATAATTATATAGTATAATAACATATTATACTATATAATGTATAAAACTTGTATGTTATACATTATGTAGCTATAGTTATATAATGATCTGCGGTTGCTTTTCTTTTTTTGCTTTTTTTTTTTTGAGACGGAGTCTTGCTCTGTCTCCAGGCTGGAGTGCAGTGGCGCGATCTTGGCTCACTACAACCTCCACCTTCCGGGTTCAAGCGATTCTCTTGCCTCAGCCTCCCGAGTAGCTGGGACTACAGATGCACGTCACCACGCCCAGCTAATTGTTTTGTGTTTTTAGTAGAGACAGGGTTTCACAATGTTGGCCAGGATGGTCTCCATCTCTTGACCTTGTGATCAGCCCACCTCGGCCTCCCAAAGTGCTGGGATTACAGGCGTGAGCCACCGTGCCCAGCCAGTTGTTCTTATTATTACTTGACTTAGGAATCTATGGCTGTACAATTACAGGTGAGATTCACAATATTGAACAACCATTTGGTTTGGCACTTATCAAACAGAACAGAACAGATAGTGGCAATAACAATCATCACATTCTCGGTGAGCATCATTGGCGCTGAGGAAGAGATATGATTGCAAAGATATCTGTTGGAGGTATTATTCTTCCCACACATAAGCACAAACAACTTATTACGGAGAAATAAATAAAAGTAACCCAGAGACTTCCTTTGCTAGTGAAAACACAGAGGCAAATTCTTAGAGTTAAGCTAAGAGTAAACGATGCCTGAGGAACGCATTCAAAGTCCCAAATACTTAACTTGGAAGACTCTCCTTGTAAGGATGGCCTAGCAGTTTCCCTTCAGCAGTAGTAAATCTGGATGAGCTTCTCTAGGATCACATCCTGGCAGATGAGATGCTCATCATGACGAGGCCCAGCCTATGGGAGATGGGATCATTAGCCTGTTTTTACATTTTAAAATGGCCTATGTGTTTTCTTCCTTTTATTTTTTTTAAATCAGGAATGCATGATCTTTGTAGAAAATTTGGCAAAAGCTGACAAGTATAAAAAACAGGTGAAACATCACCCATAAAACCATCACCCAGAGCAAGCACTATTCACATTATTACATGTTTTTTCCCTAGTCTCAATCTCTCTTTCTTTGTCTCTCTCTGTGTCTCTCTTTTTGCTGAAAATTATCTTGCTGTTTGGAAAGACAGTAAATATTTCTTCCTTTGGGTAACATCTGAAGCTTTTTGTCCCACTCCCTTTTCAACTGTAATACCACCTATGTTAAGACTGTTTAAGATGGCTAATCTTTTAGACACTGATATTCCTAAAGTGTTCAAATGGCTCTTATCCCTTGAGTCACCATGGTTTGCTCAGTCTTCATGGGACCTGTGAGGAAATTCCTTTCAGGGGTCTTGGCATGAGCTGAGAGTTTAGAGTTCAAACATTTCTTACTTTGGATCGAAATGGAAGTAAACAGTAGATTTTTTTTTTTGTTATGCTCATGACTGCCAAGATTTTTATTTTAGGGTTGGATGTTATTTTAGGGTTGAATTTTAGGGAGGCATGATGAGGGTGATCAGTACTAAAGCCTTGACTTAATAAAAAGAATTTTGATGGTAGTCATGGAAGTGTTCAGTGAACTCTAACTACTCATGAATCAATGATATCATGAGTAATGCTAAAATTAGACTCACCAGGAGAAGACGCATGAACAAAAATTATGTGATTATGAGAAAAAGAAGGAAACTTATCTGTTATCATAAACACTGATTATAACTCTGGAAATGCTTCACTAAACACATCAAAAATTCTTTTTGATCAGAATTTAATATAAGCTCAATGAGTTGATTATGTAAGCCCTCTGCTACTTTTCTCCCCCTACACCAAATGCCTAAATAAACTTTATTTTTCAAGTTGAAAGGACCGTTCTAAAATTCGTCATTCTTAATGCTCTAAAACGCCCGGGTTCAGAAAATTAAATTACGCCATTTTTATCCGTTTGAGATCAGTTCTGTTTCCTCCTTTGGTTTGTGTTTACTTTCCTGCAGTAGCTGACATCAAAATGTTTTCTGGAATGCTGGGACTAAATAAGTTATGCTTAACTCAATATCTAATACAAATAGCCCTGGGGAGCTTCAGCGACACAATCATAAAAGCTATAGTTTCTTTTAATAGCTTGCCACACTTTGCTGATATAGTATTTCTCTAATCACCAATCTTTATGTGCCTTCCTGACCTTGGAGCTCTCAGTCTAAATGGCTTTATGGTATCAAAGGCCTGTGTCATTGGAAGAGTGAATGGCTTTCATTTTTCCCCTTGAAACTTCCAGTTCCTGGCATCTGTAAAGAATTATTCCAAGTGGTATTTTGCTGCCTTGCGGCCACTGCCCTGTCCAATGGAAGTGACTTTTCCCAGAAAGGTCACAGTGGTCTGTAATAGGTGGATATTGCATTCAGGGAGGAGGCAACTCTGATTTCTCTATTTTTTTCTTTTACAATATTAATTATTCTTGTATCACATTAGTTATCAAAGATCTACATCACATTTTGTTTGCAAAATATTTTGGCAAAAAATGGTACACTGTCATGTTCTAAGCATGAAAGGTTAGCAACAAGCTTCATAAAGTCATCCTATTTGTTGGGAAAAAGACTTTTCATTTACACTTGATGGGGGAGATTATAGCAATGCACAATAGTTCGTCTTCAGACTCTGTTCCTCTTCAGCACCTCAAAAGCACACCAAAAAGTGTGACACAGCAGTGATTCTGGGGTCTCAAATCCACAGTATCTCTCCCTAACTGTGTCAACTGGCTGGGGCAACCATTGAGAACCAAGACTTCTGACTCACACCTTATTCTAAATTTGCATTTCTCAACATAATTATGTTTTAAGCTTTGTGCACAGTCAATAGAGGGTGATCCCATGGATATCTTTCCATGGCTTAGACAGGAACTTTGGGTAATAGGTAACGTTTCCAAACCTTCTCTGTGCCTTAGAATCTTAAAAGCACAGAGAGCAGTGTGGGCAGGGGAGTCTGTAGGTGTGTCTGTGTGTGTGTGCGTGTACGTGTGTTTGTGTGTGTGTGTACGTGTGTGTCGAAATAATGTAGAATACTAGCAAAACCTGTGAGGCAATTTAATATGTTTCCAATCAGAATTCCTTAGTGCAAATAAGAAGTGTAAGAAGTATAAAATCAGTACAGAAGAACATGACAACGAACTTTAGAGGTTCTTGTATATCATACAATTCCATCTATTTATTTATTTATATAAAATCTGAACATGTTTTCCCTGCTATAGTGAACACCCTCCCAATTACTCCTAGGAATGTTCATTGTCTGTTATTTGGTCTACATTTCTTGATTTTTCCTAAATGGCTCTTAGAAATCTACTTTATATATTAAGATATTCCCCATTGATTCCAGTTTATGCTAATTTGTCTTGTATTTTATATGCATTTTAATACTACTGAGGATTAAGACTAGAAAATAGAAATCTCCTCTAATTCCATAAAATCTTTTACTATTTGGTACATTTTCTTCAAAGTCCTTTTTTTGTATTTCATATATAAAATATGTATATTTTTTAAAAATTTGATTCATATCAGATGTACAATTTTGTAAAATGATTTTTTTTCTATTGACATGTTAACGTTGTTCTGTGTTCCTAAATGTTCCTCAAAGCCATGTTTTGTGGAATAGCCAAAATACCTTAAAGGAATACCTGTTTACGAAAATTAGTCTCATAGATGATGGTTATAGAGTAACAGGCACACTTGTCCTGGCATTGGAAGCTACAAGAAGAAAAAAAAATGTCTCCCTTTTGGAGAGGTAACGATTCTAAAGGTTTTGAGATCTTAGAGCAATTACTAGATTTGGATGTTTCCTCTACTTCAACAATCATATGTTTGTGTATGGCGATGGGGAGAGGGAGAGAAGTAGTTTTGAAGTCCTAGAATTTCTGTGAAATGCAGTTGCATCTTATGAATGAGTTGTCTTTATCGTCTTAACTTGACCAACCCTTTAACCCCTCACTGCCCCCTGTGGCCTTTTGCGTGAATAACGGTGACAATGCGACTGCCATTCTAGAATTTAGTTTCCCAGAAGTAACTGAGGTAGTTGGTCTGTTTATCAAGATACGCTTGGGAGTGGGGCTATCTCTCACCTCTGTGTGTTGGTAACAGTTTTCAGTCACTCTGAGCCTTTGCTAGATTTATATTTACATTTTTGGAGGAACAGTATTGAGTTGGCAACCTTTTGCTCTGTAACAAATCAGCCCAAAACATAATGAAAACAATAAACACGCATTATTACCCAGGAATCTACTGATCAGCTGGTGGTTCTTCTGTTCTGAGTCTACTCTGCTAGGTCTAGGCTGGCCTTGCTCACACGTCTGGGAAAGCTTGCCTGGCTGAGAATGCTAGGGCCTCTCTCCACATGGTTGTCATCTCCAGGAGACTAGCCTTAGTGTGCTCACAGGGCATGGCACAAGTGCTCCCAGTAGCCAGAAGTTGCTGGCCCCAGCTGGCAAGCACTTTTTAAGTGTCTGCTTCTGTTACTCCTGCTATTATCTCATTGGTCAAATCACATCCCACGGCCAAGCTCAGGGTTATCATGGGAGGGAGCTACTTAAAAGCTTGTGTGTAGAGAGGAATGCTTCACTGGGTACCTGTACTGCTACCTTTACTGCCACTTTCTTCCTAGTTTCTGAAATCCCTTTCAGTTGGACAGATACAGGACCAAATTAAAAAGTTTTCATGACTGTTGCTGCAAAATTTATGTTTCTGCAAAATTCATATTAGAATCAATAAACCTGAATACATAGAAACTTGTTCATAAAAAAAAAAAACCTTGCCACTGTGAGGTTTTTTTCCTCTTAAGCAAAACAAAACAAACAAACAAGAAAACAACTCTCCGAGATAAGTGAATCTTCTCCCAGTTTTGGTGTATCATTCTAGTCATTGGAGATATTTAGGAGAATAATAAATGCATGTTTTACAAACTGTAATCTGACATGCCAAAAAGACATTTCAAAATTCTCATGTCCAATACAGACATTGATTCTGTTGTGGCGTCTGATTTAAAAAAAAACAAAACAAACAAAAAAAAAAAACACAACTGTACTATAGTACCACAGTACACCAGTACTATGAAACTCAACTGGTTAGTCTTAACATGTATTTTCAGATAAAGGCAATTTCCTAAAGATGAGTTATTTTTTGTTAATGTCCGTTAGATATATACTACACACCCATATGTTGCATATTTTTAATAGAAAATACAATGCTGTTTCAAAATTCTGTCTTTAAAATCAGAACCCATTATAAATAATTTCGTCATGGGAATACAGAACTTTGAATAATTAGTAGATAAAATCATCTGTCAATGTCATGCCTAATTCACACATGAAGTGAACAGGGAACATCCATTACATGTCCAAAGACACCCTAGATTCCCACATATCTGTGATGTCTTGTACATATGATTTCCCATAAATTCACCTGGAGAGAGTGTAGACTAAGGATCTTCCATATTGGAGACGCACTTGGATTAAAATTCTTGCTCTATTAATTACTGTTTAATCTTGAGCAAAATCCTCCAGTTTTCTGTGTTTCCATAGGGATGACATAGAGTCAAATAAGGCACAGAGACAGTCTCCTGAGTGTTAGTTTCCTGCCTTCTCTCTTTCACTCTTTTTCTTACTGTTTAACTTCAGCTACTAACAGCAGTTGAACACTTTCTGCTAAGTTGCAAGCCAGGCACCATTTGGAAGCAAAGAAGCAGGCTGGGAGCGTGGCTGTAGGTTAGTCGGATCTCGCTGACCCGTGAAAAGGGACAGGCTGTCGCTTGTGCCAGACCCATCTTTCTATGGTTGTTTGCTCCTCTCTCCAATTTCCCTGCATCTGCTTTTTGGAGACCTGCTATATTTCCGTGCTTACTGACAACCAAATTGTTCTGCCTCTAGTGCTTATTATCATACTTCAAGGAAAAGGCACTTGGGGGCCGTAAGGAGAACTTAAGGCACAAAAGCCAAAACCTTGAGTGGATTTATGGACGCACTGGTGTCCGCAGCACCTCCAGAGAGTGGATGGAGTGAGGAGGATAAAAGTCGGCGACTGTCCAGTCTGCATAATTTTGGGATGCGGCCTGTAAGGCTTTACCATTTCTGTGACTTTAATTTGTGTTTTTGCTAAACATTAGATGGCTTAATTTGTCAGTGGATCAGAATCAAAAACACTTTGGGACAACCATAATGCTATCCTGAGAGAACCCAGGGACAAGCTAATTAGGAATAAAGAGGAGAGATGGAGAAGAGGGTGTATCTGGGTAACTTCATGGGGTGAAATCCCCTCATGGGAGGTGGCAGCTCGGAAATCTGCATAGTAACAAACCTGTCACGATTCAAGGACAACTCGGCGGAACAATTAGAATTACCATTTCCCTCTGGCCTTTACCAAAAATCTCTGCCCACACTTTACTCTTTGCAACCAACACTGCGGTTTTGTCTTAACATTTAGTAAGCTGTTGTTGAACTTTAAACATCCTTTGTAAGGTATGCATTTTCTGCCTCAAGAGTAAAAAAGAGTTACATCTTTTGAATTCTCATATCTCATATGAATCCTACACTGTTTCCATTTGAATGACAATTGTGTATTTTGAAATCCACACATATTATATGAATCCTAAACATTTTATTTGAATAGCAAATGCTATAAGGAATCAAGAGAATATTAAATATTTTATGGTAAATAACATCTGTTTCAATGATTTCTTCAAACCTGTTTCATTTTATTCTTTCCTGAAACTTTAAAGCCAATCAAAAAAAACAGATACACTGAGTATATATATTGTTGCCTTATAAAAGAAACACGATTCTTATTTTTAATGTTTCTTCTATATAAAACAATACTTTGAATGTTTCATTTCTGAACAGGTGCTCAAAGGAAACAAAAAAATTAATGATATTATGGTATTTTGTAAGTTGTAATTATATCCCTGACTTCCTATTTTCATCAAATTATTATAGATATTCATATATCAAAAAGCACAGTTTCCCCAAATAATTAATTTTTTAAATTAAATAAAATATATCAAAAGTAGCAATAAGGGTAAAATCTCATTGGTGAATTTCTGATTGTACGAATTAATATTAATAACTGACCTTTAAGAAGACAAATATATGTGAGAGTAAATCTGGTTTGCACTTCTGTCTGACTTTCTTCTCTATCTTTCTGCATAGCAGCATAATCTGGCATGTTTCCTATTCTATCATTTTAACATTTTCCATTTTATTTAGACGTAGTGAACTAATGCATGCATGTTTATGAAGGATTTCAAATTGGAAGAGTTAGAAAACAATGAAGAGAGATCAACACACAGTTCTGAAAACAAAAGGAAGAAAAATTATGATATTTCCCCCTCTCCTTCCAGAAATAACCCCCAATCCCCATCCCTGTCCCCCAGGGCCCTGGGCAGTGTCACATTCCTACCTCTTCCTCCAGGCAGAACTATGCAAGTGTGAACTGGGTTGGCTCCTCTGTTTTCTCCTTTTTCACCACAACACAGGCACACATTCAGTCCATTACTAATTTTAGCTGCTTCCTTTTGCATACTCCCACAAGCAGATCTTAGGCCAAGCCCTGACCTTGTCCTGCCTTGACTAATGTGGCATCTCTGCCATTCCTGGACTAGAGGAGGAGGGTGGCTTGGAGAAAAATGGTATCAAAAACAGCTCTTAAAAACAAGAAGTACACTCTGCTACTACCATGTAACTGGCATTTGCTAGATTCTCTTGAGGGCCCACAAATGTTCTTGGTATAATCAGGACCCAGTGGCACCCAGGCACTCTGGCCTGCCTGCAAAACATAGCCTTAGCCAGATTTAATTTGTGACACCCAAAAGAAGAAAGTATCGGATTCACCAAGGTGCAGTGTGTATACTGTCTCTACTTTTGCTTACACACTTCTTCCTCCATGACTTGTTGACTTTGGAGGATTTGGGACTTTTCCTTGCTTAGGAATATTAGAAGTATTGTGGGCTCTTCCTTACCTTTAGTGACTTTAAGCATCAGCATTCTTCTGTGTACTGCAGAAAACTCTTATTGCAATCCAATTTTCCTCCCATATTTTAAGAAGCCATTCTAGGTACTTAACTGAATTTGTGTGTTTGGAATCTCCTTAAGTGACTGACATCTTCCCTTTGATAGTCATATCCTTAAGTCACAAATGGACATTCTCAAATGGCATTCTCATCTACTTTGACCTTGATAGTCTCTTACTTTTAGTACTTCAAAATGGGGACAAACATAAGATTTGGAGCAAAGATAAAATGAAGAATTTGAAGTTTAAACATACTGCTGATTTCAGTAGCTGATGAAAAATTAAATTTGATTTTAAACATCTGAGGAGCAGGAAAGGTATTCTCTTGCATATACACAGACTTGATAATAATTTTTAAAAATAGGTCACATAGCCTACATATCACAAGCAGTTAAATACTAAATTATACTTTAATAAACTAAAAAAGAAGAGGAAATTGAAGTAAAACATCCATTGCCATTAGTTAAAAATGGTTTTCAGCATTTTATAAGAAATGGAATATTTTGTTTTATTGATATGAGGAAATGATATACATCAGTACTGTCTAATGGAAATATGTGGGCCACACATACGATTTTTAACTTTCTAGTAGTCAATTAAAAATAAAGAGACAAGTAAAATTATTTTCAATAATATATGATTTTTTAAATTAAATATGCGTTCCTGTGTTTAAACACATTAAATGGGGATTGACTGATGTACCTGCGGGACTTCTGGATCCTTAACTTGCTAATTTGTGTTGTGCATCTATCAACAGGTTAGAGTAGGATTTCTCAGCCTAAGCACTAATGACACTACTGACTTGCCAAAATGTCAGCCCCTTGATTCCCCATTGCGGGAGCTCTTCTGTTCATTGTGGTATTTTAACAGCGTCCCTGACTCCTCCTTACTAAGTGCTAGTAACACCCTTCTTCCCTACCTCACACCCATTGAGATAATGAGAAATGTCTCTAGACATTGTCAAATGTACTCTGTGGTGCAAAATTCTCCTCCACTCCCCACCCGAGCCACACACTGGGATAGAGTGTGGAGCAGGATCTCACCCGTTTGCTCACACCTGGTGATCTAAATGGGTGTGCATATTCTATTCCAATGATTAACCGAACCCTGTACCTATGCTTAGTAACTGAATTGAATTAATTTGAAATGTTTTAGGCTGGGCACAGTGGCTCATGCCTGTAATCCTAGCACTTTGGGAGGCCGAAACGGGCAGATTGCTCGAGGTCAGGGGTTCAAGAGCAGCCTGGCCAACATGCCGAAACCCCGTTTCTACTAAAAAAATACAAAAATTAGCTGGGTGCAGTGGCGCGTACCTGTAATCCCAGCTGCTTGGGAGGATGAGGCAGGAGAATCGCTTGAACCTGGGAGGTGGAGGCTGCAGTGAGCCGAGATGGCACCATTGCACTCCAGCCCAGGCGACAGAGAGAGACTCTGTCTCAAAAAAAAAAATAAAATAAAATAAAATAAAAGAAATGGTTCAGACCCATAGGCATTATGATATGTTTCACAAGAACAAAACAAGAACATATATTCAGGACCTAAATTAATCCTGTAGTGGAAAGGAACCCTTTCATTGATGTCTGGGCAGATTTGTGTCCTAGGAGACCTAGATACTGACCCACAGACGTGAATCCTTTCCCCAGTCTTTCCCACATGAATAGAAAATGTCCCATCTTTCTTGCCTTAATGCTAACCAGGTCGTTTGTTTACATGTGGTAAAATTTTGATCCTCTCTGAAAGTTTTCCTTTTTTTTTTTTTTTTTTTTTTTTGCTTTATTCTCCCTGAGCCGCAATAAATTTCCACAGCAAACCTAAACATTTCATTTGCGTAATTAAGTTTCCATATGGATGCTGATGGCTTGTTTGCCTCATTTCTTTCCAGCAAAATTGTAAGCACCCTGAGGTTAAAGACTTCGTTGATTTTTTTCAATACCTACCATGGATCAAGGAAATTTGTTAGTAATAAAATATTTGCTTAATGATTGACAATAAAATTGAATGCTTTCATAAAACAACAAGCTGTTCCCACTAATTTTAACTTTTTCCTAGCTTTACCTTGTATTTCACTCAAATAGGGAAATGATTCTTTATTTGACATCATTTATGTGCTGGACACTGGACAGGATTCTGGGCAAAACTGATAAACAAAGAACTCCTGCCCTTGGCAAAGCTCACAGTTGAGCGCAGTAGTTCTCAACCTGGGAGGACTTTGTCCTGAGAGACATCTAGTCATGTCTAGAGACATTTTTAATTATCACAGTTGGGGTGGGTTGCTACTGGCATCTAGTGGGTAGAGGTAAAGGGTGCTGCTAAACATCTTACAATATATAGGACAGAGCCCAACAACAAATAATTATTTGGACTAGAATGTCAAGAGTGCTGAGTTTCAGAAAGCTTGGGAAGAGGAGGATAAATCAACCGATGACAGCTTAATGGAAAGTGATGTATGCCTTGATAGAGTTAGGTCGAGGGTGCCTTGAGAGCTCACAAAAGGAAAAATAAATCCAAGTGTATGGCTGAGAGACAGAGAAGGCTCCCCAGACGAGGTTATGGAGGCTGGGTATGCAGCTTGGGAACCAGCAGCAGAGGAGTGAACAATGAGGCACTGGTTACCCCCAAGAAGAAAGTGTGGAAATAGAGCCAAGAGCTAGGGGTGGAGCCCCAGAGAAGCCAACTGTCAAAAGGAAGCCCAGGAAGAAAAGCCACAAAGAGAGGGAGGAACTGGAAGGGTGGAAAGCAGCGAGATGGCGTGGAAGCCAGTGAAGGAGACTGTTTCAAGAAGGAGAGAATCACTAACAATGTCATATACCTCAGAGAAGCTGAGTGAGATAAACACAGAAAAGTATCTTTAACATAGGTAAAGAGGTCACTAGTCACTTTAAAGAGAGAAATTACAAGTGAAGGAAGTCTTAGAAGTGATGGAGGATAGATTGTCCTAAGCAGAGAAGTCAATGTGGGGAGATAAAAAGTGTGGATTTATCTTCAGGAGGAATGCTTATGATTATTTATAGAGCAGAAAAATTGAAAACAGTCCAACAGTCTAATAAAAAGGTATGAAAATATTTATAAATATATGCAGGAATATACAGCCCCTAACAGGCATACTTTTCAGGAGCATTTAAGGTGAAGGGAATATAGTCGGAATATATGAAAAAATCAAGATGCCAACCATTATTCAGTATGACACCTGCTCTTTTTTTAGGTAGGGAAGAACAAAACTACAAAAAATCCAAAATATTAAATATTAACAGTTTATTCATGCATGGTGGATATGGGCAATTATTATTTTCCTCTTTGTAAATTAATCTCCAAATGTTCTAAAATGAGCATGTCATACTTTTAAAATGAGAAGAAAACTTTCTTAAAAGAAGAAACTTGACTGAGAAAGAACAGAGAAAGTTTTGGCAGTAACTTGAAGGGAACACAGGGAGGGGAAAGGAGTGTGTGTGTGTGTGTGTGTGTATGCACGTGCATACATGTGTGTGTCTGTATTTGAGTTGGAAGCGATGAGAGCATTTTTGTATATTGAGGGGAGACAGACAGTACATGCTGAGAGGCTGAAGATACAGGAGCATGGATGATTGATGGAGCACATCCCTAAGGGAGCAGGAGGGGATGAAATCCAGATCACAGGTGGTGGGATTAGCCTTGGCTAAGAGGAGAGACATCGCTTCAACTGAAAAATGAGGAAAAGAGGTAAGGATGGATGTGGGTGCTGATAAGAGTGTAGAGGAGGGGGCAGGAAGTTGAGGGAGTTACTGTTTGTTGGCGTCTATTTCCTTTGTGAAGTAGAAGGTGAGGTCATTTGCTGAGTGGGGTCAAGGGTTTACAGAGAATGGAGAATGATGGAGATTTGGAAGGGTGGTTATGGAGAAAAAGAGGGAGGAAGGGGACTTGGGACACAGAGATTGCCCAGCTGCCTTGAAAGGCCAGCTGAGGCTGAAGACAGGATCTTTAACAAACAGCACGTATTTGTGTGTCCACATGGCTTTCTCTAACTGTCACATGTTTAAAAATAGACAAAGCAAATAGTGAGACTGATCATAACTTGCAGTTTTTGCAGAAATAATGAGACTGATCATAAGGGCTTTCTGCATAAGGCCCTGTGGAAACATGATTATTTTGAGTGCCTGAAGTAATAAACAATAGAGTTTGTACTGGAAAGGGAGAGAAATAAGCCAGAAGAAGGCTGAAGGGAATGGAAGCCAGGTGAGGTCTACAAGTCCCAGTATTGGGAGACAGGGAGTGAGAGAACTTGAATGGTGAAAGGTTTGGGCTGTGAATGGAATATTGGACGGCAAGATTCTAGTTATGAAAGAGTGCTTGGTGGAGGGGAGAGGCCTCATTAGCTGATGTCTCTATGGACTCTCCCAGCAAGTGTGGCTACTGGACTGTGAAAACACAGTTTCTTATCATATGTGGTACACAGAAACACTCACAAAAAGAAGCAAAATCCTCTGTGTAGATTAAATCACATTCATTCTTTCTCCTCTCTCCACACACACCCACACACATGCACACACACACACACAATTCATACACACATGTATACATACATATATATATTCATACATATGACTTGAAATATTATTCAGAAAATAACATAAACGTTAACAACAGATTCCCAACCAAGAAAAAAGAACACTGGACTTTGTTTCTTTTTTTTTTTCTTTTTTTCTTTATTTTATTGCAGAATGTGCAGGTTTGTTACATAGGTATATGTGTGCCATGGTGATTTGCTTCACCTATTGACACATTCTCTATGTTTCGTCCCCTCACTCTCTACCTCCCCAGCAGGCCCTGGTGTGTGTGTATTGTTCCCCTCTCTGTGTCCATGTGTTCTCATTGTTCAAATCCCACTTATGAGTGAGAACATGCAGTGTTTGGTTTTCTGTTCCTGTGTTAGTTTGCTGAGGAGGATGGCTTCTAGCTTCATCCATGTCCCTGAAAAGGACATGATCTCATTCCTTTTTATGGCTGCATAGTATGGAGTTTGTTTCAATTCCAGATATTTAATTGCTCTATAATTTAACATGACACTTTCACATCAGAAAACTTGATTTTCTCATTGGCAAAATGGGTTAAATTATATCTATTTAACAAGTATTTTTTTAAGAACTAGATTAAAATTTAGAAACATATCTCAGAGTTTTTGAAACCCCAAATATTATAGCTTAATTCACTTATTCAACAAAGATTGATTGGGAACTACAACATGTTTGTATTTGTGCTTGGGGAATTGACTGTGAATAAACCAGACACATTCTTCTCCCTTACAGGTTTAGAATCAAATGGGAGAATTTAAGGGATTATCATATAATAAAGCACCTTTCTTGCCCTGTGTTGTCCTGGCCTCAAGCAATCCTTCCACCTTGGCCTCCCAAAGTGTTGGCATCACAGACATGAGCCATGACACCCAGCCTTGCCCTGTGATTCTATGCTTCACCCTCTTCCAAGACTTAAGCCAGAGTTCTGCCAGGGTCCTCCTACACTCAGGGGTGTCTTCTGAGAAATGTCAGTGTATTAGTTTGTTCTCATGCTGCTGATAAAAAGACATACCCGAGACTGGGTAATTTATAAAGAAAAACAGGTTTAATGGACTTAAAGTTCCACGTGGCTGAAGAGGCCTCACAATCATGGTGGAAGGCAAAGAGGAGCAAAGTCACGTCTTAGGTGGCAGCAGGCAAAAGAGCATGTGCAGGGGAACTGCGCTATATAAAACCATCAGATCTCATGAGACTTATTCACTATCATGAGAACAGCATGGAAGAAACCCACCCCCATGATTCAGTTAACTCTCCCCAAGTCCCACCCATGACACGTGGGAATTATGAGAGCTACAATTCAAGGTGAGATTTGGGTGGGGACACAGCTAAACCATATCAGTCAGGGAAGAAGGATTTTGGTTATCTGTGATCACAATCTGTTAATGTTTCATCTTATGTTACATTTATATTGGTTTAATTATTCAAAATCTTAAATGCAAGCTCCTAATTTTACTTCAGAATGATTATTTTCACATGCTTATATCAATCATACACACATGCACACATATACAGATATGTACAGAAACACACATATATGCATACACACATACATACGTATATATATACACACATACATATTCTGGTAAAAAAAATTTCACGCATAATCAAAGCCCAAAGGAGGTTAAATATTCAGAATATTAGCTCATTAACATTCAGCACATTGGGGATAATGTCTATGTTAATGGTATCCGTTCATCTAACAGAGGGTTGGCATTCATACCTAGGAGTTGAAAGTACATCAAATGCTCCTTGATGAGCTAAGCAAAGTGAAAATGTACGTGCTATTCCCCTAACAAGGAAAGCCGCTGAAGTTTAAATAACAGAAAAGAGCACATGGATAGAGAAAAAGTTAATGCAGAACATTTTGTTGCTTTATTATTCAGTGACAGAGATTAGCCAGTGGGGAATATATATATACATGTGTATATTTACCCATATAAATAAATATAGATTTTAAACTAACAGTCACAAAGGATATCATACATTTCAAATTTGCATACAAATAGTACTTCCTAAAATTGGCAATTTGATTTACTCATCTTCTGAATATCTTCTGCAGGTGTAGTAATAATTTTCAGTATGTCTGGATGCCTAGAATATGTTTAGCAGTGTCCTAAGTATTTTAAGTGGATCCTCTCATTTAATTTCGACAACAATCTCTATGCAGTAGATACTACTGTTATTGAAAATTTACAAATTCAAAAGATGGGGCAACTGAGGCTTTAAGGAATTAAGTAACTTATCTGTCATCGTCATTGCTCCTCATTGCCCCAAAGTAGAGAGAACATCTCAATTCAACAAATCATATTGATTCCACCTTCTAAATATCTCAGGGGTCCACCTTCCTCTCTCCAACCCACTGCTGCAACTCTGGTTCCGGCTGCTGTCAACTGAGTTAATGTAAAGTCTCTGGTAGTCTGACTACTGGAGTTTAATAACCCAAGTGGTTGACTAGTGTTTACAAATAAGCTCATATTAGTTTTGATTACTAACCTCCTGCTGTCACAATAGTCCTAACACCATAATCAGTGTCTCTCAGGTACTTCCGGGTCTTCCTCGAGGGAGTCTTGCACGTGTTGAGGAATGAGTCTGTGCTCAGTTGAGAGCCACCAATACCAGCTGTGGTCTGCCACACCCACCACCCCTGCCCACACTTGGGGTTGCTGCTTCACAGTTCTCAAAACTTTACAATCCTCAGAGTGCAAAGTGACTCTTCATTCCTTTTAGCCCTCAATGACTTTTTTGTCACAAATGAGAGGAACGCTGTCTTCCAAACTGTTTCATTTTGCCACAAAAGAACAGCACTTGTGCTATAAATCTCATATGACACAGTTCTTTCTACTTCTTCCTGAAGGCCTTTTCTCTTGGAGCTCAAATAGCCATTCACCAGGCTCAACAGAGAACACACTTTGTTCGGGGCTGTCCATTCCCTGTCTTTTCCCATCTCTTCTCTCATTTCTCACCATACTTCTTTTTTTTTTTTTTTCCTTCGGGAAAACAGTCAACCAAACAAAGATAAATCAAACTCATATCAATCAATGCAAATGCCCAGTGGATGTAGTGGGCCAGTGTGCAGGATGAAGGATGTGTAGTAAACCCCTTAGTAGTGCACTGGTCATGGCTCATCAGGTTTGCCCATAGCCAGTCTTTGAATTCCAATTTAAATAAATAGGGGTACTTTAAGTCTTCCTTAAATTTAAATATAATCACATTTTTTCATTCTTTAATATACATCAGCGACTTCTCATTGTTTTCTGATTAAGTTAAAATCCCTAAAGATGTTGACAAATTTTTCATTAACTGCTTTCAGTTTTTTCTCTTTCATCAGCGGCAACAACCTTCTCTACCAACCTTGCTTCAAACTCCATGTTCTAGAGAAGGGATGGGCTCTAGCATGTGGGACTATTGCATGATAAACAAACAGCAGTGCATAGAGCTATTGTAGAATGCCATAGTCACTTATTCTGCAAGTTTACAATAATTCCTGTTTCAGTGTCAATTTATAAATAGCTACTAATAACTAAAAGCATGATTTTAAATCTGCAGGTATAAGCAATAACAAGCTTAGTTAACATCTAAGAATGATGAGAACTGTTTTAGCCTTTACTCAAGTTGTGAACAAATATTATGATGATGACTCTGCTGAAGAACCAAGCAGAGGATAAACAATGCCAGTAAATCCTAGGTATTGCAGGTTCATTGACATGTTATAAATCAAATAAAGTTAAGCTTGCCAATAATTGAATATAACCACTTTAACATATTATTTATATTGCTTATTGAGCCTACAAGTATAATTTTGAATAGCAATGTTTGATACTTTACAAATTATAATAGCATGTGCATAAATGTGCATAATAATATTATTTTATGTCTTTCAAGGAGATGAAATAACTTTTATATGCAAGAGTTTATTCATGTAAGCCAGGAACTATTTTAGTGAGATTTACTTTGTTTCTATTGATTCTATTTAGAGCTGAATCTGTAGCACTAAAACCAAATAATACCAGACAAGGTCTTAAACCAAATTGTTAAGCCTTGTCTAATCATATTATATTATCCATTTGTTCTTTGTTCCGTTTGATGAGCATAGTTAAAATCAGGTAACTGAAGTTAACATAACTTGACGCAAAAGCAATGCAAGTTGTATAGCAGAACAGAAAAGTCTATTTTGTGGGCAGTGACCACTAAAAATAATTGTGAGAAATGAGTGTCATAAAAAAAAAATTTGACTGTTGATAGATGTGACAATTTATGACAACTAATGAGACCACTTAGCAGAATCTGCATACCTTTGGTTGCTATAGGCCAAATTATTAAACAGTGTTGTTAGGATAATAGTTTGGTGATGAGCATTGCAGATGAGTTGATAAAAATTATTGACCCATGAGACTAAATACAGGGACTATCTCAAAAACCAATTGTTAGAAGATATGTAAGAACAGAGACACAAAATAATTAAGTACGTGAGGTAACATATATGTTAATTAGATTGATTTAGCTATTCCGCAATGTATACACAGATCAAACATCATGTTTAACACCATGAATATATACCACTCTTATTTATCAATTACAATTAATTTTTCAAAAGAATGGAGCCATCACAACAGATTTAGAAAGATTTGTCTTGTCATCCTCATAAGGATGTAGGGCATTTATGCAAGAAGATTTATTAATATAAAAATATTAGTAAATTATAATAAAAATATATGTAAGAAAAATCAACATGTGCATAATTCTGCATAAGGAGCTAAATGATCATGGAGGCTGAGAAGCACCATAGTAGATGGTTAATGAAGTGGTTAAAGACTGTTAAACAATATCTAGTTGTGACTAGTCATAACTGATGACTGTGGCATTGGTGATGGATATCAGAAAGAAGGCAGAAGTTTGGCTCAATAACACCTTGTTATAACGTATTTTGGTAATAGAGTCAATTTGAGTTTTAAAAAATAAGTCGTTGATAACAATGATATATTAATGATCAATTTCCTTATCCTATTTGGAGAAATACCTGATACTATGAACGTTTAAATAACAATGCTAATTAGATTAGTCTTTTTTGCAGATAAACCACTTATTCTGGAAGAAAAAGTGCTTATCAAATACACTGTCATTTCTTTATTTTATAGATGTGCTCTGAGAGTTCAAATAAAGTTTTCCTAATTTGCATCTTTGTAAAGTGGTAGAGCTGGAGTACAAACCAAGGAGTTTGTTTTTTTCTGAATCCTGTGCACTTTTTAATAACGTCATTTAATTTGCGTAGCAAGGTGTGTGAAGATTAAGTTGCCTACTCTACGCAAAACATAGGTTATTTTTCTGCTGGAATAATCATTTCTAATGCAAATTTGTTCTTATCAACCCTGTTAAACTAATTCAATCCTCAGGCCCAAACTCCTGGAATCTAAAGCTATTTGCTGACTTGCTGTTGCTGTTAGGCTTGAGAGTCAGCCTCCTTAGATAGGGTGCAAGTACTGCATGGCCTCCACAATTCTATTCATTCCCCAGAATCTCCATAACCAGCAGTCTTATGGAGTCTTACGAATAAGGGCTATTCACCCTTATGAATAGCCATGCTGACCTGCACCTGCTCTGTGGCATTTACCAGGTGCCCTGTCACGAGAGTGACTTTCCACATGCTATGCTGTCTACATGGAACATTCTTCTTTCTTTCTTTGCCAAGCTAAACCCTTCTCATTCTTCATCTCTTGGCTCAGAGGAGCTTTTCTTGGTTGCTTCTAATTTAGGACCCTGTACTACTCTTCATAACTCTTACCTCCATTGCTCTTTTATAATTATTTGTGTGGAACTGGGTGAATATTTGTCTCCCTCACCAGATTGTAAATTCAGAAGAAGAGTGACTGGATCTGTTGAGTCCACCATTGTATCTTCTAATTTCTACTATGATTCCTAACACCTAGTAAGCGCTTAATATAATGGATATACGAATGAAAGAATGAGTTCCATGAAAGCCAAGAAATAATTACAAAAGTGTTTTAAATTATCAATGCCTTTTTGTGATATTTATTTTTAAGTTTGAGGAAATACTTAGAAAAGACATTCTTTTCAAAAACCAAAGTATTTTTAGATATTATGTTACATTCATCTCAGCAAATACACCAGAGTATTATTGTTTAAAGGTTTGGTTGTTGAGACAACCACAGTTTTCAATTCTGACCCACAGTGACAAGTTTTCATTCTATTTAAGACATTTTCTTACATGCTATGAGTTGAGCTGTGTGCTTCCTCAAACACTTATCTATTTTAAGGGGAAAGTGTTTTTTTTTTTTAAAGCGGATACTTCTGTTTAAATGCCAAAATAAATACATGTTAAACAATATTCTCTCTGTCTTATTTTTATTTTTAAAATTTTTTGTTATCCAAACATCTTAACATAAACTGTCAGTAATTGGCTCCTAGTTCAATGACAAAAGATATTTGGAATATCTTTACTTTGACCCATGCATGCTTTGGGAGGAAGGGTAAAATAGAGATAAAGTCAAACTTTTCTTGAGTTAGACATGCTTGGTAATTTATACACAAGCAATTGGGTCTAGACGCCAGTGATGAAAAATGTGATTCTCCTAATGTTATGTTTAGTAAGATGTTTTCTTGGAATGAGAGGGTATAAAGATTAATGTCTGATCCTGAAAGAATTGGGATCCTACTTACTTGACCCAGCATGTGATATGTCTGAACCCATGGGTTTTAAAAAATACATTCATGACATATTATCAATGTTAAATCTAGTATATTAACAGAGAAATCTAAAAGTTGTAATTAGTGAGATTTTATTATGGCCACTTACTCCATTTTTTCTTTAAAGCTGTGTTTCGTAATATTATTTTTTAAATTAATGACCTCTGATGAAAACTATAGACTAAATCTTCAGAAAAATTCAGAGATGCACACTCTCATATAATTTTACACACAACTTCAGGAGTTTTATATCCACTAGAATTCTTCCACAGATCCTAGACTGAGAATATCTGTTCAAGATAAATCTATCCAATTCATGTGTCTTAAATAGAAATGATTTATGTTACTTGTCATGTCTCTCGTTATGATATTTTATATCCAGACTCTAATTATCAAAAGGGAGGAATAAAGGAAATGCTCAAGAGATCCATCTTATTCAAACGAAACCTCTTTTTCCCCTCCTTCTCTTCAGGCTATTATCTCTAGACCAGAGCTCTATTGTTCATCCTGTACTGTCCATTGGCTGCCAACCAGACAAGGGATGCTAATCTAGGCCATTGTACAATTTCATCCCTCTCTGGGCTGTTATGTAATTAAAATAACTTCAGTGTGCTCTCTTGAACATTTTTTTCTACAGGCAATTGTAAAAATATAGAAGTTAAAAAGCAAATGAAGGAAGAAAAATATAATTTGTTTTCTTTACTTTTCTATTGCAAAAGACATTACTTATTGTGGACTTGTTATTTATTTAATTTCAAAATTGGAATATAGTTTCTTTTGTATTTTGTACTGCAGAAAAATATCTATTGATTTAAAGTGGTCATTTTCCAAGAATGCTTCAAGGCAGTTGAATTTTAAACATTTCTAAAGCAACTAGTTTTCATATATATATATATAAATGCATAGTGCAACCAAATTAGTAATTTATTTTCTCCTGGAACCTTTATGTCTGAGGATACCAGAAGCAATTTAAATATTCTGTATATAGGTAGTAACTTTTACCAACATTCTACCCAATTGAGAAACAGTGTTGTTAAATAGGTGCAGCTTCACATAGGTCAATGCCAACACTAAACTAAGTCCCTAAACCTCAATCCAGAATCATGGGTTAACTAAACATACACACTCTCTCCCATTGTGTGTGCATACAAACACTGGTTACTCTTGAATCCAATTCCCTCTGCTTCTGTTGGTGATACTTCAGCTGAAAGCTTTGTAGCATTCAGCTACCAACAGTCCTGTCTTATAAGTCACATTATTGTTTTGGATTCTTCATGATTTGAAAACAAGAATATTTGATTTGCAAAATTTTACCTCTCGTTAGCACTTTTTTTTTTTTTTTTTTTTTTGGTATTTTGTTCGCTGGCATGAAAAATGTGCTAGGCAAAAACTCCTGTTTAAAATGAGAAGAACGTGAGAAGGAGAGAGTGACCTACCCTCACTGGAAGTGACCAGTGAGTACCTGGGGGCAATACTTCATCTCCTTAGAGGCTCACCACTGTTACAAGGGGCCACCACTTGGCCCTAGAGGGAAGACTGGTAGAAAACAGTGAGCGCATTCTGTTGCTGGTGAGCATACACCTGTTAATCCAGCTTCCCTGAACTGTGCACCGCACTTGCGTACTAGAATTCAGCAATGCTATCCATAGCTAGGGAGAAGGGGGAATAATAAAGATCCTCACACGTTTGTTAAAGATACCCTCTACCTTAACCAAATTTTTACTGAGCACTTCACCTTCCACCTCTTATGGATTGATTTACAATTTCCTTTTTTTTTTTTTTTTTGAGACGGAATTTTGCTCTTGTTGCCCAGGCTGGAGTACAGTGGCGCGATCTCAGCTCACTGCAACCTCCGCCCCCCAGGTTCAAGTGATTCTCCTGCCTCAGCTTCCCAAGTAGCCGGGATTACAGGCATGTGCCATCATGCCTGGCTAACTCTGTATTTTTAGTGGAGATGGGATTTCCCCATGTTGGTCAGACTGGTCTCCAACTCCTGACTTCAGGTGATCCACCCGCCTCGGCCTCCCAAAGTGCTGGGGCAATTTCTTAAAATCACAAGGGATAAAAATATTTTAGCATAAACACACACAACATATAATTGTACAGATGTACAAATATAAAAATATATATACAAACTATATAATGTATCACTACATAAATATGTGATATGTTACAAAACATGCACACCAATAGAAATTAAGAAAGGAGATAAAAATGAAATAAACATTATTTTAAAATTAATTTTGAGATAGTGGGATAGAAACTTTTTTACTATGATTTTAAAAAGTGTTTTTAACAACTTTATTAATATATTCATATATGCTATATGCTTTACTCATTTCTATGTACAATTCAGTGGTTTTTCGTATAGTCACTGAATTGACTGGTGCAACCATCACCAGAGTCAATGTTAGAACATTTTCATCACCGCCCAAAAGAAACTGTACCCATTAGCAGTAACTTCATCCTCCTACAACCCTAGGCAACCACTAGTCCACTTTTTGCCTCCATAAATTTGTGTGTTCTGCATATTTTATGTAAATCGTATTGTATGGTATGTGTTTTTTTGTTTGTTTTTTTGTTTTTGAGATGGAGTCGCGCTCTGTCCCCCAGGCTGGAGTGCAATGGCGCGATGTTGGCTCACTGCAATCTCCGCCTTCCAGGTTCAAGCAATTCTCCTGCCTCGGCCTCCCAAGTAACTGGGATTACAGGTGCACGGTGCCACGCCTCGCTAATTTTTTTGCATTTTAGTAGAGACGGGGTTTCACCTTGTTGCCCAGGCTGGTCTCGAACTCCTGAGGTTAGGCAATCCACCCGCCTCGGCCTCCCAAAGTGTTAGGATTACAGGTGTGAGCCACCGTGCCTGGCAGGTGTGTGGTCTTTTGTGACTATTCTCTCATGTTTTCAAGGTTCATCCATGTTGTAGCATGTATCACTGTTTCTTTCCTTCTTACGGCTAGATAATATTCTATTTTATGGATAAAGCGTAATTTTTTTATCCATTTATCAATTGGTGGACATTTGGATTGTTTGTACTTTGGGCTTTCACGAATAGTGCTGCTATGAACACTCAAGTACAAGTTTTTATGTGGAAGTATTTTTTCATTTTTCTTAGGTGTATACATATTATTGAAATTGCTGGGTCATAGGGTAACTTTATATTTAACCCTTTGAGGGAGCACAAACTGTTTCCAAAGTGGCTGCATCATTTTACACCCCCACCAGCAGTGTATGAAAATTCCAATTTCTCTGCATCTTCCACAGCATTTGCTTTTTATTTTTTATTTATAATAAACATTCTAATTGGTGTGAAGTTGTAAATTGTTGGGGTTTTGATTTACAAATCCCTGATAGCTAATGAAGTGAGCATCTATTCACAAGCCTATCTTTTTTAGACAAATGTCTGTTCAGAACTTTTCCCATTTTTAAATTGGGTTGCCTGTTATCTTTACCTGTTCACCTCATTTTCAATTGGATTGCCTGTTAGTATTGATTATTGTGTTTAAGGATTCTTTCCATATTCTGGATACAAGTCTCTTGCCAGATACATGATTTGCAGATATTTTCTCTAACTTGTGGGTTACCTTTCCACTTACTTTATGGTGTCCTTTGAAGCACAACATTTTTTAACCTCAATGAAGCCTAATTAACCTATTTTTTTCTCTTCCTTTTTTTTTTTTTTTTTTTTTTTTTTGAGATGGAGTTTTGTCTTGTCGCCCAGGCTGGAGTGCAATGGCACGATCTCGGCTCACTGCAACCTCCATTTCCTGGGTTCAAACGATTCTCCTGCCTCAGCCTCCCTAGTAGCTGGGATTACAGGCTCACACCACCACGCCCAGCTAATTTTTGTATTTTTAGTTGAGATGTGGTTTCACCACGTTGGCCAGGCTTGTCTTGAACTCCTGACCTCAGGTGATCCACCCACCTTGGTCTCCCAAAGTGCTGGGATTACAGGTGTGAACCACCTTGCCTGACTTAAGTAACCTATTTTTTTGGGGGAGGGGGTCTCTTTTGCCTTTGGTCTTATACGCAAAAAAAGTACTCCTCTATTTCGTCTGAGAATATTATAGTTTTAGATCTTACATTTGGTTCCATGATCCATTTGGAGTTAACTTTTGTGTATGGCATGAGGAATGGAGTTTTACTGTATTCCTTTGCGAAAATGCGATGGTGGTTATGCAGTTGTCCCTGTTCTATTTGTTACAAAGTCCTTCATGGAGGAAGAATTTTTAAAATATTTTGCCCTGCTGAATTGTCTTGGCACCTTTGTTGAAAATCAATTCATCGTAAGTGTAAGAGTTTATTTCTGGATTATCAATTCAGTTCCATTGATCTACATGTCTATCCTTAAGCAAGGAACACACTGTTTTAATTACTGTACCTGTATAGTACAGTAAGTTTTGAAATTAGACTCTTCTTCCTATATTAGGATATCTTCATAGAGTTTATATATGTGACCTTTGATGCAGGAAATGGGTAGAAATGGTAGTATCTATCCATATATCAAATACTGGTATAATTTATGTTCTTTCTTATATTTTAATTTAAAAATTAAATATGAGAAGCTCTGGTATTTTCTTCTGCACCTGAACAAACTGGCTCATGCTATTGAATTGAATTATTTTCTTAAAGTTTGCATTTTAATTAATTTATTTAATTTTAATTATAATTACATTTAATTTTAATAATGTTTTAATGGATTTATTCTTTTGTTTCAAATCATCATATTAAGTTCCCAATTTATAGTCTTCTTAATTTTTCAGTCCCTTTAGTGTCATTAACGGCTTTCTTACTGAGTGAATTCAAAATGATAATATGTTGAAATTTTAAAGACAAAATATACTTAATTATACATATTACTGTGTTCATTTATCTATCAGTGAAATTATTTCATAGTTGGTACAGATTAATGTATATCTTATGAATATATGACCTGAAAGTAAATTCACATACTTTACCTTAGTAAAAAAAAAAAATGTGTTACCAAACGTATTTTTATGCTCTTTTCTTTTTTTTTTTTCTTTTCTTCTTTTTTTGAGACAGAGTTTCGCTCTGTCACTCAGGCTGGAGTCCAGTGGCCTGATCGTGGCTCACTGCAGTCTCAGCCTGCTGCATTCAAGTGATCCTCCCACCTCAGCCTCCTGGGACTACAGGCATTTGACAACACGCCAACTAATTTTTTTGTTGTTTAATTTTTTATAGAGATAGGGTCTCCCTATTTTGCCCAGGCTGGTCTTGAACTCCTGGGCTCAAGCATTTCTCTGCCTTGGCCTCCCAAAGTGCTGCGATTATAGTGTGAGCCGCTGTGCCCAGCCTATTTTTATTTTCTTTTTTCATTTATTTTTACATTTTCTCTCTTAATTTCTTCTTCTTCTACAAAAATGTAGTGTTTACAGTAAAGGTATCTGTATGTGGAAGGTTAGTTATTATAATAATATTGGTGTTTTATGTATGACAAACATGCCATAAGCATTAATTCTATTTTTGAAAAATTATTAAACAATTAATATGTATAAATATTACAACAATGAACACTCATAACATCCAGCTTAAGAAATAAAACACTACAGGTACAATTCAAGTTTCCTATGTATCTCTCTCCTATTGCCCCTCTCATTCCTTCCCTTCTGAATTTGCTGTTTATTTTTTCATGTATGTCTTTACTTTTTATTAATTTCATTAACATACTTAATATGTGATATTAATTTGCAAATTTTGGAAATAAAAATTTTTCATATATTCTTTTGCTTTTTTTCACTCACCATATTTGCGATAGTTTATAGTAAATATAAACTATTTGTACTAAATGTTCGTGAATTCTTCTTTAAAGTGTTAAAACAATTTACTCTCCTCCAAGTAGTCTATGAGTGTCTCTTGCTCTGTATTTTCAGAGTATGCATTATGATTTATGATTTCTGTCATTTGCTCTTGCTAAAGTCCATGATGATATTGATTCTAGCCCATGAGTAACCACCCACAGGTCAGGAAGCAAATGTGATCATCCAGAGCAAAGTGAAAACCCAGAAGCTATACATTTGGTCCCTGTGCGATAGCAACAAGAAAGCAAAGCAAAACAAAACAAAACAAAACAAAACAGAAAAAAATCTGTTATTACAAAAAACGGAACCATGTAATTTCCTTAACTCAGGGACCTTAGCACTTCGTAGTCTCCATTAGCAGGCCACCCCCAAGAAAATATTTAATTCTAAGCCAGAACATTATGCTTGTCATACAAAGACCTTCTAGAACTATCCCTACCCACTTTCAAATGATGGCAATGCCTATGCCCTACCACTTAGAATGATGGGGCCACAAAGGCATTGATGTTTTACTAGGCAATATTGAGGAATTTACAAAATAGTTGCATAACAACTCTTCTGTCAAAGTAATTACATGAATTTTATCAGTGGGAGTGGACAGATGTTTGAGCACAGTGGCCTTAGACCACACCATATAATGAAAAGTTGTCTTACACATCTCAGTTAGCTGAGAGTATTTTCCAGAATGACCATCTGGCAAAATAACCCATCAAAACAAAGTCCCCAGGTGAATCAGCTGAAAAAGAAAGACGAATACTTTGACTGCATAAAAAATAGACTCAATAGAGAATATGTAAAATAAATGTTAATAAAAAATGCTTTTGTGGAGAGCATGTTAACTATTCATTTAAGGGGGGTAACACATTTTCTAATGGTGCTCAATAAGTAAAATGTTAACTTGGGTATTTATCTAATTTTTATTAACAGTAGATTCTGAACTGTTTGACATTTAAATTTTTCAGCACTGTAAGAGAGAAGCATGCTCTTTCATACTTACTTAGATGTATAAACATGAATAAAATTATCTCAGTAAAACTACTAATGGTAAAAAAACTGGCTTAGTGAAACACTTCAATCAGTTCCAGAGACAACAGAAAAATGTAATTTCAGCTTTCAAGCTCAAGAAGGATGCTTTTGTTAATGAGGCTGGGTATCTATCCTAAAATAAAAGTGACCTGGCATTTAATGATAACTCAGTGATTAATATGCAGTATAATAACATGTGGTTTACTGGATTATTATAACTCTCCTTATACATTGAAAGCCATATTTCATTTGTAAAAGTGTATAATTGCAATCAACTCTTTGAATAAACTTCTCTCTTCTATAGTCCTATTTTGAAAGAAAGTTCAAAAATGTTTGGCCCATCTCTGTTCATAGTTCCAATAATTATGAATCTGTCCTAATAAAGTGTTTGGAAGATTTAACTGTTTAGTTTAAATAACATTTACCATTTTTTTTAATTACAGTTTTAATATAGGTAATATGCAGAAAACTTGGAAACGACATGAAAGTTCAAAGGAAAAATAATCCTCAAATCACTGGACCTTTTCTCACATTATCTCTTGGCTCCAACACAAAATAATTTTAGGATTTCGTCCCTTGGTAATCATTTTGTCTGGACTCTATTTCTCATATTTTTTTTCTCAGCCATTTCTTGGTTATTTTGTGTTGTGATTGCTTATAATATGTTTCCTTGTTTTATCCTATCCTTATAATAAGATCTTAAGGATGATTTTATATATATCTCTCTCCTTATTATGCATTCATTTAAAACTGAAAAATATATATTATTAAAGCCCACTATGTGTGAAACACTGCATGGGAATGATATGCATGGGAATATATAACAGCCAAAGGTCATCTCTTCATGGAACTTACTAACTACGGTTAAGGTGCAAGTGCCTAAATTTTGTTGCCAACCCACAACATCCTTAATCTCCTTTGCTGTCTGTACAGTGCAGCACAAGGACTGTTGCCTTTTGGTTGAGCAATAGATATTGGATGAACAGTTATAAGTAAGGAACAAATTAATATTAGACAAGTAGTTATTTGTTTCTTACTTATATTGCCATATTCCTTCTGGTAGACACTGGACAGGTAGGATGCTGCTTACTGAATTGTGAAATTTTATACTATGATGTAACATTTATAAAATGCTTTTGAGTTAGCAAACTGTTTTATCTTACAGGGTTTCAGTGAAGCTCAAGTAGAACAATACTTACTTACTATTAAAAAAAAAGAAAGGTAGCGGGTGGTGTTATTTAAATGGAGTCCTTACGGTATCAAACTACTCATTAACAGGAAAAATATTTAGTAACCCCAGTCATCTAAAACATGGCCATGTGATAAAAAAAGAAACATGGCCTTTCATTTCCAAATATCTATTGCATTTTCTTAATGCACAGACAAAATAATATGGCTTCTAGAAAGTATGAGAAAATATATAAAATGCAGCAGAAAATAAGTTAAAAGATGAGTTATATCCAGTTTCTGGTTCAACGAGCTTTCAACGTTATACAAGGAAAGATCATGTTACACACACACAAAAATGTGCATGCACACACCCATGCAAAATGTATTTAGAGCTTCTCCTTGCATTTGTCACCTGGTTAATTCCAATTTGTCTTTCATATTTAAAATTAAACATCACTTTCTTAAACAAAATTTCCCTGAACCTCTTCAACAGGTTTTTCTTAAAAGTTTTTCATATCATCCCGAATTTTTCCTGTATAGCACTCACTGTATTTATAATTACATTGTTGTACGAACATCATAGAGTATACCTACACAGACCTAGATGGTATAGCCTACTATGTACCTAGGCCATATATGATAGCTTACTTTTCCTAGCCTACAAACCTGTACAGCATGTTACTATACTGAATACTGTAGGCAATTTGTGTATATAAACATAGAAAAGGTACAATATAAATACAGTTTATTATAAAAGGTAAAACATAATATACCTGGATAAGGCACTTAGAATGAGTGGAGCTTGCATAACTGGAAGTTGCTGTGGGTGAGTCAGCGACTGGCTGATGAGTGAACATGAAGGCCTATGACATTATTGCATGGTACTGTAGACATCATAAACACTGTACACTTAGGCTACACTAAATTATTAAAAATAAAGTAATTGTGCTATGACATTAGGAAGGCTCATACGTCAGTAGGTGAAAGGGATTTTTGTGTTCCATTATAATCTTCTGGGCCCAGTGTCATATATGTGGTCTATCCTTGACCAAAATGTTGTTATGGAATGCATGGCTGTCTTTAGTATCTGTCTCCTTACTAGAGAATAAGCATAAAAAAGGTTCTGCACACTAGCAAAGTGTCCAGCATGGAGTGTGAGCTCAAGAAATAGTTACTGCATGCAATAACTCTAATATATAAAAGACTATGGCAGGGAAAGGAGAGAGAAAAACAAAATGTGATGGGAATGTAACAGAAGGGGAAAGCGCAATTAATGTGTGTTCAAAAAACACTGTGAAATTTTAAGTGGACCTTAGAGGATGTGTGTAGTGCTGAATGTGGAGCTTCATAGCCACACATAGAGGGGTGATCTAGAAAGGATGGCTTGGAAGAAGCATGAATGTTCATGGTCAACATATCCATGAGACACAGCAGACACAGTGCCCAAAGCCTATGATATGCTTGCTGTTAGGGGCCCACAAAACATTTTAAATTTTAATTTCTTAATCAGAAAAAAATGAATCTAATCATATGAATATATAATAATGAATCCAATATATGCCAATGTAGGCTTAAAATGTAGTTTTTAATACTATTTTTTGAAGTCCACAAAGGTAAAATTGCACAGGGCCCCTGAAAGTCATACTGCAGCCCTCGGAATGATATCTGATATTCAGTAGATAGTATTCGGTTAGAACTTAGAAAAGAATAAATGATCTAAGGCTTAAAATGTAGGTTAGCCTCAGGTAAAGGAGAGTACAAATGACAGGCTGTAGAGATTCTTCAAATTTGGGTTGACTTCGGAGTCTTTTTGTGTTAATGTCTTGCTTACTGCAGGGCTTCAGGAAGAGAATTCTTGCAGGAAGGAATAGGACTGGTTGGTATTAGAAGTTGGGTGATCAGTTAGGAGCTTTTTGCCATGTCTTACATGGGAGCTGAAGAAATTATAGTAGAAAGAAAGGGAGGAGATGGATATTACAAAAAATCAGATAAACATGTACCCAGGAATTGTAGATCATATGTGGAAAAGCTTCCTTTTCCCGACATAACCCCCCAAATCATAATTATATATTTGTGTTCCCTGTAACAGTGAGTTCCATATGAGGAAGGACTATATTAATCTTACTGCTGTGTCCTCAGAACACTGAACACAAGACACTCAAGAAAACAGGAGAGTTAGACTCTTGTAAAAGTGTATAAACCATTGTAGCTAGAACTAGGTCCCTGACCAATCCATCCCAATCATCGAAGCGAATGCCCAAAGCCTCAATATGTGAAATATACCTTCCAATTGATTGATGGTTTGATTATTCTGTAGAGCAAAACAGAAGTAACAACATACACATTAGTTATAACCTATTTTAAAGTTGATTTTAAATCATTCTTTTTTCTAAATTCAGAAATCTCTGCTTATGGTCTGTAATTAAATCTATATTTATAATCCAAATTTATAGATTTATATGCAGCATTAACTCATATCATGTACAGAGAAAGCTACAATTACGTAAAACCACATAATACGCAATGAGTACAGTTGTGTTGTATACAGATTTGTTAGCTTTCTCAGTAAGTTTCTCAGCCAGTGTAATTTGTACACTTAGCATGTACCAAGCCTTGAGTGAAAATACAGGATGAGTATGACCTGTGATGGCACATATTAGGTAGAAGGGGAGCACCTAGTCTAGCAGGAAGGTTAAGGCAAGGCCTTAACTAAGGAGAAGTAATGTCTGCCTCAAGTCTTGAAAGAACAAATGCTAGTCAGATAGGAAGCAGAAGCAGAAGAGCACACACATTTATAAAATTACTAGAATTAGACGTTTAAAAATACTTTGGTAACATTTGGAGCAACAGTTTCTTTATCCATGGCAAGAGAGTATTATGTTTTTTACCACTGTTCAGCTATTTTTCACATTCGTTAGGAAAGATAAATAAAAACAGCATAAAGATTATGAACTCCCTCATGTTGAAGATAAAATATTCAGTGTAGTATATATATTTTTGATAAATATTTTTATTAATAAATAAATAAATTCTTTATTAATAAATAAAATTTTGAAAGAATATATATTTAAAATATATATTTTGAAATACATACCTTTTTTTGCACAAAGCTCGCTGTGTAGCATTGATGATTAAATAAGCTGCCTATCTGTGTTTGAGAATATCTTTTCTTGGAGACAGAGGAAGAGACTAACTGAATCTTCCATAAAATTCCAAACTGTGATTCACTGATTCGGTAAGTTGGGAAGGATGAAGAATAATAACAGCGTTAAATCACTGAGGATATATTTAATAGTATATTAAAAACCAAATAATTTTATAGTGTTGAAATTATACCATACAAACTATGAAATATTCATTTTCTTCTATACCAATATATGAAGACTGAAAGGTGTCAAAATATAATTGTGTAATTGGTCATTTTTAGAGACATCCATAGAATTCATAAACAATATTCACTGAAATAAATTCAGGAGAGAATTTTCAGAATTAGGCCTCACTGGCAGTTTGAAAGTGTTGAATTGTTCTCCCACGTTGTGTGGCAGTTCTGGGGCTGTATTCAAAACGTTGGTATCTAGGTAGGAAATGAGTCAAAGTCGACGTTACTCTTGAGGTTAAAGGTCTGTTTCTTTCAATCAGTTCAAACTGACAGGCCTCCTGCCATCACCTCCTCCTTAGCCAGGCAGACAGGCCCTGGCCGTCAGTGTGAAAACATCTGTTGAATGGATTTATTGACTGGATCTTGTTTTTTCTCTCCCTTTCTCTATTTTTTTTTTCTTTTTCCTTCACACCGTTTATTATGTCTCTGACCTGATGAACTTAATTTGTTGACATGTCGCTCAGTGTCTCCCTCAATCCTTGTCTCACATTTCTTTCTACTGTGCTCTTTTCTTGGCAACAGCCTTTCCTGGAACCCACGCACACACGTGCGCTCTCTGTGCGCCAAGCTCCGCTGGCTGCGGTTGGCATGGATGGATTAGAGAAACACCGTCTCGTCTCCAGGACTCACTCTTCCCCTGCTGCCTCTGTTTTACCTCACCCAGCAATGGACCGCCCCCTCCAGCCTGGCTCTGCAACTGGTAGGAATCCCTAAAGACTCTCTCTAATAGGCAGGCTAAATGCCCCGTTCTTGTAGGATTAACCGATTTAAATGCTCTGAATAACTCCAATAGCAGAACACTCCATTTTAACCCAGTGCAACCCAAATTTTACGAGGTTATATTGGCTATAAGACAAACAGCACATCTGATAAATCTTGGGCTTAGTACTAATAGCCTCATAAATTGCTATCATCCAAGGGCCTGGAAAATACATCAACAGGTGCATGAGTTTTTTGGAAATGAAAATCCCTGCAACATTCTTTAGCAGTGTTCCTCAATCTCTACTCTTACCTTCTGCCCAGTCACTAGGAAATTGATGATGCTTGGCTTCCTCATTTGACTCCAAAGAGTACCCTTTAACCAGTTTGTTTTTTTGTTTGTTTGTTTTATTTCACTGTTTTCTTCTGGTTCCCCATGCAAATGACTCATGGGATTCTATAGTACCAAAGCAAACTTCACTTGATTCTATGTATGTTACTTTCATTTCTATTCATTATGGAATCTCTGGGTGGGCTTTTCGACCAACCTCTTCCTTTGTCTACAGCTGTGTTTGATATTTCAGAACCTGACTACAGAGGAAAACAAGCCAGATAATTCCAAGGCCAAAGGAAGGTTAAGTGTGGAACACACACACACACACACACACACACACACACACACACACACACAAAGGGTGCTATTCCCTCTGCAAAGGAACAGTGCTGTACATATATGCGTGGATAATTATTTCTTTTTGTGTACTCTACTCCATTCTAGTTCCGTGTTCTCAAACTGTGGCTAATCAAATGAAATATATTGTAGCCCTAAGAGACTCATAACTTGGATACTGCAGAAAACGAATTTATATGTACCTTCCCCAAAGGCTCTTTTGAGTTCTCTGATTTATTTTAAAATCCATTTTCAGGATTCAGAGCTTGTTTTTGTGGCTTCTGTGACCTCATGCAAGCCTTCGTGCTTGGAAAAGTTAAATCTATTTTCTAAAACCATATTCCCAAGCCTTGATATTATCTTTAGTTTAAAAATTAATGAATGAAATAGCCAAGTTAATTACCTTTGGTAGGCATCTTTAATAAGTATGCATAGAAGTGACTTTTTATAATGTTTTATGCCATAAGAAAACATTCCATACTAGGAGCTATGAGCTGGGTCTATTTCTTTCTCCGTACTAGCCATTGCCTCTGACTCTTCTACTTCCAGGAGCATAGCAAAACTGCCCAGATATTCCGGAAAACCCAGGAACACTGCCCAGTGTTAGTGGCAGCCTTTTGAATCAATCATGCCTGGTGCTATCCCTGTGGATTCACCGAGTTTTTGCTCAAAACCAGATACATGATACAGAGGAATAATTTTTTGCATGTAGAAAGAGCAATAGCCTTTAAGAATTACTTACTCTCTATTCTTTCTCCTGAAAGTGTCTTTTATTCAACCCTAATATTTCAGAAAATACAGAGTAACAACCATTCTATCAAAATAACTGTTTCCATTGACTGAAATAATTTCCTTAATATTATAATAATATTAAAAATTAAAAATAATATTAAAAATAAATTCCTTAAGTAAGCTTAACTACAAAGTTTCCTGTTGATGTGCCCAAGTTTGCTACTGTATATTACTGTAATCCTATGGATAAAGTTTCTTTCCTTGGTTAAGAGGGGTGGCCCTTTTCTGACATACTTCAGTGTCTTCTAGTTTTCATATGTTCCTTTGAATGAATGAAGCAAGACATCTGAATATTAGAGAGAACCTGGAGTTTAAGGAAACTGTGTTGCCAAATGGATAGGGTTTGTAGACCTTAGAAGAATCCAGATGCAAGGGTAGACTGTAAACCCAGCAACATAAACAGGACATAATCCTACCCTGATCATTCAAACAAAGACTAGGTCATTTCAGAGAGTTAGGTTTTTTTCCCCCTCATAATGTCAACATTTTAGTATTTATCAAAGCATGTATTCCAAAAACAAATAGGAAAGTGAACTTAAGATTCTTTTTATATATAATGGATTTGATAAGGCAATTCCTTGTCCACATGAGATATTATATAAAATTATTTTAGAAAACACAGGATTTTGTACTTAATAGGCATTCAATAAACATTTTAGTTGAATCAATGAATATTAATTTCATAATAAACACGAATTTACTAGTTCAAATTTGAATACACTGAAAGTAAAAATTACATTGTAACTATTGTTCCGCTAAAGGATAGCTAAGTTATTTACAAGTTACAATAACTAAGAGGAATATTTGTTAGCTCATTTGAACTTACAAGAATGTTGCATCTTTACACTGAAAATCTTACAAGAAAAACGCACAATATTTTAAAATCATGCAACATATGCAATTTATAATAATAGCTTCTCCACTGGCATTGGGATTAAAATATATATATACTTGATATGTAACATTCATTTAGTACTATTCCAAATCCTAAGGAAATGAAATGCACCATCTTCACTCTGCTATTCCACATATTGCTCTGGCTTTAATCCAATCTTAAATTTCCCCTGTAGCCTGAAAACTACTGTAATCCACATGATCTCAAAAATCACTTTAGTATTTCTAATGATCTTGATTTCAGATGAGAACTGTAAGGTTTTCATTCTAGTATGATTGAAAATATATCTTTTAAGCACTAATCTCCTTTCTTTTGACTTTTTAATATCTATTTGTTGCAGACATGTTAAACAATCTAAAGGAACATTCACCTATGTTCTTTAGGAATACAGTAGACCTTCTTATCTGCATGGGGGCTATTCTAAGACTCCCAGAGAATGCCTACAACAGCCAGTAGTATTGAACCAGTTGAGGTCAATAGGAACCCATTTCTGTTCATGTCTTCCACCCATAAATTTATGGTCTTTTCCATCTTAACTAAGCACTTTTCACATGCTGTGGCCATAGCTTTTGTAGTGTGAGGTGTGGTGGGACAGAAAACAATCACAAATTTCTTTTTTCTTCATCACAACTTCAGGGATAGAAGATTCCTTCTTACTGTAGAGCTTAGCAACTTTAGCATATGATTTTTTTTTAAATTTCCTTAAGTCAAGAACTTAAACCTTTCATTCAAAGGAAGCCCTTTAAGGCTTGTCTTTGGCACATCCAAACTGTTAGCATCACTACTCTTGCACTTTGGAGCCATTATGAAGTAAAAAATAATTAAAAGCATGCACTGGTGACACTGCCACAGTCAACCTGTCATCCAGACAGCTACTAAATGACTAATGGGCAGGTGACATAGAGAGCATGGAGCTGCTGGAGAAAGGGATAATTCACATCCTGGGCAAGCCGGAGTGGGGCACTGTAAGACTTCAACATGCTGCTCAGAATGATGCGCAATTTAAAACTTAGAATTTGGTTGTTATATAATTGTGTATTTCTGGAATTTTCCAGTTAATATTCTCAAACCATAGTTGAAACTGTAGAAAGAGAAACTGCAGATGGGGGAGGGGAGAGGCTATTTGTATTTGTATTTTTTTTTTAAAATAAACTCATACGATCTCACATTCTCAATAGCTGTTCCACTAAATAGCAAGGTAGCGGACACAGACACATTATAAAGCTAGGCGGCTGGCTTAAATCTATCCTCTAAGAGCTATACTTTTTGGTGCTACTAAGAAGTTATTTAACACAAAAGTCACATAATTTTCAATGCACATCATTTAAACCTTCACCATCCATGTGCATCCTCCACAGCCCACTGGATTAGGCACACAACTCCCTTTTTGACAAGAACAAAAAATGTTCCAAGGGAGAAATATTATCTGAGTTTAGTCAGTTTTGGAAAGATGCTGTCTTCATTCTATTTCCTGAGAGCAGAAAGTAGGCATAAATTGCATAAAATTATTTTTAAAGATAATTTTTTTTGAGACGGAGTTTTGCTCTTGTTGCCTAGGCTGGAGTGCAATGGAACGATCTTGGCTCACCACAACCTCCGCCTCCCGGGTTCAAGTGATTCTCCTGCCTCAGCCTCCCTAGTAGCTGGGATTACAGTCATGCACCACCACACCCAGCTAATTTTTGTATTTTTAGTAGAGACGGGGTTTCTCCATGTTGGTCAGGCTGGTCTTGAACTCCCAACCTCAGGTGATCCGCCCATTTCGGCCTCCCAAAGTGCTGGGATTACAGGCATGAGCCACCAGGCCCAGCCTTAAAAAAATGATATTCTTAAGACTATACTGTAAGTTTTTCCCCCAAACAAAAGACATAATTGAATTTAAACTTTATCACTAAATATTTGGTGAATATGAATACATGTATTTTTAGTAGAGACGGGATTTCTGTATGTTGGTCAGGTTGGTCTCCAACTCCCAACCTCAGGTGATCCACCCGCCTTGGCCTCCCAAAGTGCTGGGATTACAGGTGTGAGCTACTGAGCTGGGCCTGAGATAACTGTTATATATTAATTGAACTTTCGTGGTAACATTTATACTTTTGAGAATTATAAAAATTGATACAAGTTCATTGAAGGCAATTTGGTAAATCTAGAATATTATAATGGAAAGTCACTCATTATTCTCCCACTCAGAGGTAACCTCTATTAAAATATGTTTATACTTATTTTTCAATCAATACTTTTTACTCTATAAGCTTCTCTTTAATAGAATAAAGAAAAGTGATTTGTATTTGTATACATATCTATGTGCATGTGTGTATGTGTCTATCTGAAAGTATGTGTGTATATTTGTATGTGTGTATATACAGTGTATATATGTGTATATATGTGTATATACATATATACACTGTATGTATGTGTATATATGTGTATATAATGTATATACACACGTGTATATATGTGCATGTGTATATACACACACGTGTATATGTGTGCATATGTGTATATACACACACGTGTATATGTGTGCATATGTGTATATATACACACACACGTGTATATGTGTGCGTATGTGTACACACACACACGTGTATGTGTGCGTATGTGTACACACACACACGTGTATGTGTGCGTATGTGTACACACACGTGTATGTGTGCGTATGTGTACACACACGTGTGTTTGTGTGCGTATGTGTACACACACGTGTGTATGTGTGCGTATGTGTACACACACGTGTGTATGTGTGCGTATGTGTACACACACACGTGTGCGTATGTGTACACACACACGTGTGCGTATGTGTATACACACGTGTGTATGTATGTGTATACACACGTGTATGTGTGTGTATGTGTATATACACATGTGTATGTGTGTGTATGTGTATATACACATGTGTATGTGTGTATATATGTATATATACAGATATACATATATACATGTGTATATACGTATATACACATGTATACACATATATACATGTGTATATATACATATATATGTGTATACATGTATATATATACACATGTATACACATATATACACGTGTATACACATGTATATATGTGTCTATACATATATACACGTGTATACATGTGTCTATACGTATATACACATATATACATGTGTATATATGTATATAATGTATATATACACAGGTATATATGTGTATATATGTGTATATATGTGTATATAATGTATATATACACATGTATATATGTGTATGTGTGTGTGTATGTATGCCTGTGTTAAGGCCTTCTAGAGTAGCTTCTGTTATTACTCATATTAGAATAGAGAGACTAATTTTTTCTTTTGTCAGGAAATCTATTTTTTAAATTGCTGTCCTCAAATATATATGCTTGAAATTTCTTTCAAAAAACTCTTCCAAAATTTACTCATCTAATAATCACTGAAGAAGATAAAAAGAGCTATCTTCTTTATTTAGGAGATTAATTCAACTTGATCACATATATCATGTATCACATATCATAACATAAACATTAATGTAGAAAATATATTTATAAATATAGTTATATAATACATATTATTTATGTGTATCTCATATGTATACATACATACACACACATATATATTTTTTTGGGGGTATGCTTTTTATACCTAAGAATTTCATCCTATTACCTTCACACATGTTTTGAAGACAGACTTATTGGGACACAAGTTTTTTGTCTGAAAAGTCTGGAAATGTGATCAAATGTTCAAGGGGTTTAGCACTGAAGAGTAGAAGTCTGAGGCCAACCTGATATGCGTTTCTTTGTGGGAAGCCTGGTTTTTCTTTTCTGGAGATAAGACATATTTTGTTATCTTGTTAATTTAAAAAAATCATCTTTGTGATAAACATTTGCAATTACTTATCAATGCACAAATTTTTTTCTACTTACGGAAATATCCTCAATTAGTCCTATTTCACGTATACCTTGTTTTATTACATTTTACTTTAAAAATTTAAGGTTTGTGGCAATCCTGAATTGAGTAAGTCTATTGGTGCCACTTTTCCAATAGCATGTGTTCACTTCCTGTCTCTGAGTCACATTTGGGTATTTCTCACAATATATCAAAACTTTTCATCATTATTATATATTATAGTGATGTGTGATCAGTGATCTTTTTCATTATACTTTAAGTTCTAGGGTACATGAGCACAACGTGCAGGTTTGATACATAGGTACACATGTGCCATGTTGGTTTGCCGTACCCATCAACTTATCATTTACATTAGGTATTTCTCCTAATGCTACCCCTCCCCCAGCCCTCCACCTCTAGACAGGCCCTGGTGTGTGATGATCCCCGCCCTGAGTCCAAGT
Source organism: Homo sapiens (assembly GCF_000001405.40). NCBI lineage: Eukaryota > Metazoa > Chordata > Mammalia > Primates > Hominidae > Homo > Homo sapiens. The sequence continues at coordinate 18,734,436 of NC_000007.14, forward strand.
GTTCTCACTGTTCAATTCCCACCTGTGAGTGAGAACATGTGGTGGTTGGTTTTCTGTCCTTGTGATAGTTTGCTGAGAATGGTGGTTTCCAGCTTCCAGCTTCATCCGTGTCCCTGCAAAGGACATGAACTCATCCTTTTTTATGGCTGCATAGTATTCCATGGTGTATATGCGCCACATTTTCTTAATCCAGTCTATCGTTGATGGACATTTGAGTCGATTCCAGGTCTTTCCTGTTGTGAATAGTGCTACAATAAACATACATGTGCATGTGTCTTTATAGTAGCATGATTTATAATCCTTTGGGTATATACCCAGTAATGGGATCACTAGGTCAAATGGTATTTCTAGCTCTAGATCCTTGAGGAATCGCCACACTGTGTTCCACAATGGTTGAACTAGTTTGCACTCCCACCAACAGTGTAAAAGCATTCCTACTTCTCCACATCCTCTCCAGCATCTGTTGTTTCCTGACTTTTTAGTGATTGCTATTCTAACTGGTGTGAAATGGTATCTCATTGTGGTTTTGATTTGCATTTCTCTGATGACCAGTGAAGATGAGTATTTTTTCATGTATCTGTTGGCTGCCTAAATGTCTTCTTTTGAGAAGTGTCTGTTCATATCCTTCACCCACTTTTTGATGTGGTTGTTTGATTTTTTCTTGTAAATTTGTTTGAGTTATTCATAGATTCTGCATAATAGCCCTTTGTCAGATGGGTAGATTGCAAAATTTTTCTCCATTCTGTAGGTTGCCTGTTCACTCTGATGGTAGTTCCTTTGCCAGGCAGAAGCTTTTTAGCTTAATTAGATCCCATTCGTCTATTTTGGCTTTTGTTGGCATTGCTTTTGGTGTTTTTGTTATGAAGTCCTTGCCCATGCCTATGGCCTGAATGGTATTGCCTAGGTTTTCTTCTAGGGTTTTTATGGTTTTAGGTCTAACATTTAAGTCTTTAATCCATCCTGAGTTAATTTTTGTATAAGGTGTAAGGAAGGGATCCAGTTCAGCTTTCTACATATGTCTAGCCAGTTTTCCCTGCACCATTTATTAAATAGGGACTCCCTTCCCCATTTCTTGTTTTTGTCAGGTTTGTCAAAGATCAGATGTTTGTAGATGTGTGGTGTTATTTCTGAGGCCTCTGTTCTGTTCTATTGGTCTACATAACTGTTTTGGTACCAGTACCATGCTGTTTTTGTTACTGTTGCCTTATAGTATACTTTGAAGTCAGGTAGCATCATGCCTCCAGGTTTGTTCTTTTTGCTTAGGATTGTCTTGGCTATGCAGGCTCTTTTCTGGTTCCATACAAAATTTAAAGTAGTTTTTCCAATTCTGTGAAGAAAGTCAATAGTAGCTTGATGGGGATAGCATTGAATCTATAAATTACTTTGGGCAGTATGGCCATTTTCACGATATTGGTTCTTCCTAACCATGAGCATAGAAAGGTTTTCCATTTGTTTGCATCCTCTCCTATTTACTTGAGCAGTGGTTTGTAGCTCTCCTTGAAGAGGTGTTTCACATCCCTTGTAAGTTGTATTTCTAGGTATTTTATTCTCTTTGTAGTAATTGTGAATGGGAGTTCACTCACGATTTGACTCTCTGTTTGTCTGTTATTGGTATACAGGAATGCTTGTGATTTTTGCACATTGATTTTCTATCCTGAGACTTTGCTGAAGTTGCTTATCAGCTTAAGGAGATTTTGGGCTGAGACGATAGGGTTTTCTAAATATACAATCATGTCATCTGCAAACAGGGACAATTTCACTTCCTCTTTTTCTAATTGAATACCCTTTATTTCTATCTCTTGCCTGATTGCCCTGGCCAGAAGTTCCAACACTATGTTAAATAGGAATGGTGAGAGAGGGCATCCTTGTCTTGTGCTGGTTTTCAAAGGGAATGCTTCCAGTTTTTGCCCATTCAGTATGATACTGGCTGTGGGTTTGTCATAAATAGCTCTTATTATTTTGAGATACATTCCATAAATACCTGATTTATTGAGAGTTTTTAGCATGAAGGGCTGTTGAATTTTGTCTAAGGCCTTTTCTGCATCTATTGAGATAATGATGTGGTTTTGTTGTTGGTTCCATTTATGTGATGGATTACGTTTATTGATTTGTGTATGTTGAACCAGCCTTGCATCCCAGCGATGAAGCTGACTTGATCGTGGTGGATAAACTTTTTGATATGCTGCTGGATTCGGTTTGCCAGGATTTTATTGAGGATATTCACATTGATGTTCATCAGGGATATTGGTCTAAAATTCTCTTTTTTTGTTGTGTCTCTGCCAGGCTTTGGTATCAGGATGAAGCTGGCCTCATAAAATCAGTTACGGAGAATTCCCTCTTTTTCTATTTATTGGAATAGTTTCAGAAGGAATGGTATCAGCTCCTCTTTGTAACTCTGGTAGAATTCGGGTGTGAATCCATCTGGTATTGGACTTTTTTTGGTTGGTAGGCTATTAATTATTGCCTCAATTTCGGAGCCTGTTATTGGTCTGTTCATAGATTCAACTTCTTCCGGCTTTAGTCTTGAGAAGGTTTATGTGTCCAGGAATTTATCCATTTCTTCTAGATTTTCTAGTTTATTTGCATAGAGGTGTTCATAGTATTCTCTGATGGTAGTTTGTATTTCTGTGGGATTGGTGGTGATATCCCCTTTTTCATTTTTTATTGCGTCTATTTGATTCTTCTCTCTTTTCTTCTTTATTGGTCTTGCTAGCAGTCTATCAATTTTGTTGATCTTTTCAAAAAACCAGCTCCTGGATCATTGATTTTTTGAAGGGCTTTTTGTGTCTCTATCTCCTTCAGTTCTGCTCTGGTCTTAGTTATTTCTTGCTTTCCGCTAGCTTTTGAATTTGTTTGCTCTTCCTTCTCTAGTTCGTTTAACTGTGATATTAGGGTCTTGATTTTAGATCTTTCCTGCTTTCTCTTGTGGGCATTTAGTGCTATACATTTCCCTCTACACACTGCTTTAAATGTGTCCCAGAGATTCTGGTAAGTGGTGTCTTTGTTCTCACTGGTTTCAAAGAACATCTTTATTTCTGCCTTTTTTTCGTTATTTACCCAGTAGTCATTCAGGAGCAGGTTGTTCAGTTTCCATGTAGTTGTCCAGTTTTGATTAGAATATAGTTTTCATTAGAATTAATTAGAACTTAATCCTGAGTTCTAATTTGATTGCACTGTTGTCTGACAAACAGTTTATTGTGATTTCTGTTCTTTTACATTTGCTGAGGAGTGCTTTATTCCCTATGATGTGGTCAATTTTAGAATAAGTGCGATGTGGTGCTGAGAAGAATGTATATTCTGTTGATTTGGGGTGGAGAGTTCTGTAGATGTCTATTAGGTCCGCTTGGTGCAGAGCTGAGTTCAAGTCCTGGATATCCTTCTTAACCTTCTATCTCATTCATCTGTCTAATATTGGCAGTGGGGTGTTAAAGTCTCCCATTATTATTGTGTGGGAGTCTAAGTCTCTTTGTATGTCTCTAAGGACTTGCTGTATGAATCTGGGTGCTCCTGCATTGGGTGCATATATCTTTAGGATAGTTAGCTCTTCTTGTTGAATTGATCCCTTTACCATTATGTAATGGTGTTCTTTGTCTCTTTTGATCTTTGTTGGTTTAAAGTCTGTTTTATCAGAGACTAGGATTGCAACCCCTGCTTTTTTTTGCTTTCCATTTGCTTGGTAGATCTTCCTCCATCCCTTTATTTTGAGCCTATGTGTGTCTCTGCAGGTGAGATGGGTCTCCTGAATACAGCACACTGATGGATCTTGACTCATTGTCCAATTTGCCAGTCTGTGTCTTTTAATTGGGGCAGTTAGCCCATTTAAATTTAAGGTTAATATTGTTATGTGTGAATTTGATCCTGTCATTATGATGTTAGCTGGTTATTTTGCCCATTAATTGATGCAGTTTCTTCATAGCATCAATGGTCTTTACAATTTGGCATGTTTTTGCAGTGGCTGGTACCAGTTGTTTCTTTCCATGTTTAGTGCTTCCTTCAGGAGCTCTTGTAAGGCAGGCCTGGTATTGACAACATTACTCAGCATTTGCTTATGTATAATGGATTTTATTTCTCCTTCACTTATAAAGCTTAGTTTGGCTGGATATGAAATTCTGGGTTGAAAATTCTTTTCTTTGAGAATGTTGAATATTGGCCTCCACTCTCTTCTGGCTTGTAGGGTTTCTGCAGAGAGATCCGCTGTTAGTCTGATGGGCTTCCCTTTGTGGGTAACCCGACCTTTGTGTCTGGCTGCCCTTAACACTTTTTCCTTCATTTCAACCTTGGTGTATTTGATGATTATGTGTCTTGGGGTTGCACTTCTTGAGGAATATCTTTGTGGTGTTCTCTGTACTTCCTGAATTTGAATGTTGGCCTGCCTTGTGAGGTTGGGGATGTTCTCCTGGATAGTATCCTGAAGAGTGTTTTCCAAGTTGTTTCCCTTCTCCTCATCACTTTCAGGTACACCAATCAAATGTAGATTTGGTCTTTTCACATAGTCCCATATTTCTTGCAGGCTTTGTTCATTTCTTTTTACTCTTTTTTCTCTAACCTTGTCTTCTCACTTCATTTCATTAATTTGATCTTCAATCACTGATTCCCTTTCTTCCACTTGATCAAATCAGCTATTGAAGCTTGTGCATGTGTCATGAAATTCTTGTGCCATGGTTTTCAGCTCCATCAGGCCATTTCAGGTCTTCTCTACACTGTTTATTCTAGTTAGCCATTCATCTAATCTTTTTTCAAGGTTTTTAGCTTCCTTGAGATGGGTTCGAACAAGCTCCTTTAGCTCAGAGATGTTTGTTATTACCAACCTTCTGAAGCCTACTTTTGTCAACTTGACAAATCATTCTCCATCCAGCCTTGTTCCATTGCTGGCAAGGGGCTGAAATGCTTTGCAGGAGAAGAGGCACTCAGGCTTTTAGAATTTTCAGCTTTTCTGCTCTGGTTTCTCCCCATCTTTGTGGTTTTATCTACCTTTGGTCTTTGATGTTGGTGACCTACAGATGGGGTTTTGGTGTAGATGTCCTTTTTGTTGATGTTGATGCTATTCCTTTCTGTTTGTTAGTTTTCCTTCTAACCATCAGGTCCCTCAGCTACAGGTCTGTTGGAGTTTGTTGGAGGTCCACTCCAGACCCTGTTTGCCTGGGTATCACCAGTGAAGGCTGCAGAACAGCAAATATTGCAGCCTGATCCTTCCTCTTGAAGCTTCTTCCCAGAGAGGCAGCTGCCTATATGAGGTGTCTGTCGGTCCCTACTGGGAGATGTCTCCCAGTTTGGCTACATGGGTGTCAGGGACCCACTCGAGGAGGCAGTCTGTCCATTCTCAGAGCTCAAATGCCGTGCTGGGAGAACCACTTCTCTCTTCAGATCTGTCAGACAGGGACGTTTAAGTCTGTAGAAGTTGTCTGCTTCCTTTTGTTCAGCTATGCCCTGCCCACAGAGGTGGAGTCTGTAGAGGCAGTAGGCCTTGCTGAGCTGCAGTGGGCTCTGCCCAGTTTGAGCTTCCCAGCTGCTTTGTTTTAGCTACTCAAGCCTCAGCAATGGCAGACACCCCTTCCCCAGCCAGGCTGCTCCCTCACAGTTCCATCTCAGACTGCTCTGCTAGCACTGAGCAAGGCTCTATGAGCGTGGGACCTGCCAAGCCAGGCACGGAAGAGAATCTCCTCGTCTGCCGATTGCTAAGACCTTGGGAAAAGTGCAGTATTTGGGCAGAAGTGTCCCGTTTTTCAGGTACAGTCTGTCATGGCTTCCCTTGGCTAGGAAAGGGAAATCCCCCAACCCCTTGTGCTTCCTGGGTGAGGTGATGCCCTGCCCTGCTTCAGCTCGCCCTCCGTGGGCTGCACCCACTCTCCAACCAGTCTTATTGAGATGAACCAGGTACCTCAGTTGGAAATGCAGAAATCCCCCATCTTCTGTGTCAATCACAGAAGACCTGCAGACCAGAGCTGTTCCCATTTGGCCATTTTGGAATGGACCCAATCAGTGATCTTTTTATAGTACTCTTGTAATTGTTTTGGGGAACCATGAACCACACCCAATCAAGACAGTGAACTTGGTAGATAAATATTGTGTGTGTTCTGACTGCTCCACTAAGCGGGCATGGCCCCATCTTCCTTTCTCTTTTTGGCCCTCTCTATTCCCAGAGACACTGGGAATTTAGACCAATTTATAAACCCACAGTCCAATTAGGCCAATTTATAAACCCACAGTCCCTTTGTGTTCAAGTGAAAGGAAGAGTCACATGTCTCCCAATTTCAATCAAAAGCTAGAAATGATTAAGCTTAGTGAGGAAGTCATGTCAAAAGCTGAGATAGGCAAAAGCTGGGCCTCTTGTGCTGGTTACCCAAGGTGTGAATAGAAAAGAAAAGCTCTTGAAGGAAATTAAAAGTGTTACTGTAGTGAACAGACAAATGATAAGAAAGCAAAACAGCCTTATTGCTCATATGGAGAGAGTTTTAGTGGTCTTGGTAGATCAAACCAGCCACAGTATTTCCTTCAGCCAAAACCTCATCCAGAGCAAGTCCCTAACTCTTCAATTCTATGAGGGCTGAGAGAGGTGAGGAAGTTGCTGAAGAAAAGTTGAAAGCCAGCAGAGGTTGGCTCTTGAGGTTTAAGGAAAGAAGCCGTCTCTGTAACATGAAAGTGGAAGGTAAAGCAGCAAGTGTTGATGTAGAAGCTACAACACGTTTTCCAGAAAGTCTAGCTAAGACCGTTGGTGAAGATGGCTACACTAAACAACAAATTTCGTTGTAGATGAAAGAGCCTTTCACTGGAAGAAGAGATAGAGAGAAAACTTTAAGAGATAGAGAGAAATAGTCAATGACTGGCTTCAAAGAATAAGCTGACTCTCTTGTTAGAGGCTAATGCAGCTAGTGGCTTTAAGTTGAAGCCAGTGCTCATTTCCCTTCCTCAAAATACTGTGCCCTTCAGAATTATGCTAAGTCTACTCTACCTGTGCTCTATAAATGGAACCACAAAGCCTGGGTGACAGCATATCCGTTTAGAGTGTGGTTTATTGAGGATTTTAAGCTCAATTTTTAGACTTACTGCTCAGGGGGGAAAAAAAGTTCCCTTTCAAAATATGACTGCCTAATTGACTGTGTACCTGGTCACCCAAGAACTCTGATGGACATGTGCAATGAGATTAAGTTTTCATACCTGCTAACACAGCATCCATTCTGCAGCCCATAGATCAAGGAGTCTTTTAAATTTTTACATCTTATTATTTAAGAAATACATTCTATAAGGCTATACCTTCCATAGACAGTGATTCCCTTGATGGGTCTGAGCAATGTACATTGAAACCTTCTGGAAAGGATTCACCATTCTAGATGCCATTAAGAACATTCATGATTCATGGGAGGAATATCAACATTGACAAGTGATTGAAAGAAGTTGATTCCAGTTCTCATGGATGACTTCGAGGGGGTCAATACTTCAATGGAGGAACTAACTGCAGAAGTAGCAAGGGAACTAGAATTAGAAATGGAACCTCAATATATCACTGAATTGCTCCAATCTCATTATAAAACTTGAATTAATAAGGAGTTATTTCTTAGGGGTTGAGCAAGAAAAATGTTTTCTTGGGATGGAGTGTACTCCTGGTGAAGATGCAGTGGGCATTGTTGAAATGACGAGAAAGGATTTAGAATATTACATAAACTTAGTTGATAAAGCAGCAGCAGAGTTTGACAGGATTACCTCCAGTTTTGAAAGAAGGTCTACTATCGGTTAAATGCTATAATACTAAGCAGCATTCCATGCTACAGAGAAATGTTTTGTGAAAGGAAGATTTCATGGATGTTGCAAACTTCATTGTTATCTTGTTTGAAGAAATTGCCACAGCCACTCCAGCCTTCAGTAACTACTACCCTGATCAGTTAGCAGCCATCAATATCAAGGCAAGACCCTCCACAAGCAAAAAGATTATGACTCACTGAAAGCTCAGATGATTATTAGCACTTTAGCAATAAATTAATTTTTAATTAAGGTATGTACATTGGTTTCTTTGACACAATGATTCCACACTTCATAGGTTACAGTATAATGTAAACATAACTTTTACAAGCATAAGCAAACCAAAAAACTCATGTGACTTGCTTTATTGTGATATTTGCTTTATTCGGATGATTTGGAATCTAACCAGCAATATGTCCCAGGTATTCCTGTATTTGGTTAGTCAGATTTCCTCCTCAGGAGCAATTACAACTTTTTATTTGGTTATTTTTTTTTTCTGACCACTGTATTTTCATCTTATTATGTACATCTAGTAGTCCTTTCCTTTATATTCTGGAGGCTTCTCAAGTTTGTATTCAATAGCGCTGATCTGGCTTTCTGAAATGTAAATTCCTTTCTTTATTGCCTCCAGTATAGATTTTAATTTTGCTACTCTTTAATTTCCTTGCAATCCCTGTTTATCATATCCAGTTTTATTTTTATTCATTCCATTGTCTTTTTAATTTAGTTCTATCTCTGCCTTTAGCTTTGGTCTCTGATGTTATAGGACCAGTGTCTTTTGACTTTTGAAGAGAACAAAACATTTTCTAAAATCTTATTTTGCTTCCTATAGTAAATCATGTTCACTGAACGAAGCAGTATGAATGATATTTTCTTCATAATATCCGTAGTATATTCTCAACGGCCCTGTTTTTTTTTCTCACTCATTCTTGAATGTAGAAAAGCTTTCCAGATATTTTGCCAGCAAATGTGTAGTGAATTGTGTTTGGCTTCACTTTTTGCCAACTTACATGCTGGTTGAATCTCCTTCCTGGCTTTACAGTTAAATGGCAACACTTAATCTAATTCCTAGGCCTTAACAGACACTCATATAGTGTTAGTTGGAAGGCTTATGTTGGGAATTTCTTCTACCCACTTCCTTTCTAGCTGTCTGATACTCTGTTAAGATGACTTACATGAAAAAAAGACAAACAGACAAACACAAAGCTGTAAGGTTTAGAAAATGCTTCTTATCTAGTGAGAGATACAATTTATCAATTTTTTTAAACAGAATTTTTAGGCATTATATCATTTGCTTGCTGGATACATCAAGTTTCACAAATAATTTAAAAATTACACTGTTTGGTACTTTGAGTTCTGTGTTCTTGTTAAAAAATGCTGCAGATAGTTATCACACCACTACACTCCAGCCTGGGCAACAGAGTGAGACTGCGTCTCAAAAAAAAAAAAAAATTGCAGATAGTAAAATATAAACTGCACTTCAGCCTAGGTGACAGAGTGAGAACCTGTCTCTAAAAACATAAAATAAAAAAATTAAAATTAAAATTAAACAATTAAAAAATAAATTAAAAAAATAAGACACCGTAAGTCTTATGGATAGATTAGCATTATGGATAGAAATAGTAACAGCCACTATGCATGAGATTTGACGGTCATTAGACATGAACCTTGTTTCAGAATAGCTTTTTTTATCTTTTTTAGTAATTCTACCATTTGAAGATCATTCCGTCTTTAAAAAAATTTTTGTGTTTTTAGGAGATCTTTGATTCTCTAGCCTCACAAATTTTTTCTTTAGCAGAGTTTTCAAAAGTGTCATATTTTTACATCTCACTTTTACTACTAGTTTTTTTTTTTTTTTTTTTTTGAGATGGAGTTTCGCTCTTGTTACCCAGGCTGGAGTGCAACAGCACTCCCAGGTTCAAGCGATCCTCCTGCCTCAGCCTCCTGAGTAGCTGGGATTGCAGGCATATACCACCACACCTGGCTAATTTTTTGTATTTTTAGTAGAGACGGGGTTTCTCCATGTTGGTCAGGCTGGTCTTGAACTCCTGACCTCTAGTGATCTGCCCGCCTTGGCCTCCCAAAGTGCTGGGATTAGAGGCGTGAGCCACCGCGCCCGGCCTTTACTACTAGATTTTAAGTTAAATGTGGTAAAATGAAGCTGCTAGAATCTGGAACATAGTGAGCATTCAATAACTGTCTACTGATTCTGCATCTTCCAGGAGAATGCCATGTCATATATATTTGTGCTGTGCTAGTCCTTTGTCCAGTCCCTTGCCCTAGAAGGAGTTTAATAAGTGTTGTTTAGCAAACACCTTGGGAGGTGTGAAACCTCAGGTAGTTCCCAGAAATGCAATATGAAGTTGAATGTTAGGAACTACAAATCAGGATCAATAATTTTAGTCCAAATGTTCTAAACTCAGCTTTCTTTATAGACAAGATAAATTGTCTATAAAGACTCTATAGACTCAGACTAATAGGTCTTACTAGACTGAGTGTAAATTTGAAGACAGAAATAGATTATATGGCTAAAAAATGACAACTACATGCAATAAAGAAGGAAAGATACTACACTAGATGCTACAAATACATTATCTCATTTAATAAGACTGAGAGAAAGAGAAAGCACAAAGTCCAAGTTTATCTAAAAAATTTATCAAGAAATTTTAAGGATTTCTTGTATGTAAAAAAATATATATATAATACGTATTTTCTACATATATACGTATATATGTGGAAAACAAACAACTGTTGTTTAAAATGCAGGTAAATATTTTAAGGCTCCTTTGTGTATTTTTCAAATTCTAATTTTAACTCTTGTCCCACTGATCAGGAGAAAAATTAATTAATCTATTGGCTTATGTTATATTGCAAATGGTAATCAGTGAGCCAGAAAGGGTCAAACAAAAGTAGAATTCCATATGAATTGCAAAGAAAAGAGCAGGCTTATTTCTCACCCTATAAGTCCATGTTTCTGAGAAGCCAAAGAGAGAGAATGAAAGAGAGAGGGAAGGAATGAAGATGAAGGATGAGGTTAAAGTTTCATTTTCCAGTCTACCTGTTAACACCTCAGTGATACATCATTAGGATGAGTCAGTGGAAGTTTGGGGTTCCAGATTGTATATATTTCCCTTTAAATTCAAATGGCCTTCCAAGAGCCCCTGGACTTTGAATTATAATCTCTAGGTACCTGGCAAAAATTCCCAGCTACCATTACCTGTTTCACAATTATTTTTCTTGGCAGTGGATTATGGGGAAAATGTCATTAAAAGGGGGAAACATTACTACAGAGGTAAGCTTAGATATGTCAAGAGATGAAATAGTGAAAAAGTTAAGCAATGTAATGATTAGACTCTCTACTCTTTTTTTTTTTTTTTTTTTTTTTTTTGAGACGGAGTCTCGGTCTGTCGCCCAGGCCGGACTGCGGACTGCAGTGGCGCAATCTCAGCTCACTGCAAGCTCCGCCTCCCGGGTTCACACCATTCTCCTGCCTCAGCCTCCCGAGTAGCTGGGACTACAGGCGCCCGCCACCACGCCTGGCTAATTTTTTGTATTTTTAGTAGAGACGGGGTTTCACCTTGTTAGCCAGGTTGGTCTCGATCTGCTGACCTCATGATCCATCCGCCTCGGCCTCCCAAAGTGCTGGGATTACAGGCGTGAGCCACCGTGCCCGGCCCGACTCTCTACTCTTGAAGAATATATTTCTTCTTCTTCTTTTTTTTTTTTTTTTTTTTTTTGCCCATGCAAGTTCTCACCCTGTGGCCCAGGCTGGAGTGCAGTGGCTCAATCACTGCTCACTGCTGCATTGGCGTCCTGGGCTCAAGCAATTCTCCCACCAGCAGCAGGCACACCACCATTCCTGGCTAGTTTTTAAAAATTTTTGTGGAGACAGGGTCTCCCTATGTTGTTCAGGCTGGTTTCAAATTCCTGGGCTCAAGCAATCCTCCTGCCTCAGCCTCCCAAAGTGCTAGGCTTACAGGTGTAAGGCACCGTACCTGGCCAAAAATATATTTTCAAAATGAGGTGGATGTTATACTTTTTGTTTCCATGTTATTAAACTATCACTTTTTATTTTATGAAACTATAGTTGAAAAAAATGTTAAACAGTTCTTCTTATATAGTAGTAACTCATAAATACTTGATATATTTAAATTGTGAAGACACGTCTTACACATCTCTGTATTTTAAATGTTATTCTTCCTTCCTGCTTGCCTGCTTCCTTTTCTGCCTTCCTTAATGTCTTCCTTCTGACTTTATTTAAAAATATTTATCCTTATTGGACTTTATAGAAAATGTAAAAAGAGGACTTTGTGAAATTCCATGTAGAAATATAAAGCTAAGTAAAATAAATGCCTATATTAGAAGCACTTAGGGTAGGAAGATAAGGGACATAAAATAAAAGGTAGAAGATTAAACAAGTAAGACTACCCTTCAGGAATCCAAGGAGATCCACCAATTAATTCATTGAGGAAAGCTTTAGTGGAAATATCTGACCTATTTTTGGGATACATTCATTCATTTACAGTTTTCATTCACTCATTAAAACATATTTTTTGAGGACCGGCTTTATTTAAGCTTGTTTATGGCCACTGAAATTTCAAAGGTAAAAACACGACTATCATCTGCACTCTCAAAGATCTCACCATCTAATGAAGAAAATATACAATTAACAAAATTATACAACAATTATATAATTGTGACAAATGCTTGAAGGAGATCCAGAGGATGCTAAGAGAGTATATAGTAGGAGACCTAATTTAGAGATCTCAGGGTATGCTTGGTAGAGGAGGTGACATTAAAAACTGAGCCTTGAAGAGTGAAAAAAGATTAGCCAAATGAGGACTGGAGTTATGGAGGTCAAGAAGGAAGAATTTCCGGCATAGAGGGAATAGCATGTATAAATGTCACAAGGCTGCTAGGATTTTGATCTTTTTGAGGAAAGGAAGGAAGGCTTTTGTAGGCGAAATAGAGAACAAAAGAGGGAGATATATGAATTGAAGCTGGAAAGATGGGGAGGGGCCTATGTATGCTGGCCTGGAGGAATTTCAGTCTCTTTAGTGAAGGCCCTGAAGGATTTAAACAGAAGAGGCGACTGTTGTGTGGCAAATGGAATAGAGTGAAAGTCAGGTTCTGCATTACAAGGCAATCTCAGAAGTCCAGATTAGAGATAATAACACCTTGGATTGTGTATGGTTTTGGCAGTGGAGATAAGGAGAATGAATAATTCAAGATCTGTTTTGGAGGGAAAACAGACACTGCTTTGGTTCTTTGGAGGGGGAGCGTCAAGGGGACATTAAGGTTTCTCGTATGAACAATGGCAGATCTTGATGTCTTTTGTAAACATGGGTAATATCGTGTGTGGTTTAAGATCATGAATTAAAAATCAGAGACATTTTCACTTTATGAAAACCATGAGACAACTAAGTGGAGATTTTGGATGGATCATTCAATGGGGAAGTGTGTAAGTAAGCTGCTCATAAGGGAGGTCAGTCCTGAGGATGAAAATGTGAGAATCAGGGGAAGAAGGATAGAGTTTGAAGCCATTTGAGTCCTAAGAATAGATATTATTTGGAATGGTAAAATTATATTCTTTTGTTAGACATAATTTCTACCACATGGTTTCAAAATGCAGGTGCCATTCTTCTGCATTATTTGAGCACACTCAAGGAAAAATATTTTCTTCTCTTGAGTAACATTTCTTTAACACAATAATGTAAGCCAAAAGGAGAATAAAATGTACTTTATTAAACTTCTTTTACAGCATAAATTACTGGTGCTTATCTATTCCTGAAGATTTTTTTTGGTTGTTGTTGTAAAACTTCTTATAATGGGTGTTCTCCCCATCTACAAATATACTTCGATGGTCATTTATTGGAAGACATTTGATTTGTTAAATAATTTCTTATGTCAGGCAATTTTGCAAGTAACATGTTTCCACCTCAAGGAATAGGTTTATGGGTAGAAATCTTCTTTAAATGAGCCAGAGTTATAATTATCATCTAACTTGTTGCTTTAAAAAGTCCTATTTTAAGTTCTGCTAATAATTCATCTTATCATGTTATTATACAGTCTTTCCCATCATAAGGCTTACTTGAAAATGAAATATGCTAATACTTGATAATTTAAAAGAAGATTGTATTCATTAGTATCTGTATAATCTCTAGTAGTGGCATTGTAATTTACATTTATTTTTTAAAAGAAACACTTTAAATGCCCCACGATATTATAAGATCTACAACATCCATATTGGTTACATAATGACATAAATTATGGGGAGAAACACAAATAAACAAAGAAACTGTTTTTGAACAACCTTGAAGAAATTACTAAACAGGATAGGCAGAGTGGGAAAATCTTCCGTTTTATTACAAAAATGAAACCTTGATCTGAAGTCAGGCTAGAATGACTCATGGAAGATTTAAAGAGACAGCTTGTTTAGTGGCTCCAATGGTGTGGTGAAATTAAAACCTCTACTGAATTAAATTATCTGCCTAAAAACAATTCATAATGATTTAAAATACTGGTAAGATTACAATATGTATATTTTAAAATCTGAAGTGTCTTAAAATGTCATCATCTTCATCACTTTACAGATTTACTAAACTAGGGTCTGAGTACTGGTTAATGCGTAAGTTCGTGTTTTTGAGTAAATATCCAGATAGACAGGTCTCAATAGTTCTTATGTGCTCCTGAGAATTTGCTTTGTGATATTTCCTCCTTTGTTAAATTTATTTTAAGAATAATGACTTTTTTGGAGTTATCATATTATCTCCTAACATGTGTCATTATCTTGTACTGTTACTCAATCTTGTCCTGTATTTCCCTTGTCTTAAAGGAATTGCCTATGACCCCTTGATGCTGAAACACCAGTGCGTTTGTGGCAATTCCACCACCCACCCTGAGCATGCTGGACGAATACAGAGTATCTGGTCACGACTGCAAGAAACTGGGCTGCTAAATAAATGTGAGGTAATCCAGAATTGGACACACTCTTTTACTTACTTAAATAAATCATGTAAAGAGGCCAGTATTCATTTGGGGAGTAATAGAAAAATATTAACCATATAGTGCAAACACCATGATTGATGAACCATCATAGATTCAGGTAGCACAGAGCTTACCACCTGACTCTGGGCGGGGCACACTGTAAGTACTTGGTCAGTGTTGATGAGCTGAGCAGCTGCCTGATGTGTGTGTTCCAATGCTGCAGTATTATTACATATACATGGTAGCACTGTTTGTAAACAGACATTATTTATTGAGTTGATCTTCTGAGAAACTCTTTGCTAAGTAATTATTATTTTTGGTTATAAACTAAACTTTGGATTTAGATATATGCCAATTTTGCCACATGGAAATGAATCAATTTAAAATATCAACTGTCCTCTTACCACTAAAAGTCATTTCTTTTTATTGAAATGATTGATGTGTTTATAACTTGATGAAGGGATTTGAATACTTTGATTTTATCATTATTTCTTTAAACTCATTTCAGTAGGCGCTTGGTGAATACCATTTTTATTTGGAAAAATATACCTTTTTATGCTTTCAAAGGTTAAAAACAACAGTCATATCAATTCAGAAAGGCTCCCATCATCAAATGTGCAAAATATGTAACAACCAGCTGCTATTCGATTTAGTTGCTATAAATGTCCATTGTTGTCTGAAATCCAGTAACATTCTGCATTTGAATCTAAGGCATTTTTAAAAGAAAAATGCCCTTCATGGGTTTTCTCACATTATTTTAACATTTACTAATTATTTCTTTTACTGGGTCTCTGTTAGGTTCTAAACATGATTCAAGTACTGGAATTATAAAATTTCACAAGACAAATATGGTCCCAAAATGTAGTCAACAAAATTCCTATTCAAATTCAACTTAGGTTTAAACTGAGTCTGTAAAATATTTTACTTGAAATAGAAATGCCAAAGCAGACAGAATTTTTCAGCAGGTCAAGTGCACTTGCCTACGTATGATAGTGTGAGTTACATCAATCTGATCCCCTTCCTCTGCAAACTACTAAAAATAATTGACTTTTGAAGATGCAAAGCCATTCATTCAGTTTGTTCATTTCTATGGATAAAAAAATTTTCTTTATGGATTTGTTTCTTTAAAGGGTGGATAATATATTCTATGTTACAAGGGAAATTAATTGGTTTTTAAAAACATCAAAACATTGGTAGTGTCTTATGGATCGCTCAGTAGTTGAGATTGTGAATGAATATACCACAACACCATGTACAGATTTAGTCTCACAAGTTTTATTATATATTTATGGTAGAATTATCAAACAGTTTTCATATTTAAAGCTCTGCTTTTGATTAAATGTATCCTTTACCTAGAAACCCCAAAGTGAAGGAAAATGAACTAGATTTATTTATCTGGTCCTTTCCTCAGTGCAAGTCTATTACTCATTTTTTTTTGCCAGTGGCATTCATATTGTATGGCAGAAGGCTTTCATACTCTGGTCAATTTTAGAGTTATCTTTAAGGATTTCATGTTTCTGATACTGCAGTTTGGAGGCCAAACCATTCTCTTTTCTATGCAATCCCATATGGAGTCCATAAAGTAGACCAGCAAGGAGAATTATTTGTGGTAGGCTGGTCTTAATGGACAAAATGCATTTATTCATGTGAACATTCCTGTCTCACCTTTTCATCTGCTCTGCAATTTTTGTGTGCTTTTGCCAGCTGAGGCATTGCTGCTTACATTTTTTCACATTCACGTTTGTGTTATATCCTGCGGCAGCTGGCCTGGTCCTAACTACTTCAAATTGTCAGTGGCTGATCATAGCCTTCGAATGCCTTGTTAGATAGTGGTATTCCTAAATCCTATTACCTGAAGGAGAACTGTTTATGAAAGGAACAGAGTACAGAAATAAATGGAATTTGATATGATTCACACTGGTCTAAAAATTAGAAAGTCTATTATCATCCTTTTCTGGTTAGTCTTCTTTTTCAATTGCTTATATACATTACATTATTTTCATTCTTTATTATTTGAAACCATACAATTCAGTTTGTATAGCACTAACCGACGTAATATCAAACACAAGTTGAGATGTCAGAAACACTATCATACAACTATGGGTTTGAGGAGAATAGAGTCTCCTTGGTATCACTTAATCACAAAATTAACAAATAATACACTCACAAGCCCAGGTCAGCAGATTTGCTCTTAATTAAGATTAAGCACAAACATCATATCCAAAACATGGCAACAATGCAAATAGAAGCCACTTTTCCTAACATAGTTTGATGGCAGTTCACCAGGTGTTTGCTTTCTTAAGTGAAGATTATGTTGCCGATATTATTTATCATTATATATGATAATGCTCCTACATTATCAAAACACCCATATTAGCGAAGAAAGTATTGCCCATATAAATTTATTTACTTTATGAAATTATGAGATGCTAACCTAAACCAAACATGAAATGGAACTTCTAAAACTGCTAAAAATTAATTCACTTTTAAGATACCTAGGACTTTAATGGCAGATGGACATCTGCCCATGTGTGAATGATATTAGAAAAATTCAAAATTAAATTTTAGAAAGTATTAACTAAACAAATGTTACCCTTGTGTAGAGACCTTTTGTTCAATATGAGATAAAACAGAACTAAAAGGGAAACACTATTTTCATAACTTATTTTCTCTTCCTGATTGGTTTTACCAGAAGAGTAAGGGAGTAAATAAAAAGGGAACACACAGAGATTATTCCAAACCAGGTTAGCCCCCTCAGAAATAGTAGAATACTACCTAGTGCTCTCCCAAGTCCATTTTTTTTTTACTAAACACAATGGAAGCAACTGATATATGTTCCTTGTAGATTTCTTCTAATATTTTTGATTTGACAAATTAAGTATATATGCAAATATTTTACTATGTTATTAAGCCATCTTACAAAGATGCTAAACTTTCTATTTCATGCCAAATTATTTTCGAATGCCGTGAAAAATACAACACAAATTTATCAACAAATACTTTAGCAATTTGCCACATGTCTTAAGAATCAGAGTTGTTGAAGAATCAGGAGAAAAGCACACCATGGAGGCAAGTGATCTGTGTGCCTGGTGGGTATTTAGGCTAGTTGAAAGCGCAAGAAGGGTCCTACCCAAAAGCCTACTGGTTAGTGTTTCTGAGCCTTCTAAAGGAATCAAAGATAATGACAGTATCTGCCCACTGAAGTTCACTTATTCACTCGACAGAGGAAGTTGGGTCCCAGCTCAGGTGTGAGTAACTTATTTACCAAGATACCCCAAGGACCCAAATAAAGAGAATCAAGGCTCAAGGGCATTACTTCTAAATAGGCTAGAAGGGGCTATCAGAAGTTAAACTTTTGTTCCTTTGCCTAGTTGTGTCTAAAACACGCTAACATGAGGAGGTATAATCTCTGCTAACTGGGACTCCAAGGATTTGAGTACCAGGCGGGATGTCTTAGGTTATCATTCTCTCCTAAGCAGTATGAACAATTTCCTCTCTTTGTTGTGGGAAATAAGAACTCAGTTGTTTCAAAAGAGAGGATTTATTAGATTCCACAGGAAAGGGTATAATCAAATAGGAATATAATGCATACAAGCCAGGTCAGTGCATTGTTTTTCAGTATCCACATAGTCGTCTGCCGTCTTTGGGAACTATTCTCCCACCACGTCTGTGTAGCCACTTCTGGTAAGAAGGGTATCTTGAATGTTGACATATTTCAGAATCATCTGAGGGGATGGTAAAACACAGATTGCTCAGATCTAAACTCAGAACTTCTAATTCAGTAAGTCTGGAGTGGGGTCAGAGAATCTCGTTGCTAACATGTGTCTGGGTGATTCTGGTACTTTTGGCCTGGACACCACACGTTGAAAACAGTGATGTATCCATTCGATGATGTTTATCAAGAATTTGAGTTTTCCAGGCATCTTTGTTAGGAGTAGAAGATACAATACCGAGTACAAAATATACATCCCCTGTCTTCAAGAAGGTTACTATATGGTGTGATCAGCAGGCATTAATTAGACAATCATACAAATAAATACACAATTACAAATTTCAAAGGGGTTTTGAGTCATTCATTTTATATTGCTGTGATTTTGAAGACTCTTATTGATTGTGCTTGAGCAAGAAAAAAATGAGGAAGATTGTGGTCAGCTGCCTCTATAGTCTTGACAGCATCAGTGGGGCCCTGTGACCAAGAGACAGAGGAGGTAATGTTACATGTGAGAGTGTGAAAAGGAAAATATCCTAGATCTTGTGATGAATAACTTGCCCTCTTTGTGTTTTCATTTGTGTTCTTTGTTTATTGGGGTTACTATTTGACCAGGACAAAAAATAAGGAATCTCAATTCTGCTGACATACAGAGAAGGGTCAGCTTTCCTCAACCAACAGAGCAGTCAATTTTACAATTAATGAAATAAAAAAATACATAATAGAAGAGATAGCACTTTGAAAATGCTAAAAGGATTCCTTCATTTCCAAACAGTAGACTGATCCACAACTCAAACTTTTGGTTTATGTCAATTCATTTAGCAATGTCGCAAATTAATCAAAATGTATTCTCTCAAAGATGATCATTCAATATTAGATTCGACCTTAGTTTTGCCATTAATTATCTGTGTGCTTTTGTCAGACCATTTAACTTTGCTGATCTTTGGTTTTCCTATGTTTAGATGAGGGTGTTAGGCAAGATATTTGCTAGGATCTCTTACAGCTGTAATACTGTCTGACACTAGAAGTGTTAAGCAGTTCTTTTGGAACATAACACTCTCTTTGGTTAAGAGTAGACTAAATTTTTAGAATGTTTCAGTAAACATATTGCTCTTAGTTTGTAAGCTATAGTGTAAATTGGCTCTGCTTACTAATCCTGATTAGTAGCCAGAGAAAACATTAGTCCTCATTATATTAGATTACAGTGGTTACATGGGTTAACTTTTTTTTGGCCTGACGTGGCACTGTTTTTAATAAGTTGAGGCAGTTAGTAGTCCTTCATGCCAATACCACTTAATTTTTTCCCCTACTGAATCATTCATACTTAGTTTAGTGATTCTGTTGGGAGCAAAGAGCAAAACCAGCAGCTTTCTTATCACCATGAGAAATGGATCTGGAGGGGTTATTTGGTGTCCTCTTCAGAAACAAGCTATTTGATTAAGTAGCTGGGTTTCCAAGATGTGCATGCTCCTGAAGAAAAGAAATGTGCTCTTCTGTGGTCAAAAAAAATTGTGGAGGTTGACCCATCATCTGTTAGAAATGCACTTGCAGTTGTTTTTTCCAGAAATGCTCATGACTCCCAGCCCCACCAAGCCACCCACAGACATTTGCTTGCTCTCACATTTGTTTTGAGAATAATAACATTTTATAATGCTTTTGTTGGATTACACATTATGTGGAATTTGCGTTGCCTTTTTGTGACTAATATTGAATAACTTTGCTTCGCTTAATTCATAAGTAAGAACCATAAGCAACATACAGTGCTGAAATGTTTAACTCGTTTATTCAAGTGCCAACACAAAGTAATTACAAAACAATTCTGGGACGCAAAACCAAGCTACTGTTGTCCCTTCAGGGTCTTCTCGGCAGTTCCAATGAGAAAAGTGGAGAGCAAGTTTAGTGCAGAATCTTATGATGCCAAGAAGCAGGGATTCCAGCATATCTTCTTGCACACATAGGTGACTGTAAAATACCTCTTTGTTTTAAATCAAATCTAAGTAAGGAAATACATTCATCTGTGGTGAAACACTTTGGAATGTGCAGGTTTTCTGATATCAAGACTGCAAAGCGCTGAAAACTGCAAGTTAATGGAAATTCAATTAGACATTTGTTTTATAGAGTAGTCTAACTAGATGGCAGCACGTAACAGTGTACTGTTTTGCTTAGTTTGCAAAAAAAAATTTTATGTGTTTGTGCCTTAGAATCTAACCACAAAACAGAGAGAAACTCAAACAGGGAACCCTGTGAATTGTCTCTAAAGGATATGGCAGTCTTGGAAAGAAGTACAAGTGATCTAGATTTGATGAGTAAACCAGGCTACATTGTCATTGTTCTAAAAGATATTTGTATATCACAGAGTGGACCCAGGCAGATAAATATACCAAAACTAATTGTACACCTTATAGTCAAATGATTTAGGATTTCTTTTAACAATGTCTGCTAAACAGAAAGAATTAATGTGGAAAACAACCAACAAAAGGAAATAAGAGAGGCTGTTCTTCTGAGTCCATTTGGAAAGTAATACAGAGCTTTTGAAACAGCAGCGTTGAAGCTTATTAATAAAAAGAGTTATATAATTTTCACCCATTTGAAAATTGCAGTTTTTGAGTAACAAAAAATATTTGTTGAAAGTTTGTTTCATACATGATGACCAGTTTAAAAAAGCAAAGCTTTAAATTCAACCATTAAAATATTTATTTACAATTTTTAGAAAGAATAATTGCAATGTAGGGGGTTCAGTTGCATAAAGGATTGTGAAAATTGAGCAGTTAGACTAAGGGATAACATTTTTTTCTTGCTTTCTGGTGAGGACAGTGATTTGAAATAGGTGGAAGTAAAACTTAAAAAAATAGAGAGTATATATGCTCGTCACCATTTCAGAGCTTTATTATTGAACTGGGATTTGCTGTTTTCTGAAGTGCTTTAGAAATGGCTCTATGTCCTAAAATACTTTAAAATAAGTCGTAGTGACTGAATCAAGCAGTATTAAGACACATGAAAGGCACTTAACATTTTGAAGATTGATAATATTTTTACTCATCAACCTTCCGTCCACCAATATTTTAACCATTCCGTAGTCCCAAGTGTTGGTCAGTACAGTGTCAGTATCTTGCACTCAGTTATGAGCAGTAAGTATGGACAGCTCCCTCTAACACGTGGTTCTTGACCTAAGCTACCCATTAGAATCCTCTGGGTGGTTGGAAACATCTGGGTGCCCAAATTGCACCCAGACAAAGGTAATAAGGTAGGACCCAGGCATCAGTAACTTTTAAACTTCCCCAGCTGATTCCAAGGTGCAGCCAATGTTAAGAACTACTGAAACAGAAACACAACTTCTTAACATAATCTTAACGAGATAGAGACAAATAGGCAAGTGAATCAAATATTTGGAGATGGGAAAGTAACAGAAGTAAGCATTAACCTGAGAAACAAAGATGACACTAACTCACAAGTGTCGTACATAATTTTCAAAAATTATTAAAAGCGTTTATTATTTTGAAGTTGTCACAGGATAGGAATATGAGCTGTGAAAAATTCTCTTATTTTTCAATTATGATTAAGCTTATAAGAAACAAGCATCATGGAATAGCTGGACTCCTTTTGAAAATCCTTATTCAGGTTTCCTGTTTGGCCTCAACCTCAGTAATTTATCATTGCAATTATTTTATTTGCTTGCCTAAGGCAAATGCATAAATCAAAGCGAAGCGTGTTTTATTGCATTTCTATTGCGTGTAAGGTTATTTCACATAGAATCCTATCATCTTAAGGCTAAAAATGAGCTTTGACATAATTTAGTCAAACATCTTTATGTTCATAGATGAAGAAACAAAGGCCCATAGAGATATCTCATGGCTGACTATAGGCACATTAAGGACACGTGGGAGTCAGGACCAGAAGTCAAGGCTCCCAACTTGCAATTCTCTTTTTTTCCATGTGACCCACAGAAAGGACCAAAAGCCTGTTAGGCCACCTGCCTGCTTGATTGCCTCCTTCCTTCTTTCACTCCCCAACCTTTTTTTTTTTTTATGAGAAAAACTCTGAGAAGTACAGGTTATTACACGAGGAGGGTTGTGTGGAAGATTGTGCAGTTGCAGGGGCAGTTAAAAACCATTTCTTACGTAACATTTTAAGAAGCAGTTGGTTGGAGCATTTTAAAACTCCAGTAGTTGTGCTTAGGCATAAGCAATGAGATCATATTTTTATGTTTTTTTTTAAGAAAGACAGATAGATAAAAAAATCAATAAGACCATGAATTGACTCATTAAATATTAAGTATGGTATTTGTGGCAGAGTGTAACTTTGACACTAAGAAGTCATTTATGATTCTTTATTTTCTTCATTTTTTTAACCTTTGAATTTCTTCAGCCCTGGATTTTTGGAGAAAATAAATGAAACCACATCCCTTTATTTAGAGACAATGGATGAAATATTTTCAGAAAATGGGATATTTCAGTGGAAATTCTTGCCTGGTATGTCACCACTTTGAAAATGATTAAAGAAAATGGAGTTTTCCCCAGTGGAGGCAGGTACTCTGACTTGTCAAATTTAAGTTGGACATTTTCTCTTAGTTTGGAACTGCCACAAAATGAGCCCTTTCATGTCCACAATAATACCAAACCAATGCAACCCATCTGTTCTGCTAAATTATTTCTAGTTCCCTAACCAAAGGCACTGCTTTTTCATGCATTTTATCATGATTTTTTGCCCTTTATTATATTTTACAAAAGGTTCTGATTCCTCCAGGGCCAATGAGAACTGATTAGGACACTGGCCTCAATCCAGGCTTTGAACACAGGAGGGAAAGGAATAGAACTGTTTCCTTTTTTCCCTGCTCCTTGGCAGAAAAAAATATGAATCTATATCGTGTGTGTGCTCTGTGTGTGGGTGGGTGTGGGTAGGCTGCATTTTATCCTGTCACAGTATGACTTTGTAGATCATGTTCAGAACATTTCTTCTATAATCGGGATGCATTAACGGGCTCTCTTTCAGAAAGACTATTTCTTTAAGAAAGAACCATGGTGTGTTGTGAGACTCAATGATATGGTCATTTTAAATAACTTTAGTCAAACTCCCAACCTGAATATAGACTGTTTAGGGTTCTGAACTAAACATGATCATATTCCTAACCACAGAGTAAGTGCTCAGTGAGCATAGCTCCTTTTCAGACTCTCAGGGAAGAAACTAAGTGCACGTCACAGGGAACGATAAGGTAACAATGAACACAGTCCTACATCACAAATTTCTTTATTAAGAAGGTGACAAAAGCTATGAGGTTTCATTCCTAGGCCTGTGTTGGTAAGGCATTTAAGACCCGTATTGACTCCAGGTGAGAAATCCCCAGATGAAATCCATTCCTTATTTGCATTGTGTGCCCCAATATGCTCAGAATTCTTAAAAATCTTTTTGGGCAGGCTATCATAGATAACTTTACGTAGATATCCTTCGGACCAAGTATCTCTGAGAATAGAAATCAGTACTCCCTAAATTAAGATTATCAGAAAACTTTAGCCTATTTTTTGACTCTTTATGCTATTGACCTTTAACTCAAGAGAGCCTTGAGAGAGAGAAATGAAAGAATAAAGGGTGCGCAGAAAGTTGAAAATATGAGAAGTGATTACGTGGGAATATCTATATTTAAGCCTACACAAATAAAATACTAAATTACTGATGGCAATACCAGAAAATGGGAACTGGTGAAGATCTCAATATGAAAGGAAAAGTTGAATGTGACAAATTTAAGGCATTTATACAAGTGAGGCAAAACGGAATTACTCCAGGAGATCCTATGTGTTAAGGAATAAAGAAAGCTGTTGCTCTTTCAGAATTTTCAGCTTAATCATCCACCAAATTCTCCTAGCAGTGTCTCTGTGAGATACAAATTTCAAAACATGCTTTTTCCAGATCCTGTCTACAGGTAGAAACATTTTTTTTTTTTTTTGGTACTGAATTAGTTTTCACTGCTCTCTTTCTGTAGAAACATGTGCACTATGTTTGTGGGCTGTTCTCTAGCAACCAAAGAAGCAGAAGGTGATTGCCAAGAATAAGTACTTCCTTATATTTAGTGAAATTATTTTTTAAAAATACTTTTAATAATAATAATAAGAGCCAGTGTAAAATAGTTGCTTAGAGTCAAAAGAAAGAATAAGGAGAAGGAGAAAAAGATAAATCAAAGTGAAAACTTAGGAATAGTGGTACATTTTAATGGCAAGGATGGGGCCTAGAGTATAACTAGCGGAGAAAACTGTTAGATTAAGTCAATGCTAGATAGCTGGGCCAAATGAGCTGTCTTTACTGTTAGTTGACTGATCTTACACAAGGGGATGACCGATTCAGCAGGTTTCTTCTTATCAGGGGTCCCCAAACCCTGGGCCACGGACCACTACTGGTCCATGGCCTGTAAGGAACCAGGCTGCACAGCAGGAGGTGAGTGGCAGGTGAGTGAGTGAAGCTTCATCTGTATTTTCAGCTGCTCCCTGTTGCTTGCATTACCGTCTGAGAACAGCAGCGACATTAGATTCCCAGAGGAGCGCTAACCCTATTGTGAACTGCGCATGTGAGGGATCTAGGTTGAGCGCTCCTTATGAGGATCAAATGTCTGACGATCTGTCACTGTCTCCTATCACCCCCAGAGGGGACCATCTAGTTGCAGGAAAGCAAGCTTAGGGCTCCCACTGATTCTACATTATGGTGAGTTGTATAATTATTTCATTACATATTAAAATGTAATAATAATAGAAATAAAGTGCACAGTAAATGTAATGTGCTTGAATCATCCTGAAGCCATCTCCTCCACTTTTTTTGTCTTCCACGAAACTGGTCTCTGGTGCCAAAAAGATTGGAAACCGCTGTTCTTATGACTTACTAGCACTTCAGCTACTGTCAATTACAGTGAATCTCGTTAGCAGATGAGTGTTTAAATGTGTGATTGAGCATTCAGCTAGAATCAGTGGGATTGTGGGTGAATAAGCAAAGGTGTTGGACAAGCATAGAGTGCATGGTATGCAAATTTACATGACTAGTGTATGAACACATCAAGATATACTTAATGGTATTTAATGTTATACCGGAAGTAAAAATTTAATTTATAGATGAAACGAATCTTTATAGACATGAAGAAAGGAGGAAAAAATCAATGAAAGTTTATGATAGTCATCAAAACATGGGTCTGATCATTAGCTGCAGAGCTGACATTGTTGAAAATACTGATGTTTCACTGTATCAGCATATACGATGTTAGTGGCTATGGATTTCAAAGACCCATAGAAGGAGGAGCTCGAAGCCCTCTTATTTCATAGTGTTCATTATTCTGCCAGAATTGGTTGCCACATTCTGTTTTCCAATGCCCTGCTCAGTCCAATTTTAGATGACTCAAACCATGGACTTACCATTATTTATCTTGAGGGATTCTCCACCCCCTGAAATCTCACAGTTAAAACGTTTCCCTTTAATGTTGCCTTCGAATTTTCTCATGCTTATTTAGTCTCTTTACATGCCATCCTACTCTTTGGTTGTTCTGGTCTCCCATAAACTTTCCGATATTGAATGTTTCCCAGCAAGCTACTTGGTTCAAGATGTTTTCTAATCAATCAGAAAGATGGCTGACCAGAAGGCCATCATTAAATTTTTCTTAGTCTTCAGCATCAGAATTCTGATCTTACCCACCTGGAATAATTTCTCTAAATCATACTTTTATTTTTATAGTAATTTGAATTGGGTTAGACAATGCTGAATGATAGCATCAAAAACAGAGAACTTCAATGATATACAAAGAAAGTTCCATAAGTATTCATGAGTTTGTTCAGCACGTCAAGGCAGTGTTAATGAGATTTTGCTTTAATCACTCCCTTCCTGTTACCCCTGCAGACCCCCACCAATCCTCCCTCACTGTGACCTGATCATTTATTTTCAGTGACAAGCACAGCTCGGCCTCCGGCCCAGTAAATGCTGAGAAATTGTCAGATATTGAAGTTGTCCTGGCCTGCCCCTTCAGTGAACCACACATTAACATTGAAGAGTCTGGCAGCAGCTGCATCACCTTAAACTAGGGAGGCTGAATGTGGAATTGTCCTCGTCCTGAGAGAGGTGTTGTCACCTGATGTTTCCGGGTTACCTGGTGGTTCCTTGGTCAGGAACATGAAAGGACAGCATTCCCTGAACAGATTCTCCTTGAATTTCACTGTTGTTCTGTACTTCAATATTAACTTACAGCTGCCTTGTGGTTATATATATTTTTAAGTGAAATATTAACACTGTCTCTGTAATACTAGAAAGCACAGCCATTTCCAAAAGTTAAGGCTAATTAACTTCGTGCACCAGCACAATATTTATCAGGCTCACAGATGTGCCAGCTGAGGAATGTAGCCAGAAAGAACACTTTGCATACTGGATAATTGAGGTTTGACCTAATGAACAGTTTTGCCTGTGTTGAAGGGCTGTAATTTGTTAGCTGGAGTGAAAGTCTCTGCCTAGCCTTTTTGGAAAAAATTGATGGAGTCTAGAGTGTCTCAAACAGTGTCTGATTAAACAGCAGGTTTTGTTTTTGTTTAATTTCCAATCTGTCAGAGACTAATACGCATAAAAAATGTTAAAAATGAAATACGGCAAAAGTGAAATAAATATTGAAGAGAGGTAAGATTATAGTAGATTCAAAAGACATAAAAATACTGTCAAATTGCCATAAAAGTTTCTAAATATTGATCTGAATTTCTGTACTGACCTCACTACAGACCATTAATAAACAGATATTGACGTGTTATTGATCCCATGGGACACAGTTTGAGGAACATTGGTTTTAACTAATACTACTGTGAGGTGCACACATGGGAAGTCATTAGCGTATCTGTGATCATCAAGTTCATTAAAATGAAATGGTATTTATTTATGTCCTTCAAGAAGGAATAAAGAGTGTGTTCTAACAACTTCTTTGGGTAAGTGTAAAATAAGATTGTAATAAATTTAATTATCAGCTAAATAGTAGCCCTGTTGGTTTTTAAGCTGATACTTTACAAAAGAGTTAACTATTAATTTCTGTGTTATAGCTTTCTCTTCCATGCCAAATAAGAATATACTTTATGTCAGTTGCCCATTTAGGTATAAGCAATCTGTTGGATCTGAACCTTCCATACACTCATTTTTCAAATATTATTATGGTACTTTACTAAGCAAATCAGTGTCACATTCCTACATGATGAAATTCAGCCCATTATTAATCATCTTAAATGTGACTTGGGGTCTCATTTTCTTCTAAATGTTGTCAGTGGTGTACTGTTGGCTTCTGCTATTTTCTTGCAGCGAATTCAAGGTCGAAAAGCCAGCCTGGAGGAAATACAGCTTGTTCATTCTGAACATCACTCACTGTTGTATGGCACCAACCCCCTGGACGGACAGAAGCTGGACCCCAGGATACTCCTAGGTCTGTACGGGCCTCCACTGTACTGGGAACAGCACATTCCAGCACTATCATTAGTCAACGCTGGTGTCAGTTCAAAATACTTGGCAAGTAGTGCAACAAAAAATCAGTTTTTCCAACAGCTTTGCTCTGTGGAGTGAGTCATTTGCAACAGAAGCCATTGTAGATTAAGAAAATCCTGCATTAGAAAATGACAATGTAGGTTCCATGGTGTTTACTTTAGAATTAACCTTCATTTGAATAACATTTGTACAATGTGTTTTTGCATATAGAAAAAACTACATTGCTGAATTTATTGTGTTTTCAAACTTAAAGTAGAAATGATTTACACATGCTTTATGCAAATTTCTCTTCACCGTTCCCATTTTTTTGTATCTTTTAGTTCTTTGTTCTATGACCTTAAGAAACAAAGGAAATAGTACAACTTGTATTAAGTGAAAACTCATTATTACTATGCCCATCACACTACATTCTATAGCAAGATTGCAAATCTATTTATTGCCTTACCTTTGGAATTAAATAATACATTAAATGCAAAACTAGAAAACTAATAAACAGTTTTTTGTTAATGTATGATTTTTTGAAACTTTATCGTCAGATTTTAAAATAAAATTTATATTGCAGAACTTTATATAAGCTTTATATGAGTGATAGAAACAACAGGTTTCTGGAAGAAAAATTAGTGACAATCCTTATTTTAGCTGAAATGATAATATTGTTTTATTAACTTTTTATAAGTGAATAACAATATCTAACATTGGCAATAGATGCTGATGGGGTCATGTTTTAAATGTTTTAACTAAAAAAGACATTTTAGGAGTTTTTCCTTCAAATAAATGTATTGTGTCAGCTCTAAGTTATTGAACTCTTTCACCTAATTCAATATTATTTCAAAATTGTTTTATATTAACTGGTCCTAAACAATTTGAAAGCAAGTAGATAACATACAGTAGGTAGGTATCTTGGAAAGCAATTGTAAGGAAGAATTAACAGTTACTCATTATAACACAATATACCTTTTTAAACAAGTGGCAAGCATCTCTTAAATTTATGAAGTGCAGGCATATGAGTGAGCATAAATATGCCCACACATGCGTGTAGCAGTATAGGTAGCAGTAGCTTGGGGAGAAGTAAGACCAGAGGGGAATACATAAAGATTATCCAATTTTTAGAAAGTACATTGCTAATATTTGATGATAAAAAATAATGTATACTATCGAATTAACATTGTATATTAATATGAATACAAATAAATCAATCTAAACATATATGCTCATTTTTTCCTTTCTATTTTAGAAACCAGTCTCTGTACATGCAGATACTTTACATAAAATACCTCTTTTGCTGCAAATATTGTATAATAAATGTTCTTATTTTAACATGAATCAATAACCCTACCCAACTAACCAACAAGATGAAGTAAACCAGACATTTTAATTGTCATGATTTTATGAGGTCATAATACTCAAGCATTTAAACATAGGAGACTGTGTCCATGTCATTATTTTTTAATTGAGTTAAGAAAAAACAAGTAGAAAACCTCCCCCCACTTTTTAAAAATCTCTGGTCCTAAAGTATAAATCAACCTTCCAACTTTATTGGAACAGGCTGGGATTGATCAAATTGTGAATATAAACACACATTTGATATTTGAGAAGTGCTCCAAAACAACCATTGTTCCACATTTTAAGAGAAAGGCATATTTATAAGATAAATGAAGTTTAAACTTTTGCAACATCAAACTTTTATTCATAAAACATGGCGATGTTTTTTTAAAAAATTTGACTCTTTTGAACAAACCTATTTTTTGTAAAATATTTGATGTGCATATCATTTTTAAATTTGATGATTTTAAAATGAAATTCCATTTATAATTTTAACTTGGACAAAGGTTCTTTTCATGTATGTATGTGATGAAAGCAGCAAGTACCTATGATTCAATGTTTAAAATTTTAATCTAAATAAATTAGCCATTTATCTCATTAATTTTGAACATATGATGTGAAATAATATTCCTACAGTTGATAATCTTAGAGTTAGCATTCTATACATGTGTGGAGTTTCATATACACTTCTCAGTGATCATTGCAACAATTTCAATATTGTGTGTGGGCTACGTAAGTACACAGAAACAGGGATGTTGCATTCTATCAGGCCTTAAGGTCGAGCACTAAAGTCAACTGTATCAACACTTCAAAACTACTTCTCTTTCCCTAGTGTATCCAAAAGTTTAGCTAATTTTTCTCAATCTCAGTTCAAAGTGAATAATTCTGTTCTTTTTAAAGGTTAACTTTTAATACTTTTTTTGCTCTTTGTGGCATTTGCATTCTTCTGGCTTTTTTTATTGTTGTTGTTGTTTGTTTGTTTGTTTGTATCTGGAAGACCGGATTGAAGCTGCCATATGTGAATGTATAGAAATTCATAATCGTCAAGATGTTTTCTCTCTTTTTATCCATTCCTTTCACTTCCATATATCTTACTACATCCCCCAGTTCCTCCCAACACATATGGGAGATGTCTTTTCTGAGTTAAATTAATGCTATTTCCCTTGATAGTTGTGTTCTAGAGTTAGGAGGAAGGGTTTAAATAAAAGTTCAGTATGATGAGACCTGTCAGTCTTTGTATCTTGAAAGACATCTATAGATGATAAAATAATTGGATTTGAAAATGAACATCATTTATCTCTTTAAATACTCTAGACCCTGTAAGGTTACATGGAGAAGACATTCTCTCCAATTATTTCTGGTGCAAGGCTTTCCTTAGCATTAATATTCCTGTCGCTCTTATGACCAGTTTCCAGTCGTCTTGAGGCTAGCCAAATTTCAGTGCATTGATAAGACAACATAATTAAAAATAAATCCAGTCAGTTTGGTGAAATAAAAGTTTCTTGCCCATTTCTAAATTTAAAGTATCAATTATATGCCTGTTTTGTATTATGTAAACATTCTCCTAAGTAGGTATTAAATAATAGTATTAAATAAAACTCTCCCAAGTAGGATACTTATTTTGCTAATTCTCTTGGGGGTTAATAATTTTTTTCAATTACTCTTAAAAATTAATTTATTGGCTGGGCACAGCGGCTCATGCCTGTATTCCCAGCACTTTGGGAGGCCGAGACAGGAGGATCACGAGGTCAGGAGATGGAGACCAGGCTGGCAAACATGGTGAAACCCCGTCTCTACTAAAAATACAAAAATTAGCCAGGCATGGTGATGCGCACCTGTAGTCCCAACTGACGGGAGGCTGAGGCAGAAGAATCGGTGGAGGCTGCAGTGAGCCGAGATTGCACCACTGCACTCTAGCCTAAGCAACAGAGTGAGACTCCATCTCAAAAAAAAATTAACTTACTATGTTATCATATTATCTTCATTCCTGTTTCTTGACTATTAAGAATTCAGACACTAAAATGTACATATATATTTTAATTTCACAGGTGATATATGAATATACTCTTGCAAAATATTCAAGGATACAGTTATATTTTTGTTAGGAACAACAACATAAGAAAACTTTACTCCTCCCCCAAAATTTTGATGTGCCTTTTACTGGTGCCAATATTGCAGTTTTAATATTATTTTATGATTTTTATTTGTAATTCTATTGACTTCTCATCTTTTTGTTAAAATGAAGATCTCTCTTTATAACTAGATGGCTTCATTTGTACATATATTTTTCTTTATCATCTTCCATCTTTTAGTAATTACATTTAAAAAACCAACTAATATGATTTATTGTTTTCAAAACAAACTGTCTTCTGTGACAATAAAAGCTATTTAGACTTTTACTGACGTGGTGTATGAATTCTACTATAAACCTGTTTTCAATTTTAATTTCTCATTTCATTGAGCATCAATAGAACAAATTAATGGGATAGGTGAATTGGAAATTTGTACCTGGTTCTACCACTGAACTGCTGAGTGACATGTCAGAGTCCCTTCAGAACCATTTGACTATGAAATAGAAATGTTCACTGCCCTTCCCCATGATTACTCCACAGACAGATTTTAATGTTAAAGATGTAGGAGCAGTTACTACTGTTTTTCTCTATTCATGTAGTAGATAACGTAGAAAATAAAAGTACAGGTAAACAAAATAATTACTAAAAATCCCATGAAACACCAGTTCTAAGAGATACTCACAATTCAGTTTTGGGAATATATTTTTAAAGAAGATATTTTATATTGATATTGATGTTATATAGATCCCCAAATGGGATTATTTTTCATAGTGTACTGTTTAAAAAATTGTGGATGTTAGAAGTGGCCTATGGTGTACTTGGCTTTAGCTCTATCTTAAAGTTGATATAGCTACTTATAACCAGCTATACTTAGTTATGTCTTAAGTAGAAATTAAGAATAAGTCTGTACATTTGAGAAGATATGTTAATATTTGAAATATTTTTTAAATGACAGTATATGGTGGCATAAACCTTGTAGCTCAAAACATCCCATTGAATGAATATACTCAGTGAAGAGCTGAATTGGTTAAATTTTAAAAATTGTAATGTATAATATAGACATGGAGACCAACTTAGAAAAAAATCTTGTGACCCAAATCTCATGAGCATGTGTTTATTCATGTGGGGCAATAGACTCTACATGCAATAAAATTTATATTGATTTGCTTTTAGTTCTTATTTGTGTATACAGATAGGCAGAACAATGATATTCTGAAAATTGTGTTGAATAATTGGTCTGAAGTTTTATTAATTTATTTTTGCATCAAACGATAAATACCATGTGACATATTATTATGTGTTAATAAATGCCAACATTTTAAAAATTATATAACCTCCATTTATCTATATTTTTTATGTCTTCTTACTGTATAGGTGATGACTCTCAAAAGTTTTTTTCCTCATTACCTTGTGGTGGACTTGGGGTAAGTACAAGTTGGTTTACTGCCTTTAAATAACATAAAATTACAAAAAAAAATCTTTTTTGATTTATCTATTCAGTTTTAGGGTTATTTCTCAGTAAAAGTTATGCTAGACTTCAGGACTGCCTACTTAATTTGCAGAGCTAAGTGCCAAGTAAAAACGTGGCAGCCCTTGTTAAAAATAAATTCTTAAGAATTTCAAGATGGTGGCAATACAGAATTAAACCAAGAGCAAGGCCCTTCTAACTGTAAGTTCCCGTGTGACTGCACAGGTCACACACTCATGAAGCCAGCTTTGCTAGGCCTTTATATAGCTGGAGAAAAGGTGCTTCAAGAGAGTTTAACACAGATTTGCAGCAGAATTCCATTTTCAATAGAATCACATTGAGTACGCACATACATTATATTCCTGGTGAAAATGGCATAAACTTCACAAAGTGCTTTGCATTATGGGACATTTTGTTTGTGAACCCCTTGGGGACATTTTTGTCTTCAATAATTAAGGAAGCCTTTTGACTCAACATATTTAGACCACATTTCAAGGACAAATTTGTTAGAACCCAGCAACACATGAAGAAAAATGTCTACATTTTTGTAGATGATTAGAACATATCCTATAACCTGAAATCTATTTAAAGTTAACCCTTACCAGTAACAAACCATCATCCTGTAGAACTAAGTGTTATGTTAGAACAACATAATTCTAGGTGAAGTTTTCAAAGACTAAGGTATTTAAGTCAATTAAATTGACTCGATCTTGAAGGGAAAGAACAAAACTAGTCACATGTATATCACGTTTTAAACAATTGTTTTGTGAGAACTAAATTTGATGCAAAGAAATCTTGAATATTTTTAGTTTATTCTATCATTTTGATGATGCCAGATTTAGTGAGTTGTAGCCTTTTGTTCCTTTGCTTGTGATTCTGCTTACTCTGGAAAACAGAATGGTAGCTATATCCATTTGCCTCCGTGAGGACTTACAGTTTGCCGACAAACAAGTTCCAAAACAACCTTGTGAAATAGTCATTAACACCATTTTGCAAATGAGAAAGTGAAGGCTGGGAGAAGCTAAGTTATTTTCCTGAAGTCACACAGTAAAGGATAAAAAGCTGAAAGTATGGGGGTGATGTACACATCCTTGTCGAGGAGTTCCAAAAGAGCTTTCTAGACACTTTCATGGCTTTCATCTTTAACAATCTAGTCTCAGCTTCCCCCCACTCCCTCTGGGTAAGCAGCGCAGCAGTGTGGCTGATGTGGTATAACCCCTTTGTGACAGCTCACCAGTGACTTTTGCTTTTTGACCACCAGCATGGGACAGTCATCAATCCCACATTAATCCTTGCTTATTTTTAGCCAACCTCCTGTGGAGCTGGGAGCTTGCAAAATCATTCTGGAAAGCAGAGGATAAGCTGACTTTTAAAATGGGTTTCATTGGCTTTGTGCTTATTTTCTAACATCTCAAATGGCTGTTTTATGAGAATGGCTGCCTACCTGTAAATGGGGCAAAAAAATGAAACAAACCTAATGACTACTTAATGGGAACAGTGATGTGGAGGAAATCAAAGCTATTAAAAGGGTGGCAGTCATCAAACCCCACTCTTTAGAAATATAGATGATCCCTGAGTTATGATGGTTCAATTTATGATTTTTTGATTTTATGATGGTGCAAAAGTGTTATACATTCAGTAGAAACCATACTTTGAATATACAGCCATTCTATTTTTCACTTTCAATACAGTATTCAATAAACTACATGAGATGTTTAAACTTTATTATAAAATAGGCTTTGTGTTAGATGCTTTTGCCAAACTGTAGGCTAACATAAATGTTTGGCATGAATAAGGTAGGCTAGGCTAAGCCATGATGTTTGGTAAGTTAGGTGTATTAAATTCTTTTTTGACTAAGGACATTTTCAAACTACAGTGGGTTTATCGGGACTCCTTCATAAGTCAAAGAGCATCTGTATATTTAATGTATGACTCAGGACTGAATTGAGGCCATCTCCCTAGGACTCACCTCCCAAATCTGACCTGGGACGTGCTTTTAATTCACTATCCCTTCAATGCGAAGTTCCTCTACTCAACTGCTCTAAACCCAAATTGACTTCTTATTTCTCACCTAGAACTGCTTTAGTAAACTCTTCAAAATGACCAAGGAGTGAATATTGGCTGCTTCCTCTGGACCAGTATATCAAACATAATGCACAGTGTGGGTCATAGAGTAAGTCCTTAGTAATGTCCCTAGAGCTGACCTCACCTGGATGGTGGCAGCAGTGGTGGTGGATAAGTCTGGGGTAGGCCAGCAGAGGCAGGAGAAGGAGCCCTGCATTGTTAGTTTGACTCCATCAGTGCTGGAGAAGGTTGGAGAGATGTGATGCTTATGTAGGTCAGGGTGGGTGTGAATGTGTGTGTGTGTGTGTGCAAGTTTGCACTTGCTGATGCTCTTGTGAACTAGTTTGACTCAGTATTTTTGTTTACAGGAATGAAATAGTTTTCTCAGCCTTTCAAAAGTCTTCTTGCCCTCTCAGATTTTTGGTTTTGGTACAAGCCCTAGGAGAAACCCTGGATCCTCTTGATTTAAGCCTGTCTAAATTTTCACCTCCAGGACAATCCCAGACAGATTAGCTATACACAAGATCCCCAGTATGATCCCGGAAGGCCCCAACTTGGCAGCATGGGAGCACCCTAGAGATTTTGGAAATTACCGAAATGACTTTTGTCTTAAGGCATGGTTCTGTCTCAAATTACTTAAGAGGGACCTGTTGGTTTCCATTCTGAAATACTCAGTGATCCCCAATTGTTAAAGTAAACGCCAGTTCCTTAGAATATATAACTTCATTCTAGAGGGGTTTGATATATACCTACAGAATACGGATGGGTTAATTGGCTTTTGAGGACCCTACCTGGGACATTATGAAATCAGAACATCTCTACTTCTCATTAAAATTTCCCCTAAAATTGCACATGGTAATTTACTGTTGGTCAAGCAGCTCAGTGGATAAATGGTATTTAAGGTGCTGTGAAATGTACTCTCCAGAACTGCATTTCGAGCAACAATGTCAAGGTTTCTGAATTCCTTTGTGTTTGCTTTTCTTTTTGTTCAGTTATTATGGCTGACTCATTTCTGATTCCTGTGTGATTGCACTACAAGAAAATGCACCAGTTGAAAAGAACATTTGACCAAATCCCAGGACTTGGTCATGGTGTAGTAAAATAGATAATTAAGGGACTCTGGAAACAAGAGCCAGTGCAGGATCTCTTCAGTTCTCACTCCTCAGGGTATATCACTAAAAATAGTGATCATTTTCCTGGCCATCTGACCTGCTGCTGTGTGAAGAAATCTTGAAGTCATTTCTCAGCCTCATTTTCCCCTCTTCACTTGATAGGCCACAGAAAAACCCACAAAAGCAAGGACGAGCAGGCTTTTATGATAATGTCGTCATCAGCTCCCAGCTTCAAACGCTTCTGCGGCTTTTGAGTTGTCATTTATAACTTGGAACTGAATCGACCCATAATTCCCCTGATACACTTAGAGAAATTGATAACAGACTCTGCGCTTCTTTTATGGCTCAGAGGAGGCAACTCCAATCACATCACTATTGGCAGGCAATATTATTTTTTGACATGGTTGTAAAAGTATAAAGGGGCTTATGGCATTTGTTTAGATGAGGAATGGGCTCTCAAGCTGTGCTGGGGTTTACAGGACCAGATCAGTGAGAAGCAAAGGGAATATGATGTTTGCAAACAGGATATGATTTTATATAAGTTTGGGTTTCATGCTCTGTTCCCTGGGGAAAGCCCTGCAGACAGCAGAGAATTCCACTTTTATCCTACAGCAGACAAGCTCCCAGGGCCAAAAGGCAGAAAAATAAACGTGGTCAATGGGTAGTGTCAGACCCTTGATTGGAAGAGGAGGAGCTGTGGACGAGGGAGAACAATCCCCTAAGAGGACTGAGGATTTGCAGGGCACGGGCAGAACTGGGACCTGACTAAGTGGTTGAAGATATGCAAAAAGAGGCTCTAAAAGGTTTAATGAAGGCACCTTCTCCAGCAGTGACTCAGTCAATCTGTGAACACAAAGCTAGCTTTTTATTACGACTTTTACTCTGTTCATATTCTGTTTGGTTACACCTAGATCTGACACACTTAGGAATGTCATTTTTGTGATTGGGGAAGGGGAGATGGGGAGAAGGATTAGGTGATTATGAGAGGGTAGTAATTTAAGGCCCATTTCAATTGCTCTGAGGTTTTCTGCAAACGTTTCAGTTGTATATCAACTATACTCACTACGCGAGAGGCAGATTTGGATGAAATGTCTTAAATTTTCTTTTATCTTGTCAGAATTAAAATGTAAGCTCTCCCCTCTTATTTATAAATTTACAGATATGTGTGTGTGTGTGTGTGTGTGTGTGTTTATATATACAAGAAACATTGTATATACACATACATAATCAGGAGAAAAATCTATTTTACACCACATGTGTATCTTCATATTATTTTTCTAATTATTACACCACATTGGTCCTTCACATTTATTCTCCCCAGTACCAGTAAATAGTATTCTAGTGGCAAGCCCTACAAAGAGCTGCTCTGGTGTTTCCCTCCATTATAATACTAGGGAATGGATTTTGTTTTATGACCACATCTATGGACATATAGTTAAACTCAATGCGACAAAAGCTTGGTTAATAATGCATTTTACTGCTGTGATTTAGGATGGTCATCTTTGAAACAAAACCAATATTTTCAAAGCCATAATGTGTGCCATCAGATAAGGCATGAAGGGCAGGAAGAATAAGATAAGGCTTGTTGTTGATGACTAGACAAGGTGCAGCATGCAAAAACGAATGAGCAATGAGACAAGACCACTGCTCTCAATCTCAATTGCTCACAGCCTAGCCATTGGGCTGGTTCAGAAAAATGCTAAGCTATGAGAGCACAGAGAAGGAAGCTTTTAAAACAGCAAAGAAAGAATAGGGTGTGGAGGTTACTCAAGCAGTTATAAGCTAAATTTTCAAGAAGAATTAGCAATAAATGTGTGAGTTGTGTGTTGGGGGTGGTATGAGGACAGGTCATGGGAGGCAGCCAGGCATTGACTGTTCAGGCAATAGAACACACCGTATTTCTGACAATTGCACCAAGCTGTTGCCAATTAGTAGAGAATTTTTTTCTTCCAAAAAAGGAGGGAAAAACCCCACCTTCTGTTTATGCCAAAACTTTGCATGTTCCTGAGGTTTTGATATTGACTCAGGAACCTCTTTCTTCATATGTTATTTCAACCCAATTATCCTGAGCAAGCACAATGCCTTTTGTTACATCAGCAGAAAGAGGAGGGGGTAGCATCTGCTTCTCACATGCAGTAATCAGGGTAATGTTAATTTCCCTCCTATTAATGTTCAACTCAAACCTGGCTTGCAATCAGTACTTCATTTCCTCCACTGTTGCTATCAAAGAGGTATCACAAACTTTTTCCCTCCAGCACAATAAAAGGATCCACCCTGATTTAGAATCTCTCTTTTTTATATCTCCTCTTCCTAACTGTATCTGGATTTTCATCAGCTTCAGACTTGATGCAATTGATACTAGCAAGAACACCCCATGGCACCTGGCAAAATTAAAACTGATAAGCCACCTTAATGAAACTGAGAATTTAGTTTCATGCTGCAAATTCTGTAAAAAGATTATGTTGCCTCAGACTTCGAAAAAATGCATGAAATATTATTAAAGTCAGGGAATTCCTTCTAAATTGCAAAGGAAGTTTCCAGTATTGCATAGATTATGCTAATTGTGTATACTCAATAATAGTTGTTGGGATGTAGACAACACTCCCTACAGAGATACACATGTATACATTACTCTGTGTATGGGACAAAATGTGAAAATACATAGAATCATTAAGCATCTAATGTCCATTGCAGGAAAGAAGAAAATGAGAGAAGAAAACCTTAATTTCCTCCTTAATTCACTTACTTGCAGCATCTCATCTGTGATTAAATTCTTTCTATTGCTTTGACATTATGGCTAAGTACAACGAGATGCATTTTGAAATAAGAATACTTCATTTTCTTATTTAAAGTAAACATGAATATCACAAAGCTGTTAAAATTCTTCTGTTGCCAAAATGAGATGGCTAAAAAAATGCCATCATCAAAGCTTTATTTGTGTTTTTTACATTACTGGGGCCATAAGACCTATTTTTTTAAAAAACTGTATACACACACACACACACACACACACACACACACACACACACACACACAAAAGCACCTATTTCCACCAAAGTAATGTCAATAACAGGGAGGAAGAAAACGATTATGAACATTGAGACAAGAAGAAATTCAGCCTTAGGCTCTGCAGTTGCTGAAGGTAAATGGATTTGATGAAATTTAAATTTCTATCTAACTTAGAAGATCTGTGGCTCGATTAAATAAAAGCTGAGAAAGTAAAACATACTTGAATAGATTTGAAAATATGATCATCTACTGATTGCTACTTCTGACTGCCAAGGAGACGTTAGGCTTAAATCAAATGAAAATTTAGAGTAGACAAAGGAAATGGTACTACCTAAAAAAAAATAATTCTTGTAGCAGCCTGAAATACAGCTATATTCAGGCACACCTAAGCTTTTCATTTTAAGGTGAAGTAACAGCATTTGTATTTTTCATCTGTCATATTTCCACTCCGAATAGTTAGTTCCAGATCCAGATATTCACCCCCGTAACAAACTAATATTCAATATGTAAAACTGATGTGTCATTATTGGATTTGTCTTTGTGAAGTATTTTAACCACAAACTTAGTAAAGCATAACTTCTAAACTTTCATTAATGGAGAACAACAGTTTTTTTTTCAAAATTCAAAACCAAAATAAATTAGCTCACTGAATGCTTGAGCCATAAGCAGGCAGTTCACAGCAGAATCCCTAGGATTTAATCATTCCCCAACTCAAGAAAAACCCATAGCTTCTGAGTTTTAGACTAGCAGTATCATTATTGCTATAGAGTGTCTTAACTTTAAATAAAAAATAATAAGTAAAATAAAGGAATTAAATGACTAAGCAATGATTCTCTTAGCAATAGAGCATGCATTGAGTCATTATTTCTATGAAGACTGATAAGACTATTAAAGGACTAATATATTCGATATTTTTATGCTCCTGAAATCATTTGGTGAATTTATTCTGTTATATTCTAAATATTATGATTTATATAATCTCTAATTGATATTTACTATGGATACACACAGACATACCTTGGAAATATTGCAGATTCAGTTCCAGAGCAACACAGTAAAGCAAATAGCACAATAAAGTGAGTCACACAAATGTTTTGTTTCTCAGTGTATACTAAACTTATGTTTATACTGTCCTGTAGTCTATTAAGTTTACAGTAGCATTATATCTTTAAAAATGTACATAATTTTAAAACTATGTTTAAAAATCCTAATGATCATCTGAGCCTTCAGTGAGTGGTAATCTTTTTGCTGGTGCAGGGTTTTGCTTCAATATTGAGGGCCTTATTCTGGATAAAGCGTTGGCTCAAGGGAATGTGGTTGGGTTGATCTTCTGTCTAGACCACTCAAACTTTCTCCATATCAGCAGTAAGGCTATTTCACTTTCTTAGCATTTGTGTGTTCACTGCAGTAGCAGTTTCAGTTTCCTTTAAAAACTTTTCCTTTGCATTCACAACTTGGCTAACTGTTGGGCACAACAGGTCTAGTTTTCGGCCTGTCTCAGCTTTCAACATGCCTTCTTCGCTAAGCTTAATCATTTCTAGCTTTTGATTGAGAGTGTTGAGAGTGAGAGACGTGCAACTCTTCCTTTTACTTGAAGACTTAGAGGCTATCGTAGGGTTATTAACTTGTCTAATTTCAATATTCCTGAATATTAGGGAATAGGGAGGCCTGAGAAAGAGAAGAGATGGAGGAAAGACTGATCGGTGGAGCAGAAGTCACACACGATATTTATCAATTAAGTTCACTGTCTTATATGGGCACGATTCATGGTGCCCCAAAACAATTATAATAGTACTATCAAAGATGACTGATCACAGATGGGCATAAAAGATAAAATAATGATGAAAAACTTTTGAAATATTGCAGGAATTACCAAAATGTGACACAGAGACAGGAAGTGAGCACATGCTGCTGGAAAAATGACGCCCATAGACTTGCTTAACTTGGCGTTGCCACAAACCTTCAATTTGTAAAAAATCAAAGTATCTGAAAAGTGTAATAAAGTGAAGCACAGTAAAACAAGGTGTGCCTGTATCGAGTATCTTCCTGACGATCTGTAAGCACTTCTCAAAATGACTTGTATCATTTTGAGATGTGACCATTTAAGGAATAAAAACCAAGACCTACAAGTAGCGAAATTCTTTGCTGCTAAATAGATTACTTTTCTTTCCTTAATCTATTGCCTCTAAAGACAATTTACCATCCATTCATTCATTATTAAATAAGCATGTACTGTCCAATACCATCCTATGTGCTAAGTGTGAAGCAACATGTAGACTCACATTTTTTCTTATGTTGTGTTTTTTTTTTTCCTTTTCAATTCCCACTCATGTATCTTGTCATACCTATCACTTAGACTCTGCATTGATTTTCTTCTATTCATAATTGTCAACTCTGGTAGGAAAGGCCTGGGAGTTCATAGGACTAAGGACAGAAGATAGTCAGAATATCCATACTCAGTTGAACCAGATTCAAATTCAGTAGTCTAATGAAACAGTTCTACGAGATGGCCTTCTTGTCTCAGCTTTCTTTGATGGGGGCATCCAATTTTTTGTTTGTTTGTTTGAGACAGGGTCTTGCTCTGTTGCTCAGGTGGGAGTACAGTGGCACAATCACAGCTCATTGAAGCCTCAACCTCCTGGGCTCCAAAGATCCTCTTGCTTGAGCTTTGTTAAGAGCTAGGAGGTAGGAATACAGGTACACACCACCACACATATTTGGCTTTCTTTCTTTTATTTTGTAGAGATGTGGTCTCACTACGTTGCTCTGGCTAGTCTCAAACTCCCTGCCTCAAGCAATCCTGCCACCTTGGCCTCCCAAACTGCTAGGATTAGAGGCCTGAACCACTGTGCCTGGC
Source organism: Homo sapiens (assembly GCF_000001405.40). Lineage (NCBI taxonomy): Eukaryota > Metazoa > Chordata > Mammalia > Primates > Hominidae > Homo > Homo sapiens. The sequence continues at coordinate 18,776,242 of NC_000007.14, forward strand.
AAATTCTCATTCCAAGAGCTAGGAAGCGCAGTATCCAGCATCAATCCACAACTCCATTAATAGCAAATGTGGAAGAAGTTCAAAGACCAGTGCTCACTGGTGCAGACTATTCTCTGTGCTTCTGAACTTACTATACTCACAATTTCCAATTTTCACAACTTGGGACAGAATTCATTTGCTCACTTATTTAGTAATTTATTTATACAGCAAATGCTTATTGAATGCCTATTGTATGCCTGGAACTGCAAATACAGTACTGAACAAAACAGAAAACGTTTTATCCTACTGGAACTTATATTCCAGTTGAGGAGACAAATAAGCAAGAATGAATGACTTTAAATATATGTGCATGTATGTGATGATGATGAATGCTATAGAGAAAAGGAAGCAAGGAAGGGGTGTGGAGTCTTGTAGTGTTGGGGCAGAGAACTAGTGGTTAATGAGAAGTGTTGCTTTTTTGGATATTAGGATAGACAGGTGAGGGGTGACCTGGGAGCCCTGGTTTCTTGTGGTGACTGACTTAAAGAGGGGTACAGAGAATAATAAGATCCATACTGAGGGTGCAAAGCAGAGTGGTGGGGAAGCAAGGAAAGTTCAGGAGGTGGAGAGGAGGCTTGCCAAGACTGCTCAGAGTTTGGGGACCCCATCTCACTCTCACTGTTAAAGATCTGTGTGTCTAGAGGTAGGGTTGTTCTATTCAGAACACACAGAGCTTCTGGTCTTCCTTCTGACAACTGGATTGAGGTGTGGCAATAGATGATGAGAGGGCAAGTTGAATTTCTAGGCACACGCTGAGATGCTGACATTTCTCTTCAGAGCTGGCTATGGAGGTATAGAGAAGGTTGGGGGTGGGGGCACACTTACTCAGGCACTCAAAGATCTGGGACTCAGTAGCAGGCCCTGGGCTGTGAGATATCTCTCTGGGTAGTTCCAGATCTTAGCAGCACTGTGTGCTTTGGGGTTCCAAGTCCCTGGAATGTTATGTGGACATACTTTTCTTTTTAAATTGGGCAGCTGCAAATTATATACAGTACTCCAACACCTGCCCATTTTCAAGTCTAATAAAAATGTCCTGACATTTGCATGACCTTTGCAAGTGGGTTGGTTTTTTTCCTTGTGCATTTTAGTGTCTTCTTGAATGACATTGTCACATTATGGCCTCAGTTGCTCTGGCTGGTCCATCCTGATTTATATCTGAACTGTGAGATTTGGGGTAACTGATTTGTTGGTCCCATTGTGTTGGTGCATAGAATGGACCAAATAATGATGACGTCTCAATTTCTATATGCCCAGTTTCGTGTTGTATTTATATAGTGCAAGAGAGATAAAAGTCTGAATTCCAGGGTATTTTTACTATTGACAATCAGTTTCTGATCCTCAGCATCCTCAATATTAAATGAATAGAATCAAGAAAAAAAACTTGGCTAAATTTTTTAGGATTATGCTTTAACCATTTTAGCAAAATAATAATTCTCGACTTTGACCCCAGTGGTATTCAGAGGATTGACCTTAATGATGGGATTATCCATCAAGTAAAGGGACAGGTAAGGTGCCCTAGATTAGGCTGGGCAATAGAGAATCCTGCAAAACATACCCTCCTGATTCTCACAGAACCAAGAGGGCTGATTCACAGCCTCACAGCAGAGACTAGCCATTCTTTACACAAACCTTCCAATGATAACCTGCCTCAATCTCTTTTAAATCCCAAATAATCCCAGAGGTTTTATTGCTAAAGATGCAATTGAAGTTTCCTATTCTACAGAAAAGGAAACAAAGGCTCAGAGAGGTGAGTATCTTGTTCAGGTCATAGAATTAGTAGGCCATGGAGCAGAGAGGGCCTGATTCCCAAGCTTTTAACCACAATACTATGCACACACAGCACAACTCACCATAATTTCAACCTCATATGATTGTCAACACTCCTTTCCCAAGTGAGAATAGCCCTAGCCGTAAGAAAAAAACAATTGCTATTTTTGCCAAGAGCATTCTCTTTTTTATTGAAATTCCTATGAAGTATTAAATCCATGCACTCAAACATCATCAATTCTGGGTAAAAAAAAAAATTACACAGCTATACATAGTATTTCAACCCTAACTAGAACACTGAAAAGTCTCTGTCCTTGGACCAAACCACTGTGGGATGAGATAGAGAGAATCTCATTTCACACACCTACTGAGTCAGAGTTAATTTTATTAAGCTACACTCTGTAGGAATGAGGCTCTAATGTGCACTGTCCAGTGAATAAAAAGATTGGCATATTTTGAAGCACCCTTTACACAGTGTGGACATCAGATTAAATGAAGAAACAGTAGGAAAGTACTAAAATGGTATTTCTTGGCTCTGTCTCTAACTCAGTCTTGGTAGAACTGACCAGCAGTTCACTGAAATTGGATAACAATAGGGACTCTCAAATTCCTTTACTGGTCTTTACTGGCCACATAACCCACAGGAATCCATATATTACTTGGTAAATCTATGAGTCCCCCGGATCTTAAGTAAGGATCCTTAGAGTCTCAAGATGTAGCCCTTTCGCCAGAGCAAACATATTCCTCTCCTTATTCTTGTTACTGGCAAGTAAATAGCAAAAGGCAGATTTTTCTGAAGATAAAGAGTGACTAGAAATTGCACATGCAAGGTCAATGGAGCTGCCAGAAAGCAGTTGATCATACCGGGAGATGGTTTGTGGTAGAGCATTAATGCACATGGCATGCCCCTTTTCTCCTCCAGCTGTCACATTAATATTTCACACCTTCTTTCCATATGGAATATCAGTCACAGTATTCATTCATCATATCCATGGCTTTACTTGGAATCTGAACGTCTTCCCTGTAGCTGCTCTGTTTCTTTTTCATCTCACCATGACTAAAGAAGCTAAGGTGTGGGCATTATAACCTACAACTGATCCCAAAGGAATGGGCTGTCATTCATGTCTTCCTTCCAATGTTGAACAAAAGAGAGAATGCATGTGGGTTCACCCACCCATTGTTATCATAAATCCATCCCAGCTCCATTTCAAGACTCTCAGGGTTTCAGCAGAACATCTAACACGAAATGAATATATACATTCAAGGAGCTGGCATGTTGTATCACAAGGGAGAAGGGAAAACACCCATTGTTACAGCCTCAGAGCTGATTGAAAAAGAATGCAATAAAGAATATCAGAGGTTCTCAGACCAGAATCATGATTCTCATTATTATCCCACAGGAGGAGAAAAGGGACAGTCACCCAGAATTAGAGAGGGCTCTAGAAGTTTTGAAGTGTTGACACCTAAGCGTCCACAAAACTGCTCGGAATAGTTTTATTTTAGAAGTATCCTGCCCAGCCTGAGTCTGAGAAACCAGCAATGCAAAGGCTCTGTTAATTATTATTTCACTTATCTGAGACTTGGTTTCTTTATCTATGAAATAGGGCTAAGCAAGGCTCCCACATGGTATTATTGTGAGGATCAAATGTGATAATGTAGGTTATCACTGGCAGCTATATGTGGTAATGAGCACTGCACCACCCTGTGGGGTCACCTTGAGTAGATTCAGGTCTGCAGAGGGTAAACAGACTCCCTGATTTAAAGGTTCTCCAAAGCCCTGCAACCCTGAGGTCTCCACCTGACCTACCTATCCAACTAATAGTCTACCATTAGAATCAAGGCACTGCAGGGAGACAAATAAAGGGAGGGAGGACATTGCTTTCAGAAATCCCAGTGATTAGGCATCTAGGCAGAGAGCCTTCATTTAGGAACTCCGGAATCTGGATTCAAATCTTTACGTTGTCACTGCTCCAAAAGCGCTTTTTCAACTCTAAAGTGCAGATTCCAATTCAGCAGGACCAAATGCGAGCTGAGATTCTGCATTTCTCATAGCACTCAGGGATGGCATTGCTACTCATCCGTGGACCACATTTTGAGTGGTAAGATCCTGTAAGACCATGGACTCACAAATCATTGAAATGACTGGGCCTCAGTTCCTTCACCTATGAAGTAAGGTGATAAATGAAATGTGATTTATTGTCTTCTCTGGGGATCAAATATGTCATTACTGTGTGATAGTACTTTATCCAAATTTAAAACAGCTTTTTACAAAATTCATTTTTCTTGAGAGATCAGATAGCAGGCTCCCATTAGCTTGTCACTGGGGATCTTGTTGACTTAAGTCTTACACAGTCTGTCTCCCTTGGGAAAATAGTGAGTGGGGAAGCTTCTGTGAGAGACAGGGGTGATGCATGACAACAGAGATCCAGGGCACTGGGGACATCACAGTTGTTGTTGGATGATTCAGTGAAGAAGCATCATTGTAGGATGATGCACCAAAGGAAGCACCCAATGCTGGCAAGCAAGAGCTAGTAGGCTATACCTGGTGCAGACTGAAGATGAGAGAAGCAGTCATCACTACATCATGGATGTATTGCAGGGCCCAAACAGGGGTGGTGTTTGGAGTTTAGATAGTTTAGCCACAGTAAAGCCCTGTAAAGAACAGTATCACTATAGGATTCTTTGGTTCTCATCCTTAATTCATTCCCTCGACAAAATTTGTTAAGCATCTATTATGTGTCAGACCTTGAAGAAAGAGCAGTAAAGACAGACACCCATAACCCTATGCCTAGGACACTTGCACTAGCCCATTGTGTTCTAAAGAATCAACAACACAGAATATCTTTTTAAAGTTCACATCTGTATTTGGCTAGCTAGGGCTGTCATAACACAATACCACAGATTGGGTGGCTTAAGCAACAGGAATTAATTTTCTCACAGTTCTGGAGCCTAGAAGTTCAATATCAAAATGTTGGCAGATTTGATTTCTCCTAAGGCTTCTCTCCTGGGTCCTTGGATGACCTTCTTCTCATTGTGGCCTCACAAGCTTTTCTCTGTTCATGCGCATCCCTGCTGTCTCTTTCTTTTCTTATAAGGACATCAGTCATTTTGTATTAGGGCCCCACCCTTATGATCTCATTTAACCTTAATTACCTTTTCAAAGGACTTATTGATTGCTGAATACAGTCCCATTGGGCTTAGGACTTCAATATGCGAATTCTGAGGAAACACAATTCAGTCCATAACGATATTAATGTCCAGGGTTGGCTTTGGTTGAAACCCCAGCTCTTCATCTCATCAACTATATAACTTTGGTCAAGTTACTTAACCTCTTTACAGTTCAGTTTACTCTTCTGTAAAGGTGACTAATAATACTTTTATAAAGCTCTCATGAGGAATTAAATAGGTAGTGTTTGTAAAGTGCTTAATAGGGTCCAGCACCTAGTAGGTGCCCCAATCTTACCCACTATGCTGTTCTTTAAATACTGACCAAAGATATTTACTTTTTGCTTTCTTTGGGCAATAGATTTGACTTTATTACCTTTTCTTGTGAATCTACTAATAAATTAGGCTTTTCTTTTTCTTGGAACCTCGCAACTCACACCCCTTTTCTTACCATTTCCAAAAACAAAATATCTACTGGAATCATCAGCTTTAGCCCTAATTGTAAAGGATCAAGGATAGGAAAATGTTGAGCTTATCAAATACCACTTAGGTGGGAAAAGGTAATTATTTTGTTTCCCAAGGCAAACACAAAAAGAAATTTGGCATTAGAAGATGAAAGTAGATAATTTTTAAGTTACCAAATCAAGATGCTGTTTGCAGAAATATTTGGTCCACAGTAGATGATTCATTTAAAAAATACACTTTACCTGACACAGTGCAAAAGTTAAAATGATTTTTATTTTATTTTGCGGTTTAGCTTTAATACAACCTGCTAAAATGGCACAGAATCAATACTGCAATGAAAAACCTCTGTTTCTTTGTTGAGTCTGGTGTCTGTCAATAGGTTTCCAGGGGCATCTGATCATTATTTAAGCTTAAACTCAATTATTCAGAAAATGCCCTGTGGCCCTAGCGTCAGCATAAAATAGCAGCAAGACCTTACTAAACTGCTCAGAACTGGGTGAAGAGTTTCATTTCCCAACTTTCAGGGTGAAATGTTCAAGGCATCTGAGGAAGGATAGTGTACCACATTAAACATGCACAGTGCATATGAAACCTGTTTTGTTAATGGGCACAATAGTATTATATTTAACTCTGGGAATATTTCCACCAGGAAGCAACAGGCTGCATTTAGATTATACAAAGGAGACTGTGCCTAAATTCCTTTTCTTTTAAGTCATTCCCTTTCCGTTTTAAATACCTTCACATCCACTTTCAGGACAGGTAGCTTAATTTCTATCATGTGCGGCTTTTCAGAGCATTAGCTTTGTTTCAGATTCCAATGATTGAGCTATGCTGGATGTGCTTGGAAAAGCCTGCAAAGACCCACATTCACTCAGGAAACTACAGTTGAACTAGATCCATATGTGGCTAGAAAACATGTAGCTTTCTGATTGGAGGTAGTTCCTGGCTTCCAGCATTATCACAGATGATTTTTGTCCTTTGATGTGCTGCGAAATAGAAAGTAATGTTAGAAGCAAAATGCGGGGATTTTTTTTTCTTAGTTACCATTGACTGAGAGCTTACTGCTTCCAGCATCGTCTTGTGCTGTGTTAAGCACTTTATATGTATTGACTGATTGAATGCTAACAATAATCCTATGAGGAAGGAGTATTATTCCATTTTTCTTAGGTCACGGATCGGTGAATGAACTTGCCCGTGTTTGAATAGTTTGCAAGTGGAACTGCTGGTTTACGAGGTCTCTAACGCTAAGGCAACAAAATAGATAAGGTGCCATTGCACCAAATGTCAATGATGTCCTTGCCAATGCTACCACCTAAAAGAATAGGATAAAGTAGAGGAGGATTTGCCCAAAGCTTGCTTCCTTTTAATGTCTGTTTAAAAGTATATTTAAAGCCTAACAATTTCTCGAAATCCTGGGGTTAAACCAGTCTGTAGGTACCAAATTTTGGTGTATGACTCAAACAAATTATTGGTAGTCATTCTCTCTTGGTACAATTTATGTTGATAGGTGTAACTTATTAATACAAATTCCTAAAGCATTTCTAATTTTACTTCTGGCTTCACCTTTTCTTTCTATCCTTTTATCCAAATAGAACTCTTTCTTTAAACAGTTTGCAAAGAAAAGCATTTCTCTATGAAGTTAATGCTTCTCAAATTATTATGTGGTAAGGGGCAAGGTTTTGTTTACTTACATTTCATTTCCTATATCTGTTGTGAAGAAATACTTGTATATGAGGCAATAAATACAAATTACTAAAAGTGAGATACAAAAGACATAGAACATAAAAACTCCAGTTATTTTTTATTAGATTCAACAGATCATGTCTGGCCTTGTCCTCAGGCAGAGGCTGGAATCCTTCAGTAACACACCTCTGTAAGAGTTAGAGGACTTCTATTCTCCCAGGGCACTGCCCTGAGAAACCTCCTTGAATTAAGCTTTGATGGTTACCACACAAGGAATCAACTCAACTAGTTCTGCTGAGACTTTTTTTTTTTTTTTTTGCCTTTCCCGCTTTAGAATTTTCAAACTTTGTGTGAAAATAAATCACCCTGGGTAGCAGAAGTTATGCACTGCCAGGCCAGAAGCCATATTCAACACATACATAGATTTCTCTTAGCTTGGCTGGGGATTTTTAAGTGAATTATTGTCAATATTTAAGATAGAAAAATTGCACCTAAGAATACAATATTTAGGGCTACTAATAAATACCATGCTATCATTTCCTTAAGACAAAAATTGTTTGGAACTGTGTAGCCATTGTCCTTTTAGCTGGGACACAAACACTCCAGTCAACCATAGTTCCAACCAGAGAACCTGTCCCTCATCCCCAGTTACCTGACATTATGTCTATGTCCCCATTGTGGCTTTCGGTGTCATTTGAACACGTGGCTACTTCTTTAGCCCTAATCTGTACCCCTTCTATATTCGAGTCTTTCTGGGTATTATTATTATTATTATTATTTGGTTCTTTGTCTCTGTCTGTGGACTCATGGACACTACTTGATTCCAATACATATAAGACAATTAATCCCTTTAACACCAAGGAAATCCTCTCCTCTCCTCTCCTTTTCTTCTCTTTTCTTTTCTTTCGTGTCTCACCTTGTTACCCAGACTGGCCTCAAATTTCTAGACTCAAGTGATCCTCCCGCCTCAGCTTTCTGAGTAGCTGGGTCTGTAGGCACACACCACCAAAAGCTAGCTCAAGAATTTTTTTTTTACAACCTAGTAAACATTTAATTTATTCCTGATTCAAATCCGAGGAGGCATTTTAGAAGAGAAGGTTGCTACTATTGCTCTCAGTGTGAACAATAAGAGGACAAAACAAAAAACAAAAAACAAAAAAAAAACTGAAGGCCACCAGGTGCTTGCCCCAGACATTTGCAGAAGCACAGAGACTTCTGGATAGGAGAGCACTGAGGAAGCATCTTTATGTTCTTGCAAAATCCTGAGTTGGTCATGGGTTTTTATCATTTAATTCATGTTCTTAACTCACAGTGGAATAAAGAAATGGTGTAAACAACGGTTTTGAAATGTTATACCCATCTCTCAGCTGCTCAGAATCTGTTTCAAAGATAGTGAACAATTAGAAGGGTGGGTTACTCAGAATCAGTGCCCACATATATTTCACTTAACAGAATGAATCATGGCCACTCAAAGGCAGCAGACTTTCCATGTACTCCCAGCCTGCCACGTGTGTAGTATGAACCCAACATTCTCATGAACAACAGTTTCTCAAAAACTTGGCTTTTAATAGGTAGCAATTGCTTGTGTGTGTGTGTGTGTGTGTGTGTGTGTGTCTGTGTGTGCATGTGTGTGTTTTGTATAGACTCATAAATTATATGATGTTCCTTGACCCTTTATTTTGCCAATGATATTATATAATTATTTCTTTTTGAAATCATCAGATAAAATTGCAGTACTTTCCTTTGGCGTATTAAGGAGTGGTAAGGTGAGAATGAAGCAAAGGAATGGGAAGAACTATGAAGAGTTTTTACTGGTTCTGTCACTAACATTTGTGACACTTAAGAAACCAAGGGCAGAACAATGCTTAAAAATAAATATATAACAGCATTGATTCTGTTCAGTAGACAGAATTATTTGGACAAATTCAGGGAAAGGACACTGATTAAAGTTATTTTTGGTTGTATACCAAAAAAAAAAACCATGCATCGTAGGATGCGTAGTGGCATTCCTGGCTCTATGCACTAGAAGCCAGTAGCACACCTCCCTTACTCAGTCATGACAACAAAAAATGTCTCCAGAAAGTGCCAAATGACCCCTTAGATGCAAAATCACTGTCATTGAGATCCACTGCTCTACCATAATAGCAGACAAATCACAACACTCAAGAAAAGCTCAACTCTTCTAGGTACCACTTGAAACATTTGATTTAAAAAAAATATTTTAGCACTTTTAACAGGGTAGGGTTTCAATACCGTGAAAGAAAAAACATTCTTGCAGGTCTTAGCTAATTTATTTAATTAGAAAACTCTTTATGCATATATGATTAGAATCTGTTTTTTAAAATACCATTTTATTATTTATTTTACTTTTTGGATTTTGATTTTACTAGCATAAAAATTACTATGGGCTAACAGCTCATAGTTTTCTCAGTTCTTTTTCTACCTTCTCTAATTACTAGCTGAATAACCTCTGAATTTCATATATAAAACTGCTTAATAATAGCATCTACATTAATGGTCGCTGTAAGAATTGTATTAGTTACTATGGGCAAAAGCTTTGCACAGTGCCTGGATCTTAGTAAATACTCAATAATTGCTAGACAATAATATTATTGTTATTGTCATTATTATTTCTAAATAAAAAGAAAATAACTTTATAGAGTAGGGAAGTATATAATAAAACTGAAAACATGGACTGTTAAATTTTAGTTTTTTATTACTTTCTCTATGTATTTTCTGAATTGCATTCTGCTATGACTGAGTAAACGAAATCATGTTTCTGCTATTCATGTTCCCTAAGTTATGTTTAACTCAGCACTCATCCTTTTTATCCCTTATTCTGGATCACCACTAGTAAGAGAGATTGCAACATGTTATTCTTCTTTTAAATGTGAACAGCATTATGTAGTAGCTAAGTTTTAATAAATAGATGTATAACTAGCGCTTTACTGGCCCTAACTCTTTATCCTCTTGTAGTCCCTCCATGCCTCCATAGAGAGGAGTATCTTCCTAATTATTTTAGGAGCTTCAGGTAATGCCTAATGTGAATAGTACCATGTGCTTCTGAATGCAAGATGTTTTTTCCCATCGCCCTTTCCTTCCTTCCTTTCGTCCTTCCTTCCTTTCTTCCTTCCTTCCTTCCTTCCTCTCTCTCATGTACTTTTTGCTCACATACACTTCCTGTGTCCCCTGTTTCTGTCACACCTCTTGGGTATGGCTGGCTGGCTTCCTTCCTTCCTTCCTTCCTTCCTTCCTTCCCTCCCTCCCTCCTTCCTTCCTTTCTTCCCTCCTTCTTTCCTCCCTTCCTCCCTTCCTTCCTTTTTGCTCACATATCCCTTTCTGTGTCCTCGGTTTCTGTTGCATGCGCCTCTTGAGTCTAGCTTTCTTTCCTTCCTTTTCTTTTTTCTCTCTTTCTTTCTTTTCTTTCTTTCTTTCTTTCCTTCCTTCCTTCCTTCCTTCATTCCTTCCTTCCTTCATTCCTTCCTTCCTTCCTTCTCTTTTCTTTCTTTGTTCCCAGTGAGTACTGCTGGCCCCTGCTGATGCACATTACCGATATTCTGGGGTCTTTACATTGCCAAGTGCTCAGGATTCTATGAGGTTTATAGAGAAACAGAAAATGTGCTTCCTTCCCTCTTTTAAGGTCATAATTTTTCAAATTGATACCAAAGTGTTCTACGTAATTCTCATGTTTTTAGAGGGTTTAAAATGTTTTGCCTATTTTAGTTACTTATAATCTCCTGTGTTTCTCAACCCCTTTCTACCCTATTAGATAGACAGGACTCTGGGAGTGTGGGTTGGGAGAGAATCTCAATGAGAGATTCTGTACTACTTCAGATTGTGCCTCCTCCTCTGATGACTAAATCTTTCTTATGGGCCAAGCTCCTGTGACTCTCACCCTAAAGTGGGGTTCTACTCAATCTCACCGAGTGTGTTTGTTCCCTCACACAGAAAGACTTTTTGTGGAATAGCTTCACTTACACTTCTCAACCCCAGTTTTGGATGTATGTTAGGTCCAGACCCTCCTACATATTTATAAAGTGAGTTGAACTTTGGGATGCCTATTTCAAAACTGATAGATTTTAATTCTGGCAATAAAACAAGGCCTCTGTGGACCTATTTCTCAGCAGACTACTAAAGCTGCCTTCATGCTTGGTACATTAGTTACATCATTAGAAACATTTGAAAGTTAAAAGCATACTGTTTTTAGAATGGTACATAAAGCAAGGCTTGGTAAAGATTCCAGAGGAATCTGAAGGTAGGAATATTTAGGGATTTCCATACTGTAAAATACAGTTAAACCTCACTAGCCTGTGTGTACAGCATATCCTTAGAGACTTCTGCCCAGAATCCTGGCTAGATTTTTATCCCTGCCATTTGGCAAAATAAATTCCTGACCTTGGAAATAAATGGGACACAATATTTCCCATGCTCCCTCAGATGTGTGATGAATATGTTATTTATTTTTTCTCCCAATTATAGTGATCCTCTCCATAATTAATAATCTATCAGCCTCTTCCAGTTTGAATAACTTCCTTTCAGTTTAGAAATACTGTCTTTTCAAGATCACCTTATTATTGGACTTAATGTCTTTAGGTAATTGCTTAGCCTCTCAGATTCCTCTTTGAAGATGGCATTTGGGCACCTGAGGGAGGGATGGAGAGCTGAAGGGGTACCTGGATCCTCCTGCTGTCCTCTGAACACTCAGGGTTCCATGGCAACCTCTCTGCACCACCTGACTCTTCCTGAAGTTGAAGCTGAGGTCGGCAGCAGATTAACTCCTGATTACTGACTTCTCTGCCAGCTGGAGCTTGGCAGGGTTCCCGGGCTCCAGTAGCCTCCCTTTGGCTCACATTGGTAATGGGGTTCCTCTGAACCCCTCTGTGGACTCCATTTGGCTCCACCCATAGTTAAACCATTTCACAGGCTCTCCCATATCATACCCCTTGGAGGATTGTGAGAACTTGAGACTTCCAGCTGCACTCTACAGGAACCAAGAGCATCTCAGGAATGCTGTAGCTTAATCTTCCATTAGTTTTTCATACCACTCTGCAGACTTTATTATATGGTGGCCACAGTTTAGTGTAGACATGACTTCAAAAAGTCCCAAATATTGGCTGAACGCGGTGGTTCACACCTGTCATCCCAGCATTTTGGGAGGCTGAGGCAGACGGATCACCTGAGGTCAGGAGTTCAAGACTAGCCTGGCCAACATGGTGAAACCCCATCTCTACTAAAAATACAAAAATTAACTCAGTGTGGTGGCGGATGCCTGAAATCCCATCTACTTGGGAGGCTGAGGCGGAAGAATGGCTTGAACCCAGGAAGCAGAGGTTGCAGTGAGCCAAGATCGAGCTACTGCACTCCAGCCTGGATGACAGAGCGAGACTCTGTTTAAAAAAAAAAAAAAAAAGACCCAAATATCAACCAAAGTGAAGGCTCACCGACCATTTTGTCAACTTACCTGAAACATTTTTCTCTCTCGTTTGCTCACATGTCGCTTTCTGTGTTCCTTGTTTGTGCCGCACCCCTTGAGTCCAGCTTTCTGCAGTCTTTCAGGACCAGAAGAGATGGATTTTAGGTTTTCCTTCCACTCAATGTATTCTATATGTACCCTAATCAACAAGCATGCCTGGTTGTCACAGGTAGAAGGGGTCTCTACTCTGAATCATTCAGAGAAGAAATAATCATATTCTTTCGATGCTATCACTAACACAGGACCGTGATCTGAGACAACCAGGTTCAGTTCTTGATATGTAAAGGAATTTGGGAAAATATCATCTCTCACCACAAAATCTGTATTTTTATGTATATTGAAGCAAAATCCTGTTTTGGTCATCATTTTCTTTACCTTTCTTCTATATCCATCCTAATCTCCCTTTCAGCTCATGTACTATTACTCCTTAATGCACACGCAGACACATACACGCACACACACACACACACACACACAGTCTCTCTCTCTCTCTCTTTCTCCCTTTCTCTCTCTCACTGGGAAAAAGAATAAGTTGTTGGAGAGACAAAGGAGAATTTATGTGCATGGAAAGAAAAATGACAAAGCATATTTTTTCAGAATATAGTAGTTCTATTTTTAAGAATTTGCCTTGCATGTCTTCTCAACTTTAGCAAGACCTTAGTAGTAGGCCACTGTGCTCAGGGTGGCTCCCTGCTCCACTGTCATTTATTTCCTTTCCAGCCTCATCTATTACATCTTGCATTATTTTTCCATTTCCAGAGCCAACTTTATGCCACTGTCCTTCAACTTCCAAATGTGAGGGTGCCTGTCTTCTTATAGTTCCAAACCCTTCTGATCTCTACTTTCATCATTATTGCATTGCCATTTCAGCCCCTTAATCCTGCATATCTGTATGCATTCCAAGCAAATCCTTCTTTCCCTTTTTTCTTCCCCTCCAGCTCCAAAATATCTTATTCTATGCAAGGAACCACTATCAGTTGATGAACTCAACTGTTTTCTCTTACCTATAGTTTTTTCCTACTGTCAAGATGTTCTTCAGCAGTTGAAATCAGAGCTCTCTTAAGGAAGTGGCCCTCTTGATGCTATCACTAATATAGGGAAATTGGTTGGAGAGATTGACAACCAATGAGAGGGACAAAGAGGGAGGAAAAATATTTTTACCATTGAGAATATTGGAAAGTGGATATGGATGTTCTTCTAGTGACACAGATTATAGCATAATTCATGAGTTATGTATCCTGTTTTATCATTGAAGTTCTTATGAAACTGTAACATGGAAAATACATGTGGGGAGCTTTTGGCAGCTAATTTGGCCCTGAACCCCATTTGGATCATCATGCCTTAGGAAAGTATGCTTGTAATTTGACTTATGAACAAGATTTTGGGATTTAATCTTACTATGAACTGAAGAGTGTGCCCTCAAAATTTATGTACTGAAGCTCAAATCGCTAATCTGATTATATTTGACTACCTTTTGAAAGTAATTAAGATTAAATTAGGTCATAAGGTACTGTGTGCTAATCCAATAGGACTGATATCCTTACATGAAGAGGAACTTTAGTACAAGGAAAGGGCATGTGAGGATGTAGCAGATGTGGCCATCTGCAAGCCAAGGGGAGAGTCCTCACCAGTCACCAAATGGGTTGGCACCTTTATCTTGAACTTCAAAGCCTCCAGAATTGTGAGAAATAAAATTTCTTTTGTTTAAGCTACCTACCCCTTGGTATTTTGTTATGGCAACCTGAATGGACAAAGACAAACTTGTTTGTAAATTCAGAATTAAGTACAATTACCTATTTATGAACAGATTATATCCACAAAACTTGACCATTACCGTTTATAAGCATTTATAAACTAAATGTAGGTAAAACATAGGTTGAGGTGGTATTGAGATAAATATTGTTTTTGTTTAAATATAAATAAATTAATGGATGATAAATCCCATAGTTTCCTAAAGAGAACTTCTTTAGGGATAAGCCTAAACATTGGTTATGAGTCAAAATATCAGTCATCCACTGGATACCTATGTGCTCAACATTCTTTATGATCAATAAACATAGCTTTATTATAAAAGTAACCCCCACCCGGCAACTCACAGTAGGTACTCAATGAATGTTAACTGAATTAAAACAAAACTACCATTATTAGTAGAAGTTTAGACACCAAAATTAATGTCACAAACATCTTTGGCAGATAGAAAGGTATGGACAGGCATATGGGTATCACGCAAACGTATTTGTGGCTACCTAATGCCCTTTAGTATGGTCAAAGATACAGCACTCTCTGCTGCTGGAATGTTTTTCTAATCAAGTTCAGTATTTATAATTTTTTGGAAGGAAATTTGCCACTGCTTTAAGAAATAAAGAAAGAAACAAAGCTTATGATGTACTCCAAAGTTGAGTAAAAAGGGCTTAGGAATTTTACATGGTTCTTGAGTCACCGAATACATCTTTTGGAATTTATTTATTTTATTTTTTTGCTTGCTTCCCCAGTAACTTAAATTCTGATTAATGCAGGCTTTTCTTTGGTACTAGTAGCTCTGTAGTGGTGGGAAAACTGACTAAAACCTATATAATACATGGTAAATAATGGTTTTTATTTTTCAACTTGTGCAGTCATCTTCCTTAAGAATATAGCTACACAAAGCTTAAACAACTACTTATTTATATTGGTTCAGTAAAATAATAAAACCTTCAATTTAGAGGGCAAATGATTAGGTCTCAGTGTCCATTTCAATGATTCCTTCACTCTTTAGCTGACAGTGCAGACCATGATGGTATCGACTATGATAGGGGATGCTGGCTCCTAGAAAGCACGGGTTTCTTCAGGAGGGTGATGGAAAGGCATGTGCTGACAGGGTCAGAGTTCTGTGTGAGAGTCCCGTGGTCTTCAGAACAGCCTTTCTAAGCCACAGTGTACTCATTCAATCAACACGTAGGCCTCTACTATGTGCCAGGCTTTACAAAACAGGTATAACAGTAGCTGAAATGGTAGTAGCTAGCTTTTGTTTACCACTTAGTCATTTAATCCTCACTAAAATCGTATGCAGATGGTACTTTAAAAAGTTGGTATTTTCACAGATAAAGGAACCAAGGCACAGAGCCATTAATTAATTAATTCTCCAATGTCACTCAGGTTTTAATGATGAAGCCATGATTTTACCCCACCAGTTTGATTCCAGAAACTTCACTACTATACTGCTGTTTATAGGATCTTGATTTTCTTTTATTATGTATGCACTTATTTACTGTTCTCATTTATTATTTTTGTATTCATTGTTCTTGGTAGTATTTAAGTGTGTAAGAACCTCATGAGAAAAAGGCATGTGAATATTCTTAGAAAACTACTTAGTTCACTGTGAATGTGTGTTGTTATTATTTATTGTATTTGTTCCATGTGATTAGGCCCCTTGCATTTAATTCTCTTTTTTTTTTAAAAAAAAAAAAAAAAGCTTTGTTTTATGCAGAATTTCTCCCCTTTGATCCATTTGGGAAGTCTTGCTATTTACAGTCACAAACTTTGTATTCTATTTCCTGGTGCTTCAAATAACTTATGTGTCCTAAAATTAGAGACTTCTACCATCTGGTACTGTTTTTTTATGTTATGAAGTATTTTATATATTAAAAATATAACATATGATAATTATAAACCACCATTGTTGCTCTTTTCATGTATGCATTATTATGTGTTTTCATTGCATTCATGAAAAAGGGTAAACAGCATTTTATAAAGGGAAATCCAGAATATTGGTACATGCTTTGTTTTGATAATAATGTTCTCTAGTAGATAAGCAACCATCTATTTTACTGGCTTATCCAATTTTAACAATACCAGTTTGAACTGAAACAATCTGACAAATTATACTGAAAGTTAGAAATCTTAAGCTTATACTTTGAACATCACATTTCTCCTTGCAATTTGCTGTTATTGTTTTAAGTGTGAGGACCACACACTCCTTCCATTTAGTTGGAGAACCTGACTTGTGGTTGCTACTTTCTACTCCCTGACTGCTGCTGCTACCTGCCTAATAATTGTGTTTGGCTCCCTGTAAACCTGCAGTCAGAAAGGTATTTGAATTTTCCCCCTCTAGCACTTGCAAATCCGATTTTTATGTATAACTAAGTGCTCTTAGTTTTTACTCTATCTACTACTGGGGCCTGGTTTCTAGCAGGCCTGTAACTAAGCCAGATCCGGCCTATGTAATGCTGTTTGTAATGAGAAATCTAAACAGGGAATGGCAGTGAGGCATGGCAGGAATGTGTTTCCATTGGAGAAGTCAGTGTAGAGAAAAAGTATAAGCAAAGCCATGTCCAGAAGGCCTTTTCAGCTGGCCAAGACGGAAGACTAATGTTATTGTACATAGGCTGTTACCCTGCCAGCCCTTCCTCACAGATTTGCTTTCTCTCTCTGTCCCTCTTCCCCTGCGACCTCTTCCCCTTTTACCCCTTTCATCTCTTCCTTCTCTTTCGCTTTCTTCTTCTGTCTTCGGACTCTGCTGACTGTTTGCTCAGGTGGACAGTGACACCATTTGGAATGAGCTACACTCGTCCGGTGCTGCACGCATGGCTGTTGGCTGTGTCATCGAGCTGGCTTCCAAAGTGGCCTCAGGAGAGCTGAAGGTGAGGTCCGGGTTGCATTAAGTGTGGGAAATCCAGAGAAGAAACTGAAACAGAGATGTTGTTATGTGGGAATTGCGGGGAGTGTGGCGTGGTAATAAAAGGAAGGGCAGAAGGAAGAGGGTAGAGATGGCCACTAAGGTGTGATAATAACTCATCTGTAGGCAGGGAGCAGCTCATCCTGCTCTCAGGGCCTTCTTCTGCCTGAGAACACTCTGCAGTCAGGGCCCACCGGTGTGCATGTAAGAGCACAGAGATAATAAGCAAAGCTATGGTTCAGGTAAAAAATACCTTTAGTATATACATGTCTGTCATGCCATCCTGAGATTCTCTTTTGAGGCAATTTTAAAAATATGATTACTGAGAAGTGTGTATAAGCTCAGAATACCACCCAGAGAGAGGGAGGCAGAGAAAGGTAAATACCAGACGGGAAGGATTGGGAGGAGGAAGGAAATTGTTGATTAGAAGGGTAATGATCCAGAGTGTGTTTTTCCATGAAAGAACTTAAAAAATGAGCTATGCTTTATTGTTCTTTTCTTTTTATGGTCTCTTCTTTTCTACATCGTATGAAAAGAACAATGTCCAAACCCCAGCGTTTCCCAGTCTAAACAATTTATAAAAGCTAGAGACCTGACAGACGTTGACATTTTATTTGGTATTTTAACAGTGCTATTTAAAGGTACGCCATGTGCGTCTTGAATGCAGTTACCCCAATAAACTTTGTTGGTGCTAACACGGCCTTTTAATGCACTAGTTCACACACTTCATGACGCAATCTGGGTCGTGATTGATTCGGTATTTTTAGCAATTGCGGGGCTTAGGGAAATATATTATGACCAATAACATATGCACTGTGAGTTTTGTGAAACCAAGATAAAATGTAATTAGGATTACTTTTCTTTATGTCTAGTGAATTTTTATTCAATTACATGGGACTCTTCCAGTTGTGATTAAAAATGTGGAGTAGGAATGTGCACTTCACAATGCAACGTTTGTCCAAGAAGTCTTTACTCTTAACTCTTTAAAGAGTCAGAGCCTACGGAAATATAATTTTGATAGGGTGAGCTCTATTTAAAAAGTAGATGTGCCTGTATATATTTGACATAAGTAGTATTAGGACATTGCTCATCTCAGGGGATATATGGGGTCATTAATGTGGTGCTTACTCTTCAGTCTTTACCTTTGAAAATGAGCAAATAAAAAGAGGAAAGGAATCAGCCTGTGGAGAGGTTTTGGCTATCTCCCAGTAGAACTTGAGGAAAAATTCTTCCTATTTGAGTGCTTGTGTTGTACTTGCACCACTGCAATAAATTAACACTTTAAAATAAAATTTGAACATCTTATTTTAAAAAGAATCCAAATGGCAGAAATCAGCCAGGCCACAATATTATAATTTTAAAGATTATGCTGGCACAGCTCTTTGATAACAAAGATAATTATTATGTTAGCTTTCACAATTTCTAATTGTTTTAAGTTTGTGTAAGTTTAAGCAATAATTCAGAAACCTTCTCAAGTAGAATGCCCACGTGTTTCAGTCATCAGAAGCATCATTATTAGCTTCACTGTGTGCAGAATTGCCAAATATATGCACGAAGATAGTTGAATAAAAACATAATTCCATGTTTAGAAGTTATCCATTTAAAATAGCCAGTTCCAAACAATGTGTCAACAACACATAGTATGGGCATGCTGACCACCAGCTGTAGTAACATCAGGTATTTATATTGAGAACAACGATTGGTACAAATTTCTTCCCTTCCTCTGGTTAAGGAATCAGCAGGCATGGTTTAAAAAGAAAAGAAAACAGTAAAAAAAAAAAAAAAAAAAAAAAAAAAAGAAAAGCCAGCCTAAGAATCAAGAAATCTTAGTCCAGGTTCCACCACTTGCATAGTGTGTCATTTGTGGCAAATCTGTAACTTTTCTGGGGCTCAATTTCTGGTTCTGCACAATCATCTAGGTGGAATTGATAATATTGAAGGTCATCCATGGCACTGGCATTTTGAGCTATTTGCAAATGAAAAGTGGATATGAATCTCAATTATAACACTATGGCATCCCAAGCGGTAGATATTCTGAAATTTCAGTTTGCTTTGATGAACATTCCAGATTGTGCAGCTGGGTTATCTTTCTGATTGCCAAGTCCATTGTAAAAGTCCAAGATAGGCAGAATCATAACAGAGGCACTGGTACTATGCTGACAGGTCAAGAGACTGAAGCCCTGGGTTGCTAATAATTTGGGTAAGGCTACAGAGATGCCATGGGGGAAAAGTAGAACTCACAAATGATTTGGAGCCATAGTAAAGAACATGTGTAACTGAGGTAGACAGCCATGTTTGTGGACCGCTATTCAACAACCACAAAAACTACCCAGTGCCTACGTGTCCCAGACTCAAATATGATGGGGCTGATATACCTGCAGGCCAGGAGCATTATTACTCATGGTTTGTGGATTCGATTCATTCAGAACTTGGAAGAAAATAGGGAAGCTTATTCAAGGACACTGGTAAGTAATAAGAAATGTGAAAAGAAAAGACTTGAGCATTTTGTTATTCATTTTTCTGCATCTACATTCAGTTCTCACATATTCTATCCCATTCTCCCAGTAAATCAACATTTAATTAAATAAAATTGGCATGTTACGATACCACATCGTATGAGATTGCACTAATTTTTCTTGGAAAATAGAGTAAAATTAAGAGCTTTATTTGAAATATGATGTGCCTGGATATAGTGTGGAAATAAGAGATGAGAGCTAGCTAGAGGAGGTCTCTGAGATCACAGAGGATGAGGACCTAAAAGATAAGAAATGTGCACAAAAAAAGAAAATGCCAGAAAAAATTGTATGACTTGGAAATTTTGTTTGATGCTGAACTTGACCATGGCTAACCTCCTAACTTTTGATAGGTCCTTTCCTTTCTTCCCCCAGGGGATATTGATGAGCTGAAGGAATTAGAAGAATGAACCAGGCACAGGGGGTGGGTTTCCTGTTAATGCTTAAATAGAACATGTGCAGCAAACTATATCAGCAAATTGGTATATTTTTTGGCACAGCATAGACCTGCTCAGTGGAGCTCAGTGAAAATCATGGGGACTTTCAGACTTTCCAAGTTTTTAAACAATACATTTTTAAAAATACATAAGAAGGAATTCCTCAAATTTACAGGTATTCAAATTGGCTATTTCTCAGATTCTCTTACAAAGGAACAAAAATATTCTGAAATTGTTGGCATGTTTGGTGTATTGGAAATCATAATTGGAAGAATAATTATCTCAAAATGGTTTTATTGTTTTATAGGACATTTTAGAAAGTATGTCAAAGACATAGAAATAGCTCTAAAAGGTGAACATTTTGTAATCATAAATAAAAAAGGATTGATACTTATTGAAGTTTAATATAAAGATTCACTTTGGTGTTCTTTTGACAATGCTACCATGTCTTCATAAAATAGTCAAAGTTGCTTTTAGCTTCTGGACATATTTATCAAAACAAACAAAAACAAAAAAAATCCTAAACACCTGGTTATCTGAGTGATGGATGAATTTGAGCATATACTGAATGAATATGAGTTTGAGTGTGTATTATGATGTCATGTTGCTAATAATAACTGCTACTCATTGAGTGCCTTCTATAGGCAGCCAGTTTATATGTAATTTACTATTATTCTCACAATGTACCCTTGAAGTAAGTACAGGATACTGGCTCAAAGACATTAAGTAACCTTTTAAGATCCTGCAGATAGGTTAATAAATAATAAAATATGTAAATCTGATAATCCTCTGTTTTCTTTCAACCACTCTATCAGGACATTCTTTTACAGATAGCACAAATATACATTTAAAAAAGGGGCTAAAACTATCTATTTTAAGTAAGCAAAATTTTATCTTTTTTATTATTATAAAACATTTGAGACATACAAAAAGACAAGAAGTTACATTCTTACCTAACAAAATATAATAATAAAATAAATACCCACGAACTCCTCATCCAATTTAAGAATTGAACTTTGCTCACAATATTAAAATTCTCTCAGTACTTATCTCATTCCTATATTTTAAAACCAGATAGTCATTAATCTATTATATTTTTTTAAATTATGGCCCTGCGCAGTGGTTCATGCCTGTAATCCCAGCACTTTGGGAGGCTGAGGCGGGTGGATGACTTGAGGTCTGGTGTTCAAGACCAGCCTGGCCAACGTGGCAAAACCCCGTGCTCACTAAAAATACAAAAAATTAGCCAGGTGTGTTGGCAGGCGCCTGTAATCCCAGCTATGTGGGAGGCTGAGACATGAGAATCGCTTGAACCCAGGAGGCAGGGGTTACAGTGAGCCGAGATTGCACTGCTGTACTCCAGCCTGGGTGGCAGAGTAAGACTCCATCTCAGAAAAAAAAAAAAATTCCTTTCGTCTTGTTAATAGCTTTAAACATGCTTTTTGCTTTATAAAAATGGAACCTTATCGAATATATTCTTCTTCAGCATATTTCCCCTAAAAGGTATATTATGAGGATTTATCCATGTGGAGATATATATATATATATATGAATGATTAATTCATTTTCATTGCTATAAAATATTCCCTTTGCACCATAATTTATATTTTTATTCTTCTGCAAGACATTGTTGTTGTTTCCAGGTTTTTGCTTTTTTGAATAATGCTATATGAACACCCTTGAACATGGCTGCTCTTTCACTAGAGTATAACAAAGAGTAAAACAGTCCGCTCCTAGGCTACTTTCACAGTAAATTTCAGGAGGTAATGCCAAGTGGAATTCCAAAGTCATTTTACCACAATGACATCAGCAAAGTGTCAGTCTAAGAGTTCAAAAATTCTTTTCTCCATAAAAACAATGATAAAACAGGCAAAATGTGTCAGGATGAAATTTTTCAAAACTCAGGAAAGTAATCAAAGTCTTCCAACAACTCAGGAAGCATGTTTCAAAAAACAAACCAGCTGAATTTTGGTGAGAACAGAGAGATTTGTGGTGTTTTAACTCATCGTATTTCCATCTTCCCCTTTCTAGGTCCATGGTAGCCTTACCAAATCACAGCCTGCATTCTTAGCATAAACTAGTAACTTGCCAACCTCTGATGGGGAGATAAGGGAGTGGATAATGGAATTGGAACTCCTTCAAAGCCTCAATCCTAGAGAATTGTCATTATTTGACCTGTCCAGTGCTTCCCTGCATAACTTACTTGCAAGGCTTTATTTGGCTTCATGAGGTTTTCACACAGTGTGAAAGCCTTTTTCTTAGAAGTATTTGTTGTGAAAAATTAGTGGCGATCACTCAACTTTATGGCTGCTTGAGGTGGTGGATAACAATGGGGCAAACAGTAGGTTAGCCAAAAGCATCAAAGAAAACCTGAGGAATGTGCATAAGGACTATGAAAAGCCCCATCAGATTCCTAAGAATCTAGAAAGCCACATGTATGATAGGGCTATATGCATACTCAGATTTGTGTTCCTACTCAGGAAAGACCTGAAAAGGCCCTAAGCTCTTATGTCAAACTGATTTTGAGGCTCTGTTCAAACAGGAAGTGAAGGTCCGGGTAGAGTTGTCAGCTGCCTGGCTAAATATTTAAAATGTGCCCTAAGACACACACACACACACACACACACACACACACACACACACACACACACACACACAGAGCCCCTCGGCAAAGGCTGGGGGAGTGCTGGTTTTAAGCATTAAAAGAAATATATTTATCCAATCATTGACTGACCACTAAGCTAACAATGCAAAGACTTCAGTAGCATATAAAACATAGAACACAGATTTTACACAACGATTTCACAAAAGTCACTAAGAAAATGACGATAACAAAAAGGAACAACAACAAATCCTGGAAAGAGGTGAGAATATGACTTCTAGTTTTACCATACTGTTTTGTTTAAAATGTCCAGTTTTCCACAGAAATGTTTGAGACAAGCAAAGAAACAAGAAAGAATGCCCCACACAGAGGAAAAACAAATCAGTCAATAATAACTGTCCCTGAGTTAGCTCAGTTATCAGACTTACTAGACAAAAACTAAGCTAGATATTTTTAATAATTTAAAGAAGTAAGTTAAGCCATGTCTAAAGATTGTATGAGGATGTATGACTCTATAAACAGAATACTAATAAAGACACAGACATTGTTAAAATAAAAGAACCAAGGAAAATTCTGGATTTGAAAAACACGATAACTTAAATGAAAAATTTACTAGAAGGGCTTAGTAGAAATGTGAGCAGGCAGATGAAAATGTCAGCAAACCTGAAGATATCTAGTCTGAAGACCAGGAAGAAAAGAGAATGAAGAAAAATGAACAGAGTTTCAAAGGTCTGTAGGACATGATCAAATGTACCAACATATGCATAATAAGTTTCAGAGAAGAAAAGAGAAAGGGGAAGAAAGAATATTTGAAGAAATTACGGCTGAATATTTCCCAAATTCAATAAAAACATTAATCAACATATTCATGAAGCTCAGTGCTCCAACTAGGATAAACTCAGAGATCCATACCTAGACGCACCATAATGAAACCATTGAAATCCAATGATGAGAAAAAAATCTTAAAAACAGCAAAAGAGAAGCAACTCATCACCTCCAAAAATCCTCAATAAAATCAACAACTTAGGTCTCATCATAAACTATGTAGGCCAGAAGGCAGTGGGATGACATCATCAAAGTGCTGAAAGAAAAAGACCATCACCAAGTATTCTATGTCCAACAAATCTGTCCTTCAAAAATGATGGTGAATTTAATACATGCTCTGTTTTACCCCATTAGTCCATTCACCTATCTCTGAATCAGTACCACATACTACTCATTACTTCAACTTTATAAGAGGTCTTGACTATCTGATAGGAAAAATTTTTTCACTTTCTTATTCTTCCTCACTAGATCTTGACATTTTCTTTGTTCTTAAATGTATAGTTTAAACTCACCGTGTCATTTTGCATGAAACATTCCATGAGAGGTTTTTTTGCATTGAATCTACAGATGAGTTTGACAATAATTAACATTTTTAGATGATTGAGTCTATTTGTTTCTGAGCATATGTTTACATTTATTTATACTTTCTTTGAAGTTTCTTAATCAAGTTTTATAATTTCTTCTTGGGCAAGGGATGGCGGTGCATGCCTGTAATCCCAGCACTTAAGGAGGCTGAAGTGGGTGGATTACTTGAGCTCAGGAGTTTGAGACCTGCCTGGACAATATGGCAAAACCCTGTCTCTACAAAAAATACAAAAATTAGCCAGGTGGGGTGGCATGTACCTGTTGTCCCAGCTACTCAGGATGCTGAGATGGGAGGATTGCTTGAGCCCGGGAAGTCAAAGCTGCAGTGAGCCAAGATCGTGCTGTCTCATTCCAGCCTGGAAGACAGAGCGAGGCCTTGTTTCAAAATAATAATAATAATAATAATAATTTCTCCAAAGACAAAAAATATATATATGTAGGTAATTTGTGTTTTTGAAAAGAATTTTAGTGGCATCTTATTACAATTACATTCTCTGTTCTGATGTACAAAGGGGCTGTTTATTTTTTGCTAATTGTACATCATTATTATTGCAAAACTAGTAACAATTTATAAGTCATTTGGGGTTTCTTTCTGATATCATCTGCAAATAATGACAGTTTTATTTCTTTTTTTCCAATAATTATGCCATTTTAAAATTTGTATTTCCTTATTACATGGGCTAAAATCTCTGATATAATGCTGAAGACAATTGAACATGGTGAGTATTCTTGTGTCTTTCTAGATTATCTGTTTCACCATTAAATATTATGTTTACTACAGGCTATTGTAAATATTTTATATTTTGTGGAAGAAATTACCTTTCATTTCTACTTTTCTAAGAATTTTCTTTCTCCTGTGAGAGAATTTTACATTGTATGAAATGTTTTATAGGTGGCTATTGGTATTATGAAGTGAATTCTATTTAATTTCTTAATGTGATAAGTTATATTAATTAAATATTAAAAATTTTTGTATTCTTGAGATACATCTACCTTGGTTATGATTTATTATCATTGTTATGCATTTCCACATTTGGTTTGCTAATAATATTTTGGTTGGAATTTTTGCATATAAGTTAATTACTGAAATTGGTCTGTAATTCTTATAAAGACCCATCAATCTAGTGCATCAGGGCTTCATAAAGTGAATATGAGACTGTCTCTATATTTCTCTACTTTAGAGTAATAGTTCGGTAAAAATTGGGAAATTTGTTTTCTCAACGTTTGGTAAAACTTTCCTCTAAAGTCACAGAGCCTTGTTATTTAGGAAGATTTGTAACTACTGATTCAAATTCTTTCATTATTATGAAACTATTTGGAATTTGTATTTCTTTTTGAGTCAATTTAGGAGTGTTGTATTTTTTCTTGACATTTACATATTGGAGCCAAATTTTCAAAATTAGTCATATGAATCCGTTCATAATATCCTCTTTTAACACTTCAATGTTTGCAGGAGCTTTAGCAATATATCTTTTTCATTATCATACCGCTTATTTTTCCTCTTTTTCTTGATCAACTCTGTCAGAAGTTTGACAATTCTCTAATTCCTGTAGAGCAAACTTTGGCCTTTGTAGATGTCATATATTTTATGAATTTCTTCTATTTTTATTATTTATTTTATTTGGGGGGAGGTCATATATTTCTTTTAATAATTTCTTAAATTATTTAGCTCATTATTTTACAACCTGTAGTCTTTTCTACTTATTAGAGCTATAAATTTTTCTTTAAGTACTATTTGAGTTACATGCTGTTTTCTATAAAGAATTCTCAAGAGTTTAGTTTTTAAAATGTCTTATTTCCATTATCTCCTTTTTTGAGCCATTAGTGTATTAAATGTGTATTTTTAAATTTCCAAACGTATGAGTGTTTTAGTCACAATTTTTGTTATTGACTCAATTTAAATATAAGACATTCATAAAATTTGATCTGTATCATACTAGTTCCTGGAAGTTTATGAGACCCGCTTTATTGACAAGTGTTCTTGCTATTTGTAAAATGTTCTTTGTGTGCTTAAATAGAATCGGCATCCACATATTATTGAGTGTAATATTTTATATGTCCATTAGCACAAGCTTATTAATTATTTTGTTAAAATAGTCCATATTTGGCTGCAGGATTTTTGCAAGATTCTATAATGGCTATTTAAAAATGTGGTGTTGAAGTTTCCACATATCATGATAGATTTTTTTATCTTTATGGAACTGTTAATTTTTGCTTTAGATATTTAAAAACTCTGTTATTAGGTACAGTAAAATTAAGACTATTATATGCTTATAAATCCTTTATTAATATTTAATAATTATCTTAAGTAAATATTTTTATCCTCAATTATATTTATGATATTAATATAGCAAAAACAGCTTTTTTTCTTTTCTAGTATTTTCCTGGCTTATCATTTACCATTCCTTTACTTTCAGACTTTCTCTTTATTACATACTAGGTCTATCTCCTATAAACAGCATTCCTGGATTTGTTTTCTAATATGACTGTGTATTTTAATTGGGGAGTTCAATTCACTTATATGTGTTATGATTTATAATATACTGAAACATATCTCTATCATCTTATTTTGTTTTTTCTTTTTGTTCCATTATTGGTTTGTCCCCTTACTTTCACCCGCCCCTTGCTTTATTTTTAATTAAATTAGTTTATTTTTTCTCTATGTGACCTCTTTTTTCAGAAAATGCACACTTTTTTTCTATTATTTTAGTAACTACCTTTAAAAATTTAACCTACTTATAACACATCCTAAACTTCACTATCTTTTTTTTCCCACCAACAATACAAGAACTTTATGTTTTCTTTCTATTTTAAAGCAATAGTCATGTCCTAACTTACATGCTTAGGACTTTAGTTGTATTTATAAAAGACTAGTAGCACTGACGAGGTATGATTGTACTGTTTTAACCATCAGTGTTTCTCTATACTTGCTCGCTATTTACCATTTTTCTTATCACCATTTATGATTGTATCTGAAACCTCTGTTCTGGGATTGTTTTCTTTCTTCCAGGACATTTTTTCGGATTTTCCTTACTGACGGTTTCTCAGTTTTTATTTATCTATGATGTCTTTTACCCTCATTCTTGAAAGACAGCTTTGCTAAGTACACAGTTCAAAGTTGATAGTTTCTCTCAGCACTTTAAATATCTTCTGTGCTTTTCTGGCTTCCAATTTTGATGAGGAAAAATCAGCTGATAGTCTGATGATCATTTCTTGTAGATTTTCTATTTTTTTTCTCTTGGATTTCTTTTAATGTCTTCTTTTTGGATTTGTTATACTGTGTCTTGCTTGCCATGTATTTTTAGTGGATTTTACTCAGTCAAGTTGTTTAAAATATATACGTATTAGGAAAATCAAAATTTAATGCAGCCAGTCAGTGATATTTTGTGATATATCCCTTGCAATAGACTGCAAGCAACCTTGCTGATTTCAATAATCAATGATTAATTTATTTAAAAAAAACATGTTTCAAGTACCTATCATATGCCAGAAACTACTTTAAATACTGAAAATACTGTGGTGATCCAGACAGGGAAATTAGGTTTCCTGCTGAAGAGCAATGATAAAGAGATAAACAAATGGACATATGATACAAGTTCATGTGAAAATGTGTTATGGATAAAAGTAAAGGATGAAAGAGAGCTAGAGGAAGGCTGAGCAAGAAGGCTAGCTCTGTTAGCTTATCAGAAAGCTTTACTGATAAGGAGAGATTTGTGCTGAGTGAATTAAGGGAAGCATTATGTAGATATGTGGGGAAAGAATATTCCACACAGGAAAAAAGCAAATACAGAAGCTCTCTCAGGGTGGGGCAAATAAGCAGGTCTTGACATGTTTAAGAAACTTCAAGGCCTGAGCGTCTGAAAGTGAGATGAGGTTAGAGAGATAGTCAAGTGCTACATGATGGGATGCATGTACACGTCCACCCTCACACATACACACAAACACGCTGTGGTTCATACACACGTATGCATACGTAAATAATATTAAAAATGAAGGGTCTATTTCTAATAGGGCATAAGGATAGCAACGGTGGTAAGTGCTGATTGTGAATAAGGAAAGCTGCATTGCATTTCATATACATTTTGCCACACATTTGGCCTTTCTTAAAATGTTATATTGCTGTCTACCCTAAAATGGTTCAACAAGTAAGGTATGCATTGAAATACCTGTGTTGACTCCAATTATGACCAAATCCTAAACTGTGGACAATGGATATTTACCATGCATACTATATACTGCTTCAGTGAATTCCTTAAAACAGCCAAAGAAGACTGCAATTATCTTACCTAATCCAGTTCACATTACAAAAGACTAGAGAACATAGATGTGATTGATGGAAGATTCTTTTCTTTTCTTTTTTATTGAGACATGGTCTCACTCTGTCACCCAGGCTGGTGTGCAGGGGCGTAATCTCTGCTCACTGCAACCTCTGCTTCCCAGGCTTAAGTGATTCTCCAGCCTCAGCCCCCTGAGTAGCTGGGACTACAGGTGCCTGCCATCACGCCTGGCTAATTTTTTGTATTCTTTGAAGAGATGGTGTTTTGCCACGTTGCCCAGGCTGGTCTTGAACTCCTGAGCTCAAAAAGATCTGCCTGCCTCGGCCTCCCGAAGTGCTGGGATTACAGGCATGAGCCCCTGCGCCTGGCCCAGTGGAAGATTCTTAAAAGGAATTTAAGTATTCTGACTATCCTGCTCAGTCCCCTTCCTAAGCTTTGGTCCCACTTAAACTAAATGTGCAAGAGAAGGGGAAGGACAGTAAGGAAATCACTCATGTCCACAAACAGGAGGAGTAGCTTTTCAGTCTTTAACTTGTTGCATGTTGAGCTATAGGAATTTGTAGGTTCACTTTAGACTGTTACCAGAGTGGGGTAGGACGTTCACTAGAAGGCCTGATAAATGTGTCAGGAGTTTGAGAGCTTATGTAAAGATCGAGGAATACTCAGGCTTGTCACCTGGAGAAGAGATAAGTGGAGAGCTGGCTGAACGTGCCCATGTGGATAGGTCCAAGAGAGAGAAGTCAGCAGCTGCACAGATGCAAAAACTGTTGGTGGGGCAAGGATTTTTCCCCCTGCGGGCCAGTGGACACTGCGCAGAAGCCAATTTTAATCATGAAAGGATTTCACCAACAATGGTTGCCTGCAAGGGAAAAGCCACCAGTAGAATGAGACTGGAGGCATGTGAAAGAGCTGATGAAGGCCTGCAAGGTCAGCCAGTGAGTGCATGACGCATCTCAGTGAACTTAGCAGATACAGGTCACTGACAGTGGACCTGAGAGTGTTCCCATTCATAAGGAACAGTGTTTGGATGTCTGCTGTGACTGAAGGCCTTTGAAGAACCCAGAGAGATCACCAACTTGCATTGCTAATCCAGTCTTTATGATTTTTCCTTCTTCCCAGTCTCCAGAGCTGTAGGATCTGTAAAGTAAGCAGGAAGGAAGTGGAGTAAGAAGGAAAAAATATAAACTATAAATTATATAGCCTCCTCTCCCCAACACACAGAGATGTACACATCACATTTGCCCACTGCTGGTCCCTGATCCTGTGGGTCAGCTGAGGAGTTGGGGAAGCTTCAAACAAAATGTGACATTAAGGTTTTCAATGAGGCTGAACTGGACTTTTTAACATCTAAAAATGAGACTATTTCTATAGTAAAAGTAACTGAAAAGCTGTGGAATACATCAGATAAAAACTAAAGAAAGACTAGGGCTTGGAGAAGAATAATCCCACTTCCATTTCACCCCATTCAATATATCAGTGCATTATTAACTTTCTATTGCTGCTATAACAAATTACCCCAAATTTGGTGGCTTAAAACAATGCAAATTTATTCTTTTCAGTCCTGGAAGTCTTTTGACAGGACTCAATGGGCCAAATCAAGATGTCAGCAGGACTACATTCCTTCCTTATTCAGGGGATGGCAGAATTCCTTTCCTTGTGGTCGTGAGACTTGGGTCTCCATTTTCTTGCTAGCTGTCAGCTGCAGGCTGCCCTTAGCTCCTAGAGTACTCTCCCCATTCTTTGTACCTCTACATCTCAGAGCCAACAATATGGCATGGAATCCTCATGTTGTCATTTTTCTAACCCTTTCTGTCATTATGTCTCTCTGTGACCACGGTTGGAAAAGGCTCTATGCTTTTAAGGATGCATGTAATTATGATATTAGCTGTGCTCTTAGATGGTCTTCATTATATGAAAATACATTTATTATATACCTAATTTGTTGGGAATTTTATTCAGGAAAGGATGCTGAATTTTGTCAAATGCTTTTTCTGCATCTATTGAGAGGATCATATGATTTTTATCCTTCATCCTGTTACTGTGTTATATCACGTTTATTGAATTGCATATATTGAAACAACCTTGCAACTTAGGGATAAATCCCACTTTATCATAATGTGCTTTCAATTTGGTTTGCTAGTATTTTGATTTTTACATCCATGTTCATCAGGGATATTGGCCTGTAGTTTTCTTGTTTTGCAGTGTCCCGGCCTGGTTTGGGTATCAGAGTAATGCTTCCCTCATAAAATTAGTTAGAAATGCTCCCTTCTTTTTTAATTTTTGAAAGGGTTTGAGAAGTATTTGCATTAATTCTTTAAATGTTTGGTAGAATTTACCAATGAAGCTTTTTGGTCCTGGGTTTTACTTTGTTGGGATTTTTAAATTTTTGATTCAATCTCCTTGCTGTTGCCTGCTTCAGATTTTCTGTTTCTTCATGAAGACTCTGTTTCTCAGCAGGATATATGTGGCTAGGAATTTATCTGTGTCTGTAGGTTATCCAATTTGTTGGCATATAGTTATTCATAGTCTTTTATGATCCTTTTTATTTCTGTGGTATCAGTTGTTAAGTCTTGTTCAATTCTGATTTTATTTGAGTCTGATATCTTTTTTTATTAGTTAATCTAGTCAAAGGATTGTCATTTCATTCATCTTGTCTGAAACCAACTGTTTTGTTGACCTTTTCTAATTTTTAATGTTTTTATTTCATTTATTTCTGCTGTAATCTTTATTATTTCCTTCTTTGTGCTAACTTTGGGCTTAGTTTACTCTTCTTTTTTTTAGTTATTTGTAAAGGTTTGTTGTTTATTTGAGATCTTTCTTTTTTGGTACTGTAGGCATTTATTGCTATAAACTTCTTTCCTAGAACTGCTTTTGCTGCATCCCTTGTTTTGGCATATTGTGTGTTCATTTTCATTTAGATTAATTTTTTATTTATGTTTGTTTTCTTATTTGACCCATTGGTTTCCCAGAAATATGTTGCTTAATTGTCACATATTTGTGAATTTCCAATTTTCCTCTGGTTATTGATTCCTAGTTTCATACTCTTGTGGTCAGAAAAGATACTTGGTGTGATTTCAGTCTTCATAAATCTGTTAAGACTTGTTTTGTGACCTAATGTGTAATCTGTCCTGGAGAATGTTCTGTGTGCACTTGAGGAGAATGTGTATTCTGCTGCTGCTAGATGGAATGTTCTCCATCTGTCTTTTATGTCCATTTGATCTGTAGTGTTTTTCAAGTCCACTGTTTTCTTATTGATTCTTTTTTTGTGGATGATCTATATTCTGTAAGATCAGTAACAGGATAATCTTGCTACTTCTTGAGATCATGTTTGGAGATTCTATCAGGGAAGTGCAGCTACTTGTGTACCCTTGATCACAGAATGGTACTCCTCTATTGAGGAACGTCATCCTCTTCAACTAAGTGCTCAGCTTCAGGAGAAAAGCACGTGAAGCAGTGAAGGAGGAAGGGGATCTCTGCATAGCCAGTGATCTGCCAAATCAACCCTGGTGATGAATGAGTTGACAGATGTTGCAGTCAGATTGCTTTCACATACCAATCTTTCTATTGCTATCCAATATTGTACTGCAAGCCTAGTTAGAGAAATTAGATAAGAAAAAGAAGTGAAAGGCATCCAAATTAGAAAGAAAGTAGTAAAATTGTCTCTGTTTGAATACGACATAGTTCTATGTATAGAAAACCCTAAAGACTCACCAAAATACTGTTAGAACTAATAAATTTGGGAAAGTTATAGGATACAAATCACATACAAAAATCAGTGGTGTTTCAACATACTAACAATGAACTGTCCAAAAAAAAATCCCACTTACAATAGCTACAGAAAATACTTAGAAAAAAATTAAACCAAGGAGATAAAAAATTTGCATACTGAAAACTATAAAACATTGATGGGAGAAATTTTGAAAGACTTGAATAAATGGAACGATATCCCATGTTCATGGACTGGAAGAATTAACATTGGTAAAATATACAAGATAATCTATGGATTCAATTCAATCCTATCAAAATTTCAATGACATTTTTCACAGAAAGAGAAAAAAAATCCTAAAATTCATATGGAACCAAAAAAGACCCTGAATAGCCAAAGTAATGTTAAACAAAAACGAAACACAACAAAAACCCAAAAAACAAAACAAACAACAACAACAACAACAAAAACGAAGATGAAGACATCACACTTCTTGATTTCAAATTCTGTGGCAGAGCTATAATAATCAGAACAGTATGATCCTGGCATAAAAATGAACATATAGACCAATGGAATAGAATGGAGAGCCCAGCAGTAAAATCCACCTAAATGTGGTTAGCTAATCTTCAATAAGGGTATCAAGAATACAAAATGGGGAAAGGATAATCTCTTCAACAAATGAATTGGGAAAACTGGATATCCACATGGAATAATATAAAATTGGATCCTCACTTAATACTATAGACCAAATTTAACTCAAAATCTATTAAAATCCTAAACATAAGACATGAAACTATAAAACTACTTGAGGAAAACTTAGGGAAACCCTCCTTAACAGGGTCTTGGCAATGATTTTTTGGTTATACACAAAAAGCACAGGCAACAAAAGCAAAAGTTGACAAAGGGATTATATTAAACTAAAAAGCCTCTGCATAGCAAAGAAAACAATCGACAAAATTAAAAGGCAACCTGTGTAATGGGAGAAAATAGTTACAAACCATATATATGATAAGAGGTTAATGTCCACATTATATAAGAAATTCATACAACTCAATGGCAAAAACAAAAACAAAATAACCTGATGAAAAGGCATGCAAAGAACTTGAATAAACATTTCTTAAAGAAGTTATACAGACATATATCTGGCCAGATAAAAGAAGGCATATATCTGGCCAACAGATACATGAAAAGATACTCAACATCGCTAATTATCAGGGAAATGTAAATGAAAATGAAAATGATGTACCTCACACCTGTTGGGATGGCTGTAATTTAAAACAAAACACAAGTGTTAGCAAAATTGTGGAGAAAAGGGAACAATGTTACACTGTTAATGGGAATCTAAATGGGAAATTTATCATTATGGAAAACAGTATGGAATTTCCACAAAATATTAAAAATAGAACTGCCATATGATCCAGAATCCAACTTCTGAATATTCATACAGAGGAATTGAAATCAGGATCTTCAAGTGTCATCTGCCCTCTCATGCTCTTTGAAGCATTACTCACAATAGGCAAGATACGGAAAAAACCTAAATGTGCATTAGCAGATGAACTACAAATAAAATATAGCATATACATACAATGGAATCTTATTCAGCCTTTAAAAAGAAGGAAATTTTGCCATTTTCAACAACGTGGATGTTCCTGGAAGACAATATGTTAAGTGAAATAATCCAGACACTTACATGTGGGTTCTAAAATAGTTGAGCTCATAGAAACAGGGGGTTGCCAGAAACTGCAGGGAGAAGGAAATGGAGAGGTTATGGAATTAAAAACAACAACAATAACAAAAAACAAAGAAAGAAAGGAAAACACAAGATTTTATTGAGCTCATGTGCATAATTCGGAGTATTCTTCCCATCTCAAAGTCTTTAATCTCAATCACATCTGCAAAGTCTTTTTTGCTATTTAAGGTAACATTCACAGATTCTGGGAGTTAGTATGTGGGCACCTTTGGGGAAATATTCTGCTTACCACAACCAGTTTCCCAAGATTCAAGGTAGAGTTCTTCTTTAATATTCTCACTGTATATGGCTATAAGCAGTTTAACAATCCATTGATATTTTTCAGAAATCGATGATATCATTTATTTTTAAATTACAGTGTAATGTACACTGAATAGAACACACAGATTTTCATAAAACACACATAATGTCTTTTGACAAATGTCTATACCTGACTATCACCACAAATTATAAAATATTTAAATCACCCCAGAAAGTTCCTTCATGTCCCTGGTAGTAGACCTAGATCATAGGCAGACACTGATCTGTTTTTTCATCATAATCTATTTGTTCCTATTATAGAACTTTATATAAATGGCAGTATAGAGTATGTGGTCTTTTCTATGTGGCTTCTTTCACTTAAAATGTTTACGTGATACATCCATGCTCTTGCATGGGAGTTTGTTAACTTTTACTGCTGAGTAGTATTTTATGAATATGAACTAATTTGTTGATTCATTCTAGTTTTGGGCTATGATGAAAAAAACTGCTATAAAGAAACTTTTCCAAATTTGTTTTTGGACATATATTTTTATTTCATGTGGGTAAATGCCTAGCAGAGAAAACAATGTTACAGCTTAACTGTATGTGTATTTTATAAGAAAATGACAAACTATTTTCCAAAGTAATTACCACTTTATTTGTGGAATCTGTAATGTCAGCTTTCTTATTCCTGAGAGTGGTAATTTGTGCCTACATTTTATTTGCCTTATCAGTCTGGCTAGAGGTTTATCAATTTTATTGATCTTCTACCAGCCTTTAGTTTTGTTAATATTCGTTACTTTTTTTCTGTTTCCTATTTTACTGACTTCATCATTATTATTTCTCTTTTTTCTCCAGACAATATGTTTTATTTGCTCTTATTTTTCTAGTTTTCAAAGTGGAAGCTGAGGTCATAGATTTCAGATTTTTCTTCTTTTCCAATACAGCATTTATTGCTATAAATTTCCTTCTAAATCCAGCTTTATCTACATTCTGTAAATTTTGCTATGTTATATTTTCATTTTCACTTGTCTGATTTTCTCTTTGAGTTCTTTTTTGACACGTGAGTTATTTTAAAGTATATTATTTAGTGTCTGATTACTTGGGCATTTTTTCAGCTATCTCTCTTTAATTGATACATAATTTAATTCCACTGGGGTCAGAAAACATTTTCTGTAGAGCTTTAATTCTTTTACATTTATTGATATTTATAATGGTATAATTTTTTATCTCTTCCTACAGTTTGTATTACTTTATTGTATATTTACTTTTATGCATATGTAGATTCTCACATTTAATTATTAATTTTCTTAAAAAGTTGAAAAATTTTAAACAAGTTTAAATGTTGGTATATGTTTATATGTGTTTGTGTTGTATGTTTGTGGGTGTGTGTGTGAGAGAGAGAGGAGGGGAGAGTAAAGGAAAGAAAGGGAGAGGGAGAGGGAGAGAGAGAAAGAGAGAGAGACAAAATATGTACATATTCATCCCTTGATATATTCACAGGGGATTGGTTTTAGAACCCCCCTTAAATAGCTCAAATCCCTTACATAAAATGTTGTAATATACACATGTAGCTTATGCAATCCTCCGTATACTTTGTCATCTCTAGATTATTTATCATACTTAATATAATGTAAATGTCAGGTAAATCGTTGTTATGCTGTGTTTTCTATTTGTACTTTTAAATGTTATATTGTTGCTTTTTTATTTTTTCTAAATCTATTTTATCTGCAGTTGATATAATCCACAGATACAGAACCCATGGATACAAGGGTCAACAGTATACGTATAAAATAAAGACAATTTATGGAATGTCTTTTATATTTGCTCACATATTTAACCTTTCTAGTGTTCTGTATTCATTTGAGTCGATCCAGGTTTCCATTTGGTATCATTTCCTTTCAATCTGAAGTATTTCTTTCAACATCGCTTGCACCACTGTTCTGCTAGCAACAAATTCTCTTATCTTTTGTTTATAAGAAAATATTTTTATTTTCCTTTAATCTTTGGTTAATATTATCATTTGATATATAAAACTATGTTGACAGTTATTTCACACTCTAAAGATATATTTTCAATGTCATTTTTTTATTTTTGTCTTTCCTTTTTTTGAAAATTAGAAATCGGCTGTCATGCTTGTTGAAAAGATGTATATTTTTTCTCTGGTTCTTTTTAAGAGTCTTTATGTAGTTTAATGATTAGGTAGAATTCCTCTTTTTTTTTCCGGTTGAAGTACATTGAGCTTAATGTGTGGCTTGCTGTTTTTAATAACAATTGGAGGACTTTTAGCTAATATTTCTTCAAACACAATTTTCTGCCCCATTTTTTATGTCCTCTGTTTCTGAGGGTCCTATTACATGTTTATTTCATCACTTCGGTATGGCCCACTGGACATTGAGGACTCTGTTCATTTTCTTGAGTCTCATTTTCTTCTTTGCACTTTTGTTTTTCTTGCCCTGTCTTTAAATTCTTTGTCCTTGACCTCTGTTGTGTTCAACCTGCTGCTAATATCATCCAAAAAACTTTTCATTTCACACATTGTACTATTTACTTCTAGGATTCCCATTTAGTTCTTTTTTACACTTTCCAGTTCTCTTTTGAAATTGTCACTTCACCATTATATTCATCTTTTCCTGTAGATTGTTTGACATGCTTATAATTATTTTTCAGATTTTTGTCTTATACTTCTGAGTCATTTGTGAGTCTGTTTCTATTATCTTATTTTTCACTTGATTATGAGTCTCTTTTTTCTGCTTCTTTGCCTGTCTTGTAATATTTGATCATCTTCTAGGCATTGTGTTAAAGAAAAAGAAACAGTGGAGGCTTAAAAGAGCTTGTTTCTTTGGAGTTTAATTCTTTTAAAAGTTTCTTTGTTTGTGAAGTTATTCAATTATTTAAAGGAAAACATGCTTCTCTGGGGCTTCTTTGGTTATCTATTGTTACTTTGGCAGACTGAAGGTTTTGCACATCCTTCTTCTTCCTAGTCAGGTGTGGATCTCCAAAACAGATTCATATTTGAGAGGGGTGTTGAAGCTCTTTGTTGTTTCCAATTTTATGGGTCATACTCATAAAGGACAAAGTCAAGTGATGACAACAGGGGCACATTTATTTATTTATCTATTTATTTCTTCAACTTAAATGGAGGATAGGACAAATATGTTACTAAATACTTTCTGCACATCCACTGCTGAAAAGCTACCTAAATATCTGAGAAAGGGATAAATCTTGGCAGTTATACATTTACTTTGTGGGAAACTACCTTGTTTTCAACCTTCTTGCCTCCTGTTGTACCAGTGCTCCAACTCTTTCTGAAAGCTTAAGTTAGCCAAATTATGGACTGACTTACAACTCTGAAAAGTTTCAAACAAATAAACACTTAAAAACTTTGGGTGAAGTAAAAGGCGAGAGTCTAGCTATTACTAAGATTTTTTGTTCAGGTACCAAGACCTGTCAGCTAGTTGTCTGGTCTATGGTGTTCCCACACCACAGTCCATTTCCTTCTAGGATGTTAGTCCCTCCGTCTGCATTTCTGAAGACTAAAATGTCAGTTTCTCATTTGTAGTTTTAACTGCCTGCTTTATGGTAATTGGATCTGCCTATTTCCAGCCTCTTCATCTGGCTCTTGGCTTCAGACTGTCGGGATTTCATTACTTATATATGCTTTAGCTTATACTGACTAAAAATTGCTGCATCTTTCTTCAGACTCTACATCACTCCCCGCTCTAAACCTTGCTGAGCTTTTCTCAGTACCTGACACCTACTTTGCACTTTTAAACAAAGTCCTGATATTTTAAAAATAACATAAATGGGAAATAATGGTTCCTGAAATAAATTATAGTCTTTAGCATTTACTTACAAGGTTTTCTACTGCTATATTTTTACCTGAATATTTAAAATATAGAACAAATAAATAACATAAAATGAAAGATATCTTCCAAGTAATTTATGTTTGTTTTTATCTTTGATAGTATTAAATTTGATATCTGCTGGTTTATGTATATTGCGGATGTTCCTTGCTTTTTTGTTTCAATCTCTGCAAAAGACA
This sequence comes from Homo sapiens, assembly GCF_000001405.40. Taxonomy (NCBI): domain Eukaryota; kingdom Metazoa; phylum Chordata; class Mammalia; order Primates; family Hominidae; genus Homo; species Homo sapiens. Next base: position 18,814,468 of record NC_000007.14, read on the forward strand.
TTGTTTGGCTTTTTTGATACCAGTGTTCAGATTGTACATATCATACACACTTGGAGAACATTAGTATTTTTCACCTCTGTAATTTTATATGGCAGCAAATTTCATTCACATGTGCATGCTCACCCCCCACCCCAACTTGCTATAAAATGAAAAGGCTGGTCAATTGCTTTGATGTTCTTTATATATAATGCTATTATGTACCTAATGCCACATAATTTAATTTCTGTGGTCAAAATTTGTATTCAATTGCCTAGTTTTTACTAAATTGATCACATTTACTTGTTGGTAGCTATTCTACTAGTGTATAGCCTTGGAAAATTAGAGTTTAATGCAGGAAGAACATTTAGAATTAGAATAATATAATCAAAACTAAAATCATCTATCCAAAGAACCTAGACATTTTGATAATAGTTATACAATGTACATTGCAATTAGTTACTCTTTAAATTTTTGAAATTTTATAAATCTGATTGAAAATGTTTATAGGTAACGAATGATGGTGAAAATATTTGTATTACTGTTGATTGAAGGCACATCTATTGTAGTAAAATATGAGTATAAGAGAAAGAGATATTACAATGGGGCATTCGTTGGTACAGTCTTTATAGCCCAGTATAATCTTTGTTCAAGTCATGATTATTACTCTTATTGTGTGTTATGATCTTCAAAAAGGCTATGAACTTCTGTCTTAAAAAAATAGTGTCTTAAAAACAAAAACAAATCTTCTTCTTCCCTAATTTATTTTTTTTTTGAAGTTTTGCATACTTGGGCCATATTTATATGACAAAAAATATCTGATTTTTTTTTGATCAATGTGATCCAAAAATCAGTCATGTTTCAAAAAATTTGGCCAATTGAATTGTTGGGCCTTATGTCAAATAAAACCACTGCTTGAAAACTAAACAAATTGCTTTCAATGGGTTATTATTGCCTTACCAAGACCACATCCTGATGATTTCCCCCGTCACAACAAGACTTTCTTCATAGTGGATCCATTGTTATTATTTTCATAAAAGGCTCAACTTAAATTACATGCAATAGAAGCACCATCATCAGGTGCCCTGTCTCCTTCCTAACAGAAGCCTGGTTTTTCACGAATGCATTTAGTCCTGTCTGTAGCCCCAGTTTTGACAGGCTGAAGGCTGTAGGCATGATGGGCCGCAGATGCCAGGCTTCTTAAGAACTGTTTTCCAGTGCTGTCAACAAACTCCCTCCTTCCAGATTCTTTACAGAGCAGGGCTGGCAGCTGTGCATAGGCTTTGGGATCCACCATCCAGTTACATTTCTAATGCTGGGCTCTTGTTTTCCTGGCTCCCTTGAGCTGGCTCAAAGAAACAAAATGGTATTCCCATATGTCCCTTATTGTTTTCTTGGCAAATATCCCTACTTCCCTGAATCTCCCAGATTCCAGCATGTGAGAGACAAATTTTCTTTGTGAAAATTCCCTCCCTCAAAGGCTGCAGATTAATAGCATTGATTCTAAAGCAAACTGTCTTTTTATAAGGTCTTTTGTAAGGCTGAAGTTAGCTGGGTTTAGGGGCTATGTTAGCATATTCGGAAATATTATGCATATGGTAAACCATAGCAATACAATACAAAGGCAATACAAATAACTGAGCTTGATTTACTAATTTGAATGTCAATACCAATAGTTCAGATATGAAGAGATGCCTATTGACTGAGTGATCCTCTTTCCCTTTCTCATAAAGATTTATGTGTTAAGGCAAAACAACTATCTACAATCTTTAGTAGACATATGCATTTATTTTTACTTCTAAGTAAAGCTTAATTCCAATAAATTGAAGTTAGGAAGGAAGCATTCAACTTTCATATTATTGTTGCCATAATATAAATCACGTGGAACTATTTTTCATCACAGAGATTAGTGTAGCTAAAGAGGAAGACTTTAGAACACATCAAGGATCCATAGTTACTATTGAACAGCAACTTTGAATGTGAGCTAGTATAGGCATATTGAATAAATGATGAACTGTATCATATTCATACTGGTTAATTTGAGATTGCCAGTTATTTAACAGGATATTAACTGTAGCTATATCTGAGCCATTTCTGAAAAGAGGAATCGGAGCCAATTGTTGCACAAGCTCTTACAAGGTCAACAAAACCAAGGGAGGTGATGCAGGAGGAAAGACTTCGTTTTCTCTCTCTGCTCCTAAATTGGTTTCTGGTCATCTAAATCCCCCAATCCATTACCAGAGAGTGAGAGCAGGGGAAGGCAGTATTCATTCATTCCAATTTTCATGCATGATCTAACTCAACAATTTTTAACGTACCAGTGACTTCAACAAAGACACTGTGTTTAATTTCCACGGAACAATGTTCAGTTTCTTTAGATAAAACAAAATGGAATCCCATATCACTATGTTAAGTGTAATCAACACCATTTTGGATGGGGAAGCAGTCACATATAAATGACCTATCAGAGGTATTCCACAAGGACCTAAAGAATTTTGATTGTAATTTTTTGGGCCCTATTCAACTTTACCCGAATAAAAGGGGGAAAATTCTTATAAATAAACGACTTAATATACCTAGGTGAGAAGTTTTTTGTTTTTTTTTTTTTTGAAATGGAGTCTCGCGCTGTCGCCCAGGCTGGAGTACAGTGGTGCGATCTGGGCTCACTGCAAGCTCCGCCTCCGGGGTTCACGCCATTCTTCTGCCTCAGCCTCCTGAGTAGCTGAGACTACAGGCGCCCGCCACCACGCCTGCCTGATTTTTTGTATTTTTTAGTAGAGACGGGTTTCACCGTGTTAGCCAGGATGGTCTCTGTCTCCTGACCTCGTGATCCGCCCACCTCGGCCTCCCAAAGTGCTGGGTTTACAGGCGTGAGCCACCGCGCCCGGCCGAGAAGTATTATTTATATTGTAAGGCCTGTTACAACAAATATCACACACTCATTCCCCCAAAACAAAAACAATAAAAAAAACCCAAAGAGGGTTCAACCAATAACACAAATGCTTGAAGCAGTGATTTTCCAGAACAAAATTTTAGTGTAATAGAACATTTGGATCTTTTTTCCAGTTAAATCTTTCAAAAGCATTATGTCCTGACCATGTTTCTGATTTCTTGACCTCTGTACAACTTAATATAAAAAATCAGAAGTTTATTGCTGTAAATATTTTAAAATATGTTAAACTAGCTAATGTATACTTTATTTTCATTATGCTTTTGTTCTGTCATCAGGTAAGAGACGTGTACACATGGCAAGCAAGATGATTGGGAGGTTAGAATGGGCACTTGCTGGCAAACCTATTTTTGACGGAGAAAAACTGTACTATCCCAGCATAGTCATAGAAACTGCAGGTTCTGGCTGCTTTCAACCCTTCTTTTTTAAAAGACCCAAATTGCCTATGCACAAATATATTTAATAATTATAATTATCATTAAGTAGCAAGGTAGATTAAATATCCTCAGTCATTCTTCTTAAAAAATAAAAACAAAAACCTCAACCTACATTTAAGCAAAAAATGCTTCTTAAAGTCATTTTCAAAATTGATAATGCATCGATATGAATTTGGGTAGCTGAAATTTTGGCTTCCAGTGAAATAGTTCACACACATAAAACATCGCATGCGAATTTTGAATTCAGCAAATGTATTGGAAGTAGTAATTCAACCATCACATCTTCACTTGGAAATACATGCTGTAGAATTTTTCCATACTGTGCTTGCTTTTGATAAATATTATTTTACTGAGCATTGATACTTTCGGACATTTAGAAGTACCTTAGTGCTGATACTTAAGCACTGGGAGGTAATTATTGAACTCTAAATTACCAGTACACTCAAAGAGAAATTTTAAAAACAGAATCCCGATCAGCTGGTCTGATATGCTCAATTAGTTTTTGGATAGTAGGCAGTTATATTATACATAAAACATTTTTCTCTGTATGATTTTTTATTTTGTTATAGTTTCCTAAAATAGTTATATTTATAAAACTTAAGTAAAAATCTAATATTTGATCAACTACTTTCAACAAAGAAACACAATCATCTCATCTCTTGTCAGTTTATAAATGTCACATAGACTTACTATTCTCTGCACTGCAGCTATACCTTTACCAAGAATAAGTATATAAAAATTAGTAAGTAGCTAGCAGGACTACTGGGTATTAAAGGTAGTATTAATTTAAGTTCTGGCTCATTGCTTAGTGTTTGTTAAAGTCTGAATCATCTTGACGTTTTGTTCTGCATTCTGTATTTATTGGCTGATTCTGGTACACGATGTGTTCTTACTCTCATCAGTGGAGATTTGACCCTTATTTTTCATGATTTTGAAGCCTAAATTACTCCATCTAGGTTGGAATTAGTAGCAGTTCTTACCATCCAAATACTATTTGGCTATGGGGATGTTAGAGAAATGGAAATATACGTTTCTGTTGCCCATGGGACAATCTTAATGAATGCAGCAAGTAAAATGATCATATTAATTTGCACTTTCTTATTTTCTGTACCTATCCTTGCCATAGCAATAGACTTAGTTTATATGAAATTAAAAAAAAAAATGTCTAGCCAGGTACAGTGGCTCATGCCTGTAATGCCAGCACTTTAGGAGACTGAGGTGGGTGGATCACTTGAAGTCAGGAGTTCAAGACCAGCCTGGCCAACATGGCAAAACTCTGTCTCTACTAAAAATACAAAAATTAGACAGGCTTTATGGTGCGCACTTGCAATCCCAGCTACTCAGGTGGCTGAGGCAGGAGAATCACTTGAACCCAGGAGGCGGAGGTTGCAGTGAGCTGAGATAGCACCACTGTACTCCAGCCTGGGTGACAGAGCGAGACTCCATCTAAAAATAATAATAATAATAAATAAATTTTAAAAACCAACAAAAAATAAATGTTTAAATTGGTTCCAGTGATTTGCTTACTGCCTGCCCTTTATTTGCCTAGGCAGAGTTTCACTATGTATATAAGGAACACAAAAATAAATCTGACATTTTGATAAATTTGCCCAGAAAATGTGAATTTCATCAGTTATGAAAATAGACTAGTCTAAAATGATCAGATTCTTTTTTTTTCAAATCCAGTTTTGCATATAGACTATGCCATAGATTTTCTTTCCTGGATACCACATGGCTATATTTGGCAATCAAATATTCTCTTGTACTTCCGCATATGGTCCCACCGGAAAACATCATTTCTTCCCTTTAAACTAAGGAGAAACATCCATAACACCAATCTAAACAACAGCAAGAAAGTAGGAATGTGAGTATTCAGTCCTTGAAAGATTAATTGTCACTTTTGGTGACATTAAAATACTGCCAAAGTTCTATTATTAGTCATGTTCATGCCTGAAGAGAAAGTAAAACTTGAGAAGAAATGTTACAAATCAGTTTATTAAAATAAAATCTATGTCACCATTAAGTTGACTGAAATCCACAGAAAGGTACTATAGGATATATTTGCTTAGATTAACTGCTTGGTCTTTGTAACTTAAAATAAAATATAAAGCAAAGAGTTTTTCCATGTTATTATGTAGAAAAAAATCTAAATTGTATTGCATAATATGGCATTTGTGGGTTTTACTACAACAATCTAAGATGCTCATAAGTTTAAAAAGGTTAAATATGAATATATTCCCTTCAAAGTTCGAGAAACAGATTTGTTTTCATAAAATGAAAAAATTTTCTATTTTTATTACCATTAAATGAGAAAATAAGAAATTAAGTCACTGAATTCTTTCTTGCATATGTCTTCTGATAGTTATATTTTGTGAGACTAGTAGATTTTCAAGTCCTTTGAAAAACAGTAAATTAATTATTTAAAAAACTTGTTGAGAAATTCTCATTGAAGAGAGACATGTTCTTGAGCCAAGGAGAAACTTGGTTCTAGTATAATATAGAACACATCTTTATGTCAGAAAAATACTATACAAATTCCCTGTTAGGAGACTCAGAATTCGGTGAGAAAAGCAGATACTGTAAGAATAGTAATCTTATTTTAAAACATTTTCACAGTTTCATCAAATCAATGATTTTATTCATTATAAAGCACAAAATATTTTATGTGTTTTAAGAAAGAAGGTGTTGTGCTCCCAAGTCTAAACAGCAACCTTCTCCCAAAACCTGGGGTGCAAAATCGGGGGCCCTTGAGAGAAGGAAAATTTTCTAGCAAAGCCCAGAGTAGAGGAATGGCCAGAGGGAGAGGAAAAAAGCTAGGGTAGTAGCTACTCATAAATCTATTTTATCATCCTTTACTGGCCACTATATGTCAGATACTATGTAAATCTAGCAGCTAAAATGGTGAGCAAAAAGTAGATGTTTTGGGGAGTGGGGAGGAGGACATTAATCGTGTAATAAACATAATAACAACAAATGTATTAAATAATCACACCAAGAGGTGTATCATTAGAAATAGAGATGAGTTCTCAGAAATCGGGGTTGGCAAATCTCTAAGGGCATATTATAGAGTGTCTTAGTCCATTTGTACTGCTGTAACAAAATACCACAGATGCAGTAATGTATGATAAGCAGAAATGTATTTACTCACAGTTCTGGAGGCTGGGATCAAGTCCAAGATCAAGGTGCCAGCAGATTTGATTGTCTTGTGAGGTCTTTCTCTGCCTCCAAAATGGCACTTTGTTGCTGCAGCCACCTGAGGGGAGGGACACTGTGTCCTTACAGGGTAGAAGGCGAAAGGGCAAGCCCACCAAAGGCTGCAAGAAGCCTATTTTATAATGGCCTTATCCGATTTATGATAGGAAATGCTCTCATGACCTCATCGCTGCTTAAAGGCCCTACCATTTAATAATATCATATTGACCCTTAAGTTTCAACACCTGAATTTTGGAGGGAACACATTTAAACCAGAACACAGAGGAACTTGATGGTGACTGATAGAGGCTTAGGAATGGTTTCTCTGGTGAAATGATGTTGGAGCTGAAATGTGTGGATAAGGAGGCATTATTCAGGCAAAGGGAGGGAGTGGGTAAGTGGAAGACATCCCACATAGAACTAGGAGCATAGGCAGAGCCTTGTGGCTGCAGGAACCAAAAGGCCAGTGTGGCTGCGGTGGAGAAAGCAAGATGAATGGTGATACAAAATAAAACTGATGCAGCGGGAAAAGGAAGATCAACTGTTTTTCTGTATATTCACAATTAACATAGAACACTTCAGACACCATATGTATGTGTTTTTTCCTACAGCCAGCAATTCTCCAATTATCTGCAGACACTGACTGGATGTCCTACAGTTTAACTCAATTCTGACACTCTCTACCTGCAGATAGAATCAGATCTCACAAGTTAAGGGCTCAATCCCACAAGACTGTCCCCACTTCAGATGCTGGTTGCATGTCCAGGTTTTCATCTGTGCCTCTGCCCAGTTGGCTATAAATCAGATGTTATTACAACCCCCTCTTTGTGTTTGATTATGCTAGGATAACTTCCAGAACTCAGGAAATCAGTTTACCTACTAGATTACTGTTTTACTATGAGAGACACAACTCAGGAACAGCCAGATGGAAGAGATGCATGGGAAGAGGTATGGAGGAGGGGCACAAAGCTTCCATTGCCTCTCCAAGTGTGCCACCCTTGCAGTTTCTCCACATGTTCACCAGCCTGGAAACTCTCTGAACCTTATCTTTTTATTCTTTGTGGAGGTTCCATCACATGGGCAAGATTGATCAAATTATTGGCCCTTGATAATCAACTCTACCTCCAGCCTCTCTCTCCTCCCCAGAGGTTGGGCTGTGGGGATAAATATTTCAATCTTCTAATCATATTGTTGGTTCCTCTGGAAAGGAGCCACCATCCTGAGGCTATCCAGGAGCCCCCAGCCCCCAGTCATCTCATTAACATACAAAAAGACACCTTTCACTTCAGAGAGTCCAAGGGTTTGGTTTTTGTTTGTTTGTTTGTTTGTTGTTGTTGTTGTTGTTGTTTGAGATGGAGTCTCACTCTTGTCGCCCAGGCTGGGGTGCAATGGGGCGATCACAGCTCACTGCAGCTGCCGCCTCCCGGGTTCAAGCGATTCTCCTGCCTCAGACTCCCGACTAGTTGGGATTACAGGTTCCCGCCAGCACACCTGGCTCATTTTTGTGTTTTTAGTAGAGATGAGGTTTCACCACATTGGCCAGGCTGTCTTGAACTCTTGACCTCAGGTATCCACCTGCCTTGGCCTCCCAAAATGCTGGGATTACAGGCGTGAGCCAGCACACCTGGCCACATATTTCTTTTTTATGTCATAGGTGAACAGAGACCAGATCAGGCAGTTGACTAGTCTTAAATGACTTTTCTTCTGTGCCAGATTGCCTGGAATAGGATCCCAGCACTGTCACTTGCTAGATATGAACTTTAGGCAAGTTCTTTCATCTTTCTGTGCCTCAATTTCTTCATTTGTGAAATGGGGATAATAATATTATCTGCCTAACACAAGTTGTTAGGATTAAATGGGCAATAAAATATTAGATTTTATTATGTATCATAGTATTTGTATTTTGTTATTTTTGTATTATATATTCTGCTATAACATTATGATATAATACTTTTATTTGTCATTTTGTTCTGTTTTTATTAAGACTTAATATGTTTTTTATTCTGATGGAAATAACCCAATAAAAGAAAACACAGGCTATCAAAGAGGGAGAGAGGAAAGCTGTGAGTGAGATGTCCTTGAATAGGTGAGAGGGACTAAGATTAAGTGCACATGCCAATTAACTGTTCTCACATAGGATCAGGGATGGTGGGGTAGGTGGGTAGAATTTCTGGTGGAAGAATGTAGACATTGTATTTGAATTGCTGCTACTATCTAGTGAAATAAGAAGAAAAGTCATCAGCAAAGGGTAAGGAATGAGCAGGGTAGGAGATTGGAAGAACGAAAGGAAGGTAGAAATGCTCATCTGAAAGGATGGGAGAGTTCATTGTTAAGGACTATAGTATGATTGCTGGGCACCACGTAGAGTTTATTTAAGGTTTTGTGGTTGTGAATTTAGACAAGTCATGTGGCTTTTAGATATGCTTAGGTGCGGGGACAGAGCAGGTGTGACTTGTGTTTAATCAGGATGGCAATTTTACCATGGGAGTATGTTGGAGGGAGAAAGTGACAAAGTGATTGAAAGTATGTCTGTGCCTCCCCAAAATTCATATGTTGAAGCCCTAATCTCCAGTGTGACTGTATTTCAGTACAGGCCTATGAGGAGATGATAAGGATCACATGCGGTCTTAAGGTCCCCAGTGAGATAGGCTGGTACTGTTGTAAGAAGTGGAAGAGGCCAGGCACAGTTGCTCACACCTGTAATCTCAGCAATTTGGGAGGCTAAGGCAAGTGATCACTTGAGCTCAGGAGTTTGAGACCAGCCTGGGCAACAGAGCAAAACCCCATCTTCACTAAAAATACCAAAATTAGCCAGGTGTGGTGGTGTGTGCCTGTAGCCCCAGCTGCTCTGGAGGCTGAGGTGGGAGGATGACTTTAGCCCACGGGTTGAGACTGCAGTGAGCTGAGATGATGCCACTGCACTGCAGCCTGGGTGACAGGGCAAGACCCTGTGAAAGAAGAAGAAGAAGAAGAAGGAGAAGGGGAATGGGAAGGGGAAGAAGAGGAAGAGGAAGAGGAAGAGGAAGAAGAAGAAGAAGAAGAAGAAGAAGAAGAAGAAGAAGAAGAACAAGAACAAGAAGGAGAAGAAGAAGAGGTGGAGACACCAGAGCCCGCTTTGTGAGTGCTCAGATGAAAGGCACTTGAGGGTGGCAGAGGGAAGACGGCTGTCTGCAAGCCGCAAAGAGAGCTCTCACCAGGGAACAAACCCTGCTGGAGCTGATCTGGGACTTCCAGTATCCAGAACTGTGAGAGAGGCATGTCTGTGTGCAAGCCACCTAACCTATGGCAACCTGAGCAGAATACACAAAGGAAGTATGCTGGTGGGAGAAAGAGACAAGATGACTAAGTGTATATGCAAGGAAGTAAATTTAATGATGGGTCTGAAGTTTAACCCAGATAAGAAGGAAGGCAAACATGGTGGTGGGGGTGATTGATGGATAAGCAAACATAAATGAGATGAATGGATTGGAAGTCCCAGTGCAGATGAAGCTATAACTGGAATGATAGGATAGGAGAGTAGGATGCTTGACATTGAAATCATGAAAGTGATGTTGCTATTGGTAATTATAGGGTCTAGGAATATGACTGTAAAAAAAGACTAATGTATTGAAAGCAAAGAGTCAGAGAACTGAGAAATCAGGATATTGAATGGATTGTGTGCATGTTGGAATCATATAGTGAGAGCTCTCTTTGTGGCTTGCAGACAGCCATCTTCTCTCTGCCACCCTCATGTGCCTTTCGTCTGAGCACTCACAAAGTGAGCTCTGGTTTCTTATCCACTGTGTGGATGTAAGAATAATTACTGGAGGAGTAATTCAAAAGGCAGGAATTCAAAAGGCAGCATATTCAATGAATGCATTCAGATATAACTGCATACATTTGAGTGATATATAAAAACAAAATCAACAGGAATTTGTCATGAAATAAAAGGGGATGGAGAAAAGATAGGGAGAAGGTGCCATTAAAGAGAACTCATTGGTCTCTGACTTGAGCCACTGGATCAATCATGGTACCATTTCTAAGTTAGAGAAGGCTGGCAGAAGGCCAGAAGTTTGATTTTGGTATAGAGTTTCAAGTGACTTTGATATATCCAAGTGATATTGAGTACATGGGCTAATATATATTGGGCTGGTTCCCAGAGAAGAGTCCATCTTGGAAATAGAAATCTGTGAAGTGTATGAGATGGGTGATGGCTGAATTCATAAGACTGGTGGCCTTGCCTAGGAGGTATGGAAAGAGCAGAGGAAAAGACAAAGACTTGGACTTGAGTAATTTCAGTATTTAAAAATGAGAAGACTTAGTATGAGCCTCCAAGGGAGATTGATTAGGAAGGGGAAAAGTAGAGGAAAACCAGGAGAGCATGAAATTATAGAAGCCAAGAAAAGTCTTGTGAAAAGGAAGATGCAGCCAATAGTGTTGAAAGTTTAGGGCCAGAAGGCTGAGAGGAAAAAAAAATGACCTTGGAGTTAGTAGCATGGCGGCCATTGGTGACTTTTGTAAGAGCTTCTTTAGTGGACTAATGAGGTTGGAGGAGAAATTAGAGGTTGATAACTGAAGCAGACATGAGGAAAAGGAGAAAGTAGGACAGACCACCTTTTCAAGAATGTTGACTATTAAAAGGAGAAGAAGAAAAACGTGGGAGCTGGAGGGATTGATGGGATTAAGGACAAAGATTTTATATATATATAAATTATAAAAAATATATATTTGTATGTAATTATAAAAATATATAATTATCAAAATTATATAGATATATAAAACCTTCACATACACATATATACACATATAAACAAATACACACATATATACATATATGCACATAAATATACACACATATCGTATATTATGTAATTTATATTTATATAATATATATAATGTTATATTTATATAATATACATTTTTAATATCAGAAGCTTGAGCCTATTTGAATCTCAATACAATGTCTATAATTTGGAGGGGAATTATACAAATGTAACATGTTAGTGCGAAAAGTTTTATAAGGGATGGTAGAAAAGCAGGAAGGTTGGGGTCCAAACTGCAGGCAGTGACACAGATTTTAGAAGGACTAACACCTTCTCTAGTGTGACAGAGAATAAAGGAACCCAGATTGCATTAGGACTCAGAGTCAGGCATCTTACTGTGTTCTATCTTCTCTTTTTCTGAGTGATACAATTCATTTTTACAAGAAAGTATTGTGGGGGTAGGTGCAGTGGACTTTGTGCTCTCAAAGCAGCAGTGAAGAAACAAGGACACCAACTCTGCCTTCTGCTGCAGGCAGGTTTGTGAGGTATGAGAGAGGAAACAGCTACCACTTGAGCAGATTGTGGGAGAAGCAGCGTTTTGAGGTTTCAGCTAAGGAAAGGGGGGCACTCAGAAAATATATGGAAAATGTAGAGGAGTTTGATATTCCTGAGAGCACAATGCGAGGTTTGGGTGGATCATGATGACTGAGAAAAAGTTTGTTGATTTTGGCGAGAAGAAGATCATTTTCAACCTAAGATTAAGCAGTTTCAGAAATAGTTTAGCAGAATGATGGAGGTTCCCACAAAGGATTATGAAGTGAAAAGCAGATACTTCGTTCAAGGAATTTGGCTGTAAGTGAAAGGAGGAAGAGAGAATTCAAGTCTTTTTTTTTTTTTTTGGTTTTGTTTTTTTTTTAATAATCCAACTAATTACCTATGAGATTTCATTTCCATTTTGTTTCTTAACATGAACTCTAGAGTCAGGTTGACTTTCTTCCATAATGCTTTCTAAAATCCTTTCTTCTTTGTTGTCATGCTTTAACTCCTGCCTAGGATGCCCTAAATTTTTTTTTCTTCCTTTGTAAACACAACTTTTCTGGTAAGACCCATTAACATCTACCTCTCAATATTATCTGTTATATATATTTTTTCCCCATTAGATAATTCATTTTTGTTATAAAACTATTGGAAAAATATGTGAAATTTAGCCGGGTGCAGTGCTGCACAGCTGTAATCCCAGCACTTTGGGACTCCAAGGTGGGTTGAATGCTTGAGCCCAGGAGTTCAAGACAAGCCTGGGCAACATAGCGAGACCTCGTCTCAAAAAAAAACTATATATATATGAAATTATAAATTAAAAATAAAATAACCCACATTAAACCTTCCTTCGTATATATTATACTATGTATATTATTAATACTAACACTTCAAAAATTTACATGATAAAGTCTTTTTGATTCCACTAAATATTTATAACAAAATGTTAAAGACTATCTAATAGTCCATGGTATTTGGTTTTCCCTATTATAAATAAGACACTATCTTTTACATAATTGCTTGTGTACATAGTTAATGGCACCCTTAAGGCAGAAATTTTTTAACTAGATGACTAAATCAGAAGATAAGTATTTTTTTAAGGCTCTGGATATATAGAGATGAATTATTTTCTAGAAAGTATCTAATGAATTATCCTTCTACAAGCAGCATATGAGCATTTAGCGTACCCCCCTCCATTGTCAGCATAGAACATTTTCTAAAAATTTAATTTCCAGGGTAGAAAAATGGCTTCTCTCTGGGTTCTAAGCTATGTTCATTTAATTACTAATTAAGTTGAATTTTTTAATAGCTACTGGTTACTGGGTGTTTTCTTCTTTGTGTTGTTATGCCATACCTTTAACCCATTAAACATATTTTTAATTGAATCACAAAAGTTTTAGCGTGGTTGATCTAATCATAAAAGTTCTTTACATGCTAATTATATTCTTGTATTATATATTGTTATTTTCATCCTATTGGTTTCCCAGTGAACCATGTGCATCTGTCATAAGCTTTACCAAATTCTCTATTCTCAGAAGTCCTGCAGCACTCTATAGTGTCAATCTACCATCTTAATGTTTCAGTCTCTATTATCTTGTGTTGTTCATTGATAGTTCCTTTCATATTAATATATTACCATCAGAGCGATAGTAAGTGTCTTAAGAATAAGAACAGGGAATATGTTTATCACCATTACTAGATTTCTAATTGACATTATGTTATATGATTCTAATTTGTTTATTAGTGTATTATTATATATATTCAACAAAATATATAGCAAATTAACTCATTGTGTGTTAATGACCATAACATTCTGGAAAGATATGTGTATGTTTAAAGACCTAGAGAATAGATTAGTTTTCTCAATATTTTTATATATGCAGTAAAAGTTTTGAAAAAAAGTCTTTGGGGTAGGTTGAAATTATTTCAAAAGTTTTAGGATTGTGTATAAAACAGCATTAACATGCTCTTTTGAGCATGTTACTTGAACCATAGTTGAGTGAAAGGTGGTGTGAACCATGTGATAAATGATTACTTCACGTCAAACAACCCAACTTTTCTGAGCATGCTGGCTTTGCAAGGATTTATAGTTCCCTGCCTTCATGCCGGAGTTACTTCAGCTTTCCGTGATGCATTCCAACTAATCTGGAGGTTAAGGCATTTCTTGATCATGGATAGATCTGCTTGCTTCTCAGCCCTGGAATTCTTTATAAAATTCCAGAATGCAGGCTAGAAATTGACTTAGGGAATCCAATAAAGTTGCAAGTCTTGGCGGTCATCCAAGCTAAATTTATAGACTGGAAGAAATATGGGCTTTCCATTGTTCTCTTTTTCACCTTTCTGGGATTTCTTTTGTGTCTATGTGAGTGTGTGAGTGTAAATTTATCATTTTACTGACATTGGAGTGTAAATAACCATCAAGGAGATCCAGTTAAAGAATTTTCACTTTGGATCTTCTCTGGTCTTTCCAAACTTTGACCCAAACCTGCACCAAGAGTGAATTTCTTCTCCCTCTGTAGGATGTTGATGTCATAAAATAAGGAGTTGTTCTTGAAAATGAATCATGCTAGTTTAACAGCTGACATGCATGTTTGCCAGCTAGCTGCACCTCCCCAAATCCTGCCCTTCCCCCGACTCGGAGCCTTCTTTTGGGACATGATCTGAGAAAATGTGATCACATGTGTTGTTTCTCTTCATTCTATGACTGGCAATGGGGGAACAAAAACAATCTCGGAAGCGTATGAGACTTCAGTTTTGTGTGTGTGTGCCTGAGGCACTGTTGTGCCTGGAGATCCAAGCAATCCCTCTCCTACCCTCTCCATTATATCTGACCATTGAAAACCTGTCTTGTTTTCACAGAATGGGTTTGCTGTTGTGAGGCCCCCTGGCCATCACGCTGAAGAATCCACAGCCATGTAAGTACCAGGGACTGTTGCCCATCTCCAAGCACCACGGTTCCTGGCGGTCACCTGCCCCGTGCATGTTTCTGAAGCCTCTAATTGTTAGCAGATGGACTGAAAAATCTTGCGAGGTACTCCCAGAAGCAGATTTATGGCTTCAGAGATCATATAGCATTTAAAAAAATGCTCTGAACATTATTTATAATGGTTTTCCTGGATGATTTGCTTTCTTATTTCTCTGTTCTTCTCTATTCCGCAGGGGGTTCTGCTTTTTTAATTCAGTTGCAATTACCGCCAAATACTTGAGAGACCAACTAAATATAAGCAAGATATTGATTGTAGATCTGGTATGTATTCCTGGCCAGAGCTGCATTTTCAGTGATTCTAGATAAAGGGGAGTGGATTTGTATTTCTCTGTTAGGTTGTCTTGCTTTTAGCACTTGCAAACAACTGAAGGGTGTGTTTTCCTTTGAATGTGGAAACTCATTAAACTCAGGATTGCAGTTCTGAAACCATAAACATTCACGTTTCACTTTCATGGTGTTAACTGCAATTTAATGAGAAGAAGGCGCAGATCAGGGCAACTTTTATGATCCTTAAATGAATTGATACTTCCACAGTTAAAATAACCCAACAGAACCTGAATTTACTTTTCCCTACAGAATATAGACTCAATAGTCAGATGTGCTGGAAAGAATGCTGTTGCTTTGGTAACCAATTGGCCACTTCCCCCTGGTTAGAAATCATGTTGCTTGTTGTGCAACAGTGGTATTATTAAAACAAGTCGGCATGTCACTCTTACTGAAAAGATCTCCAATCTCAGATGCCAGTTTGGGATGATTCTCTGCAGGAACCCTGAGTGACTGAAAGTTAGAGGCACTAGATTAGTCTTGTATTTTAACGTGATGCATTCTTACACAGTAAAGTTAGAATTTGTCTAACAAATGGTTTGTTTAAAAGCAGATGACACTTGGCATATTGTCCACAGTATATTCATGAATAATGAGCTGGAGATCTGGAGATCTGCCCCATACAAAAAGGACCAACCCAGGAAAGGGCGAAAGAGAAGTGAATGGTGATTTATGAGCCCCGTTTTCAGTTTGCCTCCAGTTCTCAAGGAGGTGTAATAGGTTGTCTGACAAAGCATAGACAGGAAATGAACCCTGGCATCCAAACCGAACCTGGTACATCTGCACTTAATTAATTTTTGCAGGTGATAAAAGATTTAAAGGCAAAATATGCTAAAGGTTTTTTTTTGAAGTGCAAGCCTTAATAGTCTAAATCTTGTTCATATCTGCACTCATAATTAAATCTTATTGGAAGTCACGGCCTCGCCCTCCAGCCTTCGAATCCAGTTAAGCAGGCACACCAAAGGGTTGAGAGAGCACAAACAAAGCCATGTGAAGAAATGCTTAGTTAAGTGAAAACGAAGATAAAAGAAATGGAAGAACGATACCCATTTGTTGTGCTTCGTTGCAATGGGTATTTTTCACACACTATATTGAAGCATTCCTGCAAGCACTTTGGAGAGAAGAGTATTGAAACCTAACTATCCATGTATTTTCCATACACGCCTGAGTCTCAATGTCAGGCATAGCTCACCGTTAAAGAAATGTGTTGAAGGCCTAGATATACTACAGCAGCAAGATGTTACAATTTTACAAAAATCAAGACATCAGTACCCATTTTCTCATTTATATGCAAAATGACAGCTAAAGTAATTAATAATTGCTGTTCTGCATAATTTGTAAGATATTAAAACTTTAAAAATAGTATGCTCCTCTTTCTGTAAGTTCTATGCCAGGGAGATAAGCCAGAAACTTAAGAAAAGCAGATAAAGAGCAAAGATTGTAGGGAAAGAATTTTTCTAAGCTTTCTCAATTTGTCAAAATTATGTAAGAAGGTGATTGGTCAACAGTTTGTCCTATCCTTAGGGATCTTTTAGTGTTTACTTTCTAAAGAATCTTCTCTGCTACCATTTTAAGGTTCTAGGAGGATAGTCAAAAACTGTTAGGAGTCCCCTTTGAAAACACATTTGTGATATCTAGACTCAAAAGTAGTGAATTGTACAAGAGACTTGAAAGCTAAAATGCCTCCCTTGTGATAAATGGATACTTTGTATTTCAGAGGATGTATATGTAAAGTTTTGTTTTTGTACAGTAATACAGTATAGGAATAAAAGACTGCTGGAAAAATCTGATACGATTTATAAAATAAGTTACTTGGTAGCTCCAAGGAGTTTCCTGTAAGCTTCCTGGCCTTTGATTATGTATTTGCTCCATTATCCAATCAGAAAGGATACTGATTTCCCAACAGGCTGTAGTAGACGAGAAGTTTTTGTTTCAAATTATCTAAATATATGGAGTTCTGTCCAAAGGGTTGCCTCTGAGATCACCACCAGCCCACATATTCTTACTTTCAAGTCTTCCAAATTCTGCAGCTGCAGGGCTACTTTGAGGAAATTCCTGTTTCTTCCAGCTGCTGAGAAGGAAGTTTTAAGGTGCCACGTGGCCTTGAGACATCCGTTCTCCCTGGCTGACAGGTCTATTCTGCAAGTTAGCAATGAAAAAGCCAATAGATGGCTTTTCCGTAGCCAAAAAAAAAACAACAAAAAGTTATTCCTGCAAATCCAAAGTCATTAATGTTAGCTGGGGGGTGTGAACTAACTCCACAAATTACAGCGCCAATAGATGGCAAAGGTACTCCTTTGTCCAGCAGTTTCAGCATTTTTATATGTTTAGTAAATGCAGAGCTAGAGTTCTAATTTGCCTACTACTTTGGGTCACAGCCAAATTCAGCAGCGTTGAGTATTTTAGGCAAGAATGATTCTAGTTGATCTGTGGAGCTCATTTATTCCATGTTCCTTTCTGAGGCAGATCCCAAACATATTCAGACTAGTGTGGACAGGGAGCAGGTGTACTTGCTTTTCAACTTGCAAGAGACTGACCATTGTGTTTAGGGGATTAACTTGTCCTACAAGTAAGACTGTATGACTCAGGTAGCTTTTAGGTAATGTGACTTTTATTTTGACAATAGTACTTTTTAAGCTGTCTTTGTAAAAGGAAAGTTAATTCAAATGTCCTTAGATTTTGGGAAATTGCGTTGTTGATCAAGTACATTTAGATCTTTATTACAAGTCCCTATACTGAGTAACTAGGAGTGATAACATTAGCTGCTAGAATATATGATTTATTCAAGGTTACTCAAAGTTATTTTAACATAATAGTGAAAATATACAGGTTCTAAATCCTTGTACAGCATCAATGTTTGCAGTATGCTTTTTAACCAGTAAAATATTTAAACAATTTTTCAGCATTTCCCCACATATCTTAGATACAAGGTCTATTTTGGGAGTTTTAATGTTTCATTTTATTTCATTTCTATAGTAATTTCTCACAATCACCAATAATTTTCTTATCTTAGTTTATTATATATGTGTTGCCATGAAGAAACAAGCTTTAGATCATACCTGACCAATCAGTACTTTGTATGAATATTTTACAGCAAGGAAAACAAACAAAAAAATGATATATATATATTTTTTTTTTCTTGAGACGGAGTTTCGCTCTTGTTGCCCAGGCTGGAGTGCAATGGCACGATCTCGGCTCACCGCAACCTCCACCTCCCGGGTTCAAGCGATTCTCCTGCCTCAGCCTCCCGAGTAGCTGGGATTACAGGCATGCGCCACCATACCCAGCTAATTTTTGTATTTTTAGTAGAGACGGGGTTTCTCCATGTAGGTCAGGCTGGTCTCGAATTCCCAACCTCAGGTGATCTGCCCACCTCGGCCTCCCAAAGTGCTGGGATTACAGGCATGAGTCACCATGCCCAGCCTTAAAAAAAATGATATTCTTAAGGCTATACTGTGAGTTGTTCCCCCAAACAAAAGACATAATTGAGTTTAACCTTTATCACTAAATATTTGGTGAATATGAATACAGAATCAAGAATTGCCCCATTAGAATGGATTTATGTATTTTAATAATAATGTCTGTTGAAAATCTTATTATGCTGTGAACAGGATTTTATTTCTTACTCAGAAATTTATGCACTAGTAAGTACCCAACAGATTTTTCAAGAACAAATAATTTTATATCTGAGAGAACATATCATTTTATATTTGACTGTTTTAAGTAAACATTTACAGTGTCCCCAGAGAAACAAAAGTAATCAAAGCAATATTTTTCTGCTGTTCAAATTGTGGATGCATTTATGCTCAAACCAAATGTGTCTTAGAACTGATTAAAATTACTATTGTATAGGGGAAATACAAATATCCCCTTAATGTTGTTTTTCAAAATATTTTATTTGTCCATTTTCTAGATATCCAGTAACAAACACAAAAGACATTGTGGCTTTAATTGTTTCACCCTTGTTTACATACAGGAAAATAGTTTTTTTGTCTCCTCCTTCCTTTCCTTGGGATATTCAGAAATCCAGGAATTGATATAATTTGACTAAGTTATTTTTTTTCCTGATGATGTATGTCTTTAGCTGAAACAACTTTCTGGGATGATGTGTATGTGCCCCAACATTATGATTTCTTAATTTTGGATATGTGTACCATTCAAAAAGGGAAAAGGATTATTGTATGTCTACACCGTGGATGGCAAGATCAATGCAGGTTTTCAGAATTCACCAAAAGAAGGCTATGATAGTGTCTAGTGAAGGAGTACTGGGCTGGAGATTGGCATGAAGACAGGTCATATAAGTCTCCTATGGAGCAATAATGACTGACAACCCACCTCACAGGTTTGCCAAGAGGATCAAACAGATTATGAATGTAAGTTTCAGTTAACTGTGTAATTGTTAAGAGTTTGGCCTTTGGAATAGGAAGTAGATTCAAGACCCAGTCTTGCAACTTATTTCCTGCATAGTCTTAGTAACTGAAACTCTCTGAGCCTCAGTTTACCTAATAATCCATACCAGATATTTATATAGTGCCTGACTTAAAAATTGTAGAAATCATTGTTGAAAATAGCATGATTCTATATCTTGCTAATATAAAGTAAGTATATAGTTACAAGTTTTAAAACTTTTAAATAACAGAACCGGAAACTATGTATGTTTAAAGTATAGCAGTAATATTCTATTGAATACAAATATATAAATTATCCACTTTTGGAGTGGCTCTTTTTTTTTTGGTCAGAAGATATTATGAAGCATATTAATTGAGGTGTTTTTTTTTTACACTTGAGGTCTTTCAGTGAAGACATTTAAAATAATGCTATTAGTTCTATTGACTTTTTCATTTCTTATATCAATTCTGGCACGTATCTGTATCATAAAACAGTGAGAAAAAAGAACTGTCAAGTTTTATATCAGGCTTTTTTTTTTTTTTTGAGTGGGAAAGAGGACTGGTGTAGGGAAAGGAGAAAAGAGCAGGAAGAAGGCTGTAAAGAAAGCTATGATATGATATTAAAATTAGGCAGATTGCACAAGATTGCATAAAACCCCATGCCATCTTTCTGCTTTGGCCCAAATGATTTAAGAGCTAATGAGCTCATGCTCCTGCGTCTTCGACTCTTGTGTTACCGTTTTATCAAAATGAAGTATGAAGTTTTTTTGCATCTGGCTTCTCTTTTGAAGTGATTCTAACTGCGGAGGGATTGCTAACTGAACTGAACGCTTCAAGAAAGCCAATTTATTCAGCTGGTTGCAAAGCCTTTGACCTTAATGGTGGGACTTGGCAAATCAATGCATACACGTATGTTTAGCGTTCTGTCAAGAATTGCGAAAATGCTCTGTAAGCCATAGATCCTTCTGCAAAATACTAGTTTGTAGTTTAGTTTAAACATTAGTCTTTTTTCAGAGGCCAATGAGGCTAGTTAATTAAGCCTGAGGGGTTATGAACTGTTGGCAGTTAATAAGTCATAAAATTCCTCCATAAAACAGGATGCAAGATTCCATCACTGAAGCAAAGAGTACAAAGAGCCGGTGTATAAATATCTAATTGTACCAAAGGACTGGGCTTTCTCAATGACTGCTCATCTGGAGTCTCCAGGGCATGCTCGCTGTGGTTTCCTGATTTTTAGAAGCCAGTTTAAAAAATGAGTGCATTAAAGGGTAATTTGCCTGAAAGTTCAGGAAGTAAAGGGGGTGGTGTGGAAGCAGGCTGAAAGGGAGAAAGAAAAGAGGAACGTAGTGAGAAGACAGAAAATGAGAAAGAAAGTGGTAGAAAGACAGGGAACTAGAAATCAGAAAGGTTGTCTCCACACAAAGTTAGACATGACTGTATTTGTCGTCTGTTTTCATTTCCCTGTAGGATGTTCACCATGGAAACGGTACCCAGCAGGCCTTTTATGCTGACCCCAGCATCCTGTACATTTCACTCCATCGCTATGATGAAGGGAACTTTTTCCCTGGCAGTGGAGCCCCAAATGAGGTTCGGTTTATTTCTTTAGAGCCCCACTTTTATTTGTATCTTTCAGGTAATTGCATTGCATGATTACCCCTAATTTTCTTGTCCTTTGCTGGTGTTTTAAATTACACGAGATTACTGAATTGTCCCATGGGACCAAGAACCAGTGCAGAACAAGTGCATAACCCAGAGCACTGTTTGTCAGGGAAGGTTGGGCTGATTTGATGTGTTGTTTGATGTTTATTTCAAGAGCTCCCATGTGCTTGTTTTCCTCTCTTCTTGCTTTCTTCCATTTGCTCTCTTCTCTGCCCACCGTGGTGTGTCTTTCTCTTCCCAGGTTGGAACAGGCCTTGGAGAAGGGTACAATATAAATATTGCCTGGACAGGTGGCCTTGATCCTCCCATGGGAGATGTTGAGTACCTTGAAGCATTCAGGTTGGTACTTCTTTCTCTCTGAAAGTGGCAAATTGGAAAATAAATGTCCATTGAAATAACACCAAATATGGAAGAGAAATGTAAATGTCTAATTAAGGTAAATTATCGCTCAAAGCCACATAAGAATATGTATAAGAAGAAAAGATCTATCAAGACCTGGTTTTGATTATACAGGTATATTGGCCAATGGCCCATTTTCCCCCTTCCCTCCCAAATAAGGAGGAAAAAATATTTTATTATTAAATAGTTCTCTCTGGAAAATTCTGCCTATTTTAACATATGATGTGGTTTTTACAGTAGACATTAGCATATTCATTGCCCTGAGAAGTCCTTCATTACCTATTTGATTTTGTTGAACAAGCATTTCTCAAACTTCATTGGACTACAGAATCCCTTTTTTACATAGCACCATTTAGCATTCCTAGTTCTGGGGAGCTCACTCATTTTCATGACATTGGCCAAGGCAATCTCATTTGATGGTAGGGTAAATGACTTTTGTATAGTTTTCCTTTCACATGAAAACATTAACTAATTAATTGGTTGCTTCCATTTTCTCTGGAACAAAATCTACAAAATGTAACATTAAGTACAGTGTATTCACATAGCATTCTGCTTTTGTCTAAGCAAATAACTAAATATTAATATAAATAAGAAAAAGCAAATCAAAGGCTTCTCTTTGAGAGAATTTTAAAAATGAGCATTTCTTCTCTGGAATTAAGAAAATATTAGTTTGTAGTTTAAACGTTAGTCTTTCTTCAGAAGCCAGTGAGTCTAGTTAATTCAACCTGAGGAGCCTCCCTTGCAAGATTTTTGGAAGAGGTTTTAGCCTATTGGTAATGCATAATTTCTCGAATTTTTTATTTAGTTGAAAGCAAAACAACCACATGAAAAAAACTTACATGTGTTCATAGTTTTGAAATTTGCCATTTATAAGTTCCCATGAAGAAAATCCTGTTGATACCCTATATTTGAAACTTGTGGAAATAATAGGGAAATTTTTTAATTAATGAAGTTTTGGTGGGTTTCTTTTGTCCTGTGTGTCATGCATACTTCGTTGTCTTATTTGAAGTTCATTTCTCATGAGAAAGCAGGTCCAGGAAAAATGATAGAAAAATAGCTATTTAAAAAATACATTTAAAATAAATATGTTTGGCTTGGCATTCAAGATACAAAGGAAAATTCTACCCACATTCTGGAATGTGTACTTTGGGAAAAAATATACACAAAGATATCCACAATGTTGTAGAAAAAAATGGCTGGAATAAAATTTTCTACCGTCAACTTGGGTTGATTGTGAAGATATTTTGCTTTAATTAGGAGCAAAATAAAAAATTATGTTAAAAAACAGAAGTTTTAATGTTATGAATTCTCTTTTTCAACATCACAAATACCATTACATTTGCAAATTTCACAAACATTATTAATATCTTGTAGGAACTTTAACAGGATAATAGACTTCAATATTATATCACATATGAATTTATTTGTCTGCCTCCCAAGTTAACCTGGTAACTTGCATGATACACATTAAATTCATGTTAAATACACATTAAATTCTCAACCTTACTATCTCATATAATCATATCCATTATCTTTGATGCAGAATTCATAGATTTTTTAAATTATCGTAATTCCATTTGGGGTACTATAGCTTTATATAAAAATAAATCATGTATGCACAGCAATGAAAGGCAACTTCTATTTTGTGCCTTTGTTTTCCCATCACAAAGTGAGCGGTGGATGAGATTTTTTTCTAAAGAACCTCTTTGAACACAACCATTCCATTACATAATGTAAACGCAGATATTAAGTGCACATATTGTTTTGTGATTTAAATGGTAAATGAATGAAGTACTCCTGAATGGGGTTGACGATTCTCAGAATGGCGCCTTCTCTTTGCCTGGAAGGTGGACACTTTATATTAGCAAACTTTTCTAAGCTTCCCAGTGTATCTCCATTACTTGAGTTTCATTAGAGAAGTGGCATTATCTAGCTAGGATGCAGAAATGTAAATTTCTGGCTTTCAATGTCCATATTTATTTAAGAACCAGATTTAATTCATAAGACTCCTGCCATTTTGAACTATGGCCTGTCTGCTATTCATCATTTATGACCAGAAGTACTTGTGAATTTGTTACGGCTAGGTCAAACAGGTAAGTCATTCATTTCAAAAACCATCATTGAACACATATTATATGCTGGGCACTGTGGTAAGCACTTGGAATTCAGAGCTGTTGTTACTTTCAGGGATCATAATATATGTCATACGTATTATTCTAGAGAACAGAAGCGCTCAGAGCAGATAAAATGATTAACTTGTCCTCAATGGTTTCAGGAAAGGTTTCATCAAGTATTGTTCAACCTGTGCTTCTAAAGATGAGTGGGAACTTTCAAGGGGAGAAGAGGAGTTGGAGTCGGGGGTATTCATACTGACTGGGCAGAGAGAGTGAACTGTGAAATGCATGGAGCCATGAAATGATCTTTCTGTATTGGCTCAAGGACATGAGGTGGGATTGGTAGAAAGAAAATGAATCATATTTTGTAAACTCTTATGCAGGCAAAGGATAGCCCATCTATATATGTATATACTCCTTTGTCAATTTGGGCTTAGTCAGATAGACTGCCAAATAATTTTTAATGTAGTATTATTTTCTAAGCTTATCCTTAATACACTTCTTGTTTCCTAGTATTGAACCAGAAGATCTTTCTGGCATCTGTGTGTGGGTGCAGGAAATGGAGGTGGGGGAAAGAGTAAATGGTGCCTTTTCTTTTCTCTTAGTTTTTAATTGTTTCTGGACTCTTACAAGTATCTTTTGAAGGAAAATCTCTCTCCCTGTGAAGCTACATTTATAGTGGGATGTAAGATCGCTGCTTATTTTACTAGCCAAAATTTGTCACATATATTGCCTTCATGGTTTCTATTATGTGCTTTTTCTATAGCAAAAAAATCATAGACAAACCAAAGATTTCACATTTACTGTAAGCTTTAAATAGAATTTAAAAAATATAATAGAATAACTAAATTATTTCAAATGACTAGTTATTTCTTCCAAGCAGTTATCATTCATCTCTGAAATAATTGAAGGGTATACTTAAGATTCTTCACGAGAATTCTTAAAATATTCAGTATCAAATATCTTTTATGTTCAACTAAAATATATTTCCGAGGTTACCATTGTATAAAATAATTATGACTATTTTTATTGGGGTCTTACATGCCAGGTCCTAGATTAGAAACTTTATAGACATTATGGCTAATTCTTAAGTGCTTTATATAAGTCACGGAACTACTAATTGGAAGGGCAGTAATTTGAACTTAGTTTGTGACTCTACAATCTATGCTCCTTTTCTCACACCACATTGCTACTCTCTTCTGTTTATGACTTAAAATACTCAGGAGTAATAAAGCACAGTGACTTTTTACCAAAGTGTAAGACCTTCATGCCCGCATAGCCTCCCAACCTAAGGCACAAATGCCTAGTGAACAACATGGCAGAGAAGAGCTATTCAATAATATTTGGTTGAATGAGTCAATGAATGAATGAATGAATGAATCAGAGAAGAAAGAGGGAATAATGTTGTCAATGGGAGCATTGTCAAGCTCAGGTATTAAGCGAACCTAGCAAAAGTCTGAGGGAACTACCTTGGCTTCTTAAAAACTATGCTCTACAAAGAACTCTGAACATCTATTCATTTTGTTATAAGAATGTCAGACTTGTCTTTATTGAACAAATCTTTTGCTGAATGCCTGCTAAGGAATCTCTGTTTCAATCATTTCAAAAGGATGTTCCAATGGTTTTATACTCTCTACAGTCCATTGATGAGGATTGGGCACATTATTTTTTCTAAAGACTAATTCTTTTAAGAGTACTGCAAATGTTAAAGTGATTATTTATGTCAGACCATTTAAGTGGTTTGTTTATAGTGGGCAAGAGACAATTATGAATCTCATGCTTCTGTTTAAATCTGAGAAAAATATCTTCAAATGTTTAAAAAATAAGTAGCAATTTCCAACGAATAAGATTTTATTTAGTAGTCCTTGAAATTATGCCTGTTTTATTAAATAAATAAACAAATGAGTGAATGGAGGACAATTCCTTTGTAGCCCCTTTTAATTTCAAGAAAAGAAATATAAGCCCCTTCAATTTAGCAGGTCTTAATGAAATAATTAAAGTGACCCATCTGGCATATACTGAGGACTAGCTAAAGAAAGGTCATAGAGCTCTTGATCTGGGTTCTTTAGATGCAAACAAGTTCTAATTTTAAATATCATCTTTTCATGTCAGTATGTTGTAGTATGTAGCTACCTTAATTAATATTTGTTGTTGATGCATATTTTCAATAGACAGTGAATCTGTACATATCAGCTCTTCAGGGAAGTTCATCTCAGGGGAAAACTCTGACCCAGAAGGACTCTCTTGCACTGAGGTTGTCAGTATGCCAACTGAAAAGGGGACTTTGAGAGAGTTGTCTAGTAGAGGTAGTGCACATTTAGTCAAAATTTTGGGGGTTATTATTGAAAACTACCTATTTTTATTTTATTGACTTATGTAGGTAGTATCTGTATTTAATCGAAATGCTATGTGCTTCTAAATTTAGGCATTACTAAAATATTTTGGACATATCATTAACTGGAATTTTTAGAAGCTTAATGTTTTTGCTATATAGTCAAAGCCATTGAACCATTTGAGCACATACAAGCAGCCCAGTGTCTATCTCTTTCTCCTGTCTTGAGTTCATATCTGTTTACTTTAATGACATAAGCAAAATTAAAGTCCATTAATGCAAAATTGTGATTGGAAATCTGTCCAGATATCCTGTCTATTCTTAGTTCACAGTCAAAGTGGCAATTCTGTTCCTGATGCTGAGTCTTTAATATAAGAATCATGGCTTCCGGGGATTCCTCCCCTGCTTGTGACAAAAATGTAGAAAGGGCATTTAACTCAAGTGCAGAATGAAATAAAACCTTTTATTGTCATATCCACACTGCAAGTGCTCCTTGGACAAGTCAATAATGGTCAGCCTAGAGATTTCTTAGAATGGTTGGGTTTACCTTGGAACTATAGTAGATAATTTGGGGCAGGGCACATAAATAAGTTAAATATATTTTTCTCTCATTCTTATTTTATAAAATATATCATCATTATTCTGGCTAATTCTTAGAAGATTAACTTCTAAATATTCTTGTTATATGTATAAACTGAAAAAGAGGTTTCTAAATTCTATTTAAGAGATAAAATGGGACCACAAGTAAATATTTGCATTCACTCTTTTGGTAATGACAATTAAGTAAATACTGTTTGGATTTTTTTTGTTCTTGTTCTTATTTTTAATATTTTAATATAATTTCATGATAAGTGAATGTAGAATAATACCATTGTAAAAACAACAATATAATAATAATAACACAGTAATATAGAGTATTCGTTGAGGCTTTAATTTTTGCTAGTTGTTCATTTTTTTAAAAAGCTTTTCAAGTCCTTGAGTTAGGTGCTTTTGTTTTCCACAGGCAGTTACCACGCTTCTTGAGCTTCGGTAGGTTTCCTGATGTCACACAGCTGGTATATGGTGATCAGGGCTTCTGAGGCAGCAAGTGTGATTTTGGAGACAGTACTTTGTTGGTCCCAAACCATACAGGAACTGTAGTCCCTGTGTCAAGAGTATGGGATAACAAAACAATCATATAGCGAAAAATTCTTTGCAATGCATTTTAGTCTATTTAACTTTGGCTTGGACATCTAAACTGGTAAGTGCCCCAAAATTGAAAATTTAGACTTTCACTACCCTTGATATCTCCAAGCCACTTCTCCTTGTGTCTTCTCCTCATCTGACATAGTAAGAGAGCCTATCAAATTAAACCCTTGGTTCTTTTTTTCCTTTTAATAACCGATCTAATTACAACGGGGATATAAATGTTTTCATCTTTGTTAAAAGAAATATTCTTCTTATGTATGCATTTAGATTTTGTGGAAAGGATATGTAATAGAACTTGAAAATACCAAATTAAATTTTAATAGAATATATAGTGAAAAATGAACATTTAGATTTAACTTTGAAATAAAGCATGATTTCGTTGTCATCTAAAAGTCATGCTTAACAATGTCAAATGATTTGGGATCTTAATTTGTCAATGAGAGCTGTGGTTGATGCTTCCCAGTCTTGCAATGGATTCTCAATTGTTAGTGACAAGTAAATATATTAAGCTCATGATATCATGTATTTTCCCAAGGATGTTGAAGACAGTTTGAGAAAGAGGGTGGAGTTTCTTGAAACAATTTGCCAATATGAAATACTGTACATATCAAATTGGCCCTACTACCATCTTTCCCAGACCATTTATCATACCTCACAAATCCAGCCCACATTTTCTCTTTCTGAAAGACTTGACTAATAAAGAAGATGTGGGCTTCAATCTGAACTTGTCAATCAATCTTAGTAACAAAGCAGTAATGATTTTCATCTATTAATGATTTATTTCAATAAAAAGCAATACATATGAATTTATTGCTAGTGTGAACCACAATTATTCACTGTCCAGATTCCATTCTCTATTTTCCGTATGTTGAGATGTTTCAAAAAGTTTTATCAAAGCGGGTCACAAGAAAAAAAATCCATAGGAATAAATTTGAGAAAGCTGTCAGCTCTATCTGCTTTTCAGCTTCAAAAATAAATATAGTTTAAGGACATTTTTTCTCTCATCTGTTCAACATATTGTACCAATTTTCATCAAAAAATTACAATTTCTAGGTGTGTGTCTCTAGATACCCTTAGAATTTCTGCTCTTTGACCCTGAGAGTAAATTGATCTTATGCACACCTGTCTTCCTAGGGAAACTTGCAAACTTGATTTTTGAGCCAAGCATCAAAGAGATATGATATTATTAGACAGTATAGAGCTCAGGTAAAAAGTCCAGGAAGTATCTTGAAGTACTTGAAGTTTTGAAAGGGAAGTGATATCTGCAGTGAAGAGCTATTTAAAGTAGATCAAATGCTACAACTTACTTCTTCTTATTGTTTTTAAAAGGTCGGATCAGCTATAAAAATTTTAAGACAATATTTTTTCTCTGCCTTAAAATGGTTCTAAAGCCAAAAATTTTCTGGAATCTGTATAGCAATTAAACAATTTTCCAAATAATGGGGACTAATTAAAAGGATATCTATGTTTAATTCTTTTCTCTAGAAGTTCTTTCTAAGAAAAAGGTAATTTGTATGCCTAGAAGTGATTTGTTTTTGTTTTGCAGATGAAACACTGAATTATATAACCCTTGCCTGCACAAAATCCTCTCAATGTATGTGTAATACTTTGAAATATCAGGAAATGAAATCTTTTTATGAAATATTATTGTGGAGCATTTTAAGGCCAGAAATAGCAGACATTTTGGACTGTCAAGGAGCTTACGTCAATTCATTGACTTAAATAACCTAATCTAGTAATAGTGGAATTGTCGTGTAGTTAATGCTGATATGAGATGGCCAGAATGGAAGGTAAACATAATTAATAAATTATAGAGTCACACTTTTCTTCATAGTTCTAGTGAATATTTTAGAATTTGCTTCATTTACTGGTAAGATAAAGCTCTCGCTCAATTAAAAGTTACTTATCCTTTACTTCATTGAACAGCTGTTTTTCAACCAAATTTCAATGTCTTTGGGTCATAGAGTGAATTTTTTTTTTTGAAACTGAGCAATTACCCTCTTTTTCTATGATTTTACATCTAAAGTTTACTACTACTAGACTTATTGAGATGACAAATAATGTGGAAAAAAGAGATTGAATGTTTGTTTTAATATACTGTAAATATAAATTTGTAGTCCCTTTTTTGAGAGCTAGATAAATATAATGGCTTACTAGTATTAAAATTTACATATTGACTTTCCCACGTGGAGGAATCATACTCGTGAAAACTTTGCTCAACTGAAGGTCTGTTCAGATATTACATCTGAGATGCAGAGCTGAAGTTCACACTGTTTTCTGATGGGCAGGACTTTCAGAGAGTAGTTCAAGTCTTTGCATGACATCAAACATGTGGATGATAGACTCAATTTTCCATATTTCATCCCAATGATTTGGTGTCATATAGATGGAACTTATAAATCAACATCTGTTTTCGTTTAGGCAGAAATTTAAACTTTTCTGGCACTATTCTAGAAGGGTAATGGCTTGTTCTTGTATCCATTAGGAATCTGCCCATCTTTCTTGTGGGCACTGCAGTACTGGGTATTGGTTATCTAAACATCTATTCCAAAGAGCAGCACTACTGTCGTAAAGCCATAGGGAGGGTGGTGAGCTTATGAACGACAAAGCTTCTAGTGGGAAAGACTTACCAAAATGGCATTTGTCCCATTATCACTCATATCTCAACTTCAAAGTGGAGAGAAGAGGACAAAATAGATTATTCAGTCCCCATTTAAGCACAGCAGAATTGTAAATCTGCATCTCAATTTGAAGATATTTTTACATCCCAAAACACTTGTATGAAAGGCCATCAAGAAAATAACATGTACACATTATCTTTCCCATTAAAGAAACATATTGTTGCACTTGAAAATAAAATGTTGGCTCGCCTAGGATGTATATTTTTAGCTGGTTCTTAACTCTTTTAAAATTAAAGTGATGCTGGAGTTACCGAAATGGACTGAATTTCAGAAACAAAAGAGCATTTTTACTGGAACAGAAGCCAAAAGCAAATAAATGAAGAAGAGCTCATTCAAACCCAAGAGCAAGAATAGAAGAGGCACAGATTTATAATTTGAAAGTTTTATTACCCAAAGAGATCTGGGTTTCTTATCCTTCTGTACTTTTAGTTTCAGAAAGTCTCCCAGAGCTGCCTCATTAGGCCTCTGATTTTGCTTTATATACCCATGTTGCCTCCCCTGTAGAAGTTTCTGACACTGTAGATTCTTTTATGTTTCAGTACTTCTAAAATGAAAACAGCACTGTAGAAATGATTCAGTGATGGCTTCCTTTCCGGTAAATATGACACCGTCGTAGTAGGTGAAACGGACAGGAACAGAGATAATAAAATCTGACGTGTCATATTTTACTGACTCAGTTTCAATGAACTGATTACATTCTAAATCATTAGAAGAACTGAAGTCTGCCAAAAGTTTGTTAATATATACTATTTAGTTTGGTTTTTTGAGGGTGTGACAATTAATACAAATCAAATGATTGTATGTAGAATAAAAAAATTAATATGAAGGAAGGCTCACTCACCTGTTAATTTACTAGTCTCAATTTTTTTAATTAACAAATTAATATTATTTTGTCTCTCTTCTAAGATACACACAGAAGGGGAGAGAGAGGGTGAGTCTGGCACAGGTCTCTAAACATACTTTAGAAGAGAAAGAAATCCTCCCATTGTCAGAGCTGAGCATAAAATCTGCACCAAGTTTGAAGGGCTTATGTGGCCCAATTTAAAATTTTGTTGTTTTATAATAACTTTGGAGAATTGTATTGTTCCTTATAAAATACCCACATGTTCTCCTTTGGAATAGCTCCAGAGTGTAACTGAACCACGAGGTTGCCTCCTGGTGCTTTATGT
Organism: Homo sapiens; assembly: GCF_000001405.40. Lineage (NCBI taxonomy): Eukaryota > Metazoa > Chordata > Mammalia > Primates > Hominidae > Homo > Homo sapiens. The sequence goes on from NC_000007.14 coordinate 18,845,542, forward strand.
ATTGTTTAATTGTTTGCTTTGGTGGATGTTTTTATTAAAAGCTTATTATTTAGGATAAGACCAAAGTGTCATTTTAAGAACAACAGAAGCAGAGCTGTTTGGTCTCATAGTTCTTTTTCATAGGTGTGTTAGTGAATACTAGATACAGCTAATGAACCAGCTGAAAATTGTTCTTGTAATACTTCACAAAGAGCAACAACGACAACAAGCAAAACCCTTGATTTTTATTTTCCTTCAATAAAACATGACCAGATTGGCTAGAAGAGCTAGGAGTCTCCATGGCTGTGTCCAGGCCTCGAAGGAAGAGAGGTATCTGTGGGTGCGCATCTGCTCTGTCTGTGTTTTGTTCCAGGAGGAGTTTGCTTGGAGTCACGTGCACTGTGGTACACAAGGCCATAGCAAACCTCAGGAGCTGGGAGGCAGTGAAGCCCCTGTGTCACAAGGGCCGTAGTGGGCTTCCTGGGGTGTGTACCAAGCCTACGAAGGCTTTAGTGGATCTCAGAACTACAAAGTTCTTCATGTCCTCCCTCTGCCCACAATTTGATTGCAAGATAATTATCTTAGCTGAGATCATTCTGAATATAAATTAGGTCTGGGAAAAGTTTTTAATTCAATGATTTTAATTCTCAATGTTCTTCTCCTCCCTGAATATTTTCTTTTCTGAAGCAGTATCACCATATCACTCACCGACTCCTCAGAAGTTGGCTCTGGAAAGAATTCATAATGTTCCCTAGCAGTTCCTTGCCACAAAGAGCAAGCAAGAGTTTGATTAGTCCATGACTTCCCAAGCTAGTCTTTGTGACTGGGACCCACCCTCAGACAAAAAACTTAAAGGCAATATACCTTGAGATAATTTCTAGGACTTACATGACCTCATTAAATTCCGACTCTAGATCTTATGTAGACATTTGAGGAAATATGGTTATTGACAAAATGTAAGCCCATTATAGACTATATCACTTCAAAAGGAGAAAGGCCATTAGAACATAATTACATCAGAAACAGTATACACGTTTGGCTGGTTTATAAACTGTCACTTTCAGAAGTACGAAGACTTATAAAAGTTTCCAAAGGTTCCATTATAACCCTATTTCCAACAGTATTCTCTGACAAACTAAATAAATTACTGCATGTATTGGACCTTTGAGGCTTGGGGCAAAGAATGGAAAAATTATTTACAAAAGCTTGAAAATATTTAATCACTAGAGGCAGGGGGGCAACGGTGTTTTAATTAGCAGGTCCTCGGGCCATTGGCTGACTAGAGGCTTTCTCAAACAACCACACAAATGCACTGAATAGCTGTTTGCCAGCCTTAGGGTCAGGCCTGAGATGAAACAGATAAGATAATTGGCTCTAATGAAATCCAGAAGGCCTTGGCTTTCTTGTTTGAGCTTGGATTTGAAAAGTGCGTGTGGAAGTGAGGCTTAATTCAAACCAGAACTGAGCTAGGCCCGTTTCTCAGTGACTTTGATATTGTTTGAAGTTCTAAAAGTGTTCGCCACACCACTAGCCTGCTGGGCTGGGCCTCCCTGGTACCCTTAATTACTAAGCTTTATTGCTGACTTTACTACACAGGAAAGGGGCCATTATATGTTCCATCAACATCAGCTCTTCTCAGATTGGAGGAAAGGGCAGGGTTAAAGGCCACTGTAGGAAGGCAAAAACTTCACTTTGAGGTAGTCAGATCATTTACCAGTGTTGAATTTCACCGTTACGCACATACATTCCTTACAACACAGAAGCCCCAATTTCCATTTTTTAAACAAGTGATTACTTTTCAAAACATTTTTGTTTGTGCCTTTTTTTCTTTTTCCTTTCTTTTTTTTAGAGAGAACGTTTATTTTTAAGGACTGAAATGATTGCACATGATACACTGAAAAAAAAGAGTACAACACCTCCCAATTAATCATCACACCAGAAGGTCTGGTTGGATTCTGTAATAAGGAGGATTATTATTAATGCCCCTTTGAAGTGGAAATAAGTGAGGAACCCTCCTGTGGTGTGAGAGTTGTCCTGACACCCTGAGGAATAAAGACGCCTCAGGAGACTCTACAAAATTAAATCCCAGCTTCTAGAGTCTCTCACAAAGTGGTTACACAAAAGGGCTCCCAAACCAGTTTGAAGCCAAGAAGCAAAAACGAGGAAGTCTCCCCCTGAGGGGTCAGCTGTGGTGTTACTGAGGATTCCATCCTCCCCATTCTGGCCGCTGCTCTGCCTTTGGTCCAACTGGTAAAATGGATTATGCATACATATGAATTAGTAACTATTCAACACTTACCCCTCTCAGATGAGGAGATCTGGTTATGCTATGAAAGCCAAGGGACACGGAGTCCAGTCCTATTTCCTGCCCTATTTATCACCTCTGGTTAGGAAAGTCATGAGCGATTCTATCAGACTTAACTCGTTATGAAAGAACAAGTTGAGTATATTTTGCATTATTTAAGTAAACTTGACATTAATATGATCCAATTTCATCCATGATCCTGCTAACCATTTATCCAATACTCTTTTCTGGGTATTGTTATGCACAGGTGGACTGGGTCCTAGGTCTCCACTAGGATGATGTGTGTCTGGGCCTAAGGAACCATATTAGGAACCCAGGGAGACCAGTATTAGGAAGACAAAACTGAGCTTCTGCTTCCTAACCTTTCCTAAGCGGAATTAAGGAGGCCCTATACAAATTTTTGCCAGTGATGAACATGATATCAGCTCTGATCAGAAGAAGAATCTGATCATACTCAGCTCGTTTTAAGTATGTATGTTTTTCATTAGGCACTGTTATTGTCTAAATGTTTGTGTTCCCCCAAAACATGTATGTTGAACCCCTAACCCTCAATGTGATGGTGTTTGGAGCTGGGGCCTGTGGGTGGCAATTAGGGTTAGATGGAATCTTGAGGGTAGGTGCCCTTATGAGCAGTGACACCAGAGAGCTTGCTTCCTTGCTCTCTCTCCATGCACACACACCGAGGCAAGGCTATGGGTGCACGCAGCGAGATAGGGCTGGTTGTAATCCGGTGAGAGCGCTCTCATCAGGGCCCAACCATCCTGGCACACTGACCTCAAACTTCTAGCCACCAGAACTGTGAGAAACTAAGTTTATGTTGTTTAAACTACTCACCTGGTGGTATTTCTTTTTTAATGGCAACCTGAGCAGAATAAGACAGACACTATAAAGATCTTTAATATGAGAAACCAAGCAACCCACTAATGGACTTAAATTACCAAAAAAAGTATCTTCCAAACCATATTTTGCTAAACACTGGATACAAGAAATGTTAATAAGTGTTTCTCAACAATAAAGAATATCCTATAGGGAAAAATCTCTAATTGAAGACATATAATATGTAAATTCATGTTAACAACTGCAGGAATTCCAGTAGTAATTTTACATTATTTAATGCATTCTTCCTCAAATTATTTGAACATGAAACTCCCAGCTCCCCACATCTCTTCACCCAACATCTGTAAGTATCATGAAAACTAACATTCTATAGAACACAGTTTGAAAAATTCTGATAGATATAAGTAGCAAACTTAGTGGGCATTTTAAACAGTCCATCGCTAATTCAGTAAACATGATAAAAGTAAGTAAAACACATCTGCCCCTAAGATTCTCACAGTCACTTTAGTAAAATAAGTACATTATATTACATGTCATTATAATATTGTGTTATCACATAAACTGAGCATACCACAATCCATATTCTACGGACTGTCTTCTCCTTTTTCCACTGATTACATGTGAGTGGTTCTTAGATAACACACCCTAAAGACAAAGAAAGAAAGGAAGAGAAACAGAATTAACAAGAGAGGGAAAAGAGTGTCAGTTTCCTTTGCTATGACTATTAAATGACTCAGTGAATTTTCTTAGGGTAAAGTTACTGCCATTCAAAATTATAGTAAATTGGTAATATTTTACAGTCATATATTTTTTGTTTCAGCTGAGTATATTTTGTTTCAGCTTAAGTATGGGCACATATCTCCCACACTTTTTTAGATCAGATATGACACATAAAAAAGATGGCTTTGGTTTTTTAAAAACTCTTACAATTAGCAACTAATGGCAGTGTGAACATATAATTGGTTTTATAGGTAAATCAATTTGTCGACTTACAAACTTTTAAGACTTCATTTGTTATTCATAACTACATTTTGCTGAGGAAAAAAATACTTGTTTATGTCAAAAAGGGGAGAATTTCCATTAAGTTCATACTCTCCATGATGAGAAAGCACACCCCGAAATAAGACATTAAATGTTAGAATGTATTACTTTTCCTGGTTAGAAAAGAACTTGGCTTTGGGAGTGGACCCTATGCGTATCATGGTGTGGCAATGCCATTTTGTTTCCAAAGATAACATTTGTAGATGTACAGATGTCCTGAACTTTATTAAACCACAGCTGTGGTTATCACATATTTATTCAAAAGATATTACAGCTATCAAAGCAGTATGTCAGCAAAGTCCTTAGTAGTTTGCTTAAATTGCCCTTTCATTTTACTGTATCTGTAAGTATTCAACCAATGTCTTTAAAAGCCTGAGTAAAAAAAAAAAAAAAAAAAGAAAACACAAATAAGCAAACACGAAGCATTATTTACATGGAAGCATTCAGAAATCATGAATAGCATTATCACAAATGAGTTATGACATTTTATAGGTTCACAAAAACGAGAGAGAGAAAAAATACTTTCCTTGAATAGCACAAAAGCATGCAGCTTTCTTTAGCACATTGATTCTTATTCCAACGATCTGAATGTGGAGTGTGCTTGGCCAATGATGATGTGGCTGAAATATGCAATATTTATGAGGCACAGACCCTTGTACTTCTTGTTCGAGGAGAGGCAGAAGTGTGACAATGTCCTTCCAAAAATGAAAGCGTAGGGGAGGATTCTTCCCTGGAATAAACCTACAGAATGCTTTCTTCTGTGGACCATTAGTAGATTTTTTCCTGAGCCAAACATAATGAAGAAGTATTTTTTATCTCAAAGCTCAAAACCTCTGCATCTATTGTCATATTGTATTTGTCCTCAAATATCCTTATGAATTGGACATGATACTTCTGAAAATCACACAGGAAATTATTCACATGTCTAGAATAGAGGCTTCCCTCGCCATTAATTCAAAATGGGAAACCGAGTGCATTCCTGTCTTGCTTCATTAAGGCTGCTGTCACAACATATCATGGACTGGATGGCCCATAAACAACAGAAATGTATTTTGTACACTTCTGGAGGCTGAGAAGCCCAAGATTCAGGCGTCAGCAGAATCAATGTCTGTTGAGGGCTGCTTTCTGGTTCATAGATGGCACCTTCTAGCTAAATCCTCACATGGTGGAAGGGTGAGGCAACTCTGTAGGTTTTCTTTCACAAGGGCACTAATCCCGTTCTTGAGGGCTCTGCTCCCATGGTCTAATCACCTTCCAAAGGCCCCACCTCCTAATATCCGTCTGGGTTAGGATTTTGACATGTGAATTTATAGGGGACACATTTAGGCCATAGCAATTGCCAAGACAAACATGAGTGGATTTTGAAGAGTAGTGAGAATTAACCAATTCTTGTGGTTGCAGTGCTTCCCTTTGCCTAGCAGCAGCAGGTCTCTGCTCTCACCAGATTTCCATGAGGAGCAGCTGAGCTGCAGTATCTATTCGCTCTACTTTCTTGGGTGCTGATACGGTTTGGCTCTGAGTCCCCACCTGAATCTCATCTCGAATTGTAATCCCCATGTGTCGAGGGAGGGACCTGGTGGGAGGTGATTGGATCATGGGGGCGATTTCCCCACGCTGTTCTCATTATAGTGCTTGAGCTCTCACGAGATCTAATGGTTTAAAAGTGTTTGGCAGCTCCTCCTTTGCTCTCTGTGTCTCCTGCTGCCGTGTATGAAGTGCCTTGCTTCTCCTTCGCGTTCCGCCATGATTGTAAGTTTCCTGAGGCCTCCCCAGCAATGTGGAAGTGTGAGTCAATTAAACCTCTTTTCTTTATAAATTACCCAGTCTCGGGTAGTTCTGTATAGCAGTGACAAAACGGACTGATACAGGTGCTCTACGTTCGTATTACCTCTTAGTAATTATCGTCTTTTATTTGCCTTCCCATGAAACTGCGTTTTTAATTTTCAAAGAGTGGACTTGAAAGGTTAAGAACACATTTGTACGATGTGCTTTTCCTGAAATGTTAGTTAGTATAGTGATTTATATTAAATCATCCAATCTACTTTTTAAAATTCCATTAACACCAAATGTCTAATTATTCCTGTCTTGTAAACTGCATTTATGAAAGCAAACCATTTTCCGTTTTTCTTTCTTTTACGGAAACATCCAATCAAAGTTGGTTTCCTGAATATTTAGATTCATTAGACTTTCTTCATTTGTAAAACTATAGGAGCAGCTACTCAGCAATGCCTTCTTCGCTCCTTGCAGGCAGGTAGGTGCCTGTGTGGGAAATACCTTAGGAACCAAGGATTGTTGGAAACTTGTCTTTAGAGACAGTCCTTCTAACAAGGCTGCTGAGGGGTGCAGAAATGGTACACCTCTGTTCTGGCTGCTTGATCAGTGTCTCAATTTAGCCTTTGGTGCTTTGAGGTATCTTTCATGTGCGTAAAGCTGCCTTACAAGTAGCTGACTTTCTCCCATGTGCTTAACTGAGCTAGTTGCTGTGGAGAAAAATGCAGAAGCATGTAACAGTCGGGGCTGGGAGTGAGAATCACTACAAGACAATTAGAGAATGAGCAAAGCCTGATATATTGACCATGCACTAGGAGAACAAAGATAAGGGAAAGGACTCTTAATCCAAGTCTTGTGAGTAGCCCAGTGTCCTCCTGGCATGTCCAGGAACTTGAGGACGATTAGAGTCAGGCGAGGAGGCGGAGGATTATAGACATACTATCATTCCTATTCTGAGGCCAGGCCTGATTTGTGGGTGTTAATCTTGTACAATTACAGAAACTCTCTTTCAAAGAAATAATACAAAGGCAAAAATTCAAAAATAGGTACAGGGACTTGGAAAAGGTCCATGTGAGTGAGGGACTTTGAAAATTAAGATTCATTAGCTTTATGGTAAATATGCCTTGGTACATATAGTCCTAACACCTTGTATTGCCATTAATTGGAGTGAAACAATGGACACTGCACCATGGAATGAGCCTTAAGTAAAATTAATGGCTATGCTGGGTAGTGAAGAGAAACAGACAAATTCTGCAAAGGTGGGGGATTTCTTAGAGAAACTGCACTGACAGGGAATGATCTTGACATAAAAATTCAACTGGGATACATTTTTCATCTGAGGGCACATGCTGAGGAGATCAAAGTAAAGGAGCTTTTTTTTTTTCCCTCTCTTTCTTTCCAGTGTATGTTAAGGTAGATTTTTAAAAATATATATAAGAAGAAAGGATCCATCGAGGAAAAATAATGAAGTCAATCCAAACCAAACAAATCATAGTAGGGGTGCGGGGAGCAACCAGTATTTACATGGGGAGCGCACACTCTTCTTTTGGGTTTGGTGTGAAGGGTCTTCACCTGTTTGTGAAAGTGTTCAGAATGTGGACTGAGGCTAGTCCCTGAGTCGGCCTGGCTCCGACTTTCCACCGAAGGGGTAGAGTTGCTTTAATGTGGTTCACGTGTATGGTGTTTCATCTTAAGCAGAGTGATTTATGTTAATGAAATGAAACAGAAAAAATACCCTTTACATCCTAGTCTCCTTAAAAATATTAAATAAATATGTCCAGGACTTTTGCATGATTATATTTATTAAAACAAATGGAAGACTTCAATCCATACCAGAATAAATTTGTAGGTGACCCTGGGGAGGGTTAAATCCATTAGGAAAAAAAAATGAGTTTGGGGGTTTCTTACCAATTCTGAAAAGAAAGTTTTTAAAGCCATTAAGTTCAGCAATATAATAGATGGTTACAAAATGAGCATCAATTGTAAGATAATTTGTTCTGTAATTTAGAATATTGTTTTGTTTGGCTTCTGAAAATTTAATCCCCAAATCATGGTTCACAAAATATATTCAGAACATCTTTATAAATTGAATACTAGACTTCTTACTGTGTTAATGAGAATTAAGCATGTGCCATCTTTAAAGTACCTATTTGAAACTGTTATAATTTAAGAGTTCAGCTTTTAATTGTTTGTCATAACTGTTCTACTAATACAGAACTAGTCATTTTAATAGAACTTAAGGGCAGCAGAATCTTTTCAACTCTTAGATTTCATTAGCGTGCATTTACCTATACCTTTACAACATGATTATATAATTAAATTTCAAGGAAATTAAATTAGCCAAATGAATACATTTTAAAAAATTAGTTGATTGGCATTTTTCTCAGAAGTTACCTATCTGATGACAAACATTAGACATAAGAATAATTCACATGTCTGGTTATCTTAAGTGTTGATTGAATTGTAATTTATCCAGCTGACTGTAATATTTAGTAAAAGTGGAATTAGCCAAGGAAAATGTAGTTCACTTGCTTGGAACATAGTGACATACTCTTAATTCCTCTAGTATAAATAAATAGACATCTATTTTTGAAATACTTTTTAAAAACAAGGTTAAGAAAGTAATACAATAAAACTTCTATTTTAAAAATCTTTCTGTTCATTGCTATGTGGGAAGACTTCACCAGAAATGTACCAGAAATTTTCCTTAATGTGATGTACCTGTGGGTATTTGGCAAGCATGTCACTTGGCAGATAGTTGCTAATATGGAGCACAAGAAAATGAAATGTAAGGGTACTTTTAAAACACATTCCTGAGAAATGCTTAGCTCTATCTGCCAGGTGATATATCATTTACTGTCATATATTGGCAGCTGAAAAACTGAATTTTATTTTTGCTGTCTTGGCTACAGATATTATGTAAATTATATTCTTATGGGGTTCAAGGTAGTGATCATGATTGTAATGACGTTGATAATGGTCATTTAATCAATACAGAGTCTGTCGGTGTATCTTACTGCAAAGAAAAATAAGTTTATGGTAATTCAGGTGTATTTCCAATTAAACAGAAAGGAGAATCAGAAGAAGAGTCAATAGGAGGGTAGAGAAAATATAGAAATGGCTGTAAGAGAAAGAAACAAAGAGAAATAGAGGACAAAGACACTACTCTAGTCTAGTATGGGATGCTAAAAGAAAAAAATACTGAATAGAGAAAAGTATAAAAAGTCTAATAGAAGAGTAAATAATCAAATTGGGGTAATTTTTTAAATGGGTGGGAGTAAGGAGCCACTACAGCAAGAAAAAAAACAAAAATAGTAAATGCCATTATTTTCAATAAATGCTAAAATTTATGAAAATGGGATTTTATCACGGTCATTGACGTTATAGCATTAATGGTCTATATATTTTGACAGCGTACTTAAACCCCCAAGGTAGGCAACATGGTGAGTGCCTGCGTAAATTGGTCAGGGCTTGGGTTGTTATTGTTAAATGTTTTGATGATCACCTAGGTTTAAAATAATGCTTTCATAATATAATGGGAAAATGGATGCAATTGGCTGCTAAGTGATTGGCGTCAGATTTCAGAGGTAGTATGAATTAGCTAGAAGGCGTCCCTTAATCTCACTGCACTCTACTCTCCAGAAGCCGTCTCTGAAACCAGAGCAGTAATAGGACATGTCTCTATCACACAACCAATGAATGTCACAGGCTGGTTTTAAGACTTCCAGCTCAGGACTTGCTTTACACTAAATTACGTGCAGCAGACATTTTCCAAATATACACCCCCTAAAGATCTATCGTGACCTAGCGTAGTGTTATTACAGAGAAGGGAGTTGGAAAGATTGACTGATTGATTAGTGGCCATTCTCTGTAAACCTGACATAAATGCACATTTCCTCTATTTACAGAAAATAGTTGCAATTGTTATTTTATTATTTTTTATCCTGGCCCATGGTCAGTAGCTCTATCCACCTCATTTCTATCATTGCTAGAGTCTTTTGCTTTAAGTCTTCATCATGAGCATGCCTTTCCTGCTTGTCCTTTGAGAACACTGTTCACAGTTCATGGCACTGACTGTGTTTAGGCATGGTGGCCGTGCTGAACTTGAGCACTCCTTTTCAACTGCCTGTGGTTTCACCACTTCTTAATATGTTAAATTTATTTAGGCTGTGGTTGTTAGCCCCTTATTTTTCTGCTTGCCGTTCTGTCAGTTAATGTTTCCCTTGCATAGGTCAGAAGGTGGAGAGGGGAAGAAAAGAGGGAGAAGGGATTCTTAGCCAAATCCAGGTCAAGCTGTCTAACCAAACGGTAGCTGATTCTATTACCAACTTGGTCTCTGTTTCCCAGCCTTTATGGTACCAAGAGACTTTTGCAGTAATGGAAACATTCCTTCTTTTACTTCTGTGCACCGTCATCTTCCTTGACTTCATGCAGAGAAACACAAGGAGCAAAATAATTGTAAGCATTACAGCCTTTTACTCTAATGACCTTGACTCTGCACTGGGATAGATGTCTAATTACAAAGAATTCAGCACAGACCACATTAGCGAGGCTGGTGTTTGCTTTGCACACAGACCCAACATCTGTTGGATCTTTGGAGCAGAGATTTAGTCATGGGAGATGAATCCTGCTGTTCTCTTAAAATGCATGCTTTGAAAAGAATGCTCTTATAATATTTTGGTCCTGAGAGATACGGCATCATAGGTTCACGCTAAGGCTCACAGCCCCTAAGAAATTATGAGTAACTGATTAGATTTTTATAACTGCAGATCAAGTCCCTAAAATAAGAATCTATTCTTATCTTAGAAACTATGAGTATTATTTAGAAACCATGAGTAACTGATTAGATTTTTTAACTGCAAATCAAACCCCTAAAGTAAGAATCTATCCCTAAAAATCAAAATCTATTTTGCTATTTTGGTCACTATAATGAACAGAGGGAGTTGAACACATGGTTATCTCTCCACCACTCATGGCTGCTGCATAGAAATTGCCCCTAAAGGATGTTAATATTATTGATTTTATAAACTATGTAGGTAGAACCTCTATTTTTCTTACACTGAACTTGGAGTGGGCAAAAAGAAGCCTACAAATGCATTATAAACATTGCAAATGTACATTATGAATGTATATTACAAATACATTACAAATGTGCAAATGCATTAGTAGCTTCCCTTAATTTCAGTTTATGAGTTTGTGATATAAATGGCAGGGAAGAAAAACATTTGTGTGCATTTATCTTTGGAAATAGCACAACTTATTTAATCAATTGCTTTCTATTAACATTTTTTTGGTGAATGTGAACAATACAATCAAATGTAACATCGATTTGGGTCTCTGTGATTTTCCCTGTCACCTCAATTCATTCCCGCCTTTTCTCCACATTACTGTCTTTCCCTGAAGCATAGGTAGTATTCATTTGCCACCTGAATGATCACCGCTGGGTCACTGTTGTGAAACCATAAAGTGCCTTGAAGGAAATCACAGTGCAGTTATTCAGTCTGTTCATATATTCTTCTCCTACCTCTCAGCTTTATCTTTTTCTTTCTCCGATTTCTTCAGTCCAGCTTTCAACTCTTCACTCCCATATATGTCATGTTTCAACTTCATTTAAATTTTTATCTTTTTCTCTATGTGTCATAGTTTTGGTAATTTTATGACTAAAACATGCTTTTCCTTTTGTCTGGAAGTATTTATTTTCTTTCACTGAATAATTGCTTCTCTTTTTTTATTTTTTTTTAACTGTGTTGCAGCACATAAAAAGTTTATGAAATCAATTCAGAGGGTCAAGATTGGCATTTTAATAGAATGTAATAGAAGATAAAAGAGTGTCACATATTGTTTCACAAAATATGTTTTAGTTGTGTGTGTGTGTGTGTGTGTGTGTGTGTATGTATGTATGTACTAGTTCCTGGAGTGAAATGTACTTTTTTGTTTGTTGTGGTTTGAGAATTTTGAAAGCCACTGTTTAAACAGCCAATTAAAATATCATTTTATCTATAAAGTTTTGTCTCTGTTCTCCAGAATAATTAATAAGTTCATTTTCTATGTCCACATTTATAGCTGTAGTTTCTAGAGTAATTATTGTTTTGAACTGGGAGAAAAAAATCAATATCTGTATTAATGAACGCATCCCTTTGAACTGGAAGAAATTTGTTTACAGAGTTGCTTCATCCATGCCATCTGAACTTGTTAAGTATAGGAATCATAGGAATCTGTCCTGACATTATGAAATCTAGCACTTGGCACCTTGGCATTGAGATTCACTGTAGATGTTCAATGAATGTTCCAGGAATAAATTAATAAATGAAAAAATCTATGAAAAGACAAACTTGACAAAGTTGGGTTCAGCTATTTTGTTTTCAAATGGGAATGTGACATTCCCATTTTCAATGGGAATTTGAAAATATTTATCTAATATCTGCTACTTGAAAAGATTTTTAAAAACAAGCTAATTTTTTAAATATGAGGGTACAGTACTGATGTACTAATAACTGTGGAGTATTATTTGGTCTAAAACAAATACACATGCACAAAAGAAAATTAGTTTTCAAATGTTTATCCATTGAAATCTTGGATTCTGCCGGCTGTTTAGTGGTTCATTTAGCATGTCACAGTATCATGACAGCAGTGTCGAAATACCACCATAACATTCCCTTTTCAAAAAATGAAAATAATCAGTGAGAAAGCTAGCTATCTGTGCATATGGATCCACATGGTTGCATATTTGGAAAAATGGATAATCAATGTATTACTCAATTCTTAGGCTGCTGTGAAGAAATACCCTAGACTGGGTAGTTTATAAAGGAAAGAGGTTTAATTGACTCACGTGGCTGCATGTTCTGCATGGCTAGGCAAGCCTCAGGAAACTTACAATCATGGTGGGAGGCACCTCTTCACGAGGCAGCAGGAGAGAGAATGAGTGCCCAGCAAAGGGGGAAGCCCCTTATAAAACCGTCAGCTCTCATGAGAACTCAATATCACAGGAACAGGATAGGGGAAATCACCCCCATGATTCAATTATCTCCACCTAGTCCCTCCCATGACATGTGGGGATTATGGGAACTACAATTCAATATGAGATTTGGGTGGGGACACCAAAGTAACCAAATCAGCTTATGTTAACATTTCCTATCTAGAATGTTTGAATGTACTTTACTCAGAAATTGCTTTCATGCTAATCCAAGTGACAACCCATAGTCTAACTAGTCAGAGTATATTTTTATCTTAAATAATAAAACTACTCTATCATGTCACCATGGAAATTTCGTACTTTGTGGAGTGAACATTGCAGTTGGAATTGTACCTGGAAATAAGTTGCTGCTGAATAAATATTGACAGCAGTGTCTCATTTTTACCATGTCCTGATCTCCTGTGAAGTTTGAGTGGCATACCTACTTCCCTTCTAACTCACAGAAACACTGAAGTGATTGCTTCAATACACATGATATGCCTTCATTGCCTCATTGAATCAGAGCACTTAGAAACACTATTTTTTCATCCAAAAATGCAGTTAAAAGGCAGTGAAATTGTCAAGCTTCCGAGAACGTGATCTTTGGATTCAGACAGATATGAGTTTGAATCCCAAGTCAGTCAGTTATTTGCTGAAACAACTTGACTGATTATCTTACCTTCATTGAGTCTTAGTCTTACTGTCTATAATTGGGATCAAAGTACATAATTTCAAGTATATTGTGATCATTGCAACATTAGAAGGAATGTATAAACTTCTTAACTTCATGCCTGGCACCTAGTACATTGTCAAAATGGTTGATGATTTTGTTGTTGTTGCTAGAAGAAAAGAGTTTCCTTGCCTCCAACATAAACTATTTTTTTAGTTTTGGAATTAATCCTACTCTCCTGTTATTTTAGCTATGAATACATGTAACACTCCTAGATCTTGGGCTGATCTCCTGATTGAGAAGACAGCCTGACTCTGCACTTCAGAACTCTATTCAGGCCCCAAGTTCTTTCTTTCTTCTCAGTCTCTTTCTGGCTATGCCTCAGGGAACAAGTAAAATGTGTTACTAAATGAGCTTGCCTTTTGTCTTGTTCATCTCACATTGCTACGCAATTAAAAAAAAAAAAAACTTGATGATGCTGCCTTCCTCAGAAAGGCCACATCAAAAGGTAGAGTTAACCAAAAATAATACACACTTTTTCCAAAGACACAAACAGTTCCTTGAAAAGGATGTCATGCTGTAATTTGTTTTGTGAATTCTATAAACCACAGAACATTTACTTACAGTAATGTTTGACCTTTCTTTTTCCTTATTTTTATGCCTACAAAGCTTCTTTTTCTCTCCTCTTGAGAAGAAATATAAAGGCTAACGCTCTCATATATATATATATATATATATATATATATATATATATATATATATATGTGAGAGAATGAGAGAGAGAGAAATATATATGATTTTATTGGAATACTGAATTTAATTTTTAGCCAAAGTCCTTTGGCTTTATGCAATAATATTTTATGGAATGCAATCACTTGTGCAAAGACTAAAGAGAGGCTCATTTGAAACTTTGCAAAAAGAATATGCTGCTCATAGGGTAATGGGAAATGCAATATGTGTACTAAGCTACACACTGCACCCCACCGAAAGGAGAGAAATCCCTATGACTGATTTGATGGTAGTATAATCTCTTTAGGGATTTTTTGGATAAAGAAAGTAATAACAAAAAATAGGCACATAATTAAGTTTCCAAAGTGCACGTGTCACCAGCATCTTATTGTCCCTCTGGAGGGGAAATTTACTAATGACTTGGGTAGACATTTTTCCTGCTATGTGCCCAACTGAGAAAAAAAAATCAGCCTTTCCAAATTTTCTAAATAATTCTCTGCTATGTAAGTTTTAAGAACATTTTACTGTCATTTGTGTTCTATTTTCTATTCATTATGGCAATGTTTTACAACCACCAGGTTGCTATAGAAATGAAAATAAACAAAGATTTGGAAAGATACATGTTGCAGGGGCTTGTTCTGCCTCTCTTGCCTAAACCATGAGGATTATGTTATTCTTTAAATATACTTTCTTCCTTGGTTATCCAGTTGGTCTTAATATAAGGAAACAAAGTTAAATACTTTGTTCTGACTTGTGTCAAATTTTTCTCAATGTCTTAAACTCTTTTCCTGTCCTTTAAGAATAAATTGGGCTAAAAGAGGATAAAATTAGAAGGAAATAAAGGAAAGAAAAAAAGGAAGACGGAAGAAAGGAAGGAAGGAAAGAGGAAGGAGTAATAAGGTAGGCATAAGATAAAACTAAAAGTTGCTATGGAGCTGACCTCCTTGTCAGCACCCACTGGAACTATAAGGAAGGGTGTATTTTATTGAGCAATCACAGGCAATTTTGAAGGGGTTCAAGAAGAATCAGTAGTTCTAGTGCATTATGCTGGCAAAGACCCTTGCCCGCTCTCCACACCCTTGTAGCTCAGCCTCAGTTCTCTAGGATGTGGTCTTTTGTTAATTGGATAGTAGCAGAGCAAAGTCGGGACTACTGATCCTTTCCAGCTCTAGTCCTTACAAATATGGAAAGACTGATTTAGTAATGCTTATGAAACCAAATACATAACAGCCCCTTTATGTTACTGGACTCACATTTGAAATCATAATAAAATATTTCTTGAGAACCACTGTTGCAAACTTAAAGACACATTTTTGGCATATTAAAATTCACGGTATTTCTATGCTTTTATACAATAATGACTGGGAAGGGACATATATAATTACATTCTACATTTCTCAGCAAAAGAGTGTTTACTTCAGTACAATTTTAATATTAACTCTTAATGACTTCTACCAACTCCAAACTAAGCATGTTTCAACATTTTGTTGTTTCTTTCTAGACTAGATTTCAGTACAGAGTTTAACGAAAGCAAAATCTGTTAATTCTGTTGTCATTGTTTTATATATGGTAATTAGATAAGAATCAGTTTATCTGTTTTGATAAACTAGCAATCTTACCATTTTGCCCAGCTCCCTATGCTTGCGTATAGGATTTTGCCTAGGGAGGTGGCATCATTCTCTATTCAGAGGCGTTCCAAATATAATAATATAAATACACTAATACTATTCTCACAGACAATGTCCCAAAGTCAGGAAGAGATACTGTTGAGAAAAATTTCTCTCTCAACTCTTAGCTCAGAGACACATTGGGCAATATCTCAGAATTAGTCAGAAATGTTACTGGCTACGTGACACATCTTAGGCAAGGAAAGTCCCTCATTGCCTTCAAATATCATTATTTTTTAAACACATAGCATTTAAAATTAGCATTGGCTTCTTAAGCACTAAAGCAATATAAACTTACTAAATGTCATATTTGAAACTCTAATTAAAAGAATACACTTTCTGGACCAGGTATATATGTGAGTGTACACACACACGCATATTCCTAATTATGATATATTGCGTTACATTATGATGTATATGTGCTATTTGTTTGTAGCTTCCTTATTCTCATCAATGATTCATTTAAAAGCACAGAGTACTATAATTAGGATTACTATTTTGATGTAGTGAAATGATATGGACTCACAATGTCACATTTAGAGCTCCAATCTCTTTAGAAGTGATAATTTAGCCCCCAAAATATAGCTTATACAAATTTTGTTCTTGCAGTGAAATAGTTTGCTCTCCACTCTAGGGTCTAGCGTCATCAAAGGAAAGACACACTTTAGAATCGTTCTGAAAGGCCAGGGGCAAATCAGTGGATATGTAGGCAAAGATTTTGATCAGCAAGGATGCTGAGCTTCAGGCAACAACTTTTCTTATCAAATGCAAGAGAAAGAGAATGTGAAGGGGGAAAAAAGTGTCCCTTTGGTGTATTAGATCTGGAACATAGAAAAATCATAGAATAATAGAGCCGCATATGACTTTAGAGTTAATCTAAATGAATCCCCCCAGTCTCATATAATAGTTGAAACTAAGACAATTTACTAAGGTTACCCAAGTGGAGGCAGTGCCAAGAACAGAAATTGAATATCTTGAGTTGGAATCAAGTGATTTTTCTAACCCCCTACAATTGTACACTGAAGCCAGATAATTCAATTTTGAGATGGCACACTGTAGAAATCATTGCAGAATTTAACCCCCTTTTTGAAGACTTTTGGAGAAACCTCACCTTTCCCCCTCTCCATCTGGTTCATACAGTGTTCCAATGCTCATCAGAGGAAGATGGTTAGAGAATGTTTTCCTTTATACTGACAGAGTTCCCATTTGGATAATTAATTTGTAAAAATACAGAAAAAAACCTAGCTAGCTTAGAAGCATATCTAAATCAATGAATAAAAATAGGGCAAGATAAGAGGAAATTCATTTTGAGAAGAATTATGAAGACAGAAAGAGAAAAGCTATGTAGATTCAGGAGAATGCAATAAACAAAACATGGAAAAAATAGAAGCCGTATCATATATATGTCACATTTTCTGAAGGTGTGAAAATTTTTGAGCCCAATTTTTTCCTTTTCTCCTCATTACAGTAGTATAATTTCTAGATTAAAAATGAATTAAATGAGCATTTGCATATTCTTGTAATTATCATCCCCATTCTGCTTTTGTGTCTGGAGAGATTTGGAACCAGCTGGACAAGAGAGGAAAGGACGATTTTCTGATGTTTGCATTTAAAGCAAAGGCTCATAAACAGTGAAGCCACAGTAGAAATGGGAATGGCCTTTCACTAAAAGAGGGATTTTACATACATTTGTGAAACGTGCAGAGGCTGAGGAAGAGTGAGGCACCAAGAAAATCTGACCTCCAAACACGAAAAACCAGAGAGGGCATCACTGGGTATAACATTCAACAACTATTTATTGAGTATCCACCATGTGCTAGACTTTAGCTTGTCCAACCCATGGCCCATGGGCCACATGGGGCCCAGGACGGCTTTGAACGTGGCCCAGGATGGCTTTGAACGTGGCCCAACACAAATTCGTAAACTTTCTTAAAACATAATGTTTTTGTTTTTGGATTTTATTTTTTAGTTCATCAGCTATTGTTAGTGTCAGTGTATTTTATGTGTGGCCCAAGGCAATTCTTCGTCTTCTAATGTGGCCCAGGGAAGCCAAAAGATTGGGCACCCCTGTTTGGACACTCTTTTAGGTCCCCAAAATACATCTGTGAACAAAGAGACAAACATTTCTTCCCTAGAGAACTTGAATTTAGTGGGAAGAAGCAATGAAAAAATAAACATTGGACATAATATATAAGTAAATCATGTATGACTTTGGAAGGTAAGTGTTATGGTGAAAAAAAACCAGAAGAGAAGAGTTAGGAATGACAGAGGTGGGGTAGGCGTGGGAAGGGTTGTCAGGAGAAGGTCTTACTGAAAAGATAATAGACGACTAAAGGTTTGAATGAGGCAAGGGAGCTAGGCCTCTGGGGAAAATCATTCAGGCGAAGGGAACAGCCAGTGTGAAATCTCCATGGCCACTGTGAGTACTGCTACAATGAGCATGGGAGTACAAATATCTCTTTGAGATTCTGATTTCGATTCTTTTGGATAAACATCCAGAAGTGGGATTGCTGGATCATATGGCATTTGTATTATATGTTTTTTAAGGAAGCTTGCACTGTTTTACATAGTAACTGCACCATTTTACATTCTCACCAACAGTGTACAAGTGTTCCAATTTCTTCATATTAAACAACTTAAGTGTCCCTGGATGGATGAATGGATAAAGAAAATGTGGTATATAGATACAATAGAATATTATTCGGCCTTGCAAATGAAGGGATCCTGCCATATGTAACAACATGGATGAACCCAGAGACATTATGCTGAGTGAAATAAGGCAGAATCAGGACAAATACTGCATGATTTCACTTACATGAGGTATCTAAAATAGTCAAACTCATAGAAGCAGACAGTGCAATGGTTGCCAGGGACTGGGACCAGGGGAAAATGGGGAGTTGCTCAAAGGATATAAAGTTTCAGTTATGTAGGATGATGAAGTTCTAGAGATCTGACCAGGGGAAAATGGGGAGTTGCTCAAAGGATATAAAGTTTCAGTTATGTAGGATGATGAAGTTCTAGAGATCTGCTGTTTAACATTGTACCTACAGGTAACATTGTATTATACCCTTAACAGTTGTTTAAGGGGGTGGATGTCATGTTGAGGATTCTTACCACAATTAAAAAAAAAAAAGGAAAGAAAAAAAACTAAGAGGATTGGGAGTAAACAAATATTTTATCACCCTTGAACCTCCCAAAATGCTCTACTTACAGAGACAGAAATTGGAATGGTGGTTGCCAGGGGCTTGGAGGAAGGGGAAATGGGAAGTTATTGAGTTACTGTTTCACGGTTACAGAGTTTCCCTGGAAAGATGAAAAAGTTCTGGAGTTGGAACGGTGGTGATGGTTGCACAACAGTGAGAATATATTTAATGCTGCCAAAGTTAAATGGTTAAATACTTAAAATGGTTAAAGTAGTACATTTTATTTAATGTACATTTTACCACAATAAAACTTTTAGTTGTTAAAAAAAATCCCTTTGACCGTAGTGTGTCAGGCATATTTGTGAATAGAGTCCTGGCCAAGCTTCACTGACCAGAGACTCATGGGTCATTAAAACAAACAAAACAACAACAACAACAAAATTTGCTTCCACCAGAAGAGAAATGATGAGGATCTGATTAAACATGTTAAGCTGGCCGGCTGCCATTTTGAGAACAGAGTACAGGGGTAAAGAGGTAGTATGGGCCCCTCTGAGGAGGCCATGGCTGTGATCCAGGTGAGCAGTAAAGTTGGCACAGGCCAGGGTGAGAACAGTGGAGGTGTAGGAACGTGGTACATTTCTGGATATATTTTGAAAGTTTGACAATAGGATTCCTTGGAAGATTGGCTTTGGGTTTGAGAAAGAGACAGGGAGCTGCCAAAGATGAAAAATTGAGGCAATAAAAAAGGGAGTGGTAAAAGAGAGAAGGGGGCAATGTGTGTGTGTTGGTGGTGTGAAGAGTTGGAGGGTGAATGCTAAGGAAGAAGAGCAGGACTTATTCAGGTCTGGGCTGGTGGAGCTAGAGGAGAACACCAATTATACCTGGTGTGCTTAGCGCTCCTAGTGCTGACGCTTTTCCACAAATGCCCATGGTAAACCTTCATTTAGTGCCCCCCACAAGGACCCTACAGGGCCTGTGTTGTGTGAGGCACTGGGGGCTGTTCTGCAGCACTAGCAGCCACAACAGCTGCCTGGAATCTGTATAGACAGTTCTTTGATGTGCTGCCTTCACCACTTTGGGAGCCTCTTTTCCTTGTACTTCATGCACAAACATAGGTGAATGCATGAAAAAATGTGCAGTCTATAATGTGCATTTTTGTTTTTGCCAGAAAAACCTAAAAGAAATAAAAGTTTTTGTACCATTTGAAAAGGTATAATTTTATAATATGATGCTTTCATGCAATGACATACAATTAGACTATAGAGAAAAAAGGTAGGCTTGGATTTTCACCTATAATTTACATTTGCATGATTATAATATGCTATTATAAATTATACAGGGGATCAGAATCTGCTGTCTCAGAGGTGACATATAAGATCATATAACTGCCTACTCAAAACTTTTGAGTTTCCACTCTTGTTCAGAATGAAATCCAGTGTCCTCACAGTGGCCTACGAGATGCTACATGAACTGGCTTTATGCCACCTTTCTCATCCCATTTCCAACCATCTTTCCTTTCATTCACTTTGTGTGAGCCACAGTGACATTCTTTTGATGCCCTGAATATGTGGAAGACCCTTCCACTGCAGGGCTATGTCCACCTCAGAACGGCCTTCTCTAGGTACCCCTGTCTCAACGTGCACCACCCCCGTGACTTTCTGTACAATTTGTTTTTCACCTTAGTCCTTATTACATGCTTACTTGTTTATTTATATAGTGTCTTGCCATGAAGGCAAGAGATCAGGGACTTTGCTGTGAACCCTGGCCTATAACTGATGTCCTAACTCACTTTACACATCCTCTCTGGTGGACTTTCACATTGTTTCTTCCTTGTTGGTTGCCCGCTCTCCTCTGTCCCTCAGTACACTGTGTGTGCCTGGGTTTGTTTTCCACCTGCCTTTCCTTCTAACCTATGACCTTTTTGAAGGCAGAGTTACAACATATTTGCATTTTTGAATCCCAGCACCATCCCAGTGCTTCCCATATGGCAGGGACTCAATAAATTACTTCTAAATGAATATAAAAATATTGTTGAGTAACTTTATAAGTTAAGATGTTGTGAAATTTGCTTTATAATTTTGAGTTGCAGGCTGTGGAACCAAGCCAAAGTTCTGGTCCTATGGGAGTTCCCTTCTTGCAACTGAGCACGTCAAATGAGTGGGTAGCGTCTTATGCCGTTCACTCAGCACATGCTGGGGTGAGTCATGGGAAATTACTAGTGTGGTTCAACTTAAGGACAACACTTGACTCAATGTCAGTGCAACCAATTGTTTGGCCATTGACTAGAGATGAAATAGTTCCAGAAATCTGATTCTGAGGAAGTTCAGAATCAGAATCAATTGTTCCAAATCTCATGGAAAGAAATTTAAAGTGGAATTCTTTTCTGCTTACTGTGTTTAGCATCTAGTCACATGATTTGTATCTCTTTATGTTAGTGGTAGTACTCTTTCTGTCTCCTTTTATTTTTATAAGTTTGGTTTATTCTCACTAGCATGGGTTTCACCAGGGGTGGAGACATGCAGGGAAGAAGGAAGAGGGTTGTTCTTCAAGAAGAGCATGACAGAATAACCATTGGTAGGTGAGGACAAAAAAGCATATATGCCATTGTTATTGCTTCAATCATGTGTTTTCTAGCAAAGCAACGTAGGTGCAAATCACCAGTGAATCCTCCTTATTCTCCTACGATGGCATATCCAGTACTTGGTCCCATGCCTCATTCTTTCTTTGATGCACTTTCTTGCTTTGCAAAAGTACATTGTCAAGTAAGTTATTCGGAAAGGGAGCATTGAACATAAATTTCTGAGCCCTAAAATGTTTTAAAGTATTTAAGTCACATACTTAAATACTAGTATGTGATAGCTGCAAGCAGCATTAAAGTTTAAAAATAATTTTCCCTCAGAATGTAAAAACATTCAGTGTTACTGATTAGGACTTTGCTGTCAATATCATTTTCTGATTCTTTGAGGACACGTTTTTTCTTTTTAAGGCTCTCTTAGGATCTGACAAGTGTGTATTTTTTAAAAAAATACGTAGAGCTTCACACTGGTTGGACTAATCAAATTCATATACTTGAGTATTTTTAGTTCCGAAAAATTATCTTCTGTCGTAAGTTGATCATTTCCTCTCCTCTCTTTTCTTGGGTCTCTCAGGGACTCCTATTATTTAAATATAGGACTTCTGCAATGACCCTCTGTGTCTTATATTTTCCCATCTATTTTATACTTTACCTATTTGCTTCCTCTTCTGGGCGATTTCTTCAATTTTATTTCTTCAGATCGTCTACTAATTTTTTAAGTTATGCAATTTTAGTTTTTATCTTTAAGTACTTCCCTTGTTCTTTGATTGTTCTTTTTCATAACAGCATGTCTTTGTTTCAAGGCTAAAATATTTTCCAGCATTTCTTTGAAATTATTATGTTTGTTGTCTGAACTTTATCTGTTTCGTTAAGAGTCTTCTATGTATATGTTTGTTTTAATCTTTTTTTTTCTTGCATACAACATGGTCTTCTTATATGCCAGGTAATCCCTGATTTTCCACTCATATTTAAGAAAGTAGCTAGTACCAGCTTTCCCTGTGGTTGTATAAATGGGTCAATTGAGTGTGTGTGGACTGTCAAACCCCACTTTAGTGTTAGCATTCTAGAAGATAGCAGCTCTTGGTCTCTGGATCCCCATAAATGACAAAATAAGGAGGACTGTGTGTTAGAGTCCCAGTATCTACATTAGAAGTCTTAGCTTTGTTCACACACATACATACTTTTCTTTAAGAAAGAGGCAATCTGAGTGTGTTGCTTGGTTGCTGGCATCAAGGAAAGGTAATTAAGGCGTTGGGATGTAGTCTGATGTTCTTAACCGACTGACACTTTTTTAATTTCTTGTTTTAAGTCCTGCCTGTTTTCTGTCACCATACCCATTTCCTCAGTGGAGTATATGGTGTTAGGACATACATTAGTTTTTTTCTACAGTTCCTGGCTCATAACTCCCATAGTTCTTGCTACAGTTTTTTTTCTTAGTAGGTTGGTGCAAAAGTAATTGTGTTTTTTGCCATTAAAAGTAATGTCATTAAAAGTAATATAATGTTGGGTGTGCTAGGCTTCAGAGGCGGGCCTCTGATCTTCTGCTTTCCTTTCACCTGTCCCAAGGCAGGACTCTACTCTTCCCACCCTTCTTATTGTAGGTCTTAAGACCCTCTCTGGAATGAAGGAATGCTGAGTGTCCTGAAGCTTTCATAAAAACTCAAGAGGACTGGTTTGGAGAGCTTCCAGATAGTTAGAAATGTAGAGGTTCCTGGAGGGTGGCATTCCCAGGGAGGGCATGGAGACTCCATACGCCTTCCCCCATACCTTGTCTTATGCATCTCTTCATTTGTAGCCTTTGAATGTCCTTTATAATAAAGTTAATGTCAGTAAGTGCTTCTCTGAGTTCTGTGAAGCAGCTCTAGCAAATTAATCCAACCCAAAGAGGGGGGCATGGGAACCCCAAATTGAAGGGAAATTCCTGGACTCACAATTGGGGTGTGTGTGTGTGTGTGTGTGTGTGTGTGTGTGTGTGTGTTGCGGTAGGGGGAAGGGCCTTGGGAGAGTTGTCTTGGTCCGGATCTGTGTCCCACCAAATCTCATGTCAAAATGTAATCCTTAATGCTGGAGGTGGGGCTTGGTGGGAGGTTGATTGGATCATGGGGGTGGTTTCTTATGGTTTAGCACCACTCACCTAGTGCTGTTCTCATGATAGAGTTCTCATGAAATCTGGTTGTTTAAAAGTAGCACCTCCTTCTTCTCTCTCTTCCTCCTACTCTGCCATGTTTGTAAGTTTCCTGAGGCCTCCCCAGAAGCCTAGCAGATGCCAGCATCATGCTTCCTGTACAGCCTGCATAACTGTGAGCCAATTAAAGCTCTTTTCTTTATAAATTACCCAGTCTCAGGTATTTCTTCATAGCAGTGCAAGAACAGACTAATAAAGAGACTGAGTCCTCAACTTGTGGGATCTACACTATCTCCAGGTAGATAGCGCTGAAACTGAATTGGAGGACACCCAGCAGACATCCACTGCTTGGCGTGTGGAGAAAAGCACCCACCTTTGATCACAGACATCTTCTGTATTGAAGATTATTGTGGTGGTGTGAGAGCAGAGAAAAAAACACCGGTTTAGAGAGTTTTCCTGACACAGGCTCAATTGGATGGAGTGTCTCTCATCTCTTCTGTGGTCCCATGAACGCATATGCAAAGCAGTAGCTTTCTTTTTTGGGTTTTTTTTGTTTTTTTTTTTTAGTGTGCTTCCAGTCAATTTCCTTATTCCGGAAATTTGTTAGAAACTTGTTTGATAGCAATGGTCCTTACCCTCTTTAATTGCTATAATTTTATTTATTTTGATATTCTGATACTTGTTAGCATTTTATTTTGAAATAATATTGAAATTACAGAAAAAGCTGTCAAAATAGGACAGAGTTCCTGTACGCCAACACGCAGTGTACCCTAATATTAAAAACTTACCTAATCATAGTATAGTTATCAAAATTAACAAAGTAATATGTGTACAATGCTCTTATCTAAACTACAGATTTTATATGGCACTGCAAATTTTCCACTGATGTCCTGTTTCTGTCCCAGAATCCAATCCAGCATACTGCATTGCACTTAGACATCATGCCTCCTCAATCTCCTCCAATCTGTAGCAAGTCCTTAATCTTCCCTTGTTTTTTATGGCCATTACTTTTGAAGAATACTGGTCACTTATTTTGTCAAATATTCCTCAATTTAAATTTGTTTAATATTTCCTCATTATGAGATTTGAAGTTATATGTTTTTAGTAAAAACGCCATAGGACTGCTTTGCCTTTAATGCATCATATCAGGGAGTATTGATGCTGATATGTCCAATCATAGGAGATGTTAACTTTATTCAGGTAGTGTCTGAAGTTTTCTTCATTTCAAAGTTTCTGTTATTTTCCTTTTTAGTACCTTGGAGAAGATACTTTGGAATTATGCAAATATAATGATTGACAGCAAACTTTTGTCCACTAATCTTATTTATTATCATTATTATTGTTATTACTATTTTTTGAGACAGGGTCTTGCTCCGTCACCTAGGCTGGAGTGCAGTGGCATGATCATAACTCATTGCAGCCTCAAACTCCTAGGCTCAAACAATCCTCCTGTCTCAATCTCCCGAGTCATTGGAACTACAGGCACACACCACCATGTGTGGCTAATCTTTTTTGGAGAGATGGGGTCTCTCTGTGTTACCCAGGGTGGAACCCCTAGGCTCAAGCAATTCTCCTGCCTTGGCTTCTCAAAGTGCTGGGATTGTAGCCATGAGCTGCAATGCCTGGCTCCACTAATTTTGGTATCCATCCTTGAATCTTGCCTGCATCAGTTATTTCTGCCTTGTTCCAATGGTAATTATATATTTTCCTCAATTCTTCTACATTTATTAGATGATATTTTTCTGTAAGAAAGAGCTGTTTTCTCTCCTTTCTATTCAATTATTATGTATTCACTATGGACTTGGTGTTTGATTGTTTGGATTATAATCCAATACTATCATTATTTATTTTGCTCATCAAATTGTTTCAGCTTTGGCCATTGAAAGTGCTTTCATATTGGTTCACATGTCCTGTTGACATGTCCATGTCTCTTTTAAAGCATTTTTTTGACTTCTGTCACCACAAGATATTCCAGAGTCATGTAGTATTTTCCCTGATGCAGTGCTGGAATCAACCACTTCTCCAAGGATCTCTGGGTCCTTTTATTGGAAATTGATATGAGAAAGCAAGATCTGGGTATTAACTCTGCTCCTTGTCACTGGGGTGCCATTGCTTTTAGGAAATATATACTAACCCATGGATACAGTCATCTAAATGATTCATCTATTATATATTAAGAACCATGAGTTCGTATGTATCTTCCTATACTTTCTTTTCAGTGGGATATTGGAAAAGATGAGAGGCAAACATGTATTCTTTGTTTGCTAACTTTAATCAGAAATCCCAATTTTTCAGATAAAATTTTAAATCAGTGCTTTCACAGATTTGTTTTAATAAAAATTACATTGTTTTTCCTACTTCGTACCCTCAAATGCATTATTCAATCTTTCAGACACAATAGATCTTTTTGAATACAAATTAATCTAGACTGGCATAAATAGAACAGTGAACACTTCCATGGACATTCGTAAATTCATTGCCAAAATAAAGAGATCTGTGGAGTCTCAGTTTCATTCATTTATCAGAGAGGAGAACAAGAGTTTAATGCTGACAATAGGAAAATAAATAATATTCAGTTCAAAATTGAGCACATCTTTAGACCAAGACGGTGTTTGCAACATAGTAGACACTGAATATATACTTGTTGAAATGAATGAATGAACCTTACCAATGTCACCCTCCATAACCATCTGTTGCTATGTAGTTCTTCAATGTAATGGAAAACACACAGCATGCATTGCAGCATGATGCCTCTGTTCTCATCATACTTCACTAATTGATTCAGCAAACAGCTTCCACCCAGACATAATTCTAGGCAAGTATATTTTTAACTGAAAGGATTCTATCAGGTGATGTATCCTTTTTCTAAATTTCCCATCTTTTTCTTACTTTTTGGAATGAGTTCAGATATATAGGATTAGGCCTATAAGGTGAAGGAATTTGAAAACCCACAGGAAATTAGAAAAGACATTGTGTTTGTGAATTCAGAAGTGACCTACGTAGCAAATGTGCAATTTGCTTCAGATAGAAACCAGTAGATTCCGTATATTCAGAGATATGTGGCATAGAGAGCTATAGTTCCCCTGTAAGTGGGTAAGATGTCTTTATTAACAAAATATTTGCATTCATCATATTTAAGAAAAGGGCACTATAAAGGTGAATGGGGCTTTTTGACCACTGATTCACGGTAGCAAGATTGGAAAAATAAGCTGACTGTTGGTATTTTCTGCTTTTTCAGTTAGTTTCTCCAAGAAGAGAGAGAAAAATTCACTTGCTTTTTGTGGCTTCTCTGTAGGCACTTATACTCTGTAGATCATCTCTGTGTTTTCAGTGTTCTAAAATTATGTGGGCAATCTTGTCTCCTCTCCTGTCTTCTTGTACTTCAAAAGTATGCACCTATATTTAATATCCATGGGTAGAGAGAAGCCTTTATGGAGAAGATAGTATGTGAATTGTGCCTTGAAGGATGGGGAAATACTGGGGGGAAAATGAGGGAAGGATGACCTTCTGATAGAGGGAAAAGAGATGGAAAATTGATTACTACGATGCTTATGATTGCATAGACAATCTGGTTCAATCATCTACTTACTGAATTTTGTAGAAGCATCCATTCTCTAAAGGAGTACATAGGATTAATAAAATTAAATTGAGTATCTTGATAAAGCACTCCTAATTCTTTGGAAAAACTTGTTTCAATCTCTAATATCCCAACATACACCACAATACTATTTCACTCAGGAAAAATAGTGAATTTATTATGTGTGACACTTAATGACAACCATAATGTAAGGTTTGTAATTACTGGGATGGGGAAGAATCCAGTATATCTCCTGATAATGTAGCTGTATTTGAAATTTTTAATTGTATTGAAGAAAAAACATAATACAATTGTGTATAGTAAATAAAATTAGGTTTTCACTTAGTTTTATGATCAGCCAATTCAGATTTATGTGGTTTACCAGTTGTTGGAAGGACTACTGTGGAAGTCACTTACATGTGTATTTATGAACTTGAAGGATAGAATTTTTATGACAGTGGATTCATTTAGGAAAAATATTTCAATCATTTACATTTCTAGGTAAGTTTCAACTAAATATTTTTATTGCATAACTGCAACAACTTCTTGTTTATGATATGCAATAACATTTTTTAAATATAAAATTCATACGTAATCATTGTAGAAAATCTGGAAAACTTACCAACATAAAAATTAAAGTAATTATGTCATTATTGAAGGATAACTATTTTAATATTTGTTTTAGTTATATCTCACAACCACACAAGAGTGATTGTACTACTTTTTAAATTCATTATAGTGTGCAGTTTCCCCATCTCAGTAAATAGTTTTTGAAATTTGAATTTTTATGATGGCATACTGGTCTTCAAGCCTATGTTAAAAATTTTATAAAGCCCAGTTGCATTCATTAGTCATTCTTTCTCAAAGCTAGCAATGATGAGAAAGGGGTTTCGGAGCCCTGAAGTTGAGAAGGGAAGTGTTGAAGTGTCTGACTGGGGCCAGCAGGGGTTGCTGTCATGGATGAGGCTGCCACATTCCTGGTGTGTCTGACTTTGGACTCACTTAACATTGTAGTCTGGATTCTATTAAGGGAACTTTGTGTTTCTCCTTTGCAAGAGTCACCCCCTACCATGATAAATATTTAAAAATGTTTTTTTTTTTTTTAAGTTGGGAAAGCAAACTTTTCCCAAAAGAAATTTATAGTTCAAATTTACACCAAGTTCTCACTAACTGGAGCAAGCCGGGTTTTCACTAAAGCTTTGACTTTCCTCTGTAAAACATTAGTCACTCCCTTGGAAGAAGCAGTTTTTTATAGGCAGTGGGATAAAACAGCCACAGACGTATGTGTAATATGATGGGCTTTAGAATGTACCTGCAAAGCAGTTTTTTTTTTTTTTCCATTTGGAGGAAAAAAGATGAACCAAAAAAGACTGAATTGGGATGCTAAAATAACAGCGATTTATTATTAAGGAAATGATACGCTTTTGTCCCATTCAAATAATGTTTTTATTCCCCTTTTCTTTATTCTTGGGAGGTTCCTATTGTTGTGCCAGGTCGTTTTCACTGAACGATTTTTAAAGGTATTCACCAGTCCCACGTGTGACCGGTTGCATTTTTACTGTGCAGGACCATCGTGAAGCCTGTGGCCAAAGAGTTTGATCCAGACATGGTCTTAGTATCTGCTGGATTTGATGCATTGGAAGGCCACACCCCTCCTCTAGGAGGGTACAAAGTGACGGCAAAATGTAAGTACCTCTTTCAGGACTTTACGAAAGGCTCTGATATCATACCATCTTTTAGGTCTTTATGATAGACACCACCTTTTACATGTGTCCAGTAAACTTGGGTGAGACATTTGAAAATGATTCAGGTGGTGTTTATTGCTCTGTCGGATTCATGTTTCTGTAGAAATTTGCCTTTAAGAAAAACAAAGTTAAAGTGCTTTGTTTGGTGGACATGACAGCACATTTCAGAAATCGTATGCTTTTCAGGAGACCTGTTTTACATTTAAAGGCAGAAATGATAGGGCTTCTGTTTAAAATATGCTGCATGACTTGAGAGGTCATGAGTCTAGAAAAGCTACTGTGCTTTTCCAGGGAGAATGGAAGTTCCATTGTACATGGGATAAAAATAACTATTTCTTAATAATATTATGCACTTCCAAGTTTGAAAACAAAAGTGTAATTCCCCTTGCTCAGAGCCTCTGTATGTGTCTATGGGCAACCCTCATAATCTCTACTCGTCTTCTGTTGTGTTGCAAAGTTGGACTTTTTGGCTGTGTTCCTTAGCAACTGGACACCACATGAAGAAATAAATTTTATGTTACAGTGCATTTGAATAATACAACCTAATGGAATCTGGCTAGAAAGAGGATTTCTTTAAAAATAATTCCCTTGCTCTCTGAGTGGGAAAAAAGGTATATATATATAGCTCACATATAAATGTACATTGGCACCAGGGGTATCTATTTAAAAATAGAAGAAAAAAGTAAAATTACACAAAGAATAGGGCCCACAGTGGTGTATTTTAGGGAGCATTGCAAAGCAGACAACAACAAAAAACCCAAATACTTTTAAGTGGGAGAGATGAGTTTGGAGCAAATGTGCTGTATTAATTTAAAAAGAATCAAAGAAATAGCGTCATGCCAACCTTTGTTTTTAGCTGGCTTCTCATGTGAAAGAGTTTTCTGCACTCTAATTGTTCTAGTAACATTGTTAGGTAGTAACTATTTTTAACATGTATTATTTACCCAGGATTCTTTGTGCCTTGTTGTCTATTAAAAACATATTAAAACAGGAAACTCTACAAAGACAAACAAAGCAAAATAATTCATGATTTTGGTAAAATTGAATAGAGAGGTGTTTGCTGAGATTAAATGTCTGTATGGCCTTTTTAAAAAATTGTTATTATTATCCATGGAACTCAACTCAATGGAAGTCAGTCTTTCCATCGCAGATAAACCTCACTTGTGGGTCAGAACTGGTAAACAGTTGTCTAAATAAACAAAGACAAAGAGAGTTTGTACATCAAGTTGAGATAAACCCAAAAAAATACAAAATACCTAGCGAAGAAAGAAGGAACTCTGGAAAAGTTGTTCCTTGCCATTAAATCCAAGAATCTCACTCAGAAGAGAGGAGTGTCTATGTTTAGTCTTTCTCCTTGCCACAGGGAAAGGTTGTAACAAGACTCTTCGTCAGAACTAGTTAAAGGGATTGATCATTTTGTTCCCTTGTGTCTTCATTTTTGGCCAAGTCAAGTTCAAATCTCAAATGTTACCTTGAAAATAGTCGCATGGTTTCTTTTGGCCATTAGGTAT
Organism: Homo sapiens; assembly: GCF_000001405.40. Classification (NCBI taxonomy): domain Eukaryota; kingdom Metazoa; phylum Chordata; class Mammalia; order Primates; family Hominidae; genus Homo; species Homo sapiens. The sequence goes on from NC_000007.14 coordinate 18,876,168, forward strand.
AGGAGACGTGGGTTCTACCACTTCTAGGTTTAGTAGAGTATAATAGCATCTTCAATATATTCTTTACCCATTTACATATATCTATTCATTGGAGAGGAAGCTCTTCATTGTGTTCCATCTCAGAATCAGTTTGTCTAGAATGCCTCCAACTCCCCTCCCCTCGTTCCCAGTCCCTCCATACCCCTTGTGTATCTTTCCTACTCAAGAACCATATGTTCTCTGCTAGGTGCCTATTTCCTAGGAAAATCAAGCAGACATATTTTAAGTGATATCATACTTTACCTTTTGCGTATTTGCAGTTTAATAAGGAAAAATATATACAATGAGAAGAGAAGTCCTTAGAGTCTAAACAGATTGTAGTTGAAACTCTTCACATATCTTATAGATGAGGAAACTAATTTATTTTAAAATCTGAAATAACTGGGGTTAAAATCAAAGTTCTTATCCTGAATCAGTAGTTAGGTGAAATTGCATGAGGCATTTTCTGTATTTTTTCCATTAAAAAGAAAATGTTTCATAAAATGGATGAGAATAGATTTTTTTTTTTTTTTTAAGACAGAGTTTCACTCTTGTTGTCCAGGCTGGAGCACAGTGGGATGATCTCGGCTCACTACAACCTCTGCCTCCCGGGTTTAAGCAGTTCCCCTCCCTCAGCCTCCCTAGTAGCTGGGATTACAGGCATGTGCCACCATGCCTGGCTCATTTTGTATTTTTAGTAGAGACAGGGTTTCATCATGTTGGTCAGGCTGGTCTCGAACTCCTGACCTCAGGTGATGCACCTGCCTTGGCCTCCCAAAGTGCTGGGATTACAAGCATGAGCCACCACACCCAGTTGAGAATAGAGAATTTCGATGCACACTACAGAGAACATATTAGTGCCCATGACCCTTAATCCCCCAAACTTAGTCTATGACAGACATTGACTAGTTTTGTGATACTTAAGTGAAACACAACAAAGCCTCACATCTGGGCAACTGTATATATTATTTCATGGAAGCCTGAGTTTCTCAGCTATACTTTCTAGAGATGCTGCCCCAACAAGTGGGTAGAAGCTGGGATTACTAGATAGCTCAATAGTTGTTCCCTAAAACACTCCCCACTTGGTATCTTTGTTTGCTTTCTAACCACCTGGCAGATGCATTCATATTGCTTTGGTCGAAAAGTTCTGTACAGGCAATTAACACTGGACTTTCACTGTCTTGTTCAGGAAGTCATCCTTTATTGTGGGAGTAGGGTGATCCCAAAACGAAGTTAGAAATGGGCTAGATTCTAAAGTAAAAAGTAGGAACAAGATACACAACCAAGTTCTTCTCCCCGTGTTTTCCAATTCTAGCAAAACTCATTCCTGCTCCAAGTAGAATATTTGATAATTACAGAGAGTGGTTTTGAGGATGCTATCCATGTCAGAGATGCTAAAATTATATTTTCTTAGCACATTGAGTCAATCTTTTAAAATAGTTTTGTTTGCTATCTCTGAAAGGAAAAGAGAAATGAAGTCAAAATAACTAGGGTTTTTGTTTGTTTTTAAACATTGTTACCTGATTGAAAAATAATAATAAAAGGTTGGTGTAATCACCAATATCTCAGCCCAAATATAGAGGTGATTTAAAATTAAAGGTAATTCTTTTCACTAGTGATGTTTTTCTTTCTTCCTCTTTTCTCCTCTCCTTTCTTTATATATTAAGTGTTTTCTGTTATGAAACTACAAAACTTTTGGCATTGGTTTCTGCTGAAGTTTTAATCAACAATCTGAATTACTTACTTAGTATCAGTGCTGCTCTTTAAGGACCAAGGCTAAATCCCAACCCGAAATGACTAAATAGCTTTTTAACCTGCCCTAAACCCAGCATCAAACTGTACCTTGAAGTTATCAGTTTATCTTTCTAAATATGCTGATTCAGATATAGTTGTCTTCAGGTTACAGCTTAATCAGGTTGCCATGACAACTAAGTGCTGTATTCAAACAATAAAATTAATTCATCATATACTACCACCCCCTGGCTTTATAGTGTTGTTAACATTTTTTTTTAAAAAAAAGCTTCTTTGGTTTAAATTCGTTTTGCCACAACATATATTTTTTCTTCCCTTTCAACACATACATGCGTTCACTGCTTTTGTTGGTGTCAGGCAGTGAATTCATATATTCAAATTGCTTTTGTCATGTGAACAAGAATATGTTTTTCCTTTGGAATTATGCAAAATCATTGTGAGATGATAGCCATATCTGATAAAAAGTATGTTCCTTTTATAAACATGTGAAATACATTCCTTTAATAAACATTTTATAGTCCTTGAGACAGAAACCATTTCTCTCAGCAAATATACAAGGGTTATTTTGACAAGTAAATCAATAAATGTGATTCATCACATAAACAGAGCTAAAGACAAAAAACACATGAGTATCTCAATAGACATAGAAAAGGCTTTCGATAAAATTCAACGCCCCTTCTTGATAACAACTCTAAATAAACTAGGTATTGAAGGAACATATCTCAAAATAATAAGACCCATCTATGCCAAACCCACAGCCAACATTATACTGAATGGGCAAAGGTTGGAAGCATTCCCCTTGAAAACTGGCATAAGACAAAGATGCCTTCTCTCTACCACTCCTATTCAACACACTTTAGAAATCCTAGCCAGAGCAATCAGGCAAGAGAAGGAAATAAAGGGCATCCAAATAGGAAGAGAGGAAGTCAAACTCCCTGTTTGCAGACAACATGATTCTATAGTTAGAAAACCCCACAGTCTTGGCCCAAAAGCTCCTTTGGCTGACAAACAACTTCATCAAAGTTTCAAGATGCAAAATTAATGCACAAAAGTCAGTAGCATTCCTACACACCAACAACAGTTAAGCCTAGAGCCAAATGAGAAAGGCAATCCCATTCACAACTGTCACAGAAAGAATAAAACACCTAGGAATACAACTAATCAGGGAGGTGAAACATCTCTACAATGAGAATTACAAAACTCTGCTCAAAGAAATCAGAGGAAACATAAACAAATGGAAAATCATCCCGTGGTCATAGACAGGAAGAATCAATATAATTAAAATGGCCGCACTGCCCAAAGCAATTTACAGATTCAATGCTATTTCTATCAAACTACCAATGACATTCTTCACAGAACTAGAAGAAAACTATTTTAAAATCCATATGAAACCAAAAAAAGAGCCCAAATAGCTAAGGCAATCCTAAGCGAAAAGAGCATAGCTGGAGGCATCATGTTACCCAACTTCAAACTATACTTCCAGGCTACAGTAGCCAAAACAGCATGGTACTGGTACAAAAACAGGCACATAGACTAATGGAACAGAATAGAGAACCCAGAAATAAGGCCACACACCTATGACTAACTGATCTTTGACAAAACTGCCAGAAACAAGCAATGGGGAGAAGACTCCCTATTCAATAAATGGTACTGAGATAACTCGCTAGCCACATGCAGAAGACTGAAGCTGGACCCCTTCCTTACACCATACACAAAAATCAACTCGAGATGGATTAAAGACTTAAATATAAAACCCAAAACTATAAAAACCCTAGAAGACATCCTAGGCAATACCGTCCTGGACATAGGTATTGGTAAAGATTTTATGACAAAGACACAAAAGCAATCCCAACAAAAGCAAAAATTGACAAGTGAGATCTTATTAAGCTAAATAGCCTCTGCACAGCAAAAGAAACTATGAACAGGGTTAACAGACAGCCTACAGCATGGGAGTAAATTTTTGCAAACTATGCATCTGACAAAGGTCTAATATTCAGCATCTATAAGGAACTTAAACAAATTTACAAGAGAAAAACAACCCCATTAAAACGTGGGGAAAGGACATGAACAGACATTTTTCAAAAGAAGACATATATGCAGCCAACAAGCATATGAAAAAAGGCTCAATATCACTGATCATTAGAGAAATGCGATCAAAGCCACAATGAGATACCATCTCACACAGGTCAGAATGGCTATTAAGAAAAAGTCAAAAAATAACAGGTGCTGGCAAGGTTGCGGAGAAAAAGGAACACTTAGACACTGTTGGTGGGAATGTAAATTAGTTCAGCCATTGTGGAAAGCAGTGTGGCAATTCCTCAAAGAGCTAAAAGTACAACCACCATTTGATCCAGCAATCCCATTACTGGGCATATACCCAGAGGAATATAAATCATTTGACCATAAAGACACATGCTCGCAAATGTTCACTGCAGCACTATTCACAATAGCAGTGACCTGGAATCAACTTAAGTGCCCATCAATGATTGACTGAACAAAGAAAATGTGGTACATATACACCATACTATGCAGCCATAAAAAAGAACAAGCTCATGTCTTTTGTGGAATCATGGATGGAGCTGGAGGCTATTATCCTCAGCAAACTAATGCCAGAATGTAAAACCAAATACTGTGTGTTCTCACTTTCAATTGGGAGCTAAATGATGAACTTCTGAACACAGAGAAGGAAATAACAGATACTGGGGTCTACTTGAGAGAGGAGGGTGGAAGGAGGAAGAAGAACTTAAAAGATAACTATTGGGCTTAATTCCTAAGTGATGAAATAATCTGTACAATAAAAACCTGTGACATGAATTTACCTATGTAACAAACCTTCACATGTACCCCCAAATGTAAAAGTTAAAAAAAAAATTAAGTGATTTAAAAAAGAATAGTTAATAGTTGCCGGGGGGGGGGGAACCAAATAACAAAGCTTAGCATCTTGAATTACCATCTTTTTTTTAAACAGAAAATTGTATTTCTTTTCAGTATCTTCTGATTCTCTTTCCCCCACCGAGTGCCTGTTTAGCAATGAGAAAGCATAATTTGGGGGAAGATACCTGTATAAATGAATTTAGACTTAACAGTGAGTTATTCTTAGGGAAGTACAAAGATTCCTTGTTTAGTCAGTCAATGATCCAAAAGTAAGACTCTAAAAACTTGAGTACTAATCCGATAAACAAATGCCAAGAAACAAACTGATAAATACACAAGGCCATGTTGTCTACGTCTTCTGCTAACAATGCGTGTACATGCTTTATCCCAAGTGCCTCATGAAGTTTTATCTAACTACAAGTTCTGAATAAGCACTTCAGTTTTAACTCCAGTTATTACAGAGGATAAGATAAATTAGTTTCCTCATCTATGAGACATATAAACTTTTTTAGATAGCCTTGATTACAATCTGTTTGGATTCTAAGGTCCTCTCTTCTCAATGGATATTTATTCTTTATCAAGGTGCAGATACTCAATAAAAGGTCATATATGGGTATGTAGCTCAAATACCCTCCACTTTTCCATTTCTTGTGTCCACAGAGTTGAATATAGATTGAGCCAGAACTAGGTGTGTTTTGGTGAAGTTGACTGCTTTTTTTCTTGTTCTTTTTTACTAATGACTTTTTACTAATGACTCTATACCTATCTTAAAATGTCCATGGCTCTCCTAAGTGTCTAATTTTTTCCACATTATCAAAATCTATAAAGAACCTAATCATATTTACTTAAATGCTTCACTAATTACCTGACTATGGTCTTTAAATGTAAGTGTATTTCACCTAATGTTATGGTTGTAATATTTCTGTAACTATTCAGAACGTAGTAGCTCTGTTTAGCAGTTGTATCTTTTATTACTTATCTGTAATCAGGGACTCAATGCCTTGTCTTCTCATAATGGCATTTCAGGCCACAGCAAACATGTATGGAGAAAAGGAGTGTCTAGAAGTCACCTACCCACCAGGTACCACTTCATGAAGGGTCAACCTTAAACTTGAAGGGCTTCAGTTCTTTTAGATTAGGGTGAACACAGGGGAATACTATGCAGCATTAATTCTTCGAAGTATTGTCTTATCCAGCTACCATCAGATTAACCTCTTTCATCTGCTTCTGTGCCGTGTTTCAAAAACTGGCCAAGTGCCTGGAACATAGTCTAAATAGCATTTTTAAAAACGAGTAAGGCTAAAAAGAATCCATGATTTTTTTAAAGTAAGTCAGATGATTTCTTCCACTATATTCGATGTTTCTTGAAATAGGAGTTCATAATTTTTTTTCTTTTTTGCCATTGCTATCTTCCCCATCACTGCCATTTCTTAGTTTTGAATCACATATTCCTGTGTTCTATAATATTTTAATTAACAAAACCTTGTTTTTCTGAAAACTGCTTCTGACAATGGACACTTGTTTAATATTTCCCTTTAATAGGAATTGTATTCAGGGAAGTCATGGTCTCCTTGTAACAGTGGGCCTTGGGCAAAAGTGCGGAGACCCAGCTGTTAACACCTGCTTGAATCTAATTGGTGAGAAACTCATTTAATCTCTGCTCAGAAAACCAGGACATGGGAGATGATAGGGTCCTTTAATTATTAAACTGGAAATAAACAGTAAGAATTAAAGGAGAGTAAACAATAGCTAATTTTGGTATTGGAAAATATTTGTTCGGATCTCAAATATGTTTCTCACTAATTTTGTAATCAAGTTAGTTTCCTAATCAGCCAAAAAAAAAAAAAGTGGGTGGGGAAGGGAGATAATAATTTTACCTACAACCTATGTAATAAATGATTAGGTTGTGAATTAATAGTTTTGAATTTTATTGTTCATATCATTTCAACAATTCTAAATATTCAGTGAAAGTCTGGGTGTTTAGATGATATATTTGAGCACAAAATATACAACACAAATTCTGTAGCTTTTTTGAAGGTGTTTCAGACTCCTGTTTGAAGAAAATGGAAGGAGGATGGGCAGACATCTTTGGAAGCAATGCAGGATTTTAGGTAAATAGTAAGTGTATTGTCCATTTAATTAAAAGCCAGTTTAGCAAAATAAGTGCCTGCATTTCACATTTCTATATCTGTTTGTATTCCTACTTTATAATAAATCCAGAGACAATTGAAAAAGTGGTAATGTTTTTAAAAGAAAATAAAGCATTATTATTTTGTGATGAGGATACCTCAGTCATTGCTTGCCTAAAAACTGTGCATTTTGTTATGATACATTGAGGTATGTTCTGCTCTTAACATTATGAATATGCCAATGCAGAATAAATAGTCCAGTGATGCTTTTTTAGCAATTGACTACAATTTTAGTTAACTGACAGTTAACTATCTGAAACACACTTGAGAGTCAGAAAAAAACGTCTCAACAAAATACTACCAAATCAAATTCAAAAACACATTAAAAGGTTCATTCACCATGATCAAGTGGGATTTATCTATGGGATGCAAAGATGATTCAACATAGGCAAATCCACAAATGTGTTATACCTGATTAACAGTATGAAGGACAAAAACTATATGATCACTTCAATAGATGCAGAAAAGGCATTTGACAAATTCAATGTCCTTTTATAATAAAAACTCCCAACAAATTAGGTATGGAAGGAATGTACCTCAACAAAATAAAAGCCATATATGATAAGGCTATAAATACATCATACTCAATGGTGAAAAAATAAAAGTTTTTTTCCTAAGGTCAGGAACAAGATAAGGATGCTCACTCTCGCCACTTCTATTCAGCATACTAACAGAAGTTCTATCCAGAGAAATTAGACAAGAAAAAGAAATGAAGGGCATCCAAATTGGAAAGGGAGAAGTTAAACTGTCTCTGTTTCCAAATGACATGATTTTATATATTGAAAATCCAAAAGGTTCCAGCAAAAAAAACCTGATAAAACCAATAATTAAATACAGTAAACTTGCAGAATATAATATTAACATACAAAAATCAATAGCATTTCTGTATACTAACAATGACCTATCTGAAAAATGATGAAGAAAATAATCCCATGTACAATAGCTACAAAAAGGAAAAAATGCAAAAACCTTAGGAATACATTTAACCAAGGAGGTGAAAGATCTCCAAACTGAAAACTATAAAATGTTGATGAAAAATATTGAAGAAGATGTAAGTAAATGGAGAGATATCCCCTGTTCCTAAATTGGAAGAATGAACATTGTTAAAGTTTACATAGTGCCCAAAGCTATCTTCAGATTCAATTCAATCTCTGTCAAATTCCCAATGACATTTTTCACAGAAATAGCAGAATCAACCCAAAAATTTGTGTGGAACCACAAAAGACCCTGAATAGCCTAAGCAATCTTGATCAAAAAACACAAAGCTGGAGGTACCATACTTTCCAATGTTAACAGCTACTGTGAAACTGTAGCAATCATAAAAGCATGACAGTGGCATAAAAACAGACACATAGACCAATGGAACAGAATAGAGGACCCAGAAATAAATCCATACACCATGGTCAATTGATCTTTGACAACGATGGCGAGAACACTCCATGAGGAAAAGACAGTCTTTGATAATTGGTGCTGGGAAAACTAGATATCCAAATGCAGAGGAATGAAATTAGACCCTCGTCTTATACCATGTAAAAAAAATCAACTCAAAATGGAGCAAAGATTTATGTGTAAGACCTGAAATTGTAACATTAATAGAAGAAAACATAGAAAAGATTTATGGCTATAGTTACTATTATAAACAATGTTGAAGTGAACATCCTTTTACAAGTCTCCCTCTGCATGTGTGTTAAAGTTACCTTAGGCTGATGTTTTTAGTCAGTTGGGGCTTCTGTTTCTTCTTTAGTATGTAGCACTTGAAAACATGAAGGGAGGCAGGAAAATAAGGAAAGAATGCCTTCGACCTTCCTTACCTATTCCTCAAACTTCAGTCCACATCCCTGTTTCTCAATACACATGCACACACCCACACAACAAATCTCTCCTCCTCTCTTTACTGTTTAATACTCTGTATATCACACCTCTTCGGTTCCAGTTAAAACTGGCAGAAAGGGTGGTTCTGTATACTGATATTCTTCAAGTTTAATCCAAACTTTAGGGGAAAAGCAGGTCAAAAGTCATGCAGTAGATATGTAAAATACCATTTTGAGGTGTTTTCAAGCAATACGTTGGGAATTACAATTTAAATAGAAAAGATGACTTTCTGCTCGAAACATTCTGCTTAAGTTATCAAGGACTGCGGAGGGCAATGTGGTCGTAAGGGTGAAAGCACAGCCTGGTCGTCCAGCAGAAAACATCATAATTCTGGCCTGGGCCATCAGAATTATCCCAGGAATGCCACCCAACCTCTTGAAGATTATATTCTTGACTGAAAAGGGAACATTAATTTCATCCTGGCTGTGTTGTTGTTATTGATGATAGAATTATAATACCTGCCAGTGATGTTGAACGTTTTCCATGCACTAGGCACTATGCCTCAATGCTTCTCTGCACTATCTTATTTTGTTTTTATGATTAAATGAGATAATATATACATAGTACCTTTGTGTATTTTTTGTATTAATATCATTTTTTAAGATGTTCTCATCCCTCTGAAACCATTACAAAATTTTACAACCGTTTATATTTCTAATTTTAAAAGTAACAGAAAAATTAAGTAACTATGCTTAAGTCACAGAGATGAAGACTAACAAAACCACAACCAGATCTCATGTCTCTAGACTTCCGCCTTCATTTATTTTCACTAGGTTTAATGGGTTATTAAAAATATCTCAAATAAATATGTACGCACTTTTTAATTACTATAGAAGCTTCTCTGAATTGTGAAAATATTTTTCGAAAAGAAAATTTTTCCAACAATGACTTTTTTGTGTAAATAAAATTTTCCAGGTCAGAAAAGTAAGCTTTATAATATAATAGCAGTTTACAGACCATGTTTCCTATTTCTCATGGAGCATTTTTCACAAGAACGAATCAAGGACTTACTCTTTGACTCAAAATTCCTGCAAACCAGTATGTCTCTTTGTTATATTCTCAAGCAAGTACATGGCTTCCTGCAAGGACAGAGGAAGGGAATATGCAAGACATTTATGATTGCATGTAATAGAGTTCACTCATATATATTTAACAGCTAACAAAAAAAGCAACATGGCTGATTAAGAAGGCAAACCTGTCAGGATATAAAAACACAAATTTGAGAATGATTTTATTTTTAAATTACAATCAAAAGATTTATTCAAGTGAATGAGTGCTCCATGTTCGCTCTTACTCTGCATTCACTTCCTTGCTCAATTGCCTATTTCCTCATACCACATGATAACTCAGATACCAAATTGTAGAAGAATATTTTCCACCTGCACTGTTTAGTTACTGATGTCATGAAACAATCCTTAGGCTAGGATGACTGCTGCTTAACTTTGAAGAACACAGTTACTATAACTGTACCATAACAGGCCATTTCAACATTGCTTATGAAAAGAAAATATGTAAGCAGAGTTTGCCCCAGAGGAAGATGCCAACTGCAGCTAATGTGTACTGTATTCCATTAATACTAAGATATACTTTTTCATATTTTGACATATCTGAAATTGGAATGTCTCTCACACTTGATGGTGTTTCATCATGAGATTGAGGCTGTTTTTTTAATTTTCATAGTGGTATATAAAATAATGGTTACATTTATTTTGTGCCACAATTGATGGCATCTTAGATTCAATGGAAAATAATATTTTACTCTTTGAGATGTTTGTAAAATCCCAGCCAATGGCCTTCCTAATCTAATAGCTTAGATTTCTATTTTATATTTTCTTTACAGACTTCCAGTGACTGAATAGAATCCCAAAGAAGCAAAAATTAAAATAACAAAATGAACAAAAAATATTGCCAGGGACAAATTTTAAATAATAGTTGATTCTCTTACTGTGAGTTTGCTTTGAGCTCAGACAAAAAATGGTTCTTCCTTGGCCTGACATCTCCATAACCGTAGATTTTGACCCTTTATTATGATGATTGCTATAAGTAAAATAATTGGCTTATGATTCATCTTACAAATCAAATCAATACGGAAAAGAATCAGTTGGTCAAATCCTTTGTTAAGTAATGTCATGGCCTGGTGCCAGCAGTGTTAAGTGTATGGAATAGTATGTGACCAAGAATCAGCTATTAATACGTGTGTGGCTGATGAAGTAATCAAGGAAATCTTGGGGAATGGACGTGCAGCTTCCCTCTATAGGAAGTTCTCCTCACACTACTGTCATGGGCTGGAGAGTCACTATGGACTACTACAGAGGTTTCCAAATTAACAAGCATCAGTATCACCTGGAGGCCCTGTTAGGCATGCTGGGTTCCGCTTCCAGAATTTCTGACTTAGTAGGTCTGGAGAGGGTACTGCAATTGGCATTTCCAACAAGCTCTCAGGTGATGCTGATACTCCTGATCTAGGGACCAGGCTTTGAGAACCACTGGGCTAGTGATTGAAAAAAAGGAAACAGGATTTGGAATCGGTTGATCTGCAGTTTGGGTCTAATTGGCTACCAACTAACTTCTTTTTTTGTGTCTTGATGTTCTTTTTATTCCTAACAGAAATAGTACAAATCACGTGTGCTTTGGCTAAATATAGGGCCATTATGAGAATCAAATGAGGTAATGGACCTAAATAAAATGCTTTGCAAAATGTGACACTCTACATATAATAACGTATAAATGATATCATCCCCACGAAATCTACTATTGTTTTCACACATATAAGCTGGGGTCAGAATTCATATGTCAAAATACATTTGGAATCTTATGTGAAAATTAATACTAAGCTATTTAGTTATTTTTAAATGTTTAACATAATTATTTTATATTTCTAAAAACATTTGAAATATTTAGTTATTTTTGTTGGTTTTTATAGGAAGTGGCTAGGATTCCACATATATTTTCTTCCTCTACCTAATCCCTTTCCAACTGAACCTCTAGACTTGTCCCATGCAACGCCAAGATTTGTGGCCACAGAGAAGTCATCAGGAGTTGCAGTGGTTCTCATGCCAACAGCTCTTAGAATTCCTCAGAATGATAGAAATTTAGCCACCTTTACCCAATATTTCTCCCACGTAGTTTCAGACCAAGAGTAACTTTTATGAACTCCCTCATTTATCTTATCCCAAGTCACCTAACTGTTACTTGGTAAAGCGCCATAAATTCTTCCTGATCTGTCAGTATTAATAGAAAGAGCTCTATAGAAATGAGCTTTCACTGGGCCGGGTGCGGTGGCTCCCGCCTGTAATCCCAGCACTTTGGGAGGCCGAGGCAGGCGGATCACGAGGTGAGGAGATCGAGACCATCCTGGCTAACACGGTGAAACCCCGTCTCTACTAAAAATAAAAAAATAAAATTAGCCAGGCGTGGTGGCGGGCGCCTGTAGTCCCAGCTACTCGGGAGGCTGAGGCAGGAAAATGGCGTGAACCCGGGAGGCGGAGCTTGCAGTGAGCCGAGAGCGTGTCACTGCACTCCAGCCTGGGCGACAGAGCGAGACTCCGTCTCAAAAAATAAAATAAAATAAGAAATGAGCTTTCACTGGCTCTCAGGATTTGATACGTTTTCAATAAACAATAGGAAAAGTGACATAATAGAGATGTATTAATTTTCCTCCAAGTTGTTTTTAAAATGCAAAACTTGTCTTACAAGTGTCTATATCCTATCGACCTCCCACCTTAACACTATCCCCAGATCTTAGTATCAGCTTCTTCCATGAGAAATTGTGTGGATCTAGCCAGATTAAAACTATTATTTCTCTCCTCCTATCATCTCTTTACATGGTTAATGTAACTTTTTAGTCTAAATGAGCCACCTGTGTAAAATACATATTTATTTTAATGATAGAAGTGAAAAAGAAATGCCTAGGGTTATAAATATGAATTTTGTAAATACTGGCTTTGATTGCTGCATGCTTGTGTAATGTTCAACCCTTTTTCAGGAACGACTTTGTCTAGTCATATATAACAATAGAGTCTATAGATAAGGTCTTTATTCCATGCTGTTTTCCTCTTTTCTCTGCCTTGGTGAAATTTGTCTATAAGCTACAGAAATTACCTATTTCAGAAATTATTTTACCAAACAATTGACTATCTGTGGCGTATCATTCCTCTGCTTTATATTCTTTTCCTGCAACTACAATAATGTACACCTCTTACCACACGTGATGTCTATGTACTCTCTACCCTACTCTATGCTCCTCTGCCAACCCTTTTTTCACTATTCTGCAGCCTGGAAAATCTTTCTGTCTCTCTAACAGACCAGGCTCACATCAGGGTCTTTGCATGAAAAGATCCTATTCAAAGGATCTCTTCTTTAGTGATAACCTGGTTATCTTCTCAGCTCAGATATCACCTTCTCAGGTCAATTTTCCTGACCAGTGTACCCATCCTCCATCATGCTCTATCACTTCTTTGACGTTACTGTGTGTTGTTAACTACTATGTGTCCCCAGGGGCTAAAATATCACCTCAGCTATTGTCTAGGCTCCAGAAATATTTATTGACTTTCATGTATGGAGTGATTTAAAAAAAAATGATCTATTTAAAAATATATTTAAAGTCAATCTCTTTATTTTTTCTTTTACTTGAAAAGTTTGCTGCATGGGTGTTTATTCAAGATATTTTCATAATAAGCATCCATGTTGTATTGTGCTTGTTGCTATAAAAAAAAGAAAAGGAAACAATGATCAGCCTGCCAGACCAGTACTTGGCAGTGGTTCAAAAAGCAGGCTCCACAGTATATACACCTTTATAGGACCAACACATGGGTCTGCCACTTTTCTTCTTTGTTTTGTCGTTGAGATAGTGTCTTGCTCTGTCACCCAGGCTGAAGTGCAGTGGTGCAATTATGGTTCATTGCAGCCTTTAGCTCCTGGGCTCAAGTGATCCTCCCACCTCAGCCTTCTACATAGCTAGCACTACCGGCCTGTGATACCATGCCCAACTCATTTTCCTGTAAAAAATTTTTTGTAGAGGTAGGATCTTGTTATGTTGCCCAGGCTGGTCTTGAACTCCTGTGCTCAAGTGAGCCTCTTAGCCTTCCAAAGTGTTGGGATTACAGGCGTGAGCCACCGCCACTGGCCACTGCCACTTTTCTAATTGCGTGACCTTGGGCAACTTACTTTCCCTTTTAGTGGGCCTTAATTTCCTCATATGCAAATAGGACTATATCTCATAGATTTATGAAGAGTAAATACAGAAACTCATTTAAACATCTCAGCCTAAAGCCTGACATTTAGCAAGCACTCAACAAATGTTAGCCAATATTAGATAGTCTTATCATGTCCATGTGCCTCAAAAGAGCTCTGGATTATAACATCTTTAATGCCTGCATAGCAACTCTTAATGCATGACAGTTGAACAGTTCTAGATCTGTGTTTTGATAACAGCATATAACTATCTGACTTTTAAATGCTTCAAACCACCTAACAGATGAAAACTGCTGTAATGAGCAACCACCAAAAGTCTACAATACACGAGTCATAGAGTTTTGGAGATTTGTTTTGGAGAGTTTTGGAGATCTGCCCATAGGATGACTCTCCCAGACATCTATGTAACAAGGAGTCAGTTTTGATAGCCAAGCACACGTAAATAGTACAGGTTTAATAATATTTGGGACATTTAGCAAACTTCTTCATTTAGTAAGCATTTCCATAAACATTTCAAAGATTTTCATATGTGGGAAAGAAGAGTTTATGCTGCTCAAGATAAATACAAAGAATGAAACAGAGGGAACGTTTCTGTTGATGATTGGAATTATACCACATCCATTGTGGTCGATTACCTTTTGAAAAGCAGATTTTTTAAACTAAAAAGGAAATTCACTACAGTGTAACATAGAAGTATTAATATTTACTTTGGGGCTGTAACATAGAAACTTATCTTTGATGGCACCGTAATATAAACTTTAAGCGAAAGTAGAAAATAGATGAAAGGATAGGTGGAGCTAGTGATGAAAAGACAAAGGTAAGCCCAGAGAGACCAGGCAATTAGACCAAGGTAGTGTACTCAGGATTTAATTTATTTAGCTGACCTGTACTGACCTCCAGCAGTCTAGGATATTTTGGCGAGTCTGTCTGATCTGGGTTTCATAGCACGTATTTGTGCGCTATATAAAATCCAGCTGTCTCATTTAGAATTGCTTATCTCAGATTCAGAATGAGCTGCCAGCTCTGTTCATTTGTTTGCACTTTTCTGGATCTACTATAAACAGTTTTCTCAGATGTTGTTACTCTTTAGTCAAAGATTTCTCCCCACAGCACTTTCCTTATGCACAATATTTCCTTCCTGCCTTAGGGTAATCATGTAAATAAAGTGAGTCCCTAAAACCACTTTGTCGCCCAAGTAGCCAGCAGAGGGAATCATTTATGAAATGTAGTTAATTTCAGTAACTGACAAGCACATGAAGTGCCTAAAGAAAACAGGAGTGTCAGGCTACTTGGGATGGTTCCAGGAAGGTCCTCTACTTTAAGAGCTGCATTTTACTAAGGATCCTGATGGTTATTAGAACTTTTCCTGTTGTTTTACTCAGTAGTCTCCAGGGGACTATTTGGCACTTGGGTGCAAAATGAGATCAGCAATTAGGAAGAACCACTGCAGGCACTTGAACAGTAAATCATTGAGTACCAGGCTTAAGAGCTAGTAAGTACCAGGCCAAAGTAATAGCCTAAGGATGGTGGCAAGTCTGGCTTCTTAGTCTTTCCAGGGTGCTTGGGGCCCTAGCTCCTTGTGTGACTGACTTGAGGTGGTGTTCAGATATTTAGCAATGGGAAAGTTGTAATCAACTTTCAATCCCAATAGATCACCAAAGGTTTGGAAGTTTCATCAACTTGGAACCTGAAAAGTCTACACTATTCACATCTATTTAAGGGCAGCCCTAGACCCACCTTCCACATAGGACACATAGGACAGAGATACTAGTGTCAAACAGCCTGGCAGGTCTTTGTATGAATGGATTCATTCCCTCTGGGGGTGATCTATTTGATTAGATCCAGCTTATCTATTTGATGACACCCATGTAGGTAAAAAATAAAAATAAAAAATAAATCTTGGAGAGTAAAATAAGTAATTTTTTACTTGCAACCAAAGGCACAATTACCACTTATTTCCAAGCTCTGATTACTTCATTTACTCCCATGTAACAATCAAGAAAAGAATGAAAAAGAATGAGGGGAAATAGTGAGCTTTCAAGGAGTTTATTGGAAGAAACACAAACTAGGAAATAGGAGACCTGCGTTCTACAGACACGAAGTATCTATTTGAAGAATTGATGTCTTCAGTCGTCATCTGGAAAATGAAGTATTTGGACCAACTCATACAATGGTTTAAAATTCTCTATCTAGAATATCAAGAGCTACGAACATTTAAAACGTGTTTATAATCAATAGTAAGCACATTGCATTTACTACTTAATCTTTATAACAATGCTATAAGATAAACAATATCAACATGATCCTCATTTTATAGATGAAGAAACTAAAGCATAAAAAAGATAAGAAAGGGTCAAATTTATGAAAGAGCTAGAGATGGAATTCACAGGTGGTCTGGCATCAGAGCTAGTGGAATATACTTTCTGTCTACATTTATATCAGAAATTGACCTTCAAAACAAAGAGAGGCAGTCTCTCTCCCTCTCTGTCCTTACCGCTATTCTTTCTTCTCTCCTGGAAGGTCATATTGTTTATGGAGAGCATAACTCTTCCACTGTAAGGTCTTGAGCCCTGCCCTGCAAAGACGGAAAGAGGTAAATTTGGTTCCTCGTGTATCTATTCTCTTATGATGCTTTATTAAAGGATAATTTTTAAGAAGCAATACAAAGTGGGAAAAGGAGAATTATTGCCCAGAAATAAATTCTGAAGGCTCAGGAAGGTATATTTGTTTTTGTCCCAGACATAAAATGCAATTAAATCTACCCCATGTAAGACTGATGAAACTTCTTTCTTGATAGAGAGATGTGATTTATATTCTAGCATTAATTAATACTGAGTTTAAGGAACTTAAGTTTATGTCAGATCATTTTTTTTTCCTCCCAGGTTGTTACTTGTTGCTTCTCATATTTGGCCTTCCTTCTGCAGCTGTGTTGAGAGCTTATACAGTGTTTCAAGTAGGTAATAGGCCGAAAAAAAAAAAAAAAAAAAAAGAAAAGAAAAGAACCCTAAGTGCTTTTGTCATTACAGCAGTGAGAAGAACAGACATGCAAACACCTTCATATCTAGAGCTCTCTCACTGTACCCCTAACGTTCTTTTCATATTGATGGTGACAGTAGTGTCAAAAAGCAGAGAGAAAGCTGTAAACCGTAAGCTACAGGGAGATCTGCAAAACCAAGTTACTCAGGGTCACAACCTGTAGTTGTGTAGTTTGTGCTTTACACAAGGGGCAGCAGCGTGAAGGAACATAACATAACCTTCGCTCTCCTTATCAACCAAATACCATGGCCTGGGGCAATATTCAACCAGAGAAATAAAACCAGAAAGAAAAGAAAGTGACTAATTCAATTCACAGGTATACATCAGGCATCTAGTGCTGGAGCTACATCAGTCTGAAGAAGTCAAAACTCCCTGTTTGCATGTGGCTTATATTTAAACTGTGCTGTCTAAAATGGTACTCCCTGGCCATATGGTTATTTAAATTTAACTTAATGAAACTATGTATTTCAACTGCCCAATAGCCATTCACAGCTAGCAGCTTCCACAATGGACATTGCAGATATAGAACATTTGCATCGTCACTGAAAGTTCTTTTGGGGAGCATTGTCTAGTGGTTAAAGCCTAAGCAAAATAAGTAAGCAAACATAGAGTACATTAGGAGTTCATGAATAAAATGAACGCAGGGAAAGGGTCAGATTTTGCTGGGACAAGGGAGGTTTGTGATTTTTAAAAGGGTGATCAGAAATGGCCTCACTTATAAATGATGTTTGCCTGAAGAGCTGAAGGTGATAAAGGAGCAAGCTGTGAAACTATCATAGGGAGGAACATTGTAGGCATGGGGAACAGAAAGGGCAATAGCCCTGAGGCAGGACCAAGCCCACAGTGCCAAAGGAAGAAGAAGGCAAGTATGAGATGTTCAAGAGAAAAGGGTGATAGAAGTGGGGAAAAGTAGTCATAGTTTGATTTATTTTAAAGGTGAGTGAACTGGATTTGCTGGCAGGCTGGATTGGGTATGAGAGAAGATCAGAAGGTGGGAATGGAGTAAAGGATGACTTCAGGGTTTTGGGTCTGGGCACCAGAGAGGAATGAGTGGCTCTGAACTGAAATGGGGAAAGATGTGGAAAAAGGTTTAAGCTGAGAGTTAAATTTAGTTGTTATCAGCATATAGACGCTATTTAAAGCCGTAAGCCCAGATGAGATCACCTAGGGAACAAGTGTAGGTAGAAAAGAGATGCAAAGACTGTTGCTTGGGACACTCTAACATTATGACATTGGAGCCATGAGGGGGAGCCATATGAAGCCTGATTGATTTTCACTGGCAGAGTGTGCTGTCCTGTAGCCCAATGGAGGCAAGCCGTTCAAAGAGGAGCACAAGCCATTAGCTCTATCAAATGTCCTTAAAGGGTCAAGTAAGATAAAAACTGACCACTAGATTCAGTAACATGCAGGCCACTTCTGACCTAGACAAGATAAGGAGTTTGATGAGTTAAAAGCCTGATTAGAGGAGAAATTGGAGGAGAGAAATTGTAGACTGCACATATAGACTGCTGCTCTTGAGGAATTTTATTCTAACGGGGAAGAGATCAATGGAGCAGTAGGTAGAGGGAGGAAAGGGTCTGATGAGTACTTGAAAAAATAATCTTAATAAAATGACAGCATATTTATGTGATGCTGGTCATCTTCTAGTAGAGAGGGAAAATTGATGCTGCTGTAAAAAGAAGAGAGAATTGCTATACAAATGTTCTTGAATTTGTGAAAGAATTGAGTTCTAGGACACAGGTAGAAGGCTTGGGCTTAGATACAGGAGAATTTATCCACAGGAGCAGTTGAAAAAGCAGAGTATGTGGGTCCAGATGCTGGCAGGTGATGGGTGTAATGGTGGGAGATATATGAAGTGTGCTTCTGACTTTTTTCTCAGTGAAACAGGAACAAAGGTAATCACTGAGAATTCGAATGGGCAAGAACATTTTGGAGGCTTGAAAACATGAGAGAAGGTATGGCATAATTATCTACAGGAGTGAAAAAGGGGATCTACTAGCGGAAAATAGCTTAGAACAACTTATGAGCCCATGTAAATTTCACATATAACTTTAAAGTGAGACCAGTCAGAATAACTATGTCAAATAACAATACCATTTCACCAGCCATATTCGATAGGGCTCAGGCCCCGCTAGGCAGAGAGCTGGATGTAACCAGGATTGAGTTAGAGTAAAAGAGACAAGTGATTATCTGATGTACTAAGGATTTTAAACTGGTTTAAAAGGAAAGTGAGACAATGTAGATTATAAGAGAAATGAAAAATTGGTAGGATCAATGGATTGTAGATCCTAGAAATACTGCAGTGTGGCAGTAAAGAGAGTAAATTGAAAAGCTAGAAGGTGATAATAAGAGAGGAGGATGCTTGGAATTGATAGTATGAAAGAGTTCTGATTTTTGTTAATCAAAAGGACGAGAGCATGATTACAAAAGTGAGTCACTAAATCCTATTCTAAAGATCAGCTCATGAAGTGAGTCACTTTAAATTCTTATTAGGTGAGTGTACTCCTCCTTTGAATATGAGTGTTATCTTTTTATGAAAGAAGAAAGTTTTGACTTGATACTTTCAGTTAATGCTGAGATTTAAAAATAAAAAACAGCAGGGCAGCATGTTTCCCTTAGCATCGAACAGCTCTCTTTGGCTGTCTATTCTCTTGTAAGGTTAGACAGTTGGAGTTCGCATTTGATCTGAGGCTTTAAGCTTCTTGTTATACTCAATTTCCAAGAGTTTCCTGTTTAGAGACTTGAAATGCAGCTTAGTAACAATAAGTCATTATTTAATCATGATTAACCACTTTTTAAATGGACATATTTCCAAAAGGGAGAGGTAGCAGTTTCTTAGGTGTGGATTTTGTATTCCTTGACTATACAAGCATAAAGAAAACATTTGTTTATTTGGATAATCAAGAAAATCTCAAAAAGGAGCAGCTGCAGTTTTCATTAATGCCGAAGGGAAACATCAAGAAGATACTTTTCCTAATGTACATTAAATTCCAAGTGTTATTTATGAAGGAAGAAACTATTTTATGAAATATGATCTGTTGACGTTTAAATGTAAATTTTATTTTCCATTAGAGTCTTATTTATGTTTCAAAAATGGACAAATATTTATATTTATGCTTAAGATAAAAATATAGAAATATTTCTGCTTACTAATTTGAAGATTTATTAGCATTTGATCATAAAAACATAGAAAAGAGACTAATCACTTTAAGAGCCAAGAAAAATATGTATATTTTTTCCAACTTTACAGTAACTTTTAAGAAACACTCAATTTGGTCAGGCAGGATTCATTCACCATTACCTTTAAAAGCACAAGGTAGAAACTTATCTTCATTAAGTGCCACTGAATGTCTGGCACCACATAACTAACCAGAGAATTCAGTAGCTTAGGGTCTATGGAATGCCTCAAGTTCAAAGGAAGAGAGACATCCTGTTTGGTGTTGTATTTCACTTATGCTGTTAAAACTGCCCAGACCCCATTAAGTGTTTTCTTTTTCATTCTTGGGCATGATCTTCTTTGTCCCTCATGAATAACACAAAGCTTAATAAAACTCCATGCCAGACTAAATAATTTTAACAATGTGTTATAAGATTTTATTTTTAGGTATAAAGGTCTTTCTTTTTGTGCAAAAGCCATTTTGTTAAAGATAGTGACATCGGGTCACACGCCACTCCTGTGGACCTGGCTTGTTAGAGAACTAGCAAGAACATTGTCTCAGACCCAATTCCTTCACACTGCAAATTCCACTGTTGAAACTTTTACTACAATGGGTATCTATGGAGAAATAGTGAAGGTAAATAAACTCTAAATTTTCCACTGAGGAAAATTCATTCTCAATTCCTGAGACCATAAACATGAACACAGAAAAATAAGGTGTTTTGAACTACTTCTGCATACAATGACATTGTAAAGGATTTAGCAATATGTATTCATTAAGTCTAGAGTATGCATATGCTCATTTTTTCTAGTTTAAAACCACAACCTATATCTTCCTTGAATTTCCTGAATATAATAAATTTTAAAAATAGAAAAAAAATTTAATTAAATTTGGGGAAAATAATGGCTGAAAAAATCTGGTCTGACTGAATTTTTCAGAAATAGCTTTACTGACATTTTTCTACATAATTATTTGTAACAGAGTGTGGTTAAGAAATGTGTACATCTGATTTAAAGATGACTTTTGAAGAAAAGGTAATAAAGCCTTTCAAATGATCGCTTATTGAATAATTCTCGAAAATCTAAACAAAGACTTGGAAGAATTTATGATTTGTCAAAACTCTAGGACTTTATAACTTTTTCCTTTGTTTTCTTAGAATATAGCTATAAGATAA
Source organism: Homo sapiens (assembly GCF_000001405.40). Taxonomy (NCBI): domain Eukaryota; kingdom Metazoa; phylum Chordata; class Mammalia; order Primates; family Hominidae; genus Homo; species Homo sapiens. The sequence goes on from NC_000007.14 coordinate 18,897,434, forward strand.
TAAATAAAAATAATGTGACTCCTAAAATGCAGTGTTACAATTTACTAAAAATTGTTTAAAGAATGCTATGCGGAGGTTTCTGATCCTTCCTGTTTGCTCTGCTACCTTTTTCTGCAGAATATCTAATAATCATATTTGTAGGTCATATCAATTCAACCATGTTTTACTGGAGAAGATCTTGCTAAACTGCTTGATTTGGCAACCTAAAAGGGTGAATAATGGGCTATAATTCTCTACATAATATTTTAAGAATTGGAGTCTACTTAAAGATTTTATTTGCTACTCATTATATGTGTAGAATGAGTATAATGAAGTTTTAAAAGTGGTTATAAAACAAATGTTATGTTTTCTCTATCTAATTGCTCTTTTAAAATATGGTTACTTAAAAAAAAAAAAAAAAATCCCTCCATTTCAGCTAAGGGTCTTTGCCACCAGGGAACCATGCATGGATCCAATGCTTTTAAATATCGTGTCCATGTGTGATCTTTCTAGACACAGTTTTTTACTGTCACTTTTAAAATGTTCCCTATAAGTCAATCTCTTCAGGAACAAATACATTTTTGTATATGCATGAATAGTAAAATATATTTCACACATTTCTTTAATCATCTCCTCTGGACCATAAAGTCATACATGGCAACTGACCTTGTAAAGCACCATTTTAGACATTTCTTGGTGGAATTATTTCTTAATGATTGAATCATTCATTGATTTATTTGTTTTGTTTTAAAACATTTATTGAGTTTTTAACATTGGGGAAGCATTCATAGTCTATTAAGACAGACACATACACAATTATGACAATATATTTGTAAAATAATATTCTATGGGAACATAGATGAAGAAGTACATCAGATTACCTGGTTGAGTAAAGACCTCACTGACAAGGTAACTTGTATATGGCATAAAAAGATGAGTGGTACACAGCCAAATGGAACAAATAGCTAAAAATTTTTTACATAAATATTTTAAAAATTCTAAAAGCATGTTATATTTTCAGAAAAATAATGAGTGGCCTCATGTTAATAGTGTTTGAGGTATGTGAAGGAGAGTAATTAAGAGAACATATTATTTCTGAAGGCGTTTCCTTTGACCACAAAATACTGTGAGTTTTATAAAGAAATATTGAGAGAGGCAGTATCTCATTTTATCTAAGTTACAAACTCAGAGAAAGGGTATGTACTCAGAGAAAGGGTGTTTACTGTATATATATCTACTTACTTATCTATCCATTGATCATCAGTCTGCTTATGTTGGAATTCACATTTACAACATTTGAATGGAAAAAAAGGATAAGACTTTTTTTTTATAAGTGAGTCTGATTTAGTTGATTGGTGTGACAAGGAAGACTGGTATTGTCTATCTGATTGCATAGTGGACATTTTCCATAAATTGAATCAGCTAAATCCAGAGGTCCAATATTTTGAGGAAATGTTTTTAAATCACTTACACAATATGCTTAAAAGTATATCCTTTAAGAAATACTAACTCATAAAAATATTAGACATCCCCTTAAAAGACGAAAGAAGGTATATAGTTTTTCAAATTCTGTTACGCTTATGCTACCAAAAAGTATGAAGATTGCTGAGTTAGGAAGTTATTGCATAGGGAAAGTTTCCAAAGTATGGCTTAGGTTTTGGAATCTCCACTAAGCAAACTGTTATTAATGAAAAAACATGTTTTAATGTTAGGATATATTTGCTATGGTTTGGCTGATTGAAAACATAACTTTTGGATGACAGCTAGACTGTCGTCCCTATTAATAAAAATGCTGTTTGGGTGTCTTGTCAATAGAGGACACTTTTCTTGTAGTGCTTAGATTTGAAGTGAGCTCCTATGTGGTAACTAGTAATTAGTAGGACTGAGTTTACTCACCTGATGTACTGGTATAATTTTTTTTTTCCCTGAAAGTTACTTGCTCTCCCTATAGCCAAACATGAACTTGATGTCTTCTTTTTTATTATCTTTTCTGAGATTGATGAAGAATCTGACAACCTAGGCTAGATCATGTTAAAGATGTTGACATGATGGAAGACTGTCGATTGCCAATAGTAAGTTTCAACTATGTAACAATTAAATAGATCGTACTTCAAAAATTTTATAGATTCAGAATCTACAGATTTTAATCATTTGGTTTAGTCCAGTTAAAATTAATAGTATATTAATTATTTCTTTGGAAGACATGGTGGTTAGCTTACCTTATAAATAATGTGAATACAGTGAGTTAATGATACAGTCTTTAAAAATCTATAAGCCTTGAACTATTCAATGTAATTTGTTATTTAACAAATTATCAGTGTAATTTGTTATATAACTAGGGTTATATAGCCCTAGTAGTATGGATAAAGATGGATATCCACACTAATCACATCTAACTTTTAACAAGCTTCATACTATCTGTGACCTGTAATATAAAAAAATTATCTTCAGTGTGGAAATACTATCAGAAAAATTCAAATTTCTATTCTCACAAATTGATAATGTGCATTTTCTGAAATAAAGTGTTGTTTGAAAGACTTGATAATACACACACAGAAAGATGATAGATTTCTCTGTACATGGATTTCAAACAAGGAGTTTCTCTAATTTAAAAAAAAATGAACTGGTCACACGATATATTCAAAACAAAACAAAGACTTCTATCAGCATAACATTCCAGAGGTTTTTTTCCCTGTCCAAAAGATGTATGAATACATACAAGAATTTTGCTTTAATTGTGATACTCTTAATTTCAAGTCTACAAAAACAACTCAAATCTATACATGCGCACACAGGTGCACACACACTAATGCACCTATGCATACTATCATTATTTAGAAATCAAAGATAAATAAATTTAAAATATGTCTCATTAGGACTGGGAAAACTCTAGGGTGCTTCTTCATGCTTTCTAAGCATGAAATGTACTTGATCCTGGGATGCTGTGAAAACGATGATTTAGCCCACTGAAGAACAGATGGCCCTTAATCACCCCATGTGGCTAAACACACAAATGCCAACCTCAGAGACGCCTTACCTTTGCCCTGTCTGTCCCCTCTAGGCTAGTCCTGCTATATTAAGGGTTATTGCCTTTCTGGCCCTCCCTGCAATCAGCTTTTGAAGTCCATGGCCAAGAAGGCAGTGTGAGAATACCATTATGAGAGAGGTGTTTGCTTAAAGTCATAGTCCGGACAAGATCCCATGGACCCCTTGATAGTCTAGCAGGGAGCCACAAACTTTAGCCAATATCTTCTAATTCCCTGAGGATTCAGAACTGCCCACCATAAAAACATAATGGGCTGTTTATCTGAGCAGCCAGAAGATAACATCTTAAAGTTACAATCTGGGTTACAGACTGGTGACATAAAGCAATAAGAAGTACGAATACCACCCCTACCCTGGGAAAAACAACATGTGAACAGTCTAGTGTATAGATACCACTGGATGCCCTTTTCTCATGCTAATAAGAGCCACAACTTTCCCAACATTTTTCTGTTAAATAGATTAAATATACTTGGGAAGAAATGGATGGACCCCGCCCCTTACTCCATTTGCATGCTTTATACTGTTTTTGAAGTTTGGGACTATGTTAGGAAATATTCCCACTGGCACAATCAAGTGAATTTTTGTGGCACATTTTGACTTCTTTTCAAAGATTGCTTAAGTCCTGTGACATTAATCATGATCTTCTAATAATATACTACAGAGATTCCCAAAAAGATACTTTATTCCCAAGGCTCCAATACTGCAACAGATCAGACTCTCTTTCTCTCTCTGTATATATACTATATATACATATATATATATATACACACACACACACACACACACACACATATATACATATACATATATATATATATAAAATTGTATGAATAATATATTTTGTTCCTGTGATTCTTTGACTCTCTGCTGGGACAGAATTAAAATATCTCAGAGTTAAAAAAAATCCTCTTTTTTCCAAACGCCTGTTATTTGTCTGCATTGCTGACATTAGGGAAAAGAAAAGCTAGGTTTGATATTTCAACTGCATCAATTGAACACGTAATATAGTGGAGACTTTACAACTGTTTGTTTCTGGTAAGCCTGTTTGTTATTATTACCAGTCAACTGGGAGAATCCAATGCCTGTAGGGGATCCCACCCCCAACAAATGAATCTCTATGATTATGGAGAGTGACCAAATTAACCACATAATTGCTAGACTTAACCTCATTGTATAGTATGGGTATTTTACCACATATAAATATGGCCATGAACCAACTATATCTCAACCCACTTGGTTCGTTTTAAACATTTCCTGAACATCCAATAGGATTGTTTTCATAACTTATCTTATTTAATCATAAAAGTTGTTTCCATATATCAGTCCAGTATTTTTAATCTTTTAAATGTTCACATCTGCATATATACATTTCTAATCTACTGCATTTAACAAGCAGCTTTCTTTTTTATTTGTCCCAAGAGTATGTCATATTATTATTTTATGCCAGATTCAATTTAGTCACAAGTTTTGTCTGGCCTTACCTACTGTATTTTCTTCTACCCTTTCAGGAACCCTGTAAAGTGGCAGAGGAAAAGTTACACATGAAATTGCCCTAAAGTGTTTGGAAACAGCTTCAGTCACAACTGCATTGTGCTATGCAATAAAGCTACCCTCACAGGCAACTGTTGCTGGAGGCTGAAGCCTCTGGAATGAGTCTCAGGGAGAATGTACTGCATCCCAAACTGTCTTCCTTAAGGATGACAACAGTGAAATGTCTGCCCTGCTTGGGAACATGCACTAATGCTGCTTTCTCTTACAACTTGAAAACGTTTTATTGGCTTTAAGAATTTGTTTAATCAAATCCTAGTGAAGGTTCTTCTCACTCCTGGGGCTGTTTAGTAAAATATGGATTAGGGCAAAGCCCTCTAATGTGTCCTTAGGAGAGTCATCATGGTGAGATCTGTGGAGGGGTAGGGGAATGAACAGGCTCCAGAAGATTGCTTTTAGCCAAAAAAGAAGGAGAAAAATGAGGCTTTGGCAGGAATAACTCTCTGTGTTTGAAACCAAACTATGAAAGAAAAGTATGTGAGTAAAAAAGATTTCCCCAAAGATTCGTTTGGAATAGAATTTTCAATATAATGAAGATAAAGCAGTTTTGAGAACCCCCTCTAACAATATTTTATTTCTAATAGAATTGCCTGTGAGCAACTGAAACAATTGACAAGGGCAGGGGGAAATGATTGAATGAACTGCATCACTGAAATAAATAAAAATATGCTTACCTCAGGATATCTTGTTGGATTTCCTAAAATATAATTATTTAGCTACGTATTTGAATTAGCACATAAACAAATAAGGAACACTTTTGATTTTAATATCTGAGGAATGGAAAAGTTTGGAAAAAGAAATTTCACACTATTTATAAGTGAAATATGTCTCTAGTTTACATGTACAAATTTTCTGATTCCAGGAATCTCTGCAGTCTCGTTCCTTTGAGTGTTTTCTAATGAGTATAATCATCTATAGTAATAGTATTTATTTACATATGGCATTGTGCTAAGGGGTAAGCAAAACCAATTGTGCAGAGCTAGTCAGTCTGATATAATAAAGCATGATACACAGTTATGTAGGGGAATATGAACAAATATATTCAGCAATTTTCTTGCATGAGCAATTTGAAAACAATTTTACATGTTCAGGCCAGAGAATACATGTTTGATCAGAGTAGGAGAAAGGAGGTGCTTTGAGAAATGATGGAATTTCAGCCTGATGGTTAACTATAGCAAGGGCTGTGGAACTAAATAAACCTGCATTTGGGTCCTGACTTGGCCCTTCTAAGCAATAACATGACTTTAGGCAAGTTGTTAATTTTTTTAAATCCCAGTTTTCTCATTTGTAAAACATAGATGACAACTGCATTTTATTCATAGTTTACGTAAAATACTTGTGTGGCGCCTAAGCAATGGTGTTAGACCAAAATCAGGGAATCGGTAATAATCCTTTCAAGTTTTAATCCATTTTCATCTTTTTTGACTTCTTTATTACATATCCTTCCTCTTGTCAATCTTTCAAATAGACATCCAGTGGAATTTCCTCTCTTCCACATTCTGAGGCCATCCCTAGAGTTTCTGTTTTTAGCTTCCTTAACTCTTTTTTACCATCGTTTCACTGGCAGCCAGCATGTGACCCTGAAAAGGTGAATTTTCATACCCTTGCAGAAAATGTTGACAGCTTTCTTATCTTTGTGTCAGCTATTTACGCCCATTTACTCCTCACTATCTTTCTGACAAACATTCTCATTTATTCTACCTACATCCTAAAGTAAGCCCTGATAAAATGAAGCTTCAATTCCACTCCTAAGATCTCTTCTCTCTTTCATTGTTAGTCACCGTTAGTCGAGAATGTACCATTTGGCTCACTCTGGCTTAGGATCTTTGTAGTCAAGCATGCTGTTCTCTCTCTCTATTTTATCAATCTGGAGTCACTTTAATGTTCCAAATGGAATTGGAGCCAGATACCTCATATTCTGTTCACCTCCACATGACCCTTACACAACTGGCAACAAATCTAGGATGAGAATAATGCTGGCTACGATTGGGAACAGAGATTCTGATGGAAGTCTGTAGTTTCGATAGTCATAATTACAATACACACAATTCCTGTCCTTCCCCAAACACCCAACAATTGGAACAAGTACGAGCTTTAGCATTCCTTGGATTAAAAATATGTATTTTCCCGATTTCTTTTAAGTAGATAAAGTTTACTTTCTACTTTAGTGGCAAGTATGAATTTACTGAAATAGTAAGGTTTTCTGCTTTACATATTCATACAATAAAAGTAGAAGATAATTATGAGAGATACATTCTTCTTCCCAGTCCAACCATGTTATAAAAGGAGGATTTAAAAAAATGCTGCTACCAGGTGAAAGAATTCACAGATTATCTATGATGATCAGGGTGCTGCGTTGCCACTGTAATGATAAAGTGTGTGTGACATAAGATGTGCTCTCAAATCTCATAAAAGTTAAAATCTATATGGAAATATGTCACAGGGATGAATTTGTTATAAAACATTTAGATCCATAAAATATTGCATTGGCTTATTTATCATCTGAGTTTCCTACTTGCTAGATCCTCAGCATAAGTTAATGGGGAACCCTCTACCCTCCCCATTTCTTTTTTTTTTTTTTTTTTTTTTTTTTAGATGGAGTCTCGCTGTCTCCCAGGCTGAAGTGCAGTGACGCGATCCGCTCACTGCAAGCTCCGCCTCCCGGGTTCACGCCATTCTCCTGCCTCAGCCTTCCGAGTAGCTGGGACTACAGGCAACCGCCACCACGCCCGGCTAATTTTTTGTATTTTTAGTAGAGACGAGGTTTCACCATGTTAGCCAGGATGGTCTCGATCTCCTGACCTCGTGATCCGCCCGCCTCGGCCTCCCAAAGTGCTGGGATTACAGGCATGAGCCGCCGTGCCCGGCCACTTCTTTTCTTTTTTTTAACTAGTTTGTTTTGTTTTGTTTTTTCTCAAAGTCTTGGTCTATTGCCCAGGCTGGAGTTCAGTGGCGGGATGTCCACTCACTACAACATCCGCCTCCAGGGTTCAAGGGATTCTACTGCTTTAGCCTCCTGAGTAGCTGGGCCTACGGTCATGAGCCACCATGCCAGGCTAATTTTTGGTTTTTTAGCAACCTGACCATGTTGGCCAGGTTGGTCTCAAACTCTTCGCCTCAAGTGATCCACCCGCCTTGGCCTCCCAAAGTGCTGGGATTACAGGCGTGAGCCACTGCGCCCGGCCCAGCCTCCCCATTTCTTGTTAACCACTCATGACACTGTCAGAATCCCTCTTGTTGCTCACTTCTTTTTTTGCTGTTGTAAGCTGTGGCCTTGCCATATATCTCTTACCAGCCTGCAGGCACTTGAAGGTTTAATAAGGCATTTTATACAGAGTAGATGTTCATTAAGACAATGTTGTCCCTCAGAAGCTAGATAAGCTAAATTCAAAGCTTCTTCACGTAGATTTTTGAAAGTCCATTTTTCTACTTAAGATTGTACAAGTGAGGTGGTGAGGATAGTGTGATACTTATAGTTTCTTGAATGTTGTAGCTCTGTGTGCCTGCTTCCTCTTAATAACTTTATGTTAAAGATTATTGCCACAGCTCAACAGTGCCATTTTTACATTGCATAATATCAATGCTAATGTAAAATTAAACCCTTTTAAAATGTTTTCATGAAGAAACAAACCTGCAAGTTTTTGTGTATGAAAGCATTTATTGTATGCAGGGAAATGGAAGGGATTTCCATTGCAGATGAGACAGAAATGTAACATTCCAATTTCTAGAAGTATTTCAGCCATCTGTGCATTTTAAACTACAACCTCTTAACATATTACTTAGCACTCGCACTCCTTCTTCCTTCTCCCTCATCAAGTTTTATAGTTATTTCTAATGCTGAATAGTTTCTTTCTTTCTTTCTTTCCTTTCTTTTCCTTCTTTCCTTTCTTTTCCTTCTTTTCTTTCTTTTCTTTCTCATCTTTCTTTTCTTTCTCCTCTTTCTTTCCTTCATTCCTTCCTTCCTTCCTTCTCTCCTTCCTTCCTTCTCTCTCTCTCTTTATTTTTTCTTTCTTTTTGCTTTCTTTCTCTCTCTCTTTTCTATCCTTTCTTTTCTCTCCTTTTGCTTTGTCTCATTGACCCATAACCTCTGCTTCTAATTCTTCACTTTCAAATGTCTTTTTCCTTTTTTTTTTAACGTTATTTTTTTTCTTGAGATGGAGTCTCACTCTATCTCCCAGGCAGGCTGGAGTGTAGTGGCACAATCTCAACTCACTGTAACCTAGACGCCTCCCAGGCTCAAGTGATTCTCCTGCCTTAGCCTCCCAAGTAGCTGGGATTACAGGCACTTGCCACCATGCCTGGCTAATTTTTGTATTTTTAGTAGAGACAGGGTTTCACCATGTTGGGCAAGCTGGTCTTAAACTCCTTACCTCAGGTGATCCACCTGCCTCGGCCTCCCAAAGTGCTGGGATTACAGACGTGAGCCATGTTGCCAAATGTCTTTTTCTAAATACAGATATAAATGTCTTTTTCTAAGTACAGATAGTTCCTCTGCCAAGAAACATTTTGAGTTGTTAAGATAATATAGTTTTCTGCCCTGCTACAAATGCATGAAATAGAGTTTGTAGAGGATCTATGGTGGGGAAAATGATGGTAAAGAGATTACAGGATGCAACAGTGGCAAAGGAAGCCCAGTTTATTTGCTCCTTCACAGCTCCAGAAAATATACAGCAGTGACTCTGAAGACCTTGTTTGACGGCCTCCTACAAATAGATTCAACTAACCTGAGCAGTCTTGTTTAAAATGCAGATTCCTTGTCTTAACAGCTAGAGATTACAATCCACCTGTTCTTTATTCAATACACACACAATCAATTTCGAGGACCACTGACAAAAGGAATGTGATAACAGCTGATATGGCCATGAGTACACTGCACTTTTCATAAGGTTTTTAAGCCCTGGAAAGCCCTGATTTAAACCTGTGATTCTCCAGAAACTCCTGTGCTGGAGGTACAACAGTTTGGAAGTATACTTGGGGAAAGAGAAAACACAAGATGGAAGGAAGATCTCTCTTTTCACATCGGGAGCACCCTCACAAGAAAAGAAGAAACCAGCTGCAAGTGCATCCAAAAGCATAGAAACCACAAGGAGGCACTATGGAAACCACCTGCAATTAAACCCAAATGATCTCGAGGGTAGGAGTCAATCCTGCAGGATGTTGTCCCATGCAGAGCATGGAAAGGTGTATTTTTTCTTTATAATTCTGTTTGAATGGAAAACAATTTAGCTCAATGTAGAAGAGAAGGGAGAGTCTCACATAAATCAATGGAATTCTGTGATTTGAAAAATATTTCCCAAGTGAAATAGAACAATGCCCAGAACAACTGTTAAACACATTTGTCACTAGATGAGCTAGAATGGGAATTCTAAATTACTTAATTCACGAGTGATGAAGTTTTGTTTACAATGACTTTTTAAAGAGGGGCACATTATAAGATGCTATGATGCATGTCAAGATTATATCACCTAGCTTTATTCCTAGTTGAGCCTTATTGCTAGTGTAAGAATTCCCTGCAGATTTTGTGATGTCATATTATTTGACAAGCAAAATTTGCCAAAAGGTCAAAGGAAGGACCACAGGCTTTCTGGGAAGGGCCACAGGGCTTTGGAGCTATAGCTAGATAATTCCTTGGGCAAAGGTGGACCTATAATCCTCTGTATCATACCACCAATAATGCACAATCAGATAATTCTGGAAAGAAAACAAAACTCACCAAAGGGCAAACTTGAGAGAGCATGAGCCATTCTTACAGTTTACTTTACTTTTGTTAGGGTAGTGACATCTTGAGAGTAATTCTTAGAATGTCTGGTCATTTGTAGCATTATCCATATGCAGAAGTTTGAAACGGAGCCACTCCCCTAGAATTGGATCTGATTAAATTTATACCTCTGGTATCATCATAATGTATTTTATTCTGTACACATACTATGTATATATCATGTATTTAGCCATTTTTACAGTGATTTTTCCAGGATAGAATGTTTTATTCTAAAGGAAAAGGCATCATTTATTATACTGCCTCTTACAATATAGTAGAAAAACACTTTATATGGACCATTTTTAAATGTCACATGGAATAGTTAGTTAATTTGAGACATGAAATGTCTCAAATTATGCATATTCTTTAAAAACATTAATATTCTAGAAATAAGCATAATATAGAAGCTCCCAGCCACATCAATTATAGTGCCTTTATGTATTCAGAGCTTAATTTTTTTATTCTTTGTACTCTTTAAAAAAAATTTTAATTGACACATAATTGTACATGGTTATATGGTACAGAGTAATATTTTGATACATCTCTACAGTGTGTAATGATTAAATCAATGTGTGATTATTAAATTAACATATCCATCACCTCAAGCGCTTATCATTTCTTTGTGATGGGAACATTCAAAATCCCTTCTTCTAGCTATTGGAAAACAGAATAAATTGTTGTTAACTGTAGTCACTCTACAGTGTTGTAAAACGCTAGAAGGTATTCCTCCTATCTACCTGTAATTTTGTATCTATTAACCAACCTTTTCCTATTTCTCCCTCTCTCCACTCACTTCCCAACTTCTGGTAAACACTATTCTACTCTCTACTTCCATGACATCAACTCTTTTGGCTTCCACATGTAAGTGAGATTGTGCGGTATTTATTTTTTTTGTGCCTGCATTATTTTACTTAACATAATGTTCTCTTGGCTCATCTAGAGCCACAAATGACAAAAAAAAATTTCATTCTTTCATTCTGTTTTAATGGTTGTATAAGATTCCATTGTCTATTTATACCACATTTTCTCTATCCATTCATCCATTAATGGACACATAGGTTGATTCCATATCTTGGCTATTGTGAATAGTACTGCAATAAATACAAAAGTGCAGATATTCCCTCAACACATTGATTTCCTTCCTTTGGATATACACACAGTTGTGAGATGGCTGGAGCATACAGTCATTCTATTTTTGGCTTTTTGAGGACCCTCCATACTGGCTGTACTAATTTATATTCCCATGAACAGTGTATAAGAGTTCATTTTTCTCTACATCCTCACCAGCACTAGTTATTGTTTGTCTTTTTCATAATAGCCATTCTAACCGGGGTGAAGCAAGATCTCATTGTGGATTTGACTTGCATTTTCCTGATGATTAGGGAGGTTGAGAATATTTTCATATGCCTGTTAGCCATTCGTATGTCTTCTTTTAAGAAATGATTATTCTGATCAATTGTCCATTTTTAAATCAGATTATTTGGTTTTATTTTGCTGATGAGTTGTTTGGGTTCCTTGTATATATATTCTGGAAATTAATTAATTAATAGTTTACAAACATTGTCTTCCATTCTACAAGTTGTCTTTTCACTTTGTTGATTGTTTTCTTTGCTCTGCAGCTTTCTAGTATGATATTATTTCATTGTTTTATTTTTGCTTTTGTTGCCTGGTGTTTGAAGCCTTATCCATAAAGTTCTTGCCCAGCTGAATGTCCCAAAGCATTTCCCCTATGTTTTCTTTTAGTAGTTTCGTAGTTGTGGGTGTTCCATTTAAGTAATTAATCCATTTTAAGTTGAATTTTGTATATGGTGAGAGATGGGAGTCTAGTTTCATTGTTCTTCATATGGATATTCAGTTTTCCCAGCACTATTTATCTATTTTTTAAATTTTAGATTCATTACATACTATGTGCAGGTTCATTGCATGGATATATTGCATGATGCGGAGACTGTCCCTTCCCCAACGTATGTTCTTGCTACTTTTGTCAGAAATCAGTTGACTCTATATATGTGGGCTTATTCTGGGTCCTCTCTTCTATTCCACTGATCTATGTGTCTGTTTTTATGCCACTGCCAAGATATGTTGGTTATTATAGGCTTGTAGTATATTTTGAGGTCAGGTAGTTTGATGCTTTTAGCTTTCGTTTTTTTTGTGGGGTTTTTTGCTCAGGACTCTTTGGCTATTTGGGGTCTTTTGTGGTTTCATACAAATTTTAGGATTTTTTTTATTTGTGCAGAGAATGATATTTCTACCTAGATGATCTGTCCAATGCTGAGAGAGTGGGGTGTTGAAGTCCCCAACTATTGTTGTATTGGGATCAATCTCTCTCTTTACATCTTTACATTAACTTGATAGGGATTGCATTTAATCTGTAGATTGCTTTGGGTAACAAGGCTATTTTAACAATATTAATTCATCCAATTCATAAACATGGGATGTTTTTTACTTTCTGTGTCTTCTTCAATTTATTTCATCAGTGTTTTACAGTTTTCATCATAGAAATCTTTGACCTCCTTGGTTAAATATTTTCTCATATATTTTTGAAGCTATTGCCCATTGGATTGCTTTCTTGATTTCTTTTTCAGGTAGCTCACTATTGGTATACAGAAAGATTACTGATTTTTTGTAGGTTGATTTTGTATCTTGTAACTTTACTGAATTTGTCAATTCAAGGAATTCTTTGATGGATTCTTTAGGTCTTTATATGTGATTATATTATCTGCAAGCAGGGAGTTTGACTTTCTCCTTTCCCATGTGAATGCCTTTTATGTTTTTCTCTTGCCTAATTGCTCTGACTCGGACTTCTAGTACTAGGTTGAATAAGAATGGTGAAAGTTAGCATCCTTGTATCATTCCAGTTCTTACAGAAAAAGCTTTCAGCATTCAGTATAGTATTCATCACAGTTGGCTGCGGGTTCAAATGCTCTTTCTGTGTCTATTGTGATGATCGTATGGCTTTCATCTTTTATTCTGTTGACGTGATGTACCTTGATTATTGTTTTGTCTAAGTTGAACCATCCTTGCATCCATGATCACTTGATCATGGTGTATAATCTTTTTAATATGCTTTTGTATTCATTTTGCTAGTACTTTGTTGAGGATTTTTTTGCATCTATATTCATTGGGGGTATGAGCCTATAGTTTTCTTATTTTGTTTTGTCCTTATTTGGTTTTATTATCAGGGTAATATTGGCCTCATAGAATGAGTTTGGAAGAATTTTCTCCCCTTTAATATCTTGGAATAGTTTGAGAAGACTTGGTGTTATTTATTCTTCCAGTATTTGTTAGAATTCAGCTTTGAAGACCTCCAGTTCTTGGTTTCTCTTTGTTGGGAGACTTTTTATTACTGATTCTATCTTGTTATTTGTTATTGGTCTGTTCAGGCTTTTTTTTTTTTTTCTGGTTTAATCATGGTAGGTTGTATGTATCCAGAAATGTATCTATTTCCTCTAGGTTTTCTAATTTGTTGGTTTATACTTGTGTCCGTTTTATAGTTGTTGCATAGTTGTACAGTTGGTGTCAGTTGTAATGTCTTGTTGTTGTATAGTTGTATAGTTGGTGTCAGTTGTAATGTCTTGTCATGTAGTTGTATAGTCGGTGTCAGTTGTAATGTCTTCTTCATTTCTGATTTTGTTTATTTGGATCTCGTCTCCTTTTCTTAGTCTAGCTAATTGTCAATTTTGTTTATCTTTTATTTTTAAAAACTTTTCATTTTGTTCATCTTTTGTATTTTTTGGTCTCTATTTTGTTCATTTCTTCTCTGAAACATTATTTCTTTACCTTTACTAATTTGGGGTTTGGTTTTTCTTGCTATTCTAGTTTTTTTTTAGATGCATTGTTAGGTTGTTTATTTGAAATCTATTGTTTATTGCTATAAACTGCCCTCTTAGTACTGTTTTTGCTGTATCCCATGGGTTTTGGTGAGTTGTTTTTCTATTTTCATTTGTTCCAAGAATTTTTTAAATTTCCTTTTTAAATTCTTCATTGACCCATTGGTTATTCAGGAGCATGTTGTTTAATATCCATGTATTTGTACAGTTTCCAAAATTCCTCTTGTTATTGATTTCTAATTTTATTCCATTGTGGTCAGAAAAGATATCTGATATGATTTCAATTTTTAAAAATCTTTTGAGGCTTGTTTTGTAGCCTACTATATGATCTATTCCAGAGAATGTTCCATGTACTAATGAGAAGAATGTGTATTCTGCAGTTGTCAGATAAAATATTCTTTAAACGTCTGCTAGGTCTAGTGTAGATTAAATCCAAAGTTTCTGTGTGGATTTTCTATCTAGATAATCCGTTCAATGCTAAGAGTGGGGTATTGAAGTCCCTAACTATTTTCATATTGGGATATCTCTCTCTCTTTACATAGAATAATATTTGCTTTACGTATCTGGGTGCTCCAGTGTTGGGTATTTACAATTGTTAAATACTCTTGCTCAATTCATCTTATTATCAATATGTAATGACCAGCACTATAGATGAGCGAGCTTTAGGGAGTTATTTCCTCTCTTATGTTCACTTTTCTCAGCTGTGAAAATGAACATAAAAACCTTTACCCCTAAGTTTTTATCAGAATAAAATGAGATAATATTTTAAAACTGTAGAAAACTATAAAAGTATCCAATAAGTGGGTATAAGTATTAATATTAAATTTGTTTTCTTTATCAATAAATAAGAAACATTTGAAAATATGTTATGCATTGAATTACCACTTTCTCTGAAAATTAGCCTAATTTAGTTGCTCTCAAATGGAGGTGATTTTGCTTTCCTGGGGATTATTTGGCAGTATCTAGAGACATTGTGGTTGCCACAACTTGAAGGTCCCACTAGCATCCAGTGGGTAGTGCCCAAGGATATTGCTGAACATTCTACAGTGCACTGGACGGTTCTCTATATCAAAGCATCGTCTGCTCTGAAATCTCAATAGTATGGACATTAAGAAATATTGGTCAGATTTTAATTTTAAAAAACAAAAATGAGACAACTGTAAATTGCATAAATCGCAAGGATTCTAACAAAAAATTAGAGTAATCCCCTATTACTCAGAAGTTTGGGTAAGACAGATTTGTGTTAAACTTACAGAAGGTTTGAGAGGTAGGTATTATAATTTCACCAAGAATATGCTCATGCACCTTGAAATGTATGTTCTGCTAGAGCTTAAATAATGTGTTTAGTAATTCACTGCACTGTAAATAATACTGATCTTAACTATTAGAAAACTAAAGAGTTTTCAGTGAAAACGTTGCTATTTAGTTGTAGCACATACAAATGGATATTTTCTCTGCTTAAAAACTTTCTATTTCTCTTTTGTGTCAGAGAGGACTCTAGCATTTTTGAGTACTAGAACAAAGGCTGTATAAGTATATATAAATAATGCAAACTTTTCAACACGTGGCTAATTTCCACGGTTGAACTTTCTCCAGTTCTTATCCAAATATCTTCCACATCCCTTCTGGATAAAAATATCTTAATTCGCCATGTCTAAAATCTGTTTGTATTCAAGACAGTCACTCAAGTCAGAATAATAGAATTTAAACTACTTGATGCACAAATGTTTTTCATTTATAGATGTAGGCTGTTGTCAAAATAGAATGGGAGGATGTTTGGCAATCTATCTGATGATTATTTAATACTTAAGGAATCAGGCTACTTGACATACGTGGTACCTCCCTTCTAGACATTTACAGTCCAAAATTCTAAGGTAATGACATAGCAATACACAATTTGTTCCACCCACCTTTAAACAAATAATATGCGTAATTTTCTTTCTGTTTCCTTTGGACTCCATGTGCCTGACCCTGTGCCAGAAAATAAGAGGACGCTTATAGCAGCCTTCCTAATTAATATTGACATCACAGCATATGTAAGTTTTCATTAAAGCTTTGAGAGGTGGTTCAGTAGATGTGAAAATGCAGTTTCATTCTAGGCAGAAGAGAAGTTAAAACCCTAGAAGATAAGAATTTAAAAAGATAATATATTGACTAGCAGTGAATGGATTAAAAAACAGTTGGAAGTTAAGGATGAAGCATCCACGATTCAATATAAGTACTCATTGTAAATTGTAAATTAGCTCTTTCAATAATTCTGGTACAGAAGACAATTAGTAATTTGCAGGTAAATATTTAAAAAGTAGCTCTTAAAAAACAAAAACAAAAAAACAAAACCAAGGAAAATATCCACACTACTATGGTCTGAATGTTTGTGTCCTCTCAAAATTGATATGTTAAAACCTTATCACCAATGTTATAATGTTAGGAGGTAGGGCTTTTGAGAGCTAATTAGGTCATGAGGGTGGCAGAGCCCTAAATAAATGGGATTAGTGCCCTCAATTAAGAGGCCATCGAGAGCTGTCTTGCCTCTCACACCATGTGAGGACGTGGTGACAAGGTGCTGTCTATGCACCAGAAAGTGGGCCTTCACCCAGTACTGAATCTCCTATCAATCTGATTTTCTTCTGCTTGATCTTGAACTTCCCACCCTCCAGAAATATGAGAAATACGTCTTTGTTGTTTGTAAGCTACCCAGTTTATGGTATTTTGTTACAGCAGCCCAGACAGACGAAGGCATTCCACCCGGCTATTCATTCGTTTCAGGTTTTCAATGTGGAAGTAACTAGCACAGCTGAGACAAGACATGCAACAGCAATCCATAGTCCAGTATTTCAACTCTATCTGTACAATAGACATAAGTAACCCCCATAGCACAAATAATAGCAAATATAGTAAAATAATTCAGAAATAATGAATTTGGGGTACATAATGCCTTTGTTTCTAATATAATTTTTAAGTTGTAAGTTTATATAATTTAACATTTATAATGGTGTTTAAACCAGGCTCACAAATTTCTGAAGATTTAGCTGTCAGTTCTTGCAAGTCAGTATGAGCTGGCTTTAGCACACCATTGATGGGATAGTCATTTCAATTTCCCACTTAACTTTGATGTATTGAGTTGGAACTTGATGTAAAAGATGACTAGTAGTCACTGTAAGTGTATTAAAGGTCATTACGCTGGGAGAGAAACATATTTTTTGAAATTTTGACCGTTAAAGATATAGCAGAAAAAACCTCTGGAATAGAAGTTACACTATAGAATTGGTATAGCAGTATTTGGAAAGAGTATAAATATTGGAATACTTTACATAATACAACCAAGAAGAGATTATAGGAAAAAAGCAGAATGAGAAACATGATTTTGGGGACTAAGAAACTTGTAGCTTGTTTGTGGGCTTAAGATTTAAAAGGGATGGTTGGATTACAAAATCTTGTGTATCTTGTTCAAATAAAGATATATGACCACTGACTGACAACAATAAATCAATTTGTACGCATTTGTGCATGTGTCTGTATGTGTAGGGGATGTGTGTTTTCAAATGTGGCATCTGTCAGGCCATATTTGAAATGCACAGTTTTTATTAAGGATCCTAAAATCTTCTGTAAGGATATTTTATAAGTAGAGCATGAAAACCAAGTAGACATTTTCTTTAGATTGCCTGAAAATTTAAGGTACATTTTTGTCTTTATGCCAAGAGAACTGGTTACTTTAAGAGCTAAACCCTATATTGCTATGGCTTTTATCAAAAAGATTCCATTTACTATATTGCTCTGGATTTTCCTGTTCCTTTCTTGTTTTCAGAAAACCGCAACAAACTATTTTTTTTTTAAGTTGAATAAAATAAAAGTAGAATGCCTCACTTTGGAGAGGAAAAGAATAGCTAAGGTCGAGCTTAAAGGAAAAAATTACAAAAAATTATGTGCCACAATGAAGCTTTGAAAATGAAGCATTGAACAAATGAAAGAATGACAGTTTGCAAATCAGGAGTCCAGAAGTTTTGTTTTATGATTATGTTGCAGCTTAATTTCTTTATATCTTTCTGCCATTGTTAAAAAAAAAAAAAGCAGTCGGAACTTCAAAGCGACCCCGCATGTGTTCTGAATCAGGGCTTCAGAGCTGATGTCTGACAGCCCAGAAATTAAAACGAAATAAATATGCCATTTTAACTCCAATTTTTTCCCTAACAACAACAACAACAACAACAAAATCACTTTTTCTCTATTTATGGTTTTTTTGTTAACTTTAAAATTGTGTTCCTTTGGATATTTTCTCATTTACCAATTATGGGACTGGGCCCTTAGAGTGCAGAGTTCCCGTAGACTTCAGAGGGAATTTCAGGAAACGAGAGTAGATGTTAAGGCTTCGCATCAGCCTTTGTGACTTTTTCTGTACTTTAAAACAGACCCTCCTCTCACCCCCCGCTGGAAAAAAAAAAAAAAAACAGAAAAAGACAAAGAACCTTAGTCGTTAGGCCATACCCAAACACCTGCATTTGGCTGTTCTTGCATTTTCTTGGGATGACGGAAGCAGACATCTCCAAAGAACAAAGAAAGGCTCAGGGATGGTTTGTGTTTGAAAGTGTACTAGCGTGAATATGAAATGTCAGTCACTAGCCAGAAATTTGGCAGCCATTTCTTGGAGCATTGAAGAGAGTAATTAGAGTTTGACCCACAGAGCTCTGTGATGTGGTGGTAGAGATGAATCTTTGACTAATGTAGAATCATAAATGCAAGGGGACTTTGATATCATCTGCAATAATTTCTTAGTTTTACAAATGAGAAAGTGAGGACACTGTGTCTCAGGGTGGCAAAGTGTTTTGCTCAAAATAATACAGTTAGTAAAGTGGTGTAAAATTTTGATGAATTCTGTTATGTGGCTAATGAGATAGAGATAGAAGCTATTGGGCTTCAGAGAGAAACTATTGAAACTTCAGGTAGAAGCTACTGGGCTTCAGAGAGAAACAGGCACATAAAGTGGTGTAAAATGTTGATGAATTCTATTATGTGGCTAATGAGATAGATATAGAAGCTATTGAGCTTCAGAGAGAAACGGGCACACAAATGCTTTGGATTTAAGTGCAGCATTCTACCCGCCTATCAGAGCCATTACTCCCAAACACCTCTGCCTTCCTTATTTAATCAATATTCACAAACAACCAAAAAGTGTACATACATAGAAAACAGGAGTAAAGGACTTGCTGGCCATGTCTTCGCAAAGAAAAGCAGAGAAAAGTAAAGCCACTCTGGGAATATCCTAAGTTTAATGGGCTTGGGTTCTTTCTTTTCTCTCCCACAATGCCATCTCAACAGTCTGCACATCTGGCCTGCAGAGCATCCCAGAATGTTTATTTCCGGAACCTAAGAGGCTTTCCTGAGTATTGCTGGGGAAGAGTCCACATTTTATTGATGTTAGAATACATTCTGAGAGTATATTGTGCCCAATCAGAGATGATACACTTCAGTTTCAATATGCTCTTAGAAGTTCTGTGAATATTTGTGGTAGACAGAAAATAGTAAACATGAGCTGAAATGCTTTCAAAGCTCGCAAATATGAAATCATCTTATGTTACTTAGGAAAGAGCAAGGAGAAGGTCCAAGCACTGATCTCTCCGCTCAGACACTGTCATGGTTTTTGCAGTCAGTCATGAGGGAGAACTCAGGATCAAGCATGGGCACTGCACAATTGAAGCATCCCTCTGGACCTCTGGATATGAATTTGAAAAAAAACTGGGATTTTTTTTTCAGTAAATACTACTGTGTTTATTTATTGGTTGATGTGCCAAGAATTAGGATGTTGAACTACTCTTTCAAAATCTCACAAATAAATTGAAAATAGAAAAGACACGTATATATGAAAAAAGACAGTATCTGATTGAGCAAATTCTGCAAGCAAAATGTCTAGTGATCAGAGCCACTTGTCTGAACGTTGTGGTGGGGGCAGCAGAGTTCCTCTTGAGTGGTAAGTTAGACATAGATGAGAGGAGGAGGAAAAGCAGATGGAAAGAAGGACACGAGTGAAGAGATCACATTTGTTCTCCAGCAACCATTTGCTGCTTTTACTGTGTCCTTTCATTGGACAAAGTAAATAAGTACATTTTTTTCATGTATTCACCTTAACTTTGGGTGTTACTATCCCCGATTTATTGAAGAAGAAAGGGAGACTCAGGGAAATTAAAAATATGTCTGAGATGACACTGATGACCGTGAGAGAGATGAAATTCAGGCCCCCAAATCTATGCTCTTATCTAATACATGCAATGGAAAGCCTATTCAGTGCAGTCATTTTGACAATAACGGCATATTGGGGCCCTGATTACCAAACTGAGCAGTTTAAGCTCATTTGTCATTGGGTAGTTTGAGATAGTGTGTCATTAGCGTTGACAGACATTAAGGTTTCACAATCTTGATTACCTATTGGCCAAAGTAGTGACATCAGGAGGAGAAACCGAGGATGACGGATAATGGATAATATTTAAACACATTCAATTAAAATCAAGTCGATGTGCAAAGAAATGCATTTCTGGCCATTTCTGATTGGAGATAAGGGCTAGAAAAGGCGAACAGGAAGAAAAGGAGATTTCAGTCTTTGGTTCAGTGATAATGGGTATAACTGTGACAATGAAAACATTCACTGATGAACCATGTTTGCAGAGGGAGAATGGAGTGCTGAGGCCAGTCTCTGAGGAGTACCCATGTTTCTCAGGTGGAAGGAGGTAGAGGAGCTGGCAGCTTGACATGGGGGGGATGGAGGGGAAAGGGGGAAATCCAAGAATGTGATGGCACTAGGCCAGGTGAGAAGAGTGTTTCATAAAGCAAGAGAGATAAAACTGTTAATAACAGAGTATTATTCTAGAAATATTTTATATAGCACACTTAATATATGATTTTTATAGCTTTTATTACTCAGGTTAAGAATAGACATAAGAATTTTAGACTTTTTTCAGGTGATCATTAAAAGTTGCTCCTAAGTTAAGCCACCAAAATAACCACAGTCTTACTACCTTTTCACACTTATTGTCTGTCTCTCCTCCACTAAAAGATTAATATACTCTTGGGTAATGCATTCATAACACAGTTTGACCGCATAGCTCTACAAATTGTGCCACCTCCATTGTTTTCACCAGAAACAAAACATGAAATTATTCTATTGAATCAACTAGCTGAAATGATGAAGTATCCAAAGAACCTGCTTTTCCTTGTAGTTAAATGATTACGGTGGAATTAATGAGAGTTCTCCTGTTTAAAAACTTAGTTTTAATCCTAGGGGCCTGAACAATTGTTTTGTGTTGAGAATCACGGCCTCTCATATTTAGTTCTCTGGTTGGTTCAATAGAGCCCAAGTTGCTTTTGTTTAGTAATATTACATGTTTCAGATCCCCTGTGCAAATCAAGTCTTTGCCCTTTTAAGTCGTTGGTAATAAAGAGGTAATTACAACATAGAAAACTTTTTGCAATAAATACTTGAGTTAATCAGTAATAAGCCACAATTAATGTAAAGGCCTAATTATAAAGAATAGCCAATGCACTTCAAGGAAAATTTATAATTGTCAGAAACACAAAGTCAGAAGGGCGCTTATGTATCATTTTGCAAATTATCATTTCCAAGGAGTTGCCCCTTATCGTGATACCTAAACTATTTATTTACTATTTTTGGAAGGTTTTCTTCATGTTGGCATGTAACTGTTTATACTTCATCATAAAGCTAACCAATATGATGGTAACCAGTTTGGTGTTAAATGTGAGTAAATAGTTTCCTTTAGGACTATATTTTGTGAGAGCCAGGACACAAGTCCACTTAAGCAATCTTCCTAGAGAAGAAAAAATGTTGTATCATTCTAGAATTAACAAGCAGTTACATAAGTCTTACAATGTTAGGCACTTTTCTATGAGTTTTGCAAGTATTAGTATTTAAATGTTGGGATGTGTCTCCCAAATCTACAGCCACCTGATAAAAACAACCCATTGATGTAAATTCATTGTTTCAAAGAAGATTTCACAGGGATTAAAGGGAAGAAGAAAAGAGCACTTGAAAGGGAGGTGGGAGGCAGGGGAGAAGCAAAAGACCAGGATGAAATTCCACCTCCTATACAATTTCATGGAAGTCCTAGACCTGGAATAACAATGTATACTATTATTTATCTTGTTGATAAGCAAATCAAAATCTGACTGTCTTTTATTTTTGTTTTGGTATGCTTAAGTTGTTGACTACTAAAAAGTAATAAAAGTTGTCAAAGGCTCTCTTCTGTTCCATGGGTCTATATCTCTGTTTTGGTACCAGTACCATGCTGTTTTAGTTACTGTAGCCTTGTAGTATAGTTTGAAGTCAGGTAGCATGATGCCTCCAGCTTTGTTCTTTTGGCTTAGGATTGACTTGGCAATGCGGGCTCTTTTTTGGTTCCATATGAACTTTAACGTGGTTTTTTCCAATTCTGTGAAGAAAGTCATTGGTAGCTTGATGGGGATGGCATTGAATCTATAAATTACCTTGGGCAGTATGGCCATTTTCACAAGATTGATTCTTCCTGCCCATTAGCATGGAATGTTCTTCCATTTGTTTGTATCCTCTTTTATTTCCTTGAAAAGTGGTTTGTAGTTCTCCTTGAAGAGGTCCTTCACATCCCTTGTAAGTTGGATTCCTAGGTGTTTTATTCTCTTTGAAGCAATTGTGAATGGGAGTTCACTCATGATTTGGCTCTCTGTCTGTTGTTGGTGTATAAGAATGCTTGTGATTTTTACACATTGATTTTGTATCCTGAGACTTTGCTGAAGTTGCTTATCAGCTTAAGGAGATTTTGGGCTGAGACAATGGGGTTTTCTAGATATACAATCATGTCATCTGCAAACAGGGACAATTTGACTTCCTCTTTTCCTAATTGAATGCCCTTTATTTCCTTCTCCTGCCTGATTGCCCTGACCAGAACTTCCAACACTATGTTGAGTAGGAGTGGTGAGAGAGGGCATCCCTGTCTTGTGCCAGTTTTCAAAGGGAATGCTTCCAGTTTTTGTCCATTCAGTAAGATATTGGCTGTGGGTTTGTCATAGATAGCTCTTATTATTTTGAGATATGTCCCATCAATACCTAATTTATTGAGCGTTTTTAGCATGAAGCGTTGTTGAATTTTGTCAAAGGCCTTTTCTGCATCTATTGAGATAATCATGTGGTTTTTGTCTTTGGTTCTGTTTATATGCTGGATTACATTTATTGATTTTCGTATGTTGAACCAGCCTTGTATACCAGGGATGAAGCCCACTTGATCATGGTGGATAAGCTTTTTGATGTGTTGCTGGATTCGGTTTGCCAGTATTTTATTGAGGATTCAGAAATAATGCCGCATATCTACAACTATCTGATCTTTGACAAACCTGACAAAAACAAGCAATGGGGAAAGGATTCCCTATTTAATAAATGGTGCTGGGAAAACTGGCTAGCCATATGTAGAAAGCTGAAACTGGATCCCTTCCTTACACCTTATACAAAAATCAATTCAAGATGGATTAAAGACTTACATGTTAGACCTAAAACCATAAAAACCGTAGAAGAAAACCTAGGCAATACCATTCAGGACATAGGCATGGGCAAGGACTTCATGTCTAAAACACCAAAGCAATGGCAACAAAAGCCAAAATTGACAAATGGGATCTAATTAGACTAAAGAGCTTCTGCACAGCAAACGAAACCACCATCAGAGTGAACAGGCAACCTACAGAATGGGAGAAAATTTTTGCAACCTGCTTATCTGACAAAGGGCTAATATC
Source organism: Homo sapiens (assembly GCF_000001405.40). NCBI lineage: Eukaryota > Metazoa > Chordata > Mammalia > Primates > Hominidae > Homo > Homo sapiens. The sequence continues at coordinate 18,921,353 of NC_000007.14, forward strand.
CAGAATCTACACTGAACTCAACAAATTTACAAGAAAAAAACAACCCCATCAAAAAGTGGGTGAAGGATATGAACAGACACTTCTCAAAAGAAGACATTTATGCAGCCAAAACACACATGAAAAAATGCTCATCATCACTGGCCATCAGAGAAATGCAAATCAAAACCGCAATGAGATACCATCTCACACCAGTTAGAATGGCAATCATTAAAAAGTCAGGAAACAACAGGTGCTGGAGAGGATGTGGAGAAATAGGAACACTTTTACACTGTTGGTGGGACTGTTAACTAGTTCAATCATTGTGGAAGTCAGTGTGGCAATTCCTTAGGGATCTAGAACTAGAAATACCATTTGACCCAGCCATCCCATTACTGGGTATATACCCAAAGGACTATAAATCATGCTGCTATAAAGACACATGTACACGTATGTTTATTGCGGCACTATTCACAATAGCAAAGACTTGGAACCAACCCAAATGTCCAACAATGATAGACTGGATTAAGAAAATGTGGCACATATGCACTATGGAATACTATGCAGCCATAACAAAGGATGAGTTCATGTCCTTTGTAGGGACATGGATGAAGCTGGAAACCATCATTCTCAGCAAACTCTCACAAGGACAAAAAACCAAACACCGCATATTCTCACTCATAGGTTGGAACTGCATAATGAGAACACATGGACACAGGAAGGGGAACATCACACACTGGGGCCTGTTGTGGGGTGGGGGGAGGGGGGAAGGATAGCATTAGGAGATATACCTAATGCTAAATGACGAGTTAATGGGTGCAGCACACCAACATGGCACATGTATATATATGTAACAAACCTGCACGTTGTGCACATGTACCCTACAACTTAAACTATAATAATAATAATTAAAAAACATTAATTATTATAAATTGCTTTTATAACAAGACACTGTGCTAAATTATCCTATTTTTAAATTCTATATGTTTTCTATATAATTAAACCTATTATTTATAATGTAATGATAGTCTAATTTCTTTTTCCCAAAAAAATAAAAAATGTTGTGAGAGGATCAACTCAAATAACACAGCTAGAAGGAAGCCTTCAAGATTTTGTAGTCAGATGACCTTCAAACCTCAATGCAGGTAGAAGGACCTCAGTGGAAAAACTCAAACCTCAGTAGAGGAACTTACTTTAAATGCAGAGATTTGGATTCAAACTTGGTCTGGGATGAGGCTCACAAATCTGCATTTTAACAAACACCCAGGAGATTCTGATTAACCAAAGGTTAAACTCCACTTTAAGAAATATGAGTTAGTCTGACACTTATATTTGACCCTTAGAGAAACAAAGCAAAGTCCAGAGATGGGAATTGGCAGGTCCAATTATGCAGTAGGCTATAGAACCTGAGTTAGATTTAGTTACTAATATCATTTGAAATTATTGATTAATTTTATCCAAATTCAGAATCAGTGGTGCCACCCTGGCTCTGTTGCTGATGCTTCCCAAGGTAGACTAGATAATTTTCCTAAGCAGTTAACATTTTTATGGTAATAAAAATCGACAAATGTCTAGAGAGGGTTTAAGCAGCTGGCAGAGAACGCCTGGGTGTCTCCTAAGAGAAGTAATGTCTCTTCAATGAATTTGAAGTTGGAAATTATTAGGATGAGTTACACAACTCTTTTGACACATGGTGATAATGATAAAAGCTTTATTCCTTTAATAGTCACTATGAATTTCTTTTGTCACCTATTATTAATTAGGTAATTTTGAACACCCAGTTGCTATTATTTTCTGAAGCTATAATACTTGTGATTGGGATAAGTGAAATGCTGATGGTCCCACTTTAATAAAGTGCTACTTTTTTTATCTTATACATCTATCCGTTAATATCCAGATTCTGAAATTTTAACTATTTTTGAAAAATCTAAACTCACACTCTAAGGTTAGAGCAATAGACTCAACAGCTGCGTATCCCTAGTGTATTCCAGCTTGACTCCCAGTCTAATGCATCTGCGAGCTTCTTTGGTTTGAAAAGTAGTTGCCTAATCTCATTATAGACCCTTGTTGAAAGATGTCCATGACCTCTCAGTTTGAACGATTCTAGAATGGCTAGCATAGTGCTTTTTTATTTATTCTGGTACATACCCAGCTATTCCCCAAAGTCCTGGCAACTCCTCTTTATCTTTGATCTCCCCACCCTGAATCTGTCCTCTGCTTACCTCACTCTCTCATCATTCAATTCCACAATCTTGTCATCTTCTTTCAGATACCTTAAGTGTCTTGAAGTGTTTGACCTAAAATGTCACCGCCTTACCCGAAATACTCTATCTTTACCATTATGAAGGTTTTATAGCATTTTATATAAGTTGGATATTGGGCTTCACTCACAAGTAGACCATGGCTTAAGATGAAAGACCTCTGGCATAATAAAGGAAAGACTCCCTTTTCATGTCCCACACCTCCAACTTGGAAAGGTAGGAAAATCATGCAAGATAAAAACAATGATCCAATACGCTATGGAATATGTAATGTTATTCCCCAAAGAATGATAGTTATATGGAAATCTTTCATGGAAATTGGAGGCAGTCTTTATTTTCTTTTAATGATTTTTTTAATGGCAGGTGGGAATAGACTTAAAACAGAACAAAACCACTGTGATAAGTATTTGAAAAGAAGCCTTTATTTTATCCATATTGACAGGTTGAATCATGGCATTTGTAAAAATGGTGTAGGATCTTGGCCATGTTTGTACTGCGGATTTTCTGCCCTGATGTTGGAGAATTGCCTGTTTTAAAAAAAAGGAAGGAAAAAAAAAAAACTATCCTAACTATCCTATTGGGCTTATTAGATGCTTATGAATTTTGCTAAATGTTATCCTTTCTTTTGCAAATATTCTTTAAGTATTTCTATTAAATGGTGATTTATTTTAAAAATCATCAATAACAAATGTATAATAGAAGCTTATATACTATGGAATTCTTAATCTTTAACAAACACATTTAGAGGCATTTCATATTTAGTTAACATACAATTGCTGTCTAATTTAATCTAAATTAAATGGTTGCTTGTAACTTACAATTCGGAGGGTTCCTGAACCTCGACTTATGGCAGGAAAAATAAGAAGTCATCAGTTTTGCCCAGAGGGTAGATACTTATCTTTTAAAATCAGGTATTTTGGTCTTGAAATTAAAAACCCTGGTCATTTGGGAAATGCAATTCCAAGGAATGTTTTTGGCAATGAGACATGTCCCCATTTTCCTTAGAAGGCAGCGGTTTTGTTTTTCTACCATTTAACAAATCTGTGTAATTTAGCTGATACTTATCTAGCACTTTAAAGATGAATGATCATCTGTTTGTGAAGAATATACACATTGAGATTCAATAGTAATATTTTCGTTGTTGTTTGTTTGTTTTTTTAAAGACCAGATAACTTATTGTGTGTCAGGTACTATGCTAGTTGAAAATATCAGTTTATAAAAAGCAACTAGGCATTCAGAAACCGTGAGGATGATTATGGCAAATCAGTGCATAAGCTTTTTGGCAATGGTCAATTATAAGTGTTGCCATGGCCATCATAACCTGAGTTGAATTTTGGGAGTACTGCCATGAATTAATGCTGTGCTCAAAGTTAAAATGCAAGCTTAGATGCAAGGGTTAGTTTGAAAAGGAATTAGTTTTTTGAAGGGGTGATATATTTCCTTTTCAAACTGAAAAAATAGCAAAAAAATCGAAGTGGATCAGTTTTAACTACTGTAAGTTGTAGCTTGAGTAAGAAGAATGGGTTACAGTCATTAACGTTTGAGGATTATTTTTCAGGCACAACTGGCACTGTGATTGTAGTACTAATGCATTAAATTTGCACTTCAATATTACTTGGATTTAGCCACAGAAGAGTGGCTTGGATGACAGGCACTAAAGTCAACTGACCCAACCTCTTATCCCAACTTTGTCATTGATTGACCTTTGTTGCTTGGGCAAGTTAATGTTCTTATAACTTGGGAAGTTGTGTGGTGAATAAATGAGATAATGCATTTCAGCACTTAGCATGGTGCCTGGTTATATTAGGTCTCACTAACATTAGTTTATACACCATATAAGGGTAATGAACACCTTTGCTTGGCTCATAACTATGCCTTCATTGCCAGCACAGTTCCTTGGTCACATAGTAGCTTCTTAGTAGGTATCTCTTAATTGAATGGATCTACCACAATTATTTTTTGAGTCCTCTTGAATACATGGTGTTTTAGTTTTACCCTGTGTAAAACTAAATCAATGAAATTTTGTATAAGTTAAATTTTTTTAGTTAAATACATCTTTTTTTTTCCATACACCTATGTAAGCAAGAGTTTGTGGCCAGAAAGACTTGAGCCTTTTTCATTTGGTGTGTTATATTTATTTGGACTTGAACTTCTTCCCCACACATCTCTCACTCCTCACCCTCACCCCCATCTTTGAACATGATTTTCTACTTATATTGGCCACAATGTCTTTTTTAAAAACATTGTTCAAAAAGGATACTAGATATTCTATAGCAGATATATCATAAGAGCATAACATTTTTCATGTTTTACTTGCTCTTCTTTACTTTTCCTCAAAAAATTGCTCTCTGGTATCACTATGGGCCTTAGTTTCCTCATCCACTTCTTAAAACGATAGAATTGGAGTATGTAAACTTGCAATTATATCTAGATCTGTAATTGTTAAATGAAAAGCTTTCATTAAAAGTATAAATACTGGCCAAGCATGGTGGCTCACACCTGTAATCCCAGAACTCTGGGAGGCCGAGGCAGGAGGATTGCTTCAGGCCAGGAGTTCTAGACCAGCCTGGGCAACATAGTAAGACCCTGTCCTTATAAAAAAAATTGAAAAATTAGTAGGGTGTGGTAGTGGGATGTAATCCAAGCTAGTCAGTAGACTGAGGTGGGAGGATTGTTTGGGCCCTGTAATTTTAGGTTAAGTGAGCTATGATGATGCCACTACACTCCAGCCTGGATGACAGAGTGAGACTTCATCTCCAAAAAAATGTATAAATACTGAGCATCTGCCATATGCCAGACTCTGTTTGATAAACTGTGTATCCATTTTGCAGTTGGCCTTTAATGATTAAATATTCATTTCAAACCTGTGATGTAGAATAAGTAGTATTTAATTTTATTTATAGGTAATATAACTGAGGTTCAAATAGAGTTTATAATAACTCATATCTAATAGAAGTATCAGAATTATGTATAAAACTGTGGCACAGAGTAGGTATTTTGTAAATAATAGTTGATTTGTAGTTGGATCGTAGATGGATGGAGGGATGGGTGAATGGATGGATGGATGGATTGATGGATAACTAAAGTTCCAGTCAATCATTCTTGCCATTTATTTTCTCAGGAATTTCTGAGGATCAATTTTGTCTTACAAAAAATAATGGCATTGAAGTATTCTGTTGTTTCAGACTTTTTTTAGGATACAATTTATTCATTTGCTTTCAAAAGGTGCTGAGAATATAAACTTACCTCCTGGAGCATCACTGACTAGAAGAGTAAAAGGATTTTTACTGTGATTGAAAATGCTTTCTTTAAAACATATGCAGTATTTATAGGGCTGCTTGGAATAAGCCAATTGAAAGATTTAATGGTAATAATCTCCATATTTCTTATAAAATTGATTTCCGGATTCAGTGAACTTGGAAAGAGTCCTGGGACATCAAATAAGTAAAATCTTAACATGAAATGAATCTTCAGAATATGTTCATAAATTTACATTTTAAACATAACCAGATAATATATATCTTTACCCGTTATTAAGGTGATACTTTAATGAAAATTTTTCATTTGCATGAAATAAACCTTTTTGGCTACAGATGAAAGGACTTTATGGTAGCGACAATGGTTCTGTGAGTTAAATGATCCCAACATCATCAGGAATGAATCACAAGTGCCTACCATATGAATTACAGCACCATGAGTCTTAAAAAGGTATTTCTGTGGAAAGCATTCCTCCCATCTGCAACAATCAGATTCTGCTTTGAAGTCCTGCTGGAGAGCCTCACAATACATGAGACTGCCACATGCTACCCGAATTTCTCTCTCTACTTGAGCCTGACTGCATTTTCCTAAAGAATAACATGGTAACTTAATGACCAGGGGGTTTAGAGAGGGAGGAAAATGGCTACAGTTTTTATAATTAGACTTCCCTGGATGTGCATTCTTCAGTAATACTTTTTGGATATAACTACAGAAGGTAGTCCAATGGATGAGAAAAATTTAATTTCAAATGAAAATAGGGCAACAATGTGTGACTCCTTTGGTCCCTACTATATTAAATGTGTGGTGAAGTCTTCATAAACATTTCAGGCCCAAATGTAATTGACATGTTAATAAATGAGTAAATTGGTAGTGAGACTTTTTAGCCATAGAAGAGTTACAAATTAATACAAATCATCATGAGATAGGTGTCAGTGAGTATTTCAAAAGCTTTCACTCCTGCTTATCTTGATGCCAGTGCCTCTGCTGCTGAATGGCAGAGTGAGGATGGAGGTTGCCAGAATCATTTTTGTTGTTTCTTTTTTTAACTAGAGGCTTTCCTCAATAGAAAGAAAATAATAGTTGGGGGGAGACTTGTCATGAATGGGAGACTGGCATCAGCAACGTCAACAAATGTTTAAGTAGAAGTAAAATGACTTATCCAATAGATCACAATGTGTCACCATTTCTTTATTAACCAAACGAATCATGATCGAGGTATCTTTCTCTGAGAATTGGCTGCTGATTCTAGAGTCTGTTCTATTTTACTACAGGGAGGCAGGATAGCAATAGTAACTAAATTGTAGGTTGGAGAGAATTCCCTGTTCAACCTACTACAGCATTAACTCAGTTTTGGCCTCCATAGAGACTTCCAATTCCATTTGCAATTTTGTAATAGAAACAGATTTTGTGGGAGAATCTCTCATTTCTCTGAGCTTCTATCAAAACATTAGGTTATTCAAAATAGGCATTGCTAAATATACATGGGTTCTAAAAGAAAAAAGTTTATACAGTTCTGACTGTACTTTGTTCTCCTTTTGGCTTTATGTGCTTTAGGTTCTAGCCCATGCTCTGGTGAAACAGATAAGTTAGCAATAAAAAGAGCAAGGCTTCTTCCAACCCTAATAATACATAATAACACTAGAATAAGATAAACACTAACATACATTGGTCACTTTGATTATACACTAGGCTATTATTTGCTATCTTGTATATTAAACTAAAAACCTAAAGCACACTTAAATATCTAAAAACAGAATTGCTTGGTGCATGGGTACATTTTAAATGATATTGTAGAGAACATGAAAAATGTATCCACTATTTGATATTTGTAAATGTATTTTTAAAAAACCAGAATGATTTTGTTTTATTTAGAAAATACAACAAGAAGCATGAAATACACAAAGGTAGAATTGGCTATTTCTGGTCGATGGAACTATGTATTTATTATTATTTATAATTATTTGATGATGATCATTTATTTTATTTATTTATCAAATAAAAGATAACACTTTATATGATATATCACAACATAGAGCCTGTTTATTATTATACTATTTATTTATTATTTTCTATCATCTTCCAAATTTCTTACAACGAGAATGCAATAATTTTGGTTTTTTAATATAGTTTTTTTTAATGAAAATTAAAATAAAGCTAGTTAAGGTTGTTTCCTTTCACTACCACTATTCTCTGGGAACTATTTGGAAATGTTAGAGAGAAGCATTTGAGACATGTCACCTTGAAGGATGAATCCTTTTGTGTCATCTGACTTGGTTATTAAATACGTATATAAGGCTTAATCTTTGAGCCTTCTTAGAGCAACTTTTCATTTCAAACAACTTCTAAACTAGAGAAAATACTGACACAATATGATTTCTTAGCAGAAACCAACCCCTATAAAGTATCAGGAAATCAAATTGAAATTGATAATTTGAAACCATTACCATATTGATAGCTTATTTAATTCTATTTTTATAATCAAAAATATTAAATTTGTTTCTACTAAATTAATGGAACCAAACAGAGGATTTCATTCTGAAAAGGCCCTTCTAATTCTCTTTCTCAGTGGTTTCAAGGTCATGGTAATTACCAGTTCAGCTCCACTTGGTCATCAAAAGAAATGATTTGTTACAATGTAGAATCCTTCTCATGCTTATAATTTAATGCTGATAGACAATTTTTAAAACAACCAGGCTACATGTAGGATTCTTTAGTAGTAGATGTGGTGTTTGATTAATGCCTCATTCTAAAATATTTCCTAAAATAAAAGCTTAAGTTACCAAATCTCTTTTAAAAAGTATCTGACACGGCTGGGCATGGTAGCTTACGCCTGTAATTCCAGCACTTTGGGAGGCAAAGGCTGGTGGATCACGAGGTCAAGAGATCGAGACTATCCTGGCCAACCAACATGGTGAAACCGCGTCTCTACTAAAAATACAAAAATTAGCTGGGTGTGGTGGTGCACGCCTGTAGTCCAGCTACTCGGGAGGCTGAGGCAGGAGAATTGCTTGAACCCGGGAGGTGGAGGTTGCAGTGAGCTGAGATCACGCCACTGCACTCTAGCCCAGGTGACACAGCAAGACGCCGCCTCAAAAAAAAAAATATCTGAAACAATATGATTTCTTAGCAGAAACCAACACCTATAAAGTATACAGATTCTTTTGTAGTCAATACAGGTAATAGGGATGTCTGTCAAGGCTGATTTTTAGTCAGTGCATCCCAATATGAACCTGTACATGTGGCTGCTCCGAGGCATCCAAGCTCCTCCCTCAGCTCTGCACTCAATTAGGAAACTGATGCCCTATGTGGTTGTTGAGAACCCCGTTCCATCTCTATGTCCAGTGATTGCTTGAGCCTACAAGGTACCATGGTATAGGAACACGTTTTCCACTTAATCACTTAGCCCATCAGCCCTCACACTCAAAACACTCAACCCCGCTTGAGGAAGGTCTGTGCTAAAATTTTTCAACTCTGAAGGTGTTATTAAGTTTACTGTCAAATGTAGGATGAGCTTTTGTGTCTTTAATGAAGCTAGAAGTAAATATGATTACATGAAACTTGCAATCATGCCTACTAAAATTGTTATATATGCTCTAATCTAACACACACATACACACAAACACACACACACACACGTACACATGCCACTGAAACCTTTAATATGTCCTGAAAAATAATACCTTCACCTGGGTAGCCACACTCGGCTGGCATTTTTAATGTTTCTAATATGTACAGTAACAGTGGACACAGCAGAATTCAGGATAATAAAATTAAAAAAAAATACTGAATTGCTTATTTTGATTTGAAGAAAGGGCATGGGCCTTGTAGAACTTTCCTTACATCACTTGAATGTTTTGTGCATGCATAACTTAGAGTTCAGCTGCCTCAGTCTCTGACTGCAGAGATCACATGGGTAACATGTGAATGGAAATAAACCCTGTAGGTAAAAGAAAGAGGAATTTGGATAGAGATCAAAGATTAACTTCATTCCACTCTTTCCTTCCACTTTTTACTATCCCATCTAAATTTGGCATTTTATGGGACTTTTTTTCATTGCCAGAGGAAAGAGTGAACTTAAACCAGATTTGGATCGCTCTGTCTCTTTCTTTCTTTAATCCAGTGATTTGGTTTGTTCAGTAGTGACTTTAGATAATTGAATTCTCAGTTACTAGAAATTATTAGTAAGATTTCTGGCTTGATTTATTATATCTTTTAAAATTATAACTGTAGCCCTGGTTTAGGTTACAGAAAAAGCGGTCTAGAATATTTAATAATATGATTAACAGAAATGTGTCCTTACCTATTAGGTTTTTTACATAAATTTTCTAGAATGGTACTAATTACTATGTGCTATTAATCTTGGCTCAGGGAAAGAACATTTCTAAGCATTAGGGATCAAAATTTTGCGTTACTTCTTTTCTGAATGTTTATCATTCTTTTTATTGTCATCCCGGTAATAAGGTAGTTTAGTGTGGACAGCCTCATTCCTAAGTGGCCTGGGTAAAAGATTCTTATCGGCATCATAATGAGGTCCATAGGAATTGAGAAAAACTAAAATGCTTGATAACAGTTTTTAACTAATTTTTAAATCCTTTTTAAATGTATTTTTGTCAAGAATTTTAAAACGTGATAATTGTAAAGTGACTAATTTGACTTCCATCCAAATAGTAGTTAAGTGGTTAAAATCAACATTAAAGTGCTTCAAGATATTGAGGAGATTCACTCATCCTGTTCATGGTGAACATCAAGTGCTAGACCAGAAGGGAAAATCTAGGCAGTTGTTTACCAAGTGGATTATTTTAATGCATTACCGGGATTAATGTATTATTTTATTGTTCAAAATAGAAGCAACCTAATTTAGTTTCAGGCTCTCATTATCTGATGATTTTATAGGCTTTCATTAAATTCTAGTGAATACATCCTGAGAATTTATTTTCTTTTCAAACTAAAGACTATGACAATTAAAAGATCATTGGTTGCCAGGAGTTGAGGGGCAGAGAGGGAGGATGAATAGGTAAATCACAGGAAATTTTCAGGGCAGTCATTGATTCTGTCTGATAGTATAATGGTGGATGCGTGACATTATGCATTTGTCAAAACCCACAGAATGTACAACACAAAGTGTGAACCTCAACTATACTTTAGTTAATAATAATGCATCGGTACTGGCTTATCAATCATAACAAATGTACCAAAATGATGCAAAATGTTAATATGGAAAGAAAGAGACTGGATATGGAACTTGCTGTACTTCCTGCTCAGTTTTTCTGTAAATACAAAACTGCTCTAAAAAATAAAATCTATGAATTATGAAAAATTCAATTGATTTAAAAATTAAAATTTTTTGCTGTAAGTTCACAAAGCATATAAAAAATGAAATGTTCTACTGAAACACGTGTTTTCATTTATTTTTATTTACCGTACCTTTTGGCAATTGCCCCTGAAATTGGACAGGTCGGATGCCATGATAATTTTTTCTAAATGTTGAATGAGAAACATTCAAATTTGGCAATATGAGACATTACATATTCTTAAACACTTTTATGTGAAAGTATCTCAAAATGCTGAATTAAATATTAAAATCATCCTTTTAAATTTGTGGTTGACTTCCAAAAGATAGAAAAAGGAGAGTAAATCCTGAAGTTGTTGACTACCCTGGGGGCATCTATACCAAAATCTCCAATCGGTCGGAGTTGGAACATTAATAATCTACTGCATATTGCAAAAGAGGGTCAGAGGCTTGGGCCTAAGAAGGGGAGGGAATTTAACTGGAGACCAGAATAAAGAAAGAATGACAAATGGCCAACACTTTGGAAGAGAATAAATAGGAGAAAAGAAAATACTCCTAAATAAAACATCATATCTATCTTAGCTTTTGCCACCAATAAAGGGAATTTCCGAAAGAAAGTTTCAGAGAAAGAGAGAGAAAGAACGTAAGAGAGAAAGAGAAAAAGAAGAAAGAAAGATAGAAAGAAAGAAGGAAGGAAGGAAGGAAGGAAAAAAAGAAAGAAAGAAAGAAAGAAAGAAAGAAAGGATGTCCTGACTTTCTTCTCCATGAGAATTTGTAATAAAGTTTTAAGGTCCATATTTATAATATACATGTGCAAACAAAAACAGCAAACTCCACAACCAGTCTTGCCATATAAGAATTTAAAATAGGTCCTAGAAGGTAGTGTCCCAGATATCCAGCAAAAGCAAACAATATCACACTTGAGCCAGACTTGAATGACAGATACCATATTCAACCCCAGTGTCTTAGTTCAGGCTGCTGTATCAAAATACGATAGACTGATAGCTTATAAACAACAGAAATTTATTTCTCACAGTTCTGGTTACTGTAAGTCTGAGATCAGCTTGCCAGCATGGTCAGGTTCTGGTCAGGGCCTTCTGGAATAAAGACTGCCAAGTAAAGACTTGGACCCTTAGAAGGCAACAAGAGAACTAGAGGACTCTGGGTCCTTTTTGTTAAGGGTACAAATCTAATTTACGAGGACTCTACCTAATCTGGATTAAAGAGTGCCAACTTCTCCTTGGATCCTTAGAAGGCAACAAGAGAGCTAGAGGACTCTCTCTGGGGTCCCTTTTGTAAGGGTACTGATCTCATTCATGAAGACTCTACATAATTATCAAAGGCTGCCTCTCAAAAACATCACATTGGAGGTTAGAATTTCCATATATAAATTTTGGGGTGTAGTCACATTCAGTCCATTGCACCAAGCTTCAAATATTTTTCACATATAAAGTTACAATGAATACAAGCTCAAAGTACTCCACAAATTAAATAAATTAATAAAAGTTTTTAAAAAGGGGATAATTAAGGCAGCATGAACATGAATCAGCAGAAACAACAGAGAGCAAACTAAACCAAAAGATTTCAAATGTCAGTTACAGAATATAAAATAATTATGCTGAAAGAAATAAAAGAAGAAATAAAAACATAAACAAGGAGTTAAGAAAGTATCATAATGACCAATAAGTCACGAAATAGAACAAAATTGGAATTCTAGAGTTAAATAATACAATCACAGAAATGAAAATATCACTAAAGATGTGATGTAGCAGATTAGAGATGTCTGAAGAGGGAAAGTCTGGAAGACAGCTCTGATTCAAAAATATACGTAATGCAGGACAGAGAGAGATGGAAAATATGAAAGAGAACTTAGATCAAGGAAATATTTACAGACAATGTCCACCTACATCTATGTGGAACTTCAAAATAATGTAATAGAGTAAACAAACATTTTATTTCAGCAAATTTAAACAATGAAATAAAAGAAGGAAACGCCTGTAAAAATATAACTTAGGACGATATAGAAAGCAGGTGTAGTGATATAATCCCTTTAAAAATTCAATCAATACTAAAAATATTCTTCAAAGTGAACACAAGACCCTAATGGTTTCATACGAGATTTGTCCCCAACATTCTGGCATCAGATAATAAAAACAGAGGGTCCCAACCACATCAAAATTCATTATGGCCAATACAGGAATGGAAAAGTACAGATTAACCCCATTCATGAACATACTCAAAAAAATCTTAAAGCATTAGCAAAACAAATCCAGGTGTGTACTAAAAAGATAATACATTATGACCAAGCTTATTTTACTTCCTAAATGCAATGATGGCTTCATATTTGAAATATTAATTAATGTAACTAACAGCACTGTGAAATTATGGGGAAAAGTCTATCTGTGTAAAGAAATAATTAGATTAAATTACATTTGTAATGAAATCTCTAAGTTAAATTAGAAATAGAAAACTCCCCTCTTACACTGAATGAAAACACAATAAGATGCCATTTTTTTGCCACCCACTTGGCAAACCATACCAAATGTTGGCAAGGATGTGACTTAACTGGAATTCTTACATATACTGTTTCTGAGGGTGGGGCTTGGTAATAGCCCTTTGGAAATAATCTGGCATTATTTAGCAGATTTTTAAGACTCAACAATTCTGTTTCACATGTGCATATGTGCACCAGAAGACCCGTGTAAGAATGTTCATGGCGACGTTATTTGTAACGACAAAAAAACTGGAATTTGGTGATAACAAGAAAACCAACTCTCTGCCAATAGAAGAATGGGTAACCTCTGTTGACATATAATGGCCTACTAGACAGCAAAAAAACTATAGCTACAGGGATCAACAAAGATGAGCTAACAAAATACATGAAAATAGCAAGTTGCAAAAGTGTAAAACCATTTTTATAAAGTTGAAAAACAAGGAAATTTAGAAAAGGAAAGCAATGGAATTATAAACTCAGGATCCTGATCTCCCACAAGGAGGAGGATAGCTACTGTCAGAGAAAGGCACATGGGGGTTGAAAAAGTGTTGCTAACTTAATTTTCCTTAAGTTGGAAGGTAAAAAAGCAGATATTTGTCATATTATTGTATTTTATAACTCGTATAGATGTTATTCATATTTTGCATTTATCAAATGTTTCATAATAAAATAATGCTTATAAAATCTAATGTAATAGATTTTACATTACATTAGATAATGTAAATATTATATTAGATAATGTAAATTTGTAATATATAGCAATTTGGGGCATAGAAAACTTTCTATAATAAAGGCCATTGATAGCGACAGGAAGCATATGGTAAGCAAATGGAAGAGTTTACCTTGTTAACACCTGCTGAAGAGTATTCAGTTTTTTTATCCAGATACATACAGACCATGTTATGAAAAGCAGCCCTGTGCACTGGTGAAGAGCTAGATTGGTGCCAGTCTTGGTTGTGATACTTCTTAGCTGTGGGATCTTGGGCTTTGGGTCCCTTATCTGTAAAATAGAGATAATAATAGGACCTAATCCATAAAGTTATTTTAAGTATTGGATGAGTTAGCACACAGAAAATGCTTAGTAATGACTTACTCAAAATACATGCTCAATGTTAGATTCTAGTGATCACTTTCTCTTGATTTAATACTTTGAAATGTTCTGTTTGTATTATGGTAGGTTTTGGTCATTTGACGAAGCAATTGATGACATTGGCTGATGGACGTGTGGTGTTGGCTCTAGAAGGAGGACATGATCTCACAGCCATCTGTGATGCATCAGAAGCCTGTGTAAATGCCCTTCTAGGAAATGAGGTAAAAAAGTAAAAGTACAAAGGGGCAGGGGTAAAGAATCAGGGATGTATGCATGCATATTTTTAAACTAAAAAAAAATTCTGCATACTCAGAAAGCTTAACATTGCTCTTACCATTAAGAAAGAAGGTAAGCCTTAGATAAGTTTACATGTTCTCGTATACTACAATGTTATCCCAGGTACAGAATCCACATAGCACTCACTCCCTTCAATCAGGTTAGCCATGGAGCTCAAAAATAAGAACATTTTGTCTACTGACCCAACCAATGAGTACGGAAACATTGAATAAGAAATAAAACTTTAAAAAATGTCTGGAGGTTTCTTGTAGGGTTATGTTATTTCTGGGAAAAAAAAACTGTTTTAAAAATTGGTAAACTATTTTTGTCACCATTTAAGAATTCTTTATGCTAAGAGGTAGGTATTTCCATCTTACAGATGGTGAGAATGAGTCTCAAAAATGTTGAGAAATCCATCCAAAGTCATGCAGTCAGAATGCATTATAAGATCCAAGACATGAACATGAATCTAAATGGCCAAAGACCATTATATTTTCTTTCACATCACATGGCTACATTGCAACATACTTTCTGACTACTCTGCAGAATTCAGATCCAATTGCTATGAGGTTCACTTCCAGCTCATGGCAACATTTTCAACCAATTAGTTGCAATTCAGCAAATATTTCAAAGTTTCTATGTATTCATTAATATTATCCATTAATCTATTTTCTATAGTGATTATACAGTAGTGTTAAGACTATCATATGCATTTTGCCTTTCTTTTATGAATTTGCAATATGATTTTGCTTATTAGATAAACATATACAAAATCTTTTTAAAAATCTATCATTCATATCATTTTTTTAACTGTAATGCATGCCTTTGCCTGTAGTATTTTATAAAACAAAATGTACCTTTTCTTCTGCACATAGAACACATAGTTACTATTGTCATCATTATTTTACAAACCTGTAATGTTTCCATATGATTATTTTTCATATATATTGAAGTAAAAATGTATGTTGTTAATTTGAAGAAAAAATATGAGAGAGAAAACTTAAGCATTGCTCAAGTACTTTGCTCTTGTTAATTTTTTTTTTTTTTTTTTTTTTTTTCTGAGATAGAGTCTCGCTCTGTCGCCCAGGCTGGAGTGCAGTGGCGCGATCTCGGCTCACTGCAACCTCCGCCACCCGGGTTGAAGTGATTCCCCTGCCTCAGCCACCCAAGTAGCTGGGATTACAGGTGTGCACCATCACGCCCAGCTAATTTTTGTATTTTTAGTAGAGACGGGGTTTCACCATGTTGGCTAGGCTGGTCTCGAACTCCTGACCTCGTGATCTGCCCGCCTCGGCCTCCCAAAGTGCTGGAATTACAGGCCTGAACCACCGTGCCTGGCTGTCTTGTTAATTTTAGACAGCACAGTAACTCAAAGGATGTAATTATCTAATGATTAGTGTCAACAAAGTGCTGCTGTTTCAGATCACGCACAATTCAACGTGTGTAAAATTTTCTAAAATGTTAGTGTCTTTCTGTGATCCCTGTACACCAATAATGTCAAACAGGATGTTGAGTGTTTTTTTGTGGCAGTAAGGGAGTGCAAGAAATAAATGCTATTTTTATTTTATAAGTTGATGTTGGGGTGCTTCTTTGTCCCCTAGATAACATTTTTTGCATAGTCACCTGTATTCTGAAATCACTTATTTGATTTTAATTATAGAAATATGTTACAGAAGCATAATAATATTAATATTTGCATTATAAAGGCTTACACCAGATGTGCAGACAATCAGAATAGGTTGTGGATCTGTAGCTCCATGGATAATTGACCTAGCCAGAAAGAAATGTTACCTGATTGCAAAAGCCAACTACTTTTCTTCCTATGTGGAAGGAAATCAGGGATTTTACTGGCTTTCTTTGAACACATGCATTCAAATGTCTCTATACTCATAATCTTTTGCTCTTAACCCAACATTTCCAATGAGGATGGAGTGATCTCCCCTATGATCTCTTTCTTTAAGAAATGATTATGTTTCAGAACAGATTCAACTGTGTGGAGTTACATGTTTTTCTTAATTTATCTGTGTTTACTGTAAAGCAAAGTGTGTTTTGTACCTTGCTGCCATTCTATGACCTTTTGACTGGGAGAACTCTGGCCATTTTAGTACACGTGCTTTTCGTGGAGATGAAATACACTGCTTTTGTAGAGCAATTAGTGACTTTAAAATTGATGGCATGAGCCGAGATCCCGCCACTGCACTCCAGCCTGGGCGACAGAGCGAGACTCCGTCTCAAAAAAAAAAAAAAAAAAAAAAAATTGATGGCAATATGAGAGATTACATATTCTTAAATATTCCTATATGAAAGTATCTCGCTGGCCGGGCGCGGTGTCTCACGCCTGTAATCGCAGCACTTTGGGAGGCCGAGGCGGGTGGATCACGAGGTCATGAGATCAAGACCATCCTGGCTAACACTGTGAAACCCTGTCTCTACTAAAAATACAAAAAATTAGCGGGGCGTGTTGGCAGGCGCCTGTAGTCCCAGCTACTCCGGAGCCTGAGTCAGGAGAATGGCATGAACCCGAGAGGTGGAGCTTGCAGTGAGCCGAGATGGCACCACTGCATTCCAGCCTGGGCGACAGAGGCGAGACTCCGTCTCAAAAAAAATAATAATAAAAAAAAATCTCAAAATGCTGAATTAAATATTAAAACCACCCTTTTAAATTTATGAATGACTTCCAAAAAGATAGAAAAAGGAGAGTGAATACTGCAACTGTTGGCTACCTTGGAGGCATCTGTTTGAAAATCACCAACTGGTCAGAGTTTGAACATTAATAATCTACTGCATATTGCAAAAGATAGTCAAAGCCTTGGGCCTAAGAAGGAAAGGGAATTTAATTGGAGACCAGAACGCAGAAAGAATGACAATGATGTCACCTGATTTAAAGTGTGAGACCTGTGCCTTTTCTCTATATGTTTAGAAAGACCAGGCTTGAGAAAGAGAAAGGAATAAAGGTATTGCTGGACAATATTAAACCTGACCATGTGAGTGTTTAGATTGCTAAAATTTCCAGTAAGTGCTAACTGAAATGATTATTTTTGGCTATATTGACTATTGAACTTACTAATTAATATGTATGTCTTATGGTAAATTTGAGTTAGTTATTATGATGCCCTAAATACCAGCTTGTCCCTTTTGGTTGGTGGTCTTCAGTTGCATAAGCACAACCTAAAATTTTTTCAATATAAACTAAAGGAAGGGAGGTTTAAATAATGTATGCTTTTCTATATTTTTTGCATTAAACTTTCTTGGGAACATAAATAAGAATATAGAATTCCTAGCAGATACTTTAAGGGTAACAATGAATATGGGATTATTGAATTTTTGAAAGGTAAATTTTGTTGTGTCAGGTCTATCAGTATATGGAAGAACAAAGTTAAGAAAAAGAAAGATTATTAAAAGTGAAAAATTAAAGAAAAATACAAATGTGTTGTACATTATAATTCATTTGGAAAAAGGAAATGAAAATATAATACATAAAACACATTAAAGAATGGAGAGTTCTTCTCACTTTCATTGACAATATAATTTATAATCCAAGGCCTGGTTTTCTGTATTTTTTTCCAGGTCAAAGATCATTATGACTACACTGAAGTTTTAAATTTTATTCTTTTAGAAAAGTAATATATAAGGCGTATTACATGTACTTCACCATTTTTTAAAAAGTGCATATATGTAGTTTTCACAGTAGTTTTATATGGTAAGCTGTAGGTAAAAAAATACAAAAGGATGTCTTTCAGATTGCGATTTCAAATCCCAGTTTCCCTCCAAACCCTTTATTCAGTGATTAATAGAGCAATTAGAACTCATTATCTGGGATTTCACTTTTACAAATAACAAAATGTAGTAAAGCTTGAACTTAAAACATTGGCAGAACCCGCTTTAGTTTCTCAACACTGAACATGCAATTGAACTCCCATTAGAAAGGTCAAGAGGGGCCTTTCTGAGGGCCTCTGCTCTTTGTCAGATGTATTTATTCATGTGCAGAGGATTAGAATTCATAAACATTTTGCCAGTTTTTTGAATGCTATTTCTTTCCCTTGTTGTTTTTGGCCAGGCCATGTCAATACAGCAAAATTTTGCTTCTTAGGGCTTATGATCAGCAGAATAATATGTATTACATAACCCAAAGTAATTATAAAATCAGCAGGAACCGTTAGCTGTGCATCTGTGTAGACACATAGAGGGGTACCAAAAAACTTGATTTTTAAAAATTTTAGTTATCTGAGTGTTGCACCCAAAACATGCATTTTCTTCTTTTTAAATATCTTTATCATGAAAATGATCTACTTAGCAAAACATCTCTTAACTATTCTTTTCAGAAATATGTACAAGGTCAGTCAAAATAGTATACTATTGGATTAAAACTAATTTGAGCATGGTACAGGAAATTCCTGGAGGCAACTGATATTGAAGACATACCAGAAGTCCATTTTTTTCTTTTTCTTGGCAAAGTTTAGAACTTAGATTTATCAGTCCAATCAGTGCATGATGAATATTTTTGATCTTTTTCAATGAAGCACTTAGAAACACCAGCTTGGGGTTTGCAAGAAATTGAAGTGAATATTTAAATGAGAAGAATCATTAAGTTGCTTGGAAAGGCATTAGGGATACTTGTGTCAATAACCACATAGTTTTTAGAATTCATAATAGAAACATCTGTGAGGTTCCCAGAAAATCTGATTTTGGTAATCTGTATTTGAGCTGATTGGCAAACAGTGTCACAGTTGCTTTAAGGCCAAATTTGCCTACTGTTATGCAAAGCCAATTAGTGGCACCCCGGGTTACTTCCTCTGAAAGAAATTTTCCCAAGAGGTGAGAAAAGCTTTAAGCAGTTGCCATTCCTATGGAATCTAAAACAAAAACATTGAAAAACTTCAAGCAAGTCAAAGAAAGGAGAGGACATGTAGTAGTAGAAGCCTTGGGTAGTGAGTTGAGAACATGGCCATTAGAAGATCACCTGTCAATACCGAATAAATGATGATTTCTAAGCTTGTTAGAGGAAAAAAGCAAAACAAATTGTCATAGGTCTGGAAGCTGTTGAGATTATGGTAAATCCTCTAGTACTGCAAGTTCAGCATTTACACTTGGAGCATATAGCATGTTTTGATTTCCCTCACTCTTTTTAAAATTTGGATTCTGATTTCTTTTTTTGTCTCTTCTTTTTTTTTTCTTTTCTTTCCCTCCCTGCCTCCCTCCCGTTATTCTTCACTTCCTCACTCCCTTCAACCCTCTCTCCCTTTCTCCCTCCCTCTCTCCAGTTTCTTTTTAATAACTGCTATCTCCTGTTGAGTATGCTCAGCTGCTTCTATTTGACTTGAATTTCACAAACAGTGGCTAAACTTAGTGATTGTGTTGGTTGATAATCTTTTAAAGATGACGTTTTGCTCTAAAGCTGCTGAAACAGTCTCTTGAATTGACTCTAGTAAGTGTTGACAACCACCCCTGAGGTGAACTCTTGAGATGTTGTTGTCCAAGTTGCTCATCAGGGGTTTGTTTTCATTGGATTCCGAATAGGGAAGTTGTTTTGCCATCTTTTTCATCCTTTAGATTATGTATGGCTGAAGCTTAGTCCATTGGGGAATTGGTGTGAATCTGGGAAAGCTTACAAGCTCCTAAATAGTTGCCATTCATGAGTAAAGGAAGGAGGAACTGAATACAGGGACAATGTATGATATGTCAGAATAGTGTTTTTCTATGGTTTTCTTTTAAACTTTGAAGGCTCTCCATACTCTGAAAGAGAATGTGTGGGTAATCTAAAGAGAATAAAACTGTTTGGGGAAAATATTATTTGAAGATACTTTTCAGTGTAGATGTGGCCTGTGATGTTGCATTTCTTATATTCAACAAGGCAGAGCCAAATTGGTTGTGGATTTATTTTTGTTTATATCTTTTATCAAATGCCAAATGAAGTGGACGTTGTTTGGATAATTCAAAACTCCATTATATAAATTTTCTATATAGTCTTTAGGTTTTTCAGAGGGTGTTAAGGAGAATATGGGCCAGGGACCTGGATATTTCACAGGTTGTGGTAACCAATAAAAGAAAGAAAGCAGTTCTTTGCCATGGTGAAACAAACATGAAATGACATTCATTTATCTGACCATTCATTAGTCTTTTATTGGGCATGTATTTTGTGCCCAAAAGTTTCAATATAAGTAAAAGTAAAACAAAGTGCTTTGGGAATATAACATAAAACCATTGTTTTTAACTACAGAGATCGAGGAATATTTTAACATTTAATTGGTCTTGAATAAAAAAATCAGACTAATATGAGCTAATGTCTAAGGAAAAGATTATCATGTAATGGGAAAGCATAGATAAAGACATTAAGACTTCTTGGAATTGTGGATGGCTCTGTTTGGATTTGTTCGTTTTGTTTTTGGTAGAGGAGAGGTATGTTGAGTAGAATAAAAGTATATACTGGGGCTGAATCTGGGTAATGGAATATCATAAGGAATTAGAATTTCTGTGAAAAAATATGGAAGCTTTGAATAAATGAATCCCAAGCTTTGGTGTAAAACAACAACAGCAACAAAACAGCATTTTGTTTGTTTGTTTGTTTTGGAGATGGCAGAAGCTTGTAGAAGAAAACAAAGCTTACTATGAAAATAACTATTAGCAATTTTCCCAGATAATCAATAAACAAAATTATACTCTAACCACAATATGCTGGAACTGACTGTAAATGACTTGTGAAAGCCAATTGTGTGTATCTCTGCTTAAATCTAAGTTTAATAACATCACGTTAGTAGCTTGAAATAGGCCATGGTGGGAATATTTACACCACAGAAATCAGCAAATACTACAAATTAGGACTACTACTTGGACAGTTAGCAGTTCAACATTTACCGGCACACCACTGCTACATAATGTGAAACAGGTCTTGTTAGCAGAAAAGTCAACACTTGGAAAAGAGTATCATACAAAATCTCTTTAATAAAATAAAAAAAATTAAAGAAAATATTGAAAAATATAAAATTAGCAGATTAAAGGAAGAAGAGATTAAAAAAGCAAATAAAGAGAATACTAAGGCACACAAAGTGAAACAGGACTTAACAAATTTGACTGTCAAATTTAAACTTACTTGCAGAAACAGGGGCAAGTAAACAAGATTTTTGGCATTTAATGTGAGCCAAGCCTTCTTCATAACAATTGATATCCAGACTACAGACATTATGTTGGAAAACTACACATACAGCCCTGAACGAACTTCCCTTCAATGTTGTTAGAACTTTAGTTTGACATGCACTTTTCAACATATGTAGTATTTTCCTAACTCTACTGTGTGGTTCTAACTGTTTTCTCATTATGTTGTATATCTACAAACTTACCTTAATGATTAAACAAGAATATCAATAATCTGAATCATCCAACAAATTGTATTTATTATCCTCTTTCCAATTGACCGCTATGCCTTCTTCCATTTATTTTTAGGTTTATTTTTAATTACTTAGTTGGTGACTGCCATAGATGTTTAAATATATCATGTGCAAACTGTCCATGGTTAAGCATCATGGAAATTATGGGATACTATTTGGGTTTGATATGGAACAGAGGCATCTTCTCATAGTCTTCCTCCTTTCATTCATTGGCTGATGTATTGTTTAACCTACATTTCTCTAAGCCATAGTAGTTTTGGACAAAACTCAGTTAATAGAACAATAACTACAGTAATAATCTCGGAGTCTGACTCACTGGTCCCTCTTACCTTATTCAAGGAATTCCTGCAATATCTCATGTGAGCTGATGACCATGACTGTTCCCTTTACCTCTTGGTCTTCCTGTTACTCTCATAAGACTTATGTCACTGCTATTGACCAGAGATATTTCTTTATTGCTGTGTTGATATCACCCTATGTCATCCACATGTAGGTAGGATGCAGGCAGACGCAATCTGAATAATTTCAATAGTTTGTCAGTGTAGTAACTTGATTGTCAATACAATCACCCTGATTCTGATATTTCCCCCAATCTATTTGGTCAAGAATTTTAATGACTTCAAACAAATAAAATAGGTTATTTCAAGAATGACTCATGAATCACAATTTGGATAAAATTATAACCAGATTTACTTACACAATCAAATTAAACATACACAACTAATTGCAGACTTCTCTAAGACAATTATTCAAATGAGAGTTGAGTTTCCACCACCAATCCCTCCTCACTAGGGAATTGATAATAGTTCATTAGCATGGAGAGTCAGGTCTTCATTACAATCTGCTTCCCTTGTCCTCTTGGTCTTGATTATCATATTCTTCCAACGTTCCACAATATCTTTGACTCTGACAACTGAACCCTTTCTGCATTTTGTCTGAGTCGCTTTGCATGTTGCAGGGGGACTTTCAGCTTTCTTTGTAAGTAAATTTGTGGCCTTGTACCTAAGAATATAACATGTTGCTCTTATGCAAAATATATAATCTCACTTTGTTTCCTGGAAGGACAGTAATACAGTGGAAAGAACATGAACTCAAGATCTAGACTTTGTTTCCCTATTCTCTTACATCACAGTGCTTTTAATTTTTTTTGGATTTTTAATTTTTGCTACACTGTTTTTAATTGTAAAATATAACAATTATACAGAAAACTGCAAAACACAAATGTACAACTCAATGAAATATCACAGAGATCACATATGTAATGATCAACCAAGAGATAGAGTAATGTCAGCTCTATCTCTATGAAAAGCCCCCACATTCCTTTTCTAACTAGTATCCCCTTTCTCTTTTCTGAAAGTAACCAATTTTCTGATGTCTAAGACTATATTTTAATTTGTAGCTTTATATCCATGAAATCATACAATATATAATTCTTACTCATTTTGCTTAAGAGATTTATCCATGTTATTGCAGCTAGCTATATTTGATTCATTTCCATTCACATATAGTATTCCATTCTATAAAAATAACTTTTAGGGAAATGTCACAGTTTATTTACATATTCTGCTTTTGACAGATAAAGGGAATTTTTCCAGTTTGGGGGCTATTGTATCTAATGTTGTGATGGACATTTTATATGTGTTTCTTGGTGCACTTGTACCGACATTTTTGTTGAATATATTTCTACAAGTGGTATTGCTGAATCCTGAAATATGCATGTGTTTAAATGTGTTTTCCATAGTGGCAGTTACAATTTGTACTCCTACCAGTGGCATACAAGTGTTTACACAGTTCTGTATCCTTCTAATACTCCATATTGTCAGTCTTTTAAAATCTTAGCCATTCTGTTGGAGGTGTAGTAGTATATCACCATGGTTTTGATTTGCCCAGACGCTAATGCGGTAAAGCAGTTCTTCATCTATTTATTGATCATTTGTACATACTGTTTTTGAAGTATCTATTCAAAACTTTGGTCCACCTTCATATTGTCTTTTTCCTTACTGATTTAGCAATTCTTTATAGGTTCTAGTGTTAGTTTCATGTGTTGAAATATCTTGTCTTTTCACCGTCTTAAAGGTGACCTTTGATAATTGAAAGTAACTTTTTAATGTGGTATAATTTATCAATCTTTTCCTGTAGGATTGGTTCTTTTTGTAATCTGTTTAAGTATTCTTTCTGGATTCCCAAAGTCAAGAAAAGATTATTTTTATTCTTTCCTTCCTCTTTTCTGAAAGGTTTATTTTTTGACTTCAACATTTAGATGCATAGTTCATCTGGCATTGAATATGTATATGGCATAATATAGAGGTCAGGTTTGTTTGTTTCAATGTGAATATACAGTTGATCAAGTACCACTTATAGAAAAGACCATCCATTCAGCCAGGCACAGTGGCTCATGCCTGTAATCCCAGCACTTTGGGAGGCCAAGGTGGGCGAATCACGAGGTCAGAAGTTTGAGACCATCCTAACCAACATGGTGAAACCCCATCTCTACTAAAAATACAAAAATTAGCTGGGCGTGGTGGTGCGCACCTGTATTCCCAGCTACTCAGGAGGCTGAGGCTGGAGAATCGGTTGAACCCAGGAGGCAGAGGTTGCATTGAGCCGAGATAGCACCACTGCACTCCAGCCTGGGTGATAGTACAAGACTCCGTCTCAAAAAAAAAAAAAAAAAAAAAAAAAAAAAAAAAAAAAAGACCATCCATTCATTATGGCTCAGTAGTGTTAACTTTATCCATGTATACATGGAGAGTCTATTCTATTTCACAGGTTTCTCTCTTTTTATGTGATATTATCAGACTGTCTTAACTACTGTAGTTTTATAAAACGTCTTGATATCTGCTAGAACAAATCTTTCTGTTTGTTTTTCTTCTTCAAGACAGTCTTGGCTACATTTGGCCCCACTGCATTTTTATATAAAATTTTAGAATCAGCTTGGGTGGTTGTACAAATCACATATAAGTGGATATAAATGGATTTAGTTCACCAATTAAGACAAAGGTGATAACATTGTAATAACAGATGCTCTTTGAAGGGAAGCTTTCTGTAATATAATTATAAGGAAACTTTGAATGAAGGAAATGAAAAAAAATTTATCCACAAGAACTAACTGAAGGAAAATTCATGTGACCATATTAATATCAGATAAAAATGGACTTTAAGGCAAGAAAAAAGAGAAAATAGAGATCAAAAGAGGTGTTTCATACTGATAAAATATTCTATGAACCAAGAAGATAAAACAATTCAAACTTTTTGTGTCTAAGACAGCATGAAAACATATTAAGTATACATGGAAAGAACCAAATGAAAAAATTGGCAAAACCACAATCATCATAACAAATTTTAGTACACGTCTCTCAGTAACTGATAAACCATGAAGAAAATAAAAGTGAAGGGTGATGTGGAAGATTTAAACACTTGATAAACTTGCTATAATTTAAATATATAATGGAGTATATATCCCCTAACATGACAGAATATCATTCTTTTCAAGGACATTCTTAACATTTTTAAAAATAGACCGTATATGGAGCATAAAGCAAGTTTCAATAAATTTGAACTAATTGAATTCATACATAGTATAATTTCTTACCACAGTGAGGTAATTAGAAAATCGTATATATTTTGAGATTTCAAATATACTCTAATTCATGTGTCCAAAGAAATCACAGTGAAATACTAGAAAGTATTCTGAAATAAAGCATTATGAAAATATAACATGTGAAAACTTGTGTGATATATAAAGCTGAACTTAGAGAAACATATGCTTTTAAATGTATATATTAGAAAAGAAGAAAACTTAAAATTAATGTTTAAAAGCATATATCTCATTAGAGAATCAAAGCAGCAAATTAAATGCAAAGAAACCAAAGAAGATATAAATAAAATGATAAAATAGAAAACAAGCATATATGTAAGATTTTTAAAGTCAGAGGTTGATTCTTTGAAATAAGTAGTAAAATTGATCGAACTCTAGTAAGACTGACCAACAAAGAAAAAGCATGCATGCCCAGCACTGGGAAAGAAAAGGAGACTTCACTACAGATTTTAATGTTATTAAAAGGATGACAAGAAAATATTAAAATAAACTTTACGTAAACATTTCAAAAACTTATGAAATGGAATATATTAAATGGAAAAATTATAATAAAAATGCAACCTTGCAAGACTGAATAAAAATACAGCAAATGTGAGTGGTTCTTTAATTACTTACAAAACTGGGTTTTTAAAACTAAATTTACCAGGAGAAAACACAAAACCCATATAGCTTCACCAGGAAATTCTACCAGGAATTTAAGGAAAAAATAACACCAATCACAAATTGTTTTAGAATAAAGGAATGGATGGTAGGAAGAATCCATCACAAATAATTTTTTGAGGCCTATGTGATACCAATACCAAAAACTTAACAGAATATCACAAGAAAGGAATATTATAAGAGAATATTTCTCATAGTCATAGTAGTTAAAACCCTAAATAAAATATTAGCAGTTCATCAAGATCTTAAATGTTCATAAAAATTGGGTTTACTCTAGAAATATAACATATCAACTTTCCAAACTAATTCATTATAATTCATCACATTAAGACAATGAGGAAGAAATATATTTCAATAAATGTTTTAAAAGCAGCTGATAAACTACCCAATCATAATGAACAATTTTTACAAATAGAAATAAAAAATGTTTATTAACTTGATAAAGGATAGCTACAAAATAAATTCCACAGTATACATCAGGTTTAAAGGGGAAATATAGAAATTATTCTTTTAAATCGAAAACAAGACGAAGATACTCTTACTGCTTCATTTCAGCATTGTTCAGGGAATCCTAGACAGTGCGATATTGTAAAAAAAAGAAAAAGATATCAGTATTGGAGAAAAATAAATAAATCTTTCACTATTTACAGATGATTTGTAATTGAGTATGAAGAAAATCTATTAAAAGATGTTCATTTAAATTATGAATTAATATGTAAATTTAACAAAGTGGGTAGTTAATTAAAAATCAGTGAAAATTTAAAACTCACTTAAAAGGTTTAGTAAAAATTAATTATATATCTATATAACTGTCATAACTGTAGAAAATAAAAGTTTAAGAATACACTGGTTTTATGTAACCAGTTATCGTTA
Organism: Homo sapiens; assembly: GCF_000001405.40. NCBI lineage: Eukaryota > Metazoa > Chordata > Mammalia > Primates > Hominidae > Homo > Homo sapiens. The sequence goes on from NC_000007.14 coordinate 18,948,511, forward strand.
AGGGAAACTGGGTGAAGAGTACATGGGAATTTTGTACAATGTTTGAAACTTTCTATAAATATAAAATTACTTCAAAAAACATTTTAATAATGAGTTTATTTCACACACACATTTTTGTATCCCCACCATTTCCGTGTCTGACCACTACTATACTATATCCTATCATAACATTCCATACATACTTAAAACCAAGCAAAGGGTGGAGTTCCATCTTAGAAAACTGAACAGACATTTTGGACAACACATTCTTGGCAATGGAACCTGGACAACATTTATCAGATATGGTATGTAAATTTCTCACTCTGCATTACAAAAAGACAGGTGGATATCAAATGATAGAGAAATGAAATAAGACAGAAATTTTCTAACAAGCTGTTTAAACTATTAAGGAGACTTCTTGCTCCACTGCCAGAGATCTTGAATAGCCTCTTGGTCAGTCATTAGGAAGCAGTTCTTCACATAATTGATGAAATTGGTTTCCAATTTGGGAAGAGAACCACCTTTTTGTGTACTTGCTTGCATTTTTGCTTTAATGTTTTCTACAGAACTAGGTCCTTTTAGCGTTTTGGGAGGGTTTTTTTTCTGTTTTTTGAAGGATTCTTGACCTTTTGGGTCTTGATGTTGATGGTTTTGAGTCTTTTTCAGTCTGGTTTGATTTTTGTGCAATTTTGGCTGGAGTATCTTATATAGATTTCTTCACTGAGCTTTTTCTTCATCTTCCTCACCCTTGTCATCGTCATCTTCATTGTCATCATCATTATCTTCATTAGCAGCAAGTTTTTACTTTTTTTCTGTGGAACCTCACTACCACCTCTAGAGGCAGCTCGCTTTCCAGATATACTTAAGAGCTTTGCATCCTCCTCCTCTTCATCTTCTCACTGTGCATCTTCCTCCACAGCTGTTAAGTGCTGCCCATTAATATGCACTGGCCCTGAACTATGCTTCAACCATAAGACCATAGGTGGTGGTATTTCAAAGCCCACAAAGGAAACTGTTGGCTGTACAGACATTTTCAAAGTTGCCAGTGTTACTTTTATTTGGACTGCGTTTATATTTCATTGCTTCTGCTTCAACGATGTGCAATTCATCATAGGTACCAGCTCCTGAACTGGCCATTCTTAAAGAAAACTGGTGCTCATTTTCATCATCATCCACATTAAAGTGATAATATTTGTCAGCTTTAGTTCACAATTAAAAAGTTAATTTTGAGGCCTTAGAGGGCTCATGTCCACGTCCATCAAATCTTCTATGGGTTTGTGGCACCCACTGTGGTGGGAGAGAAGGCGAATGGAGATAAATGACTCCTACTCCAGAGAACAAACACACAGGACAGAATCACACCAGGATTGAAAATTTTTTAATTAAATTATAAATATACGTATTTTATATATATAGTGTAAATATATACACATACATAATTTACAAAAGCATTAAACAAACCAAATACCTAGAATAAATCTATCTGAAAATATGACCCTATTCATAAAATTGTAGAATATTTTTAGAGAAGTTAACAAACATCTAAATAAATTATAGAATACATTATGTTATGGATTAGAGGTCTAGGTATTGAGATGATCCCAGTTCTCCTCAAATTGGATTAAAGATTAATTTCAATGCCTTTCAAAATTTCATTCCATTTTATTGTCATTCTATTGCTTTTTCTTCCGCTCAATTGGAAGCAACCTTTTCTCCTCTAATTATTGGCATGGCCATTCTGCCTCTACTTGCCCTGGGTCTTTGTTTCTTTTGCATTTCCCTGCATTTCTGATCTATAGAAATATCTGCCTGCATGTCAGGAAACCTTGCCAATGCATAGGAGAAAATAATTGTGTGGAAATTATGCAAGAGCAGTTCACCTTAGAAAACAAAATGAGTTATCACTGCTGTTCTAATTCTTCATCTTAAAACCATATCCTGATTACAGCAGGAAACCAAGAGGAAGAACCCATTTTATTTTGTCTTGTTAGCTATGGTGAGCAGAATAAAGGCCACCTCTTCATGTTATTTTTTCGATTAAGTATTTCTCCATTTATTCAACATTTTTAAAATGTCTTTCATATACAGTCTCCATCTTCGTCTTTAAATGGCTCACAACAAAATAGAGAGTGGGATAAAAATGACTTTCTACTACATAATGTATTTAGTAAATAAGAATATTTGTGGGGGAAAGGGCCATAGGAGGGGAAGAAATTTGCTCTAGTGGAGAATTTGAGGAGCACGCAATATTTGCGGTGGTCCTTGAATGCTTGGTAAGGTTTTACCAATTCAAAGAAGAATGAAAAAAATAGAATTCAGAGGAAACAGAATAGATAAAAGTACAGAAATATTAAAATACTTGGCATATTTGGGAAACGTCAACACATAACAAAAACGCTAACAAGTCTATTTAATAGATCCTTTGCTTGATTGATGTATACATCCATCCTCACACACCTGTTACATTTGCAAAGGCTCTGTTTAGCTTCTTTTATGTTCTGTTCTAAGTCATGCAAATAAAAAAAATCAGTGAGCTGTTTTTCATAGCTCATCAGTACAGCGTAAATTTTAAAAATCTTACTCAACAGCTTCTCCAAGAATATCCCTCGCCTCTTTCTATAGATGAATCTTAGGCAACTAAAATGATTTTTGACGATTTAAATGATCTGATTCTAAAGAACCTGGAAATTACTTATAAGATGATAATGGCCACAATTTTATGGTGTTTTAAAATAGCTGCAGTACTTAGAATGTATATGGTATATGCAACTTAACAAACATCTGAATCATGCCAATACATTATCACAACTTTCTGAAAATGATGTAGAAAAATAAATTTCCCTGTCACTGAGCCTGAAAATCTGTGTAAAGAATTGCTATGAGTAATGCTTGTGATTAAGCTTTAGATACAATTAAGCTGGATGAGAGCTTTAAGTGTCAAGAGGTTGTGTTAAAATTATCTAGTGTATCTTATAACTCCATGATAATTACCATTATTTAACAGAATTGCTTGACAGAAATGGCATGACGGGTGTGTACTATTTCCTACATTTGCATCTGCTTCATCTTTCTGTAACTTTTGCATGCAAAAGTTGTCTTGTTTGTATAAATTACTCCTTATTTATCTTTTAATAATTTCCAGTAATGCTGATTAATCTCCATCACCAATGTTTTTGCTGTATCTAATCACCTAAATTAAATACATAGCAAAACTTTACCACATATTCTTATTTTCTGCTCCAAATTTATAAAAAATGAATATTTAATATTATTTTATTAGTTATTAAATTATGAATAATGACAACACTCATAAATATTTATTAAGTGGATGCTTCAATCAGATGTTGTTAGTGCCTATAATTGTGAGTGATTAAATAAATGTCTAGAAAAGACAATCCAGTTCTGTGGTCCCGCCATACAAGATTTTAATTTTATAAAAACAGACTCTAAATGCCACTTGCCTTCTTGCCAACGGAGAGAATATTATCCATTGCATACCTGCCAGAGAAAAAATAAAGAACCTACATTGAGAAATTTCTGAATTCAGCTCTGTCTGTATGTATACACTCAAAATGAAACAAATTGGGGCAATTTACTGAAGGTTAAATCCTCTAAATGACATTCAACTAAAACATGCAGGGAAATGGTTTGGGAGGTTTAAATGATCAATTTAATTGCCTTAATTCTCTGAATTGCTTTTTAAAATAGACACAACCCTTTTGCATCTAACTGAAGATTCTAAATTGGGGGTTTAGGGGTGTTTGTATTTTACTCTCAATACTCTGAATCACGTATGCTTTCTGTATAACCTGAGTCTTTAAAATAGCCCAGACCTCAGTGTGCAAGAGACCAGAAGTTAGATGTTTTACATATATGATCTGCCTATAGCTTTCTTTCCAGGAGCCAGCACCTTTCAGTTTGTCAGGATTTTTACCCCAAAGTCACAGGGAAGCTTTTTGAAGAGCTAAATAAGCTGTCATCGCTTTGTGCTTTTGTTCTTAAATATTGGAACATAGAGTGTCATTTCAAGATATTTTATTAGTAAAATCTACCTGATTTCTATTAAAAATTATTTTCTCTAAGCTCCAAGAAAGGAGTGAAAAATTATTTATAAGCAAAGTAGCCCTCTGAACCTTGTCTAATGCATAAGAGTTTTCCAAGTAAGCTTCAGTTTATGATTCAGTAGTTCCTCTGAGTTAAGAGAGTGTTACTAGACTAACATATTCTTGAAGATACAATTTGAAATACCACATTTTAAAAAATGATTTTAACAAGTTTTAAGAGTTTATTTCAGAACCTTGTACTGCCACAGAGCGGTGGTGGTGATGTTTTTTTTTTTTTTTCCTCTCACCAAACTGTATTGCAAATAAACCTTTTGATGTTTAAAAGTTTTTCTTTGGCAGCTAAGAAAAACACTCTGGAAAGTTATAGTTAGTGAATTTACCCGTGTATAAATATCCCTGAGCTAGTCTGTTATCCTGTGGCATCTGGAATAAAGGTGCTATTGTTGTAGATTTCATGATTGAAGAATAGAATAATCAATTCAGAGGGACCCTGAGGGGAAGATTCACTCACATATGTGGTGGAAACTGGTAATCCCTGTGTTTTTTTAGGTTTTCCTACAGATGAAGAGACATAGATGAGTTCATGCTTTGATGCGTCTAGTGACATCGCTTCCCATTCGTGCCATATTATAGTTTGATCACCAGTTCTTATTTGAGATGATTAACCTTAATGTTTCTAGGAAAACTACTTTTTTGTTAATCCTTTTGTTACTATTACTTTATTTGCTTTTTGGGTCACAATAGCTGGACAACTATTTTATTTGCAAGGGCCCTAGCCATGCGCTTTCTGCTGCAACATGCCAAACTAATCACCACAGCATTCTGAGGGATGTGTTATCAGACTTAGGCCTAACAGATAGGCTCTGTAAATTATTTAAAGCTTCTCTTCATTTCTTGCAAAGCAATGCTTGCTGAGCTTCTCCATGAAAAATTAGTGTAATTCCAGAAGATTATGATAGATTTGCAAGGTAGGAGTTTGGCCTGTGCTTACACACAGACATCTGCATAGTTATGAATAAAGTAGAAGTTAAATGAAACTGTACAGTTATTTTACATTTGGTTATTTGAACCCTTTCTCTACTACTTTATTCAATGGCCTTTGAATAAAAGCAGCTGTGTCTCATGGCTTTCTATCGTGAAGTGTTCAAATGTATAAGGTGGTTGGATGTAAAAACACTGTGAAAGTATGGATAATAGAGTGCCCACTTTCTGTCTATTGCAACTTCCCTGAGGTTTTGTTTGCAGGGCCCAGCTGCATATACAGACATGATGGAATTTGGTTTGTCAGGAACCTACAAAAATTACACAAATAACTCAGATTTTTAATGAATAATGCACAGACATGCACCTGCTTCAGGGACTTCATAGATTAGTCTTGTGACCAATGGAAAAGCCCCTTGGAATTCAATTACATGGATACAAAACAGAAAATAAAACTGGCTACACTTCTAGAACTAATATCAGCAAAATGTTAACTAGTTCTCGGAGCAAGCTTTTCCTGAGGATTAGGTTGTTTCAGTTTGCTTTGCTTCTGTGAGACTTACTATAAAGTCATAATATTCTGCTCATACTATTATCTACTATTCTTGCAGCTGGAGCCACTTGCAGAAGATATTCTCCACCAAAGCCCGAATATGAATGCTGTTATTTCTTTACAGAAGATCATTGAAATTCAAAGTATGTCTTTAAAGTTCTCTTAAAAATTCTAAGCAGGTAAAACTAACTAAAATTATATTGAAAATTATAGTACAAAGAAACATTTATTTAGAGTTATCATAATTTGCACATGCGTTCTTAAGTATATATCTTAATGTGTTGCTCTTAATGCAGCAATCTTATCTTACACTGATGACAAAACGTAGAGACTCTAGATTTAGAATCTTGTTTTTCTCATGTATTTCAGGTATTTGGAGTTTTTACCATTATGATCACTAAGCATTTACCCAGAACCATGAAATAAATGCAGAAATTGTGATTTTGTAATCCAATCTTAATGAAGGGTAGTTATCTCCTAATGATGTTGGAATTCAGCAATCATTTACTGATTCATATGTGTCAAGAGAGGAAAAAAAAATTAATGAGAAAGCCTCTGTATGGGAAAATCCAACTTAACAAAGCAGGGTTAAGTCATAGACTTTTTTTATTATCCAACTCCCTTCACACACATACATACACATAAGCACACATGGGTGCACACACATGCTGAAATCAAGCACAAACTAACATGAAGATTAGCATGAAGAGGAAAACCAAAGGGCACTATTAGGTGTCCAGGAGGAACAGGAAAACCCTTAGGTTTGCTACTGTCTTGTAGAAGCATTTATTAAGTGCCACTTAAGAAGCCACTTGCCAGCTATCTCTTTGGGTCATTGCCTTTGCTTGTTCAGTAGCAATTTGGAGATATGGGTTGACTGGAGTTAAATTACCCATTTATTTGATACTGTGAATATTTACACATCAGGCCATATAGGAACTAAAAATAATTCTCCACTTCATCTCACTCATGCTGTGACTGAGGGCTATATGTACCCAATAAACATTTATTGACTACATGTCATAACTGAAATAAACTATGAATTTTGAAGACTTTTAGGGAATAGAAAAATAAACCTTCAAATGCTGGGGTGCACTATTCAAGTCTCTGATATAAGCCTAAAGTACAGGAACTGACAGAGACAAAGCAGCGAAGGCTGGAGGTGATTTCATAAGCTTAAGAAGAAAATCCTGTCATTGTCCTGTCTTTGTCTTGTTTCCATTGGGGCTAGATAAAGAGGGTCTATTACATGTCATTCTAGATTTCAAAGCAAGGAATCTTGTAGTGATCTTTGACAGCATTCTTCTCTTCATCCACATGCAATCCAATGTATGCTTTCAGGTCATTAATAGAATGAAAATATCTCAGTTTTTATACATATTATTATCTTTTTCTGAGCATTGTTTAGCCATTATATACACAGAGTGTTAAAATTGATTGTTCCTATGTATATTCTGAGCATATCACTTCAATAGGCATTTTTGAGTTCTTATTACATGTTGATCAATTACCAAGGCACAGAGGTTATGAAGAGGAATAAGACATAGTTTCTGCATCAAGGAGCTAACAGTCCAATGAGTGAGAGACAACCAAGTAAATAATTGCAATACAGTATTCACAGAGTACACTGAGGTCATAGACAAGGGGCGGTCTGTTTCTTCAGTCCCTTTCAACTGGGGGTGAGAGGGACTGGATAGTAAGGAAGGTTGCTTGACGGTGATATAGCCTGAGCTTGGTTCTTAAGGGCTGAACAGCATGTTGAATAACTGAAGAAAGAGTGAAAATGCTTTGAAAGGAACGACAGAAGTGAAGGACTCTATTTCCACATAGGTATAAAAAGGCGTAATTTCTGTACATCTTTAGAAACTCTACTGTTGCCTTTTATATTGGATCTAATTTCCTAGTAATGATTTTCCACTGCATAGTTTTTTCCTTTCACTACTGATGTTTTCAAGTGACCTCTACAGTCTGCTCTAGCCAAGCAAACCTGTTTGACTCTTGAAAAAGACTCAATCTACTATCAAAACTTGCTGTAGGAGTATCCTGCCACTAAGGATTGTCAATTCCACTCTTCTGCCCCAAAGTCTATTTTACACCACCCAACAGTGATCACTTGTCTGTGAAATCCATTTCCTTCTAAACTCTTAATGAGTACCCCACCCAGCTTGGAGCATTACTGATGATCCAATAATGCCATAATTTCTCAAGACCAATATGTGTTGGTTCAGCGGTATATTTATTTTCGATGTTTCTCTTAAAAATATCAAATATTTAAATGTCTGTTAGCTCTGGTTGCTAAATTAGAGGATAATCATCAGGAGGACAGGAATCATATCTTTTTGTCTCTGAATGTCCCTCCAGGAAGGGTTGACAGCAGGTGTGAGGTGCTTGGGAGCCTGGCCATTAAAAGCAGGCAGATTTGAGTAGGTAGGACTTGAATAACTCTTCAAGACCATAAACAACAAAGGCCATAAGCAACCAGAGCTCCTCCTTCTGAGTCAAGGATATATGGTGTAGTGGACACTGATTTTGGTATACCCAGAAACAATGCACTCTTCACATCTACTCAAAAGGAGTCTGGTTTTATTCATGAATCTTTGCCACCAGATACCGTGCAACTCAGGGGGAAGTTCAACTTAGCTCCAACTCCAGGGGAGCTGTTTTTAGTCTAAGGCAGTCAACCCACTTGACAGTGATTGGTTAAGAAATGGGTACGTGACTCAATTCAGGCCAATGAAAATCAGGACTAGCTTCATGGGCATTCAGCCTGCATGGTCACATAGGTCCTACACATAGAAGGGCCCCATCCTTAGTGTAAGGCTCTTGGTGTTGCTGCCTAAAATTCTTACTGCGTTTTAAAGAAGCAGCCCATATTTTCATTTGGTACCAGGCCCTATAAATTCTGTAGCCAGTCCTGATGAAAGTCAAGGTGATGGTGAGGTGAAAAAACGTTTACCAAGAAGGAATGATAGTAGCATCACCACAAGGACAACTTAAATGTCAGTTGAGAGGGCTCTGAATAGTGGGTTGAGGTTGTAAAAGGAAAGAAAACACAAGATCGGAAAGCGATCTCTCACCATTTGAGAAGTGGAGTGAAACTCGGTAGAGAGAAAGTGTTTCAGCACTGTGGCTTTGACCACCGTGTGGTGCATTTTTATGTGGTTATAACTATGTGTCTTAGGGGCCACTCTTCTATGCTAAAGGAAGAGAAAAGAGCCCTCTAATGTCCACAGAGCAATAAAATCGAGTGGGTATTTCAGAGTCTTAAACTTCATAATGGCTTGGGAAATTAAAATTATGGGCTCCCTGATTAGTAAACAGTGCTTGATTTCCTTACAAGATATGAAATCGCACTCTTGCTTCTCACTGTTTTATAACCAATGCTTCCATTTCACCTGCTCCTTTGGGACTCCAGGACCCTAATTGTGTTCCTCGTTTCCCCTTTGGCAGAGAAAGTGGTAGGGACAGGTTACTTATTTTGTGAGACCCAGTTCAAGATGAAACTGTGTGAACTCTTCCTTGTTAAAAAAATTAATAATTTCTGGAGGGTAACAGCAAAGCACTGAACCAAGCATGGGGTCTTTCTGAGAGTGGGGCGCTTCGCAACTGCACAGGTAACCCATTATGAAGCTGCCCCTGAAGGTAGTCCTTGTTCAACAGGAGCACTTCCTCTTCACATACGTCTCTGAGTGTCACACAAGTGCCTCCTTTCAACTTTAGGGGGTGTTCAGATTTCAGCCCACCTTCTAGCCCAGGTTCTGAAGGGTTCTTTTGTGCTGCAGTTTGCAACGACAGTATCAGAAAACTATGTTACTCTTGAGAAGCAGGCTTGTAGCATGTGGGAAACATTCAGGCAAGTCTCTAGATAGCCTTATCCCAAGGCACATGGCAAGGTGCTGACAGTTCTCCTGTGAATTTCTTTTTGAGAACTGAGTCCCCCAGCTGAGGGTATGCAGGTGCTGGAGGTGCGTTGGCTCCTTGCCTGGCCACATGTATGTGAATATTTTCCAACAGGATCATTTATGTTGTCCTGTCCTTGTTTATGTTGCTCATCTAGCTGAAGAGAAAAGGCCTTACAGGCCACAGAAGGGCAATGATTTATCCTGACAGGTGAAGACCCTTCCTGACAGGAGAGGGTCTGGTTCCATCTTAACATGATAGATGGCATGCAAGGGTCAACTATCTTTGAGATGACAAAATGGAAAAAAAGTTTCATGTTATTCCTTAAGAAATTAAAAAGAGAACTACCATATGATTCAGCCATCTCACTTTCTGAAGACTTATCAGAAAGAATTTAAATTAGAATCTCTAAGAGATGTTAGCACTCCCATGTACTTTGTGGCACTATTCACCATAGCCAAGAGATGGGAGCAACCTGAGTGTCCATCAGTGGATGAGTGGGCAAAGAAAATGTTGTATAGACATAAAGTAGAATATTATTCAGACCTACAAAAGGAAATTCTGCAATACGTGGCAACTTAGCACAATCTTTTGATGGCAGATATTATTTCTGCTGTGTTCCTGCTTGTTTTTAATTGCCGTATCTTTTGCACAGTCTCTGGCATGTATTAGGTGCTCTGCAAATGTGTGTTGAATGAATGAATCAGCTAGTCTGTCAATGTTTGCCACATTTTTCTTCTAAGCCTGCGTTGATTTTTGTAACTAACCTCACATATTTATACTCCTTGGCACACTCATGCAGAATGAGGGATTAAGAAGACCAAGCAAAATACATGAGAGTCCATTTCCTCTCCTTTCTTCACAACCCACAAGGATGAGTCATTTCTAAGTTAGGAAGAACATGGATTATTTTTGTGAGTTGCCATTTCCACGGGTAAGCTTGGGGTGACAATTCTCAGAGCTGGATCTAGCACTTGGCTAACTGGCTGTAATAATCAACAAGTGATGCCAGTAACGAGTCAGCCCAGAGTGAGATAAATAACTCTCATATGGATGTTTCCTTTCCTGAAACCCACCCTAGTGATTTACAGCATCCATGCACCGTTGAATTCGTTCACTTTTCTGCATGGCATGGTGGGCGCCAGAGTTCTAAAACACCACTCTTTATACCAGTGCTGGCCCATTATAACTTTTTCACAGATTTGGGAGGGGAGGAACCATGAAGTGAGTTTCCCATAAAAGTAAATTTATTTAGTTTGAAAGACTATCACTTTAAGTTCTAAAAACAAATAATGAATGATATTGATATTAATCTGTGAAACCCCAAAACATGAGAACAAGTATAGAGCCATAGTTTCCTTTTATTTATTTAAATTTCTTAGTGAGAAGAGTATTCCTTTTAAGTGTCAACCAATTTTGTAGACTTCTTGAATGATAATAATCATAACCATAGCATCTTTTGTTTTGTGGATCAAGGAAACATATACATGCACAAGGATTTGAGGATTCTTTCACAATTTTGCTGCAACCCTGCAGTGGTTTGCCTCTGATAAGTTGAAAAACACCAGTGTAGGAGATTTTAAAATGATACGAATTCCATCGTAATCTTCTCCTCCACTCCACAACCATGTGACAATGAGCAAGCCACTTGTTTGAGGAATTTCACCAGGAATGACATGGCACATCACTAGAATTGCTTTTCCACGTTGGCGCTACTGTGACAACAAAGTGGCAAATAGGCAGAAGAATCCTAAAAGAACAGTAAGAATTTTCTCCCTGTAGCCCCACTTTCACTTTTCCCCACTCTAGGGATTATCCCTTACTTAGTGAATTGAGGTCTTTTTAGAATTTCTTATTATGCCAACCAAGGCAAAATGGTGGCACAGGCAAGAATGAGGAATGGACAGTGCCTGCAATTTCACCATATGTTCTTGTCAAATGTGTTTTACATAAATACAGGAGCAATTTCCATGTTTCTTGTATATAAAATTTGTGAGTATAGCTAATCCTCTGTTGTTTTAAACACACACACACACACACACACACACACACACAGAGTATTATTTAGGGCAATGAGAAGTGAATTTATAATCCTCAGAATTTATCCAACTTTTGAGGACAATTTGAAAATGGACATGATTTCCTTTGTTGCAGGGGAATGTTACAAGTAACTATGTAATTGACTAAAGCATAATCAGTTATCTCCATGGTTCCATACCAGCAATGCACAGAGCACACTCTCACACATTCTAGAGTAATAAGAATGAAATCAGATTTTCCCTGGGAGATGAGAGGCAAGTATATTTGACACCTACTCCTTGTCAGAACTGTGCTTGATTTATGTTTTGTATATGTGTTTTTGAGTGAGTGATGTCTTGCTTCTCCTCCTCTTCCTCTATGTTATTGTTATTCTTTACTCTTATTCGTCCTCCTCTTCCTATTATTATTACTAATATTATTATATCTGTAGTTCTGGGAACTGGTCTTAGAAGTAACAACTGATACTAGAAAAGAACAAAGGAATGCTGATTTTGTTGATTTTACTTTTTATTATATTTCCAATGGGAGATAACTCATAGGTAAAATAAAATACTAAATAAACACTGTCAATGTATTAGAATGAATAATCAAAATATGTGGTACCTAATTTTCTTGGCGATTAAGAGAACTGGTTATGAATTGAAGGAAAAGGCTATAAAAGTAAAATAAGACCGTATTTTATGTAATGTTACCGTAAAGATAACAACCATTGTCTTCTTTTATCTGAAATACCATCCTCTCCCATCATTATAATATCCTCTACCGACCCCAGTACAAGGAGAAGGGGCATTTACATCAGATAATCCAGGAGAAAATCCAAATTGTTTCTAAGCTGAAAGGAATTTGTATACATCTCTTGTTGGGGGGTGGGGGAAGTTATCCAATGTTTTGACCTCATGGGGCTATGTACACAACTAAAAGCGTTGTTTCTCCAGATTGCAACGTGTGCTGCATAAATTATCTCACAGACTTTACTAGCTTCTTGACTGCACACCAAAATTCTAACTCAAACTCAGTTTTTCCTCTTTCTTTTTGTCCCCATCTACTTCATTTTGATTTTCTGCCTTTTTTTCGTATGTCTCTTCTCCTCTCTCTTCCATTTCCATCCTATTGAGATCCAGGGGAGAAGGACAAGAAGGTATTCCCAATATTGGAAAGGAGCTTTTAGCTCATAGCCATTTGAGGTTTTATTTCCAGCAGGGAAGAAGCATGATAAAGCCTGCAAATCGAAAGATCACTGTGCTTGCTCTGAAGACAGGAGATTAGCAGGGCTTATAGTCAAATATGAGCTGTTTAATTCAGAAGTAGAATTGGTATAATATGGTAATTAACTGACAGGGAGAGGATTAATAATGTCTGGGTTTTCTGGCTTGGAAAACTGAGATGATGGTGGTGATCAGCTCCCACGATAGGAAATTGTGAAGAAAGAAAAGATTTGAAAGGAAGTGAAAAATACTAGACTTAAGAAAAAGACACTTTGCTGATAGAAAGTCTTAACAATTTGGGGAGAAGGCAGTATCCTCCGGAATATACATTTTCACTGTATTGAAGTTACGGAGGAACATTGGATGAAATTATTTACACAATACAAACCCTGTAAGATGATAGCAAATAATAAAATAATGTAATAATAATTGAGTGCTTACAGTGTGTGAGGTACTATTAAAAATTAATTTGTTTAATCTTCTCTACCCTGTAAAGTAGTTACTATTTTCATTCCCATTTTATAGTGAAGTAAACTGAGGCACATCAAGGTTCATTGTATTCCCCAAGGTTACACAGCTAATGAGTGGGCAAAAGCAAGATCATAAACCAAGCAGTCTAGATCCAGTCTTCCCTCTTAGCCTCTAAGTTACACTATGTCACAAATAAGTTCATTCCTTTTGCAATTTTTGGGTTGAGTTTTTCCCATTTCTTCCCAAAGTGACATATTTAGACAAAATTTAAGTTAAGTTAAAATTAGGAATTTGGGAAGTTCTGGCTAATTGAGATTTAGCCACAGTCAGTTCTGGAAGCTCAGTGCCAAAGTACAAGAAGCCATGGAGCTGTGCGTCCACTTTTGAGCCCCTTATAAACTTGTAAAATACTTCTAATCAGAAAAAAATGCAAGGATTGGCAGAATTTCAAATCCCTGCCCTGTTGAGTTTAAAGCCCTGACTGTTGTCAGGTGGGAGCTGCTATTTGTCATATATTCTTTGGCTTTAGACAGAGGCCTTGACGTTAGAGTCCTGGGCCAGGCAGACCTTCATTGAAGAAAAGCAGCGTTAGGCATTTTCCCACTATTAACCCTGCCAACCCTCGCTTGTATCACAGCCAGGTCAGACTTGTACACATGGCTTTGTGAAAGTTGACTTTGAACTTCTAATTAACCATTCTCTTCAAATGTTCAAAGTCTGGTTGTTGTGTTGGTGGCGCCCTAATACTAGAATGTATCAGAATAAAAAAGAAAAGTCTGCCATCTGCTATGAGACACAGTTTTGGGGGGTATTTTTTATTCCAACTGCGTCTGCAATTTTTTTTTCACTCACACATCTACCAAGGGAAAACCAATTAAACCAAGAAAATAAAACTATGCATGCTTCTAGGACTGAAAACTCTTTGTGGATTATGAAAGAGTAGGAATACTTTGTGATCACATACTCAGGTGTTAGCACCCAGATCAATCTCACACATACACATGATACCATGATACCATTCACTGAGACTAGGACGTACTAGAAGAAAGTCAGGTTTGAGGGAAGATCGTTTCCTAAGTATTTACATATATTATCTCTAGTCCTCACATAATTCTGCAATACACAGTTCTTTCCTCATTTTGTTCATGAATAACTTGAGACTTATCAAGTTTAGGTAGCTTGTTCAAGTTCCTTCTACTGGTAAGAAGGAAAACTAAGATTTTAATCCTGGTCTTACTGTGATGTCAAAGCCCACTTTGTTTCGATTAAAGGATCTATATGACCTTCCTGTTCCCACTCCATTTCAAAAATGAGAACAATGTTCTACCAGATTGCCTCTTCCCAAGTATAGACACTATAACAGGACTCTGCTAAAATGTAATAGAGTTTGCATGCATTAAAACAATCTATTGAAATACATTAGTGGGCTTGCTAGAATGTCAGCAAATAGGAGAGGGGAAAAAACATAAGCTGAAATTTAATAAGGAGCAGTAAGCAACACAAAAATGGGGAATATCTCTGAAGCAAATAATGGCATCAGTGCTATAATGCACAAGAAATCTTAAGATCCGCATCAAAGGGATATGAATTTGATAGATACTAAAGAGTTTTGATCTTTGTCCACTCCTGGGTTCAGGAGGAAGCCAGTAAAATTCCTTCCTGGAGGAATGTATTTCTAATTTAGACCCTCAATATATGCAGAGATTAAGCCCAACAAAATATGAACTCAAATACATAAATACATACATATTTAAATAAATGAATAAAATCCAATGCACAATAACACAAGGCACTAGGGAGAGTTGGCAGAAATGAGATATATTAGAATAATAAGACTTATTTGTGGAGTTAAAAATGGAGAAGGAGGATTACTTTCAAATAATGATAATAGATAAAGAGTATTCATTTATTTTCACTTCTTCATGGAAACCCACTAAAACAATAACAGAGTTTTCTTTTTTTCTAAAGACATAAACTCCTATGGATAAAGAATGAAAAAGGAAACCATCTGTTACTGTCTTAGCAGACCTAAAAAAGGTGAATCTTAAAGCAACACTAGCAAGCGTTATCTCTGACGGGATGGATACATCAGGCTATTGTACCCATATGTCATAGAATTGTTGACTTGCACACCTAAGGCACTGTTTTATTGTCTAGTTTTTAATTCCTCATTTCTCCTCATTCATTGCCCTTTCCTGTCTTCACTTCTTTTTCCATTCAGCATTAAAATTATAACATTCATTTGCCCTTCTACGTTTCAATCTACCTTACCAACAA
The DNA here is from genome assembly GCF_000001405.40 of Homo sapiens. Classification (NCBI taxonomy): domain Eukaryota; kingdom Metazoa; phylum Chordata; class Mammalia; order Primates; family Hominidae; genus Homo; species Homo sapiens. The sequence goes on from NC_000007.14 coordinate 18,963,981, forward strand.
TCCTGCCCTTCAACTTTACCCATCTAAGAAAATCTCAACCCTGGATATACAGGACAAACAACTTTCCCTAACACTGGTCTTCCAGAGATTTCCCCAATGCAGGTCTTCAAGAGATTGTCATGATGTATAGCAGTTTGACCTCTTAGAAACTTACAATTACCAAACCTAAATGGGCCCATTACCATTCTACTGCTTTCTACTCTTGACCCAACTTACCTTCTTTCAGTTCCTCTAGTGTGCTATTTTTCCACCTTCCTCAAGACCTTCATATATTTTTTCCTGCTATTCCTCTTTGACTACTTAACTCCTATACATACTTCATATCTCAGCTTAATTGTCCCTTGATCAGATATACACCTTCTGATTATCAGTTAAGATCAGATTTTTTTTTAATTTCATAGAATGCAGTACGTTCATTTTAGTAGCTTATTTCACTGTGAGACATGTACTCATAGAGCATGATCATTTGATTAATGGCAACCTGTAAGATCTATGAAAGTATCCACATTCCTGTATTTCCAATATCAGAATGCTTGGTAGGTAATAAAATCGAAAAGTAAGAGTATATTACTCCATTCACACACTGTTTTAAACAACTGCCCAACACTGGGCAATTTATAAAGAAAAGAGATTTAATTGACTCAGAGTTCCATAGGGCTGGGAAGGCCTCAGGAAACTTGTAATCATGATGGAAGGGAAAGAGACATATCTTACATGGTGGCAGGTGAGAGAGAGCAAATGTGTGAAGGAGGAACTGTCAGAGACATAAAACCATCAGATCTCCTGAGAACTCACTGACTATCATGAGAACAGCATGGGGGACACCACCCTCATGATTCAATCACCTCCCACCAGGTCTCTCCTTCAACCTGTGGGGATTATGAGGATTACAATTCAAGATGAGATTTGGGTGGGGGCACAAAGCCTAACCATATCACTGAGTGATAGAAACAATCCTTTGAATGCAATTTGGTTTCCCATGTAGGGAAATTGAGATAAAATGGACTGGTCATCCTGACAGTAATAGTATAGCCCTCATAAAAGCTATACTTCTTTGGTGAGTTAACAAATTAGCTTTGCAGTTTATTCATAAATAGCTTCTGATTAATGCACTCACAGCTCCGTATCCAAGAGACTGACTCTTTCCCAGAAGATGAGTATTCATTTCATCTATTACCCCTTAATCTGGCTTCATGCTTGCTAAGAAAACTGGAATATCCATGTTTGTCTATGTACAGGGAGATAATTCACTATTCATGTTGGCACTATTATTTCCAGGACATGGGATAGTTTATTACTCAATAAAAGTTAATTTTCAAAAAAAGGTTGGTTTCTAATGCAACATTCAATGCATTTTAGTAATATGTGTCTCAGGGCTTGAATATATCAAAACATTGACAGAGAGGACGCTTGAGATGTATGAAAGGAACAGTTCCTACCAGGTTTTCCTTACGTCTGTTACATGTTGGGAGATTATCTTGGTTTGGCTTCTACCAGAAACAGATCCTGATACACAAGGAGTCATGTACAAGTAATTTATTTGCAGGTGCAGGCATAGGGAGAAAAGGAAGAGGAATAGTGAAGTGTGACGAGAAAAGAAATGAAGTGTCATTTGTTCAACTATCCTTGTAGGTATCTAGAGTTTAATTCCTCTGGGGAAATTCTGAGAGCTGATGTAAAACACATAGCTCAGAGTTATTTCATGTGAGCTGCGAGGGAGCAGAGAAATTTATGCTCCAACTCCAAACAGTTATTGCCTGAATACTGCTCCTGGGGGACAATATGACCCTGACATTTCTGGCCAATCATAGAGCAAAAACTCTCCAGGGGCACTGAAAGCTGTCCTGAAAAGACATGCTGGTTCTGGTGAATGGAAATGAGGTTGTGTGCACTCAATTAGTAAGGGGCGGGACATGTGGATGAGGCCCTGACAGTGGCTGCTACAATGACGGTTCTTTCTTGTCAGCCACAGACAGTCTTGGTTTATGTCTGTTGTCTCAACATCTCATCCAGATACTGTTTGTTTCAGATTTTTCATTCTGAATGAAGTATTATTATCTATAGTTTTATTAAGTGAGTAAGGATGGATGTGTTACACCTGTACTTTGCTTTAGCTTCTATCATTGTTTCCTCTGGTTGTATGAGAAATGCGTGGAAAGTAAATATAATTTTTACTTTGAACACATGGTTAAATCTATACAAAATACAATTGATAACCCATCTCTCTTTTCCTGGTCCTTTTGTGATATAACTAGCGCTTCCCTTTTAAGAAAAGCGTGTAGGGTCCTCACGAATACCAGTTGTAAATGACATTTAAATTTCTGATCTGGGAGTTAAAGGAAGAAATACTCAACATTGCTGCCACTTGGCACACCAGTCATGGTTGCTGTAGCTTGTGACGTGCATGAAGCTACCAAGCTGTTAGAAGATAGAGTTAGGGGTCGGGAGCCGGTGGCTCACGCCTGTAATCCTAGCACTTTGTGAGGCCGTGGCAGGCAGATCATGAGGTCAGGAGTTCAAGACCAGCCTGCCACCATGATGAAACCCTGTCTCTACTAAAAAATACAAAAATTAGCTGGGCATGGTGATGTGCACCTGTAATCGCAGCTACTCACGAGGCTGAGGCAGGAGAATTGCTTGAACCCGGGAGGCAGAGGTTACCATGAATGGAGATTGCACCACCGCGCTCCAGCCTGGGTGACAGAGCGAGACTCCGACTCAAAAAAACAAACAGACCAAAAAAAAGATAGAGTTAGGGGAAAATTTGAGAAATCAGCAGTTAGGTGTGAATAAAGTATGTTCAGGAAATAGAAAGGACCAGCCTTCCATACAGCATTTACACTCTCAATACTTTTGCTACAGAGATTTTGTCAATTATTATACATTGCAACTTCACTATGTGTATATTTGTTTTATGTTTTGTTACATATTTTAATTTCGCTATCAACATTATTAGCTGAAATGAGCTCACAAACAAGTGTGAATGTGAATTTTAAAAATGAGTGCTCTACTTCTGTCTCCCAAGCGAATTGATAATGAATATGTAACTTGAACAAAATGTTTGTCGATATTCATTATTCATCAGGGGGACAGAGTAAAATCACAGACGAACACTGAAGACACAATGCTGTTAAAGAAGCAGCAGTTTCTACTTTAAAATTTAGTTATTATTGACCAAAACAAAACAAAAATAAAAACTAAAACCAAAAGGAACAATTTAAGAAGTGCAGTTGCAGAGGGTGCATTTATGTAACACTCCATGAAGCATTACTTTTTATTTAGATAAAATGACTACGATTAAAAATTTTGTAAATCAATTTTCAGTTTCTGGTATTACTTTTAAAAGTTCAGGAGTGACGTAATAATTCTTCTTTCTTGACTCCATTAGTATCATTTCTTGCTAATGATACAGTGTCCTTAATTGCTTCAAACAGAAAAATCACTAAATTCTAATGATTATTCTATATTTTTCATTCAATTTATGGAATCAAAGCAAAATTTTTGTAAATAAAGTTGCCCCCCCCCCAAAAAAAAAAAAGCAGGGTGTTATTGTGAAAGCTATTTGTTATAAATTTTGGTAAAAGTGTAACACTGATAATAAAATCATTTGGTTTTGCATTGATATACAAATCTAAAGTTCGGTGGAACATCTTATAGAGCAGGAATGTACTTAGCATTACGTATGGAGCACACAATTTTTATAAATAGCTTAAGATTTAATTATGAAGTTAATGACATTTAATAACTCTTAAAAACCTAAACAAGCTTGATATTCTACCAATGAAAATCTAAGCTACTGTCAAAATTTTAAAACTCTTTACATAAACATAGAGTAAATAAAATACACTGTTTTAGATATGTGACAGGTGAGGACAGTTAAAAAACAAAAAAGAAACTTCAGGCCGGGCACAGTGGCTCATGCCTGTAATCCCAGCACTTTCGGAGGCCGAGGCGGGCGGATCACCTGGGGTTGGGAGTGTGAGACCAGCCTGACCAACTTGGAGAAACCCGGTCTCTACTAAAAATACAAAATTAGCCAGGCGTGGTGGCATATGCCCGTAATCCCAGCTTCTCGGGAGGCCGAGGCAAGAGAATCGCTTGAACCCGGGAGGCGGAGGATGCAGAGAGCCGAGATCGCGCCATTGCACTCCAGCCTGAGCAACAAGAGCAAAACTCCACCTAAAAAAGAAAGAAAGAAAAAAGAAACTTCAGCAAGACAGTTCAAAATTTCTCTCTTAGCTTCCCCTTATCAACCATACTTTAGGAATGTTTGAACATCTATAGTAATATTGAACCATTTTGCAAATTAGCTTTCTGAATTTTTATATTTTTCCAATTAGTTAGAAATCAAAAATATTCAATAAGTGGACCTCTGACCCCATGTATGAAAGAGTAACTGCTATCGAAGTTGCCCTTTGATCAGAAACAAGAGAAAACTATATACAGATAGAGATAGAGAGATATATGATACAGAGAGAGAGAAAAAGATATCTAATGTTCCATACATATATGGAACACTGTCTTTCTTTCAGACATTGGCCTGCAGGCAATGAAGAAACAAAATGAGTACCGCAGATTCCAGGGTAACTGACTAGAGGAAGTTTCCAGGCTGCAGCATAGAGAAGAAGAACCCAAATAGGGTCCAGTGGTATTACTGAGTTGAGAATAAAGCCATCAAAGTTACAGAATCACTTTATCCCTGGACGCAGTGGCTCACGCCTGTAATCCCAGCACTTTGGGAGGCCGAGGCGGGCGGATCAGGAGGTCAGGAGATCGAGACCATCCTGGCTAACAGGGTGAAACCCCGTCTCTACTAAACATACAAAAAATTAGCTGGGCGTGGTGGCGGGCGCCTGTAGTCCCAGCTACTCAGGAGGCTGAGCCAGGAGAATGGTGTGAACCCGGGAGGCAGAGCTTGCAGTGAGCCGAGATCTCGCCATTGCACTCCAGCCTGGACGACAGAGCGAGCCTCCCTCTCAAAAAAAAAAAAAAAAAAAAAAAAGAATCACTTTATCCTCTAAATAAAGGAGGATAAAGTGGCTAGAATTTGTGAGGCAAAATATTGGAGATGAAGTTGCCACACACACACACACACGTGCGCGCGTGCACAGAGTGCTGCATGTACAGGAGTTTCCTTAATGTTTCATTTGAATAATTTTCTTTACATATATAAGGTGAAACTCCATAAAGCTGAGGAACTAACCAACGAAAAGTAGCAGGTTAAACAATTCAAGGAGTTCACAGAACTGGGAATAGTTTGCATTAGCCGGAGTGGAGAGATCTTATAATACACAAGGCATCAAACAGAGACATCAAAATGGTATCATCTTAGTTATAGGACTAAATTAGCCTTACATTAAAGGCTACATTTTAGCCATCCTAACACAGTGTACAAGTGAGCCTCAAAAGTACTTTGCTAATTGTGAGTAACTTAACTTCATGCTAAAACAAAGTCCAATACTCTCTCAAATAATATGACAAAATCCAATAGCCAAAAAATGTTCAAATTACCAATGTCAGGCATCCAAATGAAAATTACTAGGCATGCAAAAATGTAGGAAAGGGATCACAAGGCAAATCAATAAACAGAAACTGACTCAGAATGTTAAAAATGTACTTCCAATATGAAGAGGAAAGAGTAAACATAATGAAGAGATAAATTAAAAAGATAAAAACCATGCAAATTGACATTTTAGAGAAAAAAAAATACAGCATTTGATATTTTTAAAAGTCCGAACTTTGGATGGATTAATGGCATATTATGCAGTACAGAAGAAGAAAATTAGTGAAGTTGAAGACATAGCAGCATCTGAATTTGGTAAAATTTTGAAGAGTCAAAAACAACGAAAACTTTTTGACATTTAACTTATTTGTGTTACATAAAATGTTTGCCAAAGTGGAGTATGCTGAAAGGAGATAAAAGACAGTAACCATGAGACATTTGGAATAAAATAGTTACTCATTTCAGTATTTTAAAAATTAAAAGTGAAGATATTCTGCTTTTAGCAGAAATTGTTCTGAGCTTACCAGGTAGCACCATAGTTGTAGAGACTATTTCTCAATGAAAAATATTGCAGTATCTTGAGAAGGATAAATTAAAAATGCTAAAAATTTCAAACTTATTAACCATACAATTAAGTTTTCAAGATTATAGGCAATTCTATCAAAAAGCCTAAAGTATTTAGACCCCGTTGAAACAAAAAATACATTTTTCATAAGAATATCAGTATATTGTATCAGTGAGTGATAGAGCTACAAAACTGATTAACATGTGTGATATTCAGCAGGAATAATAATTCTGCTTGTGTTATTTTCTAAGGTTCAGATAATCAATATAAAGAAGAAGCTGGTAGCTATGCTTTGACAAACATGAATTATGCAATTTTTATTTTTTGAAATGAATTTTAGTTGTAACAATAAATTTTGAATAGGACTATTTTATAGGCCAACTGATAAAAATAATTTCTTGGCCAACAAATATTTCCAAAACATATAATTTTTATTTTTATCCCCATTTAGCCTCAAAATAGCCCCAATTTAGATGAAAAATTACCTGGTCACTCAATTTATGCACCAATTTTCAATGTGTCTTTATTTTTGCATTTAAACAATGTTTTGGATCATGCCAAAGTTCTCTATTTAACTAAAAAATTTATCTTAAAAACGTATTAAGTTTTAGAAAATCCATAGACCTCCTTGTAAGCCCCAGGTGTTAATAATTTCTGTGGTTGAAGGAGATAGCAAGAGGTTAAGATTAGCAGCAGCTTATTTTCCTATGAGAACCCGGTGTGTAAAGATGAAAGGCAACATCATTCAAATGGAAAAAAGGTAAAAAAAAGCAAATTTGAGAAGGAGTGACAGCTCTAAGGCTCCAAAATGATGATGGAATGAGGGATTTCTGGGGTCAGGAAGTTTTCAAAGTAGCAAAGGGGTTTGAATTGAGAAAACTTTTGGTAGATAGGTGACTTGTGTAACACAGATTTTCATGAGTCAACAACTGCCTATTTTTCCAAATTGTCCATTTCCAAGAACAATCTGGTTTATACTGAAGTCTGTTTACAGAGTACCTGCAGGATGCCCTCTCCTGGGTCTTGTGTAACCCAGTGAAACCCCATCTATGGCCCTCACCTCTAACTCTTGACTCTCTACATTCCATTCTATACTTTTTATCTTTATTGTAGATTCATTATTTGTGTTACTTTTGCCAGAAAAAAACAAAAACACAGAATGGTGAAGGCTGGATAGTCCTTAAAAAGTCCTGAAAAGTGGGACAATTTACATAGTGGGAAAAATGAATAAGGATAGAGGATATGACTGAAGAGGGAGTGTGCATGTCCAATTTTAATGGAAAACTCTTCTCTTTTGCCAGTTGCATAGCCATAGGAGAGCAACCCAGTTGTGGCTCATTACTAATATTTGACTTTATGAATAACAGCTCCTGAAAACCCTAGCAGTCAACCTTTGTTCATTTCTCGTATGTGATAATGGTGATATTATTCCTATGCCAATAGATATGACTTTCTTGCACATCTGTTTCTGTAATGGAAGAAAAGACCCTACACATCACATGAAAATATAACCCATAAATTATGGGGTTTGAATTGTCTGCATATTGCACAGACGGTGCTGTACCCACTTCCATTTCAATTATTCTCCTCTATGAATAGAGATAGTCGTCTATAAATGCATTATTAATGTAGAATATTTCCCTTGTTTTTATAGACTTTGCCAGAGGCCAAATATAATTTAAAGTTTTGGGTTATTTCTGAGTCAGGAAACTCATACATGTGGATAAAAGCCAAACTTCTAATATTTAATCTTAACTTAGCAGGATATTTTATACACATTCAATTTTATCCAAAAAGGTCTCAACTATTTTAAATCCTTCCTAGTACTGACATACATATGGGCCAAAATTTAAAGGATCATTGTCAGTCATTCTTCTTAAAGACTGCTATTAACCATGCATACCTTCTGTCCTGATTGTGTTATGGAAGTAAAGATGTTTGTTTGTGGCCTAGACCTCTCCTGTTGAGAAATAAGACCCAATGCTTGGTAATTAAAGCCCTTGCTTATTCTAAATGTGCATATTATGTGCAAAGAATGTTTGCTGACCTCTTCAAGAGTTCATAGGCTCATAGAAAAGAAAAGGTTTTCTGCCATAGCAAATTTATTGTAACATCCAAGATTGATATGTAACATGAGATCAGAAGGACCACGATAAGTGAGAATGAGAGCAGGAATAAAACTTTCATAGCATTAAGCCTACCACTATTATTTATAAATGTGGAAGTTGTGCTCCATTGTGATCCAGTGACTTCTTCCGGATTAGTGTGGGATCTCCAAGCTGGAAATACTTTTAGTTAGCTCAATTTTCGATGAACTTCTCTTTTTTTTTTTTTTTTTTTTTTTTTTTTTGAGATGGAGTCTTGCCCTGTCACCCAGTCTGGAGTGCAGTGGCACAATCTTAGCTCACTGCAAGTTGGGCCTCCCGGGTTCAAAGGATTCTCCTGCCTCAGCCTCCGGAGTAGCCAGGATTATAGGCATGCACCACCACGCCTGGATATTTTTTGTATTTTCAGTAGAGACGGGATTTCACCGTGTTGGCCAGGCTGGTCTCAAATTCCTGACCTCAAGTGATCCACCCCCTTCAGCCTCCCAAAGTGCTGGGATTACAGGCATGAGCCACCACACCCAGCCTTTGATGAGGTTCTTATTCATACTCTTCAATTAGCCGTGTCTCCAGTTTTATGATAGCCTCAATAATTTACCTGGTAAAAGGTACTTGCAATAGTGCAATTTTATGAGAAATTAAGAGTAGAGTGAACTAGTTTCAACATGATTGTCTCACACTGTCCAAATAAACCACAAAGTCTAGAAAATGTGTGTCAACTGAATCACATATCTTAAAGTACAAGGGTAATGTATCATTTCCAAAGATTATTTCTTTAGTAAGTAATCTGCAATATACATAATTCTTTTAAGCTGAGAATTTTATAATTGAGCTTTTTGGTATTTTCATGTCTACTGGAAGGTGGGTGGAGGACAGCAGAGTGCAGAGGAAGAGGCAATTTAAAATTAGTGCTGAGTAAGGATTTTAGCTCCTCTGCCTATTAGCCATGTGATCTTCAAAAACACTACCAGACATTGCCTAAATAGTTGTCACCAGGGTTAAATAAAATTACAAATTATAAATGTAGAAACACCGAGCACAGTCTTGGCACATATTTAGTTCTCAATAATGCTAGTTTGTCTTTCCTCTAGTCTTTATAATTTGACCCATAAGCCACTAGCCACATGTAGTGTGTTTGTCAGAGTCCCCATGTTAGCCACCATAGAAAACAAGAAAAGGATGTCATAAGGCATCACTAGCTTTGTAAATGTCATCTGCTAAAATAACGTTTAATAATAATATTTTATGTAACTCATTACAATATATGTACTTATAGATGGTATATGGAATTTTCAACTTGGGTAATACTACAATAACATTAACTTGAAAGTAAGTTTAATAGTAGCGGACACCCATGTCAACAGGTCTTGTTGACATGGAAAGTGGGTGGTGAGACTGAATTTCCTCCCCTAATGTGACATCTGTTCCTTCGTGAAACAGTAAGATAAAGAAAGGCCAATCATGAAATATTAGAGCTGGATAGTATTTGGCATTGTGATCTAGCGAAACTAGGCCCTGGGAATGGAACTGTCAATTCAGAAATAACTTTCAAAGTTGAGAGATGTAGGGTAGGCCAAAGATACATTTTCAACCTCCCAAATCTCTCTTAGTGTCTTCTCGTTTCGATTCTGTTACTTCGTTTTGGATTAGACATCATGGTTTCCCACTTGGACTTTTGCCAAGATGTGAAATTGGTCTTCCTGCCCCCACTGTTATCACCTTCCAATCCATCACCCATAATCTCTCCAAAGGGATCTTTTAAAAACATAAGCCTGATTCTATACCTTGTCTGCCTAAAATGCCCCCTGATCATCCTCAGGTTGAAGTCCAGGATCATCAGAGTGTCATTCAAGAGTGTGTATTAATTAGCCCTTGCCTACCATAGCAGTCTCATCCATCCCACTCCAGACTCTTCCTATGTTCTAGTCATTCCCAGCAGTTGACGGTCACCCAGTAAAACACAGAGACTCCAGTCTCTGTATATTTGTATGTGCTGTTTCCCCTTCCAGGGATATCCCATGACCTCACTCTGCTGAAGATCAAGAAAAGATTTGGAAAGGCAATCAAGACATCAGGATGATCAACTATTAGGTTTTTAGGAGCACATTTGCACTCTAATTTCTAATGATCTTTCAAATACTCAGTCAAGTGTTATTTTTCCTGGCAAGTCTTCCCATACTTTTCCATCATCTTAAATACGTGTTCTACTTATTCCCGTTCAAGGTCACTGTGGGCATTTTACACACAGAATTGTAATTCTTAACTAACAGGGCTGTCTCAACTGGACCATGCATTTCTTGGTGTTAGGGAAGCATCTTTGTGTCCTCGACATGTGGAAAAGCCTTAGCTTCTACAAAATGTTAGTTTTTGGATTCATTGACAGAATTGTTATTGTTTGGTTCAAATTAAAAACTTTATGATTCTCAGACTTTGGTCAGAATAAGGGATCACAGCAAGTTAAATAGTAATGGACACCTATGTCAGATGGTCTTGTTGGCATGGGGAACAGATGGGGAGACTTAGTATCCTCTCCTAATGTGACATCTGTTCCTCTATGAAACAGTAAGAAATAAAGGCCACTCATAAAATGTTAGAGCTGCAAGAGACTTGAGGCATCTCCCTATTTCAGAGACAGAAATAAAGTCCTGAAAAGCCTCACTAATGTCATTGGGATGGCAGTGCTGGGTCCAGAACCCTGTTATCTTACTGCCCAATCCAGCGTTCATCCATTTGCCTTTTCCACTCAAACAAGGCTTTTTCTTCCAAGAAGTAAGCAAACACTGCATACCAAAGTTCTTGCCAACTAGTCAGGCTGCAGAGATAGTACTAACCTGGTGAGTCATGTCAGCACCTAGGGAGATTCTCCTGCTTTGATTTGGGGCTACTCATCATTTCACAAAAAAATAGCCTAAGGGCTGCAAGAAAGCCATTAACTATGCTCTTTCATATTTATCCCATTGGCATGTTCTCATGAAATGACCTTCTATTTTCCTCTCTTTCTCCTTTCCTGCCTCAAAAAAAGAAACATCAGTATGACATATGGATGGGCTCCAACATCAGCCAGTATATATATTAAAGTTTTAAGTCAATTATTGTTCTAGTACACACCCTGAGGTTGAGAAAGAAAGAACATCCAGGACTAACAAACCTGATTGTTCTGGCAAAGTTGCCATTCAATTCATGCTGGCATTTCTGGGCTTTTCTTTTTCTTTAATATTCCAACTTCATTTTCTTAAAGTTAATGATTCAAGTAGCAATGTTTAACAGTACGATTCCATTCATGTTCTCTGTAAGAGTGCTGCCTCCTGGTCTCTTGTGGGTTTCCCAGGGAGCGTGAAGCCCGGAGTTTGCTTACTTAGTTGCAGAGACAGCTGTCAGTCTGAGGGTGAGTTCAGTAGGCCATGGATTATTCCTCACTTTATTGCTGTGTAAGCAAGAGGGAGACTCAGCTTGGGAATATGGGCACTTCACAACTTGGCATTCTTATATTGAGAAAAAGACCCAATCATAACAGTTAAGAAACCAAATTACAACTGTGTATAACATGGGGAATTTTAACTTAACAACTGCTCTGAGTTGGACGTATGTGAGTATTCTGATTATTACTGCTGTAATTACAATTCTTATGAAGTATGATGGATGTTTTTCCTAGGCAAGTATTGGAAGTCAGTAAGGATGGTGGCTGTGCCAAGGGGCTGTGCTCTGGCTGGTGCTCAGTTGCAAGAGGAGACAGAGACCGTTTCTGCCCTGGCCTCCCTAACAGTGGATGTGGAACAGCCCTTTGCTCAGGAAGACAGCAGGTATGAATCCAACGTGCGGGAATAATCCGGGTCAGTCATATCCAGGCTCATCGTTGATATTTGTGAATCTTCCTCCTGGCTTTCCTTCACCTGTCTCCTCCACTTCCACCACCTGTCCTCTCCAAAGCCACAGATGCCACAGCACATGCTTTAGGCTATCGAGAATTCATTGCTTCATTCTTCATGTGAAATGCAGAGCTGGAGCATGTGGTTGCAGTTCACAGAGAAATAGAGGGGATGAGATAAATGGTGAGAAAAATCACGCCTTATCAGATAATTGAGTGCAGATCGTTATGGAAAGAGCTGCTTGTGGGCTTAACTCCTTTTCCTAGTTATCTCTGTTTTTCCAGATGTTCTTTTTCTTTCTCTAATCATTTTGAAATTGCTGATATAACAAAGAGAAAGAGGAGAGTAGAAGATGGAAATAATGCTAGACCGTTGGATAGCCAAAATACATACACACTCCTTACGTGGCTGTCCTTGAGGTCCAACAACTGGATAAAGGGGGAAGTTGCCTGCAAAGGAGACAAGAGACTGTGTGTAAAGGACTGTGTGAACTTGGGGCTGATTTTATTTCATTTTGGGATAGGACAGAATTGGTTTTAATGTATCTTCTTATGAATATAGATTTCTGGAGAAAAAATACAGTGAAACTAAGATTTGATTCACTTGTTCTCTTTTTAAGGAATGTTTGTCAGTTTGTGCATTTGGTGTTCATCATTCAGTTCTACAGAAAATGGTACATTCAGAATTTCTTTGAAGTCTACCAAAGCCACCATAAATGTACATAAATATTGGTGATTTCTATGGCTGACTTCAAGGTCACATTTCCTCAATTTAAAAATAAATCAGGTGAGGCTTTACTAAAGCTCTGCCAGCTTGCACTCTTAAATTGCTCCTGAGAAGGAAATCAGACTCCCTCCGTCAATAACATCACCATTAATTACGCAGATCCTGCTACTAGTGCACAGGTTGGCAATTTTCCCAAGAATGCACAAATACGAACAGTTCTACTTTCTTGCTTTTACTGGATACTCAGAGTTTAATGGATTTAACATCTTGTTTTGGCCAAGAACAGGAGATAAAATGAATAAGAGATTTTATTTTTATGCAATTATTTTCTCTTACCATAACCACTTAAACAGCAGATTAGCAATAAGGGGGAAAAGTTGTATATTACTCTATTGAAAGATAACTTTATATGAATATCTAGAGCATAAGGGAAAACTTACTTTACATCTTTGATAATAAGAACTAACCCCCTGCCGTTCCCAGCTAAGAACTGAACCAAGTTCATAATCCAAAGGTGTTGCAATTATTCCGAAGGCCAAAAACAGTTAGTTGTCTGTCATCTGAGAGCCATAAAACTGAGGAAACTAACATCTGTTAGTGTTGGATATAAAAGGAGCATAGCTATTCTTTAGAATTTAATATAGAAAAACGAAGCTAAATTCCAACCTGAGTGAAATGAATTGTAAATATTTTTGCCTGTTAAATTGCAGAGCTTAGAATAATTAACAATAATAAGTGATGTTATGAGCCTCAAGTAATATAAAAATCTCAGCAGTTTGGCAGGAATTGGCCCTGTAGGCAAAGTTGTTTATCCTCAGGTAAATAGTGTGCTTGACTCATGGTAGTCTATAGAGATTTAACCTTGGCTTCAGTCCACAGTGATTTTTATTTTAAGCTTCATCTGATGGCAGAGAGAGAATGTGAATGTTCTGATGTGCAGGAAAGCAGAGTCAAAGAGTGTAGCCTGGTTTCATGTTCATTTATCACTTTTAGACAGATTATATCTATTGTGATTGATTTTTCTTGTGGGAAGAAAAATAGTTTTGCTTGAAATATTTCTGATGGCTTTGAACTGAACTCCCTTTTTCAGCAGAGGAAAAGAAGAATTCTTCTAGAACTGGCTCTTGCATTTCAATTGAACCATGCATGAATTTCCTCAGAGACAGACAGACAGACACACACACACACACACACACACACACACACACACACACAGAAAGAGAGAGAGAGAATGCTCTGAAAAGCCACAGAGCATTTACTCTTTTCAGGGGAATACTATCAGTATTGTCCCCCTACTCAAACAGGAAAGATGGCTTTCAAAATGAGATAAAGTGGCGGAAACGTTTCTGGGCTTTTCTTATGAATGCAATATTATAAGCACACAGGAAATTGAAAAATTAGAAAAATCAGAGAGCTAAATGGATGGAAAAGAGTGAAGGCAAGATTCCTTTTATAGGAAATTCTTGCCAGTTATTTTGGAGAACATATTGGTGTTTGGAGTGAGATGACTCATTTCATACTAAGATTTTGGGTAAAGCAGCTCTTTTCCTGGCCAACTCATATCTGACTCATTTACCACTAGTGAATAAGGGATAAAATGCTCCTGGCTAAGAACCATTGTAAGTATTTTTTGTTCGTTTTTCTTGGATGGGGGAGGGGATGACAACACAGTGCAGATAGTCATTTCGTTTTTATAACTACATTGATGGGCCTTGAAGAATAAATTACTAGGAAAAGGCTGATATGTGGGAATTCCTTTTGGGGATAGTTAATTTTCAAACATAACACATACTTTTCTGGGGGCAAAAGACTTGATCAAAAAAATGATTGATGGGTCAACAAAACAAAACAACACAAAAAATCTTGAAGGGATCCAAGTTATATAGTCAAAGAAAATTAAATATATACGTCTGGTCACATATAGCATACTACTTAGAAGCAAGAAGTTTTCTTATTGTTTGCTAGGAATGTGTACCTTTAAACAATTGTAGTTTGCATTTGTTGACTATCTGTTTCAAAATGCTTCTACTTTGGAAAGGTCAGTACAGTACTCAGGTTTACTCTTGGATATCAGTTCAGGCTCTGCTGAAGATCAAGAAAAGATTTGGAAAGGCAATCAAGACTTCAAGATGATCAACTGTTAGGTTTTTAGGAGCACATTTGCACTCTAGAATGCCTAACTTGGTGACTTTGTGTGTGTGTGTTTTTTTTTTAACTAACACAAAAACCAAACAAACTTGAAAGTTAGATTTGCAGTTGTCATTTTGACCTGTAAATCGTGTTACATTTTTTTTTAACAAAATCCAGAATAGTTGTCTCTTTAATCATTTAACTTTCAACTTTTGGCAACCTTTCTCATGAACGTGATGGTTTCATGTCATTAGATAATACAGAAACATGAGAAAACATATTATTCAAAGTCTGACCACTTTGTTTTTTGGGTAACTATCTAGTTTGTGAATATAACAGTGTAATAATCAGCTAAATCCAAGTATCATCTACCTGAGCTTTGAATGGCTTATCAATAGTTCCAATGACATCAAAAACCCCATTTTCCTGAATCTTAAGATTTATATAGAAATATAGACCATTATTAAATATACATTCATATCTAATGTACTTAGAAACATGATTTTCCTCAAATAGCCCATCCCAATGGGATTGTGTCTCCAAAGGCTTCTAGAAGCTAAATGTTGCACAAATTATTCACCCCTCTTATTTTATTCTATGATACCATTATGTTAAGTACTTGTTTAGGTAACTAAGAACTTATTTAGACAACTTAGATAACTAAGTATGTGCGTTAGGCTGTTCTTGCATTGCTATTATATAAATAGCTGCGAATGGGTAATTTATAAAGAAAAGAGATTTAATTAGCTCACAGTTCCACAGGACTTTCAGGAAGCAAGTTCCTGGCATCTGCTTGGCTTCTCCAGAGGCCTCAGGAAGCTTAAAATCATGGAGGAAGGTGATTGGGGAGCGGGTACATCACATGGCAAAAGCAGAAGCAAACAAGAGAGAGAGTGGAGGGGAAGGTGCCACACACTTTTAAACAGCCAGATCCCATGTGAGCTCAGAGCAAGAGCTTACTTATCACCATGGAGATGGTGCAAGCCATTCATGAGGGATCTGCCTCCATGATCCAAACACCTCTCATGAGGCCCCACCTCCCACACTGGGGATTATATTTCAAAATGAGATTTGGGCAGGAACATTTATCCAAACTATATTAGCAGGCAAATTTTTCAATATAAATTTTGTTTTTAATTTTCATCCAGTGTCAACAAAGCCTTAGCTGAAAATTGAGGTGAGATTTGGAAGCTCCTGGTAAAAAGAAAAATCTGCCCCCTCTTCATTTATCTTTCCTCCTCTTCCCAGGGCCATCATTTTATCTCTATTTTCCCAACGTGTCTAACATGTGGTCTTGAGGTGCATGTGAAGTCTGACTTAGAACATTAGGGATGTTCTAATCCTCCAATGCCCAGTTATGTATTTTGGGGTTCAGTTCTGTATTATTTACAAAACAGTGTTTACTTTGAAAAAAGAAACAAAATTGAATAGAAACGTATATAAAATAAGATGCATAATTTAGCTTCCCATCTCATCTTTTTCTTCACTCCTTCAATCCTATCCTCTTACCACTACAGAGGAAGAGTAGAGCTTGCCTCTAGAGTCTCCACACTTCACAGTTGTTTGCTCAAGGGCAAGTTACTTAATCTCTCTGAGTTTAATTTTCCTCATCTTTAAAATGAGAGAAAAATTTCATAGAGTTGTGAGAATCAAATGAAACAACACATCACAAGAACTTAAAACAATACCTGGCATGTAGTAAATACTTGATAAAACTTGATAAAGGTTTATTATTTTTATTATTTTTCTATCACTTTTCTTCTTCCTCGATTTGTTACACTTTTTCTTGTTCTTCTTGTTCTTGTTCTTCTTGTTCTTCTTCCTTCTTCTTCCTTCTTCCTCTTCTTCTTCCTTCTTCTTCTTCTTCTTCCTTCTTCTTCTTCCTTCTTCTTCTTCTTCTTCCTCTTCTTCTTCTTCCTTCTTCCTTCTTCCTTCTCCTCCGTCTCCTTCTTCTTCTTTTTTTTTTGAGATGGAGTCTCACTCTGTCACCCAGGCTAGAATGCAGTGGTGTGATCTCAGCTCACTGCAACCTCCACCTCCCGGGTTCAAGCAATTCTCTTGCCTCAGCCTCTCGAGTATCTGGGACTACAGGCACGTGCCACCATGGCCAGCTAATTTTTTTTGTATTTTTAGTAGAGATGGGGTTTTACCGTGTTAGTCAGATGGTCTCAATCTCCTGACCTCATGATCAGCCCACTTCTGCCTCCCAAAGTGCTGGAATTACAGGTGTGAGCCACCGTGCCCGGCCTGTTTCTTCTTTTAATATATTGGCCATCATTCAGTAATCTATAATATAAGAATATAGAGCCTATACTTGGGCATCTATACCTTTAGCTGTTCATAGGTTAAATCAATCAGGACTATCCTCCAACCAGCAGAATGAGGAAGAAGAACATGTGAAAATATCAAGTTCATTCACTCTTTCAACACTTTCTGATTATTTCTAGGAGCCAGATAAAGTGTTAGGGGCCAGGATCACAAAGCTGCCTTGTACTCCTCAAAACGTTCACATACCTTTTTACAGCAGCAGTAGAATACTGCAAATTTAATGGCTTAAAACACACAAAGTTTGTCAGTCAGAAATCTAACTAACCCAGGTCTCACTGAGCTAAAAGCAATGTATTGGCAAGGCTGCCTTCATTTGTGGAGGCTCTGGGGAAAAATTGGTTTCCTTGCCTTTTCCATCTTCTGGAGGTTGCCTGCATTCCTTGGCTCATGACCCCTTCTTCCATCTTTAAAGCCAGCAACTTCACATCTATCTGACCTTTCTTCAGTCATCATATCTCTCTCTGCCTTCAGCTGAGAAAGGGTTTCTGCTATTAAGGGCTCATATAATTAGATTAGACTCACCAGGATAATTTAGGATTAATTTCTCCACCTTATCACCCCTAACTTTAATCACAACTACAAAATCACTTTTGCCATGTAAGGTAACATATTCACACGTTCCAAGGATTAGGAAGTGGATAGCTTTGGGGACTATTATTCTTCCTACCACAGAAACAAACATGAACAATCAACTATAATAAATGACAAGTCTTTGATAAGATTGAAATAGGGTCCTGCAAAATGAAAAAAAAAGCAAAACAAAACGCCTTATAGGCCAAGGACTGGGGAGCAAATCACAGAACCAGGGAGAAGAGAATCAGGGTGGAAGAATGTGTAGATTTCACACAGTAAATAGGACAAAAGGCATTCAAGATGTCTTTACTTTGACAAGACAATTTAAGAAGCCCTTACTTTACAAGACAATAACTTGAGACAATATATATATTTTTAACTTCTACTGCTGACACTCAGTCCAAAGTATCATCATCTCTCATCCAAACTTTTACAGTAGTTTCCTTACTGGTTTTCATATCCAGTTTTACCTTCTTTCTAATCCATTTTATACACCTCAATCAAAAACAAAACAAAACAACTGGAAAGCATATCTGGTCATGCCTCTGCTTGAAACCCTTCAATACTTTTCCATTTCCATTAACATAAAGATCATCATCTTCAATAGGCTCCATAAGGTCTGTATTAGTAGACTCATACCTATAATTCCTGCCTTACTTCTAACATTCTTCCTCTTTCTTTTCTGATGTGGTTTCCAACAATGACCTTAATTAATTTTTAATGGAGGTATATCTTACATATAATAACATGCACACGTTCTAAGATTTTTACCAATGCCACCCTCATATAAACACCACCCAGAACAAGTTCAAGAACATTTTTATTACCTCCAAAAAGTTTGCTTCTGCCACTTCCCAGTCGGTGCCACTCCCTCCAGAGGTAACTACCGTTTTACTTTTAACACCGTCAATTATGTTTGCCTGCTCTTGAATTTCATTTAAATGGAATCATGCGTGTGTACTGTATTTCTTAATCTGACTTATTTCACCTCATTAAGCATGTTTTTGAGATCTATTTATGCCATTGACAATCCGGAGTTTCTTCATTTTTATTATTGTACATTACTCCAGTGTATTAATACACCCTAATTTGTTTATCCGTATACCTACGGATGGATGTTTGGCTTGCTTACACTTTGAGGGCTATTATGAATAAAGCTGATCAATTAATTATTATTGTGGTTTAAAAACACATGTAAAACTTACCGTCTTAACCATGTTAAGTGTTCAGTACAGCAGTGTTTATATGTGTATTGTTGTGCAACAGGTTTCTGGAACTTGATCTTGCAAAATGGAAACCTTGTAGCCATTGACCAGCTCCTTCATCTTCCCGCCTCATCCTTCCAGCCCCTATCAACCATCATTCTGCTTTCTGTTTCAGAGTTTGACTACTTTAGATACTTCATATAATTGGAACCATGCAACTTTTGTCTTTTTCTACTGGCTTACTTCACTTAGTGTAATGTCCTTAAGGTTTCTCCATGTGGTAACATATGAAAACATTTCCTTCTTTTTTAAGGCTGAATAATATTCCATTGCATGTATATGCCACATTTTCTTTATCCACTCACCCACTGATAGATTCTTGGATTGCTTCCACCTCTTGACTATTGTGAATGAATGCTGCTGTGAACATGGATGTGCAAATAACTCTTTAAGTTCCTATTTTCAGTTTTTTTGGATGATATATACCCAGAAGTGATATTTCTGGATCATATGGAAATTTTATTTTTAATTTCTTGAGGAATCTAAATCTCTATGAAATTTTCATACAAGTTTTCTTTTTGTGGTCACAGCACTCAGTTTTTTTGGATAGATAGCTAAGATAGCTAAAATTAGAATTGCTGGGTTGTAGGGAAGTCATATGTTTTACTTCATAAAAATCTTCCAAACTGTTTTCCAAAGTGGCTGTACCATTTTTCATTCCCACTAGCAATGAATGACAGTTCCAATTGCATCATAGCCTCACCTACACTTGGTAAAATCAGTCTTTATAATTTTAGCCTTTTATTGTGGGTGTGGAGTGATATTTCATTGTGGATTCAGTTTTCCTCCAAAAAGCCATACTCATGTCCACATCAGGGCTTCCTTGGCACATGCCTTCTCTTCTGTTTGGAATGTTTATCCTGTCCTCTACCTTCTTCCACCAACCCTTTATTGGCCTTCCCATTCTTTTCATCATATCCTGTAGATTTCAGATCAAATATCACTTCTTCTTCTTGAAAAATATTCACCGACCACTAACCCCCAAATTAGATCAGGTCCTCCATGCTTTCTCATGTCTCCCTTACACTTCTGCATTACTCCACAGGACATAAGTGAAAATTAGATACATTTGTGTGCTTATTTGATTCCTTTATGTTTTCTCCTGTAAGCTCCTTATGAATAGAATCTGCATCCCTTTGGCTTAGCATTATTTTTTTAATAGCAGTATATTACCTGACACAAATTAGGTACTCAAGATCCATTTTGGTAGTAAAAGACGAGCAAAAGTTCAGAGAGTATATGAGTGCAAACTTTGGGAAAGGAAAGGACTCTCGGGGCAGTTGGGGGTGCCACAGAGTTGAGTAAGCTGGCTGGGTAGAAAGGGATCATGGCACAAAATTTAATGGAAGGGAATTAAAATATTTATTACCATTCGAATTTGAGTTAATCCTGTTTTCAGTATTAAGCTTTCACAGAGAGAGAGAGAGATAACTTAGGTCTATACATTGAACAGAGAGTGTCATGGAGGAGGGGCCAGCATACTACTAAAGGGACAGCCAAGAAACCCTTATGGTAATTGTGGTAAAGAAGCCAATTAATCATGGTAGAGGAAATGGAGAGGAAGAAAACCTAGTGTAGATAAATTGTTGAGAAATAGTGAGTAGTTGGCAATTCATGAAATATCAATGAAATGGGAGAGAAAGAAGTCCAAATTAATAGTCTGGATGATAATGCCATTAGCTGAGAGAGAAAAAAGGAAGACGTTGGTTGAAGGTGACTATGTATTGTAGAATTAAGAGGCGAACATGGACAAAAGGAAGCAATAAGGCAAACTAGGGTTGAGTAATGGTACTGTTAGAAAATCTATGTCAATTCCCCACAAAAACTTGCTGCCAGTTGTATTGTTATGGTAGGTGTGAGTTTGTGTGTGTGTGTATACATATGTTTGCTTTTGTTGGGCTTTTATTTCTGCACAGCCTTGTGATATGAGGGAATATATTCCCAATCACACATTTAGGTGTAGAATTGTTACACAGGAAGTCTGTACTGAGAATATTTCTGGATCTTTATTTTTTTTTAATTCTTTTTCTATTTATTTATTATTATTATACTTTAAGTTTTAGGGTACATGTGCACAATGTGCAGGTTAGTTACATATGTATACATGTGCCATGCTGGTGCGCTGCACCCACTAATTCGTCATCTAGCATTAGGTATATCTCCCAATGCTATCCCTACCCCCCCAACCCCACAACAGACCCCAGAGTGCGATGTTCCCCTTCCTGTGTCCATGTGTTCTCATTGTTCAATTCCCACCTATGAGTGAGAATATGCGGTGTTTGGTTTTTTGTTCTTGCGATAGTTTACTGAGAATGATGTTTTCCAATTTCATCCATGTCCATACAAAGGACATGAACTCATCATTTTTTATGGCTGCATGGTATTCCATGGTGCATATGTGCCACATTTTCTTAATCCAGTCTATCATTGTTGGACATTTGGGTTGGTTCCAAGTCTTTCCTATTGTGAATAGTGCCGCAATAAACGTACGTGTGCGTGTGTCTTTAGAGCAGCATGATTTATAGTCCTTTGGGTATATACCCAGTAATGGGATGGCTGGGTCAAATGGTATTTCTAGTTCTAGATCCCTGAGGAATCGCCACACTGACTTCCACAATGGTTGAACTAGTTTACAGTCCCACCAACAGTGTAAAAGTGTTCCTATTTCTCCACATCCTCTCCAGCACCTGTTGTTTCCTGACTTTTTAGTGATCACCATTCTAACTGGTGTGAGATGGTATCTCATTGTGGTTTTGATTTGCATTTCTCTGATGGCCAGTGATGGTGAGCATTTTTTCATGTGTTTTTTGGCTGCATAAATGTCTTCTTTTGAGAAGTGTCTGTTCATGTCCTTCGCCCACTTTTTGATGGGGTTGTTTGTTTTTTTCTTGTAAATTTGTTTGAGTTCATTGTAGATTCTGGATATTAGCCCTTTGTCAGATGAGTAGGTTGTGAAAATTTTCTCCCATTTTGTAGGTTGCCTGTTCACTCTGATGGTAGTTTCTTTTGCTGTGCAGAAGCTCTTTAGTTTAATTAGATCCCATTTGTCAATTTTGGCTTTTGTTGCCATTGCTTTTGGTGTTTTAGACATGAAGTCCTTGCCCATGCCTATGTCCTGAATGGTAATGCCTAGGTTTTCTTCTAGGGTTTTTATGGTTTTAGGTCTAACGTTTAAGTCTTTAATCCATCTTGAATTGATTTTTGTATAAGGTGTAAGGAAGGGATCCAGTTTCAGCTTTCTACATATGGCTAGCCAGTTTTCCCAGCACCATTTATTAAATAGGGAATCCTTTCCCCATTGCTTGTTTTTCTCAGGTTTGTCAAAGATCAGATAGTTGTAGATATGTGGCATTATTTCTGAGGGCTCTGTTCTGTTCCATTGATCTATATCTCTGTTTTGGTACCAGTACCATGCTGTTTTGGTTACTGTAGCCTTGTAGTATAGTTTGAAGTCAGGTAGTGTGATGCCTCCAGCTTTGTTCTTTTGGCTTAGGATTGACTTGGCAATGCGGGCTCTTTTTTGGTTCCATATGAACTTTAAAGTATTTTTTTCCAATTCTGTGAAGAAAGTCATTGGTAGCTTGATGGGGATGGCATTGAATCTGTAAATTACCTTGGGCAGTATGGCCATTTTCAGAAGATTGATTCTTCCTACCCATGAGCATGGAATATTCTCCCATTTGTTTGTATCCTCTTTTATTTCCTTGAGCAGTGGTTTGTAGTTCTCCTTGAAGAGGTCCTTCACATCCCTTGTAAGTTGGATTCCTAGGTATTTTATTCTCTTTGAAGCAACTGTGAATGGGAGTTCACTCATGATTTGGCTGTTTGTCTGTTGTTGGTGTATAAGAATGCTTGTGATTTTTGTACATTGATTTTGTATCCTGAGACTTTGCTGAAGTTGCTTATCAGCTTAAGGAGATTTTGGGCTGAGAGAATGGGGTTTTCTAGATATACAATCATGTCATCTGCAAACAGGGACAATTTGACTTCCTCTTTTCCTAATTGAATACCCTTTATTTCCTTCTCCTGCCTAATTGCCCTGGCCAGAACTTCCAACACTATGTTGAAGAGGAGTGGTGAGAGAGGGCATCCCTGGCTTGTGCCAGTGTTCAAAGGGAATGCTTCCAGTTTTTGCCCATTCAGTATGATATTGGCTGTGGGTTTGTCATAGATAGCTCTTATTAATTTGGAATACGTCCCATCAATACCTAATTTATTGGGAGTTTTTAGCATGAAGGTTGTTGAATTTTGTCAGAGGCCTTTTCTGCATCTATTGAGATTATCATGTGGCTTTTGTCTTTGGTTCTGTTTATATGCTGGATTACATTTATTGATTTGCATATATTGAACCAGCCTTGCATCCCAGGAATGAAGCCCACTTGATCATGGTGGATAAGCTTTTTGATGTGCTGCTGGATTTGGTTTGCCAGTATTTTATTGAGGATTTTTGCATCAATGTTCATCAAGGCTATTGGTCTAAAATTCTCTTTTTTGGTTGTGTCTCTGCCAGGCTTTGGTATCAGGATGATGCTGGCCTCATAAAATGAGTTAGGGAGGATTCCCTCTTTTTCTATTGATTGGCATAGTTTCAGAAGGAATGGTACCAGTTCCTCCTTGTACCTCTGGTAGAATTCGGCTGTGAATCCATCTGGTCCTGGACTCTTTTTGGTTGGTAAGCTATTGATTATTGCCACAATTTCAGCTCCTGTTATTGGTCTATTCAGAGATTCAACTTCTTCCTGGTTTAGTCTTGGGAGAGTGTATGTGTCCAGGAATTTATCCATTTCTTCTAGATTTTCTAGTTTATTGGCGTAGAGGTGTTTGTAGTATTCTCTGATGGTAGTTTGTATTTCTGTGGGATCGGTGGTGATATCCTCTTTATCATTTTTTATCGCATCTATTTGATTCTTCTCCCTTTTCTTCTTTATTAGTCTTGCTAGCGGTCTAGCAATTTTGTTGATCCTTTCAAAAAACCAGCTCCTGGATTCATTAATTTTTTGAAGGGTTTTTTGTGTCTCTATTCAGTTCTGCTCTGATTTTAGTTATTTCTTGCCTTCTGCTAGCTTTTGAATGTGTTTGCTCTTGCTTTTCTAGTTCTTTTAATTGTGATGTTAGGGTGTCAATTTTGGATCTTTCCTGCTTTCTCTTGTGGGCATTTAGTGCTGTAAATTTTCCTCTACATACTGCTTTGAATGCTTCCCAGAGATTCGGGTATGTTGTGTCTTTGTTCTCGTTGGTTTCAAAGAACATCTTTATTTCTGCCTTCATTTCGTTATGTACCCAGTAGTCATTCAGGAGCAGGTTGTTCAGTTTCCATGTAGTTGAGCGGTTTTGAGTGAGCTTCTTAATCCTGAGTTCTAGTTTGATTGCACTGTGGTCTGAGAGATAGTTTGTTATAATTTCTGTTCTTTTACATTTGCTGAGGAGAGCTTTACTTCCAAGTATGTGGTCAATTTTGGAATAGGTGTGGTGTGGTGCTGAAAAAAATGTATATTCTGTTGATTTGGGGTGGAGAGTTCTGTAGATGTCTATCAGGTCCGCTTGGTGCAGAGCTGAGTTCAATTCCTGAGTATCCTTGTTTACTTTCTGTCTCATTGATCTGTCTAATGTTGACAGTGGGGTGTTAAAGTCTCCCATTATTAATGTGTGGGAGTCTAAGTCTCTTTGTAGGTCACTCAGGACTTGCTTTATGAATCTGGGTGCCCCTGTATTGGGTGCATATATATTTAGGATAGTTAGCTCTTCTTGTTGAATTGACCCCTTTACCATTATGTAATGGCCTTCTTTGTCTCTTTTGATCTTTGTTGGTTTAAAGTCTCTTTTATCAGAGACTAGGATTGCAACCCCTGCCTTTTTTTGTTTTCCATTTGCTTGGTAGATCTTCCTCCATCCTTTTATTTTGAGCCTATGTGTGTCTCTGCACGTGAGATGGGTTTCCTGAATACGGCACACTGATGGGTCTTGACTCTCTATCCAATTTGCCAGTCTGTGTCTTTTAATTGGAGCATTTAGTCCATTTACATTTAAAGTTAATATTGTTATGTGTGAATTTGATCCTGTCATTATGATGTTAGCTGGTGATTTTGCTCGTTCGTTGATGCAGTTTCTTCCTAGTCTCGATGGTCTTTACATTTTGGCATGATTTTGCAGTGGCTGGTACCGGTTGTTCCTTTCCATGTTTAGCACTTCCTTCAGGAGCTCTTTTAGGGCAGGCCTGGTGGTGACAAAATCTCTCAGCATTTGCTTGTCTGTAAAGTATTTAATTTCTCCTTCACTTATGAAGCTTAGTTTGGCTGGATATGAAATTCTGGGTTGAAAATTCTTTTCTTTAATATTGACCCCCACTGTCTTCTGGCTTGTAGAGTTTCTGCCAAGAGATCCGCTCTTAGTCTGATGGGCTTCCCTTTGAGGGTAACCCGACCTTTCTCTCTGGCTGCCCTTAACATTTTTTCCTTCATTTCAACTTTGGTGAATCTGACAATTATGTGTCTTGGAGTTGCTCTTCTTGAGGAGTATCTTTGTGGCGTTCTCTGTATTTCCTGAATCTGAATGTTGGCCTGCCTTGCTAGATTGGGGAAGTTCTCCTGGATAATATCCTGCAGAGTGTTTTCCAACTTGATTCCATTCTCCCTGTCACTTTCAGGTACACCAATCAGACGTAGATTTGGTCTTTTCACATAGTCCCATATTTCTTGGAGGCTTTGCTCATTTCTTCTTATGCTTTTTTCTCTAAACTTCCCTTCTCGCTTCATTTCATTGATTTCATCTTCCATTGCTGATACCCTTTCTTCCAGTTGATCGCATCGGCTCCTGAGGCTTCTGCATTCTTCACGTAGTTCTTGAGCCTTGGTTTTCAGCTCCATCAGCTCCTTTAAGCACTTCTCTGTGTTGGTTATTCTAGTTATACATTCTTCTAAATTTTTTTCAAAGTTTTCAACTTCTTTGCCTTTCGTTTGAATGTCCTCCCGTAGCTCAGAGTAATTTGATCGTCTGAAGCCTTCTTCTCTCAGCTCATCAAAGTCATTCTCCGTCCAGCTTTGTTCCATTGCTGGTGAGGAACTGAGTTCCTTTGGAGGAGGAGAGGCACTCTGCGTTTTAGAGTTTCCAGTTTTTCTGCTCTGTTTTTTCCCCATCTTTGTGGTTTTATCTACTTTTGGTCTTTGATGATGGTGATGTACAGATGGGTTTCTGGTGTGGATGTCCTTTCTGTTTGTTAGGACAGACAGACAGGACCCTCAGCTGCAGGTCTGTTGGAGTACCTGGCCATGTGAGGTGTCAGTGTGCCCCTGCTGAGGGGTGCCTCCCAGTTAGGCTGCTCGTGGGTCAGGGGTCAGGGACCCACTTGAGGAGGCAGTCTGCCCGTTTTCAGATCTCCAGCTGCGTGCTGGGAGAGCCACTGCTCTCTTCAATGCTGTCAGACAGGGACATTTAAGTCTGCAGAGGTTACTGCTGTCTTTTTGTTTGTCTGTGCCCTGCCCCCAGAGGTGGAGCCTATAGAGGCAGGCAGGCCTCCTTGAGCTGTGGTGGGCTCCACCCAGTTTGAGCTTCCAGGCTGCTTTGTTTACCTAAGCAAGGCTGGGCAATGGCGGGCGCCCCTCCCCCAGCCTGGCTGCCGCCTTGCAGTTTGATCTCAGACTGCTGAGCTAGCAGTCAGCGAGATTCTGTGGGCGTAGGACCCTCCGAGCCATGTGCGGGATATAATCTCCTGGTGCGCCGTTTTTTAAGCCCGTAGGAAAAGCGCAGTATTTGGGTGGGAGTGACCTGATTTTCCAGGTGCCGTCTGTCACCCCTTTGACTAGGAAAGAGAACTCCCTGGCCCCTTGTGCTTCCCAAGTGAGGCAATGTCTCGCCCTGCTTGGGCTCGCGCATGGAGCGCGCACCCACTGACCTGCGCCCACTGTCTGGCACTCCCTAGTGAGATGAACCCGGTACCTCAGATGGAAATGCAGAAATCACCCGTCTTCTGCGTTGCCCATGCTGGGAGCTGTAGACCGGAGCTGTTCCTATTCGGCCATCTTGGCTCCTCTCGATCTTTATTCTTTTGTTGCAAATTCTTATTTTGTTCTTGATTTAAATTATCATACTTGTAAAGAGCACTGAAATCATTCCAACATATGTATATAAACATTTCAAAAAGTATTTATGGGATGTCTAGTATGTATACAAAATGGTATAACATTGGAGGGGGGAGATGAAAAAGAAAAATGAATGAGGAAATGAAAGAACATAAAACAAAATTCACAAAATACGAACTAATATATGAATTAGTTATATATAAAATCAGTTTGTGAATACTGGAAAGATAAAGAAGTCATCAGGCTGGGCACAGTGGCTCATGCCTGTAATCCCAGTGCTTTGGGAGGCCGAGGCGGGCAGATCACGAGGTCAGATCAAGACCATCCTGGCTAACACGGTGAAACCCTGTCTCTACTAAAAATACAAAAAATTAGCCAGGTGTGGTGGCAGGCACCTGTAGTCCCAGCTGCTCAGGAGGCTGAAGCAGGAGAATGGTGTTAACTCAGGAGGCGGAGCTTGCAGTGAGCGGAGATGGTGCCATTGCACTCCAGCCTGGGTGACAGTGAGAGACTCCGTCTCAAAAGAAAAAAAAAAAAAAGAAGTCATCAGTGAGATAAACAGACTTACTTATGACACATACTTATGAAAGTCATTTGATTCTCTGTCTTTTACTTTAGCTTTTGTGGCTTACTAAAATTCAAATCTTTGTCCAAACTGATTAGTTATCAAATAAATGCAAATTTGAATAACAAGAAGGTATTGTTTTACATATATTAGATGGTAAACATTCAATTAGAATATAAGGTCAATGGAGAATGTGAGTTCTATGAGAGCAGGGATGTTTGTCTATTTTGTTCATTGCTATGTTCCTAGTGCCTAGAACAGAACCAGGGCACACAGTACACAGTCAGCAACTTTTTCTAGAATCAATGAAAAATATGAGTAAACTAAGTATTGCTAGCATGGGTGGAGATGTGGGGCTTTAGAGCCTCACTGCTTTGGGAAGATAAACTATGGCAGCCATGCTGCATACTAATTTAGTACCATTTTATATACACAAAATATATGACCTGGTAATTTTGCTCTTGGGAATGTATACCAAAGACATTCTCAGCATAAGTCTTTAGAGTACGTATACTAGGAAGTTCACTACAGCTTTATTCATGGTGAATAGAGAGTTGGAGTCAAGCCCAGTGTCCATTATTGGGAGAATGAATAGTTAAAATGTGGTGGATGCACTGTATGGAGATGCCACGTAGAAGTTACCAGCTTCAAACTAGATAAATATAAGTGCATGACAGATCTAGTAAATACAGTACTGAGTGAGAAAATTATGCACATGTGTATAAAGTTAAAATTTACATAAAATAAAAATATATACCCACAAAACAATAATACACAGCTTTAAAGAACACTTGCAAACAAAATAATGTAACAGGCATTGTATTGCTTGCCTTTCAGGAGGAAGAGGAGTAGAAGTAAGAAATAAGAATTAAATTAAATCAGTAAAATGAGAAAATGTTTTACTACGTAACAGTGTTAATATAAATTAAACAAATGCTATTTTTAAAACCACAAGAAATAAGATTTAAGAGAGAATACAAGAATTTAATTTAATACTACATCTTGTCTCAAGTGAAATTACTTCCTTTTTTTTTTACTTTTGTAAATTATCTTATGGCTGTTGGAGTGAATTGATCCTTCTTTAGGATATGAAATCTTTGATTATCAATGACAGAAAACTATCAGTGTTCACTGTGACATTGACTTGCTGGAGGGAAGCTTATGTCTTTCAATTCGTTAAACCATTATACTAAAATTTATCTTTGCTGGGTTGATTTTATAGTTATCTCCGAACTTACTGTCTTCAGCTCCCTGCATGTCTTTCCTTCCCCCAGCTTGTGTCTTTGTTAATCAAGGTGAAGTAGACATGTATCTAGGGATGGCTGAAGTGGGAAGCCCCCAGATTTTCAGAGCACTGCTTCTCATTCCTCCAAACACAGCCATTAAAGGGTCATCACTCACCAGATATCTTTCTAAATGTTCCATAAAGAAATCATCTTTTTTAAAAATGTAGACATATTTTTTGATTATATGAAGATAATGCCACCTCTACTGAGAGCTAGGGCTATGAGAAGAGAGATACTATAAATTGTCCCAATGGCAGATATAAATAATCCAGTTATTTTACAATTGTTTCACACTTCACAGTGTATAAATCATGTTTTCTTACATTAACTCGTTTCAATTCTCATAACCGTGAGGGCAAGTAAGGGATTATTATTTCTATTTTAAAGATAAAATTGACAATCTAGAGACACTGACTGACTGATTCAAAGTCAAATTTTCGAAAGTAAAACAGCTGGGACTTGAACCCAGAACATCTACCTTGAAATCCAGGATATTTTCCAACTTACTATGCTACTAACACTTCTATGCTGCAAGACGCTGGGGAGAATTGAGGCTAGACATGGTGGCGTACCCCTGTAGTCCCAGCATTTTGGAAGGCTAAAGCAGGAGGATCTCTTGAGCCCAGGAGTTCAAAACCAGCCTGGGCAACATAGCAAGACCCCATCTATAATTATTTTTTTTTTAATTAGCCCAGCATGGTGGCACATGCCTGTAGTCTCAGCTATTCGGGATACTGAGGTAGGAGAATGGCTTGAGCCCGGGAGGTTGAGGCTGCAGTTAGCTGTGACTATGCCACTGCACTCCAGCCTGGGCAACAGAGTGAGACCCTGTCTCAAAAATACATAAATAAATGAAAGAGCGAGAGAGAGAATTGGTTAATTATGCATATGTGTAGATGGTTCAATAGAAGGTGGGCAGCTATAAGTGGTTTATTCCAAAAAAAAGAGGTCAATATAAAATGATTTCAAAGAGAGGAAAAGGCAGAGAAGCATCTGATGGAAAGCTTTCTATTGTACCTGCAAGTTGCCCTGTTTCAACCAAAGAGGCTTAATTTTTGGCAGTGAGTGGGTTGCAGTGTAGACAGCCTACTCACATCCTTTAAGCCTAGGTTGGACATGTGGAGAATTCACAGATCCTCCACCACAGAGACATGTGGATTCCTTACATCTGTGACCTCTGAGACATTTCCCACACGTGACTGTCTCTGGAATTCCAGCCACACTGAATCCTGGATTCGGGGGAAAAGATTATCCTGCTGCAGCTTGAGTTAGAAATTGGAAAAATCGGTCTCCATTAGAATATCCAGTTTGAGTTCTATAACTGTATTATTCACATATTCTCAGATGTAAATAAGGCTATATATTTATGTATGAATTAGTTTCAAAACTTAAATGTCTTCCTTAATTTAAAATCTTTCTTCTTTGAATGCTGATTATTTTTGATAGAAAAGACTTTTCTGAAGTATGACTCATTTATCTTATGTACCACCTCTAAACTCTCTCTCACAACCTCCTTATCCCAGACACTCTAGGACAGGCTATAACTTCTTAAGAAGCAACTTTTTAAATATTCCACACAGACTCTTTTAGAATTTTCTTTTTTGGTAACAATAAATAATGAAGACTTAATGATTATCATTCTTTATTTTTAAAAGGATGCTTTAAAAATTTTTGATTACCCTCCTATGGTTAAAATCTTTCTTTTAATGTTTTAGATTTGTTATACAAATGCTAAGCTACTACTTTATTTGTCAGCACCTTTAGAGATGCATTGAAATCTTGGCTTTTTTTCTTATAAATCTGTAAAATAACATGGCCAAACATTTCATTTGTTTGCATAAACAGCTCTGGTTTAAACATAGCATGTTTTCCTAATATGAAAGTAATTCATTATAGAATCCTGGCAAGTAGGTAAACATTATGAAGAAGAAAATGAAAACCACCCCTCTATTATTCCGCTACCTAGAGAGAAGCATCATCCAAATATTTTTTCCTTCTGGTAGCAAAGGCATAACTCTGCATTTGTGTGGCAACATGAGTTTATGCATGTTAGACAGCAAAGGGACAAATCTAAAGTATTAAGTAATGTCTCATAGTGTTTATTATTTACAGGTCAATTTTACCTCCTTTATTTTTTAACCTTTGCTAATTTTATAAGGAACATCATTTTGTTCATGGTTTACACCTGAAACCAGAGCTTCACAAAAGCGTATTTAAATCAGCAGTTGCAAAATTAACAAATGGCAGAGCTCAGACGCAAACTCAATTCACCCGGCATCTCATATCCCAGTAATCTTCCCATGACAATCCAACTACCTCATGTATTTGGATTCCTCCTACAATTTATTCTTTTGAGTAAATTAAAAGTCATTCTAAAAGTTTGCCTTAAAGCACCCTGAAAGGGTTACTAAATTAAGGTTAAATCTCAAGTATAAATTTTCAAGCAATTAGTTTTGGTTTTGCCTGCGCAGAATACCCTGCAGATGATGCCGAATAAAAACTATTTACACACTACCATAGTGCATTTCTTGTAAAAATATTGGGTCTGTAGCAACAATTTGCTAATCAAATTCAGAATTTGATTTGAAATGCCTCCGGCAGGCAGCCAATCCAGTTATGAAAGAACAGAAGCAAAAACCAGAGCCCTAGTGAGTCTCCTCCAGAAGCTAGCTGGGTCCTTTGCTCTCATTAGCAAACTGGTTCCATAGGAAATCACTGCAGTTGCTCCTAAAATAAAATATCATAGTTAATTTTTTCAATAAATTATTGAACTGTACTAGACACCAAACATGTACATTTTGGAATCTAGAGTTATAAAATATTCTGACATGTTTTAATATAAACAGGAACATTTCCAGTGATTGCTTGGATCGAAAATGTTTTTCCCCTTGACATTTGTTTATACTTCCTAGGAAAGAAATTCTATTTATGGATAACTGAATAACACAAATAAACATCAGAGAGAGCTGAAAAATCAGCTTTGATTATGCATGAAAATCTACAATGTCATTGTGTACTCTTATGCCGTATTCTGATTGCCTGTTTATTTTTACAGAACTGCTGGTGAGCCTATGGAAGAGGAGCCAGCCTTGTGAAGTGCCAAGTCCCCCTCTGATATTTCCTGTGTGTGACATCATTGTGTATCCCCCCACCCCAGTACCCTCAGACATGTCTTGTCTGCTGCCTGGGTGGCACAGATTCAATGGAACATAAACACTGGGCACAAAATTCTGAACAGCAGCTTCACTTGTTCTTTGGATGGACTTGAAAGGGCATTAAAGATTCCTTAAACGTAACCGCTGTGATTCTAGAGTTACAGTAAACCACGATTGGAAGAAACTGCTTCCAGCATGCTTTTAATATGCTGGGTGACCCACTCCTAGACACCAAGTTTGAACTAGAAACATTCAGTACAGCACTAGATATTGTTAATTTCAGAAGCTATGACAGCCAGTGAAATTTTGGGCAAAACCTGAGACATAGTCATTCCTGACATTCTGATCAGCTTTTTTTGGGGTAATTTGTTTTTCAAACAGTCTTAACTTGTTTACAAGATTTGCTTTTAGCTATGAACGGATCGTAATTCCACCCAGAATGTAATGTTTCTTGTTTGTTTGTTTTGTTTTGTTAGGGTTTTTTTCTCAACTTTAACACACAGTTCAACTGTTCCTAGTAAAAGTTCAAGATGGAGGAACTAGCATGAGGCTTTTTTCAGTATCTCGAAGTCCAAATGCCAAAGGAACCTCACACACTGTTTGTAATGGTGCAATATTTTATATCACTTTTTTTTAAACATCCCCAACATCTTTGTGTTCTCACACACAGGCAATTTGCAATGTTGCAATTGTGTTGGAGAATGAAGTCCCCCCACCTCCCAGCCACACACACATCCTTTGTTCTCATGACAGTAGGTCTGAGCAAATGTTCCACCAAGCATTTTCAGTGTCTTTGAAAAGCACGTAACTTTTCAAAGGTGGTCTTAATTTGTTGCATATCTATCAAGGACTTATTCACTCACCTTTCCTTTTCTGCCCTCTATCAATTGATTTCTTCTTACCTTTCATCATTCATTCCTTCCTTTAGAAAAACTGAAGATTACCCATAATCTCCTCTTATTACTTGAGGGCCTTGACTATTTAGTTTATTTTGTTTACTTTACAGGTTAACACAGTTGTTTTGTCTGATTGCATTTTATTAACTGTGAAGCCGTTGAAATGAATATCACTTAAGCAACGTTGCTAAATTTCTATGTGTTTGAAATGTGTTAATGAAGGCACTGCTTATTTGTAGTCACCTTGAACTGACTTAACCTAGAAGCTGTGCCTTCTTGTGAAAAAAAAAAAAAACAAAAACAAAAAACAGCCTTTAAACAAGTTTCCTTAGTGTCAAAAGTTAAAAATAAAGGACATTTATTTCTGAGATAAAAAGTAACTTACTAAATATAAGTAGGTTATCCTCCTACCTCCTAAAATTCGATTTCAACATATAACTCAAACACCTAAACATATTGAGGTAGAATATCTCACAGTATTTAATATCTGACAATGCTTTTGAAAGAGTTGATGTTTCTTTTTATATATTTTTCTAACTCAAAGGATATATTAAAGCCATAAGTGAAGATTGTCATGCTTTTATTCAGAAATCTGAAAGAAACCTTAATTAAAACAAGGTTTTAGGGAAGGCCATGATATGAAAGATATGGAACAATATGGTTTTAGTTAGAGAGGACTCTAACCTGTAAATCAAAGATGAAAGATTTCACTCAAGTAGAATTATATAACTCCCTTTGTTATACAGTCAGACCATATTTTTCATGCATTTGGTTTTTTTAGGATTACCATTTTAATTTTAAAGACTTTTATTACATATACAAAAATGGCTCAATACTTGGTTTAACTTCTTAGAAATTTGAGACACCCTTTGAAATAGGAAATCTGAAATGGAATGTAACTTAGTATTAGGTAAAAATTGCTT
The DNA here is from genome assembly GCF_000001405.40 of Homo sapiens. Classification (NCBI taxonomy): domain Eukaryota; kingdom Metazoa; phylum Chordata; class Mammalia; order Primates; family Hominidae; genus Homo; species Homo sapiens. The sequence goes on from NC_000007.14 coordinate 18,997,942, forward strand.
TCATTGCGTAAGGGCAAATTCAGTCTAGATTCATAGTAGTAATCAATTTTTTATAAATTTTATTTTCATGAGAAATTCATACCAATCATATTTGCTAGCTTATGTTATTTTGCAGTGATTGCTTGAGGATATTTACTTAAAAAAATAGTAGAGCCAAAGGCTTAACAAAAGACTCTCCCCCATTTTAAAAAGGAAACTCATGTTTTAATTAGAAAAATAATTGTGTAGTTTTAAAATCAACTTCATAATTATAAATCTCTGTCATTACTTTTTAGTCCTCCCAGATATTTTTTTAGTTGTTGAATAAGAAAATAAAACAGTGTAATGCAAACATGCTAATTTACTAAAGTTTCCTACAACAGTTTAGCCACATGTTTATGCCAAGCCATTAATCTGATAAAGCCAAATCACTAGGACATCTCCATGGTTATTTAGATTTAAAACTTGACACATTAATGAGTTAATCACACATACTCCCATATGACACCATACCCAATTGGTTGCACTTAGAGTCTTTAAAATACCTGGAGAAGCAAATGAACTGTGGAGAGGATTATCCACAGCATGTAGTTGTAAGAACAGAATGCCATTGCTTTTTGATTATACCATTACAAGATGGAGCATAGCCCTGAGGGACAGAATGGAGGCTTTCCGAAAATATCAACACTTCTTTTGAAATAGACCAGCACTTTTTGAAAGGGTAGTTTCACTTGGTATAGTTTTTCTTCACTTACCCGTTTAAATTTTATTGCTCGCAGTTGTTCTGAATGAGAGGCTAGAAGAGTATTATCAATTTTGCATCTCCTTGTGATACTTACTTTGAAGGAAAATCACATACGCTCTCTCATGGTCTCATGGTATCTCATACAGGGTGAATAAAAATGATTTTTGATAAATCTACTAGTAAATAATACTAGGAATTTAATAAGCTGTCAAACGTAGGTATAAAAAGAAGGCTTAAAAATTAATTTTCCCAATTGTATAATTTGGGGCTGTATATTAAACTAAAAAACACAGACAGTTTTATTAAATAGTAACCAAAATGGACTCAAATAAAACCAGAGGCTATGTTACCATTGCTTAGTAAATGGAAAGAACATTGTGAGATGAACTATCTTTAAATATTGTAACAAGTTTATAACATCAATAGTGGAGACAGAAGTCAGCTTTGGAGAAAATAGAGATATTTATGAAAAAACTACTACAAATCACATTTCCATTACCAATCCTGGGGATGGAAATATTGCCTTCAGTTTTTACTCCAGCCCTATACGACACTCTCACTAACCTTTCACTGACAACATCATGGCCTTGAAAGCAGGGATCTCCTCCCACAAAGGCTTCAGAAATTACAGGACTGGTCTCTCTTAATAGTTTAGTCCTGCTTTATTTCCAAAGGGCAATTATAAAGCCTCGTGGATTTACTGGGTTTCTTTACAGACTCCATATGGAAGTAAAATAGAATGATCATTTGGAAAGTCTCCTGGGAAAAAATTCCTCTTCAATCAGCATTTTAAAACTTTTTTATTTTTGAGTCAGAGTTTTGCTCTTGGTGCCCAGGCTGGAGTGCAATGGCGCAATCTCGACTCACTGCAACCTCCGCCTCCCGGGTTCAAGCAATTCTCCTGACGAGTAGCTGGGCATGCGCCACCACGTCTGGCTAATTTTTGTATTTTTAGTAGAGACGGGGTTTCTCCATGTTGGTCAGGCTGGTCTCAAACTCCCGACCTCAGGTGATCCGCCCGCCTCGGCCTCCCAAAGTGCTGAAATTACAGGTGTGAGCCACTGCACCCGGCCAAACTTATTGTTTTAATCCCAGCATTTATGTTTAGAAGAATTAATTTAAATATTTCTTACTATTTCTCTGTCGAATGTTTACTCTCATCTTATCTCAATGAAAGAAGTATTAAAAGTCTTATGGCCCCAAAAGAAACAAGCCAAACTGTACTGTCTTAAAAGTGATTCATTCTGAGCTTGAAACGACTCTGTCAGTGTTTGACATTGTCATTTCTAGTGGCATGTATCTTAACATTCTTTTCCTGCTTCAGGAATGAAATCACTTGTCCTGCTGAGAAAATAAGGGGAAAACAAGATAGAAGTAAAAAACAACACACCTGTTGAACTATTTTCATAAAGATGGCGTTTTCACTTTCAAAAGAAATGAAAACCAGATGGTCTATGCTAAGAAGTGAAGGCATTTTGTTGTCTTCAGAACTGATCAACATGGTCATGATCATCATCAAATTTCTTGTTTCCAAAGGCCACTATTGTAGTACAGTCTCCAGCAGGATTTTGTACCATGTGCTGCCTTTGGAATAAAGTATTATAATGTATCTTGTCACCTTCATCAACACCACCATTAAATATGTAAGTTCCTATATGTGACTTTTTCTGGGCATATTTGCATCAAAAATCACAGTCCTTGCCTCCTTGCTTGCTTTTACTCCATGAAACGCTTCATGAAGCAGAGCATGATTGTCAAGTGACCAGAGGATGACATTTGTAAGTGAACGTGGTATACTCACACATGCTATACTCATACTACATAACTTAGTTTCTCCAAATCAACTGCAGTCCGTTTTATCTATGATATTCCTGGCTTCGTATAATGGTTTTGTAAAATACATTAAATACAATTAAGTCCGTTATTACTATGCTGGAAATAACTAGGTCAGACAATGAAACCTTAGACTTTTGATTGGGGCTGTTTGGACTTGATCCAATGATAAGGTAATAAGGTTGTTGCAATTTCTCAAAGCATCTTAATTCTCAAACTGAAACATTTAGCAAATACATGGTGAATCTGGTGTAAACTTACAATCTAACAAATAATTTTCTTTCAACTCTTCTCTTTTTCTGCCTAACAATCTATACGAAATTGCCAATATCTAAGCAATCAAAAGTTTCTGAAATCTCTGTTTCCTTAGTAGAAATGACCTTGACAACTTATTTTCTGAGATACCACTAGGCCTACTGTCTTTCATGCCATTTTATATAAACATTTTGATAGATACTCTGTCTTTTGTTTTTTATCTCTTCTCTTTTCAAGAGTCACTTGACTTTTTCAAATATTCTTAAAAGATAGATTTAGTTATTGTATTTTGGTCTACAATTTTGGACTTGGCAGTTTGTTTTACTAATGCAGAATTATTCTTTTTGTTTCAAACATAGTTTGCCATCATCTGGCTACTACCTAATCATGTTGTACTAGTTATTGTGGAAAGAAAATTGTACATACATTTCCTTGTCCTTTGGGAGATGTCTTTGAGTCAAACCCACAAGCATGAACTCTCACCTGAAAGAAAACTGGAAAAGGAGAAACTTTAAATCAGTATGTTTTGAAAGGAAGAGATTTCCAGACTTTTTAAAGCAAATTGGAATCGTTTTATTTTTTTGTTTGGGCCTTAGGCACAATAGAAGCAAATGTTGCAATATTAAATATAATAGGGAGAGTTCACTGTTTCCTGGGACATTGTGGTCATGTCCTTAATCCTTCATTGTGATGCCCCTTCTTGGAGTTGGCATTTTGTGACAATTCATAGAGATCTTGCAGCAATATTTGGCTATTGGTTTTATTAACTTAAAATTCAACAGAAATGGAGTAATTAAAAAAAAAAACAAAAAACAGAGAAGAATTGCAAAATCTGAAGTGGAATGGCACTTCCTTGGGTATGTAAGGGTTGTTTTTAGATAAAACTCCCGATTTGTTCTTCCTACACTTTAATAGTCTCAAATTCTTTCTGGGGAAGCAACGTCAGTGTCTACCTCCACAGTAACTATGATATAGGAAATTGTCCTTTCAGTGGTTTCTAGGTATAACAAACAAGCCGTTAAAAATGAGTGACCATTTTGTAGGTTACAGCCTCAGCAATCTGTGTCATTTGAAAGCAAATATCCTGATATTTTTAAATAAGGTGAGCAGGGCAGGCAGGAAACCAATATTTAGTACTTTTGTGATTAAACATTCTAGACCAGGCTTGTTGATATGTATGCCAATAGCCTAGAATTTTTGGCTTAGTGTAAAATAAAAATGTCTTTTCTATTGTGGTCTGATATCCGTTTCTGTAATAAGATCAGTTTGTTGTCCTCTGTGCACCAGTGGTTTTGCCCTTAATTTTTTTTGGCTAGCATCACCAAGATCTGTCATCCAGAGCTGCTGAGAAAAATACATGTTGCCAAACTTTTCTTAAAATTGTGCTGCCAGTGGTATTTTCCCAGATGTGAAAAATAATAATCTAATAAAGGATTAATATCTAATAACAATACCATTGTTGAACATGCTCATGGAATGTCCACCTTCTTCTGATTCCTTTTTTGTATTTGAAAATGCAATGGTGTGTTCCAAATTATTGTTGGTGTTGTTAATGTCATGACTCTCCTTTGAATAGAATAAAATAACCCCTTTTGTTTTGTGTTTTCTACTGAATTAGATTTTCCTCTAGTCCTATGTGAATAAAAAGCTATTTGAAATAAAAGTGTTCTTATTTTTCTATGTCCTTGGTGCCTACCATTAGACTCTGGATAGCAGATATTTGACGAATATTTGTTGGATAAATACAATATTATGAAATATGAATTACCACAAAATGTACTATTCCATTTTCAAAAAAAAAGATTTACTTGTGAGTAAATCTCCCTTAAAATAATGTGAAAATTCACAAAAGAAGAAGTAAATTAAAACACAGTTGCTATTTGATTGTAGCTTGATGGTTAGAATAAAGAACAATAATAACTACCACTGATTAAGTACCTTCCATGTGCCTGTCACTCTGCTGAACACTGTACCTGAATGATATTTAACCATCACACGAACCCTGCCTCATAGGTGTTATTAGTCTCATTTAGAGATGAGAACATCAAGCACTGAAAAGGTTAACGCACTGTTACAGTGACAGACGGGATTTGACCCTTATCTGCATGTATCTATCTTTGAAGTCTATCCTCTCCAAATGTATATATGACACATCAAAGATGGCATACTAAAGATATTCTTTGACTAAAAAACTATGATTAACCTTCAGAACAGACTGTATGCTCAGTCTTTGCTAAGTTTTATTAAGTTATTTAAATCGATCTGGTAATTGTGGCTAGATTTGTACAGTAAGTACAAGTTTAAAAATGGTTGTTTCTATTCCTATATCAACAACTTTCTCTAATCTAGCCAAGAACCCTAAGATATCTTTAGAGCACATACTCCAAAAACTGTTTAAATATTCCAAGACCAATACTTATTTTTGTATTTTATAACCCCCTGCAATGTTTAACATTCTAAAATATAACTGTTTCTAATGGACAATGGTTTGGGTTCCTTCTGGGAAAAGATAGTAATATTTTGTCTAACAAAAGGTAAATGAGATGGAGTGGGTGGGTAGACTGAGTTTCAATGGTAAACACCTTTGATTTAATCAGATTTGTCAAATGGCAAATGTTACTTTGTGGTTCTTTGTTTCATTTAAGTTTCCATGGTAAAAAGCGAACAGTTGAAAAAGTGGAGCCTATGTTTAAAAATTAAGAATGAATGTCATATTGTTATTTTAAAAGAGTAGTTTGTAGTTGAAAAAGGAAGCCTAAAGAATATCTTTCACTACTTAACACTTTTGTGGTGCTTTAGGGTTATTGAACCCAAAATATTTCCAAATATTGTAATTACCCCTCAAATTTGTAATATCAATAGGCTATACAAATTCCTATGGTCTTCCAGGTTGACCATAAATAGATAATTCCCCACATGTCCTAATAATTACTTTGGAAAAGACTGACAGCTGTTCTTTCAAATGTCCTACGAAAAGCAAAGTAAGATTCAGGAAAATAGATGAAAAGATGAATGAATTCCTTCTGTAATCTTTAAAAAAAAACTGGAGAAATAAGAGGATTTTTTAAAAGATTGCATTCACCTCAGATCAAATCAAATTTAAAGGTCTTAGTGTATCTAGAAAAGGTATTAACTCCATAATGAAAGCTTATACATTTAAAATATAATATAATCCCATATATATTTTTTCCTAAAAAATATTTTTTTCCAAAAAAGTAAGGTTTAAAAACTTAAGATGTGATAAAGTGAATCAATTTAATGGTATACTAAAAAGTAAATCTTTTAATAAATTATGTATTTATGAAGATTTATTCTTAACCAAATGTGAAGACTTTACATCCATGTAAAATGAGGTGGTTTCTTTTAAGAATGTGTATTTTTAGTGCACAATTTTTATTTTTTCTCCTTTGTTAAACAGGTTTTGTTTTGGTTGTCTTATTTATTCTAAAAATAAAAATATTAATAGCTATTTACCACTTACCCTGTGCTCTTATTTAAATCTCACAACAAACCCATGAGAGGGGTAATTTAATGATGAGTAAATTACAATATAAATACCAGAACAAAGCTCATCTTATTTACTGCTAACCAATTAGTGCATACAATGTAATCAACATTCACTGACGGCCTACAATATGTCACAAGTATTCAGTACTTGTTCTCAGAATAGCATGAAAAATAGCAAGAAAATTGGCAATACATATAAAGGAAATGAAAATTTCATTAAATCTCCATCTGATATAACTACAAAAGAAATATTACCACAAAATAGGTTTGGCTTTAGAATTGTGTGACACTAAGACTTTCTAAAAAATATGACTTCTCTTTTTTCTTCATAGAATTATAATATAGACGCAGAGATACAATAGATTTAAGAAATATGTGTGGTCTAAATTACATATAATTATATTCATGGAAAGATTTGGGCACAGCCCTATCAAGAAAGTAGATATGATAAGAGTATCTGTTCAAGTCCCTTTCATCCCTAAGGTCTACCAGATCAACATTCAATTTAAAAGCATGTAATGTTAAGATGTATAAAGACAGGAGATTAATTTTGTAGAAATCCTTAAAAAAAAAAAAAAACCTTAGAAATTGCTTTCTAAATTCCAGTCATTTGCTTTTCTCCCATTATTTTGTTTTAAAAAAATTAGTTGATTATAATTTCTGGAGAGACACGTCCCCAACAGTCAAATTTGTTAATAACCATTTTGGCTTTACTCCATTGCCCCTTAATAAAGCATAATTTCCAAACTCTTTTACTTTTCAAACACTGATCTTAATAAGCAGTTTTTTTAATTGTTTCATCGGACCCCAAATCCTGACAGACTGTAACACCCTCAATCAGGCAGATTGTACTTAGAGGTGTTCTCTGGGCCATTAATGCTGTGCTACCATTTTGAAGTTTTAGTTTTCCTATTTTAAAATCCAGCCTGTATTTAACCAGATACATTCTGACTTCTTTTTCATGGTTACATAGAGTGCCCTTTCTCCCACTAGACTATTAAATTTAGCTCAGAAGTCCCAAACAACCAAAAACACTGCTTTGCAATTAGTACATATTTATAAAGGATGGCTACAGGCTATAAAGTAGTCATTTCTTGTCACCACTTCTTTTAAGCTCAATGGAAAGTGGATGGAAAAGTATATGGTGCCCCATATAATAATCTGTGTTAAAAAATCAGTGTCCTTGGTGTTGAGATCAAACCAAGTCAGATGTTTACAACTTTAAGAAACAATTTTGGCCAGGCACAGTGGCTTGCACCTGTAATCCCAGCACTTTGGGAGGCCAAGGTGGGTGGATCACCAGGTCAGGAGTTCGAGAACAGCCTGACCAATATGGAGAAACCCCATCTTTACTAAAAATACAAAAAATTAGCCGGGCGTGGTGGTGCATGCCTGTAATCCCAGCTCCTTGGGAGGCTGAGGCAGGAGAATTGCTTGAAACCGGGAGGCAGAGGTTGCAGTGAGCCAAGATCATGCCATTGCACTCGAGCCTGGGCAACAAGAGTGAAACTCCATCTCTAAACCTAGGCATTACCATTCAGGACATAGGCATGGGCAAGGACTTCATGTCTAAACCACCAAAAGCAATGGCAACAAAAGCCAAAATTGACAAATGGGATCTAATTAAACTAAAGAGCTTCTGCACAGCAAAAGAAACTACCATCAGAGTGAACAGGCAACCTACAAAATGGGAGAAAATTTTCACAACCTACTCATCTGACAAAGGGCTAATATCCAGAATCTACAATGAACTCAAACAAATTTACAAGAAAAAAACAAACAACCCCATCAAAAAGTGGGTGAAGGATATGAACAGACACTTCTCAAAAGAAGACATTTATGCAGCCAAAAGACACATGAAAAAATGCTCATCATCACTGGCCATCAGAGAAATGCAAATCAAAACCACAATGAGATACCATCTCACATCAGTTAGACTGGCGATCATTAAAAAGTCAGGAAACAACACGTGCTGGAGAGGATGTGGAGAAATAGGAACACTTTTACACTGTTGGTGGGACTGTAAACTAGTTCAACCATTGTGGAAGTCAGTGTGGCGATTCCTCAGGGATCTAGAACTAGAAATACCATTTGACCCAGCCATCCCATTACTGGGTATATACCCAAAGGACTATAAATCATGCTGCTATAAAGGCACGTGCACACGTATGTTTATTGTGGCATTATTCACAATAGCAAAGACTTGGAACCAACTCAAATGTCCAACAATGATAGACTGGATTAAGAAAATGTGGCACATATACACCATGGAATACTATGCAGCCATAAAAAATGATGGGTTCCTGTCCTTTGTAGGGACATGGATGAAATTGGAAATCATCATTCTCAGTAAACTATCGCAAGGACAAAAAACCAAACACCGCATGTTGTCACTCATAGATGGGAATTGAACAATGAGAACACATGGACACAGGAAGGGGAACATCACACTCTGGGGCCTGTTGTGGGGTGGGGGAAGGGGGAGGGATAGCATTAGGAGATACACCTAATGTTAAATGACGAGTTAATGGGTGCAGCACACCAGCATGGCACATGTATACATATGTAACTAACCTGCACATTGTGCACATGTACCCTAAAACTTAAAGTATAATAATAATGATAATAAAAAGAAACTCCATCTCAAAAAAAAGAAACAATTTTAAAAGCAGATAAATGTACAAATCTTGTTTATACTCTTAACAATATTCAAGTTTAGTAGATGTATTCCCAGAGTATTTCCAGAAAAGAGAATGAAGGCCTGGGAATCCAGACTTTTAGTTTCCAGCCCTATTTCTGCAACAACCCTGCTTGTGACATTTGGCAAGTTCATTACCTTCTCATAGCCTTCATTTCTTTATTATTTCCTATTTAATGATTTGAAAGTTATACATCCAACTTTTATTATTTAAAAATATACATTATATGTCTATTATTTTACTCAAACTAGTCAAATGCAGAATTGACTTAAAAGTCATTTCTCTTAACTACACGTCTACTCTCCACTTGCAGAAAACAAGGACCAAAAACTGTATTGAGTCCTACATATTCTATTTTATCCTACATATCATTATTGCCTAGCATTTAGTTTCACTTTATTTTTAAACCTTGATTTTATTTAGAGCAATTATTGATACATGTGTATGACTATTTATATAAATCCAGTTATAATACAAAGGTTGTCAATAATTATTGCTAATATCTTTGCTCAATAATTTTGGTTATGCCTCACACTTCATTTCTTTCTTCTTTCAGGATGGGAGTGATTAACTTTCTTCTAGCTTGCCTGTCTGAGATGAATTTATTTTTTATTTTTTGGCCTCACTCTTGAATGATCGTGGCTGGGTATAGAATTCTAGATCGCCAATTATCTTTTTCTCAGCACTGTGATAACATCATTTTATTGTATTCTTGCCTCTACTTTCACTGCCAAGGTGTCTGTAATTGCTTAATAATTGTTCCTTTGAAAATAATCTTTTTTCTTTTGGCATTTTAAGATCCTCTCTGTGAGCAAGTGTGATTGTGTGTGTGTGTATGTGTGTGTAAGCTGCAAGGGACTGACTGTGTTTCCTAAATGTAAAAATTCCATTATTTCCTGTATTCCGGAAAATTCTAAGTTATCTATGATTGATAATAGCTCCCCTAGTCTTCTATTCCATTTTTTCCTAATTCTTGTTAGATAGAACTCTTGTTAGATATATACTGATAAGCCTTATTCTATACTTTATGTCATTCAACTTGTCTTTTACATTTTCCACTGCATTGTTTCTTTATGCTGTCTTTGAATAATTTCCTCTAAAACTGCAGATCTAATTTTATGCATTTTTATACTATAAATTTTAACTTTCAAAAACATTATTCATTTTTAAAGACGTACTTAATTTTTAAATATTCCACTATTCTAGTCTTATTTCTTTATTGCTTAGATTTCTTACTTTATATTTTAATAATTTTCTACACATTTAGTTTATAGTCTCTATCAGAGTTCTCTGTGATCTCATACTTAAGTACTTGCTTACATTAATTTGGTTACTCCTCTAAAACTATTTTATCATGAGCTAATTTTTGGTAGGGCTTTTATCTGTGAGAATTACATGTTATCTGGATTGAAGACATATCCCTCTCAGGTAGTTTTTTATTTCCTTCTGACAGGCATTTCAGTAGTTTTACTACCTAGGACCCCTTTAATGCTTATTACTACTATTTTGCTTATGGATTATTTGGCCATATGACTAATATAAATTTAAATTTAAAAATCTATGTCCAGGCTTAACAATCTCAGAAGAAACTTTTTATACCCACCTAGTCTGCACAAAGAAACAACCAACTTCCTCATCATTCTGTCATCAGTGGGAAGACATTTTTTCATTCTACTCTCCCACCTGGGAGCAGCCTTTCAAGGTTCCTGATCAATTGTGAATGCCTGTGATAGGATGAGCTTCTCATTTTCAATTATCTGTCTCAAGAAGTCCAAGAGTTCATCTTCTGTCTTTATGCAGGTATTAAAACATAAACCCTTGGGTTACTTATACTGGCAACTTATACTCCACAACCCCATCCCAAGCCAATGACACCATCAGCTCTCCCACGTGCCACTTTCTTTTTCAGTGCCTTCTTCCTTCCTGGTATTTCTAGCACTGAATTTAGCTATGCATTTAAAAGAATATTCCACTCAGCATCTCTTGAACCTTATGGCAGGGGTGTTGCAGTTTACCTGGTCTTTCACATTGATGAGAATTGGAAGTGGCCTCAGTCTCCAGCCATGAAAGGACATCTCTAGGGTTCTCTTTAGCTCTGTTATTTTGCGAATTCTTCATATGTATAAAATTGACACTTTAGCTTCTGAAACTGCTAGTCATTCCATTACTTGAAAGAGCTCCTCATTGTGGATAATGGGCAGCCAGTGCCTTAACAGTTTTTGACAAACTGAAAATGATTAAAAAGTTTGCAGGCTGCTTCCGGAGAGAAATTACAAATTAGAAACACATAGATCATCTGCAGAGATTTGATGTTTAATGCACCCACTGAAAACTGTCTCTGACAATGGGTGCTGGTAGTCCTTTCTTTGGTGGTATGTGTTTAATCTTATTGTTCGCATCAAATAAAAAGAGAAGGGAATAGTAGTGAGTGCCACTTGTCTGAACCTTAGAAATGAGGTTCATTTTCTTCACTGTCAAAACATGACAGGAAAACAGATACTCGTTACATGTTGAAGAGTGAAAGATTTGAGCTAATGCTTGGCAGGAACATACATAGCTGAGGTTTCATTTCTTTGTACGTACTGTGGCCATGTTAAAGTTCAGTCTTCACATTCCTTTCTGGTGAAAAAGAGATTTAATGAACATGCTACATGTTTCTTTTAGCTGCTAAATGACATGCGTCTTCTCCTTATGACTACTTTTTTTTGAGTATCTTGGAAATATTGTGTGTGGCTATCTTTCTGACTAAAAAGTACTCATTGAGAAGGATGAGGAGCCATTACTGTGGGACAAAAACATTTTCCCGCAAAAAAGAATGTACAAGCACACAAAAAAGATGTGGGATTTTTATGAATCATATCCTGTAATTTTTCACTTTTTTTCCAGCTACCTCCTTCTCAGAACAGAATCCAAGAAAACCAAAGTAAACTATTTGTGCTGTGTGCAAAAATTTTGCCAAATTGAATTACATAATTCATCTAGCAGATTTGATGAGTTCCTGGATGCAATTTGCAAATTTGCATTTTGGGCAGAAGAAAATAATGCATTTGTTATATATGAAAAAACACAGTGTTTGTTATGAAACCATATTTTGTAATTGCTCAGGAATGTCTCTGTATATATGTACAGTGTGTGTACTTAGGCATGAAACTTGGCTATTTATCATGTATACTTCAGAATATTTTACAGTGCACATAGTGAACTATGGAATCATATTAATGAATTTCTAGAAACTAAGCATTTTTATACAAATACAAATTATGATATTGAAATATTAAATATGTTAAGTAAATATTTGGCCAACTTTTTTTTTTTTTTTGAGATGGAGTCTTGCTCGACACGTCGCCAGGCTGGAGTGCAGTGGCACAATCTCAGCTCACTGCAACCTCTGCCTCCCGGGTTCAAGCAATTCTCTGCCTCAGCCTCCCAAGTAGCTGGGATTACAGGTGCACGCTACCATACCTGGCTAATTTTTTTCTATTTTTAGTAAAGATGGGGTTTCACCATCTTGGCCAGGCTGCTCTTGAATTCTTGACCTCTTGAACTCCACCTCGGCCTCCCAAAGTGCTGGGATTACAGGCATGAGCCACCACGTCTGGCCTTGGCCAACTTTCAAAACTCCTAGGTAAAGGAAATATTCTAACATTGATGCAGCATACCTGGATTCATGGTATATTACTCACCATTTATTAAAGTAAACATTCTAAATTATAAAGGAAAGTACCATCAGCAAGATGGTGGAATAGGGTGCCCCAGGATCTTGTTCCCTTACAGAAATACCAGGTTAACAACGAAATGCTGATAAAAATAACTTTATGCACACTCTGGAAACTAGTTAAAGATCTACATTAACCAAGTAAATACCCAATAAAGAAAAAGCCATATTCAAATGGTAGGAAATTTCAAGTTTTTTTCATCCATCTTTGCCTCACTCTTTGCACTGGGATCAGGAGGAAGCGGCCTATCTTAATCTACTTGGCCGCTGTAACAAAATTTCATAAATTGGGTGACATAAGCAACTGACATTTATTTATCACAGTACTGGAGGCAGGAAAATCAGAGAATAAGTCTCCAGCATGGGCAGGTTAGGGTGAGGGCCATCTTCCTGGATTGCAAATATCTGCCTTCTTGCTGTATCCTCACATGGTGGAGACAGGAAGCTATGGCATTTATTTCTCTTCTTATAGGGGCACTAATCACATCATGGGGGCTTTGATCTGATGACCAGATCTAAACCTAATTATCTACCAAATGCCCTAACTCCTAATACTATGACATCGAGGGTTAAGGCTTCAAGGTATGAATTGAAGAGGGACAAACATTCGGTCTACGGTATGGCACAATGTCTGGTTCTCTACCTCAGGCCAGAAACAGCAGAGTAAATTGTTGGCAAAGTAGTTCGGTCCTGTCTGTGGGTTGCTCAGGGACTGGTATCTGTCTCACGGCACAGACAGGAAATGGTAGCATAGTTTAGATCTGAGGCTAGAAGCCGTGGATGATAGTGATGGACAATGACATGTGAAAACTGCAGGAAGACTACACACTTGTACCCACCCGGGGCAAATGATTGATTATGGGCAAAGGAATATAATAGAGCATCTAAGGCCCCAAGAAGAAGCTGGAGTTAAGACTCTTTGGGAAATTAAGACACTTAAAAGCAGCCAGGAGAATTCAGGGGAAAAAATTTTAAAAAGCACACATATAGACCCAAACAAATGCATGCTGCCAAAGACCTGATAAGACTACCTTGGGCTAACCTCAAGGTTCAGGGTCCTGTTAATCAGTAAAAGACTTCCATGCCAATTTTAAAGACTGGAGAAAGCGGCTATTTGATGAAATGTCCAATAGTCAACAAAAACTCACAAGTCATACAAAGAAACAGGGAAATATAGCCAGTGTAAAGGAACAAAATCAATCTCCAGAAACAGTCTCCAAAGAAACATGCATCAGGGTTCCTAGACAAAGACTTTAAGACATCTGTCTTAAATATGCTTAAAAGGCTAAAAGAAATAGAGACAAACAAATAAATGAAACAGGGACAAGGACTAAAGAAAATCAGTAAAACAAATTGGGTGGATTTTTTGGCTATTTAAGTGTTTTGTTTGATATTTTACATGTAATTTAAGATTTAGACAATATTGTAATCATAGAGTATGATTTTCATTTAAAGGTCATTTAGTTAAGGGTCTCTTTTTTCATTCCTATTCTTTAGGTGACCCAGCTAAAAGTTTTGCTACATTAAAGACTTCATATAAATTCATATGATTTAAAGCATTTTCAGCAGTAAATCTGCATGCTAGATAAGAAATGAAAGGGATCAAAGAGGAAATAAGTGATGCAAGGCTGCTAGGTAGAAATAAAATAATTTTCTTTTTTTTAAAATTTTACATCATTTTCAGATTATTTATTTATTTATTTTTAAATTTTCATTTTAAAATCAGGGGTACATATGCAGGTTTATTACATGGGTATATTGTGTAATTCTGAGGTTTGGAGTATGAATGATTCCATCACTCAGGTATTAAGCATAGTGCCGAATAATTAGTGTTCCAACCTTCTCTCCTTTCCCTCTCTCCCTTACCATAGTCCACAGTTTCTATTGTTGCCATCTTTATGTCCATAAGTACCCAATGTTTAGCTCCCACTTAAAAGTGAAAACATGGCTGGGCACAGTGGCTCATGCCTGTAATCCCAGTACTCTGGGAGGCCGAGGCGGGCGGATCACTTGAGATCAGGAGTTCAAGACTAGCCTGGCCAACATGGTGAAACCCTGTCTCTACTAAAAATACAAAAATTAGCTGGCCATGGTGGCAGGAGCCTGTAATCCCAGCTACTCGGGAGGCTGAGGTAGGAGAATCACTTGAACCCAGGAGGCGGAGGTTGCAGTGAGCTGAGATTGTGCCATTGCACTCCAGCCTGGGGGTGAAGGGTGAGACTTCGTCTCAAAAAAAAAAAAAAAAAGTGAAAACATATGGTATTTGATTTTCTGTTCCTCACCCAACTGACTTAGGATAATGACCTCCAGCTGCATCCACATTGATGCAAACGATATATTTTTACTTTTTGTATGTCTGCATAGTATTCCCTGGTGTATCTGTACCACATTTTCTTTATCCAATCCACCTTGATGGGCACCCAGATTGATTCCACGTCTTTGTTATTGTATAATAAATAGTGCTGCGATGAATATGCGAGTCCTTGTGTCTATCAGTAGAATGACTCGTTTTCTTTTGGATATATACCTAATAATAGGATGGCAGGGTTGAATGGTAACTTTGTTTATTAAGTTATCTAGAACCTAAAGTTCTTTTATTAACAGAAATCTCTGAGCTGCTTTCCACAGTGGCTGAAATAATTTACATTCCCACCTACAGTGTATAAGTATTCTCATCTCTGCAGCCTCACTAAGCAGCTCTTGTTTTTTTTGACTTTTTAATAATAGCCGTTCTGACTGGTAGGAGATGGCATCTCATCGTAGTTATGATTTGCATTTAACTGATAACTAGTGATGTGGAACATTTTTTTCATGTTTGTTGGCCACATGTATGTCTTCTTTTGAGAAGTGTTTGTTCATATCTTTGGCCTGTTTTTAAAAATGGGATCACTTGTTTTTTGCTTGTTCAGCTGCTTTAGTTTCTGTAGATTCTGGATGTTAGACCTTTGCTGGATTTACAGTTTGTGAATATTTTCTCCCATTCTGTAGGTTGTCTGTTTACTCTGTTGATAGTTTCTTTTGCTGTGTAAAGGCTCTTCAGTTTAATTAGGTCCCACTTGTCAATTTTTGTTTTTGTTGCAATTGCTTTTCATGGATAATTTTTTTCCCAAGGTCTATGTTCAGAATGATGTTTCTGAGGCTTTCTTCTAGGATTCTTATAGTTTGAGGTCTTACATTTAAATCTTTAATCCATCTTGAATTAGTTATTGTATATGGTGACAAAGGTAGGGGTCTAGTTTCATTCTTCTGCATATGGTTAGTCAGCTATCCCAGCACCATTTATTGAATAGGAAGTTCTTTCCCCATTGCTTATTTTTGTTGACTTTGTGGAAGATCAGATGGCTGTAGGAGTGAAGCTTTATTTCTGGGTTCTCTGTTATGTTTCACTGGTCTATGTGTCTGTTTTGCACCAGTACTATGCTGTTTTGGTTACTGTGGCCTTATGGTATAGTTTGAAGTCAGGTAATGTGATGCCTCTGACTTGGTTCTTTTTGCTTAGGATTGCTTGGACAATTCTAGTTCTTTTATGGTTCCATTTGAATTTTAGAATATTTTTTCTACTTCTATGAAAAAAGTCCTTGGTATTTTGATAGGAATACTGCACTGAATTTGTAGAGTACATTGAGCAGTATGACCATTTTAATTATATTGATTCTTCCAACCCATGGGCATGTAATGATTTTCTATTTGTTAGTGTCATCTGTGATTTCTTTCAGCAATGTTTTGTGGTTCTCCTTGCAGAGATCTTTCATCTTCTTGGTTAGATGTATTTTATTTTATTTTATTTTCTTGTGGCTATTGTAAATGAGATTGCATTCTTGATTTGGTTCCCATCTTGAATGCTACTAATATTGGTACATTTAATTTGTATCCTGAAACACTGCTGAAGTTGTTTATCATTTCTAGAAGCTTTTGACAGAGTCCTTAGGGTTTTCTAGGTATGGAAACATATAATCAGTAAAGAGAGATAGTTCAACTTATCATCTTCTTATCTGGATCTTTTTAATTTCTTTAATTTATTATTTGGATAATTTTAACTTCTTTCTCTTGCTTGTTTTCTTTTGTTTTTATTTTATCCAACTTGCCAATCTGTACATTTTAAATGGGGGTGTTTAAATTCTTTAGAGTCAAGGTTAACATTGATAGGTGAGGTTTTGATCCTATATTGAAGTTGCTAGATGCTTGCTTTGTAGTTTCTATTATGTGGTTGCTTTATAGGGTCTTTGGTCTATGTACTTCAGTGTATTTTTGTAGTAGCAGGTAGATATAGCAGATATAGTTCTTAAATTTTATTAACACTCTTAAGGATCTCTTATAAGGCTGGTCTGTTGGTAGCCAATTCCCTTAATGTTTGCTAATTCAGAGAAGATTTTATTTCTCCTTCACTTCTGAAGCTTAGTTTAGCAGAATATGAAGTTCTAGGTTGAAATTTTTTTAGTGCTGAAAATAGGCCCCAGTCTCTCCTGGCTTGTAAGGTTTTTTTTGCTGAGAAGTCTGCTGTTAACTTGATGAGGTCTCCTTTATTTGTGGTCAGAGCTTTTTCTCTAGCTGCCCTTGATATTTTTCTTTAGTGTTGACCTTGGACAGCCTGGTGGTGATATGCTTGCTGATGTTCATTTTGTATAGGCTCTTGTAGATGTTCTCCGGATTTCTTGTATCTCGAAACATACCTCTCTACCAAGATTAGAAAAAGAATTTAAATTATTCCCTCAAATATGGTTTCTAGGTTGTTAACTTTTTCTGCTTTTCTCTCAGGAATGCCAGTAATTCATAAGTTTGGTCCCTTTACAAAATCCCATGTTTCTCAAAGACGCTGTTAATTTTTTAAATTCTTTTTTCTTTATTTTTGTCTGACTGCATTATTTTGAAAGACCGGTCTTCAAGCTCTGAAATTCTTTTTTTGCTTTGTCCAGTCTATTGATAAACGTTTCAATTCTATTTTAAAATTTCTTAAGTGAGTTTTTCAATTCCAGAAGCTCTGATTGATTTATTTTGAAGATGCTTATCTCTTCCTTCATTTCCTGGATTGCTTTAGATGCTTCTTTGTGTTGATTTTCAATCTCGTCTTGAATTTCACTGAGCCTCCTTGAAACCTGTACTTTGAATTCTTTTTCTGTCATTTCTGAGTTTCCATTTTGGTTAGGGACCATTGCTGGAGAGATAGTGTGATCCTTTGGTTATATCACTACATTCAGATTTTTTAATGGTGCCAGAAATCCTGCGTTGGTTCCCTCTCATCTGGAGATGCTGGCACTTCTAATGTTTGTATTACTTTCATGTGGGTAGTAGTTTTTCTTCTGTCTTTCCCTATAATAATTTTTTTGCTTTCTCCTTCTCCCCCTCCCTAAGAGGTGAATGACTGATTTTGTATGCACCCAGATTAAAAGTGGCATCCTGCTCTCAGTCCCCAATCTGGGAAAATGTCTGCAGTTTTTCCCACTGTATTCCTCTCACAGCATCTCCAAGCCTCTTCCCAAGTTAACTCTAGGACTTGGGAGAAACATAGTGGTTTCCCTTGGCCCTATTTTCTCAGTTATTCAGTGGAAAGATGAATCACAAAGGGAAGCTCTCTGCTGCTCTCATGTCCCAGGGCTTCTCTCATCTTTATCAGCTAGATGCCATCACACGCAGTTTTGCTAGTGTGCTATTCACCAGGATCTGGGTGTCTCTCACAATTCCAGCTGAGTCATGTTTTCCTTCTTGAATTGAAGTTCACAGAGTTGATCTTTATGTGCTATCTTGCTATTTTTAAGTGGCAGTGGTATGCCAAAAGCCTCTAATCCATCATTGTGGCAGGGAAAAGAAAAAAAATTTTGAACAAAATGAGGATGCCAACAAAATATAGAATTTATTGTAATAAATCAAACACAAATTCTGGAGCTGAAAAATACCACATCAAAATAAAAGTTTACTAGACAATTTCAACAAAAAACGTGAATGGACAGAGAAAATGACCAACATACTTGAAGGTAGGCCATTGCAAATTATTAAGTCTAAAGTGCAAAAAGAAAAAACAATGAAAAGTGAACAGAGCTGAAAGGACTTACAGGATACCACCAAGTGGGTCAATATGTACATTATGGGAGTCATAGAAGTGAAAGATGTAGAGAAAGGGCAAAATCAGTTAATTTAAGAAATGTTAGCTGAAAATCTTCCAAATTTGAGGAAAGGCATGGATATACAAACTCACGAAGCTCCATATACTCCAAGTAGAATGAAGGAAAAGAGACTGACACTGAGACACATTATAATCAAGCCGTAGAAAAAGACAAAGAGGAAATCTTGAAAGCATCAAGAGAAAAGCAGTACCCCCTCATGTACAAGAGATTCTCAATAAGACTCAGCAGACTTTTGGCAGAAACATTGCAAGCCAGAAGATAGTGGAATGACATATTTTAAATGCTGAAAAAAAAAACCCACAACTTTTTAAAGAGAATTCTATGTCTGGCAAAACTGTCCTTCAAAAATGTGGAAAATTTTTAGACATTCACAGATAAACAAGCTAAGTGTGTTTATTATCATTAAACCTGCTCTATGAGTAATGTTAAAGAGAGTCATTCAAGAATACACAAAATGGAACTAGATCATAAATCAAAGCCATAGAGAAAGATGAAGTTCTCCAGTAAAGGTAGATATATGGACCAATATACAAAACGGTGTTATTGTAATTTTGGTTTGAAACCACTTTTATTTTCAACAGGATTTAAAAGACAAATGAATAGAAAATGAACTTAATTCTATGCTTACGAGAATAAAATATGAAAATGTAACTTTTGGTATCATTTACATAAATAAGGAGTTTCTTAAGCTGTGAAAGAACAGAGCTTTGTATGCACTGGAAGTTAAATTGGTATCAGTATAAAACTGATTATCATAATCTTAAGATATTAGGTGTAATCCCTATAGTAACCACAAGGATACTACCTATAGAATATACTGAAAAGTAAAGGAGAAAAGATCAGATATTTTCACTAAAAAAAAAAAAAAAAAGAGAGAGAACTAAACACAAAAAAAGTATTGGAAGAATTGATAAAATGGCAAAAGTAAATGCTTTTCTATCAGTAATCACTTTGTAAATAATTAAACTTCTCAATAAAAAGACAGATTGTCAGAATTGATGTTCTTACACAAAAGGATTAAACTGTATGCTGTTTACAAGAAACATGCTTTAGCTTTAAGGACACACTTAGGTAGAAAGTGAAAGGATAAAAAAGGTGTTTCATAGAAATGGTAATAAAAAGGGAACAGGGTGGCTATACTTACATCAGAAAAAAATAAGTCAAAAACTGTCACAAGAAACAAACAAGGATATTATATAATGATAAAAGGGTCAATTCAATAGAAAGATATAACAATTGCCAATATACAGACACTCAACGCCAGAGCCCCTAAAATATATAAAGCAAACATTGAGGGTAATAAAGGGAGAAATAGGCAGCAATATGATAATAATTAAAGACTTTAATATGACTTTCAATAATGGTAGAACAATCAGATGGAAATTCAACAAAGAAATTGTAGATGTGAATAACACTATAGACGAAGGTAAAAAACATTGCATACAATGCCAGCAGAGTATATATTTGTTTCAAGCACACCTAGAACATTCTCTAGGATAGATCATATGTTAGGTCACAAAACAAGTCTCAGTGAATATAAGAAGACTGAAATCGTAGCAAGTACCTTTTCTGGCCACAAGAGAATAAAACTAGAAATCAATAGCAGAAGAAAAACTAGAAAATTTACAAATATATGGAAATTAAATAATACACTTATACAACCAATGGCTTAAAAAAGAAATCACAAGGAAAATTGGAAAATGTCTTTGAGAGAAAAAAAAAATGAAAACACAACATACCAAAACACATGATATGCTGTGAAAACAGTGCTAAGACGGAAGTTGATAGCTGTAAACACATTCAAAAGAAAGAATGGTCTCAAATCAATAACTTAAGTTTACACATCTAGTTAAGACATTAGAAAATTAAGAACAAACTAAACCCAAGCTAGTAGAAGAAAGGAAATTGCAAAGATTAGAGCAGAGATGAATTAAATCGAGAATAGAAAAGCAGAGAACGTCAATGAAACCAAGAGTTGGGTTTTCAAATACATCGACAGAATTCACAAAACTTTACCTAGATTGACTAAGAAAAAAAGAGAAAAGACCCAAATAACTAAAATCAGAAATGAAAGAAGGGGCATTACTACTGATTTTATTGAAACAGAAAGGATTATGTAGGCAGAGGAGCCCTAAGATCTGTAGTTGGCAAGCTGGAGACTGAGGAGAGTTGATGGTACAGTGCCAGTCTATGTCCGAAAGCCTGAGAACCCGGAAAGTTGAAGGTGTAGTTACAGTCCAAGGGCCAGTGGGCTTGAGACCCAGGAAAAACTGATGTTCCAGTTTGAATCTGAAGGCAGGAAACAAACAAACAACAACCACAACAACAACAAAAACTGATTTCCCAGCCCAAATGTAGGGTGGAATCCCCTTACTTTAGGACAGTCAGCTGTTTTGTTCTATTCAGACTTTCAACTGGTTGGATGACAGTCATCCACATTGAGGAAAACAATCTGTTTTACTCCATCTATAGATTGAAATGTTACTCCTACCCAAAAACACCCTCACAGACACATCCAGAATAATGTTTGTCCAAATGTCTGGGAGCCCTATGGTCCAGTCAAATAGACACATAAAATTAACCCTCATAAGTACACCCCTTGTCAATTTAGAGTCTATACCCATCTCCTTAAAGCAAATCTAATCTCCCATATCCACCTGACATGATACAAGTATTCTGCATATCACTAAAAAAGCACTACCTCTTCCCCTAAAGAGGAGGTAAAGTTCTTGAGTGATGTCTACTCTTCTCCTTCATATCCCATATGTTAAATACTATGATGTAAAGTTAACACATAATATGTCCTCACTAAACATTGTCCATAGGTTCTTGGAGACTGTGAGTAAGCAAAATGATGTATAATAAAACCAGTTTTACATAGGCTAATTGCTATTAATATAAACAAGAGTTAAGTTCCTATGGCAAATTTCTGATTACAAAAACATCATCAAATTTCTAAGACCCCAAAAACTTTTAATCTTAAACACTGAAATAAATGTGAGCTATCATACATTTAAGAAAGATTAATATTAAAAAATAAGTAAGATAATTATTTTTTCCAATTTTTGGTGAATCCATGAGTGATGGTGGCCATAGTGATGGTGGCTTAAACGAAGGAATAAGTGTCTATGAAGTGAAAATTATAAGGAGCATCTCCTCCCACCATAAAGTTTAAAAACCAATAAGAGCAAATACGGCAAAGTCACTGCATGCCTAAGTGCCACATCATTTATTGTCATGCATTAGTATGATTATCATATACATTATAAATGTTTATTTTACAATAATTTATATTCGTGTGTTCATTCACTTTCTAATTTGCATATTCCAGTTCAGGGTTGTGGGTGGCTGGAGCCTAATCTGGCAGCTCAAAGAACAAAGCAGTAACCAACACTGAACAGGATGTCATTTCATCACAAGGTACACTCACACACACACCCGCACTCACTCATACTGGAACAATTTGAACACACCTATTAACCTAATATGCACATCTTTGGGATGTGGCAGGAAACCAGAGTCTCCAGAGAAAACTCAATGCAGACAAGGGGAAATCTTGAGAACTCCACACAGACAGTGGCCCCTGCTGGGATTTTATTTCTTTTCTCATTAACATTGTAACAAAACAATGTTTAACAAAATGACTTCATTTTACAACCTGCTGTACTATGATATAAAGTCAATGTATCTTATGTTATATGACAAATGAATAAGAGAGGGAAGAAAAATATATTTGAGGTATTGATAGAGATAGATACATAGACAGACAGACAGACAGACAGACAGATAGATAGATAGATAGATACACACACATGCCCTAAGCATATTTATAACAAAATAAGGAGGAAATATTTATGACATTTACAGTCCTCATTTCTGTAACTGGTTCTGTAGTCATAGCTGGTGTTTATAACTACCTTCTACTATCCATTCTGCATTCCCTTGCCTTCAGCAAGAGTCTCAGCTGGTCATAATTCTTTACCTGATGAAGTGATCCAAATCTTCTGCCTGGATTGCTATAGTTTCCCATCGATCTTAATCACAGGGCTTGGTAATACTAAGAGACTCCCTATGAATTCTTTTGTATTCCAGACATACTCGTTCTTACCTCCATTGTGGAGTAGTACTCCAACTTTCCCTTGATATTCAGGATTAGTCACCCTAGCCAGCAAAGTGATTCTCTTCATTCCTGGTGATTCAGAAGCATAAGAATCCCAAATTGGTCAGGTAACCATCTTAATTTCCAGTTCAATGGAATCATTATTATGTCTTCTGATGGAAGCATTCTTTCTTTTGGGAATAAAACCTCTAGGCCAGCAGAGCATAAGACCAAGGGAAACAGAAACAAAGTTTGCTGGTCAGTCACTAAGGATAATTTTGAGTGGTGCCATTCCCATTTCCACCCTTGATTCCTAGACCTGTAAGTCCTGGCTATGGAGAAATAACTCCTCTATTGGACATTGATGCAGAACGTATAATCCTATGTAGAACCTTGTTCCAGCCCTGCAAGGTATTGCCACATAACTGTTACTGTAAGAGAGTCTCCTAAAGGCCGTTCCACTTTTCTATCAAGCATTTGCTTCAGGATAAGAATAAACCTGGTAAGACCAGTGAATTTCACGAGCATGGGCCCTTTGCTGCACAAGGCATTCTGTAAATCCACAGAAGAGAGTTTTGCCAAAAGCACTGCATGACAGGAAGGCAAATCTATGTCCAGAGCGTCTATTCCGGTAAGAATAAAATGCTGCCCCTTCTATGATGGAAGTAGCTCAGTGGAATCAACCTTCCACCAGAAAATGGTTGCATAGAGAATTCAGCATTGGCCTCCACTGACGACAGATTGGGCATTCAACAGTGGAGGTGGCCAGGCACCCTTGAAGAGTGGAAGCCCATTTTGCTGAGCTCATGCATAACTTCCATTCTCACCACCATGGTCACTTTGCTCAGAAGCCCACTGGGTGATAAGAAGAGTAGCTGGGGAAAGAGGCTGACTGGTATCTATAGAACAAGTCATTCTGTACCCTTGATTATTCAAATCTCCCTTGGCTGAAGTCACCCTTTGGT
Organism: Homo sapiens; assembly: GCF_000001405.40. Taxonomy (NCBI): domain Eukaryota; kingdom Metazoa; phylum Chordata; class Mammalia; order Primates; family Hominidae; genus Homo; species Homo sapiens. Next base: position 19,021,858 of record NC_000007.14, read on the forward strand.
AGGCATTCACATGGAATACAAATATCTTGACAGTTTTTGCCCATTCAGAGAGGTTTATCTATATCTCTTCCCCGAATTTCCTTGTCACCAATTTTCTAACCATGTTTTTTCCAGTTGCCTGATCATCATGGCTATTGGCTACAGCCTATGAATTGCTATATAATCATATGTCTGGTCATTTATCCTTCCAAGCAAAGTAAACAACCAGGTTCCCTGCTTGAAGTTTTGCCCACTAGAAGAATTTCACTCCCCCATTATGTTCCAAGTATGTCCCAGTAAGAGGCTGTAATGCAACTGCCTTTCGTTGGTGCCTGCCTATCATGCAGAACCATCTGTTAACTAAGCCCAAACTCTCTCTTCCTCTGTCAATTGCAGAGGACGCTCCTTGAGGCCATGGGTGCAAGCTGAGCGAGAAGACAGTGTAGTAGGAGTGGGGAACACGGACATTGGAATCACTTCTTCCTGTAAATTACTGTGCCTTCAGGGTCTACTCAAGCCTAATCATATAAATATCACTTCCGTTTGATAATGAGGTGTGCTGTGCATACTCAACTTGATGGCTTGGCAAGCCAGATAACATCCAGTTCATAATGAGCTGTTCAGGTAGGGCACATGGTAACTTGGTGATCCATGGTTAAGTGGTCAGTCTGTACGAAGGCCCAGTAGCAGTCCAAGAGCTATTTCTCAAAAGGAGTGTAGTTATCTGCAGAGGATGGCTGAGCACGGCTTCAAAATCCTAAGGGCCTGCACGAAAATTAACCTGTAGGGGTCTTCCAAATACTCCAAACAAAATCCCTGTCTGCTACTGGTACTGTGAGTACCATTGGATCTGTTGGATCTTATAGCCCAAGTGGCAGAGCAGCCTGCATAGCAACCTGGACCTGCTGTAGAGCCTTCTCTTGTTCTGGCCCCAGCTCAAAACCAGCAGCTATTGAGGTTATTGGGTAAATAGGTCAGAGTTTCACACCCAAATGAGAAATATATTCCTCTAAAATCAAAAAAGGGCCACTAGGCATTGTGCCTCCTTTTTGGTTGCAGGAGAGGCCAGGATAAGATAAGGCCAGGATATGATAAGGATAAGAACAAATTATCCTTGACCTTAGAGGGGATATCTCCACATGCCCCACACCACTGGACCCTCAGAATTTCCCTGCCTCTTGAATTTTTGTCAAATTTATTTGCCACTCTCTGACACACAAATTTCTTACCAATAAGTGTAGAGTAGTTGTTATATATTTCTCACTAGTTCCAATCAGCATAATGTTATTACATAAATATAATGGACCAGTGTGATGTAGAAGGAAAAAGCAGTCAAAACCCCTACAATCTAAATTATAACATAGGGCTAGAGAGTTAATATATCCCTGAGGTATGACAGTGAAGGTTTATTGCTGGTCAGCTAGAAGAAAACTCCTGATTATTCTTATAAGGCATTTGCCACATCAATAGCTGCATACCAGGTATAAATTGATGTATCAGTTTCCACAAGCAATGAAACCATATGTTTCAGCAGCTGCAATTGGAGTTACCACCTGGTCGAGCTGATGGTACTATCAGTCTCTAACATCCATTTGTGCTTTGCACAGGCCAAAGAGGTGAATTGAAAGGGGATGCAGGGGGAATCACCACCTCTGCATCTTTCAAGTCCTTCATGGTGGTACCAATTTCTATAATGCCCCAGGAATGTGGCATTGCTCTTAGTTTACTATCTTCCTAGGTAGACACAGTTCTAGCGGCTCCCCCTTGCCTTTTCCCACCATAATAGCCCTCACTTCACAGGTCAGGGAACAAATGTGGGACTTTGATTAGCTGACCCAATGTCCCCCCTGGAGGTTACTGTGAAAATGTGCTAGGCACATCTGATAAACTGTTACATAGGACTGTGTGTGCCAAAGCAATTCCTACACTAGATCATCAGGGCCATTCAGCTCTCTGCCCTGATGGATCTCCCGCTTTATCGTACAGCAAACATGTATTTACCATTAGGAAAGTCATTAACTTTACAAGGAGAACTACAAATACTGTTAGGAAAGGCCATGCATTAGATTAAAACGCATTTATCCACAGAGCAGTAAGTAAAAGCAGAACGTGGATGGTAGAGATAACTGAACATTTCAAAGAAAAGCATCTCACCGGGAAAGCAGGAAAGTGCTTCAGGAGCTAAGTACGAACTACTTTACACTGATACTGTAGGAAAATCTTCAAAAGGAAGAGTTACACATTGCCCTTTACTATGATTAACAATTTTGCTTCAAGTAGAAACTGGAATCTCTGTCTTTCCTGTTCATCTACACCGACAAAAATTTTTTGTAGAAAAAAAACTTTCTTTATATTCATCTATTCACATAGGAAAAAAAAGTATGTGGATTATTGACTGGTTTCATTAAAATCTGACCAGACTGAAAAGAAATAGTCTTATTTTTCAAGGCTCTAAGAAATTGTGAAGCCTCTGCTGATTAGTATATGACAGATATAATACCATAGCCTATTAGCTTGGGCATCATTAACAAATAGCTTCTGCACTCGGCAGTTGCCACAGCGGAGTTTTCTTGCCTTCAGAAGGAAGTACTATTCGGAATGTTAACTTGATAACTATGATTGTTGTGAGCTGAATCATGCTATGTCTGTGGGGTAAGTCTAACTGTGTTGCTGCCTTGGAAGCCAACTGTAAAATGTACTAAAATATCATTGGAAAACGGGGCCAGCTAACTCAGGTTTCCACATGAGACTTTTTATATAACTGGCAAAAGGTCAATTAGCCCTGATTTCCCTGAAAAAGATAGCACCCCAGAGTGGAAATAAAACACAGTCATCATCTGGACTAGCCTGACTTTATTGAAAAGTTTTGTCACAGACATGTGTAGGTTATGTGGTGCAACTGCAGGGCTCGATCCCTGGGACCTACAAAGCCACACTTGCCTGAAGTTGGCAGCCACAGGGCAGATTACCAGAACAGGTGATGTAAAGTTCTATCTATAAATAGAAACCATTTACTTGGTATCCAAAGAAGTTATTTAGTTCTGAAAATCACACACAAAAAAATGAAGACAAAAAATGGAATAATATGTTGAAATTTGGGGTGGAGAGCCTGGGTGCAGTGGTTCATGCCTGTAATCCCAGCACTTTGGGAGGCCGATGGGGGCGGATCATGAGGTCAGGAGATCGAGACCATCCTGGCTAACACAGTGAAACCCCATCTCTACTAAAAATACAAAAAATTAGCTGGGCATGGTGGTGGGTGCCTGTAGTCCCAGCTACTGGGGAGGCTGAGGCAGGAGAATGACGTGAACCTGGGAGGTGGAGCTTGCAGTGAGCGGAGATTATGCCACTGCACTCCAGCCTGGGTGACAGAGCGAGACTCTGTCTCAAAAAAAAAAAAAAAAATTTGGGGTGGAGAAGTGGCAAGATGGTGGGAAAGAACATTAAAACATGATCTCTATCTTCAGTAAGTGTGAGTGACTGATGCTATATGATAATCAGTAATGGAAAATTTTTGCAATAAATACAATCTCAAATAATTTAAAATGTTGTACTGCATTCTGTCCAAGTATTATATTTCCAATTATGAGAACAAAATTAATAGAAAGTTGGTTTACCTTAAACTCTCCTAAGGAAATATTCAAAATATTTGAATCAAAATATTAAATAAAACCAAAAATACTAAATTAAATAAATCAAATTAAACAGTTTAATACTTTAAATCAGCATGAAGTGGCCCTCAATAATCAATTTAGGATGCCTACAATGTCAGTCTAGCCCTGGTTGTGAGAACTGATGTTATAAAATATCTTTATTCAATGTATATTAACGCAATAATGGTAGCTGATCACAATTAGAATGTGACTAGGAAACAGATAATTCATATCCTTCTTGCATAGTGACTTTGCTATTTTGTTAGAGATTTTAGAAGTGGGATTACAACCTGGCTACCAGGCTACTACTTATCCTACTGCTATTTTATAGCTGAATGATTTTCTAAGTATCTAGTGTATGGATAACTTTTGCTTAAGCTATAGCAAATCAATAAAAAGAAAAAAAAATTATAAAACCTTTTATATGGAAGACAAGAACAAATAAGCTAGAGCTGATGAGTAGGTCAGTAAGAATTTAGCAAATTATATAGGGATTATTTGTTCCCCAGGTTGGATGGCAAAGGTAGAAATGGTCTTTGGAGGGCCACTGTATATGCTCTCGAGTTACCTAAAGAGAAAAGAGCCCATGATGCTACGAAAAGCTTTCTCCAACCTGCTCCCCTAAGACTTCAAGTTCTCAAATCTACCAAATGTTGGCATAAAAGATAGATATTTGAGGCATTGGTTATTAACACTGATCAGAAAAAAAACCTTAATGTTGCAGCACAATAATGGAAGAGGAGGTAAGAAAGCATGGTTGTGGACAGGCATGGGTGGACAGATTGACTGGAGTTGCTCAGGGTATTGGGTGGGAAGGCAATAACTGCTGGATATGGGAGGGATTAGAAGACCAACTTTTGACTAGAGTTAGCCCAAATTGTCAGCACTCTTTATCCCCAAAGGATTTGCAACCTGTGGGTTTAGAGAAACTAAGGATGAAGAGGAACGATGACACAGAAAATAAAGTGGCAATAACTTCTCTTGACATAATGGATGCAACTAAAACTACACCAAAAAACTGGATTCTGAACTGGAAACTGATCTAGAACGATGGTAAATTGAAAGGTTTTCAGTTAGAGGACATAGAAATTACACGAACACTGTAGTGAACAGAAAGAGGAACATATTTTATATAAACGTGTATTTTTTGCTAAGTAAGGAACATAGTAGAGCACTGTCCTACTATTTCCATGTATTTCCCCGCATGTAATAATTTAATTTTTCAAGTTTTAGAGAAAGTCCCAGCAAGCGATCTTCTACCCTTAGAATATTCTGGAGCTTCAAATGTTTTCCCTTTTTAATCCCTTGGAAAATTTGTAGAAAAACTATAACAGATTTTACATTTTAGCATCAAAGAAAAAAAGGCAATTACTTAGCAATTTCCAATACTATCTTAAAAAAAAAAGACTCAAAATCAAATACTTCCAACAAGTTTTGCACTGTGTTTACATAGTAGGTGTTCAATAAAGTTTGTTAGATAATGGCCTTGGAGGTCTAAGGCTACCCTCTTAGTGATCTTTTGGTGGTATTGAGTAAAATCCCCATGACCAGACATGTTCAGCTGGGAGGCTTATTTTTATTATACTTGAAAAAGAGGCTAAGAGAAACTGACAGAGCCATGAGTAATGCTTGTACCATCCTAGGTCACTCAGTTTAAATCACTACAAGGCTCTCTGAATCTCTGTGCTTCGAATGTGATTTCTTTTGCTTTTTAAAGAATTTTATATTTCTTTACATTTTACATCTATTGTCACTTTATGCCATTTGATTTTATGACAGGGTCAACAGTGCTAACTTTTGCAAAGTAAAGTTAAAAATGAATCTAATAAGTGACTTGTTTTAATGAACAGAGGGTGAGATCTGCTCTATGTAAACATGGATGTCTAAAACTATTATTAAAATTGGACAATTAATTTAAAATATTAAAATAGACAATAGCTCAGAATCTGATATAAACTTATTTATTTGTAGAAGTTTGGCTTAACATTAAAAGTTTAAATGAAATTACATTGCAATGGCCTTGATGAAGTATCCAAGCAGAACCCACTTCTCTCTTGAATTCTAAAAATTCCTGGAACAGTCTTGATTCCTGTGAGGTCCCCAGTTTTGGAGAAAGAAGTGTTCCTTTGATTCTAAGGTTTGTAATCACATGATATGTGAATAATAGGGTAAATAGGGTATTAAAATAGGGTATATATATATATATATATATATATATATACACACACACATACATATAGTTTATACAAACTATTATATATATATGCTGAAAGTTTAGTTATTATCCTGAGGCTAGAATTTCTGCACTGGACACACTGTGGATTCTCCCCCACCTCCCACCTTATATACTACACAATAAATATAAGTGGAGGTCATTTTTAGTGGTTCAATAAGCCCTGGGCATAGGAATAGTAATGACAATGAACAATCCTAACTGCAAACATTTATTGAACACTTGGAAAATATCACGCTCCATGCTAAGCAATTCAACTTTGTAATCTGTACAACCACACTGTGGCATATATCCCCACAATAACTGATAGTACTCCTATTTTACAAATTAGAATATTGAACTTTAGTTAACATCCCTCAAATAGTCCCATAGCTTGTAAGTGCCAAAACTAAGAATCAAAGCCAAGTCTTGAATATTATCCTTCACTTATATCATGGGACTAAGGCTAACTTACAAATCAGCATATTAAGAAGTCTGGATGTCATTTATAACCATTTATACCTAAAAACTAGGTAGCAAATGAAGGTGAAAGTCAAAGCATGTTGCCAGACAATTGCTGCTGTACTTTATACTTTGGCTTTGTGTGCTATTTGCTAAAGCTAAGAATTAAATTAATTCAAGGTGGATTAAAGACTTAAACGTTAGACCTAAAACCATAAAAACCCTGGAAGAAAACCTAGGCATTACCATTCAGGACATAGGTATGGGCAAGGACTTCATGTCTAAAACACCAAAAGCAATGGCAACAAAAGCCAAAATTGACAAACGGGATCTAATTAAACTAAAGAGCTTCTGCACAGCAAAAGAAACTACCATCAGAGTGAACAGGCAACTTACAAAATGGGAGAAAATTTTCGCAACCTACTTATCTGACAAAGGGCTAATATCCAGAATCTACAATGAACTCAAACAAATTTACAAGAAAAAAACAAACAACCCCATCAAAAAGTGGGCGAAGGACATGAACAGACACTTCTCTGAAGAAGACATTTATGTAGCCAAAGAACACATGAAAAAATGCTCACCATCACTGGCCATCAGAGAAATGCAAATCAAAACCACAATGAGATACCATCTCACAACAGTTAGAATGGCAATCATTAAAAAGTCAGGAAACAACAGGTGCTGGAGAGGATGTGGAGAAATAGGAACACTTTTACACTGTTGGTGGGACTGTAAACTAGTTCAACCATTGTGGAAGTCAGTGTGGCGATTCCTCAGGGATCTAGAACTAGAAATACCATTTGACCCAGCAATCCCATTACTGGGTATATACCCAAAGGATTATAAATCATGCTGCTATAAAGACACATGCACACGTATGTTTACTGCGGCACTATTCACAATAGGAAAGACTTGGAACCAACTCAAATGTCCAACAATGATAGACTGTATTAAGAAAATATGGCACATATACACCATGGAATACTATGCAGCCATAAAAAAGGATGAGTTCGTGTCCTTTGTAGGGACATGGATGAAATTGGAAATCATCATTCTCAGTAAACTATCCAAGGACAAAAAACCAAACACCACATGTTGTCACTCATAGATGGGAATTGAACAATGAGAACACAGGGACACAGGAAGGGGAACATCACACTCTGGGGACTGTTGTGGGGTGGGGGGAGGGGGGAGGGATAGCTTTAGGAGATATATCTAATGCTAAATGACGAGTTAATGCGCGCAGCACACCAGCATGGCACATGTATACATATGTAACTAACATGCACATTGTGCACATGGACCCTAAAACTTAAAGTATAATAATAATAAAATAAAAAAAGAAATTGATCAGATTTTAAATAAAATTGCCAGCACTGTCAAAAAAAAAAAAAAAAAGAGAAGAGGAATGAGGCAGAATGGTGTATATGAAAATATCTCTTCATTGCCTACACAACATTCAATAACCTTTCCCTGCTGCTAGATATTATTCAGGTGGTGCCTACAGTACCTTGATTTCAGAGACTTTCAGTTCTCACCATAGGCTAGGAAGCAAAGCTCCATTGGTATAAACCATTGTAGTTATCTAATTGTCTTTGGTCAATTATTGGTCTGGAAGTGGTCATGTGAGTTACTTTTAACCCAAAAGATATAACAGAAAGTCTTCTGGAGTGAGCTTCTAGAAAGGCATTACATTCTCAATTAAAAAAAAAAAGAAAAGATATGGCCCATGTAGATCTTTGCTTCTTTTTCTTTCTTCTTGCCTGGAATGCAGATATAATGCTTGTTGCTACATCAGCCATGCTGTGACTAAGAAATGACAAGGATGAGAGTGAAAGACAATATACTAAGCATGGCAGTGTACAAAGGATGCAAAAAGATCTTGGGTCTCTGACACTATGGTTGAGCACCTGCATCAGCCCTGGGCAGCCTATCATCAACATTCATGTTATGAGGTGGGAAAAAAAGGAAAAATAACCCTTAATTTTTCATCCATGATAGGTTTTCATTGATCTGCAGCAGAATATGATTTTAAATGATAAAAGCTTTAAAACATGACCTACAATATGTGCAGTTGCTGGACAATTTTTGTTGATATATTTATCACACTAAAAATCACAAACTCCCAAACCACCTTTGCTGACCCAACTACTGGGTACCAGCAAGCTCTCTGTCACCTAGACTGCCTTGTGCTAGACTCAATGCCTTTGGATTCAGAGGAAAGAAAGGCCAGGGCAATGACTTCAAGCAACCGTGTGGTATCTGTTTAAGTCATAAAATATCTTGTAGACCTCAGGCTAGCAGGTTGATTTAACATTTTATGACACACTTTAGAGCAATAAATACCTAGAATTTTGAAATGAGTCCATGGTAACATTGGCAGAAATGACTGTGAGTAATTTGAAAAAGAACTTGGAGTGTTAGAATTCTGTAAGCATGAGACTTATTGAAGTGAGGTCCCATAATCATTATAAAATGTAAATGTTAGATTTATAGGAGCGTTCACAGCTTTAGTATCTTTATCACAAAAACATTTTCAAATTTATTTCTCATGTGCAATCTAATTTGTATAAATCCTTCTACACTCCAGGATTTACTTTATTAATCTGTAATATTTCTCTATAGTAACTGTAATAAGCCAAGGAAATAACAATCTGGGGGAGCTTCTCTATATTTAGAAAAGTTAAGAAAGTGAAACCTTTCTGGGAAGCATATTTAAGATTCCTAAAAGGCCTCTAGTATTTCACTGAATTTTAAAGTGACTGGAAATAAGTATAAGGTTCATTTGTAGAGATTTGTCTTTTTAAAAGAGCTTCTTCCCATTTGATTTACTTTTGTGTAAAACTTTTGGTTTATATAAACTATTGTTTCCTATAATGGAAAATATTAATATTATGCTTAAAATTTCCAAACTGTTATTGGTTTCCACACCTTGGAGAAGATACTAGTGTGTCAACACAAGCAAAGCACATGCACCAAACTTCAGATGTTTATTTTATCATTTGTAGCTAGAGAAATGTAATTATTTTAAGTGGCTATAATTTAATGCTTTGACATTTCTCGAATCACAGCATGAAAATGACTTTACACTTTTGCTAGCAAGTACAAGAGAAACCAATAAGGCAATATTTAAAAGCACATTGCAAAGAGAAGACACTTCCACTAGTATATAAGATATCTTAATAACATCTGATCAATAAACAGTTGAATAAATATGGAGGTTTCTGGTCCGCTTTTTTTAGCGTGTGTGAATTTTGCCATCTCATTAAATTTCAAATATTTTTATCATGTTTACATGCTGAAGTCATTTGAAAGCTAACTTACCTGTTGGGAATATTGAGAGTCAGAAGTCAATTAAATCGTACTTTTTTTTTTTTTTTTTTTTTTTTTTTTTTTTTTTTTGAGAGAGAGCGTTTCTCTCTGTTGCCCAGGCTGGAGTGCAGTGGCATGATCTCGGCTCACTGCAACCTCCACCTTCCAGGTTCAAGCGATTCTTCTGCCTCAGCCTCCTGAGTAGCTAGGATTACAGGTGTGCACCACCACGCCTGGCTAATTTTCTATTTTTAGTAGAGATGGGGTTTCGCCATGTGAGCCAAGCTGGTCTCAAATGCCTGACCTCAGGTGATCCACCCACCTCAGCCTCCCAAAGTGCTGGCAATATAGGCGTGAGCCACCACGCCCAGCCTAAATCCTATGTTAAGTGGTAATACCCAGGCAAATTGAAGGTGAATGTTTTGGGCAGTCAATAAATTAAACATATAATTTCAAAAAAGAGATTGTTAAAATGAAGTATGTGATTTCCAGATATGTGTGTGTACACATGTGTATACACACACTCATTTTCCTTTCAGTAGCCACGAAGTGAAATTGTTGGTAGTTAACACTAAATTTAGTCCAATCTTTGCTTATGGAAATCTTAGCAATGAAAAAAAAATATAAATATGAAATAATTTACTTTATTTCAACTCTAATATTCTCTACAATTTTGGAATGGTCAAAGACAGGGTAGCTAACTGCTTTCTAACAATTGAAAGTCAATTTCCTTAATTGAAAAGTAAATATAAAAATAACATATAGCTATCAAAAATTAACTTCACCATGCATCATTGCTTTATGAACTGGGTGTATTATTCTGTTTGTGGAATAAGCACTTAAAAGAAATTTAAGTTATGTAGGCTGTCTAGCATTTGGGCAAGAATGGAAAATATCCATCAAATTTTATTCAAAATATCTCCTTTATGAAGCCATCTCTAACATTTCTCAGCTGCTTTCATATACATTCAATTGGTAAACATTTCTTACTAAAGATAACTTGTTTTGTCATTCAGAGAAAATTATTTGAAATTTGAAAAGTCACTGCCCCTGCTTTGCCATTTAGTCTATTATTAGTCAATTCAAAGAACAAGTTAAAGTGATTGATATAAAAATACTGAAAGTTACTTATAAGTTTTACTTGTTCCTATCTCACAGGAAGATAAAACACCTTGTTCAAATTTACAAGAAAAAAACCAACAACCCCATCAAAAAGTGGGCAAAGGATATGAACAGACACTTCTCTAAAGAAGACATTTATGCAGCCAACAGACACATGAAAAAAACTCATCATCACTTTTCATTAGAGAAATACAAATCAAAACCACAATGAAATACCATCTCATGCCAGTTAGAATGGCAATCATTAAAAAGTCAGAAAACAACAGATGCTGGAGAGGATGTGGAGAAATAGAAACACATTTATACTGTTGATGGGAGTGTAAATTAGTTCAACCATGTGGAAGAGAGTTTGGCAATTCCTCAAGGATCTAGAACTAGAAATACCATTTGACCCAGCAATCCCATTACTGGGTGTATATATTCAAAGGATTATAACAATAAACACGTATGTTTATTGTGGCACTATTCACAATAGCAAAGACTTGGAACCAAACCAAATGCCTATCAATGATAGATTGGATAAAGGAAATGTGGCACGTATACACCATAGAATAGTATGCAGCCATCAAAAAGGATGAGTTCATTTCCTTTGCAGCGACATGGATGAAGCTGCAAACCATCATTCTATGCAAACTAACCCAGGAACAGAAAACCAAACACCACATGTTCTCACTCAAAAGTGTGAGTTGAACAATGAGAACACATGGACACAGAGAGGGGAACATCACACACTGGGGCCTGTCGAGGGGTCGGGGGCAAGGGGAGGGATAGCATTATAACAAATAGCTAATGCATGCAGGGCTTAAAACAGAGATGACAGGTTGATGGGTGCAGCAAACCACCATGGCACATGTATACCTATGTAACAAACCTGCATGTTCTGCACATGTATCACAGAACTTAAAGTACAATAAAAAATAAAACCACCTTTTATTTTATTTTTCAATAAATACATATTTATTGAGTCCTTACCATGTGTTAGATATTGTATCTTCAGTTACATCAGTAAACTAAACAAAAACCTTACCCTAGTTAACCTTGAACTCTAGAGCTTGCAGATAGTCAATAAATAATAAAGGCAATAAATAAGCACATTAAACAGTAAGTTATTAGATGGCATGTGCTATTAGAGAAAGAAAAAGTAGACTGGAATCAGAAAAAATTGAGTTAAAGAGGCAGAATGTGAAAAATCACAATTTTAAATGAAATTTTCAGGGTATGCCTTATTTCCTGTGGTGTAAATACTTCCGCTCTGGTTAATTTCAAGCTACCAAAGGTTTGAAAAATAGCTTACAAAATTCTTGAATATTTAACAATTGGTTCTTATTGGTAAAAAGGGGGCTCAGCACAAAATTTGAGCACAGACTTTAAGAAATGGAAGGTGTTAGCCAAACAAACATCTGGGGGAAGACCCTTCCAGAGGCAGCAGTTAGAGCAAAGGCAGTACCTGGAAGGTTTGAGGAGCAGCAGATAGGTCAGCCCAGGGCAAGAAGCGATGGGGAATAGGAGAAGCAATCAGATTCTGAAGGACCTTTTAGGACTTTGCAAAGGCTTTCATTTTCACCCTGAGTGAAAAAGAATCCACTGAAATGTACTGAGTAGAGGAGTGACATGATCTGACTTACATTTTCCTTTTTTTTCTTTTTTATTATACTTTAAGTTCTAGGGTACATGTGCACAACGTGCAGGTTTGTTACATAGGTATACATGTGCCATGTTGGTTTGCTGCAACCATCAACTCGTCATTTACATTAGGTATTTCTCCTAATGCTATCCCTCCCCCATACCCCCAGCACTCCCCACAACCCCGCTGCAGGCACCAGTGTGTGATGTTCCCCACCCTGTGTCCATGTGTTCTTATTGTTCAATTCCCACCTATGAGTGAGAACACGCAGTGTTTGGTTTTCCGTCCTTGTGATAGTTTGCTGAGAATGATGGTTTCCAGCCGCATCCATTTCCCTGAAAAAGACTTGAACTCATCATTTTGATGGCTGCATAGTATTCCATGGTGTATATGTGCCACATTTTCTTTATCCAGTCTATCATTGATGGACATTTGGGTTGGCTCCAAGTCTTTGCTATTGTGAATGGTGCCCCAGTAAACATACGTGTGCATGTGTCTTTATAGTAGCATGATTTATAACCCTTTGGGTATATACCCAGTAATGGGATGGCTGCGTCAAATGGTATTCCTAGTTCTAGATCCTTGAGGAATCCCCACACTGTCTTCTACAAAATGGTTGAACTAATTTACACTGCCACCAACAGTGTAAAAACATTCCTATTTCTCCACATCCTCTCCGGCATCTGTTGTTTCCTGACTTTTTAATGATTGCCATTCTAACTGGTGTGAGATGGTATCTCATTGTGGTTTTGATTTGCATTTCTCTGATGGCCAGTGATGATGAGCATTTTTTCATGTGTCTCTTGGCTGCATAAATGTCTTCTTTAGAGAAGTGTCTTTTCAAATCCTTTGTCCACTTTTTGATGGGATTGTTTGTTTTTTTCCTGTAAATTTGTTTAAGTTCTTTGTAGATTCTGGATATTAGCCCTTTGTCAGATGAGTAGATTGCAAAAATTTTCTCCCATTCCATAGGTTGCCTGCCACTCTGATGGTAGTTTCTTTTGCTGTGCAGAAGCTCTTTAGATTAACTAGACCCATTTGTCTATTTTGGCTTTTGTTGCCATTGCTTTTGGAGTTTTGGTCATGAAGTCTTTGCCCATGCCTAGTCCTCAATGATATTGCCTAGGTTTTCTTCTAGGGTTTTTATGGTTTTAGGTCTAACATGTAAGTCTTTAATCCATCTTGAATTAATTTTTGTATAAGGTGTAAGGAAGGGATCCAGTTTGAGCTTTCTACATATGGCTAGCCAGTTTTCCCAGCATCATTTATTAAATAGGGAATGCTTTCTCCATTTCTTGTTTTTGTCAGGTTTATCAAATATCAGATGGTTGTAGATGTGTGGTGTTATTTCTTAGGCCTCTGTTCTGTTCCATTGGTCTATATATCTATTTTGGTACCAGTACCATGCTGTTTTGATTACTGTAGCCTTGTAGTATAGTTTGAAGTCAGGTAGCATGATGCCTCCAGCTTTGTTCTTTTTGCTTAGGAATGTCTTGGCAATGTGGGCTCTTTTTTGGCTCCATATGAACTTTAAAGACGTTTTTTCCAATACTGTGAAGAAAGTCATTGGTAACTTGATGGCGATGGCACTGAATCTATAAATTACCTTGGGCAGTATGGCCATTTTCACAAGATTGATTCTTCCTATCTATGAGCATAGAATATTCTTCCATTTGTTTGTGTCCTCTTTTATTTCATCGAGCAGTGGTTTGTAGTTCTCCTTGAAGAGGTCCTTCAAATTCCTTGTAAGTTGGATTCCTAGGTATTTTATTTTCTTTATCGTAATTGTGAATGGGAGCACATTCATGATTTGGCTCTCTGTTTCTCTGTTATTGCTCTATAAGAACGCTTATGATTTTTGCACATTGATTTTGTATCCTGAGACTGCTGAAGTTGCTTATCAGCTTAAGGAGATTTTGGGGTTTTCTAAATATACAATCATGTCATCTGCAAACAGGGACAATTTGACTTCTTCTTTTCCTAATCAAATACCCTTTATTTCTTTCTCTTGCCTGCTTGCCCTGGCCAGAAGTTCCAACACAATGTTGAATAGGAGTGATGAGAAAGGGCATCCCTGTTTCGTGCCAGTTTTGAAAGGGAATGCTTCCAGTTTTTGCCCATTCAGTATGATCTTGGCTGTGGGTTTGTCATAAATAGCTCTTATTATTTTGAGATACATTCCATCAATACCTAGTTTATTGAGAGTTTTTAGCATGAAGGGTTGTTGAATTTTGTCAAAGGCCTTTTCTGCATCTATTGAGATAATCATGTGGTTTTTGTCGTTGGTTCTGTTTACGTGATGGATTACATTTATTGATTTGCATATGTTGAACCAGCCTTACATCCCAGGGATGAAGCCCACTTGATCATGGTGGATAAGCTTTTTGATGTGCTGCTGGATTCGGTGTGCCAGTATTTTATTGAGGATTTTCGCATTGATGTTCATCAGGGATATTGGTCTAAAATTCTTTTTTTTTGTTGTGTCTCTGCCAGGCTTTGGTATCAGGATGATGCTGGCCTCATAAAATGAGTTAGGGAGGATTGCCCCTTTTTCTACTGATTGGAATAGTTTCAGAAGGAATGGTACCAGCTCCTCTTTGTACCTGCAGTAGAAATCCACTGTGAATCTGTGTGGTCATGGACTTTTTTTGGTTGGTAGGTTATTAATTATTGCCTCAATTTCAGAGACTGTTATTGGTCTACTCAGAGATTCAGCATCTTCCAGGTTTACTCTTGGGGGGTGTTTGTGTCCAGGAATTTATCCATTTCTTCTAGGTTTTCTAGTTTATTTGCAGAGAGGTGTTAATAGTACTCTGTGATGGTAGTTTGTATTTCTCTGGGATCGGTGGTGATATCCCCTATATCATTTTTTATTGCGTCTATTTGATTCTTCTCTCTTTTCTTCTTTATTAGTCTTGCTAGCGGTCTATCAATTTTGTTGATCTTTTCAAAAAACCAGCTCCTGGATTCATTGATTTTTTGAAGGGTTTTTTCTGTCTCTATCTCCTTCAGTTCTACTCTTATCTTAGTTATTTCTTGCCTTCTGCTAGCTTTTGAATTTGTTTGCTCTTGCTTCTCTAGTTCTTTTCGTTGTGATGTTAGGATGTCGATTTTAGATCTTTCCTGCTTTCTCTTGTGGGCATTTAGTGGTATAAATTGCCCTCTACACACTGCTTCAACTGTGTCCCAGAGATTCTGGTACATTGTATCTTTTTTCTCATTGGTTTCAAAAAGCATCTTTATTTCTGCCTTCATTTCATTATTTACTCACTGGTCATTCAGGAGCAGGTTGTTCAATTTCCATGTAGTTGTGTGGTTTTGAGAGAATTTCTTAATCCTGAGTTCTAATTTGATTGCACTGTGATCTGAGAGACTGTTTGTTGTGATTTCTGTTCTTTTACATTTGCTGAGGAGTGCTTTACTTCCAACTACGTGGTCAACTTGAGAATAAAGTGTGATGTGGTGCTGAGAAGAATGTATATTCTGTTGATTTGGGGCGGAGAGTTCTGTAGATTTCCATTAGGTCAGCTTGGTGCAGAGCGGAGTTCAAATCCTGGATATCCTTGTTAACCTCCTGTCTCGTTGATCTGTGTAATATTGACAGTGGGGTGTTAAAGTCTCCCATTATTATTGTGTGGGAGTGTAAGTTTCTTTGTAGGTCTCTAAGGACTTGCTTTATGAATCTGGGTGCTCCTGTATTGGGTGCATATATATTTAGGATAGTTAGTTCTTCTTTTTGTATTGATTCCTTTACCATTATGTAATGGTGTTCTTTGTCTCTTTTGATCTTTGTTGGTTTAAAGTATGTTTTATCAGAGACTAAGATTGCAACCCCTGCTTTTTTTGCTTTCCATTTGCTTGGTAGATCTTCCTCCATCCCTTTATTTTGAGCCTTTGTGTGTCTCTGCATGTGAGCTGGGTCTCCTGAATACAGCACACTTACGGGTCTTGACTCTTTAACCGATTTGCCAGTCTGTGTCTTTTAATTGGGGCATTTACATTTAAGCTTAATATTTTTATGTGTGAATTTGATCCTGTCATTATGATGTTAGCTGGTTATTTTGCCCATTAATTGATGCAGTTTCTTCATGGCATCGATGGTGTTTACAATTTGCATGTTTTTGCAGTGGCTGTTACTGGTTGTTACTTTCCATGTTTAGTGCTTCCTTCAGGAGCTCTCATAAGGCAAGCCTGGTGGTGACAAAATTTCTCAGCATTTGCTTGTCTGTAAAGGATTATATTTCTCCTTCACTTTTGAAGCTTAGTTTGGCTGGATATGAAATCCTGGGTTGAAAATTCTTTTCTTTAAGAGTGTTGAATATTGGCCCCCACTCTCTTCTGGCTTGTAGGGTTTCTGCTAAGAGATCCGCTGTTAGTCTGAGGGGCTTTCCTTTGTGAGTAACCCGACCTTTCTCTCTAGCTGCCTTTAGCATTTTTTTCTTCATTTCTACTTTGACGAATCTGACAATTATGTGCCTTGGGGTCGCTCTTCTCAAGTAATGTCTTTGTGGTGTTCTCTATATTTCCTGAATTTGAATGTTGGCCTGCCTCTCTAGGTTGGGGAAGTTCTCCCAGATAATATCCTGAAGAGTGTTTTCTAACTTGTTTCCATTCTCCTCATCACTTTCACGTACATCAATCAAATGTAGATTTGGTCTGTTCACATAGTCCCATATTTCTTGGAGGCTTTGTTCTTTTCTTTTTACTCTTTTTTCTCTAATCTTGTCTTCTTGCTTTAATTCATTAATTTGATCTTCAATCACTGATATCCTTTCTTCCACTTGATCGAATCAGCTATTGAAGCTTGTTCATGCATCATGAAGTTCTCGTTTTCAGCTCCATCAGGTCATTTAAGGACTTCTCTACACTGTTTATTTTAGTTAGCCATTTGTCTAACCTTTTTTCAAGGTTTTGAACTTCCTTGCGATCGGTTAGAACATTCTCTGAGATGGGTTAGTTCAGAGAAGTTTGTTATTAACGACCTTCTGAAGCCTACTTCTGTCAACTCATCAAAGTCATTCTCCATCCAGCTTTGTTCCATTGCTGGTGAGGAGCTGCGATCCTGTGGAGGAGAAGAGGCACCCTGGTTTTTAGAATTTTCAGGTTTTCTGCTCTGGTTTCTCCCCATCTTTGTGGTTTTATCTACCTTTACTCTTTGATGATGGTGACCTACAGATGGGGTTTTGGTGTGGATGTCCTTTTTGTTGATGTTGATGCTATTCCTTTCCATTTGTTAGTTTTCCTTTTAATAGTCAGTTCCCTCAGCTGCAGGTCTGTTGGAGTTTGTTAGGGGTCCACTCCAGACCCTGTTTGCCTGGGTATCACCAGTGGAGGCTGCAGAACAGCAAATATTGTGGAACAGAAAATATTGCTGTCTGATCCTTCCTCTGGAAGCTTTGTCTCAGAGGGGCACCCACCTGTATGAGATGTCTCTCGGCCCCTACTGGGAGGTGTCTCCCAGTTGGGTTGCACGGGGGTCAGGGACTCACTTGAGGAGGCAGTCTGTCTGTTCTCAGAGCTCAAACACCATACTGGGAGAACCTCTGCTCTCTTCAG
The DNA here is from genome assembly GCF_000001405.40 of Homo sapiens. Taxonomy (NCBI): domain Eukaryota; kingdom Metazoa; phylum Chordata; class Mammalia; order Primates; family Hominidae; genus Homo; species Homo sapiens. The sequence continues at coordinate 19,039,781 of NC_000007.14, forward strand.
AGCTGTCAGGCAGGGACATTTAAGTCTGCAGATGTTTCTGATGCCTTTTGTTCAGCTATGCCCTACCCACAGAGGTGGAGTCTATATAGGCAGTAGGCGTTGCGGAGTTGCGGTGGGCTCCACCCAGTTGGAGTTTCCTGGCCATTTTGTTTACCTACTCAAGCCTCAGCAATGGCAGACGACCCTCCCCCTGCCAGGCTGCAGCCTCAGAGATCGATCTCAGACTGCAGTGCTAGCAGTGAGCAAGGCTCTGTGGGCATGGGACCCACCGAGCCAGGCATGGGACAGAATCTCCTGGTCTGCTGGTTGCTAAGACCATGGGAAAAGCACAGTATTTGGCCAGGAATGTCCTGTTTTTCCAGGTACAGTCTGTTACAGCTTCCCTTGGCTAGGAAAGGGAAATCCCCCGACCCTTGCACTTCCTGGGTGAGGCAATACCCCACCCTGCTTCAGCTAGCCCTCCGTGGGCTGCACCCACTGTCCAACTAGTCCCAATGAGAAGAACCAGGTACCTCAGTTGGAAATGCAGAAATCACTTGTCTTCTGTGTCGATCATGCTAGGAGCTGCAGACCAGAGCTCTTCCTATTTGGCCATCTTGGAACAGACCGATCTGACTTATATTTTCAAAGGACCAGTTTGTCTGTTTTGTCAGGAATAGATTTCAGTAGAACAAATTTAGAATGCATCAGTTTGGCAGTTAAGCCACTGATCCAGAGGGTGGTGTTAGCTCAGATTCGGATGGCAGTAGAGAAGGAGCAAGCTCTATATAGATTTTGAAGACTGAACCAAGCAACTTTACTAATAGATTGGATGTATGATGAGAGGGAAATGGAAGAGTCAGGAATGACTCCCAAGTTTGGCAGCTGAGAAGGAGAGCAATGGAATTGCCTTTGAACTAGATAGAGAAGGCTGTAGTGGAGCAGGTTTAGATCAGGAGTTCAGTTTCTAACAGCTTGCGTTTGAGATGTCTATTAGACATATAAGCAGAGATATCAAGAAGACATATTGAAATATGAATTTAGACTTTGGGAGGGAGGTCTGGGTTAGGGATATACAATTTGGAGTCACCAAATATGAATGCTATTTAAAACCATACAATTGGAGGAAAATACCAAGGAGGTAAGTATAGATGGGTGAGAACCAATAACTGAGTTGTGGAGCATTTCAACACTTACAGGTTGGAGAGAAGAGACAGAATCAAAAGGGAAAGTGAAAAGGAGTAATAAAGTGGGGTAAAAGCTAAAAGAAAAGATGTGAAGAAAGTATATCGAATATGGATTTAATATCTTTTCTTATGCAAGTGCTTTTCTTCATAGTAAGTTTTTGCTCATCCTAAATAGGTAGTGTCTAGGATTGAAAACTATAGAATTAACATTCTAATAAAATTATGTTTAGTTGGCAGTAATAGCCTTTACCATAGTAATGATCAAAAAGCCATCTATTTTAATGATTATAATTTGCTTTGCATTCAGCTCAAAAAGGAATCTGAGGTCTTTTATTAGAGATTCCACTATCAAATCAGAACTTGAATTTTGATTTTTTGATGCTTTGGACACACAAAATTGAATCATAATCCCTGATTCATAATACACTTTTAGCATTGTATGATGTGCTTTTACTTAATAGCTATTTAGATATTTATATTTAACACCCCAAACCCCCCACCTAAAACCCAGTATCAAAAACAAAAGGTAGGATATTGAAAATTACCTTATCTAACCAGTATGCCTTCCATCACCTTTTCCTGGATCCCTCTACACAAGATAATCATCCCCCTGAGTGTTATGTTTATTATTCTTCCCTAGCTTTATTTCTTTTTTTTTTTCTAGACTTAGTGCATGCCTATGTATTTCTTTAAACGTATTTTTCACTTTTAGGTTTTTTAATTTTAAAAAAGGGTAAAACATTTAATATTCTCAGATTTTTATATATTATTTGCTGAGAGTCATTGTATGTATTATATTTGAGTAGTTCATTTATCTTCACTGCTATATAATATTCCATTGTGTAAATGGATTCCATTAAATCAATCTCATATTGATGCATCTTTGAGTTGTTTGCAGAATTTTGCTATTGTGAACAGTATTTCTGGGAACATTCTTACTGGTCTCCTCATATATGTATCTGGTCCATCGATCTCTTTCTAGTCTTGCACAAACATCACACCATCTTAATTACTATAGCTTTACAATAACTTTTAATATCTTTAAAATCAAGTTATACCAATTTTTCCTTCTTCAGCTGTACCATTACATGGTCATTTGCATTTTCATATAAATATTTAAATATCAACTTGTCAAGTTCTACAAAAAGTTCATTGAAACTTTGATTTGTAATTAAATTGAAACTATAATCAGAGTAAACTGAAATTTTTATAGCATTGAAACTTCCAATTCATAAACTTACTATACACAATTTTTAAAGTCACATTTAGTGGCTTTAGATAAAGTTTTCTAATTTGTTTCCTCTGTAGACATCATGCACTTCTTTTAGTAAATCTGTTCTTAGATTTCATATTTTATAGTGTTGAAATCGTATTTTAAAATTACATTTTGTTTTTCTGATCTGTATACAGTTGATTTCTGCATATTTTATCTTTAGTAACTTTTGCTATATTTTTGATCCTAATGGTTTCTTGAAATTTGCCAAATAGAATTAGTTATTATGATCTTATTCCTTTGTTTTCTAACTTTTTATAAGTAGACTTTTAAAAATAATTTCAACTTTTATTTTAGGTACAGGGGATGCATGTACAAGTTTGTTACATAGGCATATATTACATGCTGCTGAAGTTTGGGGTGCACATCCTGACACTCAGGTAGTGAGCTGTAAGGTAGTGAATAGGTAGTTTTTCAGTCCACAACCCCCTCCCTACTCCTCTAGTAGTCTGCAATGTTTAGACAGTATCTATGTCTAAAGATGTTTCTATCTTTATATCTGTGAGTACCGACTGTCTCACAAATGAGAACATGCAGTATTTGGTTTTCTACTCCTGCATTAATTTGCATAGGATTATGGCCTCTGGCTGCATCCATGTTGCTGCAAAAAACATGATTTCATTTTTTATGGCTGCATAGTATTCCATGGGATATATGTACCACATTTTCTTAATCCAATCCACCATTGATAGGTACCTGGGTTGACTCCATGTCTTTGCTGTTGTGAATAGCATGATGGTGAACATATAAGTACATGTGTCTTTTCGGTAGAACAATGTATTTTCCTTTGGGTATATATCCAATAATAGGATTGTTGGGTTGGATGGTAGGTCTGTTTTAAGTCCTTTGAGAAATCTCCAAAATGCTTTCCACAGTAGCTGAACTAATTTACATTCCCACCAACAGTGTATAAGTGTACCCTTTCCCACAACCTCACCAACATGTTATTTTTTGACTTTTAAAAATAATAGCCATTTTGACTTTTTAATAATAGCCATTCGGACTAGTGTGAGATGATATCTCATTGTGATTTTGATTTGCATTTCTCTGATGATTAGTGATGCTGAGCATTTTTTTATGTTTGTTGGCTGCATGTATGTCTTCTTTTGAGAAGTGTCTGTTCATGTCTTTTGCCCATTTTTTAATGGGGTTATTTGGTTTTCACTTGCTAAATTGTTTAGGTTTCTTATAGATTCTGGATATTAGACATTTGTTGGATGCGTAGTTTGCAAATTTCTTTCCCATTCTGTAGGTTGTCAGTTTACTCAGTTGATAGTTTCTTTTGCTGTGCAGAAGCTCTTTAGTCTAATTAGGTCCCACTTACCAATTTTTAGTTGTGATGCAATTGCTTTTGAGGGCTTATAGATAAATTATTTCCCAAGGCCTACATCCAGAATGGTGTTTCTGAGGCTTTCTTACAGGATTTTTATACTTTTAGGTTTCACACTTAAATATTTAATCCTTCTTGAGTTAATTTTTGTATGTGGTGAAACAGAGGTCCATTTCATTCCTCTATACATAGCTAGCCAGCTATCCCAGCTCCATTTACTGAATAAAAGGAGTCCTTTCCTCATCACTTGTTTCTATCAGCTTTGTTGAAGATTAGATGGTTGTATGTGTGTGGCTTTATTTCTAGGTTATCTGTTGTGTTCCATTGGTCTATGTGTCTGTTTTCGTACCAACATCATGCTGCTTCATTTATGGTAGCCTTATAGTTTGAAGCAGGGTAGTGTGATGCCTCCAACTTTGTCTATTTTCTCAATATTTTCCAGACTTTTTAATTTCCTCTTTAGCACCTGAATTGATTAGACATATGTTCCATTTCCAAATTTTAAAATATTATTTTGTCTTTTACCTCAAAATTAATTTCATTATGATCCAAGAATATATTCTGTGAATGTTACGGCATCTTTCTTTGTGTCTCGTTTTGTGATCAATTTTCATTATTCTTTATGTGAATATGCAAACTATAATTCTTCTGCTTTGTTAGATACAGAGTTCTATAATGACTCTAATATTGTGTGCTAATTATATTGTTTTAAATCCTCTTCTGGGCTGGGCATGGTGGCTCACACCTGTAATCCCAGCACTTTGGGCAACCAAGGCGGGTAGATCACCTGAGGTCAGGAGTTTGAGACCAGCTTGACCAACATAGTGAATCCCTGTCTTTACTACAAATACAAAAATTAGCTGGGCATGGTGGTGTATGACTCTAGTCCCAGCTACTCCGGAGGCTGAGGCAGGAGAATCACTTAAACCCAGAAGGCAGAGGTTGCAGTGAGGTGAGCTCACACCACTACACTCCAGGCTGGAGCGAGTGTAGTGAGACTCCATCTCAGAGCGAGACTCCATCTCAGAGAAAAAAAAAAAAAAAAAAAATTCTGTCTACTTGATCTATCAATTAAGGAGAGAGGTGAATTATAACCTCCCAATATGATAGTGGATTTGTCTAATTCTTGATATATATACTATATTAGAGGCTATGCGATAAGAAAATATAAATTTATATTTTCCTTGTGGCATAAATATCTATGACTTAAACTTGGATTTATTTTAATATGTATTCTGTACTTACAGCTATTCTGCATTTTCTGTTTTCTGTTTTCTTTTCTTCATTTCGTTTTTTAAATTGATCTTTTAATTGTTCTTTTTTTCTATCCTGCTTTTAAGTTATATATTCTATTTTTATTCTTTTAATGGCTGCCTTAGAATTTTAATATGTATACCTAATTTGTTGTATACAAATTTGATCAGTATTTATTACCTGACTCCAAAGCAATCTTAGGTCTTTAGAACACTCTAACTTCAGTTATGACCTTCAACTTCCATGTCATTATTACGTATTTTACTCATAATTTCACCCCATACTATTAATTTGCAAAATCAATGTTTCCTTAGATTTCTCCAAATACTTAACATTTTCTTTGCTCTTCTAGCTCAATTTTGCACTGAAAATAAACTATCTCAGGCAGATCTCCAGGCAATCAGAGAAGCTGCTTGCCAGGATTAGGAGCCTGAGCCACCCTACCCTTCCTGTGCAGAGACTGTGGTGAAGTGAGGCCCTCTCCACTCCAAGACCAGGCAGATCTCCAGACATTCAGAGCACACCCTCACCTGGATCAGCAGCTTGAGTACACCCAGCCTTCCTATGCAGAGACCCTGGTACTGGGAGGGCCTCTCAATTTCATTTCCAGACAGAACTGCAAGCAACTGGAGCATCCACTCTTCTGGATTATTAGTTTAGGCTGCCTCCACTGTCCCACCCACTCCAGCAGAGAATGTTTGCCAGCTCCACACCTAGGCCCACCTCTGGGTGCTTGGTGGCTGCCCACTGGATTCACCCTCAGCACTGGAGCTTACACTTACCATCAGGGAACCTACCTGGTCTGGCCCTGCCCATCTTTTCCCCTGCCCCTCTGAGGCTAAGCAGGGAGTTCAAACTGCTGTGCATCCCACAGATTAACCCATTGACAGAGGCAACAGGAGAGCTTCTCTGAGTGAAAAATAATCATTCAGGGGATCCACTCCAAGATGGCCAAATAGGAACAGCTCCGGTCTGCAGCTCCCAGCATGATCTATGCAGAAGACAGGTGATTTCTGCATTTCCAACTGAGGTACCTGGTTCATCTCATTGGGACTGGTCAGACAGCGGGTGCAACCCATGGAGGCAGAGCCAAAGCAGAGTGGGGCATCACCTCACCCAGGAAATGCAAGAGGTCGGGGGATTTCCCTTTCCTAGCCAAGGGAAGCCGTGACAGACGGTACCTGGAAAATCGGGACACTCCCACCTGAATACTGTGCTTTTCCAATGGTCTTAGCAAATGGCACACCAGGAGATTATATCCCGTGCCTGGCTTGGTGGGTCCCACACCCACGGAGCCTTGCTCACTGCCAGCGCAGCAGTCTGAGATCAAACTGCAAGGTGGCAAGCCTGGTTGGGGGAGGGGCGTCTGCCATTGCTGAGGCTTGAGTAGGTAAGCAAAGTGGCCAGGAAGCTCGAACTGAGTGGAGACCACCGCAGCTCAAGAGGCCCACCTGCCTCTGTAGACTCCACCTCTGTGGGTAGGGCATAGCTGAACAAAAGGCACCAGAAATTTCTGCAGACTTAAATGTCCCTGTATGACAGCTCTGAAAAGAGCAGTGGTTCTCCGAGCGAAGCATTTGAGCTCTGAGAACGGACAGACTGCCTCCTCATGTGGGTCCCTGACCCCCGTGTAGCCTAACATGGAGACACGTCCCAGTAGGGGCCCACTGACACCTCACACAGCCAGGTGCCAGTCTGAGACTAAGCTTCCAGAGGAAGGATCAGGCAGCAATATTTGCTGTTCTGCAATATTTGCTATTCTGCAGCCTCCACTGGTGATACCTAGGCAAACAGGGTCTGGAGTGGACCTCCAGCAAACTCCAACAGACCTGGAGCTGAGGGACCTGACTGTTAGAAGGAAAACTAACAAATGGAAAGGAATAGCATCAACATCAACAAAAAGGACATCCACACCAAAACGCCATCTGTAGGTCACCATCATCAAAGAGTAAAGGTAGATAAAACCATAATATGGGGAGAAGAGCAGAAAAGCTGAAAACTCTAAAAACCATAGTGCCCCTTCTCCTCCAAAGGATCACAGCTCCTCGCCAGCAATGGAACAAAGCTGGATGGAGGATGACTTTGATGACTTGAGAGAAGTGGCTCCAGAAAGTCGGTAATAACAAACTTCTCTGAGCTAAAAGAGGATGTTCGAACCCATCACAAGGAAACTAAAAACCTTGAAAAAAGATTAGACAAATGTCTAACTAGAATAAACAGTGTAGAGAAGAGCTTAAATGACCTGAAGGAGCGGAAAACCATGGCATGAGACTTACATGATGCATGCACAGGATTCAGTAGCCAATTAGATCAAGTGGAAGAAAGGGTATCAGTGATTGAAGATCAAATTAATGAAATGAAATGAGAAGAGAAGTTTAGAGGAAAAAGAGTAAAAAGAAATGAACAAAGCCTCCAAGAAATATGGGACTATGTGAAAAGATCAAATCTACGTTTGATTGGTGTACCTGAAAGTGACCGGGAGAATGGAACCGAGTTGGAAAATACTCTTCAGGATATTATACAGTAGAACTTCCCCAACCTAGCAAGGCAGGCCAACATTCAAATTCAGGAAATACAGAGAACACCACAAAGATACTCCTCAAGAAGAGCAACCCCAAGACACATAATTGTCAGATTCACCAAGGTTGAAATGAAGGAAAAAATGTTAAGGGCAGCCAGAGAGAAAGGTCAGGTTACCTGCAACGGGAAGCCCATCAGACTAACAGCAGATCTTTCAGCAGAAACTCTACAAGCCAGAAGAGAGTGGGGGCCAATATTCAACATTCTTAAAGAAAAGAATTTTCAACCCAGGATTTCATATCCAGCCAAACTAAGCTTCATAAGTGAAGGAAGAATATAATCCTTTACAGACAAGCAAATGCTCAGAGATTTTGTCACCACCAGACCTGCTTTACAAGAGCTCCTAAAGGAAGCACTAAACATGGAAAGTAACAACCATTACCAGCCACTGCAAAAACATGTCAAATTGTAAAGACCATTAATGCTAGGAAGAAACTGCATCAACTAACCAGAAAAATAACCAGCTAACATCACAATGATAGGATCAAATTCACACATAATATTATAAACCTTAAATGTAAATGAGGTAATGCCCCAATTAAAAGACACAGACTGGCAAATTCGATAAAAAGTCAAAACCCATCAGTGTGCTGTATTCAGGAGACCCAACTCATGTGTAGAGACACACATAGGCTCAAAATAAAGGGATGGAGGAAGATCTACCAAGCAAATGGAAAGCAAGAAAAGCAGAGGTTGCAAACTTAGTCTGTGATAAAACATACTTTAAACCAACAAAGATCAAAAGAGACAAAAAACGCCATTACATAATGCTAAAGGGATCAATTCAATTCAACAAGAAGGGCTAACTATCCTAAATATACATGCACCCAATACAGGAGCACCCAGATTCATAAAGCAAGTCCTTAGAGACCTACAAAGAGACTTACACTCCCACACAATAATAATGGGAGACTTTAACACCCCACTGTCAATATTACACGATCAATGAGACAGAAGCTTAACAAGGGTATCCAGGACTTGAACTCAGCTCTGCACCAAGCAGACCTAATAGCAATCTACAGAACTCTCCAACCCAAATCAACAGAATATACATTCTTCTCAGCACCACATTGCACTTATTCCAAAATTGACCACATAGTTAGAAGTAAAGCACTCCTCAGCAAATGTAAAAGAACAGACATCATAACAAACTGTCTCATAGACCACAGTGCAATGAAATTAGAACTCAGGATTAAGAAACTCACTCAAAACCGCACAACAACATGGAAATTGAACAATCTGCTCCGGAATGACTACTGGGTAAATAATAAAATGAAGGCAGAAATAAAGATGCTTTTTGAAACCAATGAGAACAAAGACACAATGTACCAGAATCTCTAGCACACATTTAAAGCAGTGTGTAGAAGGAAATTTACAGCACTAAATGCCTACAAGAGAAAGCAGGAAAGATCTAAAATGGACACCCTAACATCACAATGAAAAGAACTAGAGAAGCAAGAGCAAACAAGTTCAAAAGCTAGCAGAAGGCAAGAAATAACTAAGATAAGAGCAGAACTGAAGGAGATAGAGACAGAAAAAACCCTTCAAAAAATCAATGAATCCAGGAGCTGGTTTTTTGAAAAGATCAACAAAATTGATAGACCGCTAGCAAAACTAATAAAGAAGAAAAGAGAGAAGAATCAAATAGACACAATAAAAAATGATAAAGGAGATATCACCACCAATCCCACAGAAATACAAACCACCATCAGAGAATACTATAAACACCTCTATGCAAATAAACTAGAAAATCTAGAAGAAATGGATAAATTCCTGGACACATATACCCTCACAAGACTAAACCAGGAAGAAGTTGAATCTCTGAATATACCAATAACAGTCTCTGAAATTGAGGCAATAATTAAGAGCTTACCAACCAAAAAAAGTCCAGGACCAGATGGATTCACAGCCGAATTCTACCAGAGGTACAAGGAGGAGCTGGTACCATTCCTTCTGAAACTATTCCAATCAATAGAAAAAGAGGGAATCCTCCCTAACTCATTTTATGAGACCAGCATCATCCTAATACCAAAGTCCGGCAGAAACACAACAAAAAAAAAGAGAATTTTAGACCAATATCCCTGATAAACATCAATGCGAAAATCCTCAATAAAATACTGGCACACCGAATCCAGCAGCACATCAAAAAGCTTATCCACCAAGATCAAGTTGGCTTCATCCCTGGGACGCAAGGCTGGTTCAACATATGCAAATCAATAAACGTAATCCATCACATAGAAAGAACCAATGACAAAAACCACATGATTATCTCAACAGATGCAGAAAAGGACTTCAACAAAATTTAACAGCGCTTCATGCTAAAAACTCTCAATCAGCTAGGTATTGATGGAACGTTATCTCAAAATAATAAGCACTGTTTATGACAAACCCACAGCCAGTATCATACTGAATGGGCAAAAACTGGAAGAATTCCCTTTGAAAACTGGTACAAGACAGGGATGCCCTCTCTCACCACTCCTATTCAACACAGTGTTGGAACTTCTGACCAGGACAATCAGGCAAGAGAAAGAAACAAAGGGTATTCATTAGGAAAAGAGGAGGTCAAATTGTCCCTGTTTGCAGATGACATGATTGTATATTTAGAAAACCCCATTGTCTCAGCCCTAAATCTTCTTAAGCTGATAAGCAACTTCAGCAAAATCTCAGGATACAAAATCAATGTGCAAAAATCACACGCATTCCTAGAAACCAATAACAGACAAACAGAGAGCCAAATTGTGAGTGAACTCCCATTCACAATTACTACAAAGAGAATAAAATACCTAGGAATCCAACTTACAAGGGATTTGAAGGACCTCTTCAAGGAGAACTACAAACCACTGCTCAATGAAATAAAAGAGGACACAAACAAATGGAAGAACATTCTATGCTCATAGATAGGAAGAATCAATCTCGTGAAAATGGCCTTACTGCCCAAGGTAATTTAAAGATTCAATGCCATCCCTATCCAATATTACACAGAATTGGAAAAAACTAAAGTTCATATGAAATCAAAAAAGAGCCCACATTGCCAAGACATTCCTAAGCAAAAAGAACAAAGCTGGAGGCAACATGGTACCTGACTTCAAACTATACTACAAGGCTACAATAACCAAAACAGCATGGTACTGGTACCAAAATAGATATACAGACCAGTGGAATAGAACAGAGGCCTAAGAAATAACATCACACATCTACAACCATCTGATCTTTGACAAACCTGACAAAAACAAGAAATGGGGAAAGGATTCCCTATTTAATAAATGGTGCTGGGAAAATTGGCTAGCCATAAGAAGAAAGCTGAAACTGGATCCCTTCCTTACACCTTATACAAAAATTAATTCAAGATGGATTAAAGACTTAAATGTTAGACCTAAAACCTTAAGAACCCTAGAAGAAAACCTAGGCAATATCATTCAGGACATAGGCGTGGGCAAGGACTTAATGACTAAAACACCAAAAGCAATGGTGACAAAAGCCAAAATAGACAAATGGGATCTAATTAAACTAAAGAGCTTCTGCAAAGCAAAAGAAACTACCATCAGAGTGAACAGGCAGCCTACAGAATGGGAGAAGATTTTTGCAATCTACCCATTTGACAAAGGGCTAATATCAAGAATCTACAAAGAACTTAGATAAATTTATAAGAAAAAAACAAACAACCCCATCAAAAAGTGGGCAAAGGATATGAACGGACACTTTTCAAAAGAAGACATTTATGCAGCCAACAGACACATGAAAAAATGCTCATCATCACTGGCCATCAGAGAAATGCAAATCAAAACCGCATGAGATATCATCTCACACCGGTTAGAATGGCAATCATTAAAAAGTCAGGAAACAACAGGTGCTGGAGAGGATGTGGAGAAATAGGAACACTTTTACACTGCTGGTGGGACTGTAAACTAGTTCAACCATTGTGGAAGACAGTGTGGCGATGCCTAAGGGATCTAGAACTAGAAATACCATTTGACCCAGCGATCTCATTACGGGGTATAAACCCAAAGGATTATAAATCATGCTGCTATAAAGACACATGCACATGTATGTTTATTGTGGCACTGTTCACAATAGAAGAGACTTGGAACCAACCCAAATGTCCATCAGTGATAGACTGGATTAAGAAAATGTGGCACATATACACCATGGAATACTATGCAGCCATAACAAAGGATGAGTTCATCTCCTTTGCAGGGACATGGATGAAGCTGGAAACCATCATTCTCAGCAAACTATCGCAAGGACAGAAAACCAAACATCGCATGTTCTCACTCATAAGTGGGAACTGAACAATTAGAACACCTGGACACAGGACGGGGAACATCGCACACCAGGGCCTGTCTTGGGGTGGGGGAGTGGCGGAGGGATAGCATTAGGAGAAATACCTAATGTAAATGACGAGTTAATGGGTGCAGCAAACCAACACGGCCCATGTATACTTATTTAACAAACCTGCACGTTGCGCACCTGTACCCTAGAACTTAAAGTGTAATAAAAAATAATAAAATAAATAAATAAAAAATTAAATAAATAAGCATATACCCAACCACATTGGCTGGAGCTGGCTTTTACCCATAATCGCCACCTACTGGCCATTCCCTTGAACTGCACATCCCAGTATATAACCCGTGGAGAGAAGGGCATAGGTCTATAGAAGCAAAGCCCAAAGACCCTATCCAACATCCTCTATAGTCACAACCCCTGGAGTAATGGGAGGAAGGGAAGGAGAAATAAATACAATAATATAGGGAAAGAAGAAAGAAGAGAAATCCTACCCACATGAAAATAATTACAAAAATTAAAAGTGCCATCTTCTTCAGATGAGAAGGAACCATCATAAAAATTCTTGAGAAATCCGAATGTACTGACACTACCAGAGGATCACAGTAGCTCTCCAACAATGGTTCCTAACCAAAATGGAAACTGAGAAATGAAAGATAAAGAATTCAAAGCATGGATTGCAAAGAAGCTGAATGAGATCCAAGATTGAAAATCATCATCAACAACAACAACAACAAGTGATCTAAAGCAATCCAGGAAATGAAGAAAGAGATAAACATCTTAAAAAGAAATCAATCAGAGCTTCTGGAATTGAAAAACTGACTTAAGGAATTTCAAAATAGAATGGAATGCTATAGCAATAGACTGGACAAAGCAGAGAAGTAATTTCAGAACTTGAAGAACAAGTCTTTCAAATTAACCCTGTCAGATAAAAGTAAGAAAAAAGAATTTTAAAGAATGAATAAAGTTTTCAACAAATATGGACTTATGTAAACTATCAAACCTATAATTTATTGGCATTCCTGAGAGAGAAGCAAAAAAAGCAAATGACCTGGAAAACACATTTGTCAGAGTAATTCAAGAAAAATTCCCTAATCTTGCTTGAGAGAGATACATGCAGATACAAGACATCCAGGGAACACCCGCAAGACCCTATACAAAATAAACATCACCAAGGCATATCATTACCAGACTCTCCATGGGCAACACTAAAGAAAAAAATCAAAGGCATTTAAAGGAAAAGGTCGTATCACTTACAAAGGGAACCCCATCAAGAGTAGACTTCCAAATAGAAACCTTACAAGTAAGGAGAGATTGAGGACCTATTTTTAGCATTTTAAAGAAAAAAAAATTCCAATCAAGATCTTCATATCCCACCAACTAAGCTTGATAAACAGTGGATAAATAATATTTTTCCAGAAAGGCAAGCACTAAGGGAATTTGTTACTACTAGACCACCCTTAGCAGAGATCCTTAAGGTAGTTCTAAGCATGGAAACAAAAGAATGATACATACTACCACAAAAACACACTGAGATATATAACCCACAGACCTTATAAAGCAACCACAAAATAGAAACTACAAAGCAACCAGCTAACAACTTCAAGATAGGATCAAAACCTCACATATCAATATTAACCTTGAATGTAAGTGATCTAAATGCCCCAGTTAAAAGGCACAGAATTGCAAGTTGAATAAAAAAAACAAGACTCATCCATCTGCTGTCTTCAGGAGACCCATCTCACATGTAATGACACCAACAGGCTCAAAGTAAAGTGTTGTAGAAAGATCTATCACACCAACAGAAAACAAAAAAGAGCAGAGGTCACTATTATATCAGACAAAACAGACTTTGAACCAACAACAGTAAAAAAAAAAAAAAAAAAAAAAGGACAAGGAAGGGCATTACTTAATGATAAAGGGTTTAATTCAACAAGAAAAAATTATCCTAAATATATATGCATCTAACATTGGAGCACTCAGATTCATAAAACAAGTACTTCCAGGCCTAAGAAAAGACTTAGACAACTACACAGTAATAGTCAGAATAGCACTGTAGAACCAAAAAATGTCTAGCCGTAGAACACAGGATTTGTCACATGATTTAAAGCAGAGGTATCCAATCTTTTGGCTTTCCTGGGCGACATTGGAAGAATTGTCTTGGGCCACACATAAAATATACTGACACTAACAACAGCTCATGAGCTAAAAAAATTGGTAAGATCTCATAATGTTTTAAGAAATATGTTGGGCCACATTCAAAGCCATTCCGGGCTGCATGCAGCCCATGGGCCATGGGTTAGACAAGCTTGATTTAAAGAGAAGGACAAATATTGTTAGGCACTTAAGGTAGTATCTAATGAAAGTCATTATACACAACATAAACAATCAAAGAAAAGGAGCAAATAGAGATATGGAAGCCCAGAAATTCAACAAATTCATATTGTGCTTGCTGCCAATAAGCTTTTCTGAAAGCGGAGGCTGAGGTGAAGTTTTTAGAGATTAACACCTATGGAAGGGAAACAGAAGAAGCAGAAAGGGTCAAAGGGGAAGTCTGGATTCAAGCCCTATAAAACCTCTGTCATCCTCACAGCAAGATCTGGAATTAGAATTATGCTAGAGTTATGCAGCATGCAGCTAAAATGGCCAAGCTTTTCTAATCCCGTCTTGACTAGTCACTGGAGGTGGTCTGCCCTGGGAAATAGTGATCCTTGGCCAGACAGTACACTGCAGCTGAGGCAAACCCTGAAGGGGCTGACAGATGGAGGCTGCCTGCTGATAGACAGGGGAACATGTCCTCCTATGAAGTGAGGTCTGAGAGGCACATCTTGTCCACCACAGTGCTCCAATTTGATTCCTGCCACCATGTTAGCCTCTATGGATGGTGCCATTGGGCACAATTTTTAGAATGCCATTCTAAGTTAGATGATGAGGACTTAGGCTTTGGATCAATTTTTACATACCAGAAGCTCCTAATGAAGCCACCCACTATAATGCTTCACACTGGGTGCCAACTTTCAGCCTTATTTAGTTGTTGGAATCTCCAGTTCACCAATAAACTGGTTCAGTTTGATTGACAAGTCTTGCAATGTTATTATTTATTTAGGGTCTCCTATTCAACTATGTGTATATGTGTATCCTGAACCCCCACAAAAAAACTACATGCCAGTAAAAGATCATAACCACTTAGTGAATTAGAAAAGGTTAGATTTGCCCAGTGAAGAAACAAAGATTTTCTCACATTTCTTAACTCTGAAAAATGACATCCACTTTTGGAGAAAAGAAAATTATAGTTTATACAAAGTATTATCACAAGCATATTAAGGATGCATACAAATGAATTCAAGGAATAAGACTGAACTCCAGAGAGGTAAATAAGGAGGAGATTAAAAATACTGGTGCCACATGTAATGTTAGTGCATTCCTTTTATGCCTCGCACGGTGGCTCATGCCTGTAATCCTAGCACTTTGGGAAGTTAAGGTGGGCAGATTACTTTGAGCCCATGAGTTCGAAACTAGCTTAGCCAATGTGGTGAAACCCCGTCTCTACAAAAAGTACAAAAATTAGCAGGGCGTGGTGGCACACACCTGTGGTCCCAGTTACTTGCAGGGCTGAGGCAGAAGGATTGCTTGAACGTAGGAGGCAGAGGTTGCAGTGGGCCGAGATTGTGCCACTGCACTCCAGCCTGGGTGACAGAGAGACCCTGTCTCAAAAAAAAAAAAAAAAAAAAGTAAAACATAATGTTGAGTCCATAATAAATGAATGGCTATCTAAAAAAATTTGTTGGTAATATTTTTCATTCCTGGCTATGTACTGATATTTAAAATATAAAAATATCCTATGATTTTCTAGAATATTCGACAAGACTACATTAATAATATTCTTGAGAAAAGTTCTTCCTTTATATTTCCTTGTGTGTGTGCCCTGAAGAAAGTCATTTCCAGCAAAAACAAGAAATACAAAGATTCATCTTCTAAAATGTTTCTCATCAATCTTTGTCTTTGAAAATTTTCAATTCTCTTAGCCAAAGAAATGGGAGGCTGTGTGCAGCTTAAGTCCGAAAGAGCAAGATGCATTTGCCTTCTGTGACTCCTTCCCAGACTATAAGTAGAATAAGGCAGCATGCTCCAGGTAGTCAAAGTCAGGTGAAACACTGGCCTTACCCAAAATTTTTACCCTAGACATTAGTATTGTATACATTTTACACCCAGTTCCAGGTTTCCAGTAACTTAACTATCTGCAGACATTTGTCACAGCAGTAGCAGTTAAGAAGTATTCACAATCTTGTACTTCATGGACAAAAAAAGATTTTCCAGTGTCTTGATATTTACTGTCATAGTGCAAAATGCTTTGTACAGCAGATAATGTTACTCTTTTAAACTTACCATTCTTCTGTGAAGTGTTTTTTCTTGCCTCTGGAAGTCATCTCCACATTTGTTCTTGTTCTCCATCTTGTCTGATTTTTCTTAATTACAAATTATTTTCTGAATTGTATCACACCTGCATAATAATAAAATGGTGAATTATTCTGACAAGTGCCAGATTTTGGTTCTTTTGAAGAGTTTTATTGATCTCACTGTGCATTATTCTGCCTCAAACTGTACATCATACTGTAATTCAGAATGTAACGTCTTGATTGATTTGCAGCCAGACTGACAAAAATCACAGCAGTCATGGCAAAGTCTCCCAGTTTGACTTAATGGAGTGTTAACTGAGAAGCACAATTTTGACCTTTTAATGAGTAGGCCTTTGGTATTTTTTCCAAACAGCACTATCCAAGGTAAAGGAAGTGATTTCTATTAACCTACAGGACACACTTCATTGGGAGGACTGTCTAATTGAGACATCTTCCAGATACTCCATTTAAACATAATGATGTATAATAGCATTAACTGCAACTTAATTAGAAGACTAATTCTACTACATCAGAAAGTAACCAAAGTACTGAATGATGTTGCTTTCCTATTAAAGAGGTAAATTTCTTATAGACTCAAAAATTATACTGTTACTTTTCTAATGTCTAAATTCCTATGATATTGGGAATACTTCCTAGTATTTTAGCCCTATTGCTATCCTGAAATTCCAATTAAAAATGGTCAATCAATTTAATTAGGACTATTTTTACTAGGACTATTATCTTGGAAAATATAAGGGAAAATAATGAGCATTCATCAAGCGCTTATGCTATGTCATGGGTCATTTTACATATGTGAACATATAATATCTCCTTTGATCTTTGAAAGATATTACTGCTCCTATTTTACAAATGGAGAACTTGAAGCTCAAAAGGTTTAAGCAACTAGATTGAGGTTCTATAACAAACAAAAGTCCAGGTGAGATGATGGATATGTTAATTAGCTTGATCTAATTCTACACTGTATTCACAAATCATGACATCATTTTGTATATATGTATACATATAGCTATAATTTAGCTATACATATAGCTATAATTTAGCTATACATATAGCTATAATTTAGCTATACATATAGCTATAATTTGTCAATTTATAATTTTAAAAATAAAATAAATATGATAAAATATCCAAATAAGTTTCAAGCCTTAATCTATTTTCTGCCTCTTTGTAGCTATGGGTTCCTTGTTTTATAACAAGTTTTAATATGATGTTAGCATTGAGCCACTTTTTAAAAACACCTGTGATTAATAAATGGAAATCAGTTTGAACGCTTCTTCCAAACTCTTTCACTTATCAGTACCAAGTCCAGTTGATGATTCATTTATTTGCAGAAACAGTTTGTATTTTCCCATATTCAACTCAGTTCCAGTAGGTGAAAGTAAAATCAGAAAAATATGACAAGCAGGTTAAGAACTATCCTGCTGCCACCACTAAAACTATATTTTCTAAGAAAGATAAGATAGATAGAGTCAAAAGTATCATTTACCTAAGACCTAAAAGGCACATTCTTAACCTAGGGAATGTTTTTTAAGTTTTACTGAGGCTAGCAATCTTTATCCCAGCCCCCCTTTCTGGATGCATGTAATGGTATTCTAGGATGTATCTACAAACCTTCCAGGCAAATGTTGCTTTATGTTGGCTTTGAGAGAAACTTCACAAACACATATACACATCCTCTCCACCATCACCACTCTATACTCTTTTATCCCAAAGCAATAACTACTATTAGACATGTGTGCTTTGTACATATAGTGGAATGAAGTAAAGAGAGTGGAGACAATTTTACAAATTGGGCATCCAAATCTTCTGTTTAGGAAAAACAAAACAAAACAAAATAAATGATTTGCTTGTCTGCATTGATTAAATTCTCCAGCTGAGTGCTTGCTCTGTGTTTTGCTCTACCTGTATAGGTGTATCTAGAATAATGCCAAGAAAAAATAATAGTTAGTCTAATATTTGCATATTTTTGAAACTAAGTCAAAACAGTTTTCTGTAAATTTAAAAAGAAGAACTAATACAAATTGGCTCAAATTATTTTATTTATCAATTATCTCAACTTGGAAGCAATAGACTACTTTAGGTTGTTTCTCATTATTCAAGTGATCATTTCTTCTTACTATTTTTTCCTGATTTAAAAAGTGACACAGACCCTAAGAGTTTATAGGAATTGTGAGACTTAAATACTAGAAGGCACACTTTTCTGTAATGCTGAACATGAATATTTATATCACGGTCATGCTTGAGGTATCTTTATAACTTTAGCAAACAGAGATTCTTGTTAAAAAAAAATATTTTTTTTAGTAATTTTTCTCTTTTAAATAAATGAGCACGGTATATGTATGCATGAAAGAGCCAAAGTTTGATACACCTAAATGGATATAGGTGCTTGCAATATATGTAAATGTGTGTATATGAATATGTATACATCAGAAACTCCTTTATCCATTTAGGCATATTAAAATAGAAGGGTAATTGACTTGCTGAAATCGATACTTTAGCACTAGGCAAAAGGATAACTGACTGGCTCACTCTGGAGAAATGAGATCTAATCAGTATTTATCCAAAAACATATTGAACCTGTGTGTTGTGCCCATCTTTGTTTATGATAATAAGTGTAAAAAAACCTCTTCCTTGCTGATGAGTATGTGGGGTTCAAGAGGAGACAGGAAAGGTGAGTGAGTGTCATTTTTTACATGAAAGAATGACTGTCAAACTATGATTATTTAGACATGGGTATTTGGCAGACATTTTCTTGAAAATGACCAAAATAAGCTTGTTACTCCAAAGCAATAACTGAAAATGTTCGTTGCTAATGATAAAATTTAATCTTTCAAACAAAAATTTCAAATTTTGGAAAACTTACATCAACTGCCCTGAGCTCGAAAGCTTCCCAATACTTAATACTTTTTGGAAGATATTGGTGATATTAATGATTTTGGAATTATGATATTACATAATAAAATGTGTCAAGATTTGGAAGTTCTAGGTAACTCAGTTAACCAATAATTTTCAAATATAAATGCATATTGTTACAAAGTTATGCATGGTTAAAAGTTATATTCAACATATGACATAGACTAATAGATTTTCATGTAACAGAGAAGGAAAAAATGCACTGATATAGTTTCAAATCCCCCATCAAAACTCATCTTTAAGAAACTACTGTTGCTGAGTTTTGGTATAATATCAAAGAAGAATATTTATGATTACCTTAAAAAGGCTAGCAAAATAGTCCTTTGTCCCACAACATTTTTTAGTGAGGCCAAAATTTTGCTACATATGACAATCAAAACAGCATGTTGCAAAAGATTAAATGCTGAAGCAGAAT
The DNA here is from genome assembly GCF_000001405.40 of Homo sapiens. Lineage (NCBI taxonomy): Eukaryota > Metazoa > Chordata > Mammalia > Primates > Hominidae > Homo > Homo sapiens. The sequence goes on from NC_000007.14 coordinate 19,059,411, forward strand.
CAGAAATCAAGAGATTTGCAAAACTGTAACACAATGTCACTTTTCTCATATTTCTTAGTCTTAGAAAATATATTCTTTTAGAAAATATTTTTCAAGTTTTTATTTATAATAAAGTAAATATCAATACATACAATACCATAGCTATCCAAAAGAGGCCACGAAGGGAGTTGGACCCCCACTGGGGCATTTTAGGAAAGAAGAAAGGCTGGAAATCAATGAACTATGTCATTCATGAAATAGTTGCATTTTGAGTCCTTAAAATTCTGTCATAATTACTTTAAAATCTCAATGTTCAGGGAGCAGGAATGGCTAAGGATGAACCTTTTAGCTTTGCATTGTTTCGGAGAGAAAAGGAAAGCAGACATATATTACAAAGAACTGAGATAAAAAAAAGAGTAAGAGTAAGAACTGGTTTTGGAGGGTGGAAAAGTGCATGGGAGCCCTGAAGGAAAGGAAGTAAGTGATCTTTTGTTTCATGCCAGATTTCATTCAACCCCAGCAATAGAGTTGAAGCATGGTATGGAGTGAACCCAACAGATGTTAAGAAGAAGAGTTCATGTCCTTTGTAGGGACATGGATGAAATTGGAAATCATCATTCTCAGTAAACTATCGCAAGAACAAAAAACCAAACACCGCATATTCTCACTCATAGGTGGGAATTGAACAATGAGATCACATGGACACAGGAAGGGGAATATCACACTCTGGGGACTGTTGTGGGGTGGGGGGAGGGGGGAGGGATAGCATTGGGAGATATACCTAATGCTAGATGACGAGTTAGTGGGTGCAGCGCACCAGCACGGCACATGTATACGTATGTAACTAACCTGCACAATGTGCACATGTACCCTAAAACTTAAAGTATAATAAAAAAAAAAAAGAAAAAGAAAAAGGGTTGTAAAAAAGAAAATGGATTTCATTTGAGGAAGGAATATACAGGATGACTCTGGGATTTCTGGAACAATGGCTAGGTGTTTTGTAGAAGATTATTGACACCAAGGTCTGGCTTTCTGCCTTCATGTGGTTCTCAAGATTCCTACCTGTAAATCACAAGCCAGGGAACTCTTGGTGTTCTGTGATTAAAACATAAGATACCATGAGTATCAGAGAGCATCTGTTTGAACCAGCTTATTTTACAGAAGAAACCAAAATCTTGAGTGGCAAAATGATTTGCCCCCATAATGGCAGAGCTAGCACTAGAATCCTACCTTCCTGACTTTTGAATCAGCAGCATTTATAAATATAAAAAAACCCTTAAATTATCCCAGATAGATCAAGAGATCCATTTCATTCTAAATGTTCAGAATATCTTTGACCAATGTAAATGCTCTGTAATCTAGATTCCAATTCACTGCGTATGTCAAAGCTAGATCGACCAAAATAGACTGGTTTTTCCATATGAGATGTTTTAAAGAGGAATGTCAAACATCTGCAAGCACAGCTTAAATCCTATTTCATTAATTCCATCTGCATCTACATTTGCTTTATCCTGTATAGTAGGGGTCACATTTCCCTCCTTAAATGTATTGCATCACCCTTGTTAATGATGTGTACGGTACTATATCTCAGTATTACCATGTGAGTCTATTTCTATGCTCAAGTGAATATGTCACAATAATGGTACAATGTGCCATCCAGAAAACTCTTGATTCTCCACATTAAAAAAAAGAAACAGGGCGTGGATAATACAAAATGGTGAGTAATCCAAAAGACATTTACATTTGTAATGTGCTTTGTGCTAACAATAAACATGGACAATTATGTTTTGAAAGTTTTCTTCAAACAAATGAAGTCACTTTCTAAACATCTGTGTTTTCTTGTTTTTGCTGTTTAATTATCCATACCCTATTGCACACCCTTCCTTTTGTATACTTTATGATAGTTATGTCTACAACTTCCAAAGGAACACTTATTTTAGAGACATAAAGAACCTGATAAATAAGAGAGTTGAAATATAGCAAATATTTACTTCTTATGTGGCTATTTTCTTATCTTTCACCCTTAGTAGAAATTTGTTATTGTTCATGGTATTCTTGACCAAAGGGCCTAAATTCTGCTTCAGAATCCTTCTCCCTGTAGTTGTGTTGCAATGATGCAAGAAGCAAGACTAATTTGACACCCCTAATCTAGTCAAACTTTCCTAACAATGCTCACTCCTTATCCAATGACACACAGATGGTTAGCTACACAGCTAAGTCTAGAATGCAAAACTCCTAATTTCAAGTCTGTTATGCTTTTGTAGCCCCTTTTACTATCAAAAATCTCATTTCTTTAGATATAATATGAGTTAACTGAGTAAACTCATTTGGGTTACATGAGTATATGCTATATAATTTTTACATCTTAAAATGACAGTACAATTTGATTCCCAAAACTTACCATGTAGATTACAGTTAACCTATATTATCATTTATTCATTCTCAATGTATTAATATATTCATACACGTATTTTAAAAGAACACTATAGAGACTCATTTCTTGCAATTTTTTTTAAGTAACTTACTTTTTTTGTTTCTTTTTTGTTTTTTTGAGATGGAGTCTTGCTCTGTTGCCCAGGCTGGAGTGCAGTGGCTTTATCTCACCTCACTGCAACTTCCGCCTCCCAGTCCAAGCAATTCTCATGTCTCAGTCTCCTGAGCATGGTATGGAGGAACATGCCTCCATGCCCAGCTAATTTTTGTATTTTTAGTAGAAACAGGGTTTCGTCATGTTGGCCAGGCTGGTCTCAAACTCCTTACTTCAAGTGATCTGCCCAGCTCGGCCTCCCAAAGTGCTGGGATTACAGGCATGAGCCACCACACCCGGCCTAAGTAACTCACATTTTAATATTGATAACTCCTTAAAGATATTTAAAATCCAAACAATCATCACTCACACACATATGCAGGACAGTTCTCTGGGTGGCGTTGGATTGATTCAATTCCCCATCCCCCACCCTTTTCTTTTAAAGTTCTGCAGAATGTGCTGGGAATGCAACACTCTGTGATAGGGAGGGACTGGCTAGAATAGCCCAAGCTCTGTTGCAGTCTCCCCTGCCCTGCCCAGCAGAAACTTGGCTTTCTACCAAGCACATGACTTCTACTGGTCCCTAATGTGACTGCCACATAAGTTATTTGTAACCATCCCACTTAATTCCACTATTAAATAGATAGAGAAACAGGCTACTTTCAAATGTCTTCTAAATGATGAATACTTGTCCCTCAAATGCTTTAGCCCAGGAAATCATGTGACCCCTTGAGATATAAAATTAAGGGCAGACTGCTTTTCGAGGTCCCTCAACTGTAGTGCAAGTGGGGCGTATGCAGTAGAGATTCCATGTATCCCAGGCAGCTTTCCTGAGCCTTGGGCAACTGCATCACAATGAATCCTGGGCATCTGTCATCCCTTGCTGCCTATCTATAAGTAATAAATCTGCTTCATGTAACTTGTGTATGAGGGTATTCTTTCTCACTGAACTGAGACAAGTTGGTAACCAGTGCACAATACACCTGCTTAACAATATAGGTCTATCTAAATTACACATTTGGTATAGTAGAAATTGGCTAATTGATATCCCAGTCTGTTTCTTTCCCTTGGACACACAGCTAATCTAATGTTACTCAAAGTGCTGATCCACTACTAGAAGCTTGCACCAGAGTGTAAATCAACAAATGGCTTCCTTCATCAAGAAAGTTGTTACTGAATTCATCTGTGTCCTTAGTAACATATTTGGTTTACATCTAGAGCAAGTTCCTTCTCATCAAAGATTAGTAATTTAGATGGGCAGTCCATTCATGGAACATACTTAATTTTTTTTATTTTTAATTTTTGTAGGTACACAATAGGTGTATATATTTACGGGGTACATGAGATATTTTGCTACAGGTATGCAATGCGTAATAATCACATCATGTATAATGGGGTATCCACCCCCTCGAACATTTATACTTTGTGTTACAAACAACCAAATTATACCCTTTTAGTTATTTTAAAATATACAAATAAATTATTATTGACTATAGTCCCCCTGTTATGCTATCAAATACCAGGTCTTATTCATTCTTTCTATTGTTTTGTGTGCTAACTAACCATCCCCACCTCCTTCCACCTCCTCAACTACCCTTCCCAACTGCTGGTAACCATCCTGCTATTCTCTATCTTCATGAGTTCAACTGCTTGAATCTTAGATTCCACAAAGAAGTGAGAGCATGTGATGTTTGTCTTTCTGTGCCTGGCTTATTTCACTAAACATAATGACCTCCAGTTCCATCCATGTTGTTGCAAATTACAGGATCTTTTTCTTCTTTATGGCTGAATAGTACTCCATTGTGTATAAGTACCACATTTTCTGTATCCATTCATCTACTGATGGACATTTAGGTTGCTTCCAAGTCTTAGCTATTGTGAACAGTGCTGCAACAAACATAGGAGTGCAGGTATCTCTTCAATATACTGATTTCCTTTCTTTTAGATATGTACCCAGCAGTAGGTTTGCTGGATCATATGGCAGCTCTATTTTTAGGTTTTTTAGGGACCACCAAACTGTTCTCCATAGTGGTTGTACTAATTTACATTCTCACCAATGGATAGATTGAGTCTGTCTCTACTCTACCACCTAGAATAGAGTAGGCTCTGGATAACTGCCCGTGGAATGAATGATAAAATGAATGCTGTCATTTTTTACTTACATAATTTCAACACACCCTTCCATACTGATAAAATGCTCTTAAGATATGTATGTTCACTGTTTACAAGTAGATCGGCATTTGCATTTCTATCTCTTTATCTTATATGATGCATGCCTTCTCTTGATGTTAGTACTCCCATACAGAGCAGAAGAAGACCCTCTTTAGTCTCTAAGTTGTACCTATTAGTCATAGTATACACAGTAATAATAGCCAAAATTTATTGCGTGTTAGAGGCTGGACTGGATACTTTCACTAGTGTCACTAATCCTCATAAAAACTCTCCCAAATAGGCCTTATGAGAGCATGTTGCACATGGGAAAACTAAAGGTTATGGGGAGGACCTTGCACAAGCTTGCAATGTAAGTAAAGAAGAGCTGTGATTTGTATCCCACAGGCCATCATCTTTCTACCATCTCATTCTACTGAGTACATTGGCTTTCTACCAAGCACATGACTTCTACTGGTCCCTAATGTGACTGCCACGTATGTTCTTTGTAACCATCCCAATTAATTCCACTATTAAATAGATAGTGAAACAGGCTACTTTCAAATGTCTTCTACATGATGAATACTTGCTCTTCAGCATGGGAACTGGGTGTGTTCTGAAATTTTAATATAGGGATCCTATTTACCAGCCAGAATATAATGCTAATATACTTACTGAATGAAAAAATAATTGTGATAGGTCCAACTTCGCTGATAAAATAATCAAGGCACTGAGTAGTTTCTAGATGCAGCTGACTTCAGACTTTGTTAATCATATAGAATAGTGATTAACAGTGTGGGCTCTGAAGCCAGAGTTGGGTTCCAGGCTCAGATGTTTCATTTATTGGCCACGTTACCTTAAGCCAGTTTCATAACCTCTGTGGGCATCCATTTTCTCAATTTTCTATTCCACAGAATTGATTTTAAGATTAAACAAATAAATGTATATAAACCAGTTAACATAGTGACAGGCAAATGATGAATGCTAAGTGAATACAATTATTGTTGGTCTAGATTTCTTGTTTCTAATTTCTAGTTTCGTATCTTTGACTGGAAACTTCTCTGCTTTCTAGGAAGAAGATTATGGCAATATTTTTCCTCAGGGAGCATTTCTTGTTTGGGTAAATATGTGAAACATAGAACTAAAATCAAATTAATCCTAAAATAGAGAAGAGATCTATGTAGATAAAATATTAAGGAATATGATAGGAATCCTTTAGAGTGCTTTAAGTAGCACATGAATTGACATGTCTGTAGAAAACATCCACTATCCCTAATAAATATGAAAAAAAGTATGTGAATTCATAATTAATACTGTTTTACATAAAGGTTGAGTATCCCTTATCTGAAATGCTTGGGACCAGAAGAGTTTCAGATTTCAATGTTGTTTTTCAAATTTTGGAATATTTGTATTATACTTACTAGTTGAACACCCTAAATCCAAGTATCTGAAAATTGTGATGCTCCAGTGAGAGTTTCCTTTGAGCATCATGTTGGTTCTCAAGAAGCTTCACATTTTTGAGTACTTCGAATTTTGGAGTTTTGGATTAGGGATACTCCACTTGTATAAACAATAATATTTATAGGCTTCTGGAGCAGCAGTGGCTCAAAGGAAACAGGACTCACCATTTGAAACTCTAACATGATATCTTTCGAACTCTTTATTTTATTTTTTTAAGAATTACTTTTTATATTGCCTTTATTTTAAAATGCTATTTAAAGATGGTGTTATAAGACTTTATAAGAAAAGTATATGTTTTAAGACCTTTCTGTCATTTATTCTGAATGTTTTCGTCAGTCAGAAAATTGAATATTATTTAAAATCATTCTGGATAATGGCATTTTAGAGAACTGTCCCAACATACTGAAAATCCATGATACAACATACAAACTAAACAAAACTGCCTTCCGACTGACTATACGGAGATAAAACTGTTCAATATTTTGGTTTATATAATTAACACAAATTTTAAAATGACCAAAAAGAGTAAGGTCAACAATTGATATTTGGCAATATATTAGCATTTAAACAGTATCCACCCAATGAAGTGTTTTATAAAATAACATTTTTAAAACAATGAATTCTGTCATTTTGAAAAGGTAATTCTAGAGTTTTCTATCTCCTTCACATTGTATTCTCCAGCGTTAGCAGATAAGAGTAAAACAGGAATTTTGTTTTTAATGATAAGCATGTCTAAGTACAAACCACACTTTTTAAAAGTAAGATGAGGAATTGTTGGAATTCTTCAACTAACCAAGTAGTTAATACATTCATGAAATTCATTCTTTTACAAGCCCAAAACAAAGGAATTTACTTACACAAACGTTTAAAAATATTTTTATAATATACCAACTCTAAATTTGATGGTCATAGCAAAAGAATTTTATACAGAGCATATTTTGTATTGCTATAAGGCAATTCATATAAAAATAACTTGTATTGGAATGCAGAGTAATACATTTGGAATAACACAAAAAAATGAAGAATATAATAATCATAATCATACCCATATTTCTTTTTAGGCTTTTGTCTGTGAATGACTTAATGATTCATAGTTAAGAATACATAGCCAATAATTTCACATCTTGGTATTTTCACTCCTATTTTCATTATCATTAACAATTCTTTCTAAAAAATAGTTTAATTGGTAGACAACATTTCAACATAAGGATGAATGCTGCAATTTATTTTCTAATATAAGACATTAATGATAATTACGTTCTATATCTTATAATTAATTCTATTCCAAATATCTTGACACATACATTTTTATTTGCATTTGCTCAGGACAGAATCTAATAACTATCATTATTGGCAGAAAAGGGAATGAGTGAACATCATTGACTTACCTGTCATTATGATACAGGAACCAGGATAGATTTGCTAATATAAGATACAAGATTGGAATTTTTTAAAATTTGAATTTCATTTAATTACAAATGAGGCCAGATTATTTTCAATACCAGTTGTATTTATCAACAATTAATTGCTTACATCTATTATGCCTTTGCTTACTTTTGCTTTACGTCTACTATCCCGTTGCTTACATCCACTACCCCTGATTCCCTTTTCTTTCTATTTACATGCATTTAAAAATACTTATATTCACAGTAAGCAATTTTGATGAATGGCTCTATTTAAATAAGATTCCTTACTTAGAAGTTTTGCCATTCAAGTCAAGAATAAGTTTAAATTTTGTCACCTCCACAAAATCACCCAGTTTTCATGAATAAATCTTGCCATTTATTGTTCGTAAAATTATTTTTTCTTATAAAATCACAAAATCTTCTAGTTAAAATTTTAAGAAAAATGAAATGTTATAAAAGTGTTTAAAATAATTTTAAATGTTTTTTTTTTTTTTTTTTTTTTTGAGACAGAGTCTCGCTCTGTCGCCCAGGCTGGAGTGCAGGGACGTGATCTTGGCTCACTGCAACCTACACTTCCTGGGTTCAAGCGATTCTCCTGCCTCAACCTCCCAGCGAATTTTTGTATTTTGTAGTAGAGACGGGTTTCACCATGTTGGCCAGGCTGATCTTGAACTCCTGACCTCAAATGATCCACCCACCTTGGCCTACCAAAGTGCTGAGATTACAGGCATGAGCCACCACACCCAGACAAAAATGATTTTTAAAGCAAAAAATATGTACATTAAGAATATCAAGACTGTCTTATTTGTTGCAGATGTTTTTCAATTTTTTGCCTCTTAATTTCACTTAAGATTTCTGTGTTTCAGGAACAGACACTTCTATGTACTTATATCTGCTGATATTTTATTTTGTGATTACTTGCATTTATTTAAATTAAAAAGTTTTTAGAGATCAGATAGATATTCATTTTCTGTTTTTTTTCTTTCTAAAATTTAAGTAGTTTCTTAATCTAAAATGTATTTTGTGGTTATGGTGTGAGGTGAAGACCTAATTTTTTCAAATATTTATTCAACTTTTCTGATATAAAATATTGAGAAATCTATTTACCATTGATTTTTAATTTTACTTTTATACTGTATATAATTCTTATATCCATATATAGATCTAAATCAATATGAATAGATAAAAATATATTTTTGTTATAATTTCCCATTTTACTGACTTGACTATGATTTCTTCATAGCCACATTGCTTTAATTATTGTAGCTTTAAAACACTTTTTAAGACTCATCACTTTGTCCTTTTGTTAATGTTCTTAGATATGTTTACTGTTTGTTTTGCCAAATGAATGTAGCAAGTATTTCAGTAAATATCTTATTAGAGTTATAAATGGATTTTTGTGATGCTTCTTAAATTTTTGCTAGGCTGTGCATCTTTATAATATTTAGTTTTACTATCCCCCAAAAATGGCATGTTAATCTACTCATGTGTCTTATTAAATTGATTTGAATAATAATAACCACAATTTTTCATCACTTAACATGTTTTATTAATATGTGACAACTCAATTAATATATTCACAAAATCTAAGAAATTTATATATATATATATATATATATATCCTTGTATACTTGTCCCTATTTTAACCCTTAGAAATACTGAAGCTCTAAAAAGTTATGTGAATTATTGATGATCATAAAGCTAGGAAATCACAGCTAGATATGACTATTTTTTTCTGTATAAGTTCTCCCTTTTAGTGCTAAAATTTTTTACATAGGTTATTTTAGCATTTTACTTTTTTCCTGCTGTTATGTATCCAATGTTTTTGCATTGATTTATCATTAATTATTAACCTGAAATTTTTTCTACACTGATTTATAGTGTTGTTGCATGTTGCTACATGTTTTTATGGAAATTCAAGAAAGTCATATATGACTACACCATAACTTAATTTCCTATATTTGGAAATGTGGATATTTGTGCTACTTCCTTTTATTCTTTCTATAAACAATGATATAATTATATATCCTTGAAGAAAATTTGCAGTTGCACACAATTAATTGTGTAGTATGCATTCCCAGGGATGGAAATGGTGGCCAAATTAATGCACATTTTAAAGGGATTTTATATGAAGTGACCTCAAAAAAACGCAATAATATACATTTCCAGCAACTGTGCATGAAAGTATCCATTTCCCTAGAGGCTTGTAAAAACATAGTAAAGCTAATATTTAACATTGGCTTATTTTTTCCCAGGCCCTGTTCTAAGCACTATGGTATATTTACTCATTTAGTACTCAAAATAACTCTTGAGGTATTAACTAATATTTGTCCCATTTACTGAGGTAGGAAAAAAGACACAAAGAGATCAAGTAATTTTCCCAAATTAATCTATTAGCTAATAAGTGGTTATCAGAATTTATACTGAATCACTTTGATCTATACCATTTTTTAAAATTTAATCAAAATACAAATTAATTGCTAGTATGATTTGCAAGGCTAGACATTTTCACATGTCTATACTTCATTTTTATTTCTTCATTTGTAAGGTTCCTCTTTTTCTATTCAACTTTATTGATGTATAATTTACATATAAAAAATTCTAGCTATGTCAAGTGTCAGGTTCCACATGTTTTGGGAAACATATTCAAACATATGATCAACATTACAATCAAGATATAGAATATTTCCATCATCCAAAAAAGTTCCTTCTTGTCCCTTTGAAGTCAATAACCCCTTCCCCAAGCCCAAGTAAACAAAGGCACAATTCTTTTGTCAATTTGGATTAGTTTTACCCGTTCTAGAATTTCATGCAAATAGTATCACATAGGATGTTTTCTTTTCTGTCTTACTTCTTTTGTCAAAAAATCTTGTTGAGATTTACCCATGTTTTTCCGTATGTGAGCAGTCCATTAATTTTTATTTTTGAACACTACTCCATTGTATACATATGTCACAATTGCTTTATATAGTCACCGTGATGGATATTTGGGTTGTGTAATAAAGAGTCTGGACTCCACTTTAATGTTTAATTTTTGACATTTTTTAAGTTTCACTCCTCCTCCTACCCCTCTTGCTCCATTATATAGGGATGCTGATAAGAAAGCTTAGGTGCTCCCTCCTTTGGTGCCAGTGGGAATTTCAAACTGTGTAAGCCTGGGCTCACAGACAGGAACTCTTCCCTCAGCCCCACTCCCAACTGCCATAAAGCTGAAAGCCCATCTTCTTCCCTTGTTTTCTCAAGCCCTTGTCCACAGCTCTCCTCAAAAAGTTTCATTACATGAGTAATAATCTTTTTATGCCTTCTTTGTGTGTGTAGCATCATTGATTTTTGGGAAAAATAAAATACATTTAAAAGCCTGTATGTCATATAAAAAACAAACATAAAAGATAGAAAGAAGATAGGCAAGCTACTAACATCAGGACCCAAGAAGTGGCCAGAGTAGTGTCAGCAAAGACCTATGGGGGTCCCCTACTCCTGACCCCTAATGTCAGTGGAGGCCAAGTGAAAAACCTGGACTTTCACTGTAATTTGGCAGTAATGATGTGGCACCTTCCTGCACTCAATGGAGTGGGGTCAGAAGAAGCTTGTTGAAATGGAAGATTAGATAAGATCCAAAATTCTGTAACATAATACACAAAATATCCAGGTATCAATGAAAAACTCACTTGTCATGAAAAGAATCCGGGACAGCTCAAACTGATGAGAAAAGACAATCAGGAGATGTCAACAACAAGATGATAGTTGTTGGAATTATCTGACCAGAATTTTATAGCTGCCATCATAAAAATACTTCTATGAGCAATTACAAATACACTTGGAACAAATGCAATTTAGGAAGTCTCAAAGAAGAAATAGAAGATATGAAAAGGAACCAAAGAGATGTCTTAGAACTAAAGATTATAATAACTGAAATTTAAAAACTCAATGGATGGGACTCTGAATTTATCTCCAATATGCAAAGAGATTGGATGTCGTTATTTTCATCCTTAAAACAAGAAACAATAAACTGAATGAAACAAAAGTCAATGACTTTTTTGGGCCCACTGGAAAGGTAAGTTCTAAGAGCAAATGAGCACAATGAATCTGGAGACAAGAGAATTTAGAAGTTCACTGCTGAGATCTATGCATTGGAAGCCAAAGCCGTTGGAGCCATAAATGGGTAGGAAAAATTAAATTACAATTTTGATAAATTGTTGGAGGCTGAATTTGGACTAATGTGAGAGTAGGAATCCATTAGGGGCTGCAGTCTTAGAGGGTCTCTGCATTTCTGTATGTTTGTCCCCAGGAACCCCATCAAATTCTTATGGTGAAGAGTAGAGAAAGGTACCCTTGTGGCTCTGGCAGGGTAAAGGAAGAGTTATCATTTTGAAATGCACTTAGAATGTTCTCCATAACAAAGGCCTACTCTCCCTACTCTCTTCTATCAATTGTCTCCCCACTCCTTTCTATCAATTACTGGAATCTTAACTATAATCATGGATTTGTTTACTCCTCTTTTCAGTTTTGTCAATACTTGAAGCAGCCATGTTGAAGCTGTTACTGGGTGCAAACATATTTTAAATTTTTATGCCTTCTTGATGGATTGGCTTTTTTATTATTATGAAATAATCCCTATTTATCCCCAATATTTCTTGTTATTAAGTCTACTTTGTAAGATATTAATATAATCATTTCAGAGTTATCATGTAACATGTTTGCATGGTATAGCTTTCCCATCCTTTTACTTTTAACATGAAAGACTTTACCAGAGCATTATCCCACTGAGTGAATGACATTTCTCCCACCCTAGGCCCCTTTAGACTTCCTGTTTCACCTAAGGGGATGGGGGAAAATAGCTAAGAAACACTTGTGAAGTCATAGCTCCGGAACACAGACACACTAAATGATTAATATTTAATCGTAAGACTTCCCCTCTTCCCACTAGACTTTACCACCACACAAGAGGGCTCTGTTTTCCAGATAGTCTGCTATGGATGAACAAGCTGCAAGGCACAGGCTCTCTGTGGGGAGGAGTCCTCAGGGAAGTCCAAAGTCAACAGGGAAGACACTAGAGGAATTCGAATGCTCTGTCATCTACATCTACAGTTAACATAAAACTCTACATTAAAGGCCTATTATTAGATACAACATGTCCGGCTTTTAACAAATGTAATTACAAAGCATGTTAAACAACTAAAGACTAAAAAGCTAAAAATCCACAGTATGAAGAAACAAAGCAAGCATCAGAATGCAACCCAGATATGGCACAGATTTTGTATTAATCGAGGTTTAAAAATAACTCTAATACGTAAGGTCTCTAATGGGAAATTAGATAGCATTCAATGACTTATGGGTAATGCCACTAAAGAGAAGGAAACTCTAAGAAAGAACAAGAAATGCTAGAAATTAGAAACATCATATGCCTTTTAGTTCATTGATGTTTATATTGTTAATATTTGTCTTATTTCTATTTTCTTTCTTCTACTTAATTTGGGTTTAGTTTACTTTTCTTTATCTATTTTGTTTAGAAGAAGCCTTGATCATGTATTTTAGAACTTGTTTCTTTACTAAAATAAGCATTTAAATCTTAAGTTTCCCTGTAAGCAATGCTTTAGTGACATCTCACAAATTTTAATATGTTGTGTTTTCATGTCTATTTAATTTGTAATATTTTCTAATTTGTGACTTCTTTAACTGTGGTTATTTAGAAGAGGGTTATTTAATTTTTAAATATTTGAATATTTATACAGTAACTATTGGCTATCCATTTTCAATTTAATTTCATTGTGATCAGAGTTAAGCACAGATAATCTGTATAATTTCAATTCTTTTACATTTTTGAGACTATGGCCAAGAGTTATGTATATATTTGTGAATGTTCCATGTGCTCTTGTAAAGAATGTATATATTCTGCTTACTATATGTTATAATCACCAATTAGTTCAAGTTAGTTGATACTATTTTCAAGTCTTTTGTATCCTTACTGATTTGCTGGGTACATTTTCTATCAGTTACTGGAATCTTAACTATAATTGTGGAACTGTTTATTCCTCTTTTCAGTTCTGTCAATACTTGAAGCAGCCATGTTGAAGCTGTGTTACTGGGTGCAAACATATTTTAAATTTTTATGTCTTCTTGATGGATTGGCTTTTTATTATTATTAAATAATCTCTATTTATCCCCGATATTTCTTGTTAAGTCTACTTTGTAAGATATTAATATAATCATTTCAGAGTTATCATATAACATGTTTGCATGGTATATCTTTCCCATCCTTTTACTTTTAACATTTGTACGATGTATATACAATAAAACATATATTTATATATTATGATTTCATATATTGTAAAATCTTTTAATAGATTGCATATATTTGGGCCTGTATATATAAAATATTCCATAATCTCTGCCTCTTAACTAGAACGTTTAGATTATATTTAATTAATGCAAGCACTGACATGATGGAGTTTGTCTCATTTTTTCTATTTTTCTCATCTTTGATTTATCCATTTTTCTCATCTTCGATTTATCCATTTTTCTCATCTTCTATTTATGCATTCTAATTACAGCCTCAGAATGCCTGCCACAGCTGGCACCTAATGTGTCTGGAGCTTGCTCTGCCCTGCCTAACAGAGATGCCTATATACACCATTGGGGGAACCTGAGAATAGGTTCTTGCCTACCTGGGACCACCCTCTCCTAGTTCTTGGGCTCACTATCTGGAGGCCTGGGGATTGCCCACCTCATCAGTCACCCCAGTGGCACATGCGCACCACCAGAAGGCCTAACAACAGGTCCAGAAAACCTGCTGCTGTTGTCCAAGCATGCCATCTGGAGGCCTGGAGATTACTCTGCCCCATCCACCACCACTGGAATATGGGCAGTTCTCCTGGGGGTCTGAGGATCAACCTGAGCAGCATGCCACAACCAACACTGCTGATATCCATATACGCATGCTACATGGAGGCCTGGGGACTGGCCCACTTGTGTCACACTGCCACCACTAACATGAGCAAGTACCGCCTGGAAGCCCAAGGAACGTCCAGCCACCGCTACTACGATCACCCATAACATACATGCTGCTCAGGGGCTCAAGAACTCACCCTCATGCCTGACCCACCACTGTCACTACAGGCACCCACATAAGCCATCTGGAGCCCCAAGAATAGGCTTGCTTGAACCCACTAACCAGAAGGTGAAGAGAAATGTACTGGCAGAGAAAACCTATTTAACAAAATAATACCCAAAAACTTCCCAAATCTAGCAAGAGGTTTAAACATTCAGATATGAGAAGCTCAGATAAACCCAAAGGGATACAACCCAGAAAGGTCTTCTCCTAGGCACATTACAGTTTAACTGTCAAAAGTCAAAGACCAAGAGAAATTTCTTAAAAAAAAAAAAAGTAAGAGATAAATACCTAGTCACATATAAAGAAACTCCCATTAGAGTAAAAGTGAATTTCTCAGGAGAAACCTTACAGGCCAGGAGATAATATGATGATATATTCAAAGTGCTAAAAGGAAACAACTGTCATTCCAGAATACTATACTCAGCAAAGTTATACTTCATAAAGATGGAGGAATAAAAACTTTCTCAGGTAAGTAAAAACAGAAGAAATTCATCACCACTAAACTAGACCTACATGAAATGCTTAAGGGAATTCTACACCTGGAAGTGAAAGGACTATATCTGCCATCATGAAAATGTGTGAAAGTATGAAACTAACTGGTAGAGTAAACACACAAATGAGAACAAGAAAGGACACAAATGTCCCCACTACAAAAAAAAAAAAAAAAAAAGAAATCAAACAATAAGACAGAAAGAAAAGAAAATGAAATATACAAAAAAAAAACACCAGAAAACAATTAATAAAATGGCAGGAATAAGTCCTCTCATATAAATAATGAGCTTGAATGTCAACAGATTAAATTTTTCACCTAAAAGATATAAACTGTCTAAATGAATAAGAAAACATGGCCCTATTGTATGCCCCCAAGAAGAAACTCACTTCACCTGCAAAGACACATATAGGAGGAAAGTAAAGGAATAAAAAAAAAAAATACATGCAAATGGAAATAAAGCTCACAGGAGTAGCTATACTTATATCTTCAAAAAGTAACTTTAAGTCAAAAATAGTAAAAAGAGACCAAACAGGTCATTATATAATGATAAAGGCATCAATTCAACAAAAGGATATAACAATTCTAAACATATATGCACCCAGCATCAGAACACCCAGATATATAAAGCAGACATTATTAGGTGTAAAGGGAGATATAAACCCAATACGGTGATAGTTGAGAATTTTGACACCCCACTCTCAGCAATAGTTAGGCTATCTATATGAAAATGAGCAAAGAAAGACTGAATTTAATTTGCAGTTTAGACCAGTGGGCCTAATAGACATTTTCAGAACGTTTTATACAACAACTTCAGAATACATATTTTTCTCATCAGCACATGGAATATTCTCTAGGATAAATGATATATTAGGCCACAAAACAAGTCTCAACAAATTTTTAAAAATCAAAATCATATCTAGTATCTTTCCAGACCACAATAGAATAAAACCAGAAATCAATAACAATAAAACACTGGAAACTGTACAAATATATGGAAATTAAACAATATGCTCTTGAATGACCATTGAGTCAGTGAGGAAATTAAGAATGAAAAAAAAATGTCTTTGAAACAAATGAAAAAGGAAACATAGCATACCAAAACCTGTGGAATACAGCAAAAGCAGTGCTAAGAGGGAGGTTTACAACAATAAACACCTATAACAAAAAAGTAGAAAGACTTCAAATAAATAACCTAAAGATGCACCTCAAGGAAATAGGAAAGCAAGAGGAAACAAAACCCAAAATTATTAAAAGAAATAATAAAGATCAGAGCAAAACCAAACAAAGACCAAAAACAAATACAAAGGATCGACAAAACAAAAAGTTGATTTTTTGAAAAGATAAATAAAATTGACAAACTGCTAGCTAGACTAACCAAGACAAAAAGAGAACACTCAGATGAAATCAGAAAAGAAAAAGGAGACATTACAACTGACACCACAGAAATACAAAAAATCATCAGAGACTACTGTGAACAACTATATGCTAATAAGCTGGAAAACCTAGAGAAAATGAATAAATTCCTGGACACATACATCCTACCATATTGAACCATAAAGAAACAGAAAACCTGTACAGGCCAATAATGAGTAATAATATTGAAATAGTAGAAAAAGTCTACCAAAAAAGAAAAGTCCAAGTTTTACCAAACTTATAAAGAAGAACTAACACCAATTTTTCTTAAAGTATTCCAAAAAATTGAAGAGAATGGAATTCTTCCTAACTCATCCTACAAAACTGGTATTACTTTGAAACCAAAACCAGGCAAGGTCACAACAACAAAAAAAACTACAGGCCAATATCCCTGATGAACACATACGTAAAAATCCTCAGTAAGTACTAGCAAGCCAAATTCAATACAAATCAGAAAAACCCAGAACACCATGATCAAGTGAGATTTATCTCAGGGATGCAAGGATGGCTCAACATGTGCAAATCAATTAATGTGATACATCATATCAATAGAATGAAGGACAAAAACCATATGATTGTCTCAATAGATACAGAAAAAGCATTTGATAAAATTCAACATTCCTTCATGATAAAAATGCTCAACAAACTAGCCAGAGAAGAAACATACCTCAACCTAAAAAAAGGCCGTATGTGTCAAACCCATAGCTAACATCATAACGAATGGGGAAAATCTGAAAGCTTTTACTCTAAGAAGTAGAATTAGACAAGGATGCCCACTTTCACCACTTCTATTCAACCTTGTACTGAAAGTCCTAGCCACAGTACTCAGGTAACAGAAAAAAATAAAAGGCACTCAAATTAGAAAAGAGGAAATCACATAGATCCTCTTTTCAGATAACCTTATTGTATATTGAGAAAAACCTCAAGACTCCATCAAAAATCAGACAGATAACTCAGTAGTTATAGGATACAAAATCAACATGCAAATATCAGTAATGTTTATAAACACTAATAATGAACTAGCTGAAAAAGAAATCAAGAAAGCAATCCCATTTACAATTGCTAGCAGAAAAAAAAAACTAGGAATAAGTTTAACCACGTACATGAAAACCTTCAGAAAAAAAAATTACAAAACACTGATGAAAGAAACTGGAGAGAACATAAACAAATGAAAAGACATCCTATGCTCTTGGATTGCAAAAACTAATATTGTTAAAATGATAATAATACCCAAAGCAATCTACAGATTCATTGCCAGCTCTATCAAAATACCAATAGTACTTTTCACAGAAAGAGAAAAAACAATCCTAAAATATGTATGGAACCAGAGAAGAGTCTAAATGGCCAAAGTGATCCTGAACAAAATGAACAAAGACAAAAGCACCACACTACCGGACTTTAACATATATTACAATGTTAGAGTCAACAAAACATCACAATATTTGTGCCAAAACAGACACATAGGTCAATGGAAAAGAATAGAGACCCAGAAAGAAACTCATGTATTTACAGCCATATGACTTTTGATAAAGGAGCCAAGAATATACACTAGGGAAAAGATACCCTCTTCAGTAAACGGTGCTGGGAAAATTAGATACCCATATGCAGAAGAATGAAACTAAACACCTATCTCTCACCATATACATAAATCAACTCAAATTGGATTAAATACTTAAACATAAGGCCTGAAAATATAAAACTATTGGAAGAAAATAAAGGGGAAGCATGCCAGGCCATTGGTCTAGGAAAATATTTTATGGCTAACACCGTAGAAGCACAGGCAACAAAACCAAAAATAGACAAATGGGATTATATTAAACTAAAAAGCTTCTGCACAGCAAAAGAACTAATCAAGAATAAAAAGACAACCAATGGAATAGAGAAAATACTTGCAAAATAGTCATCTGACAAGGGAGTAATATCTAGAATATACAAAAACTCAATTCAACAGCATATAAAACAAACTAACAAAAAACACCAAACAATCCCATTAAAAAGTGGGCAAAGGATCTAAATAGACATCTCTCAAAAACAAAACAAAACAAAAAAAACAAAACACGTGGCTGACAGTGTATTGAGCATTCAAAAGAATCACCAAGGAAATACAAATCAAATCACAATGAAATATTGTCTTACCCCAGTTAAAATGGCTATTACTAAAAAAATAACAAATGCTGGCAAGGATGCAGAGGAAAAAAAACTCTCATACGCCATTAGTGGAAATGTAAATTAGTATAGCCATTATGGAAAACAATATGAAGACTTCTCATAAAACTAAAATCAGAACTACCATACAATCCAGCCATCCTACTACTGGGTATTTATCCAAGGAAAGGAAATTAGTATATCTAAGGGATACAAACAGCTCCATGTTTATTGCAGCACTGTTCACAATAGCCAAGATACAAAATCAACCCAAGTATTCATAAATAGGTGATTGGATAAAGACAATGTGGTATATTTATGCAATGGAATATTATTTGGCTATTAAAAAAGAATAAAATTCTGTCATTTGTAGCAGCATGGGATGGAATTGGAGGTCAATGTGCTAAGTGAAATTAGACACAGAAAGGCAAATATGTGGAAGCTAAAACAGTTGATCTCATGGAGGTAGAGGGTAGAATAATAGTTATCAGAGGCTGTGGGTGTGTAGGGAGAGGGGGAATGAAGAGAGGTTGGTTAATGGGTACAAAATTACCGTTAGCTAGAAGGAATAAGTTCTAAGGTTTGATACTATAGCAAGCGATTATAGTTAACAACAATGTATTGTTCACTTCAAAATAGCTAGAAGTAAGGACTTGAAATGTTTTCAACACAGAAATGATACATGCTAATGGTGATGGATATTCTAAATACCCTGACTTCATCATCACACATATCTGCATGCAACAAAATATCACATATACCCCTTAAATATGCATAAATAGTATGTACCAATACAAATAAATCATATTAGAGCAGGTCTAGAGTATCCTTTATTCTACATTTAGCTTAGTTTTACTATTAACACATTGTATTTTATTACTTAATATTGAATGCCCCAGATGTTCAACAATTCTTCCCTCTGACTAGTTGGAACACAAATATCTGCCATTTGCAGGTGAGCTCTAAGAATTTTTCAACTTACAGCTCCCTAGTAGTTCTGAGACTGACCTCATGTTCCAGCCTATAAATGCATAGTTTAGTAATCAGTCACAGACTCAGGTCACCTCTATGCAAACTCGAATGCTCCTTTTCTAGTCACCTTTCTCCTCTGAGGGATTTTGTGAGTTCAGTTGGCTTTGCCTCCCAGAACAATAATCTCTTTTTTTACCCAGCAAGACCATCGTGCTTTCATTGGGTCCCATCCCTGTCTTATGGTCGGGAAAATTCCTTTAGGCAGAAAGATGATGCAATCATAAAGCTCACTTTGTTTATTTCTCTTCTCTCAAAGATCACAGTCCTGTACTGCCTACTGTCCAATTTGTAAAAATGATTGCTTCATATATTTTCGTCCTGTTCTCTAGTTGTTTATAGCAGTAAGGCAAAACTGGAACTGATTACTTTTTCATGGTAGAAGCTGAAGTCTTTGAATTTTCTATTTTTGTCACCTGTACTGTAACAGAGTGGTATAAATCCCACCTCTACTACTGCCTAACTAGATGGATTTAAATTTATTGAATTTCCTTTTCCTTATCTGTAAAATGGGCATAAAAATATATACCACTAGATTGTTCAGTTCACTAATTAGTTAAATATGGTATAAACACATCTAGAAGGAGTATCTAAAGGTTGATTCTCCTCCTTCTTTCAAGAGAAAAGACTATAAAATAAGACAATTTCATTAAATACCCAAAATATTAAAAGCAAAATTTTGTGATATCTATAATAAAAACGGTTTCTGTGGGCTCCCATCCATGTCTTCAAAACACATGCTAAGTACTAATTAAACCTATATCCTAAATTCATGCCTCTTTTCGACCTCTGTATTCAACCAGTTGCTTCCGTCTGTTCATAAGCTCCCATCTCTCCTGTTATCAATTTTCCCCGTTGTGGACTTCACCACTTGCTATCTGCACACATCATCATCAACACCACATTTTCCTAACCTTAGTTATTAACCTTTCTGTCTGATTATCTGATCTAAGTATAGAACCCCATGAAACATTCCTAGTTTGATCATTTTTCCTGTCAGAGGCATTCAAACCAGAGCTACTCCAAATCACAACTGAATAGGGGCTGGGTAAAATGAGGCTGAGACCTGCTGGGCTGCATTCCCAGGAGGTTAGGCATTCATAGTCACAAGATGAGATAGGAGGTCACAAGATACAGGTCACAAAGGCCCTGCTGATAAACATGGTACAATAAAGAAGCCAGCCAAAACCAATATGGCAACAAAAGTGACCTCATTATATGCTAATTATAATGCATTAACATAGTAAAAGAGACTTTCACCAGCATCAGCACAGTTTGCAAATGCCATGGCAATGTCTGGAAGTTACCCTATATAGTCTAAAACGGGGAAGAATTCTCAGTTCCAGGAACTCCCCATCCCTGTCCCAGAAAACTCATGAATAATTCACCCCTTGTTTAGCATATAGCCAAGAAATAACCATAAGTATACTCAATCAAGCAGCCCACGCTGCTGCTCTGCCTATGGAGTAGGCATCTTTCACTTGCTTAATAAACTTCCTTTCACTTTGTTCCGTGGACTTGGGGAAAGAATCCCCAAATTCTTTCTTGTGTGAGATCCAAGAACCCTCTCTTTGGGTCTGAATTGGGACCACTTTCTGGCAACATTCTTACCTTCCTCTCTTTGGGTCTGAATTGGGACCACTTTCTGGCAACATTCTTACCTTGAAATTCACCTATAACATCATTTTCTCCTAAAGAGAAGCCTGAGAAGATAGTTCTGTACATTTGAATTTCTTAATATACGTGGACACCAAATATAAACAGAACTAATTTTGTGAAGGTTCACTTGACTTCTTTATGATAATCGAGATTACTGGAAACTGTGAAATAAATACATACTAGCACACTTTCTCAAATAAAGTCACTCAGTATAAAATTTGGAAGTTCACAAAACCTCTTGAGGGAAAAAAAAACTACATATTTAAGAATCAATATCTAAGTGCTCATAATATTCAACATGCAATTTCTAAGCATCTACCATGTGCTAGTAATTACTCTTGACTCTAGAATATCAAAGATGAGGAATCAAAACAGTCATACATGGAAGGCATCATAAATTGCACAGTTAGTTAAGAGAAAAAGCACATGAAATTGGAAAACAGAAGATGCGTTTTACCTTTTTATGCTACTTGAAAAAGGCATAAGATAAACCTCATACTTTGCATAATATTCTCATTCCATCAAACACAAAAAAGAAAAACCAAAACTTCCTCTAATATCTCAATTGCTGTTCTATTTTTATCCACAAATGATAACATGGTTGAGGAACTAACTTACATCTTTGTAATTAGGTGCACTATAGATTTGAACCTATCATTATTAGGATGCTTTTAAATAGATCAAGTCCTTCTTGTCAACTAAATTCTTGCTATTGAAAGCCACACATTGAGATATGAAGCAATTCAATGGTAATAGTATTGAGGCAACCATAGTAGTTCTGCCCAAATGATTCAATCACACTCTACTAATTGGTGATCCATATTTCACTTCATAATCAAAGTAAGAAAAGAGACTCATCTCTATAGAGCCCTTGAAAACTCTTTTCATCATCACTGTATCACAGTCTTAGCATTACATAGACCATGCTATTGCCAACACAGCACAATCAATGAGTTAGAGCATTGCAGCCAAGAATACGTATTCAAAGATTATACTTGGAGAAACTGCAAGAGGAAAGATTGAGACTTGGGAATCGTGTCCCTGAGTTAGGAAGCTAAAGTTCCAGCACTGATCAGAATTTGTGAAAGGAGAGCAAAATAGAATAAACAGTTATAGTTAGCAAAGGCCATCCCTCAGCCAAACTAATAATTACCAGTCTCTTTTAGGAAGGAAAAACTGGAAAACTGTCTCAAAATTAGCAATGTAACCTTTACAGTTTGTTTCCTAAGAGTCTGTATATTAAACCATATACAGTTTTCATTATAAATATGGGTTAATTTCCTGACTAAAGAACTTCAATTACAACTACATAAACACCATATTTCCAAAAACATATTAAAATTTTAACCTTTATGAAGATTATATGTATTTTGTAATCACTGTCAAAAGAAACTTTGCCAGTTGCTAAGTAGAAAAATAACCAATGAAACACCAATTGTAGTTTCTCCCTATACAGTTACAAATGTAGCCATGCATAAGAGAAATACTTCTGCCTACCATTGACTTTTTCAACTCAGTTAGTTATGTATTGGTGCCAGAAATATTATCTAGATTTTAAATTTGTAAAAGTCTCATAATCAAATTTGATTGTGCTATTGAAGAAAATGTTATTGAATTGTAAAATCAATTGAAAAACACTGCATACATTTAATTTTTAATTTTTCCAAAAGACTGTTACTAAATCAATGGTGCATATTACAATTGAGGAAATACGGTGGCTACCTATACTCATCATTGATAAAACTGTGGATCTTCTTTCCATGAAAATACATTTATATATGTGTATCAATAATATTATTTATAAATGCCAAAGGAACAAAAATTAACTACCAGAAGCCAATTCATGAATATTTGATTAAGAAACTTGATCTACATAATTAAATATTTACTCAGTCATTTAGTTTGCATAAATTATTTTTGAAAAGGATAAAAAACCCCAGGACTTCCAGGGACCATCCAGGCAGCAGGAGTTGGAGAACATCAAGGTCAAAGGCTTTGGGAGAGCCATGGTGGTAACTGGAAGTTTAGGACCCCCTTAAAGGCACCCAGGTTGTGAATAAATAAATAAAGGAATAAATAAATAATCAACAGTACTGTGCTGAGGCAATAAATTATGTCAGTAGGGATGAATTCACCTGAATATGTTACGTTTGGAATTAGTGGTCTATTACTTGGGATTGGATTAGTGCCAAGTATTATGCTTGGGGAGTGTGAAGCTGATCTTGTCAAAGCACCCACTTCCAAAGAACTCACAAATATGTGGGATGGGAAAAATAAATATAATACAATAACATAGGCCCAAGGGATGCACCATTGCTGGGAGAACACAAAGCAACTGTGTATAAAGGGGATGTTTTTCAAGAACGGGACCCTAAAAGGGATTTCAAGAGTGTCAGTTTTATTTCAAGAGTCAGCCCTGGCTTCCTGCCCACTGTGCACTGGCCTATTTCTGGGGATACTCTTAAGGTACCTCATGAGTTTACAAAGTTATGCATTTTATTCAAATGTGTTTTATAAGAACAAAAACTCAGAGAAAACTTAATGCTTTTATTATTTGAGTAAAGCTTTGCCATATTAAACATTTGGGAGAATATTCATTAATACATGTTGTTTTACTTCCCCAAAATGGATAAACATGGGGTGCATTAGGCTGAGTCCAATTATTAAAAAGAAAAACATAAAAATGTTAAAAAAAAACTTTTCAACATACAGGTGAAAAAATGCTGAATGCCAAAGACAAAAAGAAAATCTTAAAAACGTCAAGAGGAAAAAAAAGTATGTCACTTATAAGGAAAACCCAGTAAGATTAACATCTGAATTCTCATTAAAAAAAAAAAAAAAAAATAGACTAGACCCAGCACTTTGGGAGGCCAAGGTCGGTAGATCACAAGGTCAAGAGACTGAGACCATCCTGGCCAACACGGTGAAACTGTCTCTACTAAAAATACAAAAATTAACTGGGCATGGTGGTGGCCACCTGTAGTCCCAACTACTCGGGAGGCTGAGGCAAGAGAATCCCTTGAACCTGGAAGGCGGAAGTTGCAGTCAGCCAAGATCGCGCCACTGTATTCAAGCCTGGTGACAGAGCTAGACTCCATCTCAAAAAAAAAAAAAAAAAAGAAGCTGAAAAGTAGTGGGATAAAATACATGATGAAATAGAGATATTCACAGATAAAAAAAATTGAGAGAATTTTTGACTAGCAAATCTCCCTTTCACTAGAAATACTAAAGAAGTTTCTTCAGGCTGATAGGATGTGACTCCAGGTGATAATTTGAGTCCACATGAAAAAACAGTGCCAGTAAAGGTAATTTTGTAATTATTAAATAAAGTATAAATAAATATTTCTCCTTAGTTCTTTTAAATGATTTAAATAAATTTGCATAAAACTATATACGCGTGTATGTGTGTGTGTGTGTATATATAGTGTATTATTGGGTCTATAACATAAAGAAAGATAATATATTTAACCCTGACAGCACAAAGGAGATGGGTGGAAACAAAGATGTATTGGAATGACTCTAGATAATAACTCTAACCTACAGGAACAAATAAAGAGGACCAGAAATAATAAATAAGATTTAAATAACAAAAGCTGTAAATACATACTTGCTATCCTTTCTTCTCTCACAGTATTTAAAAATTATAACATATAAAATAATAATTATAATAATGGATTGTTGAGTTTGCAATATTTATAGATGTAATATGTAAAATAATAATAGCACAAAGAGGGAAAAAGAGAATACAGCTGTATAACAGTAACTTTTCTATGTATTAATGGATTGGGTTAGCATAAATCTAAAGCTGATTCTGAGAAGTTAAGCTATATATAATAAGCCTTAGAGTAACCCACCAGAAAATAATTCTAAAAATATATGATGAAAAAAAGTATTAAATTAAAATATTACATTAGAATATATTCACTTAATGAAAAATATGCCCTAAAGCAGGAATAGAAGAGCAAAAAAGACATGACAGATACAGAAAACAAAAAGTTAATTGGCAGATGTAAATTCAACTGTATCAATAACATTAAATGTGAATAGATTAAATATCCCAACCAACTGACAGATTTTTAAAACGGATAGATTCAACTATATGCTGTTTACAGTATATACACATTAGAGTCAAAGATAAAAACAGACTGAAAGTAAAAGGATGAAAAAAGATATATAATGTAAACAGCACCCACAAGAAAGCTGGAGTGGCTATACTAATATGAGATGAAATAAACTTTAAAACAGGAAGTTTTATTAATGATAAAGATATAAATTTTATAATTACAAAAGGGTGAATTCACTGGGAAGATATAACAATTATAAACAACTAATATGAATGTACCAAAATACATGAAGGAAAACTTGACAGAAATGAAGGGAGAAATAGAAAACAACAATAACAGTTGGGGACTTCAATACCCCACTTTCAATAATGGATAGAACAACTAGGCAGAAGATCAACAAGGAAATAGAAGACTTAAACAAAACTGTAAACAAATTAGACTTAACAGACATTTATAGGACACTCCACTCCACTCAACAATGACAGAACATTCATTCTTGCCGATTTGCATGAAACACTCCTCAGGTTAGACGTACATTAGGCCATAAAACAAACCTACACTTTCAAAATAAATTTGAAAATGTAGAAATAATATAAAGTATGTTCTCTAATCACAATGGGATTAAATTGAAGTCAATTACAGATATTTAAAAAAAACTCACAAATATGTGAAAATTAAACAATATATTCCTAAATAACTAATGAGTCAAAGAAAAAAACAAAAGGGAAATTAGAAAATACTTTGTAATGAAAACAAATAAAAACACAACATACCAAAATTTACAAAATACAATTAAAGCAGTACTTACTGGGAAAGTTACCTGTATGTGCCTATGTTAAATAAAGAAAGAAATATACCATATGAATAATCTAACCTTGTACCTTAAAATGCTGAAAAAAATAAGAGCGAAGTAAACCTGAAATGGAAGAAAGGAAATAATAAAAATTAGAACAGAAATTGACAACAATAATATAAAAATAAGAGCTAAGAATCAGTGAAATCAAATGTTTCTTGAACGAATCAACAAAAACTGATGAAACTTTAGCTAGAATGACCAAGAAAAAATGGATGGGGCTTAAATTAATAGAATCAGAAATGAAAGAGAGGACATATTGACTAACCTTAGAGAAAGAAAATTAATTATAAAGAACATGACAAAGAATCATATACAGGCCAGGTGCAGTGGCTCATGCCTGTATGTAATCCCAGCACTTTGGAAGGCTGAGATGGGCAAACTGCCAGGAGTTCAAGACCAGCCTAGGTGACATGGCAAAACCCTGTCTCTACCCAAAAAAAAAAAAAAAAAAATTAGCAGGGGGTGGTGGCTTGTGCCTGTGGTCCCAGCTACTCAGGTGGCTAAGATGGGAGGATCACCTTGCCTGAGGAGGTTTAGGCTGCAGTAAGCTGTGAGCCCACCACTGCACTCCAGCCAGGGTGATACAGCAAGACCCTTTCTCAATAGATAAATAAGAGAATCATCTACAAATATATCAAATAATATAGATAAAAAAGACAAATTTTTAGAATAACACAAACTACTAGAATTAACACAAGAATATACCACCTGAATAGCACTATAAGAAGTAAAGAAAATGAATTCATAATCCAAAATGTATCCACAAGAAAAGCCCAGGCCCATTGGCTTCACAGCTAAATTTTACCAAACATTTAAAGGATACAAGTTATTCACAAACTCTTTCAAAAAATTAAAGATGAAAGAATACTTCCCAACTCAGTCTACAAGGTTAGTGTTATCTTGATACCAAAACAAGACAAAGACATCAAAAGAAAACTATGGATCAATGTCTCATAAAAATTGATACAAAAATGTTCAACAAAATTCTAGCCATGTGAATCCAACAAATCCAACAACATGGAAAAAGGATTATACACAATGAAATAGTGGAATATATCTCAGGAATGCAAGGTTGGTATAATATCTGGAAATCAATTAATGTTAATACACCGTATCAACAGAATAAAATACAAAAGCCACATTAGCATCTCAATAGACTCAGAAAAAGCATTTTACAAACTCCAACACTGTTTCATAATAAATATACTCAACCAACTAGGAATAGAAGGTAATCTTCTCAACCTCATAAAGGGCATCTACAAAAAACCCACAGCTAACATTTCATGGTGAAAGACTAGAGGTTTTTCTACCTAAGATCAGAAGTAAGACAAGGATGTCCACTCTCACACTTCTATTCCATATTCTACTGGAAGTTCTAGCCATAGCAATTAAGTAACATAAAGAAAGAAAAGTCATCTAGAGCTTATCTATACATTTTTTTTTTGGAGACAGAGTCTCACTCTGTCACCCAAGCTAGAGTGCACTGGCACAATCTTGGCTCACTGCAACTTTCGCCTCCACCTCCTGGGTTCAAGTGATTCTTGTACCTCAGCCTCTCAAGTAGCTGGCACTACACGTGCACACCTCCACACCTGGCTAATTTTTGTGTTTTTAGTAGAGATGAGGTTTCACCATGTTGGCCAAGCTGGTCTTGAACTCCTGGGCTCCAGTGATCTGCCAGCCTCGGCCTCCCAAAGTACTGGGATTACAGGCATGAGCCACCATGCTTGGCCATCTATACATATCTTTAAATTTATTTTAATTTTTATTTTTAATTTTTGAATTCTGCCTTGATCTTGGAAAAATGTCTAAATATAAATGCACTTTAGAAATAATTAGCAGAACTAATAAATGAGTTCTGTAAGATTGCAGGATCAATATTAAAAATTCAGTCTTTCTGTATACTTGTGATGAACAATATGAAAATGAAATTAAGCAAAATATTTGATTTACAGTAGCATAAACATAAGATAACTAGAAATAAAAATTTTAAAAGAAGAGTAAGACATACTGTGAAAACTACAAAACATAGTTGAAATAAATTAAAGAATATCTATGTAAATGGAAAAATGTACTGTATTCATGGATTGGAAGACCTAATATTTTTAAGATGACAATACTGCCCAAGGATGTACAGATTTCCCTGCACTCCCTATTGGAATTCCAGCTCACTTCTTTGTAGAAATTGGCAAGCTGATTCTAAAATCTCTGTGGAAATTCAAGAGATTAGTATAGACAAAACAGTCTTGAAATAAAGATTATATTGGAAAGACTCACAATGCCCAATTCCAAAACTTAACTGGAAAGCAACATTGATCAAACAGTATGATGCTGATATAAGGATAGACGTAGACATATAGATCAAATGAACAGAATTAAGAACCTAAACTTACATATCTATGGTCAACTGATTTTTAACAAGGATTCCAAGTCATTTCAATGGAGAAATAATAATTATTTGGACAACTGGTGTTGGCACACATTGATAATCACATGCAAAAGAATAAAGTTAGGCATATACTTCATATCATACATCAAAATTAACTTAAATTGAGTCAAAGACCTCAATATAAGTACAAAAGTATAAGACCCTTAGAAGAAACCTTAGGTATAAGTCTTCATGACCTTGGATTTGGCAATAAATTCTTAGACATGAAAGCAAAAATATGAACAATTAAGAAAAATAGATAAATTGGACATTATCAAAATCAAAAACTTTTGTGCTTAAAGAGCAATATCAAGAAAGGAAGAGAAAACCCACAGAATGGGATAAAACATCTGCAAATCATATATATAGTAACAAACTTTTGTCTAGAACATACATATCTCGTACAACTCAACAATAGGAAGAAAAATAACCCAATTTATAAAGATACATATGATTAAAATATGCAGCTCTCCAAAGAAGATGTATTAATGGCCATGAGAGATGCACATGAAAAGATGCTTGACATCATTAGCCATCAGAGAAACGTAAATGGAAACCACAAGATTCCACTTCTCACCCACTAAGATGGCTAGAATAAAAAAGTCAGATGATAACATGTGTTAAAAAGGATGTGGAAAAATTGGAATACTCATACACTACTGGTGGGAATGTAAAATGGTGCATTCACTATGGAAGATACTCTGGTAGTTCCTCAAATGGTTAAGCATAGAGCTATCATATGGCTCAGCAACTCACTCCTGGCTACATACACTCAGGGGGAATGAAAACCCACATCCAAACTAAAACTTGCACATGAATGTCTATAGCAGCATTAATTATAACAGTGAAAAAGTGGAAAGAACTCAAATTTCCATCAGCTGATGAATGGATAAGCAAAATGTATACTCATATACGGTCATAAAGAGAACTGAAGCACTGATATGTGCTGCAATATTGATAAACCTTGAAAACACTAGGCTAAGTGAAAAAAGTCACAAAAGACCACCTGTTGTGTAATTCCATTTATATAAAATGTCCAAAATAGGCAGATCAACAAAGATAAAAAGTAGATTAGTGATTGTTTAGGAAGAGTTGGGGATAGGAGCATAGAAAGGTGACAGTTAAGTAGTATCAGTTTATTTTTGAAATAACAAAAATGTTATAAAATGTACTGTATTGGTTTTTGCACTGTAAATATATTAAAAATCATTGGTTTGTATGCTTTAAATGGGTGAACTGTATGCTATGTGTACTATGCCTGAGTAAGCTGTAAAAAATCTGCTTTTTAACATATCAGTTGTAGAACTGAACAATATTTACAAAATTTGAAAAAGCATATGACCAAGTATTTTTTTCCCTTTGAAGTCTTGTGTTAATTACACCTCTGTTTCTGATTCATTAACATGCAATTCATTAGCGTGGCTTCTGAGGCAGCATTTGCTGACTAAGGGAACTGATAAATTTTTTACTTAGTGAACCTTGGTTAGATGCTTTTCTCTTTTCCCTCTGAACCGTGATGCTGTGCTTGACAACATTAGACTTAACTTAGCTCTGGGAAGGTCCATTTCCAGTTCCAAACTCAGATCTCAGGAACTGTGAGGGAGTCTTACATTTTGTAAAAATGCAGAACATATTATTTCCTCTAATTTGAATGATAAAGTAGATTTCATGTGACACTGATGAGCAAGATAGCAAATTCAAAAGCCCAGAGTTTTTAGACATATATAAATTAATACATAGCTGTATATAAATTAATACATAGCAAAGCCTAAAACGTGCTTTGCAGAAGTTCTTATTCCTGTGGCTGACACATTAGTGGAAATGAGGAGGGGTGCTGTGCGGGTACTGCCAAGAAGAGGCAGGAAGAACAGTCCTGGCGAGGGCTTCCCCTGACTTACTCTCATGCAGTGACTTTCTGCTAGCTCTCCTATGCAAGTTATGTCTGTGAAAGAAGAATAAAAGTGAAATTTTCTGTGAAAGGGGGATAGTGGGGAAGAGAAAAGAGATAGTATGGCTATTTATCAGATATTTAATTGTAGAATTGAAGTGCTGCAGAGACACTGACTCACAATTATTTAGGAGACACTGGCAGCTTCAAATCCTCAAGGCTGACAGCACGGAACATGTGCCATTTGTTGGAGTAGCAAGCATGGTATTGCCCCCAAGACATTAAATTATGTGCTAACTGTCCTCACCCTAAGAAGTTTACTATGTTTTCTAGGTTTTTCTGGTTGTTGATTGTTTGGTTTCAATGCACACAAGTAGCAGGACTATTGCCAAAGGAAGTGTCATGGCTTGCAAAGAGTGACATACAAGATCTATTTCACATCTTTCTATTTTTCCATTCCTCCATGTCTATACCTAGTGGCAATAATCCCAAAATTTTTGCAAAAATGTGCCAAGATATTTCATTTTAATATTAAATCAGATATTAACTTGTTAGTGCCTACACCTTCTTCCGACCCAATAGAAACCCACCTATTATTTTTAAGACAGAAACAGCTTTAAAACCCTTCTCATTGCTGGGGAAGAGCCATCCTTATTCCAGCTGCACTTGCAGTGAGTCACTGCAAGTAAATTAGATTTACCAAGAGAAAGGGAGGAGCTGAAGATGAAAACAATTTATCCCACCGAAATAATATTATTTAGGAGTCCAGCCTCCAAACCCTCATCTCTCTCTCTCTAACACACACACACACACACACACACACACACAGACACACACACACTCTTTTGCACTTTTCACTGTAGCTTGGAAAGAACTTAAGTGTCCCCAATGCTAGCAACAAATTCAGATTTGAGGTAGTGAGTTGGTGCTCTTAGTTTTACCGCAGCCATGCTGGCATCAGACAGAAAGCTGAGAAAATCTGTTTTCAACAGGCACAGAATTGGAAAGGAGGAGAAAAGGTCAGAGAAATTAGCTTTTCTTCTTTTCCACAAAAGCAAAGGGTGATATTTTCATGTTTTCTATGATAATAATGACCACAATTATAACAAGATTGAGTAGTTTTTAGGAAGTATGAAGTGCCAGATGCTAGTCTAAATCTTTTACATAGATAATCTCATTTAACCGACACACGTTTATGGATAGGTAACATCACTTAGCAAATGTGAGACCGGTATACAGAGATTGGGCACCTTGCACAGTATCACATTGCTGAGCTGGCACAAGGGAGATTTGAATCAAAAGCACTGACCTTGGATGCCAATGGCCTCACCTATGTGTAGCAGTAAATGGGGGTCTTGGGTAAGTGAACAAAACACATGGCCTGCATATTAGTTCAAGTCACCAACCATTTAATTTAAAATCTTCTATGTACAATAAGAATCATGAAATCCAAATACATTTCTTCCTATCCCGTATTAAAATTAAATCACTAGAATTAAATAAGGAGGGGAAATTTTTACTTAATTTATATTTAGAACTTATTATTCCTGTGGTTGAAAAGAAGGGTTTTCAGTCATATGCATACAATACAATGTTTAATTCATAAAGCATTAAAAAAACCCATGAGACTGGGATTACAGATTGATTGATATTCTATGAACATGACTAAGAGGTCCTATATAAAGTACCATAAAGTTAAAAGAAAACAAGTCTCCCTGCTGAACAGTCGTGACAGAATTGCTGCTTAAAAATAGATCAATCATATGATTTAAACAATTCCTCTGGAGGATAGGGAGGGGACATGAAGAAACTAGAATATTTAAAATATTAAAAAGTCCTTCTAGGGGCTTGAGAACAAACGCAGCTTTAACAATGTGGGCACCAAGCCCAAAACTGCCAAGTTGCCTTTGGGGATAAAGACATTTAACTGTGTTCCTAAATGTATAACAAAAAAGAATGCTTTCCTCTTCTTCTACCTCCCCTGTAATAAACAGTCAAAGATGCACCGTGTGAAAATAACGCATTTGGGCTTTGAGACCATATGCTGACACTGAGAATCTAAAATGGGCTGACTCATGAGCCTTGTGAATTTTTCTTCATTGTCCTGATTAATAAGGTTAGTTGAAGTCAAGTTATGAGAAAACCAGTCGAGCACAGACAAATCATTCTCCTTTCTTTTCGGAAAATACCACCCAGCTTTTAATTACACATGTTGTATTTACAACAAGAAGTCAATAGTTTGTTCAACTTTACTAACAAGAAAAATAGTATTTGGAAAAATTTTTAAGCAGAATATATAAAAATATTATTAGGTTGTAATTGGCTAGATCTCCCCAGCCCCACTAGGGGGGTCATTTTGACTAGAGAGATACAACGTTGAGTAAGAGGTAAAGTCATGGTGTTTGGAACCTGAGAGACTTAAATAGAACTCATGGGTCTGTCAGTTAAATGACTGTGGACTCCTGGATAAGTTATTCAAACCTCTCTGAACTTCACTACCTTATTTGTGAAATGGAGGTTATATATATTACACTATGAGTTACTTTAAGGATTAGAGATAACGCATATATATGCCTAGTTACTAGTACTAATTCCCATTATAAACATCTGATTCTTAATCTGATGAGCCAATTGGCTCGCAGGTATGGCTGCTACCAAGATGTTCTTTGATCTGACTGCAACTTCTACCATAGTTTCCATGCTTTAGCTTCATTTAAGTGCTTTAGCTTTACTAAACATGTTGGACTCGTAAGAAACCCTGATATTCTTATTGCTCCTGTGATCGGCAAAGTACAAGATGAAATAAAGAGGAATTTGGTGTCCAAACTTTAGCCTCTTATATAAAACAACAACCTTAATACTTATTTATCAAATATGTATGTAGCTTTCACTGCATGCTTAACATTGACATTACAGAGGTGACTGAAAAACACAATGCCCTGTCCCTATAAAGTTTACATTTATAGGATAAGGTGGGAGTGAGAGGGCCAGAGCTACTTGGTTGGAAAGGTGAGAAACAAAGGCTATGGGGAAACATAAGGCAGGTTTATGGATGGGTTGTGGATGGTTTATGTGAATCTATGTGAGAAAGAACAGCCATGAGAATACTTGCTCTCTCCTAACGCAATTAAAAAAGTAGTTTCTAGATTATTTAACTGTTATCATATCCTGGGTGGCCACTTCCAATCTTAATTCAGATTCTGCTTAATTATCTCAGCACTGTTTAGAATCCAAAAGTCACGTCAATATATCTCCTATGAATCCCACCTGTAATTGTCAGGACCGTAAAATACATTGTAAGTTTTCTATAATATCAGTAGGAATTGAGGGAAGAAATTTTACCCCTAGGGTACTTGAGGCAGCATCTTTTCAATACTGCTTGGACAGAAAAAAAGGACTCTGTTGTGGGGCCAATTGTGTTCCCTAAAAATGCATATGTGAAACTCTTCATCCCCAGTAGTACCTCACAATGTGACTATATTTGGAGATAGAATCTTTAAAAAGGTAAATACAGTTAAATGAGGTCATTAGGGCAGGCCGTCATTTAATATGACTGGTGTCCTCATAAGAAAAGGAGATTAGGAGGCCGACACAGAGGGAAGGCCATGTGAAGACACGGGGAGGTGAAATTCTGCAAGCCAAGGAGAGTCTTCAGAAGAAACCAACCCTGCAGACACCATGCTCACAAATTTCCAGCCTCCAGAATTGTGAGATAAATTATTGTTGTTTAAGCCATGCAGTTTGTGGTCCTCTGTTATAGCAGCTCTAGGTAATTAATTCAGACTCCAAAGTCATATAAAAGCCATTCAGCCCGTTTGTCTTCCCAGTAATTTATTTTTCAGGTTATTTGACTTTAGCTCATAATAAGAATATAGAATTATAAACATTGTTTAACATTTATGAAAGAACCTCAGTCACCACCCTCTAGGAACAAAGGTGTGCCTTTCCCACCCCTAATATTTTTGGCTGCTTCCGTTTTGGCACAAAGGTAAGGTATTAGACTATGACTGGACCTCCACATTTCTTCTTTATGAAAGAGCAATATTCTTTCCACTATACAATTCTCTATTCTAAGTTGAACCATTCTGAAAAACAAATTACATTTCCACTAAAATGATCTTGGTAGGGATAGAAAAAAACTGTTTCTTACTTTCTCAATTTTTAGTTTTTCTCTCTCACTTATCTTTCTTGCACCATCAAAGGCAGGGGGTGGACAGGGTAACAGGTTACTAAACAGTAGCTGTCGGCAGGAAATGATTTGGGATGGTATGGGTTAGTTCTTTCTCATTCACATTTCAGAGTTTAACAGAAAGTTGGAATGCTGGACCAGTAAAGCAGGAAATTCTTTACAAGCCCCCACTTCCACATCTGCTGCCTCTTTTTAAGTCCATCTGCTGAAGTTCAATAGTGTCCCCAGATTTCCTCAATTAATTTTTCAGTAGGCAATTCCTTGCTAGTAGACTGATATTTTTGGTAGATGAAAGGCCCCAAGCCCTTCATTTTTTCAGAAAGATTCACACTGCAAAAATGTTTGCAAAGAGTTAATGGGAATGGAACACTTCATATATAGTCTGTGCCACACATATATCCACACAGCTATTAGAAAAATACATTTGTAAGGTACTTTATTACTAAAATTCTTCTTAATCATGGTCTCCTGCAATACTCAAAAGAACTGTGCCAGTAAGTGGGCAGTTATTGTTCTTGTACATAGGGTGTGAAGGAAGGGGAGATCAGTGGCAGGGACATTAACCAGCTCAACCAATAGGCAGACCAGAAGCCTAGGTCTCTGGATGCCATCCAGTACATTCCCTTACATAAAAGTACAAAAATGCTGTGCTTATGTGCTCACATTTGAGATTTTTTGAAAATCTGAAGATATCAGCTATTTCTTTTAAAAAATCTAATAGTTTTATTAAAATTACTAATCAATCACGTGAAAAGAATTACTTTGGTTGCCTATGTACCCACTGCCTTAGGGTCTGTGGGACATGGAACACAGGTGTGCTTTGTTATGTCCTTGGGATTCAGGGCAATTAATGTTCTCTTTCTCCTGTTCCCTATTTAGCACACAGCAAGGCTGGCCCGTTTGAGCATCCTCATGTGATCCTTGATTGCATTACAAAATATGATCAAAAGAATCTACCTCAATGGGCATGATTGTGCTGCTTGCTAAACTCAATGGCAATTTATTTAAATATGATACTCTGCAGGAGAACTCCTTCAAAGAAAAGGCACAACAGGCAGTTTATCATTTCCATGCAAGGCATTTGGAGTTATTACCTCGTGAAAGCATTGGGGGAAACAAGGATAATGCTGGTGGAAGAGTTAAAATGGGATATGATCATACGCCCTACTCTCTATGCACAATGCTAGTTGTGTCCTAGGGTTAATAGCTTGGTGGTCCCTCTTAACACAAATCAGCCTTCCAAACAGAGTAAAGGGATGGGCGTGGGTGGTAAGGAAATTAGGATCATGGATTCTAGACAATAATGTATCTGAGATAATCGCGTGATGCAAGCACATTACTATTCAGTGTGTGGCAGATACTGCTAATTCACTAAAAAACTAACTCAGGCAAATATAAATTAAAGCACGTGCAGGATTGGATTGTAAAAATAAAAGAGCAATTAGTACTGCAGTATGTGCACATCTGCAATAATCCTGTTTGATGCATCTTCTATTAATTTACTTTATTGGAAGGGAAAAAAATCAGGTCAACAGAAGGAAATGCATAGCTTTTGGCCACTACAAAGGATTTCCAAACATTGACTAAGTTTGCTATGTAAATGTGTCAAATATCCTTCTTTCAGCCCAGAGTAGAAAGGCAAACTGTCTCTTATTTGTGAAGCTGTGATTTTTAAACTTACAAAGTTTAATTTTCAGAAGTGTGTTAATGACAATTTTTGTTCACGTACTCATTTTTCTCCCTGGTAATGTGCTTCCCATGTTTATGGGGAAAATATGTTAAATAGTAGGATTAATAAATTCATTTATTGACACAAAACTGCAACCCAATAAAATCTCTAATTTGTAATATGTAATGTGAAAAATTATAATTGTATTCCTGAATCTGGAAATACTTCATTGTATAACCTTCATTCAACAATACGTTTTAAACGTTTCTATGTTGAAGTGTAGAAAACAATAATTTAGATCTAAACTAATATATAAAAATTCAGTAAGTATAGAAAGTATTTCTGGAATGCAGCAATTAATCCTTTCCAAACTATAAAAATATTTTAACTCCTAGCTTAATGGGTTGTTAAATATTTCTCACTATATACTTGTTATTGTACCAGTATTTACTGAAATCACTAGCACAAACAGGCAAATTATCAGTTTTCAACCAATTTAATTCTATGTTGAATAATAACTGTTTCTTAAATACATCATCTATCATGCCTAATTTTTAGGATAAAATTTCTTTCAAAACAGAGCTTTTTTTAAAAACAAAAATTGCTTTTGGGGAGGTAAAGTCTATGTCAAAAACAACAAAAAATACTTTTTCCTTTAAAATTAGAAGCAGTCTATGCTCTCTGCTTTATGCCAATTCATCTTCAGCTTTCTGATTCCAAACATGCTTACTTTAAATAACTCACACATTTGTATATTACTACCTTTCTCTTTCATTTACAAAGAAAGCAAATAATATGGCTGTAAGTGAAGCAATACATTATTCATAGATTAATTATCATTGTTTAATTATTCGGACAAAACTTCAGCTCAAGGGAAATATGTTTAAAGTATACTATATCCTATCCATTATGAGACAATGCACTTTGAATAATATTATCAGGAGTATATCTGTAACTTAAGGATTGTCAGTCTTTCTATTTTTATAGATTTAAAACATTTAAAGCATTGTGCTCAATTCAAGAAAATATTTTGATATAAACTAAGCTTTATTATAATAAATTATGTGTTGAATAATTTCTTTAAAAATAAAACCACTTTCGATATAAACCTTGTTATTAAAAATCCCAAGTATCATTTGTGTATTATGTAATAATTAAATATTAAAATGAAAACAGGTAACTATAAGGTCTTGAGGAAAAGTGTTATGTAATTTAAATAAATTCAATACAATATAATAGCTAATCAGATTAAATGTTTTTGTCAATTGAAATTTGCTTTATTGAGTAATTTATAAATTTCAATTTGTATATATATATATATGTAAAATAATGTTTGGAAAATAACACTTAAAAAGCGTAGTCTACAAACATTGAACTTTTGCTTTTGTGCCGTGTACATAAATGAGACTTTATTTTCAAGACCGAATCTGTGGGAACAGCCTGAATTTCTGGTTTCTTAAGTGAGATTAGCAGAATAGATTAGAAGCATCGCTTCTACTGTAAACCACATGCAGAGATAATACAAGTGAATATTACTCCTAAAACTTTGAGAATTTCATATTTGTTAAGTCTACACCATTAAGTATATCTATACCACAGATCACAATCTACATTGTCACATTGGAAGCCTTTGAATTTATAATTTTTATCTAAGTGTTAGACAAGAATTGGTGTTTATGAAAAGCATTATTTTATATCAAGTAAGTGTAAATGTTAGTGTCTCAGATAATTTGCACTAACTACGCATGCCCTCTACCACACATCCTGCCGAAATAGTTTTTGTTTTTGTCTTAATTTTTGCACATATGTGGGCTGGGTACTACCTGTCATACTTCAGAGTTCTAAAGCCCCTAGGACACAGAGCCAGATCAGAGCTTCTGCATTAACTCTCAATTTCCTGGCTTTTTGAGGGATTCGGCAGACCCATAATGTTTCTTTAGTATTGGCTTTTTACTGTGGTTTAATATTTCTAAAAGCAGTAAATTATTTCCAGCGTATGTAAAAAAGACAAATTTCTCTGTGGTTAGTGACCACAAAACAAAACAAGAAACAGAAATACTCCAGAGCGTAGATCCTAAGAAAAGTTTCAAATTCTAAACCTTACTTTAAGATCATAGGTGAAAAAGAAAATTTTGATGCAGAATTTTGAACTGATATTTTAAAGACTTCTTGCCAATATTCGTTCCTGTATCTATTATTTCCATCATCAGTAGCAAGAGTGCTAATCATTACATAAGCATACACACTCATTGTCTCTCATAGGCATATAACATAGCTACGAGCTGTTGAATAAGACTAATATTG
Source organism: Homo sapiens (assembly GCF_000001405.40). Taxonomy (NCBI): domain Eukaryota; kingdom Metazoa; phylum Chordata; class Mammalia; order Primates; family Hominidae; genus Homo; species Homo sapiens. The sequence goes on from NC_000007.14 coordinate 19,098,180, forward strand.
ACTAGTAAAGATACCTTATGAATGACTTATGGTAGACTCTTAATTTTTGATTCAGTGAATTACTAACAAACACTTTCTTTAACAAGAAAATAGTGAAGTAAAACTATTAGCAAATGACTTCTGATAGCAAGAACATGTTATTAGTTGATCACTGTTTTTGTTTTTGCTCTTGGATCTCAAGTTTTTCTTTTTGTTTTTGCACTATAGTAATTTGAGATTCAAAAATAATTTTTGAATTTTTAAAATAATGCTTCACTTTGCAGGCTTTAGTTATGATTTTTAAAAACATAACATTTTAAAAGATTCTATAGATTTAAAATTTTGCATCTGACAGAAAACATTTCTTGACAACTTAACCCATTTATGATGGAGGTTGCAAATTTTTTGTGAAAAATCAGACCTTGGCGATGACCTTGAGCAGTAGGATACAAATAACTCCCACAAGCTTATCATTCAAATAATGGAACACTACAGCATAAATGATTTAGAGCAGTAATTGAAAATTGTATTTTACTGAGGCATTGTCTGACATATTCAATTACCAGAATGATAGTGCTGGGGATACATCCATTTTGCTATACAACTATAGACACCTAGATGCTCAGATAAATTCATTTAAGTGGCTGAGGAACACAGCTAATAATTGGCAGAGCTTAGACTCTTTCTTTTTCCATTTATACCCCAAGCTAATCCAACTACACATCAGAAAGAGTACTTTCATTTAGGGCAAAATTAACAATGCAAGAAGACCTCATAACCTCAAAATAAAGATACATATGCCAATGAGAAGGGCAACATTAATGGTTTGATTACTGTATATAAGAAAAAGAAACCTCATAACCTCAAAATAAAGACACATATGCCAAGGAGAAGGGCAATATTAATGGTCTGATTACTGTATATAAGAAAAAGAAGAGCAAAATGCATATTGCTCATAAAGCAATCATGAAGCAGAAACATTCTTAAAACATTGTTTTATGTTGCTAAACTTTTACCTCTCTCAAACTTCGCCAAAGACAGCACAAAGCAGCAGAGATTTCATGGACAAGAGAGACTAATAATGACAAAATGTAGTGCAGATTCTAGACTCTCAAATTCAGGTGAAATAACATAAATAAGTTTTTAACTTTTTTAAAAAATCATTACTCCTGCTTGTTTGTGCATATTTCTTCTGGAGCAGATCAAAACTAAGCTGAGAACCTAGATGGTATGCACAGATAAAGAAATGGGCATATCACGTCAAGATTTCTACCCCGATATGGTAAAACCAATGTTATATATGGAACAGCTTTTTCTAAACTTTCTAAATTACATAGCTTGGATCTGAGAATTTCTAAGCTTAGAAAATTAGAGGACATAGATCTAGGATTTTTTTTTTTTTTTTTTTACGTAAACAATTACAAGTAAGATGGACTAAGGTCAGCTTTAGTATGTATGATATTAGAATGATTCCAGAACGTTTCTGGCTTTGTGTAAGAATCTTTCACTATGAAAGACAGGTTGCAATTTAAAAACTCACCTTGAATATAAAGTAAAAGAAAGGGAAACTAAAATAAACTTTTATTTAATAAATTGTTTTGTTTCAAATGTATAATTATTCTCGAATACAAACTATAGTCTTCTTTTTTATGACATCCTCTCTGCTAAAATTATATACATAGTACTTCTATCTGCTCCCTCGTTGGAATAAAATACTCAAGTTGTTTTACATCTGAAAGCAGAGTTGAGATTCCTGCCCAAACTTGACAATGGGCTTTAAAAGTAAATGTAAATTGTGAAATGGTGTCTCAAGAGGATATTAAAACATAAATGTTAAGTGGAATAACACAGTCAAAACTGTCACACAGAGTTAATAGTAAATTGTATAATGATGCCAAGGAGGCATAATCTACATTTAATTCGAAGCTCTTCAGACTAATAACTACGATCTTGAAGCAGATGCCTATGCTTGTAGATAATGAGCCAAAACAAAATTCCAGGACAGAATAAAATAGCTATAAATAAGATAGAAAAGAAAAATGCCTTTAAGTTTGAAAATGTGCAAGTGGCTTAAAAGTATACATATATATCCAGCTATAAATGTGTATGTATAGTTATACACATGTATGTATGTGTGTATATGTATATAACATATAGCATTATGCCTTTGCTTCCTAGCTGAGATCAACACATGCTTTTGTACTTATAAGGAAGTAAACTTTAAAAATCACACTGCCACTTTCTATGTGCAAGCAATATTCTTTTTATATTTATATGCAATAATTTCACTAGAAGCTGTGTGCTTTTCTGGAAAAGCAAGGTCCACAGGTTTCTTTATCTTTGACATTTCCAAAGTTATTACTCTTTTCTCCCTTGCATTGGAATCTTTTTCTTATATGCATAAGAGTGCCTTTTCTTCCAGATTTTCCTTTTGAAAGAAGGAGCAGATAAGTGTTTTATGTCACAGAAGCACAGCCATGTGAATGGTACATGGGCTTCTGTTTCCAGCAGTAACAAAGACTCCACTGTGTGCCCTCAGGTGAGTCACTTAACCCTGCTGTGTCACAACTGCTCCACCTGCAAATTCAGTAATCACCTTTGCCACTCATCTTCCTCTTGGGGTTGTTTTGAGTATGTCGTAACTGGTCATTTATTTGATCCATTCAAGAAACACCCGGCCGGGCGCGGTGGCTCACGCCTGTAATCCCAGCACTTTGGGAGGCCGAGGCGGGCGGATCACGAGGTCAGGAGATCGAGACCATCCTGGCTAACACGGTGAAACCCCGTCTCTACTAAAAATACAAAAAATTAGCCGGGCGTGTTGGCGGGAGCCTGTAGTCCCAGCTATTCGGGAGGCTGAGGCAGGAGAATGGCGTGAACCTGGGAGGCGGAGCTTGCAGTGAGCCGAGATCGCGCCACTGCACTCCAGCCTGGGCGACAGAGCGAGACTCCGTCTCAAAAAAAAAAAAAAAAAAAAAGAAACACCCAATGCCCTTGGACCTTTGAATGTGCAGACCCAAGTGCAAGCTCAGTTATAAAACTACATCCAACAGCAATATTTCCTTACTGAAAGAGACAAAAGGCAGCCAATTGAAGAATGCCAGACCCAAATGACATCTTGAAGGCCTTTGAGATTCTCAGATGAAAGGCTTTATGTAAAAATAAAGTGTTGCTACTACCTAGGCAGAGAAAAATGCACACATTTTCTTTCAGCATTCAAGAGACCAATACAGTGGTGCCCTCTGCTCTCCTTTGATTTTTCGTTTGCATTTAGTTTGACGACAATATAGATAAATCCTCCATTTGGTGCCATTGGACCAGGGTTACATTTCAGTATGTGGAAAAATGATGAAATGAAAGAGAAAAGCCTTTGAAAGAAAGTGAAAATAAATGTAATAGCCAAAGCCAAATAATAGTCAGAGTATATTTAAAGTCTATTAAAGAGCAGCAGTCAGGGTATCAAATGCACACTCTTTCATCCTCTGTGGTCAGCCTACTATGTGGACCACCTGCCTTAAATTACACAAGTTCACCGCATCCCTGGAGTGAAGGGGAAGGCAGGAGAAGAATGGGGGTGGAGAAGCAACTTTCTCCATTCATACTAATCACACAAATGGTAAAATCTTTTTAGAATGCCTCTTTTCAATTCACAATCAATTACATTTGAGTCTCTAAACCACCACTCTTGGGTTTGGAATAATGTGTGGATATGTGCAGTAAAAAAGTAACTTGAAGTTTCAGTTTCTCAGCAGATACTGATTGGCATGTACTGTTTAATCATCAGTGATTATGCTGTTTTAGAAGGTGAAAGAACAATGTGGAGCTGTTTATTGCACAGGAATATATGAAAATAGAGCCCTAATTGGCCGAATCAGGAGAAAAGACAGACCCTTCTGGACAGGCTGCTCCAGTTTGGACAAGAATCACATGTGGACAGTATATGTGGAGCTCTCACACGAAACAAATGGAGTTGATTTCACAGACATTACAACACACTAATATGCTAGCCAAATTTCTTATTAGACTTAATACTTATTACTTTCAGAATACTATGGCTGCCACATATGGTTGTGAGGGATGGTCACTGAACAAGGGCACTTGGTCCACAGTGCAAAGGGGCCTGAAATAAGTCCCACTCTGCACAATAAGATATAAGCCCTGAAAAAAAGGGCTCCCTTTACTATTTAGACAGGGAGCTCATATAAGCAAATAGCAACTATGGGCTCCACAGCTATTTTAAATTTAAAACATTTAAAATAAGTGTCTGAATCATAATGTTTCAATAAATGTTTTTGAACATCTTTTTGCTTACCTGGGCTTTTATTCTAAAAATGAAAGATAAGAGTATTAATCCTCCTACCCCGCCCCCCTGCCCATGATAGAATGGGACTGTCAGTATTGTCATTTTTCAGTCATTTCTGCCCAGGTTTTCCTATTGGTATAATGTTGATAATTAGTATATTTAGTTCAAATTAACAAAAATGTCATGTGCCAGGCACAAAGCAAAGTGTTAGAATTACACATCACTAAGCTGGACAGGCATCTGTATACCAAAAACATATAGTCTAATAAGTGACTACTAATCACTTAATTTTTCCTACAGATTGATGAAAAGATAAAATAGCAAATGCAAAAGAGAAAGTTCTTGGGCTCACTTCCATTAGTTCTGTTCTAAAGTTTATACTCTCAGAATGCTTAATGCAGAGGAACTTATTTTCCCTCTCCACTCCTATTCTCCCACAGGTAAGGGGTCTCTAATTTTCTGCACCACCTCAAAATATCAAAGAAAACTGGGGTGTGGTAGCCACCGCAAGGACCTCCAGTGCACATGTAGCTAAACATACACAAGTGAGACCATGCTTCTGCGATTAGAGGCTTCTTCCTTCACTGTCATGAGCATAACATGGTCACTTATGCATAGTCCTTAGATCGTAATCAGAACTCCAAGAAATGTTTGCTGACTGAATAATCTTTCATTTGTTCAACTGAAGGCAGTGTCATAGTGGCCAGCCATGCAGCCTGTCACTTGAAGAAAAGTGCTTGAGGAAGAATGAACATTTCGACATTACTTCTTGCTGATCTACAATTTTAACTCTATTTGTACAGCCAGATAACTGAGTACATGATTTACAGGAATAAATGAGAGTCACCTGTGGCTGTACGTTTGTGTAAGTCCACATACTTTTTACGTAGGTTGTTATATTTATGAATTGTGCTACCTACACTCTGGTTACAGGTTGTTCTTTACATCAATAACTCATGAAAACCCACTAGGAGAGCATGTCAGATATAAGAATGGCACCACAGATCACAGATTGAAAAGACCTCTGGGATCATCTGCACAGAGTAGGAAAAACCACTCATGATCACTCTCCTTTGGTTCTGCCTCATCTGTAATCACTCCATGGGGCAAACTGCACTCCTGGTTTTTCTGACCAACAAACAGTTCTGCACAGGCTAGTTAAATTATCTTTCCGGCCGGGCACGGTGGCTCACGCCTGTAATCCCAGCACTTTGGGAGGCCGAGGTGGGCAGATCACGAGGTCAGGAGATCAAGACCATCCTGGCTAACACGGTGAAACCCCATCTCTACTAAAAATACAAAAAATTAGCCAGGTGTGGTGGCGGGCGCCTGTAGTCCCAGCTATTAGGGACGCTGAGGCAGGAGAATGGCGTGAACCCGGGAGGCAGAGCTTGCAGTGAGCCGAGATCGCGCCACTGCACTCCAGCCTGGACGACAGAGCGAGACTCCGTCTCAAAAAAAAAAAAAAAAAAAAAAAAAAAAAAAAAATTATCTTTCCTTTTCCATCAGTCTTGAATTCATATGAGTATTGTTAGTGGTAATTATCCTTATAAAAGGCAAAAATAACGGTCTCAGGGCATTTTTCCACAAGCAAGGCTTTGTATCAGAAATGGTAAAAATCAAAATGAAATCAGAAGTATTTAGAAAGTTACATGTATTCAAAATACTACTATTAGAATTTTTAATTTAAATAAAGACACTTATTTTCAGTCAGGAAGCAAAATGATATAATAGCCAAATAGTAATTCTTATTCCTATAACTTGGCCTTTACAACTTACCAGGTGTTAAGTCTATACATAGAGTAGTGTCCAGTCTCATTATTTAAGAGACAGTCGTGTTCTTGTTATCTGCTTTGTTTATCTAAAACTTTGCAGTAAAAGAAAATGATACTGAGCCTTGGGGAATCCTTGTTCAGCTGAAGAAAATGAGTAGTTCTGGTACCCAGGCCAATTTTAGATTTTACTATCGTACTTAAAGTACAAAAATCATGGTTCCAAGTAGAGAAAAGAATGCTAGACTAGGCCAAATTATTCTTGGGCAAATGTCTCAAACATATTGGGCTTCGAGTCCTTCATGTAAATTAAATAGTTAAATTAAATGAATCTAAACACTAGGAGAAATAGAAATTTTATTCCAATGTTGGAGGCCTATTAATAACCAAACAAAGAAGGTATGGAAATCACCATCAGGTGAAAGTTGGCATTGGAAACCACTTGTCTTAGGAGGGAGAAAGAGGCAGCCAAAGCAACTTCTGAAAGCCTTGTGAAGACAACCTCAGTGAAAATCGGAAATAACGACAATAAAGTCAAACCGGTTGTCAGAGTTTATCAGAAGAACGGTCCCAAAGCAGTACCTGACCTGACCGGCCAACTAACCTGAAATTCAACAGTTGAAGTTTGAGTGGCATATTTATAAAATCAAACGTCTTCTGGAAGCTACATGTAAAAACGAAACTGTAGCTTATGAATAGAAGAAGTGGCTACCAGAAGACTCTACCTATATTTTGGAGTTCATTTTAGGTCACATATCATTCTTGTTTGTCACAGCCAACTATGGAAATAACACTACCAGTGTCACTTCCCAATAGGTCAGGAAGAATACTTGGAAGAAACATTTTGGAAGGCAGTCGGTGTTTGCTGTTAACAAAAATGGCCACACCAATGTATACCATCTCCCCATTCCACAATGAAATATTATTTGCTACTACAGATATCACAGTTTTATACAGAAAACAAGTGACAAAGATATAGAAGTTCAACACTAATTTCTCCTTACACAAAATACAGGTGACCCCTTTGGCCACCAACCTGTTGCTCAAGCTAGTTTTAGAAACCCTGTCAGGAAGAATAAAAATTTCTGTGGTTTCTGGAACATTTTGGGGGTATAAGGTCTTGACCAGCAAATATGAAAGTATATTGTAAGGTTTCCTCTTAATATCAATACTTAGTATCACATTTTGGGTCTTGTAAGTGCTCACATATGTTTCAGAAACAATTAAATTTTTTATTGACATTTTGGCCTGCCTCCTAAAGATGATATCCTTCAGCTGTTAAACATTTGATAGGTTTGAAGTTGGGAAAGTTTTTTTTATTTAATATTTTTATGCTCTTGAAGATGTACATACAGAAAAGGCAAGAGGTGACCTGAGTCTTTTGAAGTAGTAATCAAACTTTAGGAAAAAGGCAGAGACTTTCAAAAACCTTTCTGGGTGTCTTTTGAGAGAGAGGAGGGAATAATTAGTAGACCTTTGTCATATGATTAAGCTTATCAAATCAGGATCGGTTCTACACACACCAATAAGCTCTGATCTGGTTCCTTGTTTTGTAACATTATAAAGAATGAGGAAAACTTGTGCATTGGAAAATAAATTTGTTTAAAGGGTCTCGAATTAATTAATTTATTTCACCTGGGAAATCGCACTTATTTTTCAACTGGGAAGGCAAACGGCTGACCTTCAAGTTACTAACATCTACAGGACTTGAAAAGAGAAGGGAGTCTGTAACCTCATCAGAAAAGACTGAAACAGTCAGATACTGTTCCCCAAATATTACAGATTTCCTGTCTTATAGGATTCTAAGCAAATAACCAGAATATCACTCCGGGGTACACCTTCCTGTATAAGCAATGCCCTGGACTAGACCCTCCTAACAGCTGCTCTCCAAGTCTCCGCAGCCAATTCCTTCCTTAATTTGCCTTCACTTTGAGAAAGAAAAAAGAAAACAAAATCCCCCCATTCCCCGTTCCCAATCTATTACATTTCAAAGGAGGAGAAAGAACTGGAAAACCCCGTTTCCTTTGAGAAACGCGTCCGCGGCAGCTACTGAGGGTCTGCCCCACCTTTAGCTTCAGGTTGACAACTGCCTTCAGCGCGTTCTCAGCTCAGCTGGCCCTATGGGTCCCCTAAAATCGCCCGAGCGTCCGCCCTGTCTGACCTGCCCCCCTGCCGCGGCGCACATTTCAGCTTTTCAGCTTCACGGTGGAGCTCGCAGTAATTGAGTCGCGAGGGTTATTTTTCCTGGCCTCACCTCGCGGTCCTGAGCCTGCAGGGAGCTTTCGGAAAGACATCGCCCCCTCCCCCTGAGTCCCCGGCAGCTTCTGAACGCTGCGCGGGTCTCCGCCCCGCGGGAACCAGGATTGCGATCCGTTCCTCGGCGGCTAGAGGTTGAGGCCGGAGGCTGACACCACCAGGGACCCAACGGAGGGTTTATTCTGCCCAGCTTCACATCTGGGGGTCAAATCGCATTAAAGCCAAACCACCAACGGGGCAGGGAGCAGGTGGTTAACTGCACAAAATAAAGTTACAGAAAAAACCTCGTTTTGCAGGCGAGTGACTTAGTTTCCCTCTGTAGCTTTGCCGTCATAAAAAGCAAGTCCCTCCCCTCTCCTGAGCTGGAAGGCGGGGAAAGGTTATCAGCGGCTCCAGATGGACGCCCGTAGGCAGGGTCAGTTTAGGAAGACCGGCAGGCAGGCGTATTAGGCGCGCGGGCTCCCATCCTCATGGCTATGGGAAGCAAGTTTCCCTCATCCCTTCTTGGAAGGTAAGAGCTTTGACATCTGGAAGTGTCAGAAATGAGCCTTTTGCCATAAATCATCCTGAAAAGCATTCAAATCAGACAAGCGTCTAGAGACCCTTTAGACACTCCACCCCCAAAATCCTAGATCAAAGTGCAGTTCCTGGAACCATAAACACCTATTATATGCAAAATCCTACTTATCTGGAGGATGCCAAAACTGAGAGTAAAGTAAGGGGTAAGGGGCACTTTTCGCTGTAAATTTCCTATACAAATCTCAAAATTTTTCTTAGCATTGTCAACTACCTTCTTGGAGACAGGCTACAGCGCTTCTAAACCCAATACGCTTTTCTGGAGTCCTCGGAACAGCTGGCCGGGGCTTTTAGCACACGGGACGGGACCTTCGCCTTTGCCTGTTTTTTTTTCGACCAGGAGAAGCAGGTGCGAGAGTCTGGGGCTTAGGAGGTGGAAGGCGGGGAAAGAGAATCCACTAGGTCCTCGTGTAGAGAACAACAGTCGCTCCTTAGATATTACTCCAGGACGGAAACCTGATTGCAAACCGCTGTTCCTTCGAAACTTGCAAAACCCGGAACAGAAAACTCCCGCCCAGCCAATTTTAGCTCTCGCTGAACTCTCCCGCCTGCGTTACGTTTGCACAGCAACTCTTTGTAAATGTCCGAGTCCTCTCGGAGGAAAGATCGTTAGGGCGACGAGAACATTAAGAGGGGACCTGGAGGGCAGATATCCTCGATCCCAAGAGAGCAACTTTGTCGCCTCAGAAAACACGCCAACTTCCCTCCTGCTCTTTCCTTGGTCAACTCAGAATCAACCGATTGTATTGAAATCTCCTGAAATCCCGAACAGGGATTGGCCCAGTCGGCTTCTGAAACCGAGGCCGGGGAATGGCAGGAATGGGGGGCAGAGAGGATCGGAAAGAAGAGTCCTTCCCCCACAGACATTCCCAGCTGGGACACGAGCTCGCTCGCAGCGCGTTTATGGAAAGAGGGGGCGCTGGGAACCGCGCTGGCGGCGAGCAGACTCCAGGGTCGAGATTATTCGACACGTGTCTTTTATTCCTCACAATCCATTTCTTACGGGTGATTTATGAACGAATCTCTTTGATCAGGGACGGTTTTATCTGTCCACTGCTACAGATGACAGATGCGGCTGCTAAAATGCCTGGTCCCCGCTGCCTAAAAGGTTGCTCCCCCCCTTCCCAAATGCTGTTGCTTTTTCTCTGGCGGTCCCCACCCCCTGCTTCTTCGTTCTCCTTCCCTACCCCCAACCCCGTTTGCTGTCTTAGTTGCAATCCCTCTGGGTGGTTAAGTCAACAAAAAAGCGCAGAGCAGGGTCAGTAGGAAGCCAAGGCAGGCATACTTTGGGCACGCCATCCTCCTGATGCCACATTTGTTAGGGTCTTAAGAAGGCCCCTAGCCGGAGACCAGAAGAGCTTGCTCTTAAGGTGGGGGTTGCCTGCCTTCGGAAACTAGAAGATGAGGTCCTCACAGCCAAGTCCCATGGGCCTGGCTCTGCCCAGAAAAGGCTCGTGCTGGGGTAGGGAGCCAGTACACCGGGGGAAGCCTCAGCCTGCGGTTCTGTGCGGGCCGGGGCTCATCAGAACAACCACTTTGGCTTAATTGGGGAGGGAAGGAGGCAGCTGGAAAGGGGGAGAGGGGAGAGGATCACGTTACAGAGCCTCCTAGTCCCTAATAGGTAAAGGAAAGCGGAGTCTCTGAAGCGGTTATTAATAGTAGGGGTGTGTGTGTGTGTGTGTGTGTGTGTGTGTGTGTGTGTGTGTTAGTAGTATTTCATTAAAACCATATCCTGGAACAAAGAGTTGTTCTTTCATGTTTCTTTGCTTTGTTGTTACTCTGACAGGAGTTCTAAAAACAGGATTTTTCCAATCAAAGGATCCCTGGAGTTATCTGCCCCCTCCTAGCCTCCTTTCCCTCCACCAAACTGCTCTTGGTATCATTATCCCGCTATGGATTCTTTCTTATACTCTTGATTTAGCCAGAGGACATTTAATAGCTGATTGGATTAAATGTTGCAGACTCCAGCCTGGGCTATTTGAAAATCCGGGTCGTGGACTGTGCCTAACATCAGAGAAGGAAAACTGATCTATGAGATGTGTTTTAAGTTTCACGTAGTACGGCGGGGAGAGAAGGAAGAGGAAGAAGGGAGTCTCTAGGTTACAAAGTTAGAAGTTTCAAAAGGTGTGCGTTGATGAAGGGTAGGGAGAGAAGTCAGTGGCGGAATGAGGCAAAAGGCAACCTTAGCAAGAAGCTAATAGAAATTTCCTCCATCATAATGTGCAAACGAGATTTATAAGAACACTTTGTAAATATTGCTCTGGATGTCAGGATTCTTCCCCAGGAATGGAGTGCTGACTCCATTAGGGGTGCATCCACAGACCTCTCTGAAGGACTTGTTTGTCATTGCTAAATTTGTGGTAGGAAGATGGTTTCTGCTTCAAGTTTGCTTTCAATAATAGTAACAATTCTTTGATTGGTGTTAAGTTTCAGGAACAAAAGAAGAGAAATGTGGGCTGTTTTTGTCCAGTACTATGTTTAGAAAATGGAGGCATAGCAGTCCCAAAGGAGAGCTTCGCACAGCCAAATCTGGGTGTTGGGGTTTGACCGAGTATTTCTACAAGGACGGGAAAACCTAGAGAGGCAGGATCTGATGCTCCTCAGTGACCAGGACCTCTGTGAGCTACAACCAAATAATATGATATGCACCCAAAGGTAACAATAAATCAAGGCTAGGAATGACTGGATGGGTATTGAGATTAAATGCTATAGAGAGAAAGAGCCTGTTTATCTGGTCTGGAAATTTTAAAAATTGTCAATCCTTAAAGCTAATATGATCACTGACTATATTTCATTTCTGATTATGCCTGTAGGAAGCCCAAAAAGGAATAAGATAAACCCTCACAGTAAAATTGGATTTAATATTGTGGAAGAAAATACCCTGACTTTTAAATTTTGTTTAAAGTAGAGAGCTATATGGGTGGCTATATAATAACATAAGCCAGATATAATGTCAATTTAACAGAGATTTAGGGATAGTGTTGCATCTAAAAGAAGAGCCACAGCACAGTTCATTGAATATATCGTCTTAATATATGGGTAACAAATATTTAAAACCTTATTGTATGCCAAGACCCTGGCCTGAGCCACATGTTAGCATTCACAGTAACCTCTAAGAACATTCCTATTCAACATGGAGAAAGTAATTGGACTCTCTTCCACATCTGGCGAACTGCTAATTCGTTTTAATTTTGTTTACAAGCTTTCTTCTTGCATAAAAAAAATGCTTCCTCTGTTTACAAGTCATTTTTAAAAATCCTTTTCAATCAAACTGATCATGTATCTTGGTAAAAGCCCTTCCGCATGGGCTCGGGGATTTCAGAGTGCTGGGTCCTGGCCCCATGAGTAAGGGATCACCCGCTCATCTTTCAGCCCATCCAAGCATCTTGGAGGTTTAGAATCTGTCAGGCCTGGCATTCCTTCGCTCTTCTTATCACTCTCTACCCCTTCAAAAAGGCAATTGATTAGTTTCAGCTTTTCCAAACCGAGATCCGATATGTTTTTCAGGATCAAACGTCTTTGAGAAGTCCAGAGAGCAATGTGGGAAGTGGGGAATGTGAAGAAGGAAAACAGGAGGGGGATGGTGAAATTCATCTCTCACCCTAACTCTCCAAAGGAACCTAGGGGATGCGCATTTTGGGCAGGAGATGGAATTGTGACTTCTGGAAGATGCACTTAACAACTTGAGATGTGTCTTCCCTTTCTGAAAGCAAATGTTTAAAGAAGAAAATAGATATCTAGAAAAGGAGGTTGATGATTTATGCCTGGATTTCTCTCCAAGCATTTGCCTTCCTTGTATTTACAGGCGTGTCCCCATTTGCAAGTTGTACGTCTGTTCCTTTCACGTGACATTTCATAAAAGCCCTAACATCTGGGCAAGATAAACTTCCTTCAGGTACCTGCTTAACTTTTCACTTGTCACACTCACATCACCCCCCAAGGCATCCCTTTCTCTCTCCCGCCTGCCTCAGTGGTGGCCTCTGTGGGGGTGCACTTTGTTCCAGTCCTCCCACCTCCCACCCCCATGTCGCTGGCCCCAGTTCCAGCTTCCCACAATATCACCCCCTCCCAGTGCCAACCTTTGCCGTGGCCAGGTTCTTTGAGAGACTCCCGATCCTTAGTCTCCCACTTCAGGCCTGACTGTGCAGGTAAATGAGGGTAGCATTTTGAACCCCAGAAAAAAAGTCATATTTCGATTCTGTCTTCAGACCAAAACCAAACCAAAAGGAAAACTGCCGACTACTCCATACAAACTCACACTTAGGTTCGATAGTCCCTTATACATCTATATATTCCTCAATAAAGTGAAATAAAAGAGCAGCTGATTTTGGTGGTAGTCATTTCGTGAGATTTCCCTCTCTGGTAGATACGCAAACTTCATGTTTTACAGAAACTTAATTTCACTTGCTGGAAATCTCCCCTCCCCCAAGAAGGCTGCCTTCTGGAATGAATGCTTTTAGAGTTGTTTTTTCTTTTCCTAATCTAGAATTTTGTTCCTCTGACTTCAGCCTAAATCGCACGAAGGAGGAGGACACATCCACAAACTTGAGAGCGGGTGAGAGAAAAAAAAAATAGAAGGAAAAGAAAAGAGTCCACGTAAACAAGAAAGGAGGCTGTTGCAGGCTCTCCCTGCAGCAAACCCCAAACGATCTCGTTGCAGGGCGCCCACAAAATCCCGGCTATAATTGAGTGTTTTCTTTGAGGTTTTCTGACCATGTGCTTTTTACCATGGTTACTATGACTCTGATTCCAGAAGCTGAATATTCATCATGATCCCATCCCAACCTTTCAGAAGGCTTATCTCGTTGGTCCTTACAAAGAAGGAGAATCTAAAGGGGGCTCCTCTGTGCCAGTGATTTTAACCTGCTCCACCTTCCAGTGACCTGCCACATGCTCCTTCTTACTTTATAGACATCTGGGAATTCCATACATGCCTTAAACTCCAATTACACACCTTCTTCAAAGGACACGTGCTTTGATTTGCTAAGAACATTAAGTGGGCTCACGTCCTTAGGCCTTGAGACAAAAGCGAGGGGAAAATGGAAAATGTATCCCATGTCGTTTTTTTTTTTTTTTTAATTTAAACTGGGTCTATCCTTTGCTGTCCAGTAAATAAAGATAGTTAATAATCCTCCTATTTGCACATTCGTGGGCTCTCAAAGAGTTGGAAGGTTTCTGAGAAATAGTGGGATTGCCGGCTTTGAGAAAATATGAAGAAACCGATTTCTCCTTCCACTTTGCCAGTGCACTTTCCTTCCACTTTCACTGGTGCTGGGGGCGGCGCACTCTTTACGACATATAAGCGGAAAATTCTGCAAAAGTGGCCCCCGGGGATCCCCGCCCGACCCCTGTCTGTCGCTAATGTGGGCCTGTCTCCGGAAATTCGAGGTTGGGCCTTTGCCTGAATCTGTTGCTATTGCTCCCCTTGCTACCGCTGACACTTGGCACCGCCGCCTCCTAGCAGCGGCCAGACGCGGGGCTGGGGGCCTTCCACGCAAACCGAAGGAGATACGGACATCGTCATTCTCCCCACCGCGCGAGCCGGGCCCGCCACCCACGCAGGGGAGACCGTGCCCGTGCCCCTCTCCCGCGCCTGCCGCAGGTGAGACCCTCGCTCCCCACGGAGTTCTGTTTGGGTTTCCGTGGCGTTTGTTCCCCGCAGGTTTGTTTATTTTTCTTCAAATTACAGATGCAGGGAAAACCGCCTGACATCATGAGAGCGGGACAAACGCTCACTTTGAAGGATTCCTGGGCAGGACTTCAAGTGAAATCATATGCCTGAGAAGAACTTGATACCGGTCTAGAGAAAATAACCAGTTCTGACTTTGCCAAACCATGGAATGTGCAAAATGCTCTACTTTTTTGCAAGAGGCCAAATGTCCCTTAAAAAGCTCCATTATGAATATGAACCTTAAGACCGAAGGGTCAAGAAGCTTGTGCCGTTGTTGAGTGTGGGAAAAAATTTACACACATCGTGCAAGTTTCTGCTCCTTAACATTATTTTATTAATAATACGTTCCACTTTGGGGAGGGGAACCTGTAACTGTGCGTGAATTATCATCTGGACATGTGCTTCTGTGAACAAAAGGGGAAATGTGCATATGGGTAAAAAAATTACTGCTTTCTTATAACTAAAGGCTATCAATCTGACCAACTTATAAATAAAAGTAATCAATAGCACAGTAAAGGAAACATTAAATTTTCTACAATTTACCCAAGACAATTTAATACAATACTTTCCCCTAGCAAATGCATTCTGAAGGAAAAAGATCCCAAGTGAACCAACACATTAATTGGAAAGCCTTAGCTTCTTATTTCCGAAAACAAGAGGTAATTCATTCTATGTGTTCTTTAAATAAGGGTAGGTAGCAAAAATAAAATGAAATAACATAAAATCAAAAGAAGATATAATGGTGGAGGAAAAGAAACAGGTGGCTTCATTTCTATTCTAAAAAAGAATTTCACGATTTATGTCTTGTGTATACAGGGGTAGGGATTAGAATCTGCAAGCTGGAAACTGCATTCCAGTAGTTAATATTTTTCATTGTGCAGTCGCCTCATTCAAAATAAAATTACCACCTTTTTCATTCATTTATTTCTCTGAAAATCTGGGGGGAAACATTACCTTCAGATTAGTATTTAATATTACTATAAATATGGCATTTGCTTTTCTCCAAAGTGTTTCCCCTTATGAAAAAAGTAGAAAAAGCAAAACACATTAAAAAAAGAAAGAAATAAAAGAAAGGCAAATGGAGAGCTACCTTTCTTTGACACATCTAGTTCTTATATCCAGAGTTAAGATAACAATTACCTTCTCAGCAGTCATGGCCAGCTCCATCCTGGTGTACCTTAAGAAATCTGAAATATCAAATAGTCAGACCAAGCTAGTGAACAAGGAGACTCCCCATGAATAATTTAGAAAATGGAGGTGGTTGGATGATACATACAAAAAAGAATTACCAACCTAATGCTTTCCCTCATCCTCCTAGGGCACCCTCCTTACATTTCTAACCTGCCTTACACACAACACACACACACCCCCAACAAATACACCAACACATAATCGCCTTCCCTTTCTGTTATTTGCTAAAGGACTATCAAAATAAAAAAATAATAATACTTCTCCAAGCTTTCACTAACCTTTTAATACAAGTCAATGCTGCAGACTCCTTATTGTAAAATATAGTCTGAAATATTAACAATAAATTCATAATATTCTTATGTCAGCATTCTATGGTGCTGTGTGAAGAAGAAAACAAAAACCTTCAGGCAATAAAATAACTTTGACCTGAGCTAAGCAAAAACGATCTGTTTGGATACATACACTTATTAGTCATTGTTTGAAACAGGCACCAAAATGATTTTCCAGTTTGAAAGCTTCCCCAGTTACACTTGGATGCAGTAAATCGGATGTAAAAGCTAAGAACTGATACAAAATCACTATTTCTAATAATGTTAATTATAAAAGCCAGTATGTTCCTGGCCCACAAATAATCAGAATGAAATAAAAAATCAAACACCCCCGTTTGCCCATTATTGTTTTACTTAACTTCAGATTGTGTGTGTGTGTATGTATGATCTCACCAGGGAAAAATTCTGTGTAATTCTGGATAAAATATAACGCTAATGAACTGACTAGTAACTGCATAGCTGTAGTATTTAAAACTGTGATTATTCCAACTGTGATTATATCCAGTTACCAAGGATACTGAAAGTTCAGGATCTTCATTTTTGTATATTATTCCACAGCCTTATATTCTTTACACATAAAAAAAGAATGATGCTTCCCAAATAGCGTCAATATAGCGATATATTAACTTTTCTTTTTAGCAAACATGACACTAAACGTCATATTCATTCATGAGAGAAGAGTTAAGCAAATTACAAATGGAATTTTCTCTTTTCTGCTGATTTACACTTTATTTTCTATGCATTTCTGGTCATTTCTATATGTGTATAGATAATTTTCATAACACTATATATGTTTTCACTGAAAAGAACCTGTTATTTAGGAATCTTCACAAAGAGTGAAGAGCATGACAAAAAGTACATAATAAGAGAATAGTGCAGGTTTTATACTCCTTATTTGCATTTAACTGTTTTAACAACTATCACCTCAAAATAAAAAGGAGGTGAATAGCAAATTTGTTAAGTTTTTGCTGTTTGGAGACAGTAAGAGATGAAGAGATGCTACTAAGCCCTCTGAATACCAAACTGGAATAATAATAAAGCTGTCTTTTAAAATAACATGCTTGTGCCTGTCAGTAGCTGCTTTATTTGAGTTTTTCATTGCTTTGTTTATATTAGTGCCCCCTCCCTCCTGGGTGCCTCTAGAATTAAACAAGCAGGTATTTACCACCAACTTAATCTTTAGTTTTAAAAATATAGACCAAACTCTAAGGTTCTCTAAATTTTTTATATTTATTTATTGCAGAAAAATATACAAAGATATTTACAAAACAATCATAAAAATATGAATGCATTTAGACACCGGATCTATTTGCATTTTACCATGGGTCCTCAATAAATAAATAGAATGTTGTTTTTTGTATTTTAAGTTTTTTTTTGTTTTTCCCCTCAGAGGAAGGATGAAAAAAAGAATTAACTGACTATGGTTTTGCAGGCCAGTTTGATCCCAGTATTTTTATTTCTAAAGGTGTTCTTATAGTTCCTCTGATTGTTACCATTTTAAAATAGAGAAAGTCCATAGTGATGCCTTTCCTTTCAGTGGCTGATTGGCACGACCTCTTGAGAATGCATGCATGAAAAAAATAAAAATAAAAACATTCTTCGTCAAAAAAAAAAAAAAAAAAAACACAAACAACTGTTCAGACTTCTATCAGAATGCAGAGGTGTGAGGATGGTGCCGCTGCCCGTCTGGGAATCACTGTCCACGGGCCTGTCTCGCTTTCTCTTTTAAAAGTGCGCCCCACGCCCTGTTTCTTTGAATTTGGATTTTGCTCTTCTAATTTCCAAGAAAATCTTTGGCATATATTTTTATTTTTAGTTATCCAGCTCCAGAGTCTCTAGACTGTCCATTTTCTCCTTCTCTGGAAACAATGACATCTGCAAAAACCCAGAGGGGGGGGGGGGAGTCGGTTATTGTTTAGGTCTCTGCGGCTGTTTTCTAAGACTAGTGAGCACTGTTCTTATCACCACCACTGAGAAATTAAGCTGAACAACCTGGAAGGATTTCAGCCCAAGGGCAAGAGGAAGTGGGTGGGTGGAAAGGAGGAGGAGGTGGAATTTGTTTTAAAACATTTGTTTTAAGGAGAACAAAAATTGAAAGCCGAAAGAAAGGGTGGCGCTGACAAAACGGTCCTTACCCGTGACCCTGGGTGTCTCTGTCTCCCCTCCTGTCACGCACACTCACGCGCACACACACCCCTCACCAGGGCGCATCCCCCTGGAGACTGCTCTCCCTAGCGGGGTCAGACCGGCCTTCCGGGGACGCTGGGGGCGCGAGGCAACGGTGCCAAGTGAGGTGGGAAGGCTGAGCGGAGAGTGGGAGAGGGGAGGAAATCGAGGTGGACTGGGAACCGCGGCCTGGCCGGCCTGCCGTCTGCCACCTGAGAGGCGAAGGGGTGCAGCGGCGCGGTCCTTACCTAGGTCTCCGGCCCTGCTGAGGGGGTGGGGGGCTCCGCCTGCTAGTGGGACGCGGACATGGACCAGGCCCCCTCCATCCTCCAGACCGAGAAGGCGTAGCTGAGCCGCTCGTGAGCCACATAGCTGCAGCTTGCCATCTTGGAGTCCAGCTCGTCGCTCTGGAGGACCTGGTAGAGGAAGTCGATGTACCTGGCCGCCAGCTTGAGGGTCTGAATCTTGCTCAGCTTGTCCGAGGGCAGCGTGGGGATGATCTTCCGCAGCGCGGCGAACGCCTCGTTCAGCGACTGGGTGCGCTGGCGCTCCCGCACGTTGGCCATGACCCGCTGCGTCTGCAGCTCCTCGTAAGACTGCGGACTCCCGCCGCCGCTGCTGCTGCCGCCGCCGCCGCCCGCGCCGCCGCCGCCGCCACAGCCCGCAGACTTCTTGCCGCGCTTGCCCTGGGCCGGGCTGCCCGGCTCGTCGCCGCCTCCGACGCCCCCACCCGCGGCTCCGCCGGGCCCCGCGCCGCCGCCCGCGCTGCGCCTGCTGCTGCGCCGCTTGCGTCCCCCGCGCTTGCCGCTCGGCGGCTGCTGCCGGTCTGGCTCTTCCTCGCTGTTGCTCAGGCTGTCGTCGGCCGGCGAGACTGGCGAGCTGGACACGTCCTGCATCATCTCTCGAGCGGCGACGCGTGGCCTCGCGGGCCCGGGGCAGAGGAGAAGAGCGGGGCGCCTCAGCCCGCCAGCTTCCCCCGCGCGCGGCGCCGGCCCGGGCGATGCGGCCCGCGGAGGAGAGAGCAGGAGGACGGACGGGAGGGACCTCCGCGGGGAGGGCGCGCGGGGGAGGCGGGGAGGGAGGCGGGAGGGGGAGGGGACGGTGTGGATGGCCCCGAGGTCCAAAAAGAAAGCGCCCAACGGCTGGACGCACACCCCGCCAGGCCTCCTGGAAACGGTGCCGGTGCTGCAGAGCCCGCGAGGTGTCTGGGAGTTGGGCGAGAGCTGCAGACTTGGAGGCTCTTATACCTCCGTGCAGGCGGAAAGTTTGGGGGCAGCAGTGTCATTGGCCTGACGTGAGGAGGAGGGACTTTTCGAAGTTTTATAGGAAAGTTTCCGCTTTCCAGTCCCCCTCCCCCGTCCCACCTCCCTTCCTCGGGGTCTAACAATTCGTCCTCCCAAACCATTCAAAAACGACCTGGCCCGGGCGGCCGGCCCCTCCACCCGCCTCCTAGCCGCCCTCCCCCTTCCCTCCCCGTCGCCTTCCTCCGGCGGGCGCGGGGCGATTTCCTTCCCCGCCGGAGCGTGCGGGCAGCGCCCCCGAACCCTAGCGCAGCCCAGGAAGCGGTCGGAGGAGACTGTCCTGGCCGCGGTGGCAGCCCCATCCGGAGTGGCTGTGACAGCAGCAATGGCAACAGCTTCTACACAGTGGGTGATGTCTCATCTCGCCCAAGAGCCCTCTAGGTCCGTGGGGCCGATTTGGGATTGCTGGGGCTGGGGGGGTGGTGTGGCGCGGGGTGGGGGGGCATGCCAAGAAAAGTGTCAACCGCGGAGCCCACCCAATGGTCAGGTAGACGAACCCCTTGGAGTTCCAAAGGCCAAACCGCGGCGGCCCAGCCCGGAGGTCCTGGGCGTTTCTGAAGACGTGGCCGCGCCGCGGGGGCTGAGGATTTGCGTCCCGGCCTGCTCTCTCGCCCTTCTGGGCCCTCCTTTCCCCTCTACAACGACCCAGTCTGACGCTCCCCAACATCCAAAGGACTACGCCTCGGAAGGTGCTCGAAAGAGGCAGAAGTTCACTCTTCGGTGGAAGGAAACCCAGTCCATGGGAAAGGCAGCAGAGCCAGAGGGGGGCAGCGCAGCGCCTTTGCTGCGGCCCTAACAGCTGGCAATGCCAACCCAAGGGAGAGACCCTGTGGCCATTTCATCCCCACCCCCAAATTAGGCTCCGCATTGTGACCTTGAAAGGCCAGCTTGTAAGAGAGTGAAGTGGGAATTTGATAGCGCCTAGACATAGGGGCTGCCCGCTCTGAGACCCCCCCCGCCCCAGCCCCCACTATCTAGGGCATCCAGTGGACAATTAGGCTTCGTGAGCCCCAATTCCAAATGCTTGGATACGCTAACATTTTAAGCATTTCTGTCTGTAAGTTAAAACGAAGAGCCCCAAAGAGGGTGTTAATGTAGATCCTGGCAAACTGGAAGCAGCAAAGTTGGTGAACCAGAAAGGAAGTCGCCTTGGATAAGAAGCCCATCTTTTGCAATGCCATACTTGTTTCCTTTTTGAAATGAATTGAGGTAAAATAACCGTTTCAGGTCCATCCCTTACATGGCAAAGTAAAAAGCTGGAGTCAGTACACAGTGTTGGGGTGGGGGCAGCGTTTGGGGGCGACGAGTTTTGTGCACCGCGCTGGAGTACCCTGCACATAAGGTCCGCTCATGGGCTTCTCAGTACGGACTCGCCGGCGGGAACAATTAATTGAGCAAAGCGCCCCTTTCTGGGCTGGAGCAAGGTTCGCGGCTGCAGATATCTCAAGCTGAAGGCAAGAGCCCAGGCGAGGCGCAGGCAGGCCACGTGGCTGTTCCCTGCTGAGACTCGCAGCTTTGGTCTTGGAAACCTCAGGGTGTGGAGCTGCTTGGGCCGACTGAAGGGTTCAGCTTTTTGGGAGAAGTGAGGGCGAGTGTTATTTCTCCAGCGAGGTGTAAACAAGACTGTGCTTTCATGGGAGGGACAAATTGCAGAGTTGATCCCTTACCATTTTTACAGAAATACTCAGAAAGTGACTACAGCTTGTCAACTGGCCTGTTTAGTGAGCCGCTGCCTTACTGTAAAATTGTCTGAAAATCAGATTCGACTTGACCTCCACTTAATTTCAGTAGCACTCTAGCAGTTCTCAAAACAGTCACCCCTGCACCCTTGCGTTTGCATCTTCCGCTACAGGATTTTATCTCTTGGAAGCGCTTAGAGAATGCGGCAGAAATTCTGCCCCACTCTCCACCAAGTGTTCTTTTTGTAAATCTGAATTTACAGTATTCTGCAATTCTTATTTAGAACGTGGCTGCAGAAATCTCGAAACCTTTTCCACTTCAGCTATTTTTTTAAAGATAAATCTTATTTTTGTTTTGTTCTTTTTTTCTCTTTTCTCAAAAATAAATAAAGAGATCGAATGATTGGACTCTTTCCTTTGTGGCCACGGATAAGTAAGACAGGAAAGTGTGGGTAAAGTGTAAAGGAAATCTTACCTGACCAAGGGGAATTTGGGAAGGGGAGGGGAGCGGACAAGCTAGAGGAGAAACCAAGTCCACAGCAGCGCAGCAGCCAGGGGTCATTAGCCAGTCCATCTTGCAAAGTCATCAGTCTCAAAGACTGGTTCTTAAACAAGTGAGCCCAGCCCTTTTCCCGGCACTAAACTTCTAGCTGATGAAGAGCTCCTGGCCATTGGGTACAGGGATCCCCGCAAGGCTCAGGCGACGCTCTGATGCCAGAATACTGAGAGGGGAATTCAAAATGAACACCTAACCAGAACCATCCTGCCCATGGACTCTTTCAGCCACAGTCACAATTGATGACTAGTTCTAAGAAGAAATGGCTCTTGAACTGTTCCGGGGAGTGGAGGATGAGACGACTTTTGAGTTCTTAAGTGGGGCTTGAATGTTACTTTTGGAGCAAAAGTAGTCCAGGAGGTACCTCTCAAAAAATGGCTGGAGCTAGATACTCCCTGCTTTGCAAACTGCAACACGCCCTGGCTGACGAGTCCAGTCTGCTCATATACAGCTCTTTCTTATCTAACATTTTACCTAACAATTTTCTTTTCCACATTTGCAAGGATGGCTCCCTTTTTACTTGTTGACAGGTCAGGTATAATTCTGGATTCTCTTATATATGCAACAATAATTGCAACTTCTGCAATGTTTAGTTTAAATTTGAAAGCTTCTTTCTAAAATCCCAATCTTGAGATCATGAAAACAATCTTAGAAATTTTCTTTTGAGGCTGAAGTTAGCCTAACTGGAAGTATGTCAGTGGGGACTACCTTCTTTGGGAATGCTAGATTAACTGGAATTCAGTCATTTTGCCTCCTTCTAAAGTAAAGTCCTCCCCAAAAAAATTTAACTGAAAAAAAAAATTTCTTTTGTACTTGGATAGTTCAAAACGATCTTTGTTTTCAAACTGCAAACTTGGCATGTTTGCAATCCTGCCTGAGGAATGTGTGCTGTGTTAAAAATTGAAACAAAAAATACTGTTAAAAGTAACAGAGTTAGAAATCTCACATTGAACATATACAATAAGTATTAAGTATCCTGGCAGTTTGAATATGCTGTGACATTCTCTTAGCAACAACCAATTATAAATACTTTTAGATACGGAAAAGAAACACACACTATAGAATGGTTAGCCAACTGGTAAATTCTGGAGTTTGGGCTTGCATAAAAGGTGAGTACCTCAATCTGTTCCTACTCTTCTTTCTCCTCAGACCTTAGATGGCCTATCACCTGTTTGTTGGCTCCGAGTTCTGAGAAATAATTTATCTGAATTGCATAAATAGTGCACAGGAGCATTCGCACGGAAGGGAGTGAAAATTAGAAAGGCTGCAATTGAGTGAATATCAGATGAGGTTGTATATCTTAGATTTCATCTTGCTTTGAACACTCCAGAGGGACTGCTGTTTAAATGAGAGAATTTTAGTAAGGTGGAATATAAAGTCATGTATGTCAACACAATAACTGTGTAAAAGCTTATTCTTCTTTCATGACCCTGGTAGCCTTAATGATGTTTGAACACCTTTCCCTATATAAAAACTCATTCTCTTTCTCTTTAAATGATGATTTGATTCATAAACTCAACTGATTCTACATTTTTCTATCTGAATATCTTTAAAAGTAAAAAAAACAAACTAAAGTTATAAAATGTGAAGTTTTCAATCCAGAAATAAAACGAAAAAGTAAAAAACACAATAAATTAGGGTGCGAACAGTACCGCAAGTGAAATTTTCAAATAAATGTTAATCTTTAAAATAGCTGACATTCTGAACTCAGCTTAAGGATGGGATGAGGAGACATAGGTCTAACCTGTAGAAAGTGCAGGATCAGAATATGGAAAAGTATGGAGTCTTGAAGAGCATTTTTTTTTTTCATTTTTTTTTTCAGGGGTTGTGCAGGCTGGAGAGTTGGTGTCTTAGCTGCCCATTAACCTTGTTGGAAAACACACTCACTTCACTTGTATCAAAGAGTTGCTGGAATAACTGATGAAAGAATGCAAGAAATAAATAGTTATTCATAGGAACTATTATCATGGTCTCAGTCTTTCTACATAGCATTATGTGTCTTCTTTTTAATCATCCGATGACCAGTAATTTAAATATAAATGGAATGATTTACATTCTATGTTTTTTCAATTCAATTTCTCTTTCTGATTACTCATAACTTTCACCTTTCTTCACTGGAAGGGATTTCCGTTTTTCACAAATGGGTTTTCCTGAAGCCTTATGTCCTGCTGCTATTGTTTGGTTTGGTTCTTTCTGCAGAAAACATGTTGTTTTTGCCAGTCACCACAAGAGGACACAATTTCCCAGATAACTTTGTTTAGAAAGAAGCTCAGAGAAGAGGAAAGCTAACAAAACAGCAAAAATAACACACAATTAATGAATATCATTTGGAGATGTCTATTTGATTTATGCCATTTTTATTAATTAAAAAAACATGAGTTAGCATTCAAACTTTTGAAGATTTTATAATTTGTACTTTCTTAGAACATAAAGAAAATATACTAAATATACTAATGTAGTTAAGGGAAAATGTTTATTTTACGTTGACATAATTTTGTAGAAAACTCTTGGTGACTTTGAATTTTACTTAATTCCATGTTTGGCAATGAAAAACAGTTTATTTTTTTTTTCTAAAAGATTTTTCAAAATGCCATTAACAGTTTGAATTTCTACTTCAGGCATTTGGGTTGTCTTTACATTGAAAACTATATGAAAACTATGTTTTATAGTTTTCCACTTATATTTTAATGCAAATTTTAGGATAATAAATTATTTTGCAGATACATGGAAAAAATGCGATATCTTAAGGTACTGACTCTCAGCACTTCCTCAGAATTATTATACACAATCTCTGATTTTAGAGATCCTTCCTCTTTTCTAGTACCTTCTTTCAAAAACATTTTAGAATATTTGATTACTTTGTACATTAAATTGGATTATAGCTTGATACTTTTCTGAAGACTTTCATGGTTCTGGTGGATTGCTACCATGATCAGGCTGTGGAATCCTGCTTTCCTTGGAACTAAATGTTTTGCTTTGCGTTTGTATCTTTATGCAGATATATCCCTAATTACTCTCTCTGAGACCCTGCTGGAGTGAGTGAGCAGTAGACCAAAGACTCTGAAAAAAAAAAAAAAAAAGGAAAGAAAGCAGAAAGAGTAAGAGAAAATAAGAAAAATAAGGAGGTCAAGAGATAGATCAGAATCTGGAGAGAGAAGGTGAACGAGAGAGCTGGAACAAGTGGACAAGAGTGATAGAGAACAAGAGAATGAGACTTTATATATAGGAGGAATAAAAGGCCTAAATAACAAGAGAAAGAAATTGATGCATTTGAGAGAAATATAAAAGCTCCAGGATTATTTGTCTCTGTTTCTGATCAAAGACACTGCCTGTCCCTTGGTACAGACATTTAGATTCGAAAATTTCTGTAATTGTTGCCCAAGTCATAACAAAGTTGAGACAGGTGGAGAGCCATTCAATTTATAATTAAGGTTGGTGTTCATCTAATGGGTGAGCTCTGTGCCAAATTAGAGTAAAGATGGCAATATATTGTCATTACTGGATCTTAGGGTGGATCTCATCCGGGGGAAGACAGATGTCATCATTTTTCCCTGGACATGATATTATTTTCCATTTGACCTGCACATTAGAAGTCAGACTGTATTTTTCCTAGTGGTTCGCTAGGGTCAATGTCTTTGCCCTTCCCACCACAGATACCTTAGTAAAAGCAATGCAAATGACGATTCTTGTTCTCACTCACTCTATTCAAGACCTTGAGACATTGTAAGGTTCTGGTTCTGCCTAATGGTGCATTTGGGAGATCTGAAATCTGGTTTCAACTGGCACTAATTAACTGCAATGGATTTATTGATTCTTTGGTAATTTAACAGAAATGTGTCAATGTCTCTTGGGTTCTCTGAGTAAGAAGGTTTAGTCCCTGACAAATATGTAACAGTATTTTGGGAAACAAAATATGAAAATAATTTTGTAACATAGGGAGATAAATATTATGATATATGTGTGCACAGAATGCCAAGGAAGGACATCAAACCTGGACTGAGGTGATGAGTGCCTTTGTGCATTGGAGAATTACCTTAATGCCATGGTGGTGGCCAGGAATGCTATAGCTATCCCAGACAGAAAGGCACAGAAAGGCTCACAGACCAAATTAAGATACAGATGACATGTCACATCGTTTATTGAGTCAATCTGAAACATACAGCAAAAAAAAAAAAGGAAAATCTATAGCCTAGTTTAATATACTGGGATAGGTTGCAAACAGGCAGGAAGGACCATGCTCCCCAGATCCTGTTGTATATGATGTTAACCTATCCTAGGTTTTTTTTCTATTTCCCTATATCAATCTTCCCTGCTGATGCTGTGCTTAAGAGGTCCAAAGTTAAGGATAAGCATGAATGGAGGATGAATGGAGAGACACAGGGCAGAAGCTCTTGTTCATGGCTGGGACTGAACAGCGTGGCTGAAACTGTTAGTTCTGTCTTTTGGGACCAGCTCTAGATAGATAGAGCATAGTGAGAAAATGAAGAAATGAGAACCCGCCTGGTCTTGTCTCACTGTCTTGATTTCTGTCAATTGAAAGGTCTTGAAACCTAGAATTATGTCTATCAAATAAGACATACTCTTCTACTTCACTCTCAGTTGTGAGCTAGTAACAAAAAGTATTGCATAGGCTCTTTGTTTTAACTGTAATGGGCTGTAGAGACATAGTTGTCATCAAGAGTAGGAATATTTCCAGGAAATATGAAGTGCATATAATGAAGACCGGGAAAACAAAAATATCCACTAACGGTCTTAAGCAACCTTAATGCAATTTTAACTTTACAGCCAAATTTTGGA
Source organism: Homo sapiens (assembly GCF_000001405.40). NCBI lineage: Eukaryota > Metazoa > Chordata > Mammalia > Primates > Hominidae > Homo > Homo sapiens. Next base: position 19,124,756 of record NC_000007.14, read on the forward strand.
CAGGAAGAAAGTAACAGTTATGTATAAATTAAAAGAAAGACAAAGGGCCGGGCGCAGCGGCTCACACCTGTAATCCTAACACTTTGGGAGGCCGAGGTGGGTGGATCACGAGGTCAGGAGATCGAGACCACCCTGGCTAACACGGTGAAACACCGACTCTACTAAAAATACAGAAAATTAGCCGGGCCTGGTGGCGGGCTCCTGTAGACCCAGCTATTTGAGAGGCTGAGGCAGGAGAATGGTGTGAACCCTGGAGGCAGAGATTGCAGTGAGCCAAGATTGTGCCACTGCACTCCAGCCTGGGCGACAGAGCGAGACTCCATCCCCAAAAAAAAAATAAAAAAAAAAAGACAAAGATATTAATTCTGAACAACATGAGCAGGCTTGGACTATCTGATGAGCAAGTAGATACTATAAATGAATTATACTTAACTTATTTTGTTTTAACTGGGACATCCTCTAAAATATACTACAATCTGATTTAATTATGAGAAAGAACAAACTCTTCTTCTAGATTTATGTAACATTAATTCAGTGTTATTTTCATTATGTTGATTCTTATATGAATGTTGGGCACCCAGATTTTAAATAGAGATTCATTAAAATATTCCATGGTAATTTTGTAGAAATTTTAACACATATTTTAAATGGAAGAGAAAGAATTTTAAGAGAAAATTTAGCAGAAAGATTATTCAATTTTACATGTGAGTACAGTAGCAATCACAACTGCTTTATCTTGTATCATTCCCATGGGTTACTAGGTATAGCAGAAGTTCATATTGTTGGAATAATTTGATAGAATGAAAGCAGAATAAAAATAGAACAAAAAGGAATCTAATTCAACTTTAACTTATTGTCAAATTCTTAACACATCACAATTGAGGACTGGAGGAACTGCTTACAAAATGCACTTGAATAAAATCGTAGAATACTGGAACTAGAAGAGGTTTCAGAAGTCCAGAGCAACTCTTCCTTTTCTGGCAAGGCAGAGTGGCTGTAGAGAGTAGAGTAGTGGATTGTAGCCTGGATTCTAGAGGCAGTCAGCCTGGGTTCAAATATGGCTCAACTTCTCACTACCTGTTTAACCTTAGATAAGTTACTTACCCCTCCATGCTTCCTGTGAAAGGGAGAAAATAATGTACATCATTAGGTTGTTGTGATGATTAAATTCCTAAGTGCTAACCCCTTAAGATGGTGCCTGGTACTTGGTACATGTTTTATATTATTGTTTTAACTGAGAGCTAAGTTATGCAAGACCTTGTAGACTGAAATGAAGCATTTACCCTCAATTCTGAATGCAAAAGTTGCACTTTAAAGGGTAAATGAGGAAATTAATTGATGAGCCATTTCTGTTTGAAGAGCAACTATTTCTATATCCATCTATTACCACCCGAAGCCACAAAGTGCACACTGGGGACATCAACTGCAAGTTTTATAATTTATCTATGCCCTGCCTGTCAAAGAATGGTAACAGGACACATATGACTTCTTCAGCTTCTATACTGGGCCACATCTTTGCTGAGGTAAAGACTATCATATTAAACTGTCTACTTGATACCACAATGTGGGATTCTCACAGACATCTCACTACTGTCACTTTCACATAACCTATTGCTTCTACCCCTGCAAATCAATAAATTTTGGTAAATTGTTTATCTGTTTAGCCTAAAAGCCTAAGAGCTATCATCAATTCCTCTGTTTTTCTTAGCCCACTATCTCCTTCATCCAAGTGATTATGAGAGGAGAGCAGTCTCCCACCAAGACTGACAGACTGGACATTCACCAATAGTAGGAAGTTGGTTTGCATGCAGGACAGTTCACAAAACTAACAGAGATGACATTGCCAGAGTTTGTGGCACTAAGATTCTCTGTGGCACAATTTGGCATACAGTGGCTCATAACTGGAGTCTGTTTCATTTGTGTTAGGATTTTTTTCCCAAGTAGCCTAATTGCCACAAGAACACAGACCCTTCTCATATTACTCACGGACTCCATAATGTGCAAAATAGATACTTCATAAATTCTTGTGTATTGATTATTATTCTCTTTGGAGAATTACAAGAAGTTCAGTCTTCCATAGGTTAAGTATTTCTTAGTTTACCTCAGTGTTACCTTAAACCTGCATTTTAGCTAATATACAAAAATAATAAAACCAAGTAGTATCTGTTACTTAAAATCAGAGATTAAAAACACTTCTTTAGAAATATTAATTTAGAGAATATTTCTTTCTGGATTCTGGAATTACCCAGTGAACATATCTGGCCCTGCTTGCCCAAGTACAATAATGAATAATCGGGACAATTTTGTATTTTGTATCATAGAACCAGAAGGATGTGACACAGTACAAGTATTGATGAGAAGTAAAAAGAACTACAATAAAGCAGAGACCATCTGTAAATTATTTGATTTATGTTCTTTGCAGAGAATAAATTAAATTAGTTGACCCTGAACTGGAAGAGGAGAAGAACCTTTCACTTGTGTAGTATCAAAAGCCAAAGATTTGTGTAATAAAATAGTAGGGAGAAAATACCAAGGGAGTTCCCAATCAGTGGCTGTAGTAATTAGAATAGGAAAGGAGTTTTTCTTTGACTGAGGAAAACATCAATTCTATCCTCTTCTGATTTCTCAGGATGGTACAAACATTTAAGGAGTGGTGCATTCTGGTCATAATATGTCAATGTCACTCCATCAGCAGTCTCAGAACTCATGAGTATTCACTTGACCACACCATTCTCGTGCAGCAGGAATAGTGCTGACCTGGAAACTCGTCAGTGTCTATGGCATGTATGGGCTTTTCTTTGGGGGAAAAGAGAAACAAGTTAGGAGGCCATTGCAATAATCTAGATAACAGGGGATTGTGACCTGAACTTGAGTGGTAGTAGTGGAACTGGAATTGGAAAGAAATGATAAGATTGCAAATATATTTTGAAGTAGCCAACAGGATTCGTTAAAGGTAAGACATGAGGTGTGAGAGAGAGGAATGAAGGGTGACACTAAGTCTTTTGATCTATGCAAAATAAAGGGTATGTTGGCAACCACTGAGATGGAGAAGGTTGTGAATGCAACACACTTCAAGGGAGATAGAGAGTTCAGTTTTAGATATGTAAACTTTGAGTTGTCAGCTAGAAAAATTCAAGTAGAATTGTTGGGCAGGCAGTTGGATATGTGCATCTCAAGTTTGTGAGAGAACTCTGGGTTGGGAGCTCCAGGATAGAATTTGGAATTAATCAGTATGGATAGCATTTGAAGCTATGTAATTGGAGATCACTATGGGAGTAAGTCTGTGTGAGGAAGAGATGAGGACTGAAACTGAAAAAGATGGTGAATACTGCTATGAAGAAAAAAAAAATAAAACAAGGAAGGGACGTAGGGATTAATGGAGAAAGTATAATTTTAACAACAGTAATATTTGTGAAATCAGAGATAATTACTTTTCTTAAGAAAAGACTAAGACAAATTGAGAAGAAGCAATAGTGCAAGACATAATAGAAAAAATTCTCCAGAGTAGGAAAAAAAACCCCAGAGTTTATAAAGTAGAATAGCACATTGTATTCTGAGCAAAGTTAATGAAAGTAGACTCATATCTATAAATATTCTCAGAGAAATGTTGACCATTAAAGACAAAGAAGCCATCCTATAAGCATGCAGAGAAAAATTTATCTATAAAGGAATAAAAACAGGCTTTTTAGGTTTTCTCCATAAAGAAAAATTGTCAAAAGGATGTTGTCCAGGCAGTTCATATACCCACCTAAGATTGCGTTTTACTATATGAAGTGTGAAAGGACTACGGAAATACCATTTTGTTCCCTTACAAAAACAAAGTCAAGTATTTTTTTACTTATTGAGAATCTCACTTCCAAGAACCGTGGTGAGCAATGGTACAAATAAACATAGAGATTTAAATCTAGTCAATTGTTACAAAACAAAGACAACAAGAGTAAGTACAAAAAGAAACAACACATTCTTAAACAAGAAGCATATGTTATAAAAGTATTCATGTATTTGTAAATATAAACTTAATTCCAGAAACAGACTTGAGATAGATGACATGAATTTTAAAAAAATCAGCAAGAAGACACATTAAAGACAAGTGAGATAATTTAATCAAGAAGAGAAGAACATGAAGAATATAAAACTTAGCTGAATTAGCCTCAGAATGTATATTTAATGTCATGTATTTTGTAGTGGTGGGTCAGACAACTAGCTCTAAGAAAGTCTAGTAAATAATGTGAACAGCTTTTACAAGCAATTGTCAAGATTCATAGGGCCTCTAAGGAAATATGTGTACATACACACATGGACTGTCCAGAAGAATCCCAACTATTCCTGGTATTGTGACCCGAAAAAAAGTTTATTCACTTAAGTTCATGGAGAAATAAACACTGAATATCATCAAGGACAGTATCCTTGACTCCTTGACAACACATGCATATTAAATATCCACTAAGTTTCATAATACTGGCTTTTTTTTTTTTTTTTTTTTTTTGCAGAGGCAGGGTCTTGCCATGTTGCCCAGGCTAGTCTTGAACTGGACTCTCAAGCATTTCACTCACCTCAGCCTCCCAAAATGCTGGGAATACAAGTGTGAACGACCATATCTGGCCAGAATTGGTTTTTTTTTTAATAATGTCACTTAATATAGGTTTATGATATAGTGGCAAAAATGATTTACTCCAAGTAATTTTTACCAAAGGCTAATTCTTTCTGATTGTGTGGTTTAATCTTGCTATAGATTTTTGAGTGTCTAGAGTTATATATATTCTTCTAGTCATCATTTGTAAATATTGTCTTTCTTAGCTGATACATTGAAAGTGTTGAGAAGTGATTTGAGATTGTGCTTCCTGAAATTTGATAATAAAATGCTATAATCTAGGTTACCAGTGAGGTGATATTCTTTTGAGAGAATCACTGAACTCAACAAAATCTTAAATGGAAGGCATGTTTAACTGGAATGCTTTCTTGCCACTCATTGGAGGTAAGGACATAATAATTAACCATTCAATCATCATCATCATCTATAATTCAATACTATTAGATTTGAACTAATAGTACAATTCAATAGTATAGAACTAATGGTATAATTCAATACTATTAGTTCAAATAGTTCAAATAGTTGAACTATTAGTTCAAATCTAATAGTATTGAATTGAATTGTCAAAGAGAGAAAGTCACATCAGACATGATATAAAAGTAGGCAACATTTCTTATAATTTTAAAATTTGAATTTAGGTAAGATATATTTTACTATATCTTTGGAAAACATTATTGCATTTAAATTTATACTGTTCTTACTGTCATGGAATAAACGTAACTTTGAATTGTATTTCATAATGTATACAGCTGCGTTCTATTCCATCACATGTCATGTTCTCTTTCATTTTATGTAGTTAGATTGATTTTCTGGTCTGAAACATCAGAATAGTACCTTGTGAGATGAAGTGAGGGGGTGAGGAACAGCTTATGTGTTATAAGCTGGAGTGGGAAAAACGCATTGTGTATAGCATCCCCTCTCTCATGTCAGCCTAATATGCTCATAAGAATTTCAGCTTGGTCTTTGCCTATTTGTATCCTAGCCATAGGCTTAAAAATCTTGTGTGTATTTTGGAACCATTCTGTTCCTTGGTGCTTCACAGTATTAAATGAGACCTTATTATGTGTCAGGCACTACCTCAAGGCACCTGGGATGAAGAGATACATTAGGTAGGATATGGGACTATAACAAAGAGATCCCAAAGTATAGTGGCTTAAACAAGGCGATTATTTATTTTAAAATTTGGATAGGTGCTACAGGCTTGGTGTAGCAGTGGCTCAGCCATGTTGGAGATTTAACTTCTTGCTCTGCCATTCTCAGAATGTGTCTTCAATTTCATGGACCAAGAGACCACTCCAGGTCTCATGTCAATTTTGCATTCTAGCCAATGGGAAAGGAGAAAAACAAGGGGAAGACATGTCCCCTTGCTTTTTTAAGGGGAACTATCTAAAAATTACATATGTGACTTCTGCTCATTTCCTATTGCTAGATCTTAGTCACATGGCCGTAGCTAACTGCAAGTGAGGCTGTGAAATGTACCCGTGGCTGGATGGCCATGTTTAGCATAACCTCTGCGGGTTCTATTGCTGACAAAGACGGGGAGAATAAATATTGTCAGATAATTAAAACAGGCCCTTTCTCATGTGGAGAAGGAAGTAGGCATGATCCTTGGCTTAAATTTGGCTCAAAAGTTAGAATTTACTCTTTTAATTCTGTTAATATTCTTCATGCTAGTTATACACCATTTTACTTAGCCTGCCAATGCTGCTCTCCCCTGCAATCTCAATTTATGGGCATTTAAATATAAAATAGTATAGAATTTACAATATGTTGACTATATTTCTTCTATCCCATCCTAGTGGCTCATGTTACTAATTCCCCCACATACCTCAACCGATATCTACTCAAGTTGGCCAAGTGCATGTCCCTCATTCTGCTGTGAACTCCTAACCAAACTAGAAAACTGTGGTGAGCAGAGCCAAGTTCACAGTAAGCATCCAATAAATATTTGATAGATTTTTATTAAATTGGTAATGAAAGTTAGCACAAGAATTGGATGCTGAACAGAGCAAGAAAACTCAATCTGATCCTGTCCAATTTAAATGTAAACTGAGCCTACATTATTTCTGCTTTTCACTCTCTCCTCACTATGACATTTATATGCTTGTTTAGTTTAGGGCTACACATAAGAATGACCATGAACATTTGACTTGGGAAAGGGGAATCAGGAAATTGTTCACCTTCTTGATCATTTTGTCAACTCCTCTTTCCCAAAGGAGACATTTATGTAGCCCAACGACTTTCTTAAGCTGAAATAAAACATATCTTCATGTTTTCTTTGTATATAATTTCTGTAGAAAACATATAATTTTCATTCATTTTTATAGAAGAAAAGAATCTTGAAAAGAAACTTTTAATTTTATATGGCAGCATAGGAAACGTAGTCAATAAAATGAAAAAAGACTGAAGACAAGAGGGAGGGGGGAGAGACAGAGAGAGAGGAAGAGAGCTATGATTTTAAAAAAGTTATTATTATTCATAGCTACTTATCTTTTGCCATGAATGATAAATGAACAACTAGTAGAATGGTAATACAGTATAATACATTGAAAGCCAATTACTAATGATATAGGAGCATTAAAAAACAACTACAGCTAAATTGTAGCAAATCAGTCAGAGTATTAAAAATATTAGATTTATGAAAGAGTGAAGTACTCTTAAAGAACATCTGCAAAATCATAGATGTAATAATGGCATTATACTTCAAGCTGATGAAGAAAATGTTATAAATCACATCATCTGACTTGGAAATTCTCCCCATGCTTGGAACTTTATTTCAAGAGAACCTCTATTTCTGAATTAAATGCCATAAATTTGAGAATTGTATTCACTTTTGTCACTTGATCCATTTGGTAATACATTTTATATGAGCCTCCATAAAGGGTGTCCCCCCGACCTTAGACTGAAAATTACTGTTTGTCTGAGTAGTGTCCTTTCCTCTTAAAAGGTGTTTACTTAGGTGGTGTTCACACTGTCCTCTCGGCCAGGACTCTTTAGCATCTCTGACCTCAGTGCTGCTCTTGTCATTGATTTGGGCTTCTTGGGTATGACAGTATAACTTAGCAATTTTTTTTTATACTAGCACTGCATATGACATAAAACAATCTTAGTTTTTCACTCAGAAGTTGTGTTTCTCTTTTGTTGAGATAATGAAACAAACATTTCACACAAATGTTCTTTGTTATAATGCTCAAATTTAACCTTTAGAAATTCATCTCAATTAAATTGTACAAAGGTATTGATATCAAATTTGACTGCAGTGGGCCAGACGTGGCCTAAAACACAGAATGGGTTTATCTAATAGTCATATTTTTTCCTCTCTCTCATATTCATGCTCCAGGCATTAATATGATAATGTTATGTTGTCAGCTAAAGTACCCTATTTATCATATTTATTATTAATAATGAAGTACTCTAATAAAATGTATCACCTAAAGGAAATAACAAGTGTTATATGGTCTTGCAGTAATAATCTTTTTATTATAGCACAGGCAGGGGGACGCTGCATATATATATATATATATATATATATATACACACACACACACACACACATATGTTTGCTATATATACATATATATATAGCAAACACATATAGACACACATAAACGTAGATGTATTTCTGAAGCACTTAAGAAATAGCCCAACTCAGATTAAAGGAATTATTTCTTTCTCACTCTGTGAACACGAAGCAGTACTAATATATAAAATGAGAGTAGGGAAACATCATACAAATTGTATGAAGTAGAAATCATCTCAGTAGCAACAGATATACTATTTGAAAAGTAGTATAAATAGAAAGCAGAGGAGCTAACAGCAACTTTGTAAAGGAGTCCTTCTGTTTATGCTTGTAAAGTGCTGGCCACTCCAGCAATTCTGGTCCATATTTGCAAGGATTGTAGATTGTATGCAAACCTATGCCTAAGTGTTATGGACATGGAGCTTTCATTATACCAACATTTGTCAAATTTACCTCTAGAGAAGGTAACAATTGAGTCAAAATATGGCTCCACCTTTGTCTCTGCATGAACAAGGTATTTTAACCAATTTGAATTTATTTTTCTCTGTGTAAGGTGGATATATTAATATCCTTTTTAGTAAGTCTTTGTGAGGTTTGAATGGCATAACTTACGTAAACAGCTGGCGCCCAGTAGTTGTCCCTTGAATTAATTGCTCTGCCCCCTGGCTTTGAGGTGCCTTTCTCTGCACTAGCTGCAGTGGGAGTGGCAACAGCTCACTGGAACAGTCCGCAGGAGAGAAGGTGCCTTTAAAATCAGATGCAAAAACCAGCCAGACAAATAATAGTGGATTTATGGCTCATTATTTTTGAATTTGCCCTTTGTGTACCTTTACACCAGTAGTGAAGATAATGGAGTCAGAGAACAGTAAGTAAACACTTGTTTTTCGTGACCTTTTTCTTTTTAGAATTCACCCAAGTTTTCATAATCTCTGATTATGTAATTAACTGATTAATTTTTGACAATTAAATGTGAGCAAAGAATAATTGTAAATACAACATAATTCACATGAATCAATGGATAGGGTTTTGTTTTGTTAGAATTAGCTCTCTCTCGGGGCTAATATGACCATATTCTAGGTATTAATTTAGCGTAAGTGGCAAACTGTTTTGGTTTCTGAGGAGATTTTTTGTTCTGGTTTACTGGTATATAACTGTTTCCTCAGCTTTTCATTTCCTGAAATAGCGCCAAGTACAGTATCTAAATTTTGACTAATATAAATCAAAGCACATGCTTTCCTTTCAGTAAAGTCCTCTATTTCAACACATGTGCAGGATTTTCCTTTTTAATGCATTAGACATCTGTTATTACTAATGGGGATAAAATGTCACATGTTAAAAACAATACAAGTTATTAAAAGCAGTTCGGATTTTAAATATTTTGAAATTATGCTAGAAAAGTTGATGTTTTTTCTTTTGTTCTGTGGCAGAGTTTTCAAAACATGAATATGCAAAATATGTTAAAATGAATATGCATAGGAACATGTGACTATGAATTTGTAAAAGCTCTTGGAGGTCACATTTATCAGGTTCTAATATATTCTTTTAGAAAGTAAATATTAAATTTTACACAATTTATATGCACCTTCACACACACACACACACACACAGAACACACACACACACACACACACACTGGGGCTAAGTAGGAAGAAAAACTGTTTACTAATTGTTTAAAAGTCTGGAATTTCATTAGAAATGTTAAGTGTATTCCTGACTAGTCAATAAATGCCTTAGTGTTAGTATAGATTATTGTTACCTGTTTGTTTTGGGGAAGGTGTTTGTGGGTATGTAAATTATAGATAAACTGAGCTGTGTTTTAGATGAAATCCCTTAAAGTTTAATCAAATTTTCCATTTAAGTGTCAGTAGAATGAAAGAGCATGTTTGTTAAATGGTTTTCCTTTAAAATTTTAAACTCTGAGTATTTAATGGTAAATTTAATCCTTATCTTTCTAATTAATTTTAACTTCCTTTTTTGGGGAAGGCTGTCAGAATACATGTTTTGTTGAAGACAGATTTATAAATGAAAATCAATGTTTTCCCAAAACCAATGATCCCTTTTATGTAAAACAATATAAAAACTGGGAAACTAGTCTGTTAGAAGTCAGGATACTGAATATTCTTGCAAGAAGAGAGGGGCAATGATTGGAAGGGGGCCTGTAGTGTGCTGGGAAGGTTCTACTCCCAAGCATCCAAAAAAAAAGTTATACAATATAACTGCTAAACATCTTAAATACCTACTTCAAATGTTTTAGAGTTAAAAAGACAAGAGTTCTCACCTAGATAACTAGATCCTGCTCTTCAACTAAGAGTAGATATCATAAATTGTATTGTTGTGTTGCTCTTTTTAGTTTAAAATAACTTTATTATTTTTCTGATTACAAAAGGATGACCTGATTACAAACCAGGAAAATACAAACAAGCACAAAAAATGATCAGTCCCCCTCTAGCATAAATAAAATGAACATGTATATTTATAGATATAAAAATATGCACATACACAAATATACATGTTCTCATATGAAGCAGAAATAAAATTATGCCTTACACACTGCTTTATAAAATACTTTTTTCTGATCAATTTTTGGAATTATCTTTCTGCACTACAAACTTTTTTGATAACTCATCCTTTTAATGGATGGAACAATTTTAATTAAGGACTTACTTTTTTGGACATCTAGGCTATTTTCCATATTTTCATATTATAAACAATACTGAGGTGCATACTTTGTAGTGCCATCTTTGTGCATGGTCTTGATTATTTCCTTAGGCTAAATTCCTGCAAGTGAAATTTTTGTAGGCAAGTTGTAAGAATACACAAAAGGTCATAATGTTATAGATATGACTTAGATCTTCCCAATCAGAGCCAAGGTTCAGAGAGCATTCTTGAATCCCTTCTAACTCCTTTCTTGATACGGTAAATTATTTGAACTTCAGATACTCTTGAATCTCCCCAAGAAGAAACAGTCTTAATCCCAAGGAAAATTCTGTTTTTCTCATTGAGTCAATGACCCTCATCTAATCAATGAGTGTTCTGTAGGTTTTCAGAATAGCAATTCCAGACACTTTCTTTTCTACCATTGTCTGGCTGTTGGTCTTAGTAGTTAAATTTAGACCTGGTATACATATGTGGGGCCAATGTTTGGTGAAGAACTAGCAAAATTCCTGGGCTTGTTTTCAATGCATAGAAAAATACTGATGCTCACTTAAATACCTGTTTTGGTTACAATAGATAGAAATATTCAATAATCCTTATTATTAAGACATAAATTATTCAAGAAAGAGACATCTATTATGAAAAAAGAGTAAAACTGCCTACCAAATCATGGAGGAAAAGGAAGAAAAGTCAATCCTTTTTAAGGTTTGAGCTAGGAATAAAAACAATTTACAGGCCAGGTGCAGTAGCTCACTCCTGTAATCCCAGCACTTTGGGAGGCCGAGGTGGGTGGATCACTTGAGGTTAGGAGTTTGAGAACAGTCTGGCCAACATGGTGAAACTTCCTCTGTACTAAAAATACAAAATTAGCTCGCCGTAGTGGCAGGTGCCTGTAATCCAAGCTACTTGGGAGGCTGAGGTGGGAGAATCGTTTGAACCCGGGAGGCACAGGTAGCAGTGAGCTGAGATCTTGCCACTGCACTCCAGCCTGGGCAACAGAGTGAGACTCTGTCTCAAAAAAAAAAAAAAAAAAACAAAAAGCAAAAAACAAACAAACAAAAAAGACTTTACATATGCAAAATTCATTCTAAAATACACGCGAAGTCACTCTGATTGAAATACTTTGGTTTTGCACGTAGGTATGTTTGAATGTGTGTGAATCATAAAATCAGCAGGGAGCAGGGGAATTGTGGAGTTGAGAAGCAGAAGTTCTGAGGGTGTTCAGTGTAAGGACCCTGAGGTTTGGATTGAAGTATGATGCATATATTCGTGTGCGTGTAATTTGGGAAGAAGTTGTTGTGTTTTGTTATGTAATGCTTTGAGTTTGGGCCCTTTTCAGCCTGTTTTATGTTAACTTTAGAAGCAGTTGACTGAATTTGATAAAATGTAGTATACTAATAAAGCGTATGAAGTTTACTTTGTGGTTCTGTCATCTGAAACAAAATGGCATCCAATATATGTTTTTTAACTGAACTCATATGCTTTAATTTCAATGGGCTTTGGTGAGATTAGGCAAATAAATAGTGATGAAAGAAATGGCCTGGCTTGTTCAATAAGATCTACAATTAACAAAACCACTACTTGTCAAATGCTTGTTAACTATACTCACCACATTTTTTGGCCAAAAATATGAAACGATGGTCAGAATATTTGAAATTGGGTATGTTTCCCAAATTGGAAACATTTTAGTACATTTCAGAAAGCTCTTTCCCATCAACCCTCAAATGAGCCAGTTGAAGTTGAATCAAAGCTTTTAAAAGAAATGGGATATTTAATAATTCTCCTTTTAACTTTCTAGGCAAGGAGGAAAATTTATTATATAACATGCTACATATGTAAAAAGAGCTATGCATTTTTAAATGTTGACAGATTATGTACAAGTGAAGGCCAATTTTATCTTTGCAAAAACTGTTACTTAGATGCAGGTAAATCTAGGCCAAAGAATACAAAGCTTTTGCCATGATATTGTATAAAGCCACTAATGTTAAAGTGCAAAAAACAAAAAATCTGTTTGTATAAAGAGGATAGGTTAGGTGACAAATTTTTAAAGACTGTGTAAATGGCACATACAACAGAGGATGTCCAAAGACCACTTCAAGACTCACATTGCCTCTCTGATGCACCAAGAAGAGGCCCTTTCTTTTTTCCTCTCTGATTCCTTTCTATGGGAGGCAGGGAGAAGCGTCCCTTTTTTGGGTAGACAGAGGCATATGTCTCAGGGAACCTACAAAAAAGCATGGCACACCACCTCATTTCCAGTTGAACAGGCTGAGTGGGTTCTAGGTTTTTAGATTTCGTATCAGCCTAGATCAGGTAGTTTATTTACTTGAAAGTAAATTCCCGGAGGATTTGCCAAACGTGTGGTAACTTTTTCATATAAAAAGCTTTATTTGCAAATTTAAGAGTTTTTTTTGGTTGTTGTTGTTGTTTTTGATGGAGTCTTGTTCTGTTGCCCAGGTTGGAGTGGAATGGCGCCATCTTGGCTCACTGCAACCTCTGCCTCACCGGTTCAAGTGATTCTCCTGCCTCAGCCTCCCGAGTAGTTGGAACTACAGGCTTACTCCACTGGGCCTGGCTAATGTTTGTATTTTTAGCAGAGATGGTGTTTCACCATGTTGGCCAAGATGGTCTTGAACCCCAGACGTCAGGTGATCTACCTGCCTCTGCCTCCGAAAGTGCTGGGATTACAGGCCTGAGCCACCATGCCCGGCCGATATTTCAGGAGTGTAGACTTTACAGTGACCTTCCTGGCAGATCGAAGATTGTGATTACATATGCCATGGACCAGAAGCCTTACCTTTAAATTTATATGTTTAAAAACATAAAAGAGTTCAAGGCAGCAACTTAGATTGGGCACAAAATGTCTTACTACTTAAAAAACTTTGATTATACTTAGGAGAAACAGGACAGGTATTTCATATTCCTATTCTGTGTGTTATCATGAGCCTTTCTAAAAGGCTGAATTATCATTTTGTCCTACACACACATTCAACATTGAAATAACGTAAACAACAATAGCGGCATTGGCTAAATTTTTATATTGTGTGAGGCACTGTATTTATATGATCTCTTCTGAGTCTTATATGAGCACTTATATGATCTCTTCTGAGTCTTTAAATAGTTTTGTGTTCATGATTTCCACTTTACAAATCAGGATGAGTAGGTTTAAGTTTTAAGTTAGTAATCTAATTTAGCAAGCAACAGAATTAGGATGTGCAAATACTACAAATCCATATTTAGAATGTAGCTGACCAAGAATATCAGCACAGACCAAGGAACCCAGAGTCAAGCACTTAGTGCTCGTCTATATTCTTTTGGGTCAGAGTGAAAAAACAAGTCTCGATTTCTCTTCCAGAAACCACATAATGCCAGGCACAAAATGTTGGTTTCACTTTCATGAAACATGTGAAGAAAAATTACAGTAGAACAAGACATAAGTTAAGTATCTGGGAATGGCTCATTAAAGCTAATGATAATTTATATTTCTATGGTGTTTTATAGGTTCAAAGGATTGTCATAGTAATTATCTGATTATTTTAATTTTTAAATTTTATTTTGAAGTAATTATAGATTCACAAGACTATGCAAAGATGATGGACAATTTTCATTTTTTACAATATTTCTACTTAAATATAATGATCATATAATCATCACCAATTAATCTTAATCCCTCAGAGTTTGGTCTCTGAAATCCTTGTCTGGGTGGAAATCTTAGCTTCAGTATTTGTTAGCTGATTGAGCTTGGAAAAATTATTTAACTTCCATATTCTTTAGTGTCCTCATCACTATGGAAATAACAATAGTGTGTATATCCTAAAATTTTTATGAGAACTTTACAAGTTTAACACAGTGTTTAGTACATATAAAGAACTCAACACAGTGTTTAGAACACATGCTGTCATAAGCTTTCAATACAGTTGTTATATTATTACAGATATTACTACTTCTTATTATGGATAATATTACTTCATTCAGATCCAATAATCCAATTATTTTGTTGTTCTCTTTGAGACCCTTTCTGGTTTCTCCAATATTTCACTGAACTCTGGTATTCAATATAGCCAATCAGTTCAAGATCTAGCCAGTACCAAATATAGATTTGTATTACTATCTTTTGAAGAAGTTACAAAATTATCTGCAGTAAAGTAATAGTGCTATCATTCATTCGTTCACTCATTCAAACACGTTTAGATGATGTTTTTTCTTCTATTGTTCACCAACTGTTTGATCTATTTCCAAATTCTCATAGACATTTTTCTTCTCTTTTGAAGACTGGAAATCATAAAAAAAACTGTCCATAACAGCTGCTTTGAGGTCATCTACATTTGTTGGCTGCAGGTGGAAATCTCCTTCACACAGCCTGAAATAGAAGGTTGTAAAATTTGGCCTTTGAGGGAGCCAGACCAAACCAGCCTTTTGTATAATTTATCATCCACAGAACATGTTAAGGTGCTTTTGATCTTTGAAGGCAATATCTTTCAAAGTGCTGTGGTGCTTATGTGTGACCATTGGTCCTTTTTGGGAGTCCCAATATCTTGCTGATTTCAATAGTGAGTGAAGGAATTTTTAAGATGCTACACTGATGACTCAGTTTAATAGAGAGACTCTAGAACTTGCTGAAATCCAATTGTGAAGATCAAGTGAGATAAAGTATGTGAATGGTGCCTTGAAACCAATAAAGCACTAAGTAAACCTAAAGCAGTTTATTGTAATCATTTCCATCGTGTCGTATTTGTCAAATTCTTTATTTCACAGCATATCGAATGTTCCATGCCTTCTGCCAGATTAAGGGTGGGATTCTACCACATATTTGCCATGAAGAGTGTTTGAAAACACATTCATATTTTTCTTTGCATTTCCTCATACTCCTTTAAGAAATGTGGTATAGACACAGAACTGACAATCTGGTGTCACAGAAAATGTTGTGAAAATTTATAGGCTTTGGTTTATAGAGACTTGAGGAAGTTTTTCCACCTTTCTGGTATTTTATTCCTGTCAGTTTGCATTGCTTCTTTTCTTTCCTTCTTCTCCTCCGCCAGGTTTGGTTTTAAGCTTTGGATTCAAAGAAACCCCAAAGTCAAAACAAAATGGTCAGAACTGCTGACTCTTGTTTTGTAATCTTTTTTTAGTCCAGTATTCACAGGAAGAGAGGGTGCTGACCAGAAATTGGGCCTAACTTCACCCAAAATGTTGGCAAAGTTCAGGAACCTTTGAGTGAACTTGTGCCAAGTTAATGATATATAGCCAACTTCACCAGTTTTCCAAAAACATTTAAAATTTAATTTCATGAAATAATATCATCCTATAAAAAGTCAAGTTCATACTTAACATTCAATACTAATCTGCTAGCTCTTTTTGATAAAAATAAAATAATAGTCTAATTTGTATTTTGTATTAAATAGATTCTCTTGTTTTTTTAAAGTATCAGGTATATTTTGGAAATGCACATGTAAAATGTACTTGTGGCTTCGTTACTTTAGAAGTTTCCTTTGAAGATCTGTAATTAAGAAAAAAATGTATCCTAAAATCATGCTTATCAAGTTTCGTCTCAGGATTTTTACAGCTATGTTATCAACCTCCCAAAAGATTATTTTATAATGGAAATGCTGACAAATGTGATAATAAACACTAATCCAAGGGTCTTAATTGTATCATATGTCTGCATGTAGGAATTATGCATACTAGCAGAATATTTGGTTCAGTTTCCAGCACTTAATTTTGCCAAAATCTGCTTTAACGCTGGGCAACTAACTGTAAAAGATGATCAGCCTAAATGACTCCCTGTTGATGGTAAGGGCTTCTGATTATTTTTAGATTCCTCAGAAAGCCTAATTATGTCTTTCAAATATGATTTCATTTAGATCTTTTTATGGCTTACTTGTCTGAATACTAATAGTAATCTGATAGCTATGGGGAACTTAGTTTGAGACCAAAAGGCAGTGTTCCATCAGTAGAGAGTATATAAATAAATCACCTCCAAGCAACATCTCAGATGGTATTTAGATTCTAAATGTTCAAATGACTTTAAGATTTCAAAAACAAATT
The DNA here is from genome assembly GCF_000001405.40 of Homo sapiens. Classification (NCBI taxonomy): domain Eukaryota; kingdom Metazoa; phylum Chordata; class Mammalia; order Primates; family Hominidae; genus Homo; species Homo sapiens. The sequence continues at coordinate 19,141,567 of NC_000007.14, forward strand.
ATTTTAATTTTCCAGAAGTAACTGACACCATTAGGTCTTAAAAAAAGCCTGGCTGAAGTTACTGAAAAGGCAATATCTACTCATATTTCTATCAATGGTAGTTTAGGAGATAATAAACAGTAAAACTATTTTAATGTAGTGGGTGTTACATTCAAAAACCCTTGTATTAAAAATTAGCTGGGTGTGGTTGCGCGTGCCTGTAATCCCAGCTACTTGGGAGTCTGAGGCAGGAGAATCGCTTGAACCAGGGAGTTGGAGGTTGCAGTGAGCTGAGATCGCACCACTGCACTCCAGCCTGGCGACAGAGCGAGACTCCATCTCAAACAAACAAACAAACAAAAAACTTGTGTTAAAGGTGCACTGATTTTATGCATCTAACATGAGGAAAACTAAAATTAAAATAATGCTTAGAAAAGTTGAGGGTCAAAATATGGAGGTATACTCGATTTAAGTTCAGGACGTGGATCATTTTGTCTTACCTCTATTGGCATTTGATGAAAGGAATGTCAATCCCTTTCTATGTGACTCTGATCCTTACCTGGGTTCAAATTACTCTGAGTAAAATTATTATGAAAATATCTTAAAAGACTACATTTGAGGCAGTTCCTAAACATGTAAACTTACAAATAGCAAAGCATTTATAAACGATTAAAGTTTTTTTTTTTAAGAAGGGTGGATAATTCCTCTGTTGATAATAAGAAAATAACTTTTAATTTAGAAGTTTTTTAGGTATCATTTACTATGATGAAGAGGTATTCACTGGAGGAATATTATTTGCTTTCTAGGAACAAAATGTATTAGAATATGATGGAGAAGACTAACGAAAACGGGTGGCTGTGCTGACTCCTCACGACTTAGGAATGTTGATGGTCCCTGGTCTACACAATTTTGCTTTATTTCTGGTTTTCAAAACTTGTTCTTTCAGCAAAATATTAAGAATTCCTAGATTGGAATTACTTTTTTTTCTTTTTATTTATTCAACACTTTCAGATGATTTTTTAAAAAAGAATGATGTTTAATTTCCAGGAGAAATTGAATTGGTGGAAGAATAAGAAAAAACAACACTCTATGGGGCTTTGTTGTTGTTTGGTGTTAGCTGTTTATGTATTTTTTTTTTGTTTACCTGTTTATCCTGATGTTCTTACGGTGCAGTTGAAAAAATTCTTGGTGGAAAGACACAGTAAAAGTAAAAAAACATCTTGGGAGTGGGGGCTCGTTTCAGAACTAATCCAGGTCCTATGAAAAGGAAAACTAAGAAAAGTTTTAAATATTCGAAGTACTAATGAAGGGGCTGGGAAACAGGCAAATCCCTGCAATGCTAGAGGGTGGGAGAGTGAACTGGCAGAACCCACCAAGAAGGGAATCTGGCCATTTATATCCACAAACTTGAATCCAGAAATTTCACTTCTAGGTATCAAATGTTAGGAAGTAATAATAGACAGAGAAGGCATTTACAAGAATGCTCTTAGCAGCATCATTTATTTTTTAAAAAGGAAATAGCTATCTATCTGGAAAGGGCTGGTGGTGGTGTGATACATGGATAAGACAATAAGATATGGTAATCAAAATCACATTTGAATAATATTAAAGTTAAGGGAAAACATTGCACCTTCTATAATGCCAAGTGGAAAAATATCAGTATCCCAAAGTATCTCGAATTAGTAAAATATATTGAATTTATAACTGCACAGGGAAAAAAAGACTGGAAAGAAATAGATGAAAATGCTAACAGTATGGTAACGTGGAGTGATTCGAATTTTCTCTTTTTTGAAATTTTTTTTTCCAAAATTTCTAGGATGAGTATATGTTACTTATTAATGAAATGAATTCTATTTCCGAAAGCATGATTAAGAGAATTGTGTGTTCGCACAGGCTCCCGCCTATTTCTGTGTGCAATGAGGGGCGAAATAAAGTGTTGGAATAATCACTGGGGATTATCCTTTAGGATTACTGAATTTATGTTTAGGTTGGCATTATTCAATCGGGTTCCTCGCCTCAGTTACCCACTCCTTTCTGAAAGACCCCAGTTCTGGTACTAGCACGTCACCTAGAAGGAAGAATCCTGGAATGGCACGGGTCCAAACTAGAGGCGGCCTCTCAGCATGGACCCGCTTCAACCTCATCTGCATGGCAGGCGTTTTGCAAGGCGTCAGAAGGCATCTCCTCTTTGGACTTTTTGTCTCCCCTGGTAGTCTCTAGAAGCCATTAGAGTGAAAGCTATCTTTCCTACCTACAGCTAAAAATGTAAAAGTGAGCGCGCTCAGGCGGCCCTGCTCCTAGAAAGATCCAGGCCCCTTCATACCCCAACCCCTGGCCGGGGACAGTTGGTAGCGGTGGCTGGTGGCGAAGCTGCAGGGCGCCCAAGGCCCCCTGCGGCCCAGGAGTGACCCGAGTGCACTCGCCCCTTACTCTGGCCTGGGGCCTGAAGAAGGCACTGGAACACGGAAGCTGATGCTGCACTTTAGATGCAAAGCGTAGATTTGCACTCTGGCTAAGGCACTGAATGAACACCACTGTGGCCCTGGGACAAGGAGCTGTGGTCCGTCTGGGATCAACTAGGTGGCGAAGGGGAGGGAGAAAGGAAGAGAGAGGGCTTGCGCGCGGGAGAGAGGAAGGGACGGGAGGGAGAGGGAATGGAAGACAGGAAGGGTGTCCCTTCTCAGAGGTCGCACTTTGTCAGCAGTTCCTCTCGACTGCTCTGCCTTCCATTTTTCCTTTCCTCAGTTCCTGGACAAGCCTCGGAGGACCAGGCAGAACCCTCTGGCTAGCAGAAAAGCTCGCACCCCCGCACCCTTGCGGCGTCTGCTTCAGACCCTCCACGCAGGCGCCCGCTGGAGCGCCTGCTGGGGATGGCGTACCACCGACCCTTCAGGCTTTTTAAAAACGTAAGAATTTCTACTTTATTATCTCTATGAAAAAAAAAATGTAAAGAAGAGAGGTTAGATTTTATAGAAGCTCCAAAGTCTGCCATTTGCGAGGAGGGTTCACTTCCCACCCACCCAGCCCACGGAAGCTCTTAGGAGCAGCCTGAACGGCCCCGACTCAGCCTCACGCTCTCTGACTTCCCCGCTCGCCCCTGACCCCGACTTCACTTAGGGCGGTCGCGTAGATATGAACTCTACAGCAGCCACTCTGCTCAGCGCATGTGGGGATCTTACAATCTCGACCCCGACCTCCAGAAGACCAGACGTTCTGTCTTGGGGCCTCCCTCCCGGCCCTTTAGCCTCACCCAGTGCCCGGTCCTGACACACCCCAGCACTACCAGACGAGGAAGGGCAGACTCTCCACACCAGGCTCAGCCGCTTTCCTTCTTCTCACAGCTCTCCAAGAGCTCGGTCATGAAGGAGATATAGACGATGGCCAGGCGGAGGGTCTCGATCCGGGACAGCCTTTTCTCGTAAGCAAACGTGGGCACCTTCCTCCGCAGCTGGTCAAAGGCCTCGTTGAGGTTGAACATCCGCTTCCTTTCGCGGATGTTGGCGGCCTGGCGCTGGGCGTAGGTGATCACCCTTTTCCTCTTGGGGCGGCCTAATAGGGAGACACCTCTTCCGCGCTCCTCTTCCTCCTCCTCTTCTCCGTCCCCCTGGTCCACTTCGCACTCCTCTTCTTCTGGGTCCCCCTCTTCAAACCGCGCCATCCTCCTGGGTCTTCCCTCTCGGAGCGCAAGGGCTGGGTCCCCCAAGGAGACCCCGGGTGCGAAGTCGCAGAGGAGAGGGCGTCTCGGGGAGGCCAGGGACAGGTCTGCGACGAAGTCCAGCACCGTAGTGTCCACGCAGCTCTCCGGATAGGCCGCCATCGCTTCGGCTTGGCCCTGCCTCTCATCGGTTTTCCGCAGGGAGGGGCGAGGTTGCTGGTGGGGATTCTTAACAGCCTTGAATCTGATGGGGCACCATCACCGAAAGGCCAGGGAACATTAAATATTTATAACCAAGCTGATAACAGGATTAGTCGCACCGATAAGGAATGCTCTGACAACGTCCCTTCTCTCGAAGCTTATGGAAGATGACAAGCTTGAGCACGCATGGAAGACTCAAAGGGACAGGGCTCCAGTTCTGAGATCCTTTTCTCTGCGCCACCCGGGACAGTTCCTTGTTGGCAACAACCCCCAGCTCTTACCTGCTGTGCTTTTTGTGTCTGTCTTCACCCCTGCAGCCAACTAATGTTCTCCAGGCTCCTTATCTCGTGTAGTTCTTTAATTTCGTGTTGGATTTTCAAAGCGAGGATGTTTTCCACCGCGATGGCTTCTCCTTGACTTCAGGGTAGGAGTCTTGAATCTTGCCACCATCTGCCAATGGATGTGGAGCAAGTGCATGTGCTTTTAATGATGTCCTGAAGAGGGGCCCTGCCTGCCTGGCATCAAGGGGAGCTGTTTGTCTGGTATCCCAGTGCAGCGGCTGCTGAAAGGCAAGACCTTCAATTAGCTTAAGTAAGCATGGCAGGGGGACCGAGAGTGCATTCCCCAGAGTCGCTGTTGGAACCGGCTTTCTTTTCTTTCCAGGGCATCGCAAACAGCTCTCCTGCCACGTTACAAACCCTGACTTCTAAAGTCTGTTTGGATGCAATCAGCGTAACAATTGAGATACTTGACTTTCCTTTCCCTACCTTTACCTCCTACTCATATAAAATAGAGGATTTTATTCCAAGAGGAAAAGTTATGATGGCAATAAAATGAGAAATTTAAGCTCAGGATATTTTCTATGCTCGGGCTTTGCTGTATACTTTTCAGTGTGGGGGACAAAGCAAACTCTCCTCACAAACAAAACCACTTCAAGCTCTTTTCAGAAATGCGATTTGCCCTTGATAAGCCAAAGAGTCAATCAGCTCACCCTCTGCTGAGGAGTCTTCGGACTTTTAAATTGCGGATCGAGTATTTGTTCCCGAACAAAGAAAAAAACCTAACACTTCCATCTGGCGTATTTTCCTCATTGATTTGTATTGTCCTACAGTAAGACTTAAGTGCAGAAACAATGATTTATTGAAATATATTTAAGGGAGTTTTTGGCTATCGTTAGATCGTTATTTTTGAGAAAAGAAAGAGATTTTAAATTTGGCATAAGAAAAATAAGAGATTACTCATTTTATATTATCTCGAGTATCCCAAATATTTTAACAAAAAGGTTCTTTTTCTTTGTTTGCCAATAACTATATTTACTTAATTATTCAGTACTGTGTAAAGATTTATTTAAAAGACCCATTGTGTCAAAGTGACAGATTAGAAGATAATTTTAAAGGTAGATTGGAAGAAATAGCCTAAAAAGATGAATGTAGAAACATCCCGGTTCAAAAGAGAACTGCCCAGGACGTCAGTCCCTATTAAGGGGGTAAGTTGTGGTTATGATGGTTCACTCAGTACATTGGACAGCTCCCAGAAACCAGAAACCGCCTATTTCTAACAGGTAATCTCAATTCATTTTCTTCTTCCTAGCCTCTATGTGTGTAATCAAAACAGTATAACCTTTAATTCTTCTTCTTCTTTTAACCCATTTGTGTCTGGTGTCTCTCGATCTTTTAATAGATTTTATCTTCTTTTGCTTGTGTTTACTCTTCATTCTCCAGTTTGAATTGTGATAACTCAGGCAGAGAATAATTGAAATTTGTGATCCTGGAAGATGTTAAAGAGAATGAGATCTTTGGTTGTTACTTAGTTGATTTTTGCTAAGCATCTTTCAAAGGGAAGGCTGAAAAATAAATAATAGGATTGTCAACAGTGGCTATGAAGCTAGTAAATGGGAGAACTGATTTTTGTTTCAAAAAAGTAGTAACATGCTTGCTAACCCTCGTTTAAATTAATATGTTATTAAATATTTGGACAAATTTCTTGTTGATTTTTAAATTATGTTAAATGCTTCTCAGTGACTTATTTTGTATTCATTTACAATCTATTTGCAAGTGGATTAAACACCTCAGTCAATTGAGAATCTAGTTTCGCAATATAATACACTGGAAAACAATGAAGGAAAACATGGTTGATATTTAAATTTAAAATTTCATAAAATGGGGGTCAGAAGCCTTCATGAGACTAAAGAGATAGTTTCATTGGACTGAACTCCTTTATGATTTTAGCCAAGGCAATGTACCTTTCTTGCTTGCCTTCCTTCCTTCCTTCCTTCCTTCTTTCTTTCCTTCCTTCCTCTCTCCCTCCCTCCCCCTTACTCCTTTTTCTTTCTTTCTTTCTTTCTTTCTTTCTTTCTTTCTTTCTTTCTTTCTTTCTTTCTTTCTTTCTTTCTTTTTCTTTCTTTCTTCTTTCTTTCTCTTTCTTTCTTTCTTTCTTCTTTCTCTCTTTCTTTCTTTCTTTCTTTTTCTTTCCTCCTTCTCTCTTTCAACAGAGCCTCACTCAGTCATCGAGGCTGGAGCGCAGTGCTACAATCATAGCTTACTGTGCCTCAAACTCCTGGGCCCAAGCAACTCTCCTGCCTCAGCCTCCCGAGTACCTAGGACTGCAGGCACTGGCCACCTCATCAAGCTAAAGGTTTTGTTCTTTAGAGAGGAGGTCTAACTATTTTGCTCAGGCCTCAACCAGTCCTCTCACCTTGACCTCCCAAAGTGCTGAGATTACTGGCCTGAGCCACTGCAGCTGGCAGAGAATGGAGATTTCAATAATCATATCACAAAAGGAACTGTAGCAAAAGTAATGGAACCAGTGCCTAGAACTGGGTTGAAATACTTGTATTAAAGTATTAGGAATTTTTTAAATGTCCTAATAGGTACACCTACAGCAATTATTTTAAAATATTTTCTTTTTTATTTCATCATAAAAATCCCAGGATAAACACTTCTGTTTATACCACCTTAATTTCTGTTTATCTTACAAGGTTATAATCATGCTAATATAATTAAAGCAAAAAATGTTAAAATCTAAGTTATGAGTGTTTTTATTTATAATTATAATTAGTTATATAAATTAACAGTTACAGTTATTTCATTTATAATTATAATTAATTATAGGAATAACTGAAATTCTTTTTCTCTGCTTATTGTGAAATGGTCATTTTATTTTTAGAAGACTTTTGTGGGTATTTGGTTCCACAGTAAATATATATGGCAAAAGCAGTAAATTTATAAAGTACCAAGTGATGTTACAGTTCATCCTATTGGAAGGAATCATTATTTTCATTTCTAGATTTGAAAGTTAAGAGAGAGATGTTTTTTAAAAACTCAATTGAGGATTAAAAGAAGCTAAGTTCAACCTTGATTCCTCTGTGTTCTAGGCCTATAGTTTACAGTTATTCAGTGACCTATAGGGAGGCATTTATAAAAAGTTTGATAACTCCTCACAAATTTTACTCAAAATATTTCAAGAAATGATTATGAAATGACAATCAGTTTTGCTTATTTGATTATCTAGTTTATTTCTATTGACCATTCCTATTAGACATAAAACATTTTGTTTATACTATTAAACTGTTCAGAATCAAAGCAAAAAGAAAAAAAAATGACCAAGAATAACTTAAGCAGTAATTCTTGAATGAGCTGAAGCCTGGGTTTAATGGTGCAAAGGGGAGAAAGGTAGATAAATAAAGCATCCAGGGAGTAAAGCAAATATATAAATCCCCCCAATTAAAAAAACCCTACCTTTCCTTCCTCATGTCCCTTCCTCTTTTATTCCAGAAACATTAACTTTTAGGGCAAATGATAAAGATATGACGAAGCTAGATGTCTGTGATGATTGTAGGAGAAAGGCATAAGAAGTACTCCTTCCGCTGACCTGGAGAAGGGACCAGTGTCTTCTTCCTATTCAATTTCAAATTATGTATGGTTGTGACCACGGCTGGTTTTAGAGATAGAAGAATATATATCCATTTATTTTGCTTTTTTCATTTCATATTTTAGGTAAACTTTTTTGAAGCTCAGTGTATGTACTTTAAAATTCGCAAATTATATACATGCAGCTTCATGAATTTTCAAAGTGAATGTATCCATGAAACCAGTGCCCAAATCAAGAAATGGAATGCCTTTTTGAAGTTTGAGGTAATGTAAGAACAGTTAAGTTTATAGCTTGAGACTGTTTCACAAAGTGAGCATATGCATAATCTATAAAAATAAATTATATTCTGTATACTATTGTGTCTTTCAGTCAATATTTTATTTATGCAATTTGTGCATATTCTCATTGTTGAATAATATTTCACTGTGTAAATATACCACTATTTATTTGTTCTTTCCTTTTCTTGTTGGTGGACATTTGGATAGTTTCCAATTTTTAGTTACTACAAATAGCAGTGTCATAGAGGTTATTGTACATATCTTTTTGTGAGTACATTTATCCTTTCCTGTTTGGGATACACCTGGAATTGGAATAGATTATGCATATGTTCAGTTTTAGTGGTTACTATAAAATTGTTTTCCAAAATGGTTGTAATAATTTACACTGTCACAAATGATATATTGGAGTTCCAATTTCTTCACATCCTCGCCAATACTTGCCATTTTCTATCTTTTTAATTTAAGCTGTTTTAAAGATGTGTATGGGTATCACATTTCAGTTTTAATTTACATTTCCCTGATGATAAGTAAAATTGAGCACCATTTCTTGTTAGCCGATTAGTTACTGACTCTTTAATAAAGTACTGCTCCACTGTTTATTGGATTTTTCTAATTTAAAAAATTGATTTGTACGAATATTCTGGGTATAAGTTCCATGTCAGACGTATGTAATGTAAATATCTTCTCCCAACTCTGTGGCTTTCCTTTTGACTCTCTTTATGGTATATTTAAAAATTTCAGGCCGGGCGCGGTGGCTCACGCCTGTAAACCGAGCACTTTGGGAGGCCGAGGCGGGCGGATCACGAGGTCAGGGATCGAGACCATCCTGGCTAACACGGTGAAACTCCGTCTCTACTAAAAATACAAAAAAATTAGCCTGGCATGGTAGCGGGCGCCTGTAGTCCCAGCTACTCGTGAGGCTGAGGCAGGAGAATGGCGTGAACCTGGGAGGCGGAGCTTGCAGTGAGCCGAGATCACACCACTGCACACCAGTCTAGGTGAGAGTGAGACTCCGTCTCAAAAAAAAGAAAAAATTCATTTATATTTTTTCCAATTTTTATGGCGGTAAAATACATATAACATAAAATTTATCACTTTACCTATTTGTAAGTGTACAGTTCGGTGGTATTAAATACATTCATCATATTGTGCATCACCATCATCCATCTCAAGAACTCTTTTAATTTTATAAAATGAAAACTCCATATTCATTAAAAAAGTAACTCCTCGTTCTCTCCTTTCCTCAGCCCCTGGCAACCACCATTCTACTTTCCGTCTCTTTAAATTTGACTACTCTGGGTAGCTCATACAAGTGGAATTATACAGTATTTGTCTTTTTGTGACTGGCTTATTTCACTTAGCATAATGTCCTAAAGAGCCATCTATATTTTAACACACATTAGAATTTCCTTTCTTTTTAGGGTTGAATGATATTCCACTGTATGTATATGCCACACTTTGTTTATCCATTCCTCTGATGATGGACACTTGGGTTGCTTCCAGATTTTAGTTATTGTGAATAATGCTGCTATAAACATGGATATCTACAAATCATTTTGAGACCCTGCTTTCAATTTTTTTGGATGTGTCCCCAGAAGTGGAATTGCTAATAATTTGGTAACTCTGTTTTTAATTTTAAAAATAATTTTGTATTCTTTAACCAACCTCTTTCTATCCTCCCTTCCCACTACCCTTCCAAGACTCTGAAAACCCACAATTCCATTATCTGCTTCATGAGCTCCACATTTTTGGCACCTACATGTGAATAAGACCATGTGGTATTTTTCTGTGCCTGATTTATTTCATTTAACATAATGTCCTTCAGGCTCATTTGTGCTGCTGTCTAGTTTTAATTTTTTGAGGAACCACTGAACTGTTTTTCACAGTGGCTCTACCATTTTACATTCCCACCAACACTGTGCAAAGGCTCCCGTTACTCCATATCCTCACCAACACTTGTTTTATGTTTGTTTGTTTAGATAGTAGCCACCTTTATGGGTGTGAGTTTGTATCCTATTACAGCTTTGATTTGCTTTTCCCTAATGATTAGTGATGTTGAGGATCTTTTTATATGCCTGTTGGCTATTTGTATATCTTTTTTTTGAGAAATGTCTCTTCAGGTCTTCCACTCATTTTTGAATTGGGTTGTGTCTTTTTTTTCCAAGAACTTTACTGGATAAAAATTTTCTATGACTCATTCTATGTGTTATACATTTTGAAACCTTGTATACATCTGAAAAGTATTCTGAGAAAAATAATAATTGTTTCTTTATGTATATGTAAGTGAAAATGTTCTCTATATATCCTGGATATCAATCTTTTATCAGATACATGATTTGCAAATACTTTTCTCACTCTATAAGTTGTCTTTTTACTCTATTAATGGTGTCTTTTGATGCGCAAAAGTTTTACATTTTCATGAAGTCCAATTTGTCTATATTTTCTTTTTGCTTGGGCCTTTGGTATCATATCTAAGAAATCACTGCCAAATCCTATGTTGTAAATCTTTTTCTTTTTTTCTAAGAGATTTTAGTTTTAGGCCTTATGTTCTTATGTTTAGGTCCTTGATCCGTTTCAACTTAGTTTTTGTATATGGTGTTAGGTAAGGGTCCAGCTTCATTCTTTTACATGAGGATATTCAGTTTTCCTGATGCCGTTTGTTAAAAAACAAAAACAAAAAAGTATCTTTTCTCTATTGAATGATCTTGGTATCCTTGTCAAAAATCATTTGACCATATATGTGAGGGTTTATTTCTGGGCATTCTATTCTATTTCATTGGTTTATTTGCCTGTCTTTATGTAAGAATCTCATTGTTTTGTTTACTGTAGCTTTGTAGTAAATTTTGAAATCAGGAAGTATGAATCATTTAATATCTTTAGATGAAAAGAAGTTCTTATTTTTAGTGTAGTCAAAACCATGCTTTTTTACTCCTTAGTGTTGTTTATGTCATGTTTAAGAAATCTTAACATATTTTACCATCATGAAGATATTATTTTATGCTTTCTTCTAAAAGCCTGTTTTTTCTTTAACATTTAGAACTGTAACCAACCTAGAAATGATTTCTGTATGGTATGAGTAATGAAGGCGGTGGTCAAAATTTATTTGGTTTTCAATTGACCCAGAAACATTTATTGAAAAGACTATCATATTTTATTAAACTTACTCATTTTATGAAAAAATTTCTAAACTAAATAAGAACTTTTTCTGTTCTTAGGAGTGCTAGGAAAAGAATTCAAATATAAAAGGAAATCAATTCTAGGATTTGTCTATATTTTTAACTATATTTATAGTTAAAAAATTCTTGCTTATAGTCCAACGAATTTCTTGCCATTTTGATTATAATCTAGGTTCAAATAAAAATAAGGACTCTAGAATGCTGTAGTTTAGGGATTGGCTAACATTTTCTTTAATGGATGAAAGAGTAAATAATTTAGATTGTACAGGTCATGAGTCCTGTTGCAACTACTCAACTCCAGTTTTGTAGTACAAAAGGAGCCATAGACAATGTGCAAATGAATAAGCATCGCTGTGTTCTCTAAAACTTCACTTACAAAATTAGGCAGTGGGGCTGGACTTGGCCCTTGGGTTATAGTTTTCTCACTCCTGCTCCATTTATTGAGCCTATCTCCATATTCCCTGGTACCCTGGTACACCTAATATGTATACTTGCCAAGATAAGGCCATCAGAAATATAAGTGAATATGAATTTGTTGAGTGTATATTAGATTTATGCGTATATATGTATCTCACATGGGTTGGGGGAGGTGAAAAGAGAATATAAAAATGCTCCTGAAACAACTGAATCTGTAGCTTCTGTCTTTGAAGTTACACTGAGGTGTTAGAGAGTAACAAGAAGCAGCTCTGCACAGGAGGTGTGCATACCGCCTTAAAGTTACCATTGCAGAGATTGAATGCTTATTTTTAATCACTGACAAGAAACACCAAATCTGATGATCTACTCTTTCAAATATTAGTATTAGCAGGCTGTAGGTAAATTACATTCAACTAGGAATAAGGAAGGAAGAGGTAAAGTTACTGGACAGAACAGTCTTTTACTGTGTGAAGTGCTTCTCTTTGTTAAGATGAACTAATCTCATTGTCTAATGTTGCCAAATTAAATGATGTAGGCAACAACTGCTGATCCTGTCCACCTACATTACCTTCTTTGTGCCATAGATAATCTGGCAGAGACTGCACGTTGTTCCTCAACATCTACTTGCTCTTTCTGCCTTTTGGTAATAGAACCACCCACACATATTTTAGATGGCATATTTTTACCCCACTACCTTGATGCCAATGGGATAATGAGTAGCATTGATATGTGCAACTTAAAGTTGGTCTTTTGGATAGCAAATGATGTGCCCTCTGCTTGGTTTTGTTGCCTTCTTCTCATTGCCTAAAATGTGGGAATGTTGGTAGTGAGCTAGAATTAGCCACGTAGCAAAGGATATCACTGTATGGCAAGATTTGGAAACTTTTTTTCTGTAAAGGGCCAGATAGTACATATTTTAGGTTTTGCAGGCTGTATGGTCTCTGCCACAACTACTCAAGTCTGCCATTGTAGTGGCATAGACAATACATAACTGAATGGGTGTAGCTATTAAGAACTTTCTTTACAAAAGTGGAAGGAAGGCAGAATGTGGTTCTCAGGTAATAGGTTGCTTACACCTGCCTTAGGGAATGGCAGAGCAACAGAAAACTGGGACTTAATATGACCTGCAGAGTACAGCTGTAGCTCTCAAATAGAGAGCAAAGGTGGGAGTATACTTCTAGCGCATCTCATATCTCTTTATTAAAGTGGTATGCTTTCTGCTGGCACCTAAAAATCCAGAAGATGATTTGAAGATTAAGCAGATAGATATGCTTCTTTACATCTATTTTTAAAGTATAATTTATAAAAACTGCTTAAAATCTGTCATTACTTTTTTCATCTCAGGTTTTTTCTCTTCCTATGAAATAATTCCATTTCAGTTAGCCTTTGGGGTAAATCTATCTTTCAAATTTTCAGTTATATTATTTCTTACATTAGTTGTTGTTTGAACCCTCTCCAAAATCTTTGTTCCTTTTTGTAAATGTGGAAAATTAGAGAGGTATAAAGGAAAAAAATCCCCCAGGATGCTATAAACTACTATGCTCAAATAATTTTTTTCTCATTTCTTATACTACATCTTGGAATATTATTTTTAAAAGTGATTTTCTTTGTAATAAATGTTATAGGTTTTACATTAATCCTTAAATCTATAAGTTATTTGTATATTTGGGGACTAAATGCTATATGTGTGATTTTGTAATTTAATATTTTTTTCAAATGTTTTTGCTATTATACTATTCATTTATGATGGGAAGAAAGTATTAGTATAAGTTGAAACACATGAAACTGACAAAAATCAATCTATTTTTAACCTAAAAAATGGGCAGTTTCATTTGATTGAGCCTAGTTTATTAAGAGGTACTCCCACTTAATGAAAAAGTAAAATTTTAAAATATAATTCATATTATACATTAATATACACTTGCATTAACATATAACAGATTAGAATAATGTTATCCTATTGCACAGTAAGTGTATTGCAAAGTAAATTTGACAATATATTATACAATTTTTTTTAAAACACTTTTATTGAATGCTTATGAAATGCTTGATTTAAGCCTTGATCCAGAAATTGATCTAAGAGTTGGGTATAAATCAGTGAACAAGATAGGTATCTGAATTTAAAAAATCGTTATTGTGTTGAAGGTGGCGACTGCTATGGGAGAAATTGTTCAGTATACGGGTGATCAGGAGTGCTGCAATTTGGGGGCAAGTTGCTACTTTAATTAGGGTTATTAAGAAGAAGTATGATATTCGAATAAATACTTGAAGGCAATAGGGAGTTAGTTAAGTGCATATCAGGTGAGAAGTTTCCAGGCAGAAAGAACTGACATTTCAAAGAAGATAAGGTAGAAAGATGCTGGGGATATTGGAGGAACATCACAAAGGCCACTATGACAGAAAGAAGTGAAGGGAAAGAAGGATACTAGGTGATGAGGTCAGTTTGGTAACAGGAGTCAGGATTATACAATGAAGGACATTTTTAGCCATTTAAGGATCTTGGCTTTTACTTTGAGTAAGATGTAATCCATTGGAAACTTTTGACGATTTACTTGCAGTTTGAAAGGATTCCCTCTGGCTAATGTGTTGAGAATAGAATCTACGGGAGACAAGGAGGGAGAGGGAAACCTGACGAGGGGCTATGCAGTAACCCATATTGGTAGTGGGTGCAGTGATATCAAGGGATTGTTTTCTGGATGTAATTTGAAGAAAGTTCAACAAGATGTGTTGATGGATTGTATGTAGATTGTGAAGACAAGACAAGAGTCAAGAATGATCTCAAAGTTTTGGCCTGTGTACCTGGAAAGAAGAGTTGTGATCAACTAACCTAAGAAAAACCCCAGGAAGAGGAGATCTAGGGCATGGCAAAGATCAGGAGATCCATTTCAATCACCTTAAGTTTAATATGTTTATTTGACAGACAAGTGGAAACTCTGAGTAAGTTTCTGTCTCTCTCAGGGTAAAAGAAATCTTCATGTCTTATAGGGTGCTACATATTACACTGTTTTTACACCCTAATACCTATGAGAACACATTTCATTTTTTCCCTTCTCCCTCACTCATTTTTAGCTGTGTTGGTTTCTTTTCCCTTTGTCTTTCTCTTCCTCTTTCTCTCTCTCTCTCTAGACATGGTCTCACCCTGTCACCCAGGCTGGAGTGGCATGAACACGGCTCACTACAGCCTCAACCTCCTGTGTTCAAGCAATCCTCTCACTCGGCCTCCCCAGTAGCTGGTACCACAGGCACGAACCACAACATCCAGCTAATATTTTATTTTTTATTGAGACGAGGTCTCGCCATGTTTCCTAGGCTGGTCTCAACCTCTTGGACTGAAGCAATGCTTGCAACTCTTGGACTCAAGCAATTCTCCTGCCTTAGGCTCCCAAAGTGCTGGTATTACAGGTGTGAGCCACTGTGCCCAGCCAATTGTTTCTCAAATATTATCTGACTCAATGCCTTTGCATTTCTGCTTCCTCTGACTGTAATACTCTTTCTCAGATATTCACATATCTCACTCTATCATTTCCATCACTCTGATAAACGGGTCCCTCGATAATCCCAGTTTATCAGAGAAGCACTCTATATTATATCGGGTGATCCCTTACCACCCTATATAAACTAGTACTCTCCTCCTCTGTCTTGCCTTCCCTAACACTCTTACCTTGCTTTTTTCTCCATAGCACACAAACCACCTGGCACAATATATGTTTTCGTATTTACTTGTTTAGTTTTGATTTTCTTCACTAGAATATGAGTTCCAAATGGTAGCCATGGAGCTGCGCAGCTCAGATTTTTCTTTCAGCTTCAAGGATTGCAGTTAGCTAACATGTTTCTATTCCAGTGCCTTAGAGAGCCAATACAGTACTCAAGCCTAGACCATGTTCTCTTTGGACAGCCCCAACAGAAAAGGAATATTAGGGCTTGGTCATTCCTGCCCAATGTGGGACTTGTCCAAAGTCCCACATTTGCTCCAGATCTCCCCATTGTCTTTGATGAGACTTTTTTCAGCTCTGCAACACAGTCTGACTTTCTTCTTGCCTAGTCCTGATTCCTTCCCTTTTTGCTTTCATAAATATCAGATTCGTATTCTGGCCTCAAGCTTCACCCACATCAATTCCGTTTCTTTCCCCTTTATATTTCACAAGATTTACCATCCCACCTCCCACCCTTCCCAAATCTCTTGTATTCCTGACTTGCTCTTAAGTCTTAGTATCTTATTCATGAAGTATCTGAATGGAGACAGTTGTTACTGGGAGCATTCTAAGTAAGTAGTAGTTTGGGGTTAGGGATTGGGTTATCCGCCCTCCACCCCGCCCATGGCTGACACTGAGAATCTCATCCTGGATGGTGGGTAGAATGCAGATAGTCCCTGGCACAAAGATGTGGTACATTTGCTAAAAATTTCACTAGGGTGACTGGAAAGGATGTTTGAGTGGAGGGAATTATACTAGGTGGTGTAATAAAAGTGTGGAGGACACAAAGGATAATGATATTGACTGATTGTTAATAAACCACAATGATGTCCTAATGAAAAATAGTGAAAAGTTGCAATCAGTTAACAAATAATTTCTAAAAAGTGTGAAGGCCAAAGTTTTATCTCCTGCAATGGGAGAAGAGAAAAAGCTGAAAACCAAATTTAGGACTTAATAGTTAGAGTTGTTGAGTTTCAAAAACGATTAAATGATCCACCAAGAGAGCAAAGGTCCTGTTGAATCATAAGCTATGGGTGCCAGCTGGACATTTTGGAGTGTTGTTTCCAGGGATAGCAGGCAGGAAGAGGAGCCGTCATCCTCTGATAAGCAGGAGGAGGTAGGAGGAAAATGTAGCGAACTCCGATGATCCACTTTGGTGCCTCTTGGCCCTCCCTTGCTCAATCGTGACTGAGGAGGATATGGTTACACCAGACTCAGACTTCTCAGGAAAGCTAGTTTGAGCTACATCACTAGGTAAGTTCCCAAGACCATCAGAGATGATGCCTGAGGTGGGGAAAATTTAGAATATGGAGTGGAAAAGGAAGACAAGGAGTACCAATTATAACTTCAAGAACTGCAGTAATGGGATTATAGTTGGTTCCACTAATCCCTGTCTTCTAAATTTTTGCTCAGGAAGAGAGACTAACTGAACTTTGAAGGGTCCAACACCCAACTCATGTATAGAGAGGTGAATCACATGGCACAAAGAGTGAAGTGTGGCATCTGTAGAGGTGCGATGCTCAGATCTCTATTCTAGGAAGAAATTGTTCAGCTCTAAGGAGTGCACTTAGCTGACTGCCTTCAACTGCAACATCTACCGAATCTGCTGCAACTTTCAAGCTGAAGACATGCTCTTCTCACTGAGTCTCCAGCCAATGACTGAACATGGTGATATTAGTAAAGCCTGACCATTTTTGCCCAGTATGAGACTCTTCTAATAGAAAAGCTCTGTGCTGTAGCTGTTTCTTGAATTGGCTGAGACAGCGCTGTATCTGCAGCACAGTCTAGTGCTCTTTCTGCCCAGTTTTACTTCCTCCCCTCTTTCTTTTCACAGATGTTATACCTTTATGACAGTCTGAAGCCTTTCTTGCCAAATTCTGCATATTTCCTCTTTATAGTTCATAGTTCACTTACCCTTACCCCACCACATGTATTTGCCTCTTGCATTCCTAACTGTTCTCAGTATGAGGGCAAGAGTTATCTTTTTAATTCTGAACGAAATTTCCAGTGTTTTGAACAGTATATTCCAAGTTACAGGCATTAAATAAGCAAATTTTGAAAATTGCATCCTGAGTTACACATGATAATTATCTCCCTTCTCATTAGTTTGTAAGCTCTCTCAAGACTGATATGATAATAATAATAATAATAGTAATAGTTACTGAGCACTTACTATGTGTTAAGTGCTGTGCTTACATTACCTCGTTTAATACTTACCTTAACCCTGTATAGAAGGGTTTCTCCTTTCCTCATTTTTTAAGCAAGTCTCCAATAGATTGAGTTTACAATGTGCAAATGCCCAAGTGTCATTTTTTCAAGGAAGAATATTGCAATAAGTTCATTAGATATTTCCATTAAATAATTTCAAGCAATGATACTAAGGGTATTATTTGTACTTATTTCTGTCTTATATTATCTCTTCTAAATGTAACGGATTTACTTAAGCTTAAAAATGCTGGTTGTATCAGAACTAACAACTTTGAAATGGAAGGCTTCCTAACCATTTTCCTGCTTCTTGACTCACCAAACTTCGGGCAGGGTTTTCTGGTTATCCTGCCACTGTCTTTAACTTCTTTGTGGCTTCTGATAGCTATCATTTAAGGATTACAGAATCTCCTTTTGGTTAGTATCATGGATGGAGAAAACCATTAACATGGTGGAAGCTATTACTTCTTGATCCCTATGGGTCCTGAAAGATGATGACCTTCAGGAGCATGTTCACAAGTGCTGCTCTGTGCCAAGAGAAAATTCAAAATTTTAAAACAAATCTCCCTTCACTTTATCCAAGTAGCCTTAAATTTATATCAATCATCTTGTTTAGCAAAGTGATTTGATATACTCTTTTTATCGTCTTCCTAGAGTACAGACTCAAGAAGACTTGTTTCAATACATTCCCTTGGGATTTCATGCAGTATTCAGATTGAATTTTGAGCTTATCCTGTTTCTTTATGTGAGAGCCACACTGGCCCTCCTACACAGCATTAACTTAAAGACCCTTTAAAAGCGAAGTGCCCACACTCAAGAATGGCTGCTGGATAAATAGAACTGTTCTGGAGTCTTTCACTCCCTTTTTGTCCCATCTATGTATGCAGTCTCAGTCTTTCTCCCTATCTTCCCAGACTTCAGAATTTAGTATGTTACTCCCACCTGGATTATTATACTCTAGATTTGATCTGTTATTCTCCTCCATGGTTAGATGACTTTGAAGTGGCTCTTGGAACCATTAGCAGCAGATGGGTTATCTTCAGTAGGAATCTCTGCTTGAGGTTCTTTACATAATTCTAATCTGATGGTTGTTATAGGCTAACTGATCTCTCTCTCTGTCTCTCTCTTTCTCTCTGTGAATGCATTAGGGATTCTGTGATCAATTTTTTATGTTCATTATAGGGTAAAGTTATAAGATGGTAGACATAAGTCAAGATGGTAGAGATAATTAGATATTAAAAAAGCTTTTTAAGATATTAGAGAAAAAATGATCAAATGGTTAAAAAATTTTTGAGAATTTATCTGTACTTTATAGATAAAGACTTGCAAGGTTAGTTTTGTTCTAACTCTAGCTCATAATCTGGTGACCTTGACCTTGCTTGAATATCAAGTTTGAACTTGATGTTCTATGGAAGGCAAAAACTGTGTAGGGCAAGTATGAGCTGGTTCAGTAATACCCTTGGAATTAAGAAACTAACAACATAACGAAATACCATAATGTTGTTAGCCATTGTCAATTTACTTTCTGTCATCTGAGAAGAAACACTCTACACACACACTATTATAGTGGAGTGGGACCCTGGGTCCTTAGAATTTTTTGGTTTCCATATTGTATCTTTTCTCTTTTCCCATTTTTCTCACCTCATATTTTCATTCAGTGATCCTCAGATCTCATAATACTCTCTTTTTCCACTAGGCTAGGGGCTCCACCATGACTGATATTATAATACTAAAATAATTTTTAAAACTACTGAGCACTTACTATGTATTTGGCACAGTGCATGTGCAGTCTGTTTACCTCTGATTCTGCCTTGTCTTCAACCATGACATGCATCCTATCTAGACTGAGAAATTTTCTTGTATTTGAATGATCAGTTTCATTCTTTATCGTGTATCTCCAGAAGGAATTAGTCTTTTTCCAGTATGATATGACTATGGTTAATAACTTGATTAAAGCTTTGGTGGATTAGTTTAATTACCTAGGTTAAATATTGGCCTGGAATATTCCACTGCAGCGTTCTCTAAGAAGAGCAGAGTAATTTTGATGCATATTTGTGTGATTGTAGGATGAAGTTTTATATATCACATATCCAATCATTTAAAGTATGCTATCTTTAGGATCTTAATTTGTTTAACGTTATGGAGAATTAGGTTCATAATGTGACAGTGATAGTCCTGAAGAAATCAATCAAGATATATTTCTAAGTAACAGTAATGGAGAGAACACTGGCTTTTAGGAAGAGCACAAGTCCTCTCTCTAGTCCTTCTCTTACTTCATTTCCAAGGAAGATAAGTAATTTCTCATGGAGATTCTAGGACATTTTATTGGGTCATCGTCCTAGTGGGCAGAACTTGCAAAGGTGAAGCTTCTGACCACCTACTGGTTTTTCTTTCTTCTTCTTGTTCTTTATTCCATTGTATGAAAGTAATAAGGTTTCTGGAGTCCTCACATGTCAACCTGTCCTCTGATTTCATTTTCCTCCTTTCTGAGTCTGTGAGTCTTTTTATTCTACGGAAGTGGGGGTATTCTTTAGACAAGCCTTAATGAACACAGATCAGAAAAATGCAAAGCGCAGCTTTGAACATAAGGCGATGACTCTCATTTGAACCGAAGACCGCCTGTCTCAGAATGACCAGTTAGCTAAAGAGTTGATTCCTGGACCCAACTCAAAGACAAAGAATCAGAATATCTAATGGCATACAGAGATTACCCTGTTTAGGAGATTGTTATGTATGCTTAAGAATTGAGGTTTAGTTTAGCAGTGATTCTTCATCCTGGCTGCATATTAGAATTTCCTGTGAATCGACAACTGTTGATAGTGGAGCCACATTCCTAAGAAATTAAATCAGCGTTTAAGCTGAATTTCTCCAAAGAATTCTAAAATGCAGTGAGATTTGAAAGCCATGGGTTAGGAAAATAGTGTTACCTGAATAGTACAATCTTATCTTTGACTTGCTTTGCTTTCTTTCTGACCCTGTGGTATAAGGTCCAATCAAAGCTGGATTCTTATACAACCAGTGCGGTCAACACTTCCAACAGGAAGAAAGATGAGATATATTTGGAATTAATAATAACAAACATGAACTAGAATATTTGTATTGAGCTATTAGCCTGGGAAACTTTATTATAATAAGTTATAAACCTAAAAATACAATCATGAGGTAAATTCAAGTTACATACATTGTTTACTAAAAAATGGAATAGATTTTTAAGCATATTAAACCAATAATTCTCCTCTGAGGTTTGAAAGATAATAATCAGAGTATCATTTAAAATGAAAAGAAAAACCTTCTCTGTCTTATTCTTCCTATAGGTGATAGTAATCTGATGCATGAAGTCCCAATTACTGCAACTGCTGCTGGGTTTTTAAATCACCATTATATTGCTAAGGCATAAATCAGTACTCAGATTAATGTTTTATGTTTGTGTGTCAGGTGATCTCCTATATGGCTTCCCAGGGTTCTTAGGTATGGGGCATATTTTCTTAAAGGATTCTATATTCAAATGTAACACACACACACACACACACACACACACACACAGACACACAGTGCTCTGAAATATGTATATTTGTCTGTATAGTTACTGAAGTTGCCATTTATAAATTTTATTTCTTTGGTGATAATAATTTTAGTGAATCTGAGCATTCATTTCATTGATGTGACTTAGTTTTCTTGTTTTGAAAACAGTAATGGTAATTTAAACGAACAGAAAAATCAGCAGTGATTTGTGTAATGCAATGTTTGAATCAAATGGTTAAAACCCAAATCTCAAATTACAGCACACTGGATATATTTTGTTCATCAGAGAGCTGAATTTGCTAAGAATATTCATCCATAAAGGGAAGGAAAAATGTATATGCATCGATCCATTATCACATTGCCTTTATTGATAAATAATGATAATTGTAAAGATGTTAATTTGTTTCATTTCAGTTTTAAATCATTTTACTGCCATTATTCTACTAAATGCTTAAGTAGATTAGGGTAGAAATCAATAAAAGGATATGGTTTTTATGGTTAAGATGCTAATTCTAAGAAAAATTGTGTAGGTTGAAATAATGCTAAACTTGGTAAAAAGTTTGCATACTACAAAAACAGTTACAAAATACTATGTTTAGGGTATCTTAAAGCTCATAAAACATTTTCGGTAGCTAAATAATATTTTAGGTTTATAAGACACAATCATCTACATCTAAGGCAGACTTGGGAAATGAGCTTGGTTTAATGAGGGAGTGTGAATAAATTATATAAGCTTTAAAACCATCTAAATAAATTTCTGCCCTAATATCAATTTCCATTTTCTCAAATCTACTTGAATCCCAGATTATTTTGATTTGCTATCTGCAGTTATCTCCAAATGTCTTTGAAGGTTATCTCTATCTCTTAATCCATGTGACATATTATTATCAATAAAGAACTTCTCTGACACGCTTTCACACAAAACCTTCAATTTCTTAATAGTTTATTTATTTTGTTGTATAGCTACACACCCAAATATATTTATATAACAAAATAAATAACAAAATACTGTGTCTATATAACAAAATTATTAAACTATTATATGTATATATAAAATCGTATAGATATAAAATCCTCAAATCCTTTGAGTACTATTAAAGACCCTTCAGACTCACCCTGTATTTTTACTTACCTTTTACCCTCACCTGCCCTCTTTCATCTCTCTTAGCCATCCCAAGAATACATTTTCTCATTCCTGATTATTCGCCCTGGTACTCCCTACTCTTCTCATTCTACACCCCTGACTTACATTATTTCACTCCTCTGCCCAAAATGTTTCCCATTTCCTAATTGGTCTCTGAATATCTTGCCCTGCTGTAACATATATTTCATTCAATAGCTAAATGTGATTATTTTAACATGGGAAATCTGATCACCACCACCCTGCTTATAACCTTTAAATGATTTTAATCATTCTTAGGATATATTAAGAAATCTCTGATATGACTAACAAAGCCTCCAGTAATCTGATCACTGCCAACTTCCCTGTAACCATCTCTCAGTTTTTCTCTTTGCTTTAGACATGTTTATGCTTTTTGAATTCCAGGGATAGGCCATAATACCTAAAAGGACATCTGACATATAAAACATTTTCCCTGCCCTCTGCCACCACATCCTTCTGATTTTTTCCAGTTCTTCAGGTAGGAAATACAGAGATTCTAGTGTTGGTATGCTTTTAATAAAATAAAAAACAAGTGACTTCCATTTTTAGGCAAGGTGGAGCAAAAGGCACTGATTTTTTTTTTATTATACTTTAAGTTTTAGGGTACATGTGCACATTGTGCAGGTTAGTTACATATGTATACATGTGCCATGCTGGTGCGCTGCACCCACTAACTCGTCATCTAGCATTAGGTGTATCTCCCAATGCTATCCCTCCCCCCTCCCCCCACCCCACAACAGTCCCCAGAGTGTGATATTCCCCTTCCTGTGTCCATGTGATTTCATTGTTCAATTCCCACCTATGAGTGAGAATATGCGGTGTTTGGTTTTTTGTTCTTGTGATAGTTTACTGAGAATGATGATTTCCAATTTCATCCATGTCCCTACAAAGGACATGAACTCATCATTTTTTATGACTGCATAGTATTCCATGGTGTATATGAAAAGGCACTGAATTTACCCTACTACCTGAAAAAAAGAGACAATGGAAAAAAATATGAAAAACTTCTCAGGTGGTCGGATTTTCAAACAGTCTGCAAAATCTTCCCATCACCTAACCTGTGGTTGTAACTTTTGGTCACTTAACGAGCCACTATGCCTTTCTTCTGTAATGCCATATCAGTAAATTTAATTTTATGTATATTAAAATCAAATAAAATTCTCCTCAAAAAGAATCAAAGCCATAAATGTAAACATAAAACTACAAAACTCCTAGAAAAAAAAACAAGAAAAAAACTATGTGATCTTGATTTCAAATGCATGATCCATAAAAATACGAAATTGATAAATTAGACTTCATCAAAATTAAAACTTTTCCTTTTCAAAGCATGGTTAAGAAAAGTCAAAGTCTAGGAGAAACGATTTTCAAATTGCATATTCAAATACTTAGGAAGTGTATTTAAATTATATTGAAAATACTTTGAAAACATAATTATTAGAAAATAAACCATCCAGTAAAAAGCTGTGCAAATTTTTGAACAAATATTGCAAAAATTCAGCAAAGAAAAAATACTTGTAATAATAAGTACATGAAGAAAGGCTCAACATCATTAGTCAACAGGGAAATATAAATTAAAACCACAACGAGATATCATTGTACACCTATCAAAAGTGGATAAATTAAAGAGACTAATTATACTAAGTGTCGGCAAATATGTGGAGAAATTGGACTTCTTATGCACTGCTAGTTGGAATGTAAAATGTTATGACTGCACAATAAAAATTTTATCAGTTTTTAAATAAGTTAAACATATACCTGCCCTATGATCTAGCTGTTTACTCCTAGTTATTTTGACAAGAGAAATAAAAGTATATATGTGGCACACAAATGTTTCTAGCAGATTTACTTGTAATAGCTGCAACCTTTCTTATAATTTTGTGGTACACCATCCAAATGTTCATCAACAAATGAATGGACAAACTGTGATACATCTGAAGAATGGAGTACCACTCAGCAGTAAAAAGGAATGAATTATTAGTACACATTATAAAAAGAAATCAATCTTAAATATGCTGAAAGAAAATAGATAAAAGTACATATTCTATTATTTCATTTGTGTAAAGTTCTAGTAAGTGCAAACTAATCTATCGTAACTGAAAGCAGGTCAGTGGCCAGTGAACTAGGGGTACATGCTTTACCGAGAGGAATTCTTAAGGGAGATGAGGAAACTTTTGGTGGCAAAGGATGTACTTATTATTTTGATTGTGGTGATGATTCCATAGGTGGATCCATATATCAAAACTTATCAAATTGTATTTAAATGTGTAGTTTATTATATGTCAGTTATACCTCAATAAAGCTGTTTTATCTTAAAAAAGAAAAGAATGTGTCTGATAGGCAAAGCTTCCCTTAAGCTACTTCTGTAGCTCTCCTGAGTTGATGAGAGGTGAAATTACTCAGCAGAATGTGTGGGGTGCTACCAAGATTAATAGTTGCTAACTGAAAGGTTTGGAGAATGTGACTTCTATTGACTTGAGAATGGATCTGGGTTCTTGAAGTCTAAACCTGGAAATTCTCAAAACCTTATAAGCTGTTATCAGTTTAGTTATCTGGCCCATGATCTAATTATGCATTTCTTATATTGTCTAGTTTTGTGTCACCTGCAATTCAGTAAGATTGCTTTGGACCCTGTTGTTTAGATTATGTTTGTAACACCCAATGCAGATAGAATTTTGTGGAATCCAGTTTGTACTTGCCTTAATTGATTTTGGTAACTCTGAAAAAGGCTTTCAAAGAAAAATTTTAAATAAAATTTTATAGTGAATTACACATACTGAACATGTTTTTAAAAATATCTTGATTACATTTATCATCAATATGAAATGTAATGCAATTCTCATCCTAAATATTGATGATATTTAATGTAATTCCATTATTTTGAAAGCTTGGAAAGTCTCTATTTGTGGTGAACAATTAAATGTAGGACCAATGGTTTTAGTAAATAGACTAAAAAATATGAAAACCACATAACCCAAGTAGTTATATAATACTAAACAAACTTTCTGAAACATATTTTTAGGGCTATATTCAGTAAAAAATACATGGAATCAGCAGTTTTTCCATGGATTATTTTTTCTGATGGCTTAATAGTCTGGTCTTTGCATGACTGAAATTATAGTTGGAGTACTGGAATTTACATTGCAGTAAAATTCCCTTCCTTTGCTGTTCAATGGGTATGGCTTTTAATTAGCTGATGGCTTTTAGTTTTCCTAATGTTATAAAGATTATTCAGTTATTATATATAAAGTACATAAATAATCGTATTTTAAGCCACATAGAACAAAATTAATTACGATTTTTAAAAATTGAAAAGTAATAATATATTTATTTCACATTAAACATGAAATCAATATTATTATATAACCTTGCTCACATAGACAGTATTAGGCCTTAACAATCAATAGTGAGATTCTATCTAACTTTTAACAGTTTGGTGGGGCAGTTCTTACTAGTCTATAATTGTTAGCCCTTTTTAAAAAGACCCCTTTTAAAGCCCTTTTAAAATCTTTTTTACAGATTTGTTAAGCAGGTGATTTTTAATTGAATAACATTGCTTACCTAAATTCAAGTGATAAGGTTAAAATATGCTTCTATTTTGTAGGTTAGCTTGTACTCATTCATGCTACTGGAGATCTAGACTAGCAGTTTGTTAGGAACAAACTTTGTTTTCAGATATCACTATTCTAATAATGACTAAACTGTACACTTTGGTGTTATCGTTAATATCACATTGGCCTTTGCCAGACATATCTATTTCGTCTAAAGACTAGTTTGCCAATTTTACTCCTAACTTTTGTTTGTTTTTGTTTTTGTCATATCTATCTCTTCCTCTCCATTCTTTTCTACAGCTGTAGTTTGGCACTTAAACTATCTTTCAATGGGACAAGAATGCTAACCTCTCAGGTAGACTTTCAGACTTTTCCCAGAAAAATATTTGAGTCATGGTAGAAAGAATCATATTTCAATGCCATTTTGATGTGCCAGTTCAAATACTTCATCTGTCTCTTGAAGCTTGACCTGATTTTTAATTCTTAATTTTATTAAAATATAATTTAATGTTTTGTCATTGTTTTCAAGGTTTCCAACTACTTGCACTCTCCCTATCTTCTCTAGGTATATACTCTTTAGCAGCACTATCTAATAAAAATATAATGTAAGTCATATATGTAATTAAAGTTTTTCTTCACATATACCCTGTAATAATCTGAGTCTAATCAAGTACAGAAATCACACAGTAACTTAAATAGGGGAAGTTTAATATAAAGAATTATTAAGCTAAGATAAAACTAGGAAGATTTAAAAAGAACTCTAAAAGGTATCCTAGAGCTGAGGAAGAGTAGTCAAGGAAGGATAACCTTGAAAGTGGGGGACCTCTTTCAGGCTGAGGTCCATACTCCCTGGAAAAAATTATAATTTCAGCTCACTGGACAGCAGACAATTTGCTAGATTACCTGGGCAAGAGTGATGGTCTACAGTTGCTGAGCAGCAAGGAACAATCCTCGAGGGTGCAATTGTGACAAGCTGAGGCTAGTAGGTGGGTATTCAGAAAGGGTTGGGGCACTCTTGTGGGTGTGGTGTCTGTATCAGAAGGGTTATGGGAAGGTGATGAGGGCCTGTGCACCCTGGATACATAGTTAGGGATGAGCACCAACAAATAAATGTCCTCAAGCACCCACATGTGGAGTGATTGTTTATCAGGAACAAGATAAAACCCCAAAGCTCAGCAGTAAGAACCGGGAAGAGAAGTCTTCTGCATCCTGCAATGTCCCTCTAGCACCTGCAACTGACAAAGCTTAAAATCATATTGCCTATGAAGGAGAAATGTTTAAGAATACAGTTCATTATCACAGAGCATGTACATAAGGGTGACTTTGGGACTCAGATGCAATAAATTGATAATGGACACAGCCATATTAGAAAAACTCAGGTGAAATAAATAAATATAATATTGAATGCAATTTCACAATGCATTATTTCAGCATTTAACCAATACAGAATTGTTAATGAGATATTTTACTTTTTTAATACTAAGTATTCAAAATTCAATGTATATTTTACACCTACAACATAACTTGGACACCAAATTTTCATTGTATATATTTGATGTATATTTAAATTTCATAAAATGTATAGTTGAAAAGGTAGATTCATATACTCAAATTATGTCACATTTACTTACCAGTTTTCCAATAACTTAATTGAGAACCCCAAATCATTTTTATTAACATTCAAATGCATATTGATAAAACTGATTCAGTTATTGGAGGAATTGATAGAACTTTAAAACAAAAGTATATTAATTTCAAGATGGTATCTGTCCAAGTTAAGTAAATTCACTAAATCTTCAATAACTTCACATTATTAACATTAAATTCAAAAGGGTTTGGTAAAATTGAAAATTATGAATTTATCAATATCGACAAAATGTTCTTCAAAATTTCTTGCAGTTTTTCAATTTACATAATGCTATCAAACACAATTAAAGTTTTGCATTTAGATCCATGTTAGATAAGTGAATAAAAGCATTATTTTTGATTATAAGATGAAGTCTGAATTTTAACATGAATTATCATATCTGTTTAGCTAAGTCACAAATAAGCTTTTCCTTTCCTTGGAGGTTCAAATTTAGCTTATTCGTATGCCATTTAATATGGCTTATAATTTGATAAAAAAGAAGCCCATCAGAATTTTAAATAAATTATGTTAGCTTGAATTAAAAGGAACAGAGGAATTTTATAACAAGATGTATCTAGGTCCTTAACTTTCTGTAGACATGAAGCAGACAAAGTTATTTAGCTCTACACACAGGTGAAGATAGAGCCATGTGTCATGGTAAGCCACTCTCAGGCAACTCAGTCGGCTTTAATTAAGTAACTTTAATGTGTTTAGCTTTGTAATAGATTTGTCATTACTATGAACCTTCCTTCCCTCCTTCTCCCTTTTTGAATTGGAGCACCCGTTGAAGTTTTCCTGTCTCTTTTCCACCATTGTATGTGAACAGATGCCTTGTTTCCTCATATTGAGGAGAACCATTCTCAAGGAACTTCTTCCAAGGAACTGTGCCTAGACTCATCTCTACTTAGACCTGATGTAAATGAAATTCTCAACTTGTAGTTGATGCAATAATGAAAGGAGGCTGTTAGGGGTCTTGAAATGGGTGAAATTCTTTTGTACATGGAGGGATGTGAGTTTCTGTGGCCAGTAGCTAGGCTGTGATAGTTAGTCTCCAGAGATCCACAAATTATTATTCTCCTCCCTGGATGTACATGCCTCTCTTCCCATTAAGAGGTGGAGCTTATGTTCCCTTCCCATTGAACTTGGGTTGGGACATAATTCCAATGGAATGTAGAAGAAGTGATGGTCTAGATTGCAAAGACCAGGATATAAAAGGCCTGAGAGCTTCTTTTTCCTTCTTAAAATTCAGCTTCAATGCTGTGAGCAAGCCCATGCTGTTACATCAAGATACACAATTTGAGTGTAATTGAGCCCAGCTGATGTTCCAGGAGATGGTTGGCACCAATTTGTTGGTTATGTGAGTGAACCAATATTGAAGTAAATACTCAAGCCTTAGTTAAGACACCCCAGCTGATGCCCCATGGAGTGGAGGCAAGTTGTCTTCTCTGAGGTCTGCCCAAATTGCAAACTCATGAGCGAACAATTGAGTTCTTTTTAATTCACCAAACTTTGGTGTAATTTTTAAAGCAATAATAAATAACCAAACACAATGCTATATATTATTTTTTGGATATATACCCTCATACAACAGTTATATGTGTATCTGTATATATCTATATCTATAGATCTGTAATATCTATATCTATATCCATCCATGTCTCTGTCTATGTCTGTATCTATATTTATATATATCTATTTATATATCTATCTATATGTAATAGACACAGAGAGATGCCACCCAGATTCCACTTTAAAGAGATTTTGCTGCCCAACTGCAAGGAATATCAGCAGAGAGCCTCCAGTTGTTAGATCCTTCACAGCAGTGGTCTCCAACCTTTTTGGTACCAGGGACCAGTTTCATGGAACGCAGCTTTTCTGTGGACCAGGCATAGGACAGATGGTTTTGGGATGATTCAAGCACTTTACATTTATTGTGCACATTATTTCTATTATTATTACATTGTAATATATAATGAGATTTCTATATTGTTCTATTATATTCTGCTACTCTATTTCTATTATTATTACATCATCATATATAATGAAACAGTTATGCAACTCACCATAATGTAGAATCACTGAGAGCCCTGATCTTGTTTTTCTGCAGCTAGATTGTCTAATGTGGGGACAATGGGAGACAGTGACAAATCACCAGGCATTAGATTCTCCTAAGGAGCACGCAACCTAAATCCTTTGCATGCACAGTTCACAATAGAGTTTGCGCTCCTATGAGAATCTAATGCTGCCAGTGATTTGAGAGGCGGCAGAGCTCAGGTAATGCAAGTGATGATGAATGGCTGTAAATACAGGTGAAGCTTTGCTCGCTCACCCACTGCTCACCTCCTGCTGTGCAGCCTGGTACCTAATAGGCCATGGCCAGTACTAGTCCATGGCCCAGAGGTTAGGGACACCCTGCTTTAGAGTTTTCCATAGTGCAGGGGCCCATCTTGCTTGAGGTTATGCTCTTTCTGTGGCATCCCACACCTAGTGATTGAATGAGGAGGGCCAGGTTATTTTAGCCCAATGAAGGATATTCTTTTGGATAATATTCCATCCAGAACTCCCTGCCGGGTTGACCTAGCCTTTGTTGAGCCTGCACCCCAGTGACTTCTTCCTCTGCCCAACCCTACTCTCTCTCCACTCCCTTGATAGACATTGGTCCTTAAAAAATATTTTACATCCAATATTCTGTCTCAACATTTGCCTTCACAGGACCCAACCTTCAACAATACCTGTATATCTATATCTACTCAATTTACTTAAAAACATTGATTAGATGCATATCAGATTTATGATTTTACCATAGCTTTTTTTTTTGACGAAATAAATGGGAAGAAAGGAGTAGGAGGGGAATATAAAGAATTTCACCTTAGCTTTAGGTTTTAATTTGCAAATCTGAAACAAACATGAAACATTTAATATTTGGCATGTACATGGATTTTGGTTCCATTATCATTTGTACTTTTTCTTGGTCTTTGATTAATTTTATAAAACGTCTATTTTGCACAGATCTGGTTGTTTCTTAGGTTTCTCTACTTAGCATTATGTTTTTTAAGACATATGTATGTTACTATTTTTATATGCATACAATATTTTCCCTGTTTCTGCATGTAGTTTATAGTGTGCAAATCCACATTTTTATCTATCTCCTTTCCCAGTGGTGGACTCACAGATCTCCAGCTTCTCATCATAACAAACAATCATTTTACCACTTCCCTTGTAGATAGGGTCATAAATTTTATTCAGCATGAAACAGGTCAGTAAACGCTGTATTTGAGATAGGCTACATTAGTATATGTAACTTTAAAGACTCATGTCCTTTTTCTCTCCCTGACAATTTAAATTAAAGGCCATAGGAAGAAACCTTTTAATCCCAAATTAAGGGGCCACTGATTTTCCCACAGACTTACTAATGAAGTGAATCAAGCCATTATGGTGTATTTTAAATTCTGTGTGAATATTGAGTGTTGTTTATGTAGTCGTTAAAAAGTACTTATGGAAAGAAAAATTCTCCCATGCAAGTATATGAAAATTGTTGATATTGTTATGAACTCATTTGAAAGTAGCGTATTATTTGCTTGCAGTCTGTCATAACTTCTTACCTAAAAAATACTTGTAAGTACTATGAAAGAATTACCATTTTCTGCCCTGTCATCATGAATCTTGGCATCTTTGACAATTCATCTCATTTGAGTTGAAATTATGAATCATAAATAATACCATCTATCAAATTTTCAGTCTCATGGCTAACATGAATAACCAACTTGGACACTGGTCAACATTATGTACTAGTTGTAACCTAACTAAAGTTTAAATTTCTAACAGAATATAAATTACTTTCTCCTTATGAACAATGATTAAGCATATTGAATGATGACACTTTTTTACTTCACTGCTTTAGAAATTTGGAATGTTAAAAAAATTGTTTTTCAAAATAAAATTTAAGATTGTTTTTATTTCCAGCTGAGAGCTATGTATGGTCAATTAGAGGTGCCCACAAATTATTTAACGTACTTCTCATGGAGAGGTAGTGTCTATGCCTTACCTCTTGAATCTGAGGAGTTTCTGATATCTTTGGTCAATAGAATATGATAGTGTGACATTGTGTATGTTTCTAAGCCCACCTATTAAGAATTAGTGGCAGTTAGTTTTCAATTCTAACCTCTTGGAATGCTCATTCTGAGGGCAGCCAGCTTCCAGGTAAGAAATCTGACTATGCTGGGAGGGCCATGCTATGGAAAAGCCTAGGCCAGTCACATGGATAGCCACTTGGAGAAAGATGTCTAGTCAACTCCTTGCTGTTCCAACCATTTCAGTACAGGCATCAGACGTGTGGGTAAAAAAGACTTCAGATGAACCTAGACCCAGCCACTATCTGACTGTAATCAAATGAGAGACCCCAAACAAGAATGAGTCAGCTGAGCTCAGTTGACGCATAGAATGATGTGAGATAATGAATTGTTGTTTTATGCCATTAAGTTTTGGGGTGATTGATATGAAGCATTTGACAACAGGTACACTTCATCTCCACATTGTTACTCAGGATTATAAGATGTTATGGTAATTATGCAAAAATAAAATCTATCAATGGGGGTCATGTGATCTTTTTCACTAAGAGTTTGTGTCTATCTGTGATACTGAGATGAAAAGCAGGAGGAAACAGGAAATGGTGTGTAGTTTCTGAATGTTTAAAGATTGGACTGTGTTTGAAACTTACTACTGCAGTGATCTATTGGCCAAAGAAGACAAGAAAGAAAAAGAGACACATATGTTTGCAACTGAGGATAAGGTTAATGAGTCTGAAAGTGATTAAGAGTAATGAGAGATTGTTAGAGCGCTAAAGAGTGTTTTTTTTCCCAGAAACTCTTTCGTCGTCCCCACAGAGAACATTTAGCA
The DNA here is from genome assembly GCF_000001405.40 of Homo sapiens. Lineage (NCBI taxonomy): Eukaryota > Metazoa > Chordata > Mammalia > Primates > Hominidae > Homo > Homo sapiens. The sequence goes on from NC_000007.14 coordinate 19,173,795, forward strand.
TTTCTCTGAGGGACTATACAGACTTGGGAAATTATTATTTTGTAATTGAATCTACACTCCTATCTATTTGGAACTGTGGATATGTTATCAGAGTATATGAAAATTTATCTCTGAATATTTGTATATTTTCCACGTTCTATCTTTGAGTCCTGGATCTGTACTTACGAGACTTGTAATCTCCAGCAAACAACCTAGATCACTGACCTTCAGTATTTTAATCTGTAAATGAAGATAATGACTGAAACCAATTCAGAAGTCTTTATTGTGAAGAACACATGAAAGACGGCATGAAAAACTCAGGAGAATGTCTAGCAGGCACTCAATTCTCAAAGTTATTACTATGATTAATATTACTATTATGCCCATTTAAATGATAATAGATAATGAAAAGTAGCAGCAAGGCAGATTGTTTAGAAAATGGCTAAGTTCACTGTTTCTCTATTTTCAAGCAAACTTCAGCAGGGCAAAAGTTCCAGCGGAACCCTACTCCTTCCCCATTGCTATTTGTCCTGAAGATCTGGCATAATATTTTCATAAGTAAGTGACTGTTGAGACAACAATGTAAAATGTCCATTCTGGATTTCTATTTTTAAAAAATACATTAAGTCTACATTTCAGAAGAACATATGCCATGCAATATAGACTAGAGGAGGATAAATAATTCCTTGCCTAAGATGGAGCTAAGTAATGAATAGTGCGAGTTGAGCTGTGATAATATTTCCTTCTTGGAGCAGTGGAAATGAGAAGAAATAAAAACAATTCTTCATGATCTGGAGATTTTTTACCTCTCATTATTAATTTTTTCCATTTATTGCCTTAGAGCCCTCATTTTCTGCATGTGCATATATATACTTGCTGTACTTTCTCATCTCCGGGAAGTCACACATCTTTCTCCCAGGATCACTCACTTCTTTCCCCTTCTCTGACTAAGCCTAATGTTCATTTTTCTAGTCTCAGAGTAGAAATCACTCTGGGATGTCTGCTCTGATCCACTAAAATAGGTGTCCTCTTTCTTAATGTTTCTGTGGCTACCTGAACTTTGTTCAAACTAATACGTCTTACAGTATACTGAAAAATTTGGTATATTTGTCTCTTTCAAATAGACTGTAAGCTGCTAAAAAGAAGTAACTCTTTTGTTTTCATTGGTATGTACATTGCTTGGCATACAGAAGGTACTTAAAAAATGTTTGTTAATTAATGATTAAAGACATGCTAAAGTCAGAGGGTCAAATCTGTTGAGGAAAGAGAGCATGCTGCATGGTGACTCTGACTTTTGCCCAATGACCCTCATCCAGTGACCTTTTGGAGATAACTGAATTTTACATTATTTCCTTCTTTTTATTTACTTTAGCTTTTGCATTGTTATATTTTTCTACTTTTCATCACACTTTATTTAAGGGCTTGAGTTTTCTCTCTAAGTAAAACATTGACCTGTTTTTATTTTTTAATCAAAAAGATTGACTTTACATTTGAAGGAATAATGGTGGCGATTTTCATTGCAAACGTGGATGTTTCCTTAACACACATTAAGACCATATCACACTCTATAGTATTGCAAAAAGGAAGGTGACCTGTTTTCAAAGGTAATAAATAGTTTTAACAACAAAGGACGTAAACACCTCATGAAACAAAAAGTCTCTAGTCATATGAATGACTTGTGGCTAAATATTTCAACAGGATCAACCTTTGCTTCTTTGATCTTTAAATTTTTACCTTTGAATGTCCACACCTGGCACCTGCAGTAAAATGCACAGCATCTGGATTAAAGAATGCAAATAACATCCATTCAGGCACATCTTTAAGAATAACTGCTTGAAAATAAATTGATTTGGACTGCAGGAAAAACTTTCCATGATTTTTGGGGTCAACCTTAACTTTCTTTTTTAGATGGACCTATTATTCCTCCTTTTTTGGTACTGAGTAGGATCATTTACTATTCTCAACTTTTAATACTAAAGAGTGTTATTAGCCTAGTTTATTTGTAAGAATGACGAGTTTTGCTTCTTAAAGTTTCCGTGTAACTTTCTGCTTCAAACAGATTTATAAAGGCAGGAGAGAATTATTAATTAGCAAGATATCTAAATATTTTCTTTATGCTATTTATTGTCTGGAAATTTTATGTCCTTTGGGAAAATGTAAAAATTTGAAACCCGGAGAAAGACTGTTTTTTTAATTGTACATCATCATGACTTATTTTCCCAAAGCTTTCATGGAAGAGGAGTTAGGAAAAATACAGGAATTGGCAATAAAACGAAAACAAAAACAGAGAAAGACAAATATTAATTTATTATTTATAATTAAGTAATGTGGATATTTAAATCCACAATATATCTCAGTACTTTGAGGCAAAATATTTCTGAGACCGTTTTATGTTAAATAGACAACCCTGTGCCTTAGCGTTCTAAGAAAGCTAGTAGATCATGCTCTCTTTAAGTGGATTATTAAACATGCCTTTAAAATATAATAAAAATGTAATAAAATCAGTATAATAAAAGTGACTTTAGGCTAGTCAAGCAATTTATAACATATTAATAGCCATAGGTTTTTTCATTGAAAGCTATTTGGTTATTAGGCATTCATATGTGATTGATCCAATTGAGTTATGAATTTTTATTTCTATTTCCTTCTATCTTTAAAGAAGACACATTAAGAAAATATATTCAAAGTGAATAAAATTATATACAATTAAAATTTATTAATTCATACAATGCTTTAGTTCCTGTTAATTTCCCCCCTACCCCTATTCATCTAGATATCCAGATGTTTGATGTTACCTATGGTTGTATGAAAGCTCTGATCTGAAATCCTATGGCTTACTGGATTACCCTTTACCCACATGGTTTAAATTAATAATAAAAAAATGAGCCAGGGCAATCTTGCAACAAAAGAACAAGACTTTATTGTATAACAGAATTGCAGATGTGGAAAGGTGCTCATAATAAAGACAGAATATTTCTGTTTCATAGAGCATCTGGAATGCCACAGGATCTCTAAGTTATCAGGAGCTAATGTTAGACAGCCTCGGTTTGTGATTAATTTAATATTCAGAGAAACTTTTTTTAAAGCCTTGTGCCATTCATCATCATAATGTCATTTTTGCAATCCTAAAATGATTTACAAAGTCAACTCCTCACCCCCCAATTTCTAAAACAATATTAAGACATCAAAAAGTTTCAGATACAAACTTCAAAGGGCAGCCAAGTCAGAGATTTCTGCCTAAGACAGTTTAGATCATTTAATATCCTCTGGTTTTCCTAGGATAAAATTACAGCCTATAGAATTCTTGGAATCTGGCTAAGGAAGTATTATGTAATAGAGCACAGCAATTTTGGGGACACTGGCAAAGACTACACAGAGAAGGAGATGCCATCTTTTCAATTTATCAACCTTTCAGTGAGTGCTTGTGAAATACTAGAGGCATAAGAAGTTATCCCTGTGTAAATAGCAAGCTCTGATAACTAGAGAAAGGTTTGTGTGTAAAGCTCAGGATGACATTCATTTAAGGACACTTACTTTCTTCTTTGCAGTCACATCACACTACAGTGAAGCTTCGACTCAAGGTGGAAGGTGATGCCTCATAAATGAGGTGGGAACAGATGACAGGAACTCATTCTGGCACAGCCACAAAGGGAATGTGTCCAGTCACTGTGGTTTTCTAGGGACAACTGTGACTTCTGGTTGCTTTTGCAGCAACATGATGTGGCATGCAAGAATTACAACGCACATAATTTTGGCGGCAGGAACCACCCTGTGTGTAACCACCAAGTCTCTCTGAGGCAATTTAGCGTTTTCTAGAAAAAACACATTCAGCTTGAGGTTCAGCTGGTAAAAGAAAAGACATGCGAAACAAATGTTAGTGTTCTGACTAAACCAACATAAGTGATTATTATAGAAAATGACCTGTTACAGAGGACTTTCCACCCCAGACATGTGCTACCAGAAAGGTGAGCATGTTATAGATTGTGATGTGCTTAAAGCAACATGGATCACTCTCAGTAATATATATACACACATATATATAAATGTTACATATACGATATATTTTATATATATATATTAGACAAGATTTGGTTATTCAAGGCTATACTATTGATCTAATAGTCGGCGTTGTTTCTGGGCCTTAAATTGGCAGCAAATCATACAAAGTGCCTTAAGGTTCTCATAATTTAGATAGATAAACAACAATAACAAGGAGAAATTATAGGAAAAAATTTTTGGAAAGTTACTTTTCATAATTTTAAATTTGATTTAAAAATTTAAGTGTGTATTATTCCTAACTTCACTGTCTCGTGCATGTGCCCAAAAGTGTCAGTAGCCTTAGGCCAAAAGAGCATGATTTAAAGTGATTAAAGTGTGAGATCTGCTTAAATATTTAATGCATCTAGACCTTAGGAAACCAGAGTCACTTTGTAGATATATTTCAAGGTGGCATAACTAAATAGATTCAAGCACTTATTAGTTCAAGCTGCATTTTATACTGTTTCTAACATGTGTTGATCCTCCCAGTTTATTTTCACTTCATATTTTACATTCAGATATGCTATTCCATCAGAATGTGGCTACTCTTTATTGCTTTTAAGGGTTTGGGAGCATAACTCTCTGTTTTAGCATAAAGTCTTGAATAAATTGCCCTATGTTGTATTTTTGGGTTCATATTCTTCTTTAGATTCTCCCAAGAAGTTATGTAGAATTTCTTTGTGTATGAAATGTTTAAAATAAAGGAAACCATGACCACATATTCAAAGTTGTAATAGGCTTAACCATAACATCAGCATAACTTTTCACACTTTTTTCCATGGTATTTCCTTGTCTATTCTCATTTTAAAGATAAGTAAAAGCTGGAAAAGTAGTTATAGGTAAAGGATAGAAGCATATTTAAGATTAGAAAGTAGGATAAAGAGGTGGAATATATCAAAATAAGGTTAAAAGATCCAAAATAGGGAGGTGGTGACTGAGCTATGTTTGGAGATATGTGTATGCTTTACCTAAAAAAATTAAAACTATGATGTCATAATAATAGTGGATAGAACAGAAGTGTGCGAAAAAAATGAATATGACTTCACGGAGATTATCAGTGACAAAATGTTACCCCTTTGCTTTTTGGTTGACAATCTTTCCACCCGTTTATTCTGTATCTGCCAACGTCTAGATTATTTTATTTTAAAACATTATTTTACCTTTTTATTTAGGTCACACACTAATGGTTCACAGGGACTGAGTAGTAGTGAATGGGTAAAAGTGTCCTATTGAAAATTAGGGACAAAAGAAAGCACTCATTCCTAGTAAACTGTGCAGCTACTACGTCAATTCTCTCCACTTACTGATATGAGGGAATATGAGGTCTGTGTAGCTACAGCTAAATCCTTAGCACATCAGTAAGAAAGCAAAAATTTATTTTCCTACTTAAAAAAACTAGAAAAAATTAAAAGCGAACATAAAACCGTAATATGTCATTATTCCAGGTATTTTCAAATTAAGAGAAAACCTAAATAAATCACAGGGAAATCATAATTTTGTGCATGTCTATAAGAGAGGATATATAGTAAGATACGCATTTCTTTTTTGCAAACCAAAAACCGTCAGGATGTAGAACCATATGAGGCCCTGGAATTCCAGAGAGAGAGAATTAAGACTTTATATTTTCTTGATTCTATCTGTTCTTCTCACTTTGTCAGTTTTCGCTCTTTACGTCTGGCTGCTGTGCACAACTGAACAACGTTAGGCTACAGGCGGTATAAGAACCATAATGCCTTCCACTGTCAGATTTTTAAAACTTTTATGTATGCTATTAAAGCAAAAAGATGGAAATTTAAGCAATTACATTAAGGTGGCTTCTCAGGCACTGTCTTCTGCATTTATACAGGTTTTTCTCTGGAAGTATGTTATTAGTTGTCTGAATTCCAGTTAGATTATGTGTGTCAAACTGAACAGCCACTGACAAGAGTATGTATATAAAATGCAAATATTTGATTTTTAGGTAGTGTTTAGCAATATTTGCTGTGTCTTTTTGTAGGAGATTGTTGTAGCCTTTACTACCTGTAAGACAGTTTGAGGCCACACCTTTTAAAAGTCAGTTTAGGAGCCCCTTAATAAAGAATTTAGGCAATGTTACCTGTTTGTTGGATATTCAGCTGGTATATGTATTGTGGCAAATCATTAGGACTTCTATGAATCATATGGCCTCTAATATAGAGGATTTATACATTGTTTTAGATTAGACTAATTTTTTTTCATGGAGAATTATGCCCTTTTTTTCCAATAAGTAAAAGCATTTTATGCACAAGGAAATATGGTGGTGGCATATAAAATGTGGAAAGACCACAGGAAAAAATTATCTTTCAGATTAGATATATCTCTTTTTTTAGCTTATTAAGAAAAATTTAATCTTGGAGACCTAAAAATACACTAGATCTATTCTTGCTCACAAAAAGATTGTAATCCAACGAGAGAAACAGAAATAAACATCTTTGCTTACAATGGTAACTATAGCTAGTGAGTATAGATGCCTCAAAGATTTGTGGAAGTAGATGGTTAAAATAATAATTACAATAGACTATGAAGTGTTTTATAATTAATATCACTTTTCTGAATATGTTTGGGATAAATGCTGGATAGTAGGGTTGTAGAAGAGGTGGAGACTAATTGTTTTGAGGAAGTTAACACTGAAACTATTTTTTAAGGCTAGTCAATTGAAACAGTGGGTGTGAAACTTTTTAAAATTATTTTTCTCTTTTGAGATAACTATAGATTCACATGCAGTGATAAGAATTGATACAGAGAGAATACATGTACCTTTTGTCTGGTTTCCCCAGTGGTAACATCTGGCTAAATCATAGTACAATAGCACAACCAGGATATTGACATTGATACAGTTTAGATACAGAAAATTTATGTCACCACAGGATCTATCATGCTGTCCTTTTGTAGCCAAACCCACTTCTGTCCCATCTCCTCGAAACCTCTAATTTGTTATTTATTTCTTTCATTTTTGTCATTTCAAGAAAGTTATTTTGACTCAACATATTTCTTTGGAGACACATGCCGATTGTTGTGTGTTTGGATAGATTATTTTGGTTGCTTTTTATTCTATTGTATGGATATACCACTATTTCTTTAACTATTCATTTATTGAAGGACATCTGGGTTGTTTTCAGTTTGGGGCTATCAGGAATAAAGCTGCTATAAATATTGTTTTACAAGTTTTTATGTGAACATACATTTTTGTTTCTCTGGGATAAATGCCAGGAGTGTAATTGCAGGGTTGTGCGGTGCTTGCATGCTTGGTTTTTAAGCAACTGCCAGCCTGTTTCTTAGAGAGCCATTGTTGCTCATCCTTGTCAGCACTTGGTGTTGCCACTATTTTTTATTTTAGCCACTTATATAAGTGTATATAAATATGTCGTGGTGGCTTTAATTTGCAATTCGCTAATAGCTAGTGAAGTTGAACATCTTTTCATGTACTTGTTTGCTGTCTGTATATCCTCCTTGGTGAAATGTCTCTTCGTATGTTTTGCCCATTCTCTAATCAGTTGGTTTTGTTTGTTACTGTTGAGTTTTGAGAATATGCATATATTATAGATACTAGTCCTTTATTGGATAATATGGTTTGCAAATATTAATATATTCTTTCTCTCTGTAGCTTTTAAGACTAGATGTGTCTCTTTATAATTCTTCATCAACTACTAATTTTATATGTAGCCCCTATGTAAAGAAAAATTATGGCTCTAACCCAATGGCCTTTAGATTTTTCAAGTCACAGGAGTGAGATTTTTTGCTCCTATGTGTCTTTTTGGTGAAATCTAAATATGGAAATATACATATGAGTTAATATAAATGATCCAGAAGCTAATAAATTTATCTTTAATTAAAATAAATAAATTTAAAGAGGCTTGCAATTACTTCATGTATGTTTAGATGTGCTGGTCATTCACAAAAGAAAACACAAATGTTGGTATGTTAATTCCCTCTGAAGACATCCAAGAAGATCTAACATTGACCCCTCTTCCTTTGTGGTTAGTTGATTAAACATATATTCATCTGTTGCATCTGGCAACTGCAGAAGCCAGTCTGGATGGGGCTTGCTCAGGGTGAGGTGTAAAGGAATGACTGTGCTTTGCTTTTCTGAGCATCATTAAAATTCAATTTCAAAATTTTATTTTAATAATATGAGGGACCAAGCCACTGCCACTGAGAGCAACTATGCCCCCTCCAGTGGCACGGCCACAATGCACCAGGATAGGCCTTCCATGAGCCTGGAAACCAGACTCTCAGGGAACCATTCCAGAGTCTGAGGAGAGCCACCACACCCACTGGCACCAGCACTGAGTGTACCATCTGGAAGCCTGGAGAATCGATCTGCCTCAGCCATCACAGCCAGTGTCCATACAAACCATCAGGAGACTCGAGGACACACCTGCACTACTCACCACTGCCAGCACCTGTGCATGTCATCAGGGAGCCTGGGGGTTGACTTGTCCTACAAACTGCCTTGGGTATCTACATGTACCATCCAGGAGCCTAGCAACAGGTCTGCCCCTTCCATCACTGCCACTGCTGCCAGCTCCTATGGACATCATCCTGGGACTTGAGTATTGATCCATGCTGCTACTACCACCCCCGGCACCCCACATACCACCCAGGGACCCAAGAATCTACTCACCCACCTGTCTTACTACTGCCATCATTGGCATTCAAACAAACCACCTGAAAGCCCAAGGACTGACCCACCTGACCCTGCCATCACCGCTGCTCACAAATGCTGCCTAGGGCACAAGAACTACCCTACCTAGTTTCCTCATTCCCAGAAAAGCCTCTCCATAGCCTCCACTAATACCCACAGCCTACCATTGAAAAACTCAAAGAATACACTGATACTGATTACAGCTGAAGAACTCATATGGAGACTATATTACTGTGCCCACTCATAATCAAAGCCAAAGCACCCTACTGAACCAACACTATGTATATCTATAGAAAAGTCTTTCTTTATGAAAGCCAATCCATAAAATTGGAAGAAATGACTATTACAGCATATGTAGGGATATCAACATAAGGACACAAGAAATATGAAGTAAGGAAGCATGAGGCCTCCAAAAGAATATAATAATTCTCTAGTAATAAATACCAATGAAAAGAAAATCTGTGAAATGGCTGAAAAAGAATTCAAAATTACTCTATTAAAGAAACTCAGTGATATACAATGCAGATAAACACAGATAAACAGTACAAAGAAATCAGGAAAGTAATTCACAGTCTAAATGAGAAATACAATAAGGAGACATGTATCATAAAAAAGAACCAAACAGAAATCTTGAAAGTTAAGAATTCAATAAATAAAATTTAAAAATACAATTGAGAGCTTCAACAACAGACTAGATCATGTGAGAAGGAATTTGTAATCTTGAAGACAGTTCTTTTGAAATAACCCAGTCAGATTAAAAAAATTAAAGAATTTAAAAAACTGAAGAAACTTTACCTCACATATGGGACACCATAAAGCAAATAAGTTATTTAATTATGGGAATTCCAGAAGAAGAATTGAGCAAAGGCATGAAAATCCATTTGGTGAAATAATAGCTGAAAACTTCCCAAGTCTTGTAGAAAATATAGACACCTGGATACAGGAAGCTCAGAGATTCCCCAAGTAGATTCAGTGCAAAAAGGTCTTCTCCAAGGCACATTATAGTCAAACTGTCAGAAGTCAAAGACAAAGAGACAATTCTAAAACTAGCAAAAGAGTTAGGTAAAATGTAAGAGAATACTTTTCAAGTTAACAACAGAGTTCTGAGAAAAACTTCACAGGCCAGGAGAGAATGGAATGATATATTCAAAGTGTTTAGGGGGAGAGAAGAACCTTGTCAGCAAAGAATACTATACCTAGCAAAGCATTCCTTTAAAAATGAAAGAGAAATATAGGCTTTCACAGAAAATCAAGAACTAATGGAATTCATCACCACTAGACTGGTGCTACAAGAAATGCTTAAAGAAGCCCCATATCTGGAAGCAAAATGACATTATCTACCATCATGAATACACAGGAAAGTATAAAACACACTGTTAAAGCAGGTACACAAATGAGAAAGAGGAAGAAGTCGAACATTACCACTGTTGAAAATGACCAAACTGGCCAGACATGGTGGCTCATGCCTGTAATCCCAACACTTTGGGAGGCTGAGATGGGTGGATCATCTGTGTTCAGGAGTTTGAGACCAGCTGGCTAACATGGTGAAATCTTGTCTCTACTAAATATGCAAAAATTAACCAGGCATTGTGGCAGGCACCTGTAATCCCAGCTACTCAGGAGGCTGAGGCAGGAGAATCATTTGAACCTGCGAGATGAAGATTGCAGTGAGACGAGATTGCACCACTGCACTCCAGCCTGGGGAACAGAACAAAACTCCATCAAAAAAAAAAAAAAAAAAAAAAAAAAGACAATGACCAAACTATAATGATAAAGAACGAGAGAAAAAGAATGGAACAAATGATAGAGAAACAATCAAAAAGCAATTACCAAAATGACTGGAGTAAGTTCTCACCTATCAGTAAAAACCTTGAATGCAAATGGATTAAATTCTCTGCTTAAAAGATGTAGACTGACAACAGATAAACAAACATGACCCAATGATATGCTGTCTTCAAGAAACTCAGTTCATCAGTGAAGACACACATAGAGTGAAAGTGAAGGGATGGAAAAAGATTTTCCCCTCAAATGGAAGTCAAAAGTGAACAGAAATAGGTGTACTTACATCAGATAAAACAGATTTTAAGTCAAACACTATAAAAACAGATAAAGAAGGTCATTATATAATGAAAAAGGAATCAATCCAACAAGAGGGTATAACCAGTTTAAATATATATACATGCAACACTGAAGCACCCAGATATATAAAGCAGATATTCTTAGATCTAAAGGAACAGGTAGAATCTAAATCAATAATAATTTGGGACTTCAAAACCCCACTATGGCATTGGAAAGAACATCTAGACAGAAAATCAACAAAGAAACATTGGATTTAAACTGCACTTTAGGCCAAATGGACCTAACAGACAGTTACAGAACATCTTATGCAACAGTTGCAGAATACACATTCTTCTCATTAACACATGGAAAATTCTCCAGGATAGACCATGTGTTAGGCCACAAAAGAAGTCTCAACAAAGTTTTAAAAATTAAAATAATATCAAGTACCTTCCCAGACCACAATGGAATAAAACTAGAAATCAGTAACAAGTAGAACTTTGAAAACTGTACAAATACATAAAAATTAAACAACATGGTCCTGAATGACCAATGGGTCAATAAAATAATTGAGGAAGCATTAAAAATTTCAAGAAGTAAATGAAAATGGAAACACAATGTAACAAAACCTGTGCAATACAGCAAAAGCAGTGCCAAGAGGAAGGTTTATAGTAACAAACATCTACATCAAAAAAGTAGAAAGATTTCAAATAAACAACCTAATGATGCACCTCAAGGAACTAGAAAAGCCAGAACAAACAAAACTCAAAACTAGTAGGAGGGATGAAATAATAAAGATCAGAGCAGAACTAACCAAAATAGAGACAAGAAAAAAGAAAACGTGAACAAAACACAATGAAACGGAAACTTGGTTTTTTGAAGAGACAAACAAAAGTGATAAACTGCTACCTAGACTACCCCTCTCACAAAAGGGAGAAGACTGAAATATATAAAACCAGAAATGAAAAAGGATCATTAGAGACTATTATGAACACCTATACAGTAACAAATTAGAAAAACTAAAGAAAATTAATAAATTTCTGGACACATGTAACCTATTAAGATTGAACGAGGAAGAAATAGAAAACCTGAACAGACCAATAACAAGTAGCAAGAGTGAATTGGCAATAAAAAGTCTCCTATCAAAGAAAAACTTAAGACTGAACAGCTTTACTGCTGAATTCTATCAAATTTATAAAGAACTAGCACCAACTTTTCTCAACCTATTCCAAAAAATGAAGGAGGATACAATTCTTCCTAAGTCACTCTACAGGGCCAGCATTACTTTGATTTTAAGTTACTTAGCTTGTTTTTGAGACACGGTCTCATTCTGTTGCCTAGGCTAGAGTGTGGTGGCACGATCATGGCTTACTGCAGCCTTGACCTCCTGGGATCAAGTGATTCTCACACCTCTGCTTCTTGAGTAGCTGGGACTACTGGTGTGTGCCACCATTCCTAGCTAATTTTTACAATTGTTTTTAAAGTATAGATGGGCATCTCACTATGTTGCCCAAACTGGTCTCGAACTCCTAGGCTCAAGCAGTCTGCCTGTGTCAGCCTCACTAAGTGCTTGGCTTACGGATGTGAGCCACTGAACCCAGACACAGCCTTACTTTGATGCCAAAACCAGACAAGGTCACAACAAAATAGAAAACCGCAGGCCAGTATCCATGAGGAACATAGATGCAAAAATCCTAAACAAATACTGGCAAGCCAAATTCAACAGCAAATCCAAAAATAAAATAAAACACCATAAGCAAGTGGGATTTATCTCAGGGATACAAAGATGGTTCGACATATGTAAGTTAATAAATGTGATACATCATATCAACAGAATGAAGGACAAAAATCAAAAACCATATGATCATTGCAACAGATACAGAAAAAGCATTTGATAAAATTTAACACCCCTTCCTGATAAAAATGCTCAACATTCTAGGCATAAAAGAAATATACTTCAACATGGTAAAGGCCATCTATAGCAAACCCACTGCTAACATCATAATGAAGGGAAAATCTGAAAACCTTTCTGTAAGAAGTGGAACTAGACAAAGATGCCCACTTTCACCACTCCTATTCAACATTGTACTGGAACTCTTAGCCACAGTAATCAGGCAAGAAAAAGAAATGAAAGATACTCAAATTGGAAAGGAGGAAGTCAAGTTGTCCCTTTTTTATTTTTGAGGCAGGATCTTGCTCTGTTGCCTAGGCTGAAGTGCAGTGGCATAATCATAGCTCACTGAAACTTCAACCTCCTGGGCTAAAGCAATCCCCCTGCCTTACCCTCCCAAGTAGTTGGGACCACAGGCATGTGCCACCAGTCCTGGCTAATTTTTTTTTTACTTTAAATAGAAACAAAGCCTCACTATGTTGCTCAGGCTGGTATCGAAATTCTGGGTTTAAGTAATCTTCCTGCCTCAGACTCCCACAGTGTTGGGATTACAGGCAGGAACCACCACGCCTACCTGACATAACTTTACATTTAGAAAAACCTAGACTCCACTAAAATCTCTGAAATCTCACAAATTCAGTAAAGTTGCAGGACGCAATATCATCACAACGTCAGTAGTGTTACTACACACCAATAATGAACTAGCTGGAAAGGAAATAAAAAAAAAACTCCATTTACAAATGCTACAAAAAAAAAAACAAAAAAACTCTAGGGATAAATTTAATTAAGGAAGTAGAAGACTTCCAGAAGAAAAATTACAAAACACTGATGAAAGAAATTGGAGAGAACACAAACAAATGAAAAGACATCCTATGCTCTTGGATTGGAAAAACTAATATTGTCAAAATGATCATAATACCCAAAGCAATCTACAGATTCATTGCAAGCTTTATTAAAATTTCAATAGCATTTGTCACAAAAATAGAAAAAAAAATCCTAAAATGTGTATGGAACCAAAGAAGAGCCTAAATGGCCAAAGCAATCCTAAAGAACAAGAACAAAGGCTGGCACGGTGGCTCACGCCTCTAATCCCAGCACTTTGGGAGGCCGAGGCGGGCGGATCACAAGGTCAAGAGATCAAGACCATCCCAGCAAACATGGTGAAATCCCATCTCTCCTAAAAATGCAAAAATTAGCTGGGTGTGGTGGCGCGTGCCTGTAGCCCCTGCTACTTTGGAAGCTGAGCAGGAGAATTGCTTGAACCCAGGAGGCAGAGGTTGCAGTGAGCCGAGATTGCCCACTGCACTCCAGCCTGGCGGCAGAGGGAGGCTCCATCTCAAAAAAAAAAAAAAAAAAAAAAAAAAAAAAAAAAAAAAAGAACAAAGCTGGATGCACAAAATATCTGACTTTAAAATACATTGCAATCCTAGAGTAAATAAAACTTCTTGCTGTTTGTATAAAAACAAACACATAGGCTGTGCATGGTGGTTCACACCTGTAATCCCAGCAGTCTGGGAGGTGAGGTGGTCAGATCATGGGCCCAGGAGCTTGAGACCAGCCTGGACAATATAGCAAATCCCAGTCTCTCCAAAAAAAAAAAAAAAAAAAAAAAAAAGTAAAAATTAGCCAGGCATAGTAGCACACAGCTGTAGTGCTAGCTACTGGTTGGGGAGCTTAGGCAGGAGGATCGCTTGAGTCTGGGAGAGTGAGGTTGCTGTGAGCAAAGATTGCACCACTGTACTCCAGCCTGGGTGACAGTGAGAAACTGTCTCTAAAATAAAACAAAACAAAAAACAGACCCATAGGCCAATGGAAGAGAATAGAGACCCAGAAATAAACCCATATATTTACAACCAACTGATTTTTGACAAAGGTGTCAAGAACATACACTGGGGAAGGACACCTTTCTTAATAAATGATGTGCTGAGAAAATTGTATGTCCCTATGCAGAATAATGAGCTGGACCTCTATCTCTCACCATGTACACAAATCAACTTAAATTGGATGAAACACTTAAATATAAGAGTTAAAACTGTTATACTACTAGAGGAATAAATAGAGAAAATACTCCAAGACATTGGTCTAGGAGAACACTTTGTGGCTAACACTCTGGAAGCACAGGCAAGAAAAACAAAAAATAGACAAATGGAATTATGTTAAACTAACAAGCTTCTACACAGCAAAGGAAATAATCAATGGAGTGAAGAGACAACCTCTTGAATGGGAGATGGTATTTTTAGTCATTTGATAAGGGATTAATATCTAGAAAATACAAAAAACTCAAACAACTCAACAAAAAACAAAACAAACAAATAAAAAACACAATCCCATTAAAAAATGGGCAAAGGATCTAAATAGATGTTTCTGAAAAAACAATATACATGGGGCCAACAGGTATATGAAAAATGCTCAATATTACTAATCACCAAGGAAATGCAAATCAAATTTACAATGAAATATTATCTTATCCCTGTTAGAATGGCTATTATAAAAACAAAAAAACAAAAAAAGATTCTGGCAAGGATGTAGAGAAAAGGGAACTCTCATACATTCTTCATGGTAATGTAGATTACTACAGTAATTATGGAAAACAATATAGAAATTTCTTTTTTTTTAAATTTTTTTTATTATGCTTTAAGTTTTAGGGTACATGTGCACATTGTGCATGTTAGTTACATATGTATACATGTGCCATGCTGGTGCGCTGCACCCACTAACTCATCATCTAGCATTAGGTATATCTCCCAATGCTATCCCTCCCCCCTCCCCCCTCCCCCCACCCCACCACAGTCCCCAGAGTGTGATATTCCCCTTCCTGTGTCCATGTGATCTCATTGTTCAATTCCCACCTATGAGTGAGAATATGCGGTGTTTGGTTTTTTGTTCTTGTGATAGTTTACTCAGAATGATGACTTCCAATTTCATCCATGTCCCTACAAAGGACATGAACCCATCATTTTTTATGGCTGCATAGTATTCCACGGTGTATATGTGTCACATTTTCTTAATCCAGTCTATCATTGTTGGACATTTGGGTTGGTTCCAAGTCTTTGCTATTGTGAATAATGCCGCAATAAACATATGTGTGCATGTGTCTTTATAGCAGCACGATTTATAGTCCTTTGGGTATATACCCAGTAATGGGATGGCTGGGTCAAATGGTATTTCTAGTTCTAGATCCCTGAGGAATCGCCACACTGACTTCCACAATGGTTGAACTAGTTTACGGTTCCACCAACAGTGTAAAAGTGTTCCTATTTCTCCACATCCTCTCCAGCACCTGTTGTTTCCTGACTTTTTAATGATTGCCATTCTAACTGGTGTGAGATGGTATCTCATTGTGGTTTTGATTTGCATTTCTCTGATGGCCAGTGATGATGAGCGTTTTTTCATGTGTTTTTTGGCTGCATAAATGTCTTCTTTTGAGAAGTGTCTGTTCATGTCCTTCGCCCACTTTTTGATGGGGTTGTTTGTTTTTTTCTTGTAAATTTGTTTGAGTTCATTGTAGATTCTGGATATTAGCCCTTTCTCAGATGAGTAGGTTGCGAAAATTTTCTCCCATTTTGTAGGTTGTCTGTTCACTCTGATGGTAGTTTCTTTTGCTGTGCAGAAGCTCTTTAGTTTAATTAGATCCCATTTGTCAATTCTGGCTTTTGCTGCCATTGCTTTTGGTGTTTTGGACATGAAGTCCTTGCCCATGCCTATGTCCTGAATGGTAATGCCTAGGTTTTCTTCTAGGGTTTTTATGGTTTTAGGTCTAACGTTTAAGTCTTTAATCCATCTTGAATTGATTTTTGTATAAGGTGTAAGGAAGGGATCCAGTTTCAGCTTTCTACATATGGCTAGCCAGTTTTCCCAGCACCATTTATTAAATAGGGAATCCTTTCCCCATTGCTTGTTTTTCTCAGGTTTGTCAAACATCAGATAGTTGTAGATATGCGGCATTATTTCTGAGGGCTCTGTTCTGTTCCATTGATCTATATCTCTGTTTTGGTACCAGTACCATGCTGTTTTGGTTACTGTAGCCTTGTAGTATAGTTTGAAGTCAGGTAGTGTGATGCCTCCAGCTTTGTTCTTTTGGCTTAGGATTGCCTTGGCGGTGTGGGCTCTTTTTTGGTTCCATATGAACTTTAAAGTAGTTTTTTCCAATTCTGTGAAGAAAGTCATTGGTAGCTTGATGGGGATGGCATTCAATCTGTAAATTGCCTTGGGCAGTATGGCCATTATCACGATTTTGATTCTTCCTACCCATGAGCATGGAATGTTCTTCCATTTGTTTGTATCCTCTTTTATTTCCTTGAGGAGTGGTTTGTAGTTCTCCTCGAAGAGGTCCTTCACATCCCTTGTAAGTTGGATTCCTAGGTATTTTATTCTCTTTGAAGCAATTGTAAATGGGAGTTCACTCATGATTTGGCTCTCTGTTTGTCTGTTATTGGTGTATAAGAATGCTTGTGATTTTTGTACATTGATTTTGTATCCTGAGACTTTGCTGAAGTTGCTTATCAGCTTAAGGAGATTTTGGGCTGAGACAATGGGGTTTTCTAGATATACAATCATGTCATCTGCAAACAGGGACAATTTGACTTCCTCTTTTCCTAATTGAATACCCTTTATTTCCTTCCCCTGCCTAATTGCCCTGGCCAGAACTTCCAACACTATGTTGAATAGGAGTGGTGAGAGAGGGCATCCCTGTCTTGTGCCAGTTTTCAAAGGGAATGCTTCCAGTTTTTGCCCATTCAGTATGATATTGGCTGTGGGTTTGTCATAGATAGCTCTTATTATTTTGAAATACGTCCCATCAGTACCTAATTTATTGAGAGTTTTTAGCATGAACGGTTGTTGAATTTTGTCAAAGGCTTTTTCTGCATCTATTGAGATAATCATGTGGTTTTTGTCTTTGGCTCTGTTTATATGATGGATTACATTTATTGATTTGCATATATTGAACCAGCCTTGCATCCCAGGGATGAAGCCCACTTGATCATGGTGGATAAGCTTTTTGATGTGCTGCTGGATTCGGTTTGCCAGTATTTTATTGAGGATTTTTGCATCAATGTTCATCAAGGATATTGGTCTAAAATTCTCTTTTTTTGTTGTGTCTCTGCCCGGCTTTGGTATCAGAATGATGCTGGCCTCATAAAATGAGTTACAGAGGATTCCCTCTTTTTCTATTGATTGGAATAGTTTCAGAAGGAATGGTACCAGTTCCTCCTTGTACCTCTGGTAGAATTCGGCTGTGAATCCATCTGGTCCTGGACTCTTTTTGGTTGGTAAACTATTAATTATTGCCACAATTTCAGCTCCTGTTATTGGTCTATTCAGAGATTCAACTTCTTCCTGGTTTAGTCTTGGGAGAGTGTATATGTCGAGGAATTTATCCATTTCTTCTAGATTTTCTAGTTTATTTGCGTAGAGGTGTTTGTAGTATTCTCTGATGTTAGTTCGTATTTCTGAGGGATCGGTGGTGATATCCCCTTTATCATTTTTTATTGCGTCTATTTGATTCTTCTCTCTTTTTTTCTTTATTAGTCTTGCTAGCAGTCTATCAATCTTGTTGATCCTTTCAAAAAACCAGCTCCTGGGTTCATTAATTTTTTGAAGGGTTTTTTGTGTCTCTATTTCCTTCAGTTCTGCTCTGATTTTAGTTATTTCTTGCTTTCTGCTAGCTTTTGAATGTGTTTGCTCTTGCTTTTCTAGTTCTTTTAATTGTGATGTTAGGGTGTCAATTTTGGATCTTTCCTGCTTTCTCTTGTGGGCATTTAGTGCTATAAATTTCCCTCTACACACTGCTTTGAATGCGTCCCAGAGATTCTGGTACATTGTGTCTTTGTTCTCGTTGGTTTCAAAGAACATCTTTATTTCTGCCTTCATTTCGTTATGTATCCAGTAGTCATTCAGGAGCAGGTTGTTCAGTTTCCATGTAGTTGAGCGGTTTTGAGTGAGCTTCTGAATCCTGAGTTCTAGTTTGATTGCACTGTGGTCTGAGAGATAGTTTGTTATAATCTCTGTTCTTTTACATTTGCTGAGGAGAGCTTTACTTCCATGTATGTGGTCAATTTTGGAATAGGTGTGGTGTGGTGCTGAAAAAAATGTATATTCTGTTGATTTGGGGTGGAGAGTTCTGTAGATGTCTATTAGGTCCACTTGGTGCAGAGCTGAGTTCAATTCCTGGGTATCCTTGTTGACTTTCTGTCTCGTTTATCTGTCTAATGTTGACAGTGGGGTGTTAAAGTCTCCCATTATTAATATGTGGGAATCTAAGTCTCTTTGCAGTTCACCCAGGACTTGCTTTATGATTCTGGGTGCTCCTGTGTTGGGTGCATATATATTTAGGATAGTTAGCTCTTCTTGTTGAATTGATCCCTTTACCATTATGTAATGGCCTTCTTTGTCTCTTTTGATCTTTGTTGGTTTAAAGTCTCTTTTATCAGAGACTAGGATTGCAACCCCTGCCTTTTTTTGTTTTCCATTTGCTTGGTAGATCTTCCTCCATCCTTTTATTTTGAGCCTATGTGTGTCTCTGCACGTGAGATGGGTTTCCTGAATACGGCACACTGATGGGTCTTGACTCTTTATCCAATTTGCCAGTCTGTGTCTTTTAATTGGAGCATTTAGTGCATTTACATTTAAAGTTAATATTGTTATGTGTGAATTTGATCCTGTCATTATGATGTTAGCTGGTTATTTTGCTTGTTAGTTGATGCAGTTTCTTCCTAGTCTCGATGGTCTTTACATTTTGGCATGATTTTGCAGCGGCTGGTACCGGTTGTTCCTTTCCATGTTTAGTGCTTCCTTCAGGAGCTCTTTTAGGGCAGGCCTGGTGGTGACAAAATCTCTCAGCATTTGCTTGTCTGTAAAGGATTTTATTTCTCCTTCACTTATGAAGCTTAGTTTGGCTGGATATGAAATTCTGGGTTGAAAATTCTTTTCTTTAAGAATGTTGAATATTGGCCCCCACTCTCTTCTGTCTTGTAGGGTTTCTGCCAAGAGATTCGCTGTTAGTCTGAGGGGCTTCCCTTTGAGGGTAACCTGACCTTTCTCTCTGGCTGCCCTTAACGTTTTTTCCTTCATTTCAACTTTGGTGAATCTGACAATTATGTGTCTTGGAGTTGCTCTTCTCGAGGAGTATCTTTGTGGCGTTCTCTGTATTTCCTGAATCTGAACGTTGGCCTGCCTTGCTAGATTGGGGAAGTTCTCCTGGATAATATCCTGCAGAGTGTTTTCCAACTTGGTTCCATTCTCCCCATCACTTTCAGGTACACCAATGAGATGTAGATTTGGTCTTTTCACATAATCCCATACTTCTTGGAGGCTTTGCTCATTTCTTCTTATGCTTTTTTCTCTAAACTTCCCTTCTCGCTTCATTTCATTCATTTCATCTTCCATTGCTGATACCCTTTCTTCCAGTTGATCGCATCGGCTCCTGAGGCTTCTGCATTCCTCACGTAGTTCTTGAGCTTTGGTTTTCAGCTCCATCAGCTCCTTTAAGCACTTCTCTGTATTGGTTATTCTAGTTATACATTCTTCTAAATTTTTTTCAAAGTTTTCAACTTCTTTGCCTTTGGTTTGAATGTCCTCCCGTAGCTCAGAGTAATTTGATCATCTGAAGCCTTCTTCTCTCAGCTCGTCAAAGTCATTCTCCATCCAGCTTTGTTCCCTTGCTGGTGAGGAACTGCGTTCCTTTGGAGGAGGAGAGGTGCTCTGCGTTTTAGAGTTTCCAGTTTTTCTGTTCTGTTTTTTCCCCATCTTTGTGGTTTTATCTACTTTTGGTCTTTGATGATGGTGATGTACAGATGGGTTTTTGGTGTGGATGTCCTTTCTGTTTGTTAGTTTTCCTTCTAACAGACAGGAACCTCAGCTGCAGGTCTGTTGGAATACCCTGCCGTGTGAGGTGTCAGTGTGCCCCTGCTGGAGGGTGCCTCCCAGTTAGGCTGCTCAGGGGTCAGGGGTCAGGGACCCACTTGAGGAGGCAGTCTGCCGGTTCTCAGATCTCCAGCTGCATGCTGGGAGAACAACTGCTCTCTTCAAACTGTCAGACAGGGACATTTAAGTCTGCAGAGGTTACTGCTGTCTTTTTGTTTGTCTGTGCCCTGCCCCCAGAGGTGGAGCCTACAGAGGCAGGCAGGCCTACTTGAGCTGTGGTGGGCTCCACCCAGTTAGAGCTTCCAGGCTGCTTTGTTTACCTAAGCAAGCCCGGGCAATGGCGGGCGCCCCTCCCCAAGCCTCGCTGCCGCCTTGCAGTTTGATCTCAAACTGCTGTGCTAGCAATCAGCGAGACTCCGTGGGCATAGGACCCTCTGAGCCAGGTGCGGGGTATAATCTCGTGGTGCGCCATTTTTTAAGCCGGTCCGAAAAGCGCAATATTCAGGTGGGAGTGACCCGATTTTCCAGGTGAGTCCGTCACCCCTTTCTTTGACTCGGAAAGGGAACCCCCTGACCCCTTATGCTTCGCGAGTGAGGCAATGCCTCGCCCTGCTTCGGCTCGCGCACGGTGCGTGCACCCACTGACCTGTGCACACTGTCTGGCACTCCCTAGTGAGATGAACCCGGTACCTCAGATGGAAATGCAGAAATCACCCGTCTTCTGCGTCGCTCACCTTGGGAGCTGTAGACCGGAGCTGTTCTAGAAATTTCTTTAAAAACTAAAAATATTGCTATAAATTTCCCTCTACACACTGCTTTTAATGCGTCCCAGAGATTCTGGTATGTTGTGTCGTTTTCGTTGGTTTCAAAGGACATCTTTATTTCTGCCTTCATTTTGTTATGTACCCAGTAGTCATTCAGGAGCAGGTTGTTCAGTTTCCATGTAGTTGAGTGGTTTTGAGTGAGATTCTTAATCCTGAGTTCTAGTTTGATTGCACTGTGGTCTGAGAGATAGTTTGTTATAATTTCTGTTCTTTTACATTTGCTGAGGAGAGCTTTACTTCCAACTATGTAGTCAATTTTGGAATAGATGTGGTGTGGTGCTGAAAAAATGTATATTCTGTTGATTTGGGGTAGAGAGTTCTGTAGATGTCTATTAGGTCCGCTTGGTGCAGAGCTGAGTTCAATTTCTGGGTATCCTTGTTGACTTTCTGTCTCGTTTATCTGTCTAATGTTGACAGTGGGGTGTTAAAGTCTCCCATTATTAATATGTGGGAGTCTAAGTCTCTTTGCAGTTCACCCAGGACTTGCTTTATGAATCTGGGTGCTCCTGTGTTGGGTGCATATATATTTAGGATAGTTAGCTCTTCTTGTTGAATTGATCCCTTTACCATTATGTAATGGCCTTCTTTGTCTCTTTTGATCTTTGTTGGTTTAAAGTCTCTTTTATCAGAGACTAGGATTGCAACCCCTGCCTTTTTTTTGTTTTCCATTTGCTTGGTAGATCTTCCTCCATCCTTTTATTTTGAGCCTATGTGTGTCTCTGCACGTGAGATGGGTTTCCTGAATACGGCACACTGATGGGTCTTGACTCTTTATCCAATTTGCCAGTCTGTGTCTTTTAATTGGAGCATTTAGTGCATTTACATTTAAAGTTAATATTGTTATGTGTGAATTTGATCCTGTCATTATGATGTTAGCTGGTTATTTTGCTCGTTAGTTGATGCAGTTTCTTCCTAGTCTCGATGGTCTTTACATTTTGGCATGATTTTGCAGCGGCTGGTACCGGTTGTTCCTTTCCATGTTTAGTGCTTCCTTCAGGAGCTCTTTTAGGACAGGTCTGGTGGTGACAAAATCTCTCAGCATTTGCTTGTCTGTAAAGGATTTTATTTCTCCTTCACGTATGAAGCTTAGTTTGGCTGGATATGAAATTCTGGGTTGAAAATTCTTTTCTTTAAGAATGTTGAATATTGGCCCCCACTCTCTTCTGTCTTGTAGAGTTTCTGCTGAGAGATCTACTGTTAGTCTGAGGGGCTTCCCTTTGAGGGTAACCTGACCTTTCTCTCTGGCTACCCTTAACATTTTTTCCTTCATTTCAACTTTGGTGAATCTGACAATTATGTGTCTTGGAGTTGCTCTTCTCGAGGAGCACCTTTGTGGCGTTCTCTGTATTTCCTGAATCTGAATGTTTGCCTGTCTTGCTAGATTGGGGAAGTTCTCCTGGATAATATCCTGCAGAGTGTTTTCCAACTTGGTTCCATTCTCTCCATCACATTCAGGTACACCGATCAGACGTAGATTTGGTCTTTTCACATAGTCCCACATTTCTTGGAGGCTTTGCTCGTTTCTTTTTCTTCTTTTTTCTCTAAACTTCCCTTCTTGCTTCATTTCATTCATTTCATCTTCGATCACTGATACCCTTTCTAAATACCCACAAGAGAAAGCAGGAAAGATCCAAAATTGACACCCTAACATCACAATTAAAAGAACTAGAAAAGCAAGAGCAGACACATTCAAAAGCTAGCAGAAGGCAAGAAATAACGAAAATCAGAGCAGAACTGAAGGAAATAGAGACACAAAAAACCCTTCAAAAAATTAATGAATCCAGGAGCTGGTTTTTTGAAAGGATCAACAAAATTGATAGACCACTAGCAAGACTAATAAAGAAAAAAAGACAGAAGAATCAAATAGACGCAAAAAAAATGATAAAGGGGATATCATCACTGATCCCACAGAAATACGAACTACCATCAGAGAATACTACAAACACCTCTATGCAAATAAACTAGAAAATCTAGAAGAAATGGATAAATTCCTCGACACATACACTCTCCCAAGACTAAACCAGGAAGAAGTTGAATCTCTGAATAGACCAATAACAGGCTCTGAAATTGTGGCAATAATCAATAGCTTACCAACAAAAAAGAGTCCAGGACCAGATGGATTCACAGCCGAATTCTATCAGAGTTACAAGGAGGAACTGGTACCATTCCTTCTGAAACTATCCCAATCAATAAAAAAAGAGGGAATCCTCCCTAACTCATTTTATGAGGCCAGCATCATCCTGATACAAAAGCCAGGCAGAGACACAACCAAGAAAGAGAATTTTAGACCAATATCCTTGATGAACATTGATGCAAAAATCCTCAATATAAGACCGGCAAGCAGAATCCAGCAGCACATCAAAAAGCTTATCCACCATGATCAAGTGAGCTTCATCCCTGGGATGCAAGGCTGGTTCAATATATGCAAATCAATAAATGTATTCCAGCATATAAACAGAACCAAAGACAAAAACCACATGATTATCTCAATAGATGCAGAAAAGGCCTTTGAAAAAATTCAACAACTCTTCATGCTAAAAACTCTCAATAAATTAGGTATTGATGGGATGTATTTCAAAATAATAAGAGCTATCTATGACAAACCCACAGCCAATATCATACTGAATGGGCAAAAACTGGAAGCGTTCCCTTTGAACACTGGCACAAGAGAGGGATGCCCTCTCTCACCACTCCTATTCAACATAGTGTTGGAAGTTCTGGCCAGGGCAATTAGGCAGGAGAAGGAAATAAAGGGTATTCAATTAGGAAAAGAGGAAGTCAAATTGTCCCTGTTTGCAGATGACATGATTGTATATCTAGAAAACCCCATTGTCTCAGCCCAAAATCTCCTTAAGCTGATAAGCAACTTCAGCAAAGTCTCAGGATACAAAATCAATGTACAAAAATCACAAGCATTCTTATACACCAACAACAGACAAACAGAGAGCCAAATCTTGAGTGAACTCCCATTCACAATTGCTTCAAAGAGAATAAAATACCTAGGAATCCAACTTACAAGGGATGTGAAGGACCTCTTCAAGGAGAACTACAAACCACTGCTCAAGGAAATAAAAGAGGATACAAACAAATGGAAGAACATTCCATGCTCATGGGTAGGAAGAATCAGTATCATGAAAATGGCCATACTGCCCAAGGTAATTTATAGATTCAATGCCATCCCCATCAAGCTACCAATGACTTTCTTCACAGAATTGGAAAAAACTACTTTAAAGCTCATATGGAACCAAAAAAGAGTCCGCATCGCGAAGTCAATCCTAAGCCAAAAGAACAAAGCTGGAGGCATCACACTACCTGTCTTCAAACTATGCTACAAGGCTACAGTAACCAAAACAGCATGGTACTGGTACCAAAACAGAGATATAGATCAATGGAACAGAACAGAGCCCTCAGAAATAACGCCGCATATCTACAACTATCTGATCTTTGACAAACCTGAGAAAAACAAGCAATGGGGAAAGGATTCCCTATTTAATAAATGGTGCTGGGAAAACTGGCTAGCCATATGTAGAAAGCTGAAACTGGATCCCTTCCTTACACCTTATACAAAAATCAATTCAAGATGGATTAAAGACTTAAACGTTAGACCTAAAACCATAAAAACCCTAGAAGAAAACCTAGGCATTACCATTCAGGACATAGGCATGGGCACGGGCTTCATGTCTAAAACACCAAAAGCAATGGCAACAAAAGCCAGAATTGACAAATGGGATCTAATTAAACTAAAGAGCTTCTGCACAGCAAAAGAAACTACCATCAGAGTGAACAGACAACCTACAAAATGGGAGAAAATTTTCGCAACCTACTCATCTGAGAAAGGGCTAATATCCAGAATCTACAATGAACTCAAACAAATTTACAAGAAAAAAACAAACAACACCATCAAAAAGTGGGCGAAGGACATGAACAGACACTTCTCAAAAGAAGACATTTATGCAGCCAAAAAACACATGAAAAAACGCTCATCATCACTGGCCATCAGAGAAATGCAAATCAAAACCACAATGAGATACCATCTCACACCAGTTAGAATGGCAATCATTAAAAAGTCAGGAAACAACAGGTGCTGGAGAGGACGTGGAGAAATAGGAACAGTTTTACACTGTTGGTGGGACCGTAAACTAGTTCAACCATTGTGGAAGTCAGTGTGGTGATTCCTCAGGGATCTAGAGCTAGAAATACCATTTGACCCAGCCATCCCATTAGTGGGTATATACCCAAAGGACTATAAATCATGCTGCTATAAAGACACATGCACACGTATGTTTATTGCGGCACTATTCACAGTAGCAAAAACTTGGAACCAACGCAAATGTCCAACAATGATAGACTGGATTAAGAAAATGTGGCACATATACACCGTGGAATACTATGCAGCCATAAAAAAGGATGACTTCATGTCCTTTGTAGGGACATGGATGAAATTGGAAATCATCATTCTCAGTAAACTATTGCAAGAACAAGAAACCAAACACCGCATATTCTCAGTCATAGATGGGAATTGAACAATGAGAACACATGGACACAGGAAGGGGAACATCACACTCTGGGGACTGTTGTGGGGTTGGGGGAGGGTGGAGGGATAGCATTGGGAGAGATACCCAATGCTAGATGATGGGTTAGTGGGTGCAGCGCACCAGCATGGCACATGTATATATATGTAACTAACCTACACATTGTGCACATGTACCCTAAAACTTAAAGTATAATAAAAAAAAAGATATTAGAAAAAAAAACTAAAAATAGAACTACCATATAATCCAGCAATCCCACTATTGGGTATTTATCTAAAGGAAAGGAAATCAGTATATAAAGGGATGCATGCAGCCTCAGGTTTATGGCAGCATTGTTCACAATAGCCAAGATATGGAATTAATCTTAGTGTCCATCAATGGATGAATGGATAAAGAAAATGTTGTATAGTTACACAGTGGAATGCTATTTGGCCATAGGAAAGAAGGAAACTCTGTTATTTGCAGCACCATGGATAAAGCTGGAGGACATTATGTTAGGTGAAATAAGCCAGGCACAGAAACACAAATATCACATATTTTCACTAATCTATGGAAGTAAAAATAGTTGATCTCATGGAAGTGAAGAGTAGGATGATGGTTACCAGAAGATGGGAAGAGTGGATGTGGGGAGTGAAGAGAAGCTGGGTGCAAACATACAACTAGTTGGAAGGAATAAGTTCTGATACTGTATAGCACAATAGGGTGACTATAGTGAATAATAATTTCATGTTTATTTCAAAGTGGCTTGAAGAGAAGATTTGAAATAGTCCCAACACATAGAAATGATACATGTTTGAGATTATGGATATCATAAATACCCTGATTTGATTATTACATATTGTATGTATATATGTACAATTATTAAGTATCAATTAAAAATGGAAAATCATATTACAAAGAACCGAAGAAAGATGCAACAACATAGCTCATTTGAATCAGCTTATCCTGGGCAGGTCCATCCTGTTGAAGTTGACTTCTAGATATAGCCCTGCTGGGCCTCTCAGGCTGTCCAAAATATTCTTTTGAAAACATAACTGCTGTAAGGTTAAAAAATTCCATATATATGATATTGATATATGACTATGATATTCATCATAGTCAGGGTTCTTATTTTTTAGCGTGACTGTCTTCCTGCTTTTTCAAGTGCTTTAATGGACAGTGATTACTTGTTGAGGACACCATGGGTATCTATAGCTCTAATGTGTAAAAAATAAGGATTTCATGAATCATAACAGTGGGGTTTTAAATTTGTTTTTTAAAGACATTGAAGTGTTTCTATGTAGAATTTATATTTCTTCAAAGGCAATGTGTTTTTGCCATCAGTACTCCTGGTATATGCTGCCAATGAGTTTTGAAGACCAAATTTCCATTTTAATAAGATCTTGTTTGGAAAGAATTAGAACTTTTTTGTTTATTTGTTAGCTTTTTGTTTCTAGAAATATATGTTTAGAACCATGTGGAACGGCGATGTGTCATTAAAAGTCATTGTGTACTAAGTAACATTATATTTAGTATTTTCTTCATCACAGCAGCTTGGCCAAATTTTTGTGTTG
Organism: Homo sapiens; assembly: GCF_000001405.40. Taxonomy (NCBI): domain Eukaryota; kingdom Metazoa; phylum Chordata; class Mammalia; order Primates; family Hominidae; genus Homo; species Homo sapiens. Next base: position 19,201,196 of record NC_000007.14, read on the forward strand.
TGTGTGTGTGTGTGTGTGTGTATGTGTGGGTATAAATGCATATTAACACACACATATATACATAAACATATATATATATACACATACATACAATGAATATATATGGATTTTTTTACCTTGCTGTAGTTACGTTTTCAAAAGAATATTTTAGACAGTCTGTTTTAGGGTCTAGTAGATAGTACTTCAAAAGCTTCTCTGAGCTTTCATAGAGTTAAAAAATATTAGTCAGAATGTAATGAATAAAGATATTTGTGCTAAGCTGTATTTCATGAATATTTCTACAAAGGAGGAAAAATGAACATTGAATTTCTACAGCAGAGTAGCATTGTTAGTGGTGTTCAGTGGATGGCAAACTTGCTAAGGAAGAATTGTGAATCATGATAGATAAAAGGATGTGGGCAAGAATCCATATATTTATCCTTTATTACCAGCCACACTGTATCATTTTCTTAATTTATTAAAAATATTTATTAAGTGCCTTCTATGTTTGAAGCATGGTGCTTTCTTGTCAGCAATAAACACTCTCACCTCTTCCTTCATAAACTTGATCTAATTTGTGGCTAAGTCACCCCTTACCCTTCCTATTCAATTTTCCTCCTTCTCATTTTGTTAATGTTGACAGTACTGCTCTTATTGTTTCACTCTACATTCTCCATGATGGTAATTAAGAAATTATGCAAAAGATCTTTCTGCAGTGGTGGAAGAACTGATGTTTAAATCTCTTTCCAGTCCCTCTGGAAGTTAACTAGGCTGCATAGAAGGTGGACCTGAGGAATAGCAGTACATCCATATAGATTTGTCATTGCAGATTGTGTGTGAAATGAGATACAGTGGCAAAAACGTTGACTTGGAAATCAGGATTCCTGAGCTACAGAATTCACTATGTGGTACTGAACAAGTCTGTCCTATCTTCCAGACTCACTTGTCTCCTCTATAACACCTTTATATATACCAAAAAAAGGGTTTAGTTAGATGTATGGTCACACGGTCCCATTAATTGTAAAATTAATTATATTATTTCAAGAATAATGTCTTGGGAGTTGAACATCTATTAGCTACTCATCTGGTAGATCAATAACTTATTTAAATTTATTTGAAAAGTGTGAATTAATAGGATCAGATAGGATTTCCTAAGGCTATTTGTTGAATTCATTTTTTAAGTCTCCTGGAATCACCAGAAGTATAACTACTCAAAATTTCAAGACTCATTAATAGACTATTTGTGCATTTTAAAACATCATAAGGAAATTACGGTAATCATCCTCATTATTATATCTCAGTATTATTGTTATTTGTTGTTATCTGTAAGAAACAAACATTCCTGGAGTCATTTCATTTCACTTCCTTGTTTTAAATTTCTCAAAAGGTACGGAGAACTGCTTGTCAATTTATTTTATAAAACAACAATTTATTGTTATTTATAGCCTCCTTTACATTCTATGAAGTCACACCTCTGGCTCTCTCTTCTCTAGAATAATCTTTTCTTTTATTGTTTTTGCCAATTTATGGGATTTTCAGTGAAACTAAAGGATCCGAAATGAATGTTCTGAGTAATTGTTACTCAGTGACCTTCACTGTATCACAGGGCATAAAACAGAAATATGATCTCCTTAATCTTGATTCTATTTTCTGCATGTTCCATAACTTCCTCCATCAATACAACCAAGCAGCTGAAAGTTAGAAAACTGTGTTGCTTGTCTTCAAATCCCTTTGCACTTAGGCAGTGGGTGTGAAACAGAAATGCAAGAAACAGAACAAGTGTGATATATGAATCAAAGTGTAGGAGCTATTCGGTGTGAAACAATGTGATCCTTGTGGCCGCTGCTAATGTATCATTTGCCAAATGTCTGAAGAGGACAGAGTTTTCAATGGCAAAAACAGTCTCCTGGAAATAAACCCTTTTTTCAGTCCCTTGCATGAAACTTCACTGGATGAAAGCAAAGGAGTATCTTTATCTTACCAACTTAAAGTAGGTGTCTGTAATTGGATCCACAACAAACACATGGAAATGAATTTGTTCACACAATTACCTGTTTTTCTGCAAAACTAGCTTCTCTCCATTTTGGTTGAAGTTCTTAACAAGTAAAGGTGTTACATCTAGCACATGGGAATAGAAATAAATGTGGCTAAGGCACATTTTCTAAAGGTTATAACTAAACTGGCTTGCCTGACTTTGGACCCTAATGATTATAGTAATTAGGTAAATTTACACACCAGAGACATTTGAATGTAAATAGCTGGAAATAGTCTTTAATTCAGGACTTTATGAAGGGATATGCATAATTGATGAGAATGCAGCCAGAAATAATACAGATTTCTATTCAGTTAACCTAAATATTATTATACAACAACTCACAGAGGAAATACTGAAGATCTTAAATCATTTTATTCAGGAACTGGCTAAAATGGATATGGGTAAGAGAGAGTATGGATAAGAGAATTGTACATTCTGAACAGTCACAGGTATCTCTGATATTTTTCTGTGTGTCCCAACTTTTCTTATCTCATGTTCTTGCGTGCCTAATTGTTTCTTTGTTTCAGCGGCCTTCTTTCTATTTGCAGAAAAATTCTTTGTCTTTACTACTGTAATGCCTCTAGGACGTCTACATATTTGTTAGTACCATTACTATGGAATTTTTTTTTCTCAGTAAGCACTGCGGAATATTATGAGTCATTTAATACTCCAGCATTGACTTTGCTGTGTGTTTGGTACTGTGGGTGAACATTCTAACCAGAGTATCATGTCCTCTGGTCATCTAGTGCTGTGGTGACTGGAAAGAGGAAGGCTTCAGAATGTCCTGCTCTTTGTAATTAGCTCCAGAGTTGAAAAATGCATCTGCCTTTGGAGGACCCTTAAGACACACACTATGAAATTTAGTTAAACAAGCCCTAACCCTTCATCCCCCCACATCGAATCCCCCACCTAAATAATTTCAGAAATGTTACTACATAACCATTTCATCACTTCTGGTACCCTACACTTCCCACCTCCTTCCCCATAGCCAGGCCTATGAACTACCAAATCCAGACCTGTTTACATCAGTTTTGCATTTATTGTTTCACTTTTTTTTTTCTGTGGATGTTTTGCTTGTTTCTTCTAGGTATATCCTCTGCTTTTTGATGGAGTCTTTTCAGTTTCCTCTCCATTGCTGTCTGTATCCACAGGCTGGTTGCAGGGGTAGGCCAGTGGTGGAAACTCTGTTGGGATGTTTTTTTCTTTCTTCAGCTTACAGATAATTAGAACTTGGAGTGTTGTCTATCTAATGCTGAAGTCATGGGTCTTGTGTGGATGAATTCTTATCTTTCTAGATCTTTTTGTTTTGGGAAAATGATGAGAATCTTTGAAAATAGTCAGCAGTGTTCTCCAAACCTCCAAGGTTTATATTTTTAATAAAGATATTTTACCAACCTGTATATGTTATTGGCGACTACATGGTATATAATAGATGTAAAGTTTCAAGCACTCCTTGTAGAATATTGTTCATTAGATAAACAAATTATTAGTTTTATTCTATCTGGTAAGAGACTTCTTGAGAACCAATTGATGTAATACATGGGACTTATATTACATGTAAACTGAATTGACTTAATAACTGCCACCTGTCATTATTACCTATAGTAATAATAGATATTCTGCTTTCCACTTCTGGCCAAGTCCAAGCCCTAATTCTTATTTATAGAGTGAGATGCTATTCTTGTTACCGGTGGAAGGTGTCCAAGTTCTTGGCGCTTTGAACAAAGTACTGGACAAAGCGCACAAACAAAGCAAGGAAATAATGAAGCAACAAAAGCAGAGATTTATTGAAAACAAAAACACACTCCACAGAGTGGGAAAGGGCTCAAGCAAGTGGCTCAAGGTCTGGTTACAGAATTGTCTGGGGTTTAAATACCCTCTGGAGGTTTCCCATCGGTTACTTGGTGTACACTCTATGCAAATGAAGATGATGTTTCCTGCCATAGCTGAAATGAAGTCACAAAGTTATTTACGTCGTTGTAGAAAGTTGGAGTTTTTCTGTTTGATTTAGTTCTAGAAAGTCCTTAGGTTCCCTGCCGCCAGACCCTATTCTCCTGCCTCATTCTATTAGGGCTTTCAAAAGATATTTAAAAAACTAAGATAGAGTAACACATTTAGAGGTTGTGTATGATTGGGACATGCTATGTCTTTTTATGAATATCAGAAGAGTCCTTGGCTGTTAGAATGCCACAGACTTTTAACTTCAGCTTTACTTCTGAGTACCAATGCACGTTGGAGGATATATATTTTTGTAAGCTTTCTTTAATTATTTTTTGGAACAATGTTATGTAAAACATGAGGAAAGAAACAGAAAAATAATTCAACAGGTGTTTCTTTGGTCGTCCTGAGAAAAAGAATTTATAATAACTGATGGCTATCCTTCTGACGGACTTAAAAATAAGATGCTATGACTCTAACATGGCAAAATATTCTTTCAATAATCTGATTTCTCAGTGGCTTTATATACAATGGAAAAGCGAGAAGATTTAGAAGAGAAAGGAGAATATTTCATTTTCACATATCTAATCTATTAAAATCTTATGCTAAACTAAGAATAGATTTTAAAAAATTGCTCCAGTTACCTTGACTATCTTTCCGTAAGTATGGTTTTATTACAAGAGCCTCTAGCCCTCAATAAAATTTCTATTTTATTATGGCAATATACCTTGTTATACAATCACAAAATAACATGTTTATTATAGATTATAACATAAAGTACAATATTTATTAATATATTATAACATTTATGGTAATATAGTATATAAAAGAGATAGGTATGTTTTAACGTATTTTAAATATTTATGATAATAAATATAACATCTTCATTATGGTTTGGCTTCATTGCAATGAGCTGTTTACATATCAATATTACCCATGGAACTTGCCTTCTTTGAGGATACAATTGTGCTTGTATGTTTCAGTTCTGTATTCTGCACATAATAGATAAGCAGTGAATAAGAAGTCTGAGTCTTCTCCATGGAATTATCTTTTGACGTATTCTTTTTCCAAGGAATATCTCCCAGGAATATTTACTATTATGGTCTAAATATTTTTTGAATTAATACTATATATATAAAATGCTATATATTTTTCCATTTTTCTGCTTTCATTTTCACAGCTATTTATAGATACATAGATGCCCATTCACTACTATAAAGGCTAACATGAAGTGGTTATTGAATACCTATATGCTCATTATTGTAAATAAATAAACATTGAGTTTATTGAATAAAATGGCAAATCAGAATTGTCTAATTCTACTCATCTCTGACATTAGTTTTATATTTTTTATTATTTTCTATTATTTATCATTTTATTCCTAAACCTCCTCTAAGCTTAACATTTATTTGTGGAATTAATTCCTGGGGTGTGTATTTTCTTTTAAGTTTCCAGTCACTGCAGAATTACAGGAATGCTAGAAAATTAACGGTTTGATTATTTTGGTGCCTGATCATCTTAAGAAATGATTTTGTGTTCCAAAACCAAGTTTGGCCAAGAGTAGGGCTTATTTGGAATCTTGAGAATTCCTACAAAGAGACCGTAGCTGGAAAATGATGTAGAACGAAGAGTAGAGGCGCTGGACCAAGAAGATGCCTCATCTCCAAAGAGAGAAACAGACTCCAAACAGTGGCGGTCCATGGAGAGTTGTTGATGGCCTCTGTGTCAAAGTTCTCATTCTTACTCTACATTGACAGGGAGCTGGCATGCACCATAGCTGTGTCAGGAAATGTGTTTTTAACATTTGAGAGGTGAGAAGAGAGCCAGGAAGGAGACTTTGGGACCTTTTAAATGATTACACAAGTTAAGCCAGATATTTATTCTATGGGAATAGTCATATTGAGTTATAAGTATGAAAATCTGGCATCACTGCTTTGTAATTCTCTAAAGAGCTTAACATTTCATCTTATTTTATCCAGCAACAATAATGTGCTTTGCTTGCATTTAGCAATATAAAGTAGATAGTTAATGGAATTAAATAACTGGGGCCGTGTGTTCTGATACAGCCTTTAATAGTTATAAAGAGCATCATAATTACTTTTTCAATAAATAGATATCTGTTTTATTTTCTTCTCTTAAACTCATGTGTTGGAAACTTTGTATTTTTATTTATTTACTTATTTTAGAGAAGGGGTCTGGATACATTGCCCAGACTAGGTTTGAACTCTTGGTTTCAAGCTATCCTCCTGTCACAGCTTTCTGAGCAGCTGGGCCTACAAGTGCATGCCACTGTGCCCTGCTAATAATTGCTTTTTTTGGGAATAATGTTTACTTTCCTATCGGTAGTATTTGACCAGTGCAAAGACAACCTATGCCTTTATCTCATTCTTTCTAGAATCAACACTGTTTCGGAATAAAACAGTTTTGATTTTATTTATTTATTTTTTTTGAGACGGAGTCTTGCTCTATCGCCCAGGCTAGAGTGCAGTGGTGCAATCTCGGTTCACTGCAACCTCCACCTCCTGGGTTCAAGCAATTTTCTGCCTCAGCCTCCCAAGTAGCTGAGATTACAGGTGCTCACCACCACACCCGGCTAATTTTTGTATCTTTAGTAGAGACAGAGTTTCACCATGTTGGCCAGGCTGGTCTTGAACTCCTGACCTTGTGATCCACATGCCTCAGCCTCCCAAAGTGCTGGGATTACAGGCGTGAGCCACCATGCCCAGCCAACAGTATTGAATGTTAATACTACTGAGGTTGGGTGTTATTTCAGATTTAGTTTAAAAGTACTGTAAAAGTTAAATTACATCAGAATTAAGCTGCCTAGTACACATTTGCTTTTGTGCAGTCATTTCTGCTTCTGAGTGAAGGGTTATGGGCTTAGTGGAAGTAATTCCTTACACTCTTTTTTCATGCTCTGCTCTGGATACAAACAAGAAGAGTGTGATAATTCAAAGAAAGCATTTTGTCAAAAAGGTTGCTGCCTGCCCTGCTCCATATGGGACTCCAAACATAGTGTTCACAATTTTGGTTGGTCACAACAGGCTGGGAAACTCCTTTCTTACAATACATAAAGGCAACACATGATAGAAGATTATATAAATTTGAAAAAAGACTGGTTAAAATGAGCTGAATTCATCCTATGTAGTTTCCTAAACAGCCAAATTCAGGTTTTAGGTTAAAAACAAAACAGAACAAAAGAGCAAACAGTATAGTGTTTACTACCTGCTCACCCACTAAAATATCAGTGGAGCATGTGGTCACTCAAGGTCTCCCCTGGTCATCATCACATCATCATGGTTTTCGGTCTTCAATTCCATGATTTGTACTGGCCCACACATCTCACAGACCCACATCCTACTGATCACTTCCTTGAACCCAATCCCATATACTCTTTGCAGAGAGCTTTGTTTATGTCTGCAATTGCTCAAATGCCATCTGTGAAGCATCGAGCTGTTGTGCCTGTATTTCTACTGGCTTCAGTTATTTCTCTTCCTATTTTCGATGGCACAAATAAGTGCAATTTTTGGAAAACAGATGTTTTTTCAATGTGAATTATTCTGCTAACACTTTGTAAAAATCTGTCTGCTACAGAAGGCCTTCTGCATCAGGGGTAAGTAGGATTTTATTGACTTCTCTCAATTTAGCCAGAGAAAAGTTATACAAAAAAGTTCATTTTTATGTTACCTGGAAGACAATCCCTCTCTTAGACTATTTAACAAATCTTTTGCTTCTCAGAATATCTTTCTGCCTCTTACTAGCAAATGTACTGAACTACAAGTACAGGGGATTAAAATTGTTTTACTTGCTTTCTTCATAGAGGTTTTGCTAAGAAGATGGGATGTGTGTATATCTCTGTTGGGAAACTGGTCATTATAAACTGCTTCAGTTTCCTAAATTATTGTTTACCTAAAGGCTAACAGTTGGATAAAATATCAGCTTTTTTGTACCCTGGAGATATTGTTGATGATATGTAGGGACAATGACTTAATATAAAAAGCGCATAGGACAGTGTTTGACACAAAGTAAATGCCATGTAATTGTCAGGTACTATTGTTATTATTGCTGTTTTTACTCTCTTTGAGACTACAATGGTGCTACTGATGTAGAGAAAATGAACTTTTCCCTAAAACAGTCTTGGCATAGAAGAACTCAGAAAAGCAGTTAGTGCTACCTCTGCCAAAACTCCAACTTGCCAATTATGACTCTATACAATCATAAGAAACTTCTACTGAATTTTTTTTTCTATTTAATGCTTCCAAGCACTCTGTCATTTTTCTTCACAGGAACTTTCTCATTGAGGCTTTTTAGATGTGGTTTGTGCCTCTCAAGGTTTAGAAGTGGTAGCAGAAGGAATATGTGCCTGTTTGAGGTCACAGCTCTATCCATTAGAAAAGAGGGTAATATTTCAAGTGGGTACAGCAGATAAAGCAACAATGACACAAATGGGTTGATGTGAAGGTTTTATTTAAGTCAATGGCAACTTGAAAGGTTTATTGGTGACTTAGCTAATACAGGCCGGATTTCAGAGTCTGAGGATCTAAGGACTGCTACTAGCTTGAGCTTTGTATCAGTCATTTAACCTTTGTTTCTTTTCCCTTAAAAAGAAGAGATGATTACTAACCCAAACCAATAAGAGAAAGAGGAATGGTTAATTAGGTAGGGATTTTGAGTATTGAGATTCTCAAAGAACATATTCTTTACTACATTTTCTCTATAGTATTTGAAAGATGTTAATCTTTTCCTTTTCCTCCAAAGTTCTGGACTGTGTTCTGTTGGAGCCCATCAATTATGACCCTCCATCTTCCAAAAAAATGTTTTGAAATGAATATTATGAGGTGACAAGGTAATGAAAGCAGATAAAGTCTGCTTCTGGTCAGAGTTTCTTTCTTTTTTGTAACTTAGCTCTGTTTTGGTTTTGATTAAAGCTTAATAATTTCCTTTAAAATTATATGTAGAGTAATAAATAACTGATATTTATGTGGCATTTTATTGTTTTGCAAATGCCGGCACATGTTATCTCACTTAAACATCACAAAAACTTTTTGTGAAATTGCCTGAGGAATTCAGATTTCAGAGCTATTAAAAGGCTTGCCCAAGGACACACAACTGACAAGAAGTGAAACCAAAACTTAGACTTTCCAGCTTCAAATCCCATCCTCTTTCCAGTATCCACTACAGCCTCATCAAAGAGAAAGATAATCATTATCCCGCAGAGTTACATCTGATGAACATTATGATCAATATGTACGATACTGCCTATAACAAAACCTATATGGTGAAATTAATGATAAAACGAGTGGTTTGATCACCAGAGGCAATCCTTCCAACCTGTTAATCTTAGTTCCACAAACCTTACACCTTTATATCGATCTTTAATAGCCAAACACCCTTCTTAATTTACTTGAGCACTTTTTGTGGGTAATATGCCCTCATGCATTAAAAAATGCATTTGTGGTTTTTAAAAAACACTCAGTCTAGAATTGATACTTCTTACATGATGTTCTCATATATCACAAAACAAATTCTCAAACATATTTTGACAAAGAAATGGACGAATGATTTGAATTATAATGCTGCTGGCAAAACTGCAGGCTTCATTGCTAATTACGTCCACTTTGACATGTTTATCATTTAGTGCAAACAATGTTATCTGATCCAGTTTCCTTAGTTCTATTTTACTATCCTTTACCTCTTCAGTCTATTTGCTGGCATTGATTATTAAACACTTAGCTCTTTAAATTAAGGAAATTCTCTATAGCTATCTCATGTTTCAAGCACTTGCTTATGAATTTGGCACATATATTGTTTCTATGCACTCTGTTAATAGAAAGAGATAAAATAGCTGCCATGAAGTCATGGTTGTTCTGTGTTGGATGCTTATTCTCTCTTGTTTATCTTCCTTTAGCCTTTTAAATTGTAAAACTGCCATGATAACATTCAATGAATTAGGAGGAAACACATACATTTCATTCCTGCCACCCTCGGGCAACAGATTTTCCTTCCCAGTTTGACGTTACACTTCCTTATACTTTACAGGACTCTGAATGAACAGGCCGGTCGGACTCACACACCCTATCAGACTGCCCTTTGAAGTGCATTCTAACTGGCTATTCACTTATTGGTCTCCTCTACACAGCAAACTCTTGCGAGGAAGAGGGTTTTATTTTGTTAGGATTTTTACCCCAGCTTATAGAAAAGTGCCTGGCACATACAAGTTATTCATTAGATGTTTGGTGAATAAATGAATTAGTATCTAGTGAATGGAGACAGCAGTTCTGTTCTGCCATTTCCTGGTTGTCTTCCTTGGATGTGACGCTCACTGAGGCTCCATCTAGAATGTGGAGGTGATGATAACATCATTCTCAGAGTCTACTGCAAGAGTTAATTAGACTTTGCATTTAAAAGTTTTAATACTATGAAGTCATCTTCAAAATAAGATTATGCTAATTATTGCAAATTTTTATTCCATATTTTTTACTTCCCATGAATATGCCATAAATGATTTTTGCTTTAGTTCGGGTCTGGATTATTGCCAAAGCAACGTAACTAGCCTCCCTGGTTCAATTCCTACTTTTTATTCTACACTTCATCCAGACTAACGATTGAAAACATAAAATAGGATGTCAGTTCTTCACTTCAGACCCTGCAACAGAGGCTTGTCAGTCTTATCCACTACCACATCCTCAACTCCCAGCCCAGTGCCTTATAACTGTGCATATGTGCCTTTGATAGGTTTATATTCAACATCTGGGGACCTCTCGGGAAAGGCATAGAAGAATCTTCATCACATGCCTCCTCCTATCTTCCTAGTCTCCAGTTTCATTCCAGCAGGTCTTGGACATCTCTCCAGGACTTTAACCATAAAAATCAATCAGGAATTCCTGAAACAGGCTATGCTCTTTCACACCCCAGTGCCTTTGCATATGCTTTCCTATTCTTCAACTGAAGGCTGCCTCCGTACTCCACTGGAGCACTCGGTGTTTATTTCTTACAACTCAGCTTCACATTAGACTCCTCTTCAAAGCACTTCACTTTCTTGACTCTGGGCAGAGGGTTCCTGTCCTCTGAACCCCCACAGCCCATTCCATGTAAGCATATCTGCACAGTACACAGATAACCCATAATCACTGTCTGCATGTACTTTTGTGAACTAGATGATGTGCTGTTTGTATGTAGCCTGAAATATAACGTGTGTAGTTCCTGAACTGAATGTGGTACTTAGTATTCTATAAGACCCCAATGAATGTTTCTGGAATGAATTATTATACAACCTTTATAACTATAATTTTTTTGCAACAGTATATTCTACCATATTTCTCCAGTCGAATTTACTTTATCATTCTGTTACTGTGGAAGATTTGGAGATTTCCAATCATTCTGCATGTAGATTTTTATTTCAATTGAACTTTTCAAGTAGTATAAATTCTCAGGAAATGTAAATATTCTAGAATAAAATTTCTAATAAATAACGCCCTATAATTGTTAGCTTAAATTAGAATTAAAAATAGTACATTAGCGAGGCTATTTGCAGGCAGGTGTTGTGTATACTAGGGGAGTAATTAAATACTCGGTTATCTGTGTAAAACATGTTATGTAATTTGTATGCATATGTAACTTTAATTTATATCACAAGTGTATAAGGCAGGAAGCTAAATAGCAAAATGGGCAAACAGCATGACTAGGCAATTCACAGAAAGGGAACTATGAATGGCTTTCAAGTATATAAAGAGAAATTCCAACTCACTGGAAGAGAAACTCAACTCAATGCAAGAGAGGCAAACTAAAATATCAATAAGACAGCACTTACTTTAATAACAGCAGCAAAAATTAAGGAAAATGGTTAATATCAAGTGATGAGAAAGATGTGGAAAGATATAATTTTTTTGCACTGCTAGTCAAAGTGTAGACCATGCAGTCGTTCTGGAAAGAAATCTTACAGTACTTAGCAAAATTAATCCTATTTCCTGCCGTATTGTTTGTGGTAGCAGGGAGATAAAGGCAGCCTAGAGGTTCAGTGCAAGCAAACTGGATCAGAAATGTAGTGAATGCAATTTCTGGAGCATAATGCAGCAGTTAGAAGCAAAAGAATTGATTGGCATACAACAATGTGTACAAATCATAATACATAATATTGAGTAAAAAGAAGTAAGAAATAAAATGCAACGTATACTTTCTAATACACCATTTTCTTTCTCATGCATTTATAGCAATGAAATAACAGAATTACAGTTTCTTCTTGTGCTGCTAGCAAAGTGTAATTATCTATAGTAATGTTACAGAGTTATGTAACATATTCCAAAGCTATAGCTATTTCTTAGGAAGCTAGATATTAAAATGCATTTATTTAGCAAGTAAAGGTAGATTTTTTTCCCCTACAGTGTATGAATATGAGAAAAAAAAAGTTTTAGAAAGAAGATTGCTATTCTTTTCTTAAAATTTATAGCTATATTTGTTGGATTGCTTCCTATTTTAAAGTTTCTTTTTCTTGTTCTCTGAGGAGGGGATGGAGGTTAAAGGTTTAAGGAGAAGTAATTATAAAGTGTTTAAAATTATTGGTTTATTTAAGAAATCAAGAGATCAATTCTTTTCTTTTTTCATGGTATTTTTACATGGACTACTTCGTTAAGTGTTTTTAACTTTCTATAAAAATTGAGAGAAGACGAGCAGAGATGTTAAACTAACTCTGCTTTTTACAACTATCGTGATGATCTAGTTGGCAAAGACAGGGCATAGATTGGAGGATACTTCAAAGTAGAGAAGCTAACACCTGCACAATTGTGTTGACACATCGATAAGTTTAAATATGACTCACTGTTTCTGCCCTACGTGTTTCTCTAATTAGAATTTGGCACAGTTATCTTCAACTAGTTATGTCATTCACTCTTAGATGTGTTAGATATTATTGAGTCCTGTGAAGTCTTTTTTCTAAATACCTTTCTAATCCATCTCCTCTATTTCACCGTAACTTTTCTATTTAATTTCTTTGTTTAATGCAACAGACTTCCTGTTTAATCATCTCTCCGCACTGCACGTCATCTCCCCATTTATCCTTTTAATAGAGCCACTGTCTTGCTTAAAGAGAGTCCTCCTGTTACCCTCAGGAGTCCAGACTCTTTAGGATGGCATTCAAGGCCCTTTGCAAAATGATCTCATGCTCACTCTTCTGATTCCATCTTCCAGCATATTTCCTCCACACTGCTCCCTGTGCGGCTGAATGAAATATGTTTAATCCTAAACAAAAACAGTCCTTGCTCTGTGCAACTGCTCCCGGAAAAATGAGACTCATCCTATGTGTTTCCACTGTGCGCTCTTAATACGTCTAATGTAGCACATATCCCAGCAAGTTTTACACATTGAGGTAGGAGCCCAGCTCCCAAGAAAGAGCCCTTGAAAAATTTGACAGGACAAATGCAAGTAGTTAGTATGTGTTTCTTTAGAAAAGGAATAGAGTAGCAGTCTCATTTTTCAAATTTAAAAGGAAAAAATTGCTAAGTAATAGAAACCTCCCTTTGTGTCAACTGGGATCTACGGGGATCTATCTGTCTGTCTGTCTGTCTGTCTATCTATCTATCTATCTATCTGGTCTGTCTGTCATCTAATTGTCTATGTATTCATTATTTTATCTTTGAATCAGTGTCTTCTTTTTTCAAAAAGAGGTTCGAATAGATGGTGGAGGGAAATATTCGAAATCTTTTCCTCCTCTGTTTCCCCATATGTATAATATACCAACCAATTCTAGAGATGTGTCTATGTCCAAAGCTTAAAGTCATTGTATTTATAATGAAGAATGCTATTACTTGTTCCGCGGGTCTTTCACCTTAAAGTGTGTTCTAATATAGCAAAATTGGGCCTGGGACTTCCAAAGTTATCTAACTGTAGATATACAGAATGGGAGTCATGTGTTTGAAAGTTCCACTGACATCTTTTTAGAATACTGTGCTGGTGTTACTTTGTAATTACTTAGATTAAAGACACAAATATAGGCATACAGACATGTCCTTACTATTACTATGATTTTGAAGTATAACCAACAAATTAGGGATTAAACCACTAACTTCTTATATTTTGGTCCTTTTCTAGCTCCCTTTAGGTATAAATAAGACATCATTTTTATGTAATTTAAAAAGTTCTCTATAACCTTAATGGAGGAGAACTTTTTCTATCATTTGTTTAGATGAAAAGACAAAACTGGTAAATTTAGAATTCCTTTGTAGAAAGTTTCTGTAATTGAAACTAATGAATCTTGATTCAATAAACCTAAATGAATATGTATTTGGTCATAGTTGAATGATATAAGTACTCTGAAGTCAGATGTGCTTTCAAAATACTCCCATAAATGTAAATTCTTAATTATGATCATTTTAAGGGCATTTATCTGTCTCCTGGTGGTTGTTGCTACTCTGGCCCCTTTTATATGTTTTGGACAGAGAAGGAAGTACAATGCTTGCATTCCTGTGGTTGCTATAGTAATGGAAAAAAACTGCAGCTGTGATTGTAGACTTGAAGAAAAAGACTGAGGTCATTTCAGCCCTGGAGACTTAGTAAATATTAATTGTGAAGAAGAAAGCTCTTGTTCTCATTCTTTAATAGTTTTTTTATAAGAGCCAGAAGTCATTATATTGAGATAAATTGTTACTGCCCCTTAATTGCATTCCAAAGGTAGGTTGAAATGTTAACTAAAATTATACACAGTAGGATTTTGCATTCAATTTAATGAATTTCTGGCCACAGCTGATATTCTAAGATGCAAAAGAAGAATCTGTGGTTTGATAAAAATTTTAAAAAGTTGTAGTTTCTCTTATAAAGCAAAGAACTACAGTTTTAGGTGTTTTTAGATTAAATATTTTACCGAATAAATATTTCATTTTAGATTTCTTCTTTAGACAATTCCACAGCATATGGAGCTTGCCTAAGACCAAAATCATCTGCATTGCATACAACCCAGGCACTAGGATAGCCCAGGTTAACAAAGACTGAAATCTTTGTTGATGCTCAATAAATATTAGCTCCTGTCATTATTGTTATTATAATTATTTTTGTTGTGTTTGTGCTAGCAGACATTATATTATTAATAATTATGATCCAGGCCTAGCAATCTGAAAGGAGTTTGAAGACCAAGGTTCAGAAGTTGAAGGTGAAAGTCAACTGTTGTAAAGACAGAACAAATGCCAGCTGAGCAGGCAGGTGTACCCAATAGTAGTGAACAGCAGCCAGGGAGTTCAGGTGAGTTTTCACTAGCACACATTTATTGAGTGTTTACCATATATTGAGTCCCTCTGTTAGGAGTGATGGGGGCAAAAATATATAGAGTATTCTTTATTCTTGTGCAGGGTGGGCTCATAGAGAGTTTTGGGTTATATTACTGTACACATACACAGAGTAACACGTGGTCATATACATATGTAAAATTTTACTGTACTATGAGAAACCCTATAATAGAGGCAGTTAGAGGGTGCTACACAAGTAAAAACAAGGGGAAAAGGGGTTTATGTTTTATAGAAGTGGCATCGAAGTTTGGTAGAAGAGAATGTTGTGCCTCTATTTCCTCTTCTGTAAAGCGTAAGTGGTAAGTCTCTAGTTTATACGGTCTTATGAAAATCACATTTGCTATCTGTGGAGATTAAATAAATGCCTATCTATCTATCTGTCTATCTAACTATCTATCTATTCTCTTTATTAGAATAGTACCTGGCATATAGCAGGTGCTGTATACCTATGAACTGTTATTGTGATAAATGTTGGGCAGTAATACTTCCGCTGTCAAATGGTTTATCTTATACCACAATCCTGGCCCTTCTGGTCCCTTGGCTTCACTGGGCAATGTTTCCGAAACATAAAAATTCAGAGTTCCTATGATAAGCATCTTTTCTGGAAGCAGTGTGTTAAACACATATTACTCTAATCTCACTGAGGTTGCTTTGGAGACTCATTAAATGCTGTAAAATAAAAAAACAAACATGCACTCAAAATCCTGGATCTCTGGATCAAACTATATGGAATTGTATGAATAACAAGCAGATCAATCAAATATAGTTTTTGCTATTAAGAATGCTTACTGTTGAGACTTTCAATTTGAAATATGAACTCATATTTATTTATATCTAGAATATCTTTGAAAGATATGGCATTTCCCAAGGCTGGTTCAGCATACACAAATCAACAAACATAATCCATCACATAAACAGAACCAACGACAAAAACAACATGATTATCTCAATAGATGAAGTAAAGGCCTTTGACAAAATTCAACAGCCTTCATGCTAAAAACTCTCAATAAACTAGGTATTGATGGGACATATCTCAAAATAATAAGAGCTATTTATGACAAACCCACAGCCAATATCATACTGAATGGGCAAAAACTGGAAGCATTCCCTTTGAACACTGGCACAAGACAGGGATACCCTCTCTCACCACTCCTATTCACCACAGTGTTGGAAGTTCTGGCCAGGGCAATCGGCAAGAGAAAGAAAGGGTATTCAATTAGGAAAAGAGGAATTCAAATTGTCCCTGTTGGCAGATGACATGATTGTATATTTAGAAAACCCCATAGTCTCAGCCCCAAATCTCCTTAAGCCGATAAGCAACTTCAGCAAAGTCTCAGGACACAAAATCAACGTGCAAAAATCACAAGCATTCTTATACACCAGTAACAGACAAACAGAGAGCCAAATCATGAGTGAACTCCCATTCACAATTGCTTCAAAGAGAATAAAATACCTAGGAATCCAACTTACAAGGGAAGTGAAGGACCTCTTCAAGGAGAACTACAAACCACTGCTCAACAAAATAAAAGAGGATACAAACAAATGGAAGAACATTCCATGCTCATGGATAGGAAGAATCAAATCGTGAAAATGGCCATTCTGCCCAAGGTAATTTAAAGATTCAATGCCATCCCCATCAAGCTACCAATGACTTTCTTCACAGAATTAGAAAAAACTACTTTAAAGTTCATATGGAAGTAACAAAGAGCCCTCATTGCCAAGACAATCCAAAGAAAAAAGAAGAAAGCTGGAGGCATCGCGCTACCTGACTTCAAACTATACTACAAGGCTACAGTAACCAAAACAGCATGGTACTGGTACCAAAACAGATATGTAGACCAACGGAATAGAACAGAGGCCTCAGAAATATTACCACACATCTACAACCATCTGATCTTTGACAAACCTGACAAAAACAAGAAATGGGGAAAGGATTCCCTATTTAATAAATGGTGCTGGGAAAACTGGCTAGCCATATGTAGAAAGCTGAAACTGGATCCCTTCCTTACACCTTATACAAAAATTAATTCAAGATGGATTAACAACTTAAATATTAGACCTAAAACCATAAAAACCCCAGAAGAAAACCTAGGCAATACCATTCAGGACATAGGCATGGGCAAGGACTTCATGTCTAAAACACCAAAAGCAATGGCAACAAAAGCCAAAATTGACAGATGAGACCTAATTAAACTAAAGAGCTTCTGCACAGCAAAAGAAACTACCATCAGAGTGAACAGGCAACCTACAGAATGGGAGAAGATTTTTGCAGTCTACCCATCTGACAAAGGGCTAATATCCAGAATCTACAAGGAACTTAAACAAATTTACAAGAAAAAAACCAAACAACCCCATCAAAATGTGGGCAAAGGATATGAACAGACACTTCTCAAAAGAAGACACTTATGCAACCAAGAGACACAGGAAAAAATGCTCATCATCACTGGTCATCAGAGAAATGCAAATCAAAGCCACAATGAGACACCATCTCACACCAGTTAGAATGGCGATCATTAAAAAGTCAGGAAACAACAGATGCTGGAGAGGATGTGGAGAAATAGGAATGCTTTTATAGTGTTGGTGGGAGTGCAAACTAGTTCAACCATTGTAGAAGACAGTGTGGTGATTCCTCAAGGATCTAGAATTAGAAATACCATTTGACCCAGCCGTCCCATTACTGGGTATATACCCAAAGGATTATAAATCATGCTACTATAAAGACACATGCACACATATATTTATTGCGGCACTGTTTACAATAGCAAAGACTTGGAACCAACCCAAATATCCATCAATGATAGACTGGATTAAGAAAATGCATCATATATACACCATGGAATACTATGAGGCCATAAAAAAGGATGAGTTCATGTCCTTTGCAGGGACATGGATGCAGCTGGAAACCATCATCCTGAGCAAACTATCACAAGGACAGAAAACCAAACACTGCATGTTTTCACTCATAGGTGGGAATTGAACAATGTGAACACTTGGACACAGGGTGGGGAACATCAGACACTGGGGCCTGTCATGGGGTGGGGGACAGGGGGAGGGATAGCATTAGGAGAAATACCTAATGTAAATGACAAGTTAATGGGTGCAGCAAACCAACATGGCACATGCGTACCTATGTAACAAACCTGCACGTTGTGCACATGTACCCTAGAACTTAAAGTATAGTAAAAAAAAAAAAATGGCATTTTTTTCCAGCTGACAGGCATATAAACATCTTGTTATGCCTTGGTATTACTTTGAGGTCCCCCTAAAGAAAACTTCGTGGTATAAACATATATATATATAGTTTCTATATATATGTTTATATATTTTATATATGTTTATATATACATATATGTTTATATATACATATATGTTTATATATACATATATGTATATATATACATATATATGTTTATATATAAACATATATGTGTTTATATATATACATATATATGTATATATATATGGTTATATATACATATATGCGTATATATATGTTTGTATATATGTGTGTGTATATATATATATGTTTGTATATATGTATATATACTTTTTTTTTTTGAGACAGAGTCTCAATCTGTTGTCCAGGCTGGAGCACAGTGGCACAGTCTCAGCTCACTGCAACCCTCTGCCTCCCGGGTTCAAGCAATTCTCCTGCCTCAGCCTCCCAAATAGCTAGGACTACAGGCACATGTCACCATGCCCGGCTAATTTTTGCATTTTTTGTAGAGATAGGGTTTCGCCATGTTGGGCATGCTGGTCTCAAACTCCTGACCTCAGGTGATCCGCCCGCCTCAGCCTCCCAAAGTGTTGGGATTACAGGTGTGAGCCACTGTGCCCGACCCTAAGAATACCCCAAATGTATTCTCCAAATCTGAGAAACCATATTCATCCTTATTACAATATGTAATTCGTAAAAGACATGTAGATATGTGCCCACATGTGTTATAACCCTATTATTATTATTGCTACTATTTTAGTACCCTTATTAGTAGGAACAATGGACTGGAGATTTAGATGTAACTTTTCAGAGGGGTACTGAGCACCATTCTCACCCTCCTACATCACTCTTGCCAGAAATTTGATGTACATTTGCTATTTATAAGTACCCTTTAGGCACTGTGGATTAAAAAAATACAAAATGTGATGGACAGTGAACTAAAGAACATTTGGCCAATGATTCCAAGGTTCAATGAAGCTTAGTACAGTTATTATTATTCAAAATTTAGTACTTTGTCTTTCAAGTCTTAGAACATGATTTAGTTTTAGTAGATTCTAGGTGCATTATGTCACACTTAATTGATTCCATAAATTCGATGTACATGAGTCTAATTTAAACATTGGAATGCAAATTTACTTCCCTTCACAAAGAACTTCAATGACTCCTAATTGCTTATTGGGTAAATTCCAAATCTGTCGGACTTCTTTGCTCCATGCTCTGACCCAAGCTACTTTTCAACCTCATTATTAGTTTCTTTCTAAAGTCATGACCTTCAAATGGAAAAAAAGAAAATGCTGCATATGCCCTCAAGTCCTCCAGTTTTTCCAGCAGGGACTTTATAGAGATGCATCCTCTATTTTGTTTGAGTTAAACCTTCCCATGTGAGCTGGCATCAGCAGCAATTGATAGCCGTTGGCGGGTTTGCTTAATAATAATGGTTTTTATTCATACTTCTTATATGTGGTACAGCAACATATCTCACCTCCTGATTGGCCACAGCAGTTTTTTGTTCTGCTGTTTTTGTGTTTCTCAGCAGGAAGCTGTAAGTTACTAAGGTACACCTCTTCCTTTTTAGATCAGTAATGATATTCAGAATTTTCAGGGGCCCAGCATCCTTTTAATGATTTTTTTGAAGAATGGGGTATCATTTGTTCTATTGTGAAGAATCTAGCTGTAACCTCTGTGGAAACAGTCTCAAATATGTTGTGTTGCTCCAGTAGTTCAATGTAGAATTTTTTTCACTTTTTCTAGTCTGTCAAACTATTTTTTCTAGTGACCAACCCTTGAGTCTGGCTGTGAATTATCTTATTCCTAGATTCTGTTTCTTTTTATGCTTTTGGGGCTAAATAAGTCTTCCATTCTTTTGAGCAAGTCTCTAGTCTCCTTAATGAGATGGAAAATATAGAAGAATTATTCAATATTATCCACTTTCTTCTGCAATCCAGGGACTAGCCTATATAATCAGTGACCCACATTCCAACAGGAAGATGTGGCTCTTTTGTTGACTATAGTGCTGGGACTCATGCTGAATAACCATTAATTTATTAATTCATTGATTTTGTGTTCACTCATGCATTCAAGCACTTATTTTATATGGTAGTCACTGGGCTAGATGGCAGCCATAGTGACAGAAAAAGACATTTTGACCACTTTTAAGGAGCCATAAACTCATGGGACAAACACAAAAACAAATAATTATAATGACATTCTATAAATACTATTAAATCATTTTGAGGGAGTCGTTTGCAATCCTGGTTATCAAGTTTGGCTTCCCGGCCTAGACACTTGTGAAATAATTTTTAAAGAATGAGTAGAAATATTTTGTGGTGGAGAGAGCAAGGGAGCAATTACAGCTAGAGGAAACAGCTTGTTCAAAGATTGAGAAATTTAATAGCAACCTGGTCTATTTGTCACCTCTAAAGTGTTGGTTATGTCCAGAGCTTATGGAACAGAGACAGTGGCATGAGATGAGATGGTAGACACAAAATAAGTTCTTTGCAAGACCGTATATGTCATGTGAAGGACTTTTTTGTTTCATTCATTCAAAGGGGGTGGCTTTGCAGGATATTAGACTGGGGAATGATGAGATACTTCTATAATGAAGAGTCTTGGTGGATACAGAGAGACAGGTTAGAGTGATTGCAATGGTCCCTGTTGACTAAAGCAGTGGAAGTAGTGAAAAGAAAGGAAGAGACAGAAATAAGAGATATTTTTATTGGTTAAATTAATAAGAATCAGTGACTGACTGGAAGTTGGGCATGAAGGAGAGGAAATTATGTTGATGTTAAGAAAATGTCCCCCCACAAAACAAAATTTTAAAAAAAGAAGAAAACGTCCAGATTATGGCTTCGGTGTCTGAATGAAAGTTATGTTCTACAGGAGTGACTCCTTGTACAACCATAATTCTTTTAAACTTTTAAAAATCAATTTTTATATTAAAGCCATTTTAATATGCCATCTGTAGAAACACAGAATTCCTTTGTTTTATTTTATTTTTTCAATTTCAATTTTAATTTTAGATTTTGGGGTACATATGCAGGTTTGTTATAAGGGTCTATTGTGTGATGCTGAGGTTTGAGCTTCTATTAATCTCATAAGCAAGATAGTGAACATAATATCCAGTAGGAAGTTTTTGTTTTGTTTTGTTTTGTTTTGTTTTGAGATGGAGTCTCACTCTGTAGCCCAGACTGGAGTGCAGTGGCGCGATCTTGGCTCACTGCAACCTCTGCCTCCCAGGTTAAAGAGATTCTCCTGCCTCAGCCTCCCAAGTAGCTAGGATTACAGTCAGGCACCACCACACCTGTTTAATTTTTGTATTTTTAGTAGAGATGGGGTTTCACTATGTTGGCTAGTCTGGTCTCGAACTCCTGACCTCAGCTGATCTGCCTGCCTCTGCCTCCCAAAATGCTGGGATTAAAGGCGTGAACCCCTGCACCTGGCCCCAGTAGGAAGTTTTTAAGCCCTTGCTGCCCTCCCTCCCTTTCTCCTTTTGGAGCCCCCAGTGTCTCCCAGTGTCTCTTCTTCACAACTTTATGTCCTTGCATACCTAAGGTTTAGCTCCCTCTTTTAAGTGAGAAAAGGCAATATTTGGTTTACTGTTATTGCTTTAATTCACTTAGGATAATGGCCTCCAGCTACATCCATATTGCTGAAAGGACACAATTTTGTTCTTTTTTATGGCTGTGTAGTATTCCATGTGAAACACAGAACTGAGTGAAGTTAAGTTGCTTAACCTCTTTGTGTCTCAGTTTGCTTATTTTAAAATTACATATAACAGGCTGGGCACAGTGGCTTACACCTATAATCCCAACACTTCGAGAGGCTGAGGCGGGCAGAGTGCCTGAGGTAAGGAGTTCAAACTCAGTTTGGCCAACGTGGTGAAACCCCGTCTCTACTAAAAATATAAAAATTAGCCAGGCATGCTGGTGGGCACCTGTAATCCCAGCTACTCTGGAGGCTGAGGCAGGAGAATCACTTGAACCAAGGCAGTGGAGGTTGCAGTGAGCTGAGATCACACCATTGCACCCCAGCCTCGGCAACAAGAGCAAAACTCCATCTCAAAAAAACAAATACATATAACATAGAAATACATATAACATAGAATTTATGACCTTAATCATGTTTAAGTGTATCATTGAGTAGCGTGAAGTACATTCACATTGTTGTGCAACGAATTTTCTGATCTCTTTTCATCTTGCAAAGCTGAAACTCTATATCCATTAAACAATAAATCTCCCTTCCTTACTCTCCCCAGCCCCTGGAAACCACCCTTCTAATTTCAGTCCTATGAATTTGACTGTTCTAGATACTTCATACAAGTGGGATCATATAGTAGTTTTTTTGGTGTGTGACTGGCTTATTTCACTTAACATAATGTCCTTAAGTTTCATGCATGTGTCAGAATTTCCTTCTTTTTCAAGGCTGAATAATATTCCGTTGTCCATATCTACATTTTGTTTATCCTTTCATCACTTGATGAACACTTAGGTTGCATCTACCTTTTGTCTATTGCAAATAATGTTGCTACTAACATGGGTGTATTCAGTTTGCTTATCTTTAAAGTAGAGATAATAGGAGCATCTACCTCATGGGGATTTTGTGAGAATTAAATTAGTTAATAAGTATTTAATGTAATAACTTGCATGAAATAATCACCTAATAATGCATTTTAGTTATTTTTATTGTATCTGGATGAGAAAGATAGAAATAAAGATTAAGAGCAGGGGAAGGAGGGAGGCCATACGTGGTCCTGGTGCTCTGAACTCTAAGACTAATGAACACTTATGCAGGCAATAGGATTGGATTGAAGTAGTCTAGTTAGGGCATCCTCTCTTCCCAATTTGCCTTTTTCTGTTCTGATCTGTTTTCAAGCTTACTATATAGCAATTTCATTATTCATACTTCTTCTGATGTAAACCAAAGTTTGATTTTTCAACTAAGAAGAGGATCACATTGCAAAATATTTTGCGTGTTGGGGAAATGTTATCTTACATGAAATGTTAGGCTTTTTCATTTTATGATTCAAGCATATTAGTGGTTATAAGACCTGAAATAGACACATTTCAATGAAAAAGCAACTTAAATGATAGTTGTTTTCTAGCAGATGGAGGAATTTAGTTCATATCTAAATAAGAGCTTTATTTAATCAGATTACCAACTCTGCAAATTGGATTAATGAGTAATTTTAAGCACTGCAGGCATTAAACTTCATAGAAAGGTTTTCTATTTCTAGCATTTCCATCTTACTGAGTTATTTTTAATTTTTTTTAACCATTGATGTAGGGCAATGGCATATTTTTACTTTTTCCCAGTAGCATTGATGGACAAAATGTTATTTCTCTAATAGGCTCCTTGAAAGAAACTGTCTAGTGATCACACCTACCCAGGATTTTGTAGCTAATAGGAAGAAGAACTCAAACTATGTGCTGAGAGTTTGTGAAAACATATGATCCTGCTGAGGAGATTCAGTGTTTTTCCATTCTCAGACCTACTTGATTTTAGACCTGTAGTCAAGGTCACTGTTGGGCCCCTTGGCTAAGCTCAACTCTGGGCTCAAGGCCAGTGACTTCCGGGATTCTGCCATCAATCTGTCTTTTGTGGTACAGAAAAGAAATCTGAATTCAATACCTGTATAATCCCTTCCTCTAGCTTCATGTGTCCCTATACGACTTTTTAGCTTTTCCTGTTATTCAGATATCAGAGTAAAAGCTTTGGGTACTTCTGTGTAGATATCCCTTCACTAGAGGTAAAAAGGTACAAAAATCACCCACAGCCACTCCTGTTCTCCAGCCTCAGAAAAGGAAAGTATTCTGGGGAAGAGGCAGAAGATAGGATGAAAAAAAGGCACAGTAGAGTGTAGAAAACACTTGTGAAGATGGTAACAGTATGTCTTTCATGAGATACAGTTTGTAATTTTACTTTAATTTCCAATTTGAAGGAAAACTAGCAACATATAGCATATCATATAGAATCAAACCATGCTTTATATTTTAGAGTGTGCATAGATGACTTTATCCAGCTCCTGGTTCTATTACATTTTTTGTGTAGATATATCAGAATGTTAGAGGGGATGCACATGGTGAAGGGGATTGGTGGATGGAATGGGAAATTTCCTACATTCTACATGCTACATCTTTTGGGGGTTGTATTTTCAGACTCTGTCTTCCTTCCTCCTACCTCTAACTCAAAATATTCTATGGAGAGATTTTATCAGTTTTATTTTCCTTCAAAAGACTTAAGTGCTTTTCTGAGATAATCACAGTCCTTAGATGATCTCAAAACTACTCAAACATCTATATGATCCTTGACAATTCCAAGACAAAATTATGCAGTTCTTTATTCATGGATGCAGGCAAAATTTGGCAAAATGTAATCTATTCCTTTATAGTGAGGGCCTTATCAAGCCTGCTTGGCACAGGCATTCTAAGGGCAATCACAGGCTCTTAGGGGAAACTTAATGTTATATTACATGGGTGACCAAGAGGTAGGATCTCCATTTTATCAAAAGGGAAGTCACAAAAGCAATGAGTTATTAAACTGGTGATTTCACCGAATGTAATTCAATTATGGTTGTATCAATCAAGAAGTCAGTTTACATACTTCTTATTGCAATATATTGCTACGGGTATAAAAAACAGCATTTTATATTTTCAAAATCAATGACTAAAATTATCAAAGTATTTTTAAATAACTGAAATCATTAGTCAAGATCATCAGACGTCTTGAATAATTTCCCATTCTGGGAGTCAATCTTCTTATTTCAGCTGACTTTTGGCCTCTATTACTTAGAGAACTCTAACAGTTAGAGAACATTCAGTTTAAACTTTAATGAAGACTTACTGAAAATGAGCAAAAGAAGCTATAGTGCAATGCACAGATTTTCCAAATTATACTTTGTATTTACTGTCTGTTTACTAAATACTGCCTAAATACTTTGTACTTACTGTCTAAAAGGCATTGGAGAAGTGGCTGGCAAGATGGCCAAATAGGAACAGCTCCAGTCTGCAGCTCCCAGTGAGATTGACGCAGAAGGCAGGTGAATTCTGCATTTCCAGCTAAAGTACCCAGCTCATCTCATTGGGACTGGTTAGACAGTGGGTGCAGCCCATGGAGGGTGAGCCGAAGCAAGGTAGGGTGTCACCTCACCCGGGAAGTGCAAAGGGTCGGGGAACTCCTTCCTCTAGCCAAGGGAAGCCCCAAGGGACTGTGCCATGAGAGACAGTGCACTCCAGCCACAGATACTATGCTTTTCCCACAGTCTTCACAACCTGCAGACCAGGAGATTCCCTCAGGTGCCTATATCACCAGGGCCCTGGGTTTCAAGCACAAAACAGGGAGGGCTTATGGGCAGACAGTGAGCAAGCTGCAGGAGTTTCTTTTCATACCCCAGTGGCACCTGGAACACCAGCGAGACAGAAACATTCACTCCCCTGAAAAGGGGGCTGAAGCCAGGGAGCCAAGTGGTCTAGCTCAGTGGATCCCACCCCCACAGAGCCAAGCAAGCTAAGATCCACTGGCTTGAAATTCTCCCTGCCAGTACAGCAGTCTGAAGTCAACCTGGGATGCTTGAGCTTGGTGGGGGAAGTGGCATCCGCCATTACTGAGGCTTGAGTAGGCAGTTTTCCCCTCACAGTGTAATCAAAGCTACTGGGAAGTTCAAACTGGGCAGAGCCCATGACAGCTCAGCAATGCTGCTGTAGCCAGACTGCCTCAGGGCATCTATGAAAGAAAAGCAGCAGCCCCAGTTAGGGCCTTATAGATAAAACTCCCATCTCCCTGGGACAGAGCACCTGGGGAAAGGGGTGGCTGTGGGCACAGCTTCAGCAGACTTAAATGTTCCTGCCTGCCAGCTCTAAAGAGAGCAGCAGATCTCCCAGCACAGCACTCGAGCTCTGCTAAGGGACAGACTGCCTCCTCAAGTTGGGTCCCTGACCCCCATGTCTCATGACTGGGAGACACCTCCCAGCAGGGGTCAACAGACACCTCATACAGGAGAGCTCCGGCTGGCATCTGACAGGTGCCCATCTGGGATGAAGCATTCTGTGCTGTTCTGCAGCCTCCGCTGGTGATAACCAGGCAAACAGCGTCTGGAGTGGACCTCCAGCAAACTCCAGTAGACCTGCAGCAGAGGGGCCTGACTGTTAGAAGGAAAACTAACAAACAGAAAGGAATAGCATCAACATCAACAAAAAGGAAGTCCACACAAAATCCCCATCCAAAGGTCGCCAGCATCAAAGACCAAAAGTAGATAAATCCATGAAGATGAGGAAAAACCAGTGCAAAAAGGCTGAAAATTAAAAAAACAAGAACATCTCTTCTCCTCCAAAGGATCACAACTCCTTGCCAGCAAGGGAGCAAAACTGGATGGAGAATGAGTTTGGCAAATTGACAAAAGTAGGCTTCAGAAGGTGGGTAATAACAAAGTCCTCCGAGCTAAAGGAGCATGTTTGAACCCAATGCAAGGAAGCTAAGAACCTTGAAAAAAGGGTTAGAGGAATTGCTAACAAGAATAACCAGGTTAGAGAAGAACACAAATGACCTAATGGAGGTGAAAAACACAGCATGAGAAGTTCATGAAGAATACCCAAATATCAATAGCCAAATCAATCAAGCAGAAGAAAGGATATCAAAGATTGAAGATTAACTTAATGAAATAAAGCATGAAGACAAGATGAGAGAAAAAAGAATGAAAAGGAACAAACAAAGCCTCCAATAAATATGGGGCTATGTGAAAAGACCAAACCTACGTTTGATTGGTGTACCTGAAAGTGACAGGGAGAATGGAACCAAGTTGGAAAACACTCTGCAGGATATTATCCAGGAGAACTTCCCCAACTTAGCAAGACAGGCCAACACTCAAATTCAAGAAATACAGAGAATACCACAAAGATACTCCTCAAGAAGAGCAACCCCAAAACACATAATCATCAGATTCACCAAGGTTGAAATGAAGGGAAAAATATTAAGGGCAGCCAGAGAGAAAGGTCAGGTTACCCACAAAGGGAAGCACATCAGACTAACAACAGATCTCTCTGCAGAAACTCTACAAGTCAGAAGAGATTGGGGGCCAATATTCAAAACTCTTAAAGAAAAGAATTTTCAGCCCAGAGTTTTATATCCAGCCAAACTAAGCTTCATAAGCAAAGGAGAAATAAAATCCTTTACAGACAAGCAAATGCTGAGAGATTTTGTCACCACCAGGCCTGCTTACAAGAGCTCCTAAAGGAAGCACTAAACATGGAAAGGAAAAACTGGTACCAGCCACTGCAGAAACATACCAAATTGTAAAGAACATTGATGCTATGATGAAACTGCATCAACTAGTGGGCAAAATAATGAGCTAGCGTCATAATGACAGGATAAAATTCACACATAACAATATTAACCTTAAATGTAAATGGGCTAAATGCCCCAATTAAAAGACACAGACTGGAAAATTGGACAAAGAGTCAAGACCCATTGGTGTGCTGTATTCAGGAGACCCATCTCATGTGCAAAGACATACATAGGCTCAAAATAAAGGGATGGAATAATATTTACCAAGCAAATGGGAAACAAACAAAAAAAAACCCCAGGGGTTGCAGTCCTAGTCTCTGATAAAACAGACTTTAAACCAACAAAGATCAAAAAAGACAAAGAAGGCCATTACATAATGGTAAAGGGATCAATGCAACAAGAAGAGCTAACTATCCTAAATATATATGCATCCCTTACAGGAGCAACCGGATTCATAAAGGAAGTTCTTAGAGACCTACAAACAGACTTACACTTACACAATAATAGTGGGAGATGTTAACACCCCACTGTCGATATTAGACAGATCAATGAGACAGAAAATTAACAAGGACATTCAGGACTCGAGCTCAGCTCTGGACCAGGCTGACCTAATAGACATCTACAGAACTCTCCACTCCAAATCAACAGAATATACATTCTTCTCAGCAACACATTGCACTTATTCTAAAATTGATCACATAATTGGAAGTAAAACACTCCTCAGCAAATGCACAAGAATGTAAACCATAACAGTCTCTCAGACCACAGTGCAATCAAATTTGAACTCAGGATTAAGAAACTCACTGAAAATCACACAACTACATGGAAACTGAACATCCTGCTCCGGAATGACTACTGGGTAAATAACAAAATTAAGGCAGAAACAAATAAGTTATTTGAAACCAATGACAACAAAGGCACAATGTACCAGAATCTCTGGGATACAGCTAAAGCACTGTTTATAGAGGGAAATGTATGGCAATAAGTGCCCACAGGAGAAAGCAGGAAAGATCTAAAATCGACACCCAAACATAACAATGAAAAGAACTAGAGAAGCGGGAGGAAACAAATTCAAAAGCTAGCAGAAGACAAGAGATAACTAGGATCAGAGCAGAACTGAGGGAGATAGAGACACGGAAAACCCTTCAAAAAATCAGTGAATCCAGGAGTTGGTTTTCTGAAAAGATCAACAAAATAGACCGCTAGCCAGACTAACAAAGAAGAAGAGAGAGAAGAATAAAAAAGACACAATAAAAAATGATAAAGGGGATATCACCACTGATCCCAGAGAAATACAAACTACCATCAAAGAATACTATAAACACCTCTATGCAAATAAACTAGAAAATCTAGACGAAATGGATAAATTCCTGGATACATACACCCTCCCAAGACTAAACCAGGAAGAAGTCGAATCCCTGAATAGAACAATAACAAGTTCTGAAATTGAGGCAGTAATTAATAGCCTACCAATCAAAAAAAAGCCCAGGACAAGACAGATTCACAGCTGAATTCTACCAGAGGTACAAAGAGGAGCTGGTACCATTCCTTCTGAAACTATCTTTCAATCAATAGAAAAAGAGGGTCTCCTCCCTAACTCATTTTATGAGGCCAGCATCATCCTGATACCAAAACCTGGCAGAGACACAACAAAAAAAAAGAAAATTTCAGACCAATATCCATGATGAACATCGATGCAAAAATCCTCAATAAAATACTGGCAAACTGAATCCAGCAGCACATCAAAAAGCTTATCCACCATGATCAAGTTGGCTTCATGCCTTGGATGCAAGGCTGGTTCAACATACGCAAATCAATAAATGTAATCAATTGCATAAACAGAACCAATGACAAAAACCACATGATTATCTCAATTGACACAGAATAGGCCTTAGAAAAAATTCAACAGCCTGTCATGCTAAAAACTCTCAATAAACTAGGTATTCATGGAACGTATCTCAAAACAATAAGAGCTATTTATGACAAACCCACAGCCGAATGGGCAAAAACTGGAAGCATTCCCTTTGAAAACTGGCACAAGACAAGGATACCCTCTCTCACCACTTGTATTCAACATAGTATTGTAAGTTCTGGCCAGGGCAATGAGGCAAGAGAAAGAAATAAAGGGTGTTCAAATAGGAAGAGAAGAAGTCAAATTGTCTCTGTTTTCAGATGACATGATTGTATATTTAGAAAATCCCATTGTCTCTTCCCAAAATCTCCTTAAGCTGTTAAACAACTTCAGCAAAGTCTCAGGATACAAAATCAATGTGCAAAAATTGCACGCACTCCTATACATCAATAATAGAGAGCCAAATCATGCGTGAACTCCCATTCACAATTGCTTCTACAAAGAGAATAAAATACATAGGAATACAACCCACAAGGGATGTGAAGGACCTCTTCAAGGAGATCTACAAATCACTGCTCAAGGAAATAAGAGAGGACAGAAACAAATGGGAAAACATTACATGCTCATGGATAGGAAGAATCAATATCATGAAAATGGCTATACTGCCCAAAGTAATTTATAGATTCAATGCTATCCCATCAAGCTACCATTGACTTTCTTCACAGAATTAGAAAATAACTACTTTAAATTTCATATGGAACCAAAAAAGAGCCAGGGTAGCCAAGACAGTCCTAGGCGAAAAGAACAAAATTGAAGGCAGCACGCAACCTTACTTCAAACTGTACTACAAGGCTACAGTAACCAAAACAGCATGGCACTGGTACCAAAACAGCTATATAGACCAATGGAATAGAACAGAGGCCTCAGAAATAACACCACACATCTACAACAATCTGGTCTTTGACAAACCTGGCAAAAACAAACAATGGGGAAAGGATTCCCTATTTAATAAATGGTGTTTGGAAAACTGGTTAGCCATATGCAGAAAACTGAAAAGGGACCCCGTTCATTACACCTTATACAAAAATTAACTCAAGACAGATTAAGGACTTAAACGTAAGACCTAAAACCATAAAAACCCTAGAAGAAAACCTAGGCAATACCATTCAGGACGTAGGCATGGGCAAGGACTTCATTGCTAAAACACCAAAAGCAATGGCAACAAAAGCCAAAATAGACAAATGAGATCTAATTAAACTAAAGGGCTTCTGCACAGCAAAAGTAACTATTATCAGAGTGAACAGGCAACCTACAGAATGGGAGAAAATTTTTGCAATCTAACTCTCTGACAAAGGACTGATACCAGAATCTACAAAGAACTTAAACAATTTTACAAGAAAAAAACAAACAATTCCATCAAAAAGTGGGCGAAGGCTACGAACAGACACTTCTCAAAAGGAGACATTTATGCGGCCAACAAAGATATGAAAAAAAGCTCATCATCACTGGTCATTAGAGAAATGAAAATCAAATCCATGATGAGATACCATCTCATGCCAATTAGAATGGCAATCATTAAAAAGTCAGGAAAGAACAGAGGACTGGAGAGGACGTGGAGAAATAGGAATGCTTTTACACTGTTGGGGGGGAATGTAAATTAGTTCAACCATTGTGGAAGACAGTGTGGCGATTCCTCAAGTATCTAGAACTAGAAATACCATTTGACCCAGCAATCCCATTACTGGGTATATACCCAAGTATATACTGGGTATAATACCCAAAGAATTATAAATCATTCTAATCTAAAGACACATGCACACGTATGTTTATTGCAGCACTGTTCACAATAGCAAAGACTTGGAATCAACCCAGATGTCCATCAGTGATACACTGGATAAAGAAAATGTAGCACATATACACCATAGAATACTATGCAGACATAAAAAAGGATGCATTCATGTCCTTTGAAACACATGGATGAAGCCAGAAACCATGATTCTCAGCAAACTATCACAAGAACAGAAAACCAAACACCGCATGTGGGAGTTGAATAATGAGAACACATGGATGCAGAGTGGGGAACACCTCACATCATGGCCTGTCAGGGGGTGGGGGTTTAGGGGAGGGATAGCATTAGGAGAAATACCTAATGTAGATGATGGGTTGCTTGGTGCAGCAAACCACCATGGCACGTGTATACCTATGCAACAAATGTGCACATTCTGCATATGTGTCCCAGAACTTAAAGTATAAAAAATATATATATGTATATATATATATATATACGTATATATATATATATATATATATACGTATATATATATATATACACACATGTGGCTTTTGAAAGCCTTTTAAAGATTTTAAAAGAAATATTATATTTTCTTTCTAAAACGTGGGTGGAAATAAGCCAAAAAATAATTGTTATGTTAATTTTCTAGATACGATTAGTACTTATAATCCTAGGAAAATATATAGCACTTACATCTCTAAAATGCTTTATTAAGTTTATTTTTCAGCATAATTTAGTAATTTTCAGTAATTAAAATTATTTCCTATTTCTGCATATTAACAAAGTGAATGTTAACTGAAGAACACTTTTGTGTTTTTTTGTTTTTGTTTTTTGTTTTGAGACAGAGTCTTGCGCTGTCACCCAGGCTGGAGTGCAGTGGCGCGATCTCGGCTGACTGCAAGCTCCGCCTCCTGGGTTCATGCCTTTCTCCTGCCTCAGCCTCCCGAGTAGCTGGGACTACAGGCGCCTGCCACCATGCCCAGCTAATTTTTTTTTGTATTTTTAGTAGAGACGGGGTTTCACCGTGTTAGCCAGGATGGTCTCAATCTCCTGACCTTGTGATCTGCCTGCCTCGGCCTCCCAAAGTGCTGGGATTACAGGCGGGAGCCACTGCGCCCGGTCCACTTTTGTTTTACCATATATAATAACCCTTTGTGTTTATGAAATTTTGCATTTCATTAAATTGGCATTTACTTTAAAAATTTTTGCATATTTTGAATTGGTTTAATTTAAAGTTTGCAAGCATGGTTTCAGAACATCTATTTATGAAACAATAAATGACCATAACATTGTGAATCTTATGTATTTTCTATACCTATTTAATTTTACTTGATACATATTTGAATATATTTGCTTTGATCCTAAAAGTGATTCATATTTATTGATAAAATTGAAAGTATAGGGAATAAAGAAGAAATTAAAATCACATCACTTTAATAATAGATAATATTTGCTTAGCGTTTAGATGTTTTATATATATTCATATGTAGCATAATCTTTATTAATATCTATAGATTTCTCTGTATTGATATACATATTATGCATTACGGAAGTGCTGGGCAGCACTCCGTAGATGTCCTCTATAAACATATACATATATTTTTTCTATTCATAAAAATCTTGAGGCAAGACTCTATGTATCTATATTCATATAACTTTTCTTTATTCCCCCACCCCCATACTCACACAGATTAGCAACTGATCCAAGAAAGCTGAATGAGATCTTTCTCTAGGGGATTTGGATTTGGAAAGAACAGATTCCAGCTTCACACTCCTTGGTCTATTGGATAGAGGAAAAACCAACATTTTCTGACATGTACAGTAGAAGGTGGAAGAAGGCAGGATGCAGCAGGGGAGAAAAGTAAGACAGGCCAGAAGAAAGGAGGAGATACAGAAACAGGGAAAATGTCTTCACTACTGTGCAGCCACAATTAGTGTATTTACAAGGCTTGGCTAAATTCCTGACTTTCATTCTTTTGGTATATTTCCAATTTGCTTAATTGAATGGGAGTGGGTTTTATTTACTTCAATATCAAAAGAAGCTTAATTAATATATCTTTAAAAACTGTTGTTTCATTTAGCAATGTATCATGGACATTTCCCCATCTCATTAATTTTTTTTCTAAAATTTACTTTTACATTGTAACTATTCACTTATAAAAGTTTCAGAAGTAGAGTTACTGTGTTAAAATATGAACATTTGCACGGCTATTTTTTGTCAAATAATTTATGAATTATTTTCTAGAAGTATCTACCAAGCAATGAAATTCCTTGCACTTTTGCTAATACTGGGTACTATCGATAAAAGCTATTTTAAATGGAAAGTTCAAGTGAACAACAAATATATCTTAAAACATAATAATAATGGAAATAGTGTACCATACTCAAATTTCTTAGCTTTTTAGAGTACTTATGAATTAAAATTAAATTTTATTAAAAATATTAAATCTGTACATTTTTGTTTGTTTGTTTTTTTCTTTTTGAGACTGGGTCTCACTCTGTTGCCCAGGCTGGAGTACAGTGGTGTGATCATGGCTTACTGCAGCCTGGACCTCCCGGCTCAGGAGATCCTCCCACCTTAGCCTCCCAAGTAGCTGGAACCACAGGCACATGGCACCATGCCCAGCTAATTTTTAAATTTTTTGTAGAGATGGGGTCTCCCTATGTTTCCTGAGCTGATCTCAAACTCCTAGGCCCAAGAGATCCCCCTGGCTTGGCCTCCCAAACTGCTAGGATTAAGGCATAAACCACTATGCCTGTCATAAATCTGTAAGTTTTTATAAGAAGGATTGAACCCCATAATATTAGATGTAAAAGAAACCAATAATTTATCATAACGCAGTCTTGTAAAGAATTAAAAGCAAGTATAGGCATATTTTTAAATGTACTATTGAGATAAAATGCTGAAATTCAGGTCTTTTTTTCTCTGAGTGGACAGAAATCACACTTATAAGTACCTGACTATAGTTTGGTCATTCTACATTTTCTTTTTTCTTTACTTTTTTTTTTTTTAGCAGGCCGGGGGACAGGGTTTTACTGTATCTCACCCAGGCTGGACTGCACTGGTATTGTCGGTATTATCACAGCTCACTGCAGCCTCGACTTCCCAGGCTCAGGTGATACTCCCACCTCAGCCTCCCAGGTAACTGGAACTACTGGCATGTGCCACTATTCTGAGTGAGTTTTTTGTATTTTTTGTAGAGACGGGGCCCATGTTGTCCAGGCTGTTCTCAAACTCCTGAGCTCAAGTGATCCGCCCACCTCAGCCTCCCAAAGTGCTGCGATTACAGGCATGAACCAACATGCCCAGCCATTCTAATTTTTCTTAGATAGTTATAAAGACCTCACGCACAAGAGGGATATCCTCGTAAGTAGTGTTCAGTGTTGTGTAACTAGCTTTTCAAAATATGACCAATAACCATTAAAAAAAAATGAATGTATTGACAAAATAACCTCCTTGGGAAACTGTTCTATAAAAATGAAACTACTGAGATGTAAGGACAAAGATAAAAGCATATTTGTTACAGCATATTTTTTTAACCAAGTATCTACAGGAAAATGGGAAAACTACTATTTATGTACCAGAATTATGGTACATCTCTACTAAGGAATATTATGTTGTTAAATCTGTTTATAAAGTGCTACATATAAGTACATGTGTGTATACATGCTTGTATGAGCATAGATACGTGTGTTGAAGGATATATCCAAAAGTATTAAAACCTGTTACTGTTACTTGGGGGTCAAGGGGATGGGAGTCAGAAAGCAAGAGATTACAAACATGTTTTTACACACTTCTTTATTTACTTGTTCACAATATGCATAACTGTTTTGTAACTAAAGAAACCTTTTTAAAAAATTGAAAGAAAGAGAAAAAAAAGAAATAATGAAGTTACCATTAACTACTTACTTCAGGAAAAATATAGAAGCTTCTTATCTGGTAGTTGCTGTTAATTCCCCCTCCCCCATCCTAAGGATTAGACATTAAATTAGTTTCATTTTGAGATAATTGCAGATTCACATGAAGCTGTAAGAAAATGCAGAGATCCTGTGAACTCTTTACACAGTTTCTCCCAATGGTAACATCTTTTATTTTAATTTCAATGTGTTTTCTATCTTGAAACTTTGCTGAATTCATTTATCACTTCTAGGAGGTTTTTGGATGAGTCTTTAGGGTTTTCTAGGTATACAATCATATCATCAGCAAACAGTGACAGTCTGACTTCCTCTTTACCAAACTGGGTGCCTTTTGTTTGTTTCTGTTGTCTGATTGCTCTGGCTAGGACTTTCAGTACTATGCTCAATAGAAGTGGTAATAGTGGCCATCCTTGTCTTGTTCCAATTCTCAGGGGGAATGCTTTCAACTTTTCCCCATTCAGTATAAGGTTAGCTGTGGGTTTGTCATACATAGCTTTTATTACCTTAAGATATGTCCCTTCTATGCTGATTTTGCTGAGGATTTTAATCACAATGGGATGCTGGATTTTGTTAAATGTCTTTTCTGCACCTATTGAGATGATCATGTGATTTTTGTTTTTGACTCTGTTTATGTGGTGTATCACATTTATTGACTTATGGATGTTAAACCATCCTTGCATCCCTGGTATGAAACCCACTTGATCATGGTGGATTATCTTTTTGACATGCTGTTGGATTCGGTTAACTAGTATTTTGTTGAGGATTTTGCATCTGTGTTCATCAGGGATATTGGTCAATAGTTTTCTTTTTGTAATGTCCTTCCCAGGTTTTGGTATTGGTGTGATACTGGCTTCATAGAATGATTTAGGGAGGATTCCATCTTTCTCTATCTTTTGGAATAGTGTCCATCTTTCTCTATCTTTTGAAATAGTGTCAGTAGGATTGGTACCAATTCTTCTTTGAATGTCTGACAAAATTCAGTTGTGTATCTGTCTGATCATGGACTTTTTTGTTGGCATTTTTTTTTATTACCATTTTAATCTTGCTGCTTGTTACTGGTCTGTTCAGAGTTTCTATTTCTTCCTGGTTTAATCTAGGAGGGTTGTGTATTTCCAGGAATGTACCCATCTCCTCTAGGTTTTCTAGTTTATGCACATCAAGGTGTTCATAGTAGCCTTGAATGATCTTTTGTATTTCTGTAGTATCGGTTGTAATATCTCCCATTTCATTTCTAATTGAGCTTATTTGGATCTTCTCTCTTCTTTTCTTGGTTAATCTTACTAATGATCTATTGATTTTACTTATCTCTTCAAATAACCTGCTCATTGTTTCTTTGATTTTTTGTTTCAATTTCATTTAATTCTGCTCTGATCTTTTTTATTTCTTTTCTTCTGCTGGGTTTGGCTTTGGTTTGTTCTTGTTTCTCTAGTTCCTTGAGGTGTGACCTTAGATTGTCTATTTGTGCTCTCTCAGACTTTTTGATGTAGGCATTTAATGCTATGAAGTTTCCTCTTAGCACTGCTTTTGCTTTATCACAAGGGTTGTATCATGATTATCATTCAGTTCAAAAAATTTTTAAATGTCCACCTTGATTTCATTGTTGACCCAGTGATCATGCAGGAGCAGGTTATTTAATTTTCATGTATTTGCATAGTTTTGAGGGTTCCTTTTGGAGTTCATTTCAAATTTTATTTCACTGTAGTCTGAGAGAGTATTTGATAGAATTTTAATTCTCTTAAATTTATTGAGAGATTTTTGTGGCCTATCATATGGTCTATCATGGAGAATGTTCCAAGTGCTGATGAATAGAATGTGTATTCTGCAGTTGTTGGGTAGAACGTTCTATAAATATCTCTTAAGTTCACTTATTCTAGGTAATAGTCCATTGTTTCTTTGTTGACTTTCTGTCTTGATGATCTGTCTAGTGCTGTCAGTAGAGTATTGAAGTCCCCCCACTATTATTGTACGGCTGTCTATTCCATTTCTTAGGTCTAGTACTAATTGTTTTATAAATTTGGGTGATCCAGTGTTAGGTGCAAATATATTTAGGATTTTGATATTTTTCTCTTGGAGAAGTTCCTTAATCTTTATATAATGTCCCTTTTTTTTTTTGTAACATCTGTTGCTTTAAAGTTGGTTTTGTCTGATATAAGAATACTTACCCCTGCTCACCTTTGGTGTCCATTTGCATGCAATATCTTTTTTCACCATTTTACCTTATACTACTTTATATCAGTCATTATGTGATAGTTGAATCTCTTGAAGATACCAAATGCTTAGTTGGTGTATTAGTCTGTTTTCATACTGTTATAAAGAACTGGCTGAGACTGGATAATTTATAAAGGAAAGAAGTTTAATTGACTCACAGTTCGGTGTGACTGGGGAGGCCTCAGGAAACTTACAATCATGGCAGAAGGTGAAGGGGAAGCTGGCACCTTCTTCACAAGGCCGCAGAAAGGAAAAGCTCTGAGCAAAGGAGGAAGAGCCACTTATAAAACCATCATATCTCTTGAGAACTCACTCACTATCATGAGAATGGCATGGGGGAACCACCCCCATGATTCAGTTATCTCTTCCCATGATTTTGGGAATTACAATTCAAGATGAGATTTGGGTGGGGACACAAAGCCTAACCATATTATTCAGTCCCTACTCCCCCCACCAATCTCATGTCCCTTTCACATTTCAAAATCAATCTTGCCTTCCCAACAGTCCCATGAAGTCTTCATTCATTCTAGCAATAAACCAAAAGTCCAAGTCCAAAATCTCATATAAGACGAGGCAAGTCCCTTTCACTTATGAGCCTGTAAAATCAAAAGCAAGTTAGTTACTTCCTAGATACAATGGGGATACAG
The DNA here is from genome assembly GCF_000001405.40 of Homo sapiens. Classification (NCBI taxonomy): domain Eukaryota; kingdom Metazoa; phylum Chordata; class Mammalia; order Primates; family Hominidae; genus Homo; species Homo sapiens. The sequence continues at coordinate 19,239,328 of NC_000007.14, forward strand.
GCATTGCATAAATGCACCCTTCCAAAGGGGAGAAATTTATCAAAACAAAGGTGCTATAGGCCCCACAAGCAATTCCAAAATCCAACAGGGCAGTCAAATCTTAAAGCTCCAAAATGATTTCCTTTGACTCCATGTCTCACAGTCAGGTGATGCTGTTGTAAGAGGTGGCCTCCCCATGGCCCTGGGCAGCTCCATCCCTTTAGCTTCGCAGGGTACAGTCCCCCTCCTGGCTGCTTTCACAGGCTGGCATTGAGTATCTGCAGGTTTTCAAGGGGCATGGTGCAAGCTGTTGGTGCATCTACCATCCTGGGGTCTGGAGGATTGTGGCCTTCTTTTCACAGCTCCACTAGGCAGTGCTCATGTGGGGACTCTGTGTGGGGGATACAACCCTACATTTCCCTTTCTCATTGCCCTAGCAGAGGTTCTCTATGAGGGCTCTGCCCCTGCAGCACACCTCTGCCTCCACATCCAGGCATTTCCATACATCCTCTGAAATCTAGGAGAAGGTCCCGAACCTTAATTCTGGTCTTCTGTACACCTGCAGGACCAACACCATGTGGAAGCTGCCAAGGTTTGGGATTTGCACCCTTTGAAGCAATGATCTGAGCTGTACCCTGGCCCCTTTTAGCCACAGCTGGAGAAGCTGGGACACAGGGCACCAAGTCCTGAGGCTGCACATAGCAGGGGGGCTCTAGACCTGGCACAGGAATCCATTTTTCCCTCCTAGGCCCCTGTGATGGGAAGGCTGCTGTGGAGGTCTCTGACATGCCCTGGGGACATTCTTTTTCCATTGTCTTTCATTGCCGCAAGATGGAGTGAGTGCAAGCAGAGGAAATGCCAGATGCTTATAAAACCATCAAATCCCATGAGACTTACTCACTGTCAAGAGACAGAATGGGGAAATGCACACCCATGATCCCACCCTCGACATATGGGGGTTTGGGGACTATAATTCAAGATGAGATTTTTGGGTGAAGACACAGCCAAACCATATCAGTTGGTGAATTCTTATCCATTCCGCCATTTCATATCTTTTAAATGGAGCATTTAGGCCATTTACATTCAATGTTGGTATTGAGATGTGAGGTACTATTCAATTTCTCATGCTAGTTATTGCCTAAATACCTTTTTTTCATTGTGTTATTGTTTTATAGGTTCTGTGAGATTTATGCTTTAGGGAGGTTCTATTTTGGTGTATTTCCAGGATGGGTTTTCAGATTTACAGCTCCTTTTAGCACTTCTTGTAGGGCTGGCTTGGTAGTGGTGAATCTCTCAGCATTTATTTGAAAAAGACTGTATTTTTCCTTCATTTATGAAGCTTAGTTTTGCTGGATACAAAATTCTTGGCTGCTAATTGTTTCATTTAAGGCTAAAGAAAGGACCACAATCCCTTCTAGTTGGTAAGTTTTGTGCTGAGAAATCTGCTGTTAATCTGATATGTTTCCTTTTTTTTTTTTTTTTGAGACAGAGTCTTGCTTCATCACCCAGGCTGGAGTGCAGTGGCACAATCTCAGCTCACTGCAATCTCTGCCTCCCAGGTTCAAGCAATTCTCATGCCTCAGCCTCCTAAGTAGCTGGGATTGCAGGCATGTGCCACCATGCTGAGCTAATTTTTGTATTGTTAGTAGAGATGGGGTTTCACCATGTTGGCCAGGCTCATCTCAAACTCCCGAGCTCAAGTGATCTGCCCACCTCAGTCTCCCAAAGTGCTGGAATTACGGGTGTGAGCCACTGCACCCAGCCAGGTTTTCCTTTATAGGTAATGCTTTTGCCTCATAGTTCTTAAGATTCTTTCCTTCATCCTGACATTAGATAACCTGATGACTATGTGCCTAGGTGACGATCTTTTTTGTGATGAGTTTCCCAGGTGTTCTTTGAGCTTCTTGTATTTGGATGTCTAGATCTCTGGCATGCCCAGGGACATTTTTCTCAATTATTTCCTCAAATACGTTTTCCAAACTTTTAGATTTCTCTTCTTCCTTGAGCACACCAATTATTCTTAAGTTTGGTCGCTTAACATAATCCCAAAATTCTTGGAGACTTTGTTCATTTTTTTAAAATTCTTTTTTCTTTGTCTTGTTGGATTGGGTTAATTTGAAAGCCTTGTCTTTGATCTCTGAATTTCTTTCTTCTACTTGTTCAATTATATTCCTGAGACTTTCCAGTGTATTTTGCATTTCTCGAAATGTGTCCTGAATTTATAGATGTTGTGATCGTTTTTTATTTATGGTCTCTATTTCTCCAGAGATTTTTTCATCTATATCCTGTAACATTTTTAAACTAATTTCTTTAAGTTGGTATTCATCTTTCTCTGGTGCCTCCTTGAGAAGCTTAATAATCAACCCTCTGAATTCTCTTTCTGGCAATTTAGAGACTGCTTTGTTTGGATCCATTGCTGGTGAACTAGTGTGATCTTTTGGGGGTGTTAATAAGCCTTGTTTTGTCATATTACCAGCGTTGTTTCTCTGGTTCCTCCTCATTTGGGTAGACTATGTCAGAGCTAAGATCTAGAGCTCAAGGGCTGCTGTTCAGATTCTTTTGTCCCATGGGGTGGTCCCTCGATGTGCTGCTCTTTCCTGTTCCCTAGGGATGGGGCTTCCTGAGAGTTGAATCACAGTGACTGTTATTTCTCTTCAGGATCTAGCTACCCAATGGAGCTACCACGCTCTGGGTTGGGACTGTGGAGTGTCTGCAAAGAGTCCTGTGATGTGATCTGTCTTCAGGTCTGTCAGCCATGGATACCAGCACCTGCTCCTGCAGAGGTAGCAGGGGAGTGAAGTGGACTCTGTTAGGGTTCTTGGTTGTATCTTTGTTTAGTATGCTAGTTTTGTGTTAGCTGGCCTCCAGCAAGGATGTGGCACTTTCAAAAGAACATCAGCTGTGGTGGTATAGGGAGGATACCAGCTTGCCCTAGGTCATCTGAATAAGTATTTGGGTTTCTCATGTAGTGGACAGGGCCATAGAGCTCCCAAAAGATTATGTTCTTTGTCTTTGGCTACCAGGACAGGCAGAGAAAGACCATCAGGTGGGGTCTGGGTTAGATGTGTCTGAGCTCAGACTCTCCTTGAGCGGGGCTTGCTGCAGCTGCTGTGAGGAATGGGGGTGTGGCTCCCAGGTCAATGGAGTTATGTTCCCAGTGGGATTATGGCTGCCTCTGCTGTGTCATACAGGCCACCAGGAAAGTGGGGAAATCTGGCAGTGACAGGTCTCACCCAGCTCACATGCAGTCTGAAAGGCTAGTTGCACTGCCATCATGCTCCACCACAGCCCAATGGCACCACGTTTATTTTCAGGCAGCTGGTGAGCAGGGCTGAGAACCTACCTCAGGCTACAAGCCTCCTCTCTGAGAAAGCAAGCAAAGCTTTTACATTTTGTACCTCCCTGCCTGCCATGCCTTCTGTGCTCATATCAAACTCCAGGTTTGCCCCCTCCCCCAGGTTCTATCCAGGAAACTTCGTGTTCAATCAAAATTGTTACAAAGTTCAGCTGGAAGTTTCCATCTCCCTGTGGTCTTTCCCCAGTTTCAATGGCAGACCCCCTCCCCTCACCCCCAAGTACCTCTGTGAGACAAAGTCAGAATGGCTTCTTGGGGACCAAGAGTACCCACAGGGCTTTTCCTGCTGTTTTCTCTACCCCTATATTTCACTTTCACTAAATTTGTCTCAGCTCCAGGTGAGGTCAAATAACATTTTTTCAGAATTCCACAGCTATACATGTACCTATGTAGATGTGTGTGTATTTATTTCTGTGCAATTTTATCACTTATGTAGATTCCTTTGTCTATCTCTGCAGTCAAAATACAAAGGAGTTTCAACTGCTCAAGTATCCCTTATGGCTCTTTTATAACAGCATTTACCTCTCTCACCTGCCTTGTCCCTAACCGCTGGCAACTACTGTTCTCTTATTCGCGTCTATAATTTTGTCATCTCAAGAATGTTATACAAATGGAAACATCTATTATGTAACCATTTGGGATTGGCCTTTTCTTCTTAGCATAATTATCTAAAGATTAATTAAAGATATTCATTGTATCAGTAGTTTATCTGTTTTTATTGTTGAGTAGTATTCCATGGTATTGAAGGACATATGGATAGTTTTCAGTTTTTGCCTATTATTAATAAAGCAGCTATGAACATTTGTGTACAGGTTTTTGTGTGATCACAAGTTTTTATTTCTCTGTGATAAATGTCTGGGAGTGCAATTGCTGGGTGACATGTTAGATGTCTCCTTAGTTTTTTTTAGAAAGAATTTCAGACTGTTTTCCAGAGTGACTGTATCATGTTGCATTCTTACCAGCAATGTACGGGTAATATAGTTTCTTCGCTTTCTTTTAGCATTTGGTATGGGCACTATTTTGTTGTTGTTGTTGTTGTTTCAGCCATTATTATAGGTACTCAGTGTGTTTTTAAGGTTATGTGATGAAACAAAACTCATTACAAATTCTCGCTTTGAGGATTCTTTGTCTCTCTATAAGATGAAATCATTCAAATCTTCAGTGAATTTTGAAGATTGAAGGAATCTTAAAAAAAGATTTTTGTACCAGAAGTTATGTAAATATCTAAAGAAGAATTTCAGTTCCTCCTATTTTCTGAGTCTTCCCTGAAAAACCAAAGACACATATAACTGCTACTGAATCAAGTAAAAAAGTGATAAAATTCCGATTCCTTTAACAAACTCAGCAAATATTTGTTGACTGCCTAATAGGTGACAAACACTATTCTAGTTGCTGATGCTATAGCAATAATTAAAAACAATAAAGCTTCTGCTTCAGTGCAGCTTACATTCCAGTGATTTGGGGCATTTTGTTTCGGGGAACCTAATAAATAACACTCCCTTATCTCCAAGGTGATTTGAAAACAACTGATAGGCACTAGAAAACTGTAGATGGAAACAGATCCCTAATGGCTGACAAAACTGTTTGTAGAATATGGCTCAGGTTAGTGGAAATAATAAGCTTCGTAATACTATACCTACTTACAAGCAGAATTATCTGCATGGGCACAAGAAATGCCAGAAAGGCACAGGCCACACAAAATACTGCTTATCGGAAACTGCTGGTGCATATGCTCTGTGAGGTAGGCATGTTCCAAAGATTAGATTCTGAAATGCTGGGGCACACATTCCTAGGTTCTTCATAACTTCATCCTCCAGAAAAAAAGGGGGAATAATGATTGGACCAGGAAAGAGGCCTGGATTTTAGTCTGAAGAAACCTCCCTCACAGAGAAATAGAAGGACTGAGGAATGAAAATTCTCCAATTATTGTTATCAATTATTTTACACTAAGGTTAAAAAAAAGTTGAAATGATGCTGCCACATTTAACCCTTCAATCTGTTATATGGTTATATGGCTTCTATTCTGGAATATTGTCACTATTTGTAGATGACATAGTTTTTTCTTAAATACAAATACAAGGCCTACTTTGGAGGTTGACAAAGAGGAATATGAAGAAATACAATAAGAGTAGCCATATGTTACAAATTATACATATATTTACTTAAATTATGTAATAGTTTTGGGGATTGGAGAAGTACAATAAATATTACTCTTATTTTCCTTCTGAGTTTGAAACCAATTTAGAGATAGACAAAAAACTTTCAAGCAGATGGATATCAAAATATGAGCTTACTGCAGACAAATGGTGTATTGCAGGATATGGCAACAATGAGATTTCTAATACTGAACATTGGAATTAGGCTTACCTATCAAGTTACAGACAGCATTAAACAGCACTTCTTCAGATGAGAGTGCTTGTTTTGTAAAATTTGTGGCTTGGAGGAGTAAACCAGAATGCATACTCTCGGCAGGCCGGTGTATTAGTCAGGGTTCTCTAGAGAGACAGAACTAATAGGATACGTGTATATATGAAGGGGAGTTAATTAGGAAGAATTAACTCACACAGTCACAAGGTGAAGTCCCATGATAGGCCGTCTGCAAGCTGAGGGGCAAGTCCGAGTCCCAAAACCTCAATAGTAGTGAGAGGTGACAGCGTGCTGGCAGTCCTCAGAGCCCTCGCTTGCTCTCGGCACCTCCCCTGCCTGCGCTCCCACTTTGGCGGCATTTGAGGAGCCCTTCAGCCCCCCACTGCACTGTGGGAGCCCCTTTCTGGGCTGGCCAGGGCTGGAGCCCACTCTCTCAGCTCGCAGGGAGGTGTGGAGGGAGAGGCACGAGCGGGAACCGGGGCTGCGTGCGGCGCTTGCCGGCCAGCTGGAGTTCCGGGTGGGCGTGGGCTTGGCGGGCCCCGCACTCGGAGCAGCCAGCCAGCCCTGCTGGCCCCGGGCAATGAGGGACTTAGCACCGGGGCCAGTGGCTGCGGAGGGTGTACTGGGTCCCCCAGCAGTGCCGGCCCACCTGCGCTGCGCTCGATTTCTCGCCGGGCCTTAGCTGCCTTCCCACGGGGCAGGGCTCGGGACCTGCAGCCCGCCATGCCTGAGCCTCCCACCCACTCCATGGGCTCCTGTGCGGCCCGAGCCTCCCCAGCGAGCACCACCCCCTGCTCCATGGCGCCCAGTCCCATCGATCACTGAAGGGCTGAGGAATGCGAGCGCACGGCCCAGGACTGGCAGGCAGCTCCACCTGCAGCCCAGGTGCGGGATCCACTAGGTGAAGCCAGCTGGGCTCCTGAGTCTAGTGGGGACGTGGACAGTCTTTATGTCTAGCTCAGGGATTGTAAACACAGCAATCAGCACCCTGTATTTAGCTCAAGGTTTGTGAGTGCACCAATCGACACTCTATCTAGCTGCTCTGGTGGGGCCTTGGAGAACCTTTATGTCTAGCTCAGGGATTGTAAATACACCAATCAGCACCCTGTGTTTAGCTCAAGATTTGTGAGTGCACCAATCGACACTCTGTATCTAGCTGCTGTGGTGGGGACGTGGAGAACCTTTATGTCTAGCTCAGGGATTGTAAATACACCAATCGGCACTCTGTATCTAGCTCAAGGTTTGTAAACACACCAATCAGCACCCTGTGTTTAGCTCAAGGTTTGTGAATGCACCAATGGACACTCTGTATCTAGCTGCTCTGGTGGGGCCTTGGAGAACCAGTGTGTCAAAACTCTGCATCTAACTAATCTGATGGGGACGTGGAGAACCTTTGTAACTAGCTCAGGGATTGTAAAGACACCAATCTGGCCCTGACAAAACAGGCCACTGGGCTCTACCAATCAGCAGGATGTGGGTGGGGCCAGATAAAAGAATAAAAGCAGGCTGCCCGAGCCAGCATTGGCAACCCGCTCGGGTCCCCTTCCACAACGTGGAAGCTTTGTTCTTTCGCTCTTTGCAATAAATCTTGCTACTGCTCACTCTTTGGGTCCTCGCTGCTTTTATGAGCTGTAACACTCACCGCAAAGATCTGCAGCTTCACTCCTGAGCCCAGGGAGACCACGAGCCCACCGGGAGGAATGAACAACTCCAGACGCGCTGCCTTAAGAGCTGTAACACTCACCACGAAGGTCTGCAGCTTCACTCCTGAGCCAGCGAGACCACGAACCCACCAGAAGGAAGAAACTCTGAACACATCTGAACATCAGAAGGGACAGACTCCAGACGCGCCACCTTAAGAGCTGTGACACTCACCGCGAGGGTCTGCGGCTTCATTCTTGAAGTCAGTGAGATCAAGAACCCACCAGTTCCGGACATAGTAGGGAAACAGACAATGCAGCCTTCAGTAGGGGGCCAAAGGGTGGAGAACCCCTAGCAAACCACTGGTGTAAGTCTAAGAGTATAAAAGCTGAAGAACTTGGAGTCTGATGTTTGAGAGCCGGAAGCATCCAGCACAGGAGAAAGATGGAGGCCAGAAGACTCAGCAAGTTAGCTATTTCCACCTTCTTTTGCCTGCTTTATTTCTAGCTGCACTGACTCAAATGTTAATCTGTTCTGGCAACACCCAGAAACACCCAGATACAAACAGAAACAATAATTTGCATCCTTCAGTCCAATCAAGTTGACACTTAATGTTAACCATCATGGCAGTGAACTTCTCAGAAGGGGGAAACATGTAAGGGATGAGCCATGCAGATTCCATTCCTTGTTCCACATTTTGTCAATCAGATATATTTCTCTGCCTCTTTCTCTTCTCCCAGTGAAATGGAGAGAGATCAAAAATGCTCAGGGGAAATCCCTCTGCAAGGAAATTTGAAAAGTGGGGAATAAATATTTCTTTCTAACAGTGCATAACTTAAAACTCATTGCTGGGGAAACTTAGTGACTGTATGTCTTTTTATGAGTAAAATAAATAACTAAACTAGAGCATAGGATATTAGAAATAATGTTTGAGGAAGTATGAAGAAAAAGGACAAGAAATGTATACCACAGGTGTGTGTGTGTGTGTGTGCGCTTGTGTGCGTGCACGGGTTTGTCAAAAATTATGGTAATATTGCTGAAGCCCTTTGTGGTCTGCATACATGGAAGAAAATACTGTTGTTTATGCCATTCAATCCATATATGTATTTGATAAATTTTAAGTTTATAAAGTCTGAAATTATAACAACTTTGTGAAGTTTTCATAAACTAATTAAATGTAAATTTCATAGGTGATAATTTATGAAGGATTAGTAAGATTTGCGACATGTCAAGCAGCAATGAAACGAGGAATATTAGAAATAGTATATTTTGCCTTGTGTTTTTTCTATCACTTGTTAGAATCCAATATACACATTCCTTTCTTTCTAATCTCTGACAAGCAAGCTAGTATTAATTAATTGTATCATTATAGACTGGTGACGTTTAGGCTTCACCAACTTTTCCAAAGGAGAAAAAAATGTCGATAGCCCTTTGTGAGACATCAAATTTTAGAGTATCTCAGTCACAAATGTGCATAGGAGTCATCCTTGAAACTTGTTGAAAATGGATAATACCAACTCCCAACCTAAAATATTCTGATTCAATTGATCTAAGCTGGGGCCATGAAATCTGCCTCACATTAGCGTATTGACGTAAGCAAATCTTGGACTACACTCTTAAAAACTGCCCTAGGGTGTGTACATACCCTAGTCTTGAAAATATTGGAGTCCACAGACAGTGTGTACACTCTCTTTTATGCTCTGTGTGATCACTCACTATTGGTCATCATTAACTGTATAGTGTTTCCCTTCAAACAGCTTTAAAAGATGTGCTGTAACATTCTGAAACCAATCACCCACAAAGGCCTTTTTTCTCCTTGAGTTTGGGAAATTTATCAATATTGAGAAAGTAGATGGTATAGTATAGCTATTTGTTGGGGATGCAATACAAAATATTTTCAAATGCATTTTCGTGCTGTGAAATCCTACTTTCTTTTGACTCTCTTCTCAATTTTCTTCTCATCAAGAGAAAAGTAGATGTCACCTTGACTAAAGGAATGTTTCTTTTTTTAAATCCATGTCAGAAAATAGTATTAAAGGAGTTAAAGAGTTTTTACTTTAAACTTATATCAACATATCTAGGTTGCTAAATACCATACATAGAACAGAACACATAGGCAGTCGGGAGAGGAAGTCAGATGCAAAAGTTCTTATATTATTGTGGTTAAACTTTGAAGGGGTTGTGTAAACATGTAGATATGTATGGAGATACTGAAGAATATGTATTGGCATTTGAAACATGCTCATTTAGACATGATTCAGAGAAGCTTCAGACTGTAGCAGAAACATAACTTTCTGCTGAGACTTGGCCACTCTTGGAGGAAGAGGGCAGCTAGATGTATGAACCAAAAAAAACTACCTCCTGGTTCTCCACAGCCTGTTTATCCCGTGCAAAAGATCCACACATTTCTGGGTGCTTGTGGGGTAGAAGGGGGAGCTGTAGAGGCTGATGCTAGAGAGTCAAATGTATAACACACCCAGGTGGCATTATGAAGAAAGGCATTAGAAAAGAGAAATCTGAAAGACCAGGACACTCTCATGAAAGAGACCGATTTAACTAACAGCTAACTTACCAACAAGAAGAAGCTGAGGGACTAAGATTCCATTAATAGGTTTTTAAAAATTTATCTGTTCAAATTTTATCAGGTGTGAGTAAAGACAGAGAGTGATAACCTACCTTTTAATCAGTACATTCATCATGAGGTTCTATCATTTTATTCCTCCACCCTGAAATCATGTACTTTTCTAGGCGTGAGGTGTGAAATTCATATGGGTTAGACTTGAGTTCTCAGTTATTTGTGAGAAGTGCCAGCGTTCAGTACCAGTGGAATGTTGGCATTTTAAGAATGCTACCACCACGACACCATGAGAGCAGTTGCCAGGAGTAAAGTGGCTTAATAAAAATACGTATTTTATCCACAGAGAGTTTCCATCAGCTTTCTACTAGTATTAATTTCAGTAGTTTCTAAAATAACATGAGATTGAGAGTAAAACAAAGTTAAATGTGTAGGAGTACTAAGATAGAAAATACATAGTTTGAGCTGAGAGACAAAGTCTCAAATTCTTTGATTCAGGCTGGTGGCTTTAGAGCTGAAGGCAGAATAAATGGTGGTAGTATATCTTTTACAAATATTCATTTTCTCCTATTCATTTAAAAAATGATGATGTCTAAGTTTTGGCCAAATTTTCTGTATCACCTATGCAATTTTTATTTCATTTTGAGTGAAGATACATACTTATTAAACCCAAAATCTCTTGCGTCCTTGCAATCAATTACAAAAAAATAGGATACACAAACATAGATTTACCATGAATTTACCAGAACCTATGGTGTAATTTTAAAGAAGATTGCTCCTAGTAACACTGCCTTGTTATTACTGAATCTAGATTTGTTCCCACAAGATTAGGCCACAGGCTATACATTATTCTTCCTTTTCCCATTACGGTAGCAGCTGTCTTCAACTAATACTGTAGTGATCTTACTCATTCTACAATCACAGGCTGTTGCCAATTCATTTAGTACAAACGGTGAAAACCAAGGTGTTTGGAAAATTTTGTCTTTTATTCTCATTTCAAAGATTCATGTATTCTAGGCCTCTGAATTACTTATGTGAGAATTTTTGGAATCTTACAAAAGAGCATGGGATTTTTGTTAATATGTCTTATTCACAGACAACATCTCTGTGGTAAAAGCACTATGTACTACGTAGTAGTACCACATGATATGGTGGTAAGTAATTAGGTATATACCTTTTAAACAGCTATGTCATGAAATATAATATTTTAACTCTTTTTACCTAAACTACCTGTTGAGTGAGGTCTGAGTATTATCAGACTGTCACACCTTATAACAATGGACCTCACACATTACTATTTGCTGAATGGATAACCTTGTTTTATATATCTTATTACATTGATCAAGTTACAGAGCGTTTCTGCTTTCATCATGTCACCATCACAGAAAGCCACTTCATACACAATCCATGACATATGTGAAAAATGCACTTACATGATATTTTCTCTCTGTCTTTTCCTTTCTTGTCTCAGAAATATGATTCTTGTCCTTGCGATAGTTTGCTGAGAATGATGGTTTCCAGCTTCATCCATGTCCCTACAAACATGGCACATGTATACATATGTAACAAACCTGCACGTTGTGCACATGTACCCTAGAACTTAAAGTATAATAATAATTTAAAAAAGCAAACAAACAACAACAACAACAACAAACAAAACAAACAAAAAAGAAATATGATTCTTCTTCTGTTTTTCTACATATGGTGATCATGATTCCTGGGGTGAATTTTAATTTTCTTCGAGTTATCACAAATTTCACCTAAATTACACAAAATGATATAGGTGAAGATACCCCTTGGTATCAATCCCTTAGGTTGATAAAATATTATATGAGAATTACAAGGTTTGTCTTTCACAGATCTTGTTGATTGGCCTTTAGTAGGCTTTTTCTGTTGTAATAGTATGTTAACTTCCATAAGGAAGAGATTATAATATCTTCTAGATCTCATTTCAAATCACAATTAATGTTTTAATCAAATACTTTGTGGTAGTAGTTTGTGTTACTTATCTTAAATACACTAATGTACTTGTTCACATTGACATATATTTGTCATTATCTCTACTCATGCAGCATCAAAAAATCCTGCTTACATTTCTTTCCCCTTCTCTTATTTGGTTTTTTTAGTATATCATTTTATTTACAAAACTTGAAGGTTTTGCTATGTATTCTCACACTATTTCAAGATAATTATAAACATGTATAAGTACCTTAATTCCTCTCACCTCAGTTATATCATCAATGAAAGAGTTGGATGGACTAGTTAATGCCTAAGATCCCATCTAATTCTGAATGTGTGTGGTTTTCTTAAAATTGGAATTGACAGTTCTCTGAAGTTATTATTTCTCCGTTTTCATGGAGGTAAATTTTTATTTATTCTAAACTTTTATCTACCCTTCTAAAAACAATTCCATATATGCAACAAAGGGGTTTCTTATCAATAGTCTTTGGGTTGGCATATTTTCTAAGAATTTTTATAAGCATATTAACAGGTTAATTTGGTATGATTTCCAGTAACTAACGTTGTTTTCACATTATAAAGTATATCTAAGTTGTTTGAGTGGCAAGTCATTATAATAGATATTGTGCAATTCTTTCTATACTATAGCATAGTTGTGTCCTCTTAATGTGTGGTGATTATGGATGTCATCCGAGTGAAATTGTAGGGTTATACTACATCTACCTGATGAATGCCTGAAACTCAATATTCATGTCTTGTTCTTTACTATTATCTTTAGTGTCTAGGCTATTGACAGTATATTTTAGGTGTCAATGATGTTGGTTGAATTAAATAATACTTATGTTATTATTTTCTATTATACATTTTATCTGTGTGTGCAATATAGTATTCAGTACAAATACTGAGTTTTTTATTAGTAGCTATAATCTACTTTGTATTAGTAGCTGCATTCTAATTTGTATCAGTAGCTGCAGTCTTGGATAAGTTATTTCTCCCCTCTGTGATCAGGTATTTCAACTGCCAAAAAAGAAAGTTAGACTAAACCTAAGGTCTCTTTCTTATCTAAATTCATTTGTTTAGTTCAGCATTTCTGAAATATATTTTAATATAAAACTTTTCTTCTTTTTTTGCACTTTCTGATAACCTGATTTTGACACTGAAAGACAGCTCTTTGAGAAACCCACTTTGGAGAATATCGGTTCTAGTAGGAAAAAATATCAGCATGTTAGGTATGACCATGTGAACTGGTGCAAGTTTAATTCCTGGTAGTTCTTTTTGTTCCAGGACCTTTCCTCCATTTCCTCCATTCATTGCCACAGGAGAGACATAATAATGTCAAAAAACAAGACAAATAATTTTGAATTTCAGAAGTTAAAGCTTTTCAGATGAAGCACTTAGCCCTGAAAGCATCAGTGTTTCCAGCTTACACTGTGAATAGGAGACTAGAAAGGCTGGGCATTGATGTCTTACAGTAAGTTTTTCCTGCTCTGAGGAGAAGAGTCCTGACATGGAAAGCAAAATGATTTGAGGTAGTAGTATGTTTCTGAGTAGAGTCATGCCCCCTGATTGATTGTGATCAAGACATACAGCATTTGGGGGTTTGAAAGCAGAAGGAAAGTGTGTCACTTATGGAGAGAAGCTGGGAAATTACTAAACCCTGCAACAAGCAACAGGTCCAGCAAGGGTTGTAAGTAAGAGAGTAGGTATGGTGTTGTGTGGATTTCTAGGCATACAGTCTTGAAATGACTTCCCAATTTCCTTGTGTTGAATACAGTAAAGAGCTATGAGTTGAATTATGACCCCCTCCATTCATATGTGGAAGTCCTTGTGACTTTATTTGGATATAGAGTCTTTAAAGTTGTACTCAAGTTAAAAGGAGGTCATCAAGGGTGGGCCTTAATCTAATATATCTATGACTTAATCTAAGATGATTAAAAAGAAATATGGTGACAGATGGGTACACAGAAATAATGCCAGGTGAAGAGATCAGGGAGATGAGTCTTTAAGCTGAGGAGCACCAAAAATTGTCAGGAAACCGCCAGAAGAGGAGGAGACATGGAACCGATTTGTTCTCACAGCCCTCAGAAGAAACCAATATTTTGAATAATTATAAACTTATTAGTGAGCTTTCTAGCATTATCATTTATTATCATGCACTTATCATCATTTTGAATACTTCGTGAAACTTAATAGTGAGCTTTATATCATTCTGATTGTACAGCTTCTCACCTCTCCCAAACCCTTTGTGTTCCTTTCACTTCAGCCACCCAAGAAGATAGAAAAGCTTTTGCCAAGTTCATTTGTCCCTTTGGCAGGCCTACCTTTGAGCTGTGCTGCAGCTGCTCCTTCCTGCTGGAAGGTACCCAGGAATACTTCCTACCCCTGATTGTTTTCTCTATTGGTTCTCTGGACACTGGCTTATTCCTCAGCATTCAGTATTTGCTTTCGGTATCCTTAGTTTTAGCCATCTAAACTAAAACCCTCTAAACATTAACCATGAAAACATTAACCCATTCCTAGTTAATCAGCCTTCTCTCTGCTTTCTTGATGTTAGCATCCCCCTGAAGCTTCAGGTGAGAAGAATCTCTAAACTCAAGGGAATCCTTCTAATTTTACTAACTCTCTGACACCCTTGAGCAAGAGAAGGCCCAATCAAAATTCTAGACTTATAGTTACACCCTTTGAATTCTAAATGGCCCTCTCTGTTCTCAGTGTTCTGCCTTTTGCACTTTTATTTGTACACTTTGATCACAGATCTTTCAAGGCTTGATTCCACACACTCAACAATTTGGTCCATCACTCTTATTTTGTTTCCATGCGTTTTTCTGAGACCACATGATAGCAATTTTTATAAGGCTCTCATTAGTATTTGTGAATCCTTAATGACTGGCAGCACACCAATTCTAGAGTGTCAAGCATTTACAGAAGTCATTCTTGGAACCCTGTTAATTCAGAAGATAGACTCTTTCTGGCATGACCTTTCTCAGCCATTTTCCTCACCCCCTGAAGAAATTTGTGTATTTCTACCAACTATGAATATCTTTGACTTACCAGGAGACTAACTTTTAACCCAAGTTTTAGACTTAACTCAATCTACTAGAACATGCCATCACTTTTGTCTTCAACCTCAATCTCTTCTTTCCTTATGTTTTCCTTTGGTTTTATATTGTCCATTCCCTAAAAATAACTGGCTAGATAAAACACAACTCACTTAACCTTAACACTCATGCATGCTATTATTTTCTCTTAATGTTTCGTGGTCTGACAGGAGTTGGGAACGCACCAAATGGTAATACTTCTGCCGCAGGAGTTCATCACTCATTTCATATTTTCAATATATGATCTGGCTTCTTTCTCCAAACCCTCCACTGAAACCAAAATCTTAAAGATGAATAGTAACTGTATACAACAACCCTCACAACATTCCTTTATTATTCCCTGTCTTCTTTTATTCCATTATAGTCACTTTAACTCCTTTGTATTCTACCAGCTTTTTCTTCTTCTTTCAATTTACTACTCCTTTCTTCTGTCTGTAGGGGAGGAAAGCAAAAGAGTGAAGAGGGACCTAATAGTTATCAATGTTTTTCTATAATGTCAGGCATGGCGTTACAGGCTTTTATAGATCTTATCACTTGTATTGTTCAGAATGATTTTGTGAGAAAGATATTTTCCACTCAAGAAGTTCTAGAAACTTTTTCAAAGCCAAACAAACCTTGGTGGTACCCAAATCTGAACCTACATTCCATTCTTATTTCATAGTATCACATGACCTTATTGTATTAGTCTGTTTTCATGCTACTGATAAAGACATACCCAAGACTGGGGAATTTATAAAAAAAAAAAAAAAAAAAGAGGTTGAATGGACTCACAGTTTCACATGGCTGGGAAGGCCTCACAATCATGGCGGAAGGTAACAGGCACATCTTACATGGCGTCAGGCAAGAGAGAGAACGACAACCAAGCAAAAGGCGTTTCCCCTTATAAAATCATCAGATCTCATGAGACTTACTCACTTCCATGAGAACAGTATGAGGGAAACTGCCCCTATGATTCGATTATCTCCCACCGTGTCCCTTCCACAACACATGGGAATTATGGGAGCTACAATTCAAGACGAGATTTGGGTGGGGACACAGCCAAACAATATCACTTACATATCTTCCACCACAAAAGTTCTATCCTCTGCCCTGGTTAGCTTATGGTATTTGTCTTCATGTCTTAGGCCTATATGCTCATTGATACAAAATACATATCTTAAGCCTAAGTCTCTCAGAAATCTCTGACTTATTTTCCTGCCTTTCTTCTTCCCTCCCTCCTTCCCTCCTTCCTTTCCTTCCTCTCTTTCTTTTCTTTCTTCTCTCTCTTTCTCTCTCTCTTTCTTTCTTCCTTCCTTTCTCCCTCCCTCCCTCCCTATGTCTTTCCTTCTTTTCCTTCCTCCCTCTTTTTCTTCCTTTCTTACTCCTTCCCTGTCTTTCTTCTTCTTTGGCTTTAAACGTTTATTGAGTATTCCCTATATACTACTCATCATGATAGGTATTTCCCATGCATGATCTTACTCTGATAGCATACTTATTAGTGGCTCAGTTTTAAACAGAGGAAACAGAGGCTTAGAACAGTTACGTAACTTGCCAAAAGTCAAAAGCTAGCAAGTGTGGAACTAGGCTTGGAGCCTGATTTTCCTTTGAAATCTTTGCTCATCTCGTGCTGCTGAGGGGTTACTTGCTATTTTCTGGACTAAACAGTGTTTTCCCACATTTTGCCCCTGCTTTTACTGTTCCTTCCTATTCTTTGCATCGCATGCATTCAGTTTTCTGCATGCACATATATATTTTATTTCTGCAGTAGCATAAATATCTTGAGGTAGGAACGGCCTTTCACATACAGTAGGTGCTCTCAATAATTCTTGTTGAACTGAGATAAATTCCAACTTGGCAAGGCATTGTTTTCTTAAAGAAAAAAGATACAGCAGTCATATAATTCAAATGTAGCATTATTCGAACAACAATAAAAATTAGAATAAATTCTCAACATAATTTAGAGATTAATGGAATATGGGCTGCATCAGTATTTATTCATTTCATGACTCTGCAATTTGTTAAATCTCTTTTCCCCATTACTCAAATGATTATTCTGTCAACCACAGCACAGAAACTGCTAGAAAACCTCCCATTGCTAACATTTACAATGCATTGATTGGAGATAATTTCCAAATGGTAGTGAGCTCATTATATGTGATGGTATTTTAATGTCGTTATAATTTTTCTGGTAATTACCTCCAAATCTAATGAAAGAATTCCAAGCTTGTTGTCAAACTCCCCTAATATAATTCAGCAAGGGCCTGATCAAACATGGCCCTTTTGTATTTCCTTTTTGCTTTATCTCTGAATTCTTCAGTTTCCAGTTTTTGGGGTCAGATTTAAAGATTTACATGGAGGCAATTCCCACAGAAAGCCATGGGGGATTGAACGTGAGAGGGATTGTAGCCTGGCTGTACAGGAATCGTGTTTCACCTTTCCTTTTTTTATTCTCCAGCTGCTGTTCCTTAAATACAACTTTAAAAATAACTTATATAGGGTGGTTAATACATTCCTACCCTGTGGGGACAAGCTAGGTTCTCAGTTGCCCAAGATTTTAGGCACTCTCTAGCAATTTCAGTAAAGAAGCAGACTCTTGTCTTGAGTGTTGAAAAACTGCCACAGGGTCAAGATGAGAGCAACGGAGGGTGGCCCCAGTGAATCCCCATTGTATACATGCTTTTCTAGCTGTTGCAGGAGAAGGGAGGGGCAGAGAGACTAGGTAATGAGGAGTTCACAAGGTTGTAGGGGTAGTCTGAATTTTATGGGAGAAGAGGGAAAGTTATAGTTTAAATTCAGAAAGTTCTATGTCTTTCCCAAGTAGTTTGTTTTATTATTCTTGACCACTCTTTAGTGAGCCAAACTTGCATATTTGGCAAACTGTGGGAATGCGGCCAGTAGCCTATATCCTCACTATGACTCCATATAGAATCCATGTGTGTTTAAGGTTCCCAGTTTTCTTAGGGGAGAAATCCTGGCAGAGGTATATTGGGAGGACCTGAATTTCAGTGGTCCTTTATATAAGAATTACTATCTGCTGGGCACACGGGCACAGCAGCTCTGTGTGTTGTCTTCTTTATCCTCAAACCCTAGGCAGAGATAGTGTTTAATGTGTGAAGCCACTGATTTGGCCATTTGTATGGTATAATCCACTACCCTACTATGTGAAAGAGATTTGTCTTTCATGGAAAAATCCAAACCAAAAGGTGGAAAGCATTCTTGGATATCGTCTACCTACTTCTCACCAACTCTGTGCATTTATGTCTTACAAATTTTATAGATGAGGCAATAGGCATGATATAAGAAGATGGCAGACAGATAATTTACATTTGTTATATGCCTTCTATGCGCCAGGCACTAGTAGGTGTTCAATGTTGCCTCACATCAATTAGGTTTAACTCACAGAGGATCGAACAAGGAGGTTGTATTATCCCCATTTGTTAATTAAAAATAAAGTCCAAAGAAGACCAGAAACTACAGGAAATGAATAAATTTATAGAAATGCACAACCTTCCAAGATTGAATCAGGAAAAAATTAAAAACCCTGAACAGCCAAATTTTGAGTTCCAAAATGGAATCATTAATAAAAAATTCTATCTAACAAAATAGCCCTGGACCAGAAAGATTCTCAGACAGGTTCTACCAGACCTACAAAGTACAGCTGGTACCAGTTCTACTGAAATTATTTTTTCTAAAAAAATTAGGTAGAGAGGCTCCTCCCTAACTCATTTTATAAAGCCAAGATCTCCCTTACACTAAAATCTGGCAAAGACACAATGAAAAAAGAAAACAGCAAGCCAATACCCTGATGAATATGGACATAAAAATCATCACCAAAATACTAGCAAAGTGAATCCAACAGGACATCAAAAAGTTAATTAACCATGATCAAGCAGGCTTTCCTTGTGGGTTGAAAGTTTGGTTTAACATACAAAGATCAATAAATGTGATTCACCACATAAACAATTAGAAACAAAAACTATACGATTATCTCAATAGATAGAAAAAGCTTTCAACAAAATCCAACCTCCCTGTATGATAAAAACCTTCCAAGACTGAATCAGGAAAAAATTAAAAACCCTGAACAGCCAAATTTTGAGTTCCAAAATGGAATCGTTAATAAAAAATTCTATCTAACAAAATAGCCCCGGACCAGAAAGATTCTCAGACAGGTTCTACCAGACCTACAAAGTAGAGCTGGTACCAGTTCTACTGAAATTATTTTTTCTAAAAAAATTAGGTACAGAGGCTCCTTTTTCTATCTCAATAGATAGAAAAAGCTTTCAACAAAATCCAGCAATTTAGGCATTGAAGGAACATATCTCAAAATAATAATAGCATTGATATGGTTTGGCTGTGTCCCCACCCAAATCTCATCTTGCATTGTAATCCCCATAATCCCTACGTGTTATGGGAGGGACCCAGTGGAGGTAATTGAATCATGGGGGTGGTTTCCCCCATGCTGTTCTCATGATAGCGAGTGAGTTCTCAGGAGATCTGATGGCTTTATAAGTGTCTGACATTTCCCCTGCCGAAACTCATTCTCTCTCCTGCTGCCCTGTGAGGAGGTGACTTCCACCATAATTGTAAGTTTCCTGAGGCTTCTCCAGCCATGCAGAACTGTGAGTCAATTAAACCTCTTTCTTTTATAAATTACCCAGTCTTGAGTATTTCCTGATAGCAATGTGAGAATGGACTAATACAAGCATCTATGACAAAACCACAGTCAACATCACACTAAATGAGCAAAAGTTGGAAGCATTTCCCATAAGAACAGGAAGAAGATAAAAATGGCCATTCTCACCACTTGCATTCAACATAGACCTGGAATTCCTAGCTACAGCAATCAGGCAAGAGGAAGAAATAAAATAAATCCAAATAAAAAAGAAGACATCAAATTATCTCTCCTTGCTGACAATCTGATTCTGTATCTAGAAAACCCTAAAGACTCACCCAAAAGACTCCTAGAACTGATAAACAACTTCAGTAAAATTCAGGATACCAAATCAATGTTGAAAAATCAGTAGCATTCCTATACATCAATAATGTCCAAGCTGAGAGCTAAATCAAGAACACAATTCCATTTACAATGGCCACAAACAAATATAAGACATCTAGGAATACACCTAACCAAAAAGATGAATGATCTCCACAAAGATAGCTACAAAACACTGCTAAAAGAAATTATAGATGACACAAACAAATGGAAAAACATTGCATGTTTATGGACTGGAAAAACCAATATTGTTAAAATGACTGTACTGCCCAAAGCAATCTACATATTCAACATTATTCCTATCAAACTACCAATGTCATTTTTCACAGAATAAAAAAAAAGTATTCTAAACGTTTTATGGACTAAAAAAAAAAAAAAAAAAAAAAAGCCCAAATAGCCAGAGAGATCTGGAGCAAAAAGAACAAGCCATGGGCATCACATTTCCCAACTTCAAACTGTACTATACGGCTATAGTAACCAAAGCAACATGGTACTGGTACAAAAACAGACACATACCACTGGGACAGAAAAGAGAACCAAGAAATAACGCCTCACATCTAAAATCATCTGATCTTTAACAAAGTTGACAAAAGTAAGCAATGGGGAAAGAACTTTTTTTTTTCAGTAAATGGTGCTGGGATAATTGGCTAGCCATATGCAGAAAAATAAAACTAGACCCCTACCTTTCTTTTTCATTAATTTTATTTTATTTCAATAATTTCTGGGGGATAGATGGATTTTTGTTACATGGATAAGTTGTTTAGTGGTAATTTCTGTGATTTTGGTGCACCTGTCACCTAAGCAGTATACACTGTACCCAATGTGTAGTCTTTGATCCCTCCTTTCAAAATGTACAAAATTTAACTCAAGATAGATGAAAGATGTAAATATAATATGAATATCTCCAACTATAAAAATCCTAGAAGAAAACCTAGGCAATACCATTCTGGACATTGGTCTTGCAAGTAATTCATGACTAAGTCTTCAATAGCAATTGCAACAAAAACAAAAATTGACAAGTGGGACTTAATTAAATTGAAGAGCTTCTGCACATCAAAAAAGACTGTCAATAGAATAAGCTGACATGTACAGAATGGGAGAAAATATTTGCAAACTATGCATTCATCAAGGGTCTATTATTCAGAATTTATAGGTAACTTAAGCAACTTAACAAGCAAAAGACGAATAACCTCATGAAAAGCTGGCAAAAGTCATGAACAGACACTTCTCAGAAGAAGACATACATGTAGACAACAAATATGAAAAAATGCCCAATATCCCTAATCATTAGAGAAATTCAGATCAAAACCACAATGAGATATCAACCTCCAAATGTCAGAGTGGCTATTAGTAAAAAGTCAAATAATAACAGATGCTGGTTAGGCTGTGGAGAAAGGGGAACACTCATACACTGTTGGTAAATTAGTTCAGCTGCTGTGGAAAGCAGTTTGTAGATTTCTCAAGCAACTTAAAATGGAACTACCATTCAATGCAACAATCCCATTTCTAGGTATATATCCAAAAGGAAAACAAATCATTCAGCTAAAAAGACACATGTACTCACATGTCCATTACAGCACTAATTCACAATAGCAAAAACATGGAATCAACCCAGGTGCCCATCAATGGTGGAGTGGATAAAGAAAATGTGGTGCTTGTGCACAATGGAACACTACACAGTCATAAAAAATGTATAAAACTCTTTCCTTTGTTGCAATATGGCTGCAGCTGGAGGCCTTTACCATAAACAAATGAGGAACAGAAAACCAAATATTGCATGCTTTTATTCACAAGTGAGAGCTGATCAATGGGTAGACTTGGATGTCAAGATAGAACAATAGACACAGGGGATTGCTAGAGAGGGGAGAGGAGGAGAAGGTTAATAGCTGAAAAACTACCTATTGGGTACTCCACTCCCTGGATGACGGTATCATTAGTATCATTTGTATCCCAAACCTCAGTATCACACAATATACCCTTGTAACAAATCTGGACATGTGCACCCTGAATGTAAAGTAAAATGTGAAATTATTTTTTTAAAAATGATAATGTTATCACTTTTTACAGCACATTGTAATATTATCAATAAAGGTGCTTTTATTTATATTACATGACTTTCATAATATTCATATGAGATGCACAAAGAAGACATTCTTATTCCAATTTTTCTGATGTAGATACTAAAGTTTAAAGATTTCAAGTAATGTTCAGGTTTATAGTTAAGAGGTCAACTAGCACTCAGATATTTCATAACTTCAGGTTGCCTAAGCACAGTAGGTGTTGAGCATCTTAATAATTATCTACCAAATTCTTGCATTTTGAAACCATATAAGAGAGTTTTTATTTGTTAAGAACTAGTCATTGTCCATACAGAAAATACCCTAAATTCCACCACATTAGATTATCTTTATGGTCTATTTCCTTTCAGTTTTTTTTCTATACAAATGCAAATTGAATAAAACTGGGATCATACAATGTAATTAGATTTTTATCCTACCTTTTAATATACTGTTGTGTTTTTCCAGGGGCTGCAATATATATATATATTATATATATATCTATATTATATATATAATATATATATTTTATATATATAATGTGTATGTAATATATGTATAAATAATGTAAATAATATGGTGTTAATATTGATATTAATATGTGTATATATGTTAATATTGATATTAATATGTGTATATATACATATATAAATATAAATATAATAAACAGTTGACCCTTGAACAATGTGGGGGCTAGAGGTGCCACAGCTGAAAATGCACATATAACTTTTGACTCCTCAAAAACTTAACTGATAATTGCCTACTGTTTACCAGAAGACTTACCAATAGTATAAACAGTCAATCAATGCATATTTTACACGTTATATATATCATATGCTGTATTCTTACAATAATGTAAACTAAAGGAAAGAAGATATTATTAAGAAAATTATAAGGAAGATAAAATATATTTATATTCATTAAGTAGAAGTGGGTCATCCTCCTTGTCTTAAAGTTGAATAGGTTGAGGAGGGAGAGGAAGAGAAGGGATTGATTTTGCTGTCTTGGAGGTGGCAGAGGCAGAAGGAAATCCACGTATAAGTGGATCCATGCAGTTTGAACGTGTTATTCAAGGGCCAACTGTATGTGGTAAATATTATGAACATTATAAAACTGTATATAGTTTTAGTATTATGTTTCTATTATAGTTTATTTAACCATTTCCCTATCAATGTTTTCATTTTTTGTACTATAGGAAGAAATACAGCTGTTATTTAAATACTGTATACCATAATTTTTACTTCCTTTCCAATTGTTTTCTCAGACAAGATTCCTAAAAGTTAAAAGAGCGGGTAGGAGAGTATGGTGGACATTTATTATTTTTATGTGCACAGCATGCATTTTCCTTCTTCTGGAAACAGCACCTGAATTTTCGTTTGTGATCCATCTCCATCTACTGTCCATCACTTTGATTCAGGCAGTATGATTCTCATACCCTGCTCTTTGCTGAGGAGTTGAACTCATTCTCTGACTATAGTGATTGTTTCAGAGAGACACACGTGACCAAAGTTTTGCCAATAAGATATAATGAGGTATTATCTTGTGATTTTACAGAAAATCATTGAGAAGTTGAAGTCCACTTTTCAGTCAGCTTATTAAACTGGTAGAATGTAAGCCTAAAGTTTAGCTTGCCATCTTTCATCTTGAAGGAGAGCCATCTGCCTGTTGAAAACAGAAGTGACATGAAGAGAAAGAGCCATAATCACATATTGGAGCAGTGGTATCCAACACAAGCACTGCTGGAATTTTTCCCTATGAGTGAGCCAACCCATCGCTTTTCTCATTAGAGCATTTTGAGTTGGGTTTTTGCACTTGGAAGCAGGGGAGCTGTTTTAGTGCATTGACTCAAAAGGGTATTAATATGTTTGAAGATCTTTACACATGTTTTAACATTAATTTCCAGACAGCACTACCAGCCATGTAGTACTTAAATCTGCGCACCAATATTGACACAAGTAATATGTATTTTTATATGTGAAAATATTCCTTTACATTTATGGAATTCTTTTCACATGCTTAGGAACCTTTTATATTTCTTCTGTGATTTGTCTGTTCATGACCTTTGTCTGCTTTGAATTCGAAGGATGCTAGTATATTTCTTCATTTTTTAGAGATCTTTTTCCCTTAAACATGCAAATAAGTCTTATATGTATTTGTGTCATATTTGGTGCAGAAATATTTCCTGTTTGTCATTTGTTTATTTACTGGAGTAATGCTTCATGTGTGATATATTAAATAGGTCGTTTCTTTTTTATTGTCACACAGTTTTTACTATCAGGATGTTCTTTATGTTCCCAAAATGAACTAAAATATTTGCCAATATTTTTATAGTCACATTATGCTTCATTTTAAAATGTAACCTCTACTGCTTTTGGAATTTACAATTTCATTTTGGAATATTCTGCTTGCAAGTCACAGGAATTCTGGAGCTGTCAAAGGTGGGGGTATTCTTATGAAAAGGACAAAGAGTTTCACAGAACCCATGTTCTGGATGCAGCCACAGCTCAGGGAGATATAGGGAAACAGGGCAGGCATGCCATTCACTGGTACTCCGTGTCTCTGTATCTTTTTCTTTGGCTTGTGTTCTCAGTGTACTTCCTCAACCATCTCGCTTGTTTTCTCTACTTCCCTGTCCCAGTAGGTACCATCCAATCATCCAAAACAAGATTAAATCTGGCTTTCGCTCCCAATCCAAATTCTTAGCAAAGTGACTCTGTTTTTCTAATTTGGATACGGTGCTAAATATCACTCTGAAACAAGGTCACGTTGGATAAATCCTGGCTGCTAGGAGCCCATTCTCTGAGGATCATATTCCATATCCCAATGAATCAGGGAAGGATAGTTACCAGAGGAGGAAAAATCTTTTGAGCTGGGGAGATGATCAATAGGTGAGTGGTCATTAGAGATGCAGACCTAACCTGATTATTTTTCAAATAGCTTTCCTCACAAAAAGTATTGGTGCTCTATCATTTCTTTACTAATTTATAATATTTGCTTTGTCTTATGTTAAACTCATAAGTGTGTATATTGCTCCACTAAGATTTCCTAATACATTAGTCACTTTGTCAGTTATTAGAACAATTTTTATTACCATTATTATAGTAAGATAAATTTATATTTATTATTCTTCTCTTCAAATTTGTTATCTATCCTTTCATTTATTCTTCCAGGAAAATTTTGTTAAATATGGGAATGAAATATTTTTATAATTACTATTATAATTTATTTAGAAAATAAAGTACTTTACTTATTTATCTTATAGTTGACCACTTTTCTAGTCTAGGATAATTCAAATAAATTTGTAGTTCTCTTAAATTTTGGGTACATAAATCATATAATTGTCAATAATGATAGTCATTTAATCCATTCATTTCTCATCATACCTTTTATTTCCATTTGACATCTTATAGAATTGGTCAGAATGTCCAACACACAATGAATGTGCTGGTACCTGATACCTACTGACACCATGTGTCAGATGCTGTCAGAAATTAATGGAAATTATCTTATTTAATGTGCTGTTTTTATTTTTCTTGTTTTGCTGACAAAGAAACTGAGGCTTAGAGAAGTCCAATTACTTGATCAAAGTTGCACATCTTGCACATGGTGGAGCCAGCATGTAAACATGGGCCAGTCTGACACCAGTAACAGTATTCATAACGATTATCTACAATATAATATATTTTAAAAAATGGAAAATGGCTGGGCTTGGTGGCTCACACTTACAGTCCTAGAACTTTGATAGGCTGAGGTGGGCAGATCACTTGAGGCCAGGAGTTAGAGACCAGCCTAGTCAACATGGTGAAACCCCATCTCTACTAAAAATACAAAAATTAACCAGGTGTGTTGGTGCATGCTTGTAAACTCAGCTACTCAGGAGGCTGAGATATAAGAATAGCTTGAACCCAGGAGGTGGAGGTTGCAGTGAGCTGAGATTGTGCCACTGCACTCCAGCCTGGCAACAGAGTGAGAATGTCTCAAAAAAAAAAAAAAAAGGAAAAAACTAAAAAAAAAAAAAGGAAAACAAAGTTATCTTTATTTGCAGAGATACGGTTATACACTTAGAAACCTCAATAATTTTACAACAAATTATTAAATGTTTTCGCAGTTCTAAAAAGGTCACTGGTAAAGCTTTCTGTCTTTGAAAGCTTTGTGAAAATAATTAGTTGATTTTATTTGCAATCTTCTCTATGGTTAAGTGTTCTATTCAAGTTATTTGTTTTTCCTTGGGCTAATGTTGATAACTGCTGTTTCCCCCTAGAAAATTGTCAATACAATCAAGAATCTCATAATTACATTGAACAAACCTTCTGAATTTTAATTTCAAGAAAGTGTTATAATATTCTGGATAGATCTACTCTTAGAATGATGTGTTTGGGTGACAGATGGAATCTCAAAAATGCTCTTAAAATAAGAGAAAAGAAAAATAGTACGCAATTGTTCAATCATATGCCAAAAAGGATTTTCCTTTTTATTCTTTGTTTAAGAAGGCTAATGTATGTAAAAATCGTTCAAAGAATGTAAACCGTTACCTTTTTGGCATTTGTTCATGTTTTTACTTTACAAAATATTAAAACGTGATTTTTGAAAAATGAACAACCCCTATACTAATTGAGGCAGATTTATGTTGGCATATTATCTTCCAAATAAGTTAACGTAGTAACTGTGAAATTAATAGGCTCTATAAACATATGTGTATCTAATTTTAGGATGATGGGGAATGGAAAGATTAAGAGGGAACAGGAAAGCCAAGACGGGCGGATCACGAGGTCAGGAGATCAAGACCATCCTGGCTAACCCGGTGAAACCCCGTCTCTACTAAAAATACAAAAAAATTAGCCGGGCGTGGGGGCGGGCGCCTGTAGTGCCAGCTACTCGGGAGGCTGAGGCAGGAGAATGGCGTGAACCCGGGAGGCGGAGCTTGCAGTGAGCCGAGATGGCACCATTGCACTCCAGCCTGGACAACAGAGCGAGACTCCATCTCAAAAAAAAAAAAAAAAAAAAAAAAAAGAGAGAACATGAAATACAATGGGATATACCAAAAATACAATAGAGTGGACCTATGGCAGTCTAGTTTAGTAGATCTTGTGTGAAACAGACATGGAAGTAAATTTCTAGAGTGGCCTGCTGGCATCCTTCAGACATGAATCTGGCAAACATGGGCAAGCAGGATAGGCCTAGATCAATCGTATCATCAGTGTGACAGAAACAGAGTAATTACTGACCTTCTCAGTAACACAGATGTGAATTTGCAATCAGTTTTGTAGTCACTCTAGATATAGTTATTCTAGATACAACCATGTTGACTTTTGGTTTTTTGATTGAATAGGTTGTGCAGTTGAGAGTAGCACGCTTGGAGTTAAGTTCAGGTCTTAACTTTAATGCTGGTTTTTTTTTATTATAAACAAATACAATATCTCCTTGAATTTTTTTTGCTTCATCTCTAAAGAAGAAATATCTTCTCTGCAGTCAAAGAGAGAGAATACAACATCATTCAAGTATATAATTTTTTAAAAAAGACTTTTTACTGAGGATCAAAATAAAAGACCCAGGAATTTTAAATGTCTTTCTCAGGGCTATGTTGGAGACAGAGATCACAACAGAACTCAAGCCATCATCCTCTACTAGTAGATCCACCCACAGATTCCACACCCCTAGTAGCATTGCCATGCTTTCAACAAAACCTTCAGTAGCTGTATCAATCTCACCTGGGAGACATGTTAATAATGCTACTAACTTTGTAAAATAATGCATTTCTGTTTGTTTCACAAACTGTAAATATAGTGACTAAAAAGTCTACTTATAATAGCAATAAATGAAATAATAATACATTTATGCAAGTATTACTTTTGATGCTGTATGTTAAGAAGACTTGAGGGAAATATAGAATAGATAAATAAACATGTGTGATAGTTTGTATTTTCCAAAGACAGCCACAATGATATCTCCCATCCTGTATTTCCGTTACATTGTTACTTTGAGAAGTGAGTTTATGTTCTTTCATCTTGAACCTGGGTAGACTTGTAAAATTATTTTTAAACTTTAAGGAAAGTTTTCTGTGAAACTCATCTGTTTCCAAAAAACTTATCCCATCATTCCCAGTAAATAAAAAGTCTGAAAATATCACCATAGCTTATAAAGCCCTCAAGAAAAGCAGCAACATAAAACTGAAAAATATAAGGAAGCGCCTCAGATGCCTAATGATTCTATAAATAAAAGAGCTAAAGTCATTTATAAAAGCTATTACAATAAATGTCAGTAAAACACACTCTATGCTACATTACATCATTTCTGAGAAAACATTAACCATGAACTTACCTGAATATGCAAAATTAAAATACTAACTCTGAATGGTGTTGATGGATCATAGGTTAAGCACTGGAGGGATTCATGTAGGCAAAGACACTTTATTTTCACATGGGCTACTCCTGACTTTATGAAACAGCCTCCAATTTTTTACATTTCTAAAACATACCAGGGTCTGTGCCACCTGTTGCTTTATAGGATACTTATACAGGCTGGCTTTTTCCTGAATCACATTTCCATTTAGAATTATGTGTGGCCTATGTATAACGTCACACCACAAGTTTTCTTTTAAAGTTTTATCTCATTTAATGATCACTTTTGTACTGAAGGAAGTATTTGCCAAGGTAGTTTTCTTAGTTGGATTTTTGGTTTTTCTTCATAATGCATGGTGAAATCATTAATACAACCATCACATTTGATTTGTATGCTCTAATTTGTCTACATGTTTATTTTCTGCCTCAGGAATCATTGCTTTCTTAGACCGCTCTATTTTCTTTTCACTTTTATCAACAAGACTTGCTCTTGGCATTCTTTGGTATTTGCAACAGAGACAATGCTTTATTCATTGACAAGATTTATTAAAAATCTCAAGGGAAAAAGATAAAACTTTGAAATCAGTGCACTGAAGACATATATATATATATATATATATATATATATATATATATATATATATACACACACACACACACACACACTGTGGGTGAGCATTGAAGCTCACTCTACCACCTCAGCCTCTAAGCCCACAAAATTTAAATATTTTGCTCAGAAAAAATATATTGTAGTTTCAGAGACTTTTAGGAATGGTTAAAGTTTTCTTTTGAGTTTAAATTGGAAATATCAATTGTTGCTCAAATGCAATGGACCTACTATAATTTTAGTCAAGGCTCATACATCAAGGGATTTGACAATCACTGGGACTGGCAAGTAACTCTCTTGGAGCCATTGTCAATAGTCAATATCTAAGTTCTGTCCTAATTGAGAAGTTGTTTCTCTTTGCTGTCATTTTAAGAGGAAGAAAATGTTTGTGCCCTCTAATTTAATTCAAAACCTTGGAAGACACACTCTGACCACTTTCAAAAATCTGGTTTTGGAAGTAAAAAATGAAAGAATGTTAAATTTCACACTGTGCTAATTATAGGTGCAACTTTGTAATTTCTCCTCTTAGATTTGACAAATGTTACCTAGTGCTTTCATAATGACATAATAGTTCTTTGTAGTACACAATCAAAATG
Source organism: Homo sapiens (assembly GCF_000001405.40). Classification (NCBI taxonomy): domain Eukaryota; kingdom Metazoa; phylum Chordata; class Mammalia; order Primates; family Hominidae; genus Homo; species Homo sapiens. The sequence continues at coordinate 19,268,872 of NC_000007.14, forward strand.
TTATTACTGCATATTACTCAACCACTGAACATGTCATTCTTTGCCAGCGAATCTTTTCTTAGTACATGTGTTTCAAAAGCACTTACCCTGTACATGAAAGATTAAGGCTTAGCTGAGCTAGATTGAGCTATGGGGATTTAAAACCCAAAGAACAATCATTGTGAGTCTACCTCCAGTCACTTTTTTTTTCAATTTTTTAGATGACTCGGTGGATTTATTTCAATTTTCTGAACAAAGAAAAGCTTCTATGCTTGCTTAAAAAAATAAAATGAAAATAAACAAAATGTGACGAAATAAGCATTCCCTTTTGAATACGATACCAAGAGTAACTTTCATTTTATATTCTGTTGCAAAAAACTAAAAATTCTATTGTTGTCTCTGAAGCTGCATTGGAGATTGACAGAGAAGTCCCAGAGAGATGAATAGTTTTATTTGTAAATAAAATTGTCTTCACAAAAACAGCTCCTTTAAGCTGTGAATTGTTTTTCATAGCATATAACCTCTCTTACTCTTAAACTGTGAGATGAATAGAAAATTATTTTAACCCTTATCTATAAATAACCAAGAACAGAGAGACCCAACATAGGCAGAGATGTTGCATTTGCCCTTCAAGTCCTGCCATAAATAAAATAACAAACATAAAAGCTTTGAAGAGTGCTCATGCTGAGTAGGCATGGAATTTCAAAAATGCAATCCTACATGGGGGAATTCTTTTTAAAAAGTGTCATAATTTCTAATTCTGCTTACATTTTAGGAAGATAAAATTATTGAAAATATCTTTAGAACTTTAAAATCTCAATTTCCACTAGAAAAGGAAAATAGAGTTGAATTTAAGAACACTTTTTGCTCTAAAAATCCCACTGTTATGTAGCAATTTGATTACATATTAAGACGTATGATTAAAATATACAATGAAAACAAAGTTTCAAATACACTTATTTTCCTGGAAGACTTTATTTGAAATTTTACTGTGCATTGACAAGATCTTTAAATAGAAATAAAATAATTAAATTTTAAGATATTTTTTGAACATTCAATAACACACTCACAAATAATATAGACTTTCTTTTTTCTCTATGGTAGAATAATGGGGCCAGATTTATTCTAAAACATTAAAAACAACTAGAAAACCAGACAAAACATGAAACATCAGTTTTTAGACATTGGCCAAAAAGAAGCATAGAACATTGATCCCTGAGAGAAGGAAAACAATGGAGATGAGTCCTACAGCTGTCCCAATTCATGGCCTGGAGCATCCAGGAGGAGACATAAGAAAGAGAGAAGTCTGAATGATATTCAAAGAGCTTGTGAAGCTGAGGAGATAGAAATTGAGGAGGCCAAGGCACCTAGGATTTTTAGAACAAAATGCTAGATATGAGGGAACAGCACCGATACAGGGTTCCAAATATTTGCAGGGATCCCTTTGAGGTTCTAGCTCAGTATCGCTGTGCACACACATGTGAGGCAGGGCAATCTCTGTAGCTCACACAGGGCCAGTAATAATCCATATTGCCCTGAGGAAAAGTGCAACTATCTAGTATACAAGACTTTGGGTAGAATCTGTTGAAGAGTATTGTCTTAGTGGTGAAACAAAATTATCTTCAATTAGAAGAATTTCTGGATCTGAGCTTAAAAAATGATTAAAAGGAAGCTTCAAAGGTTAAAATTGATCTATTTAAGTTATCTGCATCTTTGTGCAAATAAACTGAGAAATAGAATTCATGAGAACTAAAAAAAATTGTAAATAGAAGTAGACCAAGAAATGAGCTCAATTACATTATTAGCAAATAAGGATGTAAGAACTGTTTTTATAAATGCACTCCATATGTTCAAGAAGATAAAGAAAAAATGAACATTATTGGCATAGAAAAGAGATATAGAAAGACCCAAGTGAATTTCTAGAGATAAAAAGTATAATATTTGAAATGAGAAATACACTGTATTTGATTAATAACAGATTAAACATTGCAGAAAAGTTCATTGAAATTGAAGGAACAGCAATGAATACTATCCACAATGAACGTAAAAAAGAAGCCTAAAAAAGTTAAAAATTTGCTTGTGCGACCATACTAAGTGTTCTAACACGTGTAATAAGAACCCTGATAAAAATGTGGAGGAACAGAAATGATAATGGAAGAATTAATGACCATAATTTTTTCAAATTTGTTGACAACTGTATAAGCATAGATCCACAAAGCTCAATAAACACCAAGAAGTAAAAATGTGAAGAAAACGACACCAAGCCATATGATAGTAAAATAGCAAAAAACAGCGATAAAGAGAAAAACTTAGATAGGTAGAGATAAAAGGGTATTACATACAAAAAATAAATTTAAAAATAACAGCAGATTTGTCATCATGAATTAGGGAAGTAAGAAGACAGTGGAGAAACATGTTTAAAGTAATGAAGGTAAAACAAAAGTGCAATTTTCACCCTAGAATTGTATATGCAGCAAAACTGTCTCCCTAAAAATAAAAAAAAATAAGGACTTTTTCAGATAAACACACACAAAACTCATCAGCAAACCTATACTATAAAAAGTTGTAATATGCTAAATATTAAATTCAGGTAAAATATGACAATGGATGAAAATTCGTAACTTCACAAGGGACTGAAGAACACCGGAAATAATAAATATTCATTAAATATAAAATTTAAGTATAAAATACAAAATATTTCTCCTACTTTTAAAAAACTATAAATAAAACTGATGACTTAAAGCATAACTAATAAGAATGTATTTTGAAAATTATAAAATATGTAGCAGTGAAATACATGACAAAAATAGCATGAAGGATGGGAGGAAGTAAAAAGTATGTTCTAGAATTCTTTCAATATATGTAAGGTGGTATAATATAATTTAAAGGTAGACTGTGATAAGTTAAATAAGCAACCAATAAGAAAGCAAATTAAGTGTTTAGGTGATAAGCAGATAATGTTAATGATGTGGAATTCCACATTAAAAAATTTCAGTTAATTGCAAAAAGAACAGAAAAAGAGGGAAACAAAAGCAACAATTGGGATAAATGGAAAATCAGTTGTAAGATCCTAATCATTTCCAGAACTACACTAAATGCTAATGTTCTAATAACTCCATTTGAAAGACGAAGACTGCCAAATTGAATAAAAAAGCAAGAAAAGCTGTATGTATTTCTTAGAGAACCACTTTTCAAGATACTGGTCAAAGTTAGTGGCATTAGCTCAAATATGTAATTTTATCTTTTGGTATCCTCATTCTCTTACCAATTTAATTAGCTAAACTATTCCTTAATTACTAACTGGCTTATTCTTATTTTTCCTCTCAAAAGGATGTGAACCCAATGTCTAAATAATATTGAGATACATACTATAAAAATTAATGCTTTTATATTATTCCAGAAGTAATAACAGAAAAAGAGACAGTAAATGGTCACAGGAGAATAGAAAATTTCAGGCAACTGTTTTACATGACTAGCAAAAGAAAACTGTTGTAATAGCTGAAGAAGCCACAGGCTGATAAGAATCTGAATAACCAGAATGGAGAACAAGCTGGCTGAGACTAACTGGACCCAACATGTTACTGGATTTGACCTAGGTTTCACCTAGTACTTCATTATATGCTCATTAACATACCAAATAACACAACTGGCCGGGCGCGGTGGCTCATGCCTGTAATCCCAGCCCTTTGGGAGGCTGAGGCAGGTGGATCACTTGAGGTCAGGAGTTTGCGACCAGTCTGGCCAACATGGTGAAATCCCGTCTCTACTAAAAGTACAAAAATTAGCTTGGTGTGGTGGCGCATCCCTGTAATCCCAGCTACTTGGGAGGCTGAGGTAGGAGAATCACTTGAACCTGGGAGATGAAGTTTGCAGTGAGCCATGGTCACACCACTGCACTCCAGCCTGGATGACAGAGCAAAACTCTGTCTCAAAAACTTAAACTATAACTAAAATGAAATGACATACCCACCAGCAAAATGACAGTTCCAGAAACACCAACATTTGGTGTAAAAATGGGTGGCACCACAGTTCCCAGGAGTCTACATGAATATTCTACCCTTTGGTTAAAAAAACTCATAAAGGTAGAAGCTCCAAACTCCATTTTAGGACTTTCTCTTGAGTATGCCCAGTCTTCCCTTTCCTGAGTAAGGTATACTTCTTACTTTGCAATAAATCTCCATACTTTCACTATTTTGTAACTCATCCTTGAATTCTTTCTTGCAATGGTGTCAAGAGCCGGGATACTGGCTAAGGTAGAGGTTCTGTTGGTGTTTGAACACCTCCTCCAGCCTGCTGGCATTCAAACACTCTTTGTTTTTACACAGGTCTCACAGATCCTTGGTCACACTGCAAGAGGTGGGCTCCCATTGTCTCGGGCAGCTCCACCCCTGTGGCTTTGCAGGGTACAGCCCCCCTCCAAGCTGCTTTCATGGGCTGGCATTGAGTATCTGCAGCTTTTCTAGGTGCATAGTTCAAGCTGTCAGTGGATCTACCATTAAGGTGTCTGGAGAATGGTGGCTCTCTTTTCACAGCTCCATTAGGAAGTGCGCCCCAGTGGGGACTCTGCTGGGGGGGCTCCAACCCCACATTTCCCTTCCATACTGACCTAACAGAAGTTCTCCATGAGGCCCCTGCTCCTGCAGAAAACTTCTGCTTGAACAAGCAGGCATTTTCATACATCCTCTGAAATCTAGGTGGAGGTTCTCAAACCTCAATTCTTGACTTCTATCCACCTGCAGGCTCAACACCACATGGAAGCTGTCAAGGCATGGGGCTTGCACCCTCTGAAGCCATGGCCAGAGCTATACCTTGGCCCCTTTTAGCCATTGATGGAGCAGCTGGGATGCAGGGCACCAAGTCCCTAGGCTGCACACAGCAGGAGGGCCCTGGGCCCTTGCCAGTGAACCATTTTTCCTCCTAGGCTTCCAGGCCTGTGATGGGTGGGGCTGCTGCAAAGGTCTCTGACATGCCCTGGAGACATTTTCCTCATTGTCTTGGCAATTAACATTTGGCTTCTCATTACTTATGCAAATTTATGCAGGCAACTTGAATTCCTCCTCAGAAAATGGGTTTTTCTTTTCTACGCATTATCAAGCTGCAAATTTTCTGAACCTTTATGTTCTTTATGCTGTCAAATTTTGCATTTACTTTTGCTGTTATATAACATTGCATTGTATGAAGTAACCAAATATTTAATATTTTCTTGTATTGACAGACATTTTTAAACAGCTTTTTTGAGGTATAACTGATATACAATGGACTAAACATATTTAATGTCTACAAGTTGATGAATTTGGGCATATACAAATACCATTATACGTTTTATTGTAAGAGTACTTAACATGAAATCTACCCTCTTACAAAATTCTGTAGTGTATACTACCATATTGTTAACTATAAGCAGTATGTTATACAGCAGATCTTTAGAACTTACTCATCTAGCATAAATGAAACTTTTATACCCATTAAACAACTCTCCATGCCCATCTGCTAGCCCTCATAAACTGTTATTGTATTTTCTGCTTCTAAGAGTTTGGCTATTATAGATACCTCACACAAGAGGAATAATATAGTATAATTCCTTCTGTGACGTGCTTATTTCACTTAGAGTTCCAAATTTCAGGATCATCCATGTTGTTGCAAAAGGCAGGATTTTCTTCTTCTCTAAGTTTATATAATATTCCATGGTATGTATTAATATATAGCACATTTTTAATCCATTCATTGGTCTATGAATTCTTGGGTTGCTTCTGTGTCTTGGCTATTGTGATTAATGCTGCCATGACAATGAGAATGCAGGTATCTCTTCAATATCCTCTTTTCAATTCTTTTAAATATATATGTAGAAATGAGGTTGCTGGATCATCTAGTAGTTCTGTTTTCAAGTTTTTGAGCAATCACTACACTGTTTTTCATAGGTACAGAACTATTTTACATTCTTACGAAGAGTGTAGAAGGGTTCCAATAAATACACATTCTTGCCAATATTTGTTTTCATTTTTTAATAATACCCATCTTAACAGATATGAGGTGATATCTCATTATAATTTCAATTTGCATTTTTCTGATAATTAATGAGTTGAGCATGTTTTATACACCTTTAGGACATTTGTATGTCTTCTTTGAAAAAATGTATATTCAAATACTTGGCCCATTTTTAATTGGGTTTTTTATTTTAATTTTTTTGCTATTGAATTATAGGAGTTTCTTACATATTTTGAAAATTAACCTTTTATCAGGTATATGGTTTGAAAGTATTTTCTTTTCCATTGAGTAGGTTGCCTTTTTTAGTTGATTCCTTTGCTGGGCAGAAAATTTTTAGTTTGATGTAGTTTCACTTCTCTATTTTTGCTTTTGCTGCCTGTGCTTTTGGTGTTACATCCAAGAAGTCATTGCAAAAATCAGTGTCCACCTCTTCACTGTGTTTTTTTTCTAGGAGTTTTACAGTTTCAGGTCTTACATTTAATTCTTTAATCTATTTTGAGTTTTTCTATGTATAAGGTAAATTAGGGATTCAATTTTATTTACTTTGCTGTCAGTTTTCTTTTGGATATCCAGTTTTTCCAGCATAATTTATTGATGAGATTATCTTTTTCCCATCTGTATTCGGGAAGTCCTTGTCAAAGACAAATATGTGTGGATTTATTATTTTAGCTCTTTATTCTGTTCTATTGGTGTATATGTTTGTCTTTATGCTGCACCCATACTTCAGGTTTTACTGAATAATTGTGGCATAATTGAAATTAAGGAATTTGATATCTTCAGCTTTGTTCTGGCTCAAAATCTCTTTAGCTATCTGGATTTTTTAGTTTGTGGTTATACACAAATTTTAGGACTTTTTATGTTTCTGTAAAAAACCACTCAAAATCTTGCCACTGAGATTTTGGCGAGATAAGAATGAATCTGTAGATTCCTTTGGATAATGTGGACCATTTAATAATATTAAGTCTTCCAATCCATGAACATGGGATGTCTTTCCATTTATTTACATCCACTTTAATTTCATTTGTTACAAATTTCGTTTTTTTCAGTGTACAAATCTTTTATCTCCTTGATTAATCTTGAGTCTATTACTTTTCTGATGCAATTGTAAATGTAGTTGTTTTAATAATTTTCTTTTTGAATGGCTTGTTTTCAGTCTATATAAGCACAACTGAATTTTGTATGTTGATTATGTGTTCTACAAGTTTGCTGAATTTATTTATTAGATCTAATACTATGTGTGTGTGGGGGTATGGTCTTTAAGGTTTCCTACACATAGGATCATGTCCTCAGGGATACTTTTGCTTTTTATTTCTGATTTAGATTCTTTTATTTCTTTTCTTTGTCTAATTGTTTTGCTAAGACTTCCAGTATAATGCAGAATAGAAGTGGCAAGAGTAAGAATCCTAGTCTTCCTCCTGATATTAGAGGTAAAGCTTTCAATTTTTCATAGTTGAGTGCATTATCTTTCTCTTATCCTGGAGAATATATTTCAAAACCCCCAGTAGATGTAAGAAACAATAGATAGTACTAAGTCTCATGTATACTATGTATTTTTCTATAAATATATAACTATGATAAAGTTTAATTTCTAAACTAGACACAGTACTCTTATGTTTTGGGACCTTATTAAGTAAAATAAGGGTTACCTGAACACCAACACTGTAATACCATAACAGTCAATTGGATAACTGATACAGCTACTAAGTGACTAATGGGTGGTTAGTATATGTTCAATAAGGATGTGCTGGAAAAAGGGATGGTTCACATCCTGGCTGGGATGGAATAGGACAGCAAGATATTTCATCATACTAAGAATGGCACACAATTGGAAACTTATTCATTATTTATTTCTGGAATTTTCCATTTAATATTTTGGACTGTCGTTGGCCACACTCTACTGAAACTTTCTACTGAAACTGTAGGAAGTAAAACTGCAAATAAGGGGTGACTAATGTATGATGTTAGCTGTGGGTTTGTCATATAGGGACTTCATTATGTTAAGGTACATCCTTCTTCACATAGTTTGTTGAACATTTTTATCATGTTGGTGTAATTGTTTATGGTAGTCTCTTATGATACTTTGTATTTATGTGGCATCACTTGTAGAGTCTCCTTCTATTCTGATTTTATTTGGATCTTGTTTATTAATTTATTTATAAATTCAATTCTAATTTTATTTGGATCCTGTTTATTAATTAATTTATTAATTTGGATCTTGTTTCCTTTTTCTTAGTTATTCCAGCTAAAGCTTTGTCAATTTTGTTTATCTTTTGAAAAAACAATTTTGGTTTAGTTGATTTTTTTTCTATTGTTTTCCTAGCGTCCATTTTATTTATTCCTTCTCTAATCATCATCATTTCCTTTCTTCTACTAACTTGGGACATAGTCTGTTCTTTCTTTAGTCCCTTGAAGTTAATGTTAGAATGCTTATTTGAGAAGGCTCTTCATTTTTAATGTAAGTATTTATAATTATAAACTTCCTTCTTAGTACTGCTGTTGCTGCATCTTATAAGTTTTGGTATACTGTGTTTTTATTTGCATTTGTCCCACGATATTTTCTGATTTCCCTTTGTTTCATCTTTGGTCCACTGGTTGTTTAGGAGTGTGTTGTTTAATTTCCAAATATTTGTAAATTTTCTGATTTTCCTTTTATTATTTTTAGTTTCATACACTTGTGGTTAGAAGAGACATTTGATGTGATTTCAATCTTTGTAAATATTTTAATATTTGTTTTATGGCCTAATATGTGATCATTTCTCATGTGATCATTTCTGGAGAAAGTTTTATGTGCAGTTGAAAAGAATGTATATGTTGCTGTTGCTGGGTGGAATGTTTTGTATGTATCTGATAGGCGTATTTAGTCTACAGTTTGTTTCAAGTCATGTGTTTCCTTACTGATTCTCTGTTTGGATATTTTATTCCTTGTTGAAAGTGGGGTTTTGAAGTCCCCTACTAATATTATACTGCTTTCTATTATTCCCTTCAGTTCTATTAATATTTGCTTTATATACTTAGGTGTTCTGATGTTGGTCGCATATATATTTATAATTGCTATATCTTCCTGATGAATTTATTATCATATGATGTCCCTCTTTAACCCTCATGACAGTTTTTTATTTAATGTCTATTTTTCTAAAATAAATATAGCCATTTCTACCCTTTAGTTTATCATTTTCATGGAATATATTTTTTCTTCACTTTGCTTTCAGAATATAGCTGAATTTTGTTTATTCATTCAGCCACTCTATGTCTTTTGATTGAGGAGGTTAAATGTTTACTCCTGTTTACATTTTACATTTAAAGTCATTATTGACAGGGAAGAACCCACCTTTGCCATTTTGTTCTTTTTTTTTTTGGCTGTTTCATAGTTATTTTGGTCCTTTTTTCCTTTCTTGCTGTTTTTCTTTTGTTGATTTTTTTCATAGTGATGTTCTTTTATTTCTTTCTCTTTTTCTTTTATGTAGCTTCTCATATATTTTTTGTGGTTAACATTCAGCTTACATAAAACATAACATTCTGTTTTAAGCTGATAGCAACTTACCTTTTATTACATACAGTAACTCCGCATATTTACTTTCTATCCCCTCATACGTTATATTATTGGCATCACAATTTACATCTTTTTATGCTGTGAATCCATTAACAAATCTTCTAGCTATATTTTTAAATATTTTTCTTGTTTTAACTAAAATCAAAAGTGATTTACCCACTATTCTTACATTATTATAGTAGTCTATATTTGTTTACACATTTTCATTTACCTGTTAGTTTTATATGTTTGTATATTTTCATGTTGCTGTTTAACAGCTTTCATTTTAATATGAGGAACTGTCTTAAGCATTTCTTATAAAGCAGGTTGAGTGCTGTTGTACTCCTTCAGCTTTTGTTTGTGTGGAAAAGTCTTTATCTCACATTTTCAAAGCTAAGTTTTGCTGGGTATGATATTCTTGGTTAAAAGTTTTTTTTTTTTTTATTTCAGCACTTTGAATATATCATTGTATTCCTTCTGACTTGCAAGGTTTCTGCTGAGAAATCTGCTTATAGTCTTATGGAAGCTCCCTGGCATGTCATGAGTTGTTTTTCTCTTGCTGCTTTTAAATTATGTGTTTTTATGTAGACTTCTGAGGGTTCATTCTATGTTGGATCCCTTGGACATCATCAATTTGTATGTTCATTTTCTTTCTTGGATTTGAAAATTTTCCAGCTGTTATATCTTTAAATAAGCAGTCTTGCTCTTTATTCTCCCCTTTCCTGTAATTCTCATGATGTGTATATTGGGATACTTGATTATTTATCATAAGTCTCATATGTATTGTTCACTTTTTTCATTATTATTATTATTATTATTTGCTTTTCCTACTAGGTAATTTCAAATGATCTGTCTTCGAGTTTATTAATTTTTTTTCTCTGCCGGATCTTGTCTACTTGCAAAGTTTTCTATTAAAATTTCCAATTTAATTGTTGTGTTCTTTAGCTCCAGAATATCTGTTTGGTTCTATCTCTTTGCTGAAATTCTATTTTTATTCATTTATTGTTTTCTGGACTATCTGTTTAGTTGTCTGTGTTCTCTTGTAGCTCACTGAGTTTCTTTCAGATTATAATTTCAAATATTTTGTCAGGTGTTTCATAGATCTCAATTTATTAAGGGTTGGTTACTAGTGATTTATTTATTTTTGGTATTGTCCTTTTTCCCAGATTCTTCATGTTCCTTGTAGCTTTGCATTGATGTCTGTGCATTTGAAGATGTAGCCACCTCTTCCAGTCTTTACGGAATGGTATAGGCAGAGAAAGACCTTCACCAACCAGCCTGAGTAGAGATTCCAAGAGCCTCTCAAACGTCTTCTATGGAAGTGCATGCTCAACTTCTTTCTCTCCCTCTTGGGGGAGGATTTTAAGGGTGTATAACCTCTCTTTATCTCATGGGACTGTAGTGGTCTCTGCAGTTCATCCTTTTTTCCCCCGTAGAGCAGAACAGCAAAAGGATTGGACATAAGATGCACACTCTATTTCTCTTCCTCTTTCCTGGGGAAGAAGTTTCAAGATTTTTCTCTTTCTATGTAAGGTCACAACCTTACATAGCTGTGTGGACCATGGTAAACCTTCTGCCCCTTTCTCTAAGGTAGTGCACTGAAATGCTGAAGCATTTGTGGCAAATTCGATTCCTTTCCCTTCCTCCGAAAGAAAAAGTTCTGGGTTTTATGCTTTCTCCCTATCCTGCAGAACTGTGCTGTATGCTGAGAATTACCCATCTGTTTTACCTAGAGCAATGCGGCCGAATGCCAGAATGTTGGGTGCTAACTTCACTTTCTTCCTCTTTCCAAAAGGATAGATCTCAGAATTGTATACTCTTCTCAGTTATGCTGAGTTGTGCAGGCTGCTGAGAGCCTCTGACCTTATTCTTTTTTCCTAGCTGCTTCCAAGTGTTCTAACTGTGCCAGTTGCCAGAGTACTCTCAGTAAGGTAAGACAGAAATAGGTCTTTGGGCAGTGCCCCCCAAAGACTGGGGATGTTGAATGCATACTTCACTCACTCTTTTTCCAGAAGGAGAAATTGTCGGCCAAGTGGATCTCTCTCAGCACTGAGCTGTGCTAGCTTGAGGAGAGGTTGGCACAGGTAAAGTGAAACTACTCTTTTTACTCATTTCAAAAAGATTTTTCTTGGTTTTGTGCTTGTCTGAGTTGTGTCAACTTCTTAATTGGATTCTGGAGCTCTCATAAAGATATTTGGCCCAGTTATTGTTATTTTATCAGTGTTTTTATGCAGAGCCTAAGGATGGGGACTTACTGTCCCACCATCTTGTTGACATTACTCTTCTTATACTGGTGGACTTTTAACTTTTAAAAGTCTTTGATATTATTAGCAATCTGATAATAAGCCTTGTATATATCTCCTTGTGTAAGAAGTTTCCCTAAGTTCTTTAATACTATAAATAGTTGGACTTGGAATATTACTAGATGAAAAATTACTCTTCAGAAGAGATGCTTCAATTTTATTCCTACCAGCAGCCTATAAGAATGTTTCTTCACACCCTAAAAATGTTTGGTATTGCCATATTTAAAAGTTTTTGTCAATTCACTGGACATACAAGGGTGTATCATTGTAGATTTAATCTGCATATCTCTGATTACTGATATATCAAAGATCCTTTACAGAAATATTTTTCTTATTGATTTGTGAGATTTCTTTATGAAATTTCAGTAATCATTTGCATGTTAGAGCTTGACAATCTACTCTCAGTTTCTTGCTTGTGTTAAAAATAAGTTTGTGATATATTGAAGAGTTTCATTTTATTGAGTCAAATAGAGAAAATAAAATGATTATTAAAACATATGGAGTTCGAATCAAGTCCTGGCTACATGTAAGTCCTAAATCCTTATGTAGCTTTATTTACCTCTCTGGGCCTTATTTGGAAAATGGTGATAATAATACTTATATGGCTATCATAAATATATCTTCTTTTTTAAAAAAAGTTTAATGCTCTATTTTTAATATTTCGATTTGTATTTAAATCAACTGGAGTTTATTTTGTGGAAGATATGTGGAAAGCATCTAACTATTTTCCCTATGGGTAGCCAATTTTCTGATCTTTATTTGTTGAATATAGATGCTTTTCTTTGTTGATTTATAATGCTATTAATATCTCTGTGATATAATAAGTTCTTATGTTTGAATAAGTACCTTTCTGAATTCTCTGTTCTGATCAATTTTCTTAAAACATGAATTATTACCAGGCCTTTTCATTGATGATAGTGCCCCTTTATCTACAGGGGACAAATTCCAAGACTCCCAGTGGATGCTTTAAGCCGTGTATACTAACTACCGAACCCTATATCTACTATATACACTATGGTTTTTCCCGTACATATATACATATTTATGATAAAGTTCAATTTATAAATTATGTACAGTAAGAGATTAACAGTAACTAATAACAAAATAGAACAATTATAACAAGATGCTGTAATAAAAGTTATGTGAATGTGATCTCTTTCTCTCTCTCTCTCTCTGTTTCAAAACATTGTACTGTACTACACCTAGCCTTTGTGATGTAGTATTGGGCTATGATTGACCTTCTGATGACATGTCAGAAGAAGGTTCATCTGCTTCATGAGATCTTGGATCTTAGAGCCTTGAAAATGTAGATGATTGGGTGTCAGAGACAAACAATGTTTATTGCTAACAGACAAGTAACAAATACAGCATAGAAACACTCGTGATAGGAATTATTCATGGCCCCAGGTGGGACAGAGTGGGGCAGTGTAAGATGTCATCATGCTACTCAGAATGGCATGCAATTTAAAATGTATGAATGTTTATTTTTGAAATTTCCATTTAGTATTTGTAGACCATGGTTGACCATGGGTAACTGAAACCATAGAAAGTGAACCTACACATAAGGAGGGACAACTATACGTTAGCTTTATAACAAGGTTTAATAAACTTATAAACGTAAAGCAAATAACTCCTTTTACTTTTTCTTCATGCTTTTTTTTTTGGTTGTTTTTTTTCCTGTCATGGTTCCATATACATTTAAATATAAGCTTATTAGGTTGCATATCACCTCCCACACCCTTTTGTTGTTACAATTGAAATTCATCCTATTTGAGGATTAATTTAAGGAAAATTGAGGTCTTTTATATACAAAATTTCTCCACAATGGACATGGTATAATACTGCAGTTATTTAATACTTAAAAAAAACCTTTCATTTATTACTTTCCTCATAGAGAAATCTCACAGCAAACTTTTTATGAATTTCAAATGTTTTTAAATTATCTTTTTCAAATTACTTGTTTCTCCTGTATAAGAGTGCAGCTTATTTTTATATGTTAACCTTTAATTCAGAAAACTTGATGAACTTTCTTATTGTTTGTCATAATTTTTCTTTAGATGTCTACACATCATTTATTCATAAAATCACACTGTGTGCAATAAATAGCAGTTTAGTTCAATTCTTTTAATTTTCTATAATTTTATTTGATTTTCTTGTCCTACACTGTGTATGTGTGTTTGCTATTAAATGTTGAGACTTTTTTTTTAACAGCGTACACATAGATTTTCTTTCTTTTATACATCTAGGCTGAAACTGTATCTTTTAATGGGTAGGATTTATTTCTTTATGCTTATAATTACTGATGTATTTGGAATAATTTCAACCACTTTACTTTGTAGATGCTATTTGCCTATCCCTTATAATTCCTTCTTACTTTTATTTCTCTCTACTGGTATGAGAGTTAAGCATTTGTATTGGAATTAACAAGTCTAAACTTAATTACCCTTTTTATTCTTCCCTGGGACAATAAAATAATTCAAGAATGCCTTAATTTTGATTTCCTCCATCTTATTTTCCTATTTTTGTCAAGCATATTAGTTAACCTTTTATATTTAAATCATCCAAATTAGTTACTATTATTGTTTTTTTCATTTTTAGCAAATAATTATTTAGTGTTGCTAATGTTTTCACAATTGCTTTGTTCACCATTGCATAGCACTCCTTTCTTCTGTGTTTACTCATACATTTTTCTGATGGGGAATAACATGATGTGAAGTAAAATGTATAGTAAAATATAAAATTATGTTAACAGTATTTTAGGAATATATAGACTTAACAATTTAAGATAAAAGGGATTTTAACCAAAGCCAATACAAGAAAAAACAACTATATAAGAATAATAAAATTAAAATAAAACAGTGTAAATTCAGACTTCATACTCATACTTGACTTCTTAAAATTTTTGGTTTTCTGTTTTTTGTTTTCCTTTATTTTGTTTTTTATGATCCTTCCATAGACCAGAGTCAACAATTGTGTTCTCTTTTCAAGGAGAAAATACGCTTTCAGGCTTCATTAAAGATGCTCTCCTTGGAATGGTGTGGTCATGTTTCTCATCTGCCATATACACGTAAAAACAGAATTTCCCATCAGACCCGTGAATGTCCAAGTGTGTTGAAATTCTCGTGTGCTCCTACTTCTTACCACTCTAAGTTTGATTTATCTATCTCCATAATTGTAGAACCTGGTATTTCCCTTTCTTTTAAAATCTAGTATGTATTTTTTTAATTTTAATATGATTATTTTTATACAAAATTTTAATGTATTGAAGTAGGAAAGAGTTCATCTGTCTTAGTTCGGAATTTCACATTGCCAGACAGCTCATGACTAGTTTCTAAGATAAACTTAATATATGACTTTTTGTTTTGAAGTTTTTTTTAAAGGTACTTTTGCTTTTAGTGTGGTGACAAAAGCAATGTTTTTCTCTTGGTTCAAACCACTGTGAGCTTTCCAAAGTACATGGTTTTAGTAGTAATTTCATCACAAAAATAAAACTGATATATGTGACTTTTAGACTGCTTTACAAAACAATTCTGTGAGTTTGAGTCTTAAGTTATGTTAAAATTGATATGTCTCAGCTAGCATAAGGACAACCCTAGAGAAGAACCTCTCAATAAAAGAAGTAGTTTGTCAAGAATGACAGCTGAAATTTCTTAGCCTTTAGTGGCAGAGTTGACTGAAATCAAGTCAACAGCCACGTCAGTGGTAGTACCCATGGCCTATGTTTACTAGCACAAATCACAGAGATATAAATGTTAAAATAGCCACTCTTTTCAATAGTTTTGAGCAATAAGCCTCAAATTGTTCTATGGAAGTAGCCTATCATGCTTTAAAAAATATATATAGTGACACTTTCTACTTCATAGCAGTGTGTGTTTAAATCATTTAATCAATTGGGTTTTTTTAGAAAATATATTCCAAATATTTTTCTATAATTAAAGTTTTACATAGATTTGTTGCAGTTATTCTGTGACTTTATACATTCTCTTGGAATTTCCTTGTAGGTACATATAATTCTTTTTGGAAAATACGAGTTTAGATAAAACACTTTATGAATACCTCAGCAATGCAGTATTGAGTAAGATATAATCTTTGGAGATGACTACCTTGTTATTCATGTCTTTTTAGAAGTTTAAAGGAATGTGCACATTCTTAGAAGTTTAAGGGAAATTGACCAACTTAAGTGAGAATTTAAGGGTAAGGAGACACAGTCCAGAACTTGTAAAGTTTTTTGTCTTAAAATCTTTGTAGAACAAATTACATTACAGAGTGAAAGAACCACTCATAGTATTTATTCAGTAGTTCTTTTTGCCAAGCATTGCTTTAAATCCCTTTAAATGAATTAATATGTTATATATTTAAAACACACTTAAAAATTATACCCTTATTACAGATGAGCAATCTGATGCAAAAGGAGGGGGAGTAACTTACCCAAGTCACATGACCAGTAAATATTTGAGCTGGGATATAAACACGGTTAAATACTGGACTCTCACTATTTAAGAATAGAATAAGAATAATCAAATAGAGGTGAGACTTCAGTGACATGTCCTAACACTTGATTTATTGCATTTTCTATGGCATCTATTTCCTGTGCATACCAAGTATGAGTTGTTGATGTCCATTCGTTTCATTTTGCTAAATTGAAAGGTAAAATAATTTACACTTAAATATTTGGGGGTTGGAAGGCAATACTAGCACTTAAGCTTTAATACACTGAACATGCCAGTTATATTGAGAGTGCTGAGAATTAAATTGTAATTCATTTTGTAGACTCTTGCACTCTTGCACTCTGTATTAATTGCTGGGAAAGCAAAGAAATGTGGTTTGTTCATTATAAGTTTTTTAATTCTTCATTGTCCGTGTTCCTTTTTCTCTAGGTTTTAGTATGAATGCTGAATTTCCTAGATGGATTTCTTTTATGATATTTCATGTCCATATTTCATCAATTACAAACATGTATCAGTACCCTGTCAAAAATCTGAAAGCAGTGCTTTATAAATTTCCAGTAGAAACTAACACAGAACCATTCAGTGATGAGTATGCCATGAATTAAAATGAGAAATCAATGTTTTTTTGCATTTCATTCAGTTGCAACATTGTAACTGGGTACATTGTGGGCTTTCCTTGTTGATTATCAGCATTCTCAGAAAATATGATCTTTTTAACAAAGATTTGAGATCTATTGATACAATATTTTAATCAATTTATCATTTTTTCTTGGCAAATTTATCTGATAAATACATTTCTGGGTTATTTCTTAATATTTAAGTTGATCTGCCACATTTGATATAAGAATAATTAAAACCAATTGAAAATAAAAGGGGCATTTTCTGAGATAGTAAATCCACAGCAATCTGCTTCCATAATTGTAGGGTAATCACACGTTGTTCTGCACACTAGTAAGAAATGTCTTAGTTAATTGGGATCCTTGTACAATTGGTCAGGTTTTAGATATTCCTGCCCTTGAATAAGAGGGTATTTAGCTTTATTTATGATCTTGAAAATGCATCTTTTCATTTTCAATTGTAATCTACTTACCACAAATGTTATGTTCATAGGATCCTTAGCCATTATGGTAACAATGATGTACTAAGAAAACACATCATTGCCAAAACTGTACCACAGATCTACTATCTATTCAAATGAGAGCTCTAAATCTTTTTATTTACTTTCAGAAAACAGTAACTTAGAACTAAATGATGACCTTGAATCATATTGCTACTAACACATTTTGGTGTAGATAATATAGTTGAATTTTTGGCATTTAGGAAGCATTAAAATTCCATCAATGTAACTATTAATTGCAAAAAAAATTGTGATAGGGATTCAAAATGTTGATTAAGATTTAATATTGGCTAAAATATGTTTGATTTTGATGATTGATTAAATACTACCATAGATGTGACTGGATAAAAAGCGAGTTATTTTGATTTTTTAAATTAACATATTTTTTGGATTAAGTTTTTGAATCAAGGCACTTTAAAATTTAGTTTTGATTCACTTCTGCATCAACAATACTTTGATTTTTAGAACTGGAGCATCTTCTATCCTCTTCTTTATTAAATTACAAGATAATCGTGTAGAGAAGCTAAGACTTAGAGATGATGGGCCACAGATTATAGGTTTGAAAATATATTTGATTTCTTCCATCAATTATCAATACCAATTTCATTATTATATAATATTTTTTTAAATATTGGATGACATATCAGGATGGCAGAATAAGCTGGTAACCTTGAGACATCATAGATGCCAGAGGCTCCCAAAAGAAAAATTTCCCATCTCATCTCTGTAAAAACTGTCAATGTGGGGGTCTATTTTCAACAAATAAACATATGAAAGTAAAAATGCATATGACTTGTCCATAGACTGATCATATAGTTTATTGTCTAAACCCAGAAACCTTTGAGAGTTAAATAGGGCATAATTACACTGAGACAATAGGCTTAAATTGATACTGTCTTAGATATACAATCAACTTACAGCAAAGTTCAATGAATCGAAACTCTTTGCCCTGTTATGTGTTCACATCAGCACTTTGAATAAAAGGTTTATTCAAAGCAAATGCAAAATTCCAGAGCAACATTATGCCTTTTTTTAATTTTTTTTTTCAGATTTAGAAATGGGGTCTCACATGTTGCCCAGCTGGATTGGAGTGGCTATTCACAGGCCAGATCATAGCACACTGTGGCCTTGAACTCCTGGCTTCAAGCAATCCTTCCACCTCAGCTCTAGAGTTCCTAAGATTACAGATATGGACTACCATGCCCAGTCCTAGCATTAGGTCACCTTTTGACCAACAGCATTCAAAGATATGATTGGATAGACCCCTTAAGGTTAAGCCTCAAGCATTAAGGCTATAAGTCACAGGTCTTGCTAGAGTTAGAATGCTTTTTAACTAGTGTATGTGAATCACCTGGGGATTTTGTTAAAATGGGGATTCTGATACAGTAAGGCCAAAATGGAGCCTGGGATTTTACATTTCTGACAAACTCCCAGGTGATGCTGATGCTGTTGGACCTTGGACCTCAACTTTACTTGAGTAATAAAGTTGTAAAGTTAATTTAAGCAATCCATGTCTTGATGACCTCTAATCTCATCAAGAAAAAAACCCATTTCATTACTCAAGTTAGCAAGGTATATAACTAGTTTCACCAACAAAAACCCATTTTAGGTATCCAGTAACCTATTAGCAAAATATTGGTTATTGATCAAAGACAAAAATTTCAGAAGAGCTCTGTTAGTCACTGCTCAAGTATAACCCTTTCTGATAGCATACTGCAGCTAGATTGCATCAGGACTGTGCATTCGTGATTAACATGCCAGCTGACCACTGCTCACATATGCTTTTTTAATAGGTACTAGGGTGTTGGTTTAATATGTTATATATATGCACAATATGTCAGATTGCTTATACCAAAGAGTTTCAAAGTAAATTTTAGGCATCGTGACTTTTGGTCTATTTTGCCTTTCATCTTTTAGTAACCAGTATACACAATCTGTAATTTTACAATTGTGTGATCATTTGATACTAGGATGAGGGAGAACCCAAATACTAAAAGGTTGACCTGAAATGGTACATGGAGATATATAGAATATAGATGTGACCTGCTAATACATAGCCCCCAAATAAGCAATGAAAGTCTTCATGGTCATCTGAATTTTCCCTAATAGTAATGAGAGAAGCTATTTGAGCTATTTGGTACTTTCAAAATGTATTCTTTGAAGGCAACAGGATGTGTCTAGAACTAGGCTTCCATAGTAATCATAGGCTTTTGGGCCTAATGATTCAAAGACTGTGTAAACCAGCATAGATAATTTCTAGGAAATGATTTAGAATTCGTGTCAGAAAATATGATTGAAGAGGTTGGACACATTTGGATTCCTATTAGTCATTTGATGATTTTGTCTTTGTGTTTTTTTTTGTGCTGTAACAAAGCACCATCACTGCATTGTTGAGATGATCAAAAGAGTTTACTAGAGATAACATGCTTTGAAAAAATAAGCATAAAATTAGCATTTCACATTTAAAATAATATTCAACTTCTCATAAATCATTACAAGTCACTTTTTGTGGCTATAAACCCATTAATATGTTGAAGAAAAGCAAAACTATCCTTTCTTACCTTCCAATGTTTTAATAATTAGTGATGTACTATGGTTGGGAATAGAAACAAATATATGAATGTAAATAAGGATGTGTATAGATATGGCCTGTTCAGTTTGTAAAACTGATCGTGTAGAAAATCTAGAATAATGAAGCTTAAAATTCTGTAGCTAACACTATAAAATGTAACCATGCAATCTAGTTTGTTTTGCGTCCTAAAGAAGGAATAGTTACCTTCTTTCTTTTCTAAGGTTTGATCCTCCTGCCTGGACAAAAGATACTTATGCCATATAATTGACCATTTGTTTTACATTTAAGTGGACAGATATTTTCTTTTATTTTCTCTTTATAACCAGGATCACAGACATTATGGAAAGCCTCTTTGAAGTTTTATGCTAAGTACTTTCTGCTAAAGCTTTCATTTTCCTCTGCTTTGCTCACTACCTTTCCATTATGATAAATCACTAAAATCACAAAGCTTATCCTTACAGCAAGCCTATCACTCCTTTCTTTCCTTGTTTAAATTTTCATTTCTTCTATAAAGTTTTGATGACTTAGATAACTTAGACTACACATGGCACTTCTAAGAGTAATGTTATACATACAGTAGTTTTTCATCCATTAAACATGGATTTCCCCTTCTAAAGCATGTCACATGATAATCACATGGTAATTGTAAAATATATGTTAAATACTACTGAAATGAAAGTAAAAAGAATCAGACCATTTTAAATCTATCACCTTTCTACTTTGTCACAGCATCCATCAGTTTTCTTACTTACCATAAGAAAATGTGAATTGAATTTGCTTTCTAAAAGTGCATGTGTTCTTTCCACTGTTATTTAATGGAAATTTTGCATAACTTTTTGTTTCTTATAGAAAATATAATCAATAATCAGTGAATGAATAGTGTACATGTCTCAAAAAGAAGGTCTATAAATCTTTATTATAAAATTCTGAAAAGAAGTAAGAAGTCGGAACTTACTATTTTAGTTTCATATTAGACAATTGCAAAATCATTATAAAGTGAACCAAATTTATTACTTCATTTAAAATAAAATTACATATTGCCCCCTTATAAACTGTTGAACAATAAGGCTTTAAAAAGTAATGTAACTATCTAACTGCTATTATTACAATTACTTTTCATTTTCTGAGAAATTTGTCTATAATTATAGTTTATAAAGTATTGAATTCTGTGGTAGAAAATGAAAAAAACACATTTTATCTTCTGAGTATAAATAATACATTATATTAAACTGATATAAAGAAACATTTCACAAATTTTTTAAGAATTTTCTTTGAACTAGATTAAAGAGACAGTTATTTCTGAATTGCAGTCTCTCAAGTTGCTAAGTCAATTTTCCAAGGTATAAATGTGATACAAAGAGGAGCCTCCTGCCTCTGTAGGCTCTTTGTTGGCAGAAACAATATTTTATTTATCTCTGTGTCCTCAGCATCCAGTATCCTGAAATATGGTGGTTGCTCAGTAAATTCCTCATGACTGAGTGCCTGTATATCTTCAGGGTATCCAGGAGAATACTCAATTGTGGTTATTCTTTCCAGTGCAGTTGCTTTTTCCTTAGGGAAGATATCTATTTTGTGGAGCCTACATCACAAAATAGATACATGTGAATATTAGAGTAGATATATTTGGTTATGTTCAGACCTGTAGTGGTTTATCCGTTCTATCATATTTTTCTAATTGTTTTCAGATCAAAACGAATGTAGTAAAAAGGTACATGGACCTATAAAACATCACTTTTTAGAAAAGTAAGATTATTATTAATCTAATAAAATGATGAGTTCAGTAGTTTTGTCAATTAGAACGAAATAAATCTGATGCCCAATATGATTTCCCAACTCCCCAGATAATTAGATTAATCCCACATCTTGATTCATGATATGCTATCATTGTTCACCCATGAATGGCCATATTTTAAAAAACGTAATTAACTAGCCATAGAATGAACATTAGTGAACTTACCACCTGGACAAAGAACTAGATGAACGGTAACTAATATTTGCCTGGTTTTGCTCCTCTATTGTACCTCTCACAGAATTATCTTGACATTTGTGTTTGTAATTTCCTTTTAACTCAAATATGCATGCCTAAAAATGTGTTATTTAGTTATTAGTTTCTGAACTTACAAAAGGGGTTTTATAAATGTAGTTTAATATGAATCAGAACTGAATAAGTGTATGCTTAGAATTAATTAATTCATACTTACAAAATTCTACAAATAGTGTATTATATTCCAGACATTTTATTAGGCTCTATGAAATGAATCAAAATTTGGCAATCTTCCAGTTTTGCAGGGGTTCTCATTCTTTTGGTGAACACAGACAAGTAAACTTATAGTTATTATGTGATTTGACAGAGAAAGGACTCCTAATGCTTTATGATACATACTAGTAAGTGGACTGAGTTGAGCCTTGAAGAATGAGCAGGATTTACTTAAGCAACAAGGGATAATGGCATTCCAAGGTTTTTTTATGTTTGCATGATATATGTAAACTGGTAGTATAAAAGAAAGCTGGAAAGGAGGCAGAAGCCAGATGGTGAAGAGCTTTGCAAACCATACACAGTGTTAAGGTGTTTCTTTGTAGGTTATAAGAAGTCTGGGAAAATTTAAAAAAGATGGATTAAATGGTCTGTTTTGCTGTTTAGAGAAATCATCCTAATAGCAGCCTGGAGGATAGGTAACAAAGAAGTCAAATGTGGCCACCAGACTATGACAATAATCCAAGTAAGAAATGTTGAGGATTGATCTCAGACAGAGACTGTGTTGATGGAAAAAAGTGAGAAATTTATAAGGACTTTAGATGAGAATAACAAGACTTGTTTACAAATGTGAATGATCAATAAGAATTATGCTGAAAGGTGAGAAATTTAAGATTTCCAGATTTCCAGATTTGATTACTGAGTCACTGGTAAAACCATTAGCCTGGTCTAGAGAATTCTGTGAAAAAAGGTTTAATGAGGGATCATATGAGAGTGTGAGGAAGGAGTTTAGTCTTGGACCTGTTGAATTTCCTAGAACCTATAGGATAACAGCTAAACATATAGTTGAGCACAGAAACACAAGGCGTTATACTAAGAGTTCTGAAAAATTCAAAATCAAACAGCTCTGAGCCTCAGCAATTTTTCTCTCTGGAAAGGAATAATGCAAACACCCAAGTATCTTTCAGATTTCTAGGTGACATCAAACAGGAACAAAGAGTGCTGTGATTTACCAAAGAGAAAACTCTCTTCTGTTTGTGTGATCAGGATGGGCAGCATGAGTGAGATATTCCTTGAGGTTTGCCATGCTGGATCATGAGTGCTTTGGTTAGCAGAAATGGTGGTGAAGGAAGGAAGGAAGGAAGGAAGAAACAGAGGCTAGAGAAAGATATAACAGAAAGCAGCATGGTATAGAGGCAGGGTGTGTGGAATACATTTATAGCTATTCCAGTCCTTCATTCTGACTACAATTTGAGGTTCAAAAAGGAGACTAGTGAATAATAATCTGTAATAAAAATTGGGAACAGGTTCGGAAGAATGTTGAATGCTAGGAATTGTAGTTTACTTAGTTGGCAACCTCCTTGGGGGTTGGAGCTATAAGCCTAAATATGGTTTTAAGGGTAAAATGATCATATCAGAGTTTCACTTGAAGAAAATTAATGAGATACAAATATATGAGGTGAACTGAGGAGGACAGAAAATGCTTGTGAGGACCCTGTTTAGAACCCTATTATAATGATCAATAAAGAGAAAATGGAAGCTATAAAGGACAGCAGAAAAGAAGGAATAGAATGGATGTGATTTCATATTATTTTCAAATTTTTCAAATTAAAGATGAAAGGAAGGAAGGAGCCAAGGACGGTTCTAAGAATTTGGGTCAGGCACTTTCTGGGAAGTTTGATGACAGCTATGTGGGCCTGGGATCATCCCCGATGACTATGTGTTGGAACAACTTTATGGGTCCAGGTAACTGGGAAGAAGTAATTTATCTGAGAAGAAACAACTACCAAAAATAGCAAAGCCAGGAAAGATAAACACTAAGAACAATTTAAGTCATTTAAGACTAGCTTGGGCAGCATGGTAAGACCCTGTGTTTACAAAAAATCGAAAAAAATTCACTGGATATGGTGGTGGGTGCTTGTAGTTGCAGCTTAGTCAGAAGGCTGTGGTAGAAGAATCGCCTGAACCTGAGTAGTTGAGGCTGCAGTGAGCCATGATCATGCCACTGAACTCCAGCCTGGGTAACAGAGTGAGATGCTGTCTCAAAAAAAAAAAAAAAAAAAAAAAAGTCATTTCTTACCTTTGGACGAATAGATTTTTCAAAATTATGGGCATAGAGGAAAGACTACAAAGGGACATGGGATTTTTCCTTTATTTTACAAAATGGTTTAGTTTAAATAAAGTTCCACAAGTTATTTTCCAGCTTTAATATTCTGGAAGTCTAAGATTCTGTGAATCTTAGGTCTTCTTGAGAGATTGGAAAGCGGATAAGTAGAGGTGTTGTGTATAAGGAAGGCTTGCTTTTATTTGTCAATAAAAGGCAATGGTCAGCAAGGGAGCAGACAGTGACAAAGGAAAAAAAAAATGGTAATGATGGAGCAAGATCCCTGGATGAGAGCTAAAGCGGAGATGAGGATATCTGCTATGGCAAGCTGATGCAGCTCCACAGGAGCACTGGCGAAAAAGGAGTTGGGTAAAGATGGAAGAAGGCTAGAGAAGGGATTTGAAGAAGTGCATTTCATTGGGCTCAGCCCAAGTAGTAAATTAACAAGTGACATTTCCCTTCTGGGAATGAAGGGGTATGGAGAGGGAACTGGAGGGATCAGTAACATCTGCTATCAGGAGTGTAATAGACAAGAGATGCACTGAAAATTGCCAAACAGCAGTGAGGAGCAGATTCCTTTGTGTCTACACATTCCTTTGTCTGCATGGCCTCTCTGTATGATTTCCTTAAGCAGAGAGTGTTAATCTAAAATGTTTAAAAAGATATTCATAGATGAACGTACTCGTCCTGTAGCCCTCTTTGGTGAGGTTAATTGAGGCTAAAAAGTCCAGTGACATGCAGGCCTGACATGGGACAAAAGGCATTTGATATGACCTGAAAGGGAGATGATGTTTCTGTGATCCATTGCCCTTCATTTTAAGTAAGTGGTATACATAGATTGTTAGAGAGGATTTTCCTCACCACAATTTTACATCCGCTGAGCCCAAATTATCATAGTCGACAGTTTCTTAGCTTTTGATAGAAGGTAGAAAGGAAAGCAGGGTGAGAAGTACTGAGCCAAACCTCTTGTCTGATTTGATCCTGCCTTAGAGAATCTAGGGTACATAGAAATGCAATGTTTTAAAATATTGGCTACATACAAAGATCAAAGAAAGGGATTACAAAGATAGCTTAATATTTTTTAATGAGAAAATTTATACACATGTAGAACATAGCAGTGGTAACATGTGATGTTTGGACATTTTCAAAGTGAGTAAAGAGAGTCTTCAAGTGAACTCTTAGAAAAATCTTTTCTGTCAGTAGTCATCTGTAAAATTCCCTGGCTTGGAGTCGCAGCTGGGAAACTGGAGCAGGGTCAAGGGCACATAGCATTTCTTAGCACCAACAGATCCACAGTAATTGGACTTCAAAACCATGCTGAGTCCTTGTTTCTTAAAAACCAAACTGAGAATTATGTAGCATTTAACAACAAATAATATTCCCTGGCCAAAATCTAATGCTCCACTTGTAGACAATGTACAATCTGGACCCATTCCACCTGCTTTTGAAAAAAGCTTTTGAAAGCTGCCAAATGTTTACTTTCTTCTAATTTTGTCCTGTGTTGTGTTTTCACTCATGACACATATTTTGCACCAAAAATAATTTAGTGGGTTAGTGGGAATAGAGTCATAAATGAGGAGAAAATGGCGAAACTGCTGGCTGGTGGAACAGCCCACGATTAATAAATTGTGCAATATGTGATTTGGCAGCTCTTTGATTCACCAGCAGAGTCCCCTCCCTTGTAAATTCTAGTTGGCTTTCCCATACATTATTATGTGGATTCCTTATAACCACTTCCCTTTCTGATTTTCCAGAGACAGGGTATAAAGTTTCCCTAAACGCCAATAAAATGTGAAATCTTATCCCTCTCTTTAGGCTGGCTTTGTGTAGTCATCTTCTAAAATAAGAACAGCGCGTGTCTTAAACATTGCTATTTTCTATTTTTATGTTCATTCAATAGTTACAATTCTTCACAGTTTTCATTTCGATGGCAGTTTGTTAAAATTTGAGAGATAGATATTAATAGAAATTGTACATGTTTTCTTTTTGCCTATAAAAATAAAATTAATTTCTCATAATGCTGTGCAGAAAAATCTACATCCTTAAATTAGTACAGATTATATACTAATTTCTCCACCTAATCAAAATCTGTAGATGAATAGACTTGAAAGCAGTACATTAACTTCAAATCCATTAACACATAATTTTAGTTTGCTGTTGTATTCCTGAAGTAACATAAAAACCCTGGGGTTTAAATGTTGATTCTGTTTACATGATCAGAGAATATTTGTTTTTTATGGAGGCAATATATTTAGTCATTGTTATTAATTGTGACACACTAAAAAAGGATGCTTTACTGTATTTTACTATACTGAAGCATTTGTTGACAAGCTTTTAAAAAGAGGTTTTCATTTTGTGCAATGGAGGAGTGGAAGGATATAAATAGCTTTCGTCGTGCGCAGTGTCTTCGGAGAATAATTTTTTTCTTTCTTTTCTTTTTTTTTTAAATGGAAATTTGGCAAGGAAAAGCCTAAAATATATACACAGCATTACATCATTTGTATTAAATCATTTTGTGTTTTGAGGGCTTTCTAGATTCAGAGAGTAAAAATTAGTTAGAATGAAAAGATAAATCGTTCAATATGTCCAAAAGCCTCAGAACCCATGTTCCCAGTATCAAAAAAGTTCATGGCATATTTATATCAGACCTGCAATGTAGAAGCCTTGAATGTTTAGAAGTTGCCTTGGAATGCAACTGGAGAAGCAAAATTTGCAAAAAGATTTAAGTAAGTTTGGGATGAAGGGAGTTGTAGCTTTATTTAATTTTCATTATTATAACTCTCTATAAAATTTAAGTAACGCAAGTAATATTTTGAGGGTTTTGATATGTTTTTCTCTTTTGCATTTCTGACTACATGACTTTCCTGCTTATTGGACTTGAGCATTTCCCTGCCTCTGGGGATGGGATTTGGGGTTGGGTAGTGTTGTATAGATTAATACATTGGACATGTTTCTGAAGAGAGAGAGACTTAATATTTAGCTATGTTTGCACAGAAGACAATAAACTTGAAAGCCAGGTTTAGGGGAAGGGAAAGAATTGTCCAAATTTCTTTCACTCACATTAAGATATCAAAGATCCAGCCTGAAGGAGCCATACACAGAGTTAGGCCTCTGTGTGGATAGAATGTCCCCTCTGCTTCCCCCAGTGAGGCACTTTCATGGTAGAAAACAGGACATATAGAAAGTAAAAGGCAACTTCCTCTCTCTAGCCTCAGGAAAACATGAGAAGCATTGGAGAAAGAGGGAAAGGAAGAGAGAAAAGTAGTCAGATGTGTGTCTTTAATTCATGTGTCTCTAATTCATGGTGTGTCTCTAATTCATCTGCCCACGAGGTATGTTATATAATTAGGGTAGGACATTGAGAACGGGTTGGCATCTGCTAACTCCCCATCTGTAAGAAACAAGGAGGGAGGGGGTTCCAATATAGGGCAGTTTGTTTGGTCTAGCCAACAGGACAGAGCAGCATAGTTACAGAGGATAGGTCGGGCTGGCACACATCAGCCTCCTTCACCTCCTGTGTTTGGTTGCTGAGATGAGATCCAGGGGGCCTGTGGGGTGCAGGCGTTGGGGGTTGGTGAGCCATGGCCAAGATTGCAGTGGGCCATCAGGCTTGGGGACCGATGGAGACCCAGCAGAGACTTGGCTATGAAACCTGTGATAACTGTGGGGAAAGTCAGCAAAGGACAGATGGTGGATGTGCCAGGGGAATCCCCTTCACCCAAGCAATGGGCAATGAGCTAATCAGCTGTGGAGTTTAGAAACAGTTTAGAGATAGATGCCAGCAGGTGCCCAGGAATTAGGTGGATGGGGATCATTATGCTAGAAACAAATGGATACAGCCAGTAAACATGTGGAGGTCTGTTTAAAATAAGAATTGGGATAGGGATTGTCAGATAAGAAGCAGTATTACCTAAAGAGACTATTTGCATAAGTGTACCAGGCTGAGTTTTAAACTGGATAAAGTTAAAGTTTTAATTTTTCCCTCCACTAACCAGTAGGTGATGGCTCAAGAAGAAAATTAGCTTATTTATAAGTTTAAAAGAAGAGCTACATTTTTTTTAGCATGTTTGAGTACATTGACCCATCTATACTTTCAGCAAAGCTCTGGACTCATTATTAAAATTTCTGGTTGTCTATTGAGAAGCATCACTACACCTGTGTCATGTGATGTCATATCAAAACTTTTATTATACTCAGAAAGTGGCAGTAAAACCTTTACTCCTTATGCTTAAAAAAATCAAAATTATTTCTTAGTTCTTTGCCAATGCTAGAAGTCATAAACTAATGCTCTACCGGTCACAACATGCTGTACATATGTTTTACTTGACCCAAGCAGTGTTTTTAAAAATAAAGATAATCATTGCAGCACTATTCACAATAGCCAAGACATGGATTTCAACCTAAATGTTCATTAATGGTAGACTAAATAAAGAAAATGTGGTACATGTACTCCACAGAATACTATGCAGCAATAAAAAGAATGGATCATGCCCTTTGAAAGAACTTGGATAGAACTGGAGGCCATTATCCTTAGCAAACTAATGCAGGAACAGAAAACCAAATACTGCATGTTCTCACTTATAAATGGGAGCTACATGATGGGAACACATAGACACAAAGGGGTAAACAACAGACACCGGGGCCTACCTGAGGGTAGAGAGTGGGAGGAGGGAGAGGGGCAGAAAAAATAACTATTGGGTACTAAGCTTAGTACCTGGGTCATGACATAATCTGCACAACAAACCCTTGTGACAAAAGTTTACCTACATAACAAACCTGCATATGTACCCTGAACCTAAAATTAAAGTTAAGAAAAATGTACTGCACATTGCAGAATTGCTAAGAGAATAAATTTCAAATGTTCTCACCACAAAAGATGTTAAATATTTGGGTTGGTGCATATATTAATTAGCTAGATTCAATGATTACACATTGTATTCATAAATCATAACATCACTTTGTACCCCATAAATATATACAATTATAAATTGTCAATTTACAATAAAAATGTTCAAACTTAATGCCATAAAAATATGACAAAAAGATTCATACCAACAAATTTCACAAAAAAGAATTAGAATATTTTACAAAATCATGGATTTCTGGTTACTGTTGATGGTATCTGGAGGTCTGGCGTCACTGTGCCTGCATTTCTAAACATCACTGATTGCTAGAGCTGAGTATTGGCTGTCCATTTCCTCTGAGTGATAGTGTTTCACTTTGCCACTGTTCCTATTATTGCCTCTACCAGGCATGCTTCACCTATACCTCTAACTCCCTGGCATTCTTTGACGTTGGATATGTGACTTGTATATCCAAAGGATAAATTTCTTCTTTAATCCTATACCCAGCCCCTGACAATGCCCACTGAACCTATATTTTTAGCTTCGTCTCTCTGTCTCTCTCTATAAGTTCTCTACTCTTCAAACACAGCAGAGAACTCTTCATTTGTGTTTGCCTGATCGCATTATTTTCTTTCCTTATGATGTTTGAGGTCCCCCTGCCTCTTTTTAGTCTAATCAAACCTTCCAAATAAAAGAGTTAAGTCAAAGCAAGACAACAGACACTTTCTTAAATGCCACTGTGTGGGAGCCATTGTGTTGGACATTGCTGGAATCCGTTCCCATGAGGAGATTACAATATTTTGGGGATATAACACATAAACATTAAATTAAACATATAGTGCATTGGATAACAGATCACGAGAGTGACAGAATGGTGTAATGAGGCAGTATAACCAATGGCACCATGAAAACCTTCATGAGTTGCCCACATCATCTGCATTTCCTTTAAGCAGAGACTCTAAATCCTGGTTTTTGTCATGGAAGAGCAGCTTTATTTCAAGGTCTCACTAAAATCTCAATGTTAAAAATATATGCATTTAAATTTTAAAAATCTAAGAACACAATGTACATCTCAATTTCATGTATACATATGCACATAAAGAATACATAATGCACATTTACTACAAGTTAATGAAGATTAAAAGCATGCATCTGTAGTTCATGTTTCTTCCAATTTCTTGGTCAGTGGTTCTTCAAAGTTTTGCAATTTTAAACTTAATACTATGAAAACATTTATAGTTGTTTTCTATTAGTTCATCTAAGTAAGAACACGGTATTTTTCTCACTATATTAGAATTTCCCCAGAAGAATTTATTGCCATGAAAAAATATGTTCTAGGAAACAAGAGAAATTGTTTTTTTCTCATTTCTGTCACTGTCAGGACTTGCCTCTCCATGCTTAGACCTAGCAGAGAAATCCTGAAGATATCCTGCTGGTAAGTAAGTTAACTGTTAAATAAGGCTCTAGGGTTAAAGGTTAACAGGCATGCATTCAGCAACAACTTTTTATAATAAACATGCATCACACCAATTAACCTAAACACCCTATTATATTAATCATATTTGATTGATTTTATTTCAATTTTCAGCATTCCCACCTAAGTAAATTGCTGTTTCCCTAATATTCCTGGGAGTCAGTCATTATTATCATGTTAAAATTAGTTCCTCTATTGGTCATATTGACATCAGGCATTTAAATGATTATTTAATATAATAAATAAGGTCTAAATGGAGTTTTGCTTAAACTGAATTAATGCTGCTGCCTCTTTCTTTTTATTGATTTTCATGAATTATTTTAGTTGGTCAAAATAAAATAGCGTATAGCTAAAGATTATTGAACTAGAATATATATGGCAATTCATTTATCTCAACCAACTCGGTGATTAATTAATGTAGGTTAATTAATTAACCTTGCTGTATGGCATCCTGTGGGGTTAATGCTAACCATCCATCTATATACTTCTGCCATTGCTGAGGCAAAGGAGTAAGGCATCACTAGGAACTGGAAGATTTACAATCTTCCACAGTCATACCTACATATGGCATAGCAAAAATTATACACGTTCCTATTTGAATAGACCATTATTCCCAGCTTTAAAATAGTAGAAAAGAGGCAGAGAGAGGCGACAATGCTCCCTCCCTTTCCATAGCTTTCCCAGGTCACTACTGAAAGCTTATCAGGCCTTGGTTTAATAATCTCTGTTCCTTGGCAGTCTGCTACTTAGCAACTAAATCATTCTCCCTTTCCCCATTTGTTCTACTCACCTTGCAACCTAAAAGATGAAAAATATTTATCCCAGATGTGTAAATTAAATACGCAGGCATTCAAATTCAGTAGATTTTCATACATTAAGGGATGTCAGGAATGTAGCTAAATGCTAATGTTATCTAGGGTATCTCTGATGAAATGGGATTTAAGTGTGCTTGAGTAGCAAAACTTTATCAGATAGAATGGGATATTTTTACCAAAATAATTTATTTAATGATCTGTGCTTTCCAAATTTATAAGCAAGTATTTTTCCTTAGTAAAAAGAGTGGAGGGGTTCTTAGGGCTCCTTTTTAGTGAACAACCGACCGAAAGGATAATTCTGTAATAATTTCTTTTTTTTGAGATTGAGTTTCACCCTTGTTGACCAGGCTGGAGTGGAATGGATGATCTCGGCTCACTGCAACCTCTGCCTCCCGGGTTCAGGCAACTCTCCGGCCTCAACCTCCTGAGTAGCTGGGATTACAGGTATGCGCCTCCATACCTGGCTAATTTTGTATTTTTAGTAGAGATGGGATTTCTCCATGTTGGTCAGGCTGGTCTCAAACTCCCAACTTCAGGTGATCCACCTGCCTCGGCCACCCAAAGTGCTGGGATCACAGGTGTGAACCACCACGCCCGGCCAATTCTGTAATTCTTAAAAGCTGGTGTGTAGAATGGGAACATAGTGGGGTTTTCATTACAATAGTTTAACTTTCCCCATATTAGGAATATGTGTATGGGTTCTATTTTATTCATATAAACCTTTATTGTTTAAAAAACACAAAGAAATAAAGATTGAAAGAACATTTTATATTCACGTGTATACTCATTGCAATTTTCATCTTTTTTCAACTTCAATGTTTTTAAACTTTAAAGTTTCTCTAAACATTTGCTTGAGCAAAGAAGAATCTGCACTTTAGATATAATTACCAAAAAATGCATAATTAGAAGGAAACACTCAAATGCACAAACACATAAGTCGAGTAAAAAAATACACTGCTGATAAAGCTTTCTTATCTAAATATTTGTTAACGGTTTTGCCAGAACAACAATTACCACAAAACACACACACACACACACACAATGGAATAAGCTTTAATTTAGGACCACAGATTGTGTAAAGCAAGCTCAGATAATTACAAATTAGGCAAAATTGTGGTTAGCTTAATGAAAAGGCTCAAAAGTGTGCCAGGCCAATGGCAAAGGACCTAAATCTAAAGACAGACAAGCTTTTCTTGATTACAGTGATTACATCATGGTCATTAGAATTTAAAGTAACTAACCCAAACACAGACATCATATCTTCATTTGATAGCTGCAGTCTAGTAAATAGTGGGAAAGGATGTTATGTATGGATTAAGCTTGATGAAATGAAAACAGACATTCTTTTTGAACCTGTCTGGCAAAGAAAATAAAAACTTCAGAATCAGTCAGTAAAGTTAGCTTTTAAAGTTCAGTCTCTTTGATTGGAAGGGGTCTGCGTAGTGTTTTTGGCTATTCTTTGTTTTATAGAGAAGCCACTACAACAACTAGCTATGCATGACTCTTTCAGCATGCAGTCTCTAGTCGAGTCAGATGTTAGAGACCAACTTCTTGATACTTAGGCCAATCAGGAATTTTAAATTTTCAAAGCATGATGAGGTGCTAGCAATGGTTCAATATTTATTTTCTCATCAACTGTAATACAATTAAACCTTGTGTGAGTCTTAAGTCTCCAAATGTTGATCCTCAAACAGTCTGCAGGATCCTATCCTGCTCTGCATGTAGCAATTCATGCTGAGAAGACAAATGCTTTGCTCAGGGGAAAGAGATGCATTGGGTTACAGTTAGAGCTACATACATGAAAGCGAGCCCACTGGCCCCTGACCCTGAACCCCTACTTCACAGCATTACCTGTGGGAACACTGCCTGAAGAGCAGTATTTAGGAAGATCAGGGAAGGGAGGCAAAAAAAAAAAAAAAAAAAAAAAAGGTGGAGGTACTAGAGAAAAATAACAGCATCGAAACAGCATGTTGGAGTTTTTCTGTTTTACCTGTCTTATGGATAGAAGATCCCAGCTTGTTTTAAGAAAACACAGCCATTATTTCCTTTCTTGTGTTTTTGGATTCTGCACTAAGAAAATGAAGACATGGAAGCAGTGGACTAATACATTGACATTATATAACCTTAAGAAACAATGACATTGTATAACCTTAAGAAAAAAGTCTGAACTTTATTTATTTATTTATTTATTTATTTATTTTTATTTTTTTGAGATGGAGTCTTGCTCTGTCACCCAGGCTGCAGTGCAGTGGCTAGATGTCAGCTCACTGCAGCCTCCACCTCCCGGGTTCAAGCAATTCTGCTGCCGCAGCCTCCCGAGTAGCTGTACTACAGGCTTGCACCACCATACGTGGCTAATTTTTGTACTTTTAGTAGAGACAGGGTTTCACCATGTTGGCCAGGATGGTCTTGATCTCCTGACCTCGTGATCCACCTGCCTCAGCCTCCCAAAGTCCTGGGATTACAGGCATGAGCTACCGCGCCAGGCCAGTCTGAACCTTAGTAAGACATTCAGTGTGAGTGAATACAAGAACACTCATGTTGCAACTTCAGCATTATCATCATCAAACAGCATTTATTGAGTGTCTGGACTCACTGAGCATCCTTGAACCTACTAAGTTTAAAGTACTTAAGAAAGAAACTAAATCTCATGGTAAACACAACTCAACCAACATGAACTGATATCAGCCCCTTACATTGCGCCTTAAAGAAACCAGATTGTTTAAAGAAAAACTGTGTAGAGACTACATGTAAATCTTGTATGCTTTATCACTCTGGTAAATAAGTGGTTTCATTTTCTACTTTACTGATGTTTCAAAATGGTCAGAGGAACTCATAAAAGTTTCACAGCAATTCTCAGATAAGGTTTTATCATCAAAGACAACAAACTATAGATAAAAATTAATCTTCCAAAATGCATTTTCTTGGGTCATGTTTTCTGGAAATAAAAGTCAATGAAACTTGTAAAGTTTTACTTTGTGTGTTTTCCATGTATCTGCCACAGCCATTGCCATGAAATTTTCCTCCCAGCTGAGAAAATGTGCAAATACAATTGTATTGCTCGGGAACTTTTAAATCTATTAATATACTACAAACCTGAAACCCTAGCCTGCTCAGTTAGAAGCCAGAGAGGTGGTCATGCACAGAAGTCCCAGGAAGCAAATGTGTGTGTTCGACTTCTTTCAGGACATCATATCCCAACTGATTCTGATTTAATTGCTTGGGTAGGGACCAGGCAGAAGCATCTTATACAATCTCCCTAGGTGAATCTGATATTCACTGTGATCTGGTTTGGATTCTTTTACCTATTTCTAGCCATTAAAGCGATGTTACCAATACGTTAGTGACTGGATTTTTCAAGCAGGATAGAAATCACAATGATGATTCCACTAAGAGATAAGCTCCTGGATATCTACAAACTCTGATCACTCTCATTTCTCCTGTTAATCCCTACAGCCATGCCATGGGAGATAAGAGAGAAACAAGCTCTAAATTATATTGAATTGATTGTATAGAGCTTCTTAGACGCTAGCATTTTTCACTCACTTGGATATAGACTTCACTTAGCTGTCCTGGGGATGATGAGGCCCCAGCTTCTGGGACATTTATCACTTAAAAAAGTGGTATGTTGCTGTGACGATTAGAAAAACTGATAGCACTGTAAGGATAAAAGTCGAGTTGGATTCTAGTTCCAAGGGATTCAGCAGAGGCTGTAGGCAGATGCATTATCACACTGAAGGGAAGACAAACAAACAAACAACATCCATACATATACATAGAGTTCGAGGTAACAGGAAAGGTAAGCACTGAGGCCTGAGGAACCCAGAGCTGGTCAGGAACCCAGACAGAGTGGGCGAAGAAGCCAAACATTAAGCAAGGAAGTCAATGTATGCAGTTGATAGATAACTTGGAAACAGAGGCCATGTTCTTCCCACTTAGAAATGATATTCATGCTTCTAGAGTTGAACAATGAGATCAGGCAAGTGAATAAAAAATATCTGAAAGGGAAGACAGAGCAGTAAAAGTTGATGCCAGTTCTAGGTCATTCGTCATTCAGAATTGCATGGAGCTGGTAAAGAAAATAAGTAAATGACTCATACGCATCTGCTTACTGTTCTAGAGACTTCATATATATTGTCACACTTAATTCTCATTATAATTACAGATAAGAATTATTGCACCATTTTTCAGATGAAGAAACTGGAAATTCAGAGGTGTTAGCTTGTCCAAGGTATGTACTTATTAACGATAGAATTAAATTTGAACTATCTGCTTGTAATAAATGTTAGAAAATTTCCTCCCTTTTATTTTATTGCTTTATATTTTATTGCATTATAATTTCTGTGATCCAGAATAGAGAATCAGATAATTAACTACAAAGTGTCGGTGCTTTCTGTAACATTTGTGAAATTATACAGTTGTTTTGCTCATTTTTCATGTTTTTGTATTTTCATTTGCTGGGTTTTTTCTTCTAGCTTTGTAAACTTTGCTAGAAATATCTGAAGTGCTAATATTTGGCAATATATGTTTAAATTTTCTAACATCAAGTTTAATAACCTTAGTAGAATTAAATATATGAAAACAGAGCTTACCTTTATGATGCAGTGAGTATTTTTAACAATGACTTCAAATAGTAGCATAAGTTTACCAAGAATCTATGACTTTGGGATAACTAAATGATATGATTTCAGGTTTTGTTTAAGCAACACACAAACATGAGCTAAATTACTGAGGTTCTGTTTTATTAAAGATATAGAATTAAAATATAATTATAATTTTTTGAAATTAGTTGTCCGTATAGTAAATTATTGAACTGTTCACACATCTAAAACCTAACCTATGTGGATTAGGAACTCACCCTTTATCCAATCCTTGCTGTTTTAAAACTTTTCTAATATGCTAATATTTGAATTTAGAGAAAATTTAGAAAAATTTTTTTTTTTTGAGACAGAGTCTCGCTCTGTCACCCAGGCTGGAGTGCAGTGGAGCAATCTCGGCTCACCGCAAGCTCTGCCTCCCGGGTTCACGCCATTCTCCTGCCTCACCCTCCCGAGTAGCTGGGACTACAGGCGCCGGCCACCATGACGCCTGGCTAATTTTTCGTGTTTTTAGTAGAGACGGGGTTTCACCGTGTTAGCCAGGATGGTCTCGATCACCTGACCTCGTGAACCGCCCGCCTCAACCTCCCAAAGTGCTGGGATTACAGGCGTGAGCCACCGTGCCTGGCCTATAAAATATTTTAAAAGTCACAGCTTTATGTTTTAAAATAAACGTCTGCTGTAGAAGGCAGCATCAGTCCCAATCAATCAATCAGCCAGAGTTTATTCATCCTTTTCTACTTCCTGGATGCTGTTGTACAACCAAGAGAAGGGCGAATAAGACCTGGTTTTGCTCTCAAGAAAAACATACAAAAAATACAAAGAGAATACTCTAAGGTAGAGTTAAGTAAACGAGTATTTAAATAGATACTTTCAATCCAAGACATGAAGGAAGCAGAAAGTGAGGCTTGGAGATGGGTTTATAAAGGAGCTGGCATGTTCAATGAATGCTCAACAAAAAGGTATTATTTAAGGAAAAGTGGCAACAGCTTGTCAGACATAAACAAAGAATGGAAGGAAAACTATGTCATGGCTAGCCAGAGTGATGTGCTCATTTTGGAGAAGTGATACTGAAGACAGAAAGTAAGCCAAGATTACAGACAGCTTTATTTTCGTAGCAGTGTTTTAGACTTAGAACAACTTGCTGAAGGTTTTTAAGGTAAGAACTATTCTTAAAAAGCTTTGTTATAGATCAACTGGATGAAGTTTTGCAGAATGACTTGGAAAAAAAATGTAGTATCAGTCACGTCAAACATTTATCATTTCCTTGTGGTGAGAACATTCCAAATCCTCTCTTTTAGCTATTTTGAAATATACATTATTATTAACTGTAGTCACCCAGCGACATAATAGAACACCAGAACTTATTTCTTCTATGTATAATGGTATTCAAAGAGGTATTGAATTTTCATTTTTTTCTTGTTTTAGTATATATATTTTAAAAAGTCCTGTTATTGTTGAAAACCAAAAGGAATTTTGAAGGAAAAAATAGGAGCTTAAATACCTGAATAGTATGGCTGTAAATGATAGAAACATTAAATGTGACTCCAAAAGGCATTTGTAACAGTGGTACAAATAACAGAATGGGAGCTGGGTAGTGAGCGGATATTAAAATTCCATTTTGAACATAGTGGCAGTAAATTGAAAATATCTCAGAAATAGCTGAGCACGGGAGACTAGTGGTCTGTTCTGAAGATGGAGATTTGACAACAGGGAAACACTATGACATAGTGAGTTAATGTTCATACAAATTTAGGGCTTATTCTGATCCTTTCTCTTTGTCATCTGGGTGACCTCACCTAAGTCATCTAATCCTTGGAGTCTTAGATTTTTTGAAAATAAAAATTGTCTTTCAAAATTTTGGTGACTAGCACTTTGTAGGCACAATTGAAATGTTAGTTATTCTGAAGAAATAAT
Organism: Homo sapiens; assembly: GCF_000001405.40. Taxonomy (NCBI): domain Eukaryota; kingdom Metazoa; phylum Chordata; class Mammalia; order Primates; family Hominidae; genus Homo; species Homo sapiens. The sequence continues at coordinate 19,306,751 of NC_000007.14, forward strand.
CATTATCAAAAAATTTATTATGGCATCTCCATTGCTGTTTCACTTTAATTGAAGTTTGTCCTTGGCATACTAGTTGAGAACACCATCATGAGTTAATATGATTTTTTTTAAGTCAGGAATGTGCTAACATGGGTACTTTGGCCTAACACATGCAAAAGTATCGATTTGTGTGGAGAAATCTTTTCTCAATTAGATGCCTGAAAGGACAAAACATCATTATATGAATAACTTCGCTTTTTCTAAGTTCATCTTCCTAAAATACTGTATAACATATCCCAAAGGATATTGCTAATTTGAATCTCCTATTTTTGTAAAAGCTGTCTAAGAAACGAGTAATGAGAAGTGGTCATTTCTATGTAGCTAGAATATGTCTATCAGAAATGATGCCTGATGAAATGTGAAAATGCTGATTAATGAAGGAGAGATCGTATAGGTCTGGAAATGCCAGATAGCCCAGCACTCTAGGTTGCATCGGAAAGCAAAGAACGGGGGGAAATGTTCTGGTTTAGCCTCTGAATAAAAGAACTTCAGTCCCCGTGACTGCCCATCTGGCATTTTTCACCAGCACCAAATTCATTAGCAATGATTAGTCCTTTTCTCCAAACCTTTCACTCAAAATAAGTAAATAGAAGGAGAATTTAGGCAGTAAAAGATCAAGGGACAGTATCTCTATTTTAAGATGTCCTTAAGTTATCCTGATTGGTCAAAGCCTAAACAAGCATTAAAGAAGGAGGTACATGATGAAAAGATGAATTTTCCCTAAACAACCTAATGTTATGTTCTATGTTAGGTAACAGAGAATTTGGTTAAAGTGATTCACATATATTGACATTTCTTCACGTGAATTTAGATCAAAAATGACATGGAAGAATCTTTTTATTTCATTACCTCAGCCTTTATGTCTTTAATAGAAACCCTCACTATATAAAATTTTCATGTTTTTTAGCTCAATTTTTAAAAAATATACAATGTTATAATAAAAGATCTGTTTAATGCTGAGTCATCATATGGTCGATTGGACCCTCCATCATTATATTGGTTGATATCGTAAAGCCAATAGGCTTCCTAAGACTTTAGTAACCGCCTTCAACCTTTATGTATCAGCAGTCAACTCTAGATTTTAGGACTCAGTTTTAAAAGGAGAACAGAGAGAGGGAGATGGAGGGGGAGGGAGAGAAAGAGAAGAAGAGAGACAGAATTTAAGAATAGAGATTTAAGATTTAATAGAGATTTAATAATTTAAATAGAGATTTAAATTATTCACTTCTTAAATAGAGATTTAAGATTTAATAGAGATTTAATAATTTAAATAGAGATTTAAATTATTCACTTCTCAGAAGTTGCTCTTTTAGAAAATGCTTTCTGAAAATCACGATATAATGTGGCTCACCTAGAAAAAAATCAGGATTTACAAAACTGTCAGAAGCCTACATCAATTTTTTGATTAAATGCATATAACATAAAAATTAAAGAAACTTATCACTATACAGTGACCAAAATACTACAGTACTATACAATCATTTTCATATTAGATTTCATATAGGTTGGTACAAAAGTAATAGCCGTTTTGACCATTACTTTTTTTTTTTTTTTAAGACGGAGTTTGGCTCTGTTGACCAGGCTAGAGTGCAGTGGCATGATCTCTGCTCACTGCAGCCTCCGCCTCCCGGGTTCAAGCAATTCTCCTGCCTCAGCCTCTGAGTAGCTGGGACTACGGGCGCCCGCCACCACGCCCGGCTAATTTTTGTATTTTTAGTAGAGACGGGGTTTCACCATGTGAGTCAGGGTGGTCTCAGTCTCCTGACCTCATGATCCACTGGCCTCCAGAAGTGCTGGGGTTACAGGCATGAGCCACTGTGCCCGGCCTGGCCATTACTTTTAATGGTAAAGACAGCAATTACTTTTGCATCACCTAATAAATATGCTAGTTAACAGTGGTGAGAGAAATAATATAAGTTGTTTTATGAAATCCCATAGTATGGTGCCATATCTTTTCCCAAGCATATTTTTATTTATGCCTGGGTAAATTCCTATTACTTATTGCTGTCCTTTTTTTTCATGTATTAACCTTGCTTCTCATATTCTCATGTTCCCTTACACTCTTACTCTTAGTTATATTTTATGTTTTTGGAAATTCACTTTGTAACCAGATTTGTGTATGTAACTACACATTTAATGTCATGCATATTTAATACTATGCACTCCTAATAACATCTACCATATAAAGAACATGCATTTTAAGAAGTATGTTGGCAATAGCCACAAAGCTTTTATTTTGTGTGTGTGTGTGTGTGTGTGTGTGTGTGTGTGTGTGTGTGCGTAGGGGGTCCTGATCTGTAAATGTGTTCTCAAATACAATAATCTTAATATTGTTGGATTTTTTTTAAAGGGATACAATGTGAATAGGTAATACTTATTGAGCACTGGGCTAAGCCATACACACACACACACACACACACACACACACACATACACACACACACAGAATGTCATTTTTGCTCATATAATAACCTTATAAAGATGGAAACTATTTTTATCCTCATTTTAATATTAAAAAAGAGGTTTGAAAGCAAGTAACTAGAATGAAGGTACATTGTAAATGGTGGGACTGTAATTGAAAATCTTGAGCTCCACATGTTTGTAAAACAGAATTCTCAGAAAACAAGATAATTTTCATGTATACTGGCATTAGCTATAGTGCTTATGGCCTACAATTTTGGTTAGTTCTGCCACTGAGAGATTAATTTTCTGCCATTGGATATTCCTCAATACCAGTTGTCTGTCATATTTCCCAATTTGCTGAAGGCTAACAATGAGGGTGTGTGTGTGTGTGTGTGTGTGTGTGTGTGTGTGTGCAGGACAGGTAAGGGAGAAAGGATTTCATTGAGAGTGAGTTCTTCACCAGACTGAAGGATGCTGAATACTGCTGAGTATGATCTCCTTGCCCTGGTAATAATTCCTTTAGGGTTCTAGGGAAGAAGTATATGGCACCAGAAACAAGCCTTTGGGTTTAGATCATTGTTCAGTTTGATAACTTGGGAGTTGGGACTTCTGACTGTGATTAACTGGTTGGTGCACACTGAAGTCTATCTTTAGCATGCTTCAGCATCTCTCTGATGGCATTAGTGGATGGGGAATTTACATTTTTGTTTTCAAAAGAGAATAACCAAATGCCTAGAATTAGTACTAGCATAGCAAAATTTTAGTGGTGAGTACCTGTAAATATTTTCTTGAAAAATCAATTATTTCATAACAGTGGTAGCAAAATTAATTTGTCAAATATTTATGACAAAGTCTGTGCCAATTCCTGCCTCATTTTTACCTTGATCAGGAACCTCCAATGCTGCTAATGCTCTGTTTTCACTGAAGGAAACACCTGTTGCCTAAAATATTAATAACTCAGGTCAATTTTAAGACTGTGAAACCTCGGAGTCTATTCCATGGTTATTTTTATTTGTTTAACTATTACAAATAGGCACTTCATCTTTGAAATGAGAACAAGTTGTATAACTTTATTAATGAAAACTAGAAGTCTGAACTATTCTACTACTTGGCTATGTAAGTGGTTTGTGATAACCAATACATCTTCCTTTCATGAAATGTTCTAGAGATACATTTTCCTGACGTCCTTAGTCAGTTGATAGCTTATCTCTGCAGGAGCCATGATTTAGTTTTGCAGATCTAGTAGAAGGAAGAATTTCCAATATATTTTTTTAAAAACTAAAATTTGATTTCCATCTGGGCAATATGGATTCTCCATTCACAAGGCTGTAAAATATCTATGAATAAAAATTTTCTAGCATGAGATCTCTATTGAGGAGGAGTCTGGGATAAAGACTATTGGATCAGAAGTCAACAGCTTTAAATTCTTGTTCTTGTGTAATGTCGAACCACCCTGACACCTTGGTTACATCGCTTAATTTCCCCGACGCCATTCTTTTCATTTGTTAAACAAAAACTTCAGTTTCTGGGGACTCTCCTTACTCCAACTCAATTAATGACTACGTGTTCCCTCCAGTTTTGTTTGGGACCAGAGTGTGCCCATTGCCATTCCTGTGGCTGTGAGCGCTTGTCACTTTGATACATCCTGAGAAATGAGTATTTGGCTTGTTTAGTGACACTAGATGAAGCCTAAAGTTTATGAAGCTGCTGTAGGTTTCGTTGTTTCGGCAGCACTTTTTATTATCACATCTAGGTTTTATAAGTACTGATTAATATAGAGGAGATGACAGATTTTTTTCTATGAATGTTTTATATACTATAATCCTATTTTTTAAAAAAATCAGTTATTTAATTGGAACATTTTAAAAAGGATTTGTTTTATTTGAGGGGCTCCAGTTTTTAAAGAAGTTAAAAGTAATCTTAAAAAGTTCGAAATAGGGCCGGGTGCAGTGGTTCATGCCTGCAATTCCAGCACTTTGGGAGCCTGAGGCAGGTGGATCACCTGAGGTCAGGAGTTCGAGATCAGCCTGATCAACATGGTGAGACCCCCGTCTCCACTAAAAATTCAAAAATTAGGTGGGCATGGTGACGGGTGCCTGTAATTCCAGCTACTCAGGAGGCTGAGGCAGGAGAATCACTTGAACTCAGGAGGCAGTTGCAGTGAGCCGAGATCGTACCATTGCACTCCAGCCTGCACAACAGAGCAAGACTCGGTCCCCCCCACCAAAAAAAAGCTCAAAATAGGTATATGATAACATCAAATAAGAGAATTTAAAAAGCTGACTTTTCGCTATGTTGAACTCAGTCTTATTCATGAATAAATTTGGTAGTATACATAGTTGGCTCAAAGGTAATTATCTGGCGAAGCTGAAATTTTATTGTGATAAATATTATTAGTCATTGTATATTTATGCTAAGATGGACTATTCATATGTAAATTAGTCAAAAGCTGAAGAAAATGAGGAGTTAAATCAATGAAAGCATTTCAGAGTTGATTTATATGATATTCAAAAGTAGTAACTTATTTATCAAAGACTATGAGTCTAAAAGCACATGTAAATTCCCTTCCGTTAATGTATCTCTTTCCTACTTCCCCATCCACCTCTAAAAAACTCCGTAGTTTCTAGACTGTGACCTTTGCTGAGACTTAATATTCTAAATCAAGTTATTATACTAGGTTTCCCAGTGCTCTCCTTCACTCTGTTGAAACTCTAAGTTGATATTTAAGAACAATTCATGCAAACTTTGAAAAAAAGTACCATTTCCAGTTTAAAAAAAAAATCTTAAAGCTACTTTGAGTGCTGTCCAGGAAAGAAAACAGATTACAACTTTTGATAACATAGGAAGAAAATATTATTATCACAGCTTGAAATCTGTTAACAGGAACTTTCTTTAGGGAACAAACATTAAAGTACAACAGAAATTTAATTACAAGAAGATTTTCCACTTGTCAGAAATATTTGCATTAATGTCAGTAATAACTACAATAAAGAGACTATTGTCTGTTGCTGGGAGAAAAGGAGATGAAAGGATCCCTGAGTCCCTGTTACAGACACACTAAAGGCACGTTGAATATTGAGATTTTCTTTTGGATAAACCAAAACAAAATATTGAGTAAAAAAATATTAAAGCAATATTCATTCATTAGTATCATATTGATTGTCAATGTTTACCAGGGAATTGTCGGGGCTACTATTTGCCCTTTTAGCCTGGTATGAAATTAGCTCATTCAGTATATAATATTTGTGGAGAAATGTGACAGCAGCATAGAAGAACATTGAGATCTTTTATTGATTCTTCCTTTGCTTTCCACCCCTGAGTTCAGGGCACTGCTTATAGCATAAGTTTCAAGAGCTGTATCTAATCTAGATATTGAATTTGTTTAGAACCTCTATCATAATGACATTGCAAGAGTGAGGGGCAACAGGAGGTCCCTGGCAGATGAGGTAATCCTTTCAAATGCAGTGTTTATAGGCCTCTTTGTGCTAGTGAAATGAATGTATTGCAAGGAACTAAGAGTATTCTCATGAATTAATTTTCGTTATCCATCTAGTATCTATTGGAAAAAAGGGAGCACTTTGCAGAGCTCTTACTATTTGTGAAACCCTTTGCACATATTGTTTCACTTGTCCTTACAATACTTTCTTTCCTTTTTTTTTTTTTTTTTTTTTTTTTGAGACAGGATCTTGCTCTGTCACCCAGGCTGGAGCGTGCAGTGGTGCAATCTTGGCTCACTGCAACCTCCACCTCCTGGGTTCAAGTGATTCTCCTGCCTCAGCCTCCAAGGTAGCTGGAATAACAGGCACCCACCAGCATGCCTGGCTAATTTTAGTATTTTTAGTAGAGACGGGGTTTCACCATGTTGTCCAGGCTTGTCTCGAGCTCCTGACCTCAAGTGATCCACCCGCCTTGGCTTCCCAAAGTGCTGGGATTACAGGCATGAACCACCACACTCAGCCACAATACTTTCTTGATGTGGGTATAATTATGTTCTTTTCAGATACTTCAGAGAAGTAAAGTGTATTTCTTAAGGCCATTTAGCTAGAACACAGTGAAGCCACGATTCAAATGTAGGACTGCAGAGTTCACAAAACATGCACTTAACCACACCATTTTCTATAGCTTTGGTGAGCAATTTGAAATATCCTTTGAGACCAATTTCAACGTCAACATAATAAAGACAAAGCTTTTATCTAGTGTTTCCCAACCTATGGATTATGTACCCTTGGGAGATACCCAAGTTAATATAATGCATCCGTAAATCCAAATATACATCAAGCATTATCTATATGCAATGAAGCTGTTACATCCTACATTTATTAAATGTAAATATATGCATATAAATAATAAGATATAAATCCAATTATTAATCACCATTGATTTTTAGGAGCTTTGTTCTTTATAATTTTCCTAAGCAATTTTGTCAAAAAGGAATAATTCTAAACATGTGGGGTTAGCAAAGTTATTGTTATGATTTTTTACTTTCAAAAGGGGTTCTTGTTCTTGAAAATCCTAAGAACTGCCATTTTGTGGGGTAATGATTTGGACTACTTTTACTCATATCATTCATTGTACATTCATTCATTCAGTAATTAAATTCTGGTTGAACATCAACCATATGCCAGACATTATTTCTAGTAGCAGTAAAGAAAATGGACAAAGATCCCCACTTTTGAGGAGCTTAAATTTTGGTGTCATGTATATTATGTTATAATGTATATGTTGTAGCACAGCCAGAACTGTTTTCTAAAATAATCTTGGCCCGACATGAAGATATTGCCTTGCTAACCTTTTTTGTAGAGTTAGAGTGGGAAATGATTCAGACTAGAATCCTGTAAGGTTCTGACAGAGGCGATTTTGGAAGTTTGGATTGGATAAATTGTCAATCAGGATCAGCTGTATGCAATGCCTAAACTCTAGGGTATTGCCATAGAATGTAGCCTTGGTGATCCAACTCTTATTAAAGCTCGTTTTTTGAAAATTAATACTAAAAAAATAGCCTGAAGTATATGCATCCTGATCCATCTAGTCTGCTAAATAGCATAAAAATGTATCCCTGAATAAAGTTAGGCAATCAGAAAGCTGCCTGCTTAGATTGTGTGGTTTTGGCAGTCCTTTCGAATTCTGTACATTAAATTGTGCTTTGGCATGAAGTTGGTGAATAAGGTGGGGCAGCCACAGTGAGAAACAACTCTATGGAGCTCTCTGTGTATTGCAGGTTTATTATAGAGGATGACGCTCCCCAAAATTTCCTCAGTGTCCCTTCTGTGATGAACCGTAGGAGAGTTTTGTGTAGACTTCAGTGTAGCAAAATGTGTGTTTCTCTGGAACAGCTGGTATTTTTTTATCTTACGCACAATGATAACTTATAACTGATCATATTTCTCAATTTATTTTGTCTGATAGGGGAGTCAGAGCTGAATTTATGATCCATTTTAAATTCTTTTGCAGAAATATACACATTTATTTCCGAGTTCTTACTCTCTGGCATCTTCATAAAATATGAGCTTCATTTTCTCTGTGTCCTGATTTTCCTAATTTAAAAAGTTTTATTTTACTATGTGAATTTTTATAAGCAACTACAAATACTTTTGAGAACAAGGCAGGCTACGTGGTTATTAATGAAATAAGTATAATAAGAGCTAGGAGAGATTGGAGAAGTAAAAACTCTAACCCCCAGCGTCATAACAAAAGTCATAACAAATGTACCATAATAGTGTAAATTAACCCTGTAAGGTGACTGCTCACCATTTTTTAAAAACTGTTGCAAAATCAGCCCCAGAAAATCCCTTAAACTGTCTTCAGATTCTTGCCCCTACGCTAGCACCCTGTGGTTTGCTGTTCTCAGGGCTTTCCATTTCTGTATAGGGTGGCTCAAAGAAAACAGTTTACCTGAAACAAGAATTTAAACAACTAAAGATAAAGTTGGATGATATGTTTATAATATTTTATTTGAATTATACCATCTACATCTTTAAGGACCACATATTCTTATAACTCAGTGTAAGACAGAGTCTTTATTTCTGATAAGAGCTTGGATAGAATATTTTGACATTTACACTGAGTTTTACATTCTATGCTTCCTCTAATTAGATTACTTTTCCAAGTTGTTTAATTTCAGTCTCCTACGAAATAGAATTCATATGAATAGAAGTATTTGCTTATTTAACAAAGACATATTTTAACAACACTCTATATCTAAGTTTCAGAGACCCAGTTACATTGAGAGAATAGAGATAACTTCATGCTCTAGCCATGCTGGTCTATCTTTATTTTTAAAATAAGAATTTAAGCCATACTCCACTATCAGTTTTGTTGGTTTATTAACTGTAGAATACTAAAGTAACTGATGATCACAGGAGGTTCCTGTTGAAGTTCATTGGACTGAGGATGATAAATCTCTTAAGAGGAATTTAGATTAGTAAATGTACAGCCCTCACAGGTCATATTAAGCTTATTATTCCCAAATATGACTTTGGTTCTTTCCATAGAGCACAATTCATACTCCTCCATGGTCCCAAGGAGATTATAGATGTAAACAGGAATTTTCTCTTGTGGAGTGAAAGAGGAGTCCAGCAGGATGTGAACCAGGCTAATAAAATGTGAATTTATGGGCGTTCTGCTTCTGAACCCACTTTCTGTGTCTGTTAAGTCCAGGTCTTCCTAATCCTTCCCCACTGCAGACAGGTGCTGCTCTTCTTTTTATATAGTTATTGAATATTAACTACAAAAGTGTGTTCTAAGATAATATTAGGATTCTGGCATTCATAGCCACTGAAGGCAAACAAATCAGTGCTCAGGTGAATTAAGAAGAACCAAAGCCCCAGTCGAACAATCTCTGAGACAGTGTTTGGCCATGTATTTGAATAAAGTATAAACAGCTTCCTTAAATTTTTAAAATGTTTTAGTTAGTTCTGAAAAAAACTTTTGTCTTGATAATTGTCTGCATATTTATTTATAAAGACTGATAATTGATCTAAAATATTCAGAAAGAATTAAGCAGTAGACATTATCCCAGACCCATATGGCAACCATTTTATGAAACTTTATTTAGCACTCAAACAAACAAACAAACATTCCCAGTGAAAAAAATACTGAGCACTGTATTTCTCATACAGTCACAAATAAATTTTGTGGTTTTCTAAGATACCTAACACTTTTCTCAAAGTGAGAAGCTTTTCAAAGTTAAAGTCAGTTATTCATGTGGAGTGATTCTTAAAATGCGTAAGAATGTAAATAGCCAAAAATTGAAGTTAACCTCTTTTGACAATTCTGTAATGTCTACCATTACAGATTCAAAACAAGACAATAATTCTATATGAAAACTTTACTAGTTTGGTCCTAAAAAAAATCTAGGATAAAAAGATATGTGGGATGCTTCCACATACTATTTCATAAAATTATGCGATTTGATCTGCTTGTCGTAGTCTGGAATGTATTTTCCCTGGTGTTTGGCTTTTTCCCCCTCATGCCTGAAATGAATTTTCTGCAGTTTACATCTTTGCTACATACTATGTAGTCTGAACAAAAATATCATCCTTCTCTACGGAGTGAGTGAAGCAAATGCTTCTTTACATGGGGTATTTCACCACCTATACTTCTTCAGGTGCTTTTGTTTAGAAATGTCACTCAGTTCATTTTTACTCCTTACTGTATTTTTAATGTAGTAAAATCTCCTTTGTGTCATGTCTATTATGAACTCTTTTAATTTCAACCTGCTGCTTGCATAAGTCTTAACCTATCTAAAATACTGCCACCTATTTCCTATCATTTCTCTTCTTTGCTTTTTTGTTTCTTCCCACTTTTTATTGCCTTTCTTAGTGTAGGCTCTTTGGAGATAATCAGCAAATATTTGTTGAATAAATGAACAAATAAACAAATTCATCTGTTACATCTACCATATATTGCCTCATGTTGTAATTAAATTGTGTACAAATAAACTGTAAGTTCCTTGAGGGATATAATGTAGAAATACATCCCCTCCTCCACACTTATAAGTGTGCACACCCACATACATATACACAGTACCTTGCTCAGAATATTTCCAAGGTAGATTGTAGATGTCAAAATGTTTATATTGAATATGTATGTCAAGGTAGGTTAGTGGCATATCAAAACATGGAATATACTGACACCACATCTTAAATGTGATGCTATTCTTTTTTATTTATTCATTCAACAAACATTTAGGGAGTTCCATAGTATGCCACACATTGTTTCTGATACCAACACAGTGGTGGTGAATGAAATAGATGGAGTTTCTGACTTCATAGGTCTTATATTCTAGTAGAGAGACAATAAACAAAGAGATGAATAAATATGTGACATGCCATTATTAATAACATGCTATAAAGAAAATGAAACAGGGTCCTTGCAGTGACCATGAAGAAAAGGGCTACATCAAATCAGGCCTCTCCACAGTGATATTTAAGTAGAGATATGCATGAAGCAAAGGAATGAGTCATGTAGCTATTTGGTAGAACAATGGTTTAAGCAGAGAGGACAGCAAATAAACAAGTTCTTAGGCCAGAATGAAATTGGCCAGTTCAAGGATGAGCAAAATAGCCAATGTGGTGAGCTCATGTGAATGAGACAGAGGACTGGATTATCTACCTGGGCATATCCACTTGAATGTTACACAGGCAACTCTAATGAGAAGGAGCCAGCAAAGGAGCCTGCGATGCCTTGGCCACTGAGGAAGAAGTAAAATTAGGGACTATGAACCCTTGGAGCACAAAGTGTCCAAGAAGAAGGGGATGATCTTCCGTGTTCAGCACTGCAGAGAGATCATTTAAAATGAATATTGAACATTGATCAGTTGCTTTGGCCAGAAGAACATCCATGGAGATCTTTAAAAGAATGGTTTCCATAATGAGTGGGGATGAGCACCCAACAGGAGTTGGTGGAATAAAGAAGGAGAGGTGAGAAACTGGAGAGAGTGAATATAGGTATATTTTGAGCAGGCAGGAGTTTCTTTAGAAAGGAAAACAGCAATGGAGAAGTTCTGTGGGGGATACTTAGGGCCTGGAGAATTTTTTGTTTGCTTGTTTATTTTATAAGATGGTCAATATTACAGCATTACAAGTTGAGCATTTCTCATCCAAAATCTGAATCATCCAAAAATCTGAAATCTGAGATGCTCCAAAATCTGAAACTTTTTGAGTGTTGACATGATACCAGAAGTGAAAAATTTCACACTATACCTCATGTGCTGGGTCATATTAAAATGCAGGCACACAACACACAATTTATTCAGCATCTCCAAGGGAGAAAACACCCTCCCAGCCCGCATCAGCCGTGATAGATCTGTTTCCCACACGCCCAGATTCCTCCATGCAAGCACACCCACAAAGGGTAATAAAATGGCACGTGTGCAGGCCGGGTAAGCCAACAGCAGGGTCTTCTTCATGCCCCACATGGGGCCAAGACCTACAGACATTGCTCACTGTACTTTTTGCTTATTCTCTGCTCTGTGGTGTAAATATATTGTTAAAAATGTCAAAAAGGTGTGTACATACCCCAATGGCTAACAGGAATAAGAAAAAGAGGAAGAACTTATGTTGATCTATGGCACAGAAGGTCACACTGTTGAAGAAACTAGACAATGGTATAGTGTGAAATGTCTTACAGAAGAGTATGGTGTTGGACTGACTCCTGTATATAACCTGAAGAAACAGAAGGATACACCGTTGAAGTTCTTCTGAAAGTGATGAACAGAAGTTAGTGAAAGATAGAGAAACACTACATAAAGTTAAAAATGAAGATCTCAATCATGTATTGAAAGAGTAAACCCTAAGTGTTGCAGTGAACACATCCACTTTCTTGCATACTGATGGTAAAACAAGAAAAGATCTATCACAATAAACTGAAAATTGAAAGGGACTGTGAATATTCAACAGACTGGCCACAGAATTTTTTTTAAAAGACATGACATGAAAATTTTAAGGACATTAGGTATATAGCAGCTGCTCATCATAAAACACCAGAGAAATTCATTGATGAGTGTGCCAAGGCCATTGATGATGAAAATATGACACCAGAACATATAATGAAAATATAATGCTGATAAGACTTCATGCTTTTGGCTTTATTACCCCAGAAAGACACTGACTACATCACGCTTTTGGCTTTTTTACCGCAGAAAGACACTGATTACAACAGGTGAGACAGCCTTTATAGAAATTGAGGATGCCATGGACAAAATAATTGTGCTGAGATGTGTTAATGCAGTAGGCACTCATAAGTGTAAACTGGCTGTGATAGACAGACTTTTGCACCCTTGCTGTTCTCAAGGAGGGAATGTCTTACTAGCCCGTTATTATGCTAACCCAAAGGTATGGATCATCAGAGACCATTTTGCTGGTGGGTTTCACAAGCATTTTATACCAGTGGCTTGTGCTTACTGCAAGGAAGCTGGACTGGATGACAACTGCAAGATTTTCTTATTCCTCGACAACTTTTCCACTCATCCTCCAGCTGAAATTCTCATCAAAAATAACGTTTATCCCATGTACTTTCCTCCAAATGTGACTGTATTAATTCAACAATGTGACCAACATATTCTTAGAAGAATACCTTGAAGAGTAAATATAAATACCTTGAAGAGTAAACATAAAAACACCTTCTCAAACAGCACGCTAGTAGCAGTGAACAGAGGAGAGCATGTGGAAGGTTTTCAAAAAAGTTTAGCATGAAGGGTGCTGTATATGCTGTTGCAAATGCTGGGAACACAGTGACTAAAGACACAGTTGTGCATGCCTGGCACAATATCTGGCCTGAAACTGTATTCAGTGATGATGATGAAAAAGGTGGCGATGTAGAAGGATTTCATATGCCAAGTGAGAAAGAAATACTGTCTGACCTCCTTAAATAGGCAAAAAAAATGTACCTTCGAAGTCCATCAGTAAGCTGGCAGAAGTCAATATTGAAGAAGTTTTTAACATCAATAATCAAGCTCCGGTTGTTAATTCCTTAACAGATGGCGAAATAGCCAGGGAATGGTTCTGAATCAAGGTGATTGAGATAACAGTGACAATGAAAATGACATTGTTAACTGTAGAAAAAGAGTCTATAAATGGCATGGTGAAATGTGAAAATGTGTGGTGGTGGTCTTTTTGAAGGACTAGAGCAGTGTGCGTTTGTAACAGAAAAATAAATGATGTAAGCGGATAAAATCAAAGAGCTCTCTAAAACAAAACCATTGTTAATGAGGCAGATGACTCTGGAGGAAACATTTAAAAAAGCCATCCGGGAGGATGCTTCCTCATCCCTGCAGGACCCACTTCCTGGTCCCTCAACTGCTTCTGATGTTTCTTCTCACCTAAAAAAAAAAACAAAAAAAAAAAATACAGTGCACAGCAACCTTTTCATCAAAGCACAGCACTGTAGGTGGGGACTGAAAGCCTGCCATTGTTTGTTGTTGCTGTTGTTTGATAGCTGATACAGGTATTCTGGTCATACTACTGGGCTGCTTCATTATCCTGAACACATTGTTTTTATCATTGTATTAATAGTATGTCATTTTTTAACTGTTAAGTACTTATGTGTGAATAAGTATAAGAAAATGATGGCTTATAGGTAGCATACAAATTCAGAGTCAGGAATGATGGTCATGCCAAATAACCACAGATTGCCTCATGGGTGGCTGAGATAGTCACACCTTTGTTTCTGAGGGTTTAATGTTTACAAACGCGGTTTCATGCACAAAATTATTAAGCCTATTGAATAAAATTACCTACAGGCTCTGTGCATAAGATGTATGTAAAACATAAATAAATTTTGTGTTTAGACTCGGATCCTATCCCCAAGGTATCTCATTATGCATTTGCAAATAATCTAAAATTAAAAAATTTTTAAACTCTGAAACACTTTTGGTCCTAGCTATTTCGGATAAGACATACTCAACCTATATATACAAATGTTATAAAGAGAACAATATATTCAATAATAAATAATCTCTGTTCTCTGCCTGTAAAATAAGGGTGAGAAGTTGTGATTGGGTCACAATCAGCTTGACTGATATCATTTATACACACACACACACTCAAATGCATGTTAGTTCAAGGTTCCAGAGATTGGCTTTAGTAACTGAGAGAATATTTAATATTGAGATAAGGTCTTCAGATTTTTTAACTTCCTTCATCTCATCTCTGCCTCCCTGAAAAACCTATTGATGTGTTTGTGGAATATTCATTCATTCATGTAATAAATACTTCTAAAATTCATTCAACACTGTTCTGGGCTTGGAGTGTGGAGAAGAGAAATGAACAGACTTGTCCTCTACCTTCTTGGTATTTGCACTGTCTGTTGATTCAAAGAGAAGGTAGCCTATTTTTTATCATTTGCATCTCGTAAAGTTTGTCTAAATAGCACAGGTCTAAATAGCACAGGTTGAAATGTCTAATTTAAAATTTGTTCATTTTTTTTTAACTTTGAAGTTCAGGGTTATATGTGCAGGATGTGCAGGTTTGTTACATAGATCAATGTGTGTCATGGGGGGTTGTTTAAAATTTGTTCATATTTCTATGGGACTAATTTAATTTCTATTTTTATAAGAACATTAAAATGAATAAATTCCTTTGTTGTGTTTCAGAGGCTGTCAAGAAATTTTGGAGTATAGTTTAATTTTATTGTGAAAATTATTTTTAATTACTTGCAGCTTCTGTGATTATTAATTCCAGTGATAATAAGTAAAACCTTTAAGATATTGAAAAGAATATATTTGGCATAGGATTGTGAAATGAGCTTTCCAAAAAAGATTCTGTGAGAAAAAAATACTTTCATTCCAGTGAACATCCAAGACTAGGACACACACACAAATCTCATATTATCTGGGATAAATATATGCATTACAGTCATAACTAACCATTATATTTGCTAGTGACTCCTCAGGCAAAAATTATTGACTGTGTATTATGTGTTTGAGTGACATTTTTGTTGTCATTTCTGCCTTAGCTTTTACCAAAAGTTTTTTGAAACTTGAAAACTGAGCTACTTGCAATACTCTGGGGGCCAAGTGCAAGAGGAAAAATTTTATGTGAATTTGTTCCATAATGATATATGCCCAGCATGGGGTGGAATGCGAAGAAGGAAAAAGGTTGAAGACATTGAACAACTTTATTGAGCCTCCTGTGTGGTGTCTTTACAGTAGGACATTATTATTTCCCTTGGAGTGGATCCCCAGCGCAGCAGATTCCATCTTAGTCAAATGTCAGTGTAAAAACACAATTGCTTGATTCAAAGTACAAGCTTTCCTAGGATGATTTGCCAGCTTGGGTTATTTTCTTTTCCGTTTGCTTCCATTTATAACAACAACCGACAGTTACTTGCACCTATATAAGACTTATGACAATTTTTCCTCTTAATTAATTGCATGGTTTTATTTGCTTATCTTTTACTTGCAAAATCTGCAATAAAATTCCAGTCTCACGTGTCCCATGTGTTTTAAGTTTATTTTTTCAGATCCCATAAATGTTATTTAGTTTAGTAAAATTGAAGTCAACTTATAAATGATAAACAATTTCAAGAAAGTAAGATATCTTCCTGGATTTGAGGGAATCAGTAATATTTGTTGAGGACCTAACACATGCTGGATACTGTTCCTGGTGTCATGGGAGAAACAGTGACATCACAGATGGACCTTGGCATCACGAAATTAGAATTAAACTGGGGAAAGACACATACACATACCGAATTCACTGAATATAAGAAAGAATGCTCCTTTGGAGTAAAGTTTTCAGGTTAATAGTTTGTGAGTTATTTTTTCCCCACATTCTCTCTTAAAATGCTTAAATTTTTTTTTAAAGTTAAAATAGTCTAGTAACGAGAAAAGACTGTGGTAACTTTTCAAGGGGACTTACCTTGGAAGAGGAAATAGTTTAGCCGGGGAGAGGTGAGATACAATGGCAATACAAATTTCAGCCTCAAAATAAAAATGTTAAACCTTTAAGTATTTTGTAATTAAAAAATAGAATCTTAGTTCTAAGGAAGCTGATCCATTATTTATCCAAGTCTTTTTAAAGAATGGTGAAATACCAAAGAAGAAAATTTCAGACAAACCAGAGCATTTTTACCCAGAAAATTATACACCCATAAAAGAGAATAATGATTAAAAATTGTGACTCTTATGATAGCTTTTTTTTCCCCATAAACAACTTGCATAATTGTATCTGGAGGGAGAGTTCAGCACAAGTCTTTCGTACCTAGACTCTGCGGAATCAAAGTCTTGCACCCTGGCAGACTAAACTCTGCTCTTAATCCTTCTGGGGTGGATAAATTAAGTTTCACACATTTAATTTTTTAGATCTCATTGATACTACAGTGCATTCGTGATTTGAAATCTCATTGGTGCTACAGTGTATTTGTGATTTCATGGATATTGTGAACATCACAGATCCACTCTGCTGTCCTTGGCCTAAACATCTGTGAGGCAGACAAAATGCGAGGGAATACTGAGAACTTCAGTTAGGTACAGGGTAATGAAAACAAATGCTCTCTTCACCTCATCTCATTTGTGTAGAAGTTATGTTAAAATTAAACAGAAGGGAAAAACTGTAATGACAGTGGTCTTGATCCTTTTGTCTAATTTGATCATAGGCAAAATGTTTGTCAGTTCAGTTAAGTATACTGAAGGTTCAGGGGAGAATCTGGTAATCTTCAATGTCAGCAGCTTCAAATTTTTTCTTGAAAATTTATTGGTGGCTAAAGGTACGTCTCCTATCAGAAATGGAACAAAGGGAGGGAGGGAGGGACAGAAGAAAAAAGAAATTTTAAAGGAAGAAAGAAAGTCAGGTAAGAAGGGAGGAAGGAAGGAAGGAAGGTAGAAGGGAGGGAGGGAAGGAGGGAGGAGGGAGGGGAGGAGGAAGGAAAATCAAACATGTTAGCATCTAATTAATTTTTCATCACCGTCTTGCTTCTCTTAGAAGTTCATTTGCCACCTGTCAGCCAAATTTCAGATAGACCCTTTCAGCAAAGTCTGTATTCTCTGTAACCAGCTCACCATGCCAGCTCCTTCATGCAGCTCTGAAGCGGGTCTTGCAACTACCATTATCTTGGGATTGACATTGTAGTACTCTTATGCTTAGAACATGATTGGATAGGGTTGGAAAAACAGGGATTAGGGAAACCAACTCTCTGTTTCCAGAGGCATGAATGAGCAAATGAGGCATGAAT
Source organism: Homo sapiens (assembly GCF_000001405.40). Classification (NCBI taxonomy): domain Eukaryota; kingdom Metazoa; phylum Chordata; class Mammalia; order Primates; family Hominidae; genus Homo; species Homo sapiens. The sequence continues at coordinate 19,324,364 of NC_000007.14, forward strand.
GATGTTTTGCAGGATCCTGCCTCATCATGGGATTGTGTTTTCTTTATTCTACTGTAATCTAGCAACCTGTATTAGTATCTCATTTAAAATAACCCATTAAGATATATAATATATATTATATTCATACACACACATACATATACATACATAGTATATATGTATGTAAGTGTATATACATATATATGTGTATATGTTATATATTATATAGCTCAATGGGATATTTTAAATGAAATTTTACATATATATATATATATATATATAGAGAGAGAGAGAGAGAGAGAGAGAGAGGGAGGCATGTAAGCACTACGAACTCATAGATAATTGGTTTTAAACTGCAGTCCTTTCATTAAGGGGTTCCTTTCTTCGTAAATTGTTTCTAATCTATATGTCATTCAGTGCCATGTAAAAAATCTCATGGTAATAATTTCAGCATTATTTACATTTTCTCCCCCAAACTAGAAGTTAATCAAGTATTGTCCCCACTTTTTTTTCTGATTCTCAAACCCAACATTAGCACGAGACCATTCATTTAAAAATGAGATGATAATATAATCCACACCAATCATATACCACTTCATCTCTATTTGGTGGCATTACCCTCTATAATATATCCTAACTGAGGATATTTATAATTAGAAAACTACCACTTCCCACTCAGGTTTTATTTCAACTTCTCTTAATTGGTAACTTGACTCAGCTTCCGCTGTGATGACTACTCTGTCTGGCTTCTCTCCCTTCCACCTGTGGGGTGCACCTTCAAACCTTCTGCTTTTTATTGCACACATTCCACTCTAGAAAACTACTCCACCTTTGACAGCTGAATCCTTTTCTTTCTTACCTTAAATCCAATTCATAACTAACCTTAAAATTTCCCATTTGACAAATGTCACAAGGACTCTTAATGGATATTTCTTTTATTTTCTTTAATGTATTGTAAATGCTTTCATCTAGTGATCTATGTCTTAGGCTTCTAATAAATTTCTTCTTCCATTCCTAATGCAAGGTATTATATGAAAAAAATAAATAAATAAATAAAAATAAATACAAACATTATATATGTGTTTTACATTATGTATTATATGAAATTAGTAGACAAAATTAACTTTTTTCTCTATTATTTTTAAACTGGGGCAAATGACATTTTGAATTGTGTTCTATGCAATTTTTAAATTTGAAAAATCTTTTTTTAGATAAAAGGATAGACATTAATTTAAAATCCCAGTTCAGTATCTATTTTGTATTTCATAAGGTTAGTTTTTGACAATATTTATTTTTCAAACCAAGAATTCTGGACCACCATATTTGGTATTTCATATTAAATAAGGAATTATCTTTAAATACCCAATCATCTGAAAGTATTTAATTTTGAAAAATAAAAAATCTTAAAACAGATAATTTATTGATTATTGTTAGCCTTATGATGATTATATGGATATTTAAACTTAATTGAATGTGTATTTTGAACCCAACATTCCTACAATGTGGGAATAAAAATAATTTCTATGAAAAATTAAATACATCTTTTGTAGTTATTATGAAGGTGGATTTGGACTGACTTTAGAAATTGGCTGAATTGAATGACTTTCTGTGCAAATGGAAAAGAACCGACCAGTTTTGGGTGTAGCTGCACTTTTAAGAGAAGAAAAGAAGAAATGGAGAGAGACTAGAACTCCAATTAAGATGGCTTTTGAGAATATAGCCCTTGAGTATTCTTTGGAGTCTTGAATTTGATTCATTATTCTAATCTCATTTTATTTGTCTAATCTCACAGCTTCCTCCCCTCCCATATTTACAAATGAAGCTTAATAGTGAATTATGTTAAAAATACTTTCTGATTCTATACAGTTTAAAAAATATCTATACATATACCAGAAACATAGAATAATTGACTAAATCTGAAGAGGGTCTAAAAATTTAGATTTCTTTTTATGTGAGATTAGATTCCCACTGGCTAAGCCATACCAGTACTATGGTTTGTATGCACTGTAAAACGAGGGTAACAAGTAGAAAATTACAGACAAAGTCACTATTTCATGTACCCTTTTTGCCACATACATTATTTTAGCTATTTCCAGCAAAAATGATGGCAGTTCTGATTTCTTCTCAGTAGGATATTTGGAGTAAGTTTAACAGCTTAGGAAGAACCCATTTTGTTTTTTATAGAAGAACAAATTTCCACACTTAATATATATATATACACACATGTATATACATATATATATATAGACACATATATATGTATGTTTTTGGCGTCTTTGTAATTAATAGCTCTACTGTCTGAAAAGAACATTGTCTGTATCTAATATTTGTATTCCTTAGATTATAGTCACTGTATATGTGAATGGGACATTAATGATTTTAATATATCAGAGTCTGTTTTTTTTAAACAGAGGCCATGGTCCTATCATTCTGAATAAAATACCTGGGAAATTTATTTCAAAAGAGCTTTATCTTCCCTTAGTGTGAGAAACCTTTCAGCTCATTACCAGACAGCAATTTAGTGAGACATCATTCAAGATGACGATAATGGTTTGAATTATTTTGATGCCCCAAATAATGAGGATTCTCCTGCAAGTGACCAAAATTTATAGCTGTGGCTTGCATAGTAGCTTAGCAGTTCACATATGGCTTATGTCAGTGGCAGACACAACGTTATTTTCTAAATCACATTGATTAGTTATGTGGTATTGAAAGATCTTAAACAGAATGAAGGTCTATAAATTGCAGAATGGAGTCCTCAAAACTTCTTATCTCTATTTCAGTTCTGTCAAAATGAACCCAAGAGCCAAGCATTCCATGTACACAATGCTACTAGTCAAAGAATAAGAACTGAGACCATTCAATTTCCTCTTTTTCTGGCAAGGAGCCAGACTGACATTTTCTTTTCTGTTAGTTTTGGCAAGGAAGAAAGAGAGAGGAAACTTTACTGCACAGTTACTGATGGTTTTTCTATTTTGTTTTTATTAAAAATGTTGAAACATGGGCCCTTTGTCAAAATTATTTTATTATTGAAGGGTTGGTGGGGTGAATGAACTGGCAACTGTTCAGAAAACCATTAACAGCACTGATAATGGTCAATCTCATTTGGGTTCCCCAACACAGAAGTGCTTAATAGCAATAAATTATGCTGCAGTACGGTGACTGATGTGCATGTTTAATGAATTGGTACAGACTTGGAGGTTAATCTGCTGGGAGGTAACAAACTTAGCCCATCTGATATTGCAATAAAAGTATGATCTTTTTAAGTTACATGATGATATATTTTGGGCACGAAACTAAAAAAATGAGTTTTCATTGGCTGCAGATTTGTTGGGTCTCCAAGACTAAAACATTGAAAAACCAACAACCCTAATAGTGACATTTGAATGAAATACAAAACTTAAGTACATCAGCAGTGGAATGCAACCCACCCAGAATGAGAGACTGGTGGCCATCAAAGCACTTACAGAAAATGCAGTGTGTTCTCAGAAAACAATTGTTCTTAAGTTAAACCCTTTTTACCTATGCAATGGATTATATTTTTAGTTCTTAAACTTATTTGTATAACAAGAAAACAACTACTCTTTCTACATGATTCTACAATAAATATTCCTTGGAGTTTGTAGAGAATATGTGACTTTTCTCAGGAACCACAGAGAGAAAATGACTTTGTAAGCCTAAACGTAAAGCAGTTATCAATTTGAAAAACATTATAAATGGTTCTGTTAGCTGTAGGGTTACTGATGAGGTGAAAGGAGAAAAAAAATCAGTAAAACTAAGGAACAATACTTTAATATGGGAAAATATTTGCATGCAGGCAAACATGGGAAACAATTACTTCTCTGTTTTGTAATCAAGTGTTTATTAGTGTCAGTTCACACTGTGATATCTAGTCCAGGCAGAAAGTGAGATTAATTGTTTCACCTCAAAACAATCTTTTTCTGCACCTTAATGTTTTAAGTATTCTTTTTCTTCTTCATGGAGTAAGTATTCTGACATGGAGGATATCAGACTGAAACATTTGAAAGCCAAATCCTCTGGCTATGAAATCATTGAAAGCAGAAGTGAATGACTAATTAAAATGCTTAATCTGCCCAGAATTCCTATCTGTACTTTTTTTGTGGTGTCCTTTGCAGATGATTTAGTGACAAATTGCTGACAATTAAGGTCCTTGAGAAAAGTTAAAATATGAAGTACTATGTTTCCAAAAGAAGATAAGAACCATTCTTCTAGATAAATCAGTTGAGAGGCCTGTTTTGATAATAATTATCTAAGTGACTGTATAATAGGTTTTAAAGAATAGAAATGTAATGAGAGGATTTACCTAATTGGAGACATTGTGCAGGCTCTTATAAGATAGATGTCTTCATTTCTTTTTAAGATTTTCTTATTAACTGAACATACTCATGGATACTCTGATACATATCTTTTACAAAGTTTTACAACTGAAATGAAGGAAACTATTTTTACAGTACTTCCTAATTGTTAGTGTTACCAATTCCTAAGCTGCTTGAACCCTATGTTTTCTGAACTCTCACACTGCTGACATTGAGGTCATTTTTGAGATTGTGCAAGGATCAAAAGCATCCTTATATGTTTCTGGCAATTTCACTAATTTGCTTAATTCTTCTATTAAAGAAGGTAGAATATCAGAAGCCATTTTGTTCAAATCTTATTCGTGCAATCATTACATAATCTAATACATATTTAATATAAATATACCAAGACTCTTTTTTTGACCTTCTAACAGAATAACATGGGTTGTAATATAAAATTTAGTCAAACTGCTTCCAAACAATTCCCATGTCTTGTTTTACATAACAAATTTTCTAACTTATGTGCTTATGTGTACTGCTTAAAATTGAAGAGAATTTGGTTATAGCAGTTTAGAAAAAAGAATTTGAGAGAGTAGTTGAAGCCATTGGTCCAATGTTTTCACCTTTGAAGAAAAATTTCTACCAATCTCATTCTTTTGTGGGAGGGAAGATTGCAAGTGAGAGTAACAGTGGCAGGGACAGCTTTTTATGCAATTGTGCAGGCAACTAACATGCTTCCACAAGAGCTCACTCTATGAATTAGTAACTTTTCTCTGGGTAGGGCGAACCATAGATTGTCTTCTGAATTTGCAAGGATCTACTCACAAATCTTTAATTTGCCCTCAAAATTGCACTTTTGAACTTGTATAAATAGATGGCCAACATTAAATTAGCTAAAATGTTTGATTTAATGGCAAGATATAGATATGTACATATGTATATATGTGTGTATATATATGTGTGTACTTAACTGTATAAGAGAATGAATTTCTTATGGAAGGATTTTTGTTTGTTTTTTAAGGTTTAATTTAAATAACAAGTAATATTGGTCAAAAAGTTGAACTAGGATTATATTTAATTAAAAATAAAGCCATGCACTGTATAGAGAAAACTTGGAGGAATTCAAGAGACATTACACATATTGAACTGAATTGACCATTTGCAAATTCTAAAGACTCTAACAAATTACGTCTTCATCAAAGTCATCATGATATTTTCCTTAGCTCTCTGAGGAAATGCCTGCAGAAGACTTGAGAGGACCATCCTTTTATAGTTTAATGTCTCTTCACTGATTAGCGAATATCATGTTCACTGCAAACAGAGGATGAAGAAGACACTAAGTAGAAATGTGTCCTGAAACAGGGGGCAACCAAGTTTCCCACATTCAACAAGAAAAATGGAACTGCATGGAAATGCAAGATGTCAAGATGAGAAGTGGAACAGGCTGTACTTTGTGTAAATATAGGAATTTCTTAAGTTATTTGTGTTTGAGAGGAGAGAGTTGTTTTTGCTTCTTGAAGGAATGTACAAAATAAGGATGGTGATGAAAAGGGAAGGATGAAATATTGCTTGGAGACTGTCAAGATGGTGATAGAATGATGGAATGAGGAACGTCATCGTGATATGCAAGGGGAAAAGAAAGAAAGTGAATACCATGCTAATAAATTCCTTCTCTTTCCTGGTGGTATTTCTAAGGATAGAAATAAATATAAAAATTATCCTATTAAAAAATCAACATGGTAAAAATGTTTTCTGGTAAAACTGTTTAGGTTTTATTTTGGGAAGCAGTATTTATTCACCTATATATCTCAGTATTAATTTTGAAATATATTGAATTCTAATTTATATCAAACCATAATAAGTAACTCAAGATAGTGACTATAATCAATCCTTATATTATTTTGTTGAAATAACATTATGAACATGCACCTTAAAGGATTGTACACAGCCCTCAATTTGTAGTAACAAAGCAAGACTTGAAGAAGTGATATTTCCAAAGTAACATAACTAATATCGATTAAAATTAAAATGAAGTATTTTGATTCTGACGGCAGTGCACTTTCCAATACACAATACTGTAGGTGAAAGATGAAAGTATCCCATGTTACTAATGAAAAATTTGAGATTCAGAAATATCCAAAGCTGTGATGTCAGCAATAGAAGCACAAATATCAACTACCCAGACCACCAGATTGCCAGCCCAGCACTGGATCAGCAAGGCCTGCATTTCCAAATGTTCATTTGTGAGTGTCATGAATAATACTGAGTAAAATTCTTATACATTTATCAACAAATGAATACATAAAGTCTCTCATGGAAGATTTGGTATAAATGATTTTATTAAGGAAAGTGCATGTCTCTGTATACTTTTCTTTCTACACTTAAAAAAAAAACCCCAATTACCTGAGTAAATCAGAATTTCCTTAGTGGTATGGGTTTGGGAGGCCAATAGGCTTGGATGCAAATCTATTCTTCACCATCAATGGGTGTGAGCTTGGGCAGGCAACTCCCCTTTCTGTCATTTAGTTTCTCTACCGTAACTTGGGATAATAATAGTACCCATTTCTGGAGTGAGAACTAAAGAAGATGATGTATGTAACTGATGAACGTAGAAAGCACTCAAAGAATGTTCACTATTATTAGCAACCTGAAGATACCCATAACGATGTACAATGCATGGTATAGCAAGTAGTCCTGAATTTTGAAATCTGTTATTTTCTATTTATTATTATGTTTAATTGTGGCAAAATACATTTAATACAAAATTTACCATCTTGTCCATTTTTAAGTATACAGATCAGCAGTGTTAAGTACATTCTTATTGTTGTACAACCATCACTATTCTCTATTTGCAGAATTCTTCATTTTGCAGAACTAAAACTCTGTACTCATTAAACAACAACTCTCCATTCCTTCCTCCCACTAGCCCCTAACAACCAACATTCTATTTTGCATTTCTATGAATTTCACTACTCTAGGTGTTTCATATAAATGGAATCATGTATTATTTATACTGGCTTATTTCACTTAGTGTAACATCCTTGAGGGTCATCCATGATGTAGCGTGTGTTAGAATTTCCTTCCTTGTAAGACTAAATAATATTCCATTGCATATGTATGCCACATTTTGTGTATACATTCATACATTGATGGACATGTGGGTTGTTTTTACCTTTTGATTATCGTGAATTATGATACCATGAACATAGCTACATAAATAACATTTTGAGACCCTACTTTCAATTATTTTGGGTATATATCCAGAAGTGAAATTTCTTGATTACATAGTACATTTATTTTCTTTTTTTTGGAGAATTGCCATATTGTTTTCCTAAGTGTCTACATCATTTTATATTCCCACTAACAGGGTTCAGGCTTCCAATTTCTTTACATCCTCACCAACATTATTATTTTCCAGTGGGTTTTTTTTTTTGATAGTAGTCATCCTAATGGATTTGAGGTGGTTGAAACCTTTTATTTTTAATATAAGAGATCTTTGAGGATCTGTTTGTCATTTGTTATAGAAAGTGACTGTTAAACATACTCTGAATCTACTGTCATTGTTAGTTTGTAAAAATCACAGCAAAACATTGGGGAGATAATTCTAAATACCTAAGGACTCACTGGTGTTCACATGGCAACAATGGAATGAAATTATCACAAACTAGTAACTAAAATTTTTATTTCACAATTGTTAGGTTTGTATCATTGTCCTAAATTCTAGTTATTACATAAACAATATAACAATTGCAATAATAGGACTCAATTAATGTTGAGAAGATTAGGAAGCTTGAGTTTGTTTGTTTTATAGATGTCAATATTAGGATATCTTCTTGAAATTTCCACCATTTATTCCCTTTCGTCCCCCATTAATAGTGTATTGTGTAGAGCCTGGAGTATTCTACCCAGCACTGGATACCGGAGTGGATTTTTTTTCCCCTACTTAATGTAAGTTTAAGGCTTTGTGCTTATTTTTTAAAAATCAAAACCAGGTATTTCATTCTTTTACTATTGATTCTTATATATATCTGCATATAGTGAGTACTATTTATAGAAATACATGTGCAATTCAGAAATATGTATTTCATTGTTAAAATAAAGATTAAAGCAGAAACTTATTTATTAGACTCTTAATTAATTTTAGAGAAAAATAATAATGAATAAGTTGTACTATGGGTTTTCAATGGGCAGTATCTATTTCTGGAACCACTAACCAATGATTGAATAACTAAGTCATTAATCCTTCAATGTGCTTAAGCTCTTAAATAAATGGGCACAGAGGATAAATAATTTTTTAAAAAAGTGAAAAACTAGCCACCAAAGCTTATTTTGTTGTCCCTCAAATTTACCTAGTAATTAGCTGGCATTTTTCCTATGATATGTTAAAGTCAATTAAATAGATGCTTTAGTCAGGATTAATTGTATCACAGTAAAGTTAAAAAGGAAGAATATGAATGCTTATGTTTTTGTTTACTTGAATGTAAAAGGAGAATCATTTTACCCTAACTTCTAGGATGTTTGGATCCATTTATGACAGTCTGCAAGCTTATCTTCTTATACATTTTTTTGCATATTGTAATGTATGATGGGCTTATACCATGACAAAGATTGAAGATTAATATTGCGCAAAGAATACTCTCTTCCTTTGACCTATTCAAAAATATCAATGAGAAGGTTTTTGGAAATCTTTTCTTATTCTACACAGAAGTGAAAATATGCTACAGGCCTTGGCTTCAAACTCTTTTAATTTCTTATTTAAGTCTTACTCCTTGTTTATAAAAAGAAGATAACTTTAAAATAGTGCTGTATGAACTAAATTTAACTAGAAATATAAAGCACCTTCTATATAATGAATGTACTAAAAATATTAATTCAGGGTCCCCCTCTACATACAATATACATATTCAGAAGAGATGATTTAATTATGGTCAAAAGGAAAATTTGTGTGCTCCTGATTTTGTTTTAATTTTACTGTAAATGCCTTATTTATACATGAATATCACCTAAGATCACGTTGTTTACATTGGTATTACAATTTATCCATTTTATTTCAACTCAAATTTATCAGCGTAGACCACTTCTCTGTAGTCTATCAGGTGCTGAGGAGAGCTGCTTTAGAGTGAAGACTTTTAGATTATCTGGGACTCTTTTTTTTTTCTGTTTGGTTACTGTAAGCAGAGTTGACAACTACCACAAAAGAAAGTATTGTTCAGAAAGCCACAGCTGGGATTGCTGATGATATTATGAGGCCTTCAGCAAGCTGGGTTGAAAAGAGGAGGGGCTGATAGGGCTTCTATTCCAGATGGATCAGAGAGGCTCCCAGTGAGGGGAAGAGTGAGAGCTCACTGACTCCTAGGTGCGGAAAGTAGGACCTTTAAACACAGACAACTAAAACACTTCACTCCTACATACATAACCACAAAAAATAATTTCAATAAAAGTAAGTCACTTTCTCAAGGATATCTTAGAAAATGTTTCTATTTGATCACATACTGATTTTTCCAGAAGTATTTCAAAATTTCATTAGATTATTAGGTATGAGTAAACGTACTAATGATTGAAATCCTTAAGGTTAAATTTGAGTGATTGTAAAGGACATGAGACGTGAGCATCAATGCTGCGGTGGTGTGAGCACTGTTGCCTTCAGATTTTTAGAAGGTAGACGGAGAATTTACCTAGAAATAAATGATATTGCAATGTCCCAGAATACAGAGTTCTTAATTATAGCAATGCATTTCTATCTGTCTCATGACTCTGGATTTATCAACCTTCATCTTTATAGTTGTGATAATTGGCAATAACGAAAAATTGAAAATATAGTATTTAAATATTAAATCAGAGAGAACATTTTTTTCTTAAAATTTATTTACAAGTTATCATTAAATGGAAAATTTCTTATTCTTGCTTTCCCTTTCCTCTCATGATAAAATTTAATAAAACCAAACACTGAATTGGGACACCAAATCACTAGCACCTTAAACTGTATTCACCTGGGCAAGCCATGTTAGTAAGTTAGGCTGCTGCAGTCATATCCTTGAGATACTCTGTGTGAGGCTGATGACTGACTTTACTCAAAAGAAAACCGAACATCAGGAAATTTCCATCCTTAGAAAGATCAAGTTGGCCCTTACGTGTAGAATCATCTAAATGGGTAAAAGACAAGAGATAGGTTGGGAAGTGAGGAGGCTAAGGGAGAGGAGACAAGGTCCAGAACTGGGCAATGGCAAAGGAGCACTTCTTGCCCCTAGGTGACTCGCAACTCAGACTTTGTGTCCCTGCTTGCTCTCTTTGGTGGAGCATCAGCGTGATTTTACAATATAAACTCCATCAGGATTTTTCTGCATGAAATCCTCCCATGGCTTTATCAGCTAGAATACAATTCTCACTTCTCTCCATCTGGCTCTATCGAGTTCTCCAACCTGTGTCGTCTGGAGCTGCTCTCACCAAGCTCAATTACTCCAGCCAAACAAGTCTTTCTGTTCCTCAATCCTTCTTCCTTAGAGTCTTTGTAAATGTTCTTGTTTTCTCTTGGAATTTGCCCCCTGCTCCCTTGCACTGTTTCCCCTTCTCCCCTTCCGTCCTTCTCACTAAGGTCTCAGACCAAGAATTACTTAATTAGGAAGAAGTTTATTGATTAAACCCTGCTATTTTCTACCTCTGCTTCTTGCTTAGTTTCCTTCAGATCACTTCACATTTGCCACCATTTTATTCATTTATTTACTTACATTGTGGGTCTTCTCTTTGGAAATTTTGGCCTGCCATCTTGTTAGCCCACAAAGAGCATTGGCTTCATTGTAAAGCCATGAAGGAATTACAGAGAACAGTGGCTCACATGCTTCGTTCAGTACACTAAAGCAGTAACAAATATGTGTCAAAAACTCACATGCTTTCTGTGAGAATGTTGCTATTCTGTCCATTCTGCTTTTCTGTGGAGAGCTGTGACATGATGTTTATATGTTTTAGCAGAAAGTGTGTGTATCTCCTAGAAATGTGCAAAGGACAGCATTAATGAGTATATGCCCAACATTTAACCATTCCGTATGCCTAAATTAAGGGCTTCCTTGGTATAAGGCACAGGTGCAACCTTTCTACTTATTTTACTTTATTTTCCTTTACTTTTTTGTCTGACATAGATGATCCTAACACCTCTGCACTAGAAGCTCTGTATCCTTTGGAGTGAAGCCCCTTCCGCTAGTTTCCTCAGATGCTGGCAAGACTTCAACTTATTTCTTTTCCTTTGCCAATGACAATATTCTCAATTTTTTAGTTCCTTTGAATATCCGTCTTACAAGGTTTACCTTGCAACAAATGCACATGCGCGCGCACACACACACACACACACACACACACACTAAGTGTTCGTGAGACCCATGTACTTGGCTCCAATTGGCAATAGAGTCAAAGCAGATGCTACACAGATCTTTGCTATATTTGTTATAGCCATGTCATCATAAATTTATTCCTATTACTTCTCTAATATATGTTAGTAGATACAAAAGCCTAAAGTCTTACGTTTTAAGTGGTTATTGGTATCACTTTTATAAAGTCTATAAACTTATACACGAGGGCCACAGCTCATATCTGATTGCTTATGTGCTAGCAATTTCAGTATAGCATGACGTATTTTCTGTGTGTTGAACTGCTTAATTCCCTCACAGTGTATTTTGAGGTAGCTGGACTTCAAATTTTTCTACAAGTGCTTTTTAAATTGTATTTTGAATATTTTTCAAAAAGTTCTTTGAATGTTATTTTCCCAGTAACATTTAAAAATCTGTCTTAACCAAGGGATAACTATCCGTATTTATCTTTCCAATAACACATTTTTTGGCTACTATTACATTTATCTTCATTCTTCTCTTAGACTCTAAAGTCACTGCACAGGAATTGAATCCACTAACTCAATGTAACTAGCAAGATCCCCACTTTTGTCTTATTTCCTTCATGGTTACTATGGGACACAGAAAGGCACATTGTAGATTATAAGTTATACAGGACAGACTTGAGGTAATCTATTCAGTGCCTCTTCAAAAACTTGCTACCCAAAATAAATTTTTACTATGGAGAGTATTATGTAAGATGATATTGTACACTGGAAAAATCTTGACTCTTGTGAGACAGAAACAGTAATGATATATCATAAAATATACATTATCATGTTACTTTAAAATTTAATGATACACATTAGTGACCTTGATTGACTAGAAATTAATTCAAAATTGTACAAATAGAGGAAAAAACCCACTACTGTTATCAAATTTCAGCTTAGGTCCAAGAATGACCTGTCCAATATAATAAAGTTCTTACTGTCTTCAGAACATCAGAGAACTTACTATCCATGGTTTGGTCTTTGAAGTCACCATGACACCATCGCCTCTGATAAAAGAGTTTATTTATAACTTGCTCAGTTTATGTCCTTTCCCACTGAATCAGCAGGCTCTCTAAGGTTTGGGGATATAATTTCAAGGACTGTTAAACCTCTGTCAAAGTTTCCTTGGCCCCCTGAGGGGCCCTGTTTTTCAACATTCTCTTTGCTAAGACAAGACTTCTCAAGAAAGTGCTCAGAAAACTGACAGCTTCAAGTACCAGAGGTTTTGTAATTTGAAGTGGCATTTAATCCGAAAAATAACATTAGCAAATCAGCATATAATTGGCTTTCTATTTCCTTTTTCCCACCCCTTGTTTTTTTTTTTTTTTTCTCTCTCTCTTTGGTCAGGACAAGACACAAGTCAAAATTATACTTGATACGATACAGCAATTTCTTCATTCTTCAGAAGGATGTGCCTATCCACACAATTAAGTAGATGGAATATCATTCCCTCAGAAAAGTAGAAACATGTACCTTTTAATAGGAATTATTTCTATTTCTAGTGTTCTTTTTACATTCTCTCCTTTGTTATTCATATATACACTGACATTTAAAGAAGTCTTTGCAAACAACTAAACTTTGTGAAAAAGTTAACAAAATATGTTTACAAATAAAATATCACACAACCACTTTATTTCTGTATTTAATTGTTCTTGGGTCCCCTTATCATAGTTCAAGTTTTCTTGCTTTTTGGCTCTTGTACTCCACGTTATACTATCTTCACATTTAAGACTTGTCAAACTGAAACGTGGGAAATGCCCAAGGGGCTTCTATGAGATCTAGACCCTCTTAGTACCTCCCTAAATTATTCTTCTTCAGAATTCAACTTTCAACACTTCATTTGTTAATACCCTTTCTCTATCTCTCTTTTTTTAAGCAAAGCAAGGTTTTATTACATATGAATCTAAATGTCTTTTGATGAGTTATTGTTTAAATTTGTATCACAATGATTTGATTGGCATTCACTACTCTGCATGAAATATACGTACACCGTATCATTTTCATCATATTCATCTCCACATGACTGTGCCATTCTACTGCTCCTCTTACTGCTAAGATCACGGAGGGCTATGAAGATACTGGCTTTGCTTGAGGTCACTGTTCTTGATGACAGAATAGGAGTTGGAAATCTGGACTCTGGTTTTATTCTACTAGTTAGTTTTGAGAGTCTTACTGCTGCTTCTTTAACAACCAATCGTTGCTTATTTTATCTTCAACAGAAGAGGTCACATTTTGTTGGTTCACATTGTTTTGATCAGGTTCTCAAAGATCTACTGAATGTCTACCTCCATATACAATTAAGGTTATGTTCTGCTGCTTGTTTTATGTTTTGCTATTAGTTGCACAGGCTTTAAAATTTATTCTTTATTCCCAGTTCCTTTTTTTTTTTTTTTTTTTTTGAGACGGAGTCTTTCTCTGTCACCCAGTCTGGAGTGCGGTGGTGTGATCTCAGCTCACTGCAACCTCCACCTCCCAGGTTCAAGTATTCTCCTGCCTCAGCCTCCCGAGTAGCTGAGACCACAGGCACATGCCACCACACCCAGCTAATTTTTGTATTTTTAGTAAAGACATGGTTTCTCCATGTTGGTCAGGCTGGTCTTGAACTCTGACTTCAGGTGATCCACCCTCCTCAGCCTCCCAAAGTACTGGGATTACAGGCGTGAGCCACCATGCCCAGCCCACTTCCTCTTTTTAATAACTTGTAACCTGGAGCAAATTCCTCAATCTTTCGAAGTCACATTTTCCTTTTCATCTGTTCACTGGGTTCACAATAACTTCATCATAAGATTGTTACTAATTTTAATGAGACACTTCATATAAAGTGGTCAGTAGTCAATAAGTGATGACTATTATTGTTAATAAGTAAGAGATATAAACTTTATTCTTAATTACATTGAAATCCAATTTGGGAAGTAAGAACTATATATTGAACTTATTTAAGAAATAGTAATAGTTACCAATTATTAAATATTAAATATGTAAATATAGTAAATATTTAAGTAGTAATATTTAATAATGTATGCTAGATATTGGGATAGCATTACACAAGCATCTCATTTAATTTAATTCTAATAATAAACCTATAAGAAGACATTATTTATCCTCATTTCTTTGGACAATGAAACTGAAGCTGGAAGAAAGTAAATTCCTTGTTCAAGATGTCTTAGTAATGAGACAGCCAGGTGGGAGGGGGTCCCTGGGGAAACTCTAACCACCCTGCCCACTGAGGTGGAGCCTCAGGTTTGCAGCAGGGAGGAGGCTGGCCCCTCCTCTTCCTGCGTGGAACCTGGGATTCAAGCTGTGGTGGGTAAGCACTCTAGCAGGGACTTTGGCCTACTGAGACTCCCTGTTTCTCCTTTTCTTCCGTTTCACCCAATCAAACCCTGTCTTACCATTCAAATTGTCTGCGAGCCAAAATTTTCATGGACGTGGGACAAAGAACCCCGTCTTTAGCTGAACTAAGGAAAAGTCCTGAAACATTTTTGGCGCACAACATGGGGGCTGGAGAAGCGGTGAGTGAAATGGGGACTCAAAACTTCTCGCTGTTGCTTCTAAGTCTTTTCATCCTCGGACTTCAGAGGGTGGGGGAAACCATGCCCCCAACCCCCGTAGCTCCCGGGCCTTTTCATGGCCTTTTCCTTCCTTTTTGGAGACCCACCGGTGAGCAGCGGCTCCCACCGTTCCCCACTCGCTGCTGGGGCTGGGACGCATGACCCCAAGGGTCCTGCACAGGTGGCTGGCTGGTTCCCAGCTACTGGAGGCTGCCCCAGCCTTCCCCTTCCATGGCCAAGGGGTTTAACTCTATCGGACAGTAAGCTTAAACTTATCTTCCTGGTGGAGGAACCACTTGCATAACAATAAGAGGTTCTTCCCCATGCACTTTTAAACTGTTTCTTTTCTTTCCCCTTCTGTACCCTGTCAGCAAGTTAACTTTTAAAATTTTATTTTCTTTCTAGAAGATTTTGTTTTGTTTTGTTTTGTTTTGAGATGGAGTCTCGCTCTGTCCCCAGGCTGGAGTGCAGTGGCGCCGTCTCAGCTCACTGCAACCTCGGCCTCCCGGGTTCAAGAGATTCTCCTGCCTCAGCCTCTTGAGTAGCTGGGACTACAGGCACATGCCACCACCCCCGGCTAATTTTTTTGTATTTTTAGTAGAGACGGGGTTTCACCGCATTAGCCAGAATGGTCTCGATTTCCTGACCTCGTGATCTGCCCGCCTCAGCCTCCCAAAGTGCTGGGATTACAGGCGTGAGCCACCACGCCCGGCCTAGAAGCTGTTTTACTAGGGCAGGACCCCCTCACCCCCGACCCAACTAGCACTGTTTATATTTTCTGCAAAGTTGTGGTTGTGAAATCAAGCCTCCATCTTATTTTACACCCTGAGGGCATGGCTTGTAACTCCGGTGGCAAGGCTTTGTTTAGCAATCCTGCTTGAGGGGATGAGCCCTCTCAGGTTCAATATCTGCATGTTTTCCTAGCCCTGTCTCTTAAAGGGCCCCACCCAGTGACTGGGTTTTCTTCTGCCTGAATGTGTGTGCACTGTGTGCGATGTCTCTAAAAAGAGCTTTAAATAATTTGGCCAGAAGAAAAGCGCTGGGATCAAGTATTTTGTTAAGGGAAGTTAAAAGCTATGGTACCTTTCATTTCACGTGACTGTGACTTCAATCTTTGAGAAATAAAAACAGCCCTAAAGACTTGGTAAAATGCAGGTCAGATGCTAGGTTGGCTAACTGTTTTGAGGCTACAAACTGCTTTTTAGGTTTTGAGAACTATTTGACTTTCTGGCTTCACTATTGGTAAGGCCCCGGGGCATATGAACTAAAACACACCCTTAACTAAGAAGGTAAACCTTGGCTCCACTTAGCACACAATTAAAGCAATTTACCAAGTTTTACCTTAAAATTAAAACTTGCGGAAATTACTATTACAACTCCTAGTTATAATTGAAACTACTGAAAATAGATTTACATGCAAGGGGTATAAGAACAGTAAAATGTGTTTTATAGTAAAAGGTTATAAGGAGACATGGAAATGTAAACTTTGGCCTAGGGTTAAAGGATTGTTTTGAGTTAGACAGGAAAAGCTGAAGGTTCAAAGAAGTGGTAGAAGAATTGTGGAAATTAATCTTGCAGAAGAGCTTCTTTGTGTGGACATATTGACTAAATTCGAAGGGGATTTAAAAGATTTTTGCTTCTTTAAAATTTCTGAGTAATTGTTTTGGCAAAATAAATAACATGGTAATCTGGAATTCAGTTTCATAATATCAAGTGTTTTAAACCTCGAACATATTTGACAGCCTTCCCAAAATCAAACTGAAGTTTCAAAATTGTCTTCCCTGGCACCTGGCTTTTCGCATACTTCAGAGAGCCCGTGAAGTGTCCAGAAAAGAGAGGTAAACAGGATTGACGTGTTTAGATACATGAGATTGCCAAAATGATGTTCAATCTTCTTTAGGTATATTTTTGTGAATAATGCTAATATATGTTCCAAAATTGTACGGGATTTATAAAATTCTAATGGCTAAGTATATGCCATCAATAATAATTAGGGTTGTTAAGTTATTGTAGACCACAGAGATAACCAAACTTCTTTGTCAGTTGTGTTTCTAACTGTAACTACCCTGGACATTATGCTATTCACAGACAATTGTCGTCTTGTTTTAATCCTTTTCAAAGACGGTTTATAATGAGCTATAGAACTTTTAACAGGTGCTCTCAAATACAGGCTTCTGATAACTTTAGAGACTGTAACATTGGAATAAAGGAAAATGTATAGGACATAAAGAGCTGAAATGCTCATGAATATCAAGCAAAACAAGAATTAACTAATGGACTGACCTCAGAAAGCTGAAGCAACATTTCTGACTTGCTTAGAATATCGCTGATCCATGTTTTGTTTTTCAGAGTCAAGGAAACGGATTTTGAACTGATTACAGCCTTAATAATTAAGTAAGGTATATACTAATGTGATCAAAATTTGGAGCACGTTTGTTCTGTCTGCCTCATTCTTCTAGAATTTGGAAAATATCTGTGAGTATTCTTTTTATTTTTTTTTGAGACGGAGTCTTGCTCTGTCGCCCAGGCTGGAGTACAGTGGCGCTATCTCTGCTCACTGTAGCTTCTGCCTCCTGGGTTCCAATGCTTCTCCTGCCTCAGCCTCCTGGGTAGCTGGGATTACAAGCGCACGCCACCATGCCCAGCTAATTTTTGTATTTTTAGTAGAGACAGGGTTTTGCTATGTTGACCAGGTTGGTCTCAAACTCCTGACCTCAGGTGATCTGGCCACCTCCCAAAGTGCTGGGATTACGGGCGTGAGCCACCACCCCTGGCCTCTGTGAATATTCTTATTCTTATGGCAATATAGTTGTTTGCATCAGTGCGGTAAGAATCCATTTTTGTTTTGCAACAGGACACATTGGAGAAAGTGGTTATTTTACCAAGGCTTTGACTGGAAGGGTATGCTTCCCTTTAAGGAGTCAAGCTCGACTCATAGAGCCAATAAAACCTCATAGGACTGAGTTGTTTAAATAGACTTTATTTAACTAGACTAAAGTTAATGGGGAAACTGGCCTCATACCCTTTCCTACACAGTCCTGAACAGGGTTCCTGACTGTGGTCAGTAAAGACTGTCACTTTCTTACAGGTGCAGGAGCTCCAGGTTTATCTTGGGGCCTTAGGAGGAGAGGATCACCCAACTTGCTGGTATTTGAGGATGCAAACCCTTGGCTGGGCTGAGCTTTAAAAGGTCTTATCAGTGATTCCTTGTGGAACACATGTCCATCAAAGCCAATCCAAAAGGCTTATGTAGAAATAATTATTCTTGCTATACTTTATGCAAGTAATGAGGTCAAGTATAAGACTAAAGTCTATTAAACAACTCAGTCCTAGGATCATTTGTTTCTTAACGAAATAGAGGACTAGAGAGAGAGAAATTATGTTTAAAAACTTATATAGTTGTCATTAAATTCTAAACCCACTAGTTGTTTTTAAGTTTTTGCCTGCATTTTAGACTAACCCTGCTTGTTCCTGTGAACCTACCGAGAATCTCTGGCTGCAGCTCAGAAAGAACAAAAGGGATGGATAATGTAGAAATCTGGATTAATATTTTAGTTCTGAGCAGTTATCCTGCAAAGTCTGCCATATGATGGAATAAACAGGGAATAAATGGGATGCCCATCATGCAAAGGTTTCCTTTTTGGGAAAGTAAGACCAAGGGAACTAACCAAAGCCAAGCACCATACACCCAAATCCTAGCAAGCATAACTGTAGCTACCAGTTACCTGGTGTGTCACAAGACATCCTTTCTTCTCCCTTTTTGGAGGAGGACTCAGTTCCACAGTTTCACCTTAGCATTTGGTTTATAAGGAGTTAGCATTTAGCTTATAAGGAGTTAATGCAACCCCCACCCAGAGACATATTTTTGTCCCAGAGGTCAATTCCAGGCTTCTGGTCAAAGCCCTAGAAAGAAAACTGGATCCTAGAAATCCACAGGAAGATGGCAACAGAGGTTAAAAGGCACAGCACAGGTGAGCGTGGTTGAAAGAATGTCGAAAAAATAATTGACCACTGTTGGTTTAGAAAACCCTCCTCCTTAGAGGAGTATTTGCAAAGGAACTTTTGGAGAAGTAGTTATTCCAGAATGTGGGGAAAGATTCTTCCATTTTGGTGTGTACTTTGTTAACAATTAGACATTTTATCCTAAATATATTAACTTAGAGATTCCATTTACAAAAGAAATCACATGTTTTTGGATCTGATAATAAAGGAAAAATCGACTTGATCATGCTAATAATGACCAAAGTATCTGGCAATTACAACTTTTTGTTTATTATGTACAATATTATCACATATGTGAAAGTCTTAGGAATTATTCAGTTCAACTAGAAAAAATTATGAGGCAAATGAAGAATATAGTCATTTAATGTTAATTATAAATATTAAATGTGGTATTAAACAGGAAGTATTGGGGAAAGTTTTGATTCTCCTGTGCCAATCCTTCTTTCTCCCATTAAGTGTATGTATCCCCTAGTGCATAGTACTGGGCTTCTCTATTAACTCCCATACTTATATCCCTGAGGAAGTCATCTGTACATACGGTTTACATTTTGTCAATATCCACGAAATCATTTGTTGAGATTTGTATTAGGATTGTGTTGAATGTGTAGATTAAGCTGGGAAGAACTGATATCTTGACAATATTGAGTCTTCCTATCTATGAACATGAAGTATCTCTTTATTTCTTTTTTGATATCTTTTATCAGTGTTTTATAGTTTTCCTCATAGATGTTGAACTTTTTTTTTTTTTTTTTTTTTTTGAGACGGAGTCTCGCTCTCTCTCCCAGTCTGGAGTGCAGCAGCGCGATCTTGGCTCACTTGCAAGCTCCACCTCCCGGGTTCACGCCATTCTCCTGCCTCAGCCTCCAGAGTAGCTGGGACTACAGGCGCACGCCACCACGCCCAGCTAATTTTTTGTATTTTTAGTAGAGACGGGGTTTCACCGTGTTAGCCAGGGTGGTCTCAATCTCCTGACCTCGTGATCCACCCACCTCGGCCTCCCAAAGTGCTGGGATTACAGGCGTGAGCCGCTGTGCCTGGCCGTTTTTTTATATTTATACCTTAATATTTCATTTTTTAGCTGCTAAAGTAAATGGTAATGTATATTTAATTTTAAAGTTCACTTTTTCATTGCTGGTATATAGGAATGTGATTGACTTTTGTATATTAACTTTGTTTCTTGCAACCTTCTATCATTGTTTATTAACTCCAGGAGGGTTTTTTTTGGTCAGTTATCTCAGGTTTCCTAAGTAATCATATCATCTGCAAAAACAGCATTATTTCTTCCTCCTCGATATGTAATGCTTTTTCTCAGTGGTTTATCTATAATTTGCAATATACGTTGAAAACTAATCAAAGTTAACTTTCAAATAACACTATACTGCTTCACAGATAGTGGAAGTATCTTATAACAAAACATTCCTAATTCTTCCCTGTCATCCTGTGTATCATTGCTGTCATTCCTTTCACTATACATAAGAAGATACAAGTATTTATATCTATATGCATACATAATCTAATACATTGTGGCAAATATTTTGAATCAAGTGTTATCTGTTGAATCAATAATGAGAAAAATATAAATTTTAATTTGACCCTTATTACTTCTCTAATGTTCTTCCTTTCTTTCTGTAAATCCACATTTCTGATCTATGTCAGTCTCCCTTTCTCTGAAGAAATTTCTTTTAACATTTCTTTCTGGGCAAGTTACTGGCAACAAATTCCCTCAATTTTTGTTTGCCTGAGAAAGTCTGTTTCTCCTTTGCTTTTTAATGATAATTTTTCAAAGTACAGAATACATAAGGTTATTTTCTTTCATCATTTCAAATCAGTCTACTCTCTTATTGTTGGCATGGTTTCTGAGAAGATGTAATTCTTATCTTTCCTACTTGATAAATAAGTTGATTTTTTTTGTCTTTGATGGTCTATAGTTTCAGAATGATATGCCTAGGTGCAGTTTTCTTGTCTTTCTCTCTCTTTCTTTCCTTCCCTTCCTTCCCTCCCTTCCTTCCTTCCTTCCCTTAGCCTGCTTGGTGTTCTCTGAGATTTGTGTATTTGTAGTTTGCTGTTTGACCTTAATTTGGGGGACATTCTCACTCATTATTGTTTCACGTATATATTCTGTTCATTTATCTGTTTCTACTTCTGCTTGTATTTTCATTACACGTATGTTACACCTTTTGTAGTTGTCCCACAGTTCTTAGATATTCTGTTCATTTTTTTTCAGACATTTTCCTTTTGGCTTTTCAGTTTTGGAGGTTTTTTCTTCAGAGCTCCTCAAGCCTAGAGATCTTTTCCCAGCTGTGTGCAGTCTGTAAATAAGCCCATCAAAGGCCAGGTGTGGTGGCTCTCGCCTGTAATCCCAGCACTTTGGGAGGCCAAGGCAGGCGGATCACGAGGTCAGGAAATCCAGACAATCCTGGCTAACACAATGACACCCTGCCTGTAATCCCAGCTACTCGGGAGGCTGAGGCAGGAGAATCGCTTGAACCGGGAGGCAGAGGTTGCAGTGAGCCAAGATCATGCCACTGCACTCCAGCCTGGGCGACAGAGTGAGACTCCGTCTCAAAATAAATAAGCAAGCAAGCAAGCCAATCAAAGGTATTCTCTATTTCTCTTATAGTATTTTTAATCTCTATAAAAGAGATTATAGAGATTATAATTCTTTTTTATTCTTTCTTAGAATGTCCATCTCTTTGCTTACATTATTCATCAGTTCTTGCTTATTGTCTGCTTACTTTTTCTATTAAATCCCTTAGCATATTAATTATAGTTGTTTTAGGTCAGGCACATTGGCTCACATCTGTAAGCTCAGCATTTTGGGAAGCTGAGGCGGATGGATCACTCAAGCCCAGGAGTTCAAAATTAGTCTAGGAAACAGAGTGAGACCCTGTCTCTACTAAAATTTTAAAAATTTGGGTTTGGTGATGTGTACCTGTGGTCCCAGCTACATGGGGAGCTAAGACAAGGGGATCCTTTCAGTCCAGGAGATAAAAGCTGCAATGATCCTTAGTCATGCCTCTACATTCCAGCCTAGATGACAGAGTAAGCCCCTGTCTCAAAAAAATATATATAGTTGTTTTAAATTCCCAGTCTGATAATTCCAACTTCTCCTACTGTATCTGACTCTGATTCTGATGCTTGTTCAGTCTCTTCAAACTGTGATTGGCTTTTTAGCATGCTTTGTAATATTTTGTTGAATGGCGAACAGGATGTAGTGAGTAAAAGGAACTGCAATACACAGGCCTTTAGTACTGTGGTGGTAATGTGTTGGGGCAGGGCAAGTGTTCTATAGTCCTATGATTATGTCGTAGTCTTTTGATAAACCTGTGAAGCTGGAATATGAACGTCACTGGGGCATCTCAGTACCCTGACCCTAGATGGGACAGGATGGCTGGAGGGGGTTGGAGTTGGGTTTTTTCCTAACTTACCTAAGGTAGGTTAGGCTCCAGTAAAATAGTTTCTCCTAAGAGATGACCTTTTTTTTTTTTTGAAGAACAGAGTGCTCTGGTGTATTTCAAAATGGTTTCTTTTCCTGTATCCCTGCTAGAAGCAAAAGGTATTTTCTCCAGTTTTCACTGTGAGGACTTGGTAGAGCTCCTGGAGGTAAATCTCACAAGAGTGTGAGGTTCTCCATGTCTAGGTTTCCCTGGAATTGAATTTTTAACTCTCAAGAGTTGTTCCCTCTGAGCCTCCAGCAGTTCATCACAGTGCAGGCTTTTCTACCCTGGAACAAATTTCCACGGAGGTTCCTGTTGATGGGTTTCTGCCCTACTAAGTTGTGAGTCTCTGTATCTGCCTGTCTGTGTCTCCAATTTTGGGGTCAGTCATTTGCCCTGTGGTCTCACTTCTCTCATGGGTCTAAGAAGA
This sequence comes from Homo sapiens, assembly GCF_000001405.40. Classification (NCBI taxonomy): domain Eukaryota; kingdom Metazoa; phylum Chordata; class Mammalia; order Primates; family Hominidae; genus Homo; species Homo sapiens. Next base: position 19,347,445 of record NC_000007.14, read on the forward strand.
GCTATTGATGTTTCAGGTCACCTTTTTACTTGTAGTGGAGCAGCCGCTTCCAAGCTCCTTACATGCCAGACTGGCCACGATTAATTTTAAGACTCTTTTCTCAATTGCTCCCTCACTAGTAGAAGTGGAATTTGCTTTCAAATCAGACAGAATTGATATCAGGTCCTACTACTTTTGCTAGCATGTTCTTAAATAAGTTAATTGACTTTTTGAGGCTTCAACATCCTCATTTTAAAATGAAGGATAACAATACTCACCTGAGAATTATTTCTGGGCTGTAACAGACTTTCAATATTATCATTTAGTGTTAATTCAACTAACGGTTTGGCCCAATGTAAATACATTTTCTTGCTTATCCCATGCCCTTCGCTCTACACTGAAAAAAAAAAAATTCAAATCACTGTATAATTTTTTTTCTTGCACTGGTATAGGAATGCCTAAAATTTTTATTTTGTAAAAATAGTACTCTATAACCATCATAGTCTTGCTTAATTTTTACAGTGTAAAAGAAAACCAAACAAAACACCCTGCTCTCAATATATGCTTATAGGAATTACATGTTTAGGTAATGATGGCTTTGTAAGTCAATTTATATTATAATCAGGAAAAGAATGAAAAGTTTGGATGTCTAACTTCAAAGCTCACTCCTTTGTAGTTTAATAAAGATGATATCATATCTTCAGAATGTTAAATGGAACAATTCTATTGAGGCCTAGGTTAGTTTCTGATTGTACTCAGGGTCTATCAATTTTGAAGCTGATTTTTTTTTGTCATCTAATTGACATGTCTCAGGATGGTATTTAAGGAATGCCTGAAAGCAATGCATAAATAAATCTGCCAGATTCTCAGTTCTGAAAGACCTTTTGTAATAAGGCAAGCCATATTATTTTTTTACAGTACGTAATTTGCCTGTTATGTTTCAAAATTAGAGAGCTTAAATTTTATGAATCTCTTGATACTCTTATTATGTCAGCTGAAACAAAAATCCTTTCACACAAAGGTAGTAATAAAAAGATGCTGTTCAATTATAATCATTTCTGCCAATGGTCAAATGACAATTACTAGAAAGGAAAATAATTTAACAAAGTAAAATGATATGGACAAGAACAAGTGGGGATTTAATTCTTGCTGTAAACTATCCAAAACCTTTCATTGTTTTTTCCTTTGCAAATGCTATTGCTTGCACTCATTCCTATATAGGAATTCCATGTTTTCTAAAAAAAAAAAAACCTTCAAAAAGGAGTTTATTTGTTCATGAGTTATGTCATTAATATGGACCAGGCACTGTGTAAGGCACCACACTTATGTAAGTGAAGAAATCAAACATGGTAATCTTCAAGATGTGCCAGGTTAGAGTCAATAGAAGACAGAGAAAACACCCAATGTAAAGAGCTTAAATTTTGATTATGCAGAAAAATAACGTGTGATATTTTAGCACCTTCTTTTAAGATTAAAAATAATATTACATATTAAAACATATCCAGATAATAAGTAAGTAGTATGTTTTATATTTCCCTGCCTTGGCCTCCCATTTTCTCATTCTCTCTCAGCTCATCTTCTGTCTGTACTTCTAGATCTCATTCGCCCATTCATTTATCCACAGATAACATATTTTTACTAAATTTTAAGGAGGTGACAGTAATTTTTATAATAAGTGCAGATCTTAATAGAAAAGAACACTAACATCTACCAGATTATAACCTCAGTTTAGAGGCTACGCCCTCAGTATATAAAACTTGTGTGCATTTAATAATTAGGATTCATGATCCTTTTGAGTTAGGACTCCAAATTTCTAATTGCTGGGATGTGCATGTTTAACATTGTCTGGTATTTCTTTTTTCTTTCTTTCTTTCTTTTTTTTTTTGAGACGGAGTTTTGCTCTTGTTGACAGGCTGGAGTGCAATGGTGCAAGGCGCGATCTAGGCTCACCGCAACCTCGGCTCACTGCAACCTCTGCCTCCTGGGTTCAAGCGATTCTCCTGCCTCAGCCTCCCGAGTAGCTGGGATTATAGGCATGTGCCACCATGCCCAGCTAATTTTTGTATTTTTAGTAGAGACAGGGTTTCTCCATGTTGGTCAGGCTGGTCTCAAACTCCCGACCTCATGTGATCTGTCCACATTGGCCTTCCAAAGTGCTGGGATTACACGCGTGAGCCACCATGACCGGCCCCATTGTCTGGTATTTCAATGGCTTTGTTGCATTATGCTACTTTGTAAAGTGTCAGCTGGGCTATGCTGAAGTATACTTTCCCAGAACACCACTTTCTGTATATACCTGGTTAACATAGGTCACACGAGTTGAAGTTGTCGCTTTCCCTCTCGCCAATCTCCAGACTGCCATCTGAGGCCTTCCTTGACTATCCAGTCTTCAGCCAACAACTTGAGTAGATCCCTAGCAAACAACAGAGGCAGCTTAGACAACCCACAGTATTATGAGTGAAGAAAGTGTTTTTGATTTAAGTCACTAAGTTTGAAGTAGTTTTTTATGCAGATGTATATAATAAAGGGGAGAGGAAAAGCCATAAATTGGAATAAGACTAGTTGTAATTATTCTGGCAAAAATAGATTAAATCCTTTAGGTCCAGTGTATAAAAATTTTATTTTGCAGGCCAAAATGTAGAGTACTAGATGAAATTTCAAGTGTGATGAAAGTAATTAGTTGAAGGAAATATGGTGGAAAATAGTGTTCTTATAATGTTTCTAAGTTGGCTTGAATATGATGTACTTCAAACTGAAATTTTATTTCAGAGGTGAAGAGTCATACAAACACTATTCTAAAATTTTAAGGCCGGATATGGTGGCTCATTCCTGTAATCCCACCACTTTGGGAGGCCAAGGAGGGCAAATCACTTGAGGTCAGGAGTTCAACACCAGCCTGGCCAACGTGGTGAAACCCCATCTCTACTAAAAATACAAAAATTAGCCAGGTGTGGTGGCACGTGCCTGTAGTCCCAGCTACTTTGGAGGCTGAGGCAGGAGAATCTCTTGAACCCAAGAGGCCGAGGTAGCAGTGAGCCGAGATCATGCCACTGCACTCCAGCCTGGGTGAGAGAGTAAGACTTCGTCTCAAAAAAACCATAAAAATAAAAATAAATAAATAAAAATGTTAAAAGATGTTATACATGGAGGATTGGTTCCTCAACCCCCTCATGTATACCAAAATCCACACATACTCAGGCTCTGCAGTCAGCTCTGCATAGCACATGAATAGGAAAGGTCAGCCCTCCATGTAGGTAGGCTATATCCTTCAAATGTTGTATTCTCATGTATAACGTTTGGTTGAAAAAAAATCTGTATAAGTGGACACATGCAGTGCAAACCCCTGTTGTTCAAGGGTCAACTGTAATTCAGTTTTGAAGGTCTTTAGATATTTATTCATCATAATAAATACTTATTAAATTATTTGTTTTATGTAACATGGAATTGGATAGAATCTATTCAATTGGAATATCTCGTGAAACATTTTATACCACTTAAATGGCATATCCCATAGTTCTTTTGTGTTGAACGTTTACCTGACTTATATTTCTTTTGATTTTCTTATATTTTTCATTTAAAATCCTTGTTCCATATAGACCTGTGCTTTTCATAGCATGTAACACTGACCATCTGTATCAGAAACAACTAGAATGTTTGAAATGCAGATGTTTGGATCTACCTTAGAGCTTCTGAAACAGAGGCTAGGGATGTGTTTGGAAATTTTCTTCCTTAGCAAGTGTTCATACAAATTCTAGAGTTTAAGAATTTTTGCTATAGACCTGGCACAGTACTAGGTACTAAAAAAAGTGTTTTTTAAAATGATTGATAAATTTAGCTGAAACTCCAATTTTAATATAAAATTTGTCTAAAGAATTTATGTAGCAATAGTTCATGCCAACATTCCCGAATAAATCAATCTCTTAAAGTTTGTTACATTGAATGGATATTTTTTCAAGTAAATAGTTGAATACAATGGAACAATTATGTTTTTATTTGTATAGCTAACTTTTAAAAAATTACTGGATAATTTTCCTCTAACTATTTAGTATAACACTGCATAGATAAAGCGTGGTTTAATATGTAGTTACCATTGCAATACCACAAGTTACCCACCAAGCTGGGTCTATGATAACTAGGAAACCACCTCTAACTGTCAAGTAAGAATTAAAATGAGGAAAGCAGAAGGTCCTGGCCAAATGAAAAGGATTTTGGAGATTGATATTGAAGTTCTTAAACTTGTATCTGTATGGCAGATGTGTGTACAGACTCCGTATAAAACGGAAATTCATAATAACTTAAATCTAAGTACTTAGCAATTTTGCATAAGCCCATCTCTATTTTTAAAACAAAATGATGAAACAAGTTTTAAGGCAGACGTCATCATTATGTTAATACCTTGAGGGAGGAATTGGAAACAGCAATAAATAAACTCTGCATAGATGTTAGTTTAAAAATGCAGTGGTAGAAATGATCTAAAGAACATCTGAGGAGCATGATTAAAATGGAGTCTTGTGTGGTCTGGAAGAAATAAAATGCTCAACAGAGCTTAGCCATTCCTCAAGGGTGAGTCCTTGACTTTATAAATATTTCATTAATTCTGCCCCAACATAGTAGCAAACTATAGTGTGAACTAAACTCTAAGAATCAAGAATAGAAGAATGTTACTTGTAGCTTAGAGAAACAGCAATACCCCTTCCTACTGTGTCTGTACTCTGCTTTGCATATTCATAGTTGCTTCTGTTATCCACTCAAGAGAGTAAAATTACCAAGGCTTTCCTTTTATATGTATTTGATCCCAATTCAAAAATTAAAAATGAGAAAAATTCCTTACACCTTTTCAAATCAACTAAAACAGTATTTTCTAGCAACAAAGACCAGTGACAACCATAATTTCAGGAACAGGTACACAACTGGAAGGAGAGGAGGCTGAGGTTACCTTTCTGTTGCTTTAAGTATCTATATCCTTACCAAGGAGAAATTCCCAAACGAATCCAAACTAAGGAGATGTCTTTTTTTCTGTTGAGAATATGTTTCTTAGTGATGAAGCTTCCATTGAGTGTGTGTCATCCAGAGTAGAAACATGTTTTCCAGTCTGGTTTGTAGATTTCTCAGAGCCCCTTTTGATCCTTTTAATTTTATTAACTGAAGTGGAAACCTCTTGACATCAGAATTTTTGCAAAGTTTATTCCATATTATAGCTCTTGAAGACCTTTAACTGCCTAGCAGTTGATCCAGATTGTCACCTAATGAATAAGAAAATCTTCCAAAGTTCCTAGCATTTGAAGCCATTAGTTGCCATAAACTCAGAAACGATTATATTATCCTTGCAAAAACAAATTGAAACCTTAGGTTTATTCTACTATTTTTCCATTATAAATAGGGGCTTTCCAGCGTCACTAAAGAAGTACACTTGCCAAAAATGTTAAACCTGTCATTTCTTTGGACCAGTTTACAGAAAATACAGGGTATAGAGGAACAAGTCAAACAACAGAATAAGCAACCAATTAAAAAAGAAAAAAAAAAAAAACAGAAAATGAGACCACCTACAAGTCCCAGTCTTTTCAATAAGCTGATATATTGAATAAAAGACAAGTTGAGGAAGGGAAACTTTAGCAAATTAAAAAAGATTTTAGAGACAAAACAACCAGATGAAATATATATTCCTTGAATGAATCCTGGTTTGAATAAACTAGCTGTAAGACATAACTCTGGAGCCATTGCAGAAATTTAAATATGTACTGGATATTAGACAATAAAGATGTTCCCCTTTATCCTTGGTTTTGCTTTCTGAAGTTTCAGTTACTAGCCATCAACTATTGTCCAAAAACATTAAATGAAAAATTTGAGAAATAAACAATTCATGTTTTAAGTTGCATGCCATTGTGAGTAGCTTGATGAAATCTTGTGGCGTCTCACTTTGTCCTGCTCTGGACATGAATCACCCCTTTCTCCAGAAAATCCATGCCCTCTATGCCACATGCCCCTGAGTCACTTATAAGTCCTCTCAGTTATTGATCAACTGTCGCAGTATCTCAGTGCTTGTGTTCAATAATGCTTATGTTACTTCATAATGGCTCCAAAGTACAAGAGTAGTGATGCTGGCAATTTGGATATGCTAAAGAGAAGCCATAAAATGCTTCCTTTAAGTCAAAATGTGAAAGTTTTGCACTGATTAAGAAGAGAAAAAACATCATATGCTGAGGATGCTAAGTTCTAAGGTAAGAATTAACTTTCTATCTATGAAATTGTGCAGAAGGAGAAATTCATGCTAGTTTTGCTGTTGTACCTCAGACTCCAAAGGCGAAGCCACAGTGCTTGATCAGTGCTTAGTTAAGATGGAAAAGGTATTACATTTGTTGGTAGAAGACATGAATAGAAATGATGTTTGATTGATGGCACTGTGTTGAGCCAGAAAGCATCGATCCTATATAAAGGAAGACTTTAGCAATGGGATCTCCTGAAACAAGTGACACAGAGCGATTTATTTCACATAAGGGGTGGTTACTAAGATTCAGGAACACAGAAGGTCAGTAGTAGCCTAACACTACATCACTACGTCACTTACCTCACTTCATATCATCGGATAGGCATTGTATCATCTCACATCATCACAAGAAGCAGTGTAAGTACAGTACAATAAGATATTTTGAGAGAGGGAGAGAGGGCACATTCCCATAACTTATTACAATATATTGTTCTAATTCTGTTTTGTTAATTATTGTTAATCCTTACTGTGTCTAATTTATACGTTAAACATAAGTATGTATGTACTTATAGGAAAACACATAGTATATATGGGGTTTGCTACCTTCTTTGGTTTCAGGCATCCACTGGAGGTCTTAGAACATATCTCCTATGGGTAAGGGAGGACTATATTTAAAAATTATTATTTTGTCACATTTGATAAAGATGTTGTGATAATTAAGTTTATGTCTCGACTGGGCTAAGGGATAGCTGATAAAACATTCTGTTTCTGTGAGGGTAATTCCAGAAGATATTAGCATTTGAATGTGTAAACTAAGTGAGGAAGATCACCCTTACCAATGGAGGTGGCCGTCACTCAATTCCTTGAGGGCTTGAATAGAACAAAAAGGTGGAGAAAGGTCAAATTTGCTCTATCTGCTTGAGCTGTGCCATCCGTCTTCTCCTGTCCTTGGACATTAGTTCTCTTGGTTCTCAGGCCCCTTTGAACTCCATTTCTCAGGCCTTTGGACTCTGTCTGGGTGCATTAGTCTATTCTCACATTGCTATAAAGAATTACCTGAGACTGAGTAATTTATAAAGAAAAGAGGCTTAATTGGCTCTTGGTTTCACAGGCTGTATGGGAAGCATGGCTGGGGAGGCCTCATGAAACTTATAAACATGGTGCAAGGTGAAGAGGAAGGAGACATGCTTTACAAGGCCACAGCAGGAGGAAGACAGTGAAAGGGGCGGTGCTACACACTACAAACAACCAGATCTTGTAAGAACTCACTGTCACGAGAACAGCAAAGGGGAATTCTGCCCCATGATTCAATCACTTCCCACCAGGCCCCTCCTCCAACATTGGGGATTACAATTCAACATGAGATTTGGGTGGGGACACCAAACTATATCACTGGGACTTAACACTATTGGCTCACCTGCTTCTCAGGCCTTGGGGATTGAATGGAACTTCACCACTGGCTTTCCTGGGCCTCCAGCTTGTAGATACCAGATTGTGGAACTTCTCAGCCTTCATAATAGTGAGCCAGTTTCTCATAATCAGTCTTTTTCTGTGTATGTATATATATATCCCATTGTCCTGGTTTCTCTGGAGAATTCCAATCTATACAAGTGTCACAGTCATATAGAAACATAGCTTACTTTCTAAATATATGTACCTTAATATTTAAAGATAAAATGTCATGATAAATGTAATTAAAACATGTAAGCAAAAAATATCAATTAGATTGATGAAGCAAATATGGCATAGTATTTATTAATGATTAAATCTCAGTTTTAATTATATGGTTTCATTATACTATTTCATATCTAATTTTTTGAAAATGATAGTAAAATTAAAAAAGGCATACATAACCTTTCATAGTGCATTAATTATTTAGAATTTTTTGAATGAGAATAGGCTTTATATATAATCTAGAAAGTATGAGTTTTAGTAGCAAAGGATGTTTACCTTAATATTTAGAGATCTGCATTCAGGTAAAATCATGGATAAGAGTCTAGTCCAATTGCTTTTCACTCTCAAACCAGGATTTAGTCAAGGACTTTTCAATCCTATTTAAAATAAGAACAATAATCCTTGTCACCCTCCCATGTCAAAGGGGTGTTATAATGATGAATGAGCTCCAGGAATAGATTTAGCCTGCTGATATATTTGTAACCCATATGGCTACATCACCCTTTGACTTTTCTAAGAGGAATGGAAAATCGCTACATTTGGTATGCCACAAATTAAATTTCTGTCAAGTTTGGCTTTAAAAACCACTCTTCTAGCACCTCAGGTTTTCATAAGCTGGCAAAGAATCTTCATAGGATCCCAAGGAGGTAACTAATGTTGTAACACTAGTAGTGAATGATTTTGTGTAAACTGAAATAAAACATTGTTGGCATTTGAAAAAGAACTACTTTTTCTTTTTAAAAATAGCTTCATTAAAGTATAATTGACATAAAATCCTATATATATTTAATGTATGCAATTTGATAAGTTTGGGCACATGCATACACCCGTGAAACCATCACCATAATCAAGCTAGTAAACAGTTCCATCACCTCCAAAAGTACACTTATCCCCCCTTTCAGAAAAAAAATATATGTATATATTTTTTTGAGACAGAGTTTCACTCTTGTTGCCCAGGCTGGAGTGCAATGGCGCAATATCAGCTCACTGCAACCTCTGCCTCCCCAGTTCAAGTGATTCTCCTGCCTCGGCCTCCTGAGTAGCTGGGATTACAGGCATGTGCGACCACCCCCGGCTAATTTTGTATTTTTAGTAGAGACAGGGTTTCTCCATGTTGGTCAGGTTGGTCTCAAACTCCCAACCTCAGGTAATCCACCCACCTCGGCCTCCCAAGGTGCTGGGATTACAGGCATGAGCCACCTCACCCAGCCATTTTTTTTAAATTGAATCAGCTTTAAAAATTATTTGGCAGTGCTATGCACCCTATGTAAGTACTGAAACAACCAGAGATATTTAGTAGAGGGTCAATATTTTTAGTACTGATTACATCACAGCAGTAATAAGTTAATAAATAAAGTACAGAAAATTATTACTTAGTTGTAAAATTCCTTAACTCCTAATATCAAAAGGTATTTATTAAGTACTTTATATGTGTATAAATGTAGTGAAGATTAATCCAGTACATTTGCGTTAGAAACATAATTACACTGTAATCTAGTAGAGGATTTTTTTTAAGTTGTTCAATCCAGTTTAGATAATATTTACCATAAATCTTTATCCCCCATGTCAGGTGGCATTTTCATAATAGCCTGTTTAGGAAAATTCAGCTATTTTTCTTTTGGAATTAATGTCTGTGGCTAGTCTTAGAGAAAATTCTTGGCTTTCTTTTCATTCAAAGAGAAAAATAGCCTGGGTATTTATTTATTCTTGATTCCGTGAGCTGAGATTACATGGAGTGTACCCTAGGTACAGGGTTTGAAAATTAAAGGTAGAGATATCCTAAGTACAAATGAACTTGGAACTGAAGAGTATCCTAAACATCCAAACAAAATGATAGAGTAAGAGAAATTAAATTTTATTCTACTCAAAAATGAGAGGTTTTCAACAGAGGTCAGATTGAGAACAATGATTAAGAAACAAAAGCAGAAGAGACAAGGGCTTTGTAAACTCCTCCTCACTCCGTCAGGGAGGGTGCTGTTTTGGGACTAAGGCTGTGCAGATGTCACTAGAGCTGAGCGCTATGTGTTAGTTGAGCTGAAATACAGTGTAATGGATAAATTTCTTGTACTTAGAATGTCCTGAGAGCAACCCACTTGTAAAAGAGGACCTCATATAAGGAATGTCCTCCTAGGAAAACAGTATGTACCAATCAGGAGGCCTCTGGGTTCTGTGAAGAAAATATTTGGTAATTAATCATGCCTTGCAACAGGGTGAGAAGTTTTACTGAATGGTGGATCTCTGAATTGATATAATCTCAATGCTTACAGTCTTACTTTAGAAACTAAAGAAGTTTAAAAGGCCAAATTGAATAGTATTTGGCATGCAGCAACAAAGTCAGCAATTGCTAAGTAGTGTGATCAATGCTTCCACTCCACAATTTCAGAAAAAGAATAATCATTATAGCATACACAGAATTGACAATAATCATAACCATAATAACTTCTACTTGGTTTATCTATCTGATATAAGGTAAGTAGAGATTTGGTTATGTTATAGTGCTTCTAGTTGTGACAGCATAACACAGATCAAAGAAATTTTTTATAAAATTCATTGAATATTAAATATTATTAGGGTTTGATAGTGTTCACCAATTTCATGTGTTGAAAACTTAATCCCCAATGTGGCAGTATTGAAATTGGGGCCTTTACGAGGTGATGGGATTATAAAGTCTCCACTCTCGTGAATGGATTCATCCATTCATGGATTAATGGAATAGTGGGTGTTCACGGGAGTGAAACTGGTGTCTTTCTTTTTTTTTTTTTTTTTTGAGATGGAGTCTTGCTCTGTCGCCCAAGTTGAAGTGCAGTGGCACGATCTCAGCTCACTGCAAGCTCCGCCTCCCGGGTTCACGCCATTCTCCTGCCTCAGCCTCCCAAGTAGCTGGGACTGCAGGCGCCTGCCACCACGCCCGGCTAATTTTTTGTACTTTTAGTAGAGACGGGGTTTCACCGTGTTAGCCAGGATGGTCTTGATCTCCTGACCTCGTGATCTGCCCAACTTGGCCTCCCAAAGTGTGAAAGTGGTGTCTTTATAAACAGAGAAGGAAAGACCTAATCATGCATTCTGGCATACTCAGATGCCTTGCCACGCGGTACTCTGTGCCACTTCAGGACTCTTCAGAGAGTCCCCACCAGCCAGAAGTCTCTCACTAGATGTGATCCCTCCACCTTGGACTTCTCAGCCTTTATGAATGTAAGAAATAAATTTATTTTCTTTACAAATTATCCAAGTTCAGGTATTCTGTTATAAACAGAAAACAGACTAAAACAAACATTTACTAGTGGGTGGAAACAACATATCAGCAAACATCCCTAAATGATAATAATATTTTCGTTGCAGTTACAACAATGCTTACATTTGCATGTATAACTTAGGAACACATTCAGATGAAAGTCAGAAATCCTGACTTAAGGTGACTTAAAAGAGAATTTATGCTTATATATTTTTTTCATGTAGCAATTATATCTGAAAATAAGAGCTGTGATACATGAAAAAATGCTCATCATTACTGGCCATCAGAGAAATGCAAATCAAAACCACAATGAGATACCATCTCACACCAGTTAGAATGGCGATCATTAAAACGCCAGGAAACAACAGGTGCTGGAGAGGATGTGGAGAAATAGGAGCACCTTTACACTGTTGGTGGAACTGTAAACTAGTTCAACCATTGTGGAAGACAGTGTGGCGATTCCTCAAGGATCTAGAACTAGAAATACCATTTGACCCAGCCATCCCATTACTGGGTATATACCCAAAGGATTATAAATCATGCTGCTATAAAGACACATGCACACTTGTGTTTATTGTGGCACTATTCACAATAGCAAAGACTTGGAACCAACCCATATGTCCAACAGTGATAGACTGGATTAAGAAAATGTGGCACATATACATCATGGAATACTATGCAGCCTTAAAAAAGGATGAGTTCATGTCCTTTGTAGGGACATGGATGAAGTTGGAAACCATCATTCTGAGCAAACTATCACAAGGACAGAAAACCAAACACTGCATGTTCTTACTCACAGGTGGGAATTGAACAGTGAGAACACTTGGACCCAGGGTGGGGAACATCACACACTGGGGCCTGCCATGGGGTTGGGGGAAGGGGGAGGGATAGCATTATGAGATGTACCTAATGTAAATGACAAGTCAATGGGTGCAGCACACCAACCTGGCACATGTATACCTCTGTAACAAACCTGCACGTTGTGCACATGTAACCTAGAGCTTAAAGTATAATAACAACAATAATAATAAAGAATTCTGGTAAAAAAAAAAACAAGAGCTGTGATAATGGTTACTATGTGCAACGACATCAGGAGAGGTATCTCCACAATTTTCTTGGTCTTTTCCTTATGATGGCAAGATGGCTGCTCCAACTGTAGAAATCATGACCGTATTTAGAATATAAAAAAGGAGAGCCATGTTGCCCCAAACATACCCATCTCCTTTAGTAGGCAAGCTAAAGATTTCCAAGAAATATCCCTACTGAACTTTTCCTTATGTCGGTGAGCTAGAACTGAGTCACATGATCAGTTGTAGCTGTAAGAAAAGAAATATCTTGTGTCTGACAATGGGAAGCAGGATTATCATGCTTAGTTTGGATTAATCATAATTCATTGCTAGGGGCTTCGTATATTACTGCTCTGAATATAACCAAATTTCTGGTATCAAGGAAGGGCAGAGAAAACGGAGATATTGCTGAATAGGTAAGAGAATGCCATGGTTTCCTCAAATATCCGCTATATGTAGAAGGTCATTTTATGCTTATTCAACACAAAATCTTAGGCATATATGCCAAGCATGGTAGTACGTAATCTGTTAGGTAGCTAAAATATATGCAAAATAATGTTAGAGATAAAATACATTTTAAAAGTACTGGTTTACATAGTCTAGAGAATTAAAACGTAAGAGTTTATTTGAACATTTTTAAATTTTGTTTTACTGTAAGTTCTGGGATACAAGTGCAGAACGTGTAGGTTTGTTCCATAGGTATATGTGTGCCATGGTGGTTTGCTGCACCCATCAACCTGTCATCTAGGTTTTAAGTCCCGCATGCATTAGTTATTTGTCCTAATGCTCTCCCTCCCCTCACCCCTATCCCCCTCCCCTGCCCCGACTGTCATGGTGTGTGTTGTTCCCCTCCCTCTGTCCATGTGTTCTCATTGTTCATCTCCTTCTTATGAGTGAGAACGTGCAGTGTTTGGTTTTCTATTTGAACTTTTTTATGTTTGTGTTTATATAACTCCTGTGCTATGTAAAGGAAAATATCTAAAAACTATAAAACAACCATCGAATTAATATGATCAGAAAACCAATGTAGTACAATAAAAACAACAATGGCATAGTAGTTAAAATATACAAAATTCTGTAATATCCACCACTAGTGAGTGGTATGACTTTGGACAACTTCTGTTTCCTGCCTGGTGTTTGGTTTCTTATTGATAAGTTGTATCTCTGGAGTTCTAATTAACTCACTCTAAAACTCATGATGCTAATTAAATAGATATAAGGCCTGACCTAGATTTGATTATCATATATGATTCTGTTGTTTAAAATTAAAAGATGATTAAACATATTCTTTTACGGCTTAAATAAAAAATTATATGTTAAAGTTACTATTGAACTTAATAAATTATAATTGAACTTATATTAATAAGCCACATTAAACTTATTTTGTACTTCAAAAATATTTTTAGTGTAGCTTATTATGAACACTCAACTCTATAGAAGAAATTCTCTATATATTAAACTGAGACTTGCCAAATATTTAGTTGTTTTCATGTCTTAAAATATACCTGTTGTGAAAACAAAACAAGAAGATAAATATTATAAATTTAATTTATTTAGCATATCATACAATTATAAAATGATTATAGTTTTCCAAAACTAGAAATATTACACCTAAATTTTAATAATTTTCTTGTAGTTGTACTATGTTTTCAAAAAATATAGCAGATTTTGTGAAATTATCCATTAGTATTTTTTATACTTTTCTTACACTTAGGATTCAAAAATGTAGTATATGAGTCACTCTACATTTGTTACATTAATTAATTATGGCTAGGAAATATTTTGTTGCATTTCTAGAAGATATTTTTTCTTCCTGCACTCTCTGCCTGTTATCTGCATTGTGTGTATATAGTAGTTACATTTGAAAACCCATTTATAGTACGGGTTATAGTTGAAAATGTTCTTGTAGTTTAGCAACATTGGCATTATTTTCTAATGTCAAAAATATAAATAATGAATAAGGTGGAAGGAGTTGAATGAGAAGGCAACTTTAAAGTTCAGGGGTAAAAAAAATTATGTCTAATTTTATAAGTACAAGCATTGTGGCTTGTTCAATCAGTGCATTCAAATATATTTCCTGAAATTTTTAAGTTGTGCTTAATCAAATGGCTGTGGAAATAGCCCTTGAGCAAAACTATATGCAGCTTTTAAAATTAAGTCCTTAAAGCTATAGAGTCTAACAAGTAACCTTTAGTCAGCAAAGTTAGGAAATATTTGACACCTGGGAATTTTCTTTTGGCATTATTAGGGTTACAGGTATAGTCAAAATATTCATGTCAGAAAGATTTTTCAATGAAAATTCCAGATGTTTGACAAATGTGTTGCCTTCTAATCCTCTTTAGACATATGCTATACGTCCATTCTTCCCAAGAATTTCTCTTAAAAAAATACGTTAGCGTCAGTAACTACCTTGACCTAACAAATGATGGATAGAGATCATTTAGAATTTTCAGAAATAAAGAAATGTTGAACAGTATACCTATAACTGACAATTTTGGAAATACTATTTTCATCTCTTCTTAGTGGCATATTGCTGTGGATATTTGTCATTCTTTTGTCTGCCTGGCACCTATCTTTCAAATATTTCTCATCTTTGAGTTTTGGTAAGATGCAATGCCTCTCACCAGATGTCTGACACTTGATTTCCCAGATGTCATGCTAGGTAGGGTGTGGACCAATGACTTAGACTTCAACTTTTCTGACTCACTTGGCACAGACATCAAATCAGGAGTTGGTGATGCAAGGAGTGCCAGAACTCCTTTCTGTTGGAGGTTGCAGAAAGATTCAGTTCCTAGCGAATCAATGTCTGTGCTGCTAATGGTGGCATCTAAAATCTAGTACTGTCCATTATTAGTAATGCAAGCTGCCTTATGCCATCCTAAGAGGTGACTTGATCGGGTCTTCACTAGACAGTTCTGAAATATAATTTTGAGAGTTATTCCTGGTTTTATAACTCTGACACTTGTTTGTTAGTCCACTTGGTGCTTGGTGCTTGTGGTGGCCATGAGAATGTTTCTCACAGACCTCCAACTATTAAAAGCTTAACTGAGCAAGGGTATAGCTGATATGCTCTGAATTCATTACTGAATTTGTCCTTGCTTTCCAAAAAGGCTGCATCGAATCAGTGACTGAACTCAGCAACAATGGGTCGTCTGTTGGCCCAAGCTTTCTTTAGCCTGTATTCAGAATCCCCCATTTGATCTTTCCCCTTCTGTCCTTCACAGGCATGGAATTGCTGCAAGGTCTGATGGCTCTCCAAGCTGACCCAGATCCCTTCCTATTTTATTTAAAGGGATATTTTCCCTAATGAAATACTTGAACTTTTAATCCTGGTGTCTCCTTCTTGGAGGACAGAAACTAGCACAGAGATCCTGTGATTGAACACACATTTTTTAAACACATTTCTTTTCTGCTTAAGTAAGCCAGTGTTGGGTTTTGCTACTTTCAGAGCATTGAGGGATATATATGCATTGTAGGACCCTTAAAAAAATGATGTTAATTACTTCTGAGTATGACTGTAGTCACCCCTCCTTGCCCTGAGATTTTAATTTAATCAGGCATATATTAACATATCAGTGAAATAATATTCACTTAAAAGTATCCAAATAAAGACCAAAAATTATACAAATGTTCTGGTCTGTTTTAAATGTGAAGTACAATGTACAAAAATTTACCATGTCCCTTTCTACAAAAAGGGTTTCTTGGATGAGAACACATTACTTACTTATTGAACAATTAAATTTCTTCTTTAAGGATGACTTATCATGGAACAATATGTAATGTAGACAGTGTATGTAAATGGAATATTTCAATAGAAAAAGTCGAAACAGTAAGGTACAGTGTGCTTTTGTTTCTTTTTTATTAAGGTACATAACAAAATGAGCAGACTTGGTATAAAGTTTGAAGAGTTTTGACAAATGAATGCATCTTTGTGACCAATTAAACATGTAAGACTTTTCCATTACACTAAGTTCCCAGAGACACTTTCCAATTTATCTACATTTCCCCAGGGTAACTTGTGATTTCCATTGCTATAGTTTATATAGAGTTGTCTAGAATAGTCTGCAGACCGAAAAATTTATACAAATGAAATCAAACAGCACATCTTCTTTTGTGTCTGACTGCTTGAGGTCAACAAAATGTCATTGATAGTCAGCCATAGTGTTGCATATATCAGCAGTTTAATCTTTTTATTCATGAGTAATATTCAATTTTATGAATACACCAATTTGTTTAGCCACTTTCCTTTTACAGAAATTTGGATAGTTTGCAGTTTTTGTAGATTATGATTAAAACTACTGTGAACATTCTTGTAGAAGCAATTTTGTGGACATGTTTTCATTTTTCTTGGGTAATTACATAGGGATATGTCTTATGACAGACGAATTACTGTGACTTGGGATAAATGTGGGTTCAACTTTGTATTAGAAATGTATGAATTATTTTCCAATGTGATTGGACAATTTTCTGTCTACACCAGTAATGTATAAGAATTGTAGTTGCCCCACATCTATTTTTTCCCTTTGGGCCTCCGTTCTGTGTTTTAAATTTCTATGTATTCTAAATGTATTCCATCCTATCTCTTTTATTACCTTTTTAGCTATCTTTCTTTATATTGTTTTATAGTGGTTATTGCAGGAGTTGCAGTATACATTCCTATCTTATTACGGCCTGTCTTACGGCCTATCTTATTACGGCCTGTACCCCTTTGTGTACAAGGTAAGAATCTTACAGCATTATAATAATTACATATTTTACTCTCTTGCTATTATTTTTATATATGTTACTTCTTCATTTGTTATAAACTTCATAACATATGGCTATTATTTTTGCATCTTAATTTTCATCTGGTTTCAGATTGCCTTAATCTTTAGGCAAAAATGCTCTTGGCTTGTATAATACAAATATTTTTGCCTCTCCTTCATTAAACAAAAAAAAACCCAAGAGAATTGTACGTAGAAAGATATGTACATATCCAAAGTGTTCAATTTGATGAGCTTGACAAATGGAGACATGCATGTAACCAATGGTCAACTCAAAATATAGAACATTTCCAAATCCCTAGGAATTCACTTTGTGCCTCCATTTAGTCAATTTCTATACCTCATCAGGTTTCTCAGACTCAAGAGACTGTTGCTTTCTTTTCGAGTTCTATTCAACCGGTGCCACAGGACTAGAGTTTTCCCACAAGGGAAAGGTCATAAATATGTGGATCTCATCCGGGGAGATTCTTTACTTTTAAGGGTGAATCCTCTGTGATCCCTACCTGATTTTCACTGTACACCAGAGACTTCAAAATGTTTTATTTTCATTAGTCCGTGTGTGGTTTCTCATTGTCAGCTGTTAGAGAGTTAGTCTGTTGCATTACCAGAACTAGAGATCCTGTGGGGTAGTTTTTATTTATCCTGCTGAAAGATAAAACAAATATACTGTAGTTAGAGATATTTGATTGTGTGTAATCAGAAATGACATTTAAGAGTGGTGTTTCGAGGAAAAAAAGCATGCTTTCAAATAACAGGAGAAGAGATGACAGAAGAGGAGTAAACAATACAGGTCGGGCAAATATTTCCCTAAGCTAGCCCTAAACAAATATTTCTTCAATCCCCTCGGTCCTTCATTTACTAAATATCTCCTGAGTGACTCGTCACTCATTTGTGTATACAAAACTCTCAAAATTTGAAGACAATTTAGAATATCATTAGCACAAGAATGGCTATGGTAATATGCTATTCCCCTTCTATTTACTGCACCCAGTGGTTTCTAGGGTATTTGGAGGGAAGTCTAATAAAACAATTTTGGGTAGAGTCAAAAAGAAGTCAACACAAAATGGTTGTGTTAAAGCAGAGATATGCCAAAAAAAAAAAAAGTATCCTTTCTAACCAGATCATCCTCCTCTGCACCCAATTAAAGATTTTACTATGTAACACGTATCTTTAAAATGTTCTTCCTCCATTGTCTTATTCTGGCATTTTTCTCTGCTTATTTTATTTTCTCCCAAAACACTTGGGGAATGCTTTCTTTGCTCTTGATATGTAAAAATTCTAAGGTATATCTATTCAAGGATTTTGTGATGTAGTTGTTTGGGAGATAGTGAAACTTTTCCCTCTTATGCTTAAATTTGATTTAAGTCCAAAAATGTTGTCTTAAGTTATCTAAAATAATTTTTATATGTGTGATTATAATTTCTCTAATAAAAATATCTATATCTATAATTCTAAAGTTTGGTATCCAATCCCTGTCCCTCTAAATCCCCAGCCCCTCCAAATAGCATCCTGTCTTTTTGTTCTTGCTTTCTGAGAGAATTTCTTATTTGTTCTACATGATATAAGTTTAATGTTTTGCCATTTGTTTAGGCAATTTTGCCTATTTTCAGTTCAGATTTCGGTTTTTCTCTTCAGCTTTAAATTTCTGATATCATCAATTTCCCTTTGCAGCACATGCTATTTTTTCTTCAGGACTTTTGGCTCTTGTCTTATGAAGGTCAAGTCTTTTATGCTAGTGATGATTGATAAAAATTAACAAATACTTAGGAACTGGTATTACTTGCTAGACACTGTATTCTCCACTGAGTATAAAATAGTGAACTTGCAGTCTACTAGGGAGAAAGAGACATCAATAAAACAGAAACAAAAGCATGATTCTGAATACTAAGTGCAAGCTCTTGGGAGAAGCTACAATGTGAGAGAGCAATTATTAATGAGTCTAACAAATACAATTTATCTCAGAAATTTTAAAATGAGTTAATAGCAGAAAATGTTTCAAAGTAGATCTGACCTTAACAGCATAAAAGCCTAGAATGACCAAGAAACAACTAGAAAGCCAGGTAGTGTTATAGTATACAGGAAAGGAGTAGAAGAAAAGATAAGAGAGGTCAAGGGAAGGAGAGCAGATCAGGAGAGGGCTTGTAGGAAATTGTAAAAACTGACTTTTACTCCAAGGGACATGTTAAGCCTTTGGAGTGTTTTGAAGAGGGAAAGTGACATGATCTGACTTCTGTTTTTAAAAGGTCACTCTGCTCTTTAGGAATGGAGGAGCAGGAGTGGAAGATGATCATTATGATTTTTTAATGTTGCTGAGATCTTTTGCTGAAGTTTTGTTTAACATTTTTTCCATTCACTTTCATCAGTAAGATTAGTTTAATATGACTGTCCAGTGCTGCCTTTGTCTAGTTTGATCTCATCCTAGATTTGGTGAGTAGGAGTCACTGTAAGCTGGCTCCTGGGTCCTTTTGACATGTCCCTCTCACTCCTGGAACATTCTTATTCTGTGGCACTTCAAGATGTGCTAGGCTTGTCCTGTACTTTTCTAGCCACATCCCTGGAAACAGCAATTATTCCCCAAAACCATAGTTCTTAGTAGGTGAGATAGTACTTAGAAACCAAGGTTTTAACATGAGGTGGTTTATATTGTTGAGTCTTTTTTTGTAATTTATTTTTTCCAAAAAAACTTATATTTATAACTAAATGTTCAAATTTATTGACAAATGTGTTCATTTGGATGATTCTTTTATGTTTCTTAAAAATATTTATCTTACCTTTATTTCTTAAAGAATTTTAACTAGGCCTTTAAAATAACATTCTAAAAGAAACAGGTTTGAGTTTTGATCAACTCTTCTTTTTGAGGTCTTCATTTGTTTTTTATTTTAGTAATTTCTGCTTTCATCTTAATTTTCTCAAATTTATTTTGTGTTGATCATATTTATCTTCAATTTTTATTTTGATTTTTTTTTAGAGATGCAGTCTTACTCTGTAACCCAGGTTGGAGTGCAGTGATGCAATCGTAGCTCACTGCAGCCTCAGACTCCTGGGTTTGTGCTATCTTCCTGCCTCAGGTCTCCAAGTACCTAGGACCACAGGTGCACACCACCACCTCTAGCTAATTTTTTTTCTTTTTCTCATTATCTCGCCCAGGCTGGTCTCAAACTCCTGGGCTCTAGCAATCCTCTCACCTCAGCCTCCCAACGTGCTGGTATTACAGGCACGAGCCACCGTGCCTGGCCTGGTGTTCAGTATTCTTAAGTTGAGTGCTTAGAATATGTTTTCAAATTTTCTTTATATAAATTAATTTCATTATGAAATAAAAGAATACCTATGGCATGTATGGAATATTAAATATAATGAAATTGACAACCTTTTCTCCAGCAAATGAAGATTATTGTTGCTATTGCTGTCTTATTGATAAAGATCAAACTTGGTTGTCCATCCTAATCTCCTAGGGAGCTTTTAAAAATCCTGGTGTCCAGTTCAAGCCCATAATGATTAAATCAGAATATTAGAAATTTTCTAATCACCAGATAATTCCCATGTGCAGCAAAGTTTGGAAACCACTGGGAAATATCAGTCATTTGTTAGCTCATTCATTCTTTTCTTGCTGATTACAAGAACAAAACATTTTTGTTTTGTTTTTTGAAAATATTATTTCCTGTAATGTATGTTAAAATCTACTGTTTCTTAAAAAGACTGTCCCTTAATGCCTTTTGGGAAACTCATAAATTGTACATTTCACCTATACTTGTTACATGAAAGCCACAGAGTACTGTAGAAACAAGTTCTCTATGAAATCAGGGGTCCTTTGTTTAAACTAAGAAATAATCAGAATAAGGGAGAAAATTAGAAACCCAAATTTGTAATTAATAAATCAATAATTATTGCTTTTAGACAATTCATTTAAATACCAACAAGTTTTTGCTTTTATGAAGAAGAGTTGTTTTGGCAGGGGGAAGAAAAAGAATACATTCATTATAAAATTGATCCCAGATACATGAGTATTCACCAGTAAAATAAATTCACTGCGGTCTCATGCCAAGTTCTTCCTTTCCTGATTGGTCCTACTTCCAGAGTCTTCTCTCTCCCGTTCTTTCCCTTCCCCCTCCTTACTTAATTTTATTCGCAAATTCTTGCCATTTGGAACAGTTTTTGGAGAACAGAAAAGTGATGCTTGAGAGGTGAAAGGCAATCACAAACTGGCCTGGAATCAATTGATAGGGAGAATTCTTGACAGCACTCCCCAGCTGATTCCCAGCTGTACTTGGGATGCGGCTGCTCGGCAGCAGTCTTAGCAATTTGGGTCCGCTCATGGTAATTGGTTTCAGATGAAACCAGAACAACTCATTTCACACCGTCCTCATCCCACTGCCCGAGGAACAGAAGGACGTAATATAACATATTCAGGGCAGAATCCCAGCTTCATGGAAATCCCATCACTAAAATTCTGGTCTGAATTGGATGCGATTGTGTCCTGGTAGTCCCTGTGTGGTAAGAAGGATTAGTCTAGTGTTATTGCAGTGGTTAGCTGTGCTCACCCTGCTGCTCTGGCTATTACTCTTATATTTCCCTCAGAACATCTTGTTTTACACATACTAAATGTATCCCTAATCATGTAGTTAAGGAAAATGTTAGTGATCATATTCCTAACTTAGAAAAGAAATAGTGGGTGCAGTTTCACTATTGTTTTCACTTAATGCCCCCACCCCTTTTAAATTTAAAGCTTCAAATGAAAATACTTTGCAATAAATACTCTCTTTTCTTACCTCTTTTAATAAAATGAAACATAATTTCAGAGTTTCTTTAGTGGAGAAATTGAGTCCATTCTATGTCTGTTTTCACAGACTGTACATGCTACTTTCAGCTTCAAGTCAAGTAACAAGATATTGAGCAGTAGATATTTAAACAATGTAGATCTATTAGTTAACATAAGAAAGGATCTGAAGGTGAAGTGCTTCCAGGGCTGGTTAAGCAGCTGAAGAATGCTATAAAGAACTCAGGATTTCTCATCACCATCACACTCCCACCTCCACCATCTGCACTCTCAGTGTGCCACTAATGTCTGTATTCCTGGTAACGAGATGGTGTCACTAGAGCCAAACATCACACTTCCAGAGACCACTCAGTGATGGTCTGGTAAATGTTTAATCACCTTTTATCTGGAAAATAAAAATAAAAAGCGTTTTAATTTGCAGCATTTGCTGATTTTCATGTTGTAAATTTTCCCACCAGGGTCAAACGATTCCCAGGTCCAACATGATGTCTCTGAACGTGGAGCTGGGAAGAGATGTGCACCATCACGAGTCAGTATCTAAGTTGGTTCTGACGTACCGCTGGATGCCATCCAGGCAGGAGCAAGCTATATTTTACAATTTGTATTTAGGAAGGAAAAGCTTCCCCACAAATCCGTAAATTCTCTTATGCTTCATTGGTCTTGCTTACATCTCATGCCTACCCCTAAACTAATTACCATGAAAGGGACTGGAGTGACCATGATTGCTTAGAAAGAATAATCTGCATTCACTCTTCGGGGCTGGGTAACTTCCTGTAAGCTTATGAGAGAGAACATACCTGAAAAAAATTGGAGCAGTTCAACAAATAGGGAGGAGATGAGATGTACCTGCTGGGTGAGTAAACAATAGCGTCTGCCGGAGGCACAAAACCAGACATAATTATGTTCTTATGCACAAGTACACATGAGAAGGAATATAGAAAGGTAAGCACATATATTTTTACTCTACCTTCAGCATCTTTTTATGAGTCTATCATTAAGAAAAACACACAGGTCATTAGGATATGTCATCTTTTTGTTTGAGCAACTCCTGGAGCCTGGTCATGGCGAAACATCAAAGTCGAAGGAGATTACGAGCTGAGTTGGGTCGATGGTTCTCAGCACTTCAAACAGTGTGAATGGTTGGGAACATCTAAAATTCCAAAAGGAAAGCATTATCTTTTATATAAAACATGACCTTGAAACAATGTTAATATTTTTTTGGCTATGAGTACTTTATTATCTGCTGTTCAACAGCACCTTTCTAAAGCATGCTCGTCATTTCCATCAATCCAGATGTTTCCTTTTTATTTAAAATAGGAAAGTCTTACCCATGTAGATGCACACAGTTGCATTAAGGAGAGTAGCTAAAGATGATTAAGAAGGGCCTGAGCAGACAAAAAGAAGTACTGTGTTTTCTTGAGGTTGAAAGAAAATAAGTGTGTTTGACTCTTGATGAATGGATAGTTTTTTACTTTCCATCATAACAGTTTGTAGTTACTTCTTATTGTATTTTTAAAAAATAATCCAGTTTACTTTTTCAAAATATTCACATCTGTCATTCATTCTCCTTGCTCCTCCTTTCTCAGTACTTCAACCTCAAACACACACATACCACTCTATCTGTGAATGGGCTTTTTTTTCTCTTTCAAGGAGACCAAGATCTTAGATGTCTTTTTAGCTCCATCTGCCATTGCTCACTATTATTTTGCTTATTGACAATGCAGAGGTGACATGAGTGGTTCGAGATTCTGCACTTATTATGAGGAGAGATTAGTAACTCTGCTGCTTCAGTCTAGGCTAGTCAGGTCACGATTTAGAACTTTCACCAAATTGATGAGTTAAGTCCCTAAGGTGGGGAAATGCATGATCTTCTAATACAGGAAGAACTCTGTTAATAATGCCACCATAATAGTAATGATGTCTCTGCTGTCATACAGGTTACTCATGTTACACTGTTCTGTGCTACCTTTGCGTGGTCTAATCTATGCTATAATTAGCAATTGAACATTAACAACTGTTGCTACACGCTAAGGCCTAAAATAAGTTTTTCTTTCTTTTTTTTTTTTGAGATGGAGGAGTGGTAATCACGTTGCTCCCTGTCAGTAAAGAACTATAAGGGGTGAAGCAGGCTTGACTTGAAAGAGATGTTGGTTAGATGTAAGGAAGCAATGCTTTGAGGTTGATAAATCCTCCAAGAAAGAGTGAGTTGTCAATCATAGAAATCCTTAGAGAATAAGTTTCTTTAACCTTGATGTTTTAGACGTAACTTATATGAAGGCTAGAGGATGATCCAAAAGAGATGTGATATCTTCTTCTAGGTTTGAGTCTGTTCAGCGATGTAAATTTAGTTTCAGATCTACAGCAAATTTACAATGTGACCTTCCCACTATGGGTACTGAATAGATAAACTCCATCTCTCAGGTCCAAGAAAAAAATGGTTGCTTCTCTAGAGGCATTTTATGAATATTTAGATCCCCACCCCCATCCATCTCTGGTGCCAGATAGCCATTTTAAAGGATGTGTGAGCCGTGCTGTACAATTGTGTGAGCATTCCATAAATGTGTGATCAGAAAATAATTTACTGTTTATACTTTAGGTAAAGATAATGGTATTATTACCCTCATACCAACTTCAGAAGGCACATATTAGAAAAAAATACTTTATTTGTATATAACAGCTTCTTCTTTGCACCACTAAAACTTTGGATTGTTATATTTAGATTTCTTGTTCCACTACTTTTCTGTAAAGAAATGTCAATTTTGAGGAATACTTTTTTAAGTTGGTGCTCCTCAATGGCAAAATGTGTTTTAATAAAATGCAGGTAATTTACTCAATCCGTTAATTAATTTACAAATTTAAACTTGTAATATCTCCTTTGCTCCTATGTTAACACAGGTGAAATGAAGCATCAGCAAAGGATTCAGAAACAAAATGTAATTTACAGTTAATCTCTTTTAAGCATAAATATTTCTCCTCCTTTATGAAAACTGTACATAGCTTCTACAGCCTCCAGATTACTCAAAATTTTGAAAATACATGTTTTTCACCAAGCACACTTTTCACATTTAAAAAATTTTATATTCTAGAATAGTTTTGGATTTATGGAACAATTACAAAGATAGTAAAGATACCATCCCACACAATTTACCCTATTAGTATCTTCTGTAGTATATTGTGACATTTGTCACAATTAATGAATCAATATTGATACATTTTTATTAACTGAAATCTATAATTTATTGAGAATTCCTTAGTTTGTACCTGTTGTTGTTTTACTGTCCAAGGGTCCCACCCAAGATACCATCTTACGATTACTTGTCCTGTTTCCTTAGGCTCCACTTGGCTGTGACAGTTCCTCACACTTTCCTCGTTTTTGATGACCTTACTAGTTTTGAGGAGTTCTGGTTAGGTACTTTGCAAAATGTTCCTCAGTTTGTGTTTGTCTGATATTTTCTTATGATTAGACTGGAGTTGCAGATTTGGGGGAGGAAGCCAAGTACATTTATAAAGGAAATTGTTTTGTTCTACCTTCCCATTTTCACACTGCAGATATTGTTTATGTTCACAAAAGTACACGTTAAAGGGTCTCCTGGAAACATGGATGTTAACTGCATTGCTTACCATAAAGTTATATGTAGATCACATAGCAAAGTTAAATTCTCAAAATCAAGGATACATAACTTCAGCAATAATTTGCTTCCTTCTGAAAATAGTCAGGTGGCTATAATGAATTTCTAGTGGTGATTTCCTGA
This sequence comes from Homo sapiens, assembly GCF_000001405.40. NCBI lineage: Eukaryota > Metazoa > Chordata > Mammalia > Primates > Hominidae > Homo > Homo sapiens. The sequence goes on from NC_000007.14 coordinate 19,372,891, forward strand.
CTTCTCAATTATAAATCTATGGGATTGGAAAGGACTAATCCCAGATGCTTGGGAGTCTCTGTAATTTTCTAACTCTTGCTAGCCATGAAAAATATCTGTTGAAATGAAATCTTGCATGCCCACATAAACAAATAAATAAAAGCAAAACTGGTCTGATTACAGCAGGGCCCCAGAAGGACATGCTTAGCATAAATGCATATCCACTAGTTTGGTAGATCGGTAGAATGAACAGGGAGTAAGTATACTACTTCACGTGATTGGAGGAGAATTCAGTGATGTGTGAGGTGTCTAGTGTTGCAACTTAATGGCACATGGTCACTCAAGAAATATCAAATTCCCTTATAAACTATAATTTAGTACATGGATCTTTACTTGCCATTTGAATATCTTTGTGTGTGTGTGTGTGTGTGTGTGTGTGTGTGTGTATGTGTATGGAGGTGTACACGCCAAAGAAAATACATATAATGATGGGATATGAGATAATCATGATGAATAATTAATCTTATATTGTGAAATTATGAGAATTACTGTGGGTTAATATCAAAACTCAGAATAACCAAATAAAGTTATATAAAATATTTCCTGACATCTGAAATATATTACATTTTAAAATGCTTTATGAAGACATAAATATTGGTTGGTCAGCAGTTTTAAAAACGATTGCCTATATATCATCTTGCATTGAAAATGTTTTCATTGATGTTATGGAGTATCTTGTCAGTTATGGTATTCAAATATTAATCTCTACTCTCCAATACTTTAAACAATCCAAAACAACATCACTTATTAAGTTTATACAACAGGAAGATGGAAGCTTAGAGTTCAATGGAAAATTTGTTTTGTGTCCAGTGTATTAGTTGAGAAAAATGAGCAAAGTAAATATGTTAAGGCCATTAAATAATAATTCTAATACACTTTACTGTATTAATATTTTACTAAAAAGTTGCAATAATAATAAAAATGAGTATGAGACAAATTTTGCAATAATTATAATTTGTCTTTGGTATTTGGCATATTTGGTGAATCTAAATAATACATTTTATAAAATTTAAAAAATATTACATTTGATCATGAATGGATGACTAATAACTGTTTAATTTGCTCTATCATTTTATATTATTGTTTCAGGTATTGTTGTCTTAAGGCATTTTGTTAATAATTATACTGCAATTGGTTTAAAAATATTTTCAAATCCATATGAGGTAGGGAGGGAAAACAATTTTTCTTTTTTTTTTAGTTTACAAATGAACAAAGCAAAGCAAACAGCAATTGAGTAACTTCTGTGTATTACAGAGGGACTCAGTGGAACAACTAAGTGTCCTAAATCTCCGGTCGTAGTTTTTCCACTGAAGATCATGGTTAGTTTAGCTACATCTATTCTCTTTTAAATCTAGTTCCTTCCTTCTTTCTGTTTAGCTAAGAGTGTTCCTTTTTCTTTATATTTGAATTGCCAAGTGGCTTAAGTCAGATAAAATTCTGTATGTGATATACTTGGTTTTGAAGCGGCAAACTTTTATGTGCGCTAAAAGATGACAGAGTGAGGTGATGTACTATTATGTGTACACCTAAAGTTCAGAGTCACTGTAACAGCAGTCAGAGCTTTACTTTCTGTGACTTTGTGCCATGATTTTTTTTTTTTTCTAAATTTACCTTGGTCCTGGTCAGTATTATTACCTACGTGTTTCTTAGTTCACAGAAATAAGGCAAGAAGCAATAGTAACTGTAGTCAGGCCACGGTCACCACGAATAGTGATCCCAAACATCATCTGCATTTACTTTTTATTTATTTATTTTTTTTAGTTTGAAAATTTCTTTTTTTATTATACTTAAAGTTTTAGGGTACATGTGCACAACGTGCAGGTTTCTTACATATGTATACATGTGCCATGTTGGCGTGCTGCACCCATTAACTCGTCATTTAACATTAGGTATATCTCCTAATGCTATCCCTGCCCCCTCCTCCCACCCCACAACAGGCCCCGGTGTGTGATGTTCCCCTTCCTGTGTCCATGCATTCTCATTGTTCAGTTCCCACCTATGAGTGAGAACATGTGGTGTTTGGTTTTTTGTCCTTGCGATAGTTTGCTGAGAATGATGGTTTCCAGCTTCATCCATGTCCCTGCAAAGGACATGAACTCATCATTTTTTATGGCTGCATAGTATTCCATGGTGTATATGTGCCACATTTTCTTAATCCAGTCTATCATTGTTGGACATTTGGGTTGGTTCCAAGTCTTTGCTGTTGTGAATGGTGCCGCAATAAACATAGGTGTGCATGTGTCTTTATAGCAGCATGATTTATAACCCTTTGGGTATATACCCAGTAATGGGATTGCTGGGTCAAATGGTATTTCTAGTTCTAGATCCCTGAGGAATCGCCACACTGACTTCCACAATGGTTGAACTAGTTTACAGTCCCACCAACAGTGTAAAAGTGTTCCTATTTCTCCACATCCTCTCCAGCACCTGTTGTTTCCTGACGTTTTAATGATCGCCATTCTAACTGGTGTGAGATGGTATCTCATTGTGGTTTTGATTTGCATTTCTCTGATGGCCAGTGATGATGAGCATTTTTTCATGTGTATTTTGGCTGCATACATGTCTTCTTTTGAGAAGTGTCTGTTCATATCCTTCGCCCACTTTTTGATGGGGTTGTTTTTTTCTTGTAAATTTGTTTAAATGTGAGAATTGCTGTATACATTATTTATTGTTAGAGCCGCCATATATTGGGGTTTGTTTGTCATTTCCTAGAATATTAGAGATATCAAGAGAACATTTGGAAAACTGGCCTTTAGAACTAGGGAGAAATGATGGTGAGATAAGTTGTATTATTTTATATCAATTTAATTTGATAAAGCACATAATCAATGCTGACATTACTAGACTTTTCTGGGTTCCAAGAGATCATATAAAACTGTGTTCTCTGAATCTATATCAGAGAGATGAACAGATATTGCCTTCTGAATGGAAGTCAGGGACCAGGAATCTACTTCTTTTTTGGTTATCCTAGCTGAGCTATCTTTTTCAATTGGAAGTCACTTACTCTAGCCTTTAACTTGCTGAAGTGTGTTCCTGGCCAACAGACAAAATGGACTTCCCCACGGCTAACAGAAGTGCTTAAAGTTGAAACAGAACTATGCAGCCATAGCTGGGTGAGGGAGCCATCAGTAACTCTATGTTCTCAGAAAGATGTTGTGAAAGTATCATGAAACCTTCTTTTCTACAATCAAGCAAAACCAGTTCCTGTTGTCAGGCCTGGATCAGAAAGCCAGAACCTCACCCAGCTTCATGCCATCACATGCCCTCTTGCACACCCACCACTGCCCTTTGAAAGAAACATAAGACAGAGACTTCTGGTTTGGGGCTTTGAAACAAACCAGTCAGCTCTTACTTGCCCCAGCCAATCAAGGCTCAGCTGCACTGACCAATCAGAACTAAGGAAGATTCAATCTTTCATTTGCATAAACAGATCTGATTGGCAACCCAGGCAGGAGTTTCTTGCTATAAAACTTGAACCCTCTCCTTGTTTTCTAGAATGTGCACCTTCATTTTTACACTAGAGGCTGCATCTCCCAGGATTTGGTTCACTGAAACAAAATCTCTTTCCTTCAAATTCCTTGTCAGAGAATGTTTACAAACTCTTTTGCCACAAGTCGTCTCTATTTCTTTATCATTATTTTAATGTGATGGAAGTTATCCATCCTTCATGTGATATATATGATATATTTTGAGAAGATGAAAAGGTCCAAGGCATAATTTTCATTGACTTCCTCTTTCTGGAAGTCCTTCCTGCCACTTCTGTACGTCCATAGTTCTGCGTTTTTACTTTTCTGGTGTACTTCTCTCTTTTAGTTGTGTGGTGTAGTTATGGCTGTGCTTGTTTTATCTTCTTTCCCTGAGTGCACATTCTGATAAGATAGCAAGAGCAATGATTCATCACTTACCACCCTTTTTAGTCCTAGTCTGGTGCTCAGTGTGTTGTAGAAATTCAGTGACAATTATTGAAATAAATCTTTAACATGAAATATTATTTCAGTATAATGCAACTTTTGCTTAATGTCTCTCAATATTCAATATTGTTTGAATGCTACCCAAATCACATAACTCTAAGTTATCAGAACAGAAGGTGCATAGAGTAAACATCTCTCTGTGGGTACATGCCTTTTGTTTTTAGTGTGGATTATATTTTTTCCTCAGGATTTTGGAAAGCCCAAAGTGGCTTCTAAATATTTTAAACATAGAGACATCTCTAGCTTTCTGAATGATTACAAAAGCCATTTCTACTTAAATTAAGCCTGCTTCACGTGTTATAGTTTTATGTAATTTCTTCAGCTTTTTAATAGTCTATACAGTTTAGTAACTGCACGATGTTTAAGGTGTTTGGATGCCATTTGGAAGCTTCATAAAAGGAGGTCACTTAGAGTTCAGAAATGTTTAGAAAAGAGAAAAAAAATCTTAGGAAGGTTCTCTTTGGAGTTAGCAATTCAGAACCTCTTCTTTGTTTGCATTCAAGATACAATATGCCAAGCTAAGATTATCTGTTTTGAATCAGGAAAAAAGCAAAGTTAAAAACAGAGCAAAGTAAGTTGTGTCATATATAAGGGAATATCTCAAGTCTCTTGTGCTTGCGTTGTTTAAAAAAATTGTATTTGTAAATTTATGGTATTTTAAAGTGATGCGCTTACTGAGTTTGAAAAAGAAATTTATAAAAAGAATAACAGAAAGTTTCATTGCTCTGCCTAAAGTTATGGCTCATAATTTTGGAACATATGCTCTAAGCTGTGTCATGAAGTGGTGGGGGGGGGGGGTGCTTCTGAGTCATCCCCCTTCTTGTTTAGCCTAGAGAGAAGTAGAATTTAAGATAGCCATTTATGCATCTACACATACTTAAAATGTAGCCCGCCAGAGCAGAGGATCCATTGAGAGAAAAAGACAGGGGAGACGGAAGTGACCAATAGCTAGCTTCTGGCTGGATAAAAAATTGACACATAACTTCTGGCTTCCCCTCAAGTGGAGCTTTTGCGAGGGATTTATAGGTCAGATAGCTCAGCAGTTTGAGCTTGTTGCCCACCGTACCTTAACAAAGCTTGTGCGTGTTTGTACAGCTGGACTGGTAGCTGTGGGAGTCCCGAGAATCCCACAGCCCTCCCGTCCCTGTACCTCCCCTTCGCCATTTACCAGCACACAAATACACACAGAATGAAACTGTCTGACTAGCAGGTTAAAGGCCCACAATTCAAGCCCTGTTTATTTTCTTTCCTTGATTTCCTGCTGCTACAGTGAGTAAATGATATTTTTCCCCCTTGCTTTTTTTTTAACCTGTTTGTCTATCAATGTCTGCTAGGGAATGGAAGAAATACTAACATTTTAAAATAGTTTATGTGACACACGCTTTGGTGTACTATTTTAAACTTCTCTCCCTCTCTCCCCATCTTTCTCTGAAGCTCTCTCCACTCTCATCTTTTTCTTATATTTCGGGGAGAAGGAATTTACCCAAAGGAAGGAAAGAAAAACATCCCCGAAGTCTTCAAGTGTAACTTCACCCTGAGGAAGGGTGTTATTTTAATTACTGCTGAACCCATTCTGTAGGGAGGCCTGTAAATGCTTGATGCAGCTAGTAGAGTGGCAGTTAATATGCCTTTTGAATCAGTGCCACAAACTACAAAGACTGCCATCTGGGGAGGTATTACATTTTTAAGAAAAAAATAGCTGAGACTTTTCTTTAAATGAGCTTGTAAATTCCAGTCAATCTTAAGTTCATTTCATTTTTTTTCCAAAAAATTCTTTCATATGAAATATTTAAAATTGTATTAATTAACCAGACAAGGAACAGCGATTCTGAATATCAACGACTATGACTATACTTATAGGTTTGATTGGTGTGTTTGTATTTTGAGTTGTTTACTGTCATCTCCAACAGCAAGTTCACTAAATCTCTTTAATTTGAAAAGAACCAAACTGATGAAGAAAAGTTTTTTGCGTGCTTAATATTCCCGAGTTATCTTTTTTTCCTACCAGGAAAAAAGTTTTACTTATAAAGCAAAGGTAGTGTATTTATTAATTTCTGATATTTTAAATAACTGGTCACCCTTCATCCCCTGTGTGTAGCTGTTCTGGCAGATGGTGTAGGAAAGGAAGATTATTGGAGCTGGACAAAGCTGGTCAGAATTCAAGTCTTGCAGCTTAACTAGCACATTGTTCTAAGGCAACGCATGAAAGCATTTGGAGCCTCAGCCTCTTCATCTGGGAAATGGGAAAAATACCATTTCCTTGCCAACCTTACAGAGTTGTTGAGAGAACGGAATGATATAATGGCTGTCAAAGTGCTTTATACATGGAGACATTTTATATAAATCTAAAATAGCCTTATTTTTCCAAAGTTTTAAATTATCCTTGATATATGAGCTTTTCCTTTCCTTCTTGAGGGCATACTTTCATGGCAAATCCATAGCTGCTAGAAGTTACAAATTCTAAATTTCAAAGAAAATTCAAGTCAGACATCAGAAATTCATTTTTGTAAAGGTTACATTTATGTTGTGTCTCTTAATAAAATATAGAGGTACGCGAAATATAATGAAAAAATAAGCAAAGTATTACTTTAGTAGTCAATCCAATTAATCTAGCCGTAACTATTCAGACAGAGTGCCCAGGATCTTATTTCAGAATTCTCCAAGATGCCTAAACATCACACTCTGTTGACATTTTAAATGTACTTAGCAAGAAACCTTCTGATATTTATTCTTTCATTTGCTAACATTCCTTAGATTACTATGTCCCATGGAATTGCAAACTTACAGGTACTTGTTTAGTAAGGAAAATACACATATAGCCTCACAAGTAACAGACTCTGAGCTACATTGAACTTCATGTAACACCTTTGCAATTCACAGTATTCTGAGGGAACAATGGTTGAACAATTATTCATACAGGAATTTTCTTTGTCAAATATTTGAACTCACGTGTGGAAAATATTTTCCAGTTTCCTCTCTCATCTCCTTCCTCCTTCCATCTCCCTATAATCCTGGCCTATGGCAGTCTAATTTCAAGAAGTAGGCATCTCTGTAACAATGTTCTTGTCCATGTCTATATTCGAGTTCATATATCGTATGGATATAGACATATATATTTATTCTTTATCTAATCAGAATAAGAGGTGTTCCCAGAATACCTGCTCTCATCATTTGGATTATGATAGTGGTACTTTCTTCACCTGATAGTTTTTGCACAAAAGTAAATATTTTATTTGAGAATAATTAATAATGTTCTTCAATTAGAAAAGCTTAATGAAAAAAAACTGTCTATTTTTTATCTGCTTTTAAAAGTTTACCTGTATTTTTTCTCCTTCTTTTCTGCCTGCCATCTTTTTAATCTTAATAGTAAGTCTTCACGTGAAAAAATAAAGCATTGGCCAGGTGTGGTGGCTCACTCCTGTCATCCCAGCACTTTGAGAGGCCAAGGCGGGTGGATCACTTGAGGAGTTTGAGACCAGCCTGGCCAACATGGTGAAATTCCGTTTCCATTAGAAATACAAGAAATTGGCCGGGCGCAGTGGCTCACACCTGTAATTCCTACACTTTGGGAGGCCAAGGCGGGTGGATCACCTGCGGTCAGGAGTTCGAGACCAGCCCGACCAACATGATGAAACCCCGTCTCTACTAACAATACAAAAAAATTAGCTGGGTGTAGTGGCACGTGCCTGTAATCCCAGCTACTCAGGAAGCTGAGGCAGGAGAATCACTTTAACCTGGCAGGTGAAGGTTGCAGTGAGCCGAAATTGCGCCACTGCTCTCCAGCCTGGGCAACAAGAGCAAAACTCCATCTCAAAAAAAAAAAGCCAAAAAAAAACCAAAAAACAAAAAAATAACCCACAAGAAATTAGCCAGACATGGTAGCAGTGTCTATAATCCCAGCTACTCGGGAGGCTGAGACACGAGAATCACTTGAACCGGGAGGTGGAAGTTGCAGTGAACCGAGATTGAACCACTGCACTCCAGCCTGGGTGACAGAGCAAGACTCTGTCTCAAAAAATAAATAAATAAATTAATTAATTAAATTAAAATAAATAAAGCATTTAGCATTTAGATTACTATGTGATGGGTCAACTTAGAGTTTTATATTCGCTGTGTTCTGATTATTCATTAAGATAGAATGGCTGTGACAATTAGTTTGTTCACCCCATACAATTGTACTACTGTTCTTAAGGCCCTTACATGGTGGATCAGGCAGTAAAGACAAGCAGTATCTGTTGCTTCCATAACATTTCCATGTAGCCAACTTTGCTAATTGCATGAAACAAATTTACATGGTTAGGCTATTTCTCATAAATGCTCAACGTATACTTGTCCCTCAGCTGTCCTCTTACACTGATAGTGTCTTACTCTAAAGATTCTAAAATATCCCCAAACAATCTGCTTAATAACTACAAGGAGGTTGTTGAAACTTACAGACAACTTCTAGGTTTACACCAGCAGCTGAATACATTTATTGCATGTCCAGCTTAAGGAAGCATTTATAAATTGAAATCTTTAATGAGTTTCCTAACTTAGGCGGGAGAAGAAGATGCAATCAAGATGTATTTTTCCTGTGAAAAGTAGGAGATAGTTGAACAGTATTAGAAGTTGAACAGCTGGTCACTGTTTATGAAAACAGCTAGGCTCTTATCCATAAGACAGGAAAGAGAGTCAAAAGCCAAAGTCTCCTTTTAAGATACAGCTGGAAAGTTTTCAGAGTTCAAGGAAAATTTTAAACCTAGGGTAGATATGCCTTTTTTTCCCTCTTGTAGTAATAGTAAAAAGAAGAGTAAACCAAAAAATCTCAAGAGTAAAAATACCTTTATCAATTCAACAATTGATATTCTACCAAACACATATATTACTTTTGGGAAAAAAAATTGCAAACTTTTACCGCAAGTAAGAACAGGTCAGTGATGCAGACACTTTATAAAAATAAGAGGAAAATGCATTAAATGTAAAGTGGATAAAAAAGTATAAAACAAGAAATATAGCTAAGCATGACTTTCAATTTCTCTTATGGTCTCCTTAATGACTGAAAATAAATTAGAAACTTTAGCAGGAAGTACTTTTTTCAAGGTAGAATGAACAGCTTTCTAGATCAGCTATCTGTTATCTAGTAGATTCACTGAGTTTTATGGCCAAAGGGACTTAGAAAAGGAGCTCTGGATAGAAAAATTAGGAGGAAGTAGATTGAATGATTTATTTCTATATTATTTTATTGATAAGTTTAATCGTGATTCTTTCTGTGGCAAACATTTGTCCACTGTCAGAGAAGGATTAACCTATGTAAAACAGTTGAAATCAGATTTAGAGGCCATTTTGAGTAAGTAAGAAAAAAAAATAAGGAATTAAATACAACATCATCCTACAAATAAACTTCACTCCACTAGGCAGTTGTATTCTGGAAGTATCATATTACTGTATTTTAACAGGTGACGTGAGACTTGCAAAAAAATACCTGGTCCCCCAACAGATAAATATGAATTTGTTCAGAGCTATGTCCATACATAATAACTGGAAGTGCTCCATTGGATTCTTTTATTTTTCTTTAGGTTGCTACTAAGTTCTGATAAAACAATTGATTATTATTTTGGACAAGGGAATTTAAATTATGCATGGAAACATAAATATATGTAAGTTTTACAGAGAAGATAATACTATGAATTTAGTGCGTTTGAATTCAAAAGAAAAGATATCAAATTAAAACGCAGCATGAGTTAAACCATGGTTTTAAAAGCTTGCACACACATCTAGGTTTTCAAATAAATCAGATTAAATTAGCTGTTATTTTATTCTCTTCTTTAGCTGCTTTTGAAATATGTGGCAGGATTCGTCATTTGACTTAAAAAATGAATGTAGTTGCTTATTTCCTTTTCAGCTTTTTTTCATTACTGTAAAAACAAAGTTTTAGCAGTCCATGTCTGCTCTCATTTCATCAAGAACCAGTAAAAATTAAATTTAAAAAACACTTTGAGAGCTTGCCCTAAAGTTAGCAGCAATAAAGCATATGCTGGTCTGCATATAGTTTTAGTTTTCATTCCCTTCAAACTTTTGTACTCTTCTCAAAGCTTTGACTGCTATTTTCTTTCCATGATTAGATTGTTATGGCCACACCATCTACCTGAAGAGAATTATGATACTGGTTTGGAACAAAACTCTCCTTTTTTTGGAAAGTGCAGGTAAACAATGTGGCCTTTGCATTCTGTACTATTGATGAAACCCCGCCTCTCTCACTTTCTTTTCTTGCTACCATTATCAACAGTCCCTCTGCAAAAGAGGATGTAGATTTTCCTTATCTTTCCAATCTAATGCTTCTAAATAATGTCAGTCTTGGTTCACCCATGATGTAAACCACTCTAATTTCCTTTATAGACTTCAAATGTAAAGTTCATTTGATTTATTGGTAACTTATGTGCTACTCCTTTCACAAATATTGCACAGCCTTTGCCAGAGGATGCTTCCTAGACATAAACCCCAAATGGTGCAAAAGTGAAAACTGACTCTAAAAGCTGTTAAAACAGTGCGTGGATGAAATACGCTAGATAATCTTTTTTTTTTTTTTTTTGGTCAAGTGTAAATGAAGCAAAGCTTCCCTTCACTTATATACATGTGTGCATGTGTGCATGCACACGTGCACACATACTACTTAAAGGTTTGTAGATGTAACTTTTGTTGCAACCTAAGTCTCTGCAAACCTGTTTTCTTATATCTTGTCAATAATGCCATGACCAAATAATTAAAATCTTAGACTTTCAGAGTTAGGAACTTGCTTTTGGCTGAGTGGGTAGACATAGAGTTACAGAATGCCTGGGAAGGCTGTATGAAAGAAAAATCATAGGCAAGTACAAAAGCATATAACCTCAAATTAGAAAATAGTTGTGAAAAGAAGATAAAAGAAAAAAAAACATTTCTGTATAGTGTTAAGAAATCTTAAAAAGTAGCAAAATGCTTATCATGTGTATATATAGAATAGCTGATAGAAAGCATAATCCTGAGGTCCTAAAGAGCCTTCAGTAAAGCACAATACTTGTAAGCTATAGGTAATTGGTATTATCTATAAAAGGCACATAGCTCATCTTCCAACTTACGATGACACCAAGAAAAAGTTACCTACTGATGGTTGAAAATTAATATCTAATACTTATTATAGGCAAAAGTTTTTGGGAAAAAAATTCTAAGTCATATTAGAAATCTCCTAAGAGGGTAGTCAATAAAACTAAAGATTTAAAATTTTCTCTTGAGTAAAAACTAAATAAAAAATCTCACATAAAATCCTTAGGTCTTATAAAATATGAAACATTTATTACTTTTTCTCTGTATTATATTTCATTCACTATAACAAGAATTTGTTGAGTTAAAATTAACATGCAATGAACCTTAGTTTCCTAACACCTTGTGCACTTTCGGATATAGAATAAATTTTTTTTATTTATTATTTATTTATTATTCTTATGATTATTTTTTAATTTGAGCCAGTTCGGCAGAAGGCTGGATGTATTGCCAGGGTAGATGTGTTCTGCTGAGAAGCCAAGTACATGTCATAGAGAGTAAGAGGAACAATGGCTTGTAAGGTGGTCACATGCGTGGCTTTAGCCTTTTAGTCAGTAAATAGGGCACCACCATGTGTCACGTCAGAGAGGTCCATCATCCTTCCTTCTGTTTTAGCCTTGGATCCAACCTCACTGAGCCACCCTCAAGGTTAAATGGGCTTTCTGATACCCTTATAATCTGTTCTCTGAGCTACTAACATTGCCAAAAGCCAATGAAGAAGTAGTACTAACATTCATCAGAATTCATTTCTACTCCAGCACCTGTTGTTTCCTGACTTTTTAATGATTGCCATTCTAACTGGTGTGAGATGGTATCTCACTGTGGTTTTGATTTGCATTTCTCTGATGGCCAGTGATGATCAGCGTTTTTTCATGTGTCTTTTGGCTGCATAAATGTCTTCTTTTGAGAAGTGTCTGTTCATATCCTTTGCCCACTTTTTGATGGGGTTGTTTGTTTTTTTCTTGTAAATTTTTGAGTTCTTTGGAGATTCTGGATATTATCCCTTTGTCAGATGAGTAGATTGCAAAAATTTTCTCCCATTCTGTAGGTTGCCTGTTCACTCTGATGGTAGTTTCTTTTGCTGTGCAGAAGCTTTTTAGTTTAATTAGATCCCATTTGTCAATTTTGGCTTTTGTTGCCATTGCTTTTGGTGTTTTAGACATGAAGTCCTTGCCCATGCCTATGTCCTGAATGGTATTGCCTAGGTTTTCTTCTAGGGTTTTTATGGTTTTAGGTCTAACATTTAAGTCTTTAATCCATCTTGAATTAATTTTTGTATAAGGTGTAAGGAAGGGAGCCAGTTTCAGCTTTCTACATATGGCTAGCCAGTTTTCCCAGCACCATTTGTTAAATAGGGAATCCTTTCCCCATTTCTTGTTTTTGTCAGGTTTGTCAAAGATCAGATGGTTGTACATGTGTGGCATTATTTCTGAGGGCTCTGTTCTGTTCCATTGGTCTATATCTCTGTTTTGGTAGAAATACCATGCTGTTTTGGAGAAATAGGAACAATTTTACACTGTTGGTGGGACTGTAAACTAGTTCAACCACTGTGGAAGTCAGTGTGGCGATTCCTCAAGGATCTAGAACTAGAAATACCATTTAACCCAGCCATCCCATTACTGGGTATATACCCAAAGGATTATAAATCATGCTGCTATAAAGACACATGCACACGTATGTTTATTGCAGCACTATTCACAATAGCAAAGACTTGGAACCAACCCAAATGTCCAACAAAGATAGTCTGGATTAAGAAAATGTGGCACATATACACCACGGAATACTATGCAGCCGTAAAAAATGATGAGTTCATGTCCTTTGTAGGGACATGGATGAAGCTGGAAACCATCATTCTCAGCAAACTATCACAAGGACAAAAAACCAAACACTGCACATTCTAACTTATAGGTGGGAATTGAACAATGAGAACACTTGACACAGGAAGGGGAACATCACACACCGGGGCCTGTTGTAGGGTGGGGGGAGGGGGGAGGGATAGCATTAGGAGATATACCTAATGTAAATGACGAGTTAATGGGTGCAGCACACCAACATGACACATGTATACATATGTAACAAACCTGCACGTTGTGCACATGTACCCTAGAACTTAAAGTATAATTAAAAAAAAAAAAGAGAATTCAATTCTATTGCAAGGACATAATATAGGCTATTTCTACCATGTAACACACATTTTTGGTGAAAATATTTGCTAAAATGAGTATTAAACAGCCTCCTTTCAAGATGATCAATATTATATTTCTTTAAACCTCACATATTCTGTGTAGGTGAGTTTTGAGCAATATTTTAAAGAGAAAATATCTCATATAGTCATTGAATTACTTGCAGTGATATAGAACAGCAGTAACTGCCTTGAACAAAAGACAGTTAACAAAATGTATGTTTCATCTTAATGCTACTTCATGATAGGTAGGGAATGAATTTGTCAACCTATATGAGTATAATACTAGCAGGTCAGTTTTAAAGACCACTGATTTGTATAAAGACTTTCAAAGGATTAAAAATGTAAAATAAACACATATCAATCCACAAAGTCAATGACTTATTAATATTTTTAGAACTGTATTAAAAGTTCTTAATTATAATTCTTTCCTATGTTATTAGAAATGCATGTTATTAATTTGTATGTGCTTTACTTAGTTCTTTAAATGTAAAGTGTTGCTTCTAAATTTGTGGACAAATCAGCTTTTGCTTTACCTAAAAGAATCCCACACTAGAACAAATGAGTTCTTTCTTTTAAAGTAGTATAACACGGTGTTTTAATAAACATACACATTGTTCAATAATTTTCACAATGAAGCTAATGAACATGCCTATATACTTAAGACATACCTTCTTAGTGTCTCTGAATTTCAAGCATATAGTGCATTTTTAAAATTGATAGTCAACATGCTGAACATTAGGTCTCCAAAATTCATTCAACCTGTCTAATTGAAATTTTTTAACCTTTGACCAAAATCTCCCCATTTCCTCAACCTCCAACCTCTGGTAACCATCATTCTCTCTCTTTCTGAGTTCAACGTCTCTAAATTCTACCCATAAATGAGATTATGTAGTATTTGTCTTTCTGGGTCTGGCTTATTTCGCTTAGTATAATGTCTTCCAGGTTCATTCATGTTGTTGGAAATGTGAGGACCTTCTTTTTTTTTAAGGCTTATTAATATTTCATTGTGTACACACATACACACACACACACACACACACACGATATATCCATCCATTTATCCATCAAGAGACAGGTGGTTTCCGTATCTTGGTTATAGTGAATAATGCTGCCATGAACTTTTGATAATAGCCTTTTTAATTTTTTTTTGTTGTTCCATACATTATTGGGTTACAGGTTGTATTTGGTTACATGAGTATGTTCCTTAGTGGTGCTTTGTGAGATTTTGGTGTACCCATCACTCAAGAAGTAAACACTGCACCCTATTTGTAGTCTTTTATTCCTTGCCCCCTCCCAGCCTTCCCCCGAAGTCCCCAAAGTCCATTGTATCATTCTTATACCTTTGTGTCCTCATGCTTAGTTCCCACATATCATTGAGAGCATACGGTGTCTGGTTTTCCATTCCTGAGTCACTTCACTTAGAATAATGGTCTCCAATCTCATTCAGGTCACTGCAAATGCCGTTAATTCATTCCTTTTTATGGGTGAGTAATATTCTATTGTATTTATATATACCAATTTCTTTATCCACTTGTTGATTGATGGGCATTTGGGTTGGTTCCATGATTTTGGAAAATAAATATAAAGTGATAACATCTTTGATCTAAAAAAGTGGGCAAAGGAACTAAATAGGTATTTTTCCAAGGAGGACACACAAATGGCCAATAGGTATATAAAAAGGTACTCAGCATCACCAATCAGAGAAATGCGAATCAAAACCACCATGAGATATCACTTCACATCAATTAAGATAGCTTTTATCCAAAGGCTGTTATCTTTGGATAAAAGACTGTTATCTTTGGGTAAAAGGACATGTTTCATTTCCACATATTTGTCAATTTTCCAATTTTTCTCCTGTTATTGATTTCTATTTTTATACTATCATAGTTGGAAAAAAATACCTACTTTCACTCTGCTTAAATTTGCTAAGACTTGTTTTGTGGCCTGATATAGAATCCATTGTAGATAATATTCTGTTTTATGCTTGAGAAGAATGCGTATTCTGCTGTTGTGGAATGGAATGTTCTGTATATATTTGTTGAGATCGTTCAAGTCCAATGTCTCCTCATTGATTTTCTGTCTGGATAATCTATCCATTGATCAAAGTAGGGTATTGAAGTCCCTTACTGTTATTATATTGCTGTTTATCGCTCCATTTAGTTCTGTTAGTATTAGCTTTACATATTTGGGTGCTCTGCTGTTAAGTGCACACATATATATAATTGTTATATATGTGATGAATTGACCCCTTTGTCATTATATAATTACCTTCTTTTTCTCTTTTTACAGTTTTGACTTACAGTCTTCTTTGTCTGATGTAAGTATAGCTACCTCTGCTTTCTTTTGGTTTCCATATGCATGGAATATCATTTTTCATCCTTCGCTTTCAGTCTTGTCTGAAAGCTGAAGTAAGTCTGATAGGCAGCATATAGCTGGATCTTGTATATATTTTTCTTTAACCCATTCAGCCACTCTATGTTTTGTTTACTGGATAATTTAATCCATTTACATTCAAGGTAATTATTTTTAGGTAAATACTTACTATTGTCATTTTGTTATTTATTTTCTGGTTGTTTTGTAGATCCTTTGTTCCTTTCTCCTCTTATTTTTCTTCTTTTGTGATTTGATACTTTTCTTTAATGACATGGTTTGATTTCTTTATCTTTGCTTTATCTACTGTAGCTTTTTGCTTTGTGATTACTATGAGGCTTACATATAACATCTTATAATCTTAACAATCTATCTTAAGCTAATATCTTAATTTGATTGCATATGAAAACTACATACTTACTCTCTTCCCGAATTTTTACGTTTCCAGTGACACAGTTTACATAGTTTTATATTGTGTATTGATTAACAAATTATTGTAGCTCTATTTGTTTCTAATAGTTTTGTCTTTTAACCTTTATGCTAGAGCTATAAGTTATACACATACCACCATTACTGTATTACATATTCTGAATTTGACTTTATACTTACTTTTACCAGTACATTTTATGCTTTCATATTACTTTATTTCACTAATTAGAATCCATCTTTTCAGCTTGAAGTATTCCTGTTGCATTTCTTGTAAGGCAAGTCTAGTAATAATGAATTCTCTCAGGTTTTGTTTGTTGGGGAAAGTCTTGATCTCTCCCTTGCTGAACAGCTTTACCAGGCAAACTATTTTTGGTTGGCAGGTTTTTCTTTTTCTTTTTCTTTTTTTTTTCCTTTTTTTTTTTGAGATGAAGTCTCTCTCTGTCACCCAGGCTGGAGGGCAGCGGGCGGCTCACTGCAACTTCCACCTCCTGGGTTCAAGCGATTCTCCTGCCTCAGCCCCCCGAGTAGCTGGGACTACAGGTGCGTGCAACCACGCCCGGTTAATTTTTTGTATTAGTAGAGATGGGGTTTCACTGTGTTAGCCAGGATGGTCTCCATCTCCTGACCTTGTGGTCTGCCCACCTTGTCCTCCCAAAGTGCTGGGATTACAGGCGTGACTCACCATACCCGGCCTTTTTTTTTTTTTTTTTTTTCAGTACTTCAAAAATATTATTACACCTCTCCTGGCCTGCAAAGTTTCTGCGGAGAAATCTGGTAGCCATTATGGTGTTTCCATCGTATGTGACAAACCACTTTTCCCTTGCTGGATTTAAGATTCTCTTTGTCATTGATTTTTGGCAGTTTGTTTATAAAATGTCTTGGTGAAGTCTTCTTTGGGCTGAACCTGATTGGAGAGTTTTGATCTTCATGTGCCTAGATGGTTGTATCTTTCAGTAGATTTGGGGAGTTTTCAGCCATTATTGAGCTAAATAAGCTTTTGTCATTTTATCTTATGAAATTCCTGTAATGCAAACGTGTCCCATGAATCACACAGGCTTTTTATGTACATCCCTTTTCACTGTTCATTTTCTCTCTTCTGACTAGATATTTTCAAATGTCTCTCTTGAGTTCACAGATTCTTTCTTTTATTTGATTAAGTCTGCTGTTGAAACCCTCTATTGCCTTTTAAATTTCATTCATTTGTATTCCTCAATTCCAGTGTTTCTGCCTGTTGTTTTTTTCCCATATCTATGTTTATTTTTTCATTTTGTTTGTGTATTTTTTTTCTTGATGTTATTAAGGTGTATAACAGTGTTCTCTTGTAGCTTGATAAGCTACTTTAATACAATTATTTTGAATTCTTTGTCAGGCACTTAAACTGACAAATTAGTTTGTGCTTTACCTAAAAAACACCCCAGAGCACAACAAATGATATATCCATTGTATTAGAGTAGGCATAAGTTTCCAACTAGTTTTTATTTCATTATATTTGTGGGTCTGACTTCTAATATTTACATATTTGTCTTTCTTCCATCCATGTCTTGTTGCTGACATTATTAGACCTGTGTTGCAGACGTTAATTATATATGAAATATATGAATTTGGTTTTATACTCTTATGTAAGAACAATATTTCTGTTTAACTTCAGCTGGATAATTTTGAATAGCACTCAGTAACCAGCAGAGAGCAAGATTAATTTCAATATGACACTGCAGAGAGTTCTATCCTGTTGCAGGAAGTGTTGTTTTTGCAACAATGGTAGATGCCCTTTGCTATTTTTCTGTCCCCTGACAGAAATTAATAGTAAAGATCTTACAAAGTAATTTATCAACTACTTTTTAAATTTACAGTCGTACAAACCATATGTCCTCAGTTGAGGGAATATGTTGTGTATGATTTTGCATCAAACTGTTAGTGAAAGGTAGATTCTGACCAGAGTAAGCTCTCGGGAGTAACTGATCCGGGTGACTTTGACTTTGGTTAGACTCACTGAGGCCTGGTCCTGAAAGAAGCTAAAGGGACCTGCAGCAGGACTCTGAGTGATCCCACAAGTTATGTAAACACAGATGTAGCAGGCAGAGGTGTGCAGCCCAGCAAAGAGCCCTGGCCGAAGTCAGAGCAATTAGCACATTTTGAAGTAAAGTGCCCACGCAGGCCTCAGAAAATAAACAAGCAGTTTTGTGTGTGCGTGTGTGTGTGTGTGTGTGTGTGTGTGTGTGTTTCAAAAAGCATCAAGGTAGGCTTAAAATCTTATAAAGTATCATAAAAATGGGATGGATTATGTACTATTTATATCTCATAAAAATATATAGTTGTAACTCTGTATAGATCTTTATGTTTATCTTTAACATAAAGGTAAAATATCCATTTAAAAATGTACTTTCAGCTGCTATTAAGCATAGATTATTATTAATATAAATGCTACCAAAGGTATATATTAAAAGAATATTATAAATGTACCACGCTAATGCAAATGGTTAATAACACAGGAAATTATAAGTGGGGAGGGTTGGATAATAATGTATGGAAACTGTATGTTCTACCCAGTTTTTCTGGGAATGTAAAATTACTCAAAAAACCCCAAAGTATATTAATTTTAAAAATATTTTTAAAAACAAAGTAAATTTAAAGCCATAATTCATGATGGGATAAAATAACTCCCCCCAGTGTCTACTTTCAAAAAGAAGATTAGAAGTGCTTTGTGTGTATTCATAATAGAAACAAATTGCTATAACTTATAGAAACGCTTCCCTTAAAAAATGAGGCTGAAGTATACATGAAATACTTTGTTAAAAATTTAATAATTTATTCTTCCAGAGTTTTTGTGTAGAAAAAGGTAAACAATATGTGTGTATATATCTTTTCTTTGTGTGGAGAGGGCAGAGGAGAGTTTCATAGCAGTATTTTCTAGTGATAGATAAATAATATCCCTTTTCTTAAAAAGCTTTGGAAATGATGAACATATTTAAATGTGACTTAAAAATTGTTTGACTTCGTAATGTAAATAAGTATTAATACATACAGAATCAGGCTTCATTTTATGCTGGTGTGGTATGGATAATGTGTATTTTCCAAAGTCTAGTGCTAGAGAGAGAGAGAGAGTAAACAAAAGTGTGATATCCAAGTGAAAACTATTAAAGAGTATTTTCCAGTAGTAAGCTTTATTTCCCATCATTTATCTTGTGCCACATCCTTCCTTAGAATATAACTTTTGATTCTGTTTTGTCTGAGAAACAATAGCAAGTTGATTAGAAAGCCCTGATGTTTAAACAAAAAGAAGTTGAAGCCTTGACAAAGAAAAATATTCTAATTCTGTCATTGGATTTACAGGATCAGAATTTATGGAGGCCTGAAGTTCCTGGCTCTCTCCGACATAACTTGCATTATTTGATCTAACCACAGTACCCCAAAGCTGAAAAAAAATCAGTCAGGTAGAATTCACGTGTATTTTTTCCTTCAATGAAATTCATTGTAGAGTAGCATATGTTTAAGGGAATGTGTGAGTTTTATTGCAGGTCAGAAAGGCTACACTACTAATCCGTGATTCACAAAGAAAACAGAGCACAGAAAGACCAGTGCAAGACTGCTGGGTTGGAGGTTGGAAGGTTCTAGTATGTAAACCATATTCCAGTCTGATATGTGTGCAACAATAGGGTAATGAAAATGAAAATACTCCATGTGGCTAAAAGACAGTCTTCTTTTTAGAGACCTTAGTGTTTTATTTAGAGGTTATTGGTCAGATTCAAGCAAGGCCAGAATGATTCTAAGTAAAGGTGCTTTGTGAAGTGCATAAACCATTTGTGAACTCAAGGGGAATATTAAATAAATTTCATTTGCCAAGAAGTTAATCAGTCAACCACAGATCCTTATGCAATGCAATTTATTGAACACCTGCCATATTAGAAGAGCTATAGCCAGCCAGGTGGTAAACGGAAATGGCAACACTGCCCTCAAGGTGCTTATAATCAGAAAAAAGTAAAAAGGATGGAAACTAAAATTTACAAAGGCCTCCAATTTTACAGTATTTTACATGCACTTACAAAGGATGCTTGAAGCATAAGTTACATGCAACACAGTCACCACCAACCAAAAAACAGATACATAAATATATACATGATCAGTCATAGGCATTTGTGTGTGCACATGAGCGAGTGTGTGAACATGGAGAAGTGAGGCACTTGCCTTTAGTTGGACTAGTTTTAGAAAGTAGTTGAACTTGAAACAAATTTCTGAAGAATTGGTAGGAAACAAGGAAGACACTTTGTAATTAGAAGACAGAATTCTGAATGATGTGTTTGGAAAATAAGTGCTCTGTCAAATTGTAGTAATCAAGTAATTAACTGTTGGCTTCCCAATTCAAAGTATCAACTTGATTTTAAAATAATTGGGAATAGTTAGAAGGATTTGAGCAGGGAAGTGATGCAAATAATTTGCTTGAGGAAGTCTCTTCTGTCTTATTTGTAGGACAAATGAGTTAAAAGAAGCAGGCCAGTCTCACAGCTTGAAGGTATGAAGAAGACTGATCTTTCTAACCACATTGTAAAGTTCTAGACATGTCCCAAGAAGTAGGGTCAGTTTTTCTTAAAATCAACTTTATTAAGGTGTAATCTGTATGTAATAAAGTGCTCCTATTTTAGATATACAGTTTGGTTGTTTATGTTTTGTTTTTTCAGCATTATTGAGGTATAATTGTCAAACAAAATCATACATATTTAATGTGTACAGTTCTGTAATTGGTTATATATATACATTGTGAAATGACTACTATCAGGTTAACTAGAACATTCATCACCTCACATAGTTACCGTTTTTTGAGAACATTTAAAATCTACTCTCTTAGCAAATTTCAAATATGTAATATGGCTTTACTTATTCACAACCTCTCTGCCTATTACCTCATTGAGAAAAATAGGACTACAACAAATGATTATTATAAAAATTATGAAATAATAGAAATAGATATGGCACATAGTAGATACTCAAATGACTAAGCTTCATCTGGATCTAAAATACAAATCCAATTATAATTACTATAATAGTATATTAATACATGGCCTCAAAAATAAAGTGAGTCTAAAAATAAATATAGTTTTTAGTTTTACAGTAAGATTATCCAGAGAAAATTAACATTCGGCAAAAGCCATATGTTTATAGTATCATCCCACATTCAGAAAAAAATACCTTTTTTATATAATCCAATGTATGCCCTATTACAATAAATCTATAGTTAATCGGAGGGATTTTTAAAAATTTGTTTTCTGAAGTAATTTTATTTCTGAGAAAATCCACAAGGCTGTGAACAGAATGATTTTGAACAAAGTGTTCAATGTTTCTCTTCAACCACCTAAATGGACATTTTAATGCAATCTCAGTCTTCTAGTCTAATTTTTCTTTCCTTATCAAATGGAATCTCAAGGAAGTACCAGTCTCTTTTTATTGTTGAGTATACAAAACACCAACACAAATGAAACGGCAAGATTAAAAAGAAAAAAAAACTGAATGGTTCTAATGTAGAGCATTGTTTTAACTAACTTTAATCTGATGGTTCTTTGGGTTTAAGGATTTGGGTTAATTTACATATATATTTATGTTTGTGATATATAAATAAACAAGGAAAGTTATTTGTGTGGCCATTCCATTGTAGTACCAACTTCAAAGCCGGAGAGTTTTTTCTTTAAAATTTAGCTTCCCTTCTTACCTGTTCTGGAACTCTGGCAGAGTTAACCTACCTTCAGGAGTTACTATACTAAATGAGGTTAAGAAAGCAGCCTAGGCGGGGCAACTTATCAAATAACTTACCCCTTTCTTTTCTTTTCCTTCTTGATTTGTAGCTACATCAGTCCAAGTGCAAGTAGACTCAAATCTAAAATAATTAACAGGGATAAAAACAGTCACTTGCATTTACTCAGCACTCCACAGTTGGCAAATGCTTCCAGGTTTATTATGCTATGTGGTGTGGACAGAGCAACTGTTTCTATTACCATTACACAAGATTATTCTGAATTTAGAGCAGTTTGGTTAGATATTATATATAACAAAATTAATAAATGTTATGGTTAGACTGAACCCCAGATGTCTCCACTCTAAGAGCAGGGCTCTCTACCATTCTGTACTGCTGTTGGCAGAGGTAGGGCTTTGGGGAGAGCAAGCCAAGTAGATAAATGAAGGCCAATTCATGCTAGGAGGTCAGTTTGAAGCCTTGGAATAAGCCAATGCTCATTTTTATGTGTCAAGGTAAATACTAAGTTTTCAATATACATTTTTAAAAATGCAGGTACTTGAGATAGAATTAGGGGTAGAACCATGTGTAGGCAAACAGCAACTATCAAAGGTTTGAGAAAATACTGAATTTAATTTTGGTAGAAAATAGTGAAATAGCAGGTTTGTAAGTCCTTTTAAGACGTTAGAACACATTTCTATTAATTAATGCAGAGCTTTCAATACTTTGTGTTTAGGGCATACTATCTAAAT
The DNA here is from genome assembly GCF_000001405.40 of Homo sapiens. Taxonomy (NCBI): domain Eukaryota; kingdom Metazoa; phylum Chordata; class Mammalia; order Primates; family Hominidae; genus Homo; species Homo sapiens. The sequence continues at coordinate 19,395,409 of NC_000007.14, forward strand.
GTATTTGGTTTATTTGTTGAATTTGTAATATATTCACATTTTTCCAATTTTAAAGATGTAAGAGTAGATACAGCCAAAAGTTTATCTCCTAGATCTCTCATCCTAAACACATAGTTACCCTCCTGTATCAACCAGGGTTCAACAAAGAAGCAGTTGGAGGTAGTAGTATACATTTTTCTTTCTATCTATCTATCTATCTATCTATCTATCTATCTATCTATCTATCTATCTATCGGCTTACCTGATTGTGGGGTCTGGCTAAGCAAGTCCAGAATCTGCAGGGCAGCCAGTCAGGAAGAGTGAGATTATGGGCAGTCTCAAACCCACAGGTGGAGGCTTAAGCTATTAGCCTGTACAGCAAGGTAGTCAGGAAAGGAAGAGTCCAAGCAGGAGGGAACTCCACAGTAACAGCTAGAGGCTGTTGTCCATAGGCAGAAGGTCTCTTTTTCTCAGGAAATCTCTCTGCTGCGTTTTTGCCTTCTAGTGGATTCAGTCAGGTCCATGCAGAATATCCAGGATAATCTCTCTTACTTAAAGTTAACTGATTAGAAATTTTATTTATGTTTGCAAAATACCCTACCTGCAACATCTAGATTAGTGCTTGATTGAACAACTGGAGACCTTACATAGCCTAGCCAAGCTGACAAATCAATAAAACCAACACACCTTTCTAAAAATCTAATAATGTTATCAGTGTCTTATGTAGTTTTTTGGGGGTCAAAAAAGGTCTTTAACTGTCAGAGATTATAAAACATGCTAACATTATTTCTTCTAGCATTTATATAGTTTAATTTATCACATTCAAATCTTTGATACATTTGAAATTTACTTTTGTATAAGACTTGAGGTATGTAACCAAAAATATTTTATCCTAAGTGGCTATTTGTCTTTCTCAACACAATTTCTTAAGTAATTCATTTTTTCCTGTAGTGATTGAATTCCAACCTTCGGACTGCAATTTCCTAAATGTATTTGGGTTAATTCCTGGACATTCTGTTCTTTTCAAATTATCTGTTTATTTCTTCCTGCACTATTATCTTACACTTTTAACTACTATTGCTTTTGAATGTGTTTTAAAATGTGGTAGTACTAGGCTCTCCCATAATTTATTTTATTTTAATCCTTTGTTTTTAGTTTTCCATATGAATGCAAAAATCAGTTTGTCTGGTAAGAAACAGAAACATCTTTCTAATATTTCATAGAAGTAGCATTAAATTTATCAGTTACTTTAAATTTTGGGGGGGTTTCCTTTTATAAAAATTTCATTTTTTCCAGTCTCTCTTATAAAATATAGTAGTATTTTAAAATTTGCCTTCTATAGATCTTGTGCATTTCTTGCAAGCTTATCAGTAGACAAATTTTAAAATATTTCTATTGTTTCAGTTAATCATTGTTGTAAAAAAGGAATTTTCTCCATTATATCTTCTAGTCTATTGTGTGTCTATATGAAAGATATTGATTTCAGATTGTCCTTGCCAATTTACTGATTTCTCTAGAATTTTAATCTCTTAGATTTTCTATGTATGCAATCATGACAGTTTAGCTAATTCTATTTTTGATCTTGTATGTCTAATTTTTATGCTTCTGATTATTTTCCTAGTTGAACTCTAATGCTAATACTTCTTATATAGTGTTAAATGATTGTGAGGTAGTGGGCATATTTGTCTCAATTTTTACTTTACTGAAGATCTTCTTGGTATTTCTGCATTAAGCCTGAAATACAGGTGTGTGTATATATGTGTGTATGTGTATACATATGCACATGTATATATACACACATACATACTTATAGGAAATTATTAAAGATGATTTATCAAACTTCTTTTAGCATTTTCATAATTGTGTGATTTTTCTCTTTGGATCTACTTGTATGTTGAATTAATAGATTTTTTTAAATATGGAAACATCCTTGCTTTTTGGAAATAAACATCCTTTACATCTTTTAATATTCTTTTAATATTATGTTGCATTTTGTTTTGTTTTTTCCTGAATTAGTTATTTGCAAGAGAACTAATGGTATAGTTCCAGCCTGAAGCTTGGTATTCTTGGAACCCAGGAAGAACTGATGTTTTAGCTCAAGTCTAAAGGCAGGGAAAAAAAGCTGATGTCCCAGTTTGAAGGTCATTGGACAGGAGGAATTCTTTCTTACTCAGGGGAAGTTCAAACTTTTTGTTCTATTCAGTCCTTCAACTGATTGGATGAAGCTCATTCGCATTAGGAAGGGCAACTGCTTTATTAGTTAATTTCATCCAAAAATGCCCTCATAGAAACAATCAAATGTTTGACCAAAGGTCTGAGTGCCCCATGACCCAGTCCAGGTGACACATAAAAGTGACCATTACAAGCCCAGAGTTTTGCTGTTTTCATGTTGATTTTTCATGACAAGAGAAGCTGTGTGAATGCTCCTTTTCTGCTTTTTCTCTGTTTCTTACTGAGTTCCCAGCCTCTTTTCTAAATACATAGTGATCTAGCTAGACTTTGAAAAGTATAGGTTTAAAAGGATGTTAAATTATTAGCTTGTCTTGAGTACCCACGGATCTTGGTCTGGCCCTGTTCCTAAGGTTTGTGCATGAGGCTATCTGCAGCTCGAGGAAGTGAAAGCTCCCTTTCGTTCAACAGTGAGCCACCCTATGTGGGAACCTGAGGTTTTGTTCACATGACCTCATTGTGGAACTCAGCATTAAAACAGTGGGTAGAGATCTCTGAGGCTACTTAATAGTATGGTAGTACGTGAAGTTTCTCCTTTTGGGGTGTGGTATGTAGAAGTTGTGGTGACATTTTTGCTGATTTTATATGGTGAACCAACATGTGAGTCAATAAATGGATTTTTATAATTCACTTATGTATTTTCATAATAATAAGTGCCCAAAGGTCAGAATGAAGAAGCCACATCCTGCCTTTATAAAAACAAAATATCTGAGGAAGGATGTTGCCAGTTGAAATGTCATCTGTAGAGCATATTAAAGGCAAGATTGTTTGGAACCTGAATGAATAAAGTGTCAAAGAAGAATAGGCAAAAGAAGTGTCAGCGCTTGTCCAAAGGAAAATAATCTAAATTTAATGAAGTCTTAATGACTATATGCCTGTTGTTAGTTTTTATTATTCTTTTTTTTAAGATGGAGTCTTGCTCTGTCACCCAGGCTAGAGTGCAGTGGTGTGATCTCAGCTCACTGCAACTTCTGCATCCAGGGTTCAAGCAATTCTCCTGCCTCAGCCTCCTGAGTATCTGGGAATATAGGCATGTGCCACCAAGCCCAACTATTTTTGTATTTTTTTTTAGTAGAGAAGGGGTTTTGCCATTTTGGGCAGCCTGGTCTTGAACTCCTGACCTCGAGTGATCTGCCCACCTCGGCCTCCCAAAGTTCTGGGATTATAGGTATGAGCCACTGCGCTTTTAGGAAGAGCAATGTATAAGATCCTATTGGAAAATTCAAGAGAAAGATTAAAGAAAAGAAATCTATGCCTGAAGAACTTACAGTTCAGTGTGATTAATGGATAAAGGATGAATGTGTGAAGATAAGATTGAAAAGACAAGCTCTGGCTATTCCACTGAGGGCCTTGTTTGTGAAGCTAAGGCATGTGAAACTTCCTTCTGTTGTTAGCGACCCATCAAGATCATTAAACAAGTAAGTGACACAATTGGTGAGTTTTCGGAAAAATGTCACTGGTGATAGTAAGGATGGATAAAGGCTTGAAAAGAAATTTTAAAAGACCTGAACACTGAAAAGATTCTAGGGGCCCCTTTTATACGATTTAAAATAATACACGGTGGGCGCAGTGGCTCATGCCTGTGATGCCAGCACTTCGGGAGGACGAGACGGGCAGATCATGAGGTCAGGAGATCGAGACCATCCTGGCTAACACGGTGAAACCTGGTTCTCTACTAAAAATACAAAAAATTAGCCGGGCATGGAGGCGGTTGCCTGTAGTCCCAGCTACTCGGGAGGCTGAGGCAGGAGAATGGCGTGAACCCGGGAGGAGGAGCTTGCAGTGAGCTGAGATTGCGCCACTGCACTCCAGCCTGGGAGACAGAGCAAGACTCCATCTCAAAAAAATAAATAAATAAAAATAAAATAATACACAAAGCATACACAAATGTTGAAATTAAAATAACACACAATTTATATAATTATAACTGCTTTCCAGAGCTTCAAATTTCAAATTTCTGCATACATTCATTGAACCTAAGCTTTTCTCATATTTTATATTGTGTTTGCTTTACTGACACCAGAATAACATGGTTTTCTTGCCCACCAGGTAGTTGAGCCCAGCATTCCATGAGAATTTGAATTAAGGCAATGGCAGTGGAGATTCATGGACAGTAGGGAGATTAGGAGGTGGAGTTTAGATAATGTGGAAACCGAATGGCAGCGGAGGTCAGAGATTTGAAGGTTTCTAGCTTAGAATCATGGGCAGATTCAAATAAAAAGGTATAGGAGAAAGCAAATATTTGGAAGCATATGCTAAGTCTAAAATGTAGATTAATTCTTATTGCCTCACATGGAAGTGGTTTGCAAATAAATTTTCTGGTAGTAGAATAGTGCTTTTTTCTAAATTTATATGGACTAAAGTTATGTTTTTGAAAAATAGAAATTTAAATAACTTCTAGAACCGAGCACAAACTTGAGATTCAGGATCAACATTTTATCTTTTCCTCATGTAGAAGGTCTTTTGATGTCAGAGACCTTGGCTAGTTGTTTGAAAAAAAGCTAGCATTCATTACCAAACTGCATGCATTTGTCAACTGTCTATTATTGTTCAAGGCTATGAATGACTTTTATTTCTCTAGCCAATGCCGATGATAAATGTGGGTAGATGACTAAAAAGTAATAAAAGGAACTAACAGTTTCAGGGTCCTAAAGAACCTATGCCTGCTACAGAATTCTGAAATACTTTTCCTTTTTGACAGTTGTTTCTTTGACATAAACATACACACAAAATCTTTATGAAAGCCTGTCCTTTGCTATGGTATATGAAAGCATGTAATCCATTCTTTATGTACTAGTACTTTCCATTCTTTATGTACTAATACTTCTTGGCCTGAAATTATATTGGAAAATGCCAGTATTAAATAAAATAATGAAGTATTAATTATTCTTGCCTTGTTGCTGATCATAGTATGCTTTGGAATGTTGTTAATGAATATTAGCAAAAGTAAGAGAAGACATTCAGACTGATTTAGGATGAGTTCTGATGTAGAAACATAGCTTTTCTTTTCTCCTCCTTCTCCTTCTCTTTCTCTTCCTTCCCCTCTTTATCATCTTCTCTTTCTCCTCTCCCTTGGGTATTGAATACAAAAATAAAAAGGCAAATGGAGCTTACTTCTTAGGTTCTTATAGTTGGCAATCTGACTGTCTCCTGACATAGTCTTTCTTTTGGCTTTGGGAAAATATCAGCATGAAGAGGGTGACCCTGTGCACTTGTTTTAGATGAAGGTAAACAGAAGACGATATTACTTGCCTGAATGGAGTAGACTATCCCATGGAGGAGAATAATAGCTGTCTTCTAGTTTTTGTTTTTCTAAAAAGACCAGTGAAGACTTAAAAGGAGAAAGAACTGGAGAGGAGGGTGAAAGATGATTACCTTAAGGATTAGAGCTGTTACCCTGGTGAAGTCTGCAAATACTGTTTCTAAGCGATAGGCTGAATGTCTCTTAAATGAAATGAATTACGACCAAGGGATTAGCAGTAAATCTTTACAAGAAAATATCTCTCAGTTAGTTATTCATTATGATGGTATGATTTCAATAAGAATGGATATTGTTTCAGTCATTAACCATGCTCAGATAAATATTATTTTAAAAGATCGGTAGAAATACATCACTTTCTGAAAAAGTTCAAATTTCTCATTTCATCACAAATTCAGCTATGTTAGCTAACATAAAATCATCAAAACTGATTCTTTTAATGAAAAAAACTGCATTCTTCCTGCTCTTTTTAGTGACCTTACAAATAGAAATATTTTAAACATTTACGTAACATGTACTAGATATAGGAGGTTTTATAGATGCCTTGTACAATGCTATAATACTCTTGGCATTTTTTATTTTAAAAAAGTAATCAGAAACACATTGGGAGCTCAAGAAATAGTATATATGCTTCAGGTTAACGTGGTAATGGCTCTGGCCTTTAACCCTGATGCAACTGTTCTATCCTAACAGCTCTTTGTGAAAGGATACCAAATACTGAAGAAATTGGAAAGGTTAACAAAGTTAGTGGACAAAATAAACTTGATACTGAGAATGAACTTTCACATGCAGCAAAAAAATAAACAGTATTCTCTTAGGCTAGTCTTCAAAGGATGTTTAAGATGCCTATATGCTTCTCAGTGCTAAGTTCGTCCTCTCTTTTGAGGAGAATTATTTATACAAAGGGTTACCAAATTCATAGTGAGTCAATGATTGCAAATTCATAAGAACTAAAAATGTATGGGATCATTTGAAAACAATTGATAACTGGCTGCCACTGGGGTGGCAATAATACCTGAGAACTTGCCATTTTTCCAGTCATTTTCATGACATCCAAGTGTAAGAGGTATTCTCAAGCTCTACGTAGAACTGAGTGAATTATTTTCCTTCATAATTTACAGAATTTGGGCCCAAAATATAACCTGAATTGTTGGCAGCTACAAAGTAATATAAAGCCTGACTTCTGTTACTGACACATTTTTAAAGTTCACAGCTTAGGCTGACTCTACAATGGGAATTACATATCAGATTACTTTTCTTTTTTTTATTATTTATTTATTTATTTATTTATTTTTATTATTATACTTTAAGTTTTAGGGTACATGTGCACATTGTGCAGATTACTTTTCTATTGTAGAAACAGTAAAGAACACTCTTACTATAAAGCTCTTTGTGTGATCAGCTAAAAACAGTGTGGAAAGACCATTAAAAATACACTGAAAAGGTAAAGGTATTTTTTTACTTGTTTCTGCATGCCATCTAAGTAGTTTCATTGGTATTTTCTAAAAGCCACACATCACCCTGAAGATGTAAAGATGGTTTCTCTCTACTGCACACAAGTGCCCCTTAAAAGAAATACCCCAGACCAAAACTCAACAAAGCAGTCTGAATGTTATTATTATTATTATTTTTGTAATGAGAAGTACAGGTTAGGGACTTCCCCCCATCAAGAAAATAATGTTTACATGTAAGAAAAAGGAAAGGACAGACAAGATTGGTCATATCTGGTTTTGCATTTAAAAATCCAATCCTTGATGGCTTAAAAAATAAAATTTCAGGTGGTCTTATTTTTTAACTCAACAAAGTTCCAGTTGTTATACAACTCGTCTTATTAATTTATTGTTGGGTTCTGCAAAAGCTTCTCCATTTTGCCAGTCTTCCAAAGTATTGGTTGATGTGGCTAGCAGTCTTTCAGAAAACACCAGGATTAACAGGGTATTTGCACACCTGCAAAGCTCATTTAATGACTGAAATTGCAAATGCTGCACAAGTAAAACAAAAAAAATGTATATTTTAAGTTATTTTAGTGACCACAGCTATATAACATTATTCATAAAACCAAACATGCATGTCTATATATTATGTATTTCAAGATGTAGTTCTGATTGATTATTATCCCATGTCAAATATTTTGATTTGCTGGAAGAAATGACAAAAATCCTTAAGAAAAATGGGCAAATTTATAAGGAAATACCTAAACAGCAAAAGCATTAAGCAAAGACCCTACTAATCTTGGGAGTCCTAAAGTCAAGGAACAAATGAAAGCAGACAAGAATCAAGAACAACAAGGCGGGTTATTTTTCTAAGGACTTGCATTTTGATGCATTACCATGCATACTTAGACTACACAAATTAACTTCCCTGGGAGGTATTCTCTGGATGCTCACCCACTTTTCAGATGTGTGCATTTTTTTTCAAACTGGCATTTGATTGTTAAGTTTTCCTCAAGAGATTCTCATTTTGATGATTTCTAGTTTTCTTGAAAATGCTCTTTTTTCATAAAATCATTTTAACTGAGGGCTGAGCTTTCACCCTGACTTAGTATGGTGACCTGAGGTTGAGAGGGATTATATATTCAGGACTGAAATTATAACCTGAGCAATAAATATCATATAGAAATTCTACCCACGTTTCACTTCTAAAGCTCGTAGCAGACTTATCTAATTGATTAGGGAACTAGACATAGCTTGAGAATCTTCCACAAGTCCTTGTTCAAGGCAGCCACCATTAAGTTCTTGGTTCAAATGATGAAATCTATTTGGCATTCCACATTAGATTTATATTCTAAGCTTTAATATCTACTCTTTCTCTTCTCTTCATTGGAGATGATAACATTTACTTACTGCTTCACTGACATAAGAACCAGCCCTCGAGAAGAATATACAGAGGTATAGTGCAACTTTTTCTTCTAAAGCTATTGAACTATGGTAAACATCCTATGACTAAAAGAGACTTTAACAGAATTTCCCTAAGAGATTATAATCTTTTATTTATTTATTTTTTGAGATAGGGGCTTGCTGTGTCATCTAGGCTAGAGTGCAGTGCAGTAGCACAATCTTGGCTCACTGCAGCTTTGACTTCCCGGGCTCAAGCAGTCCTCCCACTTTAGCCTCCCAAGTAGCTAGGACCACATGTGCTTGCCACCAGGCCCAGCTAATTTTTATATTTTTTGTAGAGACAGGGTTTCCTCATGTTTCCCAGACTGGTCTTGAACCCTGGTCTCAATCCTGCCTGCGTCAGCCTCCTAAAATGCTGGGATTACAGGCATGAGCCACCACGCCTGGCCTATAATCTGTTTTATTTCTAAGTCACCGTTGCTCATCCTACGTTCATTCTTACAAAATGAGTTAACTATATTATTGAGTTAATCCAAAATGGAATTTTTTTATTTTTTATTTTTTTTTTTGAGATGGAGTCTCGCTCTGTTGCCCAGGCTGGAGTGCAGTGGCACCATCTCGGCTCACTGCAAGCTCTGCCTCCTGGGTTCATGCCATTCACCTGCGTCAGCCTCCCGAGTAGCTGGGATTACAGGCGTCCACCGCCAAGCCCAGCTAATTTTTTCTTTTTTTTTTTTAGTAGAGACGGGGTTTCACCGTGTTAGCCAGGATGCTCTCGATCTCCTGACCTCCTGATCCGCCCGCCTCGGCCTCCCAAAGTGCTAGGATTACAGGCGTGAGCCACCGTGCCCAGCCCAAAATGGAAATTTTTAGGAAGTTAGGTTTTGCTTGTGAAAGTGATCATACGCTGTCCTACCACTATCATTTTACTGTGGGTGCAGGAAAAGAAGAAATAAGATTTGCTCCTTAATAGATAAGCTTGGTGTTATTGACTTTAAAATGAAAATTATCCTTAAAAACCTTAAAAATCACAGCTTGCTAAATATTAGTAACTAATGCACTCACTGCTCTCTTTATATATATTTTTCAAAATGTAAAGAATTTGCTACTTAACTTTCAGCTTTATTTGAAAACTAATTTTCAACTCAGAAAACCTGTGGGTTTTGTACATTTTCAGTATAAGAGAATGGGTACTAAGTTACAGTTAGAGGCTTTAAATAAGTGGAGATTCCCATTTTGAGTGGGTGTGAGGGCACATCTGCAAATTGTAGTCCTGATTCAACTTCAGTCTGTGTTTTCCTCAGTGTGACTCATTCAGTCATCACCCAGGCTGTGTGATTACTGACTCCGAAGTATGTGAAACACTCAAACAGTTGGGATTCCTTTTGGAGCATATACAAACAACTTAAATCTTCCAATTCAGATTATGTGGTTGGGCTTAAGACCGTTATGAAGGCGGGGAGGAAAAACCTGAAGGCTGTTTGTGGCTACAGGGTGTGGTGTTGTGGGGTTGGTGGCAGAGATCTGTGGTGTTAGTTAATACAGGAAGATACTCAAGTTACATTCAGTGTAACATACCAAACTTGCAAATTCTGTCTCCCTCCCTCTCTTTCTTTCAGGAGTAGTTGCCAGCAACCTTCCTGCCAACTTGGCCCAAGGTAGGTTACTTTAGGTACACTAGAAAACCAATTTCTCTGCAGTTTTTCATCCTTATCAAACTCACCTAAAGTCTAAAGAAAAACTCTTTCTGATTATAGATATTTGTTTCAATCAGTTTTATAGGAACGGCAGTCTCTGCTCATCTCTCCTTCCTGAAATTCTAGAACTCTTTAAACACAATTGCCACAAAATTGCCATGGAAGGAAACCTTTCATCACTTTTTAAATTATTGTCTCCATTTTTCAATTCTTTGGATGTTAAAAATTGGGATATAATTTGCATACCATGATATTCACTGTTTTAAAGTGTACATGTCAGTGGTTTTTAGCTTTTATTCACAGAGTTGTGCAACCATTATCATTATCTCATTCCAGAACATGTTCGTCACCCAGAAAAGAAACCCCATACCCGTTAGCCATCACTTCCCATTCTTCCCTCTTTCTAGCTCCTGGCAACTCCTAATCTATTTTCTGTCTTTATGGATATGCCTATTCTGGACATTTCATATAATTGGAAATAAAATGTGTGGCCATTTGTGACTGGCTTCTTTCACTAGGCATAATATTTTCAAGATTCATCTATGGGTGAATAATTTTCTATTTTATGGATATACCACATTTTATTTATCCATTTATTGTTTGATGGACATCTGATCAGGAAATGAATTCCTTCCTCTTTTCTTCTTTTCTTATTTCTCTCATTTTGCTTCATATTATTCCAGTTTTTGTTAACTTTGTGATATTTGTTACAGGTTATTTGATTCCACATATGGAAAATCCTAGTCTTGCTTTCTGAACTAAAGCTCTCAAACTTTAATGTGCATACAACCACATAGGGCTCTTTTTAAAATGCAGACTCTTTAATAAGACAGGATGTGAAGCCTGTGATTCTGCATTTCTAATGAGTTCCCAGGTAAAGCTGATCCTGTTGATTTGTATATTACCCCTTGGACATCAAGGATTCCAACTATGCATTCCACTGAAGGAAAATGTTCTAATTATCATTGTTAATGCCAGGCACCCTTGTAGATGTTTTCACAAATTTTAAGTTTATCTGAATATTTTATTAATAGCTATTGAATACCTGACAGAGACCGTATAGCCCACAACGCCTAATATGTGGACTATTGAGCCCTTTATAAAAAAATTTGCTGACCCATGGTTTAAAGACATACTATATTGTGAAACAATTTAAATCAATCTACGTAGGCAAATCTATGTACAGCTTAAGAAATTAGGGATTAGAACTGGAGTAATTTAGCACTGTTGATGATCAAGAACATTTCATATGTATCACTTTTTCATGATGATACAACTGAAAAATAAAAGTGAAGTCAATATTTTTAACCATTTGAACGTGTAAAGTTTGGCTTGAATCCAACTCTGTAAATTCTGTGGATGTACCCAAGCAGCTGAAGGAGGCTGGAAAATAAAGACAAAAATAGTCACACTTTAATTTTATGATTAGCAAACTCAGCTGGACTGTTAATGAAGTATAGCAATTATTTCCCTAACCCATTTCCATCCCTACCCTTCTAGATGACTCTCCATGCTTTTTCTTCTCCATCCAAACCCCCAACACCTCATCTCCCATTCTCAATCTTAACTGATGACCCCTTCCTTTCTACTAAGGAAATAAAATCTATCAGAAGAGAATTTCCATTTGTTCCACCACTACGTCCTTCTCCACCTGCATCTTGGCCTCTACTCTGGTTTTCCTATTTCACTAGATAAATTGTGCTCTTGACAAAGGCCAAATCTATCACTTGTGCACTATATCCCAACCTCTCTGACTTACTCCGGAACATCGTGACAGCATTTCTGTTTTGCTCCTGTATCATCAAGTTTAGCTTTTCTACTAGATTTTTTCTATCAGCATACTAACATGTTTTTTTTTTTTTGTCTTAAAAAAAACTAAAATTTCCTGACACATCCCTCTTTGAGCATCTCTTTCTCTCCTTACTTTGATAGGAAATGTACTTGAAAGAGCTTTCTATACTTAGTCTACAGCTTTCCATCCATTTTCTCTCTAGTTTACCCTAACGGAGCTTTAATTCTTCCACTTCCCCTGAAACTGCTCTTACTAAGGCCGCCACTGACCTCACCATTAACATTTCTGGTGGTTATTCTCAATACTGATTTTGTCATTGTCGTGAAACACTCGTTTTATAACATATGTATCTCTGGCTAAGACCCACACTCTTCAATTACTGTAGCCATTTTCTCTTCACTCCCTTTTGCTATTTCCTTCTCATCTCTGAAGCCTAATCATGGGTCCTCCTCCTTTCTCTATCTACACTAAATCCCTTATTAAATCATTGCTAAGGGATGTAATACCACATGTATGCCTACAGCTTCAGGATTTGTATCTCCATCCTAAACTTCTCTCCTGAACTCTGAAATCTTAAATCCTACTACTCCCACACCATCTTCCTTTGGATGTAAAATGGGCATCTCTCAAACTTAATGTGCCTACAAGTAAATTATTAACATTTTCCATCACTCCAAATCGTCTTCTCCTTATGTCTTACTCAGCTCTGCCAATGGTAATTTTATTTTTACAGTTGCTTAGACCAAAACTATTGGGATCATTCCCGATTCCTCTTTCTTTCATACCTCATATCAAATCCATCAAGACATCTTGTCAGCAGTTTACTTAAAATACATCTGGAACCCAATCACATTTCTTCATTTCTACAGCCGCCATCCTAGTCTGATCCACCATCATCTCTCACCTGGATTATTGTAATAGCCTCATCGTGGGTCTCCCTGCTTTCTGCTCCTGATTTCCTTTCCTATTTTCACTAGAGCAGCCAGCGATTCCTAGAATACCACATCATTTTATACATTCTTCAGTAACTCTTCATTTCACAAAGAGTAAAAGCCAATGTGTTTCCAATGGACCACAGGGAACTACAAACTGTTCCTATGATTTTATTCCTTATCTTTCTCTCCTTGCTTGTTCTGCCTCAGCAGCCTTGGCCTCTGCTTTTTTCACAAACCTGCCAGGCACATCTATGCCTTGAAGCCTTTGTGCTCTCAGTTCTGTTCCCCTGGAGAACCCTCCAGATTTTCACATGGCTCATTCCTTCATTGTCTTCAGGTCTCAATTCCTTCTCTGTTAGGCCATCCTCCCTCATCTCTCTTCTTTGATTTGATGTTCTCCAAAACACTTAGGCACCCCAACCAGACAATATCTACCTGCTTACTCTGGTTATTGAGTCTGTTGTCTTAAAACGTAACCTCAGTGAGAGTAGAGATTTCTATATTTTGTTTACTGTTATATTCCCAACTCTTGCATCGGGCACATAGTTGGTGTCAATACTATGTGATGAATGGATAATTTCCAAACTAAGTAAAGATTGGTTTTGTTCCTGTGAGCATACAACTAAAGGCTTAAAACCTTCAACTTCTAGACAAGAGTTCCTCTGTCTAGAGCAATTTCAAGTCAATGTTATCTCCTCAAGGAGTGATCTGGGTGCTGTTACTTGTCATTCTTTTTTTTCTCTCTCTCTGCGAGATTAAAAAGACATAGTGCTGACTTTTGCCATCATTCAAAAACACTTCAAGGACTGTTACAATGTTTTCTGCACAGACGTCTTCTTATGTCTTAGAGTAACAGTTACCAGTGCAGCTCTGTGTTTGCCTTTGAGTTGCTTTAGCCAGGACAACGCCTGTCATATCTCAAAACACCCCAAGTCTTCTGATTAAATAAAAAGAAGACTTTATCCTATAGAGAAGTCCTCTTTAGAAAGTGTTTTGCTACTACTACAAGGAAGCATTGTTGATTTGAAAAATCATTTCCCATTTACAGAAAACAAAGATAGCCTTTGAAATCTCTGAAAGTTAAAAAGTCGTGTTTTAATGCTCTCCAAAAGGGGCTCATAGCTGTTCCATTTTGCCTCATGTGTGGGCTCTCTAATCTGTACCAATTTGTAAAAACTTTTCTTTTAGGTTCAGGAATACGTATGCAGGCTTGTTATATAGGTAAACTGCCTGTCACAGTGGTCTGGTGCACAGATTATTTTGTCTCCCAGGTAATAAAGATAGTACTAGGTAGATATTTTTTTCTTATCCTCTCCCTCCTCCCACTCTCCACCCTCAAGTAGGCCCCAGTGTCTGTTTTTCCCCTTTTTGTGTCCTTGTGTTCCTATGGTTTAGCTCATACTTACAAGTGAGAACATGTGGTATTTGGTTTTCTGTCCCTGCATTAGTTTGCTTAGAATAATGCCCTCTTGCTCCATCCATGTTCTCGCAAAGAACACGATCTCATTCTTTTTTTTGTGACTGCATATAGTATTCCATGGTGTATATATACCACATTTTCTTTATCTCATCTACTGTCAACAGGCATTTAGACTGATTCCATGTTTTTGTTACTGTGAACAGCACTGCAGTGGACATGCACATGCATGTGTCCTTATGGCAGAACAATTTATATTCCCTTGGGATATACCCAATAATGGGAATGCCAGGTCAAATGGTAATTCTGTTTTAAGTTTTTTAAGGAATCGCTATACTGCTTTCCGCAACGGCTGAACTAATTTACACCCCCACCAACAGTGTATAAGTCTTTCCTTTTCTCTGCAACCTCACCAGCATCGTTATTTTTATGTATTGACAAATGATGTCTCATTCAGAGTCCAATGGAGCAGCTGTAAATTTATTGCTAGCATCTGCCTTTATAAAATTCAGGCATTTAACTTCTCATTAGTAGGATTGATAGGGAAGTATATTTTGTTTATATTTATATATTTGTATAAATTTATATATTTATATTTGTCTCTGTATTTAGAGACTATTGGTAAACTTTGCCTGTCCCTAAAAAAAAAAAAGGATATAAAAATTGAGAATGAATAATAAGTCAGGCTTCCTGCTAAATTGCTCCCTTGCTTTGAGGAGCTTTGCCAGCATGAAGAGCCAGTCCACAGCAGCCCCAGATAGTGGTTTTTGGCTAAGCATCAAGTGATTAACATTATTCATATATAGTCCAAAGCACAAAAGCTGGCTATGTTTTATACTAAGATTAGAATTGTGTTGAGTTAAATACAGAATTTAATATTTTGAAATGTTACCAAGAGATTTGATTTTTTAAAAATTGGTGTGCTATGGATTCCTTAATTTTACCTAGAATTATATTGAACTCTAAAACCAAATTTTCGTATGCACATATAATTATGCAACTTCAGTATTCATTTTCAGATTGTCTTACCATCATGGTTTTTTCTGTCTTGCATCAGAAGAAGAAATAGACTCCTTTTCCAAATGTGAGATTTCAAATAGTGCCCATTGGTTCCTTTTTCTTATATCCTAAGAGACTTAGTTCCATCAAGTATTCCTCTATACCAGCTGTCTTTCTAAAGGATCCTTCTTTTCAGTCTAAAATATAACTGAGTCTTGTTCAATTAAAGCAAACAAGCAGCAACATTTTCTGTATCCTACTGACCCTTTATGCCACCGACAAGCCTCTCTTAATGTCTTTATAGTTAAAGTACATTTGAGTCATCTCTGAGTTTAATTTGCTAATCCTTACGCAGTCTTAAGGGCTACTTTTAAGGCCCATTTACTTAACTTTGAAGTTAGAGAACAGCCTAAGTAGGCTAGCTGCCTTGTGGGTCAGTTTGTTGTGAGGATGATGACAGTACTAATTCACAGATTGAAATTGCGCTTTTTATTTTAAAATCACTTATAGAGGCATGTGCTCACTTGTTATTGAAGAATCCTACACAGTCTGTGGCAAACAGATTTAGCTTATAATTGTTGTGGGGGTTTAACATGCTCTTCTATAAAAGGGGATATTTAAGTATATTAATGGAGAATGGCAAAAGGATTTTCTTGGTGTTTCCACGCTACAATTCACCTTAAAACGTCTATCCTTGTATTTTTACTATTTCTGTTTTTCCATTACTTATTCTTGCAGTGGTTTCTGTCTAGCAAGCTAAGGAAAAAATTTAAGCCACCTTGCAAAAACTTGCAATAATGTCTTACTTACAAACTGTTTTCGGTCCACATAGTCCCATATTCTCTAAAAAATTTAATGTTGTTAAAACCAAGCTTTCCTTGAAAATCTCTTATGTTGACTTCTATGTGTCTTCTTTTTCTTTCTCTGGGTCTGGCACGTTCAGCAACAAATGTTTTTGGACCTTCTACTTTTTACTCAAGTTTCTGTTCTTGACTCCTTATAACCCTTTGGTAATTTCGTCAACCAATGGAAAAGTATTTTGTGAATGTACATCTCTAGCCCGGTTCTTTTTCCCAGGTGCTAGCTGAGCATGACAACTAGCTGACTCCTTTATTTGTAAATTTCATATACCTCTTTCTGAAGTTACTTCTCCTCCCCATTCAGCTTTTTGTGTTTGCAATATTGTTCCACCACTCCCCAACTCATGCAAGCTTGATGTTTTAATCAACAATATTTTCCTAGCCTCCTTTGTTAATTCTACTGCTGTCTCCTATATCCCCTCTTTCACACGTCAGTCTCTTATAATCTATCAGAAATCATTACAGCAACTTCATTTTTCTTTTGTACCCCTAAATTTGTCCTGCTCGCATATATTCATCTATTTTTATATTATTTTATTTTATTTTTTATTTTTTGAGACATGGTCTCACTCTCTTGCCCAGGCTGGAGTGCAGTGGTGGTATCATAACTCACTGCAGCCTCAGTCTCTGGGCTCAAGTGATCCTCCCTCTTCAGCCTCTCAAGTAGCTGGGACTACAGGCCCATGCCACCATGCCCACCTTATTGGTTTTTTAAATAATTTTTTTACGTAGAAATGAAGTCTTGCTATGTTGCTCATTCTGGTCTCAAACTCCCAGGCTCGAGTGATCCTCCTGCCTCAGCCTCCCAAAGTGCTGGAATTACAAGAGTGATCCACCGTGCCTGGCATTCATCTAGTTTTAAATCATGTTTCTGATCATATTTGTAGACTCACAAACCTCATCTCCTGAAACTCAGCTTTGCAGCCTTGTCTTCTTGAGAGAACATCAGTGGTAGTCCCTCTAGCCCTACATGTCCCATATTTGTCTTTCCTCAATATAATTCCCCATAAAGACATTCCTGATCACTATGGCTAGAAGAGATTCTTCTCTTTTCTGATCTAGCACATAATGCAATCATGTTTCTGCATGACTTGCTTTCTATGTTGTATAATTGCAATGTATTCTGGTATTATAAACTCATCAAAGACAGATTTCAGGTTCAGTTACCTTTATATTCTCTATGGTGATTCTTCCAGGGCTTTATATATCAAAAGCACATGATGATTGGTTAATGAGTACAAAAACCTAATATTCATTATATTTATACCATAGTTGCATTATATGGTACATAAAAATTACATGATCCTGTAAATGAAAGATAATTCTGGATATAGCATCATGTAGTATAAGAGATAATAAATATATTCATCACTTGTTATGGGTGTATGGTTTCATAGCCTTAAATTTTGTGGGAGCCCTGTATATTCAATAAGGGACATTAATCTGAGTAATAAAGGATGGAGAATACCATTATCTTGGGAGTTTTCTAAAACTGCATAGAGCAATAGGCCTGGATTTGGCACCACAGGTCATTTCCCCTTTTCCCCCAACCTCTCTCCCCAGCCATTGCCACCAAAAAAAAAAAAAAAAAAAAAAAAAAAATTGCATTTGATGCTTTAGAAGTCCCAGGTATAAATCTGTAAAAATTTATCCCAGGAGCAAAGTACTACTAGACATTATGGTGCTCAATGTCATTACATAACATACTGTTAAATGATATGGTATTTGTTGTATATTCTGTGTTATTTTCAAGAGTTATATATTATGGTTTTGCCAAAAGAAAAATCCTACAATTAAAAAAAATTTTCTTGTTAAATCACAAAATACCTAAATAGAATATGTTGCAAAGGGAGCTATTTTGAATGTAAACTGAAGCAAAATTAATTAGTAGTTGCTGACTTCTAGAGAAATAATCATAATTTTAAACGAGCTCCATGTGATGTTTGATTTCATTACTGACAAAATCAGAAAAACTTCATTTATTATACCGTGAATGTTCATTATTTTTGCAATGTATCGCACACACATTTCCATTCCTTCCAACCTATTTTTTAGTCTCAGCATTTCTATTTTGACGTTAGAAAAATATACAACCAAAATCTATAAGACTTTGATTAAATGTTGATACAGCTGATTTCAACACAGCCAAAGCCAGTGACCATACATGGAATCTAAACAACAGCTAGTAATTACAGTGTCAAAGGCATGTATACACTGTGTGTTATGTTTCATTGTCTGGCATGCAAATATAGTCTCCGTTTCCTTTACACTATGTCCAAAGTATAAAGAAAGCCAACCAAAGAGTTCTGTTTCGTTTACACAAAAGAACAAGGTTCAATCATGTTTGATAAGTTGCAAATTACTGGTAATACCACAAGTGTTGTTACAGCTGCTAAGAATGGTCAGGAGGATGTACAAAATGCAGCAAAGGCATGAATCAAAAGAAAAAATCTAAACAAGTTTGAATGATGGTGTATAGTATGGCTAACTTTAGCTTCACTTGGGGCCTGGAAATGCCATATTGGGTGCAGTGTGAGGTGCCTCATATGGAATCTGGCCTTGTATTGATCTGCTAGTCTTTCAACTCTTTTCATACAAATGAAGTGGCCTCTTCTCAATTGCATGCAAACACAGGATTTACAAATCAAAATTCTTAAAGTTTTGTGTTAAGGCCTGAGCCACCAGGGACAATGAAAAGGAATAAAGATGGTGAAAACATTCAGAGACAAAAAGAAGCAATATGAATTTTCCTCAACAAAACAGAAACTCTATTCCAAGAAGCAGACCAGGTTGGTGTAGTAAAAGAAAAAAAACAAAGCTACTCTCCTGTGAACTTGAGTACTTGAAATATTAGATCTTTGAAAGACTCTAATTCATGTTGGAATTTAACTCATAAGCGCTTTTTAAATCCTACATTGTGCGGTAATTTCTCATTTCATACAATTTCATCTCTGATCCTCCTCCCCTCTACCCCACCCAATTTTGGTAAATGTCATTCAGAATAGGAAAAGGCTGAACGAGGCTCTGTGATTATGAAAAGAGAGTCATAAATTCCCGTTTCTATTCCTCATTGACACTGTGATCTTAAATAAGTTTCTGAAGTTCTCTGGGCCCTCGTTTGTATGCATGTAAAATGAAAAGGAATAGGTGAAATAAAAGTTCCAAACTGATGGCTCTACAGCCAAGTGTGGCCTACAGAAACATTTAATTGGATCCACAGATTGAATTAGGTTTAAATACTAAAAAGGCAGGACACTTTATATAAAACTCCAGATTTCCAGCTTCACTTGAAAAATCATAAAATCTGGCACTGCTGGGCTTGCATTTCCACGCAGCAACAATTGGGTGCAGGTGAGTAGCCGTGGCCCCTTATATAATGCGTGCAATTCCCTCTTTAGTATAGGACTTTTAAGAGTCATTTACGTTACCTGTTGCACTTGGAGTTTTAACTTCTAAATGATCTCTTTCTTCTCTGAAATTTACAAAACCATATTTTAAAGTTTGTACTGAGACATTTATTTATGATGAATGTTCCTCCATATTAATAATGTAAATATCTACTAAATATCATAGAAGTTATGTCTAATGAAAGTAAATTTTTAGTATTTCCTACTTCATAGTTATATCAGTACTAGTAGTAGTCAATAATAAAAATAATAGCAAACATTTAATGATTGCTAAGTTTGTACCTGGAAGAATTCTGAGTGCTTATATATGTATTAACTGGAAAAATGCTCACAACAGTGTATTACAATCTAAGGTCCAAGATGATGGGCCGTCCATTTGAAACCAGTGAATCTCAAACTTTAACCTGTATCACAGCTCTCTGGAGGGCTTGTGAAAACAGATTGCCAAGTGCCAACTCCAGAGTTTCTTACTCTGTAGATCAAGGGTGGAGCCTGATAATTTGCATTTTTAACAAGTTCCAGGTGCTGCTGATGTTGCTGGGCCAGTGATTACACTGAGAGCCGGTGTTCTAAATACTATTTTATCTTCCATGCCTAACTGATGTAGTCAGCATTCAGCAAGCCTTTGAAAAAGAATAGAAACTGTATTATGTAGGTGCTGTTACTCTATTAAGTGATGAGGAAACTAAACTTGGCTAAGGTCACATGGCTACTAAATATCAGAAGTCAGATATTAATACTTGCACCTACATCTTAGAGGTATGGTGAGGATTAAATAAGAATGGATGTAAAACTGCTTGGTACAAATGAAGTGTGCAATATATCTTAGCTAGTTTTTTATTATCCTTTGGGATGGTATCTCTCTGGCCATTAAACATATGCAAAGATTTAACATAGTGCCCAAGCAATTCCATATAAGTTTCCAGAATCACTTGCAGTTAAACTGATCCATGGGATTACCAGTGCTTTCTATTCTCTTTCTAAAACATACTTATCAATGCCCAGGGCATGCGGAAGCTTCACAGCTAACACACTAGTGTATTGCCACACTGCTGCTTCCGCTTACTCTCTTTGATTTTTTTTTTTTTTCCCAGAGACAATAGGTTTGTTTCCAACCTGTATATTCCTGTTTTGGTTATCCTTGCAATTTGAGTACTAGGCAAACCTATAAAATAGGAATTTAAGAAGTAACAGAATTGTTTCTAGGAAAACTAAGTTGAATATTGTAGAGGAAATTTTAATCAGAAAAAAATGTGTATTACATTTATAGTGCTGTGCCTTTGTCTTTAAATGATTTATTTGCAGTCAAAAGAGAAATAATTTGGAAGTTACACTTGATTATCAATGTGATTTATGCAGGGATGAAAACAGAACACCAACAGTGAACTTATGTCCTGAGAGCCAGCAACTATGGCTTATGTCAAAAATGGCCTGAGGCCTGTATTTGTATGAACTATGACCTTAGAATGATTTTTACATTTTAAAAGGTTGTAAAAAGAAGAAAGAGAAAAAGAAGACGCAGAAGGGGGTGGAGGAGGAGGATCTGCAGCAGCCCAGCAACAGAGGCCAAACGGGGCTCTCAAAACCTAAAATATTTAATATATAGTCCTTTACAGAAAAAAATTTGGAACTCCACTTTATACAATGAAAAGGATGTTGTCCCATATTAGCAGCATATAGCTAGAATATACATCTATTTATGCTTTAAATTAAAATATTCCAGATATGTATGTCCTTGTTTAAAAAGAAGATAATTAGCTTCGGCTGATTTTTAAAATATTGCTCAGTAAATTTGATCACATTGGATATAAAATTTTCCACTAGTAGAAGTGCATACAAAATACTTACTCTCTTATTGTTCATTTACCTTATTGGCTTCCAGTCAGTTCACCTCCCTTTAGTGGCAGGATTCTAAAGGCTTTATTGCCAGATCTCACATTTTTTAATCACCAGGCTTCCTGAATAGTGTTTTGCTCCTGTGGTGTTGAATAGTCCTTACAAATGATAGCAAAACTATGAGACTCTATCCCAGTGTCATTTAAAAAAGGTACTCATTGGTGCATGTATCATCTATAACTGTCAATTCGGTGCCAGGCAATATGCTTGGTCACTGTTTGATAAGACCCTCAGTCTGTCTCTGTTAAGGGGCCCCATTTTCATATCGAGTTGAACTAAAGAACCAACTCCTGCAGGAACTCTCTTGTTCCCTGCATGGCACTTTCCACAGCTAGTGTCTCTGCATGCATTGTCGTTTGGAAGCAGAATTTAATTCACTTCTGAATTACTTTGCTTGATGTAAGTATGACTTCATTCACAGGAATCTTGGCTAGGTGAGGTAGTAGGAAAAGGTAAGGGTGTAAACTGTAACCTTCATACATTAGCCATTTTCCCCAAAATGTATAGATGTACTGGTATTTTTTGTGTAGCAGAGAACAACCTTAGGAAGTAGTATTTTTTAAAAGGCCTTTTAACCTCCAAGGTAAAATAAAGGTGTACTATAAAGCCATATGGTAATACTTTACAACAGCTGGACTGAGACAATGTACTGCTAATTTGCGCAGTTCTTTTATGTAGGCTAAATGTCTTTCTTTTGCTAAATGCAGTTCTGAAGGCAAGGGTATTATTAACTGCTGGTGCTGCCCCCTGGTATTCCGATATTCACTGCTAATTATATAAGCCAGTACACTAGTCTTAGTGAACCATTTTTCTTCTGCTTGGAGATATTTGATCAGAAGGAATTCCACCTCTGGAACAACTTGTACTAGGTTAGCCCCCTGGGAAAATTTTAATTTACAAGATCCTTACTGAAAAAAAAAAATCAAATCTGTTTCAAAGAGATTACATTATAAATGTAAACTTCCTAATGAGCTTGAGTGAAATGCTGTAGGCTACAACTGGTGAACTTTGAAAGTTTTTACCCTTTTCCTCTTCC
Source organism: Homo sapiens (assembly GCF_000001405.40). Classification (NCBI taxonomy): domain Eukaryota; kingdom Metazoa; phylum Chordata; class Mammalia; order Primates; family Hominidae; genus Homo; species Homo sapiens. The sequence goes on from NC_000007.14 coordinate 19,417,752, forward strand.
TATATATATATATTTTATGTAATCTGTATCCTAAGCCCTGTAAAGAGACCAGCTGTTGCTTACAGTGAACTGACGCTTATAGCCAAATCCTACATTTTTTCGGATATAGGTGACCCTTTCCTTTTTACTCTTTTCATTAAAAAATGCTTACTACTAATAAAAGCTAACACTGCACTGATTATATACCAGATGCCAGGGTAAGTACTTCAACATAAAATACCTCATGTGATCATCACAACAGGTTAAGGAACTTACCCACGGTTTCCTGGCTATTAATTGAACTAAAAAAATGTGGTGCTTCAAGTTTGCTAGAAATTCAGATATTTAAACAATATTGAAACATGAAGAAAACAGAGATGGCAATTATTCAATTTTTTAAATGAATGCTCATCTTGTAGAAGTCAGAACACTGATTTGTATTATGGCTTCCTTTGTTTTCTTCTATTTGCATGTATGCAACTTAAATTTTAAAATATATCACAATATTATTTATAGCTTACTATATTTCGTTTTTTAGTAAGTCTAAGAATAATGTTCAAATAATTAGTGATCATAATAAATATTGTCAACTGACAGATGTCTTGTACATGGTAACTTGTTTATATGATTCTAGTACATAAAAATATTCACCCCATCTCTACTAAAAATACAAAAAAAAAAAAAAAAGCCAGGCATGGTGGCGGGCACCTGTTGTCCCAGCTACTCAAGAGGCAGAGGTAGGAGAATGGTGTGAACCTGGGAGGCGGAGCTTGCAGTGAGCCCAGATCGCACCACTGCACTCCAGCCTGGATGACAGAGCGAGACTCTATCTTAAAAAAAAAAAAAAAAAAAGTTCAAAAATTCAGGTGACCTGGTTGAGGGTCTAAACTTACCACTATTATGACATGTATGGACAAATGTCTTCATCCCTGAGGAATTCAGTTTCTTCATGTAAGTGAAAAAAGAGAATGGTCATATTTTGTTGTTTTTAAGGTAATTTATAACTCCAAAGTTCTATAAAATTTTTAATTAAATTTTTCAAAAATCTTAGTTGCGTGCTCAAATAAAACTACAGATTTTGAAATCTGGTACGTAGCTCATTTGCTTCTTTGTTTCTTGCCATTCATTTTTCCCTATTTGACTCCGTTTAGCTACTCTACCCTTTATCACTTTCCTTCTCTGAAATAACAGTGACTCTTCATACAGCGACTTCTCTAAACAGAACTTCTATGTTCTTGGGAGTGTAACAGAGGGTTAATTTCAGGGAAAAGCTGGCAGCTCCACGCTAGTTAATCGAAATAAAAAGGCAGAGGAGGAAGGAACTTTTAAGCAATCATCCTTTGATGGCTATCCAACTTTCTCTCTGTTTCTCCTTTCCTTTTTTGCTCCTTGCAGTAATTAAGCAAACCAGGACTAAAACGACTTCCTGTTCATTTCTTGTCCGATTCCAAAATGTTTCATTACTGTGTCTCCGCTTACATCCCATCCCCAAAACAGATCTTCAAAGAAGACGCCGAAAGCTCCTGTAGACCCTACCTGCTGTTTCTTCCCAAACTGAGGCACAGTCACGCTTAGAGTAGTCGCCATTTTCTCTAAAGGGCACTTTTAGCCTGACAGAGGAGATGAGAAATGTTGATGGGAGATGAATCAGCTATGAACTTCATCAGTAGTTTCTGGACAAATTATTAATGTTTAGAAACTGGAGATGAAACTCTCAAAAAATAATCCTGATGTCCAGGTTGATAGAAATTTATTTTATTCATTGTGTGGATGGAAGAGAGGGGAGGTTCAGAAGAAGGTAAATAGAAGAAAAAAAAAGAGAGTTCGGACATTGTGGCTCACGCCTGTAATCCCAGCACTTTGGGAGGCTGAGGTGGGTGGATCACCTGAGGTCAGGAGTTCGAGACCAACTGGGCCAACACGGTGAAACCTTGTCTCTACTAAAAATACAAAAAGAAAATTAACTGGGTGTGGTGGCGCATGCCTGTAACTTCAGCTACCTGGGAGGCTCCGGCAGGAGAATCGCTTGAACCCAGGAGGTGGAGGTTGCAGTGAGCCAAGATCGTGCCATTGCACTGCAGCCTGGGCAACAAGAGTGAAACTCCATTTCAAAAAAAGAAAGAAGGAAAGGAAGGAAGGAAGGAAAGAAGGAAGGACGGAATAAAAATCCATTTCAAGAAAAGAAGGAAAGGAAGGAAGGAAGAAAGGAAAGAAGGAAGGAAAGAATAAAAATATAGTACACTGTGCCCTGAGATATTTGTCAAGTAATACTCTGTAGCAATATTTCTCTTTACATATTGTAGTTTGGTCTCTAATTGAGGGTTTTTCTCAAATTAGCATGGACATTCAGTATTTATAAATTTTTCTTTTTCTGAAGATAACCTATATTTATTTTATGAATATGAAGAGGATTTCATAGAAGACCTAAAAAACGACATCCTTATGGGAATGGATACATCAATTTGGAGTGAAGAAGTGTTAATTTAGGGAAGTGCAGTATACATTTTGAAATACTGGTAATTGGAAAACATAAAGATACCTCCTGTATAATTTCTATAAATAGCCGCTCTCCCTGAACTTTTTAAACATACCCCAATGCTATGTAACAGAAAGTGACAAGAAAGGGTCCGATCTAGTCAATTGTTTGTGGAGTCATTAACTGTATTTATCTTGGCTGAACCTAACTCTTGCCTCCTTCCCCAACCCAGAGCATATTACTTTCTGTCTGTGCAATATTACTTTCTTCATAGAATACTTTCTAAGATGAAATAGGAGACATACTCTTCTCCTTCTTTTGCTTGAGGTCATTGTCATTATTATTAATCCAATGATACAGAAAAAGTCGAATTTCTGAACACTGATGTGAGGATATTTTTGTAGGGCAAGATAAGATTTGATCAAAAGATCTTTTGAAAAGTTACCCTAGGATCACTCCTGTAATCCTAGCACTTTGGGAGGCCAAGGCGGATGGACTGCCTGAGCTCAGGAGTTTGAGACCAGCCTGGGAAACACAGTGAATCCCCATCTCTATTAAAATACAAAAAAATTAGCTGGGTGTGGTGGCGTGTGCCTGTAATCCCAGCTACTTGGGAGGCTGAGGCAGGAGAATTGCTAGGACTGGTACCCAGTGTTGGTGAAAGGAAGAAGGGACCCTTCTGAACAGTGTGTGGGAAGAATGGTTAGAGCATTGTGACCTTGTGGCTGGCAGTAGGAAGTCATATGACCTTGTGGCTTGGCAAAGAGACTTTTTTAAAGTGAAATATTGTAGGCTGTGGGCTGTTACCTACCTACCTTCCCCAACCTGCAATCTCATATCAAAAATAGTATATTAAATATGCTTGCATTTCTTATGAAAGAGGGGGAAGGGAGTTAGTGTTTCAGGTCAAGATTGGCGTTGGCGGAAACATAGTCAATAGAAGGAAGCAGTTGACATCAGGGTGTTATTATTGTGAAACTAAGGTTCTTAGTGGATTTCTGGAGGAAGCTTTCTCTGTTCTTCTCAGCTTTAGACGTTTCCTTCCAATTACATTCACAGTCTAGACACCAGGTTCAGGTAAAAAATGTTCTGGGAAAAGCCTTAGATAAATATGAAAATGCCAAAGGGTGTTTCACATTTATCTAACAGTGTGAAAGGCCCAGCAAAGATGGAGGCACTGATGAGTATTAACTAACATTTAATAAAGCACATTTAATTTCCCTAATCTTAGTTGCACGTATTTACTCCATATCCAGCGGTGAGTCTACCTGATGTTGTATCGCCCATTATGCTATTTTGGCCAGAAAAATCAAGAAGGAATGTAATTCAGCATTGTTTAAAGTCTGTCAGGAATCCTTAGTTGATGAAACAACCATTCTCAAAGGCCTCATCTTCTCTGTTATCCTGGTTTTAACTAAATACAGAAACTATTTTGTTAAAATGGATTGCAGACACAAAGGAAAACCATTTCCAAACCCTCCAGTCAGGTGAAAAAAGTCACTGGCACTTTGTCCCGGGATCTACAGCAGTGTTCCTGGAGCCAGGAGCTCACACAATGCTTCCCCCCTGTCTTGCTGCTGGCAGATATGGCCTCTGGTTGGGAATAATCGTTTTTAATAATGCAGATCATCACAGGAGCTCATGGGAAATCACTCCAAATATTACCCTTGGACTTTAGTATAGAAATATAGCAAAGGGAAATTGTCCCTATGATGCTCAAGGGTTAGAATAATATGGAAAAACCAACTCAGTTCAAATAATTTATTGTCTCTGCCATGCTTTTTGCATAGCACAGCTTAAGCTGTCATTCACTGACGGGCTATTTATATAGTCTGAAATTCCAAAGGATTCCTGGATTTGTGTTCTTCTACACTCTTTAAATGATGCATAATAAGGTACTCCACAGAGGTCTTTTGTAATGAATATGGAGCTGTTTAGTTTGGGCCCCTTCAAAGGGATGGAAGAACAGTAACTGGCTGTTTGAAATTTTATATTATAGAAACTATACTCTGCCACTACTTGAATTTGTTAGCATCTTTAAAATAAACTCTACTCCCAGACAAAACCAAATCAATCTTTGTATTCTTGACATTTCACTCTCGAGGCCAATAAGAGGTGTAAATAGAAGCCCTGAGAAATAAAGGAAGTAGTTGTTCTAGAGGGGTATTCTGGAAGAGATGTGTCCACTATTGTTGATGTGTGTGTGTGTTTTTTTAAAGGTGGCCAAGTTTTTCTTGGCTTCTTTAGCCTAATTATAATGCCTACTTTCTAGCTAGGTGTGGCAGAGTTCAGATTCGAGTTGCAGAGTTGTCAAGCCAAATACCTGCTAGACACCTCAAGCTGGAGGTCTTGCAGGAACCCCAGCCCAACGTCTTCAGACTCTTCTGTCTAATCACCACCTTCAAGTACCTAATTTTTCTCTTTTATTCATCATCTCAGCAAATGGCAAATTATTTGCCCATGAATCCAAAACATAAATGTGGGAGTATAGTGTGAAGAACAATATGAGGAGAGAGGGAGATATTTAGCTCAATTTGGGGTATGTTGACCAGGCATTAATAACATAATTCTTACAACATTAGTGGGTTGTATCAATGTGAATATCCTGGCTGTAATATTTTATTATAGTTTTGCAAATGTTATAATTGATGAAACTGGGTAAAAGGTACACAAATCTCTTTATTATTTCTTACAACTGCACCAGCTGTAAACGTATAATTGTCTCAAATTTTAAAAAATGTTTTTAAATGTATCTTGATCCAAGTACAGAATTCACGTCAATAGTATTCATTTAAGCATAAATTCTATTTTCACCATATTATAGATGCATGCATAAATGTTATAGGTAACTTTAAGAAGATTTTTCTTCTGTATTCTGGTTCTTTGGTTATTCAAAGTTTTGAGCAGATAAATAAAAAAATATTTTTACTGGTTAATTATCAAATATAGTTGTAGGCTGTTGTTTGACATCCTATACAAAAACAGGCACATGGCAGGGTAGTCAAGCGAGTACTCTTTCACTGCTAAACTTGCACTCAGTGAGTTTCTTCATTTTACATGTAGCTTTGTCATTGAGAGCACTTTACCCTCCTCTCCTGAAATGCAATATGATTTTTCTAATTATGTGTGACTCACTTTATATTTCAGATTTCTCAAGGGATACTGAAACAGATTAATGATGATTCTATTTGTGGATTCTGCATTATGATTAATGATCTAGCCGAGAGTCACTAGAATACTTTTGTGTCCATGGGATTATAGGATTATTTCCAAGGCCATCTGAGGACCTCATAACGGCAGGAGACAGTGAGGAACAGTGTGACTTTTTGTTTCTGTGTAATGTTTAGGGATGTGATTTGTTAAAAACAGATGAAAAAATCAGGATGAAGGTCAACTTTACAAAAAAGAAACTCCTAGTCAATAAAAGTTCTGCCATACTCCCAGAAGACTATCTTGTCCTTTTACAATGTCTTAACCCATTGCTCACTTAAGAGAAATAAGTACAATATGCTGCTAAAAATTTAATTGCAATCAATGAGTTTCCAAGCATATGGAATGTTTTTAAAGACATGTTATTTGGGTGAGCTCTTGTTCTGTGAGTTGAATGCCAATCTACCAGTTGTTGGTAGTTGAATACAGTCATTTTTGGTCATTTAAGCACAAATAAAGATCTTTCCTAATGATAGACAGAATATATAAGAAAAGAGAAACTCTTCCTTTTGCTCAAATAGACTGCTCAGGATATGCTTGCCTCAAGTGCTTTGATTTTCCCTCTGGTCATTTTACATGAGAGGGTATATTTTATTCCCTAGAAAGCTTAATCTGTAATCAGTTATATTTAACAAGTTAACTCAATTGTAAATGATATGATACAAATGAAGATTAAAGCTAATTTAGGACAGCATTTTTACTACTGTATAAATTAGCATTGGAAGAATCAGAAGGAACCATGTTTTTGATTAAGGTTTGGTTTAGGCTGAAGGGTTTCAATAAGATCAGTTTTATAAAACTCTGAACTGGAGCCAATACCAGCTAAAAGATAACAGGATAGATTAAAGCCATGGTAGAAGTTTAAAAATAAAGTCCCTGAAAACCTTTAATCAGGATACAGACATGTGTGTTTGTCTGTGTGTGTGTGTGTGTGTGTGTGTGTGTGTGTTGTAGTCAACCCTCACCTGCCACAGTTTGTTCATGGCCATACATTTATGCCCTGCTCCCATTACTCCAAGTCATTCTTTCAGCCACTGTAGCCAGTATTACTGCTTTCCTGGCTAGCGTTCCCTGTGTACAGTTTGCACTCCCCCTTAAAAATTTCCAGTTCATTTTTCATGTTAAAATCAAAACACTCTTTCAAAATATCTTGATCATGGCCAGTTTTCTGCATAATCCCCTTTCATAGCTCTCTATTGGCCTCAAGATGGGCCAACAAGATGGGCCAACATTCTTTACTGTATAAAATGCTCTGTAGTGTCTGCTTCTGTTCAACTAAGGTCATCCTTTACTACCTCTTCTGATTTTTCCACTCACCCAAATTATGCTCTATGAATCTTCTGAGATTTATCTCCTATTCTTTGCAGTATTTTTAGACTCCTCCTGTAGTATTCCCCCACTACCTTCCATACCTGTCATCTGACAAACTTCTAATAGTGTCCGAGGTCATGATTTGGAACTGAGGAATCTCCTGGCTTTTGCATGATAGCTTATTTGTCTGTCTTTCCAATAAGTAGGAAAGCTGTTAGATTTGGGACTGGGTTTTGTTCACCATTATATCTATTTTATAAGATTAAAATATGCTTTTGATGGTAGGACAAAACACAATGACAGAAAGATGAAAGGCAGAACTCTTTGTCACTTATAGCTCCAGAGGAGAAAAGGCTGCTATGCAGGACCACACAGGGAAGAATAACAACAAGCTGGAGCTGTAGGGGACAGCTTATGTATGGCAAGTGGGGTGGGTTTAGATAGGTTACTGGACTGCTAGTTTATTGGCAAGTTTGAATACTTTTGCAGGGTCCGGGGCTTTGAGGCTGCTTCTAGTTGTCTGGTGTCTAGCTCTGGGGCAAGCAGGAGGGTTCATAATTATCTAGGAGTGTAAGAACCTGATAAAGGGAGTGGCTGGTGTATAGACATAAATAGCAGCCCAAGAAGGGGATCTGGTTGCCTCTAGCTATTGCTGCAAAACTGGGTGAAGACAAGGTTTCAAACAAACAAAAACCAAACTGTATTACACTATAGTTCAGAGTTTATATTGCGTGCTTAATGCATATTTATTGATACAATGAGTGAAAAACAGATATATGTGTATATGCATGAATATATGTTACCATTTGGCTCTGTGACTACTGTGCTTTTCCTTAAGCTGCTAGTTATTTGGTATAATCTTATAAGTATCTAAACGTCACCTACCAGTTACTGTTTCTGGGCCTGTTTTCACATCTCTAAAATGGGTTTCAAATCCCAGCACTTTGGGAAGCCGAGGCGAGCAGATCCCGAGGTCAGGAGTTCAGACCAGCCTGACCAACATGGTGAAACCCTGTCTCTACTAAAAATACAAAAAGTAGCCGGGCGTGGTGGCATATGCCTGTAATTCCAGCTACTCAGGAGGCTGAGGCAGAAGGATCACTTGAACCCGGCAGGTGGAGTTTGCAGTGAGCCAGGTTCACAGCACTGCATTCCAGCCTGGGCGACAGAGCAAGACTTCATCTCAAAAAAAAAAAAAAAAAAAAGAAAAAGAAAAAGAAAAAGGGTTTTAGACTCCTTCTTACAGTGAGAAGTGGTAAGACATTTGGGAAATTAAAAATTTATATATTTTATTTTCAGAAACATTACTTTGATAATTGTATTTATGCAAGATAAAACTACCATAAATATGCTAGCTGACCAGACATAAAATTGATAGTTAGGCCAAGAAGCTGTTTCTAGAGCTGGCAGACCAAACTTGCTCCCTGCTTTGAAAGCTACACTTAAAAATTAGCTTTTTATGAAACAATACTCTTTTGGAATATGACTGTTGGCATTGCAAATAATAATGCTAACACATGAGAGAAAAAATAGATTATGCTTTATCTTTTAAATATTAAAAATAATTTATATACTTTCTAAATTATATTCTTGCTGTAGTTGCAATTTGAGAGGCATAATAAATAAATGTATTTGCAGAGTTTATTCAAATTGAACTGTTTTAAAGAACCTTATGAAGACAAATGTTGCTTTTCCACCAAGGCCAAAGTAAAAAATGAAGAAAAATTAAAGCTGAATTTTTCTGGAGTTAGTATCTTTTATACTGTTTTGATTTGTTTGCATTGTTAATATTATTTACAATATGATTAAGACCAAGCAGCTTATTACATAAAGTTTTTTTTAGCTATAAATAAGAGATAAAGTATTCTAAGCCACGAATATATGATTAACAAGATGTTCATCATGTCTCCAATGGTCTTAAATTGTGTGTGTCTGTTAAGTACCTTATCTCTAAGGAAAGTGAGGGAAGAATATGTGCAAAAAAAGTGCACTAAAACAAAGTAGCAAATAAACAAGAAACAGATGCTAAGGTATAAGGTGTTAGATCACAAAAGAAGGAACTCATTTAGAGTCACTCAAACAGTTAATTTTGTATCTTTTATCCCTTGCTGGAATCATCTATTTTAAATGTATTTTTATTCTGAAATAATCCCGTAAAACTTGCAAACACAATTCAAAGTATTGATTTTGAAAGTAAGTTGTTGACCTGATATACAACTTAAATACCTTAATCTTGTGAGATTTATTATAAACATAGTCAATCTCCTACATAACCACCATACAGCCATCAAAATCAGGAAAATAACATTAATATATTATTATCAACTCAGCCTCAGACCCTACTCAAGTTTTTCCAATTTTGTAAATAATGTTTTTTTATAGAAAAAAATTCAGGTCAGAATCATGAGTTGCATTTAGGTGTTATGTCTCTTTAATCTCCTTTGGTCTAGAGTAGTTCCAATTATTGCCTTGACTTTCATGACCTTGATACTTTTGAGGATTACAGGACACGTATTTTATAGAATATTATTTAATTTGTGTCTTTCCAGTATGGCCTCATGATTAGATTCGCGTTATGCATCATTGTCAAGAATATCTCAAGGATGCTAGGTCTTCTTGTTGCAGCCTATCAGGTGGTTCACAGGTTCTACTTATTAATGATGTTAACCACTCTAGCTGATTGCCTATACTGGCCACCCACCTCACAGTGTGCATGAACCTCTAATCCGCTTTGGCTGACAACCCATAGTGCGCCACCTCTCCACAGGTGCATCTTATTCAGCCTGACTTGTTCTGGCCACTGATGTTTTTAAAACTGATTTTTCAAGAAAGGGAAGGGAAGGGAAAACAAGGCAAGGGAAGAGGGAGAGAAAACACCTTTAACTTCACAGACATTGTATACTCACAATCTTTAATGAATTAAAAAGTAATACATGAACTTCTGGTTTCGGATACTATATAAAAATGGCTTGGAAGCCATCTCTCCCATCCACATAATAAGGAAAAAAAAAGCTGAATAACTGAAAGTTAACAGCTTTTCTTGGATACATCAGAGAAGTGAGTTCACAAGGTAAACCACCATCCCCAAAACTAGAGAGTCAGGTATGAACAAACAGTCACAGCGTACTGAGCAGGAAATGCCACAGGAGCATTTCCTCACCAGGATCTCACCAGGAGCATCTGGTGAGAACAGTTAAAGAATACTTAACTGACTAAATGCCGAAGACTGAGTGTGGACTAGCTTAAGAGATAAAAACTCCTGAAATCCCGGAATTAGGGGGTTCCTCATACTTTTGTGAGTTTTACCTCTAAGAGCGCCAACATGTTCTCACTGTGAAGATCCATGAAAAATCCCCTCCTGCTTCCAGCAGTAAGAGAGGAAGAGTAACCACTTGCAGATGTATCCATAGCACTCCCTTCTCCTTAACAAAGGCCTGCCCTCAAAGGACACTATTTTACCAGAGCCTAACCAAGTTCAACTGTACCTGAGTTTAACTGACCTGGGTAAAAGGAAATACCCAACTCCAGCCTACTCCAGCCTTTCTATCTCACCTAAGGGATTGAACATAAAAGCTGAGAAACCCTGGTAAAAGTCATAACCTGGGGCAGAAGCTCACTAAAAGACTGAGACCTACCCACAGGAGTACACAGCACTTTTCTTCTGACATTTTACTACCATGACAATAAGGAACTTGTATAATAGCAAGTGATTGCAGCTGAAAAAATCTGTGAGGTTCAGATGCTGTTTAAAAAGTGGTCTCTAGGGAAACCTGAACACGACAGGAGAGACAAAAACAAGGACATCAGAGAAAATTTTAACCTGTGAAATATACAACTATAGCAAACAGTAAGCATGCCTAAATCCTAGCCAGGTAAACAACACCCCACCCTATAGCCTATTTATCTTGGTTCCTTTTACATAACATATCATTTCTAACTTTCAACAAAAAATTTATAAGGCATGGTAAAATAGAAAAAATCAAAACAAAACAAAAATAAACATAGTCTAAAGAGACAGAGTGAGAACTAGTCTCATATATGGCAGATTTTGGAATTATCCGATTGGGAAATTATAACTGTGACTAATATACTAAGAGGTCTAATGAAAAGTAGTGGACAACATGAAAGAACAGGTAGAGAATATAAGCAGAGAAATGAAAATTCTAAAGAAGAGTCATAAGGAAATACTAGAAATCATAATGCAACACGAATGAAGGATGTCATTGATGGGCTCATCACTAGACTGGACATAGCTGTGGAAAGAATCAGTGAGGATGAAGATGATAGAAACTTTCAAAACTAAAAAGTAAATAAAAATATTTGAGAACAAAATATCCAAGAACCATGAGTCAATTTCAAAACGTGTAATGTATGTGCAATGGGAATACAAAAAGAAAAAAAGAAGGAAAAGAAGATATATTTTAAGAAATAACATCTGAGAATCTCCCCAAATTATTGGCAGACACCAAATCTCAGATCCAGAAAGCTCAGATAAGTATCAAAAATGTATACCTATGCATATTATATTTAAACTTCAGGAAATCAAACACAAAGAAGTATTTTGACAAGTCAGAGAAAAAAAAACACCTTACCTATAGAGGAACAAGAATAAGAATATATCAGACTTCTCATCAGAAACCATGTAAGCAAGGAGAGAATGCAATACAAAGAAAGTATTTAAATAAAAAAAACCCAATGACCTAGAATTCTGTGTTCAGTGAATTATTCTTCAAAAAGGAAAGAGAAATAAAGATTTTCTCAGACAAAAAAGTTGAAGGAATTTGTTATGAATAGACTGAAGTGAAACAATTCAGAAACAGAAAGTCATATTGCATATTCTCACTTATAAATGAGAGCTAAATAATGTGGACACATGGACATAGGGTGTGGAATAGTAGTCACTGGAGACTTGGAAGAGTAGGAGGGTGGGAAGGGGGTGAAGGATGAGAAATTACCTAATGGGTACAAGGTACACTATTTGAGTGCTGGTTACACTAAAAGCCCCGACTGCACTACTGTGCAATATATCCCTGTAGCAAAACTGCATTTCCCCTTAATTTTTGTTGTTGTTGTTGAGACAGAGTCTCTCCCTGTTGCCCAGGCTAGAGTACAGTGGCACAATCTCGGCTCACTGCAAGCTCCACCTGTCGCCTTCAAGCAGTTCTCCTGCCTCAGCCTCCTGAGTAGCTGGGATTAGAGACACGTGCCACCACACCCGGCTAATTTTTGTATTTTTGTAGAGACGGGGTTTCACCATGTTGGTTAGGCTGGTCTCAAACTCCTGACCTTGCAATCTGCCCGCCTCAGGCTCCCAAAGTGCTGTGATTACAGGCATCATCCACCTCACCCGGCCTGTACCCCTTAAATTTAAACACACACACACAAACACACAAAATGTTAAAAGAATTCCTCCAGAGGAGAGGAATATGATATAGATATTAAAATTGGATTTATATAAAGGAAGAGCATTCAAATTAAATAAAAGGGGATAAAATAAAATTGTTTCTATTTTGTATTTTAATGATCTAAAACGTAACAGTTAAAAACATTAATAGCAACAATGTATTGAACAAATACAGCTTATATATAAGTGAAATGTAAGACAGTAACGTTCTAAGAGATGGAGAAATTGGAAATACTTTGTTGTACAGTACCTGTAATAAAAAGTGGACCTAGATTAGTTGTATATGTATATTGTAAACTTTAAGACAATCATTTAAAAAACTAAAGAAATAAGTATAATTGATAAACTAAGAGGGGAGAGGAAATAGAATCATATAAAATGCTCACAACCAGAAAAGGAAAAAAGAGAGTGGAAGACAAAAACAAAGAAAGAACAGGGGAAACAAATAGAAAACAGCAACAAATGTAGCCAATAATAACCCGGCACTATCAATAATCACTTTAAATGTCAATGATCTAAATACAACAATTAAAAACAGGCTGTCAGAGTGGATATCAAAACCCAATTATATTTCACCTACAAAAAACCCACTTTAAATATATAAACATTAATATATGAGAAACCAAGGTGTGAAGAAAGATATGCCATGCTAACGTTAATCAGAAGAAAGATGGGGTAGTTATGTTCACTTCAGGGAAAGCAGACTTCAGAGCAAGAAAAATGATCAGAAATAAAGACAGGCTTTATGTAATCACAAAAGTGTCAGTTCTCCCAGAAGACATAATAATCCTGGATGTGTATATGTTTAACAAAAGTATATTAAAATACATGGGGCAAAAACTGTTAGAACAGCAAAGAGAAATGGGAAAATCCACTATTATATTTGGAGAATTCAATTTGCAGGAATTAAACAGATTCAGCAGATAGAAAGATAACACTTATATAATGAAACTGAATAACACCATCTATCAACTATCTATTTGACATTTACGGAAGACTTCACCCATCAACGTAATAATATATATTCTTTTCAGGTTCACAGAACATTCGCCAAGATAAACTACATTCCTGGCAGTGAAATACCCTGAACAAATTAAAAATAATAAAAATAATACAACGTCTGTCCTCAAAATTACAATAGAATTAAACTAGAAATTACTAACAGAAAAAAGTTACAAAATCACAAAATAATTGGAGATTTAACAACACACTTCTAAATAATATGTGATTCAAAGAAGTCTTAAGATAAATTATAAAATATTTCAAACTAAATGAAAATAAAAATATCAACTATCAAAATTTGTGGCCAGATATGGTGGCCTACGTCTGTAATCCCAGCAGTTTGGGAGGCCAAGTCAGGTGGATCACTTGAGCTGAGGAGTTCAAGACAAGCCTGGGCAACATGGTGAAACCTCATCTCTACCAAGAAAAAAAAAAAAGAAACTAGCCAGGCATGGTGGCACATGTAGCTGTAGTCCCAGCTACTTAGAAGGCTGAGGCAGGAGGATTGCTTGAGCCCAAGAAACAGAGGTTGCAGTGAGCCAAAAACATGCCACTGCACTCCAGCCTGTGTGCACTCACTCTGTGAGTGAGTACCTGTCTCAAAAAAAAAAAAAAAAAAAAAAGATAAAAATAATTGTGATATGCAGCAAAAGCAGTGCTTGGAGAGAAATTTATAGCACTAAATACACGTATTAGAAAAGATAAAGGATCTGAAGTCCCTAACTAAGTTTCTGCCTTACAAAACTAGTAAAGGAGAGCACATTAAATCCAAGGAGAAAATAAATAATAATAAATTACAATATAAATTGATAAAACTGAAAGCAGAAAATTAGTACAGAAATCAATAAAACCAAAAGATAGTCCTTTGAAAAGATCAATAAAATAACTAAACCTCTTGCTAGGTTAACCAAAAACAAGAAGACACAAATTACTCATATCAAAAATAAAAGAGGGGTTATCACAGCTGATAGCACAGACATTAAAAGGACAATAAAGGAATATTATTATCAATTCTATTAGTGTGTGTGCTGCTGAAGCGAGCACAATTCTATTACCCAGAATTTGAAAATTTAGATGAAATGAGTCAATTCTAGAAAGACACAATCTACCAAAAGTCAAGATTATATATCTGTTAGAGAAATATATAATTTAAATAGGTCTATATCAATTAAAGAATTTGAGTCAATAACTAATAAATTTTCAAAACCGGGAAGTCCAGGCCTAGATAGTTTCACTGGTAAGTTCTAACAAACTTTAAATAATTCTCTACAATCTTTTTCACAATCTAAAAACTGAAGAAATACTTTCTACCTTATTCTATGAGGCTGGAATTACCTTCATATGAAAATGAAACAAATATGTTACTGGAAAGGAAATTATAGACCAATATCTCTCACAAAAATATATATAATCTTCAACAAAATATTAGCAAAACAATTCATAAAAATAATTATACACCATGACTGATACGGTTTGGCTCTGCGTCCCCACCCAAATCTCATCGCGAATTGTAATGCCCACAATCCCCATGTGTCAGGGAAGGGGCCTGGTGGGAGGTGATTGGATCATGGGGGTGGTTTCCCCCATGCTGTTCTCATGATAGTGAGTAAGTTCTCAGGAGATCTGATGGTTTTATAAGTGTTTGACCATTCCTCCTTCATATGTTCTTTCTCACCTGCCACCATGTAAGATGTGCCTGCTTCCCCTTCAGCCATAATTGTAAGTTTCCTGAGGCCTTCCCAGCCATGTGGAACTGTGAGTCAATTAAACGTCTTTTCTTTACAAATTACCCAGTCTTGGGTATTTTTTACAGCAGTGTGAAAAAAGACTAATACAATGACCGAGTAGTTTATTTGGTCATTTTTTTGGTACATTATTTTTATGTACAAAGCTGGTTCAACGTTTGAAAATCAGTTAATATGGCCCATCATATCAATAGGCTAAAGAAGAAAAAAATATGTGGTCATGTCAATAAGTGTAGAAAGAAGCATTTGATAAAACCCAGCAGGCATTCATGATAAAGACTGTCAGCAGCCTAGGAAAAGAATTAGCATCATACTTATTGATGAGAAACTAGATGCTTTCTCCCTAAGATTTGGGACAAGTAAAATATGACATCACCTCTCACCAGTCTTATTCAGCATTGCTCAGGAAGTCTTAACTAATGCAATAAGATCAGAAAAGGAAACAAAATGTATACAATTTGAGACAGAATAAATAAAACTCCTTGTTTACAGGTGATAAAACTGTCTATGGTGGTTAATATTAGGTGTCAACTTGGTTGGATTGAGGGATGCCTGGATGGCTGGTAAAGTATTGTTTCTGCGTATGTTTGTGGGAGTGTTGCAAGAGGAGAGTCCGTGGACTGGGGGAGGAAGATCCACCCTCAATTGGTGGGCACCATTCAATCAGCTGCCGGATCAAATCAGCTCCTGCTAAAACAACGCAGGAGGAAGAAGGTGGGTTAAGTTTGCTTGGCTACTCTTCTGGCTTTCTTTTTTCTTCTTCCCATGCTAGACGCTTGGTTCTGCTCCTCCTGCTCTTGGACATCAGACTCCAGGTTCTTCAGCTTTTGGACTCTGGTACTTGACCAGCAGCTTCCTGGGAGCTCTCAGGACCAAAGGTTGTACTGTCACCTTCCTTGGTTTGAGGTTTTTGTGGTTGGACTGAGCCACTATGGTTTCTCCTTTCCCCTGCTTGCAGACAGCCTATCATGGGACTTCGCGGTGGAATCATGTGAGCCAGTTCTCCCTAATAAACTCACTTTTATATATACAAATATTCTATTCACTCTGTCCCTTTGGAGAACCTTAATACATGGTCCATATAAAAAAAAATCCTGGCCGGGTGCGGTGGCTTACACCTGTAATCCCAGCACTTTGGGAAGCTGAGGCGGGCAGATCACTTGAGATCAGGAATTCAAGACCAGCCTGGTCAACATGGTGAAACCCCGTCTCTACAAAAACACAAAAATTAGCCAGGCATGATGGCAGGTACCTGTAATCCCAGCTACTCGGGAGGCTGAGGCAGGAGAATCGCTTGAACCTGGGAGGTGGAAGTTACAGTGAGCTGAGATTGTGCCATTGCACTCCAGCCTGGGTGACAGAGCGAGACTCCATCTCAAAAAAAAAAAAAAAAAAAAAAAAAAAAATCCCAAAGAGTGGACATAAAACCTCCTAGAACTAATAAGTAATTATAGCAAAGTACTAGAATACAAGATTAATATGCATGTCAATTGCATTCTTACATATCAGCAATTAACAATTAGAATTTGTTTCATTTATGTTAACATTATCTTAGCACCAATATTGCCACCAAAAAACCTGAATTGGTGTAAAGCTAATAAAATATGTGCAAAACCTATATGAAGAGAACTATAAAACTCTAACGAAGAGGTTCAAAGAAGACCTAAATAAATGGAAAGATATTGCATTTCATGGATGGTTATGCCCTAACATTTCCCTAAAAATAAAATATATTAATAAAAAAGTAATAAATGCACAGGATAAAAGATGCATTCATTATAAAAAGAAATTAAATTGAAGTATGTTCCCCTTAGACTTACAACTCTACTTCCTATTGTTGCAATGTTCTTATACTTCCTTGTAGAACATTATCTGTTTACTAACATAAATATATGTGCATATTTATTTATTTATTTATTTAGAAATGGAGTCTTGCTCTGTCACCCAGGCTGGAGTGCAGTGGTCTGATCTTGGCTCACTGCAACCTCCTCCTCCTGGGTTCAAGTGATTCTCCAGCCTCAGCCTCCTGAGTAGCTGGGATTACAGGCACGCACCACCATGCCTGGCTAATTTTTGTATTTTTAGTAAAGACGGGGTTTCACCATGTTGGTCAGGCTGGTCTCGAACTCCTGACCTCGTGATCCACCCGCCCCCGCCTCCCAAAGTGCTAGGATTACAGGTGTGAGCCACTGCACCTGGCCATACGTGCATATTTATATGTGCACTTATATATGTGCATACCTATACTCCTTTTATTTACACAATTTTCATAGTGATTTATTTTGATAACATTGCTTGGAGATCTATATTGGCACATAGATATATATCTCATTATTTTAAAAAATTGAGTAGTATTTGCCAAATATTGATGAATTCTAAAATTTTTGTGTTGTCCTTGTTTTTTGTTGTTGTATCCACAGCAAAAATTTCTATCTGTAGAATTATTAGGCCAAAGGCATGCACATTTTAAATGTCAGTAAATATTGCCAAATTACCCTCCTAATTTTGTAGCAATTGATAATATCAATTTTCCCACATCTATTTTTGCCATTCCCATGGGTGAGAAAGCATATTTTATTTAATTTTCATTTGTGTTTATATAATTATGAATCATATTGTTCCTTCATATTTATTAAATTATTGTATTTTTTATAACGAATCATTTCAAGTTCCTTTTATATTTCTACTTGTACAGCTAGACTCCCTCATTAGTTTTTAATATTTTCCTGATTCTTTTAGGATATTTTCCAGATGAACTTGACAACAATAGTCACAATAAAACACAGTTTCTCCTATTATTAACATTTTGCATTCGTGTAGTATATTTGTTACAATTGAAACTTAGTATCATATTGTGATTATGAAATAATTTAGAGAGCAGTGATATCTTTAAAATATTTTTTCTGTTAAGAAATATAGCTTTATTTCTCATTTATGTCTCTTAGAAGGGTTTGAAGTTTCAAAATTTAAGTAATATATATGTTAATCTTATTTCTAGAAATATCATTTTCCAGTCTTTTAAATAGTGACAATCTAATTCTGTGACAACATGCCTTATGATAATCTAAGGAACACAATACTTACTTAAATACATTTTTTCCCTCCTATCAACAATTGTTTTCATACAAACCTTTCAAAAACCAGATTCTGTTATTTTAGTGCTAATCCTAGAAATAAGAACTTTTATGGTTGAGTTATGAAGCACTTAATATGATATTTACCACTTTTCTGTTCATTCCTCACACATTTATTATATCCAAAAACCATGGACTCTTGCACCTTCCTTTATGAGATAAGCTTTATAAAACTATAATTTTAGAAATCAGTAACTGGTTTCTGTACAATTCCAGATAGAATATTATCACAGAAATTACTCAAAGTAGGGAAGTCATTTTCGGGGTGGGGTAGGGTGGGGATGGCATGGGTTTTGGGGATGAGATAGCTGAATGGGAACACAAATTTTCAAAAAAAAATTATTTTATCCAAAGTTTATTGGATTCTCATCTTCTTTGGGCAAGCAAAGAAAATGAAGACAGTAACAAAAAAATATAAAGCTGGGTGTGAGATCTAATATTACCAGTGCACATTTCTATGCTGCAACTTACGTATACTTCAGGACAACATTGTGAGATACATTCTTTGTTATTTTACAGATCAGAAAATACAGGCCCAGGATGCTAGAGTAAATTTCCAAAAGTCACAATCATAGACTTAGTTACGAAGGCCTGGGACTTGAACTCAGTCCTAGCCTGACTCCAAAGCCCATGTTCTCTTCATAATGCACTCTGCCATTCAGAAACCATTGATTGCATAGGGAAAGAATACCAGGTAATGCACTATGGGTAATAGAACAGAGTAATAAAATATAAATATTAAGCGCAAATAAAATGGAAAAAAATTCAAACAAGCACATTTTCCACTTATATTCTATAGGGAATTTCATCAGGCATATTACATTTTATGATACAAATAGCATAAACGCCACTGCTTCTACGTTATATACTTGGTTTTTTTAATGCCGAATCATCCTGTCTCTCTATTGCTTATAATACATGGTCTTTCCTATGAAATATTTTATTAGCAAGCTATTTAAGAACCTGAATTTATTTTCTCTTATAGAATAAGGACTTGATATCAGCCATTTAACAGAGGCAGGCTGTAGCCACTTCCCTTCCCTAATCCACTTTCATTAATTTTTTCTTTGTTCTTGGCATTATAACCTTTCTGTGTATACTCCCATACATTTCTCAGGCTGTAAAGAGTAAGCCATTTAAAAACAGCAAATCGAGAAATTTAGAGTTGAGAAAGCCCCTGGAGGTCGTCTGGATTACCATCCCTTATAATGCCTTATATATAGCCAGAAACAGTGTATAAAATTACACTCAGAACTGATCTAGAAGACATCACTTCTCCACAAACACAATGACTTTCACTGCCGACAACATTCAGTGCTTGACTTAACTCCAGTGCTTCGAGAAATTGGATCTATAGCCCTGATTTTATCCTCACTAGAATGAATTCCAAGTATTCTCTGCTACTTTGCATCTCTGGCTCATACTGCAGGTGCTGCTGATTAGACCCTAGCTTTATGCCTGCATCTAGCTCCAAGGGTCTGAGAAAGCAGGTATCTGATATCTATGGTAGGAAAAAAAACTGTCAAACATCCACTACATTTGTCAAGATCTCTATTACAACATAGCTTCTGAAACTGAATGCATCATTCCAGATGGCTTCTGACCAATGCAGTATGCAATGCAATTAGCCACCTTGGTCTGAACAGAATGCATAATTATATTGAAGCACATGCTAAGATTATATGAGTGATTTTCATATCCACATCAAAGGGTTGGTTCACAATTAAGCTTTCAGTTAACTATAACCCTAAAACTCCGTCATCTTTTACTGCTGTTTCATCATGTGTTCTCCCATCCTGCATTTGTACATTTGTGGCTTGATTTTTTAACCCAAATATAGAACTTCATAATTAGCCCTGTTACATTTCACTTTGTTAGTTTTGGCCCATCTTTCCAATATTTTTCAATCTTTTTGAATACTGTCTCTATCATCCAATATAGTAACTACTGCTACACAGCTTTGTATTATACACGTACTGGATAAACATGCTTTTGGTTTTAGTCCAAATTCCTGATAAAAATGCTGAAAATAATATAATACATATAAAACACTGTGGGATACCACACAATATTTTCATCCACGGTGGAATCGAACCATTAATTCATATTTCAAGCCATTGACTAAATTTATCTAGAGTTATGTTCAAAATGTGTTCTTTTTTTAGTTTGCATTATGATGATGATGATGATGATGCAAAGGGACACATGAAAGATATTTAAAAGAAAATTTCTTTATGGTATAAGCATTATGCAATAAGGAAGTAGGATGTGATTAATAATCAAAGATAACATATTCTCCAATGTGTGGACAATATATTCTTAAAAAATAAAATTATAAATCCCAGATTACTATCATGTATACTTTGTAGACCTGTCATAATATCATATTACTATAAATCTCAGAGCAAACAGCAAACATTTTCTGTGAAAGACCAGATAGTAAATATTTTGACTTTGCATTCCATGTGCTTTCTCTTGGAAATACCTAACTCTGCCCTTGTAGAGAAAAAGCAGCCATAGACAATACATATATGAGTGGAAATGATTGTTCCCATAAAACTTGACTTGTAAATATATGTGGCAGGCCAGATTTGGCCCATAGGCTCTAGTTTGTCCAACTGTTTTTAGAAGATGGTCTATACAAGGCCCACAAAGTGGGCATGTGGACTCACATATAGATGAATATATTACAATATTACAATATTCCCATAGTGTATATTTAATATTTTAAAAATTTCATATACTAGGTTTTCAAGAGCCAGAACTGTCTTGTTTCTTTTTTCTTTTTTTTTTTTTTTTTTTTGAGACAGAGTCTCGCTCTGTCGCCCAGGCTGGAGTGCAGTCGTGCAATCTCCGCTCACTGCAAGCTCCGCCTCCCGGGTTCACGCCATTCTCCTGCCTTAGCCTCCCCAGCAGCTGGGACTACAGGCATACACGACCACGCCTGGCTAATTTTTTTTTTTTTTTTTTGTATTTTTAATAGAGACGGGGTTTCACTGTGTTAGCCAGGATGGTCTCGATCTCCTGACCTTGTGATCCGCCCACCTCGGCCTCCCAAAGTGCTGGGATTACAGGCATGAGCCACTGTGCCCGGCCTGTCTTGTTTCATTTTGAACTTCAGTACCTAACAATGTTCTGGCACTTGCTAGTTGCTCCATATAAGTTGGTCATTATTCAAATAGGCATTAACATGCTATTTAAAATAGAGTCAGCATTCCTAGGTGTGGTGGACCCAGTTCCTCCCTTAAGAACAAGAACAATGGGCTTCCTACCTTTAACGCTAAGAGTGCTGCTGGTAGACAGCCCTCAGCTGAAAACCCTTAGAAATTACTTAGGGTCAAGAGAGCAACCTCTTCTAAGGCCGTGTCTCCTTCCCAGGACACCCTGTTTCCAGTGACAGATCAACATGAGGGATAAGGCTGATGTCTTTATTCTAACTCAGGACAAGTCTGAAGGTCATTTTAGCTTCAGAGTTCCTAGCTGAGGTCTTCATTGAGACTGAATTACAGCTAACCCGTCTCTTCTCA
This sequence comes from Homo sapiens, assembly GCF_000001405.40. NCBI lineage: Eukaryota > Metazoa > Chordata > Mammalia > Primates > Hominidae > Homo > Homo sapiens. The sequence continues at coordinate 19,439,540 of NC_000007.14, forward strand.
AATCTTCTTCCCTAAATTTTGATTTCAAAGGACTCCTGATATAGTTTGGCTTTGTGTCCCACCCAAATCTCATCTTAAATTGTAAATCTCTAGTTGTCAAAGGAGGGAACTGGTGGGAGGTGATTAGATCACGGAGGCAGTTTTACCCCTGCTGTTCTCGTGATAGTGAGGGAGTTCTTACAAGATCTGATGGTTTAAAATGGCAGTTTCCTCTGTGCTCTCTCTCCTGCTACCATGTGAAGGTCCCTGCTTCCTCTTTGCCTTTTGCCATGATTTCCTGAGGCCTCCCCAGCAATGCTGAACTGTGAGTCAATTAAACTTCTTTTGTTTATAAATTACTCAGTTTCAGGTAGTATCTTTACAGCAGTGTGAAAATGGACTAATACAACCCACTAATAATCCTCCTGCATTCTAGTATCTGTCACAGAGTCTACTTTCCAGTGAATGCAACCTGCAACAGCAACCTACAACAAGAAGAATATTTGCTACGGTTTGAGTGTGGCCGCTGTGAAATTCAGGTGTTGCCAATGTGATAGTATTAAGAGGTAGGGCCCTTAAGAGGCGATTAGGTCATGAGGGCTCCTCCCCAAATTAAGGCCCTTATTAAAGTGGCATCATGCAGGGTTCAGCTAGCTTTCCCTTCTGCGGATGTGGTGTTCTTCCTTCTAGAGAATGCGGCAGTAAGGCACCATCTTTAAAGCAGAGAACAGCCCTCACAAGACAACGGAATCGAATCTACCAGGGCCCTGATCTCGGACTCCTGAACTGTGAGAATATAAATTCTTGTTTTTTTGTAAATTACCCAGTCTTGGGTGTTGTTTTATAGCAGCACAGAATGGACTAAGGTGGTATTTTTACTCATTATGAAGATAGTAATTTAAATGATATCCATTCGAGGTTTTTCTACCTTGAGCTAATCTCATACAGGCTAGCCTTATGAAGTATGATTTTGAAAGCTATCCTCTTATCAGAGCCCATGTGGGTTCCTTTTGACTTCCCAAAACACTCCCCTATTGCAGTTGGTTAAAATTGGTAACCATACTAATTGCTCACTATTTACATCACTATGTTTTTACAGTTCTCACAATTCCTAGAATAAGCACCTCCTAATTACTAATGTTGAGGGCCACTAAGACCTTGCCCCACCAATCTTGAAAGTTTTTAATCTTCACCAGAAGAGACAATAAATAAATCTTCAGTGAGTTTCTATTTTGGAAAGGGACTTTGTGGAATATTAGGGAACAAAAGAAGTAAATATAAGACCAAGTTTCTTTTTCACAGGAAAATTCAGTTCCTGTTAAAAGTTCCTAGTCATGTTAAGGAAGTTGCTATTAAAATTCAGTTCTAGAGATTAGACAAATTAAAGGGAAGCTAATGCTTCTAATAAATATAAAGTGCCTAAAGGGTAGTGAAGAAACTTCACAGTGTGGAACAAGATGATCATGGAAGGGAAAAATGAGGGTACTTTTAAAGGAAATGCCTTTTTTTCCCCCAAACTGCTTTTCCTCAGGTGATTTCAAAGTCATGTATATAAAATCACTTTGGGGGTAATTGAAGGCAGGAGTGAGAATAAAAAGAGAACTGAGAGAAGAAACGCTAACTTTTATTTAGCGCCTTCTGTTGCTAGGGGTCTTTTTAAGCACTTTACATCTGTTAATCATTTCATTATTAACTCTGCGAGGTGGGTTTGGTGTTTCCCACTTTACAAATTAGGGAACAGGTGTGTATAGGGAGGTCAAATACTATAGTTAGTGATACACAGCTATTCATAGTGGATTGAGACTAATTCATTCTGACTGTTTTTTTCTCTTTAAATTACATAAAAATCATATAAAACATGCTGAAAAAGACAGAAACATGTGTACATGGTAATTTCAATTGCAGCCCAGTGAAGATGCTTGTTCTGTTTTTTTTTTTAATTAGCATCAGAGGAAGAAAACCTGATAAACGGATTTCTAAATCGATAGTCAGAACTTGTTCTAGTTATATAGTATCATATGCATTTGGATTGGGTGAACTGTGAAGATTCTAAATTTTGTTCAAACAAGGTTTGTGTCCAACCATTTTACATTTAAGAACCAAAATAGCCGCCAAGCTGTGATGTTTCTAGAAAAATAGTGAAATACATTTTTTTAGTGATTAGAAATTGATAAACTGCAAGTGTTTAGCATTTTTTCAAAGATTCTTTAAATCCTGGTGTTGCATTTAAACGAAAACTATAATTACAACTTGTAAATATGGATAGAATATGGATTGGGAAACAGTTTCTTTTGAAAGAAACTGAAATGTTCTTTCTGAAAGTGTATTTCAAAAAGCTTGGTAATGAACAAGGGCTAAATGTATATTACCAAATGTTGAAAGTTTCCGCTTAAACACTAGATACAATCAAAGCTGATTCCAAGGAAAGTGCTACACCATAGGCAAGTTACAAACGACTTATCAGAAACTTGTTACATACCTTACACATCTTATATACATAAGGCAGTTGAAGCATAGGGAAGTTGGTGATGAGGATTTCTTTAGAGAGAACTAAAGGTGTAAGGTAGGAGGTAAGATCCTCTTCCTGTCAAGACGAGAGAGGGTTTTAGTGGGATTTCTGAGCATTCTGGGCCTCCTGTAGTTAGTTACATTGCTATCTGACTCCTGCTGGGAAAATATCTAAGGCAGAGAAGGCCAGCCAGCGACTTGGTGGTGGTGTGGGGAGTGTGCTTACTGTGTTGTGAATGGGCTGCACTTTTAGATTTTGTACAGGCATAGAATAAATGAGTGCTTCCTGAGGACCAGAGATAGTGCATTATAGGCCATCTTAGAACTTGTCCAATAGGGCCACCTAGAGGGGATCCTGAAGATGGAGAGGGAGTTCTGTGGGGCTGAGGATCACTGTAGAGTAAAATGGTCAGGAAGCCTGCAGGTGAGATCATTAGTCATTGGGGTCTTCACAGAACCCGTGAAAGTGGCCCTTGAAGGAAGAGGTCAACTTTAAATATCCTTTATGCCACTCCCAATCTCTGTCCAGAAGGTGTCCAAAATAGCAGCTAGGAGTGAGGGAAGTGTGTACAGAAAGACATGAGAAAGCCAGTTGCACTGCCTCCCGCCAACCCTTCTCCTACAGCATGCAATAGCTACCAGAAGTTCCTGTCTGGGAGATGGCAAAGAATTCTCAGCTTTCCATGAAGATTGATTGTAGATTAATATACTATTCTCATATTCACACTCCTGAATTTATACTGTGTACATGTAAAAAAAAAAATGACCATAGGACGTACCTAGGTTTTCATCCAAGGTGACCATCATGAAATAAAGTTTCAATTATTAATGGGAAACAGAAATAAAGATTTGAAAATTACATCTCATGAGTCCTTCTTGGTCAATGTATCAGTTACATATATTTGGGTGATCAAGATAATTTCAGTGAACTCAAAGATTTTTGCTAAGAAAGTTGATAAGGTTGGAAATTAGTTTAGTAGAAAGACAACGAATGTCAGGCTAGAGCATTTGGACTTTATTATAGAAAGTGAGGGTCATCGATTGTATTTGAGTTGACATATATCAGATAATGACTACTATGACAACAGTTTTAGTACTATTTTTTAGTAGTGATATGCATGGATTTTTATATAGCAGCTTGGTAATAAGGCAATAAAAAGCCTTGAAAATGTTAAATGATAAATAGGTTGTTTTGGTTTTAAAATAATCTTTTGAGCTTTAAGCATATTTGGCATTAAAATAAATGACAATAATAACACAAAAGGGAGCACACATTGAAATTTGGTTAATTCCTTATCTGTTCTAGAAATACTTAAAATATAAAAGAGATTGCGATAATTCCAAGATATGTGTTGACATCTCTAGAACAACTACTAAATAAAAATAAAATAATGTAACATTAAACGCCTAATAAAGGGGAAAATTGGAAAAGTGTTGATTATTTTAAAAGAAATCAGGAAAGGAGATGAAAAGAAAAAATTAGTAAAAGGGCAAATAGAAAGTAAATATTGAAATGTAGGTTTAAATTTATATATATCAGAAATTACATTAAATATAAATGGACTGAACACATCAGTTAGATATTTTCAGATAGGAATAAAAAACATGTTGCTTTCAGGAGACATACTTAAATATACAGACATAATATATAAAAACCATAAATAACAGAAAGATGATATAGCTTTTCTAATATCAGGTTAAATAGAGTTTAAGAGAATACCAGGATTAAGAACATCACTACATTAAAATAAATGAGACAAGCAAGAGGAAAACATAACAATTCTATATTAATATGAACTTAACATCCTTAAACAATCGAAAGAGACAGATTCATAATTATAGTTGGAAATGTAACACTAATATTAGAAGCCAACAGAATGAGCTTTTTGGAAATCAGTAAGGCTATCTATAGAAAATTTGAACACAATTAACAAATTCTAATTGACATATATAGAACGTTTGATTAAATAATTGCCAAAATATACATTTTTTAAAAAGTGCACATGGAGAACTTAACAAAATATAGAGCCATCTGATATGTTTTTGCTTTGTGTTCCCACCCAAATCTCATGTTGAATTGTAATTCCCAATGTTGGGGGAGTGACCTGGTGGGCGGTGATTAGGTCATGGGGGTGGGTTTTAACCATGCTGTTTTTGTGAAAGTGGGTTCTCACGAGATCTGATGGTCTAAAAGTGTGTGGCACTTGCCCCCTTGCTGGCATTCTCTCTCTCTCCTGCCACCTTGTGAAGGTGTTTGCTTCCTCTTCACCTCCCACCATAATTGTAAGTTTCCTGAGGCTTCCTTGTCAGCTTCCTGTTAAGCCTTCCTGGAACTGAGTCAATTAAACCTCTTTTCTTTATAAATTACCCAGTCTTAGGCGGTTCTTTATAGCAGTTTGAGAGCAGAGTAATACACCGTCTAAGTAAAGCTCAAAGGGCTGAATTCAAATGCAATGTATTTTCTGATTTGAGTGGAATGAAATTAGAATATCATTACAAAAATTTTAAAATTCAATGTTTGAAAATTAGTGTTATATATTTAATAACACACATGCCAAATAAGATATCATATTGGAAATTAGAAAGTAATTTGAACTGATTGATAATGAAAATACATCATACTTGTGGGACAGAACCAAATCTGATTAGAACAGTGGTTCTCATCTGGGTGACTTTTGCCTGCAAGGGAACATGCGGTAATGTCTGTAGATGGTTTTGGTTGTCACAATGGAGGGAGGGGGTACAACTGCCATCTAGTGAATAGAAGCCAAGGATGCCGCTAAACGTACTGCAGTATACATAATTCCTTACCACAAAGACTTGCCTGTCCCCAAATGTCAATAGTGACTAGGTTAAGAAATCCTGACTTGAGAAAATTTTAATGCTTTAAATGTCAATATTCAAAAAGACTGAATATCAGTAACCTAACTATCCATTTGAAAAAGCTAACATTAGAATAACATATTAAGCACAAAATCAAAGAACAAAAGTGAAAAAAAAGCAAAGATTAATGAAATAGAAATAAATACTGTAAAAAGAATCAACAGTCAAAAAATTATTTTTATCTGAGAATAGTAATAAAAGAGTCAGACCTCTAGTAATAGTGATAAAAAGGCACAAATGGCTAATATCAGGAATAATAAATGGAACATCAGTTTGGTTCCTTCAGCTATTAAAAAGGTAGTAAAAAGCTGTTATAACCTTTACATTAATAAACTTAAATATAATTAACAATGTGCTTGAAAAACACAACTTACTAATATGGCCATGAGAAGCAAAACATCTGAATAGAGGGATGTGTGTTTAATTTTCCAATCTAGAGAGTAGAATATTGAAGATTTTTTCAATGTGTTTTGTGAGAGTAGCATTATATTGATACCACAGCCTATTATGGAGAGTACAAAAAATAAAAATTGGAGGGCTGGCAAAATATTAATAAATAGAACCCAAGAATATATTGAAAGGAACTCAAAACCAATAGAAGTTTAAGAATATATGGTTAATTTAACATACTAAACAAATTATTTAATGTAATGAGCCACGTTAACAACAAAAGGAGAAAAACCATATAACCTCACCCAAGCAGGTAAGCAGTATTTGATAAAATTCAACACCCATCCATGGTTAAAAACACAGTTCTTAGCAAAGTAGAATTATGATTTGACCTCCTTAGTGAGATAAAGAATATCTATAGAAACATGCAGGAAATTTAATACTTCATGATAAAATATTAAAAGCTCCCATTGTGATGTTGGGAACAAGGTAAGGATATTTATTAAAATTATATCTATTCAACATTATACTGGAGTTCTTTGCCAGTGTAATATGGCAAAAAAAAAGAGTGATTTAAAAAGGAAGAAAAACATTTTCGTTATTTGCAAATGATATGATGGTATGTAAAAAATTGAAAATTTAAAAAAATTATATAAAACATTAGAATTATTGAATTTTGCATGGTTACTTCATGTAGCACAAATATGCAAAGCAATTATAATTGTTTTTCTGACAACCTACTTAAAAATTTTATAATTGATACAATTTATAATAGAATCAAAAATATCAAATTCCTAGGAATACATCAAAGAAAAGTTATACCAAACCTCCATACATAAAATGATATTATTGAAGGAATTTTTAAGAGACTTAGGCAAGGGAGATATATCCCATGTTCATTGTTTAAAAGACTCAATATGTTAAATATTTCAGTTCTCACCAAAATGATCTATAGAGTTAATGCATACTCAGTGTCAGTAGGACATTTCATAGAAATTGACAAGTTGATTTAAAATTATTTTAAAGAATTCTTAACTTTTATGTATTTAGGGAGTAGAAGTGCAGATTTCTTGCATGTATGTACTGCGTCATGGAGAAATCTGAGCTTTTAGTGTACCAATCACCTGAATAGTGAACACTGAATCCACTGAATCCAACAGGTAATTTTTCAACCCTCATCCTCTTCCCACCCTCCCACCTTTTGTAGTCTTCAATGTCTATTATTATACTCTGTATGTAGACATTGTATACATTGGACATACAGAGACAAAAAGAGAAACATTGTTTAGCTCTCACTTATGAGTAAGAAAATGCAGTATTTGACTTTGTTTCTGAGTTACCTCATTGAGACTAATAGCCCCAGTTCTAACCATGTTGCTGCAAAATACATGATTTCATTCTGTTTATGACTGAGTAGTATTTCATGGTATATATACTAGTTTTTCTTTATCCAATCATCTGTTGATGGACGCTTCCATATCTTTGCTATTTTGAATAGTGCTGCAGTAAACATATAAGTATAGTTATCCTTTTGATATAAAGATTTCCTTCCGGGTATATACACAGTAGTGGGATTGCTGGATCCAATGGTAGTTCTATTTTTGGTTCTTCAGGAAATTTCCACACTGCTTTCCAGAAATGTATTAATTTACATTCCCACTAGTAGCATATAAGTGTTACCTTTTTTCCTCCACATCCTTGGCAACATTTGTTGTTTTTAGACTTTCTAATAATAGCCATTCTGACTAGAGTAAGATTGTATCTTATTGTGGTTTTAACTTGTATTTCTCTGATTAAGGATGCTGAGCATTTTTTTAATAAGTTCGAAGGCTGCTTGTATGTCATCTTTCGAAAAATGTGTGTTCATTTCACTTGCCCACTTTATAATGGGGTTGTTTTATTCTTGTTGAGTTGTCTGAGTTCCTTATAGATTCTGGATGTTAGCTCTTTGTCAGATACATAGTTTGCTCCCTATTCTTTAGGTTATTTGTTTACTCTGTTACTTTAGCTGTGCAGAAGCTTTTTAGTATAATTAAGCCCCATTGATCTATTTTTGTTTTTGTGTTTGCTTTTGAGGATTTGATTATAAATTATTTGCCAAGGCCAATGCCCAGAGGAGGTTGGAAAATCCTAGGTTTTCTTCTAAAATTTTTATAATTTCAGGTCTTACTTACACTATGTCTTTAATCCATTTTGAGTAAACTTTTTGTAGATGGTGTGAGGTATGAGTTCAGCTTTATTCTTCTGCATATGGCTATCCAATCATCCCAGCAACATTTATTAAAGAGAATGTCATTCCCTCAGTGTATATTTTAGTAAACTTTAAACTCAGTTGATTGTATGTATGTGGCTTCATTTCTGGGTTCTCTATTCTGTCCCATTCATCTATTTTTATACCAGGGTCATGCTGTTTTGGTTACTATAGCCTGGTAATATAGTTTGAAGTCAGGTAGTGTGATGCCTTCAGTTTTGTTCTTTTTGCTTAGGATAGCTTTGGCTACATGGTCTCTTTTCATATGAATTTTAGGATTGTTTTTATAATTCTGTGAAAAATGATAATGGTAATTTCATAGGGATTGCATTGAACCTGTAGCTAGCTTTGGGAAGTATAGTCAATTTAATGATATTGATTCTTTCAATCCATGAACATGGGATATTTGCCCACTTGTTTGTGTCATCTATCATTCCTTTCATCAGTGTTTTGCAGTTCTTCTTATGAAGGTCTTTCACCTCCTTGGTTAAATATATTCCTAGATTTTTGTTTTGTTTTGTTGGTATTGTAAATGAAATTGCCTTCTTGATTTTGTCCTTGGCTAGATTGTTATTGGTGTATAGTAATTCTACCGTTTTCTATATATTACTTTTGTATCCTGAAAGTATACTAAATTCATTTATCAAATCTAAGGGCATTTTTGATGGAATATTTAGCATTTTCTAGACGTAAGATCATATCATCAGTGAACAAGGTAATTTCACTTCCTCTTTTCCAATTTAGATACTTTTTTTTCTCTTGCTTAATTGTTCTGGCTAGGACTCCCAGTATAATGTTGAATAAAAGTGGTAAAATGGGGCATCCTTGTTTTATTCCGGTTCTTAGAATGTTTTCAACTTCTCCCCATTAAGTAGGATGTTCACTGTGGGGTTTTCATATATGGCCTTTATTATGTTGAGGTATGTTCCTTCTATGCCTAGTTTGTTGAGGATTCTTATGAAGGGATACTGAATTTTATTGAATGCTTTTTATGCATCTGTTGAGATGACTATATGGTTTTTTGTCCTTTATTCTGTTTATGTGATGTATCATATTTGGTAATTTGCATAGGTTGAATCATTCTTAGATTCCTGGGGTAAACCCTACCTGATCATGGTATATGATAATTTTGATATGCTATTGTATTTGATTTGCTGATACTCTGTTGAGGATTTTGAATCCATGTTCTTCCAGGATATTAGTTAATAGTTTTCTTTTTTGTAGTTTTGTCTGGTTTTGGTAACAGGGTGATGCCGGCTTGTATAATGAATTAGGGAGAATTCCCTTCTAAATTTTTAGAATAGTTTCAGCAGGATTGGTATTAGTTCTTCTTTGTATATTTGGTAGAAATTGGCTGTGAATGCATCTGGTCCTGAGCTTGTTTTTAAGTTGATTTTTTAAATTACTGATTCAGTTTCGTCACTCATTATTGGTGTGTTTAAGAATTCTATTTTTTGCTGGTTTGTTCTCAGGCGGTGGTGTATTTCCAGGAATTTATCCATTTCCTCTAGGTTTTCTAGTTTGTGAGTGTATGGTAGTTCCTGATAGCCTCTGATCTTTTGTATTTCTGTGGTGACTATTCGGTTGTAATGCCCCCTTTTTCATATATGATTGTGTTCTACTTTTTTCTTTTTTTGGTTAGTCTAGCTAGTGATTAATCAATTTTATTTATCTTTTCAAAAAGTCAACTTCATTTCATTGATCATTTGTATTTTTGGTCTATATTTCATTTAGCTCAGATCTGATCTTTATTTCTTTTCTTCTGCCAACTTTAAGTTTGGTCTGCCCTTGTTTTTCTAGTTCTTTGATATGTGATGTTAGGTTGATAACTTGTGATTTTTCTAATTTTTTGATGTAGGCATTCAATGCTATAAACTTTCCTTTTAGCACTGCATTTTGTATATCCCACAGATTTTGGTATGTTGTATTTTCATTTTCATTTGTTTCAACAATTTTTTAATTTTTATTTTAATTTCTTCATTGATCTAGTTTTTAATTTTCATTAATTTAAAAAAAAATTTAATTTCTGTCTTAATTTCCTCATTGACCCAGTAATTGTACAGGAACATGCTATTTAATTTCATGTATATGTATGGTTTCCTGAGTTCCTCTTGGTATTGATTTCTAGCTTTATTCCACTGTGGTCTGAGAATATACATGATATAATTTTAATTGTTATTAATGTGTTGTCTTGTTTTGTGGCCTAATATGTAGTCTATCTTGGAGAATGTACTGTGTGCTGATGAAGAGAATGTATATTCTGTACTTGTTGGGTAGAATGTTCTGTAAATGTCTGTTAAGTCCATTTTGTTTAAAGTCTAGTTTAAATTTTCTGTCTTAATGATCTGTCTAGTGCTGTGAGTGGGATGTTAAAGTCCCCCACTATTGTGGTATTTTTATATTATCTCTTTCTTAGTATAGTAATATTTGTTTTGGGAATGTGGGTGTTCTGAAGTTGGGTGCATGCATATTTTGGATTGTTATATCCTCTTGTGAAATAAAACTTTTGTCATATAATTACCTTGTCTTTTTTATTGTTTTGATTAAAATCTGTTTTATTTGATATGAATATAACGACTCCTGTTCACTTTTGGTTTTCATTTGTGTGGAAAATCTTCTTTCACACCTTTACCGTTAGTCTATATGTGTTATGGGTAAGGAGAGTTTCTTGTAGGCATGATGTAGTTGGATCACGGTTTTTTAAAAATTTTTAATTCATTTCCCCAATCTGTATCTTTTAAGTGGAGCATTTAATCCGTTTACACTCAAAGTTAACAATGATATGGGAGGCTTTTTCCCTGTCATATTATTGATGATTTTCAAGTTGTTTGATAAATTCTCCATTTCTTTCTTTTTTTCTTGTCATGTGGTTTGATGAAATTCAATCATGTTGCCCTTTCATTCCTTTGTTTTCCTCCTTTGTGGAATTGTTTAATATGAATGATGAGTTTCATATTTCCCTGTGCTTTCGTGATGGTGAATTTGGAGCTTTCATTTTTATGTTTAATAACCCTTTGTGTTATTCCTGTAGGACCAGTCTAGTGGTGACACATTTTCTCAGCATTTGCTTTTCTGGGAAGGACTTTATTTCTCCTTCATTTTTGAAGCTTATTTTGCCAGGATACAAAAGCCTTGACTGGCAGAGGTTTTTCTTTCAGCAACTTGAAAATGCCATCCAATTATATTCTAGCCTGTAATGTTTTCATTGAAAAGTCCACTGTTATCTTGAGGGGGTTTCTTTTATTGATGACTACACATTTCTCTTGCTAATTTCATTTTATTTCAATAGGTTTTTGGGGAACAGATCATATTTGGGTCCATGAATTAAGGTCTTTAGTGGTGATTTCTGAGATTTTGGTGTACCCAGCACCTGAGCAGTGTACACTGTACCCAATGTGTAGTCTTTTATCTCTCACCCCTACTCCCACCCTTTCCCGCAAGTCCTCAGAGTTCATTGTATCATTGTTATGCCTTTGCATTCTTATAGCTTAGCTTCCACTTATGAGTGAGAACATATGATGTTTGGTTTTTTATTCCTGCATTACTTCATTTAGAATAATGGTCTCCAATTCCATCCAAGTTGCTGCAAATGTCACATTTCATTCCTTTTTATGGCTGAGTGGTATTCCATGGTATGTATACGTATATATAATATTATTTATATATATAATATGGGATATATATATTCCACATTTGCTTTATCCACTTATTAATTGATGGGCATTAGGGTTGGTTCCATATTTTTGCAGTTGCGAATTGTGCTGCTATAAACATGCATGTGTAAGTATCTTTTTCATATAATTTATTTTCCCCTGGATAGATACCCAGGAGTGGGATTGCTGGATTGAATGGTAGATCGCCTTTTAGTTCTTTATGAAATCTCCACACTGTTTTACATAGTGTACTAGTTTACATTCCCACCAACAGTGTAAAAGTGTTCCCTTTTTACCACATCCACACCAACATCTATTATTTTTTATTATGGACATTCTTGCAAGAGTAAGGTGGTATTGCACTGTGGTTTTTGATTTGCATTTTCCTGATAATTAGTGATGTTGAGCATTTGTTCATATGTTTCTTGGCCATTGTAGATCTTCTTTTGAGAACTGTCTATTCATGTCCTTATCCCACTTTTTGATGGGATTGTTTTTTTCTTGCTGATTTGTTTGAGTTCTTTGTAGGTTCTGAATATTAGTCCTTTGTCAGATTTACAAATCGTGAAAATTTTCTCCCACTCTGTGGGTTGTCTGTTTATCCTGCTGATTATTTCTTTTTCTGTACAGAAGCTTTTTAGTTTAATAAAATCCCATCTATTTATCTTTGTTTTTGTAGCATTTGCTTTTGGGTTCTTGGTCATGAAGTCTTTGCCTAAGCCAATGTCTAGAAGGGTTTTCCTGATGTTACCTTCTGGAATTTGTATGGTTTTAGGTCTTAGATTTAAGTCTTTGATCCATCTTTGGTTGATTTTTGTATAAGGTGAGAGATGAGGATCCAGTTTCATTCTTCTACGTGTGGCTTGCCAGTTATCCCAGCACCATTTGTTGAATAGGGTGTCCTTTTTCTGCTTTACGTTTTGTTTTCTTTGTCAAAGATCAGTTGACTGTAAGTATTTGGCCGTATTTCTGTGTTCTCTATTCTGTTCCGTTGGTCTACATGCCTATTTTTATACAAGTACCATGCTGTTTTAGTGACTATGGCCTTTTAATATAGTTTGAAGTCAAGTAATATTACACCTCTAGATATATTCTTTTTGCTTAGTCTTGCCTTGGCTGTGTGGGCTTTTTTTGGTTCCATATGAATTTTAGGATTGTTTTTTCCAGTTCTATGAAGAAAGATGTTGGTATTTTGATGGGAATTGCATGGAATTTGTAGATTGCTTTTGGCAGTATGGTTAATTTCACAATATTCTACCCAATCCATGAGCATGGAATGTGTTCCATTTATTTGTGTCATCTATGATTTCTTTTAACAGTGTTTTGTAGTTTTCCTTGTAGAAGGCTTTCACTTTCTTGGTTAAGTATATTCCTATATATTTTATGTTTTGCATTCATTGTAAAAGGCTGAGTTCTTGATTATCAGCTTGGTCATTGTTGGTGTACAGCACATCTACTGATTTGTGTACAGTAATTTTGTAACTTGAAACGTTGATGAATTAATATACCAGTTCTAGAAACTTTTTGGCAGGTATATAATTATGTCATCAGCAAACAGCAACAGTTTGGCTTCTCTTTAACCAATTTTAATGCCCTTTATTTCTTTCTCTGGTTTGATTGCTCTGGCTAGGACTTCCAGTACTATGTTGAATAGAAGTGGTAAAAGTGGGCATTCTTGTCTTGTACCAGTTCCAAGGGGGAATGCTTTCCATTTATCTCCATTCAGTATAATGTTGGCTGTGGGTTTGTCATAGACGGCTTTTATTACCTTAAGGTATGTTCCTCTTATGCCAGTTTTGCTGAGGGTTTTAATCATAAAGTGATGTTGGATTTTGTCAAATGCTTTTTCTATGTCTATTGAGATGATCATGTGATTTTTGTTTTTAATTACGTTTATGTGGTTTATCAATTTTATTGACTTGCAGATATTACTCATCTCTCCATCCCTGGTATGAATCCCACTTGATCATGGTGGATTATCTTTTTGATATGCTATTGAATTTGGTTAGCTAGAATTTTGTTGAGGATTTTTGCATCTATGTTCATCAGGGATATTGGTCTGTAGTTTTCTTTGTTATGTCCTTTCCTGGCTTTGGTATCAGGGTGACACTGGCTACATAGAATAATTTGGGGAGGTTTCCCTATTTCTCTATCTTTTGGAATAGTGTCAATAGGATTGGTACCAATTCTGTGAATGCCTGATAAAATTTAACTGTGAATTTGTTTGGTCCTGAACTTTGTTTGTTGGTAACTGTTTAATTACCATCTCAATATCACTGTTTGTCATTTGTCTGTTCAGAGTTTCTATTTCTTCCTGTTTTAATCTAGGAAGGTTATATATTTCCAGGAATTTATCCATCTTCTCTAGGTTTTCTAGCTTATGCATGTAAAAGTGTTCATAGTAGCCTTCAATGCTCTTTTGCATTTCTGTGGTATCAGCTGTAATATTTACCGTTTTTTTTCTAATTGAGTCTATTTGGATCTTCTCTCTTCTTTTTCTTGGTTAATGTCACTCATGGTCTATCAATTTTATTTACCTTTTCAAAGAACCAGCTTTTTGTTTTATTTATTTTTTGTATTTTTTTTCAAATTCATTTAGTTCTGCTCTGATCTTTGTGATTTATTTTCTTCTGCTTGGGTTTGGGTTTGGTTGGTTCTTGTTTCTCTTGCTCGCTGAGGTGTGACCTTATAATGTCTATTTGTACTCTTTCAGACTTTTTGATGTAGGCATTTAATGCTATAAACTTTCCGATTAGCACCACCCGTGCTGTATCCCAGAAGTTTTGATAGGTTTTGTCACTATTATCATTCAGTTAAAAGATTTTTTTAATTTCCATCTTGATTTCATTGTTGACCCAACAATCATTCAGGAGCAATTACTTCATTTCCATGTATTTGCATGGTTTTGAGGGTTCCTTTTGGAGTTAATTTCTAATTTTATTCCACTGTGGTCTGAGAGAGATAACCTGATGGCTATGTGCCTAGGCAATGATCTTTTTGTGGTGAATTTCTCAGGTGTTCTTTGAGCTTCTTGTATTTGGATGCCTAGATATCTAGCAAGGCCAGAGAAGTTTTCGATTATTCTCTCAAATATGTTTTCTATATTACTCTATTTTCATGCTGCTATGAAGAAATACCCAAGACTGGGTAATTTGTAAAGAAAAAGAGGTTTAATGGACTCCCAGTTCCACATGGCTGGAGAGGCCTCACAATCATGGCAGAAGGCAAAGGAGGAGCAAAGGCACATCTTCTGTGGTGGCAGACAAGAGAGGGCATGTGCAGGGAAACTGCCCTCTAAAATGCCATCAGATCTGATGAGACTTATTCACTATCATGAGAACAGCATGGGAAAAACCCACCCCCATGATTCAATTACCTCCCACTGGGTCCCTCCCACTACACATGGGGATTGTGGGAGCTACAATTCAAAATGAATTTTGGGAGAGAACACAGCCAAACCATATCATTTTCCAAACTTTCAGATTTCTTCCTTGGGAACACCAGTTATTCTAACGTTTGTTCATTTAACATAATTCCTAACTTCTTGGAGGCTTTGTTCATTTTTTTAAAATTCTTTTTTCTTTGTCTTTGTCAGATTGGGTTAATTCAAAAGCCTCGCCTTTGAGCTCTGAAGTTCTTTCTTCTTCATGCTTGATTCTACTGCTGAGACTTTTCAGCAAATTTTGCAATTCTCTGTGTCCTTAATTTCCAGAACTCATAATTATTTTTTGTTTTAATGCTATTTATTTTACTGGAGATTTTTCCATTCATATCATATTCTGTATCTTTTTTTAAATTTCTTTAAGTTGGAATTCACTTTTTCTGGTGCCTTCTTGATTAGCTTAATAGTTGACATTCTGAATTCTTTTTCTGACGATTCAGAGATTTTGTCTTGGTTTGGATCCATTGCTGGTGAACTAGTGTGATCTTTTGGGGGTGTTAAAGAATCTCGTTTTGTCACATTACCAGAAATGTTTTTCTCGTTCCTTCTCATGTGGGTAGACTGTGTCAGAGGGAAGATCTGGGACTCCAGCGCTGCTGTTGAGATTCTTTTATCCCATGGGGTGCTCTCTTTATGTGGCGCTCTCCCCTCTCCCCTAGGGACGGGGCTTCCTGAGAGCCAAATTGCAATGATTGTTATTTCTCTTTGGATCTAGCCACACAGCAGAGCTACCTGGTTCTGGGCTGGTACTGGAGAGTGTTTGCAAAGAGTCCTGTGATGTGATTCATCTTCAGGTGTCTCAGCCATGGATACCAGCACCTGCTCCAGTGGAGGTAGCAGGGGAGTGAAGTGGACTTTGTGAAGATCCTTGGTTAAATTTTTGTTAAGTGTGCTGGTTTTGTGTTGGTTGGCCTCCAGCCAGGAGGTGGGTACTTTCAAAGGTGCATCAGCTGCACTTGTATAGGGAGGATTCAAGATTGCCCTAGGGTCAAGAGATGGGCAGGGCCATAGGGCTCCCAAGGGATGATGTCTTTTGTCTTTGCCTACCGGGATGAATAGAGAAAGACCATCAGGTGGGGGCAGGGTTAGGCTTGTCTGAACTCAGACTCTCCTTGGGTGGGGCTTGGTTTGTCTGCTGCAAGGGAAGGTTTCCAGGGAGGATTATGGCTGCCTTTGCTGTGTCATACAGGTTGCCAGGGAATGGGGGAAAGCCGGTAGCCACAGGCTCACCCAGCTCCCTTGCAGTCAACAGCCAGAAAGGCTGATCTCACTCTCACTGTGCCCCCACCAACTGCACTGGGTTTATTTCTCAGGCAGCCAGTGAGCAGGGCTGAAAACTTGCCCCTGGCTGCAAGCCTCCCAGCTGAGAAAGCAAGCGGACTCACAGACTCACAATTCCTTGGCTGTCCCATGGAGGCTTCAGTAGCAATCTGCCTCCTTCAAAGGGTCTGTGGATTCTCTTGGCTTTCCTGGTATGTTCCTGTGGTAGCTCTTAGAGCAAAAGTTCACAATATGAGTCTCCACGCACTATTCTGTCCGTCCAAATGGGAGCTGCAAGTTAGTCCTACCTCCTGTTTGCCATTTTCCCTCTTGCTAACTTTAAAATTATTTCTTTCACCTTGACTTTAGACATTCTGAATATAATATGCTATAGTAAAGGCCTTTTAGCAATGTATTTGCCTGGGGATTACTGGGCCTTCTCTATTTGGATGTCTAACTCCCTTGATAGACATGAAATCTATTATAGAATAATTTATAAATTTCGTTGCTTTATGTATTCCCAGGTGTCCCAAAGGCTTTGTTCATCCTTTTTTATTTTTTCTTTAGTTTTGTCTCACTGGCTTGTTTCAAAATACCTGTCTTCAAGTTCTCACATTCTTTCTTCTGCTTGCTCTAGCAGATTACTGAAGCTTTAGAATGTGTTTTGAATTTTCTTCAATGAATTTTTTAGCTCCTGAATTTCTGCTTGTTGATTTGTTTATTTATTTATGTATCTATCTCCTTTCTAAATTTCTCCTTCATATCTTGATCTGATTTTCTGATTTCATTTGTGTTGATTTTCAAATTTCCCTTGCATCTCATTAAGCTTCATTAAAACCAATATTTTGAATTATTTATCTGGCAAATCAGGGAATTCTTTTTGATTAAGATCTGTTGCTGGACAATTGTTTTGGTCCTTTGGTGTCATATTTCCCTACTTTTTCATGTTTCCTGTGTCCTGATGATATTTGTGTACCTGGTGTAGCAGTCACTTGTTCCAAAATTTTGAAATTGCTTTTGTAGGCGAGTTTTTTTCCTGAGGATCATGTATCCTGTTTATTGAATTTAATACTTTGGCTTTGATTTTGGGTCCCTAGGGTAGTTTTTTCTTTGTATGTCATCTTTGGCAGTACACAGGGTCAGTTGTTTCTGTGATTTCCTGAGTGACTTAGGGTACAGTTGTTAGTTGAGGTTGTGGTGAAGTTTTGCTGGGGACTTAGGACACCAACTGAGCCCAGTCTTCAGGCCCCAGTGGTGGCAGAAGTAGGGTGAGCATGCCTGTTCTTAGGCCCCAGAGCAGCTTTCACTGCCCCTGGTGTGAGTGGGTCCTGGAGAGCTGATTCCTGGGCCTCCAGTTGGCCGGCTTAGAAGCTAGTAATGGAAATGGTGGACCAGGTATGTAGGTAGCTTCTCAGGCCACTGGGTAGCTGGCGTGGTGTGGGCGATGGTAGTAGTGGTGGTGGAGCAACTCCTGGGACCCAAGCAGTCTGTGTTGCTGTTGTTGGAAGCTCTGATGGGTTGGGTGGGCTAGTTCCCAGTCCCACAGCTGCCCATAGCAGGGTGAAGGTTATTGTACTAAGCATGCTTAAGAGAGCCTGTTCTCCCCTGTTTGTCCCCTGACTAGATACCATTTACAGCTACATTGACTCAAACTGCCTGCAGGTGGGGCACACCCCAACCTTAAACTCTCAAAATGGTGCCAGCTGGGGCTTGTGACCACATAAGGTGGGCCCATGTCAGGTGAGCAGCATGGGCAGGAAACTGTGGGGAGTGCAGTATGCTCTAGTCTTGTTCTCATGGCAGCTCATAACAAGGCATTAGATATTGTCCTAGATATGCATAGGAGAACCAGGTTTCCCTGTCCTTGATGCTGTGGTGGCTACAGCCATGTCAACTTGAACTTGGCCTGAGGTCTGGACACAGCATGGTGTTGAAATCTCAAAATGGCACATTGACCCTACAACCACGGAGGGCAAAGCACCTCCCAGGCAGACAGTGTGGGCAAGAAGCTGTGTGGACTGCAGTCTGCTCACATCTCAGTATCAACAGCAGCTCATTGGAGAGCAGTGGGTGTTTTCCTAGATGTGCATAGGGTAGCCTGGTTTCCCTGATGCTCCATGGCTCAATGGTGGCTGCAGCCATGTCAGTCTGATCTCAGTCCAAGGGTGGGGTGCAGCCCACAGGTAAACTCTCAAAATGGCACCTTGGGCCAAGGATCAGAGGGAGCATGGCACCTTTAAAGCAAGTAGTATAGGAAGAAGCTGTGGAGGGTGTGGTCCACTCGCATCTCAGTCTCACAGGAGCCCATTGCAGAGTAATGGGTCTTGTCCTATATATGCACAGAATAATCTTGATTCCCTTTTCCTCCTTGGCTGGGCAGCTGCTGCAGCCAAATCAGCCAGATCTCAGGCAGAGGGTGGGGTACAGCTCAGCATTAAACTCTCAAAATAGTGCCTTTGGCTTGGAAACTGAGAGGGTGGGATCCCTCTCAGGCAAGCAGCATGAGCAAGAAGCTGTGGGCAGTACAGTCTGCTCCTGTCTCAGTCTTGGCAGCCCACAGCAGGGTGGCAGGGACCCCCACAGGGGTACAGGAGCATCCCATCTCCCTTCTCCCTTCTTGGAGCAGCGCAGTGGCTACAGCCGTATCTGTAGGTCCCTGGTATCTACAATCTCAAAATGGCTCCTAGCTGAAGCTTCTCCAGGCTCAGATGTCTTGTGGGATCCTGTGTGGGTTCCCTTTCTGGAGCGACGTTTCTGTGCAATCATTAGGCAGCACTTCAAGTCAGGCCTGGGGCCCTAGTGGGTAAAGGATTTCTTCCACAGCTAAGATGGTAAAAGCCTGTCAGGTAGCCCTTGGGGTTTTTCTCTTACTGTTTTCCCCACCCAGGAGCCTCTCCTGGCTCTCAGACCTGATTTTAAAATTTACTTGCTTTTTTCTTGTAAATTTGTTTGAGTTCATTGTAGATTCTGGATATTAGCCCTTTGTCAGATGAGTAGGTTGCGAAAATTTTCTCCCATGTTGTAGGTTGCCTGTTCACTCTGATGGTAGTTTCTTTTGCTGTGCAGAAGCTCTTTAGTTTAATTAGATCCCATTTGTCAATTTTGGCTTTGGTTGCCATTGCTTTTGGTGTTTTGGACATGAAGTCCTTGCCCACGCCTATGTCCTGAATGGTAATGCCTAGGTTTTCTTCTAGGGTTTTTATGGTTTTAGGTCTAACATTTAAATCTTTAATCCATCTTGAATTGATTTTTGTATAAGGTGTAAGGAAGGGATCCAGTTTCAGCTTTCTACATATGGCTAGCCAGTTTTCCCAGCACCATTTATTAAATAGGGAATCCTTTCCCCATTGCTTGTTTTTCTCAGGTTTGTCAAAGATCAGATAGTTGTAGGTATGCGGCGTTATTTCTGAGGGCTCTGTTCTGTTCCATTGATCTATATCTCTGTTTTGGTACCAGTACCATGCTGTTTTGGTTACTGTAGCCTTGTAGTATAGTTTGAAGTCAGGTAGTGTGATGCCTCCAGCTTTGTTCTTTTGGCTTAGGATTGCCTTGGCGATGCGGGCTCTTTTTTGGTTCCATATGAACTTGAAAGTAGTTTTTTCCAATTCTGTGAAGAAAGTCATTGGTAGCTTGATGGGGATGGCATTGAATCTGTAAATTACCTTGGGCAGTATGACCATTTTCACGATATTGATTCTTCCTACCCATGAGCATGGAATGTTCTTCCATTTGTTTGTATCCTCTTTTATTTCCTTGAGCAGTGGTTTGTAGTTCTCCTTGAAGAGGTCCTTCACATCCCTTGTAAGTTGGATTCCTAGGTATTTTATTCTCTTTGAAGCAATTGTGAATGGGAGTTCACTCATGATTTGGCTCTCTGTTTGTCTGTTGTTGGTGTATAGGAATGCTTGTGATTTTTGTACATTGATTTTGTATCCTGAGACTTTGCTGAAGTTGCTTATCAGCTTAAGGAGATTTTGGGCTGAGACAATGGGGTTTTCTAGATAAACAGTCATGTTGTCTGCAAACAGGGACAATTTGACTTCCTCTTTTCCTAATTGAATACCCTTTATTTCCTTCTCCTGCCTGATTGCCCTGGCCAGAACTTCCAACACTATGTTGAATAGGAGCGGTGAGAGAGGGCATCCCTGTCTTGTGCCAGTTTTCAAAGGGAATGCTTCCAGTTTTTGCCCATTCAGTATGATATTGGCTGTGGGTTTGTCATAGATAGCTCTTATTATTTTGAAATACGTCCCATCAATACCTAATTTATTGAGAGTGGGCGAGGGACATGAACAGACACTTCTCAAAAGAAGACATTTATGCAGCCAAAAAACACATGAAAAAATGCTCATCATCACTGGCCATCAGAGAAATGCAAATCAAAACCACAATGAGATACCATCTCACACCAGTTAGAATGGCAATCATTAAAAAGTCAGGAAACAACAGGTGCTGGAGAGGATGTGGAGAAATAGGAGCACCTTTACACTGTTGGTGGGACTGTAAAGTAGTTCAACCATTGTGGAAGTCAGTGTGGCGATTTCTCAGGGATCTAGAACTAGAAATACCATTTGACCCAGCCATCCCATTACTGGGTATATACCCAAAGGACTGTAAATCATGCTGCTATAAAGACACATGCACACGTATTTTTATTGCGGCATTATTCACAATAACAAAGACTTGGAACCAACCCAAATGTCCAACAATGATAGACTGGATTAAGAAAATGTGGCACATATACACCATGGAATACTATGCAGCCATAAAAAAGGATGAGTTCATGTCCTTTGTAGGGACATGGATGAAATTGGAAACCATCATTCTCAGTAAACTATCGCAAGAACAAAAAACCAAACACCGCATATTCTCACTCATAGGTGGGAATTGAACAATGAGATCACATGGACACAGGAAGGGGAATATCACACTCTGGGGACTGTGGTGGGGAGTGGGGAGGGGGGAGGGATAGCATTGGGAGATATACCTAATGCTAGATGATGAGTTAGTGGGTGCAGCGCACCAGCATGGCACATGTATACATATGTAACTAACCTGCACAATGTGCACATGTACCCTAAAACTTAAAGTATAATTAAAAAAAAATAAAATAATAATAAAAAAAAAGAAACGCATTAAAAAAAAAATTTACTTGCAAATGCAAAAGGCCAAGAATAACTATTAAAATCTTGAAGAATGAAGTTGGTAATCTTTCATACTTATAAAGTTATACAAATTAAACTGTGGTATTAGCATGACATGAGGATAGCAAACTGGATCAATTGAATAAAATAGAAAAACTAGAAAAATATTTACATATATAGAATCATCTGATTTATTTCTAAGTTGGAGCTACAGTGCAATATAAAAAAAGTGATCTTCACAAAAATGGCTTGGCTCAATTAGATGTTTATATGGAATTAAAAATTACCCCAATTTCTCATAATGTACAACTATCAAAATTAGATAAATCACAAAACTAGAACGGAAGGTAAAATCAATAAAATTAATAAAAGATAGCAAAGGAAAATAGCTTTGTAATCTTGTGGTATACAAAGTTTTCTTTTTAAAACCACTTTATTGAGGTATGATTGACATATAAAAAGCTGTACACATTTAATGCATACATCTCAATGAGTTTCGGGACAAGTGTACACGTGGAGAAGTATCACTACCACCAAGGCCATACATAAACACATCCATCAACTCCCAAAGTTTCCCTCTGCCCCCTTTATTATTATTATCTGTGTGTGTGTGTGTGTGTGTGTGTGTGTGTGTAAAGAACACTTAATATTTACGCTCTTAGCAAATTTTAATTGTAGCTATATTGTTAGTGATAGGCCCTGTGCTATATAGTAGGTCTC
Source organism: Homo sapiens (assembly GCF_000001405.40). Lineage (NCBI taxonomy): Eukaryota > Metazoa > Chordata > Mammalia > Primates > Hominidae > Homo > Homo sapiens. Next base: position 19,461,770 of record NC_000007.14, read on the forward strand.
CAGAACTAATTTTTTTTTTTATAACTGAAACTTTGTACCTTATGACCATCCCCATACCCCACCCCAGTCCTCTGGTAACCTCCATTCTACTCTGTTTTTCAGTTTATTTTTGATTTCACATATAAGTGAGCTCATAGTATGTGTTTATATCTGACTTATCTCACTGAACAACACCCAGGTGAATCCATGCTATTGCTTTTTTAAGGTGGAATAATACTCCATTGTATGTACAGAAGAGTTTCTTACCAATACATTAACTGATGGACATTTAGATTGTTCCCATATCTTGGCTGTTGTTAATAGCCCCCTATTAACTTGGCTATTGTCAATAGCCCCGTTGTTTCCATATCTTGGCTATTGTTAATAAGGCAGCAATATACATGGGGTGCTGATAATCTCTTTGAGATTCTGGTATCAATTCCTTTGGATATATACCCAGAAGTGGGATTGCTGGATCATATGGCAGTAGTTCTATTTTCTGTTTTTTTTTTGAGGAACCAAAATACTGTTTTCCATAGTGGCTGTACAATTTTACATTTCCATCAACAGTATACAGGGCTTTTTTTTTTCCCTCCACATCCTTGCCAACACTTAATGTTTTAAAAAAAAAAAAAAAGCCATCCTCACAGGTGTTAGGTACTATCTCATTGTGGTTTTAATTAGCATTTATCTGATGAGCAGTAATGTTTAGCACCTTTTCATATACCTGTTGGCCATGTGTATGTCTTCCTTGGAGAAATGTCTATTCAGGTCCTCTGCTTATTTTTTCATCTAGTTATTTGTTGTTTTGTTTGCTATTCAGTTTTTCTGTGATATTTAATTTTTTTTCTTTAGTTGTGCATAAGCTTTTTAGTTTGATATGGTAGTATTTTATTTTGGCTTTTTTTGCCTATGCTTTTATGGCATATCGAAAAAAATCATTGTCAAGATCAAAGTTTAGGAGCTTTTATTCCTATGTTTTCTTCTAGGCGTTTTACAATTTCAAGTCTTACGTTTAAGTCTTTAGTCCACTTTGAGTTGATTTTCATGTATAGCATAAAAGAAGGGTCCAAATTGCTTATGAAACTAAACATACTCTATGTGATCTAGAAATTGTGCTCCTTGTTATGTACTCAAAGGAGTCAAACCTTGGGCAGTAAAAACACTCCGGATGATGTTATAATAATCCATGTTTTATACATTTGTCCAAACCCATGGAATGTACAACAGCAAGAATGAGCTCTAAATTATTACCTTTGAGTGATTATGATGTATCATTGTTGCTTCATCAGTCATTAACCAATGCACCCCTCTGGTGGGGGATGTTGATAATGGGGGAGGCTATGCATGAGTATATAGGAAATCTCTGTATCTTCCTTTTAATTTTGCTTTGAACCTAAAATTGCTCTATAAAATTAAAATCTTTTAAGAACAGGCAAAACAAATCTATGGTGATATGTGTTGTTTATTTATTGCTACATAACAAATTAACTAAAAAAATTAGGGCCAGGCGCCGTGGCTCACGCCTGTAATCCCAGCACTTTGGGAGGCCGAGGCGGGTGGATCACCTGAGGGCAGGAATTCGAAACCAGCCTGACCAATATAGCAAAACCCCCTCTCTACTAAAAATAACAAAAATTAGCCAGGCCTGGTGGCATGTGCCTATAATACCTGCTACTAGGGAGGCTGAGGCAGGAGAATTGCTTGAACCCAGGAGGCAGAGGTTGCAGTGAGCCAAGATTATGCCACTGCACTCCAGTCTAGGCAGCAGATCAAGAGTCCATCTCAAAAAAAAAAAAAAAAAAACTTAAAATGGGAAAATGATTTATTATCACATGCAGTTTTTAGGGGTTGGGAATCTGGGAGTGGCTTAACAGTGTGGTTCTGGCTCAGGGTCCCTCATGAGTGCGGTCAAGCTATCAGCCAGGACCACAGTTTCTAAAGTATTGATGAGCTAAAGGATATTCTAAGCTCACTCAGTTTAGTTGGCTGGAGGCCTCAGTTCCTCATCATATTGAACCATCCGTAAGGCTGCTTATGACATAGCTTTTCCCCAGGGGAGTGACTAATGTATGTGAGAGAGAATCCAAGATACAGCCACAGTCTTTTAATAACTGAATGTCAGAAGTGACATATGAACACTTACGCTATATAAAATTGATCACACAAAAGCAACCCTGGTATAATGAAGGAGGTAACTATACAAGAGTGTGGATATCTGGAGGCAGGGATCAATGGGAGCCACCTGAGAGGGTACCTAGCATACAATACAAATCAAAATGGTGGTTGATACCTTTTGCCTTTGTCCCCACCCAAATCTCATCATGAATGGTAGTTCCCATAATCCGCATGTTTCACAGGAGGGACTTAGTGGGAGGTAATTGAATCATGGGGGCGGTCACCCTCATGCTGCTGTTCTTGTGATGAGTTCTTATGACATTTGATGGTTTCATAAGGAGCTTTTCCCCCTCTTGCTTGGCACTTCTTGCTTGTTGTCATGTAAAGAAGGATGTGTTCTCTTCCCCTTCTGCCATGATTGTAAGTTTCCTGAGGCTTCCCCAGCCATGCTGAACCGAGTTAACTAAACTTCTTTCCTTTATAAATTACTCAGTCTTGGGTATGTCTTTATTAGCAGCATGAGGACGGACTAATACGGTAGTTGATGTTGCAAGTTGAGTAATGACTAGAAGGGAATGCTAGAGAGGACTGTAGTGTGTTAGTCATCTGTATCTACATCTAAGTGGTGGTTACTTGGATGTGTACACATTATAATTTGTAGATACTGAAGATTTATATGCTTTTCAGATGTATGCTTCACATTGTGAAAAACAAGAAAAAACATTTTTTAACATCCCTTTTGGGAACTTGCATGACTTTGATCATATTTTCCAATGCTAAGATACACACACACATACACTTCATCTTGTTTATTCCATCTTCTGCTTTTTCCATCTTTTTGTGGTTTGCTTGTATCCATACTCTTTCCCACATCAATGCAAACTTTTTAATGGCAGTGGCAAAAGTTCTCCATAGGGGATGCTGTTTTTATTCTGATGAAGATGGTTCTTCATTCTGTGGGATTCTCTGGCACTGGACATTTATCATCCCTGGCCTGCATTGGAGTTTGGTCAGTAGATATCCAGGGAATGTGTCTGGTTGGGAACAGTTGCTTTAGAGCAGAGGTTGGCAAGCTTAGGCTGGAAAGGATCTGATAGTACTCTGTACTATCAGGGTCAGATAGTTCCTGTACCCTTGAGAGAAAGTATGACTCCGTTGAGAAGTAAGCCTGGGAATTGAGATGCCTTTTTCTCTCTCATCGTAACTTCACAATGTGTTCCTGTGAAATTGCTTGGCTGTGTGTATCGTATGGTCTGTTGTAACTACTAAACGCTACTCCTGTAAGGATGAATACAGACATAAATACATAAACAAATGGGCATAATTGTGTTCTAGTAACACTTTATTTACAAAAACAAGCAGGTGGGACATATTTGTCTCTTGCCTCACAGTGTGATGACCCCTGCTGTAGATGGAAGATCAATGCACTTCAGTGCTGCTTCCCACAGATCATTCTGTCCAAGGCTTTCTGATATTTTATAAGCTATGGTTTGCACCAGCAGTATTTTCAGACATTCCTCAAACTTAAGCTTCCATTTTATTACTATAATCAAAATTTCAATTGGTTTTAGTCTGGTGATATCATAAGGACAGAATCTATGGAACTAAATTAGCATAAGATGAAGTAATTTCAAAATAAATCTAATGTCACATCAAAAAAATTTTATTTTCTACTTAATAATTAGAAATGTGGTTGAGAATATGAAAAAACAACCAATGTACATTTTTCCTTTTATGGATCTAATGCTAATAAACATCAGCCCTGTATTCCCAGTCTATCTATATTACGCACATGAATCATGTATGGAGTTACCTAGAGAAAGTTAAAGTAGGAGATTTTGGGTCATGGCAATAGTGCATCTCTTTTCCCCAAGAGAAACAAATCTGACTTACATTCAGATTGGCTAGGTGGAAATTCCCTCCAGCTTTTATATTCCTGTGATCACTTGGCACAATATTTCAACATTGTAATAACTTTATCCATGGAGTCGAAAAATATAAGCCCCTAGGGTTAATTATAAGCAGAGTTGTCCTTGGTAGAAAATATCTTTCATTTCAATTATTTAAAAAGCACAGAATAATGTAATACAGGTTTCTGGAAAGAACGATAATGGTCAGATGCTTTTTCCTGTACCCTTGAGAGAAAGCATGACTCTGTTGAGATGCAAGCTTGGGGAATGTGATGCCTGTTTCCCCTCTCGTCTTATCATCATTTCACAGTGTGCTCCTGTGAAATTACTGTAACCTTTTCTATTTTAGGTGATGACTTTGCAAGAGCCTTACTCAGAAGTCTCGGGAAGCATTATGAATGTTTTTTAATGATTTTTTTGTGATTTTACAAAGCATCTTTTAAAAAATATCTACTTAAATGGGTTCCCTTCATTTTCAAGGTTTTGATCAGGTTTTTCTAAGTAGTAAGTGGAAAAAATATATAAATTTTATTTCATGAAATATTCTGTGGCACAAAAAGAAAAATGGATAACTGAATAATAGTTAATTTAGAGGCTGGGTGGATTTTCTTTTGGCTGCAAACGATTGCTCTTTATGGGCTCATGGTTTCTGGGGAATTTGGCTGAGGTGTAAGTCCTGTTTCTTGAAACTATTTATGTAGCCTTGATGCACACATATGTGAAACATTATAAAAAGACTTCTCTATTTGGGGTTGAGAACAAAGAAAGGTTACCAAAAACATAGATAAGGAAACTGGGGCTCCCACTGGTGAATCTTGGACAATGTAACAAAGCCTGTATCTCTCTGCTTTTCAGGCATCAGCCTTTTTGGGAGGCCTCCTATCCTAACTCACCCAACATGATCATACCTAAACTAGGATTTATAGTTTGAGCAGAAGTCCAAGGGTTCTGTCTGTAAGTGGAAAAAGTCTGAATGCACATACTAATTTATATGTCATACCTAATAGCTACCTAGACCCTGAGGCTGATTGCTCTTTTTGATGTCTGAGAAGCAATAAATTTGTAGCATTTCTCTTTTACCTAGCATGGCTTTGTAAAAACCATTCAAAATGTATGACAAGTATCAGAAAATGAAGGCAGAGGTGAAGTGTTCAAGCATTCTAAGGAAAGCAGCTATATAAATGAAAAGCATTAATATTATTATTATAGAAACACATTTCCTCATTAACCTCTACTTCCATACCAACAAATATTCTCCAAAAGGCTTATTTTCTTTGACCATTTTACATGCTTCCTTGGCAGCCACCTAGTAAAGCCTTTGAAACTGTGCATATTGCTTACAAATATTTCATTATGAATTGAGCCTTTCAGCTTGTAAATGCAGAAAAATTAAGCATGAAAAAGCCCAACACTACAAATGAAAACATAATAACCTGCACAATGTGCACATGTACCCTAAAACTTAAAGTATAATAAAAAAAAAAATAAGTAAAGCAAAGGTGAAAAGTCTTAAGCCAAACTTCATAAACCAAAAAGCAGTCTAAATCTCCTATCCCATAATGACACTCACTTTATTGGAAAGAAGCAGCCTACTTTTATTCAAACATGGTCATTTATTTAAGATACAGAATATCCCTAATCCACAAAGAGAAAGAGCCAGAGAGCATGGGAACAATTGTTTCTCTTCCCCCTCAAATATAAAATATAGGAGGGAACTCATACCCTATATAGTTAGCCTATTTGTAAAATTTGACTGTAAGGTATGATGCTACATTTGCTGATATTAATACAATATAATGAAATATTGATGTGGTTTTAAGTTTGCATTAATATGACTGTAATTTGTTATTTGCCATATATATACACACACATAAATATATATATTATATATAATGTATATATTAGTACTAGCTTCTTGGTTTCAATTCTTATGGTAAATTAAGTTATTTTATATATTGAAGGCAGATTAAATGACTTGACATGCAACTCATACTAACACAGCCACTACTAAAGTAGGTCAACTTTTAAACTGATGCTAGAAGACTACTTACAGAAAATTAAGGGTAAAAAATACTGTATTAATTTAAAGGGAATAATATTACATCGGCAAAAATAGAATATTCATTATATGTATTTTCTTTAATTTTAATTTTAGCTATTTGTACTTAAGATGGTATTTTACTCTAAGCATTTGATTATGGTAATCTATCTTCTCATGTTTTTCCTGTATTCTGTAACTCATTCTCAAGCATTCTAAGTATGATAATTTTAAGGTTAATATACAGTGTTAATTCAAAAGATGAAGTTTATTTAATTCATATTACAACTAGAAATATGGAATCAGTCTAACGTTTATACTATTTTTGTTGGAAGTAATTATGATTCAAGGGGAGGTATAGGATATAAATACTATCTTTACTCAGCAAACTCATTCATGTACTCATTCGTCACATATTGAGCACAAACTATATATGAGCAGTGTGCACAATCATTGTGTTCAGAAACTGTAGTGCTTCAGGAAAATGAGAAATCCCCAAATTCTCTTTTCCTATGAGTAATAGAGGAACCTCGTGATTTTTGAGGTCCATTGGTCCAATTTCCTGAATCTGTACAATCCATCACAATGGACCTTCTTAAAGTCTCTCTACCTAAGTTAACCTTGTTGGGGTTGATGCTTGGGGAAAGGATTAGTTTCTAGTCTCATAACTATGTGTGTGCATACCTGTGTGATAATCTGGCAGCTTGTACACCCTGTAACTGAGATTTCACTATTATCTAATTTAATATAATATTTTCAGTTGTCTTTTTTACTAGCAGCAGTAATAGTATCATAATTTACATGGAATGAATACTGTGTGCCATCATGGCTTACAGGAGTCTATTGTTTTCAAGTTATTTCAAGTTTCAATATAAATTACATAATTATATTGCTTTATGTATATAACAAAGACCTCATCCTTACAAGCAAGGTGCTTGAGTTCCGAAATGAGAATCCAGGTAAATATAATTGAACCAAAAATATCCAAGTATGTATTTATACTAGGGAGGCCACATGATTTATCATCCAAAGTTTTTTTGAGAGTAAAAGGGATACTCTTAATAATTATGTTGGCACAACATTTAAAAACCAAGACCTGGTCAAACTGGGATGTATGGTGACCCAGCTTATTACATATGTGTTGAGTTAAAAAATATCTGCACGCACATGCAGGTGTCAAACTAATGTGTGCTATAATAAAATTCAATTATTTGAATAGGATAGCCTTTATATTTATTATGGTGCTGGGAAATGATGTAAAATTAAAATTTAGTGTTAACAAATAGTTGTGTATATACTTTTTAAAACATTTTTGGAAGTAAAGGAGTATATTTTATACAATATGAAGATCATTTATAACTAGTACAGGATATGTAGGTGATGGGCCTTTTTTTAACCAGAGGGTTACAACCACTCTGATACTGCTCCTACTGGCAAATCTGTGGCTAAAGTAAGCATCAAAAACCACCCTTTCTCTTTGGAAGTTAGCACCCCCACTATGTACTCCAGCATCATCTGACAGAACCTCTATCATTTCTTCCCATGGATTAGGCAATATTGCATTACTTTGTCTGAGTCCCAAAAATTATTGTGTCATAACAGATAAAATTAATAATTAGCCGTTTAATTCTCACACTAGCCAAACCTATTTTGACCCTCATAAAGAAAATATTAGTAGAAGTCTCTTTTAGGATTAAACTAAATTTATGTGTTAATTTTAACTTGAGTATACTTGAAGAGATGGAATTTTCACTGCTTACTATGGGAAGTCATATACTAGAACTCAAATTTTCCGGAGCATGCTTAAGTATGGGGCATACTTATGGCCAGTCTAAGTGTGTCAGCAAAAGCTAGAATTCATATATATATAAAATATTCTCTAGTATTCTGTTTATAGGTTGTTTCACAGCATGAAGATAATTTTTACCCATAAATTTTAAACGTTCAAAACATTTCATATCCTGGGATTCCCAAAATTGATGTGGAATCATCAAACCTTAAGATAAACCCAAGAAACATGGACACTTCCATCACTAAAGATGATGTAATAGTGTCTGAAAATATTTTCCTTGAGTGAGTTGTGACTTGTGACAGTTGTATTTCGTTTGTTATTTCTTTGTAAAATGGTTTACTTTAAAATATTACACTTGAAAAATTATCTTGTTTATGGCATTTGAAGAACCAGAATAAGAAATATTATAAACTTAATTTGTACATTGGGTGGAAAGAGTAGATGATAGAATTCTATTACAGTAAAACAAGTAAACTAGATTGTCACTTTAAGAGATTTCTTATGGAGGATTTATTCTTTAGCTTGTTATGATCACATTTTTATAGAAACAGCTGTACTTGTTATCACACTCTGCCACATCATCAGTCATCTAGCTACTGCAGAGAATTCCCCCAAGCAGCACTGGACGTTCATGAGTTTATATTACTGCCATAAATTTTTGGGCTGTAAGTTTTTATACAAATAATCCCACGTCTCTTGTAAACATTTCGCCAATTGGTTAATAACATGATCTCTACCAGGGGATTTCTGGAATGTTTCTATCTTTTAAAAACAATGGCCTAGAGTACATTTTTGCAAATGCTAAAAACCTTCCAAATGAATTTGGGCAGTCTGAGGACATGTATATGATGAGAAAATATGCTTTTCCTTAATTTTACTGTTTAACCTCTTGATCCATTTTTTGGCTGAATCATGTGAAAGGATCTATTCACAAAAGATAATAGTTTAGTTATATTTGAAAAAAATATGGAGTGGCCTTTTAAATGAGAGTGGCGAGCTCCTAGCCATGAAACTCATTTCACAGTTCCTCCACTGCTCTTCAAAGTTAAATAATCACCAGAAAGAAGCCCAGCATTTCCACGGTGCCATCCATTATGTAGATGCCGGTGTTTCTTTCCCTAGGCACATTCCTCTCAAAATAAAAATGAAAAGAGTGCATAAGTTTGCCCACAGACTAATTTCTAAATGTACTAATCTGATCTTTTACCTCCATTTCTTTGGTGACATATAAATAGACCCTCAAATATTATTTCACAGCTCTAAAAGTTAATGGTGTTCTTTACTGGATCTTCCTTCATCAACGACACAGTGTCCTATTTTCTTGCGAGCTCTGTCTCTGACTGTCCTAAACCATTGACTGAATCTCAGATTCTAATGGTGAAGTTAAGGTAGTCTGAAAAACCAGAGGGAATTTTTCAAAAGGGAACTTAGATTTAACGTAAAATACATCATTTTAGATTTGGGGAAGAATAGTTTGAGATTTTGCATTTGTGATAATTCAGTGATCTGATTTAACATCATCATTCCAAAGCCAGTCAACAAATTTTCCAATATTCTAGGCGTGACCAACTAAATTAAAGTTTCAAATTGGCTCACCTACTATCCTCAATACTAGGTTCTTCTGAAGTATCTTTAGTAGCTAAAATTTAGCTGTGGGGAACTGAGCATCAGCTAAATTAAAGTTTGTTATGCATTCTATTGACATGAACAATGATGTTACTCCAGTAAAGATTTTCTGATGATAGAGATTAAGTAGATTTTCAAGTTACAGATTTATATAGATAGCAGAATCCTATTTGTAAGAAATTCATGTACATATGTTTATGCTTACAATATTAATGGATACCTACAAAATATTAATTGTGGTTATTTCTGGACTGGGAAGTTGGAAAGTGAGAATAGTTTAAGTTGTAATGTTCACCTTACACTTTTTGTACAATTTGAATTTTAGAATAATCAGGTATAGTTTTGATAGAGAAAAACTTAAAAACAACAAAAACCAGATAAAATCGATGTGATTTCATTCAGTGTTAATCATTATCAGAGCTATATTTTTTTAAAAAATTTCCATCTATAAAAATATCTTGGGTGATTACAATGTGTTAATACAGGTTCATGAATTGTAACAAATGTAGTATTCTGGTTGGGGATTTGATATTGGGAGAGGCTATGCATGCCTGGGGCCAGGAGGGCAAATGGAAAATCTTTTTACCTTCCTTTCAATTTTTCTATGAACTTAAAACTGCTGTAAAGTTTTTACATTGAAATTGATTAATTAAATTAGATATGATGGATTAGAGCTGATATTATGAAATTAAAAACCAAAAATCAATAAAACCAAATGCAGGTTTTTAAAAAAAAGTTTAATTAAATCACTAAGCAAGGCTAAGAAGAGAGGAGACACAAATTACTAGTATTAGGCACGAAAGAAGAGCGATCACTTCAAATTCCATGTTCATTCAAAAGATGATACTATGAGCAACTCTATTCCCTCAAATTTGATAACATAGACGAAATTGACCAATTTATTGAAAAACACAATTAGCCAAAACTCACAGTAGAAGAACTAGATAATCTGAATAGGCCTATATTATATAAATTGAATAAATAAATAATATTCTGTAGAAAGCACCAGTACCAGATGAGTTCACTGGAGAATTCTACCAAACTTTTAAGAAAAAAATTTTACAAATTCTCTAATCTCTTCCAGAAGACAGAAGCATAAGAAATGCTTCCTAACTCATACTTTGAGGCCAGCATTACCCTAATGCCAAAACAGAAGACATTACAAGGAAACTACAGACAAATATCTAACAAATATTGATTCTAAAATCCTCAACATCCTAGTAATTGCATCCAACAATGTAATAAAGTATTGCACACCATGAACAAGTGGGGATATACCCCAGGTATGCACGGCTGGGTCAGCATTCAAAAATCAATTAATATAATCTATTTCATCAAAAGGCAAAAGAAGAAAAATCACATAATTATACAAATAGATGCAGAAAAAGCATCTGATAAAGTTTAATGTCCATTCATGATGAAATAGAAATAGAGGTAAATGAAAATATCTACATAAAAATTACAGCTTACATTATACTTAATGATGACAAAATAGAATCTTTCTCACCAAGATTAGGAACAAGGCAAGGATGTCTCTTCCTACCACAGCTTTTCCACATTGTAATGGATGTCCTACTTAATATAGTGAGACAAGAAAATAAAGTAAAAACTGTAAAGATTGGGAAAGAAGAAATAAAACTTAGTTTCTTCACAAATGACATGGTTGCCTATGTAGAAAATCTGAAAGAATTGACAAAAATAACTTCAGGAACTAATGAGCAATTATAGCAAGGTTGTAGGAAACAAGGTTAATACACAAAAGTCAATTATTGCCCTATATACCAGCAATGACCAATCGGAAGTTGAAATTAAGACACGTTACCATTTACATTAGCACCCCAAAGATTAAACAGAAACAAATCTAACAAAATATGTTCAAGATCTATATGAGGAAGACGACAAAAAATCTGAATGAAATCAAGGAAGAACTAAATAAATAGAAATACTTTGATGAAAAGGAAGACCCAATATTACCAAGTTGTAAGTTCTTTCTAACTTGATCTACAGATTCAATGCAATCCTAGTCAAAATCCCAGACAGTTATTTTGCAGATATTGACAAACAGATTCTAGCATTTAGATGGGGAGGAGAAACACCCAGAATAGTCAACACAATATTGAAGGTGAAGGACAAAGTTGGAGGACTGACACTACATGACTTCAATGCTTATCATAAAGCTACAGTCATTGAGACTGTGGTATTGTTGAAAGAATAAACAAATAGGTCAATTGAAAAAATAGCCCAGAAATAGACCCAATAAATATCATCAACTAATCTTTGTTAAAGGAACAAAGGCAATACAATGGAGAAAACATGCCTTTTCAACAAATGGTGCTGGAACAACTCAACAACCACATGTTCAAATAAAATCTAGACATAGATCTTACAGTGGAATAAAAAAATTAAAAATGAATCACAGACCTAAATGCAATATACAAACTACAAAAGTCATAGAAAGTTTTAGACAATAACACAGAAGAAAGCCTAGATGAGTTAGGATATAGTGATGTTTGTAGATACAACACCAAAGGCATGATTCATGAAAGAAGTAATTCAGAAGTTGTAATTCATTAAAATTAAAAACTTACGCTCTGTGAAAGACAATATCAAGAGAATGAGAAGAGAAGCACAAACTTGGAGGATGTATTTGCAACATACACATCTGATAAAGCACTGTTATCCAAAGTCATTACTCTGCTAATCATAATGAGGAAGAAGTGATTAAAATATTAAATAATATAAAATTGATTTATCTCATCCAGTAGTGGTAACATTTTTAGGCATAGATATTATTATGCATGTGTTTGATAAGGTGAGAATTCACTTTGAACAGAATAATAAAGCCACAGTTTTTTAGTTCTGACACAGGAGGAACTAGACAGGAACTCACTCCCACAATCAAATTCCAAACTCAAATTTGTTCTGTAATCACCTTCAGGAAGATTAATGTCTTTAAAAATGTGGTTGATCCTTATTACTTCTAGAATTGAAATGAGTTAAAGAAGCATTTTAAGATCGTGTTAAGAAAAATAAAACCATGATGAGGCATAGAGCAATTCCTTTGTACAATATTTTAATTGCATAAATTATCCAGTTTAGTAACATATTAAGATAGAGAATATTTTATCTGTGTTGTAAATTCTAAACTCTAGTCAACTTTAAAAATATTTTCCTTTAAAACAGCATTTTTGAGTGGCCATAAGTAGGCCAAATAAACATGATCTTTATGAATGAAATAGAAAATGTTTTTAAAGCTGAAAGAACATCTTTGTAGATTTAAGATTCCAAAAATCCAATAGCCTTATGCCATATAAAATATTTTTAAATGAAACAAAAAAGAAAATCATATGAACTGTAACCCAATACTGTTATCTAGGTGTGTGCTGGACTCAAGGCTAATCATTACATATTGTCTTTGGGGTGTGTGCATTATTAAGATGGTTGTAAGTGATGCCATTTTCAATTATAATTAATAGAATTTTCCATTCAGCGTTTGGACCATTTTAGGGAGGTATTGAGTTTTACAATTCAGAACAAAGTGGGAAGCCCTGATGGCAGAGGCTTATGTCATGGCATGTCTCAGTTACTTAGCACTCTTCTCAAATTCAGTGGGGTTTATCACACTTTTTAATCTGGCCACTATAGAACTTTTTTTCTGGAATATTCTGTGTCTGATTTTCAGGAATTAATAATTTAGATCTGAAGAAGGCTAATCAAAACAAACTTGCGCTGGGGCAGATTTGGGAGATGAGGAAGAAAAAGCACTGAACAGGGAGCCAGGAAATCCAGATTCTAGTTCCAGTTCTGCCTCTCTGTGAAATTTTAGCTTAATTAATCTTTTTTAGCTTTGAAATATGAACTGTAAATAATGCTATTAACAAATTATAAGGCCGGTTCTGGTTGTCATATACTGTAAGACCAAATTCCTTGAAATTTTTAGGTGATGACATGGGGTAACTTAGATACCATATCCCTCCCAACACAGCCAGCTTCTTTCTTTCCCTAGGATTCTAGGTGACATATTGACCAGGACTTCCCTTTTTAAAAATATGCTGAGTGACTATGACAGAATAATAAGAAAATAAAAATTTTTCCAATTCCTAATGCCACTAACAGTCATTCTTCTGTTAATCATAATGAGGAAGAAGCGATTAAAATATTAAATAATGTAAAATTGATTTATCTCATCCAGTAGTGCTAACATTTTTAGACATATATGTTACTACATGTGTGTTTGATAGGTTGAGAATTCACTTTGAACAGAATAATAAAGCCACAGTTTGAAGGTCTGACATGGCAGGAACTGGACAGGAGCCCACTCCCACAATCTAATTCCAAACTAAAATTTGTTCTGTAATTTCCTCCGGGAAGAAAATAGAGTGGTCTAAGTTCTATCCTCTCTTGTTTATTCTCTGTAACACAAAACCTACATAGTTGTTTGGAAATCTCCACGCTCAGAGAGAATAGAAGTTCACTTGTGAATAAAGCAAAGAGTTCAGTGAAATGTTTTTGTACCGCCACACAAGATAGTGCAAGAAGTAAGATAACCTGCCCACGAATATGTAAGGATTTACTCTAAATCAAAGAAAAATAATTTTTCATCAATTCACATTTTCATTTACTTGCTCATTTAACAAACCTTCACTGATCATCATTAGCACCACTTCTGTTTCGTTCTAGAGTCTATTCAATAATAATGAGCATTCAGCCATTGTCCTACACAATCACACAATTGAGAAGAGAAGATAAATTGTGTCCACATGTGAGAATTATTCAAGCCATCATTATGTAAATGCCAGAAGAGAAATTATGATTTTTTTTTCTTGGGCTGTGATGATCACCTAAGTCTTCATTGGGAAATACCCCTTTTGCTATATAAAGCTCCATTTCAGTGATTCATCACATTTCCTTACAGTATTTTTTATTGGTGTTCTTCTAAGTTAATTCTTATACACTTATAAAATAAGTACATGTGTTATTATCTCAGTATTATGTTCAAATGTAGGGATATCAGAAAGGTGTCATGACAGTGGAGATGGCAAATCCCTACACAGAAGCAGAGCAATAAGACAGCAAGGCCCCAAATCCATGCGCATTTACAATGAAACTAATTGACAAGGTTTCCCTGCAAATCCCAAAATACAAGCAGGTGGGGATAACCCATCAAAACCTACCAAAACTAGAAAGATCTTAATGATATCAGCATCTGCATGGGATGAAGCAAAAAGAAGAAACAAGGGTGCATGATAATGCTGACAAGCATAATAGCCAAACCCCTGGATTTCTTCATATGCTGGACCGAGAGAGAAGTTTAATTACAAATTGTTATATCATACTAGAGGAAAAGTGTGCTGAGTTTAGGGCAAGAACTAAATGAAGATTTTCCATACTAAGAAGTCAAGTTTTAGCTGAAATGAAAACAATACATAACAGTATTGTGTTATTTGGAAACATGGAAATAAATGCCAAATAACAGAGTTGAATGTAGGAATTGGGGTAATATAAAGTGGCACAGGAGGCTGCTATTTTTCCTTGTAATATCTCCGGCACTCTTTGCTTGTTTGAACCATGTATACGTGCAATTTTTGAAAAAAAAAAAGAATAGTATTGGCAAGAAAGTAAAAAACAGTATTTCCGTGACCTAAGTGAAAATTGAACAAATTTGAGAGGAACATTTGGCTGTATTTTAGCATTAATACGGAAATATAGAAAAACATCAGAGAAAATTTGTTAAGCTGCAACTCCATCCAGAGAAAATAACACATGTTGCCTTCACCATGAGCAATTTTGGCTTCAGCATATGTAGTTCACTCTTCTTTCTTTAACAAATACTGAATTTATTTTGTTAAAAATTTCTGCCCATGGAACATTTATGAAATACAGTGAAATTTTAGAAATTAATTTAAAATATAACGGCAAAGACCATAAATGTGAGTTAATAGATAGATGTTAACTGAATGCATCTTCTGTTTGGGCACCAAAAAATATACTATAGTGAATAATGAACATAGCACCAACAGTATATGAAGTTCAAATTGCTCTGCAGTCTTGCCAATACTTAGTATTTTCAATCTTTAATTTTAGCCAGGTTAATAGATGCATGTCGGTATCCCATGTTATTGCAAATTGGCATTTTCCTAGTCACCACTCAACATAAATATCTTTTCACATAATTATTGGACATTTCTATATCATCTTTAAAACATTTTTGACATGCCAATTCAAATTTCAGGATATCTTTCCTAAAAGTTATCTATAATTTTTGTTGATTTGGATGAGTTTCTATTTTTTTAGATAAAATATTTTTGTTAGAGACACACAAACACAGTTTTTAAAACTCAGGAGAATATCTTATTATATTCACTCATGTGGTTATCTGCTCCTTTACTCTTTCTTCATTCCTGATGTTCCAAACTTCTTTCTGTTGTTAGTTCCTTTATTTGAATAGCCGTCTGCAACGGTTCTTTTCAGATAGGTTTTCTGATATCAATTTCTCATTTTCTTAATCTGAAAAAGTATTTATTTCACTCTCCATGGATATAAGATTCTGACTCTTGGCAGGGGCTTTTTTTTCAGCATTTGGAAAATATGCCACTTTCTTTTGGTTCCCATGGTTTTTGAAAAGAAATTTGTCATCAGAATGTTGTTTTTATAAGTAATACATTGTTTTTCTCTGGATGATTTTAAGATTTTTTTTGTTCTTGGTTTTCAGAAGTTTGATTTTGATGTGCCTGGGGATGGGTTGTTTTGCTTTATCCTCTTTGTGGGTTCACTGAGCCTCTTGATTCTGGAATTTTATGTCTTTCACCAAATTTGAGCAGTTTTCAGCCTTCGTTTTATTTTATTTTATTTTTTAATTGAAACTATATGAATTCCTGTCCTTCTGGGAGTCTCATGACACAGAGATAAGATGTTTGTATTGTCCTACAGGTCCCTGAGGCTCGGCTGTATTCATTTGTTTTCAATCTTCTCTTTGTTGTTCAGACAATACCTTTTTATTGATATATATTCAAATTTACTGACGCTTTTTCTCTGCTCTGTCAGTGTCAGATTGATTGTTCCTCATTTGAGTTAATGTTTCTAGTTACGAAGAGTTATTTTGTATTGCATTTTAGAAATTTGAGGTATTATGATATGACTCAGTTTCCTATTTAAATGTCATGACAGTCAAGCTAGGGTGGTAGTCAGGGGTGTGTTCACACGCATAATCTCTGCAGATATCTAGGAGCCAGGAAGGGCTTTTAACTGCTTGTGTGAGATGATAGTAAGGCTTTACTCAAACAAACTCTGCAGATGCCTACCAGTGTCAGGAGGGGAACTGTCTCCCTACTGTCACCTTGGGATGGTAGCCAGGCTCTGCTCATACGCACAGCCTCTGCAAATGCCTACCAGACAGGAGACAAAGCTACTTCCTCACTATAGAGGTGGGGTAGAAGCCAAAGCTCTTGTCAGACAGTTGCACTGCTGCAACTGTCCCATATTTCTTGGAGGCTTTGTTCATTTCTTTTTACTCTTTTTTCTCTAAACTTCTCTTCTTGCTTCATTTCATTCATTTGATCTTCAACCACTGATACCCCTTCTTCCGCTTGATCAAATCAGCTACTGAAGCTTGTGCCTGTATCACATAGTTCTCGTGCCATGGTTTCCAGCTCCATCAGGTCATTTAAGGACTCCTCTACACTGTTTATTCTAGTTAGCCATTCATCTAATTTTTTTTTCAAGATTTTTAGCTTCTTTGCAATGGGTTCAAACATCCTTCTTTAGCTCAGAGAAGTTTGTGATTACCAGTTATCCGAAGCCTTCTTCTCTCAACTTGTTGAAGTCATTCTCCATCCAGCTTTGTTCTGTTGCTGGCAAGGAGCTGCATTCCTTTGGAGGAAAAGAGGTGCTCTGATTTTTAGGATTTTCAGCTTTTCTACTCTGGTTTCTCCCCATCTTTGTGGTTTTATCTACCTTTGGTCTTTGATGATAGGGTTTTGGTGTGCATGTCCTTTCTGTTTGTTAGTTTTCCATCTAACAGTCAGGTCCCTCAGCTTCGGGTCTGTTGGAATTTCCTGGAGGTCCACTCCAGACCCTTTTTGCCTGAGTATCACCAGCAGAGGCTGCAGGGCAGCAAATATTGCAGAATGGCAGATGTTGCTGCCTGATCCTTCCTCTGGAAGCTTTGTCTCAGAGGGGCACCTGGCTGTATGAGGTATCAGTCGGCCCCTACTGGGAGGTGTCTCTCAGTTAGGCCACTCGGGAGTCAGGGAACCAGTTGAGGGGGCAGTCTGTCCGTTCTCAGATCTCAAACTCTGTGTTGGGAGAACCACTGCTCTCTTCAAAGCTGTCAGACAGGGATGTTTGTCTGCAGAAGTTTCTGCTGCCTTTTGTTCAGCTATGCCCTGCCCCCAGAGGTGGAGTCTACAGATGCAAGCTGGCCTCCTTGAGCTGCAGTGGTCTCCACCCAGTTCTAGCTTCCTGGGAACTTTGTTTACCTACTTAAGCCTCAGCAATGGCAGACGGCCCTCCCCCAGCCTTGCTGCCGCCTTGCAGTTTGATCTCAGACTGCTGTGCTAGTAGTGAGCAAGGCTCCATGGGCATGGGACCCTCCTAGCCATGCACGGGATATAATCTCCTGGTGTGCCGTTTGCTAAGGCCCCTGGAAAAGCACAGTATTAGGGTGGGAGTGTCCCGACTTTCCAGGTACCATCTGTCACAGCTTCCCTTTGCTAGGAAAGGGAATTCCCCAACCCGTTACACTTCCTGGGTGAGGTGATGCCCCGCCCTGCAACATGGGCTGCACCCACTGTCTGACAAGCCCCAGTGACATGAACCCAGTACCTCAGTTGGAAATGCAGAAATCACCCATCTTCTGTGTCACTCACACTGGAAGCTGTCGAGTGGAGCTGTTCCTATTTGGCCATCTTGACAGTCTGGTTTTTTAAGACTCCTTATAGTAAAACATGAGAAGAGAGAAATAACATAATGATGAAATTGTGAATCAAAAAGGAATCAGAAGTTGAAGATTTGAAACATTTTCAGCCTATTTACATTGAAAAGAATGAGAGAACCTATTTGGAAGAGAACAGGAAGGGTGTGGCCAACCAACCATCAGCTAAGTTTAGTCAGCTAACAGGAATTAGGACCTATTATCCAAGATAATGGAATAATGACCCCAAAGATAGAAATCATCAGGGCTGCCCTTCCCAACACAGATTTAGAGTTCAAGAGCCCAGTGAGTGTGGGGCCACCACAGAGAGCCCCTGACAGGGCAGTGCCAGTGGAACAGCAGATGCAGTGCTGTCCCCATGACGCCAGACTGGTAAAGCTTACTGGCATGCAATTCCAGGCTGGGAGAGCCTCAGGTACGTGACCCAGGAACAGCTGCTATGGAGGTAGAGTTACCACAGAAAATGGCCATGGGGGCTCAACCCCTGCCTGGCAAAGCTGTGGAGGGAGGACCACTTCCCCAGTGAATCCAGAAGGCAGTACCCCCACCCCAGGGGGTTCTCAAGGTGAGACCTATGCCCAAGTAGGCCTGGAGGGCAGAGCGTTTAGTCATAAATCATTATTCTCAAGCCTTAAAGTTTAATGTTGTTTGACCTATTGGGTTGGGACTTGCTTTCAGTCTCTCACTTCTTTCTTCTTTGCTATTTCTTCCTTTAGGACTGGGAATGCATCCTGTGCTTTTCCACCATTGTATTTTGAAAACACATAAGTTGTTTGATTTTATATACACAGCTGGAAGGGAATTTGCCTCAAGATGAATTTCACCTTGAGTGTAACCCATACCTGATTTTCATGATGTTTAGATGTGACTTTGAACTTAGAACTTACAGTTGATGCCAGAAAGAGTTAAGAATTGTGGGGCTATTGGGATGGAATAAATGTGTTTTGTATGTGAGGACATGAACTGGGGGGGAGTCACAGGTGAAATGTTATAGACTGAATATTTGTGTGTCCCTCAAATCCACATGCTGAGATCTAACTCACAGTATATTGGCATTTGGAGGTGAGGCCTTTGGGAGATTATTAGATCATGAAGATGGAGCCCTTATGATTAGAGATAGAGCCCTTATAAAAGAGGCCCCAGAGAGCTATTTTTCTCCTTCTTCCATGTAAGGATGCAATAAAGAGTCGTCTGTCTGGTAAGCAGAAAGCAGTACTCACCAGATGTCAAGTCTGCCAGTGTCTTGATCTTGGACTCTGCAGCCTCCAGAACTATGAGAAATCAATTTTGGTTGTTTATAAGCCACAGAGTTTATGGCACTTTTGTTACAATGGCCTGAACAGACTAAAATAGAAATTAATTTCCTTCTATAGGTTCAAGAAGCTATTTCATTGTCTTTTGTTTTCTATCATGTCTGTTGAAATGTCCACTGAATATCTAACTCAATATGCAAATGATGTATCTTTTTCGTCTGGCTACTTGCAATATTTTCAGTTTTGTTTTTACCAGTTATTATGTAATACAACATGCCAAGGTGTGTTTTTCTTTATATATTTCTTGCTTAGTGTTTATAATGCTTTCTGAATCATTGGCTCAATATATTTCTGTTAAGAAAATTTTCAGCCTATATTCACATTTTTTTGTACCATTCTTTTACATAACTAATTACACACACCTTAGATGATTTAATTATTTTTCATATTTTCTAATAAGTATTTTGTTCTCATTTTCCAGTTTTATTCTCATATTTACCTGGATGTTTTCTACTGATTTCTCTTTTGCTGTGTGTAGTCTGCTATTAAATTCATCAATTTAGTTCATAACATTATTATATTTTTAGCCTTTAATTTCCATTTATTTCATTTTTATGTTTTGCAGTTCTCTGGAGAAGTTTAAGTTATTGTTATCTACTTTAGATCTAAGATTTACATATGATCAGTCTACTAACTAAATAATCTATATGTCCATTTCCATCATCTTGTTCTTTTGTGTCTTGGGATTGTCTTGTCTGTAGCTATCAAGCAAATGCCATATGTTCTGTATAAAACATTAGAGAGGATTATAATTATTTTACCTATCTTCAAAGGAAGGATAGCCATTCTTTTGATAATCAGAGTGGAGTTAATTTATAAGGCTTGATCCACCTCTGTTCCAGCCCCACACCAGGCATAGCCCTCTATCATTCCTAACTAGAAGCCTGGGATGTCTGCTAGTGCTCCACCTCCTCAATGGGTATTGAGCTCCTCTTTTAATCTCCTTAGCACTATGAGACTGCTAAAACTTCACTCTGCTATTCATTAAATTTGTCAGTCTTCTCAGCCTTTTATCCAGTGAAACTGGAAAGTGTGTCTAGTGTTTTAAGAAGAAATCCATTGAATGTTCTGTTTATATCTTTATTTTCTCTCTGAAATCTTGGTCCCAAAAGTACTGACTGCCTTGACAGATGCATAATCTCTTGTTTTTTCCCCCCAAGCTTGTGGAATTTCCAACACCTACTGGCTTCTCTTTATTTTAGCAGTGGTCCTCTACTTGCATTCTGAACCTGTCACAGTGCCAAGAATCAGCAAATATTCTAAAGGCAAAAGTAGGTAGAAAGTCTGCTCATCACTCTGAAGTTCCCTCAGATATTGGCTCCTCCAATTTTGCCCGCGTCATCACTTCTCCCTGTATGTGTGTTGGCAGGAAGGTGTGGGGGCAGGGATGAAGGAATGGGTGTTTTTCAACTTTGCTAAGTATTCTCAATGGGAGTGTTGTTAGCTGTTTGCCAAAAATGACAACATCATAAGCAGAAGGGGAAGTTGAAGTACACATTTTATATCTTAAATTCTTAATATATTTTAACTACATTTCTATCAAATGGTCAAATGGTTTCTGATATTATTTTTATTTGATAAACTTATGAATATGTTGGTTAAGAAAATTTAGTTCCAACTTCCTATATCTTTCACTTAAGGCATTAATAATTAGTTACTTGTAATTACTAACTTAATTAGGTGATACATATCATTGTTTGACCCTTAGATTTATCACTTGTTTCTTTAGTAGTTATGTGACTTTGGCAATTTACTTATGTACTCCAGCCTTAGTTAACTAATCTGTTAAATAATGTGAAAAGATTTGTGTGGCTCAGAGATTTTCGTGAAAATTAAGTCAGATATTAAAATACCAAATACCTTGTTCATGTTACCAGCCAATAAATGTAATTTTATTTCTTCTAATCATTCTCTCCTGAGTTAATGATACAAAGTAACAACAGATGAACAATTATGGATAATAGGGATATGAAAGTAAAGAAACTCCCGATATGTGAGTAATTCAGATTTGACAATAAGTGCCAACATAATCATGGAATTCAGTTAAATCATTTATAAAATTATAAGAATAGGACGAAGGGGAGAGCAGTGAAAAAACAAGGAAAGGATAATAATATACGTCTATCATCAGACATATAGTAGAGCCCTGAATATATGCTTTTAAAGGAGTAAAGCTGTGAATCAGTTATTCATTACTTTCATAAAAGAAGAGAATACATTGCCCACTGTTGATAGAGTCATTAGATCTTTCTAATGGCAATATCCATTTTGCTGTATTTTTTGGTGCCGTATTTGTTATAGGTTCATCTGCTATCTCAGAAAACACTAAGCTGAGTGAGTCTGTATGATTTCCTTTATCAACAACCACGTCACAACAGCCACTGTTCAATTTGCTAAGGCACAAGGCCTAGCTCTCCTACACTCCTTTAGCTCAGAAATTATACCTTTTAAAAATCATACCTTTTTAAATGTATCAAATGTTAGAACTTTTGAATTCCTTTTATTTTAGCATTGGGTCTGATAAACTCAATTACATTTTAATGTCCTTAAAAGACAGTCCAAAGAAAAGAAGCAAAGGTCCCAAAACACAGGAAATTATTTCCTAGGACAAAAAAATGTAAGAAATAAAAGTGGCTTAGCTTAGACAAATGATTTTTTAATATAACACCTAAAATGTTTTATATATTTAAAAAATTCTGTTGCATATCCAGATAAGTCTTATCGAAGAAAAGATATGAGTTAGAATTAGAATAAGCAGAAAAGTACCTTAAAACTCTTCAATGTTTTCAGCAAAGAAGACCAAGATGTGCTACTTTTAAATAAGGCTCAAAAAGAAAAGGGCAAATGATTTAAAAATACAGACATTTCTGCTCTTGACTGACGCATATGTCTAGATGTCTTAGAAGTGATATTTAGCAAACTATTTTTGCAGATAATTTCATTGTTAATTTGCTAGTCTGGAATGTTCAGAAAAAATTCATATGGTTAAGAAATCAAAATGATACAAAGAACAAAAGATGTGGGGGTCAATGAAAATAGAAGAACTTTGAAAAGAAAGGGATAGGAATGCTGGTATGCCTTCACTTCCAAAACCTTCTGCAAAACTGCCTCGGGAGCCAACTTTCCATGCATTGGGTTTCTTCATTTTTATTTCATTTCTTTTTTACCTATGTGTTCTACATTTTCACAAAAATGTTTTCAATCACTGCAGATTATCAAATCAAGCAAGATTTATATTTACAACTGCAGAGGTGAACCTGACTGTTTCATGGAGTGGGTCAAATTAACCATTTTTAAGAGTTGTCCAGGCTGCTTAATTTGAAAAGTAGTAGACAATGGCATGTTTTTGTGTAAGTTAATGAGGTGAGAAATACGCACTGCATCCTGGGCTGTTTCAACCTTCAGAATGGTTCTCCACTAGCAGAATTTCTAATACATTTCTTTCACTTCTTCCATGACACATTAGTTTAGTTATTCTAAATAACTCAAGGTCAACTATGTGCTGGTCAGTTGCCTGAAATCTTCAAATAAGACTTAGAGTTTCCTAACCACCAAAGTGGTTGAGCAAATGGAGAAAAGTCATGTCAGTAGAAGACTAAATTTTTTTCTTACCTAGTCTATGTACAAAAAAAAAAAAAAAAAGAAAACAAGAAAAACGAGCTACAGTGGTTCTTCAAACTGTGACCCGCCAAAGTCCTCAATGTTCAAATTTATTTTTTTCCCTTTCTTGCCTTTGTTTCCTCCTCAACCACTTGCTGGGTCGATAATTCCAAGACTGCCAGAAAAAGTGATCCTTGGGAGTCAGTTGCCATGAATATATATTTGTTGTAACTGTTGTTTTAAACAAGTAAAAAAGGAAGATGTAAATAAAAGAGCAATGGAAAAGTAGAAAGAGAATCCCACTCATTTCTGAATCTGTGTCTTTTTGTGTAGTGTTTATCATAAAGGAGAGGCATTGACTGCCCATATGTTTAGAGGTGGGGTAGAATAAAAAGCCCACTGTTTTGGGAAGCCAGAGAACTGGGTTCTGATCTGAGTGTGACCTTTCACTATTGTATCCTTAAATATTGGTGCATGAGATTTCCTCATGTATAAATTGGAGGCTATCAGCCCATGTCTAAGATCCCTTCTTATTTTATAAATCTTTGTTGACTAAGGTGTGACAAAGCCAGAATCCCATGTATTTCAAACATTTTCTAGTTGATGTCCTCTAATGAATGTTTGTTCCAGATATCACCTTAATGACTGAGAAGCTAAAGCTGTTCCAACTAGTGGCTGTAGATTTTGCCTGAAAACTCTGAGTGAATATTTGCAGAAAATTCAAGACATTGGAAAGAAACAGGAATAAAGGTAGCCTCTGATGTTGCTTTTCATGGACAAGAAGACAAGAGTAGGGGGAGCAGGATACTGAGAGGGTAAAAATTAATCTAGAATAAGAATACCTGAAAGTCATCAATATAATTGTGGCACTAAATAAATCTTTACATGAAGATTATCTAAAGTTAGAATCAGTCAATATCTATGTTTGTATGAGATCAGCTGTTGGAGTTAATCTTTGTGTGTTTGTGTTTTCCCACTGAAATTCTTAACATACACACTGGATCATTAATTAAAGAAATAAGTTTCTAAGGGAGATTTTCTCTTTTACTCCAGAAACTTCACTCACTTTTTTGGCCCTGATCACTAAACTATCATTTTGGCAGGCATACAGGCAAGTTGCAAGAAGCAAGAAGGGGGATGACTTTATGATATGTCAGATACTGTAGAATAATGAAATATTTATAATTTCATTTAATGTTGACAGCAATTTAATATATATTAAATTTTTAAAAATGGAAGTTCAGTAAGGTCAATTAAGTTGTCTAAGATCATATAGCTATTAAGTGTTAGAACCTGGATTAAATCCCGGGTCTTCTCCCCTCTAATATTTTTTTCATTCTGCCATACAGCCTCTATTAGCGCAACGGGGCATTATCACTAATATCTACTAATTCTGGACACTGATGAGTCTGCAATTTTATTTTCCTCTAGTTGTTAGCTAATTAGTTGGCCTGTTACTGTTTGATGGATGCTTGCAGAGGACACAGAACTTCTGGGTCAATGACAAAGAATGTGTTACTCACAACTTATCAAGCAACTTGGGCATTAGTAGATATGCATTGGTTTCTGTATTAGTTGTCTTGTACTAATGTAACAAGCTACCACAGATTTAGCAGCTTAAAACAACACTCAATTATTATCTCTCAGTTCTGTAGATCAGAAGTCCAGAGGCTTGGCTGATAATCTGTTTAAAGTCTTACAAGGTCAAAATCAAGGTGTCAGTGGGCTTGGGGTCTTTTCTGCAAGCTCCAGGAAAGAATACATTTTGCAGCACATTCAAAAATTTGTTGGCAGAATTAAATTCAAATAACGTGGTTGTTGGACTAAGGACCTTGATTGTTGGCTGCTGTTGGGCAGGGCTTATTTTCAGTTTTGTGAGGTCACCTGTATTCACGGGCCTGTGGGATCTTCCATTTTCAAGATCAATGGCACATCAAATACTTTTTCTCTGAATCTCTTTGACTTCCTCTCCTCCTGTACTTCCTTGACTTTCTCTTTGGCCTGTTCTTATAAGGCCTGATATGAACATGTTATGTTATGCTTAAACTGATAATCCAGCATAATTCCTCTATTTTAAGGTCAACTATTTGGTAACCTTAATTACCTCTGCAAATGCCTTGTGTTGTGTAAGGCAATGTATTCAGAAGCATGGTATCTCATTATACTCACTCTCTCAGGGATTAGGTATGGAATCTTCTTGGAGTTATAATTCTGCCTACCAAAGTTTTTTTTTATTTGTACGTCCCATGATAAAGCATGGTCCAGATGAATGCTCACATGCAGCAGTTTGGCATCCCAGTAGAGAAATTCTAACCTTGGAGAATCTACTACTTTTATAGCAAGCAGTAAGAAAGCCTGCTATTTGTTTAGTAGAAAGATATTTTATCTCTCAGCGTTACCAACTGCATAAACAAAATCCTCAGGAATTACTAGTGTAAAGAACAGTCAGGGCCTCACCTTCTTGACACAGTTAAGTTAGTAAGACTTGCAGGAAGCAAGAGACTCATAAAATACTGTCTCTCCCAACATACTCCCAAAGTTCTTGAAAAACTCCAAATGAGAATTTGACCTTTAATCTCTAAATACACAGATTATTCTTAACCAAGTAAAAATATTTCTTCCAGATCAGGCTTTCACTTACCTTGAAAAGTACATTCCCAGAATGTAGTAAAATTCCCAGAAGTGTGGGTGTGGAAGGCAAAAATGAAGCCAACTGTTAAATTCTATGCACTATTGGTGGATAAGGGGTAGTCTCTACCATTTAGATAAGTGACAGCAACAGGCAAGAATGAAGCCAACCTGTGAGGAAGCTTAGGATGGCAGATTAAAAAGATGTAATGGAAATACCCTTGATATATTATCATGGGAGTTGCAGTTTGCACCTTACCTCTATTGACATGTGACTTTAGACTAATCACTTAATTTCTCTGAGCTTTTGTTTTCATGTCTATTGAAAACCTAGGTAATAATGTCCTGAAACTCTTGGGGTGTCGCATTTCTAGTTGGAAGCCTCGGTGGCCCATGGCACCTTTGCCCATTTTTATTTGGGCCTGCTGGGCTCATTCCACCCACTCAGCCTGGCAGACTGCACTCACCTCATGCTACTGGCCTGGATCCCATGACTGCCAAGGGCAAGCCAGGTGCAGAGAGGCAAGGGGCATGTGAGCAAGTGAGTGTGGGGTCTATGCAGTGTGCCACACTGGCTGCTGTGGTGGGGTGGGCAGCTACAGGCACCACCACAGGTGCTGGCTCCATGAAAGTCTTCAGCTGGATCAGATGCATTGTGGGTGGCTTCTGCTGTAGGCACCTGTCTCTGGATGAGAGGAACATAGTGGTGCCTGGAAGCTTGGAGACACCAGAAACCACAGAGCCCCAAAGAGGGTCTTACAGCCCTGGCTCAGGGAGCCCCTAGGTCTGGGCTCCCAGAATGGCCTCAGCTCTTCTCTCCTTGTTGCCCACAACATGGTGAGCGGGGGAGGGCAGTGTTTCAGCCCTGCTTGTGTTACAGCTTTTTCAGTCTCACCATTCAGCAGGTGCCGAGTTCCTTTCCTGCATCCAGGAAGAATGAGGTATGCTGACAACCAGAGGGTGATCAAGGTGAAGAGGTGCTTGACTGAGTGACAGAACAGCTCTCAGGAGACCCAAAATGGGTAGCTCCTATCCGCAGGCAGGTCATCGCAACGTCTCTGCTGCTCTCAGCAGAGAGGAGACCCAGAGCAGGTAACTCATATTTGCAGGCAGGTCATGCAACATCTCTGCAGCTCTCAGTAGTGGACAGGAGACCCAGAGTGGGTAGCTCCTATCTGCAGGCAGGTCATTCCAACATCTCCGCAGTCCTTAGGGGAGAGGAAACCCAGAGCAGGTAGCTCCTATCCACAGGCAGGTCATCTTGATGTCTCTGTGGGTCTAGCTGAGTCCGGGGTTTTTATGGACTTCAGAAGGGAGATGTGCATGCTGATTGGTCCATGGACGGCCATCATTGGGCCTAGAAAAAGCGCCATAAGTTCTTGCTCTGGGCCAGGAACTCCACCCAGAACTGACAGCCTGGACCCCATGCTTCAGGCTGTCCCTAGCTTGAAGGTGTGCTTCACCAGGGATCTACCCGTTTCCACCTAGGAGTCAGTCTGCCTCCTGCTGCCATCAACCTGCTGTCCACAGTGCCCAGGCTGTTCATGCCAAAGGGTGCTTGCAGACCTGTGCCAAGCACCCTCAGTCCCCCTCAGCCTCCCTCCCATGATCATCAATGTCTAAAGACCAGAGGGGGGCCAAGTTGGCAGGGGTTTGGTGTGTCAGTGCTGCCTCAAGAATGTGCACACCTGCCAGGTCACAACAGTACCTGGCTCAGCCTCAGCTTTGTTCCAAAATCAGAGTCGGTGCTAGGAGTTCAGAGAGGCCAGGCAGCAGGAGCAGACACCTTCAAGCCTGCAGGGGCAAAGGGTGTTCCCAGGCCCTTGAGAGTGCAGGAATGTCCAGGTCCACAGCTGTGGCTGGGCAGCTGCAACTGCACCTGGGAGGGTGGGGCTCCTGCCCTGCCAACTCAGAAAAGGACAGGGCTCCCACCTGTTCCTGGCCCCTGCCAGCTCCGTGGAGCATGTGGTCCCTACTGCACCTCCCCTGCTGCAGCCAGAGTCTTCACAGTGGCCCCTCCAGATGGGCCATTGCTGCCATCAGTAATATCTATCTTACAGATTTATTGTGAGAAGTAAATAAGATAATTCCTATAAAGCTAGTAGCATTATATTTGCTATAGAGTACAAATCCCACAGGTTTCTCCATCATTCCCGCTTCTACTTAACTCAAAATATATCCAAATAAAAAGCAATCTGGCATGAACTTACCTTGATATGATAGAACATTGCAGCTTCCATCCCGCACTCCAAAATGTCCACTAAATAGTAATAGGTACCATTATTAAATACCACCACTGTGCCATAGGCTTCCTCTGAAAATCAGCTTCAAATTTAGCTTGACTGTGTACATGATAAATAAATGCGTGATCCCGAATAAGGATTATGTTTACATAAGTGTGTGGCTCCCCTAACTAAAAACATTTTACTTCTGTTTACTCCTGAGTTTAGAGAGATTTCAAAAGATAAACTTCGAGTATTATATAATCAATGTTTAATTCATGTAGAAGTATATATTAAGAATAGAATAACAAGAAGCCCCAAACTTTGGAAAATGTGAGCCATTCTCTAAGATAAATATTCACCTGCAAGAGACGTTGAGAAAATTCTGCTGGTTCCACTGCCCTGGGACAGTTTCCCAGACCCCTTAGGGCATAAGGCCCTGAGGACCACCTACTCAAGTGTATTCCTTTCCTTCATATCACAAAGGCTTCAGTACAATTTTGTGGTGTTATTGCTTGGCTCTGTAATCATTATTGTGGTTAGATTTTTTTAAAAAGCTCATTTTCATGCTTTCCAGCACAGGATCAGCTTTGCAGTGGAAAATACATTTATAAAAATATGTTGTTGCGTGTGAGTAACTTGCATTTTGGGCTTGTCCCCAGACCACCTGGAACACCTTCGTGAATTCCAGTGATCCAAAAGCTACATTGTGAAAGATGGCAGGATGCTTCATTAGGTTACTACTGATGGTGCTTTGAGATCCCCAAATAAATATCAGAAGCCAGTTTATTGTTCTCTTTTAAAGTCATTCTCCTTTTGCTGTAAAGTGTACTTTTTTCTACACATTAGTGTCTTGGTTAGTATTTGAAATGTGCAGCATATAAAATAATAAAAATATTGCCCTTTACTTTAGAAAGAGGTAAATATTTTAAATGACTGTAACATTCTGAGAAAGCTGCTGCCTGTTTTTCTAACCCGGACACTGGAGTCTGCAAAGTACAGACAACACCCTCAGAGCCTACCTCAGGGTTTATAGAAGGCCTAGTGTGTGGTCAAGACCTCTAGGCTTGCAGTTAAAAGTTCATACCCAGGATGGACTTGATGGTATTGATGGCTTTTTATAATTAAGTTGAAACTCTCCTCTGGCAAATATCCCAAGCCCAAGCAGTCAGTCCCTTGAGCTACCTACCACCAGTGTAGGGACATGAAGCCCCACAAATTTTTCCAATGCTCAAGAATTCTGATTTTTAAATAAATATTAATGCTCCAATTTCTGTGCTTTGGAAAGAGTAAAAGAAAAGGCTTAGGAATCTCGCCCACAAATTTCATGGTTAGAGAGAACGAACTACCTGACCAGCAGACAGAAGAGGCCAAAGGCACACCAAACCACACAGTGGAAGCTCAGTTTGCCAAAACTGTGGCTGAGTTGAAGTGGATTTGGCCCTAGATATATTAATTCCAGACACCCGGTGGTCTGAAACAGAAAAGGCAAAAGTAAGCAAACTGATTGGTAAAAGGGTAAGCTTTTTTCCCTCCTCATCCCTTTTTTGTAAGAGTTCCTCTCACATGTGCCTCTCATTTTCCCACGCAACAGTTGAAAGGAAGCAAAGTGTGGCAGGTGGCAGCACAGCTTTGAAGTCCTGCTGCCAGGGCCAGAGGTCTGACAAATGTTCCATGTGTTCTCTAGCCACATGAGGCGGACCCTTGTACTTCTAAACGAGAGGGCTGATCTCCTTCCACTTTCCCTTTTTTCTAAAGTGAGTTCATGTGCTTTTGATAGCAAGCCTTTAAGTTGGCATAAACTGACTGGCAACTTGTAGAAAATAAATTCGAGGTACCTGCTGCATCAGACCTTGGCTCTTGCCCTTTGGAAGTATTAAACTTGACTTGGTTTTGTCTTTATCGGTTCTTGTTGTTGTTGCTGTTAATACAAGGGAAAAACATAGATAAGAATACAAGCTTTAAATCAAATGTCGGGTATCCATTGTACTTTCATCACTTGTTGCCTTGAATTTTTAAAAAAATTAGTTTGATTTTTTTTTTTTTTTTTTCCATAGATTTGATTTTGCTTTTAGGTAATTGCTTCTGATACAAAAGAGCTCCCTCTAGCCACGAGCTTAAATATTACACATCCTGCTGAGCAGAAGAAACTTCCCTTAAATATGGGCTTGTTTATGTAGCAGTAAAACTATATTCTGAATATCAGTGATAAGGTTTCTGCAGAGCTATTTAACTTCCAATTTATTGAATTGGACCTTTTACTTTTTAAAATATTATTGACTGGAAAATATTTCTGCAGAAGGCAAATAATGAGCGATAGCTACTGGTGGTAGGAATTAGCTTTCAAAGTAAGAAACTGGAGCTGTTTTATATCATTTAGAGTGAAATTCCTCTTCGTACTCCTTAAAAATACTTAGGGAAAAGCTAATGTCCAAAAATAGTTTCGTTTTAAGCTTCGATCACATAAAAGGAAAGCATAAGTCTTGCTGTAGAAGGTGAAGTCCTTTGTGTGAGTTTATATAAAAAGGTAAACGTAAAAATAGAAAATATTTATACGTAATGTTATTTTAAATTAACTTGTGCTGCTGTTTTACCAAGGGCTACACTCCATTTCTTCATGTAATTGTGCTTGTATATTTATGCTTTTAGTGTGTTCACCTGTAAGTGGTAAAAGAAAACTGACGTATACGAGCAACACAAATCTAAATTATTTCCAAATATGTTTTTACTGTGATAAACCAGTAGGCTTCTTGAAAATTCCCAGTCAAATGGCAAGTTCTATGAGGGTAGGCTCCTTTCACTCAAACCTGCCACCATCTTCCACACAACTGGGTGATGAATGTCTCATTATCTTTGCCAAGTGGTCTTCTAAGAATTGGATAGAAAAAGCAAAACGAAAACAGAAAACTTGAGAGGCATGGCATGTGGAATAAAATAAAATTTTGATAGAATGGGATATTCATAAATATAAAAAAAATTATGGCAGATGTGAAAGTTAATTTTAAAGTTATTAAAATAAAAGGAGTTATCTTGGAATAGATTTGTCATAACCATTTTTAGCGTATAATAGCAATTAGAGCCTTGGTAGCAAAGGCTTTATTTTTTTTTTTTAAGACGAGGATGTGGATGTACATAGCTCAAACTTTCTTTTCTTATTTTTTTTAGTATACTTTAAGTTCTAGGGTACATGTGCACAACGTGCAGGTTAGTTACATATGTATACATGTGCCATGTTGGTGTGCTGCAGCCATTAACTCATCATTTACATTAGTTGTATCTCCTAATGCTATCCCTCCCCCCTCCCCCCACCCCACGACAGGCCCCAGTGTGTGATGTTCCCCACCCTCTGTCCAAGTGTTCTCATTGTTCAGTTCCCATCTATGACTGAGAACATGTGGTGTTTGGTTTTCTGTCCTTGTGATAGTTTGCTGAGAATGCTGGTTTCCAGCTTCATCCATGTCCCTACAAAGGACATGAACTCATCCTTTTCTGTGGCTGCATAGTATTCCATGGTGTATATATGCCACATTTTCTTAATCCAGTCTATCATTGATATACATTTAGGTTGGTTCCAAGTCTTTCCTATTGTGAATAGTGCCTCAATAAACATACGTGTGTATGTGTATTCATAGCATCATGATTTATAATCCTTTGGGTATATACCCAGTAATGGGATGGCTGGGTCAAATGGTATTTCTAGTTCTAGATCCTTGAGGAAATCGCCACACTGTCTTCCACAATGGTTGAACTAGTTTACAGTCCCACCAACAGTGTAAAAGTGTTCCTATTTCTCCACATCCTCTCCAGCACCTGTTGTATCCTGACTCTTTAATGATCGCCATTCTAACTGGTGTGAGATGGTATCTCATTGTGATTTTGATTTGCATTTCTCTGGCCAGTGATGATGAGGATTTTTTCATGTGTCTGTTGCTGCATAAATGTCTTCCTTTGAGAAGTGTCTGTTCATATCCTTTGCCCACTTTTTGATGGGGTTGTTTGATTTTTTTTTTTTGTAAATTTGTTTAAGTTCTTTGTAGATTCTGGATATTAGCCCTTTGTCAGATGGGTAGATTGTAAAATTCTTCTCCCATTCTGTGGGCTGCCTGATCACTCCGATGGTAGTTTCTTTTGCTGTGCAGAAGCTCTTTAGTTGAATTAGATTCCATTTGTCAATTTTGGACATAGCTCAAACTTTCAATTGTTCTGAGAGAATTCAAACGGCACTAAGTAACTCCAGATTCTCAGTTATCCGACTGGAAATACCTAGAACTTCGTCTTCACCCAGCGTTTTCTAGTACTTTACCATTTTTATTTTGCATGCACATACCTTGCATGTGCGAGTGATTATGGCATTCCCTGAAGCACAGTAGTTTTGAGATGATAAACATCTTTCTCCTTTCACCTCTCTGAGCAAAGATTTTTATTTCTGCATCAGTTTCTCTGTGAATGGCAGTTACACCATTTCTTGGCAAGATGGCCAACATTTCGCGGTTACTTTATACTCTCAAGATCAGCGTGACTGTGAGCTCTCATGAAACTAGTTGTGTGTAGTTTAGTTCGAATATAGTAAGTCTCAAGCTAATCTTAAGCGTTTGCTTGGGTAATAAATATACACTATAATGTATAGCAAAAATTTAGAAATTTGTTTATGCTCTCATTAACATTTGAAGTGAAAAGTAATAAGTATGCCTGTTTTTTGTTCTCTGTGATTGAATCTTATAGATTGGATGCTGATTCCATATACTGACCAGTGTATATCATGCATCAACATTTATAGATTCTACTTCTATTTTCCACAGAGAGAGAGATATATACACGCACACGTATTTACGTGTGTATACACCCAGAGGTATTTACGTGTGTATACACCCAGAGGTATTTACGTGTGTATACACCCAGACGTATTTACGTGTGTATACACCCAGACGTATTTACGTGTGTACACACCCAGACGTATTTACGTGTGTACACACACACACGTATTTACGTGTGTACACACACACGTATTTACGTGTGTACACACACACGTATTTACGTGTGTACACATATGTGTACACACGTACATACACGTGTGTGTACACACACGTACATACACGTGTGTGTACACACACGTACATACATATACACGTGTGTGTACACACACGTACATACATATACACGTGTGTACACACGTACATACATATACACGTGTGTACACACGTACATACATATACACGTGTGTACACACGTACATACATATACACGTGTGTACACACGTACACGTACACATGTATATACACACGTACATGTACACGTGTGTACACACACGCACATATACGCGTGTGTGTACACACAGGTACATACATATACGCGTGTGTGTTCACACGTACATATATAAACATGTGTGTATGTGTATATATGTATATGTGTGTGTATATGTATATATGTGTGTATATATGTATATGTATGTGTATATGTGTGTATATGTGTGTATATGTGTGTATATGTATGTGTGTATGTGTGTATATATGTGTATGTGTATATATGTGTGTATGTGTATATGTGTATATATGTGTATATGTGTGTATGTGTGTGTATGTGTGTATATCATCTTATAGATTGGATGCTGATTCCATATACTGACCAGTGTATATCATGCATCAACATTTATAGATTCTACTTCTATTTTCTACAGATATATATACACACACATATATACACATATGTTTATA
The DNA here is from genome assembly GCF_000001405.40 of Homo sapiens. Taxonomy (NCBI): domain Eukaryota; kingdom Metazoa; phylum Chordata; class Mammalia; order Primates; family Hominidae; genus Homo; species Homo sapiens. The sequence continues at coordinate 19,495,639 of NC_000007.14, forward strand.
CATATATGTGTATATATGTGTGTGTATATACATATATACACACATATGCATATATGTGTGTATATGTGTATATGTGTGTATATATACACATATATACACATATATACATATATGTGTATATATGTATATATACACATATGTACATACATATGTATATACACACGCACATATATATATTCACATACATACACAATTAGTTAACTAAAATATCAGAGGACAATTTTAAAATATACTTCTGATGACTTCTCTAAGAAATATATTTCTGCTGGGAAAAAAAATGCTGGGGTTTCCTGTGGGTGGATGAGTTTGGGTTCCCTCTCACCAAGATATATTTTCAGTTTTCCCCTCACGAGCTTTTACTTACATATGGTTTGGTTAATATTCTGGGGTCTCCTCACTATCTCTGGCCTCTCTTGTGGAATCGTCTGCATCAATAGTTGCTATATATTAGTGAGCAAATTAAAATTTAACTGCAACAAAAGTGACTTGTAGCATTTTAGTTTATGGCTACAACTTGAAAATCTTTATAATGTGGTGCTTTTTATTTTTACAATACAGCTTGACCTGTAATCTTCCTCTGGCATCAGTGCTGACTAATTAGATATATTGTTTATTGAAATCCAAATCGTTTATGCAACTAATAATTATTAAATGCCTACTTATTATGCCAACTAATAATTATTAGTGCCTATTATGTGTTAGAAACCGTTTTAGGTGTTGAGATGCAGCAATGTATTGCTTGATGAAGTTTCAGTTTTAATGGTTGATATCATTAAAAGTATAGAAATAAACGACATTGTTTCTATAATGGAAGATTGTAATAGTAAAGGAATGCATCGATTGCTTACAAGGATAGAGAACACAGACTAAGTCAAATCAAAAGACAAAGGGAAAGTCCCCTGGAGAAAGTGACCTTTGTGTGGAACATTCTTGCCAATTTGATTAAAAATTCAAGTATTTTATCATACATGATTTATCTCTACCCTCTGAGTTCTGTTGATGGGGTAACTATTTTTATTTTGGTTGATCACCAATAGTAGGTGCAGACAAGTACACGCATTTTTCTGTTCCACTGTGGAAAAAAGATAATCTATTTGTTCTTATTTTTATGCACCTGAGAAACAGATGATTCTAACTCTTTTAAGTTCACAACCCCTTGGGACTGAAATTTATTCAGAACAGAAGTGTCCTGCTTCTTGTCTAGAGCCAGAATAGTTATTCATAAACCATCACAATGTTCAGATTTTTAACCTGTCATTTTATAACACATTTTTGGAGAAGAAAAACTATGATTCCTAATCTTTTGAAATGACTCTTTGGGGATCTGAGAAACTGCACATTCCTGACTCAAAGGTTTATAATAGCAAACAAAATCCAAGTTCACACAGCTCACTTTGAGAGGTAAGAGTATGTTTAGAGCAAGAAGTGTCAGAATTCTCCAGGACTCTGCTGATTATTCTCAAATTGGTGAAGAACTCACTCTTTCTCATTTAGCTAATTTGTCAGCTTCTCAAAATAAATATCACATGTTCTAATTTGGCATTTAAAATTGAAATTACTTAAAAATAATAGTATATTTGATACAGAAGGTACTGACTGTGAAATTCTCATACTTTTTATCCAGCCAAGTCTAACATAATAGCTTTTTGAATATGGCACAGTAAAATGGTTGTTGTTTCGACTTTTATTATTTGTCAAGTGTGTTTTGAACATACATACCAAAGTAAGCTTAAAATCAGGCATATTTTGGAACTTGAAAAAAACTAAATGTTAAAATGCCTTGCAGCAAGAAAAACTGGGCTTGAATTATTTGAAAATCACTTAATCTCCCATTTAAACTGAATTCATTTTGTACTTAATAGTTGTAACACAAAGAATGTTTTACTCACATGAGTTAAATGTTACTTTTTACTTATTCTCTAGATACTTTCAAAATATAAGCTTAAAGAAATTCTACCATGGCATGCTTAGAAAGCTGTCATTAAATTAGTAAAATTGCACATATTTCATGATATTTTTCAGAAAAGTCTACCAAGTCAATCCAAAGCTAATTTAACATTACTATTTGTATTATCATTATCGTTAGTAACGGGGTCTACCAATATATAAAATTTGACCAAGTGTGGAATTTCTCAGTTCTAACACAGAAACCATCCTATTTTGCTTAAAGTAGCATTCTCTTTTTATGCGTGGAAGATGGAGCTTAGGGACAACATAATTTTACAGATGTGGGTGGGTAGGGTTGGCAGTGGATAGGGAGATGGGGTGCTAGGGCACAGTAGAAAAAGCCAGGAGGGGGGCACTTCTACAAGTTTCTATTCCTAATTAGAACAACTGGCATGCAACTAAGATCTAAATGAATGTGACACCTTTATGTGTGGTGTCGGGGAATAGACATAGAGCCTTAAGTAAGGGGCCACATTGAAATGGAAGCACTGGAATGGAGACAGAAACTCAGAACACAAGGTATATTATATGATCAGTTCACTCCCTAGTACATTTTAATGGGATAGAGTTTAGAAATAGTTTTAAAGGTTAAATTTTAAATTAATTACAACAAAATCTAGCAGGCTTTTAGTTTACACTATGAAGACTTTTGAGAGAGCTGATAGTATTTTCCTAATCTAGGGCTGACTAGTTTAATGTCTTAATCCTCCCTCTTTATTAGTTGCCAAATTGCTCCGTTTTCATTAATTATCAGATTGGTCAGTGGCACAGCTGAGAAAGTTTAACAAGTATTCATTTCTAGAAAAAGAGAACCCACTCTAGGGTAGAGATGCTAGCAGCAAGGCTGAGACCTAACATGACCCTGGCACAGCGAGTTTGAGGAAGAAGGCCTAGAAAGTATTCGGTGGGGCAAGGAAGTTGCTAATTTCAAAAGCACTAGCCAAATACACGTAACCGTGATGCCATCATCTTGGAAGACAAAGGCTGTGTGTCCCTTGATAACAGTAACCTGAGATGCAGTTTGTAAAGAAAATAGTAAAACTTAAAACTGGTGGTATAAACTCTCCTCTACTAGCCTAAGTTATGAGGTTCAGAGGAGAAATGGTTACATAGAGGAACCTCAATTTAAGACCATGGGTCATCTTGTAGCAACAGAAGAGAGCTCTTATATTTGTGTAGTTTGGACAGATATCTTAATCTAACTCCAATCCTTAGAGAAAGCACTGGAAAATAATTCTGGGAAATATAATTTATTAAAAAATAGTAATGAAAAAAGGATACATTCAACAACATGCTAAGATACTATGTAAGAAAACGTGAAGTCTAGCACAGCATAGACTCACGTGTGTAATCCCAGCTACTTGGGATGCGGACATGAGAGGATCGCTTGAGATCAGGAGTTCAAGACCAGCATGGGCAATGTGGCGAGACCCCCCATTTCTACAAAAATTTAAAAGATATGTATACACATGTGATGTCACATGACCATATTCCCAGCCTCTTGGGATGCTGAGGCAGGAGGATCATTTGAGCCCAGGAGTTTGAGGCTACCGTGAGCTATGATAGTAGCACTGCACTTCAGCCTGGGCTACTGAGTGAGACCCTATCTATTTTTTTTAAAGATGAAAATAATTGGCATAAGTTTCCTATAGGTAACAACTCATCAGAAAAATGTTGCCATTAAAATGGATGAAAATCATAACCTAACATACCAGTTGGTATTTAATCAGAGAATTAGAACAACTATAGATGACAGACCAAATGATTTCCTCCAGGGTTTAGAAGGTCCAGCCTTATGAAATTTGGGGAAGTACCTCTGCATCTTATGTTGATCTTGCAGTCTAGCAAGAATGACAGTTGTGAAGGAAACCAGGATATGGATGAGAGTAAGGAAAATCTGGTCTTCAATTACCTCCGTTTTTTATTTTGATCATCCATTTTTATTTGTTCATCAATGACGAGAGTATTTTATTTGCTGAATAAGAGTAGCATTTTTGAATACCAAATAGCATTACCTCAAATTTTTGTGCTATTTGCTATGTAAAGGATATGGGTACAACCCTATTTTAAATTTAGTTTGTTATATTAACATTTTTCCATTACTTTCTAAGTCTAGACAATGAGCAAATAATGAATCAAGTGCTAATTTTTAGCATTTGTCCATTTCTGTGGTATAAATACTCCTATGATGGACAATTTCAAGCTGCTAACATGACATCACTGAACACAAATTGGGAAGAAATGCACAATAACACATTATTAAAGTATTCTCACAACAGAGATACAATAGACATAAATAACCTCAAGGGTATAAACAATAGTAATATATAATAAGTAAGAAGGAAACATTAGAGTATTTATTGTCTTTATGGTCAATATTATACACATAGTTGTAAGTTTACATCATTTCATTTTTAAGAATAACTGTGTTTAAAACAATTAAATTCTGGAAAATTAGTAATCAGCTCTTACAAGCCAGTATGAGCTAGCTCCAGGATATTACTGAGTTTAGAGTTTTCTCATAAAATCATCAAATTGCACACAGCAATTGTGCCTTTCAGTGTATGAAAATTAAACCTCAAAAAGGCTTACTAATTGGTTGATGTGCTTACATTACTGTGGGTTTGCAATCTTAAAATCATTGTATATTCTAGGCTTAAAAAATGTATACATATATTGATAACGGGAGACAGTTTTCTCACTCAAAGAAGGAAGTTACAAATATAAAAATGGAGAGACTAGAATAATCCTGTCCTGTTGGATTTTAATTGAATTAACTAATTACATATATATATGTACACACCTATATGTACATGTGTATATATATGTGTATATATATGTGCAAGTATATATGAAGATGTAGATAAATACGTGTATCTCATAGGTATGTATATATGTACATGTGTATGTATATACTAAGATAGCGTGGAATCAATGATTTACTAGCCAATCAGAGTACAGCTATTGTGCAGTACCTGTTCTAAATACTATTATCATTAAAAAGAACCAAGGCTTCTTAGAGAAATACCTGATTACAGGGCTGAGAAAGGAAAAGTACAGGATGAGCCTGAAAATATTTTTTGCACTATAATAAATTAAGGAAATGTTCAAAGAACTAAGAGTATATATTAAAAGGACACAGAAGCCAAGTAACAGTAATAGATTATAAACAACTGAATGATACTTGAATCTATAAATGCATTGATTAAATAAGTGAATAAAGAAGAAAGGAAAGTTCTTTTATATTGTAAAATTTTAATTAAGATGGAAGGAAGAATGGGGTTCGAAATTCAAAAGTGGACGATTAAAGTAGTTGATTAAAATTTGAGGAGTAAGATATTTACATAGCCTCAAGATTTATCACCCAAATTAGTTATTATAAGTTAACATAATTTAATCAAGAAGAGATCTGGTAGATGTTACCTAAATCAAGTGATAGTGTTAATCTCACCAAAATCAGAAAGAAAATATGTGCATTCTAATTTGAATCACTGAGAAGCAACAGTGTTACATCAATGGCATTCTAAAAATGAGTAGCCTGAATCTAATCATGAGGAAATATTAGAAACCCCCAAATGAATAGGATTTCTACAGAATAACTGGCTTTTGTCTTTGTCAAAACTTGAAATGTCAAGAAAAAACAAAGAATTCAGAACTCTTCCAGTTTAAAGGAGATTAAAAAGGCATGGCATGACCAAATGGGATTTATCCCCCAAAATGCAAGGATGTTTCAACAGTAAGAAATCAATCAATGCAATTTATCATATCAACAAACTAAAGACAAAAACCCACATAATTATTTCAACAGATTCAGACAAACAGTTGTAAAAATTCCGTGTCCATTCATGACAAAAACTCTCAACTAATTGAAGGGATCTTTGACTTGATAAAGAGGATCTACCGAAAATCTATAGCTAATATCCACTTAATGGTGAACGACAATGCTTTCCTTCTAAGACCAAGAATAAGGCAAGATGTTTTATCATTGTGAATCGTTATGCTAGATATCTAGTCAGTGCAATAAAAAAGAACAGCATAAAAATTGGAAGGGAGAAATAAAAACATCTTTATTCACAGATGACATAATTGTCTATGTAGGAAATTTCAAATAATCTACAAAAGAACTTGTGTCTGTGAAAATGACACTGGGATTTTGATAGGGATTGTACTGAATCTGCAGATCACTTTGAGCAGTATGAACATTTTGACAATATTAATTCTTCGAATCCATGGATATAGGATATCTTTATATTTGTGTCTCCTACAATTACTTTCATCAATACCTTATGCTTTTCAATGTATAGCTTTTTTCCTGAAAGAACTCAGATACAATAATGTACAATTCATTTTATAAGAAATTCTAAAAATGAAAAAACTATAGAGACAAGAATAAAATCAGTGGTTATGAGAGGCTGGAGATGGGGAAGATGATTTCATATAAAATATTATAGGGAAACATTTTACAGTTCTGGAAATAAACATTGATATTTGTGGTTGTTAAACAACTGTATTCAGTTATTAAAACTCATAAAGCTGGATGTCTGATATCAATGAATTTTACTATATGTAAATTATTCCCCAGTAAACTTGACTTTCAATAAAATACATGATAACCAGAGGCAATGAATAACAACTTTTGATTCTGGACAATGGAAAAATGAACTATAAAGGACATTATTAGGACAATTGACATTTGAATATGTCCTATTTACTAGATAATATTGTAATTACTATATTAAGGTTCCTGATGTTGATTATTTTCCTGTGGTCATTAAGGAAATGTCCTTGTTAGAATCCACCCAAATGCCCATTAATGATACATGGGATTAAAAAAATGTGGTATATGTACACCACGGAATACTATGCAGCCATAAAAAGGAAGGAGATCATGATCCTTTGCAGGGTCATGGTTGGAGCTGGAAGCTATTATCTCAGCAAATTAACACAGGAACAGAGAAGCAAACACTCCATGTTCTGAGTTATGTAAGTGGGAGCTGAACAATGTGAACATATAGACACAGGAAGGTGAACAACACACACTGGGGCCTGTCAAGAGGGTTGAGGGGAGGGAGAGAATCAGAAAAACTAGCTAATGCATGCTGGGCTTAATAGCTAGCTGATGAGTTGACAGGTGTAGCAAATCACCATAGTACACGTTTAATTATGTAACAAACCCACACATCCTGCAGAGGTACCCTGGAACTTAAAAAAAGAGTTATTGTTTTCAGAAAATATGTACTAAAGTATTTGTTGTTATAGGGACATGTTTCTGACCATATATATAAGTCTATATGTATAAATGTAAATGTCTATACATGTATGTCAATATATGTATACATATATGCACGTACAAACACAAGATAGAGTGAAGAGAAGAGGAAAGGAGAAAAGAGAGGAGAGAATGATAAAGCATTTGGGACAAAATGTAAACAGTGGATTGGGCAAAGGGTGTACTGGGTGTTACTCTACTAGGCTCATGTTACACTTATAATTTTCTTGTTCTTATGTTTCAAATATGAAGATAGGATTTTCTTTAAAAAATGTATAATTTCTGGCAGAAATAAAGCACTATTCGTAGAGCTCTTGATATTTTTCTTTACATAAATCTATAGAAAAGATAGAAGTTTTAATAAACAAATTCATGATTAAGGTATATAATTATATATTCCAAAATCAGTTATATTTATATAAAAAAATTTAATATTAATACAATTTAAAAGTACATTAAGAAATATCAAACGCCTATGAATACATCTAAGGAAATATCCCTACACTGTAAACTACCAAATATTATTGAGAAAATTAACGAATACCAAAATTGAGAGAGAAAACATAATCACAGATTGAAAGACTAATTATCATAAAGATACTCCCCAATTTTCTCTCAAATTCATCCATAAATTCCAAGACACTCCAAACAATTTCAGTTAAGATAATCTTTTAGAAGGGAGAGAAAGATTTTCAGAAATGTATATGGAAGTTCAAAAACTCAGACATTCAAGACAATCTTGTACAACAAAAACAATTAGAAAAGGGACATTAACACTTATAGCAGGATTTATTATAAGTCTATATTAATGAAGGCAATATGGAATTGGAAAAGGATACACACAGGGATGATTGGGCCAGAATACCATACCCATATACACTTACATTTATGTGGATAATTGATTTTTGCAAAATGGGTAAATAATTTACTATAGTCATACAGCAGAAGACTATATAGCAATGAAAATGTATATTCTACAAGTACTTGGAGAATATTTTCAATCTCACCAACATAATGAAGAGCAAAAGAGTACATACCATTTGATTACATGGAAAATTTAAAGTTATAAAACAGAACTAATCTATCCTGGTAAAAGTGGAGAAAGTGGATACTCTTGGGGGATAGGTCATGGACCGTGACTGGAAGAGGCACAAAAGAGCTTAAAGGTCCTGGAAATGTTTATTGACCTGGCTACTGATTAAATGGGTGTGTATGGTTTATTAAAATATATCAAGTTATACACTTGTGAGAAGTGAGTTTATCTGTAAGTCTGCTACATTTCAAAAAATTTCAAGTTAAAAAATATACTTTGAAAAACTATACTTTGAAAAAATATGAAATAGATTAGAACAAATAAGGCTCTTATTCTTTCTCAGACTAAAGTTGGAAGAAAGGGTATAGTTGGTAGAGGAAAAAGGAAGAAATACAATTTGTTACCATTTATGCGTTTATCTTTTTATACTCAGTACAGCTTAAACTAGCCTAAAGTTTAGTAATATTTGAATGACTAAAATGGAAAGGTGGTCAAAATTAACTGCAAAAATATTTTAAGGGATGCCTTTGATATTCTCTGTTGTAATGTACAGGACGAAACCTGGGGAAGTCCTTTGAAGGCTACTAAAAGTTAGGTTCACTGCTGGAACACTTAACTTCTATGACCTTTACTGAAGGCTTGCCAGAAACTCTACAGAATGTAGTGTTGTTTCCTGAAAGAAACTGTCACATGGGATTAGATATTCAGTCAGAAGTCTGACTTTTACCCATAGGTTCTGGTGTGACTTCATTAAACTAGATAATTTCATAAAATAAAAATTGTTCTTGATGCTGGTGAACTATTAATATAAAAAACGAAAACTAAAATTATGCAGATGTCTGTTTAAATCTTTTTTCCAAGACAGAGCTTAAGTCATAGGAAATTGTAGATGTTGGTTGTCCATTTAATCTCCTTTTTTTCAATAAACGTAACCTCAACAAACCAAGCTATTTATTAACACAATTTCTAGAAATGTTCCGCACTTGACGTATTTTAATATAGGTACACTCAAATGTTCAATGATATTTAAAAACTGAGTTATATAATTTCAAAATCCCAAAATATCAAAACTTAAATCATTTAAACCTTAAGGACAAATTCTTTTTTTATGCATTTGTAAATGCGAATTGATGTCAACTCAGGAGAATTGAAACTCACATCTTCTGAACTTTGACAAGTCAATTGTGCAGAAAACAGTAATAGTAATTACTGGCAATATTTACTGACCTCTTACATATCACACAGTAGGTTATATCCTTCACATAGTTTAATATTTATTACTCAAACAACCCTAGTATTAACTGAGGGTTATGCTGTTATAAAAATATGGATGGAGATCTAAAGTCAGGCAGTATAAGTCCAGAGCCCTTGTTTATAACAGCAAGCCATAATGGGTATTGCTATTAATTATGTATGTGTATATATAAAAATTATGATGTTATATATCAGACATATGTAAATTACATGTTTTATATACATGTACAGATATATGTATGTATACATATGTGTATATGTATATATGTATATGTATTCTATGTATTATAAATAGTGTTCACGTTGTTCCCAGTCGTGGAGAAGTTTGAAAAAAAAGATCATGTTTTGAGTCATAGACAATACATCAAAATATGCAGAGATTTTCCAGCTCTTACCTGATCAAAAACATTAAATGAAATAAACTATGAATAACAAATATAAGTGTCGCTGTCACTTCAGATTGTAAACAAAACAAAAACACTCTCCTTCATAAATTTTAGAACAAATAAAAATCAGTTAGAGAACAATTAGGAATTCGCAACATTTAGAACCTACTGTATCAAAGCCATAGGAGCTATTAGACTACCTCTCATCAGAGTTAAAATCTTAAAAAATCTTAACTCTAAATCTTTTCTTCCACAAATAAGAAAAAAGTAAAAATAAACTAAACGTTAAACTCAAGAAGATGGAACAAGAACAGCAGAACAAACTAGACTGAATGGGAAGAAGGATTATTAAGATAAAGATGGAAATTAACTATAAATTGATAAATATTGGAATGACTGACAGAAAAACTGAGCTAATGACATAAAAGAAAAACTTCAGAAAAATAACACAGAACTTTCATATTCAAAGAGATTTTTAAATATATCTGAAAGTACTGTAACATGTAATATGAATACTAGTTTGGTAATTACAATAAAATTATTTCTACGAAAATATAAATTCCAAATAAAAACATATTAAAAGTTTAGGCCATTTAATATCAAACCTAATTTTAATAGTATTAGAATTTATAAGTAATACAATATAGCAGACAAAAAGAGGCATACATATAGAAAAAGAGTACACAAAATCATCGTGATGTATAGGGTTGTCTACTTAGATAATGCAATCAAATAAGCTAACAATCTGTCAGAACTAATAAAAATTACATATAAGTTAAAATACTCAACATTCAACCATCAACTGCCAAAACTTGACTAAAAATATAAAGCTAACAAGATACAATTCAAAATGAAAATAAAAATATAAAATAACTAGGAATAATTTTAACAAGAAATACATAGGCCCTATATGAAGAAACTTCAAAACTTTAATGAAATTCTAGGAAGACTAGAATGAACGGAAACAGAACTTACTGATTGACAAGTGTTACCAAGTAAAGATATCAGGTTCCACTTAAAATTTATATATTTAACGCAGTCTCCATAAAAGGGCCAATAGGATTTTTTTTTTTTGATGGTGGGAATTTAAAAAGTTGGTAGGGGATCATATGAGATGTTCAGTTAGATAGCAAGGAATAGGTGGAGTGCAAAATGAAGCACTGCGAGATGTCTCACAGGAAACTGAGTGATGTATAAGCTTACTGTCCCCATGTACCAGCATGGAACATCTCTTATGGGATATTCAGTGTTTCTTAATGGTGAAGGGCAGGAAATAGAATGGACAGAGACAAGGACATATTGAAGCCATTTATTCTAGAAGTAGTGTGCTGGAGGCAGAAGTTTTAGCAACTCGCCGGACGCATAATCCCAGCACTTTGGGAGGCCGAGGCGGGCGGATCAGGAGGTCAGGAGATCGAGAGCATCCTGGCTAACACGGTGAAACCCCGTCTCTACTAAAAATACAAAAAATTAGCCGGGCGTGGTGGCGGGCGCCTGTAGTCCCAGCTACTCAGGAGGTTGAGGTAGGAGAATGGCGTGAACCCGGGAGGCGGAGCTTGCAGTGAGCCGAGATCGCGCCACTGCACTCCAGCCTGGGCAACAGGGGGAGACTCCGTCTCAAAAAAAAAAAAAAAAAAAAAAAAAAAGTTTTAGCAACTAATTAAAACACATTGTAATTAATATTATAATATGTGTTAATGGATCCAAAAAGCGTCATGATAATACTTGAACAGGGTTTTAAAGATACGTATCAGGGTCCCAGGTAGAAGAGTGATGAAGGTAGTCCTGGAAGGTGAGCCAGTGTGTGCACAGATGCAAAGCCTGAGAAAGCCTGTTGCAGATTAGATTTCTGTAGCTGGAGTTCATGACTGCAAATCATTTGGGCCATGCTGGAAATTCAGATGAGGTCTAACTTATGAAGGGTTTTCTCTGCTATTCTAAGAAAGTATGTTTCAAATATACATGTGTATGGCTATGGGAGATTATAGGTATACATAATGTGTGAACAAAAACTTAAAATGCACGATCTTTTTAAAATGCTACCAGGGAACTTATACTAACCTTTTAAAAATTGTCAATGTTATATATTTTTTAAGATAATACATGTTATTTCACTTTTGAATAGGCATGCTCTGGTAAGGAGTAGGAAATACGTTGTTTTACCAAGACATTTTAAGGCTATATTGAAAAATAAGTATTTACTGAGTTTGGATTAAATACCATGCTGTATCTCTTACATTTAGTGTATTAAATAAAAGGTAAAGTAAATTGCACTCAAATTCTTAAAGTAAGAAAATAATCTTTAAAACATTTTTTCTTTGTTCTTTATTAAAACCAGAAGTATTACAAAGTCATGATAGTTCTAATATGTATCTTTATATGAGCACACAATAATTACTGAATTTTTTCTTCCAAAAATGTTGGCTTACATAGGAGCAGAAATGCATGAAACTGTTGCATTTCAAATTTATCTTAATGGACATAAAGGGTAAAAACTCTTTCATGTGAACAGAGACAACTTTGGCCTCTACTAGAGATAAGTCGTACTGAATGTGCAAACTAAGTTTCTATGAGGTAGATTCTTATTTGTCATATTATTTATTAGACAGTAATATTTAGGAATTTATGAATAATAAAATCTCAAGGGATTTTCTTCACTTGATTACTAATTATAGAAACTAACCTTGAATATTTGGCCCCACTGTTGAGTCGCTCAGATTGAGAAGTACAAAGTGAAGACCCTGCTGTGAGGGTAAACTGATGACTCACTTTTAATATTAGGTTGAGCCAGGAACTCTAACTCTGCCAAGTTAACTTCGCAGGGAGTCCCACTTCAACCCACTCACATTTTCTAATAACAGCACTCTATTTCAACATTGCTGAAATAAACTGTGCTTCACTTTGGCATTTTGATTTGAAAATGAAGGTAGTATGTAACATAATAGATTGCAATGATTTCTTGGATAACCTTTTAAAGAACAAGTTAAAAGGACACCGATATTATGACAATGGTGTACAATTGTGTCCTCGTGAAAATTAGAAAAGATTCATTATGAGTATCCTTGTTGCCCCCATGTTAGTTACAAAACTATTTCACCTGCAGTAACAGAAAATTTTGCTGTTATTCATAGTTTGAAGATGGTGGTAAGGAGGAAAGGCATTTATAAATTTATGTTTGTAAAAACAGGAGTTTGAAAGAGGTTTAATTTATAAACCTGGGGCCAAAGAAGTTTCATGTGATGTAGGCCATGCATTTCTGTGTTTTGACATTGAGATTTAAGCAATCACACTGGTTAAGTTCTTTATGACCCCTTTAGACATGTTTATTTGAAATCTCTCTTGCTTTCCTTGGTGAACTTTAGACATGCAAAAGTACCCCAAGGGCACACACTCACCCCTGGCAGATTTGTTTCCCATTTTTCTCTTTTTAGAACTCCAGCTCAGCCACTATTGCCACACAGATCAAAAGCCCCATGTTTATTGTCCTGGCCACATGGTGAAAAACATATCTCTGGGTAAGCCCTGCATTAGTTTTCCTGCCTGCGAAGACAAAATACTTTCTGTTCAGACACAAAGATTCTTCTTAAAAGAGGCTTGTGTTTGCGTATATGAAGCTGCACTGCAACTCTGATGGCAAATCCAGCAGCATTTTTAAATGGTAACAAATCATTTTTTTGGTTTTGTTTCTCTACTGTTCACTTTCCTCCCCAATCCACAACACTACTGGCGTCCTTTGTAAAAATCATTCTAACTCCTGTGCACGTTGTTCTTCTTCAGACTGAAAGAGGCAGTCGGGAGTGCAAAAAAATGTCTAATTTGAAATGCTTTTTTTTTTTTTTTTTTGATTTGGAGTCTTGCTCTCTCGCCCAGGCTGAGGTGCAGTGGCGTGATCTCGGCTTACTGCAAGCTCCGCCTCCGGAGTTCACGCCATCCTCCTGCCTCAGCCTCCCGAGTAGCTGGGACTACGGGCGCCCGCCACCACGCCCGGCTCACTTTTTATGTATTTTTAGTAGAGACGGGGTTTCACCGTGTTAGCCAGGATGGTCTCAATCTCCTGACCTCGTGATCTGCCCGCCTCGGCCTCCCAAAGTGCTGGGATTACAGGCGTGAGCCACCGCGCCCGGCCTGAAATGCTTTAACTGAGCTTTGAGAGGTGACCTGCAAATATCAATCAAACTTCCGAAGTTACACCTGTGTAGCCTTCATGATATTGCAGGTGTATGTTAAGGGAATTAAACACACAAATTTTAATTGACCAGATCCCAAACCAGTGTAACACCAAAGGATATAGTTTTGCTTGACAGCAGGGTTTCAATTATCAAGGTAAAGCAGACATACCTGGTAGTCTATGCAGCCAATCTGTTATTTTCTTTTGCAATACAGAAGCAGTGGCTTTTTGTAACTAGAAATACTATTTGTGGCCTGAACCTATGAAAAGTTCTGTATTCTGCTGTGTAATCTGATTCTGCTTAGAGTGCGAGTTTGGAATGGTTTAGGAACATGTGCAATACATATTAAGACTCAGAAGAGACAACCTACGGAGTGGAAGAAAATATTTGCAAACCACACATCTGATAAAAGATTAATAATCAAAATATTTACAGAAGTAAAACCACTCAATAGCAAGCAAATAAACCACTCAAATTTTGTGAATATATAAAGATTCAGAAATTATTGCTCCTATGAGTATTTCCTGGAAAATATAATAATAGTAAACTTTACACAACAAAAAAGCCTGGAGAGACATCAAAATTAAGATAGTTATAAATGTTAAATCTATATTATTCTGTAAATCAATGCTACATGATGGTTATAAGGAAGATAATATATCACGGTATGTAATGGTGGTTTGCTTTAATTACACAGCTGTAATATAACTATCAAAACTAGAGGGTGAGGAGAAAAAACAAGAAAATTTAAACAGACTTTCTAATCACTAATCAGTATTAATGGTAGTAAAAGAATATACTTAACATAGGATGCTGGGGGAGAAAAAGTAAAAGGAGTAGAAGTTATTATTGACAATTTTGCCCATAGAATGGCATAAATAGATGGTAGCCTAAAAAAGATTATTATATAATGATATTGACAAGAAGGAAGAATGGGGGAAAGGAAGAGTAAAAGAAAAGGAGAAAGGAGGGTGATGGCAAGAAGGAGTAAAAAGAAAAACAGAAGCAAACATAAAAGAGCACACAGGGAAAGGATATATCTTTGGAGACATATTCAAATATAACAGAATGTGAGAAAATTAAGAATAAAACATCAATCATACCAATAAGTTTTAATCGAATCTCAAAAAATCTAAATCTATTAAAAGACAGTTTTAGATTGTCCAAAAATTAACATTTAACTGATTAACTGCTTAAATATGCTTGTATGAGACAAACACAAAAAACAGAGATTATAAAGAATTAAAATGAGAGGACAATAATACATGAAAGGCAATTGCAAATGAAATGAAAGCAAGGCTCATGAAATTGATATCAAATTAGGTAGAATCCAGTCCAAAATGGTTTAAAAGACATAAGAAAGAATACTTTTTAATGTCTGGGGTACGAATAAAAATTTAAAAAAATTATGTAATATTCTAGCAAACTTCCTAAAGCAGAAGCAACAGAAGATGCACATAGAAAGACACACCAATAAAGGGAGATTTTAACTTAAGTAACTCCTTCAAAGATGGGTCGAATGGACAAAGAAACCAAGATAATGATGACAAAATAAAATACTTCTAATAGATAAATACAAATACTGAACTGTGTTAATAAATAATATATCTTCCTTTCACAGAAAACCTCAACCAATTAAAACAACAGAAACAACCCAAAGGCAGTCACTTACTATAAGACAGTAAATCTAAAAATTACTAACAAAAAATTAAAATTTTCTCTACCTAGAGGAAGAAATACATTGTCAATGACTAAAGGGCAATTTCAAAGTGAAAAATGAAGGATATTTTTAGAAACAAAGGTAAGAACAATATGACATCAGAATTTTGGGGATACAGCTAAAAAAATTAGTAAATTTTTTAAATGAAATAATTGTACCAATAAAAACTATAAAATAAGTTAAATCCTCAACTCAAAATCTAGAAAAACAGTGAGTAAAGCAAAGAAAAGTAGAAGACAGTTTAATAAAGGTTAAAAAAACAGTAGTTAACTAGTTAGGAAATGGAGAATCAGTAAACTAGAAAAGCAACAAAATTGAAAAACCATTGGCTAAACTTCGAACAAATAAAAGGAAAAAAAAACCAGATACACAAAATTAGCAACCACAAAGTGGGACATAGTCATCAAAAGAGTTAATTTAAGCAAGTCTTAAGAGACATTCTATAACTCTATTTGAAAACCTAAATTAAATTGTTATTTCAGACACACCAAAATTGATCCCAGTAAGGATAACCAATCTAAAACAGATCAATGGCAATAGAATAAATAGAGAATGTATTTAGAGTTATTCCACATAAAAGCACCAGAGTCATGTGACTTTACTGCAGTATTCTATAAAACCTTACAAGATTAAATAATATGAATGCTGTTCAAACAATTGCAGAGAATAGGAAAAGCAAAAATACATTCCAGCTAATTTCATGAAGTAAATACATTAATCAAAACTCACCAATGAAAAAAACCTATTGGCCAATGTCTCTTGTGCATATAAATGTAAAAAACTTAAATATTAATATATAGTCTATTAGCAAATCTAAAAAATAGTACATCATGACTAAATAAGATTTATTTGAGAAATTCAGAATCACATGCTCATCTTCACATTTGAAGAAAGTATATTTGACAAAATTCAGCACCCAGTCATCTTAAAAACACTCCATAAGACAGGAATTGGGGTATATCATTTCTTATGTGACTAGATAGATAGATAAACATAAATAGCTAGAGATAGATGGCTAGAGCATGTAGTTTGGAATATAAAAATAATCTCAGCCCCCAAAAAAACTAGCCCCAAAGCTAGTTTCTTACTTGACATGGAATCAATAGATATTTCCGCACTAAAGAAAAAGACAAGAATGTTCATTATCTGTACTATTTAGCATACCTTTGGAAGTATTTGCCTATTAGGTAAAGCAATTAGTAGTTTCTAAAAAAGTTCTAATTCTATTTACAGACACATGAATATATGCTTGGAAACCCCAAAAGAACTAATGGAAAAATAAAAACAATTGAATAAAGTAGCAATTTAGAAAATTATATATGAAAACATACAAGTTACACACAAATACAAGATAGAAAATATGAAACTGAATGTTTGATTTACCATAATAAGAAAAAAATCTGTATGTAAACTTAAGGAAAATCCAGTATATCTGTCAAGAAACTAAGTCACATTCCTGAAAATTATGAGTAGACTTGGAGAAGTGGAAAGATGCACCATGTTCTTGGATAGTAATATCTAGCATCATAAAAATGTCAGTTCTCCCCAAGCTAATTTAAAAATAAAATGCAATCCGAATAGAAATATTATTCATTTTTTAAATGTAAGTGTAGACTATGAAATTTGTTTGGAAGAATAAATATAAATAGCTAAGAAAGCAGTAATACAAAAGGGTTATGAAGGGATCTGGCCATACAGGCATTAAAAAATCTCATGTAAAAACCTATGTAATTAAAACCATTTGGTATTGGCTCATGCTAAGCAGACGAATGGAACAAAAAATATAAAATCCAGAAACAGAACCAATTATCTATGGAAATTTTGAATATGCTATAGGTAGCAAAACAAATCAAGGAGAAGAAAAAAATATTAAATATAAAAAAGGAATAGCCTTATAGACAAAGAAAATATTGGATTCATTCTTTATACCATATACCAAGATAAATTTGGCATGGATTAGTAGTTTAAACTTAAGAAGAGAGCCATACAAGTACTAGAAAATAAAATCATGTGTGAATTCCCCTATATTTGGAGCATGGGGAAAACTTTCATATCATTCAAACTCTATTAGTGTATGGGATAACAGTGATCTGCTGGATTATATAAAAATTGTAATACTTTGTCATAGAAAAGTGGCACAATTAGTAAAATTAAAATGTCAAACTGCAAAAGATACTTGTAAATAAAATTACAGATTATTAATTTTTTATTGCAGCCATAACAAATCATCACAAATATAGTGGCTTAAAACAACACAAATTATCTTATGGTTATGAAAGTCATAATTCTGCAATGAGTTTTACTGGATCAAAATCAAGTTGTGGGCAGGTCTGCATTTCTTCTGGATGCACTAGGAAAGACTATATCTGCTTACCTTTTTCCAGCCTCTAAATGTTGCCTGCATTCCTTGGTTCACAGCCCCTTTCTCTAGCTTCAAAGTCAGCAGCCGAGCTGCTGTATCTTTCATTTTGCATTTTCAGTTTTTGAAACTCTGTTATAATAGCTTCTGGTATTTTTCTAAAATAATAAATGTGACTACCTATTTTTCTAAACCAAGTTTCCAAAGCTTCATCTACAAGTAAAGCACAGTGCTTAGAAATATAGCATGGACTTTGTGGTGGTATTTGCATAATTATTCTGCCTTGTGTCCACATAGCTCAGATCAAGGCCTAGCAATGAGGAAAAACATTACCCCGCTGTTAGTTACATAATTCTTATCTCATTATTTTATTTCACTCACAAGTAATATTTTGAATTTTTGAAAGGAAATGAACTAGCCAAATTATCTTGTCTTTTCTCTTTATGAATGAGATTTCTGAATATTTTGGCTGATGTTACAGTTTTTAGTAGTTGGAATGTGGAATGAACCTTCTAAAGTTTATAACAATATATAAGAACATAATTAAAAAATTCAATAATCATCTTTGTCTCTTGCTGAACCCCTTAATTTGATTTGACTGAAGGAAATTTTTCTACCTTGCTGCCATAGATTCTGTTTTCCTTTTCATCATCTTCATTTTGTACAATTCAATTATTTGTTCTGCCTTTCAGAATTAATTATTGAAATAATTTTATTTTTTAATGAACTGCAGAGCAGTCAATTACTCTGTACAGTCAGTCAGGTTAAGACATACATCAATTCATATCTTTGTCTATTGCTTTCATTGTTGGTATTGTTCTCAATCTGCCTTTGCAAATAAATGCCCAGCCATGACACAACTACGGGATTCTCAAGTACACGCTATGCAACAGTGTTTCCTCTTTGAACTCTCTCTTTGCACTGAGTAGCAATCCTGAGACTAGTAAAATGGACCATTTTGATTTTTTTTGCAAAAACAAAATATATGAGTACTTTAATAAAAAAACTTTCTCCATTGCTCAGAAGTTGTTGGCTTTGTGTGGCCACCCAATGCTTCTGTTACTTCGTAACTACTTAGAATTTTACATATCAGGCTGTGCAATACCTATCTTGTATGGATATCAAAGAACTAACTAAAATATGATTATATAGACACATATAATAAATTATTTTTGTTAGTGAGGTATTCCACCAAACTTTATAATTGGGAATAATAGGAATTGGTTTTGAAGGTTAAAAGGTAAGATCAGCACATAATTAATCAGAGTAGAATGTGCAAAGTAAAATTAGAAAAAGATTTAATAGTTTGCTTTTACATAATTTAATTTATCAAGTTATCTAAACAAAGAAGAGGTTTATTAGAGGGCGGTGCAGTGGTTGGAGATTTTTCAGCTAGGAATTTAAAAGGAATAGGCATATAGACTGAAGTCTGTTCTTCAAGGAAGCCCATGGTTGAGGGAAACTTTTGTAAATGCACTTTCTGCATTCTGTATCCTTGGCAAAGCTAACATATGTGTTGCAGAATGAAGGAGATTATAGACACTGAACTTTAGTATTCTGTCCTGTTTTGAGATGACTACAACAGCCTTTCTTATCAGGATCCACTAAGATTGTACTTTTAAAGTTTTTTCCTTTTAAGGATTACATGTTTATTTTCATTTAATGTTGTTTCCCATTTGATTTTTACAGGGGTTTAATTTGCTCTTCTGACACACATTAACATTGTGATTCCTAGGAAAGTTATATTTCTCATTGTAAATTTTAAAATTTCTTGCTGGGTATGACTTAGCTTTGTACTTAGCTAGACCACAAAGTTATTTATGTTAATGTTGCACATTTGATTATTCCTACGATGATTTTTCTCTTCAAAATTAATAAATGATCATTCTTCTTTGATACCACTCTCTCTTGAATTGCTGAAGTGAACCCCTAAGACGTGGATAAACTTTAGATGTGCTGATAAAGTTAAGACTTTAGACTTTGTTAAACTGACCACTTAGTCAATAAAAATTCATTGAGTGCCTGGTGTAGGTATCATACTGTTTTAAGTGCGTGGGATATATCAGAGAACAAAACAGACAAAATTTCTAACCTCAGATTCTAGCTCAGATTCTAGGGGTAATTTATGGCTATCTGTGAGGTATCTTCTTGGCCTTTGCTCTACCTAGCATGCTCAAATTTAATTAATATCTCAGTCTTACACAAGTGAGTAACATCTGTACCTAGATAAGGAGGAAGTATGTCCTTTCCATCTCATCTTAAGAAACACCTTATTAGAAGGCACTTAAAACATTGTTTCTCACAGAATTTGCAGTTTTCTCCTTCTCAAACATTTTTTCTTAGAAATTCAAATTCCCTTCTCGTACATTCTGCATCATTATCTCTTTATAATCAGAGCCATCATCTTTCTACAGGATTAAATACTCAGCTGTGAAAGCATTGTTAAATTCTTTTGCTCCATCTATTTTAGTGATAACTTGGCTTCTTCGCACAGCAGTAGTCTTCTAAATCTCATTTTGGACTTTGCTGTAAAGAGAAGAAAGCACAACTTTTAATGGAAAACAAACTAGTTCTTAGGTTTTTACACACATAGAGAACTCTTTCTAAAGCCAGGAGCTGTTAGATCCATGCACTCAGACTTGCTTGAACGTGAGGTATCTGTCTCTTAAATGGTAGCAGCAAGTAATTCTATCAAAAGTGTTCTCAGTTCAGACTTCCACATGAGCTTAAAACCCTTTATAAAGCCAGTAATTTGCTATTGTATTACACATTTTAGAACAGAGACATGTGGATTAAACATATTTTAAATAAAGTCTAAAGTTGGGTAATTGACTTCATATTTATCCATGTATTTACGAAGTAATCCCAGAAAAGTGGCAATATGGTTTTCTTTTCATGTTAGTCTCAGCTTCTTTTTCTTCCATCTGTTTCTTATGTGTTGAAGTTCAGAATTCTGTCTCTAGTGATCCTATATAATTTAAGATTTGGAAGTCACTCATAGGCCCATGACTCCCAACTCTCTAGCCTGTATCAGATGAACTAAACTAACTACTTATTGGATAGTTTCACTCAGCATTTTTGTTATATTCTTAACTGGACATTTCCATAAGCACCTGAAACTCAATATGAATAAGCCTGAATTCAGTAGCTCCTTCTAAATATGTATACTCCTATTTTGGTATCTTCCATCCCAGTTCATATTTTTACTATCCATCACATCACCAATTTGGAGTCATCCTTACTTCCCCATCATTCTCAGCCTCATGGCCAATTTCAAGTCCTACCTATTCTTTCCCCGAAGTCTTTATTCAGTCTTCTCTATCTTCTACATCCTTGCTATCATCAGCCTCGTTCTAGCCCTTATCATCTGTCACCTGGATCATTACAGTAATCTCTTAATTCAGTGCTACTTGGGTGGCTGATAGACTGTAACACGACCTCACAGTCCGCCTCCTTCTGCTTAAAATCTATCATGTTAGACCTAAAACCATAAAAACCCTATAAGAAAACCTAGGCAATACCATTCAGGACATAGGCATGGGCAAGGACTTCATGTTTAAAACACCAAAAGCAATGGCAACAAAAGCCAAAATTCATAAATGGGATCTAATTAAACTAAAGAGCTTCTGCACAGCAAAAGAAACTACCATCAGAGTGAACAGGCAGCCTACAGAATGGGAGACAATTTTTGCAATCTCCTCATCTGACAACGGGCTCATATCCAGAATCTACAAAGAACTTAAAAAAATTTACAAGAAAAAAACAACCCCATCAAAAAGTGGGCAAAGGATATGAACAGACACTTCTCAAAAGAAGACATTTATGCAACCAAGACACGTGAAAAAATGCTCATCATCACTGGCCATCAGAAATGCAAATCAAAACCACAATGAGATACCATCTCACACCAGTTAGAATGGTGATCATTAAAAAGTCAGGAAACAACAGGTGCTGGAGAGGATGTGGGGAAATAGGAACACTTTTACACTGTTGGTGGGAGTGTAAATTAGTTCAACCATTGTGGAAGACAGTGTGGCGATTCCTCAAGTATCTAGAACTAGAAATACCATTTGACCCAGCCATCCCATTACTGGGTATATACCCAAAGGATTATAAGTCATGCTGCTATGAAGACACATGCACACGTATGTTTGTTGCAGCAATATTTACAATAGCAAAGACTTGGAACTAACCTAAACGTCTATCAATGATAGACTAGATTAAGAAAATGTACCATATATACACCATGGAATACTATGCAGCCATAAAAAACCATGAGTTCGTGTCCTTTGTAGGGACATAGATGAAGCTGGAAACCATCATTCTCAGCAAACTATCTCAGGGACAGAAAAACAAACACCGTTTGTTTTCACTCATAGGTGGGAATTGAACAATGAGAACACATGGACACAGGAAGGGGAACATCACACACTGGGGCCTGTTGTGGGGTTGGGGGGAAGGGGGAGGGATAGCATTAGGAGATATACCTAATGTAAATGACGAGTTAATGGGTGCAGCACACCAACCTGGCTCATGTATACCTCTGTAACAAACCTGCACGTTATGCACATGTACCCTAGAACTTAAAGCATAATAATAATAAAAAAATCTATCAATGGTACTCAATCAGTACAGAATCAAGTCCTAGCTTTTCTTCATGTCATGAAAGATCCTCTGTTATCTTTTACTTTCTTCAGCCCATCACTGCTAATTGCTTATGTGCCATGTCTTGTTTACACCTCTTAAGTCTTTGCTCATGCATGTGTTTCCTCTAACAGGAAACCTTCCCTGAACACCCAGACTGGTTTTGTTGTATCTCCTCTGTCTTCCTATTCTCAAAATTTATGCCTAATCCTACATATGCCCTACTGGCACATCACTATTTATGTCTGTCTCCCTCAAGAGAAGGTGAGTTCTTTCAGACAAGAACTGTCTCCTATTCATCGTTGTTAAGAGTTCCTATGTCAGAGTAGACAACACAAGTGTGTTCAGTTAACTTAACAAGTGTGTTAAGTTAATATTCAAGAGTCTTAGGTTTGAGTTCTATCTGTGTATCAGGCATAAATGTTTCCTTGGGTAGATTTGCTATTTTAATTTTCATGTAGGAGTGTACCCAAACTCAAAGGGATCAGACTCAGTGATTTATATTTTGAGGATTCTGTATACACTGTAAAAGTATAAAAACGTTTCCATTTACATTTTTTCTGCAGGCCTCTCCTAATCCCTTGGACTTGTAGAACCATTTAGAAGGTGGAAAAATCTTCAGTTATTGTTATGGAAGCTTTCTATTATATTAACTCTGTTTTTCAGTATTGCTTTCCCATAAAGAGTTCATCTTATATGTACATTCCATTCAAGAAAATAATGAATTATTAATGAAATTCCTTTTCAAATGAACATTGCAGATATTTGGATAAGCTTGAAAAATATTGGATATTTTATAGACCTTTTTGTTTTGAAAGCCGCACAAGTACTAAACCTATTTCAGACTTTTAATAGAAATTATAGTAGTTTCAGGAACAGTAAAATACATACCTATAAAATCAAATGCTTTCACAAAGATATATAAAAATTGTGTAAGTGACAGGCCAATTAAGAGTATGAATATGTTGAGACTGATGCGACAGACCACTCCCTTCTGCCCTCATCTACCTCCACCACATACACTCAGAGACACCCTTCACCTTCCTTTGCTACTGGTGACCACCCAGACACAGTCATGGTTACCTAAGGGTAATTTAGTAACACGACACACTCAAGTACTCTGGGTCATGCACAGTGTGAGATCATTATTCATTACCCACATACATTAAATTTTTAAAGCACTCCTTGGATTTGATCCAAGAATTATCTCATCAACACTTAACACTCCAGCCACAGAATGAAGGGGCAGGAGGGTGAAATATCACACTGAAATCTGAACCAGACGAGAGACTGAATTGAGACACAGAGGAAGAAAGGGTTTCATAGCTACCCACTGGCCATAATTAGCCTCCCAATCTACACATTTGGCAGGTCCTCATGTGCTTCGGAAGCCTTGCCAATGGACAAGTACACATATCTCCACAAAGTACTTGCAGCCTGTGATTGTTACCAGCAACAGAATTTCAGAAGGGTGATCATGAAAGGAGAAGGGAATGAAAGGAAGTCCTGTGAGAAAATACCCACAGCTGCTTGAGAGAAAATGGGAAGAGATGAAGAATGTAGTGTGCCTGGTTGCCAACACTATGCAGCTGCAATTTTCTAAGAAGGAAAATAGGAAGGCTTCTTTTAAAGCCTTTCAAGATTTAGAGATCTGCTACGAAGGCAATTTACCTTAGAAGATATTTAACTATAAAAATATAGCCAATGGGAGAGAAGCAAAACTTTTGGCATGCTCCAAGCACATAATGTGTTGCCTTTTCTTTAAATATTCTCCTTCAAATGATACAGACTTTATAGTTAAAATGCTCTAAGCCAATGGGAAAAAATTACTTATGTATGAGGAAGAGTTTTGAAAGATGGTCTAAGTTGTTATGACTGGTATTCTTTTAATTCTTTTATGACTTTCAAGAATGTACTAACATTTTTATGACTTTTAGGAATATTTATTAACTGTTGGTGACTGAGAACTGAGGATAAAATGATAAAAAAGATGACCCAGTCTTGATAACTTTTATATTCCACTGAGGATTATAGAAAAAAATCACAATAAATTGTTATGATACAATAAACTGTTGTTCATAGTAGGGAGGTAATATGTGTTATGAAAGACATAGCAGGAAATTCTAAGTCTAAGGACTAGGGGAAGTTAAAGCAAGTACATTGTTTTTCTAAAATATGGAGGGTGAGTATGAGTCATCCAGTAAAAAACAAGATTAAATTTTTGGTTTTGCTTTTTGTTTCTTATCTGTTTATAGGTAACTGGCTAGAGGCAAAAGGAAAGAAAAGATGGGTAGGGGAGAAAAGAAGAGAAAGAGAGAGTTTGCCATGTTGAAAGTATAGGTGGCAAGGTGGGGAGTAGATGACGTGAGTCTGGAGAGGAAGTCAGAGAAGCTGTGCAGGTCAGGAAAGCCCTCAGAAGAACAGTGATATGTTATTTCTCACATAAGCTGGGATACTTTTGAGAAAGACAGGAGGCGCTATTAATAATTATGCCTGGACATGAGCATAAATGGCGACATATGGTGATTCTATTTTAAAAGTACAGAGAATTTTAAAGAAAAGGATGACATTCTGATACTAGCCTTTATAAAAATTCAACTTTAATAGAGAATGGTTTGGAAGGAAATAAAGATGGGCAAAGGGAGACCAGCTGGAAAGGTTTAGATGACGTGGAATGACTGACGATCATGACCTGCACTAAAACAGTTTTGGCAATTTGGAGTTAAATGGATACACCTAGATTTAGAGGAAAAAGAATCAGTAAGACTAATTGGAATAGATGGGGTAAAGGGATTGTGCTGAAGAAGAGACAGAGGCCCGGGACCATTCTTAAGTTATGACTTGAGCAGCTGAGGGGGTATAGTGATGAGTTTTAATGAGGTTAGAAACATTGGATGAGAATCCTGATCTGGGGAGGTAAGGATAGAAGATGTTCAGTTTTTATCATACTGAGTTTGAGAGGGCTGGAAAATCTTAATAAATTTTGAGTAGATAAATTTATATTAGGAGATATAAAACTGGTGGTCATTGACAGATACAGTAGGTGGAAAAGAATAATTTTTTAAAGATAAAACTGTCAAGGAGGTAAAAGGGCCTTGGGCCAAGCCTTGATGTTCTCAAAAGCTATGGCGAGAATGTTTGTTTTCCCCAAAATTTGTATGTTGAAATCCTGACTCTCAAGGTGATGGTATTAGGAGGTGTGACTTTGGGGCGGTAATTAGGTCATGAAGATAGAGCTCTCATGAATAGAATTAGCACCCTTAAGAAAGAGACACCACAGATCTAGCTAGCCTCTTCCATCATGGGAGAGCATAGCAAGAAAGTGCTATTTAGAAACCAGAAAGCGGGCTTTCTCCAAACATCAAACCTGCCTTAATCATGGTCTTCTCAGCTTCTAGAACTATGACAAATAAATTTCTGTTTATAAGCCTCCCAGACTGTGGTATTTTGTTATAGCAGCCTGGATGGACTAAAACATTCAACATTTAATTTGGTATAAGAAGCAAAATTGGCAAAGGAAGTTGAGAAAGGGCAACCAAAGAGATAGGAGAGCTCAAACTTCTAAATGAGACATCAAGTAAAATAAGGATACACGAATACAATAAATTCAGTCACAAATAGGTTATTCAGGCTGCCATCTTTTTCTCGTTTTCTTTTTTGTTATACAGACTGCTTCCTTTATCTTTTGCACTGATTTGTCAGAAATTTATTGTGATTTTAATTATTTTAATGATATAATTATGGGTAAATGTACATAATGCCCAATTATATAATTAAATTACAAATAAAAATAATTTAAAACCCATTTTGTAAGAAACGATTATAAATTTTCTTGGCCTGCATTTTTTTTCTTTTGCTTATCTTCATTTATTCAACCTAGCACTGCAAATCCTATATATATGTGTGTATATATATGTATATACATGCAACATATATACATACTAAATTATACATCTATATGTATACTAAATTACTATCAACATTTCTGTTTTCTCATTTGTACTGTTTTGATAGCATGGTGACAGTTATTTAGGAATTGGTTCACACACCCTCTCAAAAATAGTAATTTCATTTCCTTTGCCTTCTGGAAGCTGATAGATCTGGATATAAATACTAGCTCCATCTTATATTAATAGTGTGAGCTTAAGAAACTGGATAAATTCCATGTGGTGTTTTGTAAAACTGGAACGTTTCTGACTCAAGTGAGTGTTTATTTTCTCCCTTCACCTTATTTGTGATCTTTAGCTCGCTTTCATATTCAGTGTCAGTCTGTTTCCACTGTGACTCCTCAGTTCTTGGGCTTGTTCTTGTTTGAGTCATCTGACCACATAGAAATCTTTGGAAGAAAAAACTATTGTGTTGTTTCATTTTCCAAAACCTTGTAAATCTGAGGATGTTTTATAATAAAATAAAATCGTTAGGGTGTAATTCTCTCCCCTGTCAAATCTTTGAAGACAATTTTTCATTGCATTGTGAAATGTTTATTGTCATGAAGAAGAAATATGAGACTGATTAGATTTTACTTCTTTGAAAGTAACCTCTTTTCTTCCTTCTGGATGCTAGAAAAATTCTTTAATCTTGAAATTTAATAATTTTTTCTGGGGGCATTTGTGTATGTGTGTATGCAATTGAACTTAATACACTGGTTTTGCTTGAACATTTTGGCAATCTCTAGGGCTCTCAAATCAGCTCTTTTTGTGATTAAGAAAGTTATTTGTGCCCATACAGTGGATTGTTGTTTCTAAGCTATTTGCATTGTTTTTCAGCATCTCTATATTTTGTAACCTGGACTTTTATGATATGTCTTCTATTATTTCATCTTTTGTTGTTTTCTATTTCTTTATGTAATTTGTTCTCATCTTGGTGGTCTTTCAAGAGTTTTCTTTATAAACACTTATTCTGAACTATTGTGATTATTAGTATTCTCGAAGTACATTTAATTTCACCTTTTTTTTTCATTAATCTTTGTAGTAAAGACTAGAAGAAGCAAGTTTAGGGAGTTCTTGCCTCATGGCTTCTACTTTTTTTTTTCTGTGAAGTAGGAAACAAGATACCTGCTGAGAGTGAAGGGAGGCAAGCACAAATAGAAGATTTAAGATTAGATAAGTAATGGCATAATTCTAGAGGAAAATGCAAAGGGAATTAACCAAAAAAAGAAAGGGAAGAGCTGAGCAAAACAATAATTGGCTAAAACTGAGAACCATACATTTGTGATTTCTGCCATCAGGGAACATAAACTCCAGTTGGGAAATATGAAAAGTACTCCAACCATTACAACCCAAACAAGTTACAGTGGTTCATGATTGTGAATAAATAGACAGACAGATTTATGACTCAGACATTTTTCCTTTTTGATAATAATCAGACATTCTCATATAAGAAACATTTTATTATTTCATTAAAAAATTCTAAATAATGTGCATAATCACATCTCCCTTACCAGCCTATCCATTTTCTGACAAGTTTCCTTGTAAATTTATCACCGATATTAGAATTAGAAATATCTCTACTTAATTTCTTATGCAATTTTAAAAGTGTTGATGCAGAATTAATTTCTTTCCAGCATCCTGACTACCTTTAATTTATAATTTAAAAATTTAGGCTTAGATAAATAAAAAGAAAATAACTTCCTAAATATGTGTTTTTTTCAGGTAACACCCCATATATTTGAAGCTGTATTTACCTCTTAACCTGAGCTTTTTAGTTTATATCTAAAAAATATTTCATAGACAAAGTAACTGTATATTTGGATGTTAAATTGTGGATTATACTAATTTATACTGAAATAAGAAAGGTTACAAAATTGCACTGTAAAAATTGCACTCTACCATATATATCTTATAGAGGCAAATTGTTGGCGTAGTCATATAAAATAATGCGGTGTTAATCTCTTGATGCCTTTTAGGTATATTTACAGATTACCAGCAAGCATGAAAAGAAGATCTATTTAATATTTTGTCTTATTGCATAGTAACTCACGGCAATAGTAAAGAAGTTGAAGATTTTCTGAGTTCTAGAGGTCAAACACCTGAAAATGAAGAAGCAGAAAGGAATACCACAAAGATGAGAAATTTTTACAAGAATGAATGGCACCATAAATTTAAGTCTAAAATTGTAGCTGTTCTGAGATATGCCCAATGTACCAAGTAACAACTAGTCAAAAAGAAATTGTTATTTTCACCAACAATTCCCCCAAACAAGTATCACAATGTTTAAGGAAACTATAAAAATATTCTCACATTTTTCCAATGCCCTGCATTCATGCCATCTGTATTAGTCTGCTCGAGATGCTGTAACAGCAATATACCACAGACTGGATAGCTTAAACAACAGGCATGCATTTTCTCACAATTCTGGAGGCTATAGAAGTCCATGATCAAGGTGCCAGCCAATTCAATTTCTGGCGAGGGCTCTCTTTCTGGCTTGTAGACAGCTGCCATCTCACTATGTCCTTGGATGGCCTTTCTGCCATTCATGCCCATAGAGGAGATCCCTTAGTTGTCTTTTCTTTTTCCTTTCTTTTCTTTTCTTCTTTCTTTCTTTTCTTTTCTTTTCTTTTCTTTTCTTTTTTTTTTTTTTTTTTTTTGAGATGTACTTTTGCTCTTGTTGCCCAGGCTGGTGCAATGGTACGATCTCAGCTCACTGCAACCTCCAGCTCCTGGGTTCAAGTAATTCTCCTGACTCAGCCTCCCGAGTAGCTGGGATTACAGGCATGTGTCACCATGCAGGCTAATTTTTGTATTTTTAGTAGAGACCCCCGGGGTTTCACCAGTCTGGTCTTGAACTCGTTAGCTCAGGTGATCCACCCGCCTTGGCTTCCCAAAGTGCTGGGATTACAGGCATGAGCCCCTGTGCCCAGGCTAGTTGTCTTTTCTTATAAGGTCACTAATCCTATCAGATCAAAGCCCCACTCTTATGACCTGATTGAATCTTGATTACTTCCTTAGAGGCCCCATTTCCAAATAGAATCACATTGGTGTTAGAGCTTTAATATATGAATTTGGGAGAAACAAATTTTGTCTATAACACCATACATTGGGTGGAATTACTGGAAAAACTTTTTAGCTTTACTTAAAAGGGGCCACCACTGTGGAGTTATTTAAATAGATTCTGACTATTTTAAAAGAGTCATGGCCGAAGGTAGCTTTAGGCCTTTCCCAGTCCTCAGAACCTCTTGGTAATTGACTTGATTCTAAGCTTTACCCCCACCTCTTCCCCTGATCAGTCTTGGAGGAGGAGGAGGGTAGAAAATTGAAGATCACACAGTGCAAGGTGCTCACCCTCATCTTCTTAAATGACCAAAGACTGTCTGCTAGGCATGCTAAAAAGCTAGTTCACAAAATCTGAAGCCCTTTCCCTGAAATATTAGTTACTGTTTAAGTTAGAATAAAAGGACTTTATGTGAAGGACTCAAGTCTTTGACTAAGTATCCAGCCTATTCAGGTTCCTTGGACCATGCAGCAGCTTTTCTTTCCTAAGGTGACCTTGCCTAGATCATATATGCTTAAAATACTTAACTTTGCTATTACCTTATGCATTTTCTTCCTGAATGCTATTGTGAATAATTACCCTGCATTTGTCAGCATATCTACATTTCTAAAATAATTTTAGAAAAATTGCCTTCAACAATGGATCAATCATTACAACTTAATCTTTACCAATATTACTAGAACATTAGAATAATTATCCTAATATTCTACTTACCCCATTAATTGAATAGCAGTCTTGCTTTTTAATGCTTGCAGTTACATTTCTGAGAAAATTTTCTATTCACGCTTTTTATAGATGAATAGGTAATTTACTGGACTGTTTTATGTTTTCTTGTGTTTAATTTAAGGCAAAACATGTTCCCACAATGGACTACTGCAAAGGAATTGTGTTAAAAGCAAAGTATCTAATGACCTTTCCAATGCCTATGCAACAACTCACTATTAAAACATTTGTCCAGAGTGCTAAAATGACATACAGAGTGATGCTCATTGCACTGGACTAAAAAGCCCTGCCTGTTGTTTTTCTGGAAACTCTTTGTTTTGTCTCAGTGCATGCTTGGATTTGCTCCCTGATATAATTTCCATTCCGTAAGCCCAGGCCTCCTAGATATACCATCCATGATGTGCCCACTTTTTGTCTTATGTACATCAAACAGCTCAGGAATCACTGGAGTATATTATTTTTAAAAACAGGTCTGGTACTTTCTTGGCTCTTTTCTAAATGTTATTATTGGAATTTTTACAATTTTATGGCATTCAATGGGACCCTACAATTTCCTTGAGTGTAGGATTTCTTCTTTCCTGTATTTTTATGCCACAAAGCTGAATTTCAAAGAGAAACACTAGAAACACTCTTCTTTCTACAAGGAATAAAAGGCCTCAGCAAATTCCTAATCTAATTAACGTCTTTAACAACTTAGACAATAAATTGACTGCAACTGCTCTGGAAGTTCTGTGTCACCTTGTTAAGCTGCTTTCCAAGGTGCTATAAATCAAAAGAGAAACGCTAAGGTCATTGCATATGTTTGTTGCTTGTTCCAGTGTGAAAGGCTGATTGCTTTACCAACTGCTCATTTAGGCTGGATATTTTTTTAGACTTGTTTAGCATTTCAGTTTTGGAAAAGTGGCCGCTGTGAATACACATTATATTGTGGCTCCAGTTTCTTAGGCCAAAGTCTAATAACCTGGTTACTTCATTTATTATCAATTATGTATATTTTTCAAAGAGAATAATGAGCAAATTAAAATTTATGAAGAAGGTTATACAATACCCTTTAACATTTCACTTGAACTTTTGTCACACTATTGAAATTCTATAATTTCTTTCTTATGAATTTCCATGGGATATGATTCACTATGTGGTTATGATAATGACATTTCTCCAAAAGCACTGGGTTATCATTTATGTTCAGATAAGCCAATGTTTTATACCTTTATTTCAAACTGAACCTTATGTATAACTGAAATACAGGTAGAAAGGCAAATATTAGTTAATAATTTGAATATAAACTTCCATTTGAACACACTCCATCTTTTAGATATCAGTATTGTGATGACCTTAACTGAATGAGGGTTTTTTGGTCCCTAGTGTAGTTCATTTGTAGAGTGTCTATATGGTCCACAGTATATCCATGGCATGATCCTGGGATTTTAAACCAATGTATTTTATTTTGTTTTGTTTTGTTTTTTTTAGCTAATATCTTTTGTGAGCCTCAAATTAAGAGGTTACTTATGAAAAGATCATGACCTGGTATAAAAGAACAAAATGACTAATTATTTTAATGTGTAATCTAGAAAAAGTCTTTATTATTGTCATATGATATTCAGTCATCTAGTAACTTAACCAAAATAGAATAATAAATTGGTTTGCATTGTGTTCATAAAATAACAAAGAAAAGGGTTCTGGTCTATTCACACAAAATGGGAAATAATAAAAATTTAAATTCTATCTCATTAGTAATTTACAAAGTGTGAAATTACAGAAATAGATAAATAACAAAATGCAACTGAAGTTGGTGACTTCATACACTCTTCATGGTATTAACAAGGAGCATGATATTTGAGGAACTAATTTTACAATGTATCTATACAACCAATACCATAATCCATTAGTCTGGTATCTGGCTGTCTATCACAAGAAAATAACAAAGACTTTTAGAAAAGCACTATAGTTACTCTGTGCATAATGAAGTTTCAGTCAATGACTGACTACATATATGATGGTTGTCCTGTAAAATTATTATATGGCTTTTTTTTAACTTGTAAGTTGAACAATACAGGTGCAGTTTGTTACATAGCTAAACTTATGTCATGAGGGTTTATTGTAAGATTATTTCATCACTCAAGTACTAAGCCTAGTACCCATTAGTTTTTTTTCCCTGATCCTTTCCCTATTTCCACCCTCTACCCTCTGAAAGGCCTCAGTGTGTGTTATTCCCCTCTATGTGTCCATGTGTTCTCATCATTTAGCTCCCATTTATAAGTGAGAACATGCAGTATTTGGTTTTCAGTTCCTGTGTTAGTTTGCTAAGGATAATGGCCTCCAACTAGAAAAAAAACATTTAAAAATTCATATGAAACCAAAAAGAGCCTGAATAGCCAAGGCAATCCTAAGCAAAAAGAAAAAAGCTAGAGGCATCATGCTACCTGACTTCAAACTATGCTACAGGGCTACAGTAACCAAAATAGGAATGGTAATGGCACAAAAACAGACACATAGACCAATGAAACAGAATAGAGAACCCAGAAATAAGACCATGTGCAGTCTTATTTTTGAGAAACCTGACAAAAAGAAGCAATGGGCAATAATGAATATTGAAACTCCCTATTCAATAAATGGTGCTGGGATAACTGGGTAGCCATATGCAGAAATTAAAACTGGACCCTTTCCTTACACCATATACAAAAATTAACTCAAGATGGAATAAAGACTTAAATATAAAATTATATGGTATTTTTACTGTAAACTTTTCTATGTTTAGATACACAAATACTTACCATTGGGTTGCAATTGCCCATATAT
This sequence comes from Homo sapiens, assembly GCF_000001405.40. Classification (NCBI taxonomy): domain Eukaryota; kingdom Metazoa; phylum Chordata; class Mammalia; order Primates; family Hominidae; genus Homo; species Homo sapiens. The sequence goes on from NC_000007.14 coordinate 19,528,932, forward strand.
TTAGTACAGTAATGGGCTGTACAGCTTTGTACCCTAGGAGCAATAGCCTATACCGTATATTCTAGGTGTAGTAGGCTCTCCCATCTAGGTTTGTGTAAGTACACTATGATGTTTGCACAATGACAAGATCACCTGACAATACATTTCTCAGAAGGTAACCCTGTTGTTTAGTGATATCTGTAACAGCCAAAAACTGAAAACACAAAAGCATTCAGTGATAACCAAATGGTTGTTTTTGTTTGTTTGTTTGTTTGTTTGTTTTGAGGCAGTCTTACTCTGTCACCCAGGCTGGAGTGCAGTGGTGTGATCTCAGCTCACTGCAACCTCCACCTCCCAAGTTCAAACGATTCTCCTGCTCAGCCTCCCCAGTAGCTAGGATTACAGGCACCCGCCACCATGCCTGGCTAATTTTTTGCGTACTTAGTAGAGACGGGGTTTCTCCATCTCGGCCAGGCTGGTTTCGAACTCCTGACCTCAGGTGATCTACTGGCCCTGGCCTCCCCAAGTGCTGGGATTACAGGCGTGAGCCACCGCTCCCAGCATACCAAGTGATTGTTTAAATTATGATACATCAACCACATGTATATTACTCAACCATTAAAGTGATGGTTATTATTATATATTGACATGAAAAAAGGCTTATGAACTAATGTTAGGGAACAAAAAAACAGGGTAAAAATTTTGTGCACACTATACAGCTATTTAAAAATATGCATCTGACAAAGATAGGGAGTAATACTCCAAAATCATGGTAGCTGCTATTTTGGGGCAGCATTTTATGGATATTTTTCCTTTTCTCCTTTCCAAACTTTTTCCTCTGATGTGGTTATATTACCATTATTTTTATAATAATTATTAAAAACTCAAACCTAGTAATTTTTAACCTATTATTTGTGAATTGTAAACAAAATCCCAATGAAAATAGCTATTTAGGAGAACAGCCTCTGTCCAGCTCCCCAATATTTTGTAAGAATGCCTTTATTTCTAAACTTTTTTGATGACAGAGGAAAAAAAAATCAAAGATAAATGAGGCAAAACCTACCGGTCACTGGGAAAGGTTGATGTGCTGTGAGAATTGTTAGTAACTGCAGGAGATCTTACAGATTGACTCAACTCTATCTATTTCCACACATTTGTGATGGAAGCTAGAAAATGTTTTGTAAAAATATATTTTCATAAAATGGCTTATAGAATATGGACCAAAGCTTCTGAAAAGTCTGATGTTTGAAATGGTGGGTAAGTCAGCTGAGAGGAAGGCTGTGAAAGACCACAGCTGGTTGTTTTTTTGTTTGTTTATTTTTTTCAGAGTAATTTCACAACCCTTCCAAATTAGCATCTGCCTTTCTGGGAGTTAGACCTGAGAGACAGAAACTTCAAAGTCTGTGATATTTAAATGAGCTTCTTGTTGGCTGATAAGTTTTGATGTAGCTTTATTTCTAAATTTAAGGTTACCAGATATCTGCAGTTTTGGGAGCAAGCCTGGGATTTGCTCTTGCTTTCCCAGCTGCATTGTATCACTAGTTTGGAGGAACAACTTAAGAAATTTAGCCACTCCTGGGGGAATAAGGGATTAAGTTTGACTTTCTTTATGGAATCAACATTTGGTTGAATATTTTTTTCTATGTATTCATGCATAACCACATAGACAAACCAATTGAATAATGATTGAATGTCATTTTGTTCTTCTTATGAACTCTAATATTTCACTTTCTTATATTTTCTGTATATAAGAATGGGGAGGCTTGAAATACGGTTTTTCATCATGTGTTTGAGGGTAAGATAGATGATGTATAAGGGTAAGATGTGACTATATCATTCTTCGAAGTGTACTGTACTTCATTTCTTTACCAAACAAGAGATCAACTGAAGTGGTCTGTTTCAAAGAGACCCCCTCTCCCCTCTAAACTGGAGGGCATATGCTTTTGTGAAAATGTATATATGTTTACATAGAATGAATTTGGCTTTGTAAATCAGATCAATCAAAGAAGTTCTCTAGTTTCCCAACTTGGATAAATACTACTTCTAGGATAGTTGAAAGTTTAGAGGTGAATTATTAAGATCCCCTAAGAACCAGAGAAGCACTGGGTCAGCTCTATCCTAGGTTGACGTCAGCAGTGTCCAGCAGCAGTTAGTGATAAAGACAACCTCCCTTACTGGGAGCACCTAGGGAAACCACATCTGAATTAAAAGTCATCTGTAAGAACTGAATTAGGTCAAAAGTGTTTTGTTTTGTTTTTAGTTTTTAACTAAAACTACCCTGAGGAATTTACTCGGGTGTATTACAAAACTACGTCTGCTGAGAACTTTACTAGAGTTTTTGCCTGTGTTTTTCTATGGTTTTTGCAACAAATGACTTCTCTGGTCATTTGGACACAATCAATTAATTTGTGATTTCTTTTTCCTCATTGTTATCTTTACTGCTACAGATACCACTAGTAGTCACAAATTTGTCCAACTCATTAAACTCTCCTAACTTCTTCAAAAGCAGTAATTGCTCTGGAAGAAACTTCTCCAAGCTCTTCTTATAGCATTAAGTGTGTAGAGCCTGTTTTGTTTTCTCTAGTAGTCTTTTTATTAATTTCAAATTTTTATTTTAATGGCACTTAATTCCTTATTTATACTAACTTTCTGTATCTAGTGATTTACGTGATTAAAAATCATCTAGTTACACTAATCTCTCTTGCTACTCTTCAGGCTATATTACCAATAAAAACCTTGTAGAGTTTTAATTACTTTCCTACAAGAAAAGGTAAGAGAAAAAAGGCTTTGTTTTCTCTTGCTTCCATTAGTGTGTTCAGTGATTTACCTCAAAGATGTGGGCTTTGTCATGAAATCTTTGCCAAGGTGTACGTCCAAAATGGTATTTCCTAGGTTTTCTTTTAGAGTTTTTACAGTTTCAGGATTTGCATTTGTCTCCTTTTATCTTGAGTTGATTTTTATATGTAGTGAAAGGAAGGGGTCGAGTTTCCATCTTCTGCATATGGCTAGCCAGTTATTCTTGCACCATTTATTGATAGGAGTACTTTCCCCATTGCTTGTTATTGTCAACTTTGTAGAGGAGCAGATGTGATCTTCTCATGCAACTGTAGGTGTGTGGCTTTATTTCTGATCCCCTAACCTATTCCATGAGCGATTGCAACAAAAACAAAAATTGACAAGAGGGACACTTGCATGGGGCCTGTAACCCCTTTGTTTTGGCCAATTTCTCCATTTCTCCCATTTGGAATGGGAGCATTTATCCAATGCCTGTACCCCCATTGTATCTTGGAAGTAACTAACTTACTTTTGATTTTACAGGCTTACAGGCAAAGGGACTTGTCTCAGACGAGACTTTGAACTTGAACTTTTGAGTTAATGCTGAAATGAGTTAAGATTTTGGGGAACTATTGGGAAGGCATGATTGGTTTTGAAATGTAAAAAGAACACGTGATTTGGGAGCAACCAGGTGTATAATGATATGGTTTGGCTCTGTGTCTCCACCCAAATCTCATCTGGAAGTGTAATCCCCATAATCTCCACATGTTGAGGGAGGGACCTGGTGGGAGATGATTGGATTATGGGAGCAGTTTCCCCCATGCTGTTCTCATAATAGTAAGTGAGTTCTCATGAGATCTGATGGCTTTATAAGTTTTTGACTGTTCGTCTTTCACATGCGCTCTCTCTCTCTGTCTCATGATGCCTTGTGAGGAAGGCGCCTACTTCCTCTTTGGCCATAATTATAAGTTTCCTGAGGCCTCCCTAGGCATATGGAGCTGTGAATCAATTAAACCTCCTTTGTTTATAAATTACCCAGTCTCCAGTAGTATCTTTATAACAGTGTGAAAACAGACTAACACATACCTAATTAAAGAGCTTCTACAGAGCAAAAAATAAAAATAAATAAATAAAAGTAAAAACAACCAAAAATTATCAATGTAGTAAACAGACAAGCTATAAAATGGGAGAAAATATTTGCAAACTATGCGTCTGACAAAGATCTAATATCCAGAATCTATAAGGAACTTAAAGCAATAAGCAAAACACTACTCCATTTAAAAATGGGCAAAGGACACGAACAGAAACGTCTCAAAGGAAGACATACACATGGCCAACAAGCACATGAAAAAATGCTCAACATCACTAATCATTGGAAAAATGCAAGTCAAAACCACCATCTCATACCAGTCAGAATGGCTCTTATTAAAATGTCAAATAATAACAGACATTGGTGAGGCTGCAGAGAAAAGGAAACATTTATACACTGCCGGTGAGAATGTAAATTAGTTTAGCCACTGTGGAAAAAAGTTTAGAGATTTCTCAAGGAACTTAGAACTACCGTTTGACTCAGCAATTCCATTACTGGGCATATATCTAAAGGAATACATATCATTCAACAATAAAGAAACATGCACACATATGTTCATTGCAGCACTTTTCACAATAGCTAAGACATGGAATCAACCTAGATGGCCATGAATTGTGGACTGGATTAAAAAATGTGGTACATATACACCATGGATATACAATGGAATACTATGCAGCCGTCAAAAAGAATGAAATCATCTCCTTAGCAGCAACATAGATGCAGCTGTAGGCCATTATCCTAAGCAAATTAATGCAGGAACAGAAGACCAAATATCACATGTTCTCACTTATAATTGGGAGCTAAAAATTGAGTACATATGAACACAAAGAGGAGAACAATAGACATTGGGGGTTACTTGAGGGTGAAGGGAGCAAGGAGGATGAGGATCTAAAAACTACCTATCAGGTACTGTACTCACTACCTGGGTGATTAAATCATTTGTACACCAAACCCTAGCGACACACAATTTACCTTTGTAATAAACCTGCACATGTACCCCCTGAACCTAAAATAAAAGTTGGAAAAAAATTGGAAAAAATTTTAAAATAAATTGTATTATCACCCCCAAAAAACATATAGCCAAAATGAAAGTAGTTTGAAAAAATAGTATGTACAATTGATGAATCTATTTCCCTAATACCATCATTTTTCTCTGATCATCATACTTACATTTTATTCCAATCCAATATAGTTCTATCTGTCAGCATATTATTGGTATGTAAAATCATGCACTAAATTTCATTAAAATATCAAGATTTTCAGATTTTCCTTCTTAAATTATATTCAAACATATAACCTAATGAGACTCTGGGACTGCAGTCAACAATAACTTTGGTTGTAAAATATATACTTCATTGCTCATCACTAAGAAAATTGCTGAGACAATGTATCACCTTATAAGTATACACAACAATAACAACTGTGTCTATATCTGGTTTCCATGAATTGGTCATCCAAACAAAAGATCTGCCTGGATTGTTTTGTTTCTTAACATGTATACTTGAGGCCTTGAGCTTTCCAATTATGCCTAATGAGTTCCTAGAGTTATAAGGTACATGAGTGAATTGGTAAATAATCTAATTTAATAAGAACTTAAAAGCTATGTTTTGAAAGAATGGCTCGACGAGACACAGAAAGACTACATATTGTAGTATTATTCCATTCATACGTAATGTCTAGTAAAGTCAAATTTAGAGAAACAGAAAGTAAATTAGTGATTGCCTGGAGCTGTGGGTGGGAACAGTAATTAACTGTAAACAGGCACAAGGATCTTTTTGGGGCCATGGAAATGTTCTAAAACTAGATTGTGGTGAGGGTTCTATAACTTGGCATTATTTAGGAAGAATTTTGAAATATTTATGTGTGTGTGTGTGTGTGCACACACATATAAAATAATGGCTTGATTAAAATGTTATTTCAATGATTGTTCAATTAAAGTTACTTAATTTACACTTATTATATAATCTGTCATTTTTCCACCCTAGAGGATGATAGAAACAAATTCTGGAACTTACTCTCCCTTTCCATTTTCCACATTGAGGAGGGGTGTACATGCCTTATCTTCCAATTTTAACCACTTAACTACAGAGCTCAGAAAATGATAGTGACTCAAGTTTTTTCTGGAGAGAAATGAAAAATGTATGTAGGTACCTAAATCAGGCCTGCCTTAACGTAGCTCTACATCCCCCAGAAACTGTCATGGTGTTAATATACATTGTATACTCTCCATAAATATCTGTTGAATGAATACATAGAGAACTGGGTGCATACATGGCTCCGAATTACAGTTGTTGAATCTATAGCAGAATTTCTCATAAATGTGAGAAGTTATATTAAGTAATTCATAACCTGCTATTTGTTCTAATACATTATGGTGGTTTAAGATCAAGGCACAGAAAATATTTTCAAGTACATAATGTTTCATCTATACATTAAATGTTATAAGACATTATTTTCTTTCTCTTTCAAGAACTGAATATTCCCCTGGAGGTGAAGGGTAAAACTAGTTACAATATTACATCACTGACTAGAATACAATGGAAAACCATTTTACAACCGCAGAAAGAAAGGGCTATTGCATGTTCTAGTTTATTTTAAAACTATTTTGGAAAGACCCACTTCTGACTCAATTTTTGGCAGTAGACCTTGTTTAGGAACAAAATCAATAAAAGAGTGCATTAATGAATTAAATAAATACATTTTTGCATATAAAAGAAATTAATTCATTATAACCTGAGTTTGGCTTATGATAGTCAATTCTATTGAACTAAAATGATGTATTTAACTCAGTTGCAAAGTGCTAATTTCATAGTCCCCTTCCTTCCCCCAAGGTGTTCCAGCATAGGTGTTATGGTTAATTAACTGCCATTTTTTCTCAATAATTCAGAATCTGCAATGAATCAAAAAACTCTGTGTGAGTTACTTTAGAAAATGATAACACTCAGTTTATTATGTAGCATATTCCTCTACTTGTTTAATGATAGGAACAGTTACCACAGAATTTATTATGCAAAACTATGAGACAATTGATTTTTCTCACCATATACCAACTTAATATCTATTAATGTTTACTCACATATACCCACATGTAAACATCCATATTCATAACCACACCAAAAAGTTGCACATTATTATTTACTGAAATTGCAGTTTTAAATCTAATTAACTAAAATTCCAGTATTATATCCAAAATAAGACCTGCTACTTTTGAACACAGAATTGTTTTTTATTGTCCTGTCTCAAAATAGGTATATAATGACAAAATTATGATTCAAATTCATACATGGCTACAGAATTGTAGTGAGTGAAGAATGCATCTTTTCCTTTTATGGAAGCTACCATAGAGAAAATGTAGGCGTCACCTCAAATTAGTAGTCTATGTCTCAGAGCTACTCAAACTCATACCTGTCTTTTAACTGAGATCACTAAAAACTGTACCTATCACAATGAATCCATTTGAAAATTTACTTCTGCAAGTAGATCCATAATCAGAAGATCAGTGCTCAGTTTATAAGCATGCTTTCTGGACAGACTGTTAGGAAACAGTTGGTAGTTGCTTTCTGTTCCTTTGGTCCTGTGGCAGAGGTAAAGTGTTCTTGTAAATAAAATCCAGCCTCTTGTTCACAATTAAAGCCTGCCCTGGAGGCCAATGTGTATAGTTCATGCTGCCATAACTGCCATGTGTTTTTTCACCTTAGTAACTTACATCAGTAGAGTTTCCACTGGATGCTAAGTTTTAATTAAGAGGGTGATGATAAGGAGACTATGCCTTTACTTCTGGGACCAAGTCACCATGTGTCTGAACAGGGTTTTCTAGTGGCAGAGGCAATACAGCACTATAAGAAATTTGTGCCTCCTCTCTATCCCTGATCGATTGATATAACACCCAGGAAAGCACATCTCGCCCTGAATACAACTTTTTAACACACAGGCTTTTTAAGACCTTGAGGAATCATTTGTTAATGAATAATTCCCTAACATTTTGTTTGATAATGTCTGCCTTCCCTACTACCCTGGAAACTCCACCAGGAATAGGAGCCATTTTTTCTCTTTTGTTTCCCATAGGATACATAGTGCCTTTAGCATAGTGCTCAGTGAATGGTAGAAAATTGATACTTATTTGTTATTTGTTGAAAAAAATTCATAAAATACATCTCTGTGAATAATCACTTACCTGACATTATTCAGTTACAAAAAGTCCCACTGGCTTGTTTGATTATTGCTGTACGGATTTGACAGGATTTTTATTCTCAATAACATCCAGTATGCTTCAGAACATTCAAAATAATGTCTCTGTGAGCTGAGATCATGCCACTGCACTCAAGCCTGGGTAACAGAGTGGATCCTTGGGTCTTGCTAATAATAATAATGGTAATAATGAACATCCCTAGTATAAAGACCTATTAAAAACAATCTATCTGTTTGAGTCAATGTTAAAGAAGTTCTTCTTTCTGAGGTGGTAGAGGGTTATTAAAAACTAACTTTTTGGCCGGGCGCAGTGGCTCACGCCTGTAATCCCAGCACTTTGGGTGGCCAAGGCAGGTGGATCACAAGATCAGGAGATCGAGACCATCCTGGCTAACACAGTGAAACCCCGTCTCTACTAAAAATACAAAAAATTAGCCAGGCGTGGTGGCAGGCACCTGTAATTCCAGCTACTTGGGAGGCGGAGGCAGGAGAATCGCTTGAACCCGGGAGGCGGAGGTTGCAGTGAGCCGAGATCACGCCATTGTACTCCAGCCCAGAGGATAGTGCAAGACTGTCTCAAAAAAAAAACAAAAAAACAAAAACCAAATAAAACAAACAAAAAGCCAAAAAAACAAAAAACAAAAAACTAACTTTTCTTCAATATTCTCCTTAGAACTGGGCTTTAAATGTATAAGACTTCAATTATCTAACCAACTGAAATTTCAGTGAGCTGTGTCTCAGTTTGTGCTTAGAATAAGCACCCCATGCCTGCAGCTTGTATGAGCCAGCCGTTCTTCGGTGGACCATGTTCACATGGGGTGGTGGTCCTGATTTCCTTCTCTGAGTGGCCCCTGGCTAAAATGGCAAAACTTATCACAAAGTGAGCATGGAGTCTAGGATGTGCATTGCCTTTCAGGATAAATCTCTCCCTGTCTCACTGGCCCTTAGATTGGAGGATTGTTGTTCTGAGGATTTATTTAGCATTCGTGAAGGACTGACAAGGTCCCCAGCACTGAATAAAACACAGGAGGCGACATGCTTCAGTTTCCCACTGGGCTTAGAGTTGAGGTAATTACAGTTCTGGGTTTTGTGCATGTTTGGAATTTAAAACTGTTGCTTTGTCAGTGTGTTGATTTTATGGTCAGTCTCAAGAGTAAGTGGATTTCAAAAACATAGCCAGTTAAGAGGAGAATTGGCTGACTGTTAGATACAAGTATCTGGATAATAGTAGTATCCGTCCCACAAGATGGTTCTGAAAGGAAGGTTATAATTGACTTAAGCCGTTTTCTGCTGCCTGTTCTTTTAAACATGTGGCTGGAAAGCCTCTTCTGGTCTCTTAGCTCAAATGCTCAAACATATTCTGTAACAGTCATGCAGCCTAGTGTAACACAAAGAAAGTATTGTACTTCATCACTTAGCTAGCTTTTCCTACAAGATCAAAAGTGAAAGCTATTTCCATTTGAATTGGAAATATGCAGTAAACATTTTCTTGATAGAACTTTTAAGATTTCTCTGTGTATTGTTAGGAAGGCAAAAAGTAAAATTGGATTGTATCTCCTTAAGGCAGTAAAAATGGAATGAGGAATTTTTTTTTTCTGAAAATGTCACAGGTTAATATCAAAGAGGCCATCAAACTGTTCGGTTTCATAAGGGAAAATACTTAGAGATGGGAAATAGGACTTAGGAACACAGTAAAATCTTATAAATTGATAGTCTGTGATACTTTCAACAAGGGCTTGCCTTAAGTTTAGCATAGAATGATTTATAAAGAGTTTGTAAATCAACTCATCAGGTAAAGACAATTACAATGGGAATTTGATTCCAAAATTTCTTAACTGTGTTAGAAATACTATTTTCATGACAGCAATTAATGTACAAAACCCAATCATTCTTAACATGAATTTGATTAGACAAGGTTTTATTGTACAATACAAATTTATAGTAAATGAAAATAACAGAAACTAATTTTTTTCCTCGAAGTATTATATAACTATCCACTTACATCAGGGGTTTGCATTTTGTATCTACCACACCCTCCCTTCCCTTTTTTATTTATGGGTCCCAGCCCCAGGCACAAAACAGAAAAAGGTGAGGGTCATCTACCTGGTTAACTGATTTAGTTCTTTTTTTTTTTTTTCCTTTGTTACAGTGAGCCCAGTGCATCATATGCCATTGAGGAAAGCATAAATGAGCAAGAGTCATGAGGATATAGAACTGCTTCTTTCTATTGTCTCTCACATCAATTTAGGAGCAATTCTATGGGGAATCTACTTCTGGGGAAGAGTCCCAGGAGGTTGACCATGGCTGCTGGAGGTGGGGATCTGGTGGGAGAGAAACATTACATGGCTATGAAGATGAATATGAGGAACTTAAGGTCCAGGGAGCCCATCTAGGTACCTGGAAGTCCTTGACATGTATCACTAGCAGAGGCAGGAGAGTAGGGGTGGGCACAGCATCCTCTCAAAGAGACCACATGAATGGGCCTGGAGCTGGTGCTTGGAAAGAGGGAAGTTCATGGTGTTTGAAAAAGGAAGGACAGAATAAGCAAGGCACATTCAGAGATGTGAGAGGCCATCACAGACTCTAGACCTGAAAATGTGCCTCCCATCTCATCTTGGCCCAAGGGCCATGCCCATTCTGAACTAAGACAGGAGCAAAGTCGTGTAGTATCATTTGCTGGGTTGTGTTTGGGCACAAATAACATAGAGAACCAGAGGAAGCCGTGCCTTCCATAAGAACAGAGCAGCTCAAATCAGTAATATTTTTCTGCTGATGTGCAGAGGGAAACTTAGGGACAGGGGCTGGTTCAGAATGCTCTGTCCTGCTTAGGGAACAGTGTTATAGAATGGACTTGTTGAAGCTACTCGCTTAAAGGCTATGGAGATAATTGGAACATATGTACCTGAGAAGACATGGTACTCACAGTTATGGCTGAGGGCCTGCTTAAGGACCCCGAGGTAATAACGGCAAGATTTTGCTCTTTGACTCTGGATGACCTCATTAACCGTCTACTGTAAATGCTGTAAATCCATCAGCGTCTGTAGGCATTGGTACCTGCTTACTTTCTGTTCTGGGTGTGAAACCCTTGATAATCGCTTTTGACAGTACTTATTTTCACTTCTTCATCTTGAGTTGAACCTTACTTTCAAGAAATTCCTGCTTTTCAAAGAAATTCTGAATCGCCGGGATCCTTCAAAGGTGAAAGGAGTTGCCAGAAAGGGGGAGAGAAACATGAAAGCGTCTTGACAGATTTTAAGGTACAACTTTAGTGTTTCTCAGGGACCTGCTTTTCATAGAGAGGACTAAGACTGTACAACACGACAGGAATATGAGATGGGCAAGTCTCAACCTGAAAGAGCAGAGATACAGATCCTCACTGAGTTCTGTTGTCATTACTAGTTATGATGACAGGCCATGAAGCCCCAATAGGCCTAAATGTTCAGATTCTATATATTGACTGCTACTAAAAATAGAGCAGGAAAACAAGCTTTGACAGTGCCTGAGAAGACCTTCTTTGATGTTACAGGGGCATGAGACACATCCCCAACGGCAGTGCATTCTCTCCATTAAGTTACCAGGGTCCCATTGGCAGAGAACAAGAGCCCCGAGGAGTAACAGGACATGTTCCACCATCCTCAGAAGTTGCCCCAGCCTGAGGCTGGAGAGGATGGATAACTAAGGTTGGTACAATATGTTTAGAAAACTCACTAAAATGGCTCAGAGGGTATTTTTGAGGGCTCTCTCTTCCCTCAGCATCTTTTTCTTCTTTTGCTTTATGAAGTATTCTAATAATTTCAATATGAACTTTCCCTTCTGATATTTATTTTAGAATAAAGAATCTTTTAATAGGAGCTTTGTTCTTAAGAATTTGTCCGAAAGGATTTTTTTTAAAATGCTCATCACTGTAATGAACATCAAAATCTAAGATTCTCAGTCTTAAGATCAGAACTAGAGAGCTATATATGCAATGTAAAGTTATAGAGACTTTGGGTCTCAGACCAATAGCAATGGCTTGTTTCAAATTCAAAATGGAAATACATTCCCAGAATCAGATACTTCATAAAGGGATATAAAAATAGAGTAGTGGAGAGGCCACATAGCACAGGGTTAAGGTCAAAGGCTCTGGAAAAAGAGAACCAAGATTTTAATTCCAGATTCAAAATTTAAAATTGTGGAATCTTGTTCAAATTAGTTAGCCATGCTGTGTCTCAGTTACTTTCTCTAAAATGAGGATAATAGTGGTATCTAACCACAAGGCTGAAAACATTATTTGACTTCTTCACTCTGGGTTTAAGTTCTGCTCTAAGAGCCTTGGGCTCTAGACATAAATGAAGATTTTTACTTGTCATCTACAAGTCTATGTAAGAAGAGAAGGAATAAAATAAAACCCCAATTTAAGTGACAGCAATGCATATCCTATTATACTAGCTATCGAAGAAGTGCAAGAGGGTCTCCATTTTGGGGAAGATTATTTGGGCTGAACAAAAAGGGTCGAGTGTTTAATCTTCACGGTATTGTTTAGGTTTGCCATTTCCCTTTTGGAATGTCATGTTTTTGTCTATTACTTAAGGAAAAGGATTTTGCCAAACCCAGATCATTTGGAAAATAAAAGCAAGCTTCAGAAAAATATTAAGACAGAAGTTTCTCTATCTAGTTTCGAAAAGAACCACTTTTCACTTTTCATTTCTCAGAGGGCTGGGATAATGCATCTGGTGAGTGGCTGGTGAAGGAAAATGTAATGAAGTCCCAGAGACGGTGTAAAGGTAGGGGAGGGAGGAGACTTAAACGGAGAGGTTTGAAAAGAGGTGCCATATTTTTGAGACTGGAAATCTTGGGAGAGCTCTCAGAAATTGGGGTGAAAATATGTGGGAAACGGCAGTGTCACTTGGCTTAGATAATCACCATTACAGTTCTCTCTATTGGATGGACAGGTACTATATTGAAGCTGCGTTAAACAGAAGTCAAAAGACACAGCTATTTATCTTTTATATTCAGTCAAAACGAGTTATATGAATCAATGAGATTTGAGAAACTTCTGCAGTGGGCAGGATGTCATAGAGATTTACCAGTGTGAGGTTTATTCTCTTACCTTTAATTTACTGTTCAGCTAATAGAATTAAATTCTCAGAGCCTCTGGGTGTAGAGAAAGGAAGGCATGGGGGCGTTTATAATGTAGAACAGTGGTCCCCAACCTTTTTGGCACCAGGGATGAGTTTCATGGAAGACAGTTATTTTCAGAGACCCGGTTTTGGAGGTAGGGGGTGATGGTTTCAGGATGGTTCAAGTGCATTATGCTTATTGTGTACTTTATTATTATTACTATTTTTTTCTTTTTTTAAATTATACTTTAAGTTCTGGGATACATGTGCAGAATGTGCAGGTTTGTTACATAGGTATACATATGCCATGGTGGTTTGCTGCGCCCATCAACCCGTGATCTACATTAGGTATTTCTCCTAATACTATCCTTCCTCTAGACCCCCAACCCCTGACAGGCCCTGGTGTGTGATGTTCCCCTTCCTGTGTCCATGTGTTCTCGTTGTTCAACTGTCACTTATGAGTGAGAACATGTGGTGTTTGGTTTTCTGTTCCTGTGTTAGTTTGCTGAGAATGATGGTTTCCAGCTTCATCCATGTCCCTGCAAAGGACAGGAACTCATCTTTTTTTATGGCTGCATAGTATTCCATGGTGTACATGTGCCACATTTTCTTTATCCAGTCTATCATTGATGGACATTTGGGTTGCTTTGAAGCTTTTGCTATTGTGAATAGCACTGCAAGAAACATACATGTGCATGTGTCTTTATAGTAGAATGATTTATAATCCTTTGGGTATATACCCAGTAATGGGATTGCTGGGTCAAATGGTATTTCTGGTTCTAAAATCACCACATTGTCTTCCACGATGGTTGAACTAATTTACATGCCCATCAACAGTATAAAAGTGTTCCTATTTCTCCACATCCTCTCCAGCATCTATTGTTTTTTGACTTTTTAATGATGGCCATTCTAACTGGTGTGAGATGGTATCTTATTGTGGTTTTGATTTGCATTTCTCTAATGACCATTGATGATGAGCATTTTTTCATATGTTTGTTGGCTGCATAAATGTCTTCTTTCGAAAAGTATCTGTTCATATCCTTTGCCCACTTTTTGATGGGGTTGTTTTTTTCTTGTAAATTTATATGTTCTTTGTAGATTCTGGATATTAGCCCTTTGTCGGATAGATATATTGCAAAAATTTTCTCCCATTCTATAGGTTGCCTGTTTACTCTGATGATAGTTCCTTTTGCTGTGCAGAAGCTCTTTAGTTTAATTAGATCCCATTTGTCAATTTTGGCTTTTGTTGCTATTGCTTTTGCTGTTTTAGCCATGAAGTCTTTGTCCATGCCTATGTTCTGAATGGTATTGCCTAGGTTTTCTTCTAGGGTTTTTGTGGTTTAGGTCTTATGTTTAAGTCTTTAATCCATCTTGAGTTAATTTTTGTATAAGGTGTAAGGAAGGGATCCAGTTTCAATTTTCTGCATATGGCTAGCCAGTTTTCCCAACACCATTTATTAAATAGGGAATCCTTTCCCCATTGCTCGTTTTTGTCAGGTTTGTCAAAGATCAGATGGTTGTAGACGTGTGGTGTTATTTCTGAGGCCTCTGTTCTATTCCATTGGTCTATATATCTGTTTTGGTACCAGTACCATGCCGTTTTGGTTACTGTAGCCTTGTAATATAGTTTGAAGTAAGGTAGCGTGATGCCTCCAGCTTTGTTCTGTTTGCTTAGGATTGTCTTGACTATACAGGCTCTTTTTTGCTTCCATATGAAATTTAAGGTGGTTTTTTTCTAGTTCTGTGAAGAAAGTCAATGGTAGCTTGCTGAGTATAGCATTGAATCTATAAATTACTTTGGCGAGTATGGCCATTTTCACAAAATTGATTCTTCCTATCCATGAGCATGGAATGTTTTTCCATTTGTTTGTGTCCTCTCTTATTTCCTTTGGCAGTGGTTTGTAGTTCTCCTTGAAGAGGTCCTTCACATCCCTTGTACGTTGTATTCCTAGGTATTTTCTTCTCTTTGTAGCAGTTGTGAATGGGAGTTCACTCATGACTTGGCTATTATTGGTGTATAGGAATGCTTGTGATTTTTGCACATTGATTTTGTATCTTGAGACTCTGCTGAAGTTGCTTATCAGCTTAAGGAGATTTTGGGCTGAGACGATGGGATTTTCTAAATATACAATCATGTCATCTGCAAACAGAGACAATTTGCCTTCCTCTCTTCCTATGTGAATATCATTTATTTCTTTCTCTTGCCTGATTGCCCTGGACAGAAATTCCAATATTATATTGAATAGGAGTGGTGAGCAAGGACATACTTGTCTTGTACTGGTTTTTAAAGGGAATGCTTCCAGCTTTTGCCCATTCAGTATGATATTGGCTGTGGGTTTGTAATAAATAGCTCTTATTATTTCAAGATACGTTCCATTAATACGTAGTTTATTGAGAGTTTTTAGCATGAAGGGTGTTGAATTTTGTCAAAGGCCTTTTCTGCATCTATTGAGATAATCATGTGGTTTTTGGCATTGGTTCTGTTTATGTGATCGATTGTATTTATTGATTTGTGTATGCTGAATCAGCCTTGCATCCCAGGTATGAAGCCAACTTGATGGTGGTGGATAAGCTTTTTGATGTGCTGCTGGATTTGGTTTGCCAGTATTTTATTGAGGATTTTTGCATCGATGTTCATCAGGGATATTGGTCTAAGATTTTCTTTTTTTGTTGTATCTCTGCCAGGTTTTGGTATCAGGATGATGCTGGCCTCTAAAATGAGTTAGGGAGGAGTCCCTCTTTTTCTGTTGTTTGGAATAGTTTCAGAAGGAATGGTACCAGCTCCTCTTTGTACTTCTGGTAGAATTTAGCTGTGAATCCATTTGGTCCTGGGCTTTTTTTGGTTGGTAGGCTATTTATTATGGCCTCAATTTTGGAACTTTTTATTAGTCTATTCAGGGATTTGACTTATTCCTGGTTTAGTCTTGGGAGGAAGTATGTGTCCAGGAATTTATCAATTTCTTCTAGATTTTCTAGTTCATTTGCATAGAGGTGTTTACAGTATTCTCTGATGGTAGTTTGCATTTCTGTGGGATCAGTGGTGTTATCACCTTTATCATTTTTTATTGTGTCTATTTGATTTTTCTCTCTTTTCTTCTCTATTAGTCTCGCTAGTGGTTCATCTATTTTGTTAATCTTTTCAGAACACCAGCTCCTGGATTCATTGATTTTTTTGAAGGGTTTTTCTTGTCTCTATCTCCTTCAGTTCTGCTCTGATCATAGTTATTTCTCATCTTCTGCTAGCCTTTGAATTGGTTTGCTCTTGCTTCTGTAGCTGTTTTAATTGTCATGTTAGGGTGTTGATTTTTTATCTTTCCCACTTTCTCCTGTGGGCATTAGTGCTATAACTTTTCCTCTAAACACTGCTTTAGCTGTTTCCTAGAGAGATTCTGGTACATTGTGTCTTTGTTCTCATTGGTTTCAAAGAAGTTAATTATTTCTGCCTTAATTTCATTATTTTCCCAGTAGTCATTCAGGAGCAGGTTGTTCAGTTTCCATGTAGTTGTGCAGTTTCGAGTTAGTTTCTTAATCCTGAGTTCTAATTTGATTGCACTGTGGTCTGAGAGATTGTTTATGATCTCCATTCTTTTGCATTTGCTGAGGAGTGTTTTACTTCCAATTATGTGGTCAATTTTAGAATAAGTGTGATGTGGTGCTGAGAAGAATGTATATTCTGTTAATTTGGGGTGGAGAGTTCTGTAGATGTCTATTAGTACTGCTTGGTCCAGCGGTAAGTTCAAGTCCTGAATATCCTTGTTAATTTTCTGTCTCATTGATCTTTCTAATATTGACAGTGGGATGTTAAAGTCTCCCATTATTATTGTGTAGGAGTCTAAGTCTCTTTATAGGTCTCTTGCTTTATGAATATTGGTGCTTCTGTATTGGATGCATATATATTTAGGATAGTTCTTCTTGTTGCACTGATCCCTTTACCATTGTGTAATGCCCTTTGTCTTTTTTGATATTTGTTGGTTTAAAGTCTGTTTTATCAGAAACTAAGATTGCAACCCCTGCTTTTTTTTATTCTTTCTATTTGCTTGGTAAATATTTCTCTATACCTTTATTTTGAGACTATGTGTGTCTTTGCGCGTGAGATGTATCTCCTGAATACAGCACACCAATGGGTCTTGACTCTTTATCCAGTTTGCCAGTCTGTGTCTTTTAATTGAGGGCACTTAGCCCATTTACATTTAAGGTTAATATTATTATGTGAATTTGATCCTGTCATTATGATGCTAGCTGGTTATTTTGCCCATTAGTTCATGCGTTTTCTTCATAGTGTCGATGGTCTTTACAATTTGGTATGTTTTTGCAGTGGCTGGTACCAGTTTTTCCATACCATATTTAGTGCTTCCTTCAGGGGCTCTTGTAAGACAGGCCTGGTGGTGATAAAACCTCTCAGCATTTGCTTATCTGTAAAGGATTTCATTTCTCCTTCACTTATGAAGCTTAGTTTGGTAGATATGAAATTCTGGGTTGAAAATTCTTTTAAGTTTGTTGAATATTGGCCCCCACTGTCTTCTGGCTTGTAGGGTTTCTGCAGAGAGATCTGCTGTTAGTCTGATGAGCTTCCCTTTGTGGGTAACCCGACCTTTCTCTCTGGCTCCCCTTAACATTTTTCCCTTCATTTCCACCTTGGTGAATCTGACAGTTATATGTCTTGGGGGTTGCTCTTCTCGAGGAGTATCTTTGTGGTATTTTCTGTATTTCCTGAATTTGAATGTTGGCCTGCCTTACTAGGTTGGGGAAGTTCTCCTGGATAATATCCTGAATAGTGTTTTCCAACTTGGTTCCATTCTCCCTGTCACTTTCAGGTATACCAATCAAATACAGGTTTGGTCTTTTCACATAGTCCCATGTTTCTTGGAGGGTTTGTTCATTCCTTTTCATTCTTTTTTCTCTAATTTTGTCTTCATGCTTTCTTTTATTGAGTTCACCTTCAATCTCTGATATCCTTTTTTCCACTTGATCGATTCAGCTATTGATACTTGTGTATCCTTCATGAAGTTCTCATGCTCTGCATTTCAGTTCCATCAGGTCATTTGTGTTCTTCTCAAAACTGGTTATTCTAGTTAGCAATTCCACTAACCTTTTATCAAGGTTCTTAGCTTCCTTGCATTGGGTTAGAACATGCTCCTTTAGCTCAGAGGAGTTTGTTATTACCCACCTTCTGAAGCCTACTTCTGCCAGTTCGTCAAACTCATTCTCCATCCAGCTTTGGTCCCTTGCTGGTGAGGAATTATGATCCTTTGGAGAAGAAGAGGTGTTCTGGTTTTTGGAATTTTCAGCTTTTTTGCGTTCTTTTTTTCTCATCTTCGCGGATTTATCTACCTTTGGTCTTTGATGTTGGTAATCTTTGGATGGGGTTTTTGTGTGGATTTCCTTCTTGTTGATGTTAATGCTATTCATTTTTGTTAGTTTTCCTTGTAACAGTCATGCCTCTCTGCTACAGGTCTGTTGGAGTTTGCTGGAGGTCCACTGCAGACTCTGTTTGCCTGGGTATCACTAGTGGAGGCTGCAGAACAGCAAAGATAGCTGCCTACTCCTTCCTCGGGAAGCTTCATCCCAGAGGGGCACCTGCCAGATGCCAGCCAGAGCTCTCCTGTATGAGGTGTCTGTCGACCCCTGCTGGGAGGTGTCTTCTCATCAGGAGGCACAGGGTTAGGGACCCACTTAAGGAGGCAGTCTGTCTCTTAGCAGAGCTCGAGTGCTGTGGGAGATCTGCTGCTCTTCAGAGCCAGCAGGCAGGAATGTTTAAGTCTGCTGAAGCTGCACCCACAGCCGCCCCTTCACCCAGGTGCTCTGTCCCAGGGATATGGGGGTTTATCTATAAGCCCCTGACTGACGCTGCCGCCCTTCAGAGATGCCCTGCCAAGAGCAGAGGAATCTAGAGAGGCAGTCTGGCTACAGCAGCTTTGATGAGTTGAGGTGGGCTCCGCCCAGTTTAAACTTCCCAGTGGCTTTGTTTACAATGTGAGGAGAAAACCACCTACTAAAGCCTCAGTAATAATAGTGGACACCTCTCCACCCACCAAGCTTGAGCATCCCAGGTCGACTTTGGACTGCTGTGCTGGCAGCTAGAACTTCAAGCCAGTGGATCTTAGCTTGCTGGGCTCTGTGGGGGCAGGATTTGCTGAGCTAGATCACTTGGCTTCCTGGCTTTAGTGCACCATTTCCAGGGGGGTAAACAGTTCTGTTTCTCTGGAATTCCAGGTACCACTGGGGTATGAAAAAAACACTCCTGCAGCTAGCTCTGTGTCTGCCCAAATGGCCACCCAGTTTTGTGCTTGAAACCCAGGGCCCTGGTGGTGTAGGTACCTGAGGGAATCTCCTGGTCTGTGAGTTGTGAAGACCATGGGAAAAGTGTAGTATCTGGGCCAGAATGCACCATTCCTCATGGCACAATCCTTCATGGCTTCCCTTGGCTAGGGGATGGATTTCCCTGACCACTTGCACTTCCCCGGGTGAGGCAACACCCCACCCTGCTTCTGCTCACCCTCTGTGGGCTGCACCCATTGTCTAAGCAGTCCCAATGAGATGAGCCGGGTATCTCAGTTGGAAATGCAGAAATCACCTGCCTTCTGTGTTGATCTCGCTGGGAGCTGCAGGCCAGAGCTGTTCCTATTTGGCTATCTTGCCCATGAATCTATTATTACATTTTAATAAATAATGAAATAATTATACAACTCACCATAATGTAGAATCAGTGGTAGCCTGAGCTTGTTCTCCTGCAACTAGGCAGTCCCATCTGGGAGTGATGGGAGACAGTGGCAGGTCTTCAGGCATTAGATTCTCATAAGGAGCATATAACCTAGATTCCTTACATATGCAGTTCACAATAGGGTACCCCCTCCCAAAAGAATCTAATGCCTTTGCTGATCTGACAGGAGGCAGAGCTGAGACAGTAATCTGCATGATGGGGAGTGACTGTAAATAAATACAGACAAAGCTTTGTTGGTTCATCACTGCTCACCTCCTGCTGTGTGGCCTCGTTCCTAACAGGTCACTGGCAGTGGTCTGTGGCCAGGGGGTTGGAGACATCTGAGGTAGAAGGATTGTATATTATTGTTGCATTGCTGTGCTTAATTTTATTTTAAATGTAGCAAAATAGTATGTCCAGAATTGGTTCCTTCCGGTGGGTTCTTGGTCTCACCGACTTCAAGAATGAAGCTGCAGACCCTCACAGTGAGTGTTACAGTTCTTAAAGATGGTGTGTCCGGAGTTTGTTCCTTCAGATGTTCAGATGTGTCTGGAGTTTCTTCCTTCTGGTGGGTTCATGGTCTCGCTGACTTTAGGAGTGAAGCTGCAGACTTTTGCAGTGAGTGTTACAGCTCTTAAGGGTGGCATGTCTGGAGTTGTTTGTTCCTCCTGGTGGGTTCGTGGTTTTGCTGACCTCAGGAATGAAGCCGCAGACCCTCACGGTGAGTGTTACAGCTCTTAAATGTGGTGTGGACCCAAAGAGTGAGCAGCAGCAAGATTTATTGTGAAGAGAGAAAGAACAAAGCTTCCACAGCATGGAAGGGGACCCAAGGGGGTTGCTGCTGCTGACTGGGGTGGCCAGCTTTTGTTCCCTTATTTGTCTCCACCCGTGTCCTGCTGATTGATCCATTTTACAGAGTGCTGATTTGTCCATTTTACAGAGTGCTGATTGGTGCATTTACAATCCTGTAGCTAGACACAGAGAGCTGATTGGTGCGTTTTTACAGAGCGCTGATTGGTACGTTTAGAATCCTTTAGACACAGAGCACTGATTGGTGCATTTTTACAGAGCACTGATTGGTGCATTTACAATCCTTTAGCTAGACACAGAGTGCTGATTGGTGCATTTTTACAGGGTGCTGATTGGTGCATTTACATTCCTTTAGCTAGACACAGAGTGCTGATTTGTGCATTTTTACAGAGTGCTGATTGGTGCATTTACAATCCTTTAGCTAGACACAGAGCACTGATTGGTGCGTTGACAGTCCTCTAGCTAGGCAGAAAATTCTCCAAGTCCCCACTCGACCCAGGAAGTCCATCTGGCTTCACCTCTCAATAACACGCTACTTATTTACTTTCCTAAGGTGAGTCACTTTGTAAAATCTCCTTTTCTAATACCAGTGATGCTGGATTCCAATATTATTGCTTTCATATCAGAGGTTCTTAAGTGGAGACACATGTCTATCTAAAGAACTTATTCATAAACTAAGGCAATGGATTGATAGTGATGAAAAAACGAACAGAATTACCAAACTAGTGAACTCTGAGGACTATTTTATTTGTCCCATGCAATTTTATAAAAATTTGACTCATTTGTAACTTTTAAAGACTGAAGATTTCACTGAAAATCAGATTCTCAATTTGTTTTGAAGGATCACATATCTTTAAAGGCTGAGTTTTGTGTGCATTACTGAGAGGCAGCAATCAGTTAGAATTAAGTGGCCCCCTTTTGCCACTGGGTCCCCAGTCCTCACTGTAGTTCCCTGTTCTGCCTGCTTGACTCATTCACATTGCCTGTCCCCAGTGGTGTTTGAATTCGTGACATCCAATATAGTCTTATCTTTATAATACTTACTAATAAATCACACTTTTCAGCTTCATTGGGGTGTAATGAACAAATAGAAATGATCTATATTTAAGAGGTATTATACATCATTTAAATGGTATATATCATTTAATCATGTATTATATATTTAAATGATATATATAAATATAAATATATATTTAAATGATATATATCATTTAAATGATATATATTACATATATAATAACTTGATATTTATATATACCTATATATAGGCTGTGAAATGATCACCACTTTCAAGGTTTTTGGTAAAAATATTTAAGGTCTGTCCTTCTAGTAAACCTCATGTATACAATGCAGCACAGAGCAGAATGGTAGCTACCAAGGTCTGTGAGCTAGGGAAAATGGGAAGATGCTGGTCAAAGGATACGAAGTTTCATTTATGCAAGATGAATAACTTCTGGAGGGCTAATGTGCAACATGGTGACTATAGTTACCAGTGGACCACTTTTTAAAGGTTGAATCAATTCAGGTGAATGACTGATGTAAATAATACCAAGTTTGGTTTGTTTTATTCTCTCTCTCTCTTTTCTAATTAATGGAGGTTCAGAATTGTGTTCTTAGTGTTCAATAAATTTGAGGGATGGCTAAAATAGTTAAATGATTATCTGGAGGTTAATCTTTAAGTCTTTAAGTAGGTCCTTTGTTTTTTAAGAGATAGCCTTTCATGTAAACTTAAAAGACTATATCCTTTTTTTAAAAAAAAAAAAGAAAAACGTGCTTCTAGTTAAAAATATTGTCCTAGGATTTCAAAGTAAAAGTTATTGAGAAAAAAGTTATTGACTACAGGATTATGTAAAATTTTGGAAAATTCATATATTGTAAATACTAATGATAAAAATTTAACATAGAATGAATTTGAGTAGAAAAAACTAGAAAACCTATATAAAATAAATCACTCATAGGTTACAAACATAAAAGATGTTTTATAAAAGTACTTACAGTTCATTTTATGAATATGCTACTTTTCTGAGTTCTTACTTTAAAAAAAAACAGCCTTGGATATAATGCTTTCAAATTTATAAAACATAGCCACATATATTTTATCTTTATTTATTTATTTTTTTACATTTTTGAGACATAGTCTCACTTTGTCGCCCAGGCTGGAGTGCAGTGGCACGATCTTGGCTCACTGTAACCTCTGACTCCCAGGCTCAGGTAATTCTCCCATCTCAGCCTCCTGAGTAGCTGGGACTACAGGTATGTGCTGCCACCTTCAGCTAATTTTTGTATATTTAGTAGAGGTGGGGTTTCACCATACTGGCCAGGCCTTTCTCAAATTCCTGGCCTCAAGTGATCAGCCTGCCTTGGCCTCCCAAAGTGCTGGGATCACAGGCATGAGCCATTGTGCCTGGCCTATTTTATCATTTAATTTTAAAAACAGATTTGTGTAAAATGGCCAAGAAATAATTTTCCCTTTTTAGAGATGCGGAAACTGAGTCTCAGATATATTTTGAATTGCTTGCTAGAAGTCACACAAGTAGTTAATAGTAGAGCCAGACCTAGAACTCTATTCTGACTTTCACTCCAGAGGTCTTTCAACTACATTAGCCAGGCCTTCAATTTGCAATAGACTCTTTTCCAAAGTAACACAGAAATAAAATGTCTAGTCCCAAAGGTGCTACAATGTTAAAATATGAGATGTGATTTAAATTAATTGTCACGTTCTGTGGTAAAGAAATGAAAATATTATTCAAGTTTAACTTTGAGAGAAATTCAAATAAACTCAGCCAAATACTTGGGGAAAATTCCGCAAACTACTCCATGGAAGGTGAATTAAACTTAGCCAAACCATCAGCAATGTACTCCTACTGTTTAAAGTGGAAGCCGTACCACTGTGGTACTTTGTATGCCATTTCTAGGAAAGTGTTTTTGTATCATTCTTACTTGCAGTCATGGTTTGCTAAGAAATATCTTGTCCATTTTTTAATTGCTTGAGCAAACGGAGAGAAAACAAATTTTGCAGAAGTCAGACTAACGGTCTCATTAGATTTCCTGGTTCTCATGTCTTTTATGAATTGACTAGTATAAATGAGCAGTCACCACAAAAATGTATTGTCTATTCCCACTGTTTCAGAATCTTCAGACCTATGTTGTCTAGTACAGTGGGTAAGAGTTTGTCTTCTGAGATCAGACGTTTCTAGGTAAAAACCCAACTTTCTGTTTTCTAGCTGTGTGGGTAAGTTGCTTAGTCATTTTAAGATTCCTTCATTCATTTCTTTCAAAATATTTATTGAATGCATACCATATGCTATGAAATATGTTAGATGCTAAAGACATGACAGTAAACAAAAAAGACAAAAATTTGTGCTGATGGAGTTTATATTTTAATGCCTCAATAACACTGAAAGTAAAATGGAGATAAAAATGATACTTTATTTCCTGGATGATTCCTGGGATTTTATAAAATTAGTCAGGCTAGATGTACAGTTGTGCACATTAAAGTCTCTACTCTCCACCTTAAGCAGGTTGGAGAAGGGATTCAAGTCCAGTATACCCTCCTATGTAATTAAGCTATGGCTCTTACTCACCTGCAGGAAGTAGAACAAATGGTGAAAACCCAAACAGGGTCCAGGAAGGGAAAATATGCTGTAAATGAAAAATGTTAATTCAGTCTTTCCCTATTTTTTTAAACTTTGATTTTGAAATTTTTTTTTTACTTATAGAACAGTTGCAACGATAGTACAGAGAATTTTGGTATACCCTTCACCCAACTTCCCTTTATTAATACCTTGATTAACCATAGCAAATTAACAAAACCAAGAAATTAGCATTGATAAAATGCATTAACCAAACTGCAGACTTTACAGTATAGGCCAATTTTGTTGTTGTGGTGGTTGTTTTTTTGTTTTACTAGTGTCCTCCTTTTGTTTCAAGATCCAATCCTGGGTACCATATTGCACTTAATTGTCATGTTTGTTTCCTAAGTCTGTTTCAATCTGTGTCAGCTCATCATTTGTTCTTTATGTTTCATGAGCTTGACAAATTTGGAGACTACTGGTAAGGTAGAATGTTTCTCAATTTGGCTTTGAGTTTTACTAATAATTAGATTGAGGTTGTAAATTTTGGTAAGCGTAACACATAAGTAATGTAATTACTTCAATCAGAATATCATATGAAGGGGTACAAAATATTGATATGACTTACTTCTAGCAATGTTAATCTTGATAACTTAGTTAAGAAGCTGTCTGCCAGGTGTCTCCTTTGCAATTTAGAAATATCTTAGGAGTAGATATTTCTAAATTTCAAAGGTTATACTTTGAGATAATACCTTGAGACTATGCAAATACTCTGTTTTTCCTCAAGCTTTTGCTCACTAATGTTAGCATCCATTGGTAGAATTTGCTTGCAGTAATTGTCATTGTCTTCTAATGGTGATCATTACAATGGTCTTATCCCTTCTACAGTTATAATTGGAATTCTTCTGTAAGAATTAACTATCTCTTCTATTTCATTTGTTTATTGGTTGAATTATGGTTAGCTTTGGATATTTATTTATGTGAGGTATTTATGTTATATAATAGTTATAATCCAGTAATATTGCAGTTACTTTTGCCCAGATAATTCCAGTTTTGGCCATTGGGGAAGATTTTAGCTTGGCTCCTGTGCCCTTTTGACATAAGCCTATCCTTTTCTGAGTACATCCTTATTTCCTGGCACCACAAGATGCTTTTGTTATAAAGAGAAGCAATCAGATCCTTTAAGAATGTAATACATGTAAAGCTTTTGTATATTTTTTTAAAAGCTAAAACCAGGAAAAGATTATCTTCCGAGACTGTCACAGAAAGATTAATGTCAATGAATGTCTCTTTTCTAATATCGTACCAAACACTTAACTGTTTTCACGCTAAGTTAATCCTGTTGAAGAATCTGAGTATTCCTATTACTGCACTTTATGTAAGAATGATGGCTTAAGTTCGTCTGTAAGCATTGGCATTGAAATAATTTCTGAACTCCATTCTCCTCCCTGACTTGGTGGGGATATCATAGCATCCAATGTGCAGCAATGTGTATTTTGGTACATAAAGTGAATGAGGGGAATTTTACTCACTTGATGTTGCTCACTAACACTCCTTAGTGCTGCTGGATCAGGAAGTGTGAGGTCAAGCCAAATAAAATGCTATTTCCAGAAGTCTGTGAGTGGACTTGTTGGCTCTGTTATATCTTAAGAGAATGAGAAAAACACACCAACTCTGCAGAAGGGAGGCTTTAGTGTGATTTGCCTGTAGTCTGTATCTTCTTCTAGAACAGAGGTCAGGCAAGCTACAATCCTTGGGCCAAATCTAGTCAGCTGCCTGTTTTTATAGCCCTCAAACTGTTTGTTACATTTTTCAAATGGTAATATTTTATAGTTATATGAGTCCCTGCATAATATCCAGAATTTTCCTCTTCGCTCTCACAGCCTACTATTATACCCTCTGGCCCTTTAAGAAAATCTTTGCTGGTTTCTGTTCTAAAAGAAGTCATCCCTCCTTGCTTTGCACATGCTAGTTCCTCTGCCTGCAATACTCTTCTCTGCTTTGCCCACTTGACTGACGCCTACTTGTCTTTTAAATATCAACACAAAGATTCCCTATTCTGCCATCTTTTCCTGACCTAACACATAGAGTCAAATGTCTCTCTTCTGACCACCTATGCTGCGTACCTGTAGTGTTAAGGCATATCTCTTTTCTAATTCAGTGGTGTGCTGAAACCAGCTGGTAAGAGCCAATTATATGCATCTCTTCTCAACTCCATATTCAGTGATACCACACTGGTGTCTTGAAATTGACCACAGTGGGAATATTTATACCATGGAAATTGGCAAACACCACAAACCAGGGATTCCACCTTCTCATAGAGAATAGAGCATTTAGTGTTACTAGCACACTGCTATTTATCACACTGTTTTTTGTTTATTTGATTTTTATTGTTTTTTTTTTCTGACTCTGCCAGCAGATTCTCAGCTACTTAAGGAATGAGTCTGAATTTTATTAATCTTTTGTACCTTATAGTGCCTTAAATAGAATAGGCAATTCATGCTCCTTGAAGTAATGAGAAATTAACTGAGGAATGAATGTTGTATATATGGAAAAAATTCTGTTCTGTAATCATTTCTAAATCAAAGGAATAATAATTTAGGGGCTTAAAACTATATACATCAGGGACGTTTGCTTAAAATAACCATATTTCAGAGCCTAAATTAATAAATTAATGACAAAAGACATTCAAATAGGAAAGTAAGTCAAACTAGCTCTCTTCAATGATGATATGATTCTATACCTAGAAAACCCTAAAGACTCCACCAGAAGGCTTCTAGAACAGATAAATTACTTCAGTAAAGTTTCAGGATACAAAATCAATGTACAAAAATCAGTAGCATTTCTATATACCAATAACGTTCAGGCTGAGGGTCAAATCAAGAATAAATCCCATTTACAATTACCTCCCTTATACACACACAAAATACCTAGGAATACAGCTAACCAAGAGGGTGAAAGATCCCTACAAGGAGAACTACAAAACACTGCTGAAGGAAATCAGAGATTACACAAATAAATGGAAGAATATTCCATGCTCATGGATTGGAAGAATCAACATTATTAAAATGGCCATACTGCCCAAAGCAATTTACAGATTCAGCTCTATTCCTACCAAACTACTAGTGTCATTTTTTACATAACTAGAAAAAAACTATTCTAAAATTCATGTGGAACCGAAAAAGAGCCCAAATAGTTAAAATAATCCTAAGCAAAAAGAGCAAAGCTGAAGGCAACACACTACCTAACTTCAAACTATCCTATGAGGCTGCAGTAGCCAAAACTACATAGTCCTGGTGTAAAAAAAGACACACAAACCAATGGAACAAGATAAAGAACACAGAAATAAAGCCACACACCTATGAACAACTGATCTACAACAAAGCTGAACAAAAACAAGCTATAAGGAAAGGATTCCCTATTCAATATAGGGAATATATCAGTGCTGTGGTAACTGGCTATCTATATGCAGAAGAATAAAACTTGACCCCCACCTTTTACCATATGCAAAATTAACTCAAGATGGATTAAAGATTTGAATGTAAGACCTCAAACTATAAAAGTCCTGGAAGAAAACCTAGGAAATGCCATTCTTGATTAAGTCCTTAAAAGCCAAAATTGACAAGTGGGATCTAATTAAACTAAAGAGCTTCTTAACAGCAAAAGAAATTATCAATAAACAGAAAATGTATAAAATGGGAGAAAATATTCACAAACTATGCATCAGACAAAGACCTAATATCCAAAATCTATAAGGAACTTAAATCAACTAGCAAAACCCCAAAGAAATGCATTAAAAAATGGGCAAAAGACATGAACAGACACTTCTTTAAAGAAGACATATAAGTGGTCAAAAAATATTTTAAAAAGTTCATCATCACTAATCATCAGAGAAATGCAAATCAAAATCACAGTGAGATACCATCTCACACCAGTTAGGATGGCCGTTATTAAAAAACTAAACACACGGCAGGGTGCAGTGGCTCACACCTGTAATCCCAGCACTTGGGAGGCTGAGGTGGGCGGATCACCTGAGGTCAGGAGTTCGAGACCAGCAAACTAACACAAAAACTAACACATTCTCAGCAAACTAACACAAGAACAGAAAACCAAACACCGCATGTTCTCACTCATAAGTGGGAGTTGAACAATGAGAACACATGGACACGGAGTGGCGGGGGGCATCACACACTGGGGCCTGTCAGGAGATGGGGGACTTGGGGAGGGATAGCATTAGAAGAAATATATAATATAGATGACAGGTTGATGGGTGCAGCAAACCACCATGGTACATGTATACCTATGTAACAAACCTGCACGTTCTGCACATGTACCCCAGAACTTAAAGTATAATAACAATAAAGAAAAGTAGAGAAATTAGGGCACATAATTTACATCCAAAGATAGAAAAGTAACAATTAGTTTTGGTCACAGAGGAGAACCCACAAGGAAAAGTATATTTCTACAAATAAAAATTAGGACAGTGAAAGAACTGAAACTGGAAAACGGTGCACCTATGTCTAAATGCAATATCTGAATCTTCACACAATGTTTCTTAATGGTTTGAAACCAACAATTACTTTTCACTTTGTTTTATGCATAGTCCCATCAACAGAAAATGTTACAGAATTTATATAAAATGTGTGTGTGTGTGTATATATGTGTGTGTGTGTGTGTGTGTGTATACACATTTCCCCTGCCCACTCCAGCTAATGACATACAATCTGCTCTCCAGAAAGGCATTCTCTCATTCCTCCCATCATTGGGAATCATTGCAAATGACTGACTGGTCTGTGATGAGTAATGATTTTTCACTTTCCCATTGCATTCAAAATAATAATGAATAAGACTGGTAAATATATAGACTGCCTTTATGTTTGCGTGACTTATTCAACATTATAAAAAACATCTGGAATATGCGTTGTTCACAGTTAAATAAAATTGCTTTCCAGTTTTAAATACAGAATCATTTTTGTAGTCCCAATACTCATAAGTGCTACTAAAACTATTTTGTAAGTGCAGTCCCAAAATCTTCAAGAAGTTCAATAGTCCATCCTGTCTCAAAGCAAATGACAGGCATCCAAGTGATGGTATTGCCAAGGCAAGAGGGTTGTATTTGGCTCCTCTATCTGAATGACAACCTAGCTACTGTGAAAACCTGGGGATTTGACTTCTGTTATAATTGGATCAGATCTTTCCAGCAGCTCCTTCAAGGGGATATTAGTTTCATATGGAACCTGCAGTTCTTCCAATTTAAGGCTTTGATCGTACAAATAAATGTTGAAATGCTGATTCTGATTCTGTCATGCTAATAGAATTGGTGACTGGATTTGTATTCAACTGTGTTGAAGACACAAGGGAGTGGGCAAATAACTAAATGGCCCATTTACTGAGAAGGCACAGTGATGATGAAAAGATGGTCCAAGATTAAGATTTGCAGGAGATTTGCTTTTATTACTAAATTAATAGGCAGCCTGTATTATCATAAGATCTGAAGTTCTAGTGAGCTGTGAATGATCAAACTGCAGATTTCTTGAGGAAATGTTTTGCGGTGTTAACAACCTTCTGGAGATATCTGTCCCATCATTATTCTTTATCCACCCTGTGGTTAAGGCTGATGCATCTGAAAAGTATGTGGAATCTTCTTTCAAAATGTATTATATTTGATGACTATGCTGCAGCATATAAGTATCCCATTCAAGATGTATTTAAAATTAAACATGACATTTTGCTTTTAAAAAGAAACACACTTTTTTATTTCAGAATACTTTTATAGAAAAGCTTCAAGGATATTATAGAGGTTCCTTGTACCCTACACTCAATTTCTTCTGTTTTTAACATCTTATATTGTATGATACATTTGTCACACATAATGAATCAATATTAAGGCATAATTATTCACTAAAAGTTGTTCTTCATTCAGATTTTCTTAGATTTTAGTTAATGTCCTTCTTCTCTTCCAAGATACCATTCTGGATACCACATTATATTTAGTTTTCTTGTCTCCTTCGGCTCCTCTTGGGTCTGATTTTTTTCTCAGATTTTCCTTATTTTTGATGGCTTGACAGTTTTGAGGAGTACTGGTAAGACATTTTACTAGGACACTGGTAAGAATGTCCCTCAATTTGTTGATTCTTTTTTTTTTTAATGATTCCACTGGGGCTATGGATTTGGGGAAGGAAGACCACAGAGATAAGCTTGACATGCACTAGCTAGACGAGGCAGACCATGTTAAAATTTTCCATTGTGAAGTTAATTCTTCTTTCCCCTCTTTTCATATTGAACTGTGGAAAGAAGTCACTCTATATACAGCCTACACATAAAGACTGGAGGTGTAGGGAGTTATGTTCCACATCTTTGAGTGGGAGTATATCTGCATTATTAGAGATGTTAAAATTATTTAGAATTTTTCTACAGACAAGATTTGTTTATTCTCTTCCATTTATTTATTTATTTTTATTCTATCACTATAGACTCATGGATATTTATTTTCTGACCTAATATATCGTTGTCTATTCTGTTCTTCAAATTGTGTCAGCTTTGGCCATTAGGATCTCTTTTAATTGTCTTCTATGTGTATTTGACATACCTCACTTGTATCATTTTGTTTTCTTTTATTCTTTTTCTGCTGCTTTCTTACTTTTTGGCACAAGAAGATCATCCAAGCTCTTTTTTTTTATATTTCCTGAATATAAAAAAGTCATCCGTGGCTTGGATTTAATTATCAAAATTAAATTGCAGTTAAGATTTCAATAATCTCCAGTCACATTTTAATCTCCATTGCTCAACAATGTAAACTGTATTTGTAATCAAAAAAGAAGTTTTTCTCTGGTTAACAGATTATGTTTTTAAATGTTTCTGTCTGCTTACCAAATAAGAAAAATAATCTGGCTAACAGATTATTTTAAAACTATTTTTAACTTGGTGGGTTTAAAAAATCATAAGTGAATGTGTATTACTCTAATCACCTCTGTTCAAAGCCAAAGGACAAAGTGAGGTAAGTCTAATTAGGCTAATTCAGTGAATTATCATCTGATCGAATCACGACTGTAAGAAATTATCCCTGGCTAAGTGTGGTGTCAAATTATTCTATGAAATAATTGGGAATATGACCCCTGGCACAAAAGGCTAGCTGTTTCCAAGAACAGAGTTCCCAAATAATGAAAGAGCAGCAGCTAAGATTACACCCTGTGCTTTAATTTCATAACTAGGCAAAAAAAGATGTTCAATATCCTCAACTTATTTATTTCCTGACGGGAAATGCAAAATTAAAAGTGACTTTGTGATATTTCACTTGCGAATAGATTGATAGAAGAATTCTATGAAATTCTAAAGAAATACGATAGGAAGTTTTATGAATTTAAAATTTAACTTAAAGAGAATATTAAGGTTCCTTTAAAATTATGTGAAACTACTATTTTGGGCCAGGGGTGAAGAAGCCATAGGCAGTAAATTCCTTCTACTCACTTCTCAGTGTAATCCTGTGGGTTTATCCAGAACATTAGGTACTGGCTGGGAACTTCTGTTGGTAGTCTCATGTTGATGAATCATCTCTTGGGAACATATTTGTCACGGTTTAAAAGAAGATACTTGGTGCTTGTTAAGGTTCTTTGACTTTCTTCTTATTTTACTTGTTTTCTTTTAAAGGTCAACTTCATTTATACCTTTAGAGTTCTGTTAAGCTAGACTCTATTTCGTCGTACCAGTATCATTGATGTTTTTATTTGGAGGGCTGAGTCAGCAGCATTGTTTTAAAAGACTACTTCTCTTTTCTCCCCATGTCCCTTTACATATTTTTTTAAAGTAAGCGTAAGTCCACTAGATCTTAACTTTTTATCTCTCTTTCAATAAAATTTATGCTTTTTCTTTCGCTATTTAAAATAAATGTATTTTTCATTGTGTGTTTAATTCTAAATTTCTCTGATCTAACAGCTTGACCTAAAATATAGCTCTTATTTTTAGAGAATATTGTAGGGTATTTAATAAAATAAAAAGAGCTAACTAACTAAAGATAAATCCATGGTGTACTATCAGGAATCTACTGGTAACATTTGTTTTTCAGTTATTAATTCTTTTATCCCTCCACCCATTTATTTATTGTGCTGAGACCTGTTGTTTCGCAATGATACTGTGTGAAACACTACACTAAAGGAGTTGCAATTAGTACAACTGTGAGGCAATTCTTGCATAAACAAGACAGATAGCTTACTTTCTAATGGAGATCAGCATGAGCATATTTCTAAAAGGTCGGATATATATTATGTACCAGATGAGTGATACAAAAAAAATCAGTGCTATAGACAGGCAGACAGAGTTTTTATTGAGATTCAGGCAGTCTGATCAGGTCAGATATACAACATAAAATGGCACTTGAGGTAATCCTTAAGGGGTAGATTCGAATTTAAAAGATTGAGAAAGAAGCATGGATTCAAGAGTTTATGCATTTACTCATTCATGGGTTTAGAAAGTTTTCAGTAAACATTTGAGTGAAGGGCATTCCACTAGTTCTGAAGCATAAGGCAAGGTCTTTATGTGAGGAAATGTTGATGATCCAGTTTTTATGAAGAATCAGATTTATGTTACAGTGAAATGTGGCTAGAATTTGAAGTTGGGTAATGGTCATGTAAGAAGTTGAAGCCAGAGTTAGGAGGAGTCCAAATATTAATTAGTGGATCTTAACTGATTTTGGTCAAGAGATGATGGCAAATCTTACACCTCAAAGAGGGATAAAGAAAGTGATGATATCAGAAATTTGGTTTATGAAGATTTCTGTCACATTGCTGTAGAAAACAGGGAATTTATGAGAAATGAATAAGAGGCTTCCCAAGGAATTTCCCAGAGAACTGATAGCATGAAGTTTTATTAGATACAAGGAAACAGTTTTTGCTCATTAGCAGCCATACACTAGAAACAGAGAAAATATGAAGTAAAAACGACCCAGAGTTGGAAAGGAGCTTGTTAGACATGGAAGAGAATGAGGAGTCATCTTGGAAAACTCAACAAGGAAAATATGGAAAGGGAACAAAAAGTAGGTGGGTTCAAGGAACTCAAGAGCTTAATGAGGTGGTTTTTGAAAGGAGGAAGGATCGACTGATAGACGTGGCGCTATGTGTGTAGTATACTGTGATGGTTAATTTTATGTGTCCACTTAACTAGGTTATGGTGTCCAGGTATTTGATCAAATACCAGTCTAGATGTTGCTGTGGATACACTTTTTAGATGCGATTAACTGTTAAATCAATAGACTTTGAGTAAAGCCAGTTACCCACCATAAACTGGATGAGATTCATACTCAGTTGAAGGCCTTAAGACAAATCAATGAGGCTCCCCAAGGAAGAAGAAATTCTGCTAGAGGACATTTGGTTTATTTCATTGCTATAAACAGTGCTCCTATAAATATTTATATGCAAGTGTTAGTGTGATGATAGATTTTCATTTTTCTTGGGTAAATACCTGTGAATGAAACTGCTAAATTATGTAAGTGTCTGTTTGTAGAAACCTACCAATCTGTTTTCCAAAGTGGCTGTCAAGTTTTAAATTCCCACAAACAATGTCTGAGAATTCTGATTTCTTCATATTCTTACCAATACTTGGTATTGTCAGTGTTTTTTTTTAATTCAACTATTCTAGTGTATGTGTAGCAGCATCTTATTATGTAATTGGTTTGCATTTTTCTAATAATTAGCAAAGGTTAGCATTTTTTCATGTACTTATTTGCTATTTGTGTACCTTCTTTAGAAAAGCATCTATTCCAATATTTATCCAAGTGGTAGCATAATTAGTAATTGTTATTAGTGGTAATATTTATTATTATTACTTAAATATTGAAGCTTCTTTTCTCTAATAGTAATATAGCCACTCCAGTAAACTGTAATTTTTTTGCATGGAACATCTTTTTACATGCTGTCCTATCAATTTGTGACTTTGTATTTAAAGTACATCTCTCGTTGAAAACATCTAGTTGAATATTTTTTTCTATACAGTCTGACATTCTCTGCCTTTGCTTGAAATATTTATTCAATTCATGTTTAATATAATAATAGGTAAGGTTGGATTTAGGTTGGACATTTTGCTTTATTCTATTTAACTATTTTTGTTTCTCTATTCATCCTCTATTACTTCTTTTTTGGTAAACAAACTTTTTTACTTTGCCATTTTAACTCTTCTGACACTTAGGTGTGTAACTTTCAGTGTTTGATTACTCTAGGAGTTAAAATATGCGTCTGTAATGTAATACAATCTTCAAGTTAGCACTGACTTCATTTCCAATAAAATATAGCAACTTGTCTCTGTATAGCTCCATTTTTTTCTCTTTCTATTATTATTGACATATATATCGTGTTTGTATACATTATAGAAACAACAATTGAGTGGGGTTTTTTTGGATTTTAATTATAATATGTTTAAATTAACGAGAAAAAGATAATACCTACGTACACCTACACAAAATCTTTTATCTATGTATTCATCATTTTTTCCTGTGGTTTTTAGTTACCATTTGATGCCCCTTCTTTTCCATCTGATGAAATTTTAAAATTATTTCTTGAAAGGAAAGTGTATAGCAACAAATTCTGTTTTTGTTTTTGTTTTCTAAACCCGGAAATGTCTTTATTTTGTGATGAATAATTTTGACACAAAATATTTAGTTGACATTTTCTTTTACTTCAGGACTTTTTAATATGTTACTATCTCCTGGATTCCATTGTTCTGATAAGTCTGCCTTTAACCTCATTATTGTCCTTCTCTACATGATGAATTATAGCTGTCTTGATACTTTTAAAATTTTTGTTTTGTTTTCTTTTAACCTTTGTCTTTTAGGAATTTTACTATAATATTTCTAGGTATACTTTTCTTTGTGTTATCCTATTTGGGGTTTGTTGAGATCCTTGGATCTATATAGTTAATGTTTCTGACCAAATTTGGTAAAGTTCTGGCCATTTCTTTCAAAATAATTTTTCTGCCTCTCTCTTTCTCAACCTCTTTTCCTGGAATTCCAGATACACATATGTTAGGGTGATTGATATTATCCCAGACATCTCTGAAGTAATGTTTATTTTTTAACGTTTTCTATTTTATTGGATAAAATAATTTATATTTGTTTATTTTCAAAGGTATGAATCTTCTATTATTTCAAATCTACTATTGAGTTCATTGAGTAATTTTTAAATTTAATTTATTATGCTTTCCAGCTCTAAATTTTCTACTGGGTTCTTTTTTATACTTTATATTCCTCAATAGAGATCCTCTATTTGTTGTCTCATTGTTATGATATTTCCCTTTAATATTTTAGCTATTCTTTCTTTAATTATTTGAACATACTTATCAGTCCTACTTTAAAGTCTTTGTCTGCTGAATCTAATATCCATGCCCACTCGAAGTCAATTTCTTTTGATTTTTTTTCTGAACTATGCAGCACACATTTTTGCTTATTTACATGTCTGGCATTTTTTGTTTGCAATTAGTATGATAAGTAATATGTGACAGTGACTAGATTCTGTTCTGTTTTAGGGTTGTTGATTTTTAAAATAATAAATAGGCCATTTTTAGTATAGTCTTAGATTTACAAAATAATTAAGCAGGTATTACAAAGAGTTGCATACATTCAAACCCCATTCTCTACCATGACTGTCACCGTTTCCCACGTTACTGACATCTTGCAGTAGGATGGTACCTTTGTTATAATTAATGAACTAATGCTGATATATTATTATTAGCTAAAATTCATAGTTTATATTAAGGTCATTCTTTGTGCTGTAAAGTTCTACAGGGCTTGACAAATGCATAATAATATATATTAACCATTACAGTTTTATACAGGATGGTTTCACCATCCTAAAAAATACCATGTACTTCACCTACTTATCCTTCTCCTCCCTCTCTGCTGACTGCCACTGATCTAAAAATATCTGTAAAACTGATTCATTAAAAATTGCAAAATTGTAAAAGTGATCCATTAAATACTGTAAGTGAAAATGATTTCTATAGTTTTGCCTTTTCAAAAATTTCATATAATTGAAATCATATAGCATGGAGCCTTTTCAGACTGGCTTCTTTCACTTTACAGTATACATCTACATTGTTTTCATGTCTTTTCATGGTTTATAGCACATGTGTTTTGTGTTGCTTTTATTATTTTTAATTGAAACATAATTTTACATATTTATGGAGTATAGCATAACATTTTAATACATGTGTACAATGTACAATGATCAAACAAGGGTAATTAGCGTATCCAGCAACTCAAGCATGTATCCATTTTAATGTAAATATTCAAAATCCACTCTTCTAGCTATATGAAAATAAACAATAAATTGTTAATTATACTCACCCAATAGTGCTATTGAACACTGGCAGGTTTCTTTTTATTGCTCAATATTTCTTTCCATAAATGCACTACAGTTTGTCTCTTCATCCTCTATTATAGAACATCTTGGTTTCTTTAAGTTTTTGGCATTTATGAATAAAGCTGCTCTAAACATTTATGTGCAGGTTTTTGTGTGGACATAAATTTTCAAAACTGGGTAAATACCTAGGAATATGGTGGCTGGATCATATGGTAAAATTACTTTTAACTTTAAAAGAAACTACCAAACTGTCTTCCAAAATAGTTGAGCTATTTGCATTGCTGCCAGCCATGATTGAGTGTTCCTGTTGCTCAGCATTCTCACTGGCATTTGGTATCATGTTTGCTTGTTTGTTTTTAATTTTAGCAACTCTACTAGGTGTGTAATGGTATTTCATTACTGTTTTGTTTATAATTTCTTAAAGATACTTCATATGAGGTATCTTTTCCTATGCTTATATGTCATCTGTATAATTTTCTTTACTGAGCTCTATTCAGATCTTTTGCCCATTCTTAATTGTGTTGTGTGTTTTTTGTTGAGTTTTTGAGTTCTTTGTATATAATTGTATACAAATTCATTATCTGATATATTTTACAAATGATTTCTCCCAGTCTGTGACTTGTTTCCTTATTCTTTTAACAATGAGCAGGAGTTTTTAATTTTAATAACATCTAAATTATCAATTTCTTCTTCCATGATTAGTGCTTTTTGTGTTCTATCTACAAACTCATCACCAAATCTGGTTGCATGAATTTTACCCCACTTTATCTTCCACAAGTATAATAAGTTTGCATTTTGTACTTAGGTTTGAGATCCATTTGAGTTAATTTTTTTTGCAAAGGACATAAAATGCCTATCTGGCTGTTTTTTATTTTGTTTAGTTCTGTTTTGCCTATGGATGTCCAGTTGTTTCAGCACCATTTGTTGAAAAGACTATCCATTCTCTTTTGGAATTGCCATTACTCCTTTGTTAAAGATCAGTTGACTATATTTTGGTGGGTCTATTTCTGGGCTATCTATTCCATCGATCTATTTGTCCATTCTTTCACCATACCACACTGTTGTGAATATCCTAGCTTTATGGTGAACCTTGAAGTTGTTAGTGTCAGTCTTTTGACCTTGTTTATCTTTGGTATTGTGTTAGCTGTTTTGGATCTTTTCCTTTCCATGTAAACCCTAGAATAAGTTTATTAATATCTACAAAATAACTTACAGGAATTTTGACTGGGATTGTGTTGGATTTTTAATTCATTTGGGGAAGAAATGACATTTTCATGAGTCTTTATTTCCATGAACATAGACTGTCCTTATTTATTTAGATTTTGATTCTTCATTGCATTTTCTAGGTTTTCTCCCATGTATCCTGTATATAATTTGTTTGATGTGTACATAATTATTTCTTTCTCACTCTTTTCTTGGCACTAATATAAATGATACTGTGTTTTAATTATAAATTATAATTGTTCATTGCTAATATATAAGAAAGCAACTGATTTTGTATATTAACCTTTTATTCTATAACCTTGCTGTAATTACTTGTTAAGGTTTTTTGTTTCCGTTAATTGATTAGATTCATCCTGGGAAATCCGTTTCCTCTTGCGTATAGCTGCATATATCTCCACTCAACATGTCTGTAGCTTGATCCCTAGAGGATTGAGTATTTTCACATTTACCCAGTGATTTGGGCAGAAACTATGCTGAATCACCTCAAATTTGTAAGGCTTCCACTGTCTGCTAACTGGGCTGCGTAGGTAGAGGACTACATTCAAAATCACAAGTGACTTGGATTTTACTCATGACTCAAGAATCTCTTCTACTTTTCATTGGTCAGTCACAGGTCTCCAACTTAAGGCATAGCTTAGCAGTCCACCAAAGATGTGGAGAGTTTGTTATTTTATGCCTTCTATAACTCAATTTCAAGATTTCTCCCTTAAATTCTAATGTTCTGCCTCCCACCCCACATTGAGACCATAATACCTGGCCATCATAGTTGCCAATTATTGTCTCCTATATTCTCTTCCTGAATGAGTCCACCAGCATAGCTAGTAAACCTTTGTGCCGTCAATCTTGAACTGTGCGAACCATCACTCACCACTCATAAAGCTCCAGTTTTTACTGCCTGAGCTTTGGTGGTAGTGGTGGGTGGAGGTCAGTGGTATTTTGAGCATCCCTGGGTAAGAAGCCCACAGATGTTCCATTGGTTTCCTCCAATGTAGTAGCAGGTTTTTGTTTGCTTGTTTGTTTTTGACAGAGTCTCACTCTATCCTCCAGGCTGGAGTGCAGTGGTGTGATATCAGCTCACTGCAACTTCGGCCCCCCAGTTCAAGTGACTCTTACGCCTCAGCCTCCTGAGTAGCTGGGATTACACATGCCTGCCACCACACCCGGATAAATTTTTTGTATTTTTAGTAGAGACAGGGTTCCGCCATGTTGATCAGGCTGGGTCTCAAACTCCTATCGTCAAGTGACCCACCTGCTTCAGCCTCCCAAAGTGCTGGGATTACAGGCATGAGCTACCTCACTGGCAATAGCAATTTTTAAAGAGTAAACACATATCTCATTTTGTTGTATGCCTTTGATCATTTTGCAGTATGCAGAAATACCTATCTATCTATTTGTTTCTATTTTGTGACATTTTATTCTAACTTTCTGTGGTGGAGAATGGCTTAACTTCCTCAGACAGCCATTTTTGGAGGCCTAGCACCTGAAGTTACTCATGAGAAAATATCAGACAAACCCAAACGTCATCCCTCCTGCATTAAATATACTTGATCCCTGTGGGTGGTGTTAGTTGACTGCTTCCAAGATAAAGAACCAGTATAATAGCTTCAGATTAGGCAGAGATGTTTAATGATAATATGTGTTTTATGATACTTAGACTAGATGATATGTCTTTTTTGAACAGAGGAAAACTCATGTCATTACAGGCTTAGAACCAGATAAGAAGGTGAGAAATTTTACGCAAACTAATTTAGTCCATAGTATTGCCAGAAGTAGGATGGCATTCTGTTCCTCAAATTAATAAATAAGCACTAAAATTCCTAGGAGACAGTTGAACTGGTATCTAGATATTCATAATCTGGTTATGATAAAGTCTTAACAATTATAGGAAATGTATCTTTAATCCACACTCACTGATTATGCTTTCTATCTGGTCTTGAGGAGGTTATGAGACCTACAGGTCTCTGATAAATTTGGCTCATTAGATTCAGCTATGTCATTTAGGTAATCCTCATAGAGAAAGCCCTTGTATAATAAAATGATGGAGCCATATGGTTTTAAAAAGTTTAATTCTTTCTGCCAAACAAGCACTAGAACTAGGAAAGCTTAGTTTCCTATAGAATTTCTTGGAGATAGGGTATAAGGCATTCTGATTAAATCCACATTTTATATCGCTGTCCAGAAGTAGTACATAAATCCTACAGAGCTGCTAAGACAACACAAGTGTCCTAACACATTTCAATTAATCACTAACTTAAGTCTACATGTGAAAAAGAAAGGACTAATTAATAACAGCAAAGAACCATTCACAAATTCAAGAATTATGTTCTATTTATAGTTGATGAAAATCTGTTTCTGTCAGAAGTTCTTATTAAGTCCACTAGTCACAAAGAATAAATGAAAATGAGCTTGAACTTTGAAAGTATATTTGCTCTTACACTCTGTAATAATATCTAGGCTGAACAATTCAGGCACTGCTATTACCAGCAATGTGATAAATATTTTTCTTTGTGGGCACATACGTCAATGTTAATCTTTAGAAATAGGCTTAAAGGCAGTAAGATCATTGAATCCTACAAATGTTATATGTTGTTGGTATTTTAGTGTCTCCTTACTTCCCCTCTCCCTGTACTCCACAACTTCTTTTTGAGACAGAGTGTTGCTCTGTTGCCTGGGCTGGAGTGCAGTGGTGCAATCTCGGCTCACTGCAAACTCTGCCTCCTGGGTTCAAGTGATTCTCCTGCCTCAGCCTCCCAAGTAGCTACGATTACAGGCACCTGCCACCACGCCGGGCTAATTCTTATCTCCCCTTTATGTTGCTTGAATTCTGTAGCTCAACACTATAGACATTCCTTGGTGAATTTCCTCAACTCACTCTCCTTTTCTTCCTTCAACAATCAAATCCAGGATAAACCAAACTCTGTCTTCTGCCTTACTGAATGTGTACAGCTGGGTAATGATGAAAATGATTGCATATCCTGAAAAGTTGGTATTACTATAGCTTCATGACCAAAACCTCAAATTAGTGTACAATCACAATGTTCTCAAGCTCACTCCCTTACTGTAGTACTATGCTTTTGTTACACCTTTCCTTCATATTGCAAATTTTTAATCTCCCCATCACCTATTCCTAGTATTTTTTCCTCATATTAATAATATTTCCTGAAAAAAACATGTTCCAAGTAGAGCATCCGCATCTTATTTGATGGCAACTCCTTACCAGTTTCTCAGGCTAAAATACTGGAGACCAACTTCTGTTCCCCTTTTTCTCTCACATTCCGCCTCCGATCCACCAACAAGTTCTCTTTATATTCAAAAGTTTCAGAATCTGTTCATGTCTCATATCTTCTACTGCCAATTTGATCTGACCTACAATTCTGATTATTGCAATATTTTCCCAGCAGGTCCCCTATTTCTGTCTTTACACTATTACTCTATCTCAACTTATCTATAAGAGTGAGCTTTTTGGAATGTGTTGTATTTTTTAAAAAAAACATTTTGTTTTTGACACTTAACATGAGACCTACAAACTACATGACATGTAAAGGCCTTTGTGCAAGTAGCAAATTTTAAGAGAAACTTTTCTAATTACATTGCACTTAAAGTCATATACCTTAATTTCTGGATTATTCAATTATACGATTTTCCCCCACTGCCGGAAACATTCATAATCATGTATGTGAAATTTCCTCTCAACTTTAGAGATTTTATAAATGTTAGCAATTAAGGTGATGGATGGTGATTCAAAGCTCCATTATTCCTATCTTCCTAATTCTCCAGAAGGTATTTTGAGAGTCCTTGTAAAAGGTCCAATGATCCAGTAATTAATCCCTTTGCTTTCAAAGGCATATGAAATCCTCTGACTTCCTTAATTCACACTTTTTAATTGCTTTGCAGAACTTATGGTAAATTGAAGAGAAAAAATAAATAAAGATCATAAATATTGATTTAACTTTTGATTTAAACAATTTTTTCCACAAACTGTTTAATTTGTGAAATATGAGCACTGGAACTACCATTATTAACACCACTAATGGTCGAACAGCATTTAAACAAGTGTATAGTAATTTGGACTGGTGCTTTTCAGTGTTTCATGTACATGTAAAGTACCTGGGAGCTTGTTACAATGCAGATTCCAATTCAGTAGATCTGAGTGAAGAGCTAGGAATCTGCATTTCTAAGCTCCTAGGTAATGCTCATACTGGCAGCCTTAGCTTATCCTTCAAATAAGTAGGATTTTGAACACCTTGACTTGTGTAAAGAAATTTGAGCAAAAAAGAAAATCATCAAATTTCATTTAACATTAAAAAAATGTGGACCGTGCAAAGAAATAATCTCCAAGAGACTTTTATATTCTCAGAAGGCAAAGGAAAGAGTGAGTAAATATGTGTGGAATAAATTCATTCAGTATACTGGAGGTGTGTGGGATTTGGTGTTAGAGATCTGGCTTTGAATTCATCTGGACCACTCACTAATAGTGTGAGCCTGGATAAAGCTACCTAATAACCTTGGTCCTCAGGTAATTTATAAAATAAGTTCAATAATAACTACTTATAAAATTGTGAGAATTACATGAAAAAATATGTCATTAGCATTAAGAAAAATGAAAATATTTGTTTCTCTTCTTCAATATATAGGATTGGTTTTTAAAATGCTGTCTATGCTTTATACCATACCTTATACTAGCAGTATTTACAGTATGGATACGCCAAAGTCTTTTTGTTTTAAATAATCATACAAATCATACATATTGTAACATTATGATTACTAAATAACTCATGTCAGTCATAGCTAAATTATTTAATGGTGTTTGATAAGAATCAAAAGACCAAATTATAGAATTTGTTCTATGCTAACATACAATTATCTTTTTATAATACAGTGT
Organism: Homo sapiens; assembly: GCF_000001405.40. Lineage (NCBI taxonomy): Eukaryota > Metazoa > Chordata > Mammalia > Primates > Hominidae > Homo > Homo sapiens. Next base: position 19,571,595 of record NC_000007.14, read on the forward strand.
CTAAAACACACTGTCCCCAAAATGTAAATTGTCTATGAATTTTCTACAGGTACACAAAATCCAAAGATCTTCATTCCAGGCTCAGCTTTGCCACTAATTTATGTTCCTTTGGGAAAGCCAGTTAATTTCTGGGGACCTTGGTTTCCTTTCCTGGAAAATCATATTAGATTATAACTAAAATCTGTTCTCAAAGAGCCTAATGTCTACCCTATTATGTTTCTTGCAGCTTCATTGGCTGTAAGTTTAATCCTGTGTATGCATATACCATGTCACATTGGTAAGATTGTGTTTTTGAACAGTCAACTGTGAAATTAGCTCTGTAAATTCAGCACTTACCACATGACTATATTTACATTCAGTTAATATTTTATATTGATACAATCATTTATATGAATCTAAAAGAATTCTTATCGAGCATTTGCTAGCAACTCTTCCAAGCCTTTTTAAAAAAATAAGTCATTTAATTTTCATTATAACCATATTAGATAGCTACTAACCCTATTTGATAGCTTCTATTATTATCTTCAACTTACAATTGAAGAAACTGAGGCATATGAGATTAACTTTCCCATGGTCACTCAGGGTTTTGATCTCTATGACTAAACTCCAGAACTCATGTTCTTAACCACTATGATAAGCTCCCTGTGTCACCATAACCATAAATGTTTCCTAATTCATAATTTATTTAGTTTGTCGGACAGAAGTACTGAATTGATTTAATATTAGTTCATTTATGTATACAGGATTCCTACAAAATAATTCTTTCAACTATATTAAAGATTTCCCTTACGAATGTTTTGAACAAAACCTACCATTTTGGCCCAGTACCTTGTGTAGACACACATTTAAGAGATTTTTGATACCTACTTTCCCCCATCATTCATTGCCCTTACTATACTACCTTTCCCTAAGATAGGAAAAAACATAAAGAGACCCAAGAAATAAAAATGACCTATCATTCATTGTTCTATTATTATTCTTGGTAGTTTTGCAACGCATTATGCAATTTCTAGGGAAAATAGTTCACTCCATTTTGTTGGTAACAAGTCAAGTAAACATAAATTTGAGTCCAAGTTAAGTAGTTATGCCTTTTGAAGATTTTATATCTGGTGGTCTGCTCAGTGTCACCAGGTTTCCACGGCAATATAGCTGTAACATTCCTTCTGAGAGAGCTTGCATCAGGCACACTGGATCGGATTTATGTCATGGACCCCCACAGGGTATTAATCATTCTTTGAGGTCATTTTCAGTTATGAAAGTAAGTGAATTTGGAAAAAAAATGGCATGAACGAACTTTAAACCAGGTCCCATGGCTAGCTTCAGGTGGTAGAAAAACAAATGTTGAAGATTCACAAAACTAATTTCTTGGCAGAGTGAGTATGAAGATTGAGAATCAGATGGGGTAGTTACCATTCATTAGCACACTTACAAACTGTCTGTGTTACGAAAACCAGGGCACACTTAGAGGAAAATAAACAAATTTATCAAGCTGGTTTCAATTTTCTGAAGTACAATGTTGAAAGGTTTCCACTTGGTCTGTGTGAAATTCTGAGAAGATAATTTAGACATGGCTATAATGATTTGTCACTTCTGTCAGGTCTTAGAAAAAAGTGTTAAGAGCCTGGTACACTTTTCTGATTGAGGACTGGAACAGTTTGCATACACCATTGTTCCAACAGCATGTGCTCACTTTGTGACTCTGTTTTACATCTTGGAAATTCTCGCAATATTTCAAACTTTTTATTATGTATCTGTTATGGTGATCTGTGATCAGGGTCTTTGATGTTACCAGTAGAATTATTTTGGGGAATCATGAACTGTACCCATGTAAGACAGCAAACTTAATAGATAATTTTGGTGTGTGTTCTGACTGTTCCACTACCCAGTCATTTCACCATCTCTCTCTCTCTCTCTCTCTCTCTCTCTCTCTCTTTCCTCAGGCCTTCCTATTCCCTGAGACATGATAATACTGACATTAAGCCAAATAATAAAACTACAATGGCTTCTAAGTGTTCAAGTGAAAGGAAGAATTGTATATCTCTCATTACTTTCAGTAGAAAGGTAGAAATAATTAAACTTACTGAGGAAGGTATGCAAAACCTAAGACAGGCCAAAAATTAAGCCTCTCTCACCATACTGCCAAGTCGTAAATGCAAAGGAAAAGTTATTGAAGAAAATTAAAAGTGTTAATCTATAAGAAAGAAGAGCAGACTTATTGCTGCTTTGGAGAAGCAGCTGATATGGAGAAAGTTTTAGTGGCCTGAATAGAAGATGAAATGAGCCACAACATCGCCTTATGCCAAAACCTAATCCAGAGAAAGACCCAACCTCTCTTTGATTCAGTAAAGGCTGAGAGAGGTAAGGGAAACTGTAGAAGAAAAGCCTGAAGCTAGCTGAGGTTGGTTCTTGAGGTTTAAGGAAAGAAGTTGTTTCCATAACAAAGTACAAGGTGAAGCAGCAAGTGCTAATGGGAAAGCTGTAGCAAGTTATCCAAGAAGATCTAGCTAAAATAATTGATGAAGGTAGACTAAACAGATTTTCAATGTAGATAAAATAGCCTTCTACTTGAAAAAGATACTATCTATGATTTTCATAGTTAGAGAAGAGAAGTAAATGCCTGGCTTCAAAGCTTCAAATAACAGCCTGACTCTCTTGTTAGGAGCTAACGCAGCTGGTGAATTAAGTTAAAGTCAATGTTCGTTTGTCATTCCCCAAATGCTAGAGTCCTTAAGAATTGTGCTAAATCTACTGTGCCTGTGACCTATAAATAAACAACAAAGCCTAGATGAAAACACATCTGGTTATAACGTGATTTACTGAGCATTTAAAGCCAACTGTTGTGACCTACTACTCAGAAAAAGAAAAAAAAAGATTTCTTTTAAAATGTTACTGTTCGTTGACACCGTATCTAGTCACTCAAAAACTCTGATAGAGATTTACAAGGATATTAATGTTTTCATGCTTGCCAACACAACATCCATTTAACAAGCCATAGATCAAGGAGTAATTTTGACTTCCAAGCCTTATTAATTTAACAAACATATTTTATAAGCCTGTACCTGCCATAGATAATGATTTCTTTGATGGATCTGGGCCTAGTAAATTAAAAACATTCTAGAAAGGATTTACCATTCTAGGTACCATTAAGAATATTCATGATTAATGGGAGGAGGCAAAGATATCAACATTAATAGGAATTTGGAAGAAGTTGATTCCAGCCCTCGTGGATAACTTGAGGGGTTCAAGACTTTAGTGGAGGAAATCAATGCAGATGTGATAGAAATAGCCAAGAGAGCAGGAATTAGAAATAAATCTTGAAGGTGTGACTTATTTGCTGCAATCTCATGATAAAACTTGAATGGAAATTAAAGAAAATGGTTTCTTGAGATTGGAACTACTGGTGAAGATGCCGTGAACACTGTTGAAATGACAACAAAGGATTTAGAATATTACGTAAACTTAGTTGATAAAGCAGCAGCAGGATTTGAGAGTATTGACTCCAATTTTGAAGCTCTAGTATGGGTCAAATGCTATCAAACAGCATTGCATACTATAAAAATATTTCATAAAAGGAAGAGTTAATCAATGCAGCAAACCTTATTGTTCTCTTATTTTAAGAAATTACCACAGCCTCCCAACATTCAGCAACCCTGACTGGGAAGAAGCCATCAACATCAAGGCAAGATTCTCTACCAGCAAAAAGTTTACAACTCACTGAAGGCTCAGATGATCATTAGCATTTTTTTAGTAATAGAATATTTTTAAATTAAGGATTGTACATTACTTTTTTAGACATAATGTTATTGCACACTTAAAGAGTACAAGATAGTGTAAATGTAACTTTTAAATGCATTGGGACACAAAAATTTGTGTGACTTGCTTTATTGCAATGTTTGCTTTATTGTGGTGATCTGGAACCACTCACTGCCAGTATCTGTGAGGTGTGCTTGTATTTTCAGGATTTCATCTTTGTAGAAGTCAAAACAACTAGCTATGGTACATATTTGGTGACTAGTTCTTAACTAGCTAAATATTTGGAAAATTAGTGCTGACATGTAGTCAGAAGCTTTTCATTAAGTGCCTTCAAACAAGGGACTTTGTATCTCCACTGAATAGCTTAGACACCTGAACTATACCTCAACCTGGGCTTTTGTTAGAGGGAGAAGATATAGAGATATTAGGTCATCAATGATGTCTAAGAATTACAGTGGGTGCAGGAAATACAGACTCCTTGAATCTTTTTTAATTGAGGCTTTTATTTGTGTATGTGGCTATGTGATGTGCTTACATATACATAATTTCATCAAAGAAAGAGTTACAGAAATTTTACCCAGGATGACCAACTAGAAGCATTTTATATGTCCTTCAAAATTGTTCTCTCCCACCGCTCACCATTTTGACCCCAAGTGACATCTTTTTGCAAAATGGATTAGAAAGCCCTTATCTAAGAGGGAGAGGTTGGCATCTTCAGTGAAGTTACTCACTTTAAAGCAAATACATGTTTCTACATGTATTTAAGAGGGTTGGGTATGTGAGTCATCTGCTTTTAATCAATTATGTTCATGGCATTTCTCATTCCCAATAGTATTGTCTTGAACTTGAATAGGTTTTTTTTCTATGCAAAAAATATCCAATGGTACATTATTCCACATTTTCTAAGAATACTAACTAGTGTCATATATTCTCTTCCAGACTGGAAGACGATTTAAACTTCAAGCAGTATTGACTTACCTATGAATCACTTAGTATATATGAGCTTCTCAGAGAAGAAATCATAAACATTGAGAGTTGCCATGCATAATGATGACCTTCAACACATATGAAGTAAGATACAGCATTCCTTTTCCCCTTAAGTGGCTACCTCATCCTAACTTAAATATTTAACTTTATTTCAATTATTTTATATCAATGTAGAAGAGAAACATTTGGGTTGAAACAGCACAGCATACATTGAAGTGACCCACCACCTTTCACTTAGCCCATATGTAGTCCAAAATGCTGCACATGAGAACCTAGCTTCTCACTGGCCCATGACCTGCTTTCATAATCGGAAGTTTTGCATAGTAGCTCTATTCGAAGAAAATGGCATATTTCTCTACGTTTGAATTTGCATGTGTTACACATGTGTAAGCAAGGGTTCTCCAAATCTTGTCGTGTAATGTCTACAATGTACTTGATTTTCATATAGTCATATAGTCTTTTGTTTTAGATATTACACATAGTAAAAGAAAAATCCAAATTAGGAAATTAAAGAGTACCATTTTATAACAAACAATATACTTGGATATCTTTAAAAAGTGTCATCGATTTCCTAGCAGCTTTTTTAAAAAGTCTCACTACAAACATATACACCAATTATAAAAAGTACATCCAAATTTTAGAAATATAAAAATGTGGAAATAGGTATGATTTATAATCATGGAAGTATAGGAGGTTTTTTTTTGCTTTTTCTTTACATACCAAATGTTTTGCTAGACATGTCATAATACTGTTTCATAAATCTATGTTACCCATTTATGCTATAACACTATTATTCTTGGTGGTCCATAGAGAAATTTAGACAATGGCATTTTAAGATGAAAATCATTGTGCTCTCCCACTGTCCGAATTTCTTGGAACAGTCCTGCTTTGAGCACTATAATAATGCTAAGGTTCACGAACCTTCTCTCTGTCTCCTCAGGAAATTACCCAGATCAGCATTTCCCCATCTTTCATGGAATAAAAGGTAGGGATGTGGTCAGTCTTTCTGAGACATGTTGCCAAAACATTAAGGTTATATCAATAACAGAATGAATATAAGAATGAACCATCCTTCTATTAAAATAGAAGGAAAAAAGACCCAACTTAAGTTAGAGGTTTGTTTTGAACATTTTCTCTGTGTTGTGTAGTGACCTAGAGTTGCTTCTACCACCACACCTGATCCCACAAGGGTTTTAACTGACATGCTGATAATATTGTTTTAAATTTAGTAGGGAAGGCCTCCCACCACTAACTGTTTCTATAGAGCATTATTGAACTCTTGGGGAATTTTTCTTCCAAAGAAAGCATGGAATTCGTCTCTGAAATATTTATTTCTCCAGGATTCTAAATGAAAGTGTCTGGAATAAAAAAAGTGAGAGCAAAAGTAAAAAGAGAGAGAGACAGAGATAGGGAAGGAAGGAGAGAGAAATATTTTTGACAAATGATCAATTTTTATTGTTAGAGTTGATTCAGTGACTCTGTTATTACCTATCAAAAGTAAAGTAAGGCAATTGTACAACTTTAAAGTTTGTCATTTAAATGTTACATTTGCTTTGTAATTCAGTCAGTAGTATCCATGCCCATGAAAAAATCCTTTTGCCTATTTGCATTTCCCTGAGAATATATTTGACTCTTACCAAGTGAGACTGGAAGATACTAACAGAAAAATCCAGAAGTGTGAATGAAAAGTCTACTGATTATTCCTCATTTCTTCAGAAATACACTTCTTTTTAATTACCCAATAGTAAGTCAATAAATGACTGTTAATTCCTTGTTTCTTCTCTAATAAGCAGACATTGTTGAACTTAAAACTGTCTTTTCTTCTCGAACTTTTAGGTTGCATCTAAACTTCAGGCTACAACAGACAACTTATTATTTGGTGTCATGCTAACCATTTTTTTTCTGATAGTAATTTTCCTTTAGCCTCTGTACTGAATCTTAAGATGTCCAGAATATCTGGACCATGTCAGGGTAAGATATCTTCTGTTTTGCCATTTAGATGAGTGACATATTACCTCCAAGTCTACTCTTACTGAAAGAATCTAATAATCTACGTTTATTTTAATTAGCTCATTTTACTGTAAGATATTACTTTGCATACTTTTAGGAAATATATACTCATGTTTGGTTCCCTTCCTATCATATCCTTCAAATGATCTCAAATGACCCGCATCCTTTCTTGTGCATCATACAGAGAAATCACCGAGGACTGGAAGTTGGCTGATAGAACTGACATCAGAAAGACCATTCAAAACGAAGAGCCAGTGTCAAGATCCTGTATACCCTTCCTGTCATTACTCCCAAAGTAGCCTTTTCATGGATCCAGGTAACACTTGAGCCCTCAATCCAAGATTAAAAACATCTGCTAGAGAAATTGTCAAAGAGTCTTGGGACACTTAGTCAAATTCACAGGGACTCCATCTGGGACTTGTGATACTTGCTGCTTTCGTATCTTTAATTGTTTCTAGCGCCTCCATAGATCAAAGTTCTCCTGTAATGTGTTCTTTCCATCATGCCATATTTACCCATTTTATATCAAAATATATAATCTTTACCATCTGTTTTCATAAGGGAATATAAATCTTTATCAAACTAGATTAACATTAAGTAACAATTCTCAGCTACGTGTGACTGTATTTTGTTCTTATGTGCAAATTTCAGAAAATAATCCCCTCTTTCATGGCATACTTTAAATTTAGAAACAGGCTTCCTGGGTTTTTCTAACTATGGAGTATTTTTACATGTTTCATTGTTCCTGAATTTCAACGTTCAAAGAAAGTAATTTTTGAAATCTTCTGTACTATAATAATATATATTGCTCTTACAACACATATCATACAATCTTGGTTATAATTTTGTACTTGTTTGCAAATCTATGTCATGTCGTGAAACTATAAACAACTGCAAGTCACTATTGAGTTTTAAAAATGTTTACACTTGGTCTACTGTCTGATTCATAGTAGATAATAAATTATTGATAACATAATAAATTGTTATTTTATGCTTAATAAGGATTATGTTAAAGTAAAAGTTGTGTTAAGATGAAAAATAGTAAATTAGCTAAATGTGACAGAACACTAAATAATAGAAGGCTAAAATTATTACACATATACAGAAATATGTAATAACCTGATTTATACAAATTAATGTATCACTGTTATTCATAAGCTCCTATAAAACATTATTTATATTTATATTTTTATACTCTGTTTTTATGACACTGTTTACACTTTCCTACTATTGTACATCCAATATACTCTGTTCTCTTGCACACCATGTAGTAGCTTACTGCTTTTATTCTTTCATTCCTTTTACCATGCAAACAGTGAGGGCCTTTAAATTGGATAATGTATTATTTATGAAAGGTATATGATGTCTAAATCTCAAAATATGTGTGCCATTAATTTATATATAATCTCAAGTTTCTAATGGGCTAAGGTGAGTTATTTTTGAAAGTAAAAATGAAGTTATTAATCACCATTGTATTACTCAGGATTCTCCAGAGAAACAGAAATAATAAGATAGATAGATAGAGATAGATAGATAATTAGATAGATAGATAGATAGATACACTAGATAGAAAGAGTAAGATATAATATGAGGGAGTGGCTTGCCTAATTATGGAGTCTGAGGAGACTATCCACTGTCTACAAACTGGAGATCCAGGTAAGCCAGTGCTATCATTTCAGTCCAAAATCCTGAGATTCAGAGCAGCCAATGGCATAAGTCCAGGTCCATGTCCAAAGGCCCAAGAACCAGGAATGCCTATTCTTAAGGACAGAAGAAAATGGATGTCTCAGCTCAAGCAGAGAGCAAATTTTTCCTTCTTAAACCTTTTTGTTCTATTCAGACCTCAATGGGTTGGATGATGCCCACCCATGTCAGGGAGGGTGACCTTCTTTATTCCATCTACAGATTCACATGCTAGTGCCTTCCAGAAACACCCTCACAAATACCCCAGAAATAATGCTTTGCCAGCTGTCTGGGGTTCCCTTATGTGTCAACCTGACTGCTTCCCCAGTCAAGCTGTGACTAAGATAATTTTATATTCTCTCTAATCTCCAACACTGGAAAGTAAGCATGGACCTGAGAAACAGTTTTAAATAAGGAAATCCTCCTATAAAAATAGTTTTGGTTTTAGTAGATTTAACCTTTTCCTTCACTTTGGATAGTTACCAATTCTCTAATCCTAGTGTTAAAAGTAACACCTCAAACTGGTTCTCTCATCCAAGACTAAATAAATATGTCTATCTAGGGCAAAGACCTCTTCCAAGGAGCACATCATAAATTCTAAATATGCCCCATCTTTTCTTCTGTGATGACCACTTCTATATGCCGTTATGAAGAACGAACTAATTTTAACGTCAGCTTTGAAAAAAATATCATTTCTTGTGATGGCATCTTTTCTAATGAACTTCAAACAGTGAAGTATTCTAAGAACAAATTCCAAGGCAATGTTGTAGGACTCTATGGAAAGAAATGGGAAGAAATATTTTACTATAAGACCATGATATTACATCAATTTTTGTTAAAACTAGAGCTCCAGAGGTTTTGGGATTTTGCTATATTTACATTGATATAATGAAGGGAAACATTTATGTTTGGATCATTAAATTTACGAATACATAGTTGTCTAAAAGAGCAAAGTAATTTTTAAATATCTAGAATGGTACTCTTCCATCCCTTGAATTAACTGAGGTTGTACAAAGTGCCTGACAAATGAAAACAATATTGAAGTGGGAATCCAAACATTTATGTTTTAATACAATATCTGATACTAAGTAGAAATATTTATCATCAGCAATACATTAAATTTTTTCTGGGCCTCATAAGTAAAATTAAAGAATTAAACAACACAATTTCTTAAGTTCCTTTAAACATTAACATTCTATGAGCCATGACAAAAAAGAAAACATTTAGATAATAAGTACTCTAGCCAAAAACCACATGAAACAGTAGGGCATCTCCCCAAACCCTACTAGTAAAAGCTAAGTGGGGTGTCTAGAATTCACCTGCCTGAGGTTGCAACGAGGCACCACAACTCCCCACTGTGTGATGTCAAGAAAAGCCACATAGAGAACTGGGACTTTCATCTTTATTGGCCATTAGTGAGCCATCACTCCAAGCCTCAGTATCAGCAGAGGGCAAGAGTGGAGCCTTTTCATCCACACTCACCCAGCAGTAACAAGGCACTTCTTCACCTTCCCATTGGAGTGGAGTCAGTGGAGACCTAGGGGAGAGTTAGGACTTTCACAATAGATACCCCATGCAGCATAACTAGAAGCTAGCTCCTGTCTTGTGTCAATGGAAGATGAGTGGAGAATGTTGCCTTTACCACCAACTAACATTAATGATGCAGAGGTCCCTCTTCCCCTGCCAGAGAAGTGCTAATGAAAGTTTGCTAAAACTGAAGTTTTAAATAAGACCCAGAATCTTAGAACATATCACAAAAATATCCAAGTTGCAATCGAAAATTACTTGTCACACCAAGAATGAGGACAATCTCATACTGAATGAAACAAAAAATCAGAAGATATTAACAGAAATACTACACAGGTGTTAGAATTATCTAATAAATATCTTAAAGGAGATGTCATAAAAATGCTTCAGTGGGCAATTAAAATCACACTTGAAACCAATGAAAAATTCAAGTCTCAACAAGGAAATAGAAGATATAAAGAACTACATGATAATTTTACAACTGAAAAATATACCTGAAATTAACAGGCCAGTGAATAAATAGCCTTCATAGTAGACTGGAGGGGTCTGAAGAAAGCACTATAATTGAAATTACCCAATCTGAGTGAGAAAGAGCAAATTGGCTGACCATAAATGAACAGAGCCTCAAGGACCTTGGTGATCATAACAAAATATCTAATATCCTTCAAAGTTTTAGAAGAGAAGAGAGGGCAGGTCTGAAAAAATTACCAAAGAAACAATGTCCAGAAACCTTCAAAATTTGGCAAGAGATAAAAACTTAACAAGTTCAAGGTACTATATATAAGACCCAAATATGATAAACACAAAGTAATCGATGACAAAGCACATCACAATTAAACTACTGAAAATTAAAGACAAATCTAGAAAGCAATCAGACAAATATAATGCCTTATGTATCGGATTAACCAGATTGATGAGATTTTTTTAATCAGAAACCATGGAGATGAGAAGAAAATGACAACAGTATATTTCAGGTGCTACAGGAAAAGAACTGTCAGCTCAGAATTCTATAGACAGTGAATATACCATTCAGGAATGAAAGGGAAATCAAGAGGAAGAAAAACTAAAATAATTAGTCCCATAATTTTACCCTAAAATAATGGCTAAGGGAAATTCCCTAAACAGAAAGGTACAAATGAAAGAAACTTAGAATTCCAGGAAGAACGACAGAACACAGTAAGCAAAAATATGAGTACGTACAGTAGGCTTTTATTTTATCTTGGGTTTTCAAAATGCTGTTTGATGAATGAAGAAAGAAATAATTTACCAAATATCTCTATAGAGTCAGAAAATATTTAAGATAATTATGTTACAAATGGGAGAGACATAAAGGGAGATAAATTTCTATACTCAAACTGGTAAAATAAGGACATCAATAAACTGTGGTAAGTTATACACATATATTGTAATGCCTGGAGCAACCACTGCAAAAATCTTTACAAAGAGATGTAGTCCATTATATAGATAACTTCAAAATAACATTCTAAAAAGGTGTTTACTGAACTCAGAGATCATGAAAAAGACAAGGAAGTGAAAAACAGAACAAACAAAAACAAAATGGCAAACTCGAACCCTAACATATCAATAATTACACTAAATGTGAATAGTCTAAATTCACCAATTAAAAAATGAAAGTTGACACATTGAATTAACCACCCAACTATAGGCTGTTGACAGTAAAGTCACTTCAGATATAGTGACATATTCAGGTTGAGAGTAAAAAGGATGGAAAATATATTTCATAGAAATATTAATCAAAGGAAAGCAGGAGAAGCTATGTTAATATCAGACTTCAGAGCAAAAAATAAAAAATTACCACATGGAGTTTATACAATTATAAAAGGCTTAAGTTACAAAGAAGATGTAGCAGTGCTAAATATGTATGCACTATGCAACAGAGTTATTAAATGTGTAAGGAAAAAACCCAGAATTGAAAGAAAAATTATTAATAGAGAAATCCACAACTGTATCAGAGCAAGGTCTAGGCAATAAGTTCCCAAACTTAACACAACAAATGCAATTCATAAAAGGAAAAACTGGTAAATTAGACTTAACCAAAACTAAAAAATGCACATTTCTACAAAACACCGTGTTCAGAGTATTAAAAAATAAGGTATAGACTGGGAAAAAATATTTGCTAACCACATATCTGACAAGAGAACAGTATCTAGAATACAGAAGGAACTCTCATAATTAAACCTAAAGAGTAGTGGGGAGGTAGGTTTGGTTAACGGCTCCAAAAATTAGAATGAATGAATAATACCTACTATTCAATAGCACAATAGGGCGACTATAGTCAATAATAGCTTAATTGTACATTTTGAAATAAAGGATGTAATGGGATTATTTGTAACTCAAAGGATAAATGCTTGAGGGAATGTATACCCCCTTCTGCATGATGTGCTTATTTCACATTGCATGCCTATATCAAAACATCTAATTTACCCCATAAATATATACACCTACTATGTACCCACAAAATTTAAAAATTAATTAATTAAAAAAAGAAAATGGTTCAAACCATGAAAAGACATTTTACTGAAGAGGGATATATACTTGGGAAGTAAGCACATAAAATGATCTTCAGCATCACAAGTCATTAAGGAAATGTAAATTAAACCAAATTGATATATTATTGTATACCTATTAAGATGGCTAAAATAGAAATAGTGGCAATACCACATTCTAGAGAGAATAAGAGAAACTGGATCACTAAATATATTGCTGGTGAGAATGAAAGTGGTACAACCACTGTGGAAAATGTGTTTGGTACATTCATAAAGAACTAAGCATGCAGCTAACATAAAACCAGAAATTGCAATCCTAGACATTTATCTCAGAGAAATGAAGATTTCTGTTCACACAAAATCTGTACATGTTTATACTAGTCTTATCCATAATATACAAAAATTGGACACAACCCAGTTGTCTGTTAATGAGTGAACACTTAAATTGTGATACATCTATACCATGAAATACCACTCAGCAAAAAAATGAGCAAGATAATGATAAATGCAGCAAACTGAATAATGATCCACAGAATTAGGCTATAAGGGTTATATAACATATGAGGCCATTTATATTTCATTGAAATGAAAAAAATTACAGAAATAGAGAACAGGTTAGTGGTTGCCAGAGTTTAAGTTGGGAAAGGCCTGTGGCTATGAAAGTACAACATAAGGGACCCGTGATATTGAAAATGCTGTGTTTTTTGACTGTATCAATGTCAATATTAAGATTGCAATATTGGATTACAGTTTTCAAGATGTTACCATTGGGAAGAATTGGTTAAAAGATACATGAAATCTCTTATTTTTTTTTTACAATAGCATGTGGATATACAATTATCTTTTAAATTAAATGAAAATTTAAAGAGAAAGTTTTGTGTCATTAAAAGCTGGTGATATTTTTCATAAGATTTTTAGCACAAATTAGTAGGTCCTGAAAAAAATTCCATGAGCCTATGATCTTGTGGACAGGGCACAGTTGCTATGTGATCAAAAACAAAAACACTCAATGCTGATATAGAGACTTGTAGCCCCAAATATTCATTATTGGGGCCATCAGTGATCTATTTCATTTGCTACTTATTGAATTCCTTATTCACCTGTGTACCAGTACTATTGGTAAATTAAATGGCTTTTCAACAAGTTAAATTCTGTCATGATTACTTAGAATTCTAATGTGTCTTAAGATTTTAAAGTATACGTTGTCATTTTAAGATTACCTTATTGTAATTAGCAAATTTTCCTGCTAAGTACAGTAAGAGCTAAGTATACTAAACAAGAGAAGACATTCTTGGTTTTATAAATCTCTGCTGCTGCTGCTGTAATTATATTTTGTGGTCTATAGTTGGTTCATTAAACTCTATTTTATTTATTTGTTTTATGGCCTTTATATGTAATCCCAATTGGCCTAAGCTTTTCTAATTATCTCAATATCTAATAGTCTAAAAAATCAATTTATGGAAGACAGGACAGGACACACTGGATTAGGAAATGCTCGTAAGAGGTCAGTATTCATTCTCACAATAAAGTTCATGGACTCCTAATTGTTTAAGGAGACAACCAAGTTAAGATGAGTGAACTACACAAATGTCTGGGAGATAGTCATAGGCAACACTAGTTAAAAGGAAGAGGAAAATGACAGACAGGAGGCAGGATTCAGGACTGTTAAGTTCATTTTGTTGCTAAAGTAAATTTCAGTTTCATTTGACTGTGCACAGTTAAAATGACACAGAACACCATATAAAAGATTTGGGGGTTGGAGAGGCAGAAGCAAGGGATATTCCTAAAGTTATATTTCATATAGTCATATCTTGTTCTTGATCTGTCCTTTTTGCATCCAAATATTTACTCCTCTCTACCCACTCTCTAATAACTGATGTCTCTGGTGGTTGTGCAATAACACAAGGAATGGATGATGCAAAAGGAGGTAGCTGATAGACCTGATAAATGCAGCTATCGCATAACCATCTGGTCTCGTGACTCTAAGGGGGGTCCCTTTCCAAACACACAGTTAGCTGAAGGAAATAGTCAACTTCTTTCCTCCTTCATCCAATACCTTGTATAAAGAAACCTATCCTTATAGATCATAAAGTTTAAGAAATACTAACTTTTTTACTACCCACCACTCTGTCTTTTAGCTGTACTACACTATACCATCTCTATCAAGTGGCAATAACTCCTGTTTTAAAGCATTGCTTATCCTGCTAAAGTTACTCCTTCCAATAATAACAACATGTATTACAGGAAGTTTTTCATTCTACAAATATTTTATATTATGCCTGTTATGGGATGCTAACCATTCATTGTTATTCAATAAATACACAGTAATTGCCAGGAATATCATTTGAGAATTTCAGATAGTGGTTTGTGTGGTTTTTGAAAAAGTCAGTTTAAATCCAGAGTTTTACTTATTATGTTTCTTTTTCTATAATTTATAAAGGGGTACTGCAGAAATTCTAACCACTCTGACAAGATAATTTTGTGTTTTGTTATTTGTATCGTGACACATTGGGAAGAGTTTTACTGATTTTAGCATAATTTGGTTCATTAATAAAGTTTTCAAATTTTATTTATAATGGTACAAATAAACATCTTTTAATATACTGTAGGTGATTTCATTGAAATGTACTAAACAGTAGAAATGACAGTGAGTTTTGGTGATAAAAGTCCACCAATACAAAATGATATTGTAAGGGCTTTCTATACCTTAGTTTTCTTATCTACAAGATGTACAAAAGGCTTTTTAATCAAACCCCTGAAGTTATACCAACCAAGGAGATGGAAGTAATAACATTATACAAGCACAACGGATGAAGCAAGTCCCAGCAGAATACTTACAGTGTATCTTAAGTTCAGAATAAGTGAAATGAAATATGTGGACATGTATATTGGTAAAAATGTTAAGTATTATGAATAATAAATGAAATTTAGAAAGCTATTGCTTATCAGGAAGATAGAATGTGGAAGTACATTTTGGTAAACATTGGTAATTATTACTATGCTCTGCTTCTTGAGTTGAACAGGAGGTTTGTAGCTATTCATTATAGTATTAAATAAATGTAAAAGTAAATCAATAAAATAGTCATACATGGGACAATAATGATGATGAGTTTTGAGTTAAGCATATGATTGTGGAAGGCAGAATTCTAAGATGGCCCCAATATCCCCACCCCTCTGTTATACACATTTTCTTTCATTTATTGAATTAAATAGTAATCTAGGTGGGTCTGTAAAGGGATTTTACAGATATAATGAAAGTCTCACATAAATTGAGTTTATGAGAGAAAGATTATCCTGGACCGGCCCTATCTAATCAGGTGAACCCTTAAAATAAGTCAGAAGGATTAAAAGAGACAGAGATATTCCCTTGTTGGCCTTGAAAGAGCAACCACCATGTCGTTAATAGACTGTGGTTGAGGGATGTGGCAAGGAACTTAGGATGACCTCTAGGGGCTGAGTGTGGTCCCAGGCCAATAGCCACCAAGAAGAAGGGAACCTCAGTCCTGCAACTGCAGAAAACTTCTTCCAACAACCTGAGTAAACCTGACAGAGTACCCCAAATTCCAGATGAGACTCCAGCCATATGGATACCTTGTTTTTAGCTTTGTAAGATGCTAGGAAAGGGTCCATGTACACTGTGCCTGGCGTTTTGACTATAGATGCTGTGAAATAGTAAATGAGATGAGACCAGAACTATAAAGTCCAGACTCATTAGAGGACAAATTTCAGACCAAAAGCAATTTGATGTAGTAATAATGATAAATAACATTCTATTTTGTCTTATTATTATGTTTAGATTATTTTCTTTCTATTATTAAGGGTGTATCTCTAAATGAAATGATTTGCCCACTTTTTTCAGGAGTTAGATATGTTTTTCTTTGCAACAAAACAATGTCATTGCGAGTACAGCCAGACAAAAGTACGCTTCTGAGAAAGGCGTTTAAAGGAACTGCATATCTAGATTTGTCATAACTCAGCACCAGCACCTTGACTCTCATAATCAGGGAGGTTCTATGCTGTCTGGGAACCTATATGCAGCAATTGATAGCAGTTTTTAAATTTAGGACTTGAAGAAATTGACAAGTGGGTATGTTGAAAGTGATTCCCCATATTCAGTTTACTTTGTATTTAAATCACAGTAAGTTATTTTTTAAAAAGGATAATGTTGTATCAGTTCTAATTTCTCCAGCATGGAATTGGTAGGAAGGCTTAGCCAAATTGGGCAGGGAAGTAGTTCATTTCTGTGCCTCCCTTGGTTCTTATCTAAACCTGCCTACTGATAGATATTAGGCTTCCTGCTTCAGGGCCCTAAGTGTTAGGTTTTCTTTATGTAATTAATCTGTCTCAAAGAACTGAGATTTTATAAACTGATTTCTATTGAAGCCTTCAAATATATGCTTTGAAAACTGCTAGCTGTTAATGTGTGATTATGCATCTATTCTTTCTGTGAAATCGGTGTTTTTCTATACCCTGCACTAGCATTAATGTTTATAGAAATATGATTCCTATTTTTAGTATGATTTTTCTTCCACTTTTTTTCTTCTAAGAAAGAAGTTATGAGAGGAGCTTGTTAGACATATTGGGAGGAAGAATTGCTTTCTCCTTGCCACCCAGGTTAGAAGGAGATAGCTACTGTGGAGAGGTAGCAGGCACAGATCCCCTGAAGTTCCTGTAGAAAACTTTACTATTTGTTCCATCGTTAGTAACTGACAGGAACACTATGGCTACCATATTTGCTGGATTTTTTCTTAAAAGACAATCTCACAAATTTCTCCTTTGTTTCGTTCTTATGCCATTTGAAGTAAAAGCAATTATACGTAATACTGGAATTTTAAATAATGATTGAGACTACTGAACAACAGGGCTGACAGAGTAGATACAAGCTTTAACTTTTATCACAAACTTTTGATTACATACAGTACTCCTTAGGTGACTTGGCCTTTTTTTTAGTTTGTTTAACATTTCCAGCGTCTGAGTATAAAACCACCAATGATTTTTAAGAGGAATACTAAAAATCCTAAAATTAGAAAATATGTAGTTGAATACTTACTTGCTCATATAATTTCATATCAGCTTTCAGGATCTGTAAAGAGACACAACTGTTTTACAGTTCGATTGGAACTGGGGAGGAGTTTAAAAGAATCACAGTAAGCCCTCTGGTCTTTTCCAGGAGGATAATCAACAACATTGACTGATTATGTTTGTATGGGTAAGTATGTCTGTTTATAGATAATGTTAGTTCTCCTCCAATGAATGTCTTCTATGTAAATAGACATGAAATTCATACTGTTTGAAGCTGTCTGTTGGTTTAGACTATTCTAAATTGCACTGAGTATATGATGTTGAAACACGCTGATCCCTTTGCAGACCTGTCGCATATTAGAAGGGTTTCCAAAGAAGCTGTCGAGGGAGCTGGGCTCCAGATAAATACATATTAAGAAAAAAATACTAGCTAAGACATTGAGGAAGATTGCACTAGCATTAATGTTTATAGAAATATGATTGCAATTTTTAGTATGATTTTTCTTCCACTTTTTTTCTTCTAAGAAAGAAACTTAAGAAAATAACTGTAGCATGATGCCAACTGCACATTGGATACAGATGGGAATTTCCAAGTAACTCATGCTGTAATTAGAGAAACTTCATAAATAGATAATTCATGTCTAAAAATTTAAAGGGAATCTATTTAAAGAAATTGCAGTTTGAAATGATTTTGTACTGAATAAAGGTTACAATGAGCCGCCAGAAATAGCCCCGGTGAATGAAGCTGTAGGCATTCAGATAAGGGGGGTAAGGGAAGACAGAAATAATGCTAAAACAAAAAATATATATGGTAAATGAATGTAAAGAAGTTGTAGTAAACATTTCAGAATTGCAAGGGGTATGCCAAAATATCAATATATGTATTTGCAAAGAGTTTTATTTTAGGTTCAGGGTATATGTGCAGGTTTATTATATAGGCAAACGTGGGTAATGGGGGTTTGTTGTACAGACTGTTTTATCCTCAGATACTAAGCCTAGTACCCATTAGTGTTTTTTTTTTTCCCTAACTCTCTCCCTCATCTCAACCCCACCCTCCAATAGGCCCCAGTGTGTGGTGCTCTCCTGTATAAGCCCATGTGTTCTCATCATTACCTCCTACTTACAAGTGAGAACATGTGGTATTTTGTTTTCTGTTCCTGCATTAGTTTGCTAAGGATAATGGCCTCCAGCTCCATCCCTGTTCCTGCAGAGAGCATAATCTTTTTCTTATTTTATATAGCTGCATAGTACTCCATGGTGTATATGTACCATATTTTCTTTATACGGTCTATCACTGATGGGCATTTAGGTTGATCCCATGTCTTCACTATTGTGAATAGTGCTGCAATGAACTTACATAGGCATGTATCTTCATAAAAGAATGATTTATATTTCTTTGGGTACATACCCAGTACTGAGATTGCTGGGTTGAATTACCATTCAACCTCTAGGTCTACCATTTCTGCCTCTAGGTCTTTGAAGAATCACCAAACTGCCTTCCACAAGGTCTGAACTAATTTACACTCCCACCAACAGTGTATAAGCATTCCTTTTTCTCTGCAACCTCACCAGTGTCTTTTATTTTTTGACTTTTTAATAATAGCCCTTCTGACTGGTGTTAGATGGTATCTCACTGTGGTTTTGATTTGCGTCTCTCTAATGATCAGTGATATTGAGCTATTTTTCAGATGCTTGTTGGCTGCATGTATGTCTTCTTTTGAAAAGTGTCCGTTCATGTCCTTTGCACACTTTTTAATAGAGTTGCTCGTTTTTTTCTTGTAAATTATTTTAGGTTTCTTATGGATTCTGGTTATTACACCTTTATCAGATACCTAGTTTGCAAATATGTTCTCCCATTCTGTAGGTTGTCTGTTCATTCTATTGATAATTTCCTTTGCTGTGCAGAAGCTCTTTTATTTAATTAGATCCCATTTGTCATTTTGTGGTTTTGTTGCAATTGCTTTTGGCATCTTCATCATGAAATCTTTGCTCATTCCTATGTCCTGAATAGTATTGCCTAGGTTGTCTTTCAGGGTTTTTATAGTTTTGGGCTTTACATTTAAGTCTTTGATCCATCTTGAGTTAGTTTTTGTATATGGTATAGGAAGGGGTCCAGTTTCAATCTTCTGCATATGGCTAGCCAGTTATTCCAGCATCATTTTTTGAATAGGAAGTCCTTTACCCATTGCTTGTTTTTATCAGGTTTGTCAAAGATCAGCTAGTTGTAGATGTGCAGCCTTATTGCTGCATTCTTTATTCTGTTCCATTGGTCTATGTGTCTGTTTTTGTACCAATACTATGATATTTTGTTTACCAAAGGTCTGTAATATAGTTTGAAGTCAAGTAGCACAATGACTGTAGCTTTGTTCTTTTTGCTTATGATTGACTTGGCTATTAGGATTGCCTTGGCTATTAGGGCTCTTTTTTGTTTCTATGTGAATTGTAAAATAGTGTTTTTCTAGTTCTGTGAAGAATTTGAATGGTAGTGTAATAGGAATGGTATTGAATCTATTAATCATTTTGGGCAGTATGACCATTTTTACAATATTGATTCTTCCTATCCATGAGCAAAGAATGTTTTTCCATTTGTTTGTGTCATCTCTGGTTTCTTTGAGCCATGTTTTGTAGTTCTCCTTGTAGAGATCTTTTACCTTCTTGGTTAGCTGTATTCTTAGGTATTTTATTATTTTTGTGGCAATTTTAAATGAGATTGCATTCCTGATTTGGATCTTGGCTTGACTGTTGTTGGTGTATAAGAATATTACTGACTTTTGCACATTGATTTTGTATCCTGAGGCTTTGCTGAAGTTATCAGCTTAAAAAGCTTTTGGGCTGAGACTGTGGGGTTTTCTAGCTATAGGATCATGTTGTCTGCAAACAGGGATAGTTTGACTTCCTTTCTTCCTACTGGGATGCCTTTATTTCTTTCTCTTGCCTGATTGTCCTGACCAGGACTTCCAATACCATGTTGAATAGGAGTGATAAGAAAGGGTATTCTTGTCTTATTCCAGTTTTCAAGGGGATTGCTTCCAGCTTTTGCCCATTCAGTATGATGTTGGCTGTGGGTTTGTTATAGGTGGCTCTTATTACTTTGAGGTATGTTCCTTCAATACCTAGATTATTGACAGTTTTTAACATGAAGGGATATGGGATTTTATCAAAAGCCTTTTCTGCATCTATTGAGATAATCATGTGGTTTTTGTCTTTACTGGTGTTTATGTGATGAATCACATTTATTGATTTGCAGATGTTGAACCAACCTTGCATCCCAGGGATAAAGCCAAATTGATCATGGTGGATAAGCTTTTTGATGTGCTTCTGGATTTGGTTTGCAAGTATTTTGTTGAGTACTTTGCATCAATGTTCATCAAGAGTATTTGCCTGAAATTTTTGTTGTTGTTGTGTCTCTGTCAGGTTTTGGTAGCAGTGTGATGCTAGTTTTGTAGCATAAGTTAGGGAGGAATTCCTTCTCTTCAATTTTTTGGAGTAGTTTCAGCATGAATGGTACCAGCTTTTCTTTGTATATCTGGTAGAATTCATCTGTGAATCCATGTGGTCTTGGGCTTTTTTTGTTGGTAGGCTATTTATTACTGACTCAATTTTAAAGCTAATTATTGGTCTGTTCAGGGATTCAGTTTCTTCCTGGTTGAGTCTTAGGAGGCTATGCATATCCAGGAATTTATTCATTTCTTCTAGACTTTATGGTTTGTGTAAATAGAGGTATTCATAATAGTCTGTGATGGTTATTTGTATTTCTCTGTGGTCAGTGGTAATCTCCCCTTTGTTGTTTCTGGTTGTGTTTATTTGAATCTCTGTTTTCCTCTTTATTAATCTAGCTAGAAGTCTAACTATTTTATTCATTTAAAAAAACAGCTCCTGGATTCATTAGTCTTTTGAATGGTTTTTAATATCTCTATCTTCTTCAGTTCAGCTCTGATTTTGGGTTTTTCTTGTCTGCTGCTAGCTTTGGAATTTGTTTGCTCTTGGTTCTCTAGTTCTTTAATTGTGATGTTAAGTTAACTTGAGAAATTTCTAACTTTTTGATGTGGGCATTTAGTGCTATAAATTTCCCTCTTAACACTGCCTTAGCTGTGTCCCAGAGATTCTGGTATGATGTAACTTTCTTTTTATTAGTTTCAAAGAACTTGTTGATTTCTGTCTTAAATTCAGTATTTACACAAAAGTCATTTAGAAGCAAGTTATTCAATATTCCATGAAATTGCATGGTTCTGAGTGAATTTCCTAGTCTTGACTTCTAATTTGATTGTTCTGGGGTCTGAGAGATTGTTTGTTATAATTTCAGTTTTTTTGCATTTGCTGAGGAGTGTTTTACTTCTGAATAGGTGATCAATTTTAGAATATGTGCCGTGTAACTATAAGAAGAATGTATATTCTGTTGTTTTGGAGTAGAGAGTTGTGTATATATCTCTCAGGTCCATTTGGTCCAGTGCTAAGTTCAGGTCCTGAATATCTGTTAATTTTCTGTCTCAACAATCTGCCTAATATTGTCAGTGGGGTGTTAAATTTTCCCACTATTATTGTGTGGGAATCTAAGTCTCTTTGAAGGTCTTTAAGAACTTGCTTTATTAATATGGGTGCTCCTGTATTGGGTGCATATATGTTTTGGATAGTTAGATTTTCTTATTGAATTGAACCCTTTACCGTTATGTAATGCCCTTCGTTACTTTTTTATCTTTTTTGGTATAAAGTCTGCTTTGTCAGAAACTAGAATTGCAATCCCTGCTTTTTTCTGGTTTCCATTTGCTTGGTAGATTTTCTTCCATCCCTTTATTTTAAAGCTGTGTGTCATTGCATGTGAGATGGGTCTCCTGTAGACAGTATACCAGTGGGTCTGGGTTCTTTATCCACCTTGCTATTCTCTGTCTTTTAATTAAGGCATTTAGCCCATTTACATTTAAGGTTAGTATAGATATGTGTGGATTTGATCTTGTCATCATGATGTTAGCTGGTTATTTTGCAGACTTGTTTATGTGGTTGCTTTATAGTTTCACTGGTCTGTGTATTTTAGTGTGTTTTTAAAGTGTCTGGTAACAGTCTCCTTTTCATATGTAGTGCTTCCTTCAGGAGCTCTTGTAAGGCAGGTCTGGTGGTAATGATTTCCCTCAGCATTTGTTTGGCTGAAAAAGGTCTTATTTCTCCTTCACTTATGAAGCTTAGTTTGGGTGGATATGAAATTCTGCATTGTAATTTCTTTAAGAATGTTGAATGTTGATCCTCAATCTCTTCTGGCTTGTTGGGTTTCTGCTGAGAGGTCTGCTGTTAGTCCGATGGGCTTCCCTTTGTAAGTGACCTTTCTCTCTAGATGCCTTTAACATTCTTTTCCTTTCATTTTAACCTTGAAGAATCTGATGATTATGTGTCTTGAGGATGATCTTCTGTGAAGTATCTTACTGGGGTTTTCTGCATTTCCTGAATTTGAATGTTTGCCTCTCTAGCTAGATTGGGGAACTACTCATGCATGTTGTCTTGAAATATGTTTTCCACGTTGGCTGCGTTCTTCCCATCTCTTACAGGGACACCAATGAGTCGTAGATTCAGCCTCTTTACATAATCCCATATTTCTTGAAGGTTTCGTTCATTCCTTTACAATTCTTCTTTGTCTATTGTTGTGTAACTGCCTTATTTCAGAAAGCCAGCCTGCAAGCTCTGCGATCTTTCCTCCACTTGGTCTATACTGCTATTAATACTTGTGATTGCCTTATGAAATTTTTATAGTGTGTTTTTCAGCTCTGTTAGGTCAGTCACATTCTTTTCTGTACTGGCTGTTTTGTCTGTCAGCTCCTACATTGTTTTATCATGATTTTCATCTTCCTTGCATTGGGTTTCAACATACTCTTGTACCTCAGTGATCTTCATTGCTATCCATATTCTGAATTCTATTTGTCATTTCAGCCACCTCAACCTCGTTCAAAACCCTTGCTGGAGAGGAGATATGGTCATTTGGAGAAAGGATGGCACTCTGGCTTTTTGAGTTTTCAGGAATCTTATGCTGATTCTTCCTCATCTTTGTGGGGTTATCTATCTTCAATCTTTGAAGTTTCTGACCTTTAGATTTTTTTTTCTTTTATCCTATCTGATGACCTTGAGGGTTTGATTGTGGTATAAGGTGAATTCAGCCAGCTTCATTTCTGGAAGATTTTAGGGGGCCAACACTCAGCTCCCAACTCCTGGACTGCATGCTGTAAGTCTTGGGGACTTGTACTGGACCCCAACTTTGTTTCTATGTCTCTTGAAGTCTGAAATCCACTGAACTGTGGGTGGAAGGAGTGGAGGTGCGGTAGCTGTGGCAGAGTGCTAGTGGGTGTCAGGGTGCCTGCCTTCCTGAGGGCATTCACCACAGTGGCAGAAACAATGCTGCTGGGGGTGGGGTAGGAGACTATGGGTGTGGTCATGCTGGAGGTGGCGTTGACTTGGAAGTGGGGTGCTCATGGATACAGGTCTGGGTGCCTTCTCTGTGCCCTGCAAGCAGAAGTGATTGCTCAGGGTGAGGGAGAATCCACTGTTCTGAGCAGTGTTAGTGCAAGGGTGGGGTGCTGGTGGGGTTGAGGCTTTCTGGCTCTGTGTTGCCAAGGCTCTGTCTGCAATGACAGTCGGCAGGGGGTAGACTGCTGGACTGCTGGCAGGGCAAGGAAAGCAAAACCTGCCTGTGCAGACATGCACATGCAAAGTGATGTGGATAGTTGCTGTGTGCCTGGAGGAAGGTGCATTATAGGGAGGGAGCGGACGGACTGGTGTGTGTCCATAGGGCTGCCTCACTGGAGCTTTCTACTGGTCAGGCAAAATCTGCCAGGGCAGAAGCTATGGTGTGGGTCCCCAGGGCACCCAAGACTTCCCAGCAAGCAGGGGTGGCCAGGCTAGGGCCCCAGGAGTGGGCAGCAGACCACGGGGTGCTCAGGTCAGAGCAGCCCCATCTGTTGGGCAAGACTACCCTGCAGAGATCAGGTCCAGCAGTTTCCCTAGGGCTAAAGTCTGCTATGGGAGCAAGTTGAGCCTAGAGGGATGGCTGTCCCTGGCTGTGCTCCACTACTGATGCTACTGCATCAAACCTTCTGGGCTCCACATCAGCTGTCTTGCTGGCCCTACCACTTCACAGAGATATGAAGACGGTGGATTTATTTTACCAGTAGAAATGTCACATGAAATATATAGGAAAGCTTGTATTTACTGAGACATAGTTTCAGACATTGTGGCAGTCTATAGCTAACTACTTTTCTACGTATCTGGTGAGAACAAAGATGTTCTACTTAAATAGAATAGAATGATCAAACTCAGGAAATCTGGCATTGAATATGGATGGTATATTTAATATATGATATGTATTCATATATTCCCAATAATAACAATAGTTTTCTTTATAGCTTGTATTTTTAAAGTAATTTTATATTTTATTTTAGGTTCAGGGAGTATATGTGCATGTTCATTACATGAGTATATTGTGTGATGTCGATATTTGGGATATGAATGATCCTGTAACCCAGATAGTATGCATAGTACTCAACACTTAGTTTATCATTTCTTGCCTCCTTTCTTCCTCCCCACTCTCTAAGTCCCCAATGTCTATTGTTACCATCTTTATGTTCATGAGTACCCAGTGTTTAGCTCCTACTTATAAATGAGAACATGTGATATTTGGTATTCTGTTAATGCATTAATTTTCTTAGTATAATGGCTTCCAGCTGCATCCATGTTGCTGCAAATGTCATGATCTCATTCTTTTTATGGCTCTGTAGTATTCCATGGTGTATACATACCACATTTCCTTTATCTAAACCACCAGTGATGGGCACCTAAGTTCAGTCTTTATCTTTGCTATTGTGAATTACACTACAGTGAATGTACACACTGTATATCTTTTTGGTAGAACAATTTACTCTCCTTTGTATATATACCCAGTAAGGGAATTGCTGGGTCAAATGGTAGCCCTGCTTAATGTTCCTTAAGAAATCTCCAAACTGCTTTTCACAGTAGCTGAACTAATATATACCCACCTACAGTGTATAAACATTCCCTTTTATCTACAACCTTGCTAGAATCTGTTATCTTTTGACTTTTTCTGGTAACCACTCTGACTTGTGTGAGATGATATCTTATTGTGGTTTTGATTTACATTTCTCCGATGATTAGTGTTTATGAGCATTTTTTCATGTCTTTGTTGGCCACTTGTATGTCTACTTTTGAGAAGTGTCTGCCCATGTGTTGCCAATTTTTTAATGAGTTTATTTGTTTTTTGCTTGTTGAATTGTTAAAGTTCTTTATAGATTCTGGATATTAGGCTTTTGTTGAATGTGTAGTTTGTGAATATTTCCTCCCATTCAGTAGATTGTCGCTTTAACCCTATTGATAATATCTTTTGCTGTGCAGAAGCTCTTTAGTTTAATTAGGTCTAACTTCTCATTTGTTTCTGTTTTTGTTGCAATGGCTTTTGAGGACTTACTCATAAATTATGTACCAAGGCCCATGTCCAGAATGGTGTTTCCTGGTTTTCTTCTGGAATTCTAGAAGATTTAGACTTATATCTAAATCTTTGATCCATCTTGAGTTAATATTATATATGGTGAAAGGTAGAGGTCTAGTTTCATTCTTCTGAATGTAGCTAACCAGCTATCCCAGTATCGTTTATTGAATAGAGAATCCTTTCTCTATTGCTTATTTTTGTCAACTTTATCAAAGATCAGATGTCTATAGGTGTGTGGCTTTACTTGGGGGTTCTCTATTCTGTTCCATTTGGTCTAGGTGTCTGTTTATATAACAGTAACATTTGGTTTGGGTTACTGTAGCTTTACAGCACAGTTTGAAGTTGGGTAATGTGATGCCCCTGGAGTTACTCTTTTTGCTTGCGATGCTTTGGCTATTGAGGCTCTTTTTTGATTCCATATGAATTTTAAAATAGCTTTTTCTAATTCTGCAAAAAATGACATTGGTAATTTGATAGGAATACCAATTAATCAGCAAATTACTTTGGGCAGTATCTCCATTTTAATAATATTGCTTTTTCCAATCCATAAGGATGGAATGTTTTTCCATTTGTTTATGTCACCTATTATTAATTTCAGCAGTGTTTTGTAGTTCTCCTTGTAGAGATATGTTATTTCACCTCCTTGATTAGATGAATTCCTAGGTGTTTTATTTATTTTGTTGCTATTGTAAATGTAATTGCATTCTTGATTTGGCTCTCACTTGAAGATTATTGGTATATAGAAATGTTACTATTTTTTGTACATTGATTTTTTGTATCCTGAAACTTTACTGAAGTATGTTTTCTGTTCCAGGAGCCTTTGGTGGAGTCTTTAAGATTTTATAGGTATAGTATCATATTGTTCATGAAGGGAGATAGTTTGACTTCTTCTTCTCCTATTTTGATGCCCTGTATTTCTTTATCTTGTCTGATTGCCCTGGCAAGAAATTCCAGTACTATGTTGAATAGGAATGAGGACAGTGGGCATCCTTGTCTTGTTCCAGTTCTCAAGGAAAATGCCTCCAGCTTTTGCTCATCCAGTATGACATTGGCTGTGGGTCTGTTATAGACGGTTCTTATTTTTAGTTATGATCCTTCAATGCCTAGTTTATTGAGGGTTTTTGTTATGAAGTGTTATTGGATTTTTTTTTTTTTTTTTTGAGACGGAGTCTGGCTCTGTCGCCCAGGCTGGAGTGCAGTGGCACAATCTCAGCTCACTGCAAGCTCCGCCTCCCGGTTTCATGCAATTCTCCTGCCTCAGCCTCCCGAGTAGCTGGGACTACAGGCACACGGCACTACGACCGGCTAATTTTTTTGTATTTTTAGTAGAGACAGGGTTTCACCGTGTTAGCCAGGATGGTCTTGATCTCCTGAACTCATGATCCTCCCGCCTCGGCCTCCCAAAGTGCTGGGATTACAGGCGTGAGCCACCACCGCGCCCCACCGTGTTATTGGATTTTATCAAAGGCTTTTCCCACATCTGTTGAGATAATTATATGATTTTTGTTTTTAATTATGTTTATGTGATTAATCACATTTATTGACTTACATCTGTTGAATGTACCTTACATCCCAAGAATGAAGCCTACTTGATTGTGGTAAATAGCTTTTTATGTGCTACTGGATTGGGTTTGCTAGTATTTTGTTGAGGGTTTTTGCATCTATGATCATCAGGAATATTGGTTTTGTTTTTGTGTTTGTTTGTTTGTTTGTTATGTTTTTCATTGTTTCTTTGCCAGGATTTGGTATAGGGGTGATGATGGTTTCATAGAATGAGACAATGAGTTAGGGAGGAATCTGTCCTCCTTGATTTTTTGGAATAGTTTCATTAGAATTTGTACCCACTCTTTTTTTGTATATCAAGTATAATTCAGCTATGAATCTGTCTGGTCCAAGGCTGTTTTTGGTTGGTAGGATTTTTCTTACTGACTCAATTTCAGAACTCAATATTAGTCTGTTCAGAGTTTCAGTTTATTCCTGGTTCAATATGGAAAGATTGTGTGTTTCTAGGAATTTATTCATTTTTTCTAGGTTATCGTGTTTATGTGCATAGAGTTACTTATAATAGTCTTAGAGGATCTAATGTATTTTTGTGGGATTGGTTTTAATGTCCTCTGTGTTGTTTCTGCTTATGCTTATTTGGATCTTCTCTCTTTTTTCTTTGTTAATCTAGCTAGTGGTCTATTAATCTTGTTTCCTTTCAAAGGACAGACTTTTGGATTTATTGATTCTTTGTATGGATTTTTGAGTCTCAATTTCATTCACTTCCACTCTGATTTTAGTTATTTCTTTTCTTATAGCTTTGGAGTTTGTCTTTGTTTTTCTAGTTCCTCTAAGTGTGAAGTTAGATTGTTAATTTGAGATCTTTCTAACTTTTTGAGGTAAGCATTTAGTGGAAAAGCATAAACTTTTCTCTTAACACTGCTTTTCCTGTACCTGGGAGACATTGGTATGTTGTATGTCTATTTTCATTTATTTTAAAGAACTTTTTGATCTCTGCCTTAATTTTATTTTTAACCAAAAGTCATTCAGGAGCAAGTTGTTTAATTTCTATGAAATTGTGCTATTTTTGGAGATGTTCTAGGTACTGATTTCTATTTTTATTCCACTATGGTTTGAGAATATGGTTGGTATAATTTCAATATTTTTGAATTTATTGAAACTTTATGGCTGAGCATGTGGTCAGTCTTGGAGTATGTTCTGTATACAAATGTATATTCTGTAAATGTATATTATGTGGTTGTTGGGTGTAGTGTTCTGTAGATGTCTATTGGGTCCAATTGGCCATCTAATTAAGTCCAGAATTTATTTGTGAGTTTTCTGCTTCAATGAACTACCTAATACTGCCAGTGGGGTGTTGATGTTCCCCCACTATTATTGTATGTCTGTCTAAGTCTTTTCCTAAGTCCAGAAGTACTCGTTTTATGAATCTGCGTGCTCCAATGTTGGGTGTGTCTATATTTACAATAGTCAAGTCTTCTGGTTGAATTGAATCTTTTATCATTATTTAATGCCCTTCCTTCTCCTTTGTTGGTTTAAAGTCTCTTTTATCTAACATAATAATAGTGACCCCTGCTCTTTTCTGTTCTCCGTTTATGTGATAGATCTTTCTCCAATCATTTTGTCCTGCATGTGTGTCCTTACCTGTAAGGTGGGGCTCTTAGAGACAGAAGACAGATAGGTCTTTTTTTTTTTTTTTTTTTTTTTTTTTATCCAATTTGAAACTCTGCCTGTAAATGGGGCCTTTAGACCATTTACATTCAAGGTTAATATTGATATGTGACATTTTGATCCTATTGTGAAGTTGTTAGCTGGTTGCTTTGTAGTTTCTATTGTGCGGTTGCTTTATAGGGTCTACGGACTATGTACTTAAGTGTGTTTTATGGTAGCAAGTATCATTCTTTCATATACATGTTTAGAACTTCCCTAAGGAGGGCTGGTCTAATGGTAATAAATTCCCTTATTGCTTGCTTCTCTGGAAAATATTTTATTTTTCCTTTGCTTATGAGGCTTAGTTTAGTGGGATATGTAATTCTCAGTTGGAATGTATTTTCTTTAAGAATGCTGAAAATAGACCTCAATCTCTCCTGACTTGTAAGATTTCTGCTGATAACTCTGCTGTTAGCCTGATAACATTCCCTTTGTACATTTCTGACCTTTTTCTTTAGTTGCCTTTAAGATTTCTTTCTTTATCATTGACCTTGGATAGTTTGATGACTTTATGCCTTGCTGTTGTTCGTTTCATACAGTATCTCACAGGTGTTCTTTGGATTTATTGTATCTGAATGTCAACATCTCTAGCAAGATTAGGGAAATTTTCTTGAAGTATTTCCTAAAATATGTTTTTGAAATTGTTTTTTCTCCTCTCTCAGGATTGCCAACACTTTATAGGCTTGGTCACTTTATAGAATCTCATATTTCTTGAAGACTTTTCATTTTTTTAATGCTTTATTCTTATTCTTTTTTTTTGTCTGACTGAATTAGTTTGAAAGACGTGCCTTCAAGCTCTGAAATACTTTCTTCTGCTTTGTCCACTCTATTGATAACAGTTTCACTGATATTTTGAAATTCCTTAAATGAGTTTTTCTATTCCAAAATCTCCAATTGCTTTTTTTTAAAGCTATATATCAGTTTATTCATTTCCTGATGGAGACCTAGTATGATCCTTTTTTTTTTTTCAGGTATTACATGGTGCCACAATTCTTGCACTGGTTCCTTTTCATCTGGATATGCTGGCCCTTCTAATTTTGGTAATTATTTTTGTGCGAGGAGAATTTGTTTCTTTCAGTATATTTTTTCCTTTACCTTTCACCCCACCCCCTCCCTTGGGGGTGTGACCTTAGAGAACGTTGATTAGAGTTTTTTGGCTTTGCTTTTATAGCCTTATTCAGGTTTTTCAGCAGGTTTTATATTAGGCTGTATGGTTCAACCTGCAAGTCAATATATAACATTTATGGGTAATAGCCAGCTGAAGCCAACATGGCTAGGTATGTACTTGATTCTTGTTTACCAGGTAGAACTATCTGTTGTCTCAGGCCACAGGCTGATCTGTGGTTTGCACAGAAGTCTGAGCTCCCTGTTCAGCCCAAGGGAGTGGGGCTCAAGATGGCAAGGGTTAGACCGGGCAGGACCACCTACATATTCCCTCATGGCAAGCACAAGCACCAGTGCTGAGAGAGAATCCAGTGGGTGTGCTACCAATCACTCAGAATTATGTCTAGGCATAGAGCTGGGCAACCTACTTAGTTTTCAGTTCTTTGCACAGGTAGTTGGGTGGCCTAAACTGCTATTCCAGGAGGGTAGGCACTCTAGATGCCTGGAGATCTGCCTGAGGGTGGAGTGCAGAGGGCCACAGTGCATCAAAATCTCTGCACAGAAAAAATAGGTGGCACAGGCTACTCATTCAGGCAGGTGGGTGCTCTGAATCACTAGAGATCTGCCTGGGCATGGAGTAGAAAAGGCCCTGGTGCACCGCAGTTTCTATGCAGGAAAGGTAGCGCAGCTCAGGCTGTGAATCTTGTGAGCAGGTGCTCTGAATGCCTGGAGATCTGCAAGGGCGTGAAGAAGAGAAGGCCCCTCTCCCAACCCTGGCGCCAGGATCTCTGCACAGGAATTGTGGGGCAAGCTGGTCCTTTGAATACCCAAAGATCTGCCTGGGCATGAAGCAGATTGGACCAAACTGCACAATGATCTGTGCACTGGAAGGGTGGGGCTGCTTATCCAGGTGAGCAGGTACTCTGAATGTCTGGAGATCTGCAAGGGCATGAAGAAGAGAGGGACCCTCACCCCACCCTGGATCCAGGATCTCTGCACAGGAATTGTAGGGCAAGCCAGTCCTTTGAATGCCTGAAGATTTGCCTGGGCATGGAGCGGAGTGGACCCCACTGCACAATGATCTATGCACAGGAAGAGTGGGGTGGCTCCAGCTGCTTATCCAAGTAAGCAGATACTCTGCATGCCTGGAGATCTGCCTGGCCATGGAGCAGAAAGGGCTCTACCACACCATGATATATGTCTAGGATGGGTGGAGTGGCTAAGGCTGCTGAACTAGGAAAGTAGTTGCTCTGAATGCCTGGATATCTTCCTGGTCATGTAGTGGAGAGCACCCCACTGCACCACGATGTATGCACACGAAGAGTGGGGTGGCTCAGGCTGCTGATCCAGGTGAGAGTGTGCTGCCAATGCCTAGAGATCTCCTTTTATCACCTGGATACCATCACAGGGGCTCTTTGTCCCTGTTGTTCTCCCTGAGATCTGGGATATCTTCATGATTCTGGTGGATTCGTGTCTTTCTTCTTAAATTAAAACTCAAAAGTTGATCTTCATGTACAATCTTGTTATTTCCAACTGGCTGAGACACACAAAAAGTCTTGACTCCACCATTTTTTAGGGAAAAGCTGTTTTTCATTTAATTCAATGACCACTCAAGAATCATGCATTTTATTTGTGATGTCTGTAATCTTCTATAATCTAGAAGACATCAGCATTTTTTATGTCTTTCTTGAAACTGATATTTTTGAAGAATCAAGGTCAGATTGACACATATTTTGGCCTTGTTAGGTAATTTCCTAGTAAGCAGAAACATTTTTGGCAGAAATTTTATGTTAGTAATATTTGGTCTTTCCCAATTTATCACATTGGGAGTACATGATATCACTCTTCGCCATAACTGTTTATGTTAAGTTTGATTAGTTAAGATACGATTTCTTCATGGTAAAGATTTACTTAGCATTTTATAATTGATAAATACAGTTTCTTCAACGTTTATTAGTCTGTCTTCTTTAAAAAATCATTTACTCAAATTTTCCCTTCCCAATTCATCTATTTTAAAATCAGTATCGATTTGTAGATTTTTTGTGTGTGTAATTCTATTTCTGTAAGTATTTATTTTGAAGCAAAAAATTGTCCCAAATTTGGCCAGTGAAAGACTCTTAATGCCGGTTTCCTCAGGATATGTCTCTGTTAGTTCTCCAGGTTCTTCTTATTTCCTGGCACAACGGGATAGTTGAGGGTCACACTATAACCTTCCTGCTCTCGATCTGGAATCAGCCTTTTCTCCAAGGAGCTCTTGTTCCTTTTAGTGTAAAATGATATGTCAAAAGTGATATTGGTAAGCTAGGAATTATTATTGCTACTAGGGTGCCATTTTGTTAGATCCTTTTTGTAGACAGATACTCCCAATTCCAATTCTAGCACCACAATATGTTTCTTCTTTTTCTCCTATTCCATAATTGTATTTTTTCTTCTACAGCAAAAAAATCCTAATATATTAACAATATCAATATATAATAACTTATTTTCTCAATTCTACAATAAATACAAAATAGTGTTGGAATTTCTGTGTTAGTACCACTGCAAATAATAAACCTAATAAGGAAAGCTCAAGATACCTTAATGTTTTTTGTCCTTAGAATATATACCATTGGAATTATACAGTTAAATTATCATATGAAAAACTTATTTGGATAAATTTTAGTCTTTCTATCTAAGTGAATATGTTATCTCCTTGATACATAGTTATAGGCCGTTTCTGTTTATATTGAATTTTAGGATTTCTTCCCTTTGTTGAAATAGTTTTATTTTTTGCTTATGTAAAATATTAACATGTTTCAAAATCCAATTTCCTTCCCAATCTCTTTCTCTGGATTCTTAATCACTTCTTGTAAGTAAACAATTTTATCAGTGGCTAATTTATCCTTACTGCATGTCTTCTTGAAAAATGAGCATACAGTGATGATAGATATCTAGAAGTAAATATGCAGACATACATATGAGCTTGTGTTCACACAAAAGGTAGTGTTCAATAGATGCCCTTTCCCTGTTGCTTCTGTTTATCTAATGTATACATCCTATGAAATTTCTCAATATCAGTTCATAGACATATTCCTCACTTTTTAAATAATGTATTAGCCTTCCATTATAGGAAATTACCATAGTTTATTCTATCATTCCCATATATATAGACTTTTAGTTCATTTTCAATATTTTTATATTGTAAGTAATGCTGCCATGAATAAGCTTCAACATATGTTTTTGTATTTGGGAGGATATATCATCAGGTTAAGTTACTAAACATGGAATTGCTGGACAAAAACTAAATATGAACATCTTTTCATATGTTTGAGTTATTTACATATAACTCCTTGTGAATTTTGTCTTTATGTGCTTTGCTCAGTTTTCTAATGGATTTTGGCCCTTTTATCTCTAAATTTTTGAAGAGTCCTTTACCATTTATAGTGGTTCTGAGAGTAAATTTGCTATACCTTGGTATATTATAAGGTATGTCCAAGCAATGTGATATTGAAAATAACTTAAATTTGCAGGTTATTTTTCTTCTTTTAAAATAAATGTGAGGATCCTGGGAAGATGGCAGAGTAGGAACAACCATGAATCTGTATCCCTACCTAGACAACAATTGCACTGGCAGTACCTGTCTGGTATAATTATTTTGAAACTCTGGAGCTATTGAAGTCTTGCAACTTTTAGGAGAAGGCTTGGATGGTAAAATGCAGTTAATTTTTATCAGTCTCAGCTGTTAGTATAATATAAGCTTCCTATCCCCCACCCCCAGCCAGGGGCAGCCAGCTGTGCACGCTTCTG
Source organism: Homo sapiens (assembly GCF_000001405.40). NCBI lineage: Eukaryota > Metazoa > Chordata > Mammalia > Primates > Hominidae > Homo > Homo sapiens. Next base: position 19,605,660 of record NC_000007.14, read on the forward strand.
TGAGCAACTTGCCACAGCTTGCAGGAGTAAGTGTGGGCAAAAAGCACCCTGTCTTTCAGTATTAGGGATTGGTGCTATGATCATCGATTGCTCCCTCTGATCACAGAGGTGCAAATAAAAAGGTGGATAACCATTGTTATGGCACCATCCACCAGCAGTGAAAGTGCTTCTCCCTCAGCTATAGTGACTTCCAGAGTATTTAAACGGCTGGGGCCCTTTCCCCTCCTTCTTTTCATTTTTCTCTTTTCCCCCTTTTAGAAGTCAGATCTTAAAGACTAGGACACTCAAAAACAACTGCATATAGGAGAAAAATTGGAAAGTACTGAGCATGCTCAGGAAAAGGCACAAGCTCAAAAAGACTTGAGAAGACCTTAAGGGTCTCAGACTGATTCTCAGTACAGAGACAGTTTGCAAATATTTTTCTAAAATACAAAAACAATATAAAACAACAGCAAATAGCAAACCAGGAGAGAAGAATCGAATTTCCAGGTACCACATTATTAGATTCAAATATCCCATTTTCAACCAAACAATCATAAGGCATATAAAAATTCAGGAAAGTAATACTTATTCAAAGGAAATGAATAAATCAGCAGAAACTGTCATTCAAAAGCACCCAATGACAGAACTAACTTACATAAATTTTAAAACAACTGTCTTCAAGAGGTTCAAAGAACTAAAGGAAAATGTGGAAATATAGAACTTAAACAGCACAATAAACCAACTAGATGTAAAAGACATATGCAGAACACTCTCTTTAACAACATCATACACATTCTTTTCAAGTGCAGAGGGGACATTCTCCAGGCCAAAAGTTAAGTCACAGTATATTTCAAAATACCTGTCATACAAAGTATCTTCTCTGACCACAATAAGATAAACCTAGAAGTCAAAAACAGAAGTAAAACTGGAAACTTTACAAATTGTGAAAATAAAACAGCAAACTCTTAAGCAACCAATGGATCAAAGAAAAACCATAAGGCACATAAGGAAATAGTTAAAGATGAATTAAAACACAACATACCAAAACTTAATAGGACTTAGTGAAAGCAGTACTAATGGAGAAATTTATAAATACTTACATTAAAAAAACAAGAAAGATCCTAAGTCAACAATTTAACTTTACACCTTAAGGAACTAGAAAAAGAGAACAAACTAAGCCCAGAGCTAGCAGAAGTAAGAAATAATAAAAAGTAGAACATAGATAAATGAAATAAATAATAGAAAAAATAGAATCACTAAAGCCAAAAGGTGGTTCTTTGAAAAGATGAATAGAGTCGACAAGCCTTTAACTAGCTAGACTAAGAAAAAGAGTTAAGAGGACTCAAATTACTAAAATTAGAAATAAAAGTGCAGATGTTACTACTGATTCTACAGCACAATAAATGATTCTAGGAGAGTTCTATGAACAATTGCTTGTCAAAAAATTGGATAACCTAGATGAAATGGACAAATTTTTAGAAACATAAAACCTGTAAAACTAAATCATCAAGAAATAAAATACCTGAATAAACTTCTATAGCGAGTAAGAAGATTGAATTAATATAAGTTCAGTAATCAAAAACTGTTATAAATGATAAATGAATTCAGCAAAATAGCAGGACAAAAAGTTAACATGCAAAAACTAGGTGCATTAATATACACTAACATAACTAATATGAAAAGGAAATTATAAAATAATTCAATTTACAATCATTTCAGAAAGAATAAAATATTTAGGGATTAATCTAACCAAGTAGGTGAAAGACGTGTACAATGAAAACTAGAAAACATTGGTAAAAGAAATTGTTGACATAAAAAAATGAAAACATCCCATGACCATAGATTGGAAGGCTTAATAGTGTTAAGATATCAATACTACCCAAAGAAATCTATAGATTCAATACAGTAATAAATTCCCAATAATGTTTATTTGTAAAAATAGAAAAACTCATCTTAACATGTATATGAAATTTCAAAGGAAACTGGGTAGCCAAAATAGTCTTGAAAAAAAGAACAAAGCTGGAGAACTCACACTTTCTGATTTCAGAACTTACTGCAAAGCTATGGTAATCAACACAGTATGGTGTAGGTACAAATACAGACTAGTGAAATGGAGAGCCCACAAATAAACCCTCACATATATTGTCAAATGATTTTTGACATGACTGTCAAGAGCATCCACTGGGTAAAGGACAGTTTTCAATAAATGGTGCTGAGAAAACTGGATATTAACAAGCAAAGGAATAAAGTTGGAACTTTATATAACAACATATACAAAAATTAAATGGATCAAAAACATAAATATAAGACTAAAAGAAATAAAACTGTTAGAAGAAAACATAGAGCACAGGCTTTACAGCATTGGATTTGGCAATGATTTCTTGGATATGAGACCAAAGGCACAGGCAACAAAAGAAAAAATACACAAATTAAACTTCCTAAAAAAATAATTTGTGCCTCGAAAGACACTATCAACAGAGTAAAAAGAAAACCCACAGAATGAAAGAAAATATTTGTAAATCATACATCTAAAGAATTAATATCCAGAATATGTAGAGAACTCCTAACATTCAATAACAACAACAACAATAACAAAATGCAAAAATGGGCAAAGTACTTGGGTACACATCTCTCCGAAGAAGATATGCACATGGCCTATAAGCACATAAAAAGATGCTCAAAATCACTAATCATTAGGGAAATGCAAATCAAAACTGCATTGAGATACCACCTCACACAGACTACAATGGCTACTATAAAAAATAGTAAAAATAAGTGTTGATGAGGATGTGGAGAAATTCGTACACTTGTGTAGTGCTGGTTGGAATGGAAAATAGTGTAGTTGCTGTGAAAAACAGTATAGTGAGTGGTTCTTCAAAAAATTATGAATAGAATTACCATATGATCCAGCATCTTCACTTCTGTGTATATACCTAAAAGAATTGAAAGCAGGGTCTTGAAAATACATTTGCATATCCATATTCATAGTAGCATAACTCACAATTGCAAAAATGTGGAAACAACCCTAGTGTCCTTCAGTGGATGAAAGAGTAAACAAATGTGGTATATCCATACAATGAAATGTTATTCAGCCTTTAAAAAAGTAACTTCTGCAATCTGCCATAATATGAATGAACCTTGAGGACATTATGGCAGTGAAATAAGCAAGTCACAAAAAAGCAAATATTGTATGAGTCCACTTATATGAATTACCTGGAGTTGTCAAAATCATAGACATAGAAAGTAGAATAGTGATTGTCAGGGATGAGGAAGAGGGAGAAATGGAGACTTATTATTTGATAGGTATAGAGTTTCAGTTTTACAAGATGAAAAGTGTTGTGGAGTTGGATGGTGGTGATGGCTATACAACGATATGGATGTATTTAATATCACTGAACTGTACACTTACGAGTGATTAAGATGGTAAATTTTATATTATGTATATTTTACCACAATATAAAAAATTAGAGAAAAAAAGAAATGGTGGGGAACAAAACTAAAAGAGGGCTTAAAATTAAATAAAGGAATATGATATGTATCTCTTCACAAAAAAGAGAAGCAAATATAAGATAATTTCCATAATAATATTATTCTTCATTGGTTGCTTTCCTATCTAGCTTGTTGGATAAAAAGGAATGAACAGGAGCTCACCAGCCATCAGAGAATTGCAGCTAACCCTAGGTAAGCCTATTGGAACAAATCCTATGGTCAAAGATATATTTCTCATATAATGAGAAACAAAACTACAGTTGAACAGTTGTGTTAGAAATAATCCATGTAGCACTTTGAAATGTGTCCATTTATATTTGGTTTATATGACGCACCAGCCTCTACACAGTATTACAAATATACTGCTTATCAACGTCAAAGTGACTAGAATGACTAGAACACTGCCTCCATAGAAACTTTCTTTTTTTTATTATTATTATACTTTAAGTTTTAGGGTACATGTGCATGGACACAGGAAGGGGAACATCATAGAAACTTGCTGTCGTACCTCATTACAGTACAGATTATCTACCTTTACTTTCCTATAATTCCCTAGAGCACACCTCTCTCATTTTCCCTGTATTTTCTAAATTTATGGAATACATACAGCTTGGAAATCTTTATGATTATCAGTCTATTGTTCTAACTTTTAATTATCTGAATCATAATATATGGGTTCTCTAATATATATTTTTATATTATACTGTATATATAATATTAGTAGCAGCAGCCAGCTTGCTTGCTTGTATCCTTCCTCCTTCCTTTTTTCTTTCCTTCCTCCCTCCTGACCTTCCTTACCTTCCTCCCTCTGTTCCTTCTTCCTCTTTTCCTCCCTCTCCCCCTTTCTTACGTTTCTGTAACATGTTATAATGTCTTTCTGGCTCTAGGATTGTGCCATATAATGCCTTTCTCCATCATAGCTTCCTCGTTTCAGAGATATTTTGTCTGCGAATATGTGAAATAAATGTCACATTCCAGATTGGCAGAATAAATGAGTATTCTTAGAACTTGGCAATTGGGTGCTACGGATCCTATTTAATACTCCTACATATTTGTCTTATTTGTTACTACATGTTAGTGATTCAGTGTTAAAGCCTGAATTTTTATACAGGCTGAAGGTTTAGGTTTATGTGTTTGGTTTTTTTTTTTCCTTTTGGAATTGGCTGGTAGATTATTTACTGCTAAAAACACCAACTCAATTAAAATAGATATCAATGCATCAGGGCTGTATATCACATGCTTGTAAACTGTTATGTGCAGACCTCAGCAATTTATAACTCCTGCCTAAGTACTAATACACTGCTAAAAGACATTATCATCATTAATTTTGCTTTTTTCTTTTTGCTGCTATTCAAAGTCATCCCCATTTTGATTTAAAATTAAATAAGTCACTTCATGACATACATAATTACTTATATCTGCAACCTGAGACAGAATTTCTTTCAAGAGGAATCAGATTTATCTCAACTAATGAGTCATTGAGTTTCATTTCTATTGCCAAGTACACATTATCTTTTATTCAATATGATATGCCAGAAACTTCCCTAAATGCCAAAATATCATTTATCCTCCCTCTACACTCTTCCCCCAGGGATCCAGGCATTTTTGTTCACTCACCTCAGCCCTGATCCACATGCCTGCTGTTTCCATCCCAGCCATCTCTGTAAGCTGCCAATCATGCTCCTTTTGGCCAGAAGGCTTAGGGCTTTTGAGTTTGTACAGCCAAATATCCAGAGACTGGGTTCACTCCACCCAACACTTTTGGATTTTGATTTCAGCATTATTTTTCACACAGACTTCCAGAAATGAAAGGTTGCTTTACCAAATCCCCATGACACCTGTTTTTTTCTGTTTATTTATATTTTGCATTTTCCCAGCTACCACATAGAAGCCAACCTAGGAGGAGACAGCAGAGGTGTTTGTAAGTGCACTGAGTTTCACAGTGAATGCATGCTGTCTGACTGCTGGCTAAGGAGCCTTATTTACTGAAGGCATTTTACAATTTTCTGTTTCCTTCCAAGCCACCTCAGCAAGAATTTTCTTTTGAATTTCGGTGGCGAGAGGTGATAGAATGATGACAGGTTGGCATGATGCAGCCTTTACCTGTTGAGTAGAAAGAAGCTTAAAGTCTTTGAAGAAAATATCTAGGAATAATGAAAGAGTTTTTTTCCCTTGAGAACTCTGAATAGTTCAATAGAGTTATTATAAGCCACTAAAGGTGCATGTTGCTTTTAACTGTGCCATTCTTATCTATTCTCAAAATTTAGAGAGAAAAATGTTTGGAAGTAGCAGATTATTATATTTTTATTACCTTACATTTGATGATGCTATTGCTTAAAATGTACAAATACAAGTCAATTTGACCAATAGGGTTAAAAAATACCATTTCATTATAGTCAATTTATTGTTTGTGCCTCATGACTTTTTTTTAAAAAAAGGTTAATTTCATTTATTGAATCTATCTTCCCAAAATGACCTTTACCATTAATTAAAACTACATTCTCCTGCACTTAAAGAGTAGTTTGGCTACCATTTATAAAAATGGTATTAAATCTTCACAGATACTAAAGGGAGACAGACTTAACATCCTCCTTACACAAGCTAAGAAACAAGAAATACAGCACCCTAACTCCCAATGGCACATGTTTGAGACAATTTTCTCAACTTCAGTTGGACTGAAATACCCTTGTATTTTCCTCTTCTAGACATAGGAAGACAGGGCTGCAGGCCATATCATGATGAAATCCATGAAGTTGCTAGTGGAGTCATCTTAGTGGTCTAGTATGTGGCTCTCAGCTCTCTATGTCCAAGATTTTAATATACTAGTTAATACATAAAGTATTGAGAAATTTGATTATATATGCATCTGAAATGCATTTATAAAGCAATTTTCAGATATATGTATTTATATTGGAACATATCTTTCCAGTAATAAAATCATTTTTACTATAAAAAAATACCTCATTTCCAGTATCATAGTATTCAGAAGTCAAATTAGCAAGAAGAAATTGGAGAGTGAGAGATCATAGAGAAGGACTGTAGAGAGATGGAAGCCTTCTTCATTTAAGCCCTTTGAACACTGCCCCCTTATAAATTACATTATTCTGGAGACCAGACTGTTTTATAGGAGTAATTGGAATTAGAAGTACCATCCACAGGGAAATTACATGGGAAAATGAACTGGCTTTGGCTCCCTTAGTCTCAACCCACAATTATATAGAAGAGATATAGGTGCAACAGTGTGTATAGTTCAGAAATCAGGCTTTATATCAGGCAAATTTGTATTTGAACCTCAGCTCCACTGTTACTACAGCTGTGGAACCCTGGATCAATTACCCTGATTTGCTTTAATTTTATCTGTACATGTAGGAAAAAACTCCCTCCTCTTCCTGCTCTCTTCCCACACCACACACAATACCATTAGGGTTGCTGTAAGGCTAAGGAAATACAACATACTGAGCACAGGGACTGTCAGGATGGGTCATCAATAAAATGATTGACCAACATACTAATATCTGAAACTGGGTAAGGCTGCTGGGCTGGATTGTCTACTGTCAGCTCAGCATCATTACCCCACCCTTCTAGGGTCTGAAAATTGCATTACCCAAACTCCCCTTCCCTATTATTTTCCGGGTAGAATTTCCCATTGAGAGGAAGTTGCATGAGATTTAGACAGCAGAAGAGAAAAAGCTCTTATTCTCTGGATATGATTGCAACCAAACTTATAGGCAGGCGTGAGAGATAGCAGCTACTCAGTGAGCACACGAGAACCATCCATACTGCGGCAGATGGCAGAGATTTTCCCCAGCATCCCTGACTTTCCGGCTTCAGCAGTCCCAGTTTTACCATGGCAACGCTCTGACCTTCCCTCTCCAGCTCTTCCAACATCTGTGTAAAGCCTAATTTCTGAGCGAAACCTTATTCTTGGAAGAGTTAGGATAGCTCTGTTTTCCTGACTGATTCTGGGTTGATAGCACTGGCTGTAGTCAGGATCAGGAAGCTGCCAGATGGTGGAATTCAGGTGCAACAGGGAAGCTGCTCCTGTTCTCCATAGAGAGGATTTGTCTATAGATTATTTGATTAGTATTATTCTCCCATACTAGGCTATAGCACCAAGTCCAGTGCTTGGCACATTAGGAACTCAATAGACAGTTGTTGAATGCCAGCATCTATGTATGGTTGCTTCTGTTTGCCCTACCCCCTCATCCCCTTTCTTCTAGAATGGGTTTTTTCTTACTCTCCCTCCACTGCATGGTTGAACAACAGCCAAAGTCTTCTTTTAGAGCTTACTCCTCTGGACACATTTTATTGTTCCTGGTCACTGCTGGCCAATTACAATTTTTCTAAAGATGTTTTAAAGTAGATACTAACAGTACAGCCCCTTGCTGTATCATGGAAGCCTGGAAGCTACTAGCAACCATCATTTCAGTAGTATGGAGAATGTCTGAGAGAATGAAATAGAAATAGAAGTAGTACATATGTGAAATGGTGAGAGAATTTTGTCAGCATTCAAATTCCCTAGCAGCAGTAGTCCCCAGCAACAGTTTGTAGTGAAGGATAATACCTCACGTTTCTTGTCTAAGCAAGTTTGAGTTGCATTTCTGTCACTGCACCAAAAGGGTAATATATACTATCTCCACTTGTATACCAACAATCTTATGTCTCCAGTCCTGCCTTTGTCCTTGGCTGTGCCCTTACTATCCAATTTTGGGAGGAGAAAAATGATAGAGGTAAAAGTCAGAGAGTTGCGTTAGAGAAGAAAATATCGGCCCCTGTAAAGGGAAGGCAAGGAGAACACACCTAGTCACCTTCAAAGCCTCAGATGTGTGAAAAAATACTTTTTTTTAAAGTTGACACGAGTACATTCTATTCCATCAAAAAGAACCAAGAGCTAGTGTTCAGATAACCATTCAGCGTCCCATTGTGTTAGTTATCTCATCCTCAGGATCCATACTAACTTACAACTTCACCATATCACACACTTGCCATGTTATATCACAGTGTATCTACCTACTAGTCATTCTACTTCATTAATCCGTAATCCACTGAAAGGCAGAGATTATATTTTATTTGTCTTCACATTCTCAGCATCTGGCATATTACCTGCCTCATAATAGGTGGTCAATAATCTTATATGTCAAATGAATAAAATTTATTTATACAAAGAAATATGTCTGTTTTGACACCCCTTTTAAAAAGTCTCAGTTGATAATTTTATTTAAAGAAATATTTGACATGTTATAGTTTAATCAGGTAAGAAATCTGGCCAGTTTATTTATATTTTGATTATATAGAGAAACATATATAATTTTATTTACCAGTTTAAAAAGTTTTCTAGAATTCACAGTGAAAAAATTGTAAAATACTGTGATGAAATTCTTTGTTGTCTTTTCTCCTTTCTTCTTTCTGAGTGCCAGGTTTTATGCTAGGAGCTAGGGATAATAGGACGCAGAAGCTCTCAGTTCTTCCTTAAGAAAGAGGGTGAAATCTAGTGGCACAGACTAGACATGCCAACTTTCTCTCTCTCTCTCCCTCTCTCTCTCTGAAATGCTTAGAGTTGTTAGAGATAATCAAATATTTATTTTATCACCAAATGATCAGTAAAGAATACAGTTGCATTAAGTATGTAAGAGTCTTAGTATTAATAAGTATGTAAGACTCTTACATGGAAAAGAGTATCCAAAGTTACTGCTTTAAAATAATAATAATGATAATAATATCTATATTTATAGGGTGCTCACTAAGTACTATGAACTCTGCTAAATGTGTTATGTAACCTATATTAGCCCTACAAAATTCATGTGCAGTACATATAAATTATTATATATTTTGCAGATGAATAAAATTATGCTTTGAAGTGTTAAGTAGTTTTCCCAAGGTTGTATAGCTAACATGTGGCTCAGCCAGCATTCTAACCCAAAGATGTTCATCTGTAGAGTCAGCACTCTTCTGTAAAGAGAGGCAATGTTTTAAAAGTACAATTAAGGAAGAGGAAAATTAGACTATTACTATTGGTAATTAGGGATTGTGAATAAGAGTTTGAGTGGAATATGGTCTAGCAGAAACTTTTTGATGGAAACCTTGCATGTAGGGAAATTGAGAATGAAGTTTACATATCTTAAAGATGACCTTAGCAGGTAAAGGCGAAGGTTGAAAGCATCAGAGGTGGAAAAAAATTACAATAAATACAATTGACCCTTGAACAATGCAGGGCTTAGGGGTAGTGACCCCTTCACAGTCGAAAATTTGTGTATTATCTTTTGGCTCTTCCAAAACTTAACTAAACCCCTAATGTTGACCATAAGCCTCACTGAAAATAAACAATCGATTAGCACCTATTTTGTTTGTTATATGTATTTTATACTATATTCTTACAATAAATTATGCTAGAGAAAAGAAAATGTTACTATGAAAATTCTAAGGAAGAGAAAATATTTTTGCTATTCATTAAGTGGAAGTGTTTTATCCTAAAGGTCTTCATCCTCATTGTCTTCACATTGAGTAGGCTTAGGAGGCAGAAGAGGAGGGGTTGGTCTTATTGTATCAGAGGTGGCAGAGGTGAAAGAGGTTGGGGTGTGGAAGGAGAGGCAGGTTACAATTGCTGTAACTTTACAGAAATCATCATCATAATTTCTGCCTGATATTTTTGCTTTTGCATTTCTCAAAAAATTTTCTATATGGTACCAATCCTTCCTTCTTCCACTGTGGCTCATATCATGGAAGAATCCATGTCTAAAAAAAGTCACAAATGTCTTGAATAATCAGAATTCTCCTGCCAGATTGTCTGATGTCAATTTGTTTCCTGGCATTGTTTCTTCTCCATCTTCCTCATCATCTGGAACTAGTTCAAAAGCACTTGTCTCCATTAAGTTGTCTTCTGTTAATTGCTCTGGTGTGGTGTCTCTTAACTCTCAAATTTCTTGAAGATTCATACCTTGAAACTTTTCACCTGTCTTTTTTTTTGCCATATCCACAATCTCTCTCATGATTTCCTTGATTGGCTCTGTCATAAATCCTGTGAAGTCATGTGTACCATCTGGACACAGTTTTCTCCAGTAGAAATTTATTGTTTTAGGCTTGATGGCTTTCACAGCTTTTTATGTAACAATGATGACATCTTCAATGTAATGCTTTAAGACTTTCATGATGCTCTTTCTGAGGGTTCTCTTCCATAGCAATGACAATCCTTTCCATAGAGCACCATGTGTAATTGGTCTTAAAGGTTTTTATGACTCTATGAACTACAGGTTGAATTAAAGGTGTGTTTGGGGACAAGTAGACAGTTTCATTGTCTTTGTTGTTGAAATCATGGTGTTCTGAGTGGCCAGGAACATTGTCCGATATCAAAAGAACTTTAAAAGACAGTCCCTTATTAGCAAGATACTTCCTGACTTCAGGGACAAAAAATCAATGGAACCAATCCAGAAAAAGGGTCTCGTTCAGGTCTTCTTTTATAACCAGAAGACCGGTAGCTGGTGTTTCCCTTTTTCCTTCGAGGGTAAGAGCTTAGTGGCTTTATGTATAAGGGTAGTCCTGATCATAAACCTGACTGCATTTGTGCAACAAACAGTAGGGTTAACCTTTTTCTTCTTCCCTTAAGTCCTGGTACTTGCTTCTTTTCCTTCCTAGTAAATTTTCTTTATGGCATTGTTTTACCCAAAGTAGAGCACTTTTTCCTCATTAAAAATCTGTTTGAGCAAATATTCTTTCTCTTCAATATTTTTCTTTTTCTTTTTTTCCTTTTTTTTTTTTTTTTTTTTTGAGACGGAGTCTCACTCTGTGGGCCAGGCTGGAGTGCAGTGGCACGATCTCGACTCACTGCAAGCTCTGCCTCCCAGGCTCCCGGGTTCATGCCATTCTCCTGCCTCAGACTCCCGACTAGCTGGGGCTACAGGCACCCGCCACCTCGCCAGCTAATTTTTTGTATTTTTAGTAGAGACGGGGTTTCACCGTGTTAGCCAGGATGGTCTCGATCTGACCTTGTGATCTGCCCACCTTGGCCTCCCAAAGTGCTGGGATTACAGGCGTGAGCCACCGTGCCCAGCCCTCTTCAATAATTTTCTTAATGACACCTCTGGGAACTCATCTATAGCCTCTTGATCAACTGAAGCTGCTTCTCCTGTTATCTTGAGATTTTTTTTTTTAGACAAACCTCTTCCTAAATTATCAAACCATCCATTGCTGGCATTAAATTCTCCAGGTTTAGAGACTTTCATTTTAAGATGTTGCATAATGACTTCCTTTAAAAAAAATAAATTTAGTCTATAGGTATACTTTCTTATAGTAATCCTGTACCCACATATAAACTGAATTTTCAATATGAGATTAAAAAGTGTTTTGCAGAAAGTGCAAGGTTTTTATACTTGCTTCCACAGCTACTCATGAAGCAACAGCTTCATGAATTCCTTCCTTCCTTCCCTCCCTCCCCTTTTCTTTCCTTCTTTCCTTCTTTCTTTCTTCCTTCCTTCCTTTCCTTCCTTCCTTTCCTTCCTTTCCTTCCTCCCTCCCTCCCCTTTACTTTCTCTCTCTCCCTTCCTTCCTTCCTTTCTTTTTCTTTCCTTCTTTCCTTCCTTCCTTCCTCCTTTCTTTCCTCCTTTCCTTCCTTCTTTCCTCCCTCCTTTCCTTCCTCCCTCTCTCCTCTCTCTCTTTCTTCCTTTTTTCTTTTCTTTCTTCCTTTTTTCTTTTCTCTCTCTGTCTCTCTCTCTCTCCTGCCCTCCCCTGCACCCCATCCCTCCCCTCCCCTTCTTCCTTCCCTCCCTTTCTTCTCTCTTCCTGTCTTTCACAATGTGCCTCATGTTGAATTTATTTCTCTTGAAATGGTGGGAAACTGCAGCTATAGATCTCAGCCTGCTGCACGTATCAAGCAAGTCAACTTTTTTATGTAGTGTAATGACTTTTCTCTGCTTCTTGGCAGCACTTCCAGCATTGCTAGTGACACTTCATAGGGATCCAGTGGCGTTACTCAAGGTTTACAGTACTGCACTAAGCATGAAGAAAAATGGGAAATACACAAGAACTGTGAGATCATTTTTTTCTGTGACATGCAATTTACTGGAGATGATTAGCATCATATGGCATCTTAAACAGATCTCACTGCAATAGCAACAGGAGATGGCTACAAAATTATTATAGTAGTATAATATGTACAACAGTTAATCTTATTCTGTTATGATTTCATTCTGCATTTTTATGTTTGTTTACATTTCTCTCAGCTACAGCTGACACCATGTATGGTCTGTGTTTGTGTGTATATATTTTGATAAACTTTGACTTTTTATTACAGATTTTTGCATATTTTATGATAGTAAATGATAAAATGAACTAATATGTATCTATATTTTATGGCCTCATGACATACCTGACTTTCTCTTTTTTTTTCAATATTTCTAAGCTACTGAGGTTCACCTGCAAGTTTTTTCAAATTGTTGCAAATCTTTTAAAAATTCCAGTATATTTATTGAAAAAATCAGTGCGTAAGTAGACCCACACAATTCAAACCTAAGTTGTTCAAGGGTCAACTGTATTTGACATAAATATGCTGTATTTATAATATAAATATCATCTATTATAGAATAGATGATAATCTTCAATAGGTCAGATCTCAGAGCTTCCAAAAGTTAGACAGGAGAAATATATTCTTTTACCCACTTTATAACATTTACTCTTCAACTGCCTATGACTCTGGGGCAATAAATTTAGAAATACACAGATTAGCAACAAGGTTGCTCCTAGATCAAGAAGCTCCTGACACAAGCTATTACTATAAAGATTGAGGCTGGAAGAGACAGTTTATTGAGTAAAATTGGAGTTTTCTTATAATAAAGAAAGTGATGTTGGGTGAAAAAAAAATTAGGCATTTACTTCACATAGCATTTGAAATATATGCCCAAATTTTGTCTAAAATATCTAGCTGGAGTTTTGAGGCTACATTTGCTCTTTAGGTATAGAGTATTCACATGTGCTCTACTTTTTTCCCCCTATCTTTGGCTTTACATGTGCTTTGTTAGTACTAGCTCGTAGCCTTAGTTTATTATATTGCAGGTCAGATGTTACAGTGAAAAGAGTATCAGATTGAGAAACTTTAAGCCCAGGGAAGGACTATGTGACTCCTTTGATTTGGTATGATTCATCAAACCTCAACTGAAATTGTTCTAAATCAAAGGAGATTGGTGACCCTAAGAACCTATTTGGTTTTTTATAATTAAATTAGCCTTTGCTGGTCCTGAGCCCTTAAATTGTGAAATTCCTTTTCTGTAGCATTTCTCCCTAGGATCATCCTGAGTCATAGTTTCCTTTCTCTATAGACATTGGCATGTCACCTGTGGTCTCCACCAAATTGGTTTTGTTAAGGTTACAACATTTATTTATGTGAATATTTATTATTATTATTATTATTATTAGCTCAGCTCTGAATAAGTTTGAAAAGTGCTATCAACATTATATATTGACAAACACTTTTTAGAGATTTAATATGTGGTGTCCAATTGCAGCTAAACTGTCACAACACTTCACTGTCTCTTACGATGAGAAAAGTGTAATCTGTCTCTAAGAACTGTTTTTATCATTATAAATCACATATAGCTTTATTTCACATGAGTAAATTAAAATGAGGAGGTAAGCTAAGATTTGTCTAGGTCATACCTCATGTCTTCTGATTCTAAATATAATTTTCTTCTATCTATACCAATAACTTCGGTATTTTTTTAAAAAATAAGTGACGAACCGCTGAATCTTATTCTAAATATCCATGCATTTATTCATCTGCCATGTGTTATATATTTATTGTGTCCCATGCCCTATGCTTGGCCCAGACAAAAAAAAAAAGAAGCCAGTAATTGCTCTGAGTTGGCTTATAGAGTGCTGGTGGGATGTGTGAGAGCAATAAAATGGCAATAACAATATAGTGCGAGAAATAGAATAATAAGCCAAGATAGCATTTACTTTGCAATTGCAACATAGGGGCACTGAATTCAGACTGAATGGGTTAGGAAAGGTTTTCTGGTAGAGTGGTAGCTAAACTAAATCTTGAAGGGTAATAGAAATTAGCCAGGAACAAAAGGAAAGAATGAACATTCTAGGCAAATGAAGCAGCATAGACAAAAGCAAAAAGAGATGAAAGGGAAAGAAAAGGCCTTACATAATGATTCTTCCTTTGTAAAATAATTACATAGGTTTATGCTATATTTAAGAGGGACTTACAATAATCAAAAAGTAAATATGGGTTGAAAAAAGTAGATATGACAATAATATAGAGCCTGCAAAAACAGTACCAATCCCAGAAGGAAGGAAAATGAGACGGAGAAGCATGAAAATAGCTTGACCTTTGGTGGCTGGGAAGCAGATAAAGGTCTCTCTGTGGTCCCATCAGTACAAATCAAATCAGCCAAGGTGCAAGTCACCTGAAGAAACAGTCATAAGTCACCACATGCATTTATTTTCCCTACCACAATCCAGAAGGAGGACCAAATCAATTCAGAATCATGGCTTTGCCTATATGAGTGATAGCAGGTCGTTTTCAGTGGGCCAGGTCCAGCATTGTATTTATTCAGTGTTGAAATGTAGTAAGGGAACAGAGAATTGGTTGACTTCCAGAATTATGAAATAAAACATTTGGCTACAAAATTAACCACATGAACAAATGTCTTTTGAGGTTTGTTATGGTAGCTGCCTTGTGCATCAAGCCGACTTTGGGATGTATAGGATATTCATCTTATACTCCATCTCCTTACCTCAGTTGATGAAAATCATTAATGTCAGAATATACATGATATTGTATGTTTTGAAGTCCCGAATCATTTTTCTGAACCCCAACAGAAATTGATATCCAGATCACTATAAAGAACATTTGCTTTTAACACTAGCCATCTCAACAGGGAGTTAAATCTCTCCTTTTTTTTTTTTTAAATTCCCCTCAGCCAGTATTAACACATATCCTGAAGTTCTCTTCACTTACGTTCTGTCAGTTTCCTTTGTCAGCTGTGGTTGAAACTGGCTACCCAACTAGCTTTAATTCGGTTGTATTCTCTTAGCTCAGGATTTTATTGCTATTCCATAATGCCTGATAAAATGGGATGGACCCACCCACTCTGTCAAAATCTCTAAATTGGGAAGAAATATATCAAGTGATTTTCACTTCTCTATTCTTTGTCCTTCATTGTGAATTCTAAAGCAAAATTCTAAAATATGATTTTGAATCAGAGCTGTACATTACCATTTATGTAATAGCAAAGGCAATTTCTAATTTTAGTGTAGTGGAAATTATACTGTGTTTAGGATCAGAAGACCTGCTTTTTAAGTCTTAGAACTGAAACTACATGCTTTATATTGAGCAAGTCAAACCTCCCTGTTCTTCAAAATCCTTCCTGTGTGAAATAATATATATAGACTGGTGACCTCTATAGGTCTTTCTTTTGACTCTCTGAATGCTTAAACAAAATGTAATTCATTCAAGGCCTCCATTAATAAAGAGAAATCTAGAAACGAAACAAATCATACCATGAAGTCAAAACATCAAAACCCTTGAATAGGTTACATAATCACCCTAATGATGATAGCCACAACCATCATGATACATTATTTATCAAATATCTACATATTCACATCACCATGGTAGACACTAAGATATATCAAATAAACTAAAGAGATGTGGTCCTGGCTGGACTCCTAGGAGCACAATAGATAAAAAGAGAAAAGGGTTTCCCACATGAAACTGCTCCCTCAAAGGAACTATTTATCCAGCTTTTTCTTCGGGATGATTCATGATGTGTAGTATTCTGTTCACTTCCAGGTTAAGAAAGAATAACCAAGAACAGAACTGACAAATTAAGTCAGTCAGTGCCACCTGCAGTTGGAACAATGACATAAATCCTGCCACATTTTTTATGGGAAAATCTAATGGAAACTGTTCCGAAGAAAATCAATAAAGCCATCAAACATTGGGTACTTGTTAGATGTAGTTTCTTTTTTGGCAGGAGTGGTAATAAGATGAAATTCACTACCTTAGTGTATTTATTCTCTAGGTAAGTAGACAAGAGGAGAGATTACAAATTGAAATTGATTCAAAAAATGCATCACCATTTTTAATAGTTGAAGTCTATATAAATAGAAATGCGCATCAGTGAACAAAGGACCTAATGATTGGCATTAATAAAAAATAGTCTAAAAACCCAACTGTGCCTTGAATGGCAGGGGAATTAGAAAGAAATATTAAAATAAAGACAAATGAATTGATATTGTGTAGTGTTTTACAAAGCATGTTTTTATACTTGATTTCATTTTATCTTCAGATGATAAGAACAAGGCTAACAGTATGCCAATGTTATATGCTTTGACAAGGTAAAAATTCATAGACTTCAGAAACAGGAAATTAATGGCCAGAGTATTCATTCATTGCCTCATAGGTGTTCGCAGTGAGTAAAGGAACTCTTGTCTTTCATTAATCTTGACAAATGTATAATTATTACCTCTTCACATATTGTATCTTTTCTACTTTTAAAATTATCTTTTTCTGTAACTATAGGTAGATACATAGTAATCCATTTTAATTACTCTGCCATGACTCTTAAATTGCCATGTCTCTTTTCCTTGAGTTTATATATGCCAATAAATGTTTTAATTGCATCTGTTATAAACTTTCTAACATCTAGGCACTATGTTTCAGTGAATTTTAAATTTAACACAACAGGAATTAGCAGAATTGATAGATTATTTTTGATAATAATAATAGTGACAAAGTTATTCTCATTTTCCTGGGATAAAGTCTCCCAGGCTTAAAAATTTGGAATCATCTTGATTTTATATGCATCCTTACTTCTGTGTTCATTTAGTCATTAAAATTAATTATTCCTGCCACAATATAAAGTTCATGGGTTCTCAAACTTAGGTGTTTATCAGAATTACCTTTTCTGTGTCATTTCTCCAAGAGTTTCTGGTTCATAGATTCTCTGACACACAGTTGAGAATTATTTTGGTAGGGATTTAATAAATTCATGACAAAATGGCTCCGACATTTCTTTCTGCCTTCCTTTTACACCACTACTTTTTAACCCATAAACTGGGCCATTTAGATAGACATAATGGTAAAACCATTCTCATAACAATTCTTCTCTCTAATGTCCCTTTTCATTTATTTCTGCAAGCTGACTTTGGAATTAATTTCTTCAAATATCCCTACAACCATATAACTTCTCTGCTTAGATATTTTAGGGCTTTCCTGGTTGTCAAAGCTCTCGATATTTGGGTTTAGTTTACTTTTAAAAAATAATTTCCTACATCTTATCTGTGCAAATCTTGCTTATTTTCCAAGTGATTTATTCACCATCCCCGAACCTACTTTTTATTCCCCTTTACAACTTTACTTATGCGAAGGAAGATTTGAGTTCAAACTCTGACTCAGCCACTTTCCAGTTATGTAAACTTAGGAAAATCATTTTACCTGGTTTACTATATTTACTCATTTGTCAAATGTAATGTTTCTAATCTTTGACTTTCTTGCTCTCAAAACTATTAGCGAATATAAACTAAAATTGAGTACATAAATGTGCTTTGCAAAATATAAAGCACTACACATACACCCGTTCCCTTATCTCTGTATTAAACTTGCTTTCTACAATGGAGTATGTTTAGTGAAATCCACCAGAATTTATGGTGAAGCTTTTCCAGTTATTTCTTATTTGCTTGGGACACCATTATCTTAAGTTACTCAAAAAGTGGTTATGAAAGTAATGTCTTGAGTTCTTGCCAGTTTCTAATAGTTTGTGCATTGCTTTGGTACATGAAGTAAAATTTGGCTGAGTATAAAGTCCTTGGCTCATATTTTCTTCCCTTGGGTATCTTAAAAGCATTATTCTATTTTCTTCTACTAGAAAATATTTCTGTATAGATATGTCATGTCAATTGCTCTTTCCCCCATGCAACTATAATCAATGGTAACCCAAATTATTTTTATTCTCTGAAGATTAGTATACCTTTTGGTATATTGATTCTAATATGTTATTTTCTATAAATGGAAAAGTTTTCTTGACTGAAAATCTTATATATATGTTCTGATTTATTATTCCTTCAAGAACTCCAAATTAAATTATATATATATATATATATATAAAATAAACTAAAATCTAGTTCCTTTAAAAATTCACAAAATTGATAAGCCTCTAGAAAGGTTAAGAAAAAAAGACAGAAGGCACAAATTACAAATGTCAGAAATGAAACGGAAGACATCCCTACAGATCCCGATGACATTAAAAAGGAAATAAAAGAATGTTATTAACAACCCTATGTCTACAAATTAGTTAACATGAATGAAATGGACCAATTATTTGAAAGACACAATTTGCTAAAACTCCCAACAGAAGAAATCAACAATATAAATAGTCCTATACCTGCCTTTCTTTAATGGATAAAGGCCTATATATATTAAGGTAATTGAATCAATAACTAATAATAATCTTCCAAAACAGCATCAGGACCAGATGAGTTCACTGACAACATTTAAGGAATAAATTATATCAATCCTACACAGTCTCTTCCTGAAGATAGAAGCAGAGGGAATATTTCCAAATTCAGTCTATGAGGTCAACATTACCCTAATATCAAAACCAGACAAAAACATTACATGAAAAAAGTTATACATGACAACTATGTTGGATTTATCCCAGGTATGCAAGGCTAGTTCAGCATTTGAAAATCAATCAATTTAATCTATCATGTCAACAGACAAAAGAAGACAAATCACATGACTATATCAATAGATGCAGAAAAAACATTTGACAAATTTCAACATTCATTAATGATAAAAAAAGAAACCACTCAGAACACTAGGTAAAGAGGGAGAACTTCCTCAACCTGATAAAGAACATCTAAAAAAATAAAACTTATGCCATACATAATGCTTAGAAACTGGACGCTATCTCACAAAAATCAGGAACAAAGCAATGAGTTCCTTGTGTTATCATGGCTTTTAAACATTGTGTTGTATGTCCCAGCTAGTGTAATCGGCAATAAAATGAGATAAAATGTATACAGACTGGGAAGGAAGAAATAAAACTCTTTTTTTGCAGATAAGATGATAATAATATGTAGAAAACCCAAAAGAAATGCAACAATTTTCTGGAACTAATAAGCTATTATAGAATGGTTGCAGATTACAAGGTTAATATACAAAAGTCAATCACTTCTCTATATACTAGCAATGAACAAGTGGAATTTCTAATTAAAAACATTATCATTTACATTAGCATCCATCAAAAATATTAGTTATAAGTATAACAAAATATGTACACAATCTGTATGAAGAAAACTACAAAATTCAGATGACAGAAACCACAGAAGAACCAATTAATGGAAACATAATTTGTGGTCATGGAGTGGAAGACACCATATTGTCAAGATGGCAGTTATTTCCAGTTTGATCTATGAGATTCAATACAAAACAATAAAAATCCCAGCAAGCAATTCTGTGGATATCAACAAACCAATTCTAATGAGACCTAGAATAGTTACATTAATATTGAAGAAGAACAAAATCAAAAACTGACACTACCCTAGAGACTTACTATAAAGCTATTCATTAAGACAGTGTGGTATTGGTAAATGAATAGACAAGTAGATCAGTGGAACAGCATAGAGAGCCCAGAAATAGACCAACATAAACATGGTCACCTGATATTTAACGAAGGAGCAAAGCATCACAATGAAGTGAAGATAGTCTTTTTCCACAAATAGTGGTAGAAAACCTGAACATCCACATGCAATAATATAAACCTAGGCATAGACTTTACACCTTTTACCAAAGTTAAGTCAAAGTAAATCAAAGGTCTAAATTGAAACTTCAAAACTATAAAACTTCTAGAAAATAACATAGGAGAAAGCCTGGATGATCTTGGGTATGAGATGACTTTTTAGATAAAACATTAAGGCATGATCCATGAATAAAATTATTGAGAAGATTGAATCTACTAAAATTAAAAACTTATTTTCGGTAAAAGGTGATGTCAAGAAAATGAGAAGAGAAGCCAAATACTGGGAAAAAATTTGCATCTGATGAAGTACTATTATCTAACATATATTAAGAACTCTTATTAGGTTGGTGCAGATGTGATTGCGGTTTTTGCCATTGAAAGTAATGACAAAAACCACAATCATATCTGCACCAACCTAATAAAAAATAAGGAAACTAAGCACCAGATTTTAGAAAAACGAGCCAGAGACCTGCACAGACACCTCACGAAAGAAGATATAGAGGTGGCAATTAAGTATACGAAAAGATGTTCAACATCATATGTCTTTAGGGAATTGCACTTTAAAACAACAATGGGATATGACTACACAACTCTTAGAATGGCCCAAATCCAAAACACTGACAACACCAACTGCTGGCAAGGATGTAGAGCAACAGAAACTCTCATTCATTGTTGATATGAATGCAAAATGATACAGCCACTTTGAAAGACAGTTTGGCATTTTCTTTAAAAACTAAACATACTCTTACCATAAAATACTGCAATCACACTTACTGGTATTTACCCAAATGAATTAAAAATTTATGTCTACAAAAAGCCCGCACACAGATGTTTATAACGACTTTATTCATAATTTCCAAAATTTGAAAGAAACCAACATGTCCTTTAGTAGATAAGTGGGTAAACTGCAGTATGTTCAGACAATAGAATATATTTCAGTGCTAAAAAAATAATCAAGCCATGGAAAGAAATGGATAAAAGTTAAATGCATATTGCTAAGTGACAGAAGACAATCTAAAAATTCTACAGACTGCTTGATTCCAACTACATCAGATTCTGAAAAAGGCAAAACTATAAAGAGTAAAAAAAAAATCAGTGGTTTCTTGGGGTAAGTGATAAGGGAAGCATAATTAGGCAGATCACAGAGGATTTTTAGAGCAGTAAAATTACGCTGTTTGATACTACAGTGGTGGATACACATCACTGTACATTTGTCAAAACCTATAGAATGTACAAAAGCAAGAGTGAACCCTAATGTAAACTATAGAGTTTGGTGATAATGACCTGTCGATGTAGGTTACCAATTGTAATAAGAAGTACAACTGGGATGCAGAATGATAGTAGGTGAAATTCTGCATGTGTGAGGGTAAGGTGTACATGAAAACTCTTTCTGCTTACTTTTGCTGTGTAACTAAAACTGCTTTAAATATTAAAGTTTATTAATTTCTAAAAAACATAGGACTGGTGGGCAGAGCAAGATGGTGGAATAGAAGGCTCCACCAATCGTTCCCCCGACAAGAACACCAATTTAACAACTATCTACACACACCAAAAAAACACCTT
Source organism: Homo sapiens (assembly GCF_000001405.40). NCBI lineage: Eukaryota > Metazoa > Chordata > Mammalia > Primates > Hominidae > Homo > Homo sapiens. Next base: position 19,627,433 of record NC_000007.14, read on the forward strand.
CATAAGAACCAAAAATCAGGTGAGCACTCAACAGTACCCAGTTTTATTTTCATATTGCCAAAAGAGGCATAGAAGGAAAAACAGTCTCCAGTCACCAACCCCACCCCTCCATAATCCCTCGGCAGCAGTGGCATAGTGCGGTGTTTCTGTGCGCTGAGGGAGAGAGCCAGTAATTGTGTGGCATGGAACTCAGTGTTGCCTTTGTTATAACAGAAAGCAAAACCAGACCAAACTCAGCTGACACCTGCCCACAGAAGGAGCATTTAACCAGCCCTAGCTAGAGAGGAATCACTGATCCCAATGCTCAGAATCTGAGTTCCCCAAGCCTCAGCACCATGGGTTAAAAAGATCTGGGGCCCTTAATGAAATTGGAAGACAGCTTAGGACTGCAGCAAGGAAGAAAGCTTAGGAAAGACAGCAAGAACTACAATTGTTGGGCAAGTCTAGTACTGGACTGAGCCCAGAGCAAGTGAACTGGGGCACACGTGACGTGCTGAGGCATCAGCTGGGGCATCTAAGAGAGTGCTGGCATCACCACTCCCCTAACTCCAAGCTGCGTAGCTCGTGGATCCAAAAGAGACCACTTCTTTTTGCTTGAGGAGAAGAGATGGAAGAGTGGGGAGGACATTGTCTTGCACCTTGGATACCAGCTCAGCCACAGCAGGATAGGGTACTGATCTGAGTCATGAGGTCCCCTTTCTAGGCCCTACCTCCTAAATGACATTTCTAGACACACCCTGGGCCATAAGGGAAACTGCTGCCTTTATCAGAAGGACCCAGTCCTGGCAGGATTAATTACCTGCTAACTGAAGAGCCCTTGAGCCCTGAATAACCAGCAGTGATACCCAGGTACTATGTTCTGGGCCTTGGGTGAGACTCTGTGAGTTGTAGGCTTCAGGTACCAGCTCAGCAACAGGGGGTAGAGCACCAAAGGTTCTAGGACTTGGCTCACATTTCTGGACCTTCCCTCGGCCATAGGGGAGCCCACTGACCCAAAAGAGGAGTCCCAAGCCAGGCAGCATTCACCACAAGCTGACCGAAGAGCCCTTGGGCCCTAAGGAAATACCAACAGTAGTCTGGCAGTATTCCCCATGTATCTGAGGTGGTGGTGGCCATGAAGTGATGTTCCTCTGCCTTTGGAAAGGGGAGGGAAGAGTGAGAAAGACTGAAACCTGTGGTTTGAGTGCTAACTCTGAGTGCTAACTCAGCTTCAGTATGATAGAACACCTGCCAGACTTCTAAGGTTTGAGTCTAATCCCTGGCTCCCAGATGGGAACTCACCATCCTGAAGGGAAGGACACAGGACTGCTGGCTTTGCCACCTGCTGATTATAGAGCATGAGGACCTTGAGCAAACACAGGCAGTAGCCAGGAAGTGGTTATAGCAGGCCTTCGTCGAACCCTAGTGCTGTGTGTTGTGCTGGCTTCAGGTCAGACTCAGCATTGTCCTAGGGGTGGTGGCCACAGGGGTGTTTGTGTCACTCTACCCCCAGCTTCAAGTAGCTCACAAGGGACAGAGAGACTCCACTTGTTTGGGAGAAAGTAAGATAAGAGAACAAGAGTCTCTGCCTGGCAATTCAGAGAATTATTTTGTTTCTTGTCCAAAACCATCAAGGTAGTATCTTTATGAGTCTGTAAAACCCACAGAGTTACTGGGTTTGGGGTCCTTCCTAAAACAGATACAGCTTAGATCACAACACTGAAGTCCTTTTGAATACAAGCAAACTTAGGCTGTGAAGACTACAGTAAATAGCTAACTCTTCAATTCCCAGGGACAGACAACTACAAGTATTAAGACAATCCAGGAGAATACTACCTCATCAAATGAACTAAATAAGGAACCAGGGACCAATCCCGGAGAAACAGAGATATGTGACCTTTCAGACAGATAATTCAAAATAGCTGTGTTGAGGAAACTCAAAGAAATTGAAGGTAACACAGAAGAAATTCAGAATTCTATTATATAAACTTAAGGAGATTGAAATAATTTAAAAGAAGCTGAAATTCTGGAGCTGAAAAATGCAACTTGCATACTGAAGAATGCATCAGAGTGTTTTAATTGATCAAGCAGAAGAAAGAAATAGTGAGCATGAACACAGGTTATTTGAAAACACTGTCAGAGAAGACAAAAGAATAAGAAAAAATAAAGCATCTCTACAGGATCTTAAAAAGTCTCAAAAATGCATATTTGTTATTGGCCTTAAAGAGGAGGTTGAGAGAAAGGAGTAGAACGTTTATTCAAAAGGATAATAACAGAGAACTTTCCAAACCTAGGGAAAGATATCATCATTCAGGTACAAGAAGGTTGTAGAAAACCAAGCAGATTTAACCCCAAGAAGACTACCTCAAGGCATTTAATAATCAGACTCCCAAAAGTCAAGAATAAAGAAAGGATCCTAAAAACAACAATAAGAAAGAAACAGCATACAATGAAGCTCCAATATGTCTGGCAGCAGACTTTTCAGTGGAAACCTTATAGGCTAGGAGAGAGTGGTATGATATATTTAAAGTGCTGAAGGAAAGGAAAACTTTTACCCTAAAATAGGATATCTGGTGAAAATGTCCTTCAAACATGAAGGAGAACTAAAGACTTTTCCAGACAAAAGCTGAGGGATTTCATCAACACCAGACCTATTCTACAAGAAATGGTGAAGGGAGTATTTCAATCAGAAAGAAAAGGATGTTAATGAGCACCAATAAACCTTCTTAAAGTACAAAACTCACCTGTAATAGTAAGTACAGAAAAAACATAGAATATTATAACACTGTAACTGTGGTGTGTAAACTATTCTTATGGTAAGTACAAAGACTAAATGATGAATCAATCTACAAGAATAACTACAACAAATTTTCAAGACACAAACAGTACAACAAGATATAAATAGTAACAACAAAAAGTAAAAATCTGGGGGATGAATTTAAGCATAGAGTTTTATTATTTTTGTTTTTGCTTCTTTGTTTATGCAAACAGTATTTTTATCAGCTTCAAACAATTGGTTATAAGATAGTATGTGCAAGCCTAATGGTAACCTCTATGCAAAAAAACACAAAATGGATACACAAAAAGTGAAAAGCATGAAACTAAATTATGTCCCCAGTGACAATCACCTCACTAAAAGTAAGACAGGAAAGACAGAAAGGAGGAAGAGAAAATCACAAAACAACCAGAAAACAAATAACAAAATGGCAGGAGTAAGTCCTGACCTATCAATCATGACATTTAATGTATATGGACTAAATTCTCAAAAGACATAGACTGGCTGAATGGATTAAAAAACAAGACCCAGTGATCTGTTGCCTAAAGAAAATACACTTCACCTATAAAGACACACATAGACTAAAAATAAAGGGATGGAAAAAGATATTCCATGCCAGTGGAAACCAAAAAAGATCAGGAGTAGCTATACTCATATCAGACAAAAACAGATTTCAAGACAAAAACTGTAAGACGAGACAAAGAAGGTCACTATATAATTATGAAGGGGTCGATTTAGCAAGAAGATATAACAATTTTAATTATATATGCACCCAACACCGGAGCACCCAGATATATAAAGCAAATACTATTAGAGCTAAAGAAAGAGAGATCCTAATACAATAATGGATGGAGACTTCAACACCCAACTTTCAGCATTGGTCAGATCTTCCAGACAGAAAATTGACAAATATCAGACTTGATTTGTACTATAGACCAAATGGGTCTAATAGATATTTACAGAAGATTTCACCCAAAGGCTACAGAATACACATTCTTTTCCTCAGCGCTTGGATCATGCTTAAGGATAGAGCATATACTAGGTCACAAAACATGTCTCAAAACACTCAAAAAATTACTATCAAGCATGTTCTTTGGAATGGAATAAAACTAGGAATCAATACAAGAAGAACTTTGGAAACTATACAAACACACAGAAATTAAACTGTATGCTCCTGAATAAACAGTGGGTCAATAAAGAAATTAAGAAAGAAATTGAAAAATTTCTGGAAATAGACAATAATGTAAACACAACATATCAAAAACTATGGGATACAGCAAACGCAGTACTAAGAGAGGCTTTTTTAGATATAAGTGGATACATTAAAAAATAAGAAAAACTTCAAATTAACAACCTAATGATGCATCTTAAAGAACTAGAAAAGTAAGAGCAAACCCACAATTAGTAAAAGAAAAGAAATAATAAAAATTAGAGCAGAAATAAATCAAAATGAAGAAAACAATACAAAAGATAAATGAAACAAAAAGTTTTATGAAAAATTAAACAAAACTGACAACCTATTAGCCAGAGAAAGAATAAAAGAGAATATCTAAATAAAATCAGAGATGAAAAAGAACACGTAACAATTGATACTGTAGAAATTGAAAGGATCGTTAGAGGTTATTATGAGCAACTATATGCCAATAAATAGGGAAATCTAGAAGAAATGGAGAAATTCTGAAACACATACAACCTATCAAGATCGAACCAGGAAGAAATCCAAAAACCTGAACACATCAATAACAAGTACCGAGATTGAAGCCGTAACAAAAGTCAGCCAGTAAAAAATAGCCTGGGGTCCAGTGGCTTTACTATTAAATTCTACCAAACACTTAAAGTAGAGCTGATACCAATCCTGCTCAAACTAATCCAAAAAATAAATGAAGGAATACTTCCAAATTCATTTTATGAAGACCATATTACTCTAATACCAAAACCAGACAAAGACACATCAGAAAAAGAAAACCACAGGCCAACATCTCTAATATATATTGATGTAAAACTCCTCAACAAAATATTAGGAAACTGAATTCAACAAGACATTAAAGGGATCACTCATCATGTTCAAGTGGGATTTATTCCAGGGATGCAAGAATGGTTCAACATATGCAAATCAATCAATGTGATACATCATATCAACGGAATGAAGGACAAAATCCATATGCTCATTTCAATTGACGCCGAAAAAAACATTTGATAAAATTCAACATCCCTTCATAATAAAAATCCCCCAAAAAACTGAGTATAGAAGGAACATAGCTCAATATAATAAAAGCCATATACAGCAGACCCACAGCTAGTGTCATATTGAATATGAGAAAACTGAAATCCTGTCCTCTAAGATCTGGGACATGGCAAGGATGCCCACTTTCACCACTGTTATTCAACATAGTACTGAAAGTCCTAGCTAGAGCAGTCATACAAAAGAAAGACGTAAAAGGTACCCAGTTGGAAAGGAAAATGTCAAATGTTCCTTATATGCAGATTATATAATCTTATATTTGGAAAAACCTAAAGACTCCACACACACACAAAAATTATTAGAACTGATAAATCAGTAAAGTTGCAGGAGACAAAATCAACGTGCAAAAGTCAATAGCATTTCTATATGGCAACAGTGCACAATCTGAAAAAGAAATACAAAATTAATCTCATTTATAGTTAGCCACAGATAAAATTCAATACCTAGAAATTAAACCAAAGAAGTGAAAGATCTCTATAATGAAAACTATAAAACATTTATGAAATAAATTGAAGATGACACCAAAAAAAAAAAAAGACATTTTGTGTTTTTGGATTGGAAGAATCAATATTGTTAATATGTTCATCCCGCCTAAAGCAATCTACAGACTCATTGCAATCCTTATGAAAATACCAATGACATGGCCGGGCGCAGTGGCTCACGCCTGTAATCCCAGCACATTGGGAGGCTGAGGCGAGCGAATCACGAGGTCAGGAGATCAAGACCATCCTGGCTAACACGGTGAAACCCCGTCTTTACTTTTACTAAAAATACAAAAAATTAGCCAGGCGTGGTAGCAGGCTTCTGTAGTCCCAGCTACTTGGAAGGCTGAGGCAGGAGAATGGCGTGAACCTGGGAGGTGGAGCTTGCAGTGAACCGAGATCGCACCACTGCACTCCAGCCTGGGGACAGAGGAGACTCCATCTCAAAAAAAAAAAAAAAGAAAAAGAAAATACCAATGACATTCTTTGCAGAAATAGAAAAAACAATTCTAAAATGTATATGAAGCCACAAATGACCCAGAAAAGCCAAACCTATCCTAAGCAAAAAGAGCAAAACTGGAGGAATCAAATTATCTGACTTCAGATTATACTACAGAGCTTAGTAACCAAAATGACATGGTGTTGCCATAAAAACAGACACACAAACAAATGGAACAGAATAGAAAACCCGGAAACAAATCCACACACCTACAGTGAATTCCTTTTCAACAAAGGGGCCAAGAATATACCCTGGGGAAGAGACAGTCTCGTCAATAAATGGTGCTGGGAGAACTCAATATCCATAAGCAGAAGAATGAAACTAGACCCCTATCTCTCACCATATACAAAAATCAAAATGAATTAAAGACTTAAACTAAGACCTCAAACTATGAAACAACTGCAATAAAACATTGGGGAAACTCTCCAGGACACTGATCTGGTCAAAGATTCTTGAGTAATACACTACAAGCACAGGCAACTAAAGCAAAAGTAGGCAAGTGGGATCACATCAAGTTAAAAAGCTTCTGCATGACAAAGGAAACAATCAGCGAAGCAAAAAGGCAACCTACAGAATGGGAGAAAATATTTGCAAACTACCCATCTGTTAAGGGATTAATAACAGAATATATAAGGAGTGCAACCAACTCCATGGGGGGAAAAATCTAATAACCTGTTTTAAAAATGGGCAAAAGATTTTGAATAAACGCTTCTCAAAAGAAGATACACAAATGACACTCATGCATATGAAAAGGTGCTCAACATCACGGATCATCTGACAAATGCAAATCAAAACTAGAATGAGATATCATTTTGCCACAGTTAAAATGGCTTATATCTATAACACAAGCAATAACAAATGCTAGAGAAGATGTAGAGAAATGGGAACCCTCATACACTGTTGTTAGTAAGGTAAATTAGTACAACCACTATGGAGAACAGTTTGGAGGTTTCTCAAAAAACTAAAAATAGGGCTTTCATACAATCTAGAAATCCTACTGCTCAGTGTATACCCAAAAAAAAAGGAAATCAGTATATCAAAGAAATATCTACACTCCATGTTTGTTGCAGCTTTGTTCACAATAGCTAAGATTTGGAAACAACCTAAGTGCCCATCAAAAGATGAATGCATAAGGAGTATATGGTACTTATACAAAGTGGAGTACTATTCAGCCATAAAAAAGACGATGATTCTGGCCCCGTGTGGTGCCTTATGCCTGTAATCCCAGCACTTTGGGAGGCTGAGGTGGGTGGATCACCTGAGGTCAGGAGTTTGTGACAAGCCTGGGCAACATGGCTAAACCTTGTCTCTAGCAAAAATACAAAAATTACCTGGGCATTATGGGATGTGCCTGTAATCCCAGCTACTCGGGATTTTAGTTATTTCTTGCCTTCTGCTAGCTTTTGAATGTGTTTGTTCTTGCTTTTCTAGTTCTTTTAATTGTGATGTTAGGGTGTCAATTTCGGATCTTTCCTGCTTTCTTTTGTGGGCATTTAGTGCTATAAATTTCCCTCTATACACTGCTTTGAATGTGTCCCAGAGATTCTGGTATGTTGTGTCTTTGTTCTTGTTGGTTTCGGTTTGCCAGTATTTTATTGAGGATTTTTGCATCAATGTTCATCAAGGATATTGGTCTAAAATTCTCTTTTTTGGTTGTGTCTCTGCCAGGCTTTGGTATCAGGATGATGCTGGCCTCATAAAATGAGTTAGGGAGGATTCCCTCTTTTTCTATTGATTGGAATATTTTCAGAAGGAATGGTACCAGTTCCTCCTTATACCTCTGGTAGAATTCGGCTGTGAATCCATCTGGTCCTGGACTCTTTTTGGTTGGTAAGCTATTGATTTTTGCCACAATTTCAGAGCCTGTTATTGGTCTATTCAGAGATTCAACTTCATCCTGGTTTAGTCTTGGGAGGGTGTATGTGTCAAGGAATTTATCCATTTCTTCTAGATTTTCTAGTTTATTTGCGTAGAGGTGTTTGTAGTATTCTCTGATGGTAGTTTGTATTTCTGTGGGATCGGTGGTGATATCCCCTTTATCATTTTTTATTGCATCTATTTGATTCTTCTCTATTTTCTTCTTTATTAGTTTTGCTAGCAGTCTGTCAGTTTTGTTGATCCTTTCAAAAAACCAGCTCCTGGATTCATTAATTTTTTGAAGGGTTTCTTTGTGTCTCTATTTCCTTCAGTTCTGCTCTGATGTTAGTTATTTCTTGAAAACAGGCACAAGACAGGGATGCCCTCTCTCACCACTCCTATTCAACATAGTGTTGGAATTTCTGGCCAGGGCAATTAGGCAGGAGAAGGAAATAAAGGGTATTCAATTAGGAAAAGAGGAAGTCAAATTGTCCCTGTTTGCAGATGACATGATTGTATATCTAGAAAACCCCATTCTCTCAGCCCAAAATCTCCTTAAGCTGATAAGCAACTTCAGCAAAGTCTCAGGATACAAAATCAATGTACAAAACTCACAAGCATTCTTATACACCAATAACAGACAAACAGACAGCCAAATCATAAGTGAACTCCCATTCGCAATTGCTTCAAAGAGAATAAAATACCTAGGAATCCAACTTACAAGGGACGTAAAGAACCTCTTCAAGGAGAATTACAAACCACAGCTCAGTGAAATAAAAGAGGATACAAAGAAATGGAAGAACATTCCATGCTTATGGGTAGAAAGAATCTATATCGTGAAAACGGCCATACAGGCCAAGGTAATTTATAGATTCAATGCCATCCCCATCAAGATACCAATGACTTTCTTCACAGAATTGGAAAAAACTACTTTAAATTTCATACGGAACCAAAAAAGAGCCCGCATCACCAAGTCAATACTAAGCCAAAAGAAGAAAGCTGGAGGCATCACACTACCTGACTTCAAACTATACTACAAGGCTACAGTAACCAAAACAGCATGGTACTGGTACCAAAACAGAGATATAGATCAATGGAACAGAACAGAGCCCTCAGAAATAACGCCGCATATCTACAACTATCTGATCTTTGACAAACCTGAGAAAAACAAGCAATGGGGAAAGGATTCCCTATTTAATAAATGCTACTGGGAAAACTGGCTAGCCATATGTAGAAAGCTGAAACTGGATCCCTTCCTTACACCTTATACAAAAATTAATTCAAGATGGATTAAAGAATTAAACGTTAGACCTAAAACCATAAAAACCCTAGAAGAAAACCTAGGCATTACCTTTCAGGACATAGGCATGGGCAAGGACTTCATGTCTAAAACAACAAAAGCAATGGCAACCAAAGCCAAAATTGACAAATGGGATCTAATTAAACTAAAGAGCTTCTGCACAGCAAAAGAAACTACCATCAGAGTGAACAGGCAACCTACAAAATGGGAGAAAATTTTCGCAACCTACTCATCTGACAAAGGGCTAATATCCAGAATCTACAATGAACTCAAACAAATTTACAAGAAAAAAACAAACAACCCCATCAAAAAGTGGGCGAAGGACATGAACAGACACTTCTCAAAAGAAGACATTTATGCAGCCAAAAAACACATGAAAAAATGTTCACCATCACTGGCCATCAGAGAAATGCAAACCAAAACCACAATGAGATACCGTCTCACACCAGTTAGAATGGCAATCATTAAAAAGTCAGGAAACAACAGGTGCTGGAGAGGATGTGGAGAAATAGGAACACTTTTACACTGTTGGTGGGACTGTAAACTAGTTCAACCATTGTGGAAGTCAGTGTGGCGATTCCTCAGGGATCTAGAACTAGAAATACCATTTGACCCAGCCATCCCATTACTGGGTATATACCCAAAGGACTATAAATCATGCTGCTATAAAGACACATGCACACTTATGTTTATTGTGGCATTATTCACAATAGCAAAGACTTGGAACCAACCCAAATGTCCAACAATGATAGACTGTATTAAGAAAATGTGGCACGTATACACCATGGAATACTATGCAGCCATAAAAAATGATGAGTTCATGTCCTTTGTAGGGACATGGATGAAATTGGAAATCATCATTCTCAGTAAACTATCGCAAGAACAAAAAACCAAACACTGCATATTCTCACTCATAGGTGGAATTGAACAATGAGAATACATGGACACAGGAAGGGGAACATCACACTCTGGGGACTGTTGTGGGGTGGGGGGAGTGGGGAGGGATAGCATTAGGAGATATACCTAATGCTAAATGACGAGTTAATGGGTGCAGCACACCAGCATGGCACATGTATACATGTGTAACTAACCTGCACAATGTGCACATGTACCCTAAAACTTAAAGTATAATAATAATAAAATAAAATAAAATAAAATAAAAAAGTATTAAAAGAGGATAAAGATATAAAATTACTAGGCTATGAAAGAGAAATATTAAGAGATGAAGACCAAAAATTTTATGTATACAGTCATATGTCATGTAAACACTGGGATATATTCTTAGAAATGTGTCCTTAGGTGACTCTGTGATAGTGGGAACATCATAAAGTATATTAACACAAACCTAGGTGGTATAGTCTATTGCTCCTGAGCTACAAACCTGTACAGCATGTTACTGTACTGAATACTATAGGCAATTGTAACCCAATAGTAAGTATTTGTACATCTAAATAGAAAACTCCAGTAAAATATGGTATAAAAGATTTTAAAAAGTGGTACATCTGTATAGGGCAATTACCATGATTAGAGTCTACAGGATTGGAAGTTGGTATTGATGTGTCAGTGAGTGATTGAGATGAGTGAATGTGAAGGCCTAGAACATTACCATATTCAATTATAGACTATAAGCACAGCACACTCGGACGACACTAAATTTATTTTTTAAAAATTACTTTCTCCAATAATAAATTAACCTTAGCTTACTGTAACTTTTTCACTTTATGAACGTTTAAAGTTTAATTTGTTGACTATTTTGTAATACAGCTTAAATACATCTACAGCTGTACAAAAATATTTCCTTTATAGCCTTATTCTATAAGCTTTTTATTTTTAATATTTTTTACTTCTTAAAATTTTTGGTTGAAAACTAAGACACAAACACACACATTAACCTAGGCCTCCACAGAGTCAGGATCATCAATATTACTGTTTTCCACCTTCACATCTTGTTGCACTGGAGGGTCTTGGGGGCAATAACACATGGAGGTGTCATCTCCTGTGATACCAATGCCTTCTTCTGGAATACCTCCTGAAGACCTTGCTTGAGACTCTTGTCCATTTCTTTTTTATATAAATACAGTAACTTTTAAAATAATTAAAAATATGTTGAATACATAAACTAGCAACAGTTTTTATTGACATTATCAAGTATTATGTACTGTACATAGTTGAATATACTATACTTTTATTTTTTTAATTGTGTGCATTTTTTCAGAAAAGAATAATTTTATAAATCAAAGCAAATCCAAATAAAAATAAAATGTAGGACCATCTAGTACGTGCCATCCATATGTATTTTCCATCCTAGTATTGGAGATATTTATTTATTTTTATTTTTTTATTATACTTTAAGTTCTAAGGTACATGTGCACAATGTGCAGGTTTGATACATACGTATACATGTGCCATGTTCATTTCGTGCACCCATCAACTTGTCATTTACATTAGGTATTTCTCCTAATGCTATCCCTCCGCCTGCCCCCTACCCCATGATAGGCCCCAGTGTGTGATGTTCCCTGCCCTGTGTCCATGTGTTCTCATTGTTCAATTCCCACATATGAGTGAGAACATGTGGTATTTGGTTTTCTGTCCTTGTGACAGTTTGCTGAGAATGATGGTTTCCAGCTTCATCCATGTCCCTGCAAAGGACATGAGCTAATCCTTTTTATGCTGCATAGTATTCCTGGTGTGTATGTGCTACATTTTCTTAATCTACTCTATCATTGATGGACATTTGGGTTGGTTCCAAGTCTTTGCTATTGTGAATAGTGCAACAGTAAACATATGTGTACATGTGTCTTTATAGTAGCATGATTTATAATCCTTTGGGTATATACCCAGTCATGGGATCACTGGGTCAAATGGTATTTCTAGTTCTAGATCCCTGAGGAATCACCATGCTGTCTTCCACAATGGTTGAACTAATTTACACTCCCACCAACAGTGTAAAAGCATTCCTATTTCTCCACATCCTATCCAGCATCTGTTGTTTCCTGACTTTTTAATGATCGCCATTCTAACTGGTGTGAGATGGTATCTCATTGTGGTTTTGATTTGCATTTCTCTGATGACCAGTGATGATGAGCATTTTTTCATGTATCTGTTGGCTGCATAAATGTCTTCTTTTGAGAAGTGTCTGTTCATATCCTTTGCCCACTTTGATGGGTTGTTTGTTTTTTTTCTTGTAAATTTGTTTGAGTTCATTGTAGATTCTGGATATTAGCCCTTTGTCAGATGGGTAGATTGCAAAAATTTTCTCCCATTCTGTAGGTAGCCTTTTCACTCTGATGGTAGTTTATTTTGCTGTGCAGAAGCTCTTTAGTTTAATTAGATCTGTTTGTCAATTTCAGCTTCTGTTACCATTGCTTTTGGTGTCTTATTCATGAAGTCTTTGCCCATGCCTATGTCCTGAATGGTATTGCCTAGGATTTCCTCTAGGGTTTTTATGGTTTTAGGTCTAACATTTAAGTCTCTAATCCATCTTAAGTTAATTTTTGTATAAGGTGTAAGGAAGGGATCCAGTTTCAGCTTTCTACATATGGCTAGCCAGTTTTCCCAGTAGCATTTATTAAATAGGGAATCCTTTCCCCATTTCTTGTTTTTGTCAGGTTTGTCAAAGATCAGATGGTTGTAGATGTGTGGTGTTATTTCTGAGGCCTCTGTTCTGTTCCATTGGTCTATATGTCTGTTTTGGTACCAGTACTATGCTGCTTTGGTTACTGTAGCCTTGTAGTATAGTTTGAAGTCAGGTAGCGTGATGCCTGCAGCTTTTTTCTTTTGGCTTAGGATTGTCTTGGCAATGCAGGCTCTTTTTTGGTTCCATATGAACTTTAAAGTAGTTTTTTCCAATTCTGTGAAGAAAGTCATTGGTACCTTGATGGGGATGGCACTGAATCTATAAATTACCATGGGCAGTATGGCCATTTTCACAAGATTGATTCTTTCTGTCCAGGAGCATGGAATGTTCTTCTATTTGTTTGTGTCCTCTTTTATTTCATTGAGCAGTGGTTTATAGTTGTCCTTGAAGAGGTCCTTCATATCCCTTGTAAGTTGGATTCCTAGGTATTTTATTCTCTCTGTAGTAATTGTGAATGGGAGTTCACTCATGATTTGGCTCTCTGTTTGGCTGTTTTTGGTGTATAGGAAGCGTGTGATTTTTGCCCATTGATTTTGTATCCTGAGACTTTGCTGAAGTTGCTTATCAGCTTATGGAGGTTTTGGGCTGAGAAAATGGGGTTTTCTAAATATACAATCATGTCATCTGCAAACAGGGACAATTTGACTCCTCTTTTCTTAATTGAATACCCTTTATTTCTTTCTGTTTCCTGATTGCCCTGGCCAGAACTTCCAACACTATGTTGAATAGGAGTGGTGAGAGAGGACATCCTTGTCTTGTGCCAGTTTTCAAAAGGAATGCTTCCAGTTTTTGCCCGTTCAGTATGATATTGGCTGTGGGTTTGTCATAAATAGCTCTTATTATTTTGAGAGACGTTTCATCAATACCTAGTTTATTGAGAGTTTTTAGCATGAAAGGCTGTTGAATTTTGTCGAAGGCCTTTTCTGCATCTATTGAGATAATCATGTGTTTTTTGTTGTTGGATCTGTTTATGTGATGGATTACATTTATTGATTTTCATATGTTGAACCAGCCTTGCATTCCAGGGATGAAGCCAACTTGATCGTGGTGGATAAGCTTTTCGCTGTGCTACTGGATTCGGCTTGACAGTATTTTATTTAGGATTTTCGCATCATTGTTCATCAGGGATATTGGTCTAAAAGTCTCTTTTTTTGTTGTGTCTCTGCCAGGCTTTGGTATCAGGATGATGCTGGACTCAAAAAATTAGTTAGGGAGGATTCCTTCTTTTTCTATTGCATAAATATCTTCTTTTAGTTTGAAAAAATAGTTTCAGAAGGAATGGTACCAGCTCCTTTTGTACCTCTGTTAAAATTCGGCTGTGAATCTGTCTCATCCTGGACATTTTTTGGTTGGTAGTCTATTAATTACCATCAGAGAATACTATAAACACCTCTATGCAAATAAACTAGAAAATCTAGAGGAAATGGATAAATTCCTGGACACATACACCCTCCCAAAACTAAGTGAGGAAGAAGTTGAATCTCTGGATATGCTATCCTTTTATACAACTGGCAGCAAAGTATGTTTTTTTACACTAGCATCACCACAGACACTTAAGTAATACTTTGCCCTACATAGTTACCATGGCAAGGACATCACTAGGTGAAAGGAATTTTTCATCTGTATGATAATCTTACGCAACTATTGTCATACATGTGGACTGCTGTTGACCAGAACATCGTTATGCACCATGTAATGCTTTTCTAAGTTCTGTCATTATATCATCTTTATGTTGTTTACCTATTGCCTAACTATATCATTGTTATCTAATTCAGATTTATACCTTTTTAAAAATCTTTTATCTTTGTTTATTTTACCTTGTTTTAAAATATGTGGCTACACCATTTGTCTTTTCATGGCTATGTTTTCTTGTTGTGTCTTTATTATCTGTTAGAAAGTGTTTATTTTCACTTTTGTTCTTGTATCTTTGTACATGTTCAATCATAACTCTTCTTAGTTGTCAGTTTAAAATAAAATATGCCCTCTTTTACTCTGATGATTGTATTCCCATTGGAATGGACCAGGATACCTGCTTCAAGTGCAATAGTTCCTTCTTCTGTTTTTATGCTGAAGTAGTGGGGAAAAAAAAACAGATCATATCTCTGTGTAGCTACTTCTGTTACTCTGAACTAGGCTTGATTCTAGCCTGTATTTTTTCAAGCTGCAACCTGCAAATGTTGCATATATTTAGATATGACTGTGACATTTCAATAATCTGCTTCCTTTAGGCTTCTTCTCCTCTTCCCACAGTATACAAACCCTTCTTTCTTGGATTCCAAGTGATTCTGCCATGTAGAAAGTGTTCCAAACTGGCCATATGAGTTCTGTCCCTGCATCTTCTCCTATGCCTGTTATAAGCAATTTATCACATCATGTCAATCATGGTGGTCTTTTACTTCTACTTTATATTTTTGTGTGCCAGGGAGACAGGAGAGGGGGAAGGTTTTACACCAAGTTCAGCAGGAGCCCAGACATCTGACTGTCTCAAACCACATGTTCTCTCTCTGGGAGCAGTTCCCCTGACACTTTTATAAATACCACCACTGTACCCAAGACCACACCCCTGGCACAAAACTTTTATGACATGGCTCTCTTTAAGAAGCATAACCTAATCCCTCTGTTAACTGATCAAACAATGAATTGGTCAATAAAAATCCTCCCATATCCTTATGTATCAACAAAAAATGAGAGAGAAAAGTCAAAAGATGTGCTTGTGTATACTTTGTAATGATGCCATGAACTGGTTAAAGAGTAAAATGCTCATAGGTGACTTGAAATTATTTTACCTGAAATTTTATGATACCTCCAAATTCTAGAATATGGTATGGTCACTTTTATCATGAACTCAATCTGGAACGAATCCTCTCTTCATAGAATATGTACTTTGCTTTATGTATACTAAATACATGTTGAATACATATACATTCATACCTGAATTATCTGTTTAGTAGTTAATAAGTTTTTATCATTTCATGTCATGGGAAGACGTCTTACTTAGTTAATTCTTTTTTTGTGTATTTGACATATACTGAACTAGGGTAAAGTTTCTAGTTACTGAGTAAAACGCCTACCACTACACCCCAAAATACGTATCTTGACATCACATTTATGTATTGCCTTAGATAGATATGTGGAATTGATGAATTCCACAATGGAGGAATTCCATCCAGCTCTTAATTATGATGAAAATTCTGATTTCCAGAGTTGGTAAACAATAGCAATTTAGGAAGATGACACATCCCTCATATCTCTCCCTTAGTCCAATGGCAGGGGAGTTTGAAAATAAAATATAATATCTTGTAGCTTTTTATTGAGCTAATGTGGAAACATTCTGCTATCACAGCAATTGATTTGGGGTAGTGTAAAGGGAAGCGGGCAGATCAATTACTGAGAATGGTGAAAGGATCTGATAAGAAAAACAGTGCCTCAGAAACAGAAAATCAAATACCACATGTACTCACCTATAAGTACGAGCTAAAAAAAAAAAGGGTACTTACGGACATAAAGATGAAAATAATAGATACTAAGAACTCCAAAAATGGGGTGGTTGGGAGGCTAAAGTTTGAAAAATTACCTGTTGAGTACAATGTTCACAATCTGGGTGATGGGTATACTAGAAGCCCAAACTTCACCATTCCACAGTACAACCATGTAACAAATCTTCACATGTACCCCTGAATCTATAATAACAGTAAGTAAAAATAATAGAAACTACGCTAAGAAAATGAAGAATCTCCAGGAGATTCCTGCTTCACTTAAGGCATTTTCAAATGCACACAAGAAGAAAAAAACAAACTAGTACTTGCTTTCACAATAAAGACAGCTCACATAAGGAAGAATCTGGAGGCAGGGTGCTTAGCAGTTCAACAATACCGTGTGCTTTGTTCGTGTCACTGGTGTTCTTTTGGCTCTTCTCCCATAGTCACAAGGTGTGTTTTCAAAGCAACAAGCATCCTATTGATGCATGACCATATTCTCACATGATCATGCCCGAAGACAGCAAGCAAGTTTTATTTTTTGCATGTTTCTTTTTCTGCATGTTTATCAAGGAGAAGAAAAATCCTTAATAAAATCCTCCAGCAGAGTTCTTTTTATATCTCGTTGGGCTTCATCATGGATACCCTAGCTACAAAATTTACTGGAAAAGACAGTATATTGAATTTTTAGCTGATGTAGTAAATGATGGGCAGGAAAAGAGGGTTGAAGATATGTGATGATTAATATTAGGTGTTAACTGGATTGGATGGAAGGATGCCTAGATAGCTGGTAAAGTATTGTTTCTGGGTGTGTCTGTGAGAGTGTTGCCAGAGGAGACTGATATTTGAGTAGGTGGACTGGGAGAGGAAGACCTACCCTCAATATGAGTGGGCACCATCCAGTCGGCTGCCAGCATGGCTAGAACAAAGCATGTGGAAGAAGAGGATAAGCTGGCTTGCTAAGTCTTCTGGCTTTCATCTTTCTCCCGTGCTTGATGCCTCCTGCCCTTGGACATCAGACTACAATTTCTTTGGCCTTTGCACTCTGGGACTTACACCAGTGGATTGCTGGGGGCTCTCACTGTTAGCTTTCCTTCTTTTGAGGCTTTTGGAGTTGGACTGAGCCAATGGCTTCTTTCTTCCCCTGCTTGCAGACAGCCTATCCCTATCATGGGACTTCACTTTGTGATCATGTGAGCCAATTCTCCCTGATAAACTCCCTTTCATATATACATATATCCTATGAGTTCTGTTCCTCTGGAGAATCCTGACTAATACAGGATGGCTGCTGAGTTTGTTGTAGTCTCCTCTTACCACAACTGATGGAGGGGATTGACCATTTCTTCCAAAGAACTTCAGTTCTCTCCCATTCAGAAACACTAACCTCCCACATTCAGTCAAATCCTTGTTTTACTCCCTAACCTGTTGGCCTCTAGGCTAGGAAATAAGCATTTTCACTGGGTAAAAGCTGAGAATATTGTAGGAAAGCGAATCAACAGCATAAATGATGAGTTGGATTCACCTCCCTTGTCTCTGCAACAAAAGATAATACCTTCTTTCCATCCTCAATATGGATATTAGACACACTTCTTATTGAAACAGTGCAGTGTTTTATAGGATTCTGAGGTAACCTAATACTTAAATTATGGGTGTCTCATAGGTGCCGGAAGTAGCCTATTATTTAAATTATAACATTTCTAAAGTACTATATTTCTGCCATAGAATCTAACTTCATACATGGGAAGATATTATGAATTGCTCTTGATTTACCTAGAATCCTTTCAAATAAAAATTATTGACATTATGTAAATTGTGTCTTCAATAAAAACTATTCAAAAGCTATAGCTAGTTAGTAAAAGAGATTTGATAAAATTGGATTTAAATTTCCATTTAGCTATTTCTCAGCTGAATAAACTTTAGCAAACTAAATTCTATGAACATCAATTTACTCATCTGTTAAATGGGGGAAATTGTTACCTATTTAGTAGGATTTTTATAGAAATTAGTTATTTTTCCTCAATATAACAGGTTGTTGTTTTAGAGATATATTTAGAGGCTTAAATTGCTAGACCTTTGATTTCCAATATTTTTCATTGTTATGTCAAGGTTTAACTTAGCATACAAACTCCCACTTCCCAACTGCCCATTTCAACAAAGTTGAAAATTGTTATATTGTATTATGCATATTATATGTATGTTAATAGATAAAATAATAATACCCAAGACTGGAGGATGTTTATAACACACCAGTTACCTTGCTAAGAACTTAAAGAATCATCTCCCTTTAGTCCTCAGAGTAAACTGTAAAGAAGTTATTACTCAAATCTGGAAAAGTTAAGTCTGTTAGCCCAGAGTCACAGAACTGGGAAGTGAGAGAGTTAAGATTCAAACTTAGATCTTTTTCATTCGAGAAATCAAGATTTTATTCATTTTCCTTTACTATATCTGTGATTAGTTATTTAAATATACAAGTTGAAAAGACTTTGTTTTGAGAGTAAGTTGAAAATTTTAGGTCTAATTTGGGGTCTTTTAAGAATATTATATTGGGTATTTGGGCAAAATGAGAGCTGAAATTCAGTTAAAAATAACTTGATTGATACAGTTAAGATATATCTTTTATTTCTCACTATTAAGTAGAGTTCCTGATTTTCACAGGCTCAGGAGCCTCGTTAGACAGAATCTGAGTTCAGCCTCATGTGTTGAAACAGGTTCACAAGTATACACACAGGTTTAATAGCCAATAAAAAACTGATGGGGAAAGGATAAACATCATGACAGAAATCACTATTTGGGAAAATTAAGAGACTAAGAAACAAGACCTGAGTGTAAAACAAAAAACAAACATAATAATCACCACCGAAATCACAGTCATTGCATGATCCAGCTCTCCAGAACATACTCATATTTCCCATGAAAGAAAACTTGTTTGATAGAACTGAAAGTATTTTGTCAGAGACTTCATCAGTTTCTTTCAGGGGTCTTGCCCTTTAAGACTAGTTGGCAGGGTTGAAAGAATGGTATCATGTGGACTGACCTAAGAACACCGTGAGACTCACACCTTCAATGAACGGAGAGATGGTTTCCTGTTATCCAGGAAGAAAGAGATGAGGGCAAAGGATGTCAACACAACTGTTATAAATAAATATTCAGTGTCTTAGAAAAATAAACCAGAACAGAATCTCATTAAAATTGCAAAGTAAATTTGAGGGTAATTAAAGAATTAAATGCAAAATAACAATCCATAGACAGCCTAGAAAAAATGGTATGGAACAGTTGGGAGGAACAATTTAAGCACAAAATAACAGAATAAATAGAAAATATAGAAATACATGGATATTTGAACTTCTATGCATGAAAAGAAAATGAAGCAACTCAAGATTTAAAAGATTTGGAGCAAAAATTAAAGTTAATATTACTTTCAAAAACATTATCAAGATGAAAAGATAAAATATCAATAAACTGACAAATAGCATGAATAGGTAATTCATAGAAGAAAGACAATAGTAAACAAACATGGAGAGTTAAAAACTTAATATCAACTGTAATCAGAGAACTGCAAAGAAAAAAATAAATGACTTTTTTTGCTTATCAAACTATTAGGTTGGTGCAAAAGTATTTGTGGTTTTTGCCATTACTCGCAGAAAAAACTGCAATTACTTTTGCACCAACCTAATAAAAGACGATGAAAAATGATGTTAAAAAGTACAAAGTGAAGTGGGCATAAATTTCTCACAGCAATGTGAATTTCTGTAACCTGTTTTTGGAACATAGAAATATCTACTTGGTTTCAAGATTCATGGTGTTTAGCCCATTCTTTTCAATTTTCTAACTTACATAAGTAAACTTAGTACAAAATTATACATATAAAGATGTATACAAATATTACATCAAGATTAAATATAGCACCTTTAGGGAAATTGTTAACGAAACCTGAAAATGATAGTTACAAATACCATGTAATCACATATAATATTAAAAAGTAGTATATGAAATTGCATATGTGCTAATTGCATTAAAATGCTTACTTTAAAAAAAGAAAGGAAACATTTAGCCCAAAATTTGTATTAATTTTACTCTAAATACTAATTATGTTATAATGGTGAGAATATAGATTGTTCCTAAGTTTATCTCTAAGACTTTAAAAACCTTAAGATATTATACTTACACAATAGAGCACAAGAAGAAACACTGAAAAATCATAATAGTAGTATTAGAGTAGTGTAATAATCCATTTTATTCTATTTTCTACAGTTTCTGTAATATATATATCTAAGGAATTAAATACTAATAAACGCATTATAGAATATGAGTTTATTAGTATCTAAATGGAAGATGCCACGGTGAGTTCATGAAGAAAATAAAGCCGGATTGTAATTATTTCTTTTTAGTAGTTTCTAGAATGATCAATCCGAAGCTGGTCAGTTGTTCTGGAGTACTGAGTTTCTGCTTTAGGAATAATATTCCCAGGATGAAAACGTCCATAAATAAGCTATTACCTGAGTGGTTTGATTAAAAGTTTATGTGGGAAAAAAAAAATGGAAGAGACTAAGAACACTTAGTTCAGACAACCCAGAGAACAACCATTTACAAATATCCATTTCTGTTATGTGGTAGAAGTTCAGGTTTATTTTGTGATTACCTCATAAATAAACTAGTACCAAAGTAGTGGGGGAAAGTGTCAACTTCATACAAAGTAGATCATTACAGCAATCAAAGATTCTAAAATATGGAATGGAATAATGTTGATAATAATATAAACTCCAAGCCCTGAGATGTTTAAATGGAAGATTGGTGGGTTCTTGTAGAGGTGACATAAACAAGAAATGAGGTGGAACCATCAGATTAAAGAGTTTTCTTCATTCCCAGAATATTTAAGGTTTCTTTGGAGCATGTGTTACAGAAGCAGAGTTTAATATTTGACTATATTAAAAGGGAAAAAAAGAGGTGAAATAATACTTACGGCAAAAAATAAAAAGCCACCCAAGGATTAACTATTTTCATAAAACATCTAACCTAAATTAAAGGAATTTATGTACAAGCAGGTATGTGGATTTTTATTGTTATCAGAAAGATAGTATATCATCAAATTTGTTAGGATTTCTAGTAGTGATGACACAAAAGATATCAGAGTAGGCAGCTCAGGAATCACTTCCGCCACCAGAACAACTATTAAGCTCTCAAGACTGTGAGAATCAACTATTTTAGACCTCAAGTTTAGTTGTAAACTTCACTCATCAACAAGAGTGTTTGATGAAAGAAAGGGGCTGGTGAATATGGGTGAATTTCAGCATTTTGTGTTGCAACAGCCATCTCCAGCCCCAGGGCAAATGGCCATGGAAACCGTGGCCAAAACTCATGGTGTAGTCTGCCTCTGTCAGGGTGAACAGTGAAAACCTTGTCCTCCAATAATTGGAGTTTTAGGTTTGAATCTGCCTGGTGCTTCACTGAGGAACCTGCTCAGAAGCTGGCCTTTGTTTCAACACCCTCAGTCTAAAGCTACTTCCCTAGAAGCATCTGTTGAAAGAATTTAGAGTCAGACACCTTTTTTTTTTTTTTACCCCTTGAGTCAAAGCATTCAAGGAAATATCTTAGGTGATAGGTTGACTGCACAGATAACAGAAGAGTGACTTCAGTGACCACAGAGAAAAAAAGGAATAGTCTTTGCAAAAATAGTTTGGAAAAGTAATAAACAAATGAATGACTGCAACCTGCAATTAGAAAAGAACAATCCTGGAGAGGGAGAAAAATCTGATTTCTAGAGTTACTGTCAATACATTAAAATAGTCAAAGGGTCCATTTCTAAACAACAACAACAAAATCAACAAAAATAAAAGGAGAAAGTTCTAGCCTACTTACTTAGAAAAATAAAATGAGAAAAGTTATTTTCAAGGATGTTCTTACATTGGACTTACGAGACAAATACTTTAGTATCTTAAATATGCTCAAAGAACTGAAGGGAACCATGGACAAAAAAAAAAAGGAAATCAGAAGAATAATGTATGAACAAGTAGGAAATACCAAATGAAGAGATAGAAATTATAAAAAGAAACCAACTATAAATTTTGGAGCTAAAAAGTACAACAAACAAAATGAAAAAATCACTAGAATGGTTAAACCGAGATGTAACTTCTGAAGAATTGGGGCACTTAAAGATAGCTAAAATAAAATTATCCAGCCTGAGGAGAAGAAAGAAAAAAGAAAGAAAAATGAAGACACAAAGGGACTTATGGGACACTATCAAGCATACCAATATGCACGTTATAGAATTCACAGAAGACAAGACAGAGAAAGGAAAAGATAAAAAGCATTTGAGAAGAGTAAAGATGGCTGACTAGAAGCAGCTAGTGTGCACTGTTCTCACTGAGAGAGAAACAATTGTGAGTAAATACAACCTCTTCTGCTGGAATGTCCAAGTGGACTCAATGGGATTAATCAAGGAAACAATTCGACCCATGGAGAACAGAGAGGAGCGAGACAGGACAACTGCCCACCCAGGAGTGGCACAAAGCCAGGGTAGGTCCCTCTATAGTAGGGAAATTGTAAGTGAGTGAGAGTCCCCAGGGACCCACACTTCTGCCACGGAGCTTTGCAACCCTGGGCTCAGGAGATTCCCGCATGAGTCCCCACTCCAAGTCCTCCAGACTGACATGGAGAGCTACATGGAGTCTGGGCAAGGCCACCACTCAGGCACACATGGAGTCCCAGGTGCCTTGGATCCCCAGGCATCCCAGCATTAGTGGCTCCAGCTCCAGCTATGGGGGAGGTCAGGCTCCCTTGCATACCCTGAAAAAAGGAGCCAAATCCTGGGGGCTGAGCCATGACAGACTGCAGAGTTTGCCTCTACTGGCCCTCTTGGGATAAAGCCCTCTGGACTGGGACCATAGTGTGCCCTCCTCTGCCCCACCTGGGCTCTCAAGCTGGTAGCAGCTCTGAACTTCCTTGAGACAGAGCTCCCAGAGGGAAAGGCAGGCTGCTATTTTTGCTCTCTCACACCCCTCACCACTGTTGCCCTGAGGCTCTGGAGTGAGCATGGTAATTAGGGATTGGAGTGGATCCCTAGCACAGTGAAGCCACCCCAAAGAAAAGTGACCAGACTGTTTTCAATGCAGGTCCTCATTTCTGCTTTTCCTCACTGGACAGAGCCTCCCAACCTAGGACTCCAGCCAACCCTCGGCTGGGCTCTCAGGCCAGTAGCAGCTCTGTACTTCCCTGGGACAGAGTTCCCAGAGATGCAGGTGGCCATTCTTGCTGTCCTACAACCCTCACCATTGTTGCCCTCAGGCCCTGGGTGGAGCACGGTGATTAGGAATTGGCACAGATCCCTCAGCACAGCAAAGCTGCCCCACAGAAAACTGGCCAGACTGTTTTCCACATGGGTCCCCGTTCCCACTTCTCTTCACTGGTCAAAGCTTCCTGACCTAGGACTCTAGCACAACTACCCTGCCCTTACCCAAACACTTTAGTCAGAGATGGCTCTGCATTTCTCTGAGGAGGTAATCACACAGACAACCCATAGCCCCTCTGCCATTGCAGCGGCCGTAGTACTGCCCTAACCACCATTGGGCTGGAGAAGGAACAAAAGGCCTGGTTGCTATGCTGGAACCTCCACCACTCGGCAGCTGCCATACAGAGAGGAGTCCAGCCTCTCTTCCTTGTAAGCTTCCATACTCCACTCTTCAGAATGCAGAGGCCCCAACTTGGGACCACAAAACAGTTGTCCCATCCCTGGCTGAGCTTACCCACTGGTATTGGCTGTGTGATTCCCTGGGAAGGGGCCCCCAGAGGCAACCAACAGCCTCTCTGCCACTAACACAGCAATGGTTCTGTTCCTGCTGAACCACTTGCAAGTGCAAGGGTTTCACTTGTACTTCCAGCATGCCACAGTCACTGTATGGAGAGGAGCTCTGTCTCTTCTCTCTGAGAGCCGTCAACCCTGGCTCTTCACCAAGAAGAGCCCCTGACTCAGGCAGCAGTGCAGCCTCTCTACCCTCTCACTGAACATTTCTGGTAGCAGTTGCTCTACATTTCTCTGAGCTAGACCCAGGGACAACTGAAAGCCCCTCTGCCAGTACCACTGCAGTGGCACTGCTATTTTTACCCTTGGACTGGGGAAAGGGCAAAGATCCTTAGTGCTTTAAGCACACCTCCAGCAAGCTGCAGTGACCGTAAGGAGATGAGGCCAGTCTGTCTTCATGACCCCTCTGTACCCCATGTTCATCACCAGGCAGAGTCCCCTCAGATTGGGCCCACAGAGAAGGCGCCCCCACCTTGGGCCAGTCAGAGTTATTTATAGTGGCTCTGCATTTCTCTGGGGTGGAACCCCAAGAGACAAGTAAAAGACCCTCTGCCACATCCACTACCAACATCCCTTCCCCTCCTGCCTCCAAGCTGCAGAGGGAACATAAAGTATAAGCTCACCCCAGAGCTGCAGTGTGCAGCTCAAGAGCGCTAAGCCAAGATATGCAGACAGCACTCAAATGAGAGAGGAGCCCACAGTTTGAGAGCGTTGAGAGGGAGCATGGCTGCAATCATGAGGTAATACAGAGAACCCAGGTGGCTGAGCAAGAACCTACCTACTAACCATTATGCCCAAACACTGTCTACAGGATTGCAGCCCAAACTTTGACACCAAAAATGCTTTGCTAATGTACACCCCTGTGAAAACAAGGACAAAAATTCAGCTACAGATAAGGACCCTGCACAAAGCCTTGACTGTCTGAAAACATCCAGAAAAAAGATCTACTGACTGTACTCAAATTACCTGGAAATTAAAGGAAAATCAGCTTACAAAATTAGAAAGAACCAGTGCAAAAACTCTGGCAATGCAAAAAGCCAGAGTGTCTTCTTTCCTTCAAATGACCATACTAGTTCTCTAGCAAGTGTTGTTAACCAGGCTGAAATGGTTGAAATGACAGAAACAGAATTCAGAATACAGATAGGCATGAAGATTACTGAGATTCAGGAGGAAGTTAAAACCCAATTCAAGGAATCTGAGAATTACAATAAATTAATGTGGGAGTTGATAGACAAAATGACCATTATAGGAAACAATCAAACTGATCTAATAGAGCTGAAAAAAAACGCTAGAATAATTTCATAATGCAACTGCAGTATTATCAGGAGAATAGACCAAGCTGAGCAAAGAATCTCAGAGATCAGGTCAGGTTCTTCAAACTAACTAACTCAGACAAAACTAAAGAAAAAGAACAAATGAACAAACAATACCTCCAAGAAATATGAGATTACATAAGGAGACAAAATTTAGGACTCACTGGCATCCCTGAAGGAGATGGGGAGAAAGCAAGCAAATTGGAAAACATATTTCAGTATATTTTCCATGAAAATTTCCACACCTCGCTACAGAGGCCAACATTTCAAATTCAAGAAATGCAGAGGATACCTCCAAAATAATACAAATGAAGACTATCCCTAAGACACACAGTCATGATATTCTCCAATCTAAATAAAAGGAAAAAAATGCTAAAGGCAGCTATAGAGAAGGGGCAGGTCACCTGCAAAGGGAACCCAATCAGGCTAACAGTAGATCTTTTAGCAGAAACTCTAAAAACTAGAAGCAAATGGAGGCCTATACTCAGCATTATTAAAGAAAAGGAATTTCCAACCAAGAATTTCAAATCCAGCAAAACTAAGCTTCCTAAGCAAAGACGAAATAAAATCCTTTTCAAATTTGCAAATGCTAAGGGGTTTCGTTACCACCAGACAAGACTGGCCTTACAAGAGGTCCTGAAAATAGTGGTAAACATGGAAAGGAAGGACCATTACCAGCCACTACAAAAACACACTTAAGTACATAGGCCAGTGACACTATAAAGAAACTATACGACCAAGTCTGCATAATAACCAGCTAACAACATGATGACAGGAAGAAATCTGTACATGTGAATACTAACTTTAAATGTAAATAGGTTAAGTGCCTCAATTAAAAGACACAGAGTGGTGAATTGGATAAAGAAGCAAGACACAAAAAATGGTATACTGTCTTGAAGACACCCATCTCACATGCAATGACATC
The DNA here is from genome assembly GCF_000001405.40 of Homo sapiens. Taxonomy (NCBI): domain Eukaryota; kingdom Metazoa; phylum Chordata; class Mammalia; order Primates; family Hominidae; genus Homo; species Homo sapiens. The sequence goes on from NC_000007.14 coordinate 19,653,714, forward strand.
ATAGGCTCAAAGTAAAGAGATGGAGAAAAATCTATCAAGCAAGTGGAAAACATAAATTATCAAGTGTTGCTATTTTAATTTCAGACAAAATAAACTTTAAAGTAATGTGTCTGGAGTTGGTTCCTTCTGGTGGGTTCTTTGTCTTGCTGACTTCATGAATGAAGCTGCGGACCTCTGTGGCGAGTGTTACAGCTCTTAAAGGTGGTACAAACCCAAAGAGTGAGCAGCAGCAAGATTTATTGTGAAGAGCAAAAAAAACAAAGCTCCACAGCATGGAAGGGGATCTGAGCGGGTTGCCACTGCTGGCTGGGGTGGCCAGCTTTTATTCCCTTATTTGTCACCACCCATGTCCTGCTGATTGGTCCATTTTACAGAGTGCTGATTGGTCCATTTTACAAACCTCTAGCTAGCCATAGAGCGCTGATTGGTGCGTTTTTACAGAGCACTGATTGGCACATTTTACAAACCTCTAGCTAGCCACAGAGCGCTGATTGGTGTGTTTTACAATCCTAGCTACAGAGTGCTGATTGGTGCATTTTACAACCCTCTTGTAAGACAGAAAAGTTCTCCGAGTCCCCACCTGACCCAGAAGTCTAGCTGGCTTCACCTCTCAATCTCTCCTCTAAACTGGACACCCCAACAGCTTTTGAGAATTGGGCGATGACCACTCTAGCTATTTCCTGCTGGATAGGGGTGAAGAAGGGGCCCTGCAGTGGTAGTGTCCTCCAGAGGAGAACTCTGTAGGCCAGCCAAAGGGTCAGTGGGTCAGTCCAGGGGTCCTCGGTAGAAGTTGTTAGTTGAGCTCATTTGGGGTTCCATTTGTAAGACCATTTGTAACTTGATGGCATCAATCCTGGAGGAAACAAGTTTGACAAGGAGGTTAAAAATACAGGGCCCAAAGGCGAGTAATAGCAAGATGGCTGTCAGGGGACCTAGAAAGGGGAGAAGCCATGTCGCCCAACTACAGAGGTTGGTATAAGAGTTTGAAAGGCATTGTCTTATTTCAGAAGCCTTTTCCTGTAAACGCTGGGTGGCACCTCGTACTATCCTTGACTGGTTAGTGTAAAAACAACACTGTTCCCCTAAGAAGGCACAAAGTGCTCCTTTCTCAGTAGTGAGGAGGTCTAGGCCTTAGTGGTTTTGGTAGCAAACTTACTTTTGTTGAAAACCTTTGAAGTTTGGGATTTCAATTATTCTTTGCTATTAATAAGACCTCGTTCAGTCCATATTAACTTAGAATTGGTATAGATGGCTCCTTCCTGATTCTGTACATACTTTCAGGTTTGGCTGAGTGCGAACAGCTCACACATTTGAGCAGACCAATTATTAGGCATTTTTCTTAACTGCTTCTACAAGAGTTTCCTTATCACTTACTGAATATCCCCTGTGTCTTTTTCCCTTAATCGCCCGGGAGGAAACATCTATTGTCCTGTCCTGAAGAGAGTTCCTCCTAGGTCTAGTTGGACCTTTGTATGGTAATTAATTAAGATTTAGATCCCCTGTTAGGAAACTTCCTGGGTTAAGGATTTTTAGTAGGAAGGCTATGGGTTGTGAGTGACCTCAGTGCTTTCGGGCTACGCCCCTGTTTACACTGACAAGGTGGTATTGGGGTGTTATAGGGTTATGGATAAGACCTTCAATTATCAATTATAGGTTTTAAATTTACCCTGTCTTTTAAAGGAATAGGGTACACAGTTTTTTCTTTATACTTTTATCTCTCTCTCTCTCTTTCCTTCTCTCTTTGCCTTTCTGTCTGTCTCTCTTTCTGTCTCTCTGTCTCTTCCTCTCTCTCTGACTCCTTCTTTGTCTCTCTGTCTCTTCCTCTCTCTCTCTTTCCTGCTCTCTTTGACTGTCTTTTCCCTCCTCCCCACCACCTCTTTCTTTCTCTTTGACTTTCTGTCTGTCTCTTTCCTCTCTGCTGGTCTTTCCCTGCCTCTCCTTCCCATTTTTGATGGCTTCGGCATTGCAAGACTGCCACTTCCTTGGGTTTTTGTGCTGCTTGCAATAACTCCATGATTTCCTTGTGGTATTTAATGGGGATTCCCCTAGAGGTTAGGAACTCCCTTTCTTTCCATATTGCAGTATGGTCATGTAGGATTAGATAAGCATACTTGCTATCTGTATACACATTTATTCTTTTTCCCTTTCCCAGTCCTAAGGCTCGGGTAAGTGCCACTCGTTCTGCTAACTGGGTGATGGTCCCTGGGGAAGATGCTTACTTTCAAGTACTGTTACATCACTAACTATGGCATAACCTGCCTTTCATATCCCATTCTCCACAAATAAACTTCCATCGGCATACAGGTTAAGGTCAGGATTAGCTAAGGGGACTTCTAAGAGATTCTCTCAGTGGGCATAAGTCTGGACTATAATTTGTTGGCAGTCATGCTCGATTCATTCTCAATCCTCTGGGAGAAAAGTGGCAGGGTTGAGGGCCACACATGTGTATTAGAAGCACCAGTCCCTCAAGGAGTAGTGCCTGGTATCTGAGCAGGCAGTTGTCTGATAGCCGTAAACTTCCTTTGGCACCTAGAATGCCATTTACATCATGAATAGTTCAGACTGTGAGATCCTTTCCTTGTATTATTTTGATAGCCTCGGATACTAAGATAGCCACTGCCGCAACTACCTGTAAACAGTGAGGCCAACCTTTTGCTGCTACATCAGTTTCCTTACTTAGGTATGCCACTGGTTGTGGGGTTGTCCCATGAGTCTGAGTAAGGACTCCAAGAGCTATTCCCACTCTCTTTGTGATGTATAAAGAGAAGTTTTGTCCTGTGGGAAGGCTTAAGTCTGGAGCTTGTACTAGAGCCTGCTTTTAGGTTTTGAAGGCTGTTTTGCCTGTGGTTCCCATTCTACTAGATGAGTATTTGCCCTCTGGGTCTCCCTGATTAGAGTATAAAGGGGCCTAGCTATCTCGCTGTATCCGGGGATCTATAGTTGGCAAAGGCCAGTGATTCCAAGGAACCCCCAAAACTGTTTTAATGTCTTAGGGCAATGATAAGACAGTATAGGCTGTATTCATTCCGTGCTGAGGGCCCTGGTTCCTCTGGCTAAGATTAGGCCTAGATATGTGACTTATTATAGGCAGAGTTGGGCCTTCAATTTAGACACCTTGCACCCTTGATTAGCTAGAAAGTTTAAGAGATCTAGAGTAGCCTGCTGGCATGAGGCTTCCGAACTGGTAGCCAAAAGTAAATCATCCATATACTGAACAACCAGAGTGCCTGGACTTGAGAAGTGAACTAGATCTTGGGCCTGTGCCTGACCAAACAGATGAGGGCTATCCCTAAACCCCTGGGGCAAGACCATCCATGTAAGTTGGGAGTTGTGGTCTGTGGGATCCTCAAAGGCAAAGAGAAACTGGGAGTCAGAGTGCAGGGGAATACAGAAGAAGGCATCCTTGAGGTCCAGAACAGTGAACGATTCTGCTTCCTCTGGTATTTGAGAGAGCAGGGTATAGGGGTTGGGTACAACTGGATATAGAGGAATTACTGCCTCATTGATGAGTCTAAAATCTTGCGCTAGTCTCCACTGACTGTTCAGTTTTTGTACTCCTAGAATTTGTTGCTGGGACTGCTGCATTTTCTTATTAAGCCTTGAGCTTTTAAATGTCTAACAATATCCTGTAATCCTTTATGAGCTTCAGACTTTAAGGGATATTGCCTTTGATAAGGAAAAGTGGTGGGGTCTTTTAACCTGATTTGGACTGGGCAGGCATTTTTTGCCCTTCTGAATTGCCCTTCTGAATTGTCCTTCCAATGCCCAGACTTCAGGGTTGATTCCCTCCTTAAGCAGGGAACAACAAATGGGTAACTTATTCCCCATATTCACGTAGACAATAGCTTCAGCTTTGGCTAATATGTCCCTCCCTAATAAGGGTGTGGGACTTTCAGGCATAACAAGAAAGGAATGTGAAAAAAGCAAAGTCTCCCAATTTCAACTGAGGAGGTGGGAGAAATACCTGGTCACAGGCTGTCCCAGGATTCCTCGGATGGTAACGGACTTTGAGGATAGCTGTCTGAGACAGGAGATTAACACTGAGAAAGCCATGCCAATGTCCAGGAGGAAGTCAATTTCTTGGCCCTCAAAGGTTAAATGTACCTGGGGCTCAGTGAGGGTGATGACATGAGTTGGCGCTTGCCCCAGGCACCCTCAGTCCTGTTGTTGGATCATCTGGTTGGGGGCTTCAGGCCCGGAGAAACTTTGACCTCTGGGGCAGTACGCCTTCCAGTGATTGCCTTGCCATGTCAGTGGACATGGGCGAGGGGGCAGCTTGTTTCTCACTGGACAATCTTTTTTAAAGTGTCCTTGCAAACCACACTGATAACAAGCCCTACCAGGTGACCGGCCTGCTCCATTTACTGTTCTCTCTGAACCACCAAGGTTTGTTTGTCTGAGTGCCATGACTAAGGCTGCAGCCTTTCTCTGATCTTGCTTTTCCTTTTCTGCCTGTTCCTCTTGGTCCGTATTATAGAACACCAAGGTTGCCAGGTTTAATAATGCCTTCAGATTTTGTTCAGGGCCCAGGGCTCGCTTTTGGAGCTTTCTCCTGATAACTGTTGCTGATTGGGTAATAAACTTGTCTTTTAGGATCAATGGACCTTCAAGTGAGTTGGGTGACAAGGGAGTATATATTCTTAAGGCCTACCGTAGCTGCTTGAGGAAGGCAGAAGGATTTTCTTCCTTTCCCTGAGTTATGGTGGACATCATAGAATAATTCGTGTACTTTTTCCTAATTCTCCTTAGTCTTTCTAGGACACAGGTCCACAGATATTTATGACTCCAGTCTCCATGATCTGAGTCTAGGTCCCAGTGGAGATCCATACTGGGAACGGCTTGCTGACCAGTAGGGAATGTGCCCCTTTCTTTGACTGTCATTCTATCACTTACTTGACTGAGATACCAGGTAACTCCAAACTCTCAGACTGCAGCTAAAGACACATTCTTTTCATTAAAGGCCAGGGTTTGATCTAACAATAGCATGACATCTCTCCAAGTGAGATTGAAGGCTTGCTCTAGACCCTGTAGGACATCTATGTACCTATCAGGAACATCTGAAAACTTCCTCAGGTCTTCCTGGATCTGCTTTACATCAGAGAGGGAGAAAGGGTTATGTACCTGGGTTGGGCCAAATTCCCCTCCCCCTACCCCTTGAAGGGGACATAACTGATAGCCAGGGGTTTTTTGTTGTCCTTTGGAGATTTCTTTGCTTATTTCCTTCTGGGCAGGGGAGATTAGAGGAGACTTATCATTAATAGGAAGGCTAGGATATGGGGGTTAGCTGAGAGGTCCTCCTGTGGGATGTAAATTGCAAGCTTTACATAGTTGTGCATTCTCCTCAGTGAAAAGAAAGCTTCGACGTAAGGTATTTCACCCCATTTGCCCTCCCTCTTACAGAAAAGGTCAAGCTTCAGGATAGTATTGTAATTTATACTCCCCTCAGGTAGCCATTTTTCCCCATCAGAGAGAGAATATTGGGGCCAGGCTGTAGTGCAGAAAAAAGTGAGCTGCCTCTTTTACAGGGTTTGCGGGTCAAATTGGTTCCAATGGCTTAGGATGCACTTCAAGGGTGAGCCTGTTGACGCCTGAGTGTTTCCTATCTAAAAGAAAAAATCACCTGCGGTTTTGGTTTGTTATTCCCCCCTTGCCCTAGAACTCGCAAGGGTCCCTGGACCCTGCTGATGGGAATAGTTGCACTCACCGACGCAGCAGCAGGTCCCCCTCTTGCCCAAGAACCCACAACAGTCCCTGGACCCTGCTGATCAGAATAGTTGCACTCACCAACACAGCAGCAGATCCCCTCTTGCCCAAGAACCCGCGACGGTCCCTGAACCTTGCTGATCGGAATAGTTGCACTTACTGATGCAGCAGCAGAAATACTAGTTTTCCTCCTAGACCACAAAGAGGACTGAGGAAGGTCGGATTTAGTGGCCCTTAGCAATGCATTCTTGAAAAGCTGCACCCTTGCCTTTCCTCTTAGACCATGAAGAGGACCAAGAAAAATCGGATTTAGTGGCCCTTACCGACACAGTCTCTAAAACCTGTTAGAGTCCTAAGCGTTTTCTCCTGTTAGTATTGGGACCTTACCCCGTCCTATAAAGATGTTATGCCTCAAAATGGAGTGGAGGGCCACACCCTGAGGGAGGGAAGAGATCTCTAGGGTTGGAAGAGTGATGCCTTTTGTCCTCACTTTTCATCTTATGGATAGGAAGGATATCGTTTCTGAGGCTCCCCATATCCTAACTTCAGGAATAGCCTTTGTTAGGCCTGCTTGTGTGAGGAGGGATCCTAAAATTCCAGATAGTCTCCCGCTGATGGGGCTTTGGGCAAAAATTATGTCTTTCTGATTGGTGAGCCTGGGTGCCTGAAGAAAGGAACAGAGTCCCAAAATTTATACTAGAAATCATTCTTCTAGGAGAAACTAGAAAAGCACCAGAGACAAGGAGTGGTTTTTAGAAGTGGAAATAGCCTTGGAGAAGAGAAGTGAAAGGAAATTTGTCTGAAGGCATTAGGACCCAGGAGGCAAGGGTCAGGAAAGATAGGATAGATGGGAGAGTCTCACTTGGGCAACGTGACTTTGAGAGTTCTGCTCATGTCTGCAGGGTCAACCAACGTTTTGTCGGGACCCCAGAGCTGAATGGTTTTCCTCTCTGTCAACACTCAGCTCAGCCCAGAAGTACAGGAAAAGCGAAAGCTGGTTCCAGGCAAACCAACACTTCCAACTCCGAAGAGTCGGGGATTGTTAGAGAGCCCTTTCCCAGAAAGCCTGACACCTGTGTCTTTAGTCTGCTGGCTGCGCTAGTTGCTTTTAACTGGCTGAAAGGTGCCTGGAGTTTAGCCCCTGAATTCTAAGGAAAAGTAGGACAGAATAGCAAGCGAAAGAGGTCCGATGGTACTCACCAGTTGGTGATGCTTCTTTCATGGTCACCAATATGTGTCTGGAGTTAGTTCCTTCCAGTGACTTCTTGGTCTCGCTGACTTCAAGAATGAAGCCACAGACCTCTGTGGTGAGTGTTACAACTCTTAAAGGTGGCACAGACCCAAAGAGTGAGCAGCAGCAAGATTTATTGTGAAGGGCAAAAGAACAAAGCTTCCACGGCATGGAAGTGGACATGAATGGGTTGCCGCTGCTGGCTGGAGTGGCCAGCTTTTATTCCCTTATTTGTCCCCACCCACATCCAGCTGATTGGTCCATTTTACAAACACTGACAGAATTGAATTTAAAAAATAGATAATTTGGCAATAATAGTTGGAATCTTCAATACTCCACTCTCAAGAATGGATAGAATATCTATAAATAAAATCAACAGTAGAAGACTTGAACAACACCATAGGCCAATTAAACCTAACAGCTGTATACAGAAACACACCACACAATGAAAGCGGAGTTCACATAAAACATTCTCCAGGCTATAAATATTTACAGCTATAATATATTCTCAGTAAATGTTAAAAGATTGAATTTATGTTTAGTATCTTATCCAAGTACAGTGGAGTGAAGATGGAAATAAATAACAGAAGGAAAATGAAAATTCTCAAATAAATGAAAATTAAACAACATGCTCTTAAACTACCAATGGGTCAAAAAAAGTCATTAGAAAAATTAGAATATACTTGGAAATAAATGAAAATGGAAATTAAAACACAAAAATCAAAACAGAGGATGTAGCAAAAGCAATGCCTAGAGAGGAGTATATAGCTATGAATATCCACATTAACAAGGAAGAAAGAGCTCAAATCAACAACCCAACTTTACACCTTAAGGAGCTTTAAAAACTAAGGAAAACTATATCCCAAACAAGCAGCAATAAAGATTTGAGCAGAGATAAATGAAATAAAGAACAGAAAAACAATAGAATCAACAAACCCAGAAGTTGGTTTTTTAAAAAGATCAACAAAATTGGCATTTCTTAGTCAAGCTAAGAAAAATAAACAGAATACATAAATCACTCAAATTAGAAATAAAAGTAGGGATATTACTATTGACCTTAAGAAATTAAAAATATTTTGAGAGGATACTATGAACAATTGTAGGCTAAACAATTTTATAAATGGGTGAATGGAACAAATTTCTAGAAACACACAAATTATCAAAATTGACTTCAGAAAGAACAGAAAATCTTAACACTGCTCCGACAAGTAAAAGATTGAATCAGTAAGTAATCAAAAATCTCACAAGAAATAAAGTCCATAGTCAGATAACTTCTGCTGATATAGTCTGCCAAATATATAGAGAAGTAACACCCATCCTACTCAAACTCTTCCTAAATAGAAAAGGAGGAAACACTTTCTAGCACATCCTATGATTCCAGCATTACTCTGATTCTAAAATGAGACAAAGACATTACAAGAAAAGAAAAAAATAGACCAATACCCATTAGTAAAATAAAGCCAAAAATCTGCAACAAAATACTAGCAAACTGAATTTAACAGTACATTAAAATGTTTATATACCATCACCAAGTTTGATTTTTCCAAGAAGTAAAAGAGTGGTCAAACATATGAAAATCAGCCAATAAAAAGCAACATATTTATAAAACCAACGGGGAGAAAAAGACTCCAAAACCTGTCGTCATTTCAATAGGCACGAAAACAGCATTTGACAAAATCTGACACTCCTTAATGATAACAACACTCAGCAAACTAGGAACAGCAAGGAACTTCCTCAACATGGTAAAGGCATTTATAAAAAACCCACAGCTAACATCATATTCGATGGTGAATGATGGAAAGCTTTTCTTTAAGATTAGAAATAACATCAGGATGTCCACTCTTACCACTGCCCTTCAACATTATACTGGAAGTTCTGGCCAGTCTTGCCAGTTAGGCAAGAAAAATAAATAAAAGATATCCAAGTAAAAAAGAATGAATAAACTATTTGATGATGAAATAAATAGAAAATCCCAAAGAACCCCTTAAAAAACCTATTAGAGCTAATAAACAAATTCAGCAAAGTTGTGTTATAAGATCATTATTAAAAAATCTGTGTTTCTTTACACCTACAATAAACAATCTGAGGTCAAATAAAGAAAATAATAATATTTACATTAGCATCCAAAAGAATACCAAAGAAGAAATTTAAACAATGGGGTGCAAGATTTATATACTGAAAATGACAAAATATTCCTGAAAGAAATTAAAGACCTAAATAAATGGAAAGACACCCTGTGTTCATGGACTGAAAGACTTAATTCAGTTAAGATGGCAACAGATATCCACAAAGTGATACAGAGATTCAATGCAATCTCTATCAAAATTCCTATTGCCTTTTTTTTGCAGAAATGGAAAAGCCAGTTCCAAAAATCACATGAAATTTCAAGGGACCCCCAAATAGCCAAAATGATATATAAAGGGAAAAACAGACTTGAAGAATTCACACTTCCTGATTTAAAACTTACTACAAAGTTACAGTATTCAAAACAATGTGATACTGGCATAAGGATACAAATCTACATCAATGGACTAGAATTGAAAGTCCCAAAGAAAACCTGAACATCTATGGACAATTGATTTTTAACAAAGGTGCCAAGATCATTCAATGAGGAAAGAATAGTTCCTTGCCATAACGTGATGAGACAACAGGGCAACCACATGTTATAGAATTAAGTTAGACTCCTACCTTACTTCATATGCAAACTCAAAATGGAAAAACAACCAAAATGCAAGAGTCAAAACTCTAAAACTATTAGAAGAAAACATTGGGAGTAATAATTGATGACTTCTAATTGGCAATGAATTCATAGATTTAACACCAAGAGCACAAGTAACAACAACAACAAAAGATAAGTTGGATTTCATAAAAATAAAAAATTGTGTGCATCAAAGGACAGTTCCAAGAAAGTGAAAAGACAACCTCCGGAATTGGAGAAAATATTTGCAAATCATATCTGATTAGGGTTTAATATCCAGTATATGCAAAGAATTCCTAACACTCAGCAACAAAAAGACAATCTAATTAAAAACAGAACAAAGGACTTGAACAGACATTTCTTCAAGGAAGAATACAAATGACCAATAGCACATGAAACGACGTTCAACATAATTAGTCATTAAGAAAACACAAAACCATAATGAGATACCACTTCACAACTATTAGGAATTATATAATTGTTTAACAGAAGATAAGTATTGACAAAGATACAGAGATATTGGGATCCTCATACATTCCTGGTAGACATGTAAAATGAAGCAACCATTGTACAAAACGATTTGGCTGCTCCTCAAAAATCTAAATATAACATTACTATATGATCTAGCAATTCCACTTCTAGGATACAGGTTTTTGTTTGCCGATGTTCATTGCCACATTATTTACAATAGACAAAAGGTGGAAGCAAGCCAAATGTCCATTAGCAGACGAATGTAAACAAAATGTGGTAATATACATACAATAGAATATTATTCAGCCTTAAAGGAATGAAATTCTGGCACATGCTATAACATGCATGAACCTTGAAAACATTATGCTAAATGAAAGAAGCCAGATTTGAAAGGTTATATATTATGTCTTTTTAATGGAATATACAGAAGAGGCAAATTCGTGCAGACAGAAAGCAGATTTCTGGTTGCTAGGGGACAGAGAAAGCAGAGAATATTGAGTGATCATGTAATGGCTACAAGGTGTTTTTTGAGGTGGTAATGTTTTGAAAATGAAAGAGGAAGTAGTTGCAAAACATTTCAAATACACTAAATGCCACTGCATTGTACAACTTAAAATGGTTTACTGTATGTTATTTGAACTGCACATCAGTGAAAAAGTACAATTTGGTCTAAACATAAACTGTTTGGTGTCTTACTATTCAGCAATTATAAAAAGAAAAATTAAACATCTCTTTGATTTTGAAATAATGGCTTTAAATGTCATCCTTACCTTTCCAAATTAGAATTTGTCTTTTTACTGTCTTAATCTTAGCTTTGTATACATGCTGGGGGTGGGCTGAGGAGCTAGGAAAAATCCTCTTTTTCTTTTTTACTTCTTCATCCAATGTTCAAAAGTTGAAATTTTTTTTAAAAAATAGATATGTCTGAATGAGAATATGAGACATTTTGGTCTAAGTCATGTGCAGCACTTCAAACATTTCATTTGTCTTCTCATAGAGGTCTGAGAGGTGAGCCACTGGATACTATTTAAGCATGCATTCTTCACATTCATAAATAACTGTCATTTGTGATTCTGTTATATCTATGTTGCTACCTATCATAGCCCCTGCCATTAGCCTGTAGAGTTACAAACAAGAGTGGTAAGGCAGAGAGATGTCAGAGAGATGTAATCTCATGACCGTTAAATCCATAAAAATTCCTGCAAGTAGCCTTAGCTTCTGGGGAGATCATCTGCTTGCTCTGAATTAAAAGCAGCATCGAGTAATTGAAGGATTTCCTTTGACTGTACCTCAGCTAGAAATTATTTAGTGTCAATAAAAAATTTTGTTCTGGTAAGTTTTCAGCATGATTCTAAAGCAATTCAGTAGCACAGCCGTCATTTCAAAACAATGTAATGGAATTCAATGAATGCTCTTCAGCACAGACTACATTATCACAATTAATGCATATATACAAAATAGAAGTAAATTATCTAAACAGTAGGCTATGACACTCCTGCCTTTGAGGAAAAAGATATATGAAAGTTAAATATCATTTCAAGACTTATGTCATAAAGTCCCTACAGTGGAATAAATTTGCTTTCTTCTGTTGAGGGCCATTGAATGCAATATTTATGGCTTTTTTTCTTAATATACCTTAGTAGTTATCAGGTGAATCCTTTAGTGATCAAAATTTTACTGCCCAAAGTTCTGTTAACATTCACCAAAATTTTATTTCACCGTTTACCTACATAATAGAATTAGTCTAGTTGGGAACACATGGGGTAAAAAGGTCCAATATTTAAAGCAATACTCCACCTTGTGGTAGAGTATGAAAAATGCATAGAAATTCCTTCAACAACAAATAAATGATTACAAATCTATTGACTCTGAAATAGAAGCTTTTCCTTGACTTTCTCTCTTTGAAGAAATACCAGAAAATGTATTGATTTTTAAATAATGACTTCTCAACTATTGACTACTCAAGAGCAAAATTTCACCTAATTTGAAGAAAAAAAAACTTTGAGAAGAACAAAACACTGATACTAGGTAATATCATGGACTAATTTTAATATGCATATTTTGATTAAAAATACATTTTAAATTAAAAACACAAGTGCTGGGTTAGTTTTCTCTAAGGAAAACCAAGGCATAGACTAGAAGAAATCTTAGAAAATTTCAAATTAAAAACTAAATGTATATGTATATATCATATAATATAAATAATTTTATACACCATAAGGAAAAACGTACTTGATAACAATGGTATTATGTTTACAGTGAAAAGAAATCCAATATTTAAAAGAAAAGTGGAAGAAAAAGTTATTCTGGAAATGTTGATAGCCATTACCATTTTAAAATCTGATATTAATCATTTTTAATTTAATAGTAAAAATATCTAGAAGTTTTAAGGGTGTTTTTATAAATATCAATTATTATTTTGTTTTGTTTTTTCTTTTTTAAGGAATACAATCTCTAACATAAATATATACTGCATAAACAAATTTTTCTTGGATGCTAGACTAAAGAAAGAATACCTGTTAAGAGAGCTGAGTTTTCTTTCAGGGAAAAAAATTAAATCTGTGGGTTGTAGAAGTTATTGGTTTCAAATTATTGCCATTAATTGTGGGCCAACAACTACTGCCAGCCACTGACTGATTCCTTTTCTTATACTATTTCTAGAACTTTAACATCCCTACAAGACAAATATTATTGTCCCCATTTGAGAGATGAGAAAACAGAGGTTCAGAATTAAGTAATCCACCCAAAGGTTTGAACCTAATTCTGCCAAGGCTCACACCCATGCACTCCTTCATGCAATCTTTCCATTTGCATAGCAAGGACAAAGTGTCTTATTTACAAAACTAAGCGAATTTTAAAAATTATCTGAGAAGGACTAATTTTTTTAACAAACAAATGAGAAATAACATTTTAAATGAATGATTAAGCTGATATTGCTGTTATTAATGAAGTTTTAAAAACACTTGGACTATGTATGTATATATGTAAATGTCTGAGTCCAACAATGAGTCTAACAGTGCAAGAATTAAAAGGTAAGCTTTATCTTAGGTCAGTATAAATTAGCCTTGTAAAAAATATTAAGTCTGATTTTAAATGTCGTAATAAAAACCAAGATGAACAAATTGAGTAAGATCCAGTGGGAGTCTCCTGGGCTAAAAATACTTCGTTATTACACCCTGACTTACCTGACAAGTACTTGCTTAACCTAAATGGACTATCTTGAAAACCCCTTAGAGGAAAAGCTGAAGGGTAGAAAATAACTTTACTTAATGGATCGTTTAATGACATATTTATCGAAATTTTCAAACATGTCTGAAAGATGTGATATGGAATGTAGAATATCTCCTTTTAGGAAAGCATCATGATTTCACAATTTCCCTAAAGTTGCTATTTTTAGGAAAACTGAAAATCCCTTTGGAGATGATCTAAACAGTTTGTAAAAACAAACAAACAAAAAAATCAAAATTGCCACCTCTACTTTAAAGTAGCTTGTCCAAGTAGAAAGAATCTTGCTATAAATGAGGACAGCTACGATCAGCAACCTTGGGATCTTCTGGGTCCCATCTCAAAGAGCTGGTATCAAGTCCTCTTTTAATTAACAATGCATTCATACAGAGTATAGTACATAAGACATTTTGTTAGGAAAACCATCCTTACATTTAAAATTCAAACTGGGCCAGGCATGGTGGCTTATGCCTGTAATGCTGGCACTTTGGGAGGCCAAGGCAGGCAAATCACCTGAGGTCAGAAGTTTGAGACCAGCCGGGCCAACATGGCAAAAACCTGTATCTACTAAAAATACAAAAATTAGCCAGGACTGGTGGCATGGGCACGTAATCCCAGCTATTCGGGAGGCTGAGGCAGGAGAATCGCTTGAACCCGGGAGGCAGAGGTTGCAGTGAGCCGAGATAGCACCACTGCACTCCATCCTGGGCAACAGAGTGAGACTCCATCTCAAAAAAAATTAAAAAATAGAATTCAAACTGGAGGAAAAATGAAATGGCATTTTCTAAGAGTTCAAACTAAACATAAGGAAAGAAATAATGACTGAATTATTTTGAAAAACTTTTTGAAATTCAGGAAGAGTGAAGATTTTCCTAATCTAGATGAATTCAAGACCATTTGATATGGTTTTGATCTGTGTCCTCGCCCAAATCTCATGTAGAATTATAATCCTCAATGTTGGCAGTGATGCCTGGTGGGAGGTGATTGGTTCATGGGGGTGGTTTCTCATGAATGATTTAACACCATCCTGCTTAGTGCTGTTCTCCTGATAGTGAGTGAGTTCTCATGAGATCTGGTTGCTTAAAAGTGTCTAGCGTCTTCTCCCATCTCTCTCTTCCTTCTGCTCCAGCCTTTTCCTTCTGAAGTGCCTTGCTCCCTGTTTGCCTTTCACCACGACTGGAAGTTTCCTCCAGCCTCCGCAGAAGCAGAAGCCACAATGCTTCCTGTACAGCCTGCAGAACTGTGAGCCAATTAAACCTCTTATCTTTATAAATTACCCAGTCTCAGGTATTTCTTTATAACAGTGCAAGAAAGAACTAATATAATATTGTACTATTTGAAAAGTGATTGCAGAGCTTGAAAGAAGTGTGCTTGAGCCTGTAAAATTAGGCACTAGACTTAACTACATTTCTTTGAGTACCTAATGGTGCAGAAAATGGTCACGAGAACTGGGGAGAAATTATCAAAATTTTCTTTATTGTACATATATATGCACAACATACATTCATTCATTTTCTCACTGATGGAGAATTTGGATGTGTTAAAACACTGTGTATTTTATTTTTTTTTTAAGTAGTGCATGAGAAAAGAGAAAGAATAAAACTTATAAGAAGAATATATTGAATTTAACGTTTCTAACAATTGAATGTTTATGACCCCCATATTTTTAAGTTAAATACTGTGAAAAGGATTTTTTTGGTGCGCAATTGTATTTTAATGCATTTATATTGATATAACACCACAATCAAAATACAGACTAGTTCTATTACACCGCAGAACTTTTTCTTCTGCTTTTTTTTTTTTCTAGTCAAACCATCTCTCCATTACTCAATCTAGCAACTACTGCTCTTGTCCCTGTCTTTACAGATTTCTCTTTCCCAGAATGTTATTAAGTAAAATCATATAGTATGTAACTGTTCGAGACTGGCTTCCTTCATTCAACAGAAACTGCCTTTGAGATTCATCTATATTGTTGCATGTGTTGATGATTTATTTTTTTTATAGCTAAGCAGTATTCCATTGTATGGATGTATCTATGGATGAGAGTTTGTATGATGCACTTATCCATTGGAATACCTTTGGACTGTTTTTAATTTCTAATGATTATTAATAGAGTTGCTATAAACATTCATGTACAGGTTCCCAAACCTAAGTTTTTGTATCTCCAGGGTAAATAATAAGGAATCGATTTGTTGACTCAAATGGTAAGTATAAGTTTAAGTTTACCTAAAACCACCAATCTGTTTTCCTGAATAGCTGTACATTTTTCATTTGCACTAGCAATGTGTGAAATATCTACGTGTTCTGAATCCTTGCTAGCACTTGGTTTTGTCAGTTTATTTTGTTTGTTTGTTTTAGCGGTTCTACTAGGTATGTCATAGGACTTGGTGTGTCACTGTGCTTTTAACTGGCATTACTCTAATGCTAATATGATATTGAGCATCTTTTCATGTGCTTATTTGCCATCCCTATATCTCTTTTGGTAAAGTGTCTGTTGAAAATGTTTGCCTGCTACCCGTTTTTTATTGCTTTTTTTTTTTTTTTTTTTTTTTTTTACTGTGGAGTTTAACTGTTACATATTCAGAATGTAAGTACTTTGGTGGATATATGATTTTAAAATACACCTGAACGTTATTTGCAGATTCCATAGTGCACATTGGTCTGCTCACTAAAACTTAATAATAACTCCAAGTTAATACTCTCACCATCTTTTTGCAGTAATTCACAGGCATGCAAAGAGTGGTAAAACATTTGTGTTGCCTAGCATTCCTCACCAAGGTTGAATAAGGTGACACTTTGCTTTCTTGCTTCAGCTCTCATAGTAAAGCATCCTTTTTGCAGCGTACTTAATTACATATTTTTCACTCTTTTTTTTTTTTTTTGGAATTCAGTCATTTAGAATGGCCCCGAACATAGTGCTGAAGTGCCGTCTAGTGATCTCGAGCACAAGAAGGCTGTGATGTGCCTTACAGAAAAAATGTTATGAGTTAGACAAGGTTCATTCAGGCGTGACTTTAGAGCTGTTGGCCGTGAATTCAATGTTAAAGAGCAAACAATACTTATTAAATAAGGCATATTTAAACAGAAACAAACATATAACAAGGATGTGTATTGATCAGTTAATGAAAATATTGTGACCAGAGAATTAACCATGTATTTCCTCCAGAAGCAATTATTCGGTACTCACCAATTCATTGTTCATGGTACTTTATAGCACATAACCAGCGCAAATAACAAGAAGCGACTGTGCTTTCTCCCAGTCTAGAGCTTGTCTTATCAGTCTCTGAAAAATGTCTTTCAGAAAGCAAATTTAAAAATTTACAAGAAAGTTTTAAATTCTCATAAAATCCAGCTTAGGTTTTATTTTCTCTGTGGATCAAGCTTTTAGTGCCATACATAAAAACACTGCTTAAATCAATGTCAGGAAAATGTTCACTTATGTTTTATTCAAAAAATTTATAGTTTGAAATTTTTTGTTTAGATGTATCTATTTTGAGTTAATATTTTATATAGGGTGTGAGATTTAGATTGAGGTGTTCTGACTGATTTATATAAAATTGTTCCAATACCATGTGTTCAAAGGACAGTCCTTACTTTATTGAAATGTCTTTGCAACTTAAATCAACTAGTAGACTTCCAGTTTCAACCCTGACATATATAGAGCTTGAAAGTTGTCACTCCTACCCTTACATCGTGAAAAAGAAGGATAAACTGAAAATCAAGACTTTCCTTGGACCCATCAGACAACTGAGGTTGTAGGACAAACCTCCACCCTGAAATCTGGAGAGACAGACACATCCAGAGAGACACAGCCAAGATCCGCTTACCTTGGAGTCATAATCTGATAGAAATATTTTATGGTCATTTTAATGAATTGCTGGAGATGGAGTGTGGACTGGTGTGATATGAGAAACTACTGGAGGTCATAGTCATAGGGCAGCCTCCAGGAATCACAGCATGTTTATATGATGAAGATCCAAGAAAGATTCCTTGTGGCTCTAGCAGAGAAAGGAAGTATTAATCATTCTGAAGTATTCTGAGAACCTTCTCCATAATAAAGGCCTAATCTCTGGGAGAAAAGACTGGGCTGTAGTTTACCCCAAGGTATTATTCCCACTTCAGCCCTCCTTCCAGGCTTCCTGTCTCACCAAAGAGAGGGGAGAAGACATAGTCAATAGGCGTCAGGGCTTCAAGAAAATTGTTTGGAAATGCTGCAGTTAGTCTCAGAAATGAAAGAAGGGTCACCACTACAGATTTCACTGACATTAAAATTATAACAAAGTTATACTATGAACACTCTATGTCCATACATTTGATAGCTTAAATGAAATGAATAAATGTCTTGAAAAACATACCCAAAGAGAAAGCAATAACCTCAGTAGCCCTAAGTATATTAAGGAAATTTAACCAATAATTAATAACCTTCCAAAATAAAACACCAGGCCCAGTTGGTTTCACTGGTGAATTTTAACAAACATTTAGTCAGAAATAATACTAATTCTCCACAATGTCTTCCATAAAAAATAAGCATAAAGAATACTCTTATTCTATGAGGCCAGTGTTACCCTAATTTCAAAGCCAGATAGAGACCTAACATAATAGAAAAACTACAGACCAGTATCTCTAATGAACATATACTCAAAAATCTTCAACTAAATATTAGCAAGTTGAATCTAATAATATAAAAAGATACACCTGGATGAAGTGGGATTTATTCAATATGGACAAGCCTTGTTCAACATTAAAAACCATTCAACATAATCTGACTTGTCAAAGGATATAAAAGAAAAAGGATATAATCATACACTGATGCAGGAAAAACGTTTGAAAAAAATCCAATTCATGATAAAATTTTTAAGCAAACTAAGAATAGAGAAAATTTTCTAAAATTTTTTTGCTAGAAAAAATAAGAGTTATGCAAAAAAAAAATCTACATACCACCATTCTGAAACAAGCCTCTTTTTGAAACAATTAATACTTAATGTTGAAAGACTGAATGCTTTTTCCCTAAGTTTGGGAAAATGTAAGGATGTCCTTTCACAGCAGTCATAGTCAGCGTCATAAGGGAAGCTCTATTTAGAGCACTAAAATAAGAAAGAAAAGGTATGCATATTGAAAAAAGCTGTTTTTATTTGGAAATGACATGATTGCCTATGCAGAAATTTCAAATAATCTACGCAATAATTTCTGCAACCAATAGGTTAATACAGCAAGGTCACAGATTATAAAGTGAATATATAAAAGCCACTTTCTTATCTATACACCATCAGTGAACATTGGAACTTAAAATTAAACAATACATTTACAATAGTGCCAGAAATGAAATACTTGTAGATATAATTCTAACTAAGTATGAATACCATCTGAATGCAGAAACTGCAAAACATTGAATGAAGAAATCATAGATATAAGTAAATTGAGAGATATTCTATATTAATGAATTTGAAGGTGTAATATTACTGAGATGTTAAATCTTCCTTTAATGGAATTCTAATAAAATTCCCATCAAGTTAAGATTTTTTTAAAAGCCTCTCAATGAACAAATTGGGCAAAAGATCTAAATAGACACCTCTCCAAAGAGATAGACGGATGGCAAATAAGCTTATGAAAAGATACTCAATATACATTAGGGATATACAAATTAAAACAACCATGAGATATGACTGCACACATTAAAATGTCTAAAATAAAATAAAATAAAAACCCTGACAATACTAATTACTGATAAGGTTGCAGAGCAACAGAAAGTCCATTGCTGATGTGAATGTAAAATGGTACAACAAATTTGGAAGACAGCTTGACAGTTTCTTACAAAGTAAAATGTAGCCTTATTATGCAATTTAGCAGTTTTCTTCTAGGTATTTAGTCAATTGATTTGAAATGTTGTTAGGAGCTTTATTCATAATTGCCAAACTGAAAGGAGCCAAATCTCCTTCAAAAGGTGAAATAAACTTCCATTCAGTGGAATAGTACTCAGCAATAAAAAGGAATGAGCTATCAAGCCATGAAAATACATGTATTCATTTTAAATGCATATTGCCAAATAAAAGAAAGCATTCTGAAAGGCTATATATATTGTATGATTTGGTTATTTGCCATTCATGAACTGTCAAAACTGTAGAGATGACAAAAATATTAGTGGCTAAGAGAGGCTTAGAACAAGAGGAAGAGTTAAGTAAGTGAAGCACCATGCATTTTTTTGAGCAATGTCACTATTTTTATGACACCATAATGATGGATACAAAATACTGTGTATTTGTCAAAACTCACAGAACTTTACAGCAAAAAGAGAGGCTTAAATATGCAAATTTCTTTAAAAATTATTTAAGAGGTCATAGGACTCCTAGGATGAAATTTAGAATGTAACAGTAGCTCTGTCATCTTATTATTTCTTTACCATTTGTTCTCTTTATTCTTTGTTTCTCTGTTTCCTAGCTTCTGCCTTATTTTGAATTATTTGAATAATTTTTAATATTCCACTTCAGCTATATCTCTTCGAATAGTTTTTCATAGTGGTTGCTCTAGGAATTAAAATAGACATGGTTAACTTTTCATCATCTACTCTGAATTAATATTTTAATTTAAAGGGAATGTAGAAACCTTATCATATAGATAGGTCCCTTTACTCTGCTTCATTTGTCTTGCAGGTATCATAAGTGTTGCACATATATACACTGAAGCACCATCATATATATTTTATAGAACTTTAGAGGAGAAATATTATCTATCGTATTTACCCCGATGTTTGCCATTTTCATTGTTCTCCCTTTATTCTTAAAATTCTTTCTCTCTAGTAGCAATTCCCTTTCATCTAAAGATCTTTTAGTATTTCTTTAAGAGTAAGTCTGCTATTAACAAATTCCCTCAGCTTTTCTCAATCTGAGAAGGTATTTATTTATCTTTCAATATTTTAAAATCTTTTTCCTCTTGTTCAGATTAGATCATTTATATTAATCTGTCTTTAAGTGTACTGATTTCCTCTGTCATCTTCATTCTGCTGTCAAGCATACAGTGAAATTGTTTTCACTTGTAATTTTCAGTTCCAAAATGTCCATTTGGTTTCTTTCTATATCTTTCTCTGCTGAGACTTTCCAGCTTTCCATTCATTTCAGGTGTGTTCAATGTACTTACTTTTTGGAACATGGCTATAATAGCTATTTTACAATCCTAGTCTAATAATTTCAATTGCTATGTGTTGGTATTTATTGTATTTTACCTAGCAACATGCTGAGATTTTCCTGGTTCTTATATATTGAACAATTTTGGATTATATCTTGGGTCTTTTGAATATTATATGACTCTGGGTTTTATTTTAGTCCTATGGAAAAATACTCATTTATTTATTTACTTGCTTGTTTGGGCATGAAATTGGCTTGTGAGATTAAAGCAGCAAGTTTATACCTGCTTTCTGTGGGCTGTAGTTTCAATGTTAGTTCAATTTCAAATGCAACACGATAGCTACTATGAGACGTGGATGGCAGTCTAAATTCACAGTTCAGTTCTTGAATCCTTCTACACACTGTTTAGAGTCAAATTTGAAAATAGTTACAGGGCAAGGACAAAAGCAAATACAAAACTTTAGAGTATTGCTTTCTTGAGCTCTCTCCTCTCTATACTCTCCCAGTGGTTTCTAACTCCCAGAGGCCCTTCTCACTGATCCTCTTCATAAAAAGCTGTGGCTTTAGTTTCCTACTGTGTCATGCATTCCTGAAAATGTGTCTGCATCCAGAGCCAAGTGGTGAGAGGGTAAAGAGAGAAAAATAAATTATTGGACATTCTCCCCTCTTGAGATCAGATTCTCTGGTCAACGATAAAACGCCACTCTCTTAAGTTTTAGGCTGTTGACTACTCACTGATGCTGTTGCTGCCATTGCTGCTACAGGATTACTTGGAAGGTGGCGCCAAAAGTAACACACACACAAAAAAGAAGAAAATTGTCCCACTCTCGTTGACTCACAGGGGCCTCCTTTCCTGCTCATCGGATGGCCTAGAAATAGGTTCCTTTGGAACTCTTTCTGTCTGCACCCAGTGTACATTTCTTGACTGCTTTTAAGTTTAGGTCAGAAGATACTGGGGGAAAAAAATGAGAAACTCACTATTGGTTGTATGGTATATTACTTTCTAGTTTCCTTTGCCAATTCACTGGTTGACAATAACCAGAAGCACCTCTAAAAAGTATTAAATGTAATTATTTTTCATGTGATAGCATTTTAGTTAATGTATATTGTGAAAGACTTTGGAGTGTACTTCAAGAGCTCCTTCATCTGTGTGATGACTCTAGGGATAAAATGGAATTAGATAGACATAAGGTGGAAGGGATAATTATTTTCTGAGAAAAAAATATTGCACTGAATTTCCAAATATATTAAGAACTTAGCAATGAAATATTAATAAACAAAATAAATCAGTTGATCTGTGATTTATAGTTAGAAACACTAATTGAAACGAAATAGCATCAAACAAATGAAGAACTGAGTTTCCAAATAAAAATCAGAAAGGGTAGGAAGCTCTCATCAAGCATATTAGCATTTATATTTGTTGATTTTTAAAGTTCTTTTGATTATTCTGCTATAGGAATGACTGTTTATATTATATAATATACAAAAGATGCAAGCAAGAAGAAGAGAAGGTAAAATGGTACATGTACATGGGAATGATGTGGAAAAGTTAATTTGATTAAAAAAGAGACAGTATCATAAATTATTTCAACCATTGTGGAAGACAGTGTGGCTATTCCTTAAAGACCTACAGAAACACCACTTGACCCAGCAATCCCATTAATGGATATATACCCAAAGGGATATAAAAAATTCTATTATAAATACACACAGACGTGTATGTTCATTGCAGCACTATTCATAATAGCAAAGACATGGAATCAACCTAAATGCCCATCAATGATAGAATAAAGAAAATGTGATACATATGCACCATGGACTACTATGCAGCCATAAAAAAGAATGACATCATGGCCTTTGCAGTGACATGGATGGAGCTGCAGACCATTATCCTTAGCAAACTAATGCAGGAACAGAAAACCAAACACCACATGCTCTCACTTATAAGTGTGAGCTAAATGATGACAACACATAGACACATAGAGGGGAAACAACACACACTGGGGCCTGTCAGTGGGTGAAGGGTGGAAGGAGGGGGAGGATCAGGAAGAATAACTAATGGGTACCAGGCTTAATACCTGGGTGACAAAATAATCTGTACAACAGACCTCCAAGACACAAGTTCACCCATGTAACAAACCTGCACTCATACCCCTGAACTTAAAAAAGAAGATATGAAAAAGTAAGAGGAGTTAGGAGACAAGAACCATGAGAAAGATATTATTACTACTCCCTGTGTGGATTGTAAAATTGGAATGTTTATTTTAATTCTCTACAGGAGCAAAAAATTAAAAAATAATGAATACATTTTTCTAAATGGGGATATGAGAAATTAAAGTTCCTCATTAATGTTCTCTTATTTCCACTCATTAGTAACATTCAGAAGGCCCAGGATACTTTCCTTTCTTTAGTCTCATTCTATTCATAGAAAACTTGAGCTATTAGAACTTGTTACCTGGTTACCTCTAGAAAAAATTATATGATGTCTTATTAAGTTTATTTCAGATTTTAAAAAGGATAAAAATGCAGTTGACTTATTACAAATAAAATCACTTCTTCTATGAGATAACTTTAATCCAATTACATTTATCCTTGTGTTTTATGTAATGATCTATGTACATTTTTTGCTCAATTTTACACTATTATAATCAATTTTACTCTGCCTTAATTTGTACATCTTCAAGTTATTCTGAGGTTACTTTGCCATCCATTTAACAGTCATGAAGTCCTATTATTGAGTTATTACATTACTTTAATCTTGCTTAAATCTGTCTGGTCCTTAATTATTTCTCTTCTCAAAATAATCTTCAATTTGTCAGCTAGGCCCATAGTTTTATATATACTATTATACTTTTTACCATAATAGCATGGCTTTAACTTTTAACTATAATAAGTACTTGAAAGTTTTAAAGATATTTTTCTTATTGACTTTTAGGATTGGACATAGTTTGCATTAGAAAAACCATGAGCACAATTGCCAAAAAACATTGGCCATAATACTTCTCTCTTCCACATTCATTATATCACACATTTAGAATTTGAATGACAAATAATTGGAACTGAAATATAATAATGTAACAGACCAGCTGTCCTGCAGCGTTAAAATAGAGTGAGGAAGAATACAACTATAAACACTGTTTCCTCTTTCGAAATAACTCATTTATCCTTCACTTTAGAAAGCATAAAATATAGTAGTCCCCTTTTATCTGTGGTTTTGCTTTATCTGATTTCAGTTACTTGTGGTCAACCAGTCTGAAAACATTGTATGGAAAATTTCAGTAATAAATACCTCATAAGTTTTAAATTGTGCACCATTTTTAGTAGCTTGATGAAATCTCACACTGTTCTGTTCTGTCTTTTCTTGATCCCAAGAAGGGTAGGCCATGTGCAGTGGCTCATGCTTCTAATTCCAGCAATTTGGAAAGCCAACGCTGGAGGATCGCTTGAGCCCAGGAGTTCAAGGCTGCTTTGAGCTATGATCACATCCCTGCACTCCAGCCTGGGTAATAGAGCAAGACCCTCTCTCTTAAACAAGGAAACAAACAAAAACAAACAAAAAACTAGAAGGAAGTGCAGTACAATAAGATATTTTGAGGGAGACACCATATTTATATAACTCTTATTACAGTACTCTTATTACAAATTGAACTTTATCATAGGCATGTATGTATAGGAAAATACATAGTATATGTATATATATATATATATATATATATATAGGGTTTGGCAGTATCCACAATTTCAGGCATTCACTGGGAGCTTTGGAATATATCCCTCATGGGGACTACTGTATTTTTATAATATTTACTAACTCAATTGCTGACTAATTCATAATAAAAACCATTGTTCATCTGCTCCCCGTCCCATATACATACCTGTTTTATGTGTTTTTTGGGTTTGGTGTTTAAAAGACTAAACTAAATCTTACTAAGGTAGAGTTCCTTAGGTTCTTTGAGAAATGTATTAAATATTTTATGAAAGTAACGTCATAGTGACTTCCAGATTTACTCTAAAAAATCTTGCCCATTTTGTGAGAAAGGTGACATAATCGGCTGTCCAAAGATGGGTCTCTACTATGAAGGAAAGTGAACCAATCTGCGTAATTTGGCCATTGTGGTGAGCAAAACGGACCATTGCTCAAAAGATTTTCTTTAGTTCAAGAGTTTCTTTGTAGAGGAGGAGACAATGTAAGGACCATCCGTTAATCATACTTATAGCCTTCTTGGCACTCAACAGAACACCTGCAAATAGTAGGCATTTAATGCACAGTTTTTTTTTTGTTTTTAGTTGGTTTGTTTGAGACGGGATTTTGCTCTTGTTGCCCAGGCTGGAGGGCAATAGCACAATCTCGGCTCACTGAAACCTCCACCTCCCGAGTTCAAGTGATTCTCCTGCCTAAGCCTCCTGTGTAGCTGGGTTTAGAGGCGCCCACCAGCATGCCTGGCTAATTTTTGTATTTTTAGTAGAGATAGGGTTTCACCATGTTGGCCAGGCTGGTCTCGAACTCCTGACCTCACGTGATCCACCTGCCTCGGCCTCCCAAAGTGCTGGGATTACAGGCGTGCACCACTGCACCTGGCCAATGCACAGTTTTTAAAGTTTAAAAATAAAATGTAATACAAACCTTCTTCTCTCATCAAAATCATCCATTTAACTTGGCCACTGTGTTATAAAATAGGGAAAAGAAAAAACAAGAGGTAGGAAAGATGTTATAGTTTCAAATTACTGAATAAATAAGATCCATTCATATCTAGAACAGGGTAGGTATAAGTCTAAATATTCTCCTCAAATAGTGAACATGCTACATACAAGTGTATCTTCACAGTGCCCATATGCAGCTGAGTAATCACTAAATTCAGCCTTGTTCAAATGAGGGAGAAGAGTGGTATCTTACTTATTCTAGCTGTGCATATCTATCAGAAATCTGAGCAACTTTCTATCATACTTAAAACAATATTTTGAAAGCCTGCTTAAACAATTCAACAAGCTTACTTCATCAACATGTCAAGTCTTTACTATATCCAGTCATTAGCAATAGTAAAGAGCTCTTTGGTTGAAAGAAATGGAACCCCTTCAAAAAGGCCCAAGTTAATAGGATGTTTATCACAAAGAGAAAAATGATCTCATGGAACACAACAGCAAGCAACATTGCTAGGCCTTCAATGAAGTAGATGTTTGCCTGGCAGTTAGCCTCTCACACTCTATCCTTGTGAAAAGATACAATGTATCATTTTCTCATAGACGATGCTCTCTTGCAAAGTTCTAGATTTTACTTTTTAGTGATTGTAGCTTGCACCAGAAGAATCTGGTTGGCTCTTTTTCTGACATTCTCTCTTCTCTCCATAAATTTACAGTTCCAGTTTCCAACAGAAATATAACATGGTGTTTCAGTCTATGTTTTTATATCCCAACATTTTTGGAAAGAGAACATGGTTATTCCAGCTTGGGTCATTGTTCATCCATGATCAAATCAATACGACTAGAAAACTGTAGTTGTATGATACAAAGGTTGCCCTTCTTAGGACTATGGGCCAGAACTGGGTTAAAAAGGATGTAAATGCTAAGAGAGGAAATTCATTTCTAGTTACATCTAAAGTGCATTTCCCTTGCCACTTACCAGTAATGAGGATTTTAAATTACACACACACACATTACCTTATGCTACTAACTCACGTGCTTTTATTGCAGTACTGGACTTCCAGGCTAGGTATTTTTAGAGATTTTTTAGTATTATATATGTCTGAGAATAAAAAGAAAGCACACCTGGAATCAATAATTTAAACTTACTGGAAGATAAAATAACCAAAAATTAACATCTGGAAACTACTACATCATCTGTCAAACAGGAATGATACTATTTGATCTCATTATGGCATATGAGTTGAAAACCTATGAATATATTCTTTTTTTGTAATTTGAAACCAAAATAGATAAGGCATATTACATGTGCCACTTAATACACAAACATTTAAAATACTGTTTTCTAATTAAGTCTTCAGTTATCCTTGATATAATTGATCATCAAATAATTATTAAGCAAACAACAGTACTTCTTTCAAAATAGTTTCTTTAGATTATTGGACATGGTTGAATAATGTCAAACGTACAAAGATATAAAATGAAATCAACTTGCTCTGAACTCATCATATCTCATTCTCCGTCTTGCTCTCTCTGCTATAGTCACACAAAAATTATTGTTGCTCTTGTTATCTTTCAGAAATATGAAACCCAGGCCACTCCTCATGTCTTTGAGCCTCTTCATTGACTGTGTCCTCACTTTGAAATTCTCTTCCTCTAGAATCTATTTCTTTCAAGTATTTGCTCTGATTTCACCTTCTAGTGAGGCCTTTACTCACTACCGTTTTTACAATTGCAATTGTTACCCTCACCACACTGACATATCTTTTGCCACTTTTTTTTTTTTTTTTTTTTTTGCCTCCACAACATTTATCATCATCTGGCATACTACCTACTTAGTTCTTTTTTGTTCTCCTCCTGCTTCTAAAATATATGCTGCATTGGCAGGCAATGTTGTCTGTTTTGTTTCCCTAATAAGTGCTCAAATCAGAGTTTATCACATGGTTGACATCCAATAAATATTGATTGCATGACTGAATGGCTCAGAAGAAAAAGAAAACACAAACAAAAAACCAGAAATCTCCAACAATCACAAGGCAAATGGCTCTTTAATGTGAGGGTACGTTCACATTTACCTCACAAAATAAC
Organism: Homo sapiens; assembly: GCF_000001405.40. Taxonomy (NCBI): domain Eukaryota; kingdom Metazoa; phylum Chordata; class Mammalia; order Primates; family Hominidae; genus Homo; species Homo sapiens. The sequence goes on from NC_000007.14 coordinate 19,680,886, forward strand.
TTGGGGCCACCAGAGACTATTAAGTCTAGGCCTTAATGTACATTATCATGTGACATCAAATAGGCTGTGTAGCCTGAAACCAAAATTAACAGAAAATAAATTTTTAAGTTTTAAAAGCTATGCATATGAACATGATAAATTACAAGCAAAGCTCTTTCATTTTATCAGAATTATAAAGATGTCTCAAAGAAAAATGGATAGAAACTCTTCAGTTATGATTTGTAGAACCATAATGTTCTCTGTTTGAGGTTAGATCAGTCAGTTTTATGACTTTAGTTGTTTCTGTCTATAAACTATTTGGGAAAAATCCAAAGCTCACTTTGGAATGCACGTGAAGAGATTTTACTTACTACTCCAATGTTCTCTCTTCTCTTCTCAAGTCATAGGTGTTCTTACAACTAATAGATTGAGGAGGAAAAAAAAATACATAGAAAATACATTTTAAAATGTAAGTCTTACTACACACATAATCACTTTCAAGACATTAGAAAAATGTCAGAAATAAAGTTGGCCTTAGTCTTTTCTTTTTCTTCTTCTTTTTTAAAATTCGTGCTTAGATCCCCTCCAGTTCAAGTCTGCCTGCCTTTGAAGTGTTAATAATTGTGGACGTTTTGGAAACTAAGGAGAAGTTTTCACCATTCGTTTTTTTAAATGTGTTGGCAGTACAGGTTTTATAAATTTTGAAATAAATCAAACTAAAATGTAGAGACAGTTAACAAAGAAACCCAAATTTAGGCTAAGAGCACATATTATTTCTTTTTTGCTGTCACATGGATTGGTAAAATGTATACAATCTCTAATGCTTGGCTGGAGGAAACAATACCTCAGCTTTTTTAAAGATCTGACTGCACCCACAACTCAGGCACTTTGGCAGCACCCTTTGTTTTCATTTGTTTGTAATGTATGGAGCAATAAACAGTGTGCCAGTACCCCAGGCTATAGTATCTATGGTAACTTAAAAAATTGGATCGGAGACTGGAATAAACTTTGCTGCGTCAGGGCTGGCAATAATTAATCAGTGATTTAAAAAATAAATGGCTTCTGGCTGGGCAGGGTGGCTCAAGTCTGCAATCCCAGCTCTTTGGGAGGCCGAGGCAGGCGCATCGTGAGGTCAGGAGTTCAAGACCAGCCTGGCCAACATGGTGAAACCCCATCTCTACTAAAAATACAAAAATTAGCTGAGTGTGGTGGTGGGCACCTGTAGTCCCAGCTACTCAGGAGGCTGAGACAGGAGAATCGCTTGAACCCAGGAGGCGGAGAGATTGCAGTGAGCTGAGATGGTGCCACTGCACTCCAGCCTGGGCAACAGTGCGAGACTCTGTCTGTAAATAAATAAATAAATAAATAAATAAATAAATAAATAAATAAATGGCTTCTGATATGGTTTGGATGAATCCCCACTCAGATCTCATCCTGAATTCCCACTTGTTGTGGGAGGGACCTGGTGAGAGGAAATTGAATCATAGGGGCAGGTCTTTCTCATGCTGTTCTCATGATAGTGAATAAGTCTCATGAAATTTGATGGTTATATAGAAATGGGAGTTTCCCTGCACAAGCTGTCTCTCTCTTTGCCTGCTGCCTTCTATGTAAGATGTTACTTGCTCCTCCTTGCCTTCCACCATGATTGTGAGGCCTCCCCATCTATATGGAACTGTAAGTTCAATAAACAGCTTTCTTTTGTAATTGCATGGTCTCCATTTGTCTTTATCTGCAGCATGAAAACAAACGAATACAGCTTCCTTCCCATGTTTTTTAATTTATGATTTTTAAAAGGAGGAAATGGATGATCATGTATTTCATATTATAAAATACAAACTTCTATCACTATAAATAAGTTTATAAATGCCTCTCCCAGTCCTCCCACCAGTTACGACCCCTTGTACATATTACCTTTAGGTCATGAAAACAGAACATACGTCAGTCAAGTTGATGTTCCCAACTTGACTGATACATTGAGCAACAGCCTCAGCTTGCAATTTGCTGGTAGATTCTGGTGCTATATTTACATGGAGTAGGATGACTCTCCATTACTTTATAATGTTCCTACTACTATCTTGTGCCTTTTCTCGCTCAATGGAAGATGTAACTCAGTCAAGAACCCTATGAAGAAAGAAAACACACAAAAAGAAAATTTCATCATTTCAAAATGATTATTAGGATGAAAATAATATGTATATTTGGTACCTGGGATAGAAGTCATGTTTTGGAATGTGTTCCAAGTAATAATAATTCCTCTTTTGGGGGGGAATTGTTCTCACCTTTTAACCCCTCTTTCATAAATCTGGATATCAGACAGTCATCTTAGTAATACGAGCAGTGAATCCATCCCCAAATTGGCCTGGATTCTCCCACCTGGGGATCTGCAATTGGTACTGAGAGCCAAAGAATTAATCTCCATGTGATTGGAACTGCAAAGTGACTGTATGGAATACATATGAAAGACTGAGAGAAACTACTGATGCTTTCCAATAACTCTTTTTTTTTAAAATTTTTTTTATTATACTTTAATAAATGTGTACATGTGCACATTGTGCAGGTTAGTTACATATGTATACATGTGCCATGCTGGTGCGCTGCACCCACTAACTCGTCATCTAGCATTAGGTATATCTCCCGATGCTATCCCTCCCCCCTCCCCCCACCCCACAACAGTCCCCAGAGTGTGATATTCCCCTTCCTGTGTCCATGTGATCTCATTGTTCAATTCCCACCTATGAGTGAGAATATGCGGTGTTTGGTTTTTTGTTCTTGTGATAGTTTACTGAGAATGATGATTTCCAATTTCATCCATGTCCCTACAAAGGACATGAACTCATCATTTTTTATGGCTGCATAGTATTCCATGGTGTATATGTGCCACATTTTCTTAATCCAGTCTATCATTGTTGGACATTTGGGTTGGTTCCAAGTCTTTGCTATTGTGAATAATGCCGCAATAAACATACGTGTGCATGTGTCTTTATAGCAGCATGATTTATAGTCCTTTGGGTATATACCCAGTAATGGGATGGCTGGGTCAAATGGTATTTCCAGTTCTAGATCCTTGAGGAATCGCAACACTGACTTCCACAATGGTTGAACTAGTTTACAGTCCCACCAACAGTGTAAAAGTGTTCCTATTTCTCCACATCCTCTCCAGCACCTGTTGTTTCCTGACTTTTTAATGATTGCCATTCTAACTGGTGTGAGATGGTATCTCATTGTGGTTTTGATTTGCATTTCTCTGATGGCCAGTGATAATGAGCATTTTTTCATGTGTTTTTTGGCTGCACAAATGTCTTCTTTTGAGAAGTGTCTGTTCATGTCCTTTGCCCACTTTTTGATGGGGTTGTTTGTTTTTTTCTTGTAAATTTGTTTGAGTTCATTGTAGATTCTGGATATTAGCCCTTTGTCAGATGAGTAGGTTGCGAAAATTTTCTCCCATTTTGTAGGTTGCCTGTTCACTCTGATGGTAGTTTCTTTTGCTGTGCAGAAGCTCTTTAGTTTAATTAGATCCCATTTGTCAATTTTGTCTTTTGTTGCCATTGCCTTTGGTGTTTTAGACATGAAGTCCTTGCCCATACCTATATCCTGAATGGTAATGCCTAGGTTTTCTTCTAGGGTTTTTATGGTTTTAGGTCTAACGTTTAAGTCTTTAATCCATCTTGAATTGATTTTTGTATAAGGTGTAAGGAAGGGATCCAGTTTCAGCTTTCTACATATGGCTAGCCAGTTTTCCCAGCACCATTTATTAAATAGGGAATCCTTTCCCCCTTGCTTGTTTTTCTCAGGTTTGTCAAAGATCAGATAGTTGTAGATATGCGGCGTTATTTCTGAGGGCTCTGTTCTGTTCCATTGATCTATATCTCTGTTTTGGTACCAGTAGCATGCTGTTTGGGTTACTGTGGCCTTGTAGTATAGTTTGAAGTCAGGTAGTGTGATGCCTCCAGCTTTGTTCTTTTGGCTTAGGATTGACTTGGTGATGCGGGCTCTTTTTTGGTTCCATATGAACTTTAAAGTAGTTTTTTCCAATTCTGTGAACAAAGTCATTGGTAGCTTGATGGGGATGGCATTGAATCTGTAAATTACCTTGGGCAGTATGGCCATTTTCACGATATTGATTCTTCCTACCCATGAGCATGGAATGTTCTTCCATTTGTTTGTTTCCTCTTTTATTTCACTGAGCTGTGGTTTGTAGTTCTCCTTGAAGAGGTTCTTCACATCCCTTGTAAGTTGGATTCCTAGGTATTTTATTCTCTTTGAAGCAATTGTGAATGTGAGTTCACTCATGATTTAGCTCTCTGTTTGTCTGTTGTTGGTGTATAAGAATGCTTGTGAGTTTTGTACATTGATTTTGTATCCTGAGACTTTGCTGAAGTTGCTTATCAGCTTAAGGAGATTTTGGGCTGAGACAATGGGGTTTTCTAGATATACAATCATGTCATCTGCAAACGGACAATTTGACTTCCTCTTTTCCTAATTGAATACCCTTTATTTCCTTCTCTTGCCTAATTGCCCTGGTCAGAACTTCCAACACTATGTTGAATAGGAGTGGTGAGAGAGGGCATCCCTGTCTTGTGCCAGTTTTCAAAGGGAATGCTTCTAGTTTTTGCCCATTCAGTATGATATTGGCTGTGGGTTTGTCATAGATAGCTCTTATTATTTTGAAATACATCCCATCGATACCTAATTTATTGAGAGTTTTTAGCATGAAGGGTTGTTGAATTTTGTCAAAGGCCTTTTCTGCATCTATTGAGATAATCATGTGGTTTTTGTCTTTGGCTCTCTTTATATGCTGGATTACATTTATTGATTTGCGTATATTGAACCAGCCTTGCATCCCAGGGATGAAGCCCACTTGATCATGGTGGATAAGCTTTTTGATGTGCTGCTGGATTCGTTTTGCCAGTATTTTATTGAGGATTTTTGCATCAATGTTCATCAAGGATATTGGTCTAAAATTCTCTTTTTTTGTTGTGTCTCTGCCTGGCTTTGGTATCAGAATGATGCTGGCCTCATAAAATGAGTTAGGGAGGATTCCCTCTTTTTCTATTGATTGGAATAGTTTCAGAAGGAATGGTACCAGTTCCTCCTTGTACCTCTGGTAGAATTTGGCTGTGAATCCATCTGGTCCTGGACTCTTTTTGGTTGGTAAGCTATTGATTATTGCCTCAATTTCAGCTCCTGTTATTGGTCTATTCAGAGATTCAACTTCTTCCTGGTTTAGTCTTGGGAGAGTGTATGTGTCGAGGAATGTATCCATTTCTTCTAGATTTTCTAGTTTATTTGTGTAGAGGTGTTTGTAGTATTCCCTGATGGTAGTTTGTATTTCTGTGGGATCGGTGGTGATATCCCCTTTATCATTTTGTATTGCGTCTATTTGATTCTTCTCTCTTTTTTTCTTTATTAGTTCTTGCTAGCGGTCTATCAATTTTGTTGATCCTTTCAACAAACCAGCTCCTGGATTCATTAATTTTTTCAAGGGTTTTTTGTGTCTCTATTTCCTTGAGTTCTGCTCTGATTTTAGTTATTTCTTGCCTTCTGCTAGCTTTTGAATGTGTTTGCTGTTGCTTTTCTAGTTCTTTTAATTGTGATGTTAGGGTGTCAATTTTGGATCTTTCCTGCTTTCTCTTGTGGGCATTCAGTGCTATACATTTCCCTCTACACACTGCTTTGAATGCGTCCCAGAGATTCTGGTATGTTGTGTCTGTGTTCTCGTTGGTTTCAAAGAACATCTTTATTTCTGCCTTCATTTCATTATGTACCCAGTAGTCATTCAGGAGCAGGTTGTTCAGTTTCCATGTAGTTGAGCAGTTTTGAGTGAGATTCTTAATCCTGAGTTCTAGTTTGATTGCACTGTGGTCTGAGAGATAGTTTGTTATAATTTCTGTTCTTTTACATTTGCTGAAGAGAGCTTTACTTCCCAGTATGTGGTCAATTTTGGAATAGGTGTGGTGTGGTGCTGAAAAAAATGTATATTCTGTTGATTTGGGGTGGAGAGTTCTGTAGATGTCTATTAGGTCCGCTTGGTGCAGAGCTGAGTTCAATTCCTGGGTATCCTTGTTGACTTTCTGTCTCATTGATCTGTCTAATGTTGACAGTGGGGTGTTAAAGTCTCCCATTATTAATGTGTGGGAGTCTAAGTCTCTTTGTAGGTCACTCAGGACTTGCTTTATGAATCTGGGTGCTCCTGTATTGGGTGCATATATATTTAGGATAGTTAGCTCTTCTTGTTGAATTGATCCCTTTACCATTATGTAATGGCCTTCTTTGTCTCTTTTGATCTTTGTTGGTTTAAAGTCTGTTTTATCAGAGACGAGGATTGCAACCCCTGCCTTTTTTTGTTTTCCATTGGCTTGGTAGATCTCCCTCCATCCTTTTATTTTGAGCCTATGTGTGTCTCTGCACGTGAGATGGGTTTCCTGAATACAGCACACTGATGGGTCTTGACTCTTTCTGTGTCTTTTTTTTTTTTTTTTTTTTTTTTTTTTTTTTTTTTTTTGAGACGGAGTCTCGCTCTGTCGCCCAGGCTGGAGTGCAGTGGCGCGATCTCGGCTCACTGCAAGCTCCGCCTCCCGGGTTCACGCCATTCTCCTGCCTCAGCCTCCCGAGTAGCTGGGACTACAGGCGCCCGCTACCACGCCAGGCTAATTTTTTGTATTTTTAGTAGAGACGGGGTTTCACCGTGTTAGCCAGGATGGTCTCGATCTCCTGACCTCGTGATCCGCCCGCCTCGGCCTCCCAAAGTGCTGGGATTACAGGCGTGAGCCACCGCGCCCGGCCCAGTCTGTGTCTTTTAATTGGAGCATTTAGTCCATTTACATTTAAAGTTAATATTGTTATGTGTGAATTTGATCCTGTCATTATGATGTTAGCTGGTTGTTTTGCTCGTTAGTTGATGCAGTTTCTTCCTAGCCTCGATGGTCTTTACATTTTGGCATGATTTTGCGCGGCTGGTACCAGTTGTTCCTTTCCATGTTTAGTGCTTCCTTCAGGAGCTCTTGTAAGGCAGGCCTGGTGGTGACAAAATCTCTCAGCATTTGCTTGTCTTTAAAGTATTTTATTTCTCCTTCGCTTATGAAGCTTAGTTTGGCTGGATATGAAATTCTGGGTTGAAAATTCTTTTCTTTAAGAATGTTGAATATTGGCCCCCACTCTCTTCTGGCTTGTAGGGTTTCTGCCGAGAGATCTGCTGTTTAGTCTGATGCGCTTCCCTTTGAGGGTAACCCGACCTTTCTCTCTGGCTGCCCTTTACATTTTTTCCTTCATTTCAACTTTGGTGAATCTGACAATTATGTGTCTTGGAGTTGCTCTTCTCGAGGAGTATCTTTGTGGCGTTCTCTGTATTTCCTGAATCTGAACGTTGGCCTGCCTTGCTAGATGGGGGAAGTTCTCCTGGATAATATCCTGCAGAGTGTTTTCCAACTTGGTTCCATTCTCCCCATCACTTTCAGGTACACCAATGAGACGTAGATTTGGTCTTTTCACATAGTCCCATACTTCTTGGAGGCTTTGCTCATTTCTTTTTATTCTTTTTTCTCTAAACTTCCCTTCTCGCTTCATTTCATTCATTTCATCTTCCATCGCTGATACCCTTTCTTCTAGTTGATCGCATCGGCTCCTGAGGCTTCTGCATTCTTCACGTAGTTCTTGAGCCTTGGTTTTCAGCTCCATCAGCTCCTTTAAGCACTTCTCTGTATTGGTTATTCTAGTTATACATTCTTCTAAATTTTTTTCAAAGATTTCAACTTCTTTGCCTTTGGTTTGAATGTCCTCCCGTAGCTCAGAGTAATTTGATCGTCTGAAGCCTTCTTCTCTCAGCTCGTCAAAGTCATTCTCCATCCAGCTTTGTTCCGTTGCTGGTGAGGAACTGCGTTCCTTTGGAGGAGGAGAGGCGCTCTGCTTTTTAGAGTTTCCAGTTTTTCTGTTCTGTTTTTCCCCCATCTTTGTGGTTTTATCTACTTTTGGTCTTTGATGATGGTGATGTACAGATGGGTTTTTGGTGTGGATGTCCTTTCTGTTTGTTAGTTTTCCTTCTAGCAGAGAGGACCCTCAGCTGCAGGTATGTTGGAGTACTCTGCCATTTGAGGTGTCAGTGTGCCCCTGCTGGGGGGTGCCTCCCAGTTAGGCTGCTCGGGGGTCAGGGGTCAGGGACCCACTTGAGGAGGCAGTCTGCCCATTCTCAGATCTCCAGCTGCGTGCTGGGAGAACCACTGCTCTCTTCAAAGCTGTCAGACAGGGACATTTAAGTCTGCAGAGGTTACTACTGTCTTTTTGTTTGTCTGTGCCCTGCCCCCAGAGGTGGAGCCTACAGAGGTAGGCAGGCCTCCTTGAGCTGTGGTGGGCTCCACCCAGTTCGACCTTCCTGGCTGCTTTGTTTACCTAATCAAGTCTGGGCAATGGCGGGCGCCCCTCCCCCAGCCTCGCTGCCGCCTTGCAGTTTGATCTCAGACAGCTGTGCTAGCAATCAGCGAGACTCCGTGGGCGTAGGACCCTCTGAGCCACGTGCGGGATATAATCTCATGGTGCGCCATTTTTTAAGCCCATTGGAAAAGCGCAGTGAGGTCTAGCTGCATGCTGGTCCCAGAATTCCTATGGCACCTTGAATTTTCATAGCAATTCTCATGCTGCTTTTTGTTAGTTCATTAGTTTGGTTTTTAGCTTTAGTAAATTCTGGTAGGTTTTATTTGTTTGGGAACAAATAATTCTAAATTAAAATGTTGTATTAGGAGAAGATAAATTTTTTTGTGGGAGATTCTTGTTTGCTCCAACAGTGCCTATCCAGTTGGAAATGCTAATTGAATGGAACAAGAAGAGAATGTGGCTCTAAAAAAAAAAAAAGCAAAACAAAACAGAACAAAAAATAGAGTTGTATATAATTGACATGTAGCTTGAAAGTGAGCAAAATTAGAGCTTTTCTTATTTAAAATAGATTTGAGAAGTTCTCCTCTCTTCCAAGGGTGGATTGTGCAGACCTTCTGCCTGCATTTGAAGGGGAACATAACAAAGGTTCTGCCCATTGGATTCCTGGGACTAAGGAAGTATACTTGTTTCCATGGACATCCTTTGTATTTCTGTAATAATTCAGCCTTAAAGTGGTTAGAAGTTACAAGGAGAATTAGAATGTTCTTAAATTTTATTTACTCAACAAATATGTATGGAGTATCTACTATGTTACCAGCACTGTACCAGCACTGGTATTATTCAGAGGCAATCTGGACCAATTCTGATCCTACTCTCACAAAGGGAGATGGGCAGAGTTCCTGCTCTCATGGAGGAGAAGAGACAGGAAAAAGAAGAGGAAGGGGATGTCATGGTTTTTGTACTATGGAAGTCCAAGAAGATGGTTCTGGCTTCAGGTTCTCTGACTGTAGGAATTCAACAAATATTATCCATTGACTTCATCTCTCTGCCTCTATTGTCCTCTGTGTTTCCATGTTGGGAAAACCTGACAGCCAAAATAGTCACCAGAACCTCTAGATCCTACTAAGAGCCAGTGATGTATGTTAGGTCCTCTGAAAAGCAGACACCTAAATGTGATTAAACATGCAAGGATTTTATTAGAGAAAATGCTTGTGGGAGAAAATGGGAAAGGCACTGGGACAGACAGGGTAAGCTGTCAGAACACAGTGTAAGTTTGACCCGGAAGGAAATAGAAAGGAAAAGAAAGGTGGAAGCATTATAGGCTGCTATGTAATTTACAGAAGATTCCAGGCAGGACCATCAGGGAGTCAAGCCAAAGTTGGCTACTATGAGTCCTGTATGTCCCAGAAATGGGTCTGCCTTCATATCTGTGCTGCAAGCCAGCATTGGCTGGGAGCGGCAGTAAGAAGCATGGCTTTGATGCAGATGTGGTGATGGATTTCAGAGCACAGCAGCTAGAGCTCATAGCCAATTAAGCTCCACTTTGAAGGTCTGTGAGGTGCATTCTCATGGCTGTCACATGGTCCAAGAGACAATAAAACCTTCTTTCCTGCAGGATCAAAATTATTCTAAAAACTCACCCTGACATTTGTTTAATCACTTGGTTATTTTAGGACATATGACTCACGAATTGAGGTCACAAGTGGACCCAAGACTGGATCCCATAATTGTACCTTCCCATGTGAATCCATGTAGTAGAGGAGAGATGGATTCTAAGAGAGATTCTTATAGGCATCAAATACACCATATTTTGTGTGTATTTATGCACATGTGTGAGAGATCCTGACAGAATACTCTCTGAAATGAATGATTAAACAAAAATATTTCACTACCTAGTGTTCTAAGCTATTCATACCCAATTTTTTAGACAAAAAAATTAGCAGATATCCACTAGTATGTGACTGTATATACATACAAATTGTATGTACGTGTGTGTAGTATAACAAGATGTTAATAGTGTATTTTACAATGAACATATGTTTTAAAAGAAAAAATACATAAACAATAAGTAACTTGAAGATAGTTTTCTAATAAGAAACTCAAAACTGAAAAAGCATTAATAGTTTGATATTAAAGTTGAAATAATGGTTTTCATAATTATATATTGCATCTGGAATTGCTGGGTTCTTGGTCTCGCTGACTTCAAGAATGAAGCCGCACACCTTCGCGGTGAGTGTCACAGTTCTTAAAGATGGTGTGTCCGGAGTTTGTTCCTTCTGTTCAGATGTGTCTGGAGTTTCTTCCTTCTAGTGGGTTCATGGTCTCACTGTCTTCAGGAGTGAAGCTGCAGATCTTTGTAGGGAGTGTTACAGTCTGGAGTCATTTGTTCCTCCTGTCCAGAGTTGTTCGTCGCTCCTGGTGGGTTTGTGGTCTCCCTGGCTTCAGGAGTGAAGCTGCAGACCTTCGCTGTGAGTATTACAGCTCATAAAGGCAGGGCAGACCCAAAGAATGAGCAGCAGCAAGAGTTATTGTGAAGCGTGAACAAACAAAACTTCCACTGTGTGGCAGGGGACCCCAGCACGTTGTCGCTGCTGGCTCAGGCAGCCTGCTTTTATTCCCTTATCTGGCCCCACCCACGTCCTGCTGATTGGTCCATTTTACATAGAGCTGATTGGTCCGTTTCACAGAGAGCTGATTGGTCTGTTTTGACAAGGTGCTGATTGGTGTGTTTACAATCCCTGAGCTAGACACAGAGTGCTGATTGGTGCATTTACAATCCTCTAGCCAGACATGAAAGTTCTCTAAGTCCCCACCAGATTAGCTAGATACAGAGTGCTGACTGGTGCATCCATGAACCCCGAGCTAGACACAGAGTGCTGATTGGTGCATTTACAATCCTCCAGCTAGACATAAAAGTTCTCCAAGTCCCCACCTGACTCAGGAGCTCAGCTGGCTTCACCTAGTGGATCCCACACAGGGGCCGCGGGCAGAGCTGCCTGCCAGTCCCGCACCGCACACCCACACTCCTCAGCCCTTGGGTGGTCGATGGGACCAGGGGCCGCGGAGCAGGGGGTGTTGCCCGTTGGGGAGGCTTGGCCTGAGTGGGAGCCCACAGTGTGGGGGAGGCTCAGGCATGGCAGGCTGCAGGTCCTGAGCCCTGCCCCGTGGGTAGGCAGCTGAGGCCTGGTGAGAAATCGAACGTGGTGTGGGCAGACCGGCACTGTTGGGGGACCCGGTGCACCCTCCACAGCTGCTGGCCCAGGTGCTAAGCCCCTCACTGCCCTGGGCCGGGGGCACCGGCTGGCTGCTCCGAGTGCAGAGACCACCGAGCCCATGCCCACCCAGAACTCGTGCTAGCACAGCCCCAGTTCCCTCCTGTGCCTCTCCCTCCACACCTCCCTGCAAGCAGAGGGAGCCGGCTCCGGCCTCAGCCAGTCCAGAGAGGGGCTCCCACAGTGCAGCAGTGGGCTGAAGGGCTCCTCAAGCGCGGCCAGAGTGGACTTGGAGGCCGAGAGCGAGCGGGGGCTGCTAGCACGTTGTCACCTCTCAATATGAAAATATCATTATGTACATTTGCATAAATTATAACAATCTGTAGTGATATTTAGTATACGTATGCGTTACTTAAATGACGTTAACTGACTTTATCCTTTGGGTGAGGTGATGCTGAGACAATATTGCACAAGTCTCTTGAATTTCTGCAAACCTTGTGAACAGAGGTACTTACAGATTTTGTTCCAGACTAACTTTTCAAGAATGTTTAGATAGTTAAAGCCTTGGGAAATAAAAACAGTGCCCCTTCTAGAGCAGAAGACAACATACAGAAGTAAACAAAAAGATTTGTTTATTTTCCAGTGTAATAAAGATATCTTCCTCTGGGGCAAAGATTGGGCATTTTATATTTATATAAAATGATTGCAATCCATTTTATATAAATCACTGGAGTTCCCTAAGCATGGAGTTTCTCAGCTGTGACACAAACTCCTTTCATGCACAGTAGCTCCCTACGACTCTGCATTGTTCCTATAGGACTTGGGGTGCAAATGGGAACTGGCTGGTACAAACATGGAGCTTATTGAGGTGCAGTGAGTAATAATTAAAGTCCTTTTGTCTCTGATTTAGGAGTCTTTTGTCTTAAGCTAGCATCCATGAAGCTGTGGCAGAGTAACTTATTAGTTTGCAAATTGGATGAAATCTTAGACTCTTCACAGTTCTTTCCTTCAATAGATAGCAGTATCAATGATACTCAGGATTCTCTAAGTGAAAGGAACTTTTAGATAATCTGGTTTCCAATTCAGTGTTCTCATTTTATAGGTAAAGAAACACAGCTTAGAGAGGTCAATAAAATTGTTTATAAAAACTCCACCCAATGGGGTTAAATCACTGTCATTTACCATGTAAATTTTAAAAGTAAGAAATAAAAATTGGGTGTGAATATCTTAGAACACTAGGCACTTAAATATTTTTGTTTAATCATTCATTTCAGAGAGTTGGTATTCTTTCAGGCTCCCTTGCACATAGGCATAATTACACACAAAATATGGTATATTTGATGCCTATAAGAATCTTCTGCAACTGGTGATCTTGTCTATAGGCAACCAAATTTGAGATATTAGACTGTAACAAGTTATGGTGGGATGCAGAATTAGCAGGAACTTCTCTCCTGTATTAGATACATTGTATTTAGCTCTTTCTTGTCCATAATCTCATAAATTTGTAGGTCATTTTAATTACTAATGCATTCTACTTTTAAATGCTAAATTATGGTCCTCTTTGACGGCTTTTAGCTTCTATTTCCAGCTGTTTACTAAGAATGGACGAGGTATTTCATGTGTCCTTGTTTTTCTGTGACTCAATAAGTGCCGGAGCATTTTCTAATTATAGCCAATGAATGTGGAACTAATTACCTACAACTATACAGACTGCAGCTTATTTGCTATTGAAATCCTGGTTGTAGACTTAGGTTTGTTGATTCTGCCTTTCCCCCCTATTTACTCCAATTTTATAACTTACTAAATTTTTGTCTTACTAAAAATTTTCAAACATATTCAGGACGAGTTATCAAATCAATGTGAGTAAGTAGGAACAAGTCTAGCATTCAGATAAAACAACTGGGCTTTAAGGTGATTCAGTGTACCAAATATTTATTTCAAAGAAGTAGAAGACAAAATGATGCCATGAAGTTAGTTCCTACTGCCAAAGCGGAGATTTGGATGAGAAAAGAGTTTAGACCAAACATCTGAAGATCTTTATGTTTAGTAAGGAGAGCCAGTGATATTCTGAGTTGAAGATGGGTTGAACTTTTCCATGAATTGTCCAGGAAAAATACCACAAAAAGTCACATAATGTGCAGAATTATCCATTATTTTTCAATTTTGTTCTCACTGTATGATATATAAAATCTATTTTAAAAGTGTTTTTCTACTTAAAAAATAACTATTCATTTCAAGTGCCTAAAGAATATTTTTTAAGAATATTTTTTAAAACTGAACTATGTACTGGCCCCCTGAAATACCTCCATTTCTAAAGGTAGGAATCAGAGCTTACCTTTGGAAGTCACAATGTACAATACAGCTGGAAATAAGCAATTAAACTAACAATGAAAGCTTTTAGAAATGTTAACAATACCCTTTTAAGAGGGAAAATACAAACCTAAATATCTATCCTTGGGAAATGAAATAAATTATACACTGAAATTCTGCAAACATTAAAAATAGGAAGACCTCTATATATTCATATGGGAAGACATTTACTATAAAATAGAGTAGACCCAAAAAGTGCAGGTAGTTTGATTCCATGTCTTAAAACATTTTAAAATTCACTACTTAAAAATCTCTAAAACTACACATGGAATTGACAATAGTGGTTATTTCTGGAAGCAGAATTGCCAAGTGGGTGTGTGTGGTGTGGGGAGGAATAGGGAGGGAGATCAATGACTGGTAGAGTGGGAAGATGTATATACTTTTACTATATGAATTTTTAAACAAATATATATTGATTTTGTAACAAAATATCTACTTTTTGAGAAAAAAAGGCAAAGATGACCCATGTGGTGAATGTATAAAACAAATTAAAAGAGATCAAATTTCTGTCATTTTTAAGTATTCTATCCCTGACACACTAAAGTGATAAAAGTGCTTAAAAACCACATTACATATAGGCCAAAAAAAAAAAAAAAGATGCATTTATTGAAACAAGTGAAAATAATAATATCACATCAGAGGCCAAGTGATACCATTTGAAACTGTGCTTTTTATTTATCAATTTAAAATTATCTGTTGATGCTTTCATTATACAAAGGATTCACTGTTAAATACTATAGATATAGTTAAGGCATAATTCCAGCCCTCAGGAAACTTATTTGGTCAAGACAAATTTGATTAAGAGACAAGCTTTACAAACAGGTAAACAGTTTGAAATAATGCACAGTGTTACAAGTAGAAAAATATTTATTAAAGAAAAATAAGAATTATGGTTATGAAGCATGCACATTTAGCCTTGTCTGGAAAAAGTTTATGCGAAGGTGGTGCCTGAGGTCTTTTACATTAGATAACTTCTTAGTCCTCTGTCAGGTTCTCCACCTGGAATGCCACAGCTAGTTTTTCTTCTCCAAGGGTCAAAATGCTGCTCTTCCAACAACAAGCTTAAACACTAAACGTAAAGCATTAAACATTCATTGTTATTTGTACTTGTCATTTATACTTGTGTATCTTATAGACAAAACGGTAAGCCCTTAAGAGCAGAAACTGCTTAAAAGTCATTTCTGTATCACTGGTGACTAGTGAGGTGTCTTGCACAGTGAAATGGGTGAATGATAGGAACTGGAGAGAGGGTAAGGGATCTAGTCTAGGCTATAGGGTTTGTATGAGCAAATTCCAAGATAGAAAAGATAGACTAGGTTAGTGCAGCATGTGCCAAATGTTTTGAAGAATACATAGTGGACACCATCATCAGTCTTTCTGTGTCAGAAAGACAAACAAAAAAAACAATGAACAAAGTTATGCTATTCTAGGAAAGACAAATGGCCAGATCTGACTTTTCAAAACTACTCACATTGTGAAAAAAGCAGGAACAAATCTAGTTTCAAGTTCAGCATGCCGTTCCCTGTTTAATTCATAAAACACAACTGGCAGAAGTATTACTTGAAGCAAAACAAAAGTAACGTGGGAACTTGCTTATTTGCTAAGCCACAATGTATTTTTCCAGGAATAGCATAAATTTGCCATCTTTCTTGTGTCTATGGAAAAGGGGTTTAGAATTGTTTCACTAAAAATTAAATTTCTATATTGTCAAACATGATTGTATACTCAAATTTTAAAATGTGAAGGGAACACTTACTAAGCATTTCCTGGGTATGCCACTATATTAAGTCCTAGTAATATGATATAGTTTATTTCAATTTTTTTTCAACTCATACTTCCTTTAAAATAGCACTGACCAAAAGAAAGTTAACATGAGCTTCATGTACAATTTTTAATCTTTTTGCAGAAAAATAAACTGAGAAAGGCTAAAATTGTTTTATTTAAGCCACTATACCAAGACATATTGATTTCACCAATATAAAAATTGAGATAGTTTACATTTTTTGGTACATCTTTAAAATCTGGTATGTATTTTATACTGACAGCACATCTCAATTTGGACAAGCTACATTTCCAGGGCTCAATAGTCACATGAATCTCAATTGTAATCAAAGAGGTTGGCCTGCATCCTTCCATTGTCTAGCACATCTACTTGTAGACAATTGTGAACATCTGCCACTCTGCCAATTCTATATCCCATCATTGTAAGTTCAGATCAACATATACCACTAGCAGAATTTATTCATTACCAAATATTAAGCTGTGAGACCAGCACTATGTCTGGTACTAAATAAATGGCAACAAAAATGCTGACATGGGAGTTCAACCATTCATGCATTTGCAGATACTAACACAGGTAACAGTGAGTGAACAATCCTCCCCCTTTTTTTCATACCACTTAATACAATTATTAATTTTCTTATTTATTGTGTGTATATGCACATCTGTTTCTCTTATGACATGCCACAAGGGAAGGAACTACATCTATCTTGTTTGCCATTGTATCCCTGGGCCTTAGCAGAATGTGTTATACAAAGTAGATGGTCAAGTGTGTGGAAAATGAATAAATATGGCCATGCATTGATTACCAGCTTCAACCAGCTTGTCATTTCATTACACTTTGTCAATTAGTCAAGAGACATTCCACATTTTCTCAATGAAAGCAGTGAACAGAACAACTGTTTTCTCTTCAGCACAATATCTTATAGCCCATTCCAATCATTAAAAAGTAATCTGAAATTTCCCACTAGTCAGAATCACATTTATCCTGTCTTCATTAGACTGTCCTCCAACACACAACAAAACTAGAATGGCTGAGGCACAAATGAACAAGTACAAGAAAACAGTCCTTTCCAGCAACCTCTCAGACTTAAGAAGACAAGGACACACATGCACTTGGAAGAAAGAAAAGAAAATAATGAATAGCATTTACCACCACACAGTCAGTACTGGCCTGGCTTTTAAGAGCTGTGAAGACTTCAGAAACTTCTTTGGCAAACTATTTTATGTTAAACAATAGAAATACTGTAGAAAGCCATGATAAAGGAAAACCTAAAATTAGTTAATGTCCTGAGTTTTTAAAAAAGCAAAATAAAATAGCATGTAATAAGGTGAAGCCTATTAAACACACACAAAATCAAATCATCAAAATCTCAAACTTAACTCATTCTTTAGTAATATAATATTGTATTATAAAGTCCTTTGGCTAGTCTTGACATTGTAGAAATAATTTTATGTAGAGTGCAAAACCTGGAAGAATATGAGAGCTGACAGTGAGAGCAGCTTTTTATTTTGTATAAAATGGTATTTTAACAATACTGGCTTTCCCCAAATTAATTTACAGTCAGTTTTATCATTTTTAGCATATAAAGCCTCCTACTCCTAGTTAAGTATTTTCTGTTTTGTAAACTACTGGCATACTTAACCTTTTCATATCACTGAAAACATTTATTCATCTATTGTATGTAGATCGATCTTTTAAAAACTGAATCGTGTTTAAAATACACTAAAGAAAATTACTTTTCCCTTTTCTTTTTGGTGAGCATTTCAAAGGTGGGGTAAATTCGGCCTCTTCACTGTGTTTTCTTTTCTTTTTTTTCTTTTTATGGTCACTTTGGTAACCACTGGAGTCACTGCCTTGGAAAACAGGGTCCTGGTCCTGAACTTCCTGGTGCTTTTTCTTCTTCTTCTTTTTCTTTGGCTCCTCCTCCCAGATGCCATTCGCATTATTAGTATTCTGCAGGGCTGACTCTTCCATTGGAGTGTCATCTGCATCATCTGCTAGCTTTGTGGTACCACTGTCCACTTCATATGTCTCTGGGTCTTTCTTCTTTTTCTTCTTTTTAGGTTTTTTAGCAGCTTCCTCAGTGCCATTTTCTGTAACTTCTTCAGAAACTTCAGAGCGCTTGAATTGTAAACTATAAATTAACAGTTAAAAAAATTAACAGAACAATAAGCAAAAAACAAAGAACAAATTGAGATCAAGATATCCCAACAGGCTAAGATTTTCTAAATAATGACTCCAGTACAAGACACATAACCATGGCATAAATTCCAAATATTCTATCCTGTTATCCCTCAACCCACTAAAATATGTATGGGCTGCTGAATGTTAAATTGAAAAATGTTAAATTTAACATTAAATGTTAAATTCTTTCTTTATGAATAACTTCTCCCAGACTGTTTCCACACATAAAAATGACATAAAAATCTTGTCAAAACATGTCTTCCAAGTTTTGGGTTGTTTCAGAAAAATTTGGTCACTGAACATTAAACACCACAATACCTAGGCTTATTAACCAAACCACTGACATCTAATAGAAAATATGATCTGGTATTTATCAAAGCAATGGAGTTTCCAGTCTACTATTTTAATCTTGTTTCAAATAATAGTCCATTGTTCTACTTAGCTGATACTAAGATAGTATTACTTTAACATTGTGAATTATTTTACACCACTAAAATAAAACATGGATCGATGAAGTAGCTTTCTCTCCAGAACTTCAGTCTTATACAGTAGCACTAGGCACATGTACCTAATCACTACCAAAAACATAACTTTAGAAATTCAGTTCCTCAGTCAGACTTAGTCATATTTCAATGCTCAATAGTGAGGCTGCTGTACTATGTATATAAACTGTATTTCTGTCATTACAGAAATTGAACAGCTGTTCCAGAACTTCAACCCATACTCTTGTAACTTTAAGGCAAAATACAGAAAAAATTATTAGCAATAGCAGCATTTTAAGAGTTGTCTCTCTCCTTCTTCCTTTAAACTTGGCTCCCATGGAATCAAGCTCAAGATCAGAGTTAATTCTTATAATAATTTCTATACAGAATAATACAGAAATTAAAATATCTGGCACAGAAGACAATAATCAACACAATTTTTTGTGTGTAAAAACAAAGCAGGCCAATAGTTAGGAAGGTAATTGTGCTTTCAGTAGTTTCAAGTTTAGAGGTCAACTTTAAAAAAAAAGTTAACAACAAAATAGAAAATACTCAGCAAAATTGAACTATTAAATATTAAAATACAGACCAGTTAGCTAGTCTGTGTTTCAGAATATTTATTTGATGCACTGTTACAGATTACTTAAGAGTATTGTTTATATTGACTTTATGGTTTGAAAGCATGAATATTCCTATAAACAGGTATTTTTAGAGAGGCTTATTCTCTTTAAAATTAAAATAAAATTCTCTTTAAAATTCAGAATTAAATAGAAATTAAGTACCTAGTGATAATTACGTAATGATAAACTAACCTTGTGATATTTAGTTTTCCCCGAATGCAGAATACTCCAGCAGCATCTGAGTCTAAACGAAATACTTCAAATTCTAGTTCATCACCCATGTTTATCTCCATGGTTTGCCACTGCTCAGCTGACAACTGCTCAGGTTTAGGAATGGAGGCATTGAAACACCCATGTACTAAACAGCCAATGTGGCTAGAAGACACTTTATTAACTATACCCTGGGAAGAAGAAGGAAGAAAGAGCGTAACATAAAGAACACATCCACAAAGTTAAAAGGTGAACCAAACTTTACAAGCTTCAAATAATCTTCAAAGAACAAACATCAAATTAATGGTCTAATTTAATATGGAAAAAGTTTACCTCAATTAAAACTTACCACATGTCATGCCAAAACATCACTTTAGAATACCACTGGGTTTTGAGAAAGCTCAAACTTTATTATATAAGTAATTGCACATTAACTGTCTAACTGGGCACATTAACTTTCTAACTGGATAAACTAACCTGCCCCCGCCACCCTGTCCAAGAAAAAAAACCATCTCAACTCCCCACTGCAGGATTCCTTAGGGAGGACAGTATTACTCTTTAGCTACATTGAAACCAAGCAAACCCCATATAACTTCTAAAAAGACCTCATATGCGTTTTATAACTGGGATCCATGTTACGTTTCTGTAAATAGACCAAATTTCAAAGCTTAAAAATGCATTCTTTAATTATTTAATTTAGCATGATGCAAGCATTCCATTAGAAGACAGCTTACCCTTTAAATGTAAATATTGACCATGACTATTTTTTGGCTAAATCACGAAAGTATTATTAGAAGCTTTAAAACTAAAACAAAAGTATGTGCTATATGATTTTAAGATGAGACTTTGCATAAAACTTATTTTTCTTCTCAGGGTCAATATATACAAAGCATATAAATGAGACTCAGAAATATTAAAAATTCACATTTTCTGAATTATGAAACTGCAAATAATGCCGATGTGTATACAATGCTGTTTAACATCAGCAACCCTTTACACATGTGACAGAATAAAACTTCCCTATCTGGTATGATCAGAAGTCTAGTGTTCCCACTGGTAGTTTCCAGATGGTCTAGATAAACAAACTGGTACAGCTATAAAATAAAAGATTATTCAGTAATAAAGATAAATAAGTTCTCACCATAAAAAGACATAGCGAA
This sequence comes from Homo sapiens, assembly GCF_000001405.40. NCBI lineage: Eukaryota > Metazoa > Chordata > Mammalia > Primates > Hominidae > Homo > Homo sapiens. Next base: position 19,701,250 of record NC_000007.14, read on the forward strand.
ACCTTAAATGCATATTGCTAAGTGAAAGAAGTCAATTTGAAAAGGATACATACTCTATTCTTCTTCTTTAAAAAGGCAAAACTACGGAAACAGTAAAAAGATCAGTGGTTGCCAGGGATTACAGGGAACGGAGGGAAGAAGGGAGAAATGAATAGGTGGAGCACAAGCGGTTTTTAGGAGAGGATAACTATTCCGTATCATACTATAATGGAAGATAAGTTGTTGGGATTCACTCAGGATAGTGGCAGAAATATTAAAGGGAAATATTAGGGAAAGTTATAGGGAATAGTCACAAACCTTTTTGGAAGGCCAAAAGGTTACATAGCTTGTAATAGCTGAACAGGCCGAAGACAGCCGGTTCTTACCTTAGAGCATTAAGTTACAGAGTAAATACTAGGGACAATAGAGGCTTCCCCAGTTAAGTCTGTTTACCCTACCTCTGTTAACTAACCTTTAAGTCAGATGGCCTCTGGGGGGGCAGGGATATTGCCCCCAGTGATATTTACTTTAAACCTCGGTACCTGAGCTTTAATCATTCATAGAACTACTCACTTAACCATGTTAATTATCCAAAAGTGTGTGGACTCAGAGCTTCTGTTGTTAATTGTATACGAAATAAATGCCTGGAGTGTGAACTACTCAGGGCCAGCGGCAGTGACAAACCTCTCTCGGTGTGTAGGCAGTCGGACACTCAGCAGTACTGGCAAAGCAATATCTGTGTGTCAGTGTACGTTTCATTCATCCATCTTTTAGGTCAAGGTCTGCAGGCAGACCCCCGCAGCTAATGCCCTCTTGTGAGGAGCAATACCTCAATAAATGCCATGACACATTTGTGGAAACTCATAGAATGTACAACACAAAGACTGAACTCTAATGTAAACTACAGACTTTACTTGATAATAATGTATCAATATTGGCACAAAAATGGTAACAAATGCACCATACTAATGCAAGTTAATGTTGATAATAGGGGAAAGGGGGTGGTTATATGGGAACTCTATACTCTCCATTCAATTTTTCTGTAAACCTAAAACTGCTGTTAAAAATATGTCAATTTCAGAAAATCAATGAAAGAAAAGGTTTTTTAATATATGAATCCAGAACAACGGGAAAGCTACATGAAGGAGAGAGTGGATCTCAAGGCCTACCTCACACTACACACAAAAATTATTTGAGAATGATCACAGACTTAAATGGAAAAGCTAAAACTAAAAGCTTGTAGAAGTCGACAGAACAGTATCTGCACAACTTTTCGGCAGACAAATTTCTTTGATAGGGTCCAGAAAGCAATAGTCATAAACATATAAAATGATAAATTGGACCTCATCAAAATTAAAAGTAACTGTTCATCAAATAATACCATTACAAGTTAACAGACAAGTCACAGATTGGAAGAAAATATTCAAAATACTTATCTGAAAAGAATTCATTTTAAGACTAAAAAGAACTGCTATAAGTCAATAATAAAAATACAAAAACCCAATTAAAAATGGGCAAAATACTTGAACAGGCCCTTCTTACTGAAATATATGAAAAATTGCTTATGAGGGAAACGGAAATGCAAATTAAAACCATAATGAGATACTACTATATGCCCATCAGTACAATTAAAGGACAATAGCAAATGTTAATAACGATACAGAGTAAATGAAGTGTTGAATGGGAAATCAGTCTGACAATGGTTTTATATAAATACCCTGTGAACTAGCTCTTCTGCTTCTAGTTATTTACTTAAGAGAAATGAAAATGTATGTTTTCATTCATATGTCTGAAAATATATGTTTTCAATAGCTTTATTCATAAAAGCCCCAGCCTGGAATCAATCCATCAATGAAGACAGATAATTATATTGTGATATAGTCATATAACTGAATACCATGAGCAATAAAAAGGAACAAACTACCAATACACACAACAGCATGGATGAAACTCAAAAACATGCTGATCAAAAGGCGGCAGATTTTAAGAATGTATAATGAATAATTCCATTAATATGGAACTATAGAATAAGCAAAACCAACTTATGATAAAATCAGAAGAGTAATTATATCTGCAATAAAGAGAAGGAATTGGGCCAGGAAAGGGCATGAAGATCCTTTCTAAGGAGATGGAATGGTATACAGACCTGACGAAATTCACTGAACTGAACAATATGATCTGTGCATTTTATTATATGTAAATTTTATCTCACCAAATATTAATAATAATAATTGAAGGAAAAGTGGGTGGTCAAAAATATTTGAGGAGTGGATCTTGTAGTAGGTAGATTAAAAGGGATATTTTTCATTTCATACTTTTTCTACAATCTGTTATTTCCATGTACATGTATATATGTTATTTCCGTGTATGTGTGTGTGTATTTTTACAGACAGGGTCTCACTGTTGCCTAGGCTGGAATGCATTGGCGCAATCATAGCTCACTGCAGCCTTGAACCCCTGGGCTCAGGTGATCCTCCTACCCCAGCCTCCTGAGTAACTGGGACTACAGATGCATGCCACCATGACTGGCTAATTTTTTATTTTGTGTAGAGATGAGGTCTCACTATGTTGCCCACGTTGGTCTTAAACTCCTGGCCTCAAGTGATCCTCCTGCCTCAGCTTCCCAAAATGCTGTGATTGTAGGTGTGAGCCACTGTGGCTGGCCTACATGTTTATATTTAAAATAATAATTTACACAAAGTAGATGAAAGTTAAGTTTGTTAATTTCCAAATACAAATCTACTGCCAACTTTAGTAGTCCAGTTATAAGATCCCAGTTTAACAGGCAAAGGATACTACTTGTATTAATTTGATATTGAAAAATGAAAAAAATTGGAAGTGTCTTGTGGGTTTTGTCATGGTTAAATTGATCTATATTTTTATGAACAATATCAAGGGTTAACAGTTCTGATCTATTAAAATATTTATCAGCTAAGGAAAAGAACATATACACACACATACAAGTATACATACGAACATGTGTATACACACAGAGAACTGCTGGAGGAAGAGAGGAGAAAGTAAAGAGTAAAAAAGGATCTATTTCAGCAGATTTTGTATCAATATCTGCATTTCCAGCTTATGAAAAACTGGAAGACCTTTCCCACAGAGCTTCCATTTCCAAGGCACAGACTGGCTGCCCTGTCCTCTGTCATTGATAAATTTTCATTACTGCCTGGCCCATTTGAATTCCTGTTTCATATACTGCTATATTCTTTGAATCCTTTATAAAGAAATAGTATTTGTGTAGAATTGAGAACTTTTGAAATAATAATGATAATTGATTTTTTTGCCCTTAAAATCATTCTGCTACTATGAAAAGAATAAAGTGGATGGGACATATATCGTGTGCATGTATGTGTTTTAGGAGGATATTCAAAAACTTACCTACGTTTGAATGATACAAATTAATTTTTCCTTAAAAATAATATTTATTTACTCACAATAGCAATTTATTTGAGTCCCAAGGTATATATTATCTCTTAAAATGTTCCAAGTTACATAATTATAGAATTATACAAAGGGAGCTAGAAAAAAGTGATACACATACCATAAGCTTCTGCCCTGGTTCAGGGCAGAAAATAACAAAATCGGCTTCAATGTTAAGATGAATGTGTCCTTGATCATCATAAATATCTCCAAGCTCTCCCACAACTTTGATGTTATCATATGCAATAGGGACACCTAAAAGGCTGTAAAAAGAAAAAGTTGAAAATGATACCTTTTATCGTCTTTTATTTATTTATGTTTTTGGAGACAGGGTCTTGCTCTGTCACCCAGGATAGGGTGCAGTGACATCAACAGGGCTCACTGCAGCCTCGACCTCCTGGGCTCAATTGATCCTTCTGCCTCAGCCTCCCAAAGTGCTGAGATTATAGGTGTGCACCACTGCACTCTTTCAAACCAGGCCATTTTCATACTGATTAGATATTCTATCCAAAACTTACACATCTCCTAAATACACCACCTATGTCAAAAACAATAGTATATGATTAGTCTGTAACAACTTTAGTAGTCCCATTTCACCAATGGATTCTGATGTGTTGGCTAAGTTAAAATGATGACTCAAGATACACAGAAACAAAATGCCCAATTAATGCATTAGCAGTAAATCAACTCTTCTTCCCTGGCCAAGTCCCATTCTTTCTATCCTAGCATGACTATTTGAATTCTTCAAGTTATACTAGGATAGAAAGAAGGGACTTAGCAAAGAAAATGTGTATCTCTGTGGACATGACTGAATAAGAGGCAATTTTGGTATTATTCACCATTACTGAATTTCAGTACTTGACGGCGTATAACAAGGGAAGCATTACGGTTAAAGCTGAAGCCCCTGAATTTTAAAGTCAATGACTTAATAGAGAAAATCCCAAACTTCAACTGTTGATAGTAAATGCAAATGTTAATACAACTACATTATTTAGGAACTGACTGACACTTTAGTCTACAAATGTAACAGTCATGATTAAGGGACAACTATTTTTCAAACTGTTATTTCTTAGCTTTTAAGGAATTATAACTATTAAGGAGAAAGACCTAGTGGTGGGAGGCGGAGGGTGTGGTGAGCTGAGATCTCAGCACTGCACTCCAGCCTGAGCGACAGAGGGAGACTCCATCTCAAACAAAGGAACAAAAAACAACAAAACAAACAAAACCTGGTGGCTTCATTACCACACCCACTACTTGTTGGAGAAAACTTCCCTGACTCCCCCAGGCAAAGCTGAAATCATTCCTCTACTCCTATAGGCCAACTTTCTCACTGTTCTTAATCTAATTGTATTGAACCTATCTGTATATATGTTTGAATTTCACACATGACTCTAAGGCCTTTGATAGCAAAGAATATTTTTTGTTGAACTCAAACTTCTAACAATTCACATAAAATAAGGGAAAGAATTTATCCCTAACAGATGTTGTTTAGTAAAACAGCCAGAAGCCACAGAAAATACACTTTAAGAATTACCAAATTAGGAAAACCCTAACTCAGAGACTTACTCGGGAAAGCAATTTTCTGAGGTTTTAATTTCCGCATGTGGCATTCCTAAGCTGGAATCATCCTATCACTAAGACAATGTTAGGGACACAGAAAACAGAGAATAGGAAGAAAAATTAACTGCCATACTAGACAGAAAAACAAATTATCAAGACTTTATTTCCGCTAATCAAAGCCTTGTCTCTCAAGTATCAGAGTGATTCTCAAGGGGAAGGAGGGCTGTGGTCCCCTGGTGGAAGGGGGGACATGTGGAAATTTGTGATACTAGTCATGGTTATCACAAACTTTGCAGAAGCCAGGGAAGAAAAGAGTCTGTCATGTACAGGACAGTCTGATACAATGAGGAAATGTCCTTCGCTCTGACTTTTGAATAAAAGGACAAATCTATTTACAAATAGCTAGGCACCTAATTTAACTCTTAAAACACATCAACACAAAGTCATCTTTGCACAGTTTTAATATATATTAAAATTTTCAGGAACTTAGCAGTATATAAATTCAAGGGGGATTTTGTTAAAAGTCATCAGATATGTGAACACAGGCACCCAACACTATATACTTTTTCCTCCTTCACTTTTGTTTTTCAGATACCATCCTAAATAGGTATCAGGGCAAGGTGGTAGCCTCACTTCAGTTCTTTAATACTATATGTTCAATGTTTTGTCCCTTATTAGTAATGCATAGTTCAAAGTGTGGTGCCTGATTTGCACTTGAATAAACAGCATACCCAAGTAATATGGAAGGAGTGGTGTCCAGATCTGTTCAGAGCCACTCTGCGTGATTTCCCCCTCTAGCCTGTCAAGTGCAGGCAGTACTGGTTACAGAAAACAAGATAGTTGCTTGTGTTTCCAAATGTTATGACTACTTTGTATATCCTTTAATTTCTCAAATCCATCCTCTCTAATCATTTTCTCTTGGACAATTATAACATTATCTTAATTCCTCTCCTTGTCCACTTTCTCATCCTATTTGGTAGCTAACCATTAAGTAAATGTTGTTTCTTAAACTGCAAATCTGATATGCCAGGGACTGCAGAGAAGTACTAGTTTCTCAAAAGTGTGCCAAGTCTCAGCGTTAAAGGGACTGAGAGGACGGAGCACTAACCCTGCTTAAGAAAACAGAAACACAAAAGGAAAAACAACAACAACCCCACCTTACCCCCAAAATAACAAAAACTGGCAATGGCAGGAAGGGAAAAGCAAAATGGCCATCCTCTCTGAGTCATCTTTGACCCCCTGCCCTCCTCTCCAATGGCATCCAATGCCTTTCCCCTGACATAAACCTTATTCTACTTATATAATAGATACAGTTCTCTGGGCAAAGCATACCAGTTCACATCCAGTATCCGTTTGTTTATGCCACTCTCTTTGCCTGGAATGTTACCATGTTAAAGTACCCTCTTCAATCAAGTTGTTCTCAAAGGTCCCAAGATCCAAATTCTACACTCCTTATCTTATTAGATTTCTGTCAAATTTTAACACTTTACTATTTATTGGCTTGTATTTGTATCTCTCCTACAGCTTAAAGCTCCTTGAAACAGAGATTTTATTTTTTGTTTTTGTATCTCAAGTGTTCGGTATGTAATATAAACATACAAGAAGTGTATATTGGTGCTTGGAAGAATCTGCAGATTCTAGACATGGGTGGAGGTCCAGGATCCCTTAAGAAACTGATAAAAACTTCCGATGCAGTGCCCAAGGAACTTCACATAGGAATTCCTGAAGGGCAATCATGAATCCCTAGAGAATCCATTCCCTCTAGTTTTAGAACCCCGCTTTTAAACCAAAGTATAGTCCAGAGGAATACTCAAGCACATGCCCGCGCCCCCCGCCCCACACCTCTGTAATTCTAAGTTTTCAAGTCACTTTTGAATACCGTAATATAAATGCATACGTTTTGGTTTTTTCTCTCCCCAAAGCAACAGGCTCACTAGTTCGACTGAATAAATCTTCTTAAAAACAACAAAATCCCGCTAAACTAATGGCATTTTCATAATCCCCAGATCAGGTCCAAGAGAAGAGAAAATGGGGAAATTACCAGAGCGAAATCCAACAACAAAAAAGGTCCTTCATGTTTTACAAATAGAACGGTTGTACTAATGCTTCGTATGCTATCTTCTATGGAATGAGAATCTACTCAAGCACTGCAAACCAGATTTTTATCGTCAAATGAGAAAGCATCATCCGTAAGGGGATAAATGAAACGTTGAATGCCAAACAGAACTGGGCCTACTAGGTCTCCAGATCCCTGGTCTTTTCCTACCCCTACACCAGGGTTCTGGAGCAAGAATCTCCACTCCCTCCGCCCACACCTGAACTTCATCTTTAAGTTTTCTTCTCTATCTATGAAAGGGACCCTGTATAGATCTTTACCAGAGCGGTACTGGCCTTGAGGGACGGATCGCGACTCTAGAAATCCAGGGGGCTAAGCTCTGGGGGGCAATGCGACCTTTGCCATTTGCCCCTTTCTGCTGCGTCGTCAGCACATCCACCTGCTTTACTTCCCGTGCACAAAAGAAGGAACAGGCAAAGAGATCGGTACCTCTCAGAATAGCGAAGGAGCTCCGCATCAAGCTGTTCTCGAATGCCGGTGCGTTTCCTGTTAAGGTAGCGGGGCGACAGCGCGATGTGCCTTTGGTGCGGCCCGGCCACCAGGCATGAGTAGCGACTGTTCACCAGCGCACAAGCAGCGGCATAAGTCGGCAACTCTAGGCAAGGCAGGACGCCAGCCTGCCCTACCAGAGACCCATCAGAAGCCGCCGCTGGCCGCGGCGCCTCTGAGCAACCTGCAGCCATGCTGCTTGTCAAGGTTCCCACGGCGCGCGCCGTTGACGCAAGCACAATCCCATGTCCCCGGCGCTCGTTTTACGCCATCCACCAACGACCACGCCCCTAGGAATTTCCCCTCTTTTCGCTGCATTACGCAGCCCTGACCAGCAGGGGGAACCGCGTTTTCGCGCTTCGAGAACGGGAGCTTAGAGCCTCGGAAATGCATTGAGCACGCAGGAAAGCCAACCGACTGCTCTTTTAAGGGCAGGCAAATGTGTGTTTTCGCACAGAGGCTTATTGGATTAAGTAGGTAGCTTAAAAATGGGGGTTCTCACTTTGATCATTTCCAGTAGTGAGGTGGGTTTGGTAGAATTTTACAGGCTTGGACTGTACAATAAAAAATCAAAATATTTATGGAGTATATTTTATGCAGTACACGGAATCCTAAGCAGGCCTGATAATTGTAATGCAACGCATCTGAAAACGAACCCACTAGTTCTCTCCTGTCCCGCTTCTCTTCTCATTATGCAACTGCTAAATCAGGGAATCATACAGCCAAGCTGTCAGCCTCGGATCCTCTTTTGTATCCCCAAGTATCAAATCAGCCTGAAGACCTGTATTGCCCAAAGTGGAAATATCATTCTATTTGGACACTATTCTCTTTCCCTGCCGCCAAAACCGCAGGACTCCCTGCCTGTGGAAGCCTAGCTCAATGGTCAGGAGGACACTCTGGGGCAGCCAGATCTTCCCTGAAATACATATGATCGTGTTGTGCCCTGTTTAAGCCCTACATAGGCACCCCATTTTCTCTAGGACAACACAAACTCATGAAAATGGCTTATAAGTTACAAGGCCATTTTGTGATCTGCGTGGGCACACAGCCTCTCTCTTCAGCTTCATTTGTCACACTCCCCACCCTAATATTATCATGCTGCTTGATCTACTTTCAGGTCTCTCTTTGTGCAGTCTCACGCTGTTCCTTCCACCAGGGAATATAATAGCATTTTTCACAAGGGTAAATTCTACTCATGTATGAATTTCTAGCTTAGATTTTACATTCTATACCTTTGCAAAGAGTTTTCAAGCACCCCACTCCTCTTTCTCTATAAGGATTAGGTAGTTACCCATCTATGTTGGTTTTTATGTTAATTTTTTATTAACTGTCTTTGCTTGCCTGTTCCATCAATAGATTCCTACACTCACTAAAGTGGGGACCATAATATCTGTATTGTTCACTACAGTAGCCCCCCACAATTTATCCCTCCTCCAAAGAAACGAAACCAAGAAAAACCCAACCAATACATCTTGAATGAATAACCTGATAGTGAGTTAATAAATAATAAGTGATAAAGAGCTCACAGCCTAAGTGGAAGTGGGATCTAAACATAAACATATAACAGGTTATGCTGGATAAGTGCCAAGAGAAATGTATAGCAGTGATGTGAGTATTAACATACTCCCTCATCTCCTAAATACTGCAAAAAGCCTCTTAGCCTCTCTAAACCTGATTTCTGACTTGTAAAATACGAAAAATAATACTTGCCCTGCTACCTTAGAGAGATGATAGGAGGGTCAAACAAGATAAATAAAAGGCATTTTCTTTAATATTCCTTAAATAACTGCAAACTCAGCATGAGATGATAGTGGGATGAGACTGCCCCCAAAACCTAATAGTAGACACTTTTAAGTCCATAAATGGGAAACATAATGGCTTTTACCTTCATTTTGTTGCAAAGTCCTGTGATACCCCTGTGCAGGACCCTTTTGTTCAATGTGCTCAAACTTGGCTAAACAATGAAGTCACCTAAGGTGAGGAGCTTTAAGAACTCCTGATGCCCGGATGACATCACAGATCAATTCAATCAAAACCTCTCCAGGTGACTACACCTTACAGTCAAGATGGATCTAGACTGGCTGTAAGTGATTTGAATGAAAACAATTTGGCCAAGAAAGAATTTAGTAAAAAACAAGCTGGACATCATGACAATTTGATCAAAACAAAACGTTACCTGAAATCAAATATTCCAGTAATAATCTTTCACAACTAGTAAATGTAGTGCACCCATGCAGTAGTTTTGTAACCCTAGGTATGTCCAGTTGCAGTTAGAAGTTTGCTTGTTTAAATTTTGAAACTGATTTTCTCATTTTCAGTTTTAAAAATTCTGACTTGATCATTAGCTGCTATCCATGCTCTGCATGATTTGAGAGCGAACAAGGTGATTCTGCCTGCATGCCAGTGTTCACCATTGTGGGGTTACTTTACAAATTAACCTGCTCCACCTTCGACACAGGGAAGAAAACAGAAATAACCATGAGTTCCTCCTACCTACCCTACCCTGCAGACATATACAAAGTTTATTTGTTCAAAGACCTGTAGTTGAACTGAACCATTTTATTTTTCTCTAAAATTTGTCCAAGTTCCACAAAAAGTAAGGCATTGGTGGTCCCTGTCTCATGAAAAGCTCTGTCAAGTCAAAGGCAATGTGCTGAGAAGATCTTCATTCTACAAGGAGGAGAAAGAAAGTTAGAAATAATTTTGACCCCATGACCAATGGCCTCAGAGGAAGAGAGAGAAAATTTCCTGTGCAACTGTCTGTATTATTTTATCACTGACCTTGCCACCTCCAGCATGCACACACATATACCTTATTATATTAGTGTGTTTCTATTCCTCACAATCAGATAATCCCTGGAGCAACATAAATGTGCAAAAATTGGTGGTTTGCTGAAATAAATAATGGTGGTTACAAAGTAATATGTGACATATGCTCTGATTGTTACAGAACACATGCACATTTATATGCTTAGAAAAAAATCATGGGGCACATGATTGTATTCATGCATCTAGGTCAACAACAGCTGATCTATATGACGGTGGCCCTGTAAGTTTATAATGCCATGTCTTTTTACTGTATCGTTTCTATGTTTAGATATACTTAGTTGCACAAATACTTGCCACTGTGTTACGGTTTCCTACAGTATTCAGTACAGTAACAGGCTGTCCAGGTTTGTAGACCAGGAGCAATAGGCTACAGGCTATTTATCAACCAGCTAAATAGCAATAGGCTATTTATCAATCAAGGAATCTAACCCAGGCATGACTTATGCCATAACTTATCCTTTCAATTACTAAAGATCTTCACATTTTCTATGTACATGACCAAAGCTGATAAAGGAGGAGATTAGCATAGCACATCATATAGCGTAAGTGTGTAGTAAGGTATGTCATCTGGATTTATGTAAGTATGCTCTATGATGTTCATGCAATGATGAAATTGCCTCATTATGCATTTCTCAGAATGTATCCTTGTCATTAAGCGACACATGTCTATACCATATGTTAAAGTTAGTCATCTCTTGAGTATGAATTTATACTTTCCTTTTATTTTTGTGAATTTTTATATATTATTTTAATGTTTATACAGAAAAAAATCAGAAACTTAATCAGAAGATTTAAGTTGTTACAGGACATACTCTAGTTTTAGATGATTTAATAGTGTTGGTTGGTGCAAAAGTAATTGTGGGTTTTGCCATTACTCTTAGTGGGAAAAATGACGCTTACTTTTGCACCAGCCTTAATACAAGGAGAAGAGCCTCCTAGATGCTAAAGTCACATTGCTTGAGTTCATATCCTGGCTCTGTCACTTACTAGATGTGTGATGTTAGGCACATTTCTTTCATTTTTCAAAAAGCTAAAATTATTACAGTAGGATTATGTGAAGATGGAATCAGACAGGAATTTTTGACTATATGTAATGGTTTGCATAAAAAATTCCTATAAAGAGCATTCCATGAAAAATGTCATTGTATCAGTTAGCTTTTGCTGCATAACAAACTATCCTCAAATGTAGTGGCTTTAAATAAAACTATTAATTTAACTCATAATTCTATGGGTACAAATTTGGGCAGCACTCAGTTGGGTTCACTTGTGCATCTGTCCTCATGTGTGGCCCCATGTGTCTGGTGTTCCAGCAGGCTAGAGTGAGCTTGCTCTCCTGGCAGCTATGCAGATTTCCAAGATAGAGCAGGAAGCACACAAGACCTTCTGTCTAGACTCTAGAACTTCCACAATGTCAATCCAATGTATGGGGTACATCTGATCTCATGTACTTTGTTCTTTGCCTCAGAGAGGCTCAGAAGCTTCTTCTGTCATATATCAGGGGTATATACGTCCCTAGGAATGCCCACCCTGGATAAAGAGCAATACTAGTACTGACAGGAAGGATTTAATCACACTTATATGACTGTTTATATCAAATTGGTGGAATGAGTGATGAGTGTCAACATCACAATGACCAACATTATCACAGGTAAACTTTACTACAAACCTGCCAGATGCTATGCCAAGTGCCCTAGGTAAATCACTGACAGATAATCTTTATGAATTGATTACACTAATGACATATATTTACAAGCGAGAAGCCTGTATTCTAAAAGAAATGTCAGCCTCATGATGGTAGCTATCCTCTCTGTATTGCTAACAGTCATATGCCCAGGGCCTAATGCATACTCCTTGAGTGAATGAACCAATGACTTTCCCAAGAATACCCAGCGATTTATCAATAAAGGAATCTAACCCAGGCATGAGTTATCCCATAATTTATGCTTTGAATCACTAAAGATCCTCACTTTTTCTATGTCTATATCAAAAACTGATGAAGAAGGAAATTGTAAAAATTGATGGTTTATTTTATTTAGTCTCTGCCTAGAAAAGTGCTAAGGTAAGATATTTGACCAAATTGGTAAATATTAACATTTTAGTAGGATTGGAAAGGTGTCAAACAAGCACCAGTTTTAGCCGAAATATATATAATACAGGGTATATCAACCAAATGTTTGTTGATGCAGACCACTTGTGTTTCACAAATTTGCCAGCAGATGGCAAAAATGAGCTTAAATTTGTAAAGTTTTGCTTTAGCTTAAGGACTGTAGAAATGACAAAAGTGAAGGGAAACTTTATTGATGGCTTGTTTTTATCTACAATCCTTCTTCAACAGAGAACTTAGGATAAATTTTTGACTCTGAAGGCTCCTTCTACTTGCTTGTTAGATTGTTGACACTACATGATACACATGTGCCTAAAGAGAATGAGGAAATATATTAACAGAGCACATTATATTACATACACACACACACACACACACACACACACACACACACACACACACACACATATCGTTTAAACCTGAGCTTTGAAATATGGACCTAAATAAAGTCATGCCAATTTTTTAGCTCCTGATGTTACAATTATCTATCTAGGTAAAAGCCAAGAAGGCAACTGCCTAGCACTTTGGATGAAAGATGTCAGCTAGAAAGGATTAGCTTAAATAATAAAATAAATTTGAGGTGTGTGAGTGTGTACGAGTCTGCGTACATGTAGATGTGAGCACTGATGACTGCTTCTAGAGGTTGGGAAGAGGTAAACAAGGTATCTCAAGGGGGTGAGTCTACTTTAGGAGGACAAGATGCCATCTGTATTTATTGTCCTCTTACAAAAACTAGTGTTAGTATTTCTTCTAAGCCCTATTTCCTCTCTAATCAGACCTTTCTGCAATCAAATTTCAACATCCTCCTTTCAAGTTTTTCAAATCCAGTGAATTAAGCTAATACAATTGGCTGTGATGCTTGCAAGGGTGACTGTGGAAATTCTCATTTACTTCCACCTGTCTTTTGCTCAGTGCAGAATAGAAATAGAAAACAGTTTTCTTTTTTATATTTTGAAGATTACTTTAATGCTGTAGTTTAATAAAGCACTTGCTGACTGCAGAAACTGTGTAGATGTGAACTCCAAGATTCTTGACATTAAATAGTTCCGAAGAATGTGGTACGGAAAGTTTGAGGGTGGTAATTAAAAAAATGAAATTTAGATGCAGTGCCTTTTGATACACAATTTACTCTGAAGTGCCCAAACACAATTTATATTAATGTATCATATTCTAGACTTCCCGTTACAGCTACAGGGTGCTTAATACACCTATGCTTTGGAAATTATTATAGTTATGAATTTATCGTTGTCCAATGGCAAAGTGAACTTGCCCAGTTGTGAAAAATGCCCTGCAGGAATTTACAAATTAAGTCATTACTTTAAGGCCACAGTTGTTAGTAAAATATCTGAAAGTCCAAAATTTGCACTGAGTAGGATAGACTAATGAATAAAATGAAAGACTAATGAATAAAAGAAAGCTACTCGATTTCTTTGTGTCTCACTTTGCCTTGATATTCTTTGTTGTGATTCCTGTTTTCTTGTACCATATTGGCTTTAGGGTGATACTGACAGTATTAACTCCGCTTGAAAAAAACCTTTTCTCCTGAAATCTTTGGCACAGTCGAATAGACTAAACTGGATGTTTAAAAGTAGGACAAAAAAAACACCAGAGCCTACCAGAAATGAACATATCTTTAATATAAGGGCATAATTTTTTTCATGACCAAATTAGTTTTCTCTATAGCCTACAGGTCCAAGCACCTTATCAATAAAGCCTAGGGGAAAAGTGATCTTGTTTCCGTTTCTGTTACAGCTTTCTGCCTGTCTCCAATGACCTCCTAGATTTTCCATCCTCTTTATATTCAAGGTTTATGGAGCTCAAGTTTTCTTTCAGTTGGCTGAAATCCTTTCTTTGAATTCCTATTTTCAATATGTGTACATACTTGCTGGCCAGGTGACTAAAACAGTCGCTTCTCTCACTAGCTGCTGCTGCCTCAGTGACTAAAGCTGGATTTCAATTGGCTGATTCAGGAGTAGGGAGTTTTGTTAAACAAACTCAAGTGCCTAGAGTGAAATGACTGAAGGTAGCTGTCAAAGCTTGACAACTGGAGAGATGAAGTCTCAGGTTCAAGTGCAGGGACCAGAAACTGAAATCAAGGCAGCATCACAGAACCAGAAATTTGAATCTAAAATCAAAAGAAGTAGATTAAATAAAGGAGAATGGTTCATATAGAGTTGGTTTGTTTTATGGACCTAAGCATGAGAGTGTGTGTGTGTGTGTGTGTGTGTGTGTGTGTGTGTGTGTGTGTATACACATACATGTTATATGATTTGGCTGAATGGCTTTAAGATTCAGGAGTACCATCAGAAATGACCTCACTTTTCAGGTAAAATGATGTCTACCCACCTTTTTCTTATTTATTCTATTTCTTATTTCATGTTAAATAAGTGATGTTAATATCATAGAGGGATATTCACCTTTATAGATAATGTATATTATAATAGCATTTGCTAAATAGAGATTGACAAATGCTTATTTTCACCTGCTGTGCCACCATCATTTTGCTGGTAAATGGCAATAGGCTAATATTACCACTACTAAGTATATTGAGACTTGGAAACTTGACCTTCTCTCCAGCAATTCATTTTATTACAGAGAACATTGAGGCTTTTATTTTGTTTTTTGAGAGGTTGATAGAAGAATACTAATATACTTAGAAGATAGAAAGAGAAGTCTGGCTTTCAGAAGCCTTTTTGGATAGTAATGAAAGGAGTGGACATTTAGACTGCTATCTAAACAAGCCCTTAGAGTACTTCTATATTACACAGTTGAGTGTTATCTCATCCTTGGGCTGAGTTATAGTTCAGAGTGAGGGGTAGTGTTGGCTAATAGAGCCACCCCCAAAGGTATCAGTAGCTTTTCTTTCCTGGGCAATGACCCTAGCTATTTCAAGGGATTTCTTTTAGTGTACCACACCCCCCAACTCCAACTCCAACTTCTGGGATGGATGCTGTAGAATGATTAGGTGGAGATCAACACCCTGATTGGGTACTAAGGAGCAGTCATGAGATTACTTGCAGCTAATACAACACTTGGTGAAATTTTAACAACATTTTAGATTTTTCTGTGAAGTTTCAGGCAAGTTCTAGAGTCTTCTTGGCGATTTTCAGTGGCATAATGACTTTCAGCTTTGGGGAAAGGCTTGCGATGTATTGTGTGGCTGAAGAAGGTGGAGCCTTTCAGTGAAGAAAATCTTGTGAAAACAATAGTCCCTAGTTGATGTGGAGAAAGGCAAAGATGGCAAGATTTCCAACTAAATGAAGGCCTTCTGCCTAAAATGAAGGAGTCTCTTTTCACTGTAATTCATTGATGTAAATAATATTGAAGTGTTCAAATATTGAAATAATTTTATTAAAGCTATAGCTTGGTTTTTAAGCAATATATTACTTGTGAAATGCATTTATGTTCCTAGTAAAGGACTCTTGTATTCAATAAATTGTTTTCCTGGCAAAGGGAGTAAAAAAGAAATTCCTCTGTATAATTTTGCTAGGCATCCACATTTCCAGCAATTTCTGAATTGGTTTCCCTTGCTATGAGTAACTGACAACCTGTGATTTATGGATTTGGAATAATTGAATTTCTTGGCCGTCATACACTTTGAGTAAGAAGTATTATATATGTTTCCAGAAAAAAATGACTAAAAGAAGAAAAGAGTGAAGTGATGCCAACTTCTGACATTTTATTTGGAAACAGTGTTCTAACTAAATGATACTTAAGATGCTCCTCTAAGTTTCTGAAATATGTTTGCTAAATAATCTTTGAAAATAGTTTGGGACATAAGGTTTTTAAATACACCATTTTTGAACTAAGTCAAAGAATAAAGTGGAGGACCATGTATTTGTTATTGTCACATCCCTAAACACAAGAAATGCAGGGTATCCTTTGACACATGTAATAGGTCGAGTAAAAATATTCAAAAATAGGGGTTACACAACATCTCATTTTGCTTGTCAAGCATATAATATTTAATAATTTAGTGGAATTTTTCTGAGCAGAACTTTTTAAATGTGAAATCTCTTAAAAAATTTCTACTTTATTATGGGTTGTTCTACCACATTTGCTAATTATTACAAGTTTTGCTCAGTTTATGGATTTTTTTTTTTTTTTTTTTTTTTGAGAAAGAGACTTGCTCTGTCACCAGGCTGGAGTGCAGTGGTGCTGTCTTGGCTCACTGCAACCTCCACTTCCCAGGTTCAAGTGATTCTCCTGCCTCAGCCTCCCGAGTAGGGGGGACTACAGGCGCATGCCACCACGCCCAGCTAATTTTTGTATTTTTAGTAGAGATGGGGTTTCACCATTCTTTTTTACTCCCTTTGCCAGGAAAACAATTTATTGAATACAAGAGTCCTTTATTAGGAATGCAAATGCATTTCACAAGTAATATATTGCTTAAAAACCAAGCTATAGCTTTAATAAAATTATTTCACCATGTTGGCCAGGATGGTCTCTATTTCTTGACCTTGTGATTCACTCACCTCAGCCTCCCAAAGTGCTGAGATTACAGGCGTAAGCTACCACGCCCTGCCCAGTTCATGGATTTATAATTGGTGCATCACCTTTCAAATTCCATGGAGTATTTACTAACTCTTTTCATATTTTCAATTGTAATGATAATTGGTTAATTGTGCAAGAACTTGTACAAGGACTGAAGGAAATGGGAAGTTCCTATGTGCTTTTGACTAGCATTATCTAATGGATCTTTCTGAAATGATGGGGATATTCTGTAACTGTTGCCCATATATGTCTGTTTGACACTTTGAATATGGCTAGTTTGATGGAGAAACTGAAAAACAAAAATATTCTTTTGTTTTAATTAATTTATATTTAGATTTAAATAGTCACATGTGGATAGTGGCTACCATATTAGACAGTGTAGGTAGACCTTAGAACAGTGAGTTTATGACCTTGAGCAATTCAAGTCTTCACTTATAGGTAGCATTAAAATTGGCTGCTCTGGATTACGTTCAAAGGATTTCCTCAGTCATTCTTAACTGGCTAATATCTCCCTACCAAAGAAACAGGTAAACATTTGTTAGGACATTTTTGGTTATTAAAATGATAAGAGTGTCCTCCTGGGATTTAGTGGGTAGAGATGAGAGATGCTAAATGGCCTGAAATGTGTGGGACAGTCTGCATAATAAGTTATTATTCAGCCCAAATGCCAGTAACAACCAATTTGACAAACTCAAGTAGGCCTTCAGGGTTCTCTAAATATTGTGGTTTAATTTGTGACATCACCTGCAGTCTCTGTCCTACCATAGTAAATTCTGTCTCATATGATCTGTGTCTTATTTTCTCTTGCCCTCAGGGACTTCACATTCTTATTATAATCATTTTGTTTGATGGCTTCAACCAGTCTCTCTCTATACTTGAACATATTCTAGCTTTTGTATCTCAAATAATATTCTTATTTAATTCTGTATCCTTCGTCTGTGACTGTCTCTTTCCCCTCATTCACAGCAGGCCATCCCTTGCCACTCTCAGAATAGCATATTTATTCATGTAGCTATTGGGGAAGGTATTTCTGTATTATAATGAAAAGAAAGCCAACACCATATATAGTTTCAAAGCACATCATTTTATTATAGACATGTCAGTAGAGTTATCATTTCCTGTTCCACTTCCAAACCATTGTGTGTGTGTATATACACATATGTGTATGTATATGCATATATATACACACATACACATATATGTTTAAAATTTCCAAAGCGAGCCCAATTTTATTCTTTTATGCTTATAATACTCTACCTATTTGATATGGTCCAAAGTATACCACCACTCCAGTTTCACATAGTTTTTCTAATTTAGTATCACCTTACTTTCTTCCAAGGGTAGGCTCATACTAAAACTATAAGGTAGTCACTTAAAACATTCCAGCATGTGGTTCAATGTATTGTCCAAATTAAAGTTTCAAGCACTTGAACAATGTCTTCCTAACATCCCCCACTTATCTAAAAAAGAATCGCCGCACATCCCAAGTAAATCATTCTAAACTCAATTCTGAAAATACTAGGTAGAAATAATCATATTTAAAAATATATCTATACTTGGTTAAACATACACTGTAAACTATTTGAATAATTGTGATGATGGCATCTCTTTTTAACTATACATCAAAGCAGTGATATGTCTCCTTTTGTCCTTTAATGTGTTATGTTATAGATCAGTTCAAAAGGCATTACAACATTTTTCTGATGTATTATAATTTTGTATTGAACAAGCATGTTTATAGAGAAATGCTACTGAAAATTAGAGTCAGTGTTTATTCTTTCAGTACAAAACTACATCCTTGCATGAATTCAGGAGGACCATACACACACAAATATCTTCATGATGTAATTTAGATTTTCATTGGCAAAGATCATGCCTGTTTGTGGCATTGAATGAATAGTTATGATGTTGATTCACTATATGAGGTTGCATTTATGGACAACTTCTGTAATCTACTAGGCAATGAAGTTATCCAAAGGAATTGGGAGACTTCAAAAAGTGCACCAAACAAGCAGAGTCCAGTTATTTCTGTTGAATAGATGACAGCCAGAATTTTAAGTGAGCTGATTTAAATAGGTTAAACGATGATCATGTTGCTATAAAAGACCTTCAAATTTTCATTAACTTGAATGATCATTACTGTGTTAGCACAATTAAAACTCATGTTTTGTTTATAAATTATATTCTCATACTGAACAGTAAATATTTTAATTTACCTATGGTTCAACAAGTAACTCATAAAAAATGACTTGAAAATTGATTAGATTTGAGGAAAAAGAAAAGTATACAATATAGTGAGAGTTATGTATTTAAAAATGATAGATTTCTTTGTCTGTTGCCAGAGGTTATATTCTGATAAATATATTCAGATATATGTTGTTTTTTCACTTATATGTGTTGTTCTTGTTTGCTATTTTAACATTCCATTATTAGAGGAAAGGATTGAATCTAGCTATACAAATGTTAGCCTATCTTTTCACTTTTTCCTCAAAGAATTCTTTCAGGATCTTTGGATATAGGCTTTCTTATATATGGACTGCCTATATTATTTCATGAGAATCGTAAAACAAAACACCTAAATTAGATTACAGCAAAGGTAATTATAACTTCATTGTTGGGGGGTTACATCATCTGCCCTTTTGTATCATTTAACTGGACTGCAAGGTGTTTGAAATATCAATATCATCAATAATTTTAAGTCATGATATCTTTATAAATACGGAAGTATGTCATTAAAGTCATGTTCGTTTATAAATTAATTTTAATTGCTATACATAAATACTATAATCATAGTGAAATAGTCAAATAAGTAGTCTATCTGTATACTACACTATTCAGATCACTCATCTTCATAAATATCACCCACAATGATATTTACACAAAACCTAATTAAAAGAAGAAAAATGGGCAATTTTAGTAGAAATTAAACATGTGATTTTGTGGGCATAGAAGGGCCTTGAGCAATTGCCTTCCCATTTCTATTGGAGTAGAATCTTAATAATACCCCCACAGCATCACAATTTCTTTTCTAATACCTATTTACATTCATGTATGCTATAATATATGCTGTATACATGTTCTATATTTACAGTATGTATACACACATTCACACACATACTTTATTCTTAGGCTCATTCATGAACATGCAGATCAATCTGCACAGTATGATCAAAACATGTTTATTTTCTTAAATGATATTCACATATAACTTTTCACTCTTTGTGCAAAAATGCAAAAATACCATATAGATTAGTATTCTCTCTCTCTAAAAAGTCTCTTTTTTATGCTTGAGGTTTTTTGTCATTTACAAATAAATTATGAAATATATTTCATTCACAAGTTGAAAATAATTACAATGTTTTTATAACAAGGCATTACTGAGGTTTTGAATTGTAGCATCCTTGAAGCCATCTGTCTTTCAGAACAAAGACGTCAATAAGTTATTTTTATTTCTTGATATTTGCACTTTTCAATTACTCATATGAAATATGTCATTACAAATATAATAATCATGCTAGTCAAATAGTGTTTGTATAGAATATGCATTTTATTTCTGTTTTATTATCTCTTTTTCCTGAAAAGTCTTCTTTAGAACAATCTGGAAAGCCTCTTGAAATTATTGTACTAGAATGTTTCTGGAAAGTTTTTTACCCCATAAAAAAGGGTGGAGAAACCAGTGAGGCAATATATTTTTTAGGAAGAATAATTTTAGTGGATGCTCAGGAGAGATAAATGCAAATGCAAAAACTGTTTTATTTTCTAGTCCTTTGGTGTCTCATTGCCTCATGAAAATCCTAAAAAGTGTTCAATTCTTTAAAACATTGATTACACTCTTCCATTAAATATCAGCTGTGGTCCTCCATTGCTCATGTTGTCTGTTATTTCCTGTTAGAAAAATGACATGATTAATTAAAATTCGCTTTTGGAGTAAGACATTGTTTTGGTTAATGAGTTTGCAAAACAGAAATTTCAATCCATTGAAAAACTTGCTAAGTTTTGGGGAAAGACAAGGATATTGCTGTTATATTTGAGGAAATAAAATTTCATGGCATCTTGGAGCACATGCAAATGCCAAAGTAAGAGTCAGTTAGACCAAAATATTCTCTCCACAACAACGGTCCATTCTCTCCCCACTTTCCTGAGTTTCCTCTTTCTTTCTTCAACTCAATTTTGGAAAGACCTCACCTAGAAAGAAGAAGATGGTTAAATGCGCAAGTTTTTCTAATGCATAGACTCTGCTGAGCATGTCAACAAAGTGCCAATGCATTCTAGAGGTGACCTTTATTCTACAGGAAAATGTGTGGCCTTTTTGCTAAGAACAGAAAAAGGCCTACGAGGGCATCATTGCTCATTTGTAACTATGGATCACTAAAAAATCATAGTGGGAAAGATTGTTTTTCATGACACTATCACTCTTCCAGTAAGAAGCAAAAACAGTGAAGTCTCTTAACATGTTTTTAATGGATCAATTACTAAAAAGTTAATAAGTAAAACTATATAGAAAAGCACTGAAAATATAGATGCAAAGGACAAACTAGCATTGAAAGTTTCATTTTCAATTATATGAAATACATTATGAAAAATTTTGATGCTTTTAATTCATATGTTTTGTTAAATATTAAACCCTTCCCAACACAATAAAAAGTGATAGGATATGAAGCCCATTCATATTTTAATGGTTAGAGCACCATAGTAAAATTATGTTGATAAAATTATCTAAAAATAAATTGGCAGCATCTTTCCATGCTTGAACAAGCCTATTTGCAACAGAGCAGAAAAAAAAAATTAGAAGTGGAAATTATTTTCTCAATTATTTTATTTCTATATCTATTTCTATCTAGCTCTGTTTGGAGAATCTGCTAGAGATGTACATGGTGAAAGTCTCCTAGAGAGGTATGTGATGAAAAATCTGAAAATATATTAGGGTTATGTGCTGGAGTTAAGTTTATAGCTCAGAAATCTGATTTGAGGCTTCATTGAGGAACTCACCATTGATGGCAAAATAGGTAGAATCACCCCCCACCCCCAATGATCTTCAACAAAATTTACTTTTCCTGTTTTACCTACTAGGAGAAAAATCAAATTTCTAATAAATTTACATAAACCCGTTAGGTGCCTTTTCTCCTTCTACAATGACTTTCCACTCAAAAACTGCTTAGAAATGATAAAAAGTGAATCTGTTATATTAACCTTTTATTGCAGAATTTAGTAAAACAATTTTTTAAAATGTTACAAAAAAAGAATTTTCTTAACTGAATTCACTCTACCATAAACACAGTAAAATCACTGATAGGAAAGAAGAGTGAAAATTCGTTTTAAAATGAGTGAGTCTCCAGTTTGCAAAAAAATTTGCAAATAGGCATGCTTAATTTAATAGGAAGATTGTGGTTTAAATTTGGGCTGGACCAATGTGACTATTTGCAAATGGGCTTTCTGCAAATGGGCCATAGTATCCATGTGACTTTCTGTCTGTCCAATTACTTTGTTTGAGCAAACCAAGAACCATTACTATTTATTTTTAGCAATTTGAAACGTGGGAACTAAATTTAAAATGCATCACATAAGATAATTTTACAAGAAGAATCTTTTCATACCAAAATTTTACCGTATTAGTGTCCAACTTTGGCCATCTTCTCACGCAATTTTAGCATGAGGAAAATACACAGTTTGTCTTTATCCAGACATATCTATTATTAAAAACAAAACTCTGGCCCATGAATGATTATACTGAGTCAGAACCATGAAGTAGCAGACAATAAAAGGAGTCATGAATCATCCAAGCAGAAATGTGTTTGGATGCTTATAGGCGGGCTGAGTATTTTACATACTCAACCAACTTTCAAGCTGCAAGACTCGGCCATGTAGGTTTATGTCAGCTCTGCAAAGTAAGCGCTTACGAAAGCGATACTTTGAGAAACAACATTAAACAACATCAGTTCAGACTGATCTGTTGACATCATGGCTTTCTGGAAGGGGAAGTGCTTTCTGCAGCGACATTACAACATGGTAACTCCCTAGAAATCAGCGTACCTTGTAGGTAACTCTGGTGTCGGGGGCACCACCGGGCAGCTGGGCAAGTCGGTTATTTCAATAGCCCTCAATCTCTAATGTAAATATAACAATCATACAATAAATATTGCACAAATATATACAGAAAACTAAATCAGACTAGTATAAAATAAAGCACAAAAGAGCCACTATTCATATATACATATAAAATGGTCATCTATTTTTAACAATCATTTCTTTAAATTACTGGAGTCTTGCTATGTATATTATTAACTGTTTCATGAAGGACATGCATAGCTGTGTTTAAAATTGCTTTCTTGAGTCAATTTGAGAACACTTGCTCTCCTTATTTGAATGTATAGATTGTACACAAAATGGAAACGCTACAGAATAAATATTTTTCCTTCAAAATAACATTATAAAGAGATGTGCAGTAAGTCTTGCTATTATCACTTCTCCTCTGTGCTTATGCAATTTTATTTCCATGATATGAAGCAAAATATAATGTGGCCATTACCTTAGTGAGTTTATTTTACAAATGTTTCCTCTCTTCTCTACTAGATCCAGTAGGAGAAACCGAATTAAGGAATATGTGCAAAATGTAATAGAAACACAGACATCATACTATACCATTTGTCCTTTTATACAATTAATTTAACTTCCTATTTATATGGGTTTCATGAAACAATTATGCAAGGACAACTGTTTAAAATACAGGCAAAGCTCTCCAAATATGCATAAGTTTAGATGAGAATTAAATGAAGCTTTATATGGACTGTAATATCTGCACTGATAGACAAGGCTTTTTGTCACCTTATTAAAAAGCCCCTTTATACTTGAAGATCAAATTTACATAATCAAATGCATCTCCTTAATAGAACAAGGGAAGAGCTAGAAAAGGGAATTCATGCAATTTCTAAAACTGGCATTATTGAGTGGAGAGTGTATTTAGTATCTGTGTTTTTCCTCAGTATAATACATAAAAATCCATATTTATAGGGTATTCAATATTTTATGAAATACTATTTTAAGCACTGTGTTTTTGAATAGACAGACTACAAAATGTTGTTGAAAATAGGTGTACCCATGAATTGCAGAGAAAAATAAAATAAAATTTCTATTCTTAACCCAATAGAGCCAAATGTATAAAATCTGATTCCTCAAATTGTGATCTAAAGTTTCAAGTTGATTCACCCAGAGTGGACTTCAGTCTTCATCATGTGCTAGCAGTGAGAGGAAAAGGTACAAAACTCACTTTCTCAGCCATTTCATGAGAGTGATGCAGGGAATGCTCCCTTTCTGAGAACATCCTCCTCTGTTCATAACTGGCTAGTCGACAAGTGAGCCAGGAAGAGAGAGTGCAGCCCCCGATCCCAATGCACGCGAGAGACATGGAGGCAAGGTGCAGTGGGTATAGGGAGGAAGTTTTCTTTGTGACTGCCCGGAGGAACTGAAAATTCAGGATGCCCCCAATAAGTCCACAGATACAGCAGGCTGAAAAGAGGATCATCTGATAAGAAAAAGAAAGGCAGCGTTAAAGTTGAAAAGGCAAACCTGACCAGAACACAGTTGCCCTGTCCGGCTGCATGTCAAGGATGACTAGCCTACAATAAAGAAGAATAAGCGGTTTTGGTGCTTCACAGAGGACAGGAGATTTTTTTTTTACATTTTATTTTTGCCAAGTTTCTATTCACTCTGACTCACAGTAGACAGAGGGAGTATACCACAGTGTTTCAGAAATTGATAGCTGACTATATTAAAGCCAAGGATATAGCTTATGAAAACTCTGAAGCAAACAAAATTTATCGTCTAGGTAGATTCAGATTTAAATATTTATTTAACATCTACCGTGTGCTACCATGCTAGGAACTTTAACAAATATCATCTCAATTGACACTCCCAGCAAGCCTCTGAGATAGTAACATACGTTTTAGAAAAATGAATGGTCAATAGCTAACACTAAATTTAGGCACCAAACCCAGATTTTTCTGATTCCAAATCTACTTTCACTGTGTCAGTCCTTCAAAAATATCTCAATAGCTTCTCTTTGGATTGTCATTAGTTCCACCTAACTTCAAATCTTTATATCTTCCTACCTATGTGAGCTTAGGAAATTTAGTTAAATCTCTTTTTTTAAAAAAAAGTTCACTCATATTTCATTGTGCATGTATTTCCTAAGCAAGTACTTTAGGGACTCCTATGAACTGACCCCTATATATTACAAATATTTTATTACTTTGTGGCACTATCATCATTGAAGAATATACAATAGGCGTTCCAAAAATACTGTTCGTTTGTTCGTTTTAGAGAAACAGATGATGTGGCTTTGCTTTTGGTCCTACTATTGGTTGAATCTCGGTGTCTATTAATAGAGCTAGGGGGGTTTAATCAACAACTATCATAGGATCCCTGGCAGAACCAAGAATAATGCTTTCTGAGAAGTAAGTACTTTGTGAATATTTAATAAATTTAATTAACTAGTCAAATAACTTTAATAATTATATTTTCTTTTTGCATCTGGTCTAAATTCTTCTATGGGCTTTCATGATACTTTGTACTATGATACTAATTGAATTATGCAATCTAATTTCCATTCTTCTCGGGAACACAGACTTATTCCAGTCACCTCTCTTGTCCTTCAATATGGGTTACTCATTCCCACATCAGTGACATTTTTCATTTCCTGGAAATAATTTTGCTTCTTCCTTAGACTCATGGATGAAAGGCACAAATTAAGTCCTAACTTGGACTTTATTGATCTCCTCCTTTGTTGTAATTCCCCAGGTCAAACAGCTTTGTAACTCACTTTAACATTTAATTTTATTTTATCAGATATTATTTTTCATTGACGGTTGAGTTTAGCCTGCACTTATTGAGCACTTAGCATCTGTTAGCCCCTGAGTGCAGCAGCTGCTGGCATTACAATCAATCATTCATAATAATTCCTCTTGAGAATAGTTAAATCTTGTGAAAGAGAAGATCCAGAATTTTAACATGGCATGATAAGTATTAAGAAAGGGATACATGTGTTGCCCTAGGAGTAGGGAGGAGAAGAATTTAGCCCAGCCAAGATTTTTGGAGAAGGCTTTCTTGAGAATATGTCAGGTCAGTAACTACAAGTAGTTAATTTCATTTCTTCAACTTAATTCAGCATTCCTTATTGCATCTGTAAATATCATCAGAGCTAAAAATCCAATAATGAACGGGTAAAATCTTTTTATACTTGATTAAATATAATACTGAAGATCAGTTACCAAATAATTAAATCATCCTACTAAGTGTAAACTTGTAGCTCAAGATGCCTAGTAGAATTAACCAATTATATTTTATTTTAAAGTAGATTTGGATGTCATGCTGTTCTTTGGGGATATATTTTGGTGTTTACTCATTCTCTGAAAATACGGAAAGATATTAAAATCTAGCTTCAAATAATTAATTATTGTTATAGAGAAAGCAGACAATACCTTTAGTTTTCTGTTACAGGAAAGCCCATGTCTTTGCTGATGTCATTCTGATTAATTCTTTAAAGGCATGACACCTCATTAACATGTGTTAACAAAACAATCTTATCCAGGAATTAAAATGTTTAAATCTGTAACCATATACTATTTTCAAATTTCACCAGGTTGGAGACTCTAGACTGCAGATATATTTGGAGTGAAATTTTTTTTTAATTTCATTAAAATGTAGAAAATATTGATAGTTAAATGCCATCAATGGGGACCTTAGAAAGTACACAGGATAATGTACCTTCTAATAGTAGGTACAGCTACCACCTGGGCGGTAGTTTCTTAAAAAAATCAGATTTCATCATTTTTTTCCTTGTAATTTATAAGAGAAAGACAGAGAAGTGCCACTATTGCCTTTGTATAAAACAACAACAACAAAAAGCCTCTTCCTTCCTTTTTTATTTTTTCCTTCCCTCCCTCCTCTTTCTTTCTCTCTCTCTTTTTTCTCTTTCTCTTTCCTTTTGTCATGCTTCCTTGCTTGTTTACTTGCTTTCTCCCAAGGAGTTGTTCCTACATAGTCATAAAGAGTCTTCGTAGAGGAAGGGCATAAGGAGAATGAAGACCATGTGTAAAAAATGATGGGAGAATCATAAATGCAAGTTACAAGCCTGAAAAAATACATTTTTTTCTAAAGGTTTCATTTTTCCCTTTATGTAATTTTTAAAAATTACATCTAAAATTGCTGTCTAAAGCAGTGAGGGCTTTAGCCTTTTTGCCATAATAGATGTTCTCACGAAGAAAGATGTGATTAGAAAAAGGGGTCAAATAAAAATAACTGCAATGCTTCCCATTCCCTGATCTGCTCAGATAACTGGCCTCACCTTGGAAAACTCTCTTTAGGCTCAAAGGGTACTTCCTAGGGTCCCTGTGTAGTATTAATTTTGCCAATTTGTGTCTATGTTCTTTCCCATAATACTTGGTAAAATAAACCACACTTTTTCCTTATTTCCAAACCCTTATGAAAAATCATGAAAGGCGATGGGGAATCCACACTTCAGCATGCAGTGTGGCTCATCCAGCCAATATCAGAGCTAACTGGGAGTGTGTTCCATACCCCAGAAACCCACTATAGTACCATAAAACATCTGAAAACACTTATGTGTGCATTCACAGTAATAAAAGAAAATAAAATAAATCTCTGAGAATTAAACTGTAACCATAGCAACACAGCTGTCTTGCTGCTTCGCAAAACTTGCTTCACAGTCAAAGAAAGCCAATAATCCTTAGGCCCAGTTCCATATTTAAATGGTTACATTTCTCATGGGCTGAAGCTTTATCTACTTGAGCTTACTGAAGGATTCAGGCGATTGTCTGGCAGTCTCCAGATTGGAAAACTAGAGACTGTCATCCGTAGCAGTCATTAAAGGTTGCATATTCAGATATTTAAAGAGTTTATTAAAGTTTTTTTACATCGGTGGGCTTTTGTCATAGTTTCTAATAATTTTGATGGTTTTCTTTGAAAACAGAAAAGGCAGGATTTATTTGTCAGTTTTTTTTTTTTTTGCCTCAAACTAGCAATATTCAGTATATGAAAGCTGGCTAGCCATCATTTCTATTTTAGAATTTTACGTTTCATACACCTCAATGCACAATACAAACAAATCAAACACTTACGACAAGTCCTGATTTTTTTTTGGCACACAATATTCCACAAATGCCACAAAGAAGAAACTGAAAAGGAAAAGAAGAACAATTACTCCTTATCCAAAGACACGAGGACCCCTAGATTTTAGCTTGTAGTTCACTCATGACACTTTCTCCAGGGAAGATAGAACATTTTAAATTTCCTTCAAAACCTGGAGAGGATAAGATCTCATTCTAGAATAGTAAAGGATAAAAGTATAAACCCTAATAAAAATTTATTTTTTGCTAGATTGTTAGAGGTAATTGAATCAGTTTTAGCATCAGGTAAAATTATTAAGTAAATGAATTTAGAGCTTTGTTTCTCCCATTTCTTTTCACCGTCTGATTCCTTTCTACTTTCTCAGGGAGAAAAGTGGTGTGATACATTCATTCACACTTAACAACTAGAAATCAGTAAGTTATACTACAGGAAAGAATCTGCACAAATCAAAAGATAATGCATCAGACAAGGAGATGATTCTCTATAGAGATACTCTTTGTACCACTCCAATTGGTACAATGACAACCTCCTTATTCTACAAGAAACTGGCCTTATGGATATGTCAGAAGAACACAAAGAGATAGGCTGGGCGCGGTGGCTCACACCTGTAATCCCAGTACTTTGGGAGGTCATGGTGGACGGATCACAAGGTCAGGAGATCGAGACCATCCTGGCTAACACGGTGAAACCCCGTCTCTACTAAAAATACAAAAAATTAGCCGGGCGTGGTGGCAGGCGCCTATGATCCCAGCTATTCCGGAGGCTGAGGCAGGAGAATGGCGTGAACCTGGGAGGCGAGGCTTGCAGTGAGCCAAGATCGCGCCACTGCATTCCAGCCTGGGTGACGGAGCAAGACTCCGTCTCAAAAAAGAAAAAAAAAAAAAAGAACACAAAGGGATAAAGCAATTGATAGCATATTATTTCTTGTAAATAAAACATTGTTGACATAATTGCTTTGCAAAGGCAGTCACATCAGATTATCTACCAAGGAGAGACTATTAGATATTTTAGTAATCATAAAATGATAAATAGTTTAATTTGAATAGAAACAGTTCCATTTGAATGCAAGTTTTCACATACTTCTAACTTGAAATAGCTATATAAAATATTCATTAAGAAGTAAGAAGTCCACTAAAGGACTTCAGATTTGTAAAGAAAATTTTTATTCGCAAAGAGAACTAGTTTTCACTGTTGTCGTTGTTGTTTAATTATCTGAAGTCAGAACTAACAATATAGCTTGTTTCACTAAATATTTGACACCTGGATAGATTTATTTCCAAATACATATCAAAATATACTAAGGATTATCTGAGATAATATGCATGTGAGAAGTACCAAGAAAATCTGTTAAAAAGCAATAAGTAAGGGAAGTTGTTGCAAAGAAACTTTTCCTATAAGGGAGCAGAATGATTATTATGCAGGCAGTGGGGCAGCAAGAAGAAATAGGGAACACAGAATATATAAGAATTTGGTATATAATTTAGATGACCTTTCATATTAATGGAAAGGAAAGGATTATTTGCCCAATAAATAGAGCTAGAATAATGTGTTAACGTTCCCTAACATACACCAAAATTAATGTAAAATTGAGTATTTATACAAAAATGCTTAAATGCATTGGGAGACAACAAAGTTAAATATTTATATAATTTTAGAGGACTGGAAAGGATTTTCTAAATGTAGCACCAAAGTAATAAACCAAAGTAGAAAGTATTTATTAATAGAAAAAATTTAATTTTGACGGTCAAAAACATAACACTCAAAGGCAAAAAATGTTGGGATTATATTCGGAAAGTATATGATAGCCAAATAGTTAACATACTTTAGAAATAGATCTAATAAAATATTTTTAGTATTATAAAACCATGAGAAGATAGAAACTCAGAACTTTATAAAACCTGAATACTTGCATAATTTTCAGTAGCCTTAAAAAGCTATTTCAGAGTGACCGTTTCTCACCACCCACTGTGTCCTAAGTGTAGATGATCATGTCCTCTTATGGACTCTTTCTGTTACTAATTTCATCTCACATTTTTGAAGGCAGTGCTCAAGAAATTCCAGTTTGGACCAATTCTGTACCTTTCAGTGCTTCAAGCTTCAGATCAAAGCTCAAGCATACTCTTCTCCTTAAGTTTCCCTGACTACCCCATTTTCATCCTGAAAGTCCCATTTATCCAGAACTCATTCGAAAAGAATTTGAAAGCAGTGTAGTTTTGTGTTCCTTGCATCTGTTTTGAAATCTGTAAACACTGCCATTATTCATTTACAGTAAAGCCCAAGAGGTGGTCAGGAGCATAAGCAGAGTTCTCCATCCAACCATTTGGTTAGAACATCTAGGTGGCAATAAATTTGCTATTTTGTATTATCTCACTTCAATTGGATGGAGCTAAGAAATGTGAATTCAAGGATTGGGAGAGGGAAGGGAGAGTAGGGGAGGAATCAATCAATATTTTTTCTACTTTCAGCAGATGAATGTAAATACTCTCCAACTGTTACTTCTGTTAGAGTATCCAAAATCACATGTCCTAGAGAAAAGCTGTAACCTGAGAAAAAGTGGACACATGTAACAGGAAGTATATGAAATCATGGGATTTATGAGGAGGATCTAAAAGATCTTGGTTGAAATTTAGCCACCACAGTTTATAGAAAAGAGAAAAAGAGGCCCCCAAAGTAGTAAATTGATATTTTATTTCATTGGCTATCTTTATTTACCACAAGTCATAATACTGGAAGAGATCTTAAAAGATGATTTAATTAATCCCTCGAAGTTTACACGTGGGGACATGGTCCAGAGAGGTCCAGAGAGTTAGTGACTTGCTCAAGGTAACACATCAAGGTCAGAAATCACACATCTAATTTAAGACTTTATTAAGTGTCTAAATTAATTTGTTTTTAATAATGGGCTGGGCATGGTGGCTCACACCTGTAACCCCAGCATGTTGGGAGGCTGAGGTGGGCGGATCACAAGGTCAGGAGTTTGAGACCAGCCTGGCCAATATGGTGAAACTCCGTCTCTACTAAAAATACAAAAATTAGCCGGGCGTGGTTGCAGTCACCTGTAGTCGCAGCTACTCTGGAGGGGGAGGCAGCAGAATCACTTGAACCCAGGAGGCGGAGCTTGCAGTGAGCCGAGATCGCATCACTGCACTCCAGCCTGGGTGACAGATCAAGACTCCATCTCAAAAAAAAAAAACAAAAAAAAAAAAAACGGAATGGAAGTGATTTTTAGAGTTTTTTTTTTTTGTGTGTGTTAGTTCAGTGTAGGTTATACTAGCAAATCCAACTAGAAGTGTTCAATGAATACCTACTCACCTACAACTGCAAGACCATTGTTAATTTATGATATAACTTCTGATGTAATCAAAATAATAAGAACATCAGTCAATTGTGTTACATTCTAAAATTAAATGCATCTTATTTTATAAAGGAATTTGTTATAATATTTCAAAATACACTTTCTTTTGTTCAACATAACTTTATCCAGGATGCAAAGCACTTACCCACATCATGGCAATTATTAAGCAAGTAAAAAACAAATTAGCTAAAAAAGTAAAGCTGATAGCTGTATGTATGTGCATATGTGTAAAGCCTGAACCATGAGAAAATATGATTTTATTTGTGAGAAGATGGGATGTTTAAATCCAGGGAGGATTATTTGCGTTGATCTTACTGTGAAATGATATAAATGTAGCAATCTAATGATAAGGCATCTAGTGCTACACAATAAAATAAAATTAGTTCATCCTCCAAGCGAACTTCATTTGATTCCAATTTAGATTATATTCAATAGAAAACTAAGATTGTGACGTGTTGGACGAAATGACATGATTATGAAGACAGTATTTTACACTTTGAGTGGATTTTCTTTATGTAAAGTCCTTGGAGGTTTCTGCTTTTGCTTAGGACACAGAAAGATGCAAAGATGTCATTTCCACTCTTACAGTAAGGAAATGATATTTTAGAGCCCATCAGAGAGCTGGTTGAGATTCCAAGACAATGAGATAACTTCAATTCAAAGAGGGAAATCTTCTCCAAGAAAGGTCTGACACTATGTCACCTGTTGCAGAGTAAGGGAGGAAGAGACACTGGTCATCACACATTTGTTTGTGTTGAGGGAGGTGTAAAGCCCTGCTCCTTCCCTAGACCTTCTTTTTTATGAAGCAAAAGGCTTAGGCTTCTGGCAGAAGGGTAGCAAAGCTTCTCATTTCCAGGGCCTATTCAAATATAGATTGCCACTCTAACTGGAGGAAAAGTAGAAGATCCTTTTTTAAAAAAAAAAAAAAATACAGAGGGAGAGGCAGGAATTCATCTTGGGCCTGGCATCCTATGCCTATACGAAGTAGAGGACATTGACCATTGGAGAAGAGGCAGGAGCCTCTCGCCCAAGATCAACCCCAGATATAAGGCTAAGTTTAATTGTCTCAGGAAGGAAGGTACAGAATACTGAGAAAGCCCCACACCTGAGATCAGGCGCACAAGGACTTCCTAAACTGAAACTGGTTGACAACAACAAAACACTTTCTCCTTCAGCCCCACCTTCACTCACCATGAGTTAGCAGTTGGGAGTAACAACTGACAGCAGTCTACCAATGAGGGGGAGACAACAGCATGGGAGGATACCCTCCACCCCAACCCTGTGATGAAGATGAACAGGGGCTCAAGCTGAAGGTGGGGCACTCACATCAAAAAAAATTTCCAGCACATAAGCACAAGGCAACTACAGCCCACCACTAGAGGAATGTGAAGACTATTTTGCACCACAGATAATCACAGCCAAACAACATTTAGTTCCTGACACCAGACTGACTCCACTTCTCACACTAACAGCCTAAAAGTAGATATTAAGATAAAATACAAAATACTGAAAAAAAATGACTTTCAAACTTTTCAATGTATATCCAGCCAAACTCTTACTTAAGCAAGAGATTATAAGAACGACATGTTCACTTGGCCAAGGGCATGGTGGTAGACTGAATTATGGCCCTCCAAATATGTCCATCTTCTAACCCCCATAACCCATGAATATTATAGGGTAAAAAAGGCTTTGCCAATGTGATTGAATTAAGTTTCTTGAGATGGGGAGATTATTGCAGATTATCCAGGGATGCCTTAAATGTAATCACAAGGGTCATTTAAGAGGTAGGCAAGGTCAAAAGAAGCAGAAGCCTATGTGTTGACAGAAACAAAGAGACAGGGAGAAGAAATTTGAAGATGCTACGCTGTTTGCTTTGAAGAGAGGCAAAGGGGCTATGAGGCAAAGGATGTAGGTGACCTCTGGGCACTGGAGAGGACAAGGAATTTGATTCTCCCTGGAGCCTCCAGAAAGAATGTAGCCCTAAAGACTAATTTTAGACTTCTGCCTCTCAGAACTGTGAGAAAACTAATTTCCGTTGTTTTAAGCCACGAAATTTGCAGAAAGTTGTTACAGAAGCAACAGGAAACTAATACAGGCTCAAAAATATTATTCCACATAAAACTAAAAGAATTACTGGAAGTAGTATTCAGGACAATAAATAGGGAAAGCTATCAGACAGGAAAGGAATGAAATAACAAAAGCACAAAATAAAAAACAGTAAATATATGGAAAATACGTTATTGAAAAAATTAATATCTGCCAATACCCCAGGCGGTTTTGGCATAAGCTATGATGTGTTGAGTGGGAGTACAGATGATGTAAGTAAAATTTGTAACATTCTTATATTACTTAACTGAATAAAGAGATCCTAACTAGATTTAGATATTGATTAAAAAGTCAAACTTTAAATTTGTGCATTAAATTATAGATCAGAAAACTAAAAGACAAATTTTTTAAAAAAAGATGCAATGACAACAAAGATTAAACCAACAGGTATTAGGAAAGTTAGAAAAAAATTTAAAAAGTGAAACTATGCAATAAATTGGTGTAAATAATTCGAATAAAGTCAACAATAAGACTAAATGTGAATGTTTTCCATTTTCTTAGCAAGAGGAAAAATGGAGACCAGAAAAGTACTCTGTTAGAATTTCTCTAAAATGAGTAAAACCCTTTTCTTTCCCTGCTAGTTTGTCTCTCTTCTCTGTCTCCCGCTCTTTCTTTTTCTCTCTCTCTTTCTCTTGCACTGGCCTAGGTGCTAGTCAATGAGTTCCTTATTACTATTCTTTTCTGTACAAGAAAGTTTATTTTGGGAAAGAGCAACTAAGAGTAAAAAAGGCAATGGTAGAATTTTCCAGTTTGAATTATGTAATGGAAAATTTTGGAACCATGATTACTGTGGAAGCAGATATAAGCAATGGTTCTATTAGCCGGCAGGGAGAGCAGGCAAGGTTGAAGGAGAGCAGGCAAAGTTGAACTGATAGGATTATAAAAGATGACAGGCCAATCCTATTTTAACACAGCTTATTAAAAATGTTTCCCACATAATATTTAACTACTTCAGATGAAATAAGTTTCACTGAAATTCTCTAGTTATTAGAGGAGATATACTCATTAGAAAATAGGAACACTACTTTTTTTACCCACAAGATAATGAGCTGAACCACGAATTGAATTTAATACTTTGATAACCTTTAATTTCATAACGTTAGTTCGTTTCTTTAAAATGCATAGAAAAATCATCAGGAAAACACACAGACAAATGTTAAATGTTTAAAAATTGTTTAGAAAGAATCTAGTTCTGGCTAAAAGATGTATTTATCCTGTACCTGGATTAAAAGTTGAAAGACTTATTTTGAGACCACTAGTTCTTGAATAGTTTTACTCTACTTCACTCACCTTTTAATTAAAGAATAACTCTGGAAGCTCTTAGAAAGGTTATTTCGTGGTTCAACACACAAAATGCACATAAAAAGCATTTCATAGTTTTCTTGATATTGTGCTGATGATTGTGTTTTTCTTACATCATATCCTGGCTCAACTCATAAGGATGCCTCCTTTGTTATGTGCTTCGTTTCATTTGAGATCCCACTTTTCTAGTGGTTCCTACTATATATATATATATATATATATATATATATATATATATATATATATAAATTATCTCTGTAAAATGGAGAAAGCTTATCAAGTTGGAAAGCTTGCCTGAAAGCACTGTTTTTCAAATTTGGCTGCATATTAGCTTTCATAATTCCTGATATTTTAACCAGTTAAAAATTAGAGTATCCGGGGTAGGACTCAGACATCATTATTTTTAAATCTTCCCAGGTGATTCTAGTGTACAGTCAAGGTACAGAATCCATTTCCCTGGGAATCACATGCAGTGTTTTCAGCAGTGCTTTACCAATAGACCTATTCATTTTAGGGTTCTCCACTTCAGCACTGAAATTCTCCTTAACTACTCTCACTGAGATATCAATAAACATGAAGACCAGATAAACCGCTCTTCAAGGGAGAAACATGGAGTCAATGTTCAAAACATAAGGTCAAAGAGTGAGAGTTGTTTGGTTTGTAATAGGTCTTAGACATAGAGATCATTATTTTATCATCCTGTATTTCACTCAGTGCCTTTCATCATTGCTAATACATATTTTTTCCCCAAGTCTCTAATCTTTTCTAAATTTTTTTCAAACTTTCTGTTTTCTTTTAGTTAACTAGACCTAGAATTTGGCATGGTACACTATTATCTGGGTAAATCAGGCCAGTTTTTTATTGAGAATTGAGAAATAGGCAAAAGAAAGGCACCTATACAAATAAACACCACTGTAGAAAAATATTGAAGGGAAATAAACTGAAATTAAACAAGATCAAGAATAAGAAAACAAACAACTGAATTAAAATATGGGTGAAAGATCTGAACAGACAACTGAACAAAGAAGATACACAGATGGCAAATAAACATAAAAAAGATAGTCAACATTGTTTGTCATTAAAAATTATAAATTTAAACAACAGTGAAATACCAAGACGAATCTGTTAGAATGGCTAAAATTAAACAAACAATTGATGTTATCAATTGCTTGCGATGTGAAGCAGCAGGAATTTTCATTTGCTACATATAGGAATAGAAAATGGTGTAGCCACTATGTAAAACAAGATGGCAGTTTCTTACAAAGCTAAACATAGTCTTCCCATGTGGCCCAACAATTGTGCTTTTAGGTATTTACCTAACTAATTTGAAATGATTTGTAAACCTAGGAACAATAAAGATGTTTTTTCATAGATAGATGGATAAACTGTGGTATATTCATACAATGCAGTGCCATTCACTGATATAAAAAAAGTGAGATACCAAGACACTCAAAGACATGGGTAGAATGTAAATGCATATTTCTATATAAAAAAGGCTGTCTGAGAAGGCTGTTCACTGTATGATTCCAATTCTGTAAACTTTTGGAAAAAGTAAATAATAGAGACAGTAAAAAAAAGAGTAAATGCTAGGGTTTCAGGGAGGTAAAGGGGGTTGAAAAGGCAAAGCATAGGGTATATATTTAAGGAAATAAAACTATTCTGTATGATATTGCAATTGTGGACACATGATACTATCCTTTTGTCAAAACACATAGAACTTTATAACACAAAAAATCTTAACGTCTAAACAATTTTTTAAAATTAATTTTGTTAAAAATTAAAAAATTAGGGGGTTAGGGAATCCCAGAATAAAATGTAGAATGTAACCATACTATATAACTATAATAAAATGTATAAGACAATTTCAATGAAAGGGGTCAGGGAGAAAAGGCTGACCTGAGATGTAACTTTAGAAATAAGTGGAATCTGTAAAACTGAAGAAAAGACAAAAAGGCAATGGTATATAAGCATTATACTCTATTTAACAAAGTTGTTTCCTACAGGGTTACTGGTTAATGATTTTGACACCACTATACATGTATACTGAAATTGAACAATTAAGTAAATGCGTAGATGGTAAAAGCCAGATTTCTTACTGTTAGAGTGAGAGTTCAGAAATAAGTCAGGGTAAGAGTCTAGAATGATCCACATCGTAAGGGATTGGAGTTGTAGGTATCAGTATTAAGCAATTTTTAGTTTAATATAGATACAGATGGTTACATATATAACTATTTATATAGATGTCTATACACACATTGGCATATACTCATACATATATTTCTTTGCTCTGTTTACTGACAAGTCGCAGGAGGAGCAACATGCCAGTATCAATGAGCACACCTATCACCCAGATCTTGGTTTCTAATACCTTCTCCTATAAAAGGAACCATGCATCCTTGGAGAAATGGCTGAATTTTGGACTGGGGCAGGAAATATATAAGATGAACATGGAGCATACAAACAAACAAAACCCACATTGAGGTTTGTCAAAGGGACAAAGGAGCCAACTGAAATAGCTTCCAATGACTAAAGGCTGGAGCAATTCAAGCACCAAAATAAAACAGCATGGGATTATGACCCAATGTGTACAATAAATATCCTTGAGGCCATAAAAATGAATGATAGACTAAATCAGCAAATGGAGAGAAGAGAAAAATCTACTGTACAGAAAAATTTCAAATAACTTATGTAGATATTTTGCTCTCAAAGAAGTGGAGCATAACTTCCCACTATCTAAGTGTGAGCCACACGTAATGATTTTCTTCGAAAAAGTACCATATGGGAAAGGAGAAAAAAGAGTAACTTTAGGGTGGAGAGACTGAACAAACACCACCTCAATCAGGTGACCAAGGTCAATGCCAACAGTGATAAATCATGTTGATGGTACATATCCTTCATACAATGTGATGAAAATGGCAGGGATGCCCACTATTACCACTTGTGTTATACATTGGAGCAGAGCCAGTAGACAATTCAAATAGGCAATAGAAAGAAATTAAAAGTATGAAAATTGCAAAGGTGGAAGTGAAACTATCATTATTTGCAGACAATATAATTGATATATGAAATTCCCAAGAGAATCAACTCTACATGGTAATATAGAAAGGTAGCAAGGCACAAATTAATATTAGAAAGCAGTAATATTCATATATGCCAGTGATAAAATTCCTAAAAATAAATTGTGTAATATAAGTATAAATAAGGAGAAAACTTAAAAACATTAATGAAGAATATTATAGATTTGTACAAATGAAAATACATAAAATATAATTGCTATAGTCTGAATATTTGTGAATGGGATTAGTGACCTTATAAAGGAGGCCTCAGAGAGCTTGTCCATCTCTTCAGTTACCTGAAGACACAGCTAGAAGTTGCCATCTTTGAAGCAAAGAGTGAACCCTCAACAGACACTGAATCTCTGGGCAGCCTGGGGAAAATATTTGCAACAATAAGCAAAAGACTAATTTCCCTAATGTAAATGAACTCCTAAAAACTAATAAGGAAAAGATAAACGATTCAATGGAAACATACACAAAAGATATGAACAGATACTTCCCTGAAATACAAATGACTTCTAAACATAAATATGCTCAACCTCATCAGTAATAAGAGAAATGCAATTTCAAACTAACTCAAATATGTTTCTTCACTTATCAGATTGGCAGAAATCCTTTGATGCTGTTCTTTACTGTTCGATAATCTTGGCAAAGATGTAGAGAACTACAGAATCATACAATGCTTATAGATAAATTGATTACTGAAAGGAATTCAGCAACAATTATCAAAATTATACAGGTGTGTTTTGTGTGTGTGTGTGTGCACACATGTATCTCCTTTGCCTCAGCAGTCCCACAAGTGAGAAGTTATCCAACAGATTTAGCTGCAAGTGTACAAACTGATCCATGTGCCATATTATTTATTTTAGCACTATTAGTAATAACACAAGAAGAGCAGTCCCAAATGTCAGTCAGTAGATAACTGGTTAAATTTAAAGGCATTCTTTGCATCTATTAAAAATATATGAGAAAGATTACTATTCACTGATATGGAGAGTTCTCCAACACATATAGTTAAGGGAAAAAAGCAAGGTGTAAAATTGTGTATGTAATATACTACCTTTTGTGTAGAAAGGCAAGAAATATATAATTATCTATATACAAGTTTGCTCATACATGTGTAAAGTAACTCTGGAAAAACAAGAAACAAATGGCTGTGATTATTTGGGTTAGAGGAGTGATGGCAACCTGATCAAGGGGACTGAACTTTTGTTGAATGCTTTTGGTTTTATTTACATTTGAACCATTTTTAGGAGTTACTTATTCAAAAAGTTAAATAAGTTGACTCCTAT
This sequence comes from Homo sapiens, assembly GCF_000001405.40. Classification (NCBI taxonomy): domain Eukaryota; kingdom Metazoa; phylum Chordata; class Mammalia; order Primates; family Hominidae; genus Homo; species Homo sapiens. The sequence goes on from NC_000007.14 coordinate 19,740,503, forward strand.
TTGCTCAAGGCAAAATTATGATGTAAATATTAAGAAAAAATAGCCCATCAAGATTCATTGTTATTCAGTTTTGTGTTCTCCGTGGCTATTTAAAAAATACTAACAAAAACTCCCTAATCTGTACATACTCAGAATGTGTATTTGGAATGAGAGGGTGGCACCCCTTTTTGGGGTGGGCCAAGGAGCTCTGCTAGCGTTTTTTCAACCACAACCACCGAGGTCATTGTTTTGCCTGCCTATATCCAAGGCTGGTTTTGCATGTGGAATTGAAATGAATTCAGAATCTGGAGGGTCAGGTATTTCAGGAACAAACTCAAAAGTTCCATAGAGTAGTTTATAAGAATTGAGTACAGAAATAAATTAAGCCTATCATGGAAGATTGAGGTTGAAGGCTGAGCGTAGTTTTCTTCTTAAATATAATGAAGGATAAACCACTACATGTTGAAGTAGATGCAGCCTCCACCTTCAATAACTAACATATTTCATCTTTATTTAGAAAGTAGCTTGTAGTTCCCACACATTCATAATAGTTGCTGAAATAAAGTCTTCATTTTGTAAAGCATTTTGATAGTCTCTCGACCCTCTAGAAAAAACAGATGGATTGAAAAAGGAATTATGCTCTGTGACGGGCGAGTTTATGAAGAAAATAAATTATGGATCTAAGAAACCATTTCAAACCTCATATGAATCTCCATATAAACAATGGAATTCAATGTGTTATTTCGTTTGCAATTACTGGCATTGTTAGAGTGACAGATCATCTACTTGTTATATCCAGCTTTGCCATAGCCTCTCTGACAAAGCTGTGCTGTTGAAATAATATTTCTAGATGACATAATGGAACTTCAGATGAAATGAATGAATCAGTAAATGCATTGATGAGTGTATTTACAGTATCCATGGGGAGGTACAAAAATTAATCAATTTCAGCCAATTTTAAGGCACATAACTGGGTGCAATTAATCATCACTGAATCAAATCCAGTTAATTTAAACATTTGAAAACAGTTATGGTTAGTCATGATAGATTAATTCTTTTCTGAATGGTAGCATTTGAAAATAACTTGGATGGTGTTGACCTTCCACATGTCACAGTCATGACACTGTGTGTTTCAGAAAGTTCTTTCTCAGTCCTCAGATGTTGTTGAGATGTCAATACAAATAGACTTTTCTACATAAAAGTCACTGAAAAAGACAGTACTTTTGCACTGAGTGATGATTGCAAAAATATGTTTTAGAGATGAGAAGTAATTTCCCAAACTAGAAAAGACTCTGTTTTTAATTGTTAAGACAGAAAATGATTTGCAAAATTTACCTAAGAGAATATATTCCAGTAGTTGATTCACTTTCTCTCAAACACCAGGTTTGGCTTCAGAATTTATGCAGAATAGCTTTTCCCTTTTGGCAAAACTGAAAGTTGGACAACGTCTTAGCACTTTCATCTGAATGCTGAGATGCTATTACCTGCTATTGACTGGTTCACTGTTCTGAGTGATTGTAGTTCAATCTCCTCTTTAGACCCCTTTTTAGCCTTGATGCACACACTATCCTAATATCATCTAGAATCTTGCATCTGGACGAAATCCAGATACTTTTCGTTCAGTCAAGATCAGATAACGTATGAACAGTCAAAATATATTAGAAAATGTCTCAGGACATTAAAATATCAGAATACATTTTTAAATAGGGTCAATTTCTTTGTTATCTTATGGTTATTTTAACCCATCAGGTACTATACTTTTCATGCCATGCCTATCTAAAACACAATTCCTAAAGGAGAGAGGCATCTCACTTTCTGATTGAAAACAATGACTGGTCTTCGAAGGACTATAACCAAAGCTGTTGCCATCTTTTTTGTTTGTCCTTTCCGAGGAAAAAGAGTATGCTCTCACAGGGAGAGTATGGTGCCCTTAGAGGAACTTCCTTAAACCCCAGGGCTTACGTCATATTAATAATAATCCTGACTTTATGACTCTGCTTGAAATCCTTTGTAAGATATCACTGAAAGTAAAGAGACATCGCTCCATTTGACGACATATGTTTTATTCAATAATCCTATCTGAATGTGCATCTATCCAGTGTCAACACTCTTGGGAATGAGGCAGTGTATAAAAGCTGCCGATGCTATTTGCCTGTTTCTTCTCCACAGGTAGTTTGTGAGGACTCAGTTTTGGCTGTCTTAACAACTGGACCCACTTTAGTCAGAATAATCTGAGTTCCAAAGCATCCACAATAATTTTTCAAATAATGACTTCCATAGACCATTATATTGGAATGACATGGGGATACTTTTTAGAAATGCAGACTCATGTAAGAGTCCTGAAGGGAGCAGCAATTGATGTCTCACATACTCTAAGGACTCCCTAAGCTTTTATGATGGACAAGGTTCTTCTCTTTCCTAAAAGGTATGGACTCTCATAGAGAACACTTGTCTTTCCATTCCCAGGTGTTAAGACAGTTGTCAGAGAAGCACCTTGTCAGGAGTCAGTGTCTTGTTCATACTTATCTCCATTAGCTATGGGGAGAGGAGGTTACTGTTGCTTTCTCTAGATCCTGTTGACCTTTTATGCCTTTGCATGGGAAGTTTTGTGTAGTTTGTCTTTGAGAGGCTCATTTCCCCCATCAAAGAACTGGTGGTATATCTGGGCTTTTAAGTTCTTTAAGCTTTGTTTGTTTTTCTGTTTGTCATGATGAGGGATCATTTCTGGGGATCAGACTACCTGGATTGAAGGGAAGGTGGAGCTATCATCCCAGATAGAGCCCCTAAGGAATGAGAGAATGGCCTCTTCAAGAGGTATTAACAAAAGTAGTTGTCTCACCCAACTTTTTCTGTCTTTCTCTGTTTGTTTCACTCTCTCTTTTCAGAGATTCTAGAGCAGTTGATTTGAGGCCTTTGAAATAAACACAGGGAAGAATTTTACTCTCACTCTGTGAGTCAGTATTATAGTCTATATTACTTAGCCATGCTCTCTCTGTTTGTATCAATTTTATAATAAATATTTTGGATCAGGTATAAAAGTATGATTTTCTTCCTGAATACATTTATGCCAGAGGTCATCAGTATACATAATTGGACTGTGAAAACGAAGGGGTTGGAAATAGTAAGCTAGAATGAGCTGTTTCCAAACTCTATGGGAAATCAACGAGTTAAAGAGCACTATTTATAACTCACTTGAAATTTCCTGAGGGAGAAATATCTCATCTCTCCACATACCTAGTTTGTTAAGTTCAAACTGGTTTTAAAGGAAAGCAAACATGAATTACATCTTTCCAGTACCTGGTTCAATTTGATTTGCCACAGAGTCCTAAAATCTTGACAAGGCAAATAGGGAGAATTTTAAATCAAATCTCAAAAGGAAATATTGGAGACTTATATAATTGAAAAGTAATTATACATTTCTCATTGTCTCAAAAAATCTAAAATAAGATCTTACAAGAACATGAATCAGAATCTTGTCTGATCCGAATCAGATAGAAGATTCTGGTAAATGAATATGGAGGGTGAGGTTTTTAAGGACTAGATTGTGGAAGAAAGCGTTATAATTGAAGTACAGTAATGGTCTAGGTGATTTATAAACTTAAGCTAATAAAAGACCCAGGGAAGATGCTGAGTTTCTGAATTATTTAAGAATAGTTATGAATGGTGGTTTCTGAGCCTCGTTGATTTGTGTTGTTAATGTAACAGCTTTCAGCTTTCTCTGGATAAACAGGACCATCATAAAATAATTTTAACTCTTTTTCTAGCCTTTCACTGATTCATTTATTCATTACTCAGCAATTTTCTTAGGCCTGTGCAGTTGCATACAAGATTTAACACTTGTATGTCTTTGTAGTATTATAAGATGATTCTACAGAGAATAAAAAATAACTTATACTCTCTACAGAGCCAGACAATAGGTGCTGGTTCTTAAAGAAGCAAAAAGATTAAGCCTGACAGATTTTCTGTTTCCTGGAGTAACAGTGTGCTTTTACTGAAATACCCACAAAGGTTGCAGCAAGAAATAATAGTGTAGCAAAAAGAAATAATTTGGGAGCATAAAAAACATGTGGGTTTTGGGTTTTGGAGAAAATATTAAACACTGCACTCTATCAATATCCCTTAGGGGTACAATTCTTAGCCTTAACAAAAAACAATTTATAAGATATCTAACGATGAAATTTACCCTCATCATCCAGTTCCTTTACTTTGCTGTTAAATCAAGAATGACCCCAAATGGAAACATTTCTGAATATTCTTTTGGAATAAATTCTCAAATTTCAATAGTTTACTTTTTTCAAAAGTTTGTAACACTGACTACCTGAGTTCTCTCTCCCAATATTTCTGGGAATACTGAAAAGAACATTCTTTAAGTGTTTTTATTTTGTGTGTAGAGAAATAAAGATGCAAAACAAAAAAAGCCAACAACAACAAAACAGCAAATCAGTGGCAGAATTTTAATGACAATTGAAGCTTGGGATTTCCTAATTATTCCTTATTGTGCCCATTACAGTCATCTCTCCATATGTGCAGGAGATTGGTTTTGGGACCACCGTAGATCCTGAAACCTGATGATGCACAAGTCCCTTATGTAACAAGGCACACTATTTGCATATCATCTTCCTACACTCTTCTATATACTTTAAATTATCTCTAAATTACTTTTAATGCAAAGACAATATAAATGCTACTATGTAAATAGTTGTTATACTATATTGTTTTTCTATGTGTATTATTTTTATTGTGGTACTCTTATTTTTATCATTTTTCTCAATTTTTAAAAAATCTGCAGTTGGTTGAATTGGTGGATGCAGAACCTGCGCATAGGGAGGGCCAACTATTCTTGGTTTCACATTAGCACTAAGTATATTGGAAACACCTTGTCACAAAATACTCTATTTAATAGATCAATTATAAATTGCTCCCAGTAAAAAGATTTTTACTGGGAGGGAAGGGTTGATAATGAGTATGCCTGTCACCTTAATTTTCACCTTTCCCTGAAGATTCTTTTTTTCCCTCACAATCACTATCACACTTAGGCTTCCCACTGTATCTCTTGCCCAGCTGGGGATAAAGCCTAACACAGCTAGAATAAATTTATTTCCATTTATCTATTAACACAGCTAAAATAAGTTAATATTTTCAAAGAGACATGGCTAGAAAATAAAGAAGTACAAGAGGAAAATTAAAGCACGAATCTTCTTCCTGGTGCATAATTCATCTAATATGCCGGCCCTGTTCCATCCCACATCCTGTTGGAGGCACCCAGTGAGCCAGTACTGGGGATGCTGAGAGGACATCAAACCTTAGGAGACAAAGGCCACTTCCATGGTCATCTGCTCCTAATTGAAATTGTCCATTGGCGTATTCTATGGGTTATTTTAATAAAAATTATGGTCTTTTGGCATTTTGTTCTGATTGATATCCAGATTTTAAAAAATCAAATAACTCAGAGGACCTATATTTTATTTATTTTAAAGTGCTAAGTCATAAAAATACATGATTGCTGAAAGGTGAGATACACAGAAGAACTACATTTTGTGCTGCAGGACATGCACATTCATAGGTTGAAGCTAATACTACTAAAAGTTCTGTTCTTTGACCTACCTGGGAAATTGGGGTAGTCTAAAACGTTACCTATTATTTCTGAATCTAAATGCTAGCTCCAAGAACAATGGAAAGGAGTTATATAGAGGAAGACTTTAACCGATCATCAGTAAATAATTTCTAATCAATAGAGCTGTCCACAACATAGCTTAAGTTTCCTCATAACATAAATGAGGTCCGTTAAACGGGAAATGTTTAGGGAGTCAGTAAATGAGTACCACGTGGGAGTACAGAGGATAAGACTGGTACAAATCTGGCAAGAAGTTGAAGTAGAATCCTATGAAATATACCGACTCTCTTTTTAATTGTAATTTACCACGTGGCTAGATGCTCAATTTTCAAAGAAATGTAGATGCTCAATTTTCGAAGAATTGGAGTTCAGTGACGTATATGTGGCACTATGTAATTCATCTTTGATAAAACAAGTCAATTTAGGCTATTTCAGTGTCCTGGGATATTTATTGTTGTGAATATAAATTACTGAACTCATAGCTATATGCATGAATTGGTTAATTAAGGCTACTGAATCCAGAATTCCAGATAACAGCTTTCTATAACCAAAGAGACAACCACACTATTTTTACTTTTCTTTTGATTAAAGATCATAGCAGATAACTCTTTATGGTTTGTATTGCATAAAATTATAATTGGCATCCACATACAAATTTTGTATTTTGGGCCACCTTCCAAAATAATTAATTGATTTGTATATTTTATAGCACTGCCTGAGTTAGACGAGGTTCAAGGGGGCTTAATTGCCTTGCTCAGAACCTCAGCAGGAAGGAATTATTACTGCCTGATCTAGATTTAGAACGTATGAGATTTTTTCATTTCTGTCTTTTACACTGTAGTTCTTTCTTTGGAATTAGGTAAATCATAGAAAATCCCGGCCGGGCGTGGTGGCTCACGCCTGTAATCCCAGCACTTTGGGAGGCCGAGGCGGGCGGATCACGAGGTCAGGAGATCGAGACCATCCCGGCTAAAACGGTGAAACCCCGTCTCTACTAAAAATACAAAAAATTAGCCGGGCGTAGTGGCGGGCGCCTGTAGTCCCAGCTACTTGGGAGGCTGAGGCAGGAGAATGGCGTGAACCCGGGAGGCGGAGCTTGCAGTTAGCCGAGATCGCGCCACTGCACTCCAGCCTGGGCGACAGAGCGAGACTCCGTCTCAAAAAAATAAATAAATAAAATAAAATAAAAATAAAAAATAAAAATAAAAAAAAGAAAATCCCTATTATGTTTGTGGTGATTTTTACTCTCTGAGGTTAAACCTCTTTACAGTTGAGTTGATTATATGTCATAATTTTAATGAACTAAATATGTATTTAGGTTTAGGGAAGAGGAACACAATCTATAGTTACAATAATAAAAAGGAATGGAGTAATGTTTATCAAGCACTTGCTAGGTAACAGCCTCTAGGCTAAACATTTTGCACACATCATCTAAATGAACCTCTATATTTCAGCTGAGAAAACTGATCCTCAGATACATTTTTTTCATGTCATACAGCAGGCAAGTGGCAGAGTTGGCGTTTGAACTTCAGCCTTTTTAACTCTAGAGGCTAACCTCATTTGGAATTTTTCAATTATGATTTTACCTGAACCCTCTCAGTATTTGGTTGTTTTATTTTCCTCTATTAGAACTAAACTTCAGTTTTGTCTCTTGACAGAAAAATATTTTGTTAGTGTGGTAACAGAAACCAAAGACAGCTGCTGGTTATTTAATGAAGATCAGATCTTGGGTGATTGTGATGCGATGGGATAGGATGGAATACATTTGGGTCCACAGTATGGTGAGGGAGCTTTTCTCCCTAAAGGTTATTGGATTCTAGTCTCCGAAGAAGTACTTTCCTACCACTTGGTGGCAGTAGCTCCCAATTAATTAACAACTAAAATATTGATCGTTACCTCTAACTGGGAGTGATTTGTAAAAAGGATTACTTCCTTCAATTAATTAATTTTTCCATGTAATACATGTATTTCCACTGGTCTCTCCCATGCATATTTATTTATTATTTATTATGATTATGATTTTCTGGGGCATTGCTTACAATGCTATCCTGCATCTCCTAAGTTAAAATCCTTGCGTTTTCCTTTATAACAAAGTTTATACATAATGACAATATAAAGGTTTCCTTCATTCAACCTTATAGATTCAGAGATGTTCACTGTGGCTGTCCAAAAAAAAAAAAAAAAAAAAAAAAAAAACAGTGTAATGACAGAACTTAGAAAGAATGAGAGCTTATCAAACCAGAATTAGAAGAGACATTATAATCATTGAGCATTAACTTATTACTATGCATTTACAATAATCGAGGAACTTTAAGTGTGTTGTCTCTATACACACAACCAGTCCATTTTATAGAACAAGAAACAGGCTCAGAGAAATTTAAGTGATTCTGTCCGCTTAAACGCAGTGTATACAGCTCATAAATGGCAGAAGCAGGACACAAATCCAGTCGTCTGACATAAACATGTCCACCCTCCTCTGTGTCATGCTCCGTCTGATGATGGTAGTACTATGCCTAAGGGAAGACATGTACAGAAAGACTTCAGGAGGGAATATCAAAATTCTAAGAATGCTGAACTCTCCAACGTAAAGACAAGTAAAAGAAATGAGTTCATAGTGATCAAGATACATTTTGCTTAGCTAAAAGGCAAGTGGAAATTTGGAGTGGTCTACTAGAATGAGATAAGGCAGAAAGTTTTTTAGGAGGTAGAGACAATATTTGCCTTAAATAATTATATGAAATTGAAAGCAGAAGACTAGAATAAAAAATTACTATTCCTTAAAATCATGTTTTCTTAGCATATGTTAGGTCACAATAAAATGTTTATATGACTATTTTCAATTTAATAAAATATTGGAATATAACATTTTATGCACATTTTATTCTTAAACTAGAAAATTATTATGAATCAATGTAAATAGTGATTATCTCTGAGTGGCAGGATTATTGGCAATTTTAATGTCATTTTGTTATTTTGTATTTTTCCAATTTTCTACAGTAAACTTGTAAAAAATGATAGGATACTAAGTATAATATTTCCAGAAATTTGTCCTGATCACTTTATTTAGGCCATTGGTCTATGGCTTTTACATTTATAGGAGTTAATATATGAACAAGATAAAAATAAACCAAGAGAAGCCACCCTTCTTAGAAGTGGAGGAAGACCTACTTATAACACGTGATACGGAGAGAGCCAATCAAAATATTTCCCTCTCTTGGCTTAAGTTCCTACTATGTGAATGATTCATTTGAATTAAGTCACAGATTCCCCAAAAGCCATCCATTTAGCATGTAACCTATAAAGTGGGTGGGATTTGCATTCACAAAATTAGTATCCAAGTGGGAAAACACCTTCATCTTGCTTTGTGCGCATGTCACAAACCCTTGGTAATAACCCAGAGCAATGCTAAATGTCCTGGAAAGTTCTGCTCTTTTTTTTAAATAAATTTTTTTGTGTATATTTAAATGTATGGAACATGATGTTATGGGATACATATAGATAATAAAATGGTTACCATAGTGAAACAAATGAACATATCCATCATCTCTTTCAATGCAAGGAGAGAACAAGGCCTTTTGTAAGTTAGCCTTGTATTCATTAACAACTTCTCCAGATTTTTCTCATCTATTTTTGTTGTCTCCTTTATTTCCCTCACTCACAGTTCGTACCTCCAAATACACAACACTCACAAACAATTCTCCTACGTATTGAGGCTAAGCTCAGCCCGCTGCAGTGGAAATTAGAGTGTCAGTGAGTCATGCAATCTTAACTTGCCTGCAATCATAACTCGTCTGGCATAACTATACTACTCTCATTCCTTGCTTGACAAGTTTTCACAGTTTAGGATCAATGTCTTCCATTAACAAAGGCAGCCTTTTATATCCTAAATGACTTTGATTGTTAGAAAGTTCTCTCTCTCATTAAGCCTGAAGATTTTATACCCAGCATGTCTACCCATTGTCTACACATTAAGACAAGAGCACCATTAACCCTGGATCTTCCCCTAGGAAAAACATGCCCTAGCTTCTCAGCCATTTTCATGATCATTCTCTCCAAAACGTTCTGTTGTCTTTCTCTCTCTTTAAGAGTCAGCAAAACTTCCCATTCCTCTAAAAGAGTAGATTTTAAATGTTCTTGTCACACACACAAAAGATAAGTATGCAAAGTGATGGATATCTTACTTAGTTTGATTTAATTATACCACAATGTAAGCATATATCAAAACATCACATTGTAGCCATAAATATATACAATTATTATTTGGCAGTTAAAAATGAAACTACAATGCAAATGAATAAATTGGAAGACCTTTTTCTGTTAGTCAGAAGAGGATTTTTTTTTTAGCAAATTTCCAAGTAGTTGAGGTATTTAATCATTATTATGTCCTTACACATATTCGTATCTCACAAGAACTCCTTAACACATGTCAGCCTTAAGCTGGTGAAAAGTTGCTCTGGGGTTGTAAATACTTTTAAGCAGTGGTCCTCTGGTGCTTTACCGAGACCAGGCCATTTTCTACTCCCAAATAGGACAACAGAGATTAAAATATATGGGGTCTACAGTGCTTAGCAGTCTATAAACAAGTACCATTCATTATGCAATTTATTTCCTTTATAGGCAGTTCTATCCTTTTACAGAACTCAATAAAAATAACATCATTCCTTCAGAAATAGAGTGAATCTTGCACAATCTACACCAAAAATATACCTTCAGAATATCTGAAAAAGAACAATCATATATTATATCTTTTAAAATATTGGTTTTAAAGGTTGTAATTCCCCAACGCTATTTCCTTGAAAAGTGTTTTGTTTCCAAAGGTATCTGTAAAGGAGTAACTGTAATATGTGGATCAAGTTAAGAGGAATGGTTAAAAATGTAATGCATTCGAAGTTTCTCCCTCATTGTTGAGGAAAGACTCTCTGATTCGAAATAAAGGATGTCATGATTATTTTTATTTTATATATTTCTTGTTAGAGAAGAAATAGGAAGATGCAGAATGGCATGATTTTTCCACTAAACCATGTGAAGAAGAAATATAAATGTTGGAAGAGAAAATAATTCCTCTCCCTTGACAAGATAGATAGCATGATGATTCTGCAACAGCTAACAGAATGCAACTATACAGGGGAGAGAGGTATCTGCAATGGCTTTTCACGTTGAGCTGCTAGTTTCTGAAGCACTAGTGGAACCGTATTTATGCTCCAGGACATTTTTCATTCTGGGAAAAGGTTAATTGATAGGTGCTGTCCACAAAGGTTTGGAATATAAAACCAGCACTGCTCTTTAGAACCAAGGCTTAAAAGAAACCAATGGAGTATGACACAATGGTTAAGAGTACAGACTTTGGAGTCAGACAGACATGTGCTGTAAATTTGGCTGTGTCACACACAAGTGGGACTTATAGCAGCTAATTAAAGTCTCTGACTCTCAATTTTCCCATTGGTAAAATGGATGTACTCCTGCAGGTATGCTGATACTTATCTAAAAGTGCTGTTAAAAATATTAACGTGATAATGCTTATGATATTTTTGGTATATTTCTAATGTCCAATAAACTATAAATAAATGGAGCTGTTAATAATTATTATTAAAATTTTATAACTTTTGAGCATCTGATGGGTACAGACCAGTGTCAGAATTCCTAACAGAATTATAAAGAATATTTTATACTTTTATTTTCTTATTTACAGGATCTTCCCTTGTACCAAAACTGTGTGTATGTTTGCTTCAGAATACTCATGTTTCCTCATCCATGGAGGCAGATTTTCCTACATCACACCAATATATATACTCAGGGATTTGAGTACCATTGTTCTCTGCAACCTCTGGCCCTAATACACTAAGCTACAATTAACAAGATTTCAAGGATTGTAAGTGGACTGTCTTCTGGAAAATAATTGTGTATTAATTTCTATTTACTCCAAAGGAAGTCTTCGAAATGCTACCAATCATACTTGTTTCTGAATGTCATGTTTTAAAGCATAATGTTATATTCAGATTGTGTCGATGCTCCAAGAAACTAAAGAATAACATAAGATGTTGGTCATCATAAAAGCTTATGTCTAGTTTTGGCTCAGCCTACAATCATTTTGCAATTCAGTGTGCATGTAGCCAGATGCACAGCAGTTAATGAAAGAGATCTAGACTTACATTGTCAGCTTCAGACTCAAAACATGAATCTCAATCCTGTTTCCACTCACCACTTTTCCTGTGTCTATTACTCTTATTACTGTTCTCTCAAAACTCAAAGACACTATTGATTCCCCTCTCCTCCTACGTCATTTTCATCACATTAATTACAGTGTGCCATTACTTTTATATCCACAGTGAAATTTAGCTTTTATTCAAGGCCTCACCAGCCCTTAACAGGATTATTTAAGGGCTTTTGAGCGAGTCCCTCTGCCTTTAGTTTCTCTAATATCACTCACTCTAAGTTCATTCCTAGTATGATTTTTAGCACCTTATTAGTGCCTTATTTTCTCGTTCAATTTTTTTAATTTAATTTTATGTATTTCTTTCTTTCTTTCTTTCTTTTTTTGAGATGGAATCTCGCTCTGTCACCCAGGCTGGAGTGCAGTGGCCCGATCTTGGCTTAGTGCAACCTCCGCCTCCCAGATTCAAGCGATTCTCCTGCCTCAGCCTCCCGAGTAGCTGGGACTACAGGTGCGCACAACTACGCCTGGCTAATTTTTGTATTTTTAGTAGAGACAGGGTTTCACCATGTTGGTCAGGCTGGTCTCGAACTCCTGACCTCGTGATCCACCTGCCTCAGCCTCCCAAAGTGCTGGGATTACAAGCATGAGCCACCCGCCCGGCCTTTTTGTTCAATTTTTAAAATCAATGTCTCTCCAAATTTCTTGGCCTGGCATCAGGGCCCAAATGGATGGTTCCAAGCCAATTTGACAACTGGTCTACTGTGGATCTTCTACAGCCAAAGTGCACTTAAATTATTCTGTACACTCTCAGTTTATCCCTTTTTGCATATTCTACTTCTCTTCTTGGACAGTTTTATTCTTATTCTTACTATTCTCCAGGGTCCATCTGAAATTCTCTGCTCAGATAAAATCCCATCTTTTTCTCCTAATTCTCAGAGTACCTTTTTTATGTGGCTTATTACGTTTTGACTCATAAATATTTATATGCTTATTATCTCTGTTACTACCCCTTAAGCACTTTAAAGAGAAGTCTATTTTTTATTCTATGTTATAACCACCACCAGCACCCTACTCCCACTCAGAATAAATCAAAGAGGTACAATTTATCTAAACTCATTTTCTTACCCCTTCCCAAACCTGCCTTCATTTTTGTTTTTCTGATCTCAGCACATGTTCATTCTCTTTAACCCAGGCAGAAAGTCCGACTTAATTGCCAATCTTTTCAACCCATGTTTTTAAAAGCGTGACTCCCATGAAGTCTTGTCGAATCTGCATCTATAATTTTTCACGTAATTCCATTGCTCTTGGTGTTCCCTTCATTCTGACTCTTAATTTTAATATTAAAGGCATACACAATCCCCCTGCCTCTAATTCTTCACACTATTCCCTAGGTGATTATTCTTAAAATAAATTGATTCTAGTCTCCCTTATCCTCAAACATTTTTTGTACCTGTTCATTTCTAAAGAAGAAGGCTTCAAATCCTATAGTCTAATACTCAGGTTCCTCATAGTTGGACCAAGCCTACCTCTTCAAGCTCCCTTCTTTCTGTTCATTCTGTGCTTAGAAACCAACATTCTCTTGGCCATTCTCAAGCTCTCATAGGCCTTGCCTCCACGAGTTTGGAATATCTCTCCTCCTCTCTTTTCAAGCTCTCTCTACTTTGTTTTTCCAGGTTTGCCACCGAAGGCACATCTTTCATGAAGTCATCTATGACCCTCTTCACCTTCCTTGTGCATCCACAGGATTTGCATACACTTTATTGTGTATTGAACTATATTTATGTGGATTGAGTAGGAGGTAGTGTAGCTTAGTGATAAGGAATGACTACTCTGGAGTCATACTGACTGGGTTTGCATCATGGCTCTCCCATTTTCTGGCTGTGTGGCTTTGAGAAAGTTACTTATTTTTCCACAGTTTCCTCTTTACTGAGATGCATAACAGTGTACACTTCATAGAATAGCTGTAAATGTTAAATAAAATTGTAGGTATAAGTCACTTGGAAGAATTCAAGTGCTCGCTATCTATTATTGTTTGCAGGTATGTTTCTTCTAACAACTCTAAAGCCCTTGGATCCAGAGTCCAGTCTATTATTTATATTCAAATTCTCAGCCAAGTGCTTCATTCAAAGTTAGCCCAATAATTATTTGTCAAATTGATTCACTGGAAGCAGATGAAAAAAATCATCAGAATTTCCAAAAAGAGAATATGATTAAATGTTAATATTATAATTACAACTCTAATCAGTAGAATACAGATGGGAATCTTTTACAAGTAATCTGAAAGCTTGCAATACATCGTGAGCATTGTTTGAAGTGTGTTGTTGCCAGAGTGCAGGTTTTGATGAAATTCTTTTCTGTAGTCATGGGCTAAAAGCTTGTCAACTAACTACTCGTGGCCATGAACTATAAGAAAAAGGAAAAAGAAAAAAAAAAGTTCTGCAATTCAGAACAGAACCTCTAGGTGGCGACTCTATCTTCCTTTGTTATTTATTTACCTTAAGCAAGTCAATTAATTCTCTGGGCTTCATCTTCAAAAAGAGACAGTTGGATCACATGAAATTGTGAATCTCTCCCAGCTCTGACATTTTCTGATCACGAATCTATATAACCCTATTTTTTCCCACTCATTTTTAGCAGGCATTTCTTCGGTGTCTACCATGATGAAAATCACAGCTGATACAGCACTTATTATTTATAATGAAATGATTCTCTCCATTCTTTTTATAAGAATAAGGAGACTAATGGTAATATCACGTAACTATGGTCTTAAAGGGACAATTCATGTGAAAGTGCTCAATCTTGGGTTATGGTACATGGCAGGTGTTAATAAATGTTTATCTTCCTCCTTCCATGTGAAAAATTTCTTTTTGAACATCAGGATTCAGTGCAATTATTAACTTTATTTGTGATGCTTTCTTTAACCTTTCTACTTAGGCAAAATCTAACAAAATATTGTTTTAATGCATATTTTAACACTGATGCCCTGATCATACTTTTTGGTAATTATTAATTATATATCTGTCATTGCAAAAGGTTTTAAACTCCTCCTGGTCGACTGCTATTAAAATATATATTAAACCTTTATCACTAACATGAGACGTGCACATACAAAAATTTCAGTGAATGTTTGGTGATGAATAGATCGATGAGTGAATGAATTTCAGTTCAGTGGGAGAAGTGGGAAATAGTCTTCCCTTGCCTGGAACACTTTTGGTACTTGCCAGATTATACTATACTTGAAATCCCACTAATAAAAAGTAACAGAGAGACTTTGATTTTACTAGTAAAAAAATAAGATTGAAAGTATTGTGTCATGGGTACAAATAATTTAAGGGTTCATTTTGAGAAATGCTGTACTGTAACACCTGTTTCTGGTGTCACTACAAGGCAAATAAGCCAATTCTGCCTTTCCAGTTTATGAATATGCCAAAAAATAACACAAATTGTCTTAAAGACTTTCCTCATCTATTGTTAATGTCTTAGCAAAACAAAATGTGAGGCCAGGCGTGGTGGCTTATGCCTATATTCCAGCACTTTGGGAGGCTGAGGCAGGCAGATCACTTGCAGCCAGTAGTTTGAGACCAGCCTGGCCCACATGGCAAAACCCTGTCTCCACTAAAAATATAAAAATTAACCAGGCATGCTGGCATATGCCTGTAATCCCAGCTACTCAGGAGGCTGAGGCACAAGAATCGCTTGAACCTGGTGGGCAGAGGTTACAGTGAGTCAAGATTGTGCCACTGTACTCCAGCCTCCAGCCTGGACAGCAGAGTGAGACTCTATTTAAAAAAAAAAAAAAGCATGAAGTTTCCTGACCAGCTACTCATTTCTTTTGATCAAAAAAAAAAATGTATTCAGACAAAAGCTATGCAATAGAAATCTAATGTAAGCCACAAATGCAAACCACATATATCACTATTCTTTTTAGTAGTACATTAAAAGATCAAAAGGGGGATTTCAGCAATGTAGTTTATTTAATCTAATATATAAAAAGTATTGTCATTTTTCCATGTAATCAACATAAAACGACTTGAGACATTTTACATTCTTTTTTCCATACTCAGTCTTTGAAATCTAGTATGTATTTTTTACCTGTAGCACATCTTTGTTTTTTAAACTTTTATTTTAAAAGTTACGTGTGTAGGAGTACATCTGCAGGTTTGTTATATGGGTAAACTTGTGTCATGGTGGTTTGTGGTATAAATTATTTCCTCAACCAAGTATTAAGCCTAGATTCATTAGTTATTTTTCCTGATCCTCTCCCTCCTCCCATCGTCCACCCTCTGAAAGGCCCCAGTGTGTGTTGTTCCCGTCTATGAGTCCATATGTTCTTATCATTTAGCTCTCTTATAAGTGAGCTAATGTCTTATTAGCTCACTTTAAAAGTGAGCTCTTATTAAAAGTTCTTATTGAAAGACATTAGCTCACTTATAAGTGAGAACATGTGGTATTTGGTTTTCTGTTCCTGTGTTAGTTTGCTGAGGATAATGGCCTCTAGCTCCATCCATGTCCTGCAAAAGACCTGATCTTATTCCTTTTTATGTCTGCATAGTATCCCAGGTATATATGAACCGCATTTTCTTTATCCAGTCTATCACTGATGGGCAATTAGGTTAATTCCATGTCTTTGTTATGGTGAATAGTGTAAAGCACATCTTAATTCACACTAGCCACATCTCAAGTGCTCAATAGCCACATGTGGCTATTGGCTACTACATTTTACCATGCAAGTCTAGATGAGGCACAGTTCCAGTAATGGCTACAAGTCAAGAAAAGACAAGTTTCTTCCCAAATATCTTATCACTCAGAAAATACAATGTTTTCCTAAATTAGCTCTAAAGGCAGTTTGCTTTTTACCTGCATAAGTTTTCTGATAACCTATAGTGTAATATCCCCAAAACTTGCATCTTATATTGCAGTAGATACTTTTTTTTTTTTTTTTGAGATGAAGTCTCAGTTTGTCACCCAGGCTGGAGTGCAGTGGCGCAATCTTGGCTCACTGCAACCTCCGCCTCCAAGGTTCAAGCGATTCTCTCATCTCAGCCACCCAAGTAACTGGGACTATAGGTGCGTGTCACCACACCCAGCTTTTTTTTTTTTTTTTTTTTTTTTGTATTTTTAGTTGAGATGGGGTTTCACCAGTTGAGATGGGGTTTCACTTGACCAGGCTAGTCTTGAACTCCTAACCTAGTCACTTGACCAGGCTAGTCTCGAACTCCTAACCTCAATTGATCCACCCGCCTTGGCCTCCCAAGTGCTGGGATTACAAGCATGAGCCATGATGCCCAGTCAATGCTTTCATCTTAGTATTTTTTAAACCCTCATGTCCCCTCTAAAAGACTATTCTGTAGGTCTGAGGGTCTAAGAGGTTTAGTGAGATAGCTTGGCTGGAGCTGAAAAGACATTAGCAAAATCATGAGTTAAAGTTACTCCTTTTTTTTACTCCAAAGTAACTGATCCTTTGAGAAAATATTTTACTTTAATTATAAGTGATTGGTATATAAAATTAATTAATATTGCTTGTCTTTTATATGATATTTTAGTTTCTTACTTTCATATTAGAAAACAGCCCACTCCATCACTAGTAAATATGCTGTACTCTATCCATGGTTAAAAATAAAAGCATTAAAAAGGTTACCTTTTTAAACATATAGGATGATTAAAAGGCATTTATCTTTTAAAATAGTGTTGAATGAAGCCATTTTTATATATATACTTTTTTTTTTTTTTACTAAGAACCCCAGGCAAATGGTGTAGTAAATTTATAAATTTTAATTCATATATATTTGAATTAAAAAGAAAATGCTCAGATAGCAAATGTTAATAGCCTAATGACTTTGACATTTCCAGTCCAAAGTTTTGAATGTTCACTGCTTGATAAATGAGCTTTGGACTCTGTTTTTAAAAAAACCTTCTTGAAGGCAATTCACTTACTTATCCAAATTGATCAATAGCTCTTGTTGGTTTGGAAAATATTAGCTTCTAAAAATTAGCTTCCATTTCTCATTTGGTCTGGAAAAGCACCATGGAAAAGATGCCAAAATTGGTGTAGAAAGCCATTTCTTTGAAACTTCCAAACAGGTAGAAACCTCTGAAATCTGTTAACATACTAATTATATTTCCATTATGGCTTAGCACTGCTAATAATTTGGGATCATTCCTGTTCAGTTTTGGGTAGTGGCCAGATAACTGCATTTTCCTTTTGGTTGAAAGATTTTTTTAAGGATAGTTAATATTTTGAATCATCTGTCGAAATAATGTTAGAATAAAAAAACAGATGATTTGGACTCTGGTCCTAGTTCTACAGCTAGCCAGCTATGCTGATTCTCTGGACTTTAGTTTACTTATTTGTGAAATGATGAATTTAGAATAAATTATTTCTAAATCTCTGGTTCATTGCATGACTCAATTATAATTCTCAACCAATAGGAAGAGAAAACATTTTAATGATGCTTTCAGTGCACACGTACTCAGAATTCTATCCCTTCTTTACCCTCAGCTATTGACTGCTAGAGTCTCAGGCTACACAAAAAAGCAGAAGCTGTCCAAGACTCGTATCTGCATTGGCCATTTAATGTGCATCTTCACTCATACTTGACTTAGTCATACTTTAGCCTGCATCTTCACTCATACTTGACTTGCTCTCTCTTTTTTTACAGTAGACAAAGATGAGAATTAATAAAAAAAACTCCCCCTTTAGCTCTAAATCCAATTACCCTTCACCTACTCAAAGACTTTTTCTCTTTACATATTTATTTTTTTCCCTTTGTACCCCATTATTCACATTGGCATGTAAACATGTTCCAAAATCTCCCCTAAAAACAGAAAACTTCCTTGACTCCAAAGTCTGTTGCTCTATCTCTACACGGAACCCATCTCCCTTCACCACTAAGCCTCTTGTTTACAATGTCTAGATTCTCAATTCTCATTATATTTTCAGCACACATTGGCCTGGCCTATGTTCCCATTACCTTACTTCAGCTACTCTTGCAAAAGCAAACAATGACAGCCATGTTTCAGCCTTCATTTTACAAGGAAGTCTCTCCTTCGGTCTTTTCTTACACCACTCTTTTGGTCCTCAGCATATCTCTCTGGCCAAACTTCTCAGTACCTTTTTTCTGGTTCCTCATTTCTATCCATTCTCTAAATATTACAGTAACTAAAAGCTTTATTTCGGTGGTGTCAACCAAACATATGACCTTAAAAATATTTTGTATTTACTAATTACTCCCACACTGATATTTCTAGCACAGCCCTTTCTTCTGAACTCTAGACCTATTTATCTAACAGTCCACAGCATCTCTCTATATTGATCTCACAAGCATCTCTACTTTCACAGGTCACAAACAGATTCTTGATCTCCCATCCTACACCAGACACACACACATGCACGCACACACACGCAGGCACACACACACATGCACACAGAGTTTTTTTCTAATTATCTACTTCTCAAAAGACTAAACAGAAACTCGATTCTATCATTTGCTTGATCTCAAAATCTGGTAATTATTCTTAATACATCCCCTCTATAATGGCATAAAATTGAACACAAAACACAAGGTCTTATCAAGTAACTATCTGTGCTTCTATTTTTTACCACCTCTGCTTTCATTGCAGTAACCATTGTATCATACATCTTAGTAGCCTCCTAATTACACCTGTGACTTCCTGTGTGACATCAATATATTTTCTAAACTGAAAACCAGAATGACCTTTATAATCTTGTCCATTTCCTGCTCAAAAGTTTTCCATAGATCCTTTTATAATTACGGAAAAATCTAAATGTTGTGGCACGTATATAAAGTTCTAATTTTTACCCCTATTAGGCTCACTATCTCACTCAATGCCTTCTACCTCCTCCCCCTCAGGTCATACTTCAGTCACCCTGGACTTCATTCAGTTTCTGAAACACACCAAAGCTTTCCTATCTCAGCATCTTTACTCACGCTATTCCTCTGCATGAAACAATGCTCTTCCCTCTATATGTCTGACTAATGCCTCATCATTCCTGAGAAAATATTGCTTCCTCAGAGATGCTTTCCTGATTTTCCCACTGTTAAGAAAGTTATTTTATATTCTTCATAAGCCTATATATTTTCCTTTTTTTTTTTTTTTTTTTTTTTTTTGAGACGAAGTCTCACTCTATTGCCCAGGCTGGAGTGCAGTGACATGATCTTGGCTCAATGCAACCTCTGCCTCCTGGGTTCAAGCGATTTTTCTTCCTCAGTCTCCCAAGTAGCCGGGATTACAGACATATGCCATCACGCCCGGCTAATTTTTGTATTTTTGGTAGAGCCGAGGTTTCATCATGTCAGCCAGGCTGGTCTCAAACTCCCAACCTCAACCAATCTGCCTGTCTCGGCCTCCCAAAATGCTGGGATTATAGGCGTGAGCCACTGCGCCCAGCCTATTTTCCTGTTTAACATAGCACAATCTTTAATTTTAATTTGTGTATTATTTACTCATTGTCTATATTTCTTTTTTAATTAAGCAGCAGAAGATCAGGGATTATGGTTATTTTATTTACTGCTAGACCCTCAGGACAAAATCACAACATAAAACACAGTAGCCGTGGAATCAATATTTGTTCACTAAATCTAACAAGAAAGAGAACCGAGGAGAGTAAGCGGGTGGCTCATGAGAGTCATAACAGAAGCTTGTGCTCCTGGAGTCCCGCAGAGCTTTCTTCCACACCACGCTGTCTTTTCCTCTTTTGTCTCATCCCAACCCAGTGTGGACTACAGAGTTAAGGCCCATCAAGTGTTATTGCCGTTGACCTCAACGTTGACTTGGCCCCATCTTCATAAGCCTAATCCCTGCAGGTCCCACTCCCTGGGCTCACAATCCAGATCCCTGAGCCTTCCTTGCCTTTATTAGACTTACAGACCTCCTCAGTGGTCTTGGCTTTCAGCTTTCCCCTCTCCCAGTTCTGCAATTTTAGCATAGCGTACATCTTCAAAAGAAGCCACTT
The DNA here is from genome assembly GCF_000001405.40 of Homo sapiens. NCBI lineage: Eukaryota > Metazoa > Chordata > Mammalia > Primates > Hominidae > Homo > Homo sapiens. The sequence goes on from NC_000007.14 coordinate 19,761,224, forward strand.
TCCATCTTCCTATTTATATTTCTTTCTTTTCTTAGTCGATGGAAAACCCTGCTAATTATGCAATGTTCTTTTTTCCTTAAGCTCAAACTAATTTCTTATTTTTTAAACTGTAATGAAGGACTGAAATAATGTAAAGAATATAGTTCCATACACCGTGTTTCTTCCACTATAGAAAATTTCACCATCAGTTTAACTGGAAAAGGGTAATGTACATCTTTTATCAAAAGAGACATAACCTCTCACACATGTAATCAACTTCATAGAAAAATAAAATCCCAATAAAATGTACAACAGACACGTTTATGTGATAAGGTGTTCCTCCATTAACGGCAGCCATCTTGGTGGCTTAGCAGACCAGGTGAGATAAGATGCAACTATAGCAAACAGAAATTAAACCAGAAGCACTCAAGAGAGAGATGGAAAGAATAGTTTCATGGTGTTAAATGAAGATGCACATCAGGTAGTGACAGAAACCTTTTCAGAGACTAAAGTAACTGAAAGAAAGATGAACTTAAGAATAAATTTCGGAAGAAATCACCAGACATAGCATGTAGCTAACAGGCATGCACACACTTCTAAAGAAATCCAAGTCCAAAAAAATCTCAGAAATTTCAAACTGGCCCAGGACCCAAATCTTTCAGTGCACAGAACAGATCAGCCTTAATTCTCAGAACGCAATTTCTTCACATCTCCCCCTCAGTGTTCATGTAATGAAGCTTTCTTGTTTTTAATGCATTATGCATTGTGTTCTGTTCCAATTCTGTTTTGTGATCGTTTTTTCTTTTTTAAAAAATTATCTCTTGAATATTTTGAGCATGCTAAGTAAATAAGGCTTTTAGGTGTTAGAGCTGTTTCTGCTTCAAAAGTGACAGAAAAATCATAACCAAACTTGTGAATTTTATATAAGGGGAACTTTGAATTTGCAGTATATTTAAATGTCATTTTTCTAAATAAATCTTAGTTATAGTCATTATTCACATAGGCTCTTAAAACAAAAGAAAACCCGTCTCATAGATAGTAGTAAAAAAACCAGAAGAGTTTCTCTTTGGAGTTCAAATTTGTGTTATCTTAGTCAAATATAATGAATAAATAAATTTTAAAATTAAATTCATATAAACCATTATAATAGTGATTACTTCTAGAGGGAAGTAAAAAGGAATGTGATTAATATTAAGCATCAATGTATGGATAATATTATCAATAATATTCTAGTTACTGCAGTAACTTAAACTTTTTATATACTTGTGCGACTGTATTATATAGTTCATAATAACAATTTAATAAGTGTATTTATGTAACTTAAAGTAGTTTTATATTAATGTAGGTTATTCCAATTTACATCATTTTGCTTATATTTTATGTTTAAGATTCTTTCACATCAAGTATGACTAAAATGTACTTGGCTATAGCTTAGGACAACATTCAGATATAAAGCTCACAACTTGAAACATGTGGAAACTATAATAGGGTTTAAAATGTAGATGATGAATTTAGTGAAGGAGAAAGAAAAAAAATTACTCCCTTGAGTTGTGCCAGCTTTGAGTCTGATTTGTGACCTGCTCTTACATATTTGAAAATAGCCAGTGACCCTAGGGGATTAAGGAATGGAAGTTATGTTCTTCCCAAGAATTGCCAACACAACAGATGAATGTTCATCCAACATGCATAGCGGTTTCCGAAAGCTAGCCAGTTATGGAAACAAACATAGCTGCACAGAAGGTCATGGCATTAGGAACTTGCCCCCAAGTCAGGGTAATAGCAGCCTAAATGCAGATTAAATTGTATATCGATGACAATTACCAACTTTTTCCTAGGAATTGCTTATCTTTTTACCTTCTCTGTGCCTGGGTGTGCACACACAGACTCCTACACATATTTCTCTCTTTAGGTGATTTTGATTTTTATCCTACTTCTGTTACTGGTTTCACTTTCTGATCTTAAATCACTAAAGCCTAAATCCTTTAGTCTCTCATCCCTTAAGTGAATAAATTTATCTGCTGGGATAAATGGTGTAACGAAAGCAGTTGGATTTCTTGGGCAATGTGGTTTATTATAAACATAAGCTGCCATTGCTGTTATCAACATCATTGATATTATTTTAATTCCTCAGAATAATCCATATGGAAAAATAATTGGCAGGGTACAAATTTAAAAAGAAGGCAACTAAGAATTCCAAAAACCCTGCCAAATATAACAAGAAAATCAAACATATGTCTCTGTTTGGTAGAACAAACAAAAATTATACCTTGGTATTCCAACATTGATCTAAAACAATTATTCCTGGGACTCTGGAACATGCACACCAAATCACAACTATTACTAAGGAACAAAATCAGTTATGTAGAGTAAACAGTTTCTAAGAGAGGGTATATGACCTAAATGTTAGCAAGCCTAGAGTCCAAGGTCAATTTCATCAATGGTCTTACAGCAAGATCCTCTTCATAAATGTATAAAAATAAATATGTCTATAAACGACGAATAGAAACCACACACAGATTATAGATTTTCCAGAAAAATGACAAAAATATGCATCCCATTGTTGTGGGTCAGACATGGTTTTTCAATATCTAATGTGTATATTGAATAATATAAATATCACATTTAATTTTTAGAACAACTCCATGAGATAAGTGATAGTATTTCTGTTTTGCAGATGAATTAACTGATTGTTCAGTGAGATAATGTAACTCAGTCAAGCCTAAACAATTAAAAAGTGCTAGAGGTAGAATACGAACCCAGATCTTAATAGCTTCCAAACCTATTCTCACTTCTTTGTATTATGCCAATATCTCCAATTAAATGCACAAATTTCTATTTTTATATGCCAGCCAGCTGTGAGATTCACTGAACATAAGAAACTTGCAAGTTTAAAAATCTACCATCAACAGGAATGACACTTGAAAATGTGGTTAGATTTGTGATGGTAAATTTAATTTTCCTCAATTTCAAGAATTTCCTCAAGTCTTTCTTTTGATCCAGGATGTACATCTCAGAACCCAGCTGGCATTCTGCCTTGAAATTGAGCAGCATTGCCTGGGCTTAACTGTCTTGAACTCATGATTGTCAAGTTCTGCCCTGCAGAGCTCTCCAAGCCTAGCAGGGTATCAAGAGCAGACCAGTCTTGGCATTCTTTCAGGACCTTTTCAAGACTGGTACCATCTTTTTTAGTTGAGGCAGATCTTCATTTTGCAGTTTTTACATGAACATGTCTCACCCTAACAAGGCTGATATCCTCAGTGACCCACAAAGACTCCATTTCATTGCCTTTACCTCTTCTCCATGACTTTACAAATGTTAATAGTTTTGCTTTGCACACTTTTCCTCCTCTGCCCACTGGAAACCTATTCTGTCTTCAAGGCTTAGATGAAGAGAAAGTGATCTCTTGCTTATGCCTTTTATTATGAACTCTGTTTAAATTTGTTGTCATGTGCTATACTGACCAGCCCTCATAATATTTAAGGATAGTTTGAGATTCATAATTCAACACTAAGGCTTAAGCTTTAATGGCAGGAACGATTTAGGTCCAATATCTTAGATGCAAAATTCTGGTAACATGGAGGTTGTGCTTGTTGATTGATTGACTGTGCTAGTCTCTTCCGGAAAATAGATAAAAAGAATGATTGGGACTTAGCCTTTAAGACATCCTGCCTGGTCCATGTATTCAAGGGTGGGGAGCAAATAATGAGGTCAGGCCTCAGCGAAAGTTTTTCATGAAAATTTCCAAAGTCCCACACAACACAATAGAAAAAGTATAGACTTTGAAACAATATTGCTCTGACTTAAAGTACTGACTAAGCTGATTAAATAACAGTGGATTAAATTACTTAAATAAGTAAGTTCCTTTTTCTACTTAAACTTTATAAAATACCACATTTTTCATAAAGTTGTTAAAATTAGAAATAATAATACATATGGAAGCATCTGGACATTAGTTAACTATTAATAAATCATGTCTAGAATTATTTCTATAGGGTAAATAGATCAGGGCACTCTATCTCCCAAGTTGATCTATTTATTTAACCATTAATATTTTCTTTTTGCCTTGACCACATGGTTTTATTCAATATTTAACAATAGATTACGAACTAATGGAACTTAGAGTTGCTTCTTGGGAGTTTTACTATTGGTACTAATAAATCATGGACACCAGTTAAGGTTATAATAGTCATTATTGAAATCTAGGTATTTAATTGAGGTATCTGTGAATAATACATCATGTAATAAACATGGCTTGTGAAGCTACTATTCAGGCAGTTCAAGTTTCTAAGATATTAAGCATCTTTATTAGATGTGTTAATTTGTACTTTCACTTTTCAACAAGTATTTACATAGTTCTAAATGTTTTTTGAATACTTTGTTTTATGGCATAAATAATGGTCACCATATTCACACTATTCGATTTGCCTAATTTATATAATTATCTTGTTAATCTGATTGCCAAGTAGCTTTATGATAGAGTTTCTACCACCCTCTCTCACTCCAAAAGAAAAACAAAAGAAGAGGTGTTTTATGTTTCCTCATTCAGTTTTAGACTAAGTATTTACAAAACTTTTCTAATATAGATATTTTGGTACATTTTCATAGTTGCTAATGTAAATATCCTAATTAAATCAAAACCTAACTAGATACATACCATTCAGGAACAACGAAAACAAAAAGAATGGGTCAAACTAGGGTTGATGAAAGGTGTGGGAGAAATATTGAGAGCCAGAGCATCACTAGTGGACTCTAGGTCCTAGGGAGGCAAGGAGCAGCACAGGCCAGCAGAGAGAAAGCAGCAGCTGATGCTCACTGATCTCTTACTCTATGCCAGGCCCAGAACTAGCAGCTTTAGAAACATCGTTTTCTGAGATTCACAAGAACTCCATGAAATAGGTACTAATATTTTCCTCCTTTTAGGAATAATGAGACTGTGATTTGGTGAAGAAATAAAACTTTTCCACTGATACCGTTATATTGAGTGAGATGTATAAATCTAATCTGATTGTCATTTAATTTTAATGAAGTATATATAGATTAGATCTGCAGTTATAAGGACTGCATGGCTTTGTACATTACAGGGGAAAGTAGTCACACAGTTTCTTCTCTCTTTCTCTTTTCTAGAAATATGCTCAATGAGAGTCTAATTATCAAGGCATTGTCCATTTCGCATGTTGGAACATCTATCTGCAGAGTGGCCGCAAGAAAATTTCTCTAGATTACTAAGACAAATTTAAATATTTAGACCAATGCTGGACCTAGTTATTTAGGTACAGGAGTTCCATTTGCGTGAATAGGATCTCATGTGTGTATGTGTATATATATATAAAATATATAGGATCATATATATTACATATGATAAATATAGGATCATATACACATATATATATAACTTTTTTAATGCAGTAGTGAAATGAAATTTGGATCACTTCACAAGTAAAATGATGGTTCAAACCCAAAAACTGTTGCAGTTTCTCTCACCTTTGGTCACCTTTAGTTTGCGTGTGTGTGTATGCAAGTGCATACACACACACACACATCAAAATCTATTATAGCTTTTATTGAAGCCAAGGAGAGACATTTCAGGGTGGATTAATCTACCAATATGATTAATTGTTGCATGAAAACCAAATGAATATACAAAAAAGTTAGATAGTTTGGTTCTATTCAAAGTACACATTGGATAATCTGGCTCATAATTAAGGCAATACAGAGACCGAACTAAGATATATTTTAGGCAAAAATGTCCAAATTAAAAGTTTTGAATTTATTCAGATGTTTCTATCAAGCAAACTGTCAATTAGTAGGTGACTGATGCAAATATTATTAGTTATCTCTTAATGTTTCTAGGACAAAGACTTCAAGACCAGTTATACCCTTGAATAAGAACAAAAATCTCAAAGCAGATTTTGTCATGGACTTTGGATAGAAATTCCAGTATGTGCGATTTACATGTGAACAGAATCTAGACTAAGAAATTCATGAAATAAAGAAAAATGTGACAAAACTCACCAAATTTTCTATTATACCACTATCAATTTACACCAGAAATAAACACATATTTACATCTCTTTTGACGCATGGTATGGCCCCCTGAATAATAACTATATTTCCCAGTAGTTTGGCTTGCCTAACTTATCTGATTGTCAATCATCCAACTGCTTATGCCCAGTGGATAATCAGTAGCATTTGCAAATGAGAGTATTAATCATATAAGAAAGAGATTCTTTACCTGGGCTCTACAGAATCCATTAGTGGACTTTATTATATGCAAAAATTTGATGAAAATTGGTTTATATGCCCAGAACAAAACTATTTTTTCTACATGGCGAAATGTCTGTGAAACTATAATAAAATAATGGTGCCTGATTTTGATGAGGGAGTAGGGAAAAGGACTTTAGTTATAACTTTGAACAACATTTTGAACATATTTATAAATTACTTGTATAATTTCAGTTAATTTTAAAATGGGCCATAAAAATACGTTTGTAATTTTTTGGGGGGATAGGAGCAGCATTTTCATCTTATGCTAAAGGATATGAATCCCTTATGTTAAGTACTTGATGTGGGAGAAAAAATGATGTATTACCTGGTTAGAGACACACTAGTTTCAAATTGTGTACATTTGCAGTAACTGAGAGGTTTCTTTCACTTTATTTTATTTCTTTTTTATTAAATATATTTTAAAAGCTTAAATATTAAAAATAATACTTTGGAGCAGCTATGATTTATATACAGCATCTCATTTGGATTGCTATAATATAGATCAGAATGCACAGAGGTGAATTTCAACAAAATCCTACAATTGGCTGAGTTGTTGCCATGGTAAACCAACAGTCTACATAAAAGGTATGTGTGTTGGCTATGCTGTAAATTTCGCTGAAGCAAAACATCAGATTTATTAAGCAGATAAAGATATAATTTGTAGATCAAATATGCTCCAGAAAAATAAGCAATAAAACCTGTAAACATTAAATGATTTAGATAAGAAAACTTTTAAATATTTAAAAATACTACCTCGTGGTTTACATGTGGGAGAACTAGGCTTAGAAAAGTTTGTTTAATAAATTAAGTTTTACAGGATATTATCAGATATGTTAATAGATGGATGGAATTTTAGCATAATATATATAAAATACAACTTAGCATCATATTTTGTTCTGGATACCATCATTTGAATCTTTAGATTTCCAAATCTCAACCTACAGCAATAAAATTCTCAGGGATTTATAAATCTGTGTGCTACTAAACCTAGTCCATTCCCATTATAGATGATGCACTGGAGGCTGAGAAGAGTGACTTTCACACAGCAACTTGGAAACAGAGCTCTGTCCATTTTACTTCCTGTCTATAAATCTGATACATCAGTTATAATTCACATGACTATATCTTTTCCAAGGCATTTTACTCAATAGTTTATTAATTGTTATCTAACAGTTATGCCTCTGATTTTGTGCTTTCATTGTAGATGACCATATCAGCTATAACAAAGAATCAAGAAGAAACAAAAATGCTATAATGACACCTATAGCTTTCTTTCTCTATGAAATTATAGTTAACTGATTTTTCCTTCTAATTGCCCATATTTAAAAATTTATCACAGGAAGCATCCCTGCCTGATTAATCAGATGAAATAGTGCCTGGAAATAATCTGTGTAAGCATCCTTCTCATACATTTTAAGCCCTTATCTTTATTTTTAAGCCATCTTTCAGGTTTTTGTATTTCCATATTCGGGGCCAAAAAATCAAAATGCAGCAGTTGCTTAAAACCTTAATGCACTTGTCCTAGATAAAAAGCTTATGATTTTAGGGTCTCTCTATATAAAAATAATCCTTTTATAGTGCAGCTTTTACTTCCACTGACTTTTAAATTTAATTCAGCAATCTTATAGTAATGATATTAATGTGTTGAAAGGAGTTTTACAGCACTAATCAAAATATAGTTTGATTGTAGACTACATGTATTGTGACAGGTTAATTATTGTAAAATCTTATTTGGCATTTATAAATAATCCAGATTTTTAATTCATAATTTAGCAAAGAGATGAATAATTTTCTATCTAGCTTTCTTCTGCATTTCCTTAGTATCACTTTGGGAAGGGGAAGTAAGAATGGGTATTATTATTATTATTATTCAAAATATGAGAAAGTAATTCTGTCACCTCAAACTGGCACACAGTCTCCTATGGTCTGGCCCCAATCATTTTTTCTATCCTTATCTTCCTCTTACACACCTAAGCCCCAGAAAAATGGAAGAGCCTACTCTTCCTGGGCCACAACCCAACCTGTCCCAGTTTTTTGCCTTCATCTATGCTGACTGAAAGACTCTCTCTTCTCATGCCCTCCACTGCCAGTCTGTGCACTCAGTATTAGCTGCTCATATTTACTCAGTGCTTACTACAGTCCATTCAATTTACTAAGAACATTACAATCAGCCCTTTATATTCCCAAGTCCTGCATCCATGAATACAAACCAACCTCTGATTGAAAATATTTGGGAAAAAAAACAATACAACAACAATAATAATACAAAGGAAATACAGTATAACAACTATTTACATAGCATTTACATGTTTTAGGTATTATAAGTAATCTAGAGATGATGTAAGGTATATTGGAAGATGTGCCTAGGTTATTGCAAATACTGCACTATTTTACATAAGGGACATCAGCATCCTCAGATTTTGGTAACCAGGAGTGCCCTGGAACCAATCCCCTATGAATAGGGAGGGCCAACTGTATTTAATTTGTTCCTTTTAATGACCCCATTTTATAGATAAGGAAACTTGGGCTAGTCACCCAGCTAAGTAAGTGGTAGATCTGGGATTTGCAACCAGGTAGTATGGCTTCAGATCTTACACTGTGAAGCATTAGTTAACACTGCAGTACATTGATTCTAAGTCCTGATAAACTTCCAAGATCAAGAATAAAATAATACTTCTTTCATGGATATTTCATTGACCATCCCAATCTTTCTCCCCCTTTTTTGCCTCCGTATCTCTCTGAAGTCACATTCTAATTTCTCATTGCTGGCAAAGTTAGTAATGTACCATTTTGTTTCCTCCACTATGGAGTAGTTTTTTTAAGACAGTGCTCTGACTCATCTTTATAGTATTGGTAGTAAATGGTAAAATGCCTTTCACATGCTAAGCCCTCCACAAATATTGGCTACATAAATTCATCATTGAAGAAAGTGAGGTAGTTGAGACTGTACCATAAATGATTTCCCCAAAATAATTTAGAAACTACTTAGCCAGTCTGTCACCCAATAAACACAATGATCCCAACTGGGTATTTGTTTCTTCACAAATTTCACTTTTTAAATGGGTTTATAAAAGTGAGCAACTGTTTGGTCATTCTGGTGTCAAACCCATTCATTCAGTCAGATGTATTGTTTGATTTTATTGAATCAGACAATAGAATTCAAAACTATTGTTCTAGAAACCCAAATGAATTTTGCTCACTCTAAACAACCAGTTAAAAAAGGAAATAATTCTTTCTTATAGTGACTATGTAGATATGTCTGACTTATTTGCTTTTCCATGAGGTGATTCAAAATTTTCATTTTCTGTACATACACATCTAGATAATAGTAAATAGTCTGAGAAAAAGAAAAAATATTTAATCATTTTTTTCTTACATGATACTAAGCTAACATAACCATTTTTTAATTCTCAAAGATAAGCTGGATACTTTGATATTATCTAGGGAAAACCTAACTTAATTGACTCAATTTGTTGAATTTCGTTGGGGGCGGGGATTGAGCTGTAGAGTATTTAAGGCTTCTCCCCATTAAGATATCATAAGATCACCTTTTCTCCCTCTTTCCCTAAATGTTGACATTACACTTCATTTTGACAGTTGTTCAATGAAGTTTTAAAGCGTTATTTCTGTTTATATGATAACAACAAAAACAAGAACAATAACTACAACTCTCCAAATAATTACTGCCACATATAAAATGAACAATTATCAGATTTAAGATATCTTTATCCTTTCAAACTCAAATTTAATATATACATTGACAAAAATTACATGACAAAGAACAAGATAATTATTTGGAGGCTGATAGTAACTTATTATTGAATTCAAAGTAAGGATTCTTGGATGAATTCAATGTTAGGATTGAACACTATTTTTCTTTTTTGTAGTTCTGCAATTTAAAAACATTTATCTCACCTGAAAAAATATATAAATCTAATTATCCAAAGCAAAATTTTGCCAGTTTCAAAAAAAAGTTACAGCATCTTTCAAAAATGAATTACTTTTGAATAATTTTTCTTGAACTCCGTAATAATCATTTTCTTTTAGTGACTTAAAGCTCAAGTGATTAAGCCATGATGGTTAAACATGCTACAGATTATCAGTGACAGAATACTTTCTATTGAATTATCTTGAAAAGTAGGATCAAGCTAGGCATCCAGAAGTATATGACACATATATAGCTTGAAGGAAAAAACTGGTTTTCACAATTAGATTCACATTAGGAATGGTGCTGAGTTATTTTATTGAATCTTGGTGGAAGAAATGGGTCTCTAAGGCTTTCTTGGAGATTCATCCTAGTAAAAAAGAAGCTTGTTGAGTCTGACATCTGACCTAGAGATAACTATGACAGTTTCTCTGAGCAGTTAGGTACTCTGTAAGCAGAATTATTCTCCATTTAGAATGTTATTACACGTCTTACCATCTGATGTTTTTCTAACTTACTGTCTAGAACTTACAAAAGCGTTTTCAGAGGTGAAATATCAGAAATGTAGCAAAGGAAAATTAACAGCAATGTTTTCTGGAATGAAATGCACCCACAAACTTCCTTTCACACTCACACCACGTTTCTGTTTTTGTTATTGGTGTTGCCTCTGGTGTACCTTGGGCATTATTGCCCAGGGATAAATGCATAACTATCCCTGCTTGTTCCCTGATACAAAAAAATGATGGAATACTCTTATTTTGATTTTCCTTGTAGAAGGAACAAAAGATTAAGTGAGCCTGCCCTTGACAGGTGTGACACCCCCCTCCCCCCGCCTCCCAAACAGCACCACTGGGCAAAGCAGCCTTTTGTAGAATCAGCCAGTGGAAACTAACCCCCCACCCCCACCTTTAAACAAAGCCATTTAATTTGGTCTTAAGCCCAAGTAAGAAACAAAACAAAACAAAACAAAACAAAACAGAAAACGAATAAAGGACAATATAAAGAAGCATAGCTTGTCAGCATGAACCTACATGCAAGCCAGAGATCTATGATTTTGTTTCCCAGGGAGGGAGTGACTAATGCGCGCACCCTGACCATCACCGTAAAGAGGTAAAGAGAGAGTGAAATGGCTCAACGTACACACACCCCGCTCCATACCGGGGACGAGTCTCCGAGCTGCGGCTTGTGCTCTCGGAGGGCCAGGCTGAAGCTGACCGCCCCCACGGCCACGCTGGACACCCCCAGCCCTATCTCCAGCACGGAGAGCACCAAGAGGCTCCCAATAATCTGACCGCTGGTGCACATCCTTCCTCGGTCATCTTCCTTCCAGATCAGAGAGGGAAATCAACCATCTACCTTTTTTTCTTCCACTATCCTCCTTACCCCTTCCACCCCCTACCAGATCCCAAAACTTTTCTTTCTTCAAGAGCGAGGCATTATCCACAAGGGCTGGATTTCCAGAAACGAAGACCTTCCCTGGCTGGGCCAGAGGCAAAGGAGCTGCTCCACCCCCTGGCACGTTCAGATAGGGATCGTAGAAGGATCTTCCTGGGTTCGGTGGTGCGAAGATTGCACACCGGTACCGGGGCTTTTAAGCAGCGGAAAACCTGGAGGAGCCCAGGGAGCTCCGAGCCTTGCTCCCCAGGCGCTGTCCAGAGTTCTGCCGCGTCCCAAATCTCCGCAGGGAAACCCGCGCCCTCCTCAGCCTACTAGACCCTTTCACAGGGTCCCTTCTGTTTTATTGCCGAGGAGAGGAGCTTTGCTTCCCGGAGATCCAAAGGGAACCGCTCCGAGTTTCTCTCTCCCTCTCCCGTTCGTCACCTCTCCTTTGTTTTCGTGGCAATGCGAAGTGCTTCTGCAAGTCTCTGGGTCCCCAGGCAGAGCGGGCGGATGATATTCAGCACCACGCTCCTTGCAGTTGCTTTGTCGCCAGAAAAAGCGACCTTGTCTGATGGCCTCTTTCCGTCTGGGTTTCTTCTCCCTCGTCGTCGTCCTCTTCCTCCTCCTTTCTCTCGAGCTGATTCTCTTTCATTGCTATGACCTCATTGGGGTTTAGGAGGTTGACGGAGGAGGAAAAAGCCTAATGTATTTGTAGATCCAGGACCAGTACTCTTGGCTGGCCTTTGATCCGCCCCGCCCCCGGACCGCAGCAACAGAAATCCAGGCGACCCCTACCTCCGCTTCTCCCCGTGGCTCCTTTCTGGGCTTCTATCCAGCGGAGAGGGGAGGCGATGCCTACGTCAACGCGGGCTCATTCTGAGAAAAACTTTCTTTAGCTTGTACGCGGGGTAGGGGGAGCAGTGAGCAAAGAAAGACGGAAACCCCAGGGGGGTGGAAAAAGCCAGACTCCTAATGTCACTAGGACTCTCAAGGCCCCTCACCAAGGAACTCCCCTGTCTAGGAGAGCTAGATTCAAGCCTGCTTACAAGGAATGTCCACTCCCGGCCATCACAGCCTGTCACCTTCCGTGTCGTAGGGCGAAGAAGCAGTTGATGGGGGCCACACCTCCACGGTGATTTTGTTCCTCTCCAGCCACAGACCCTTGCTTTCCCCTAGGAGCGTGACCACACGTTCTGGGAGGCATAGCTAGACCCAACTGAGCTGGGATTATATATTCTCAACAAAATTCAAGAGATGTGTATGCATTAGAACAGGCATTATTTAAAAAAAAAACACGTCTGGCTTAATGCACAATTATTTTTGACAGTCTACTTTCATCAGAATCTTTAGGGCAGGGGCCAGTCCAGCTTGGCCTGGGATATTTTTGCATTGTCTTTTGATGCCTATGAGACTCTAGATGTCTAGGGATCGCTGTGTTTAGACCCCATTTTCATTACTCTAGTTTTATGAAAAATCTCAAGGTATTCTATCAAGGAGATCTAGGAAGTGGGATAAAGAGAGGGTTTTGGGTGTGGGTCATCTTTCTCAAAAACTGGGTTCTCCAGTTCGACATGGACTGAAGGAAAATAGAACAAAGGAAGATGAGGTTAGGGTACAATAACACAAGACTAGGGAATGTTGACTTCTATACATCAGTGCAGTGCAGGCGCCTCTATTAGAGGCTTCTTAAAGCTCCCATGATGAGAACATAAAAGCTCGGTGACCTATAGCATAAGTTCTGTAACATAAATGCCAGTTTCAGTTTTCTTAAATTTGATTAAGGGCTTCTTTTAGAGTTTAAACTCAATTCTACACTATAATTTTTTTCATATGTTTATATTCTATAATTTAAAAATTTGAATCCTTTTCTCTTAAAAATAAAACAAATGTAAGGAAGAAGAGTTACAATTTGTTAGGCCTTAAAGAGCTTCAGTTATTGTGATATTTGGAGTACAAATAAACATTGGTACTGAATGATAATTAGTGGATTCATTTCTATGCTTTTAAATCCTCAAAGACATGCTAAAGTACCTCATTAGTGTATGGCTTTAATGATGTAAAGTTTATTTAATTTAAATAATACAGAAGTCATCTAAATGATCCAATTTATATGCATAAATAATACAGCATATATGTTGTTGAAGTTTTGCTTTGTGTTTAGTCACTTCTTTTCTTTAGGAAAAAAATGCTTCTCTGTTAGGAAGACAACAAGTTGTAATATTAAATGAATTGATTAATGGAGACATATAGGAAGGGAAATAAACTTTTGTAGAGAACACAGGGATGGTATTAACAATAGTTGAATTTCACAGAGAAAAAGAAACAAACAAAACATATATTGCGGTTAACATTTTATCTCTGAATGTGATGGCTTGGAATATAAGATTGGTTATCATATGCCTGATAAAAACCAATCCTGATTGATTCTGGGTCATTGGTTAGAAATCCAAAACTTTTGATTTTGTATATGGAAGAAATTCAACTCATCTTCACATAAGTAACTAACAATAATTCACAATAAAACAAATATTTTTACAAATAAAAACAATTATTTTCTATAGAGGAAACTGCTGTTTTGAGTTTTAAAACATGAGCATCAGTGTTAAAATTTTCAAAAAAAATTACGTTATCTTTATTGGGACACAAAGGATATTTTTTGTGCCTTTTAAATATCATGTAATGATCCTCCTAAGATAAATCCAAATACACCTAAAATTTCCTCCTAAATACAGAAATCAAGAAAAAAGAGTTCAAACTGACAAATTATTTATGATTCTTATTATAATTATCCCTCCAAATTATTTGCTAGACAAATAATTATAGGGTAAAAACTATAAATCAAGAAAAAATCATATGAAGCACACCACTATCCAAATACCAGTAGCTCCACAATTTCTGAATTTGATTTTTCTAACGCTGTAGTACACCAAAAGAGCTATTCATGAGATCCATTGATAGATAATTCAATATTTCCACAACTTTGGCAAGAGCAATAGCACAAAAAATCTCAAGTTTGCCATCTGCTGGCTTATGCATGATACAAGTGAATGTGAGTAGCCTCAAAATAATTCTTATTAGATGCCTTAATAAAAGAAAACATCTTTATAGTGGCTAACTTTAAGGACCTAAGCACTTCCAGTAAATATTCAAGAATTCTGAGGTTCTCTCATTCACCCATTTACCCAAATTAGATTATGGAAATTTTAGTATCTGGATGAAGGAAAATCCAGGAATGGGTAGACAGTACACTAATGTCTCCTGTCTTAATATAATAAAGTAAGTTGACAAAATCATCAATGCTGCCACATTAATATAGAGTTATTGAAAAAGCTAAAAATGTGAAATGATTAATTTTAAGATCTGATTTAATGTATCTAAGCTATTATAAGCAAAATTTATATGGTGGTCGTGGGCACTGGGCTGAATTGCCAATGCAGTACAAAAAATTAGAAAAAGAAAAATCATAAAATTTTTAGTAGTTCAATCATTTAGCTAGAAGTTCATCTAATATTTAATACTCTTGTCAGTGTAGTTAAAAAATATTGGATCTACCCAGGATTTGATGGAGTAGTTAGTTTTGCTAAAACAGAAAAATAGCCCACATCTGGAGTTTTTATTTTTTATTTAATGGTCAAGAAACAGAGATAATAAAACCTGAATTTATCTTCTGCCTTTTCTTGGCTTTTAGTAATAATGTAGCTCAGAAGTCAGTATCCAATAGTAACTTCAGTGCTTGTGGAAATTAATCAAAGAAAGTGTCATATTGAATACTATATTTAGCACGTTTTCTCATTTATGTTCAAAATAGTTTCTGATTATTAATAACCTGTAAACATGCAAACAAACGGATAGTTTATAGTAAATTCTAATGTTTCATGAAATGTATGGGTATTTCCACTCCTGGCCATTATAAAGAAAGGTGGACTGGACTTACTCTCCAACTGCATACAAAATATAATAGTGTTCAGATACTGCATAGCAGGCAGCACAGAACTGTGATCCTTGGTAAGAGAGTAACAAGGTTTGCTGTGCTTGTTTTCTTACAACAGGCCCTTAATATATAATGATCCAGGAAGAAGGGTGCCAGGCAGAGAATGGTGGGCTTACAAAATGTCAGAGACAAATGGCAGAGTTCTTGGGGGCTGAGTGTTGTGGATTGCATGTTTGTTTCCCCCCTTTCCCCACACTCAGATGTTGAAACCCTAAACCCCAATGTGATGGTATTAGGAGGTGGGGCCTTTGGGAGGTAATTAGGTTTGATGAGGTCATGAGGGTGGAGCTTCCATGACGGAATTAGTTTTCTTAGAAGAGGAGAAAGAGTTTAGTGTTCACTCTCTACCATGTGAGGATACAATGAGAAGACGGCAGACCAGCAAGTGGGCCCTCACCAGATACCAAATCTGCTGGCACCCTGATCTTGAATTTCTCAGATTCCAGGACTGTGAAAAGTAGGTTTTTGTTGTTAAGTCATCCAGTCCATGGTATGTCGTTATAGCAGCTCCAACTGACTGAGACATTGAGATAGCCAAAATTTTCAGGAAGATGAGGGTATTTCACAGAAAGAGAGACCCATAAATCTTCATAAGGATTCCTCGAGCCTGTTGCTAAATTCCAAGCCACAAAATTGTAGGGTGCAATTCCACAGGGCTGTATAAAAGTATTTGAAGTGATAATAATGGTCAATTATTTTCCAAATTTGGTGAAAACTACAAACCCATAGGATACACACAAATTATTTCAGATAGGATAACCTCACCAAAGCATATCACAATTAAAGTGCTGGAAACCAATGATAAGGATTAAAACTTAAAAGCAGCCAAAAGAAAAAGGACACATTAGGTAGATAGGAACAAAGGCAACAATTCTAGACTTCTAATCTGAAATTATTCAAGCCAGAGAACAAGTGAGTAACATTTTAAAGTAATGAAATATTTTTTAAAACCAAAGAAACCCAAAAACCTATTAATCTAGAATTATATGCCTAGCAAAAATAACTTAAAAATAAAAGGGAAACAGACTTCTTCAGACTAAAAAAAGCTGAGAGAATTTTCTAACGTAAGATATTCACCATAAAAGTTGTTGAAATAGGCTGGGCGTGGTGCCTCATTCCTATAATCCCAGCACTTTGAGAGGCTGAGGTGAGTGGATCATTTGAGGTCAGGAGTTTGAAACCAGCCTGGCCAACATGGTGAAACCCCTTCTCTACTAAAAATACAACAATTAGCTGGGCGTATTGGTGGGCGCCTGTAATCCCAGCTACTCTGCAGGCTGAGGCAGGGAGGCGGAGGTTGCAGTTAGCTGAAATCATGTCACTGTACTCCAGCCTGGGTGACACAGTGAGACACCCTCTAAAAAAAAAAAAAAAAGGTTGTTAAAATAAATATTTTCAAACAATTAAAATATACCAGAAGAAAACTTAGACTTACACAAAAGAATGCTGAATATCATAAAGGTACATATATGGGTAATTGTAAACAATATTTTCAACTTATTTATTTAATAAATAATTGGCTGCATAAAGAGAATATAATAACATATTTTGGAGTTTATAACACATTTATAATTAATTTATGACACCAATAGCACAGTCAATAGAAAGAACAAGATAGACGGTTGTAAGGTTCTTATATTATAATATTATTTCAA
Organism: Homo sapiens; assembly: GCF_000001405.40. NCBI lineage: Eukaryota > Metazoa > Chordata > Mammalia > Primates > Hominidae > Homo > Homo sapiens. The sequence continues at coordinate 19,778,418 of NC_000007.14, forward strand.
ATTAGTTGTGATAAGTTAAAGATGCAATTATCAGCCCTAAGCTAGAGCAACTACTAAGCAATGATGATAAAAAGAAACACAGAAAATTAGCTAAAAATGGAGATGAATACTAGACATTACTATATTGATTTAAAGAAGGAATGAAAAAAAGAACAAAGAATAGTTGGGACAAATAAAAAACAAATATCAAGATGATACGATCAACCCTGACCATATCAATAGTTACAATGAAACAAGTAGTTTTACCATTCTAATTAGAAGGCAGTGATAATAACGGGGGAGCTATACAAGTAACTCCCCAACTCTGTGGTTTGCAGTCTAGGCCTAGATGCAGGCTGTATAATGGCAACCAGCCATGGCAGGGCCATGGCATGGAGTCTTTCTGGCTGGGATAACCAGGAAATTGAATCTGGACAACGGTCAATGCCTCTGAGAATAGGGAACACTTGTAAAGGAAGAAACCACAGAATAGATCTCCAATCTTTGGTAGACCCCTGCACTGCACATGTATGTAACTGGCTCGAAGACGTAAACTGAGACCAGAATTTCTATGTAAGAAACAGAATCTGCAGTTCCAGCACAACCAAGAAAATTAGTAGCTAAAACAAAATAAATTATGTTTACTAGAGAAAAATGAGAGAATCAAGAATCTTCACAACTTAACATTTATAATATCCTAGGCATAATAAAACATTGTTCAACGATGAACCAAGAAAACAGACAATATTTTCAAGAGAAAATATTGATTCTGACCACAAAATAAACCACATTTTGGAACTAACAAATAAAGATTTTAAGAGAGTAATTATAACTATCCTTAATGAATTAAAACAGAATATTTTTTCAACCAATTAATATTTCAGCAGAGAACTGGGAAATGTTAGCAGGTAATAAAAGCAATAAAAATAGCCAAATGGAGATTCTAGAAGTTAAAAATATGTTTGGATATTAAAAAAAAAATCAAAGAACAAAATACACTGGAAGGGTTTCACACTTAAAAGGACATGGCAAAGAAAAAGTAAGTTTAAAAGAAAGAGTAAGTTAATCTGAAAATACATCAGTAAAAATTAACAACTGTAATAAACAAGACATTTTAAAAATGAATAGAGTTGGGGCATTACTTGTATAGCTCCCCCCTTTACTATCACTGCCTTCTAATTCCTGCCACTCTAGGGTTTACCATTGAGTAAAGGTCATATTCCTGACCTTTCATCTTTTCATATCTCCTTCAAACTGTATGCTTATCTTAGGGCAGGCACAAGATTTAATAGATTTTATTCATTTCATTGGTGCACAGAGAATTTGTAGTTATCAGAATTTTGGTTTCAAGGGTCCTCCTCCTGTTCAATTAGTTTTCTTACAACTAAAGTATCTGGCCAGGGACACATCTCAGATATTGCAGAGATTTAGATGATACATGTCTTGCTATATCACGTCAAAGCTTCTTTCCTATGTTGTTTAGAATTTTAAGATGACACTAACTTAGGACTCACTGAACAAATACTTAATAAACATTTATGGTACAAATATATGGAAAAATAAAAGGAAAAAGGAAACTGATGAAAAAATAAGCAAGAGAAATGTTATTTTTAAAATACTTTATCCACTTCAATTTTATAAACTACTTGTATTTAACTACAACACTTCAAATCAGCATGATTCCCCTCCCTGTCTTTTTCACTTATTCATTTAAAGACAAAATGTAAAGGCAAATTATAACCTGAAAAAATTTGAGACATTTATGACAAAATCTTATTCTTCACACACAAGTAGCTATTTCAAACCCAAAAGAAAACAACCTGATGGAAAATATAATGAACAGGAAATTTTCATACTCAAAGAAAGTATTAAAAATGGCCAATGAACATGTTAGAAAATGATAAGACTCTGTAGTAAACAAAAAGTGTAATCAGTCACAACTTCTCTTATTGGACCAAAAATATGAATTTTAAAAGAATAATTAGTGTTATGACAAAGTAAAATGGTTGTTCCCAAAAATACTATTGGAAATGTAAATGATAACATTTAAAATATATATTTAGCAATCTTCATCAAGAGTATTGAAAATGTGTACACACTTTGACTCAGGAATTTTTTCTCATTTTTATTCTAATACACTTTTTCATTTATGATTCAGAGTTTAAATATAGAAATGTGTATAACAGTGTTATTTAAAAAAATAAAAATCAGCCTAAGTTTCCAATTAAAGTCTAATGTTGAGATAAAGAATGGTAAAACTATAAAATAGAATAATTTAGTCATTAAAATTTACATTTTAAAATCATGTGTTATCTAGCTATAACAATTCAAAAATATTTTTAAAGCCATACATGTTTTATTTATGCATGTAAACAAAATAATCTTCATATTCTTTAACAGTATGAATATAAAGAACACTGTAAGAAGTTACACACTCATTAGTGCATTAGATGGTGATTATAATTTCCTTTTCTCTTTTATACATTCTGTACTTTTCAACTTGTGAACAAAAAACGTGATTTTTAATTAAAAAATGTCATATAACTGAAACAAAAAATAAAAAGCACAGCAATCTGGAATTGTTTAATGTTGGTGGAAAAATGTCTATGAATCTCAATATCTCATGAGAACTTCATTATATTAAAATGTAATTCAAAATTTAAGTTAATGATAATGCTTGAAAATTAAAGTTTTCTATTTTTATTATTAAAATTTTTATTAGTTTTTTATTTTATTTTTATTTATATTTTTATTTATTAACTTCTATTATAGGTTCAGGGGTACACGTGCAGGTTTGTTATACAGGCAAATTGCATATCATGGGAATTTGTTGTATAGATTATTTCATCACCCAGGTAATAAGCATAGTGCCCAATAGCTAGTTTTTTGATCCTTTCCCTCCTTCCACCATTCACCCTCAAGTAGGTGCTGGTGTCTGTTGTTCCCTTCTTTGTTTCCATGTGTATTCAATTTTTGTCTTCCATTTATAAGTGAGAACATGCAATATTTGGTTTTGTGTTCCTGTGTTAGTTCACTTAGGATAATGGCTTCTAGCTCCATCTATGTTGATGCAAAGGATATGATCTCATTGTTTTTCATGGCTGTGTAGTGTTCCATGGTGTGTGTGTACCACATTTGCTTTATCCAGTCCACCACTGATAGGCATATATAGGTAGATTCCATGTTTTTAATATTATTAACAGTGTTGTGATAAAGATATGCATGCAGATGTATTTATGGTAGAACAATTTATATTCCTTTGGGCATATACCCAATAATGGGATTGCTGGATCAAAGAGTATGTCTGTTTTAAGTTCTTCAAAAAATCTCCAAACTGAATTACACAATGGCTGAACTATTTACATTTCCACCAGAAGTGTATAAACATTCTCTTTTCTCCACAACCTTACCAGCATCAGTTATTTTTTGACATTTTAGTAATAGCCATTCTGACTGGTGTGAGATAGTATCTTATTGTAGTTTTGATATGTATTTCTCTACTGATTTTTATCTTGAGTATTTTTTTATATGCTTGTTGGCTGCTTATGTCTCTTCTTTTGAAAAGTATCTGTTCATATACTCAGCCCAATTTTTAATGTGATTGTTTATTTGCTTCTTCATTTGTGTATGTTCCTTATAGATTCTGGATATAAGACCTTTGTCAGATGCATACTTTGCAAATATTTTCTCTCATTCTACAGGTTGTCTGTTTACTCTGTTTATAGTTTCTTTTGTTGTGCAGAAGCTCTTTTGTTAATGAGGTCTCATTTGTCAACTTTTGTTTTTGTTGAAATTGCTTTTGATATCTTCATCATGAAATTTTTGCTAGGTTCTATGTCCAGAATAGTATTTCCAGGGTTTTAATAGTTTGAGGTTTTCTATTTAAGTTTCTGACCATCTTGCATTAATTTTACGGTGTAAGAAGGGGGTCTGGTTTCAATCTGCATATGTCTAGCCAGTTATCACATCATTTATTAAATGGAGAATTCTTTCGCCATTGATTGATTTTGTTAACTTTGTCAAACATTAGATGGTTGTAGGTATGTGGCATTATTTCTGGACTCTCTATTCTGTTCCATTCGTTCATGTTCTGTTTCAGTACCAGTATCATGCTGTTTTGGTTACTGAAAACTTACACTTTGAAGTTGGGTGACATGATGCATTTAGCTTTGTTATTTTTGCTTAGGATTGCCTTAGCTATTTGGGCTCATTTTTGGTTCCATATGAATTAATTTTTTTTTCTAATTCTATAAAGAATGTCATTGGTAATTTAATAAAAATAGCACTGAATCTGTAAATTGCTTTGGGCAATATGGCCATTTTAACAATATTGATTCTATCTATGGACATGGAACATTTTTCTTTATTTGTTTGTGTCATCTCTGATTTCTTTGAGCAGAATTTTGTAGTTCTTGTTTTAAAGATGTTTCACCTCTCTGGTTAGTTGTATTCCTAGGTATTTTATTCTTTTTATGGCTATTGTGAATGGGATTGCATTCTTGATTTGACTCTCAGCTTGGAAATTCTTGTTGTATAGGAATGCTACTGATTTTTGTGCATTGATTTTGTATCCTGAGGCTTTGGTGAAGTTGTTTATCAGATCAAGGAACTTTTGGGCAGAGACTATGGAGATTTCTAGGTGTAGAATCATATCATCTGCAAAAAGATAGTTTGATATCCTCTCTTCCTAGTTAAATGCCCTTTATTTCTTCCTCTGGCCCGATCGCTCTGGCTAGGACTTCCAGTATGTTGAATGGGAGTGGAGAGAGAGGAAATTTTTGTCTTGCTCTGGTTTTCAAGGGGAATGCTTCCAGCTTTTGCCCACTCAGGATGATGTTGGCCATGGGTATTTCATAGATGGCTCTTATTATTTTGTGGTACATTCCCTGAATGCCTAGTTTGTTATGAATTTTTAACACGAAGGGACCTAATTATTAAAAGCCTTTTCTTCTTCTATTGAGATGATCATGTGCTCTTTGTTTTTAGTTCTATTTGATGAATCATGTTTATTGATTTACATATGTTGATCCAACCTTACATCCAAGGGATAAAGTCTGCTTGATCAAGGTGAACTTATTTTTTAATGTGCTGTTGGATTTGGTTTGCTAGTATATTGTTGAGGATTTTTGTATTGATGTTCATCAAGGATATTGGCCCTGAAATTTTCTTTTTTTGTTGTGTTTCTGCCAGATTTTGATATCAGAATGATTTAGGCCTCATAGAATGAGTTAAGGAGGAGTCCCTTCTCCTTGATTTTTTGTTATAGTTTCAGTAGTTTCCAGTTCTTTATGCATTTTGTAAAATTCAGCTGTCATTCCATCTGGTTCAGTGCTTTTTCTGGTTGGTAGGCTTTTTATTGCTGATTCAGTTTCAAAACTCATTACTGGTCTGCTCAGGGATTCAAATTATTCATGACTCAATCTTAGGAGGTTGCATGTTTCCAGGAATTTATCAATTTCTTCTAGGTTTTATAGCTTGTGTGCATATACATGTTCATAGTAGTCTCTGTTTTTTTAAATATTTCTGTAGCATCAGTGGTAACATCCCTTTGTTATTTCTAATTGTGTTTATTTGGATCTTCCCTCTTTTTTTATTAGTCTAACTCACAGTCTATCTATCTTACTTGTTCTTTCAAAGAACAAACTCCTAGCTTCATTGATCTTTTGACTCTGAATTTTCTTCAGTTCAAAGATTGAAGGAATATCATCCCACACAGATGAGAAAGAACCAGCAAAAGAACCCTGGCAACTGAAAGAGCCAGAATGCCTTCTTACCCCCAAACAATTACCCTAGTTCCCCAGCAGTGGTTCCTAACTAGGCTACAATGGCTGAAATGATATAGGATTAATAACATGGATAGGAAGGGAGATCTTCAAGATTCAGGAGAAAGTATAAACCCAATCCAAACATTCTAAGAAATAAAATAATACAGGAGGTGAAAGATGAAATGGCTATTTTAAGAAAGAGCCAAACTGATCTGATAAAGCTGGAAAACTCACTTTATGAATTTCAGATACAATTGTTAAGTATTAACAGGAGAACTAACCAAGTTGAGGAAAGAATCCCAGAGCTCAAAGACAAGTTCTCTGAAATAACTCAGTCAGAAAACAAAAAAGACTAAACAAGAACGAACAAAACCTCTGAAAAACACGGGATTATGTATAGAGACCAAATCTACAACACATTGGCATCCCTGAAAGAGAAAGAGAGAAAGCAAGCCACTTGCAAAACATGTTTCAGGATATTGTACATGAAAATTTCCCTAGTCTCAACAGAGAGGCTAACATTCAAATTCAGGGAATACAGAGAACCTCTCTGAGATACTATACAAGACAATCATCCCCAAGACACATAGCCATCAGATTCTCCAAGTTTAAAATGAAAGAAAAACGTTAAAGGCAGCTAGAGAGGAGGGACAGGTTACCTACAAAGGGAACCCCATCAGACTGACAGTACATCTTTCAGCAGAAACCCTGCAAACCAGAAGAGATTGTAGGCCTATGCTGGGCATTCTCAAAAAAAAAAAATAAATCCCAACCAAGAATTTCATATCCAAACTAAGCTTCATAATTGAAGGAGAAATAAGGTTCTTTTCAGAAAAGCAAGTGCTAAGGGAATTCTTTACCACTAGGAAAGGAAAGACTGTTACCGGCTACCACAAAAAAAACAAAAACACACTTAAGTACATAGACCCTTGACACTATACAGCAATCACACAAACAAGTCTGCATAATAACCAGCTAACAACATGATGACAAGGTCAAATCTGCATACATCAATATTAACCTTAAATGAAATGCCCCAATTAAAAGGCACAGGGTGGCAAGTTGAAAAAAGAAGAACGACCCAACTGTTTGCTGTCTTCAAGAGACTCATCTCACACGCAATTACACTCATAAGCTCAAAGTGAAAAGATAGAGAAAAATCTACCACGCAAATAAAAAAATAGAAAATTCAGGCCAGGCGCAGTGGCTCATGCCTGTAATCCCAGCACTTTGGGAGGCTGAGGCAGGTGGATCACCTGAGGTTAGGAGTTCGAGACCAGCCTCAACGTGGAGAAACACCATCTCTACTAAAAATACAAAATTAGCTGGGCGTGGTGGTGCATGCCTGTAATCCCAGCTACTCAGGAGGCTGAGGCAGGAGAATTGCTTGAACCTGGGAGGCGGAGGTTGTGGTGAGCCAAGCTTGTGCCATTGCACTCCAGCCTGGGCAGCAAGAGTGAAACTGTCTCAAACAAACAAACAAACAAACAAACAAACAAACAAACAAAAAATTCAGGGGTTGCTACTCTAATTTTGAACAAAATAGACTTTAAATGAGCAATGGTCAAAAAAGACAAAAGAAAGGCATTACATAATGGCAAATGGTTCAATTCTACAAGAAAACCTAACTATCCTAAATATAATACACCCAATATAGGAGAACCCAGATTCATAAAGCAAGTTCTTAGAAACCTATGAAGAGACTTAGATAACCATGAAATTGTAGCGGGAGACCTCAACATCCTAATGACTATATTACAGATTTCATTGAGGCAGAAAACTGACAAAGATATTCAGGACCTGAACTTGACACTTGATTAAATGGACCTAATAGACATCTACAGAACACTCTACTCAAAATTTTGAATACATATTCCTCTCAACTTCACATGACACATACTCTAAGATCTACCACATAAAATATAAAACCACCCTCAGCAAATTAAACAACACTAAAATCATACCAACCACACTCGCAGACCACAGTCCAACAGAAATAGAAATCAATACTAAGAAAATTGCTCAAAACTATATAATTACATCAAAATTAAACAACCTGCTTTTGAATGATTTTTGAGTAAGAATGAAACTAAGACAGAAGTTAAGAAATTGTTTGAAACTAATGAGAACAGGATACAACATACTAGAATCTTTGGGACACAGCTAAAGAAGTGTTAACAGGAAACTTTTCAGTACTAAATGCCCACATTAAAAAGTTAGAAAGATCTCAAATTAACAACCTAATGTTGCAACTAAAGGAACTAGAGAAAAAAGAGCAAACCAACCCCAAAGCTACCAGAAGACATGAAATAAAAATCAGAGCTGAATGGAAATTAAGGTTATATTGTGTTTAATTTGCCTAGTTTAAGAAGCCAGGGAAATAAATGAAAAGTTTTAAAAATTTTCTTTATTAGAAATCTTTAAGCTTTAAAAAATATGTATTCTTTTGCCATTAAGGAAGGATAAAGAATATGGACAATCCAATAATGTTTAAAGCTCATTCCTCCACTGACAGGCTGTAACTGTGTTAGATCATATGCCATAGGGTTAAATACTCATAAAGTTTCTGCAGATTTCAATGAAAGCTTTTTATGCTCAGCCAATACTATGTTCTCTTAGCACATATGCCAACTACTGGGAGTAAATAAGAAACACAGAAGTACTATTGACGTTTTTTCAGGTAATTGATACATGATAAAAATAATTATTTTATTTAACTTTCTACATATTCAATTAGCAAAATCCCAAAAAATAAAACTTTTGCATTTCCTTGATAACTTAGGAATGGTTCTTAGTCTAGATCTTTGTACGTAGCCAATGGTGCTTAAAAGCTGTAGTTTTATTGATGGACTTGACAGTTTTATTGTCTATAATTGTAGAAAATTTAAATAAGCAGGTCAGATTTATTTGGAGAAGCCTAGGTTAGGAGATAGATACTATATAATGCAAAAACAAGTTTGATTAAAATATTTTTTCTTTTGAGTTATTCTAATTAGTAAATGCACACCTACACATCAGATCTTAATGGGGTGATATAGTGGGCTCAGACCCTAAAAACCTATTCTGAGAAGTGCAGGATAAGACCGATTCATGAAACAATATTGAATATAAGCAAGATGTAGTATTTATGGAGTGCTTACTATGTAGCAGATACTATTCTAAAAATGGAGGATAACACATAAGATAGAAAATGTTTCCTAGGCAGTTTTCATTCTGTGGGTGATTCATGCAACAAAAAAGTAAAGAAATAATTTATGATGTAATTTCAGATGGCAAAGTAAATTAAACCAAAGTATGAGAATGAAGAAGTGATAGATGATTATTTTAGATAGAACATCAAGCAGGTGACACATGATCAGAGATAATTCAATGAAGTGAGTGTGTGAACCATAGGAAGAATTGAGGAAAAAAGATGGCAGGCAAAGGACCGAAAGGAGTATTGAGTATTTCTAAAATGGGTAAAACTTTATGAGTTTGGGGGAAAGTAGTTGAAAATGAGATTGAATAAATAGGCAGAGATTAGATTATTTAAGGCCATTTGACTATGATAATGTTTTAGTTAATTCTAAGTAGGTAGATTAGAGGGTTTTGAGAAGAGGAGTAGTACTATCTGATTTACATTTTAATTAAATCAGTCTGCTAATCTGCTGGCTGTAGATATAACTGTAGCGAGATGGAGTGGGTTTAGGTGCAATAGGAGTCTACTACAATTATAAGGCAAGTCTTGGACTACAAATGCAGTATTGGAAGTGGTGAGAAGTGCATTTTGACAATATCATACAATGAAGAATCTGAATTTTTAAAAAAATATATAGTATTCAACTGCATTCTTCTTATATAGTGTTGGATTGAAAACACTGAAACCATGTCAAAGAACTGAACAGGAGATAATTAGGAAGAGTGGCTCTTGTAATAGCCTAAGGCAAAGATTTGTACTAATGTGTAATTGCTTTGCAGCATAGTCAATGTGTTACACATGTGCCAGCAAATATTTGCCTTCTCAGTCTTTACAGTGGTTTGTGGGGTGGAGTGTAGTGTGAATGAAGACCCTCCTTCATCACCTTATCACCTTTCCCATACCTACTGATGGATACTTCCCACTGTGGGTTGCAATCTACAGTCACCACAGGCAGCAGAGTATTCAGTATTACCTAGTATTTACTGCTATCCTCTGTGGTACTGAGCATTGCCAAGAAGGTGCTCTGTCTTTTGGGAATCTATTTAAGTAACCAGCTACAAACATACTTCATGGAGAAAAGTGGCCTGTGACAGAATGCTAAGGGGACTAAGAATCACTGAAGCACCATAAGGTGATAGAGTCAAATGTACAAAAGGAGGAGGTGGCCAGGTAAAGTTATCTGGAGGGTGTATCTTAGGGGTAGTGCTGAACCTCTGTCTTCCCATTTACTGGAAAATTATTATGTGACCTTTGTGCCCTTTTAGTGTTATGCAAGCCAGTTGCAAGCAGTTTTCCAACTAGAGATCATTATTGGGAAACATTTGATACCAAAAAATCAGCTTGAATTTGAAGAGCATTCACATTATCATAAGAAATTTAAGAATGCTTGTGATTTTTGTACATTGATTTTGTATCCTGAGACTTTGCTGAAGTTGCTTATCAGCTTAAGGAGATTTTGGGCTGAGACAATGGGGTTTTCTAGATATACAAACATGTCATCTGCAAACAGGGACAATTTGACCTCCTCTTTTCCTAATCGAATACCCTGTATTTCCTTCTCCTGCCTAATTGCCCTGGCCAGAACTTCCAACACTATGTTGAATAGGAGTGGTGAGAGAGGGCATCCCTGTCTTGTGCCAGTTTTCAAAGGGAATGCTTCCAGTTTTTGCCCATTCAGTATGATATTGGCTGTGGCTTTGTCATAGATAGCTCTTATTATTTTGAGATACATCCCATGAATACCTAATTTATTGAGAGTTTTGAGCATGAAGAGCTGTTGAATTTTGTCAAAGGCCTTTTCTGCATCTATTGAGATAATCATGTGGTTTTTGTCTTTGGTTCTGTTTATGTGCTTGATTACATTGATTGATTTGCGTATATTGAACCAGCCTTGCATCCCAGGGATGAAGCCCTCTTGATCATGGTGGATAAGCTTTTTGATGTGCTGCTGGATTCGGTTTGCCAGTATTTTATTGAGGATTTTTGCATCAATGTTCATCAAGGATATTGGTCTAAAATTCTCTTTTTTTGGTTGTGTCTCTGCCCGGCTTTGGTATCAGGATGATGCTGGCCTCATAAAATGAGTTAGGGAGGATTCCCTCTTTTTCTATTGATTGGAATAGTTTCAGAAGGAATGGTACCAGTTCCTCCTTGTACCTCTGGTAGAATTCGGCTGTGAATCCATCTGGTCCTGGACTGTTTTTGGTTGGTAAGCTATTGATTATTGCCACAATTTCAGAGCCTGTTATTGGTCTATTCAGAGAGTCAACTTCTTCCTGGTTTAGTCTTGGGAGGGTGTATGTGTCGAGGGATTTATCCATTTCTTCTAGATTTTCTAGTTTATTTTCCTAGAGGTGTTTGTAGTATTCTCTGATGGTAGTTTGTATTTCTGTGGAATCGGTGGTGATATCCCCTTTATCATTTTTTATTGCGTCTATTTGATTCTTCTCTCTTTTATTCTTTACTAGTCTTGCTAGCGGTCTATCAATTTTGTTGATCCTTTCAAAAAACCAGCTCCTGGATTCATTAATTTTTTGAAGGTTTTTTTGTGTCTCTATTTCCTTCAGTTCTGCTCTGATTTTAGTTATTTCTTGCCTTCTGCTAGCTTTTGAATGTGTTTGCTCTTGCTTTTCTAGTTCTTTTAATTGTGATGTTAGGGTGTCAATTTTGGATCTTTCCTGCTTTCTCTTGTGGGCATTTAGTGCTATAAATTTCCCTCTACACACTGCTTTGAATGTGTCCCAGAGATTCTGGTATGTTAGTGTTCTTATACACCAATAACAGACAAACAGAGAGCCAAATCATGAGTGAACTCCCATTCACAATTGCTTCAAAGAGAATAAAATACCTAGGAATCCAACTTACAAGGGATGTGAAGGACCTCTTCAAGGAGAACTACAAACCACTGCTCAATGAAATAAAAGAGGATACAAACAAATGGAAGAACATTCCATGCTCATGGGTAGGAAGAATCAATATCATGAAAATGGCCATACTGCCCAAGGTAATTTATAGATTCAATGCCATCCCTATCAAGCTACCAATGACTTTCTTCACAGAATTGGAAAAAACTACTTTAAAGTTCATATGGAACCAAAAAAGGAGCCCTCATCGCCAAGTCAATCCTAAGCCAAAAGAACAAAGCTGGAGGCATCATGCTACCTGACTTCAAACTATACTACAAGGCTACAGTAGCCAAAACAGCATGGTACTGGTACCAAAACAGAGATATAGATCAATGGAACAGAACAGAGCCCTCAGAAATAATGCCACTTATCTACACCTATCTGATCTTTGACAAACCTGAGAAAAACAAGCAATGGGAAAAGGATTCCCTATTTAATAAATGGTGCTGGGAAAACTGGCTAGCCATATGTAGAAAGCTGAAACTGGATCCCTTCCTTACACCTTATACAAAAATTAATTCATGATGGATTAAAGACTTAAACGTTAGGCCTAAAACCATAAAAACCCTAGAAGAAAACCTAGGCATTACCATTCAGGACATAGGCATGGGCAACGACTTCATGTCTAAAACACCAAAAGCAATGGCAACAAAAGCCAAAATTGACAAATGGGATCTAATTAAACTAAAGAGCTTCTGCACAGCAAAAGAAACTACCATCAGAGTGAACAGGCAACCTACAAAATGGGAGAAAATTTTCGCAACCTACTCATCTGACAAAGGGCTAATATCCAGAATCTACAATGAACTCAAACAAATTTACAAGGAAAAAACAAACAACCCCATCAAAAAGTGGGTGAAGGACATGAACAGACACTTCTCAAAAGAAGATATTTATGCAGCCAGAAAACACATGAATAAATGCTCACCATCACTGGCCATCAGAGAAATGCAAATCAAAACCACAATGAGATACCATCTCACACCAGTTAGAATGGCGATCATTAAAAAGTCAGGAAACAACAGGTACTGGAGAGGATGTGGAGAAATAGGAACACTTTTACACTTTTGGTGGGGCTGTAAACTAGTTCAACCCTTGTGGAAGTCAGTGTGGCGATTCCTCAGGGATCTAGAACTAGAAATACCATTTGACCCAGCCATCCCATTACTGCGTATATACCCAAAGGACTATAAATCATGCTGCTATAAAGACACATGCACACGTATGTTTATTGCGGCATTATTCACAATAGCAAAGACTTGGAACCAACCCAAATGTACAACAATGATAGACTGGATTAAGAAAATGTGGCACATATACACCATGGAATACTATGCAGCCATAAAAAATGATGAGTTCATGTCCTTTGTAGGGACATGGATGAAACTGGAAATCATCACTCTCAGTAAACTATCCCAAGAACAAAAAAGCAAACACCGCATATTCTGACTCATAGATGGGAATTGAACAATGAGAACACACGGACACAGGAAGGGGAACATCACACTCTGGGGACTGTTGTGGGGTGGGGGGAGGGGGGAGGGATAGCTTTAGGAGATATACCTGATGCTAAATGATGAGTTAATGGGTGCAGCACACCAGCATGGTGCATGTATACATATGTAACTAACCTGCACATTGTGCACATGTACCCTAAAACTTAAAGTATAATAATAATTAAAAAAAAAATTCACTTTGGAAAATCAGCCCAAAGCATTGTTAACTTCCATTCCTTCACTGTGCACTACACATATTCAGACATAGGCTTCAAATTTTTCCTTAAGGAATACCAGCAGGTGATTGATAACTGGAAAAAATAACCATATCTATAAGAATAAATCAAACTCATCGCCATCCTGCATGTGCAGTCTGCCACAGTTATTTGAGCAATGTCATGTAACAATATAATCTATATATTGAGCCCCCAGAATTCAAATTAACATCAGTGAAATCATAGTTAATTGCTTAAAATCTACACTCTTGTCGACATAATTATATTTTACTAACATGAAAAGTATTTATTGCATTGAATAAAATTTGTAAATTGAAAAAAAGAAATTTAAAAATTACATTTGTAGGAATAGTGATGTCAGCAAGATGGTGGAATAAGAGGTTCCCATCTCACATGTGTCCTTTCAAGGTATGATCTGATAGCCATCCAAAGATAAAAGTGCCTTTGTGGAAGATTTGGGATCCAGTTATCAGGCTGCAAAATCTAGGAGGTTGTAAAGGCAAAACCTGAGGAAAGCTTCTTTTTTTTCTTTTCTTTTTGGTCACAAGGAACAAAGTAGTTTATTCTATAATGATACAAAAGTCAATTCAATAGGAAGGTATAACATTGTAAATATATTTGCACCCAATATATAAACATCTAAACATCTAAAGCAAACTGAAGAGAGAAATAGATAGTAATACAACAATGATAGGGGACTTTAGTAACTCACTTTCTGTGATTAACAGATAATCCAGACACAAAATCAGCAAGAAAATAGCAGGCCTGAACAACACTATACAGCAAATGGACCTAACAGACATATACGGAACTTTCCACCCAATAACAAAGAATACAGTTTTCTCAAGTGCACATGGGACGTTATCCAGGATAGCTCACATGCTAATTCCAAAAAAGTCTTAACCAACTGAAGCGTCTACATTGTCCGGGATAAATACCCGGGTTTCATCGTCTCGCACCAGGAAAATTTAGGACATAGACACACAAGGAGTTTAGGAGTGGAAGTTTAATAGGCAAGAGAAAGGAAAAGAAAGAAAAACAGCCCTCTCTCTAGTGAGAGAGAGGAGACTTACGAGAGGAAAACACCGGCCAGAGGTGAATGTGCCAGATTTTAGAGTCAGACTTGAGGAGGTGATGTCTGATTTACAGAGGGCTCACAGATTGGTTCTTTACATAGCACATGGGAAAGGCTGGCCACATCACCCTAATTTTATTATGCAAATGAAATTTCCCCTTGGCTGGCACCACCTTGTCTGCTCCTTACTGCACGTGGGACTGATAAAGAGAAGGGAAGAAGGAGTCGCCATCTTGAACGTGATTGGCACAACTGCCAGCATCTATGCCTGCAGCACGATTTTACAGGCTGCTCTTTGTTAGAAAGGAAAATAATTTGGGACTGCTTTTTACTAAAAAGAAAACCTTACCAAAGACTTCTTACCCTCACTAACTGCCTAAGTAATTTCTTCTTAACTTCTGTATCACAATGACAGTATATATTCAAATATTTTTTTCTGACCAAAATGGAATGAAATTAGAAATCAGTTACAGTAAGAAAGTGGGAAAAATCACAAATACATGGACTCAAAACAACACACTCTTGAAGAACCATTGGGTCAAATGGAAAATCGAAAGAGAAATTAAAAAATACCTTGAGACCAACAAAAATGAAAACACACCATACCAAAACCTATGAGATTCAGTAAAAGTACTACTAAAATGGAAGCTTAGAGCAATAAATATCCACATTAAAAAAGTAGAAAGATCTCTAATAACCTAACTTTACCCCTCAAAGAACTAGAAAAAAAGAAGAAACTGATCCAAAAGTAGCAGAAGAGAGGAAATAATACAGACTTTAGCAGTAATAAATCATAGACTTCAGCAGTAATAAATCATAGAGACTAGAAAAACATTAGAAAACATCAATAAAACTAAGAGTTAGTTTTGGAAACAAATAAACAAAATCAACTAGACTAGCTATCTTGACAAAGGAAAAGGCAGAGAAAACTCAAAATGAAATCAGAAATGAGAGGCGATATTATAATGGCTGTCTCAGAACTAAAAAGGACCACAAGGGACTATTATACTCAATTATATGCCAACAAATTGGAAATCAAGAAGGAGTAGACAAATGCTTATAAACATATTACTTATAAAAGGGGAATCAAGGATAACTAAAAAGCCTGAATTGCACAACAAGTAAAAAGGAGATTGAATCAGTAATCAAGAACCTCCCAACAAAGAAAAGCCTGGGACCAGATAGCTATACGGGTGAATTCTACCAAACAGTCAAAGAATTTATACCAATACTTCCTAAACTCCTGAAAAAGTAGAAGAGAATGCCTCCAAACTAATTTCCTTAGTTTTGATACTATTACCCTGATATCAAAACCAGATAAATATACTGCAAGAAAAAACTGCAAGCAAATATCCTTGATGAACATAGATGCAAAAATGCTAAATCAAGCACTAGCAAACCAAATTTTACAACACATTTAAAGATTTATAAACCATGACCAGTTGGATTTATCTCTGGGATGCAAGAATGGTTCAATATACACAAATCAATCAATGTGAAAACATTTGTTAAAAGAAAATTGAGGCACAATAAACATTTTAAAGAGTTTGAGCAAACGATGATTTCTGAATCAGAAAAAAAACTGAAGGAAGTCAGGCTTTTATGGGATGAATGCAGAAGTAAAACAAAGATAATATTTGATTGGTTACAGTTATAAAGTTTCCCTATTTTGTCTTTCCCACTAGAAAGTACCTAGTTATATAACTGTAAATTTAGTTGGCTGCTTCTGATCGGCTGAGCTAGAAAAGTTTTCTTTTTCTCCAATAGAAACATTTATGAAAAGTGGTTGTTATGGTTAATATTGTCAACTTTATTGAACTGAAGGATGCAAAGTATTGTTCCTGGATGTATCTGTGAGGGTGTTGCCAAAGGAGATTAACATTTGTGTTAGTGGACTGGGAGAGGCAGACCCACCCTCAATGTGGGTGGGCACCATCTAATCAGCTGCCAAGATAGCTAGAATAAACCAGGCATAAGAATGTGGAAAGAGGAGACTTGCTGAGTCTTCTGGCCGCCATCTTTCTCCCGTGCTAGATGCTTCCTGCCCTCAGACTTCGAACTCCAAGTTCTTTAGCTTTTGAACTCTTGGACTTACATCAGTGGTTTTCCAGAGGCTCTCCAGCCTTCAGCCACAGACTGAAGGCTGCATCGTCCACTTCCCTGCTTTTGAGATTTTGGGACTTGGACTGACTTCCTTGCTCCTCAGCTTGCAGATGGCCTTTTGTGGGACTTCACTTTGTGATCCTGTGAGTCAGTACTCCTTAATAAACTCTCCTTCATAGATACATTTACCCTTTTAGTTCTGTCCTTCTGGGAAACCCTGACTAATATAGTGGTCCAAGTTGTTCTACTTTTGTTTGCAATTTAAACAAGGTTAAGGTTAATTTCAATGCTTAAGTGGCTTTGTCTTATCAGCGATTTTTCAAGGTCTGGTTTCCATTTTAATTTGCTTTACACACCACATTAACAAAATGAAAGGGGGAAAAAACCCACAATCATCTTTATCTTTACAGAAAAAAACCTTTGACAAAGTTCAATATTCATTCATAATTAGAACTCTGAACAAACTAGGCAGGGCCCAGGGAGTTGGAAGGACACCTGATGGAACTGTTATGTATGATTGCTGGTACAGGTTCTTGGAAGTATCAAAAGGTTTCAATGGCTGAGAGATGAATTGATGCTGTGAGCAATCAGGGAATAGGCTTAAAATGAACCACATGGATTTAAAGGACCCTTTCTCTACCATTGTTTGGCATCAGAATTAAGCCCCATAGGAAATGAGTATTTTGTCAATTCTCCCAGGGATGGTTTATAGAAAACACCATTTAGAAACATAGGAGAAAAGTTAACTCATTATATACAATGAATTCCTTAGGGCTTTAGGCCTTAACTTTTAAGGAACTCTTGGTTGAGGAGGGCTTATTAAGACGATGACCTTCTCAAAGAACAGGATGAGCCAAGAAAAACCTCATTTTCCAACTTTTTGCATTGTGAAAGCTCTTCTAAACTCTGATACAATTCTTTGATTTTTAGTTGACACATAATAATTGTACAAATTTATGGGATACATAGTGATATTTCAACATGTGTATACAATGTGCAATGATCAAATCAGAGAAATTAGCATATCCATCACCTCATACATTTATAATTTCTTTGTATTGTGACTATTCAGAATCCTCTCTTCCAGCTTTTGGAAAATATATGATAAATTATAGTTAACCATATTTACCCTAGAACGTTGCAGAACACCAGAAGTTGTTCCTCATCTCTAGCTGTAATTTCGTATTGACTAACCATTCTCTCTCCATTCTCCTATCTCCACATCTTTTCCAGTGACCAGTATCCACAATTCTACTGTCTACTTTCTTGCGCTCAAAATTGTTTTTAGCTCCCAAGTATGAGTGAAAGCATGTAGTATTTGTCTTTCTGTGCCTGACTTATTCCTCCAGTTTCATCCATGTTGCTGTAAGTGACATGATTTTATTCTTTTTTTTTAATTAGACTTTTAAGTTTTAGGGTACATGTGCACAACGTGCAGTTCTGTTATGTATGTATACATGTGCCATGTTGGTGTGCTGCACCCATTAACTCATCATTTAACATTAGTTATATCCCCTAATGCTATCCCTCCCCCCTCCCCCCACCCCACAACAGGCCCCGGTGTGTGATGTTCCACACGATTTTATTCTTTTGTGGCTGAATAGTATTCCATTGTGTATAGCTGCCACAATTTCCTTATCCATTTGTCTGTTGATGAACATTTATGTTGATTCCACTTATCAGCTATTGTGAATAGTGGTGCAATAAGCATGAGGGTGCAGGCATCCCTTTGATACACTGATTTCCTTTCCTTTGGATAAATATACAGTATGGGATTGCTGGATCATATAGCAGTTCTATGTTAAATTTTTCAAGAAACCTCCATACTATTGTCCACAGTGGCTGTAATAATTTACATTCCCACCAACAGTGTATAAGAGTTCCCTTTTCTCTACATGCCCACCAGCATTTCTTATTTTTTTCCCCTTTTGCTAATAGCCATTCTAGCTGGGGTGAAATGATGTCTCATTTTGGCTTTGATTGTCATCTCCTGATGACCAGTAATACTGAATTTATGTTTCATATATTTGTTGGCCATTTGTATTTTTTCTTTGAAATTCTTTTGCTCAGTTTTAAATTGGATTACTGAGGGTTTTGTTGTTGTTGTTGAGTTGTTTGAATTCTTTGTATATTCTGGATATTAGTCCCTTGTTGGATTGAATAATTTCCAAATATCTACTCCCATTCTACAGGTTGTCTCTTCACTTTGTTGATTTTCTTTTCTGTTCTTTTTTTTTTTTTTTTTTTTTGCTATGCAGAGATCTTTTAGTTTAATATAGTTCCATTTGCCTATTTTAATTTTTGTTGCCTGTGTTTGTTTTTGTGGAGTCTTAGCCATAACAATTTTTGGAAGAAAAGAATGTCTCCCTCTGCCTCCCATTATAATGACTTTGCTTAGAAATCCTGGAAATAACGATTTAGGTTGAAGTATTTGAATTAAAAAACAATGTGTTGTTTATTAATATATAAATTTTAAGGAGAATGTTTATATCAATAATATATAATAGATAATTTATAATCCAGAAGACAGCAAAAGAGTAAACAAATGCTGCTTTTATGAGAATGGAATTATCCTCTAAGGTTTAATATGTCTTTGATGAAATCTGCTTCATCCTTACCATCATACTTTGCATTATATGTGTAACATTCACTTATAGAGGGAGATTGAAGAAGAATCTGGCAAAACAGATTTCCTCTGTGTGGAAAGTGGTATTCCAACAAAATGGCAACGTGTCTATTTTAACTAATATAGTTTTATTCTTTATTGTTACTTACATTTACAAAATATTAAGTAGGTAGAGGTTGGTAGACTTTGAAATTATTATTGTAATTTAATTTCCACATAGAATATTTAATACTGTACTAATATTTAAAAAAACTTCAAAGAGTTTTAAGGAACAAAATAAAACAAAATAACTGATTTCAAAATATATAAAAATTGGATTTATTCCACAGCATTTAAATATCCTAACAAAAGCTAAGATTCAATATGGTGCTGAAAATTGGATTTGGCATGGCATAATAATTTGTTCATTTTATATTGAATAATGAGCCTAATTTAGGAGTGTGTTTTTCTCTAAGTTCAATCTTTTTATCATTTATCCAAAAATATTTATTGTCTATATACGAGGTGTCCTGTACTGTTTTAAAAGTTGGAAATAGAAAAAAAAAACCCTGCTTTTTACAAAAAAAAACACTTTAAAGTAGCATTAGTTTTAATGACACTACAGGGATACATTGACGTCTTCCATAAAACAGATCTTTTATCTTTCTTATCCACCTACTCAGATACCAACATTTGTTAACAAAACAGGCTAAAACCAAACCCACAAATCAAAACCAACCCTTAAATTATCTGAAATTAAATATCTTTTAGTATAAGTTTAAACGAGACAAATTTCAGAATTTTAGATGATAAACCAAACCCACATCTCATTTACAAAGTATTACTACCTGTAAGTCACCCCGGCTGCTTAGCCTGCTTTTGTCTGCATTGTCTTGAGAAATAGAACTCACACTGTCTTCCTTAAATGAATATTCCATAGTTGAACAGTTGTTAATCTCAGGCTTTTCTTTCTGGTGTTTAACATAAATTGATATTCTTAAAGATGCTATTCTAATACTCAGATATACCTTATTCAATTGATTGTAATTATTTATTCTTCTCTTATTTTAGAATTTATGCTTTTCTGATATTTATGGGCTATTATACTCATTCTCATTGACAAAGCAAAACTATATGCATTTTTAACCCATCATTCTTCTTTATTTCTTACAGGTATGGAACTTCATAGGTTATCTTTCTTTGTACTGCATCCTAAGCCTCCTACCACTTGATGTACTGCTGGAGGCTTCTGAGCTGCCAGTTTTTTTTTTTAAGTTCTCCAGGTGCAATCTTAACATGGTCATCTTGAAAGTCATAATAATCCTCTCACCATGACACAGTGCCCCAAATAGCATCAGAATCCTTTGACACTATAAGGAAGCAATTTTTATCTTATTTCACCTTACATTCACTTGGCAGTCATACCGTGTGGCATGAGTTCATAAGTACAGGACCGCATGGATGACTTAGCTTGACATAATCATTCTCTGGATAAAAAAAATTGGAATGTAGTTGAAAATGAATAATATACCACTCATTTCTCCACATCAATGATACAATTCAGCAGTCTGAAAGCCATTACATAGTCAGTCATCGTTAATACTGATTTAATTTTTGTACTTTGATTTTATTTAATCCTTACAATAACACTGTGACATATTGTAAATATAGAAACTCAGTTTCAGAATTGAAGTTGCTTAGGCTCTTGCAGCTACTTACTGATATCTTCCATACATGCAATGTACTTTATATTACAACATAGTGCCTCTCTATGTTTTTATCTTTTAAAAAAACTGTATATAAAAATGCTACTAAGTTTGCAGATTGATAGGGTTTTACACATTGAACACATCCATGTGATCGGCGTCCAGACCAAGAGACCCAGAACTCCCCTATGTCTACTTCTAGTCACTATCAATCCCATCAGCCTTCAATAATAACTAGAATACTGAGTTCTAACAACATGCATTGCTTCCTGTTTTTGCATTTTATATCATTGGCATTATATAGTATATTTTCCCCTATATTTGGCCTCTTTAACTTATGTTAGTGAAATTTGTTTGTATTGTCCCATGTAGTGGTAGATTGTCAGTCTCATCGTTTTATGCTATTCCATGGATTGTGAATATACCACAATTTATTCATACATTCTATTGTTGATGGGCATTTGGATAGTTATAGTTTTGGCCTATTATAAATAATATTATTATAAACATTCTAATACATGCCATTTGATAAAATATGCACATTTGGAAGGTTTGACATCTATATTTCGATTTACCTGGGAATAAGATTGCTGAGGTACAGATTATACAAATATTTAGCTTTGGTAGGTATAATCCAACAGATTTCCAAGTGGTTCTACCAGTGCCTCTGTATTTATTATTATTAAATAATTAATATTAATGTTTATATTTCAATTATGTCACCTATCATCACAAGTATTCCTTTTTATTGGTAATTATTATGTTCCAGACACTGAGCCAAGGACTGTGTGTCTCTGGGGATATATATATACACTAGAGATACACAGATATGTCAGTTATAATATAGTTACACTCTCCCTCTTTGTGGGAGGAGTGTCTACACAAATTTTTGAAAATTCTTCTGCACAGAGATTTACTTGTTCTTATTTATATTTATTTATTTAATCATTCATTTATATCAGTATAAATGTATAGATATTTATTTTTAGTTTGGGTTATGGTGTAATACTACTTAAAAAAAATAAAAATATTTTGTTTCTTGCCTCTTCTAGCTTTGGCCATTAAGCTCTGTCTTTAGTCTTAGAATCAGTGATTTATCCAAGAAGCTTTGGGTTTTTTTGTTTTTTTCTTTTTGGAGTAGGGTATTAGAAAGCAAATTTTGTGTGCATTGTATGCTAGTTGCTAGGGGTTATCATTACTTGTGGACCCTCTCAGCTGATAGAAAGTATAATATATGCATGTATACCAACCTGTGTATAAACATACATCTATAAATATAACTATATGTAACCTTCAGTATCTGTATTAAGCTAAACCTAAAGTCATACTGGTATGTAACTCTAATCCATTTCCACAGGGATCATCTTAGCCTCCTCCCTATACTTTTTGTACATTTCCATATAACAATAAAGGACATGACTCCCACCATCCAACATACATTTACTTAATTGTTCAGTTTTAGTATACAGGTATAGCAGTATTGGAATTGCTATCCAGTACCCCTGTAGGAATGAAGTTTATCACCTGAGGTATAGGGCTTAAGTGCAGTTCCTTTTGCCTTTAGTCTTACAGACTCCACTCACTTCTAAAGTTATTTGGGTTAGCACCTTTTACTCCATTCAGTTCTGTGAGATTGTTTCCAACACTTGTAATACAGTTAGATTATCTTGTGGCAATCTACATTACTTCCTGGGATTCTCAGCCTCCTAAATTATTTTTATAACATTTGCAAACATTAAGGTTACCTCCATGCTAGAAAGTTCTATGGGTTTTGACATGTTTATAATGCCATGTACGTACCATCAGATAGCGTAAAGAAGAGGTTCACTGCTTCCAAAAAACCCCCATGATTCACCTATCCAACCTTTCTGTGGAACCCATATCTTCCACTGAACTGTTTACTATATCTATAGTTTTACTTTATCCAGAATGCCATGTAATTGTAGTCAAATACTACATAGGCTTTCAGACTTGGTTCTTTCACTCAGCAATATGCATGTAAAAATTATCCATATCTTTTTGTAGCTTGATTGCTCTTTTGTTTTTATAGCTGCTATTTAGTCTGAATGTTGATGTCCTCCCCAAATTCAAATAAAACCTAACACCCAATGCAATAATATTAAAGGTGGGGTCTTAAGGAGGTGACCCTCATAAATGGGATAAGTGCCATATAAAAGAGGTTGAAGGGAGATGCCTTGCCCCTTCTGCCATGTGAGGACATGGCAGCGAAGTGCTTTCTATGGAGCAGAGAGTGAAATTTTACCAGACACTGAATCAGCTAGTGCCTTGGTCTTAGATTTCCCAGCCTCCAGAACTGTGAAGAATAAATTTCTACTATTTCTAAATTACCCTGTTGAAGGTATTTTGTTATAGCACCCAAATAAACTAAGATAATCCCTAAATAATACTCTATTGTATGAGGGTACTACAGTTTGTTTATTCATTCATCTCTTGAATGTTGTTTCTATCTTTTGCTAATTATAAACATAGTTATTATAAACATTTGTGTTCAGATTTTTGTATGGATGTAATATTTCAAATCAGTTGGATCTTTCCTTCCATGATCATGGATTATCTCTTTACTTTTATACATCATATATATGTTATTAGATTTATACTTTGGTATTGCATTTCTGAGGGTGCTGTTTTAACTGACGTATATTTTGAAAATTTCCAATACTAATTGTTCATTGTTGGCTTATAGTAAAGCAAAATACTTTTGAAGCTTTACCTTGTATGTTGCAATGTTGCTATTATAGTTTATTAATCCAGGAGATTTTTACTGATTCTTGAGATTTTTCTACCTATAGAACCAAATGATCTGTGAACAAAAAGAGTTTTATTTATTCCATCCCAATCTGTTTACCTTTTATTTATTTATTTTTGTCTCATTGCACTAGCTAGGACTTCTGGTATGATGTTGAATAGGAGTGGTGAGTAAAGCCAAACTTACCTTGTTTCTAATGTTAGAGTGAAAGCATCCAATTACTCACTATTAAGTATTATATTAGCTGTCAGCTTTTTGTATATGTTCTTTATCAAGTTGAAACACCACCATATTCTTGGTTTGCTCAGAGTTTTTTCTTGAATGAAATAGACATCAGATATTGTCAAATGCTTTTTATGCATCACTGATTTTCCAACATTGAATCAGCTTTGTATGCTTAGAATAAATCCTACTTGGTCATGGTGTAAAACATTTTTATACCTTTTCAGATTTAATTTGCTAATATTTTGAGGAGGGTTTTTGTATCTATGTTAATGAGAGATACTGGTCTTTCTTCAGTTTTGGTATTAGGGTAATGCTGACCTCATTAAGTTAGCAAGCATTCTTCTGTTTCTATTTTCTGGCATAAATTGTGGAGGACAAGTATCATATTTTTCTGTAAATGCTTGATAAAATTCAGAGAAGCCATCTGGGCCTAATTATTTCTTTTGTGGAGCATTATTAATTGTTGATTAAATCCATTTAATAGATGTAGGCCTATTCAGATGATTTATTACTCCCTGTTTGAGGTTTTGGTGGTTTGTGTCTTTCAAGAAATTTGTTAGTTTTATCTAAGTTATAAAATCTGTGAGCATAGAGTTGTTCGTATTATGGGATCAACAGTGATGACCTCACTTTATTTCTGATATTGGTAAATTGTACCTTCTCCCTTCTTATTTCCTGTTTAGCTTACCTAGAGATTTGTCAATTTTACTGATCTCCCCAAAGAACCAGTTTTTTATTTTATTCATAGCTCTATTGTTTTCCTATTTTTAATTGCACTGACATGTGATCTAATAGTTTTCTCCGTATGTTGCTTTTGTTCTTGGGGCATTTTGCAATTCAAGGCTTATAAAGAGGCTGAAAAGCTTGTTATGAGAGGCCAACGCATTTTAAGAAATCTTACATGACCGAGGAGCCAAAAAGTCGGATATAAGGCTGCAAAAGCACTCACAACTTGAAGTTGCAAGATTTCTGAGAAAAGAGAGGCACAGACAAATGACAGTAATATGCCACATCAGTTTTACCCTTGGTGCTTCTGTTGACTAAGTTCTGCAGGGTAAGCAGCTAAGAATCCTACCAGAGGGAAACTAGAAAGAAGAGCTAGTTTTGTTTTTTTTAGGTTGCTGAGGATATGCCTGAATCTCTCAGCTGGGAATCCTGAAGGATTACTCTCTAATGGAGTAAATCAGGGGTGACTAAGACTTACAATGATTGTAAATCTATTTTGAGTCAGCTCATCCCTAAGGACTCAAATGATTTGTCCCTCTGTTTCCTTACAGAAAAGAGGGAAAAACATCATGAAGAGAGAAAACACATATCATTTGTTTTATGACAAAGTACAATGAGTGAAGGAAGTTATTTTACCTAAATGGTGTTTAGTCTGTTGGATATCCGTAGAGAACTAAACGCATCTTGAACCATATACAAAAGTCAATTCAAGGTGTGTTATTAAAAAAGATTCTTCCCAAGAGAGTTTCTAGACTATTGAAGTGACCACAGAGAGATGTTCAGTAGAGGAGTGTACTACCAGTAGACAGAGGAGAGCTGGAACAGTGTCCCAGTATGGGAATTATAGTTGGGAATATCCAGCAAGACTTCTAGAAAACCTATAAAAGTGTGCTGTAAGGGAAAGGTAAGCATTTGTACATCTGCTACTCAGAAAACTCTAATGAAAACTGTACTAGATATTTAAGGCAGTATCAACCATCTAATACTGTCGTTCAATTTTCACTTGCATATTAAGTGATGAGTCAGGACTCAACCAACTACAGCTCAGTTATGGAAAAAGTTCTTGTTATCTTTTAGGATGGTTGAACAGAAAACCCTTTAAAACCTGCTAGTTCTGCAGAAAGAAAATGCGTGAGAATTTTTGTTTTGAGTTGTAAGTGATGAAAACCCAACTAAAAGTTAAACTAGCTTAAACAAAGCATCTATGTTGGCTTATTTAACTAAGGAAGCAGGTATGCTGTGAGCTCTAATCAAAGGTAGATCTAAGAACTCAGCAATAACTTCACGAAAATGTTTCTCTATATTTGGATTCTGTATTCTTCTGCATTGGCTCTTTTCTCAGATTGGCTCATTCTATGCAAGGGTCCTGAAAAATTGAGAATTATTTTCTAAAAGTTTAGCAACATCAGAAGAAGGAAAGGCTTTTTTCAAGTAGTGAAATTCTAGAGTGGGACTCTTGAGCTCAAGTTGTATCCTGTGCCCATTCTGAACCGATCACAGTTGCTCTGATTGAATGAGAGTAGAAAGTTAGTTCTCTAAAGGAAAACTGAAGCTCTTTTTTTTTTTTTTTTGACAGTCTCACTCTGTCACCCAGGCTAGAGTGCAGGGGCGTGATCTCAGCTCACTGCAGCTTCTGCCTCCTGGGTTCAAGCAAACCTCCTGCCTCAGCCTTCCAAGGTGCGCCACCATGCCTGGCTCATTTTTGTATTTTTTTTTTAGTAGAGATGGGGTTTTGCCATGTTGACCAGGCTTGTCTCAAACTCCTGACCTCAGGTGATCCGCCCACCTCAGCCTCTCAAAGTGCTGGGATTACAGGCGTGAGCCACCGCGCCCAGCCTGAAAACTGAAGTTCTCTTACTAGAAATGGGATAGGAGATTACTGATGCTGGCCAGGCAAGAGTCTGTCTCAGTGGAGAAGTTTGATTTCTAGTCACAGTGTAAATACGCATGCTGTTTTGAACAAGTCTTACATAAGCTGTTCTTCCTGTGGAGGAATTGTGGATGAGCCTTAACTTCTCCTTAATTAGCAATTATAAATAGAGTATCCTTAGTAGAAGAAAGAGTAGTCACCTAAATAGAGTAGAAGAAAGAGTAGTCACCTAAATATAGTAGAAGAAAGAGTACTCAGCTAATATCTAATCAAAGTAGGGCTACTTCATATTAAAAGAGTAGGATGGATGAATCAGAAATACTCTACCAAATGAGTAAGTTCATTTTAGAAATATCAATACAAATGTTTTCTGTAGACTCCCTTAAGTACAAAGTCAACAGAGAAGGCATACATTTAAAAATAGCTCTCATAAAATGTATGTTAGTCTAAAGAAGAAGTACTGCATTATTTGTTGAGCTGAAATTTGCATGGTAAACTTTTCATTACTTATTCTATTCCCTTCCCTCCCATTGAACTCCTCTAGTATTCTTAAGAGGGAGAACACACTGAACATGCTATTTTTATACCAGTCCAGAAACAAATAAGCAGGTTAAAAACAACTTATAAATCATAGGAATTCGAAATGGAGCACACACATTATATTTTCTCTTGGCTTTCTTTTAACTCTTTGTCTACTCTTATATTTAATATTTATAAAGATAATAACATATTGTGTCAGGTGCAAATATGGGGAAGGGGATTTTTTTATTCCATTAAATGTTCTTCCTTGCAGGTTTAAGACTTATCCTTGGGCAAATTACTATCCTGCTGTGTTGAGACCATTAACAGAGTAGCTTCTTACCACTGTCTGGGAAGCCATGTTTCTAGGAGGTCAAAATTGTGGTGTCTGCAGAAGCCATGGCCTTGCTCGCAGCCACTTAATAATAATAAGTGTCTTTTACGAATAAATTTAGGACAATTCATAGGGGAGAGGATCTAATCAAAGGGGAAGCACTTAGGGAACTTAGGTTTTGAGAGGAAGCATTTAATTTTTTTCCCAAATATCTACAACCAGGTGGTGATTCAACGCATATCTCAATTCACTGACCCTGACTATTCCTCAGGGAAGTACTGTGTCATTAAGTGCTTGGTTCACTCCATTCATGGATGCTTAAAAATGTAGCTGGAAGAATGATTAATAACTTACAATTTACTTTTAAAAGCCTGAAATGGAAAGTTGTGAATATATTTCTCAATGGAGATTATTTATCATATACAGTTTTTGTCATTTCAGCATTCACTTCATCTCACTCTTTTAACTCAGTGAACACTCATTAATTATAGTCTAGGTGCAAGACACTCTGCCAAGATGAATGGCATGTGGCCCCCTCACTTATCTGGGGAAAAAAGATAGACATACATAAAATTAACTATAGTACAAGGCAGAATAGACTATTGCAAATTTATAATGTATTTTTACCTATTTGTTCAGTTTGAGCTTCACAAAAATCATTTGAATCATTTGAAGTAAGAAGAAAATCCCAAAACCAAGTCATGTTTTGATTCCTCCCTTTTCCTCATTGAGGGCAGGAGCCAAGTCTGTCTTTGTCTCCTGTTTTCCTCAGTGTACCTGAAATATAATAGCCATTCAGTGAATTCTCATTAAATAACTGAATGAATGAGTGTGTAAATAAATTAATTAAAGGCAGAAAGGACAGGTATTGTCTGAGGTAGAGGTGATGAGAGATAGAGCAACCTCAGGTGGGTCGCAGATTTCTGATTTCGTTGACTTAGGTAGGTGTTAAGGGTAGGATTTGGTGGAGGGAGATGATGTAGAGCTTTGGAAATGTAGAATGGGAGGAGAAATAATTATTTTGAAACATTAGGGCTGAGATAATCAATCAAGAGAAAAACAAGTGTGTATGTCAGATGAAGAGCACATGGTATAGACGTAGACTGGGAGATATCACTTGAAGTCATGAGTGTAAGACTATGAAACAAACAAAGATAGATCCTTCGGGAATATTCATTTGAGGGTTGGGCACTACAACAAGAATATATCTTTCAATGGAATTTCACTGCAGGTTGAATTTTATAAGACAAAAGGCCCTGAGCCATTGTCTAAAGACTTTTTGGCCAGACTGTTTCTTGAGGCTTCAGATAGTAGCATGATGAATATCAGCAACAAATGCAAAGTTTATAGAAGAGAAGAAAACCAGAATTAGAATAGGGTTAATAAAAAAATTACTAAGAAAAATATATTGCTTATCTCTTTATTTCCTTTTTGGAACAGTCTATTGGAGAAGTAGAGGTTAGAGAAACAAAGAAAATAATCCATGCAGGGGCCATGAGGAGTGAAGAATATCATCCAAGATCACTCCTACTTTGTGTCAACCACAGTGAGGACCTAGACACACACTGATATACTCCTCATAAGCCTCTGAAAAGTAGGTGTTATGATCCCTGTTTCCAGACTCTGAGAGGTAAGTGATGCCTGAGGACCCACAGCCCTTAGGAAGAAGCGTCAAGCCTCGACCTCTCCAAAGTCCCAGTTCCTTCTACCACTCATTGAATGACTCCTTCAAGAGTCAGGATTTGTTATGACAATTCAGTACCTAAAAGATGAGAGATGCAGTCAATCAATAATTTGTTTAGATGACAATGTCATTTATAAATTTCAGTGAGGTATTGACAAAAGGTATATTTTAGTGGGTATGCATCAGTGCAGCAATTCTATTTGTTTATGGCTGAGCCTGATTGCTTGGTGGTCTGTCCTGATTGGTTGCTGCCATGTCATACCAGTTGTTAAGTATTTTGACTATTTCTTCTGGGAATCATGACCATCACATAAGGTACTGAGTCTGGAGCTATTTATCTTGATGTTGCTCTTTATATGTTGTGTATAAACCTGAGCATTGTTATCAATAGAGAAGATGCAGCTTTTATACCCTGAAAATGGATACTTAAAATGAACTAGTCTACTCAAAAAGTATATTTTAAATATATATATTATATGTGAGGCACTGTGCCTGGATATATTATAATGAACAGCATTAATATTGCTCCTTGCCCTCCTGGAGGTTATAGTCTATGGCAAACAGAGTATGAGAGGAGTCACAGCAGTAGATACACAGATGCTGTTAAAACATAGATAAAGGAAACTTCTAGAACAAATAATCTCTAACCCCTAAATGAAAAGCTAGTCAAATAAAGCAATGAAGTTGCTTGGGGGTAGGTGGAGTTGTTTCAGGAGCAAAAATAGTATGTGCACAGCCCTGAGGCAAGGTAGAATAGGACATTTTGAAGATGTAAAAGAATTGCTGTGTAGATGGGTACTAGAGAAGAAAACAGGAAGTGAATGACTCTCAAGGGTATAGAAATAAGCCAAGATGAGATTCTGAAGGGCCTTACTCCTGAAGACCCTATGCTAAGGTGGTGAAAGTGGCCCAGGAGCAGAAATGAGAGAATAGTACTACCGCTTCAGAGAGATTAGTGGAATTGTAGGATAATTTTGAGAGAGAAAACTGAATGCAGGGAACTCATTTAAGAAAATACTGTGGAAACCCTGTGGAGAAAAAAATGACTGCCTGGAATAAGAGTGGGTCTTTGAGAATGAAAAAGGGAAATGGATGCTCATGATGTTCGGTAGTTAGAATTCATGGATTTTGGAAATTTATATTGTGATGGGTGAAGGAGCAAAAAGAATGAAATATAATGCACAGTTATAGCCCACGGTTTTTTTCACTGAAAATGGGGGCACAGGAATGGCTGGTTTGGGACATGTTGCATTTGAGTTGCTGTGGGATGCCTGTGGTGACACAAAGATTTTTAAATTTCAAATAGCTATTGTTCTAGAATTTAAATTTAGCTGATATTCTTAGAATGTGTTAAATTGTTCATGTAGTAATTTATTTTAAAATGTTTCAGTACAGTGTGCTGTATGTGTCTGATTTACTTTAATCTAAGCCCAAGTGGTTTTTGGCATATGAATTACCCTAGTTAGGAATCAATGCTCTGCAGGTAGTGCATAAACACTATAAATATTATCAATTTTTTTTATCAGGAGTATGTTAATTAGAAGAAAGAATGCTAGAAATAATTCAAATGCGTAGATAACTGAAAAACTGTGAAATAGAAGGTTTTAAAAATAAAAGCTTTATTTTTAAACTAAGGAAAGGGATAAGCTGATACAACCTTTTGTTAATATACAAAAGTTGATATTCTAAGCACATCTGGAAATAAATATCCATGCTCATTTTCTTTGTAAACAAAATACACACATATTATTAGAGGCCATTGACTTAATATTCTTGGGAGAAGTATTAAAAATCTATTTCAGATTACAGCTTTGTTGAATTCAGTAATAATGTAACTTAAGTGATAAGTTGCATTTGTCAAAAATGTATATTAAAAATATAAACTTTTTTCCAATTTGAATGCAGGATTGTTTATATTTTAGAGTGAGCACTACACAGTTTTTAGTCTTAAGGATCAACAAGAATGTCTGATAACAGTATGGAGTGAAGAATCTGCATTCCTTTGTCCCCTGCCTTCTCCCCCATCCTTTACTCTCAAACTAAGGAACCCAAAGACATTTGGCCCTTGGGGAGTAACAAGAATAATCCAGATGGGGATAATCCTTCCCAGTTGGCAAAAGGAAACAAGCAGAAAACAACATGACTCTCAGAAACTCAAAATTTCTCCCTTGGACTTCCAGTAGAATTTCATGTTAATCATCCTAGAGGCTTCCAGAGAAAGCTATAACATGTTTAATATTTTACAATCTTAAGTGTCAAAAGTTTGTCTATACCTAATGCAAATGATTAACTTACAAAATTATTGGAACTATTTCCTTTTTTTTTTTTCCTCCAGGCAATGTGTTCTACTCAGGAAGGTGGCAGGCACTTAGGGACTGCTATTGAGCAGCTCCCCAGCTTGTTATTCAATGGATAGTAGCTTTTCTTCCTAACAGTCAAAATGTGCTACTAGCTGGGAAACTCCAAATAATGTGGAGCTGGGGAAGAATGGAAGAATGCAGGAAGAGGGCAGGTAGCAAAAATCACCGGAGACCAGGCATATCATCCCATGCACAGAAGACAGTAGTCTGTGCATGGGATAATATATCGTGGTCCAGAGGGTTTCTGTCAGTGAAGAAAGAGGCCAGAAATAGCATGCCCTAGACTATACCATAAGTGATGGCACAGTGGGTTTCATAGAAAGATGAACTTACAATTCAAGCATTCAAGAAAACTCTGCCTTGAAGTTTATTAACTGGGAAGACTATGCACTTATTAAACTGTTGGTGTCATAGCCCAAAGCTACTTATAGATGTTATTTTAAAATGTCCTCGGAGCCTCTGGCATGCTCTTCTAGCTTTCCTTCATGGAAGCAGATTTCCATTCATTAATGTAATGTTTATCAAAATGCATGGTTTCCCATAAATTACCTCAGAATTTTCTAAAATAACTAGATGAATCTGAATTTCTCAGGTTAAGGCCCAGGAGTTTGCATTTTTATAGGGTTTTTAGTTTCTTAATAAACCACTACTTTAAAACACGATTGGGTTAATATATAGTATACTGTGGGGCCAGATCCAATGGCTTTGCACAGTTACACAAATATAGGCTATAGGTATAGGAATGTAAAGGAAAGTGGTGTATTTTCTTATCCTGCTTGTCAGTTACATTAGCTTTTTGAAGATGAGAATTTTCAAATGGTTTGAGCAATGTTTATGGTAATATTTAGACCATAGTTCTTTTAAAAGGTTGAAGGTCCTTGTAAAACATGCAAAATGTAATATGTCTAATTACGAAAAGAAGTGCCATTTAGAAATAGCCATATTTTGCAGTAAAACATTTTAGATCTTTTTAAACCCTTGTCTGCATATTATTATGATCTAAAAATATTATGCTTTCCCCCCAGGAGATTTTGATATATCCTCCTGTAAAGGGGATAGGGTATGCTTTATTGAGCATTACTGCATTTAAAAAAGCAATAGTTTTTTTTTCAAAATTATAATTGTTTAATTTGAATGTACTTTATTGAACATAAAGAACAGGCTCTACTTACTTTTAAGATTCTTGTATTTCCCCAGACACAGTTTTTCCCCTGATTGAGAACACCATCATTTAGAGAATGAGAGAGAAAAACTGGAAAATATACTCATTTATATACATTCTATTTTTTCCAGGTAAATGTTGGTAATAAACACACATTAAGGACAGTGTTTCTGCCCTGCCATTGAAGGTATTACTCAGCTAGAATATTCTCTGCCTACATAGATCAAATTCATAAGGTAGTTATTTAATTTTCTTTTCATTTTAATGAAGAGTATCTTAGTGGTAGAACCTACCTCTTCCTACTGAATTAAAAGTATTGGCAGTAGAGCAAAGGCCATAGGCAGTTTTTATTTGATTGTTTTTGGTTTTTCTTATGTGAAAACATTTCAGCAATTTTGTCCCAGGTGTTTACTGTCCATGTTAAGCTCTGATTTCATTTTGGCATGAAGAACAACATGAATTTAATGACATCCAGGTGTAGAAATGGTTACTACTGTCGTGGGAGTTGGAGACCCAATTGGCAAGACTGAAAATTAGTTTCTGAACTTCACATTTTGCATTTCCTTCTTTCTGCTCAGCACAATAGTTCTGCTGCACTAAGGAAACTGCTAATATCCAATTTAGGAAGAGCTGGTGAATGGTATTCACATGAGCAAGATAAATTAAAATCTTCTTAATGAGATAGCAGCCAGACCTGAGAGGGAAGGTTTCCTGAAGACTCCAAATTTTGAACTTGGATGCTTGGGCTTGAGGCTTCAGCAAACTCTCACATCATGAATGTGGGGACCGTGGTATCATATACCTCATCACAATCTGGCTAACACTATTTCATTTCATTAATGAAGAGTTTTGGTTATCAATTCAGTTTTTGTCATTCCAGCTGTTTGCATTGACTGTTTTTAACTATAGGCAGGAGGAGTTCCCTCTTACTGATAGAAGAGTCAGACTTGTAGTTCTATTTAGGCCTTCAGCTGATTGCCATAAGGGCCACTCATATTAGGGAGGGAAACCTGATTTACAGTCTACCTATTTAAATGTTAATATCATCTTAAAATCTAAAATAATGTTTGACCAAATATCTGGATACCCCCTGGCCCAGTCAAGTGAGCACATAAAATTAATCATCACGCCTATCAAGTCACAAATGATATAGATGAACCTTAAATGTATATTCAAACTTAAAGAACCCAGTAAGAAAAGAATATATACTATATGATTCCGAGTTTGTGACATTTAGGAAAAAGCAAAACTATAGAGACAGACAGTAGAAAGAACAGTGATTGTCAGAAGTTCTGCAGGAGGAGCTCGGGGTTTAATATGTGAAACATGGGCGATTTGGGGGTGGTAAAAGTATTTGGAATTATACTATAGCAGTTGGTATATGAAACTGTGCATTTTTCAAAACTCATACAACTTTACAGCACCAAGATCATACCTTAATGTACATAATTCTATTTTACCTTATTATTTTAAAATTATTTATTTTAGAGATGGGCACTCACTCTGTCACCCAAGCTAAAGTGCAGTGGCACGATCATAGTTCACTGTAACCTTGATCACCTGGGCTTAAGCAATCTGCTCACCTCAGCCTCTTGAGTAGCTAAGGCATGTGCCACCACACCTGGCTAATTTTTAAATTCGTTTGTAGAGATAGGTCTCTCTATGTTGCCAAGGCTGATATATCTGTTTTTGTTGTTTCTAATTAAAATTATTTAGGAATTCATGGGATCCAGGATGGAATGCAGACTGTAATAAAAAATCTAATCACATCACAATTAAGAACACAATCTCCCTGAAGAGGTGAGCTAAAATATAAGTGAGGAGTGTGCAAGGATGCTGAATGTTTGGGAATGAGAGGATAAATGAGTGATGCTTGAAAACAGACCACATTGAAAATCCTGCCACGGCAGCAGCTGCAGCCACCAACAGCAGTGGTGTTAGTGACCTAAGTAAGCACCGACTTCGTAGAAACCAGAACATCAGCCATCTTGGAAAAGAGAAAAACAATGGAGTTACTTATTTAAGAAAAACAAAAAACAAACAAACAAACAAAAAACACAACTATTTCTTCCCAGGAGAGGCTAGAAGTAGCTTTTCTGCCTTCTGGCCGGAGCCAATTGGAATGACTGGTTTGGGAGAGGAGGAGGGGTTGTGTCAGCTGTGGTGCTTTGTTGTAAAAGGCAGCCTGACCTTTGCTACTGAGGAGAAAGATGGAGCCGAGTCTCAAGCCCACCTTCTCTGTATCTTTGCCACGTGGTACTGTATGCCTGCCAGCTAGAAGGAAGGTAAGGAATTTTTTTACAGTCTGAGAATGAGTGTGGGTGAATGAGGCGGTATCCACATTCTCAACTTCGTGTCATTGCAGTTCCTTTTTCCTTTCCCAGAAAACAAGGGGTTAGATATTGCATTTCATGAAACTGACCAAAGTTCTGTCTACTGATGCAGCACAAGAGATGTAAACAAACAAACAAACAAACAAAAACGAGGAAAGATGCTCTTTGGGTTTTTTATTGTATTTTATTTTTATTACTTTAGGGAAAACACTGTCGAATGGTCAGAGCTCCTATCCTGATCTTTTCATCAAGGCGCCTTTCCTAATAATACGGTACAACTGTGAATGTAGACGTGGTTGGGGGGAGGGGGGAGAAAAAACTGGCATTAGAGGACATAGAAAAATAAAAGTATAATTGTTACAAATAAAGAACTCAGACTTCAAAAAAGTCACAACCCAAACAAACCAAAATTTAAATGATCAGAATTGGCAGTACAAAGAAAACGTCCTCTCCCGACTTATATTGTGGCAGTCTGAATGCCCCCAGAAAATTGTGCCGAAGAGTTTAGAAAAACAAATATACAATAAAAGTAAACACACATATACACAAAACAGCAAACTTTAGGTAACTACTTTGGATTGCAAAGTTACCTAAGTAACTTTGGAAATGAGTGAAGACTGTAAGATTTCACTCTGTATTATCAATATAAGCCAGATAAAATCACCGTATTCTAGGTTATAAAGTTGTTTCCCATGGGGGGTACAAGCTAACAAATCTAAAACAATTCAAAAATAATCAATTCACAAATATTCCAACATCCTCTATATCTGCAATTTTTCTCCCATAGCGTATATAATCTTCCAATACAATGGATAACTTATTTATTATGTTTATTGTTCATTGTTTCCCCCTACCAGAATGTGAGCTCTACAGTGTCAGGCGTCTTGGAACTGGATCATGGTAGGTTCTCAAATTTTGTTGAATTGTTTTGAGTCTAATTGAACATGCTTTGTCAAATATTAATCTAATATCCACGGGAGACAATGCAGGAAAATATGTTTAATGTACAGCTTCAGAGCCAGCCAACCCAGGAATGAGACCTGTCTCCAATGCTTGTTCTGTAATCTTTGGGAAGTTACCTAAAATTCAGCAAGGGAAAATGCAATGGCATATGGTTTAAAAAGGAGTTTCAAAATATCTTTTAATCCTCTCACTCACTCCTGTGTCTTTACATGTTATTTTCTTTTGGAACTAGGACTGGAATTGCTTTTCTGTACCAGTAATTTTAATGAGGTCAACAGTAAGTCAGATAGGAAAGAAATTCTATCACAAATTTTAAAAGATATATCTCTAAAGACTTTTTAAAAATCTATTTTATTTATAAAAATGTATTTGAATAGGCTGGAGTCCCTGAAGCTGAAAAACATAGTGTTGTAGTTTACCTGCATCTGAGTTTAGTCATAGCACTATATCTGCAAAAGCAGAGTAATAAATAGACCAGCCATCAAGTTCATTTGTTGAATAAGCTTCCAAACTGAGATTTTTGGCCTCCTTATTTAGCATACATAGAGGATACAAATAGTACTATGGAAATAATGGGCTGTTCTTAAAATTGGGCTCATCTGGTAGTGATTATCGTAGATTAGGATGAGGGAAATAAAATACTCAATTCTAATGGGTAACGTATTAGGAGAAAATGATTGATTCTCTACTAGCCACTACATACTGAAGATGAATGCCAAAAAAATTTTATCCAATGTAGTTAAACTAACTGTTTCTCTTAAAATCATAAATGTATCTGGAAAGGAGGCTGTAAATATTTCAAAACAGTAGAAAAGCCTATTTGAAATATTTTCTAAACATCCAAGACATGTAGTCATATTAAGTACTGAGAAGCTATATTTGCTGAACTTTAAAAAATAGAACTAAAAATCTATTGCCTGGGTCTGAATTAAATGATAACCACAACTGAAGCATATGGAAATGAAGTTTATAAATACAGGACTGAATATAAATTCTGTGTAATAAAACTTGATAAAAAAGAATTTTAGCAAAATATTAATTTATTATCATGTTGTTTTATTTTCTTGCAAAGGTGAGTTGATGTTGCTGGCTATAACTCACATGACCAAAATCGTCTTTACATTATTCTACCACCATTTGTTTTGCTTATCTTTGAATCTTCCAAGACCATTGCCCTCTCTGATCAGCCCAACCATGGCAGTAGCTCTTAGCAGAAGGTAATTTCAAAAGGTCATTTAACATAGATGATTATAATCCTGAATGATTTTGGCTTTAATTAGAATGATCCATGATGTCACCATCCCTCAAGGGTTGGTTGACTAACAGTATCCCAGAGAGAAGCCACGCTACAATCCAAATTCCTCAAATACTTCCCAAGTGCCCTGTATATTCCTCAGGCACCGAGACAGGAATTTGAGGTATAAAAATGAATAATATATTCTGTCTAACTTCAGATTGCCTATAGTCTTGTAAAGGAAATAGAGATGCATATAAATAATAATATTACAGTATAATATACAACAAAGAATTGCATATAATGAATGTTACAGAGTGAAGATTGTTTCAAAAGTCAGAGAGTCATAAAATCTTCAAAGAGAAACTTAAGAGTCTTATGGTGATTAAGAGTTTTACAGCCAACAATCTGAAATGAGGCACTCCAGAAAATAAGAGGCATTGACAAGGCATAGAAGGTGTATTTAGATACTTACCAGTGTTTTGATATTTCTATATCATAAGGCCAGATAGAAGGCTAATACCCAAGATTCATATTTTTGCCACGCTAAAAAATATACCTGGTTTCAAATCAGTCACTGAAAGTGTTTGAGCTTGTGGAGAAGAAGAGAGGATGATGATCAGATAATCATTTCAGAGAGAATGCTCTGGCAGCAATGTGGATGACGTATCCTAGGGAAGCAAGATGGGAGCAGAATTAGATCCACTGTAATGGTATGGTGACAGGTGATGAGTGTTTGAACTAAAGTAATGAAAATGGGGGTGGAGAGAAAAGATAAAACTTGAAATCAATTTAAGAAATTAAACTGACAAGACTTAGAGATTAATTGGCTATGGGGGTTGGTTATATAGGAGAGAGAGAGTCTAAACTCTTGAGGACTTGGCTTATGTGAGGAATTCTCTTCTATTGCTAGTAACAGACACCAGAAATAACAGTGGCGAAAATAAGTAGTAGTTGATTTCTCTCTCTGATGATCCAAGTATAAAGGTAAGTATTCTAGACCTAGATAATAGCAACACAATGTCAACAGAGACAAAAGCTCCTTCGATCACTTAGCTCCACCATATGTTTTTTTCTTGGACAATTTTTATTGTCCAAGATAGTTGCTGCAGCTCAACTTTTATTTCCATATACAAGGCAGGGAGCCAGAAGTAAAAAAGCCCAGTCTTTTCTCTCTTTTTCCTAAGGTTCACTGAATTCCCACCTAACCTGTTTGCCAGAACTTAGCAACATGGTCACACCTAGCAGCAATGTTGGCTGGGAAATATTTAATTTTTTCTGAATATTTTGCCACTCTAAATGGACTATTTGGAATTGGCTTACTAAACAAGAAGGATAAATGATTATTAGACAGACAATTAACACTTCTTTAACAGATATTTTATGAACAATAAGAAAAAGTATATTAACAGAATATTAGGTGTGAGATAGAGAAGGGGTACATAGGAATTAATGTGTTTACTTTTGGGTCTTTCAGTTTGGTAGAGTGTTGGTCTTATGGAATATACAGTTGATATTGGTTAAATGTACAAACGTCCAATGGATGATTCAGTTAGGTTTAAGAGGAGAAGTAGAGTTACCTGTGTTAACTTTGGAGTTATCTGATGGTATGAAGATGTTGAAGATAAGCCAAATATTCTTGTTCTCATTGATAGCATTAAAGCTGAAGACAGGCATGAATTATAATAATGGAGTCAGATGTAGTTCACCATGGTTAACTAAATTTTTACACCTCTGAGAAGAGTTGTTTCTATTGGATTTGAAGTGTTATAAGCAATACATAGAATATTCTCAAACACAAACCAAGCTGATGTCAGTAATGTCCTCTGCTCTTAGGAAGCTGTCATCACTATGATCTTGGGTGAAACAGGATTCCTCCAGCTCTTTCTTTTCAGGAAGAGTAGAATATTTACACATGCATATATATATGTACATATATATGCATGTGTATGTATAAATACATATATATGTATTATATATAATACATATAAAATCTGTACACATTTTGGAGACACATATGATATTTTGACACATGTATATAATGTGTAATAATCCAATCAGGGTAATTGGGATATCCTTCACCTCATTTATCCTTCATTTGTGTTGGGAACATTACGAATCTTCTAGCTATTTTAAGATACATGATAAATTACTGATAACTACGATATCCATATTTTACTATTGATTACTAGAACTTATTCCTCGTATCTAACTGTATTTTTGTGCCCCTTAACAAACCCCTCTTTGTCCCCTCTTCCCAGCCTCTTGTTACCTTCTGTATTAGTCTGTTCTCATACTGCTATAAAGAAATACCTGAGACTTGGCATTTTATAAAGAAAAGAGGTTTAACTGGCTCATGGTTCCATAGGCTGTACAGGAAAGATGACTGGGGGAGCCTCAGGAAACTTAAAATCATGGCAGAGGGGAAGCAGGCACATCCTACATGGCTGGAGCAGGAGGAAGAGAGAGTAAAGAGGGAAGTGCTACACACTTTGAAAACAACCAGATATCCTGAGAACTCAGTATCACAAGAACAGCAAGGGGGAAATCCAGCCCCATGATCCAATCACCTCCCACCAGGCCCCTCCTCCAATATTGGGGATTGCAATTCGACATGAGATTTGGGCGGGGACACAAATTCAAACCATATCACCCCTATTCTATTCTCTACCTTCATAAGATCTGCTTTTTAGGCCAGGCATTGGGGCTCATGCCTGTAATCCCAGCACTTTGGGAGGTGGAGGCAAGTGGATCACCTGAGGTTAGGAGTTCGAGGCCAGCCTGGCCAACATGGTGAAACCTCATCTCTACTAAAAATACAAAAATGAGCCTGGCATGGTGGTGCGTGCCTGTAATCCCAGCTACTTGGGAGGCTGAGGCAGGAGAATCACTTGAACCTGGGAGGCGGAGGTTGCAGTGAGCCGAGATTGTGCCATTGCACTCCAGCCTGGATGACAAAAGCAAAACTTCGTCTCAAAAAAAAAAAAAAATCCACTTTTTAGCTTCCACATATGAGAAAGAATATTCAGTGTTTGTCTTTCTGTAACTGGTTGATTTTACTTACTATTATGACCTCCAGTTGTGTTCATGTTGCTACAAATTACATATATACAGTTCTATATATACATACAGTTCTGTGTGTGTATATATATATATATATAAATTCAGCTGTGTATATATATATATATATACCACATTTATCTATTCATTTGTTAGTGGACACTTAGTTGATTCTATGTATCCACTATTGTGAATAGCGCTGTGATATGTATGTGAGTGCAGATATCTCTTCAATATACCAATTTC
The DNA here is from genome assembly GCF_000001405.40 of Homo sapiens. NCBI lineage: Eukaryota > Metazoa > Chordata > Mammalia > Primates > Hominidae > Homo > Homo sapiens. The sequence goes on from NC_000007.14 coordinate 19,818,950, forward strand.
CTCTCTTTTGGACATATGTGGTGTGATTGCTGGGTCATAAGGTAGCCCAATTTTTAGTTTTTTGAGGAACTTCCATACTGTTTTCCATAATGGCTGTACTACTTTAAATTGCCACCAGTAGTTGTAAGAGTGTTCCCTTTCCTCCTCATCCTTGTCACCATTTGTTATTTTTTAATCTTTTTATAATGCCATTCTAACTGAAGTACAATGATATCCCACTGTGGTTTTTATTTGCATTTCCCTGATGATTAGTGATGTTGAGTCTTTTTTTTCTGTATTTGTTGGCCATTTGTATGTCTTCTTTTGAGAAAAGTCAATTCTGATCTTTTCCCCACTTTTTGATCATATTATTATTAATATTTTGCTATTGGGTTGTTTGAATTCCTTATTTATTCTCTGGGTATTAATACCTCATTAGATGAATACTTTGCAAATGTTTTTTCCCATTCTGTGGCTTCTCTCTTCACTTTGTTGATTGTTTCCTTTGTGAGCAGAAGCTTTTTAGCTTGAGGTAATACCATTTTTAAATTTTTGCTTTGGGTGCCTGTGCTTTTGAAGTCTTACCAAAAAAACCTTTGGCCAGATCAATGTTCTGTAGCATTTCTTCAATGTTTTTATTGACTAGTTTTATAGTTTCCAGTCTTATATTTAAGTCTCTAATCCATTTTGAGTTGATTTTTATATATGTTGAAAGATGGAGATATAATTTTATTCTTCTGCATAGGGATACACAGTTTTCCAAGCAGTATTTATTAAAGAGACTTCCTGGCTGGGCGTGGTGGCTCATGCCTGTAATCTCAGCACTTTGGAAAGCCAAGGCGGGCAGATCACCTGAGGTCAGGAGTTCGAGACCATCCTGGACAACATGGTGAAATCTCGTCTCTACTAAAAATACAAAAATTTGTTAGGCATGGTGACAGTAATCCCAGCTACTCAGGAGGCTGAGGCAGGAGAATCACTTGAACCTGGGAGGCAGAGGTTGCAGTTAGCAGAGATCGTGTCATTGCACTCCAGCCTGGGTGACAAGAGTGAAACTCTGTCTCAAAAAAAAAAAAAAAAAAAAAAAAAAGAGAGAGAGAGAGACTTTCTAGTTCTTGGTGCCTTGTCAAAAATGAGGTGGCTGTAAGTGTATGGATTTATTTCTGGGTTCTGGGCTCCATTCCATTTCTCTGTGTGTCTGTTCTTATGCTAGTATCATGTTGTTTTGGTTACTATAGCTTTGTAGTATAATTTCAAATCGGGTAGTGTGATGCCTCCAGCTTTGCTCTTTTTGCTTTGGGTGTTTTTAGCTATTTGGGGTCTTTCCTGCTTATATATGAATTTTAGGATTTTTTTTCCATTTCTGTCAAGAATGACACTGGTATTGATGGGTATTGCATTGAAGCTTCTTTACCTAATATAGACATTTTAACAATATTAATTCTTTCAATTCATAAGCATGAGATATCTTTCCATTTGGGGGAGGTTCTCGTCAATTTATTTTGTTAGTGTTTTATAATCCTCCTTGTAGAGATCTTTCACTTCTTTTGTTAAATTTATTCCTGGGTGTTTTTTGTAGCTATTATAAACAATATTGCTTTCTTGATTTCTTTCTTAGGCTGATCACTGTTAGCATATAAAAATCCTACTGATTTTTCTTGTATGTTGATTTTGCGTCCTGCAACTTTACTGAATTCTTTTATCAGTTCTAAGAGTTTTTTGCTTCAGTCTTTAGGTTTTCATAAACATAAGATCATGTTGTCTACAAACAAGTTTCATTTATTCTCATCCTTTCCAATTTTGATCTCCATTTATTTCTCTTTTGTGATTGCTATGGAAAGAGCTTCCAGTGGTATGTTGAATAGAAGTGGTGAAAGTGTGCATACTGGTTTTTTTTTTTTTTTCCAAGATGAAGTTTCACTGTTGTTGCTCAGGCTGGAGTGCAATGGTGCCACCTTGGCTCACCGTAACCTCCACTTCCCAGGTTCAAGCAGTTCTCCTGCCTCAGCCTCCGGAGTAGCTGTGATTACAGGCATGTGCCACCACACTGGGCTAATTTTGTACTTTTAGTAGAGATGGGTTTCTCCATGTTGGTCAGGGTGGTCTTGTACTCCCAACCTCAGGTAATCTGCCTGCCTTGGCTTCCCAAAGTGCTGGGATTACAGGCATGAGCTACCGCACCCAGCCGAAAGTGTGAATACTTGTTTTGTTCAAGATTTTAGTGGAAAAGTTTTCATTATTTTACCATTCAGAATAACAGCTGTGAGTTTGTCATATATGGCCTTTATCATGTTGAGATATATTCCTTCTGTACCCAATTTGTTAAGAGTTCTTATTACAAAGGGATGTTGAATTTAATTGCACACTGTTTCATCACTGATTAAAATGATCACATTTTTGTCCTTGATTCTGTTGATGTGATATGTCATATTTATTGATTTGCATATGTGGAAACATCTTTGCATCTCTGGGATTAGTTCCACTTGATCATGGTGAATGATCTGTTTATTGTGTTGCTGAATTCAGTTTGCAAGTATTTTGTTGAGGATTTTTACATCTGTGTTTATCACGGATATTGGCCTATAGCTATTTTTCTTTTGTTTTTGCGTCCTTATTTGGTTTTGGTATTGGGGTAATGCTGGCTTCAAATAATTTGTTTGGAAATATTCCCTTCTTTTCAATTTTTTCAAATAGTTTGAGTAAAATTGGTATTAGTTCTTTAAATGTTTAGTAGAATTCAGCAGTCAATCAGTCAGGTCCTGGGCTTTTCTGTGATAGGATATTATTATTATTATTTTTACTGCTTTGATTTCTTTAGTTACCATTGGTCACTTCGAGTTTTTTAATTTCTTCATGGTTCAGTTTTGGCAGGTTTTATGTATCCAATCGTTATCCATTTCTTACATGTTTTCCAATTTGTTGGCATGTAGTTTTTCATAGCAGTTACTAATGATTCTTTGTATTTCCGTGGTATCAGTTGTAATGATTCCTTTTTCACCTCTGATTTTGTTTGTGTTTTTTTCTTAGTGTAGCTAAAGATTTGTCATTTCTATTTACCTTTTCAAAAAATTCAACTTTTTGTTTTGTTGATCTTTTGTAGTTTTTCCTCTCATTTCCAGTTATTTCTGTTTTGATATTTATCATTTCTTTCTAGTTATTTGGGTTTTTCTTGTTTTTCTAGTTCCTTGAGGTTCATCATTAGGTTATTTAAGTTTTTCTGTTTTTGGATGTAGACAGTTATTGCTATAAAACTTCCCTTTTAGTACAGCTTTTGCTGGATCCCACATATTCTGTATGTTGGGTTGCCATTTTCATTTGTTTCAAGAAATGTTAAAGTTTTCTTCTTAATTTCTTAGTTGACCTATTGGTCATTCGGAAGTATGTTGTTTAGCTTCCTTGTATTTGAACGGCCAGCTTAATTTTGAAAAGTTGTGTTGGTTCTCTTGGTTAATGAGAAACAAGAATCGTAGCTACATTTTTTTTAATGTAAATAAATATCGTTAAGCACCTACTACCAAGGAAAATAGAAGAAAAGGAAAATTTAAAAAATCATTACTTATAAGTATGACTCAACTCATGCTCTTTAATCAATCTTCATGGAAATGAAAATAAGTAGCCTACTTACCCACATTCTTGTCCTAAACTCTCCTAGTTATAGGCATGTACGAAAAAGCTGAGTTAAGTTGCTGGCATGTATGGAAATTCCCATTATTTTAAAAAATGTTCTACTACTTCAAAGAGCCAAAAATCTCTTTTTTCTAAGTTACATATGGGTAATAAATAAAAATATATTATATATCATATTTATATCTTGTGAATGAGTAGCCTTGCAATTATAGAGATGATTTTTCAATGGAGACAATAAGAGAGGAGGATATGAACAGGTTCAGTTGAGTGTGTTCCCTATAGAATATCAAACTTTTTTTATTATTTAAAAAATTTACGGCCGGGCGCAGGGGCTCACGCTTGTAATCCCAGCACTTTGGGAGGCCAAGGCGGGTGGATCACGAGGTCAGGAGATCGAGACCATCCTGGCTAATGCGGTGAAACCCCGTCTCTACTAAAAATACAAAAAAATCAGCCGGGCGTGTTGGCGGGAGCCTGTAGTCCCAGCTACTTGGGAGGCTGAGGCAGGAGAATGGCGTGAACCCGGAAGGCGGAGCTTGCAATGAGCCGAGATCGCGCCACTGCACTCCAGCCTGGGCGACAGAGTGAGACTGCGTCTCAAAAAAAAAAAAAAAAAAAAAAAAATTTATAACAAAAGAATGCTTTCATGTGTTACACGACAATTTTAAAAAAGCTACTCCAATAAGCAGAACACAATTTTGTGCTCCTTGTAAGCTAACTTTTAAGTGCTTTCATTGTACATTGTTTATTTTTTATAAATACTCTGTTGTAAGGTCTTGGATATAAAGGTAAAAATTTGTTTAGGTTGGTTCCTAGATTAAAATACTTGTTAAGAAGGTTTGGGTTTATCTTCAATCTGGATTACTAACGCATCCAAATTCCAGTTTATTGGTTTATAAAATTTTTGAACTGGAAAGAACTTTAATTTACACATTTTTTCTCCTGGGAAATATTACTCTCTGCATCAAAATAAAAAGTCGCAAGTTCATGAGTTACTAATGCTAGAACTAGTGCCAATTTGTAGGCATCATTTATTAATAACTAGTCTCTGTGAATGAGTTATTAAAATAACATAAAAGTTGCGCAGCCCTAACATGTAAACTCAAAATATGAAATGCTCCAAAATCTGAAACTTTTTGAGCACCAAACTAACATTACAAGTGGAAAATTCTGTACTTGACCTCACGTGATGGGTGCACAATATTATTAACAACATTCTATAGAATTACCCTGAAGCTACGTGTATAATGTGTGTCTGAAACTCGAATTTTATGTTTAGACTTGGGCCCCATCCCGAAGATGTCTCATTACCTATATGTAAATAGTCCAAAATACAAAAAAAAATCTGAAATCTGAAACATTTCTGGTCCCAAGCCTTTTGGATGGGGATAGTCAACCAGTATGTATTTATGCATGTGTATGCACACGTGCGCATGTGTCTAAATTCCATAACTTGGGTATTGAAAATAAAATATTTTCCAGTTATGGTAGATAAGATTACTCCTTTTGCTTTTTTTTAATTTCATTTACCATTGGCTTTAATAATATTGAACAATCTGGCCACCCTTGACAATATCAGTGTAATCCTCTCATACTATTAACTGAGTTTCACCATTATTTTTAATAGTATAATCTCTTTGGTAACATCATACTCTAAGCTTTAACTATGTAGTATTTAAGGAATGAAATAGAATCCTTCTGTAAAATCCCTGATATAATTTGTTAAAGCTCTGTGCTTTAATCACTATATAATTTCCTCTCTAAGTAAATTCTCTCTAATCCTCAGGACCACATTCCTAAATCCTAAAGACTGTGCCTTTTCAAAAGGGACATTCTACTTATTATTGGATAGCTTTTCAAGAGCTGCACCTCAAATAGATAATCAGGCTAGATAAAATAGAAAAGGTTAAGAGAAAAAATATTTTATTGTGCTCATCAGCTATGAGCCAATATGTTTCTTTTTTTTAAACAAAATTTTGGTTGGAAATTTATTCGCATTAACATGGTTATCTTCATATAATTTAACAAAATAAGCCTAAATGACAATAAATTAGACTCAAAGTCCAACACCATTTTAAACTTCAATTGAGTGAAGTGCTTAGTTTAATGTTGTTGGTTAATTCCATGCTAATACTTTGCTTTCAAACCTTGAAATTAAAATTGTATGTATCACATATTTTATTGCTTTGTTGTCATAGTGAGAAAAATGAAATATTAAAAAATTAATATGTTTAGTTAATTAGAAGACTTAACTAATTAATTAACAAGTTAAGACTTAACTAATTAATTAACTAGTTAAGACTTAACTAATTAATGATTTCCTGGTGTCACTATGCTATAGTTTTATGTAGTAAGTCTCATTGTATTAACACTGCATATCTGTGGGTGAGGAAGGATACAAGGAAAGCATAATTAAACTTTCTTTTCACTTGTATAAGCTTGTTTATTAAAAAGTAAATTCTTACGTAATTTTTTTCTTTTACATTTGTGCATCTGATCTAAAATCAAAGGTAGAAAACATTTCAATAAAATGTCTTGGTCATTGAGTTTGAATACATTGACATATACAACTGCAAATGAAATGATGGCATATGCTTTATAAATCTGTAGTGCCACAATAATCACATACTTAGCTTAAAGGCAGAATGTCTCCCTATCTTCTGCTGAGTTTTATCCTAATGAATGTTCCTTTAGTTTGCAATATTCATGAGACTGGTTGACCTATTTCTGCATTATTTTTATATCTAATAAAGATTCATCACCCTTTAGGTAGTTTTACCAATTGTAGTAATATTTCAGGCTTGTTCTGAAGTTGACATTTGAAAAGTAACAGTGAGAAGTTTTATTTTAAATGTAATGCTTTGTCGCATGAAAAAGATTCAAGCAGAAAGTAGCTGATCACATATAAAAATATGTTATACTACAGATGAGGAAAAACTCTTATGACATAAATGCAAGAATTTTACACCATATATATTATACCATATAGATGTATAAATATATAATACCATATATGTATATATATTTATGTATATGTATATATGTATATATATTTATACATATATATGTATAAATATTTATACATATATACGTATATATTTATACATATATACGTATATATGTATATATTTATACATATATATGTATATATATTTATACATATATATGTATATATGTAATTATATATTTATACATATATATGTATATATATTTATACATATATATGTATATATATACATATATATGTATATATACTATAAAGACTAATTTGCTAAATAAAAAACAGCAGATGAAAAACTGTCAGATGAGGACAGAGCTTGGATTTTACTGCAGCGTTTTTTAAAATACTGCATCTGTTACTATAATTGGAAATGAGAACTATCAGGATTCAGAATTTTCCTCCTGATGGATGACTTTTTGACATCCATATTCATTCTACCTGAACTACAGACTTTTGCTCCTGTTTCTACAATCTAAAAAATGGCTTTCCAACAATTCTTTCTATCAAAGACAGTGCTTCAAATATTTTGAGTAAAAAATTAGCACCATATCTTGTTTTTATTTCATTTGGAATATGAAGTATCATTTTTGGAGTCATTTAGGGTTCCAGGATATTTAACATCTTTTCAGAGACTCCCAGTTATTTTCAATCTATTACTCCTACGATTATGTAGCCTCCTTATTATAAGATCATCACAAAGGAAAACAAATTTTATCAGAATGTACAGACTTAAAAATAGAACATTCTGTATTGAATAAATAAAAATGTGTCAGGTTATTTTTCATGCATATGGAATACACACTTTAAGACTTTAAAAATAAAATCATAGACATGAGGTGATAAATTCAGTTTTCTTTCTCTGTCAAATCTTTTGGTGATTATGTAATTGAGCAGTTCTCGTATTATTATAATGCACACCTAAAATATTCTTTGAAAAAATACTGTACAGTAGGCATTCAGTGAGATCATGTGATAATTTTCAGAGAGATTATTAGAAGAACAAAAGGAAGTTCGAAACCAGCCTGACCAACATGGAGAAACCCCGTCTCTACTAAAAATACAAAAAATCAGCTGGGCGTGGCGGCACATGCCTGTAATCCCAGCTACTCTGGAGGCTGAGGGAGGAGAATTGCTTGAATCCGGGAAGCGGAGTTTGTGGTGAGCCAAGATTGCGCCGTTGCACTCCAACCTGGATGACAAGAGGGAAACTCCGTCTCAAAAAAAAAAAAAAAAAAAAAGCAAAAGGAGCCAAGAAAACACAATGAAAGGATAATTTCTTCAATAAATGTGCTTGGGAAAACTGGATATTCACATGCAGAAGAATGAAATTGGAACTCACACACCACATGCAAAAATTAACTCAAAATGAATTAATAACGTAAACATATGGCCTGAAACTATAAAAGTACTAGAAAAAATATAAGAAGAAAGCTACATGACATTGGTCTGGATTATGATTTCTTGAATAGGTCATAGGATTATGATTTCTTGAATCTAATTTAAAAATGGGGAAAAGACCTGAACAGACATTTTTCAAAAGAAGACGTAGGAATGACCAGCAGATATATGAAAAAATGCTCAAAATCTTTAATCAACATGGAAATGCAAAGTAAAATCCAAGTGAGATATCCCCTCATGTCTGTTAGAATGGCTATAATTAAAAAAAATGAAAGATGACAAGTATTGGCTAGCATGTCAAGAAAAAGGAACCCTGGTAAACTGTTTATGGGAAAGTTAATACAGCCATTATGGAAAACAGTATAGAGGCTCCTCAAAAGACTAAAAAGATAGAATTACCACATAATCTTGAAATTTCATTTCTAGGTATATATCCAAAGAAATTCAAATCACTATGTTGAAGAGATATCTAAGCTCTCATGTTTATTTCAGCATCATCCACAGGAGCCAAGATACGGAAGTAACCTAAGTTTCTGTCCATAAATGAATAAAGAAAATGTGATATATATCTATATATATATCATTATATATATATCATTATATATATTCCTATATATATATAAGGAGTACTATATAATCTTTAAAAAGAGGAAAAGTCTGTCATTTGAGACAACGTGGATGAACCTGGAGGACATTATTCTAAGTAAAATAAGCCAGGCTCAGAAAGACATATACTACATAATTTCACTTATATTTGGAATCTATAAAAGTCTATCTCATAGAAACAGGGAGTAGAATGATGATTACCTGAGGCCTGGGGCATGAGGAAAGGTGTGAAATTGGTCAAAGGGTACACATTTTTAGTTAGGAGGAGTAAGTTTTAGTGATATATTATGCAGAATGGTGAACATAGTTAATAATGCATTATATATTCCAAAGTTGCTAACAGAATAGATTTTAAACATTGTCACTATAAAAAATTGATAAGGTGGTGAGATAATGGATATGTTAATTTGCTTAATTTAACGTTTCTATAATGTATACATATATCTAAACATCACATTATACTCTGTAAACATATACAATTATTTGTCAATTAATTATGAAAAGAAAGTAGGAAAAAAGACTGAACCTATTGTCATATTCAACTGCTCTGAACTTGCTGTTCAAGGATTGATAGTCTCTGTAGATTTGAGTTCAGTGTATCTTGTATGGCACTTGGTTACCAGGTTGTTAAAAGAAAAGTAGGTTTGGACCAAATCTGCCAAATGAAGCAACATTTATTAATAAGAAGACAACAATAAAAACAATCATACAACATGCTCTTGCAAATTTGGGGATGAATGCAGACTAACTAGGACCTTGACTGCTAAATCACTCAAAGGTAAATGCAAACATACCTGACAGTAGAATCAGCTTAGTTTGTAGTTAGCTTTAATTACACAGTCCTCCTTGTGAGACAGACCTTGGACCATGTAGAGTTCTAGATGTCATGTGTTGCTCCAAGGATGTTCAGCTCCTGTGAATACTGGTTATTTGCATATTGTTCATGCCAGAGATGTGTTGACCGTGCAATCATTTTATATATCTTAAGTGCTTCAAAAATTCACCAAATAAATTCCAACGATTCTTATGTTAATGATCCCTCTGGTGTATATTTAAATAATGTTATTTGAAAACCTTTGCTGATTAAGGAACTTAGTTGCTTCAGTGGCTGACTACCTGTGCCTGGGATGTGGACTAATGTTAACTAACCTATACATGCATTCCACATTTTTGCCACAGCATTTTGATATACATTACCAATATAATATTAATATAATATATTGCATAATATAATATATAAATATATATTACATATGATATAATAAGTATAATATTTAACCATGTAATGGTTAAATAATACAAATACAAAGAAGGAAAACTTATTCTGAGGATCAAATGAAATAAATCCAAAGGGAGAAAATTAATAATATATAATCCATAATATCAGATTCAAGGGGAAATGAAATCTATCAAGGAGAATACTCTGGGATCAACAAATAGTGCCTCAATTGAAAAACCAAATTATCAAATTTAAATGTAAAATAGGAAACTTTAAGATATGATAAGATACAATGGAAAATTAACCAATGAATTAGAAGAGCTTTTGGAGGAAATCTGCCAGAGTAGAGCAGAAAAAGGTGAGGAAATAAATAAAAGGAAAAACATCGACATGGGAAATCCAATAGACATGTAATATGAAATTCAGAAAATAAGAACAAAGTAAGTTTCCAATATTTTAGGCATCTAAAATTACCAACTGAATATTTATTCAACAATTGTCCATGTTTGTAATTAAACTCAAGAAATTTAATTTTAATGCAGAATTTGAATAATGATTGTCACTCTAGATATGCCCTGTCCAATATGGTGGCCACAAGCCCCAATTGGCTAGCGAGCTCTTGAAATGTGTCTAGTTCAAACTGAGATGTGCTGTAAGTATAAAATTCATGCTAGATTTTGAAGACTAAGTAAGAAACTAAGAATATGAAATATAAGCTAAGAATTTTAAACACTTTTTACATGTTGAAATTATTAAATTTTTGATGAGTTAAATAAAATAAATTATTAACATTTATTTACCTGTTTCTTTTTAGTTTTTCCATGTATCTGTCAGAAAATGCTTTTATTAGGTAGTGCTATCTAGACAATACTAACTTGACAGGGCAATATTTTGTCACTGTTATTTACTTTCAAAGTTTTGGGGCATATTCTTGGAAAAACTTTAGGAGCAAATTCTTTTTAAATATGGACTTGATCTTAGAAAACAGTCAAAAGTCATTTTCCACTAAGCCTATTAAGTGAGGTGGTAATAACATTGGATACACCTACAGGGTCAAAAATCAAGGTTAGACAACTAAATATTGAGTCTTCTAATTTTGGCTGACTCATAAACTGGATTATAGCACATCTCCTCGGACCTCAATTTCCTTTTATATAAAATGAGAGTTTTCTACTAACCTATTTTGAAAGCTCCTTTGGCAATCTTAATACTTTGTGAATAATTTCATATTAACCTTAATGGTTTAAGATCTCAAAATTGGTTTTATAATCCTCTCAAAGACCTAAAGAATTATTTTAGACATGTTCAAAGATAATGATGGCCCTGTTCTCTGCTGAGAATATAGAATTTAACCATCATAAGACAAAAAAAAAAATCAATGCAAACATTTCCTATTTTTTCTTCCTCATGTATGTTTGATTTTTACTAGTTTCTCTCTTTGTAAATGAAATAAATGAATCTGTTAAAATATTTATACTCAAATATATTTATCCATTTCCATTAGATTTCACAAAATAGCTCCTAAGCCTTTCCTTTTATTTCTTCAAATATTTTGATTTAAAAAAATGTTTTCTTAGTATTTGATATATTGAGCTTTTATAGCTGTACTTCATATTTGCCTTAAATTTTGACGACTGTTCCTTTGATGACTTTATAAGCATTTCAAGAAGAAATAAAATTAATAAAAACAATTTTAATTGGTGTTTAGAAAAATGTCTTTGAAAGTTAGGTGAATGGATTTATAAAAATAGTAAATCCTTTGGTGTTCTTCCATGTGGTGCTGGCAAAATTTGTAAGAGAAACTACATAGAATCATTTCATTGTAAATATATGTTATGTCTCTGAGCAAGAATGTGCTTTCTAATGAAACATTGAATATGTATAAGTTGTTCTACTCAAATAACCTAACGACAAACATACATATTTTAATCACACCCTCAAATCTTGTAAAGCTTTTTCTCCTTTTGCAATGAAGTCCACCCCAATCACATCTTTTCAGGGGCTGTAGAGAAAATGCTGATTTCATCAAATACTCTGTGTGTGGTTCAAGTGTTTTTTGGCTGGTACAAGGTGTTTTCATATGGCTTCCAATCAATATAAAAATACATTTAAAAATAAGAATAAAAATTACCAAAGCCATTTGTTAACGAATTAATGTATTTAATTAACATTAAGTATTAATTGTGGACACAGCAATAGGTATTGGCCTGAACTGGGGTTCCCTAATCTTGAAGACCAATTTCAGTTATATTTTTACGTGATGATTAAGAAACTTGAGCAAACAATTTTTGGTACAGTAGGGAGTCACAAAACATTTGTGGAATTAACCATTAAACTATGTTGTCATAATAAAAATAACCTTTATTAAGTACCTGTTCTGTGCTGGACACTGTGAAAGAATTTGATGTAATTTAATACTCAACAATTCTGTAAGATAGACATTGCTCCAATTTGATGTATGAAAAAAGAAGGCTCAGAGAGTTTGGGTAACTGACCTATGGACACATAGCTAGTAAATGACAAAATGACAATGCTACGATTTAGACCAAGATCCAAAGAACTACAGTGACCATGACCCGAGACCCCCTAATAATGTTACCTTTATAACAGGGTGTTCTGAACCTGTGGTTATATCTCAAGCTTCATCCAGATATGGTCTAGCTGGCTGTAGATCATACTCTCAAGCAGGAAGTGGCAGAGAACAAAATGTGATCACCAAAATGCGGCAGGCAGTGAGTGAAGGGTTAATTCACAGCAAGTTCAGGACCCCATGCAGAGTAAGTTACCTATGTTAATGATCATAAAATGATGAAACTGATTTTAATATACAGCTTACAGAATTTAACATGCAGAAAGTCATGTAGGCAAATCATTTATAGAAATCACTCTTCTGTTGGATGTCTAAATTTAGTGGAATTTTTTTGCATACATTTCACTTTGGGATGGGGTACAATATTTTTGTCATTTTTAAAATTTAGAACTTAATTTAAGCATATAAAGTGTACTTTTAATTCAAATTTCTTTATCCAATGAAGGAAACATGTATATAAAATGGCCCATACACAGAAAAAAAAAAAAGACAAAGAAGAAGATGAAAAATGAGCTTAGATGGTTTAGCAAATACGTAGATATCATTACCTTGAGTCAGTGCTTCCACACCAGGATGATTACCATCCCTCCTCCCACCCATAATCAAACACACAGACACACACACACACACACACACACACACACACACACACGAGGCATTTGGCAATGCCAGGAGAAATTTTTGGTTGTCACAAATGAGGAGTGTGCCACTGGCACACTCTAAACACCCCATAATGCACAGGACAGCCTGAGAATGTTAATCATGCCAAGGTTGAGAAATTGTGCCCTAAATAAGTTCTTGCCTATTTCAGGATACTTCTCTTTAGAATTTTTTTCCTTATGGGCCATTACTCTAACTTTTAGAAAGACTGTTGAAAGTTAGTACCTTAATGATAAATCATGATATAACAACTTGTTTCAAATATTTTGATTGGTGTAGGGACAAAATCATTATTCTGTTGCTTGGTCACTGAGGTAACGAGGTGGTTTTTGCTTTCTAATAGTAGCATTATGGTGACAAACCTTTAAACTATATTCCTTACCATATTTACTTGAAATCAGATTTTGAGGACAAGTCAAATAAAATTCAAATGAGAGAAAATTACAAGTTATTAATTGTCAAGAAAAACTTACAAAAAATCTTAAATGCTATCTATAATGTATATATATTGAATATATAATGCATGTATATTGAAATATATACCCATTTATAGATTACATATGTTAAATAATGAGGAGGCCATTAGCCTGAGGCTGGCCCCATACTTTGAGAATGAAGTATGAGATGGAAAAATTGAAGAGTGCACAGGCCATGAAATGAGACAGGCTGTTTCAATCTGCTGTGCATTAGTTATGTGAACTGTAGACAAGTTTTATATATTTCCTAAACCCAATTTTCTCATCACAAGATAAGGTAATGGTAACTACTTCACAGCATTTACATAGATTAAATTAAATAATACAAACAATTTGTTTGGGAACTACTGTGTCAGGCAGACATCCATCATTCACTATTGTATATTAGAGTCATTATTATCATCCTCATAAAGCCATATATCAGGATTAATCATGCTATCATGTCCTTGGAAAAATAAAGAGGAAGTATATGCTATTAGTTTTCTACTGCTGCCTGCAGTAGAAAATATATCGCAAATTTGGTGGCTTAAAACCACCCAAATTTGTTATCTTACAGTTCTGTAGCTTAGAAATCCTAAAATCAAAGTTCCAGCAGAGCTGCCTTTCTTTCTAGGGGCTCTCAGGGAGATTTTGGGTTGTTTTGTCTAGTTTCTAGAGGCTGCCTGCATTCCTCAGTTTGTGGCCCTCTCTTGTCTTCACAGCTAGCAACAGTGGGCTGAGTTCTTCCCACATTTCATCACTCCGACTTCATTTCCACGATCACATATATTTTCTTGACTCTATTCTGTTCCTTTCTCTACTTTTAAGGCCCTTTGTGATGACACTGGACTCACATGGGTAATCCAGTATCCATTTCAAAATTCTTCAACCCATCTGCAAAGTCCCTTTTGACATGGAAAGTAATGTGTTCAAAGATTCTGAGGATATGAATGTGGACATCTTTGGAGGGTCCTTATTGTATCTAACGTGTGTGTGTGTGTGTGTGTGTGTACACTAAATAAAATCAGTAGCCTTCACTGTTTGTCTTATATATATAGAATGTATAAGCCTTACAAATTTGGTTATTTGAGAAACAGGTTGAGATTCTGAGATTTAAAGGAGGGGAGCATTTCTAGGATGAACACCAGTCAGGCAGTAAAGGACACAGGATACAGGAGGTATTGAATTTTGATGCAGTTACAACAAAGGCCTTGCCAATATCATGGGGAGCTCTGAAGCTGGCATGGATTTTTGGACTTGTCCCACTCTAAGTCAAAAAGCTTTGGCCCTGATACTCCTTTATCAACCAGTCGTTAGACAAGGGGTGTGGCCCAAAGGGGTGTGGTTATGGATGACACAATTCCAGCACAGGGTCTCAGCTGAGAGCCCTTAGTGACCAACATTCCCAACACCTGGAGAAACGAGTATGTTTTCATCCTGAAAAGAGGCAACGCATTATCCAAAACATAAACTAAGCCAATTCAGTAGCAATATCTTGTGCCAAATTTTATGCCATTATTCTTTATTGTAGGAAAATTCAGGGTAAAAATCTTTGGTAAAATATAGTCATCAAAAAGCAGAAGGACCTAGGAGCCACGATTTGAATTCAGTTTCTTGTTTTCCCCTGGCATACTTTGTTATAGGCACATCATTTGTAATTTTTCCTCTTTTCTTTTCCTAGTTGCAAAGTGGCACTTGAAATAAAATGATTTCTCTTACCACTGCTAATATGTTTAATTAGATAAAATTTTCAATGATGGGTAGACACTTTGCCAATGCAATAATAACAGCAACAAATACCACTTTCAACACTGCAATTACTCATCCACATTGTGAAAATGTTATCTTCTTCCTTCTAGGATAGCAATTTAGATTAAAAAGGGAAAATATTTTTAATGCTGTATTACCTTGGATTCCTTATTTAATTATACCAAATGTTCCCTTTCTCTAAGAAATATATGACAATTTTTTGTCCTACATACAGTAGGCAGGGGGAAAATTATCTGGACTTTCTTTGCCTAGCTATTATCTGTGTGAAAAATTTCAGCAAAGAGCAGGAAGAAAATAGAAATAAAAAGGGTTAGAAAATTGACATCCATTGTGACTCACTAAAAAAATGAAAAAAATGATGCTAATAGTTTTATCACCTGGAAATCTGAGAAAAATTGGTTTGGGGCCAAATTCTTCGGAAGTATAACTGTACCAGAAGTTCTGGAGCCCCTGACGCAGTTCAACATCACATTGCTCTCCTCCATCTAGAGAAAGTAACCAGGTAGAAAATGCATTAAGGAAACTATGTCAGGAAAACAAATTAGAGCTCTGATGTTTAACTTTTACAAAGAAGTTAAACATTCTTGACTTCTTAGGTAAGCAATGACTAACTGATGAAAAATCTTTTTGTGTGAGTGCTGACAAGTTAAGAATCCCTTCTTTTCCTTCACTATTTGCAAAGAAAAGGAAATATACATATATATTGATTAAGTTATTTTTATTCTCTCATAGACAAGTATTGTGCTAAAAATCCCAGCAAGTCAACATTACGACAAAGGCATATATATATATATATATCAGTAGTATCAAAGTATTATGGACCGAATGGCTTAGAACCACAGATATGTGCTGTCTCACAGTTCTAGTGGCTAGAAGTCTGAAATCAAGGTATTGACTGGGTGCTTTCCTTCCGATGACTTTGAGAGAGAATCTGTTCCATGCCTTGCTCCTAGCTTCTGGGGACAGCCAACAAGCCTTGGTATATAGATGCATCTCTTGAATCTCTGTTTTCACATGGTGCAATCCCCATGAAGCTCTGTGTTTACATTTCCCTCTTCTTATGAGGACACCAGTCATATATATTAGGGTACATCCCAATGATCTTATCTTAACTTGATTGCATCTGCAAAGACCCTCTTTTAAAATAAAGTGTAATTCACCAGTACCAGGGGTTAGGGCTTCAATATATCTTTTTTGGAAACACAAGTCAATCTTCAACAAAAGGGAAGGCTTGACCAGAAGAGTTAAACACACAGAGAAGACTAGAGATTTCAGATACAGAAAGGGAATGAGAATGCTCTAGTTACAGCCTTGCTCCTAATATGTGGTTTGCAGAACAGAAGCATGGGTGTCACTGAGAAATTATTAAAAATTCAGAATCTCAGGCTTCACTTCAGTCCTATTGAAAATAAGCATATGATTTAAACAAAAATATCCTATTTATTCAAATGCACACATTTGGATTGAGAAGCATTGCCCTAAGGCCCACAATCTGGAATTTTTTACTAGATAGTTAGGCTATCAACTTTTGCCAAGAGCACATCATTTATGTTTCTTCCTGTTTTATTTCTAGCTGTAAAATGATATTTGAAATTAAAATGATGTCTCTTACCAGTGATAATAAGCCCAACTGGGTAAAATATTTAATTACAGAGAGACATTTTACGAAAACAATAGAAACAAATATCACTTTCAACACTGCATAAACATAAAACCACATATAATAGCTCACAGTATAAGTTTACTCCTCACTCACATAAAGTTTAAAGCAGCTGTTCTTGATCTCAGAGTAATTTTTCTGTAAGTGATGATTCAGAGACCCAGAATCCTTAAATCTTGGGCTCCACCATCTTTATAGTGTGGTTTCCACATTCACTCTTTTCATCTGCTATGAGCCTGTAGATGGGGCAAAATAAAGATGGATGTGAGATTGATTTTATGGCTTAGAGTGGTGCACATCACCTCAACTTCCATTCCATTGACTAGAATCCCGTCACATGCCATGTCTTCCAGTGAGAGAAACCAGGAAATGTAAACTAGCTGTGTGCTTAGGAATAAGAGGAAATGTCCAACAAACCAACTCTACCTGAAATGTCTATGTATGAGGCAGTAGATTATCTCTGGCACCAATTTCTGAGATCTTTTGCCACAAATTTTTAATCATGAATATATTAATTGCTCATTCTGTAAGGGAAGTGCATAACCGCATTCAAATTTAATGTACTACAGACTTCAGTTTGTTACAGGGTGTGGGAAATCATTAAAAGGAGGAAATTAAAAGATGAAAATAAACCTTAAAGCCTGACTTTTCATACATTTGTTCTTCAATTTAACGAACATTTATTGGTTTTCTCCCTTGTGCCTAGCACTAAGAATAAAGTATAAATAGGACACAGTTTCTGAATTCAAGAACTCTTAAAGTCCAAAAAAAGTGACTCTCAACTTTGGTCTCACATTGGGATCTTCCTGGTAGTAAAAAAAAAAAAATTATCTTTTTTTTTTCGATGACCAGCTTCCACTCTAGTACAATTGAATCAGAACCTCACGGGGAGAAAACAGGCACTGGTATTTTTTAAAAGCTTCTCAAGTAAGTCTAACGTATTAACAAGGCTGAGAAACCCTGAGTTATTTGGATTCGCAGTCAATGGCCTTGCAGTTTTTACCTATGACCTACGGGAAGAAAATCACAAAATCACATTTACCAGTTTTTTTTTTTAATTCATAATCATGCAACTTCAACAGCATTCTTTCTTTCTTTTTTTTTTTTTTTTTTTGACAGAGTCTTGCTGTCACCCAGGCTGGAGTGCAGTGGTGCGATCTCGGCTCACTGCAACCTCTGCCTCCCGGGTTCAAGCAATTCTCCTACCTCAGCCTCCCTCAAGAGCATTCTTTATGGTGTCCAGAAATCACAGTCCATTCTTCTAACTATACTCCTAAAACACCTCCTTTCTCATATCTTCTCCTCTTTCATTTCCTCCCTCACCTTATGTTGAACTGGAAGACTTACTTTCTACTTCACTGAGAAAATACAAGCAATCGGAAGTAAACCTCTGCAGACTCATACCACCACATTGAACCATCTAGCAGCCTCTCTACCCATGTACTATGGTATAAAATACAAATTTTGTCACAAAACCTACTTTGAGTATTTCAAGAAGAAAATAATTCAATATAGGGATTTAAAAGGACTAGAAGAGTGAAGTTTAGGGAAACTTCTCTTAGAACCAAAGAAATCAGGGAGTAGAAGAAATACAGGAAACTTCCATATAAGACCTCAGGGTCTTGCAATGCTAAAGTGAGTAACTTGCAGGAAAATGCTTGAAGCTTATGACAAACCTTATATATGGGAAGCCCTCATGCCTATCCACTATAGTCAGAGCTTTAATGGCTGTTCTGTCTCTCTACTTCAAAATGTTATACAAATGTCACTCATTGGTAGAAGAATATTGTCATGGAAGCTTGAGAAACATAATACTCAGCATTACATTTATGCAATATAGTGCAAAGCATAAAAAGGATTGTAAATGCTGTTGGAATGCCAAAACACTCTCTACTACATCTGTTTTTCTAACTATTATTCAAGAACAGAGAGTCTATAAATGAACAATCTATTCTGCTGTGTAATTCAATAGCACTCCTTCTCCAACTCAAGAAAAAAAATCTTCACAAATTCTCTCTCCTGTCTCCTATTTCAACAGTCCTTTTACTCACTATGGAATCACTCTATGAGCATACAAACATAATGGCAATTTTTTTTTTTCAGATGGAGTCTTGCTCTGTCACCCAAGCTGGAGTGCAGTGGTGCGATCTCAGCTCACTGCAACCTCTGCCTCCCGGGTTCAAACAATTCTCCTGCCTCAGCCTCCTGAGTAGCTGGGATTACAGGTGCATGCCACCATGCCCAGCTACTTTTTTTTTTTTTTTTTTTTTTTTTTTTTTTTACTATTTTTAGTAGAGATGGGGTTTTACCATGTTTGCCAGGCTGATTTAGAACTCCTGACCTCGTTATCTGCCTGCCTCAGCCTTCCAAAGTGCTGGGATTATAGGCGTGAGCCACTGTGCCTGGCCCATGATTGCTATTTCTGTTGCTCAAAACTCTTATACTTTTCCTGAATTTTTGGTTTACTCTTCTATCCAATTATAAATGAGAATTTTTTGATTTCCTCTTTTGCATTTTATATTTTAAAACTCTGTTAATTAATGCAGACGTAATTTGAGTTATGTCTTCTTAATAAACTGATATTTTTGTTATTATGAAATGTTTCTCTTTATCACTATTAATATACTTTATCTCATATTCTACCTTGTCAGACATCTATACAGCCATATTTGCTTTCTCATGTTCACTTCTTCTGTTAATATAATACAGCATACCTAACACCTCATTTTCAACCTGTCTTTCAAGTTAAAATATGTTTCATCAAAATGGCATAGAGACAAGTCTTTCTTTTTTTTCCCAGTCACATTCTATGCCTTTTAATAGGAGTTACAATGTCCATTAATTTACATTTAATGTAGTATTGCTATCCTAAGGTTTAAGCCTTCCATTTTTATGTTTGTTTTTATTCATCTCATTTGTCCCTGTTTCAGCTTTTTTCTCTTCATTTGAGTGTATCATTTTTTTTTTTTACATATCATGTTTTCTTCTATGTTGCCTTTTTTACATTTTTTAACTTGTATTTTAAGTTCGGAGGGTACACGTGCAGGTTTGTTACATGAGTACATGGTGTGTCCCTGGGGTTTGGTGTACAAATGATTTTGTCGCTCAGGTAGTGAGCATAGTACCTCATAGGTAGTTTTTCAACTCTCAACCCCTTCCTCCTTCCCTCCTCAAGTAGGTCCCCATCTCTATTGTTCCCATCTTTGTGTCCGTGTGTACTCAATGTTTAGCTCCCACTTATAAGTGAGAACATGAGGTATTTGGTTTTCTGTTCCTGAATTAATTTGCCTAGGATAATGGCCTCTAGCTCCATCCATGTTGCTGCAAAGGACATATTTTTTCTTTCCAATGGCTGTGCAGTATTCCATGGTATATATGTACCACATTATCTTTATCCAGTCCATCGTTCATGGGCACCTGGGTTGATTCCATGCCTTTGCTATTATTACCACTGTAATGAACATGCGGGTGCATTTGTCTTTTTGGTAGAACCATTTGTATTCTTTTGGGCATATACCCAGTAATGGGATTGCTGGGCCAAATGGTAGTTCTGTTTTAAGTTCTTGGAGAGGTCTCCAAACTGTTTTCTACAGTGGCTGAACTGATTTACATTCCACCCAGCAGTTCCCACTGCATTTCCTTTTCTCTGCAGTCTTGTCAACCTCAGTTATTTTATTAGTAACAGACATTCTGACTGGTGTGAGGTGGTATATCATTGTGGCTTTGATTTGCATTTCTCTAATTATCAGTCATGTTGAGCATTTTTTCATATGCTTGTTGGCCATGTGTATGTCCTCTTTTGAGAGGTGTCTTTTCATGTCCTTTGCTCATTTTTTAATGGGGTTGTTTGTTTTTTGCTTGATGGTTTAAGTTCCTTACAGATTCTGGATATTAGACATTTGTCATATGAATAGTTTGCAAATATTTTCTCCCATTCTGTAGGTTGTCTGTTTACTCTGTTGGTATTATGTTGGTGCAAAAGTAATTGTGTTTTTTTCCATTAATTTCAATAGTTTTAAAAATGGTTTCAATAGTTTCTTTTGCTGTGCAGAGGCTCTTTAATTTAATTAGGTCCCACTTGTCAGTTTTTGCTTTTGTTCCATTTACTTTTGGAGTCTTACTCATGAAATCTTTGCCAGGGCCTAGGTCCAGAATAGTATTTCCTAGGTTTTCTTCTAGGCTTTTTACAGATTTAGGTCTTAAATTTAAGTCTTTAATCCATTTTGAGTTGATTTTTCTATTGGTAAAAGAAGGGGTCCATTTTCACTCTTCTGCATATGACCAGACAGTTATCCCAACACAATTTATTGAATACAAAGTCCTTTCCCAATTACTCGTTATTGTTGACTTTGTTGAAGATGACATGGTTAAAGGTGTGTGGATTTATGTCTAGATTTTTCTAATTTGTTCAATTGACCTATGTGTCCATTTTTTTTGTACCAGTACCATGCTCTTTTGGTTACTGTAGCTTTTAGTATAGTTTGAAGTCAGTTATTGTGATGCGTCTGGCTTTCTTCTTTTTGCCTAGGATTGCTTTGGCTATTCAGGCTCTGTTATTTTTAGTGGTTTCTCTAAAGATACAATAAGAATCTTTAAAACAGTCTAACTTCAAATAATATTATTTTATATTACTTCACAAATATTGTAAAAAGCTTTGCAACAAATTCTTTTTGCGATCTGCTGTTAATTTTATCCTTATTTTTTTATATTTTATTTCAATGTATAGTACCTTATTATTATTTTATTTTTAACAATCAATAGATTTTTACATAAATTTAAAACTATATACACACAAAATTATAATTTAAAAAGATGTTATATATTTTTCTAAGTATTTACCTTTTCTGGGATTCTTGATGACTGACTGTACATTTAGGATTTTATTTGGTATTAATTTGTTTCAGCTTTAAGACAATTTTGCACCTTTTGTTTCATAATTATGC
The DNA here is from genome assembly GCF_000001405.40 of Homo sapiens. NCBI lineage: Eukaryota > Metazoa > Chordata > Mammalia > Primates > Hominidae > Homo > Homo sapiens. The sequence goes on from NC_000007.14 coordinate 19,840,858, forward strand.
TGGAAACAGAGTTGCTGACTGCTGTTTCTCTAAAAACATCTTTAATTTCATTTGTAAAAGACATTTTCATTAGATAGACAAATCTAGGTTGACTTTTTTTCTCTCATCACGTTAAAGGTTAACAATGTCCCATTGTCTTCTTGTTTGCACTCTTTCTTGGAGAAGTCAGCTGTCATTCATATTGTTCTTTTTTGTGTAATGGGACCCACCTTTTCAGTTTATTTCTATTTCATATCACAGACTTTTATAAGCTGTCTAGACTACCAAGGAAATTATGCTTTTTGTAGTTATCCAGAGACTCATGTTCCTTTCAAGTTTTTGGTCTGCTATACCCTAGGACATAGATCTGCAAACTTTTTTCTTCTGTGAAGGATCACAGTATATATTTTAGGCTGAGCAGCCCACGTACAGTCTCTGTTGTGCAATTCTGCTTATTTATGTTCTTATTATAAATCCTTTAAAATGTAAAAACCATGCTTAGCTTGCAACCACACAAAAAGATCATGGGCTAGATTGGCCTACAAGCTTTACTTTCCCAGCCCCTGCAGCCCAGGCAAGATGGTCGGCATTGGTATGGTGGAAGCTGGACAGTGGCTATGTTCAGTTTCCAGCAAGCAGTAAGGAAGAAGAGAGTGTGGAGGAGGTGTGTGTAATGTCTTAAATCCTAGAAATCACTCAGGACTTCATTAGAGGCAAAGAAAGCTTAGTTGGTCAACTAGCCACAGATATATTATATAGGAAAAAGGAAGAATGGGATTTTGTGAATGATAAGCAATTTCCCTTCAGTGGTTTTGAAGAGGTGACAAATTATTACCCTATCTAGGACAACCATGCTTCAGATTTCATGACTATATGGATTAAGTCATATTATATAGCAAATATCTTCCTAAAACACTTCATAATTTGTTTTCTCCTTTCAAAAATGTGAAAGTATGTAATTATCAATTTATCTTTTCTTCCATGCTTTTCTTGCCACCATGTTAAAATGCAATTACTTTGACAGTTATTCAAATTACCTAAAATATGAATTTCTAATTAATAAATTATATATTTTCTTAAAATAGATATTCTTTAATGTCAAATTTGTAGAAAAAATAGGTCTATTCAAAATATACATGTAAAATTTGGACTAGCAAGCAAGAATGGCTAAATATAATATCTGCTTTTGGGTTAGAATTAAAATAAGTTTGAGAAAGAATAATGTCCAAATTAAGATGGGAAAAGTAATGCTTAAATTCACTGTAATATCAAAAGTCAAACCAGACTGCATAACTAACTTTTTATACTCATTAGCAGAAGATTCACATTTCTTCTAACATTAGCATTAGAAATATATTAAGTGCCTGCCATTAGAAATATGCAACTGCCTGCTATGTACCAGGTGCTGGGCAAAGGGCTTTACATTATCTCCAATACTCACAAGATCTTGTATGCAAGCATCATCCCCCTTACTTTACAAATGAAGATATTGATGATCAAAGAGGTTCATTAAAATTTCCTAATTTAAACACAGAGCAATAATTTATACCAGCTATTTCTGATCTCAAAGTTTGTGTTCCCTCCATTAGCTTTGCTTCATGATACCTTGCAGTATCATGAGAACCCAGTTTGATGGTTCATATTACCGAGAAAATATATAGGTACTTTGACACTTCCTGGCAAGATAAAGAAAGTGATAGTACTAAAATTTGTGGAATGCATGATGTTTGGTTTAGAATAAATTCTATTATTTTAAAAAATGTTGCATAACTTTTGTTCTTCATTGCAGAGAAGATGCTACTGGGAGAAAAATCTGGATATTAAGGACTGAGTTAAAAAGTGACTCAGGAAAATGAAATACTGAGAAAAAAATTTAGAAATGTTTCAAACAATTATTTTGTTTACATTTATCTTTTCATATAGGCATGAGGGATTATAGTATAAAATTATGTCTAAATATATCTAAAATAGTTATTTAGGGATAATATAAAATGCTAAGGGACAAACAATTGAGTTATAATTGAAGCAGAAGTGTTTTTTTCTTTCCCAGCAGTATATAAAATAATAATTCATTTATTATTAATAAACATAAAATAATGTATTAATCTGACAACCAATAATGTTAGATTCAATAAAAGTAAACTATTACCAAATGCTATAATTGGATCTTTACTAATACACCACTGGTAATAAAAATGTTGTGTCATATTGGACCAATTGTCATAGTAAAGAAATAGAAGCTATATAGAAGATGGACTAGTAGTCCTCACAAAAGTAAAATTATTAAGATAATTTAAAGACTAAGTTAGTGATATATTAACCTTAACATATCAGGTGTTGTTAGATTAAGTTTTAAAAACAAAAAGGAATATGGAAAATCTCATTGGTCCATATTTTTTTTCTTTCTAGCTGTCTGCTGGAGTCTTTGCTTTGATAATCATAAGGATTCTTCTAGGTTCCTAAAACTACAGGTTTAAATAATTCATTTATAATTGTTTCCCATTAAGAATAGTGAACACCAAGAATTGATGCCAAAGGAAAATAAAATGTTAGTGTGTTCAAAGGACCACAATTTAACTACAGTTTGCAAATGTGTATAACATCTCCAAATAATTTAATTTCACTTATGGAACAAAGCTTTTGCATTAATATTTAATTTCCAAAAGTTAAGGGGCATGGTTAATTAAAGATTTACATATATTACATACTTTAACACATTCTGGAGAAATTTGTTTATTAATCAGACTGTTGCTTTTTCAGGCCTAAGTTGCAGTTAAAATGTGAATTAGGTACAATGTTATATATTTCTAACCTTTGCATTTTCTTTTAAAATTTTCAAATCCAGACATAATCTTGCAACCATTTATCTCTTCTCTTTACCTTCATCAATGTGTCAACAGGACCGAAATGTTATTTTTATAAATATTTTTTACTAGAATTTCTTAAATACAGAAAATCCCTATGTTCAGCTGAGAGGTTAGAACTGGACTAACATAAATTTAACCCTAGATCTAGAATTTAGTTAGTTTTTTATATATTGGATAAGCTACTTAACCCCCTAAGTACTTTGATATCTTTTCCTGTAAAATAGAAATAATAACTCTGACAAAAATAAGCAATGGGGAAAGAATTCCCTGTTTAATAAATGGTGTTAGGAAAACTGGCTAGCCATATGCAGAAAATTGAAACTGGACCCGTTCCTAACATCTTATACAAAGATTAACTGAAGATGGATTAAAGGTTTACATGTAAAACCAAAAGCTGTAGAAACCCTAGAAGAAAATCTAGGCAATAGCATCTAAGACATAAGCACAGGCAAAAATTTCATGACAACAACACCAAAAGTGACTGCAACAAAAGCAAAAAATGACAAATGGGAGAGTTTCTGCACAGCAAAAGAAAATATCAGAGTGAATGGACAACCTATAGAACGGGAGAAAATTTTTGCAATCCATCCATTAGACAAAGGTCTAATATCCAGAATCTATAAGAAACATAAATTTACAAGAAAAATACAAACAACCCCATTAAAAAGTGGGCAAAGGACATGAACAGACACTTCTCAAAAGAAGACATTTGAAAAAAAGCTCAACGTCACTTATCGTTAGAAAAATGGAAATCAAAACTGCAATGAGATATTATCTCACACCAGTCAGAATGGCAATTATTAAAAAGTCAAGAAACAACAGATGCTGGTGAGGCTGTAGAGAAATGGGAAGCCTTTACACTGTTGGTGGGAATATAAATTAGTTCAAGCACTGTAGAAGACAGTGTGGTTATTCCTCAAAGACCTAGAGGCAGAAATACCATTTGACCCAGCAATCACATTACTGGGTGTAAACCCAAAGGAATACAAATCACTCTATTATACAGATACATGCACACTTATTTATTGCAGCACTATTCGCAATAGCAAAGACATGGAATCAACCCAAATGCCCATCAATGATAGACTGGGTAAGAAAATGTGGCACACACACACCATGGAACACATACACTATACAGCCATAAAAAGGAATGAGATCATGTCCTTTGTAGGGTCATGGATGGAGCTGGAGGCCATTATCCTCAGCAAACTAATACAGGAACAGAAAATCAAACACCGCATGTTCTCACTTATAAGTGAGAGCTGAACAATGAGAACACATGAACACAGGGAGGGGAACAACACACACTGGCACCTGTCAGCAGGTAGAGGGGAGGGTGAGCATCAGGAAAATAACTAATGCATATGTGGCTTAATACCTAGGTGATGGGTTGATAGGTGCAGCAAACCACCATGGCACACATTCACCTCTGTAACAATCCTGCACATGTATCCTAGAACTGAAAATAAAATTAAATTTACAAAAAGAAATAATAACCATTTTGTAGAATTGTAAGAAAAAAATATATATGCACACATTCATACATATTGTTTGAAACAGCCATATCTCTCAATAAACAGTGGCTATGTTTTATTATTGTTCAAATCACAGTGAAAAATGTTATGCCCTAAGGTGCTTATTTATATGTTATTTATATATCAATAAAATGTAGAATATATAAATACAGAGACTAAGTCTATTTTCCCTCAGATTTATATCCTCAATATCTAGCTCACTGCCTGGCACATGACATGTCCATAATCAACCTTTTTATAATTATTTGAAGAATGAATATTTAGATCAAATTGAGTATCTAATAGAAATCAAACAGGTAAGAATAATTTCTGATACTACAGCCAGCACAAATTGAACTCCTTAAATTGAACTAAAATTTTCCTTTAATTTTTCTAATTAAACAGAGATCTGTGCCCCCAAATTTTTTGACTTGGTTTACAGACTAGGTGAATAAGCTTTTTTTTTTTTTTCTTGGTGTTTGGTGGTGTAGTTTTAATATTAAATCGCAGCATGACCCTGGGAAACTCGTAACCTCTCTGATTTCAAATATTCTGATTTGTAAAATGACAGATGTAAATTAAATTATTGGTGTTAGAACATTTCTAAACAAAAGAAACTTTTTTTCTAAAGTAATCTCTTATGGAACTCCACTATATGAAACCGATAAAACCAGAACTGGTACAGGAAATATGTCTACATGTCTATGTATGGGTGTGGCGATTTGTATCCCTCAAGGAAGGAGAAAATACGGTTCATTGAGCAACCTCTAAGGCTGTTCCCACCCCACTCATCTTGACTGTGTACACAAATTTATTAGCCTCTAAGACAACTCAGAAAAATGCTAGAAGCCCAGTGATCAAAGTTTCAAAGTGGATAAGGGGAACACTAGGTTCTCTTCCTCCTTACTATCTTATAAAATTTTGATTATATAGTTCAGAAGAGCCTATATTCCTATCCTTACCCATCACTCTTTAGAATCCAACGCAAATAAGAAAGAATAGGATCAAAACTTCCTTCTCAGTTCCAGGACATTGTAGTAGAGATAAACCAGAAAGTACTGAAACAGGGCAATGAGCAAGAGGCTGCAACTGGAACCCCTCAGGTAACAAGCCAATGCTTCGAACTGGGTCGAAATCATATTGGGTCAGACCGAGTTCATGTCTAGTCAAAGTTCTAAAATTGACAGCTTCATCTTATGTAACCAATCAATAGAATTAGAACAGACATCTTTTGAACTCATGGTGTGAATGAACTGACCAGCTGTTTGGCTGACTCGACTGAGTTGTTTCCACTATAATGTGGACACAGTCTGAGAGTGAGTGAAATGTTGGCAGATCTTTGACTTTTTCTAGTCCAGAGAAGAAGAAAGCAAAAGAAATGAAGCACATATAATGCAAGGGAATGATAAGGCAGGGAACAATCAGTAGCCTACTGACAGGTACAAAGTACAATATTCGATTTCATAGAAACTCCTCTCTATTTCAAAAGTAATTTTAAAATAAAGAAATGTTGAGCAGAGACAACATGAAGAAGATGGAGAAAAAGGCTAACTTTAAACTAAAAAAATGAAAACTACAGTAATTAATACATTATTACTAAGATTAAGATACTTTTAGTTGTTGTTATGTACAATTAATTTTGGTCCTTTTAAATTTCATGTATATATCAATAATAACTTTTAACATCAAATAAAAAGAAAGCTGAGTTGTTAGAAAATGTGTTAATATATTTCATGTGCACACATGTGCAAATATACCATCCATCCCAAAGCCAAATAAAATGTCTTTATGTTACTCTTTGCACTTACAGCACAGATATGTGACCATTTATGTGCATGCATCAGCCCTGGTAACTAACTGTGGGTGTAGTTTTTTCCTACTTAGTCAGAAATTCCACTTACTCTACTTTGCTTTATTATAAGCATGGAACCAAGCAATCATATTTGTTATCCTAAAAAGGAATATTTCTCTTTTTCACAGTAAAAGTGAGATTGAAGCATGGGTATTTTATTCAAGAAATATCGATGAATATTCATGTATGGATTGAAGAATATAAAATATCAAATTTCTCTAAAAGTTTCCATAAAATTTTTATGGAAGGCAACTACATTGCTCCAAAATAAAAAAAAAATACTCTCATAGAAAAAAATTACAAAAATGAATATCAGATATATTTAATGTTATTGGTAAATTAGAACATTTTATGACAAAAAGAAACTATACTATTGTGAATTATTATCAATTACAATGTATTTATAAAGTATTATGATGTACTTATAGCAGCAGTAAAAAAGTAACAGAAATATGCAGATAGTATAATTCCACAGTATCCTTAACTTTATTTTTCTCCATAACACTTCTCTTTATTTTTTCTAAAGAAATTTATATAAAAAAAATTTTAACTCCCTTTACTACCAAATAGATCTTCTATAGTAATATAATTTTTTTGTTTTGCTCATTGCTGTATTTCTAAAGATTTATCGCTGGCACACAGTAGGTGACAAATATTTGCAGAATAAATAAATTAATATGTGGCAATATATGTTAAGAGATAACCTCATCAGTTTCCTTGGCTACAAAGAGAAAAATCCTTTTAAAGTCAAAACAAAAACATTAAGTTAACTAGGAGGGGGATAAAAATCAACCTGAAGTTGGTGACTTCAAAGAAACTTTCAATTCTAAAAGGCAATAGAGAAATGCCTGTAATTGTCACAAGGAAAATGAGTTTAGATTATGGGTAAGACAGAGTAGCTTATATAAGACTCACTCTGCTGCAAATAATTATTATAACAAAATAATCTATCAACCAATTTGAAGTCATTTAAAAATGACAAAGAGCCGGCAGAAATGATAGTGGATTCAATCTCTGTGCCCAGAATTAAATGGCACTGGGTCAGATTCACATTTATTTGGCATTCTTCCTGAAGCTACTTCCCAATTCATATCAGCCAGGACAGGTATAATTCCAGCAGAAATCTGCTTTATTAGCTTTAAGTGTCAAAGAAGGGAGTTTGGTGCTACCAGACCAACTGTAAATTGAAAGGAAAAATTCTGAGAAAGGAGGAACCACAGGAAATATGTTCCCAAATCTGCATATAAATTCCCTTCAAATCTTTGGCTGACTTTTGAAAGCACAAGGAAAACTCCAAGAAGTCTAATGTAAAACAATAGCTGAATATTTGTAAAAACAGGGCAAATAACTAGCTCTTGTCCGCTGCAGAGAAGATAGAATTTAAGATCTGAGTCTTGTTCATATAACTTGAGCTTTCCATTGAAATCACAGAAGGGTCACCTTCATACTAATACTATAAACAGAACTACAAAAAATATCTGTAGACTGCTGGGCATGGTGGCTCATGCCTGTAATCCCAGCACTTTGGGAGGCTGAGGTGGGTGGATCACCTGAGGTCAGGAGTTCAAGACCAGTCTGACCAACATGGAGAAACCCTTTCTTTACTAAAAATACAAAATTAGCTGGGTGTGGTGGTGCATGCCTGTAATCCCAGCTACTTGGGAGGCTGAGGCAGGAGAATTGCTTAAACGTGGGAGGCAGGAGGTTGCAGTGAGCCAAGATCATGCCATTGCACTCCAGCCCGGGCAACAAAGGCGAGATTACACCTAAAAAAAAAAAAAAAAAAAAAATCTGTAGACTGAGACTGAGGGAAAAATTGCAGCAGACCCATCTTTAAGATAGGTAAGACCAAACTGCTATATGTTCAAGGTAATTAGCCAGTCTTTTTTTTCCCCAAAACCAACAGTCCAACATTCAATAAAAATTACCATACTTGCAAACAAACAGGATCGCATTATCTGTAATTAAAAAAAAAGAACGTATAGAAACAGACACATTGATGACCCAGGTGTAAAACTGGCAAGTATTTGAAAGCAACTGTTACAAATATGTTTAAGAATATAAAGAAAAAGATGACCATAATGAATGATCATAGGGAAAACCTCAGCAAAAAGTGAAAACTATGAAAAAAACTAAAATAAACAATATCCTAAACAAAAAATTAGTAGATGGACTTAAGAATGAAAATGGACAATTAAAGGGACAGTGAATTTGGAAAGAGATTAATTAAAATTATTCAATGTGAGCAGCAAAGAGAAAATATTGAATATAAATAAATGGAGCCTCACTGATCTGTGCAAAAATACCAAGTAGTCTAACATTTACAGATTTGTAGTCCCAGAAAAGAGAAATAGATAATACAGCAGAAGAAAAACTTGAAGATTTAATTACTGAGAGCATTCAAAAATAATGTAAAACAACCTTCAGATACAGGAGGCTCAGCAAATCACAAGCCACATACATACAGAGAAAACTGACAGTAGGCACACCATTGTCATACTGTTGAAAATTGAATATAAAGTAAATATCTTGAAGACAGCCAGAGAAAAATGACATTTTTCCTATAGGAAACAGTGAGTTATACTGCCTCTTTATTAAAAACAGTAAGAGTTATTAAAAATAATAATCCAAAAGAAAAATTAATTAAAACAACTATCAACCCAGAATTCCATAACCAGCAAATGTATTCTTCAAAAATAAAGATGAAATAAAGACATTTTCAAATAAATGAAATCTAGAAAATTTGTCACCAGGAAAACTGATCTATAAGAAATGCTAAAGGAAGTCCTCCTGGGTGAAGTGAATTAAAACTAAATGATACACATGAAGGGATGAACAGAGCATGAAACATAATGTATTGGTAAATGTAAAACAAAATATCTTTTTCCCATTAATTTTTTAAAAATACAATTATTGAAAGCAATATGTATATATATATATATATATATATATAGAGAGAGAGAGAGAGAGAGAGAGAGAGAGCATGTTGTGAAGTATATAACAAATGTAAATTTCAATTATATGTCAAAAATAGCATTTCCTGTGGTAGAGTATCAAATCTAAGTTTACTGCGGTAAGTTAAAAACAATATTGAGAAGCTATAAAAAATACTGGAAAGTATACTTAAGAGGTCATATAGTCTGGGCACGGTGGCTCACACCTGTAATCCCAGCACTTTGGGAGGCCAAGGTGGGCGTATCACCTGAAGTCAGGAGTTCGAGACCAGCCTGGCCAACCAACATGGTGAAACTCCGTCTCTACCAAAAATACAAAAATTAGCTGGGCGTGGTGGCAGGCACCTGTAATCCCAGCTACTAGGGAGGTTGAGGCATGAGAATTGCTTGAACCTGGGAGGTGGAGGTTGCAGTGAGCCAAGATGGTGTCACCGCACTCCAGCCTGGGTGACAGAGTGAGACTCCTTCTCGAAAACAAAACAAAACAAAAAAACACAAAAGTCAGTATAAAAATTAACATAGAATTTAAAAAATATTTGATAAGATTAAAGCATAGGAAAAAAATAATAGCAGGATTAAAAACCACTTCAGAAACAGAATATCAGAAACTTGAATTCAGGAATACATCAAGAGAGTAATAACTATAAACCAATGGGTTTTTTCTTAGCAACACCAAGTGTGACATAACACTGGAAAACCAATTAGTGTAATGTACCATCTTACTGGAAAAAGAGAAAGCTCTACATTGCTTTCAAGGAATACAAGAAAAGCATGTGACAAGTATCAGCACTTATTTATGATAAAATCTCTCAACAAACCAACAATAGAAAGGAGCTTCCTTACTCTGATACAAAGCCTCTATTAAACAAACAAACAAACAAACAAACAAACAAAAAACACTGCAACTTGTATCACATTTTATGGTAAAATATCGAATTATTTTCTAGTAAACTTGGGAGCAAGCAAAAGTTACCCATTTTGGTTGCTTTTGTTCAACATTGTTCTTATGGTTCTAGTTAATGCAATAAAACAAAAATAATAAAATTGATAAAAATTCTATAGGAAGAAATAAAACTGTCTTTATTCACATATGCCATCATTGTTTATTTGGAAAATCCTAAGAAGTTCATTACCAGAACTAAAAAGTAAATTTAGGAAGACCACTTGATACAAGATCAAAATACAAAATTTAATGTTATTCCTCATATTATTATAAAATAATTAGAAAATCAAATTCAAAAATTCCATTTGTAATAGCATCAAACCCATAAAATACTTAGAAATAAATTTAGGAAAGTATACATACTGTATTTGAGTCAAATGCCAACTATTATACTTGAGAATGTGCTTTATAACTTGCATAACTACAAAGAATAGGTTAGAATATGTTAATCAAAAGAGCCAACCAAGAAAACTTTGAACCATTTATTGTCTACCATATAAATATTTACACTCAGTAAGTTGATCAAATAATAATTCAAGTAAGCAATTTAAAAGGCAATATGACCTAACAAAACAGGAAAGCCCACTACTTAAGTCTCAGGGTTTGGTCAATCTCAGTCTCTCAACCTCATCTATCAATTTTCATCCCAACTGTCTACCTGCCGCTATGGGAAGATTTGTTTGCTCAATCTGCGCAAGGGGTTAGGATTGCCCTATGGCCAATGTAAAGATGACTCATAGCTCACTTGACATACCCAGGAAGGCATACTGGAAACTTGTTGCTTGGTTGGTGGTGTCACATTTGCATTCTGGCTTTTATGCTCTTTGGAGACCTGGATATTTTCAACATGCCTAATATTTTATTTAATGAAACTTGCATTATTCTTATCAGTGTCTTCACATTCTCGTACACAAGTACCATCTTTCTCAGTATCTTCTACTCCTAGGGATGTGTACAGCAGATGTTGCTTATTTATAATTTAGGTATTACATAAATATGTTTATAGTTTTAGGGGTGTTTAAATCTTAAACGCTGACAGATCCTTTTCTTTTATTAATGAGATAGCCATATGTTTATGAAAATAGCTGTTTAGTTTTCTATTGCTGCATAACAAATTACCACAAATTTAGCAGCTTAAAACAACACATTTATTATATCACCATTTTTGTGGGCAGAAATCCAGCCATTGCTTAGCTGAGTCCTCTGCTTCAGGTCTTTCTCATAGAGTGCAATCAAGATGTTACCTAGGTCACCTCCAAGCTCATTTAGGTTCTTGGCAGAATTCAGTTCTTTGCAGTGCTATGACTGAGGCTTTCAGCTCACAGAAGCTATTCACATTTATCTGTCATGTGACTGCCTGCATAAACACTTCATATCATAGCACTTTACTTCTTCAAGGCCAGCAGGAAAGCCTCTCTCTTCAGACAGCTAAGACAAACTCTTATATAACAATGTAATTATAGGAGTGATATGCCATTATCTTTGTCATGTTCCATCATAAGGATTGGTTGCAAAATGACCGTATGTTTCAAAGGTTGTAAATTTGCTTTTATTCTGTCACTTATCTCCCTGATTTGATTAGCCTATCATGCAATATCTAGTATTTTCTTTAGCCAGAAGCTTTGTTTAAATCTGCATTTTAGGAGGCCGTCCTATCTCTCACTGATTCTTATTTCATTGAGACTATTTACAAGATGGATTTTTTAAAACTATATTATTTTGATTACTCAAATTTTTGGTATTAAAATTGCTTCCCTTATCTATCTCCACAAATTATCTATAGGTGATTTTCAATAAATTGCTCCCACAAGGTAAACTTTTTGTTTGTTACACTGTCCATTTATTGTGGTATAGGCATTAATCCTATAAGAGAAGTAAGTCATCCTCACTTTTGATAAATATCTACAATAGTAAGATGGCATATTTCTCCTACAATTTAGACATAGGTACAATGCAATCAACCTGAATTACTTGTATTGAGTTGTAATCCCTATGGATAGTAGCTGCTTCTATTTTGTGTTTTAGAGTTTTGGACTTTTTGCAGAAACAATAATTATTTATCATATACTCACAGTCTGATTCCCTATCAGAGTTTCTTGTTTTTTTTTTTTTAACCTATTGGATTGACACATTGATTCCTAAATGTCAAAATTTCTCATAGGCTCAATGAACAACTGCTGTGTACATTCCTTTACTTTCTTTAATTGAGGCTTCCTAGTCAACTGGTTCATCATCTCATTGTATTTGATTGTTCTACCTTTCCCTTCTTTTGAGACGGAGTCTCGCTCTGTCACCAAGTTGGAGTGCAGTGGCATGATCTCGGCTCACTGCAACCTCTGCCCCCCGGGTTCAAGCAATTCTCATGCCTCAGCCTCCTGAGTAGCTGGGATTACAGGCACCTGCCACCACGCCTGGATACACTTCCCTTTCATGGGCTGAAACATGACCTACATATACAGTCACGTGCTGCAAAATTGTGGGGTTTTTTTGGCCAGTGATGGAAAACATACATGACAGTAGTCCCATAAGATTATAATGGAGTTGAAAATTTTCTATCACCTACTGACATCATAGCTGTGATAACATCTTAATACAATTACTTTGTTTTTAAATAAATTTAGTGTAGCCTAAGTGTACACAGTAATGTCCTAAGCCTTTACATTCACTCATTACTCACTCACACACTGACTCAACCACAGCAGCTTTCAGTCCAGCAAGCTCCATTAATGCCATTTTTTATCTCTTATGCCGTATTTTTACTGTACCCTTTATATGTTTAGATATGCATAGATACATAAATACCATTGTATTGGAACTGCCTACAGTATTCAGTACAGTAACATACTGTACAAGTTTGTAGCTTAGGAGCAATAGGCTATACCATGTAGTTTATGTTAATACACTCTATGATGTTCCCACAACAAAATCACCTAATGACATATTTCTCAAAATTTATCTCTGTCATTAAGTGATGTATGGCTGTATTGAATTTTTTTTCAATACTTAGCAAATGTCTTTACCCCACACTTCAGCACACTTAGTTTTGTAATTTTGTTCTTTTCATTGAGCATACCTTATGGGAATTCCATTAATAACAGCTCAGGAGTCCATGTAAATATAACTGAGTTTTGTTTTAATCTCGAGGATTTTTCTATTACTTACTTTATGGCCATGTCTGCTTTACAGTCTGTCTCCTTTCCTGGATTAATGTTATTCCATCTTTGGAATAACATTTAGTAAATAGCTTTTTATTTTGTGCTTTCTGCTATAAACAGAGCTTCTTCATCCATGTACTACTCTTTGCCTTAATTCTTTGTGGATCCCAACCAGGGCAACACCCTCAAATTTAGTCAAGATTCAGTAAGCACATCTCAATAGCAGCAACCTCATGATGTAAGGATGAGACACCTGAAAGGCTGGATTTGTTCCATTATAAGATGTACCCTTTCCATTGTACATATTCTGCTGTACCACATCTTTTATTTGTTATGGTACCAGTTTGGCCCATTGGATGATTAGCACTTGAGTTCTAAGGTTAACTAAGTTAGAACTAGTTAAGATTTCAGTGGCTATTTAGTGATCATTAATGGTCCATGCCACTTTTTCTAACAGAGAAAACCAAACTATTGATTCTGCCATCTTTCAGGCTCAAACCCAATTGACTGATATGATTTAATCCTAATTCCTAATAGTCTCAGCTGTAAAACCCACATCCATATTTATTTTGGGTAATTTCTTCTAACTTAAAATCAGATTCTTTGGTGTAGGGACCAGGAAATAGAATATTGTATTGACTATTTGACTTCCTATAATATTCTTTCATTTTTTTCTGTCCATTTAAAATCTCAGGATTTTCTTGTTATCCCATATAAGAATTTCCAAGTGAGTAGATCTTTATATAACAACAAGCAGATGGTAAAATTTTCATCTTTCTTTTTATCTTTTGAACTATTTTCACAATTTTCTGCTTAAAAGATAATACCACTTTTGCCCCTTTGGATTATCAAATTATTCTTAAGAAATGTATTAAGTTTTCTGTCTATTATACTTTTCCTTGTGCTAATGACCATTCTCTGCTTTGCAAGTATTATTTTTCCCTTGATCATGATACCATATATACAGTGTATTATACCAGGCCCTTTATTAAAATTATTGGCATTTTCTCTACATAAGTTATGCAGTATTACTGGGCTGTTAATATAACCTTGGGTCAATCTAGTAAAGGCATTGGCTGCTGCTTTTTGCTATAGATTCTCCCAACTCTTCTCTCCTATGTTCATGAAAATTTTCCCAAAGACTAAATTCATCTAGGATTATGATTACTTAGGATTCTATGTCTATTGATCCTATATACTGCTTGAGGTCCTTTTAAAATACTGAGTGTGTTTACGTACAGATATAGTAGAGTTGAAATTGTTCCCTGACATGACCACAACTTGAAGACTATGCTATTCTTATGGCTTGGTGGTTTTGCACTTTGAAATTTTGATTATTTCTGTGCTTCCTTTTTATTCCAATGAATCATTCTCCTTGTCCTCCCCCTCCTCATGACCATCATCATCATTATCATCATCATCATTGGTTTCTGTCCTCCTTTTTTTCCCTTGCAGTATTGCCCTGGATATAGTAGTTTTAATTTGGTGTGGTTTTTCTATTTGACTCTCCTTTTTCCTATTATTTTTACTTTTCATTTTATAGAACATTTAATTTCCATAGTAATTAATAATTCTGGCATATTTGGTCATAGTAGGCAATCTAGTTTGTCTTTGGCAATATTTGAATCTATTAGGTCTTTCAATTTAATCTTTGGAAACAATTTTTTTCATGTATCATCTCTGAATCAATATTTTATTCATAATATTTTTGGTTCAAAATCATTTTTTTCTCTTGACCAATCTGTATTATTATTCTTAGAATAATCTTTAAGTCCATAATTGTATCTACTATTAAAACTAGACCCAGGGGTCAGCAAATTTTTCTCTAAAAACCAACTGGTAAATATTTAAGGCCTTAGGACCCGAAAGCCAAAATCAAGAAAGTGTTCTTGACAAAAGGCAAATAGTGTTTTTAAATTTCACACTTTAATAGGTAAAGAAAAAAACATTCTTAGTTCAAATGACACAAAACAATAGGTAGAGTATCAGATTCAGTTCATGTACCGTACTTTACCAATCCCTCCTTTCCAGCACAGCTCTGTCAAGTGATGAGGGAACTTTTATTACAATTTTAAATTTTATCCTATGGACTTCATCTCCATTATTTTCATTTCATATTTCTTTATGAAGCTGAATATACACTATGACTCAGAAATTTTACTATGGGTATTTACTCAAATAAATGAATCAATTCATCCACAGAAGATTTATACCAAGATGTTTATGTCACCTTTATTTTTAATAGTGACACCCTGGAAGTAACACAAATTTCCATCAGTAAATACATTTAAAAATCATTGTGATATACATGCTTACTGACAAAACTATTACTCAGCAATAAAAATAAATAAAGTACTTATGTATGCAACAATATGGATAAATCAGAAAAAAATCTTATTTTGGGTTAGAGAAGTCAAGCACATAAGAATACTATGTAATTCCACTTATACAAAGATTTTCAAAAGGCAAAACAAATCTTAATAACACAATTAGTGTTTGCATATAGAGAGTAGAGATTGACAAGTTAACAATCTGACATCATGACTAAAAGAGCTAGAGAACCGAGAGCAAACAAACCCCAATGCTAGCAGAAGATAAGAAATAACCAAGATCAGAGCTGAACTGAAGAAGACAGAGACAAATACCCTTCAATAGTCAACAAATCCAGGAGCTGTTTTTTTGAAAAAAAAATAATAAAACAGATAGACCACTACCTAGACCAATAAAGAAGAAAAGAGAGAAGAATCAAATAAACACAATCAGAAATGATAAGGGGGATATCATTACTGACACCACAGAAATGCAAACAACCATCAGAGAATACCATAAACACTTCTATGCAAATAAACTAGAAAATCTAAAAGAGCTGGATAAAACTCTGGACACATACAACCTTCCAAGACTGAACCAGGAAGAAATTGAATCCCCGAATAGACCAATAAGGAGTTCTGAAATTGAGGCAGCAATAAATAGCCTACCAACCAAAAAAAGCTTAGGACCAGATGGATTCACAGATGAAGTCTTCCAGAGCTACAAAGAACAGCTGGTACTATTTCTACTGAAAATATTCCAAAAAAATGAAAAGGAGGGACTCCTCCCTAACTCATTTTATGAGGCCAGCATCACCCTGATACCAAAACCTGGTAGAGATACAACAAAAAAGAGAAAGCTTCAGGCCAATATTCCTGATAAAGATGGATGCAAAAATCCTTAATAAAATACTGGCAAACTGAATCCAGCAGACTATCACAAATCCTATCCACCACGATCAAGTTGGCTTCATCCCCTGGATGCAGGGTTGGTTCAACATACCCAAATCAATAAATGTGATTCATCATATAAATAGAACTAAAAACAAAAACCACATGATTATCTCAATAGATGTAGAAAAGGCCTTCAATAAAATTCAACATCCCTTCATGTTAAAAACTCTCAATAAACTAGGTATTGAAGGAACATACCTCAAAATAATAAGAGTCATATATGAAAAACCCACAGCCAGTATACTGAATGGGCAAAAGCTGGATGCATTTCCCTTGAAAACTGGCACAAGACAAGGATGCCCTCTTTCACCACTCCTATTCAACATAGTATTGGAAGTTCTGGCCAGGGCAATCAGGCAAGAGAAAGAAACAAAGGGCATTCAAATAGAAAGAGAGGAAGTCAAATTGTCTTTGTTTGCAGATGACATGATCCTGTATTTAGAAAACCCCATTGTCTCTGCCCAAAAGCTTCTTAAGCTCATGCAACTTTAGCGAAGTCTCAGAATACAAAATCAATGTGCAAAAATTGCCAGCATTCCTGTACACCAACAACAGGCAAGCAGAGAGCCAAATCATGAATGAACTTTTGTTCACAATTGCTACAAAAAGAATAAAATACCTAGGAATACAGCTAACAAAGGAAGTGAAGCACCTCTTCAAGGGGAACTACAAACCACTACTCAAAAAAATCAGAGATGTTACAAACATATGGAAAAACATTCCATGCTCATTAATAGGAGGAATCAATGTTGTGAAAATGGCCATACTGCCCAAAGGAATTTATAGATTCAGTGCTACTGTCATTAAACTACCATTGGCATTCTTCACAGAACTAGAAAAAACTATTTTAAAGTTCGTGTGGAACCAAAATGAGCCAGAATAGCCAAGAAAACCCTAAGCAATAAGAACAAAGCTGGAGGCATCATGCTACCTGACTATACTACAAGGCTACATTAACCAAAACAGCATAGTACTGGTACAAGAACAGACACATAGACCAATGGAAGAGAATAGAGAACTCAAAAATAAGACTGCACACCTAAAACCATATGATCTTAGACAAACCTGACAAAAACAAGCAATGGGGAAAATATTCCCCATTTAATAAATGCTGCTGGGAGAACTGGCTAGCCATATGCAGAACATTGAAACTGGATTCCTTCCTTAAACCATGTACAAAAAATCAACTCAAGATAAACTAAAGACTTAAATGTAAAGCCCAAAATTATAATAACTCTAGAAGAAAATCTAGGCAATACCATTCAGGACATAGGCACTGGCAAGGATTTCATGATAAAAACACCAAAAGCAATTGCAACAAAAGCAAAAACTAACAAATGAGATCTAATTAAACTAAAGAGCTTCCTCACAGCAAAAGAAACTATAATCAGAGTGAACAGACAACCTACAGAATGGGAGAAAATTTTGCAATCTATCCATCTGACAAAGGTCTAATATCCAGAATCTATAAGAAACTTAACAAATGTACAAGAAAAAGACAAACCACCCAATTAAAACATAGGCAGGCAAAGAACATGAACAGACGATTCTCAAAAGAAAATATACATGCAGCCAACAAACATATGAAAAAAAGCTCAACATCATTGATCATCAGAGAAATGTAAATCAAAACCACAATGAGATAACATCTCACACCAGTCAGAATGGCTATTAATAAAAAGTCAAAAATTAATAGATGCTGGAGAGGGTGAGGAGTAAAAGGAATGCTTTTACGCTGCTGCTGGGAGTGTAAATTAGTTCAACTATTGTGGAAGACAGTGTGACGATTCTTCAAAGACCTAGAGGCAGAAATACCATTTGACCTAGCAATCTCATTACTGAGTATATACGTAAAGAAATATAAATCATTTTATCATAAAGATACGTGTATGCATTTGTTTGGTGCGGCACTATTCACAATAGCAAAGACATGGAATCAATCCAAACGCCCATCAATAATAGACTGGATAAATAAAATGTGGTACATAAACACCATGGAATATACTATGAAGCCATAAGAGGAACAAGGCCATGCCCTTTGCAGGGACACAGATGGAGTTGGAAGCCATTATCCTTAGCAAACTAATGCAGGAATAGAAAACCAAACACCATATGTTCTCACTAGGAAGTGGGGGCAGAATGGTAACACATGGACACATTGGGGAGGGACAACACACATTGAGGTATGTCAGGGAGGGCCAGGGGAGAGACAGCATCAGGAAGAATAGCTAATGGATACTGGGCTTAATACCTAGGGGATGGGATGATCTGTGCAGCAAACCACCATGGTATATATTTACCTATGTGACAAGCCTACACGTTCTGCACATGTACTCCTGAACTTAAAAGTTGAAGAGAATAAAAAGAAAATACAGTGTGATTGTATAGGGGCATAAGAAAATGTTATGGGGTTATAGAAATTTTCTATGTCTTCATAGAGCTAGAGGTTACATGGGAAGTATCACATATCAAGCTCATTTAATCATAATCTTAAGATCTGTGAATTTTACTGAAAATAAAGTTTACCTTAATAAAACTATAAAAAGACATTAAAAATTCAAAGTTATCCTTCATTAATATAGACAAACTCAATATTACTTAATAAATATATACTTAACATGCAATATTAGCATATAAAATCCAACAATATGTAAAGGGTATAAAAACTCAAGTTACATTTATTTAATAATGCAAGGTTGATTTACTATCTGAAAGCTGATAATATAATTTGCAAAATTAACAGAAAAAGAAAAATCCTGTAATAATTTTAATAGATACATAAAAGTGTTTTGCAAATTTCAACACCAATAAAATAAGACTAGTAGAGAACATCCTCAATCTAATGTGTGGCCTCTACAAAAAATGCAAAGCTAGCATTAAGCTTGGTGGTGAAAGATCAATTGTTTCCTTCTAAAATCAGGAGAAAGGCAAGAACGTCCACTTTTACCACTTCTGTTCAACATTATGCTAAAGGTTCTAGACATTTTAATAAGGCAAGGAAAGAAAGGAAGAACGGAAGAAAGAAAGAGGAAGGAAGGAAGGGAGGGAGGTAGGGAGGGAGGGAAAGAAAGAAAAGAAGGAAGGAAGGGGAAGGGAAGGAAGGAAGAAAGGAAAGAGAGAGAGAGAGAAAGAAAGAGAAAGAGGAAAGAAAAAAAAATCAGACAGGAAGTAAAACTGTTCCTCCATTAAATTATCAACAGTAAAATGAACAATTATTTGTGTATAGTTCTATTAATTTTAATACAAAAGTCAACACTCTTTCTGGGAGTCTTACTTGCAAGGAATTAGTCAAATTAACACTTACCTCTCAGCTCACCCTCCCGACTGAAGGGTTGCACACTACACCTTCCTCTCTAAGCAACCTGTACTATTTCAACAAATAGAAGCTGAGATCGTACCTGTTAATATCACTCTTAGCAACATTGGAGGATTGTTCCTATAATAAACAGGAAAGGAAGAGTAAGAATAACACCCAAAGCCTTAAAAACAACTACCTTACCTCTCTTGGATTCAAACTATTGTCCAACCAGCTCAGTTAATCCATATTCTATAGGATATATTGGTTATGAGAAACACATCCTCTTGAATGACCAACAGAATTGTCTAGACAGGTAATATTTTTTATGCCAATAGTAAACAAAGTTATTCATTTAATACTTAAATTGTGTGGTGAAAATTTGCCTTTGGAAAAAATAATAGCATCAATTTATGATCTAAATTATCAAATGGTCCTGGGATTGCTGGTTCAGTTGATCGGTGACTTCCCTGGGGACCATCCCATCTGACTAATCTCTTTGCTATTCTAATTTCATAGTGAAGGGATACAATTTTTGATTTGGGTCACTTCTTCATAAGTGGCTTCAGTGCTTGATGAGGCTCAGTCATATTGCATATACCACTCCATTTGATGATGGAGTTCTGGGCATGCCCAACTTTATGGCTTGATATATCATGTTACATTCAGTTCATGATAGGTAGTTCAACTCAATCTCATTGCAACTTGGTGACCAATAGTTAAATGGGCAGTCTCTATGTAGGCCTTGTGGCAGGCCATGAGCTGATTCTCAAAAGGAGAATAACTATCCACAGAAGAGTGCAAGGCTTTGCTTTAAAACCCTAGGGCTCTGCTCTGCAATTCGTCTACAGTGGCCTGCCAAATTCTCTACCCAGCATCCATATCTGGCACTGACACCTGAATCACCATTGGATCTACTAGATCACATGGCCAAATAGTAGATCAGGTTACACAAAAGCGTAAATCTGTTGCAGGACCTTCACTTGTTCTGGGCCCCACTCAAACTCAGCAGATTCTAGGGTCACTTGGTACAAGATTGGATAACGTACACAAATGAGAATATGGTGTCTCCAAAATCCAAAGACCCACAAGCATTGTGTCTTTCTAAGGAAAGACTGTGAGGTATATTTCTGGCCTTGACAGCCTAAAGCAAACTATTTTTAATGGCCCTTATAAACAGAGATGGAAAAATTGTACTTCCAAGATACCATAGGCTGTGTCAATTTGCTCAAGCAGTGAGACCAGATGTGGCACAGCTGCTGCAATTTGAGTCACCATTTGGCTAAGCTTATGATAATCCAGAGTTATTCTTGAAAATCTGTCTGTCTTCAGCATAGGCCAAATAGGTGAGTTGAATTGTGATGGGTGAAAATCACCACACCTGCATCTTTCAATCCATCATAGTGACACACAATTCTACAGTCACTTGAGGAATGTGGTATTGCTTTCAATTTATTATTTTCCTAGGTACAGGTAGTTCCAGTGGATTGGATTTGCCCTTTCCACAATAATAGCTCTCACTCCACAGGTCAAGGAACCAATGTGGGGATTCGGGGTTTGGTATTCAGCAATCTCGGCCCTGCAACTACTGGCAATAAGTGTCTCATTCAGGGCATATGTAGAAGCTTACAGATCATTTGTAAGGCTCTTGAGCTGGGGATTCAAATCCCTAAGCTTATCCTTTTCTTTTTGCACTTTGTCTGGTGACATTAGGAGTATATTATAAATTTTTTAAACTTTATGTTTTCCTGATGCTTCAGCATCCCCACAAATAATCTGTAAACACATTGCCCACACAACCAGGTACATTGGTGTGGGTAAGTCTGGTCTCTGCCACAAGATTCCCTTCTTGGCTTTCCTTTACTGACCTAGTGACATTCAAACACACCAATAAAATCTCCTCATGGTTTTTGCTTGTGTACTTCACCCTGTCCCCCAGTAAAAGCATTTGCCCATGGGTCCAATCTCCCTCCCCAACTTCTCTCTCTTTCAGGCCCTCATCTACTTGATTGAGCTCACTCCTTGAGATTTCCTCCCATATGGCCTCCTGCATGGCATGCTGTGCCTGCTGCCTCTAGGACCTGTGTGTATAATAATCACTCTCTGAATATAATTTCTCCATTTGTGTTGAAATAATCCTTAAAGACCCCACAAAAAGGATTTATTCCCCATTTACAATAATGGAGCAACTAGTCAATCCTTTATTTGTTAATTTGACAAAAATGTTCAATAATATTATATACAGTCAACCAGATACTTGATTTTTTATAAGCAGTTGATTATGAATATCCAATGATGATATTTTGCGTGTCTGTATTTCCAGACCACATCATGAACTATGAGTGCTCTTTTCACTATTGGAAATAGAGTGATTTGCATATTTAAATATAATCTAATTATATTTAGAAAGCCAATTCCAGAAACCCCAGAACCTATTCAGAGACTTCATCCTTAAGATTCTGTCCCTCTACAACTGCTCTCGGTACCAAAAGCTGTATTAATCAGGGTTCTCCAGAGAAAAAGAACAGATAGGAAACAGGTTCCCCCGGAATAATTTTTGATGAAATGTCTGGGCATCCCCAGGCCCTGTAAGTTGACACATAATAATAACTTCACAGGATATAATCAGGAGCTGGCAGTCAACAGATAAAAGTACAAAGTAAGAAAAACTTGACCTCTAACCCTACTTTTCCAACTTAAAATTTATTGGTTGGAAAACTTTTCCCTTCCCTGGGATATTAGACACTGAGACCCAAGCCTTGAAGTTATGGCTATGACATAATGGAAACCTTGCCTCCAGCTCTGTTGTGCCACTTAGTATTTATGAGTGGAGAAGAACAGACCCTCCTCCAGTATGATGAAAGTAATTACATCTGATCCTCCAGAAAGCAACTGTATGACACAGTGGAGCGGCAGCCTCTGTTTCTGATCTACCATCTCTGCACTCCACCAGGATAGCCTGTCTTAACCACTCATTATGTCTATTTCAATTGGCCTCCTAGGAGTGTAGGAGACAGTGTAGGAGTGGTCTGTAGACAGTGGTACTCAAAGTATCTCCCTATACCAGCAGCATAAGCATCACCTGGAAAACTATTAGAAATTCAATTTCTTGGGCTCCATCCTGACATAGTGAATCAGAAAGCCTGTACGTGGGTCTCAGTTATCAGTTTTAACAAGATCTTCAGATGATTATTTATCTAGTGTTCACTAAAGTTTGAGCACCAGTGCTTTAGGGGATCAACTAACTTAACCCACTTCAACTATTTTCATTGCTTAAGGACTTCTCCGAGCCTCAGATGATAATGTATACTGAAATTTCCAAGCTTCTCAAACACATTTAACTACATATTTTTTAAATATAAGCATACCTTTAGGATTATGTTCTATGAAATATTCTTAATGAAACAGAATTTGAGAGTGTGCTATTTGAACTGGAATGCCTAATGATATTACCTTCCTTCAGTCAAGTAAAAGTCATACAATTAAAAAAGGATATGAAGAAACCAGACACTTTTTCTTTCAAAATGATTATATTTCTGTTTAATGAATGAAATCATTCTTTGAGATAACTAATGTTGAAATCCAGTTTCTCAAAAAAAATTATGTTTTGTGATTAAACAATTTGAAATTCCCAAACAAGCCCCATATACCGACTTGCCCTCTTTTATTATATTCCTAATTCTGTACAATACTTGGCAGATATGAATTAATAAAAATTAAAGTGGGTTTTTAATTAAAGAAGGAGGAATAAAACAGTTTGCTGAAATCTCAGTTAACCCAAAGCTTTATTTTAACCAATACTTTCAATTATGCACATAGCTGCACTGTTTTCACGGTTAAGTCATTGAGAATCTAGAAAATGAAAAGTAGATCTACTGCCATTGTTTATGTTCCCACAGTTTCAATACCTATGAGACTCAATCTGCTGGAGTTTGTCAGTGTTCCAGGTTTTAAATAAGAGGATGTCTGCATATTTGCTCTAAGTGGTATTCCAGAAAGCTCATAAATTGATTTTTAACTGCTATGTCACATAAAAGTCACTTAATTTGGGCTGGAAACTAAATGAGCTTCTATCTGAAATTAGTTCTGAAACTAATGTGTGTCCTTGTACAGTCATTGATGGCCATTTTTCCATATCTCATGGGCTCTGAAAATTCATGGTTCTCTTTTTATGTAAAATTGGTTGCACCAATTGAACAGTTGGAACCAAATGAAAATGGTAATTCAAATGAGAAATGAGTTAAAATAATAGTCATGTATCTAGGGAGAAAAAAATTTAAAAAATGATATCTCACATTTCAAGTAGATAAATCAGCACTTAAACATCATCATAATACTCATAATCAGGCCGGGTGCTTGTGGCTTGTGCCTGTAATCCCAGCACTTTGGGAGGCTGAGGCAGACGAATCACTTGAGATCAGGAGTTTGAGACTAGCCTGGCCAACATGGTGAAACACTGTCTCTACTAAAAATACAGTAATTAGCTGGGAATGGTGATGGGTGCCTGTAATCCCAGCTACTTGGGAGGCTGAGGCAGGAGAGTCACTGGAACTTGGGAGATGGAGGCTGCAGTGAGCCGTGATCATGCCACTGCACTACAGGCTGGGCAACAGAGCAAGATTCTCTCTCAAATATATGTATATATATATATTTTCACAACTCAGAGTTATTTATTGCTTATAATATCACAAAAACAAATCAACAGGGGAAATTAATTAATTTGAGTAAGAACCCTCTCTGGAAATGTATGTATTGTTATACTTTCACATATGGTAAATGATGTATTTCATAGCAAAAGATTGGAAAAACCAACATGATCATTAAGAAGAGACTGGTTAAATAAAAATCAGCACACTTTTATAATGAAATATCATTGTGTAAACAGGTAATTGTATGCACATATTGTTAAAATGAACCTTGGTTACAAGTTTTACCTGTAGCCACAAACTTCAAACTTCTGCCATGTGTCCAAGTACCTTAAATGAATGGAAAATTATTGACACAAGTGTTTCAGGAGTGTTTCTCAGACGTTTTTCTTGAAGGCACAAAGCATTAAAGCAAATGGATTTTTAGAAGCCATTACTTTTAGTGTTTAAGTAATGTATTAGTGTTACAGGACTAGGTAATACAGTGTTTAGGTAGTATATTATTAGTGATACTAGGACATACTTCAGTGAAAGTAACATTTGGTTGAAGTTAAGAAGCCTTGCAGTCCCATTAGTCTCAATGTTGTCATAATTTTGGACAAGTCACTGAATTTCTTTGTACTGTATTTTTCTTTGTACAATTACACACATGGATTGTATAATCTCTAAGAACCCATTGCTATCAAATGTTTTATAAACTTTTATAGCATTGCCACCTCAACTATTTCATTAATATTAATACTTTGGGAGATCACATCTTTAACAGCTGAAAAAGACTTCAAACAAAATTCCTTCAGAATAAAGTACTATATAGCAGTCTCTTCTTACTCACAAATCCTCTGAGGGATGGGGAGTCTCCATGTTTATTAGGAAGATTCTAATACACAGTCTGGACAATGGGTTATTCTCTAAACATAGGTCCTATAGCCAATGTTAGGTATTCTTGAATATCAAAAAGACTATTGAACTTATAACAGGAATGATAGAAGATGTGAGAAGAATGGAACATTTAGGGAGGATAGTATTGGCCTGGAAAAGACTTTGGGTTGCCTCAAGCTTCTCCTTCATTCTTTTTGCCTAACACTGTGTCTTTGCTTTGAAAATGTGGCTATAAAATTTGAGTCAAGTTTAAAAAGGGATTGAGAAATATTAGATAAATAAGTGTCAACCCAATGGAAAACTATTATATTTTAAATAAAAATTTTCTAGATAATTGATTATATTTATGCAAGAAAATTATATGCAACCTCTGACATAATTTTGAAGGTACCTGCCCTTGTGACATCACATGGAACAAGAGTTCTTGGCAGAGGAAAGTGGATTTCTAATGATTATGGTGATTTAACTAGTGTTGATTAGATCAAATGACTGACAGATTAGTTATTCTCTTTTGGAAACATTTAAAGGAAGGATTTCTAAGTCAGAACTGATTAGAAGTATAATTTTCTAAAGATCAAAATTAGAAGATATTTTGAATAAGAAGTAAAATTAATCATTAAAATGTATAAAGGGATCCTGTAAAGTCTCTTGTCTTAAGATACTACTTTCCTACATAATATTATTTAGCTTAAATGAAAGAGCAACAACAAAAGATCATGTCTTACAATGCTACCTAATACTCATACCAAAGATGTTAGAAAAATATCATATTTGCTTAAGGTATTTTCTCAGAAGAATTCGGGTATGGAAGCTACTTTTAGACATCTTATTTCTAGTTTCTTTATAGAAAAATGCAATGACTCTTTTCCCAGCAGCTCAGATCCACTTCATTAATTCATTTGACTGCCATCATCACTTTTGCTGAACTCAGAGATATAGCTAAGAATGTAAATATATGAATTAGAAGATGCAGTTAGAGCGTCTTCTGAGTGGTTTCACTAAGATACACATTGCTAATGTGCTTCTGGAAAGTCTAAAGGGAATATCAGTCTATATTCATTAGTAATCTGTTACAATGGGAAATCCTAGGGTTGTGAGATTTAACAAATAAAAATTCAGGATGCCAGGTTAAATTTGAATTTCAGATTTATAAGAAATAATATTTTAGTATAAATATATCCTGCATATTACATAGCACATACTTACACTAGAACACAATTCATTGTTTATCTGAAATTCAAATTTAACTGAATATCTTATATTTTACCTGGCAACTCCAGCACTGGCCCCTAATGAAACGCAGCTCCTTATACCCACACACTAGTATATCCCCGATCCCTTACATCTGGACTGGGTCTTTTGTTACTAAAACCACAAGGATGTAGCAAAAGTGATAACACTGCCAGTTTTAGGCATAAGTTTTGGAGACACCGGGCAGCTTCTGCCCTTGTGGTCTTTGGGTGCTAAACTGTCGTAGAAAAAACTCAACAACCTCGATAAGACTACATGTAAGAGAACTGGCAAACTCAGTGGATAGGCCCAAGATCTAACCCCAGTTGAATAGCTACCCAAGCAGAGGTTCCAGTGAAGAAGCCACCTTGAATGTACAGTCCCATTAGACACCATATGGAGCAGAGACGGATCATACGTGCAGTGCCCTGTCTGATTCCTGACCCACAAATCATCAGAAATAATAAAATGATTGCTGTTTTAAGTGTTTTGGAGTAGTTGTTATGCAACAATAGATGACTAAGGCATACAAGACCCCAGCCCCAATTCTACTTAGCGATCTCTGCAGTTCCTCTAAGAAAGTGACTTCTACATAGTTTCAGAAGTAAAGAGGAAAATATTAATTCATAGGCATATTGAGATTATTAACAAATTACCTTGTTCACTGTGCTTGAGAAAATAAAAAGTTGTGCACGTGTTAAATGTATGAAGGTTTTGTAAAACCAAGAATGAATTAGCAAATTAAATACTTAAAAAATAAATTGAACATCAGAGGAGTAAGTTTGATCATTGTGGGTAAAATACTCACATGTTTTTCTTTTCTTTTATTAAAGAAAACACATTTCATTATTCTATTGCTTTCTTCTTTTGATTACCTTTCCAGAGCTTAAATTTGAATAAGATTTTGCCATTGATTCTGTAATGATAACTTTACTGCAAATAATTTCTAATAGGACATTTTAACCTTTGCTTCAATCAAAAGGGTGAAAGCTAAAGAAACAAAAAGTCACTCAGAACTTTTCATATCAGGAAGAGGAAAATAACTTTATATCAACTTTACAAAAGAAAAGAATTTTTACATTGCAATCTTGATGAAAAGTTGTACATATTAGCCTAAAGATTTTTTAAAATGCTACACTTAAACTACCTAATTCCAAAGATATCCATGATATCAATTGAGATTGCATTTGGTTGCAAGTAACAGAAAACTCAAATGAATTAAAAGTGGCTTAACAATATGCAGTTTTATTTTATCATGTTGGAAAAGTCTGGAGGTGCACAGAGAGGGTAGTATGCCAATTCTACAGTATTACTTCTACTTTGTGGCCTCTCACACAGTTTACATGTGTTACCTCATTGACGATAAAACTTGCTTGAACTTCAGTCATCACATCCACATTCCAGAAAGTAGAAAGAGGGATATTCCCCCTCCCTTGTATGAAACTTTTCAGAACCTTAAAAAGAAACTTTTGTTTGCATTCTATTGACCAGAACTTAATCACATGATGATATGGTTGGGAAAAGTAGCCTCTGTTCTGAGTGATCAGGTGTCCAGTTTAAATGGGATATTTATTTCTAAGGAAGAAGGGGAGAATGTTCATTGGTTCTCTGTGCCATATGGCTTATTTCACACAGATTGATACTTGTTAATAATTAACTTTGAAAATATTCTAAAATTATTTACATGTGTGTGTTTTCAACTAAAATTTGTAAGGAGATATTGAATTATTGAGTACCAGTTACATGCAGAAAACTCTGTTAAGCGTGTTGAGATTATTTATAAAGATAATCTGGGTTGTTAAATCAAGGAGCATACATATATTTAGAAATACTATAAAATATAAAACATAGTGAAAGGATCCCAATACAGTGTTTAGTTAATAGAAGAAGCTTAAATTTTATGTTATCACCAAGTAAGGGGAAATTACAACTTGCAGAGATATTAAGCAAAATGTCCATGAAGAAATTCCATTTCACCAACCTCCAATTGTGTGAGTGTATATCTGTACTGATTTTCCTTTCAGCCCTTTACTTTATTGTTTCAGGTATCCTCACAACATTACAAAAACTAGTAAAAAATACAAAAGAAAGAGGAAGAAGAGAAGAACAAGGAGGAGGAGAAGGAGGAGGAGGAGGAGAATTATTTTATTTTTGAGTTCTTTACTCTTTTCACCTCCTTGTCTTGATTGGAACCAGTTCATCCCCTACCTTTGGGCCGTCTCAGAGCTCTCTCATTGTCCCACAGATCCCAGAGGTTGCATCAATATTATTCCAGCATCCACCACTTTTTGGTGTCACTTCCAGCTCAATACTCTTTCCTTTGTGCAAACAAACTTCTCTTCTTTGAAGGACTCATTTCCTTAAGCAATACCTCTCTCTAATCTTTTTTGTCACTGTCATCTGTCAATATCTCATCCCTCCCATGAATCCCTGAGGACTTTGACATCTGCCTTACAGAGATTTTTACATTCTTCTCTTGACTGTCTTGGGTGACCATGGCATCTATATGGTAGACTCATCTGCGACATTAGTGTCAATGCTTCTTAATCCAGCTGGGATTCTGACTGTTTTTACCTTTGCTGAAGCTTAGCCACTTTCATAAACAGCAACACCTTAAACCTTGACATTATTCTGAATTTAGATATTTCTCATAACTTTAATGCCTAAACTCTACTTCCTGTCTTAATGGTCAACATTAACAAAGCCTCCAATTTCTTCTCGCTTCCTTTTTTCATTATCATTCATTTCCTTCAACGATGAACCTAGAGTCTCTATTGTTTGAGCGCCACTTCAATCATCACTAGCTAATGCTTTCAATCTTCTATTCCTAAGCAATGTCAGCTGGGTACTCAGGGCAATAAGAGATGGCTAGAAAAACAAGTAGACAGGCAAGCAGATAGCAGATAAACATATTCTTATTGTCCACCATAGACATGTAACATAGTAACACCACTTCAATACTTAATTCCACCCCTCTCTCATTAGCTTATCAGGTGATCTTACTCTTTCTTCCCTAAAATTTGAGATGCTTATATCTGAATTTCCTTAACTTCCTGACAAATACAAATGCACGCATCTGTCCTCATTCCTACATTTTTCACTACCTTCTCTTGGAAAGGGAGCTGCCTTCTGCATATGAAGCCTCAGTTCCCTCCCTGCACTTTCTGTGCCATCTCTCCCACCTTCTCAGAGTCATTAGCACTTCTGCTTACTCTCTTCTCATTTTCTACATCTTCTCCTATGTTTTAAGATGCATCCCACTCATATTTACACCCTCTTCTCACGTCTACTCTTTTATTTCCATTGCATTCACAGCCAAGATTTTGGGAAAAGCATAGTGTACATTAACAGCTTCAGTTTTCTTCAGTTCTTTGAAATCAACCTTCAGTTTCATCTCCTTTTACTCTTCCACCAGTGCTCTCCTCCACTTCCAAGGCCAATAACTTCTTGGTTGCTAAATCCAGTGGATGCAGTTTACTCCGTATCTTATTAGTCTTCTCTGTAGCATTTTATGTAATTCCCCACACTTGGCTACAGAAACACTGTTTTCGCAGCACACCTCTCAGTAGATTCTCTTCCACCTCTCTGAATGCTCCTTCATTGTCTCTTTAGAGAGCTCTTTAGGTGAAATGGTTTTTTTTTTTTTTATGTTTCTGTTTTTTTGCTCTTCTACTGCTCTTCTGAATATCCCTTGGTATCTCATCTACTCTCATTAATTCACTTTAAAACAATATGCTTACAGATCTCAAGTCCCTATTTCCAGGCTTGGCAATAGGAAAGGAAATGAAAGAGACTATCATACTTGTTCTCTCTCTCCGGTTAGTTTGTAAATTACCAGTGCAGAAACTATGGACAGCACCTGGTACAGTGTTTTGCATACTGAGGCAAATTAGATAATAACTAAACCTGGCAGGAAACTATATTTTAATTCCTTGTACTTGGGTAGAGGTGTCAAGAGGCACCAATAGTATGAATCAGAGAGGTAATATTTTTTTAATTGAGATAACAAAATGTAACATCCGTTTCTTCTGCAATCTATAAAACAACTCCAAAATTACACTTTACAGTGCCCTCTACATTAGGGGTCTTCAACCCCCTGGCCAAGGATCAGTACTGGTCTGTGGCCTGTTAGGAACCAGGCTGCACAGCAGAAGATAAGAAGCAGGTGGGCAAGCAAAACTTCATATGTATTTATAGCCACTCCCCATTGCTTGCATTACTGCCTGAGCTCCCTCTCTTGTCAGAGCAGCAGTGGCATTAGATTCTCATAAGAGCACAACCCTATTTTGAACTGTGTAAGTGAGGGATCTAGGTTGCATGCTCCTTATGAGAATCTAATGCCTGATGATCTGTCACTATTCCCATCACTCCTAGATGGGACTGTATACTTGCAGGAAAACAAGCTCAGGACTCGCATTTATTCTACATCATGGTGAGTTGTATAATAATGTCATTATATATTATAATATAATAATAGAAGTAAAGGGCACAATAAATGTAATGCACTTGAATTGTCCCCAAACCATCTCCCCTCTCCAGTTTGTGAAAAAAATTGTATTTCACAAAACCAGTTCCTGATGCCAAAAAGTTTGGGGACTGCTGCTCTAAATCATAGTCTGCCATCCAATATATGTTCTTGAACAATAAAAGAAACAAAACATCTACAGATGACTGGATTCATGTTAAAGTATTTTAACCTTCAACTGTGCTTATTTCTGCAAAAGACAGCTGAAACCTGAGCTACTTATATTTCATCACCTTGTAGTGGAACTTATTCAATGTACTAGCAGAATCTGCTTGAATATTATTCTGCTTAATGATCTTTTTTCTTGGTGAGTAAAGCTCACTGTTATGATTACTCAGCATTTGTAATATTATGCTGTGCTGAATGTGGGCTTTCTACAAATCTATTATTGCATTGCTTTTCTCTTTTCTCTCACTCCGTCTGTCTCCTTTCTCTTTCTCTCTTTGCCTCTCTCAGGCTCTTATTTATCCATCACACACACATACACATTCACACAGAATAAGCTGCTTACCATTCAGACAGAGTTTCCTGTTTTCAATTCTGGGTTTCAGTTTGTTATGATTTAACATTAAAAATTTTTAATCTGTATGGGTTATTATTTACCCATACATATTATGTGTATTAAACATCATAACCCATAGTGGACAGGATGGCTTTTTCACTCCCCTTCTGAGAAATATTCCTGTTAACAATATGGTTAGAGTGCATGCTGC
Source organism: Homo sapiens (assembly GCF_000001405.40). Taxonomy (NCBI): domain Eukaryota; kingdom Metazoa; phylum Chordata; class Mammalia; order Primates; family Hominidae; genus Homo; species Homo sapiens. The sequence continues at coordinate 19,872,673 of NC_000007.14, forward strand.
CCCATTTTCAGACTCTGTAACTATGGACACAGTTGATTGTTTCAGGTTTGGGTATCTATCTGAAGGAAGGCAAATCAGATCGTTTCCCTAGTATCTTTAAACTTGGCACCATGTAGCATGTATTTCAGTCCTTCTCTGGTAGAGAATACATGAATCTGGAGTTGGTGGCTGAAATGGTTTGGCTGTGTCCCCACATAAATCTCATCTTGAATTACCATGTGTTGTGGGAGGAACCTGGTAGTAGATATTTGAATCATGGGGGTAGGTCTTTCCCATGCTGTTCTCATGGCAGTGAATAAGTCTCACGAGATCTGATGGTTTCATAAGGGGGAGTTTCCCTGCACCAGCTCTCTGTTTGCCTGCTGCCATCTATGTAAGATGTGACTTGCTCCTCCTTGCCTTCTGCCATGATTGTGAGGCCTCCCTAGCCATGTGGAACCATAAGTCCATTAAACCTCTTTCTTTTGTAAATTGCCCAGTCCCGGATATGTCTGTATCAGCAGCATGAAAACAGACTAATACTGTGGGCATTTCTACTATGTGGGAAAGGTTGGAGGAAATTAAGGCAACCCACATAAAGAAGCAAAAATAAGGACTGCCGAGAGGGTTCTAATGGAGTCCAGTCACTAGTGCTGATTGGCCCTGCAGTTAGCTCTAGAAAGCAATTCCTGTATTTTGATTGCAAGAGCCAATATAGTTTTCTATCTCTCTAATTTAGTTTGAATTAGCTTTCAGTCATTCACAACTAGAGTCCTGACTAAAGATATGTTCTGTGAGCTTGAAGTTGGATTTTTCTCATTTACTTTATTTTTATCTACTTTTTATGTTACTTATAAGGGAGAATACATACTCTAATTAGCTAACAGATTATGGAATTGTGATATACAAATTGATTAAATTTATTTTGTGGCAGAGGAGAGAATTGTTATCCTAGGAAATCCTTATTTATACTTGCTTCCTCATTGCTCCCTGATATTAAAGTTTCATGTCTTCAGTTTATGTGTCTGTAATGAGGAACCCACTTAAGAATAAATAGTTTAGGACAGCATTTTGCTGGGTGACATATTTGTCTTGGCTACCCATTCTGGATACCAGAATTTTGATGGCATTGTTAAACTGGGACAAATTCAACTGAAAAACAATGACAAAACGAAAACCCAAAACAAAACCCAACAATTAATAGTTCTTGAGGGGTTTCATAAATTGGGATTTTGTAAAAAAATTTTGCTTAGCTCTGCTCATCTCTCATAATAGATGTAGAACTGCTTAATTTACCATGAAACTATATATAATGCTATATATAATAATCAAAATGCACATTCAGTAGTGGTTTGGTACAAATGTTTAATTTTTCTCATCTATGAATTAGTTAAAAAAATTCAGCTGTGTAGAAGAAGGACATTTTCACATGTGTCTCAGTTTTCATCTCTTGACCCACTATTCTGATGTCCCTCAGATTTTACCCTGGGCCAATCTACAGTGGAAGTCTTGCCTTTTATAAATGGCAGTATATCATCATTCTCTGCTAGTCTTATAGCTCCACCTCAGAAGCAGATAAATTATTAAATGATGGCTGAAGTGGGGATGTGCCACTCATGTCACTGCCTTATTCATTGTCTGAAGGACTTCTTGCTCTATCACTCAATCCTATGCCTTTGAACATTTTCTGTTGCCCCCTTTTATTTCTGCCACATAATCCAAATGGTAAGTAAACTTTTACTGTTTCAAATGTTGGCAACTTATAAGCCAGCTTTGAGCTCAGAATGAAAAACCTCTGTCCACAAGTAAGGTCAGACTACTTCTCTTGTAAGCTACTATAGTTCAGAAGCTTGGAGTATGACTCTCTTAAATATTTTACAGCTACCCAAAGTAAGGCAAGAAATTAGACATTGGAAGGCCATTGAATTAGAAATTCTTGAAGTCTAGGAAAAAATAAGAACTAACCTAATCAGTCATTTACTTCTTGATATAATAGGTCCATATCATTTGGGGAGAATAGGTTTTATAAAAAGGAGAGGGGAGCAACTATTAAGAGTAGTCTTTGAAGGGAATGGGGAAAGAACTCTAAAAAAACGATCACAAGAAGCAGGAAGAGAAAAGTGAAAGTTTCTCCTTCACGGTTTTCCTATGACAGGCCTCAATATACAGTTCAAAAAAAAAAAGGTCATTGACTTTAATAAACAATCCTCCATTTGTTTCTCTGTTAAATCTACATAATTCTGCTAAACTGAATTCAGAGTTTTCTGAAAAATATGAAACTAATTCTCTTGGGTTTATAATAACTATAAAAGATATATATGAAAATACTGATGATATATATGAGTCCCAGGAATGTAACTATGTACTGTTTAAAGCTAAGTCGTGTCTTCAAAAACTATTAAAATCTCTTGGCTCCCTTATCTACAAAGATTCTAATACTTGTTTCTCTTATATCAGCAAGTATTTTCCAAACTTGGGAGCTTTAAAATATACAGATTTTGAGACTCTAGCACTAAAAGCCAGAAACAAGACATTTTCTTTAAGGATTATACTGACATAACAAAATAAATTAAAAACATCCCAAATTTTATCATTAATTCAAACCAATGTTTTTATATATCCTTGCTACTTTTAATTTTTGTGTTCATGCATATTTTAACATTTTTAGTAATATTAAATGCCATAGTTTTTTACACTTCAACTATTATAATGTGCATACTTTTCCAGTGTGCTTTTATTTTTTATTTCCCTGACTGCCCTTTCTTCCTATTCTCACCCTTTCCTGAGAAAATTTTATTAATGAGTTTATGTCAATCATCCACACTTTCTCCATGCTTGTCCAAATAAATATTGCAATTTACTCTTCTTTCTTAACAATGCATAATAGACAGTTACCTAATTCAACAGCTATAAATCTATTATTTTTAACAATGGTATAATATTCCATATTTTAATACCATATTTTAAAAATTATTTCTCTATTGATAGTTATTCAGGGTACTTAAGTTTAGTTTCTTCCACCTCTGACTATAAACAAAACTACAAAGCTGCAATAAACTCCTCGGCTCTTATATGCATATATATTATATACTGGTGCTTATATTTTCCAACAATATATTTTTAGAAGTTAAGAATCTATTTATAACATTGTTAGACGGCAAACAATCAATGAATGATTTGAAATGATCTCTAACATTTTTGTGAGTCTGAGAGTCACTTCATTCTACCTATTATGTTTCGGAAGCTGAGAGCAAACCCCTCAGTGGAGCCCTGTTTTGGCAGTCCTGTGTTGGCTGCAAGAGGAATAGGTCTGCTTTGGACACTTTAAGTACCAAAGCCTATTGTGACTACACAATAAGATCTTGAAATAGCTTGCATTTTCGTGAGTTCTTCATGGTCCATAACAAATGGTTATCATCAAACGAAAAGTCATTTTCCTAGGAGGTAAATAAAACTGCTGTCGTCAAATTTTTTGTTCCAGCACTTGCCCTTTGCATTACTTTACCTACTACCTCTGTTCTAAGGAAGTAGAGTTCCCTGGAAGCTCTGGGTCTCCTGGATGAGCTAACAGGCGAATGAGGGGTCAGAGTTCTGGCTATTTAGATGGGAACATACCAAGGTTACCATGGAAACTCTCTGGAGTCCACCTTGTAATCTTTTGGAACTGAACTCCAGAAGGTGGCCTGACGGAAGTCTCAGAGAGATATGATCAATGTGTTTGTCCTATATGAGGTAAAGCTCAGCAGATAAAGTTTATTAAATAAATAAAAAAAAGAATGAGCACATGGATACCTAGGAGTTTGCTTTATTTATCTGATTAGCACTAGGATTCTCCTGGACACACATCTTTTGTAATTGTAATATTAAAGACTACCACCACAGAGCTGTTTTCTCATTACCTGACAATCGCTGTTTGGCTGAATGTTTCATGTAAGTTGCAGGCTCAAATTTCTCATCGCCAGTGTATTTTAAAAATCCATATTATATGCAGTGAATACATGACTTGGGATGCTAAAGTCTTAGCAAATCAAGCTTCTGTGTTTCTTTCTTTAAAGATTTATTTGATATAATTATTCATAGTTTTCAATTTTTATACTATCCACTCAACATATCATTCTGCTGCCCAATTTTCATACTAAATGTGGCTCATTTAAATGAACATTAGATATTTTGATCTCTGTGCTTTTTCTTTGTGCTATATGAAAATCTCGGAAAACCTCCTCATTTCCCTCTCCATCCCTCTATATCTTTGATTATTAACAGCTCCATTATTGCTGATAAGCTGTCTTTAATTATAATTTTAAATTTAAAAATATAAAGGACTACTTTTTTGTGGTTTGCAGTTTGAAATTAATCTCATTCTTCTTTTCTTTTTTTTATTTAATAAGGGAAATTTATTGGCTGATATATCTGAAAAGATAAGGGGTAGGAGTAGCTTCAGGTGAGATCTCTCCTCTCTCGTCTCTCTCTCTCCTCTCTCCTCTCTCTCTCTCCTCTCTCTCTTTCCTCTCTCCTCTCCTCTCTCCTCTCTCATCTCCCCTCCCCTCTCCCCTCCCCTCCCCTCTCTTCTTATTTTTCCATAGGTGGTATTTGGTTACATAAGTAAGTTCTTTAGTGGTGCTTTGTGATATTTTGGTGCATCCATCTCTCGAACAGTATACACTGTACCCTATTTGTAATCTTTTATCCCTTGCCTCTCTCCCGCACTTACCCCCAAAGACCCCAAAGTCAATTGTATCATTCTTGTGGATTTGTGTCCTCATCACTTAGCTCTCACATATCGGTAAGAACATACAGTGTTTAGTTTTCCAATCCTGAGTTACTTCACTTAGAATGATAGTCTCCAATCTCATCCAGATCACTGCAAATGCTGTTAATTCATTCCTTTTTATGGCTGAGTAGAGTATATATATACCACAGTTTCTTTATCCACTCATTGGTTGATGGGCATTTGGGTTGGTTCCAAGATTTTGCAATTGCAAACTGTGCTGCTATAAACATGAGTGTGCAAGTATCTTTTTCTTTCTCTTTTCTTTTCTTTTATTATTCTTTAAGTTTTAGGGTACATGTGCACAATGTGCAGGTTACATATGTATACATGTGCCATGTTGGTGTGCTGCACCCATTAACTCGTCATTTAGCATTAGGTATATCTCCTAATGCTATCTCTCCCCCCTCCTCCACCCCACAACAGTCCGCAGAGTGTGATGTTCCCCTTCCTGTGTCCATGTGTTCTCATTGTTCAATTCCCACCTATGAGTGAGAACATGCAGTGTTTGGTTTTTTGTCCTTGCGATAGTTTACTGAGAATGATATTTTCCAATTTCATCCATGTCCCTACAAAGGACATGAACTCATGCTTTTTTATGGCTGCATAGTATTCCATGGTGTATATGTGCCACATTTTCTTAATCCAGTCTATCATTGTTGTACATTTGGGTTGGTTCCAAGTCTTTGCTATTGTGAATAGTGCCGCGATAAACATATGTGTGCATGTGTCTTTATAGCAGCGTGATTTATAATCCTTTGGGTATATACCCAGTAATGGGATGGCTGGGTCAAATGGTATTTCTAGTTCTAGAACCCTGAGGAATAGACACACTGACTTCCACAAAGGTTGAACTAGTTTACAGTCCCACCAACAGTGTAAAAATGTTCCTATTTCTCCACATCCTCTCCGGCACCTGTTGTTTCTTGACTTTTTAATGATTGCCATTCTAACAGGTGTGAGATGGTATCTCATTGTGGTTTTGATTTGCATTTCTCTGATGGCCAGTGACGATGAGCATTTTTTCATGTGTTTTTTGGCTGCATAAATGTCTTCTTTTGAGAAGTGTCTGTTCATGTCCTTCACCCACTTTTTGATGGGGTTCTTTGTTTTTTTCTTGTAAATGTGTTTGAGTTCATTGTAGATTCCAGATATTAGCCCTTTGACAGATGAGTAGGTTGTGAAAATTTTCTCCCATTTTGTAGGTTGCCTGTTCACTCTGATGGTAGTTTCTTTTGCTGTGCAGAAGCTCTTTAGTTTAAGTAGATCCCATTTGTCAATTTTGGCTTTTGTTGCCATTGCTTTTGGTGTTTTAGACATGAAGTCCTTGCCCATGCCTATATCCTGAATGGTAATGCCTAGGTTTTCTTCTAGGGTTTTTACAGTTTTAGGTCTAACGCTTAAGTCTCTAATCCATCTTGAATTAATTTTTGTATAAGGTGTAAGGAAGGGATACAGTTTCAGCTTTCTACATATGGCTAGCCAGTTTTCCCAGCACCATTTATTAAATAGGGAATCCTTTCCCCATTGCTTGTTTTTCTCAGGTTTGTCAAAGATCAGATAGTTGTAGATATGTGGCATTATTTCTGAGGGCTCTGTTCTGTTCCATTGATCTATATCTCTGTTTTGGTACCAGTAACATGCTGTTTTGGTTACTGTAGCCTTGTAGTATAGTTTGAAGTCACTATAGGATTGACTTGGCGATGCGGGCTCTTTTTTGGTTCCATATGAATTTTAAAGTAGTTTTTTCCAATTCTGTGAAGAAAGTCATTGGTAGCTTGATGGGGATGGCATTGAATCTATAAATTACCTTGGGCAGTATGGCCATTTTCACGGTATTGATTCTTCCTACCCATGAGCATGGAATGTTCTTCCATTTCTTTGTATCCTCTTTTATTTCATTGAGCAGTGGTTTGTAGTTCTCCTTGAAGAGGTCCTTCACATCCCTTGTAAGTTGGATTCCTAGGTATTTTATTCTCTTTGAAGCAATTGTGAATGAGAGTTCACTCATGATTTGGCTCTCTGTTTGTCTGTTATTGGTGTATAAGAATGCTTGTGATTTTCGTACATTGATTTTGTATCCTGAGACTTTGCTGAAGTTGCTTATCAGCTTAAGGAGATTTGGGGCTGAGACAATGGGGTTTTCTAGATATACAATCATGTCATCTGCAAACAGGGACAATTTGACTTCCTCTTTTCCTAATTGAATACCCTTTATTTCCTTCTCCTGCCTAATTGCCCTGGCCAGAACTTCCAACACTATGTTGAATAGGAGTGGTGAGAGAGAGCATCCCTGTGTTGTGCCAGTTTTCAAAGGGAATGCTTCCAGTTTTTGCCCATTCAGTATGATATTGGCTGTGGCTTTGTCATAGATAGCTCTTATTATTTTGAAATACGTCCCATCAATACCTAATTTATTGATAGTTTTTAGCATGAAGCGTTGCTGAATTTTGTCAAAGGCCTTTTCTGCATCTATTGAGATAATCATGTGGTTTTTGTCTTTGGTTCTGTTTATATGCTGGATTACATTTATTGATTTGCATATATTGAACCAGCCTTGCATCCCAGGGATGAAGCCCACTTGATCATGGTGGAGAAGCTTTTTGATGTGCTGCTGGATTCGGTTTGCCAGTATTTTATTGAGGATTTTTGCATCAATGTTCATCAAGGATATTGGTCTAAAATTCTCTTTTTAGGTTGTGTCTCTGCCCGGCTTTGGTATCAGGATGATGCTGGCCTCATAAAATGAGTTAGGGAGCATTCCTTCTTTTTCTATTGATTAGAATAGTTTCAGAAGGAATGGTACTGGTTCCTCCTTGTACCTCTGGTAGAATTCAGCTGTGAATCCATCTGGTCCTGCACTCTTTTTGGTTGGTAAGCTATTGATTATTGCCACAATTACAGAGCCTATTATTGGTCTATTCAGAGATTCAACTTCTTCCTGGTTTAGTCTTGGGAGAGTGTATGTGTCGAGGAATTTATCCATTTCTTCTAGATTTTCTAGTTTATTTGCATAGAGGTGTTTGTAGTATTCTCTCATGGTAGTTTATATTTCTGTGGGATCGGTGGTGATATCCGCTTTATCATTTTTTATTGCATCTATTTGATTCTTCTCTCTTTTTTTCTTTATTAGTCTTGCTAGCTGTCTATCAGTTTTGTTGATCGTTTCAAAAAACCAGCTCCTAGATTCATTAATTTTTGAAGGGCTTTTTGTGTCTCTATTTCCTTCATTTCTGCTCTGATCTTAGTTATTTCTTGCCTTCTGCTAGCTTTTGAATGTGTTTGCTCTTGCTTTTCTAGTTCTTTTATTTGTGGTGTTAGGGTATCAATTTTGGATCTTTCCTGGTTTCTCTCGTGGGCGTTTAGTGCTATAAATTTCCCTCTACACACTACTTTGAATGGGTCCCAGAGATTGTGGTATGTTGTGTCTTTGTTTTCGTTGGTTTCAAAGAACGCCTTTATTTCTGCCTTCATCTCGTTATGTACCCAGTAGTCATTCAGGAGCAGGTTGTTCAGTTTCCATGTAGTTGAGTGGTTTTGAGTGAGTTTCTTAATCCTGAGTTCTAGTTTGATTGCACTGTGGTCTGAGAGACAGTCTGTTATAATTTCTGTTCTTTTACATTTGCGGAGGAGAGCTTTACTTCCAACTATGTGGTCAATTTTGGAATAGTTGTGGTGTAGTGCTGAAAAAAATGTATATTCTGTTGGTTTGTGGTGGAGATTTCTGTAGATGTCTATTAGGTCTGCTTGGTGCAGAGCTGAGTTCAATTCCTGGATATCCTTGTTAACTGTCTGTCTCGTTGATCTGTCTAATGTTGACAGTGGGGTGTTAAAGTCTCCCATTATTTTTGTGTGGGAGTCTCTCTTTGTAGGTCTCTAAGGACTTGCTTTATAAATCTGGGTGCTCCTGTATTGGGTGCATATATATTTAGGATAGTTAGCTCTTCTTGTTGAATTGATCCCTTTACCATTATGTAATGGCCTTCTTTGTCTCTTTTGATCTTTGTTGGTTTAAAGTCTGTTTTATCAGAGACTAGGATTGCAATCCCTGCCTTTTTTTGTTTTCCATTTGCTTGGTAGATCTCCCTCCATCCTTTTATTTTGAGCCTATGTGTGTCTCTGCACGTGAGATGGGTTTCCTGAATACGGCACACTGATGGGTCTTGACTCTTTATCCAATTTGCCAGTCTATGTCTTTTAATTGGAGCATTTAGTCCATTTACATTTAAAGTTAATATTGTTATATGCGAATTTGATCCTGTCATTATGATGTTAGCTGGTTGTTTTGCTCGTTAGTTGATGCAGTTTCTTCCTAGTCTCGATGGTCTTTACATTTTGGCATGATTTTGCAGCAGCTGGTACCAGTTGTTCCTTTCCATGTTTAGTGCTTCCTTCAGGAGCTCTTTTAGGGCAGGCCTTGTGGTGACAAAATCTCTCAGCATTTGCTTGTCTGTAAAGGATTTTATTTCTCCTTCACTTATGAAGCTTAGTTTGGCTGGATATGAGATTCTGGGTTGAAAATTCTTTTCTTTAAGAATGTTGAATATTGGTCCCCACTCTCTTCTGGCTTGTAGAGTTTCTGCCGAGACATCAGCTGTTAGTCTGATGGGCTTCCCTTTGTGGGTAACCCGACCTTTCTCTCTGGCTGCCCTTAACAGTTTTTCCTTCATTTCAACTTTGGTGAATCTGACAATTATGTGTGTTGCACTTGCTCTTCTCAAGGAGTATCTTTGTGGCATTCTCTGTGTTTCCTGAATCTGAATGTTGGCCTGCCTTGCTAGATTGGGGAAGTTCTCCTGGATAATATCCTGCAGAGTGTTTTCCAACTTGGTTCCATTCTCCTCGTCAGTTTCAGGTACACCAATCAGACAGATTTGGTCTTTTCACATAGTCCCATATTTCTTGGAGGCTTTGTTCGTTTCTTTTTATTCTTTTTTCTCTAAACTTTCCTTCTCGCTTCATTTCATTCATTTCATCTTCCATCACTGATAACCTTTCTTCCTGTTGATCACATCGGCTCCTGAGGCTTCTGCATTCTTCACGTAGTTCTCGAGCCTTGGCTTTCAGCTCCATCAGCTCCTTTAAGCACTTCTCTGTATTGGTTATTCTAGTTATACATTCATCTAAATTTTTTTCAAAGTTTTTAACTTCTTTGCCTTTGGTTTGAATTTTCTCCTGTAGCTCTGAGTAGTTTGATCATCTGAAGCCTTCTTCTCTCAACTCATCAAAGTCATTCTCCTTCCAGCTTTGTTCCGTTGCTGGTGAGGAACTGCATTCCTTTGGAGGAGGAGAGGTGCCCTGCTTTTTAGTTTCCAGTTTTTCTGCTCTGTTTTTTCCCCATCTTTGTGATTTTATCTACTTTTGGTCTTTGATGATGGTGATGTACAGATGGGCTTTTGGTGTGGATGTCCTTTCTGTTTGTTAGTTTTCCTTCTAACAGAAAGGACCGTCAGCTGCAGGTCTGTAGGAGTTTGCTAGAGGTCCACTGCAGAACCTGTTTGCTTGGGTATCAGCAGCAGTGGCTGCAGAACAGCGGATTTTCATGAACCGCAAATGCTGCTGTCTCATCGTTCCTCTGGAAGTTTTGTCTCAGAGGAGTACCCGGCCGTGTGAGGTGTCAGTCTGCCCCTACTGCGGGGTGCCTCCGAGTTAGGCTGCTCGGGGGTCATGGTTCAGGGACCCACTTGAGGAAGCAGTCGGCCTGGTCTCAGATCTCCAGCTGCGTGCTGGGAGAACCACTGCTCTCTTCAAATCTGTCAGACAGGGACATTTGAGTCTGCAGAGGTTACTGCTGTCTTTTTGTTTGTCCGTGCCCTGCCCCCAGAGGTGGAGCCTAGAGAGGCAGGCAGGCCTCCTTGAGCTGTGGTGGGCTCCACCCAGTGCGAGCTTCCCAGCTGCTTTGTTTACCTAATGAAGCCTGGGCAATGGCGGGCGCCCCTCCCCCAGCCTCGCTGCCACCTTGCAGTTTGATCTCAGACTGCTGTGCTAGCAATCAGCGAGACTCCGTGGGCGTAGGACCCTCTGAGCCACGTGCGGGATATAATCTCCTGGTGAGCCGTTTTTTAAGCCCGTGGGAAAAGCACAGTATTAGGGTGGGAGTGACCTGATTTCCCAGGTTCTGTCTGTCACCCCTTTCTTTGACTAGGAAAGGGAACTCCCTGACCCCTTGTGCTTCCCAAGTGAGGCAATGCCTTGCCCTGCTTCGGCTCGCACACGGTGCGCTGGACCCACTGTCCTGCACCCACTGTCTGGCACTCCCTAGTGAGATGAACCCAGTACCTCAGATGGAAATGCAGAAATCACCCATCTTCTACGTCACTCACGCTGGGAGCTGTAGACCGGAGCTGTTCCCATTTGGCCATCTTGGCTGCCCCCAATCTCATTCTTCTTTTCTATAATATTATATGTGAATTAGAGGTAAACACTGTGGAAACATGATTTGTTTACAAATATAAGTGAGTCTGTAGTTATTAGTCCCTTTTCAGATTTTCTTTACTATTCAGGACATATTTTAAAAATCAAGGATACTCACATCCTTTGTTTTTTTAATTTTATTATTATTATACTTTAAGTTTCAGGGTACATGCGCACAATGTGCATGTTTGTTACATATATATACATGTGCCATGTCAGTGTGCTGCACCCATTAACTCGTCATTTAGCATTAGGTATATCTCTTAATCCTATCCCTCCCCTTCCCCCCACCCCATAACAGTCTCTGGTGTGTGATGTTCCCCTTCCTGTGTCCATGTGTTCTCATTGTTCAATTCCTACCTATGAGTGAGACCATGCAGTGTTTGGTTTTTTGTCCTTATGATAGTTTGCTGAGAATGATGGTTTCCAGCTTCATCCGTGTCCCTACAAAGGACACGAACTCATCGTTTTTTATGGCTGCATAGTATTCCATGGTGTATATGTGCCACATTTTCTTAATCCAGTCTATCATTGTTGGACATTTGGGTTGGTTCCAAGTCTTTGCTATTGTGAATACTGCTGCAATAAACATAGGTGTGCATGTGTCTTTATAGCAGCATGATTTATAATCCTTTGGGTATATACCCAGTAATGGGATGGCTGGGTCAAATGGTATTTCTAGTTCTAGATCCCTGAGAAATTGCCACACTGACTTCCACAATGGTTGAACTAGTTTACAGTCCCACCAACAGTGTAAAAGTGTTCCTATTTCTATACATCCTCTCCAGCACCTGTTGTTTCCTGACTTTTTAATGATTGCCATTCTAACTGGTGTGAGATGGTATCTCACTGTACTTTTGATTTTCATTTCCCTGATGACCAGTGATGATGAGCATTTTTTCATGTGTCTTTTGGCTGCATAAATGTCTTCTTTTGAGAAGTGTCTGTTCATGTCCTTCACCCACTTGTTGATGGGGTTGTTTTTTGCTTGTAAATTTGTTTGAGTTCATTGTAGATTCCGGATATTAGCCCTTTGTCAGATGAGTAGGTTGCAAAAATTGTCTCCCATTCTGTAGGTGGCCTGTTCACTCTGATGGTAGTTTCTTTTGCTGTGCAGAAGCTCTTTAATTTAATTAGATTCCATTTGTCAATTTTGGCTTTGGTTGCCATTGCTTTTGGTGTTTTAGACATGAAGTCCTTGCCCATGCCTATGTCCTGAATGGTATTCCCTAGGTTTTCTTCTATGGTTTTTATGGTTTTAGGTCTAATATGTAAGTCTTTAATCCATCTTGAATTAATTTTTGTATGAGGTGTAAGGAAGGGATCCAGTTTCAGCTTTCTACATATGGCTAGCCAGTTTTCCCAGCATCATTTGTTAAACAGGGAGTCCTTTCCCTATTGCTTGTTTTTGTCAGGTTTGTCAAAGATCAGATAGTTGTAGATATGCGGCATTATTTCTGAGGTCTCTTTCCTGTTCCATTTTGCCTATATCTCTGTTTTGGTACCAGTGCCATGCTGTTTTGGTTACTATAGCCTTGTAGTATAGTTTGAAGTCAGGTAGCATGATGCCTCCAGCTTTGTTCTTTTGGCTTAGGATTGACTTGGTGATGCGGGCTCTTTTTTGGTTCCATATGAACTTTAAAGTAGTTTTCTCCAATTCTGTGAAGAAAGTCATTGGTAGCTTGATGGGGATGGCATTGAATCTATAAATTACCTGGGCAGTATGGCCATTTTCACGATGTTGATTCCTGCTACCCATGAGCATGGAATGTTCTTCCATTTCTTTGTATCCTCTTTTATTTCATTGAGCAGTAGCTTATAGCTCTCCTTGAAGAGGTCCTTCACATCCCTTGTAAGTTGGATTCCTAGGTATTTTATTCTCTTTGAAGTAATTGTGAATGGGAGTTCACTCATGATTTGGTTCTCTGTTTGTGTGTTATTGGTGTATAAGAATGCTTGTGATTTTTGCACTTTGGTTTTGTATCCTGAGACTGTGCTCAAGTTGCTTATTAGCTTATGGAGATATGGGGCTGAGACGATGGGGTTTTCTAGATATACCATCATGTCATCTGCAAACAGGGACAATTTGACTTCCTCTTTTCCTAATTGAATACCCTTTATTTCCTTCTCCTGCCGGATTGCCCTGGCCAGAACTTCCAACACTATGTTGAATAGGAGTGGTGAGAGAGGGCATCCCTGTGTTGTGCCAGTTTTCAAAGGGAATGCTTCCAGTTTTTCTCCATTCAGTATGATGTTGGCTGTGGTTTTGTCACAGATAGCTCTTATTATTTTGAGATCTGTCCCATCAATACCTAGTTTATTGAGAGTTTTTAGCATGAAAAGCTGTTGAATTTTGTCAAAGGCCTTTTCTGCATCTATTGAGATAATCATGTGGTTTTTGTCTTTGGTTCTGTTTATGTGCTTGATTACATTTATTGATTTGCATATGGTGAACCACCCTTGCATCCCAGGGATGAAGCCCACTTTATCATGGTGGATAAGCTTTTTGATGTGCTGCTGGATTCGGTTTGCCAGCATTTTATTGAGGATTTTGGCATCAATGTTCATCAAGGATATTGGTCTAAAGTTCTCTTTTTTGGTTGTGTCTCTGCCCGGCTTTGGTATCAGGATGATGCTGGCCTCATAAAATGACTTAGGGAGGATTCCCTCTTTTTCTATTGATTGGAATAGTTTCAGAAGGAATGGTACCAGCTCCTCCTTGTACCTCTGGTAGAATTCGGTTGTGAATCCGTCTGGTACTGGACTTTTTTTGTTTGGTAAGCTGTTAATTATTGCCTCAATTTCAGAGCCCATTATTGGTCTATTCAGAGATTCAACTTCTTCCTGGTTTAGTCTTGGGAGAGTGTATCTGTCGAGGAATTTATCCATTTCTTCTAGATTTTCTAGTTTATTTGTGTAGAGGTGTTTATAGTATTCTCTCATGGTAGTTTGTATGTCTGAGGGATAGGTGGTGATATCCGCTTTATCAGTATTATTGCATCTATTTGATTCTTCTCTCTTTTTTTCTTTATTAGTCTTGCTAGCTGTCTATCAGTTTTGTTGATCTTTTCAAAAAACCAGCCTTGGATTCATTAATTTTTTGAAGGGTTTTTTGTGTCTCTATTTCCTTCAGTTCTGCTCTGATCTTAGTTATGTCTTGCCTTCTGCTAGCTTTTGAATGTGTTTGCTCTTGCTTCTCTAGTTCTCTTAATTGTGATGTTAGAGTGTCAATTTTAGATCTTTTCTGCTTTCTCTTGTGGGCAATTAGTGCTATAAATTTCCCTCTACACACTGCATTGAATGTGTCCCAGTGATTCTGGTATGTTGTGTCTTTGTTCTCGTTGATTTCAAAGAACATCTTTATTTCTGCCTTCATTTCGTTATGTAGCCAGTAGTCATTCAGGAGCAGTTTGTTCAGTTTCCGTGTAGTTGAGTGGTTTTGAGTGAGTTTCTTAATCCTGAGTTCTAGTTTGATTGCACTGTAGTTTGAGAGACAGTTTTTTATAATTTCTGTTCTTTTATATTTGCTGAGCAGTGCTTTACTTCCAACTGTGTGGTCAATTTTGGAATAGGTGTGGTGTGGTGCTGAAAAGAATGTATATTCTGTTGATATGGGGTGGAGAGTTCTGTAGATGTCTATTAGGTCCGCTTGGTGCAGAGCTGAGTTCAATTCCTGGGTATCCTTGTTAACTTTCTGTCTCGTTGATCTGTCTAATGTTGACAGTGGGGTGTTAAAGTCTCCCATTATTATTGTGTGGGAGTCTAAGTCTCTTTGTAAGTCACTCAGGACTTGCTTTATGAATCTGTGTGCTCCTGTATTGGGTGCATATATATTTAGGATAGTTAGCTCTTCTTGTTGAAGTGATCCCTTTACCATTATGTAATGGCCTTCTTTGTCTCTTTTGATCTTTTTTGGTTTAAAGTCTGTTTTATCAGAGACTAGGATTGCAACCCCTGCCTTTTTTTGTTTTCCATTTGCTTGGTAGATCTTCCTCCATCCTTTTATTGTGAGCCTATGTGTGTCTCTGCACCTGAGATGGGTTTCCTGAATACAGCACACTGATGGGTCTTGACTCTTTATCCAATTTGCCAGTCTGTGTCTTTTAATTGGAGCATTTAGCCCCTTTACATTTAAGGTTAATATTGTTATGTGTGAATTTGATCCTGTCATTATAATGCTAGCTGGTTATTTTGCTCGTTAGTTGATGCAGTTTCTTCCTAGCCTTGATGGTCTTTACAGTCTGGCGTGTTTTTGCAGTGGCTCGTATCAGTTGTTCCTTTCCATGTTTAGTGCTTCCTTCTGGAGCCCTTTTAGGGCAGGCCTGGTGGTGACAAAATTTCTCAGCATTTGCTTGTATGTAAAGTATTTTATTTCTCCTTCACTTATGAAGCTTAGTTTGGCTGGATATGAAATTGGGGGTTGAAAATTCTTTTCTTTGAGAATGTTGAATATTGGTCCCCACTCTCTTCTGGCTTATAGGGTTTGTGCCGAGAGATACGCTGTTAGTCTGATGGCTTCCCTTTGTGGGTAACCCGACCTTTCTCTCTGGCTGCCCTTAACATTTTTTCCTTCATTTCAGCTTTGGTGAATCTGACAGTTATGTGTCTTGCACTTGCTCTTCTCGAGGAGTATCTTTGTGGTGTTCTCTATATTTCCTCAATTTGAATGTTGGCCTGTGTTGCTAGATTGGGGAAGTTCTCCTGGATAATATCTTGCAGAGTGTTTTCCAACTTGGTTCTATTGTCCCCGTCATTTTCAGGTACACCAATCAGACGTAGATTTGGTCTTTCCACATAGTCCCATATTTCTTGGAGGCTTTGTTCATTTCTTTTTATTCTTTTTTCTCTAAACTTCCCTTCTTGCTTCATTTCATTCATTTCATCTTCCCTCGCTGATACCCTTTCTTCAAGTTGATCACATCAGCTACTGAGGCTTGTGCATTTGTCACGTAGTTCTTGTGCCGTGGTTTTCAGCTCCATCAGGTCCTTTAAGCACTTCTCTGCATTGGTTATTCTAGTTAGCCATTCATCTGATTTTTTTTCAAGGTTTTTAACTTCTTTGCCATTGGTTCAAATTTCCTCCTTTAGCTCAGAGTAGTTTGATCTTCTGAAGCCTTCTTCTCTCAGCTCATCAAAGTCGTTCTCCGTCCAGCTTTGTTGTGTTGCTGGTGAGGGGCTGCATTCCTTTGGTGGGGGGAGAGGTGCTCTTATTTTTAGAGTTTCTGGTTTTTCTGCTCTGTTTTTTCCCCATCTTTGTGGTTTTATCTACCTTTGGTCTTTGATGATGGTGACGTACAGATGGGTTTTTGGCATGGATGTCCTTTCTTGTTTGTTAGTTTTCCTTCTAACAGTCAGGACCCTCAGCTGCAGGTCTGTTGGAGTTTGCTGGAGGACCTCTCCAGACCCTTTTCGCCTGGGTATCAGCAGCGGTGGCTGCAGAACAGCGGATATTGGTGAACTGCAAATGCTGCTGCCTGATCCTTCCTCTGGAAGTTTTGTCTCAGAGGAGTACCTGGCCGTGTAAGGTGTCAGTCCACCCCTACTGAGGGGTGCCTCCCAGTTAGGCTACTCGAGGGTCAGGGACCCACTTGAGGAGGCAGTCTGCCTGTTCTCAGATCTCAAGCTGCATGCTGGGAGAACCACTACTCTCTTCAAATTGTCAGACAGGGACATTTAAGTCTGCAGAGGTTCTGCTGCGTTTTGTTTGTCTGTGCCCTGCCCCCAGAGGTGGAGCCTACAGAGGCAGGCAGGCCTCCTTGAGCTGTGGTGGGCTCCACCCAGTTTGAGCTTCCAGGCTGCTTTGTTTACCTACGCAAGCCTTGCCAATGGCGGGCGCCCCTCCACCAGTCTCGCTGCCACCTTGCAGTTTGATCTCAGACTGCTGTGCTAGCAATGAGCGAGACTCTGTGAGCATAGGACCCTCCAAGCCATGTGTGGGATATAATCTCCTGGTGTGCCTTTTGTTAAGCCTGTTGGAAAAGTGCCGTATTAGGGTGGGAGTGACCTGATTTTCGAGGTGTCATCTGTCACCCCTTTCTTTGACTGGGAAAGGGAATTCCCTGACCCCTTGCACTTCCCGGGTGAGGGAGTGCCTCGCCCTGCTTTGGCTCACACATGTTGCGCTGCACCCACTGTCCTGCACCCAATGTCCGGCACTCCCCAGTGAGATGAACCCGGTACCTCTGTTGGAAATGCACAAATCACCCGTCTTCTGCGTCGCTCATGCTGGGAGCTGTAGACTGGAGCTGCTCCTATTTGGCCATCTTGGCTCCACCCACCCCGTTTTCTTTTTTGGTTACAATAACTAGCATTAATATATCATTTTGCTAAGATTTTGGTGTTCTGATTTCTAAAAATTTAGCTGCAGTAATTATTTTAGTTTCAAATCCCACAATAAAATTATTGCCAATAAAAATAATTTGGCACCACAGAGAACACAGTAACAGTTTATGACTGTTAGTGACAATGGTCAGATATAGTGTTTCAAGTCTTTGTGGCTTCCTATTAATAACTTCTCATTCACTGTTCACGTTACATAGAACCCAGAAAAACTATGAAGGCAGTTTTAAATTACTTTTAAGTGAATTTATGGAACACATACCCTTAAATATCAATTTACTTAAAATTCTAGAAGTGGGACAAATTCTAATTTAGCATTCTTCTTTTTGTAAAATAGTTTCATTATTTAAACATACCACACTTAATTATTTGGGGATGCATTAATTATTTGGGGATGCATGCATTTGTGTGATTTTATTTTTGTCTGTTTTTCATGATGAAAACCCTTTAGGCAATTAGGAATGAAGTTAAGATATGTGACAATATCAATTAGAGAACTGCTTGCCAACATGCACTATGTAACAGACACTAAAATAGGTTGTAGATTTATGCCAAAAGTACTTAGAGAGTTATCTGAAGAAATTATCTTTATGTGGCCCGTAAAACTTCCAATTGATAAGGTAAAATAAAACTATACTGGATTTATTTGCTGTACTAACTCCTAATTATTTTTTTGAAATATATATGTAGTGGAAAAAGTGTGTGTTGGAAGTTATTACTCTACAACCTTTGTATGTAGATATCTTAAAAAATAGAGCTCAAGACCAAGAGGCTCAAAAGTCTTTCTGTAGCTAACTACCTCTCATCCTTATATTATTTCAGCCCTGTCTTCCCAGGTATTACAGGCGTGCTTATTGCATCTCAGTAAAGTGCAGCTCATTGTAAATATCCTGCCTTTGTACATGCTATTTATCTTCCTAAAGTACCATTCCTCATTTTTCTAAAGAGGGCTCCTACCTAAATTTTAAGACTCAGTTCAAATATTACCTCCAGCAAACTAGAATTACTAATTCTTATTTCTGGGATCTTCCCAGCACTCTGCACATATTTTTTGTGCTTAAGTAAAATCATTAAACATTTATGTTCCTACATGTGATTAGCATTATATTAGGTTGGTACAAATGTAATGGCGGGAACCAGGTGATATGGTTTGGCTCTGCATCCCCAACCAAAATCTCATCTTGAATTGTAATAATCCCCACATATCAAGGGTGGAACCAGGTGGAGATAATTGAATTTTTAGGGGCCTGTTCCCCCATGCTGTTCTTGTGATACTGAGTGAGTTCTAACAAGATCTGATGGTTTTATAAGGGGCTTCCCTCTTTGCTCAGCACTTACGTTGTCTTCTGCTGCCCTGTGAAGATATACCTTCTGTCATGATTGTAAGTTACCTGAGGCCTCCCCAGCCATGCAAAACTGTGTGTCAATTAAACCTCTTTTCTTTATAAATTACCCAGTCTCAGATAGTTATTTATAGCAGAGTGAGAATGGACTAATACAATAGCAGACTAGATAAAGCAGAAGAAAGACTCTGTTAACTTGAAGACAAGTCTTTTGAAATAGTATAGTTAAACAGGGGAAAAGAAGAAAAAAATAAGAAAAATGAGTGAAGAAACAGTGAAGAAAGCCTACAGGACTTATGGGATACCAGTAAGTGAATATATATTTGCATTATGGGGGTTATAGAAGGAGAATAGATGGAGGGAGTCACAGAAAGCGTACTTAATGAAATAATGACTAAAAACTTCCCAAGTCCTGAGGGAGATGTGAATGTCCAGTTTATGAAGCTTAAAAGTTCTCAAACTGATTCAACCTAAAGAGGACCTCATCTAGGCACATTATAATCAAAATATCAAAAGTTAAAGAGAAAGTGAAAAATTTTAAAGTAGCAATAAAACGTATCAAGTGTCATAACAGGGAATCTCCATTAGACTGTTAGTAGATTTCTCGGCAGAAACCTCACAGGCAAGAAGAGAATAGGACAATATATTCAAAGTCCTGAAAGAAAAACAATGGTGGCCAAGAATACTATACTCAGTAATACTGCCCTTCAGAAATTAAGAAGAAATAGTCTTTTTCAGACAACCAAAATCTGGAGAATTTATCAACACTGTACCTGCCTTACAAAAAATGCTTGAAGTTCTTCAACCAAAAATGAAATGAAAGTAATTAATATCATGAAATTATATGAAAATATAAAACACAGTGATAGAGATAGATAAAATTTTTGGTCTGCAAAATTTTCTATTTCATAGATAATTTACTCATTTTAATTTTTCCTTTGCTGTGCAGAAGGTTTTTAGTCCAATTATAATCCTGCTTTTCTGTTTTTGGTTTTGTTGCCTATGCTTTTAATGTCATATCCAAAAAAAATTTGCATAGTCTACTGTCTTTAAGCATTATTCCTATGTTTTCTTCTAAGAGTTTTGGTGTGTTTCAAGTTTTACATTTAAGTCTGTAACCCTTTTTAAGTTTATTTTTGTATATGTTGTGAAATAAGGGTCCAACTTCATTGATTTTGCATGCAGATATCCAGTTTTCCTAGGATGCTTTATTGAAGAGACTTCTTTTCCTCTTTTTGCATTACTGGCACACTTGTAGAAGATCAGTTGATCATATATACATGCTTATATCCCTGGATCTCTATTCTGTTCCATTGGTATATATGTCTGTTTTTATACCGTGTCATACTATTTTGATTACTGTAACTTTGTTATGTATTTTGAGATCAGGAGCATGATACCTGTAGTTTTGTTCTTCTTGCTTAAGTTTGCTTCATCTGTTAAGGGTCTTTTTTCATTGCAAATGAATTTTAAGATTGCTTTCTCTAGTTCTATAAAAATGCTATGAGATTTTAATAAAAATTGCCTTGGCAAATATAGATATTTTAACAATATTAATTCTTCCTATTCATGAACATGAAATGCCCTTCCATTTACTTTAAAATTTATTTCATTAATATTTTGTAATTTTCAGAGTACAGTCTTTTGTTTCTTTGGTTAAGTTTATTCCTACATATTTTATTCCTTTTGATGTGATTGTAAATTGAATTGTATTTTAATTTCCTTTTTAGATAGATTATTGCTAGTGTATATAAATGAATGGAATTTTGCATGGCACTTGTGTATCCTGCAACTTTACTAATGCATTTATTAGTTCTAAAACTTTTAGGTGGAGTTCTTAGGGTTTTCTACATATAATATCATGTAATCTGCAAACAGGGATAATTTAACTTATTCCTTTCTAATGTGTATACCTTTTATTTCCTTCTCTTGCCTAATTGTTCTGGATAGGACTTTAAGTACTACGTTAAACAGAAGTAATGAAAGTGGACATTTTTGCCTTTTCTGGAACTCAGAGGAAAAGATTTTAGTTTTTGACCTTGCTTACAATGTTGGCTGTGTTGTTTGCATATGTTGCTCTTTGATGAGTTAAATTCCTTCTAAGTCTAATTTGTTGAACATTTTTGTCATGGGTGTTAAACTTTGTCAAATGCTTCTTTTGTATTTATTGAGATGATCGTATGATTTTTATCCCACCTTCTCTTCATGGTGTTTATCATATTGTTTGATGAATCTTTCATGAATGTCAAGGATCAATCCTACTTGGTCACCACGTATAATCCTTTTAACGTACTGGTGGATTTGGTCTGCTAGTAGTTGGGAATTTTTGCTTTGATGTTCGTCAGGGATACTGGCCTGTAATTTTCTTTCCCTGTGGTGTCTTTGTCTGTCTTTGGTATCAGGATAGCACTAGCCTCACAGAAGAGTTTGGAAGTATTCCCTCTTCTTTTGTCTTTTGGAAAAGTTTAAGAAGGGTTAGAGGTAGTTCCTTGAAAGTTTGGTAGAATCACACACCAGAGCCTGCTGAGGAGTGGGGGGCTGGGGGAAGGATAGCATTAGGAGAAATACCTAATGTAGATGAAGGGTTGACGGTTGCAGCAAACCACCATAGCACTCGTATACCTATGTAACAAACCTGCACATTCTGCACATGTATGCCAGAACTTAAAGTATTAAAAAAAAAGTTTGGTAGAATTTACTTGTGAAGCCATCTCATCCTGGGATTTTCTTTGTTTGAAGTTTTCATTTGTTTTACTCTTCAATCTCTTATTTACTATTATTTGCTTCAGCCTTTCTATTCCTTCTTGATTAACTTTTAGTAGAATGTATGCTACTATGAATTTCTCCATTTCTTACAGGTTGTCTAATTTGTTGGCATATAATTGTTTAGTTTTAATGACTCCTCTTTCATTTCTGATATTATTAATTTGAATCTTCTATTTTTTTCTTGGTCTAGCTAAGGGTTTATTAATTTTTAAAATATCTTTTAAAAAAGTAACTATTAGTTTTGTTGACATTTAAAATTATTCTTCTATTCTCAATTTAATTTATTTCTGCTCTTTGTAATTTTTTTATTTTGTTAATTTTGTGTTTAGTTTCTTCTTAACTTTCTAGTTCCTCGAGGTATAAAGTTAGTCTGGTTATCTGAGACCTTTCTTCTTTTTTTTTAATGTGTGAATTTCTTGCTACATAATTCCCTGTTAGTACTGATTTTGTTGCCTCTCACAAGTTTCCGTATGTTGTGTTTTCATTTTCACTTGTCCCACGATATTTTCTAATTTGTGTTTTGATTTTTGTATTTGACCCAATACTTATTTAGTAGTGTGTTGTTTAACTTTTATATATTTTTGAAAGTTTCTGTTTTCTATGATTGATTTCTACATCATTCCATTGTTTTTCAGAAAGATACTTGGAATGATTTTAACTTTCTAAGCTTATAAAGATTTATTCTCTAACCTAGCATGTGATCTATCCTGGAAAATGTACTGTGTACACATGAGAAGGTTGCGTATTTTTTTCTGTTATTGGGTAGAATGTTCTGTACATGTCTGTTGAGTCCATTTAGTCTTTAGTTCTGCTGTTCCCTTGTTGATCTTCTAGCTGATCTATACATTACTGAGAGTGAGATGTGAAAGTATCTTACTATTATTATATGGCTGTCTATTTCTCCCCTCAGATCTGTAATTACGGCTCCAGCCAAGTCCCCAGGGAGAATGGGACTGCTGCTGGGACAATGGTTAAGTGGGTTTGAAGCTGGGTCATGAGTTACTTTTGTTTACAATGGGGTGCCTCATAGATGTGCCTGTTACCAGGGGCTTGATGGAGTGTGTGGCCCTTATAAAACTCTAGGCAAATGGGACTGCTTTCAGGACCACCATAGAGCAAAGTTGGAGCCAGGTCTTGGTGCTGCTTCTGGTCCTGCAGGCAGGTTCACAGTTGGCAGACCTGCTGCCAGGAACATGGGCTTACTTTCTCAAAGTGGCTTTTCTCGGTTTTGGGCTCCGCTGGAGTGTCACAGTCTCCTACCAGTATCCCAAAGGAGATTTTATCCATCAGTTGTTGCCAGATTAGTGTTTCGGTGGGGGAATGAGTTCTGGGGACCTTCTATCTTGCCATCTGGATAACTTTACTCTTCTCACTTCACTCTTTCTTAGGTACTTTCAACTTTGGACTATTAGTAATCAGCAGAGTCCTTTCTGAATCACGCAATACCTTTTTAAAAAAGCACTTTTCTTTCTTATTGTATCTAAGGTTTTCAAAATTCAGAATAGCTTAAGTTCATGCTTGATGCTCTCACTGTACCTAACTATATAAAATAATAATAATAATAATACTCTGCTTATTAATTAATTTATTTATTATTATTAAACTTTAAGTTTTAGGGTACATGTGCACAATGTGCAGGTTACATATGTATACATGTGCCATGCTGGTGTGCTGCACCCACTAACTCATCATCTAGCATTAGGTGTATCTCCCAGTGCTATCCCTCTCCCCTCCCCCCACCCCACAACAGTCCCCAGAGTGTGATGTTCCCCTTCCTGTGTCCATGTGTTCTCACTGTTCAGTTCCCACCTATGAGTGAGAATATGCGGTGTTTGGTTTTTTGTTCTTGCGATAGTTTACTGAGAATGATGATTTCCAATTTCATCCATGTCCCTACAAAGGACATGAACTCATCATTTTTTATGGCTGCATAGCATTCCATGGTGTATATGTGCCACATTTTCTTAATCCAGTCTATCATTGTTGGACATTTGGGTTGGTTCCAAGTCTTTGCTATTGTGAATAATGCCGCAATAAACATACGTGTGCATGTGTCTTTATAACAGCATGATTTATAGTCCTTTGGGTATACACCCACTAATGGGATGGCTGGGTCAAATGGTATTTCTAGTTCTAGATCCCTGAGGAATCGCCACACTGACTTCCACAATGGTTGAACTAGTTTACAGTCCCACCAACAGTGTAAAAGTGTTCCTGTTTCTCCACATCCTCTCCGGCACCTGTTGTTTCCTGATTTTTTAATGATTGCCATTCTAACTGGTGTGAGATGGTATCTCATTGTGGTTTTGATTTGCATTTCTCTGATGGCCAGTGATGAAGAGCATTTTTTCATGTGTCTTTTGGCTGCATAAATGTCTTCTTTTGAGAAGTGTCTGTTCATGTCCTTCACCCACTTTTTGATGGGTTTGTTTGTTTTTTTCTTGTAAATTTGTTTGAGTTCATTGTAGATTCTGGATATTAGCCCTTTGTCAGATGAGTAGGTTGCGAAAATTTTCTTTTTTCTTTCTTTTTTTTTTTTTTTACAAATATTTATAGCAACTTTATTTGTAAAAAGCTTGGAAAACAACACAAATCACCAACTACAAATAAATAAACAAATACATTGGGGTATTTCCATGTAATGAAATTCTTAGCAATAGAAAGAAACAAACTACTTATACATAGAACAACATGGATAAACAGCAAATACATTATTCTAAGCAAAATAGTCCATACATAAGGGATTATATACGTATGATTTCATTTCTAAGAATTTATAGTACTGGCAAAACTAATCTATGATGACAGAAATCAGATCAGTGATTGGCTGAAATCAGATCATTGGTTGCCTGAGAGCTGTGAAGAGGGGACAGGAGATCATAAAGGGACACAAAATAATTTTCTGAAGAGATGAAAATAGTCTACATCTTAAATGGGAAGTTTGTTATATGTGTGTGTATATATATATGTGTGTGTGTGTGTGTGTGTCTGTGTGTGTATGTATGTGTGTGTGTGTGTGTGTCAAAAGTTCTTAACTTATAAGACTGCAATACAATAGCTTTTGAGCAACTAATGGGTCAAAGAAGAAATCAAAAGGAAAATCAGAAAACATCTTGAGACAAACCGAAAACACAATATACCAAACTAATTAGATGCAGTAAAAGCATTTCTAATAAATACCTACATTAAAAAAGAAAAAATATCTCTAACTTTACACCTCAACAAACTAGAAGAAGAACAAACTAAGCCCAAAGTTAACAGAAGGAGTAAATAATAAATATTACAGCAGAAATTAATGAAATATATAATAGAAAAGCAACAGAAAAATAATCACAACCAAGAGTTGGATTTTTTTTTAAATTTTTTTTATTATACTTTAAGTTTTAGGGTACATGTGCACATTGTGCAGGTTAGTTACATATGTATACGTGTGCCATGCTGGTGCACTGCACCCACTAACTCGTCATCTAGTATTAGGTATATCTCCCAGTGCTATCCCTCCCCCCTCCCCCCACCCCACCACAGTCCCCAGAATGTGATATTCCCCTTCCTGTGTCCATGTGATCTCATTGTTCAATTCCCACCTATGAGTGAGAATATGCAGTGTTTGGTTTTTTGTTCTTGCGATAGTTTACTGAGAATGATGATTTCCAGTTTCATCCATGTCCCTACAAAGGACATGAACTCATCATTTTCATGGCTACATAGTATTCCATGGTGTATATGTGCCACATTTTCTTAATCCAGTCTATCATTGTTGGACATTTGGGTTGGTTCCAAGTCTTTGCTATTGTGAATAATGCCACAATAAACATAAGTGTGCATGTGTCTTTATAGCAGCAAGATTTATAGTCTTTTGGGTATATACCCAGTAATGGGATGGCTGGGTCAAATGGTATTTCTAGTTCTAGATCCCTGAGGAATCGCCACACTGACTTCCACAATGGTTGAACTAGTTTACAGTCCCACCAACAGTGTAAAAGTGTTCTTATTTCTCCACATCCTCTCCAGCACGTGTTGTTTCCTGACTTTTTAATGATTGCCATTCTAACTGGTGTGAGATGGTATCTCATTGTGGTTTTGATTTGCATTTCTCTGATGGCCAGTGATGATGAGCATTTTTTCATGTGTTTTTTGGCTGCATAAATGTCTTCTTTTGAGAGGTGTCTGTTCATGTCTTTCACCCACTTTTTGATGGGGTTGTTTGTTTTTTTCTTGTAAATTTGTTTGAGTTCATTGTAGATTCTGGATATTAGCCCTTTGTCAGATGAGTAGGTTGCGAAAATTTTCTTATTTTATGTGTCTATAGCTAAAGGTTATATTCAGAATATCAACTGATATTGCGTGGTTGCTGACCAATAAGAATAAAAATAGCCACAGCATTGAAGCAGAATTCTGATGGCCCCCTCTATGCCAGGTATTCTATCTTTTCTTTGTTTCTTCAGCAAGTCTTGGTCCATGGGGCCCTGAGAGAGAAGCAAACACAGAATATAGGCCCTTGAGGAATAGGTAGATGGGAACCACAGAACTACTTCCACATTTTGACCAATGCTTCAGCTGTAGTGGTATAGCTGGGTTTGTAGGTACATTACCTATGCTCTCCATACCAAAGCATGTATTTTATTGCTTTTGAAAATGATCTTTAAAAGCTTAGTTTACATACATGCAACTATGAGATTATATCTCTAGGAATAATTAATCTATGTTAAAATCCCCTCCCCTACACTTTTTATTAAATTATAAAAACAGATTCTGTTACATAAATTCTGTGACAAGAAAGCTAGCATTGAATATAGTCAGGTTTATAATGTCTTCTTCAAATATAACTTTGCTCTTCAAATTAAATTCAGTGAAAGAAATCACATAATGTGTGAAACTTTAAAAGGACTTACATATAAAAGGTAATGCTAACTTCAGAAGTGTCTCTTTGAAAATATATTTTTTAAATTTTTTATATTAAGACGTGTCAATGCATGACTTCTCATGTATCTAGCATGTTAAAATTATCTGTCAAAAATTTTCTTAAAGGAAATTGAAGACTTTTTTCTATTGTTTTAAGAGACCACCACTAGTATGAACTTAAGATTTGATCTCATCATTACTAGGTGTTCTAGCCATTTACCTTTCTTCTAAGGTCCGGCTACCTGTTCTAACTTAATTGGCATACCAAAGATAACTTAACTTCAATTGCATAACATGTTTATTTAAAAGTGGGTGCTTTTATTTCTTAAAAGGTATGTAGTAGAGCATTTAAAGGCACAAAGAGTGTCCTCCTTTGCTACAGCCCTTTACACACTGTGGGAACTGGGAAATTATTAATTGAGGGCGGCAGGAGGTACAGATCCCTGCTCATCGGCTAGAAATGTTGGCTTTGCTGTAACAACATGAGGAAAAATGGGTTACCAGATTATTTATTTTCTGATTCCTCTGATGACATTTGGCTTTTATTACAAACTAGCATGAATCCAAAGACAAATCATAGAATGTTTACGCAAGCCAAATTGTGGTTTTGAGAAAGCAAGTCAGGGATAAAGTGGAAATTAGTGATGACATATTGCATGACCTCTATTTGTTCTATAATTCTAGGGTTTCTGAGGCCTATGAAAATGCAGGCCTATAGTTAATTATTAAATCAGCTGGTTTTTCTCAACCCTCACTTTTCTGGGTCCCAGAAAAAGAATAACTCGATGGAAATTTGACAAATCTCTGACTGAAAAAATGTCATCCTAAATAGAGAACAAGCCTACTAACAAATCATTTGGTTGTATTTTAAAGTAAACCTTTGATTCCAGTTTGGGGTCATTATTGTTTACGTTTTCAAGACCTCTTTTGTTATAATCACTTCTGAATATTGTTCTCTTTCCCTTAAGAGAATAAAAAACACATAGACCTTGGTATGTCTTTCATGAGGGTGAGAGTGGGAAATAAATCAAATCTATGAGTCTGCATACATGTTTAGAGACATGTATAAGGTATAAATGTTAAGGCAGCAATGCACAGTTTATACTGTCCTTCCTCTTATACCTTTCTTTGGAGCAGAAGAGATTTACTCAGAAACAGCAAACAGTGCTAGGATTAGTCACACAGCAGTAGAACAGTGGGTCTTATTCTCTTATTATTTCATTGTCTAAGAATTGTTCATATCCAAATTTCATATAGTTCAATATAATAATTTGTAATGTTTACATCTTTTTAAGAAATTACCTCTGAGTTAATAAGGATACTATATGGTATTTTCTGTAAAAAAAAAATTACTCTTTACATTTAGTTCTCCTAAATATTCATGTTAACTCTTTTGTTTTATATACATGTGCACAACGTGCAGGTTTTTTACATATATATACATGTGCCATGTTGGTGTGCTGCATTTAACTCGTCATTTAACATTAGGTATATCTCCTAATGCTATACCTCCCCTGTCCCTCCCCCCCATGGCAGGCCCTGGTGTGTGATGTTCCCCTTCCTGTGTCCATGTGTTCTCATTGTTCAATTCCCACCTATGAGTGAGAACATGCGGTGTTTGGATTTTTGTCCTTGCGATAGTTTGCTGAGAATGATGGTTTCCAGCTTCATCCATGTCTCTACAAAGGACATGAACTCATGCTTTTTTATGGCTGCATAGTATTCCATGGTGTATATGTGCCACATTTTCTTAATCCAGTCTATCATTGTTATACATTTGGGTTGATTCCAAGTCTTTGCTATTGCGAATAGTGCCGCAATAAACATACGTGTGCATGTGTCTTTATAGCAGCATGATTTACAATCGTTTGGGTATATACCCAGTAATGGGATGGCTGGGTCAAATGGTATTTCTAGTTCTAGATCCTTGAGGAATCACCACACTGACTTCCACAATGGTCGAACTCATTTACAATCCCACCAACAGTGTAAAAGTATTCCCATTTCTCCACATCCTCTCCAGCACCTGTTGTTTCCTGACTTTTTAATGATTGCCATTCTAACGGGTGTGTGATGGTGTCTCATTGTGGTTTTGATTTGCATTTCTCTGATGGCCAGTGATGATGAGCATTTTTTCATGTGTCTTTTGGCTGCATAAATGTCTTCTTTTGAGAAGTGTCTGTTCATATCCTTTACCCACTTTTTGATGGGGTTGTTTGTTCTTTTCTTGTAAATTTGTTTGAGTTCATTGTAGATTCTGGATATTAGCCCTTTGTCAGAGGAGTAGATTGCAAAAATTGTCTCCCATTCTTTAGGTTGTCTGTTCACTCTGATGCTAGTTTCTTTTCCTGTGCAGAGCTCTTTAGTTTAATTAGATCCCATTGGTCAATTTTGCCTTTTGTTGCCATTGCTTTTGGTGTTTTAGACATGAAGTCCTTGCCCATGCCTATGTCCTGCAGTGGTATTGCCTAGGTTTTCTTCTAGGGTTTTTATGGTTTTAGGTCTAACATTTAAGTCTTTAATCCATCTTGAATTAATTTCTGTATAAGGTGTAAGGAAGGGATCCAGTTTCAGCTTTCTACATATGGCTAGCCAGTTTTCCCAGCACCATTTATTAAATAGGGAATCCTTTCCCCATTGCTTGTTTTTGTCAGATTTGTCAAAGATCAGATAGTTGTAGATATGTGGCATTATTTCTGAGGGCTCTGTTCTGTTCCATTAGTCTATCTCTCTGTT
Organism: Homo sapiens; assembly: GCF_000001405.40. Classification (NCBI taxonomy): domain Eukaryota; kingdom Metazoa; phylum Chordata; class Mammalia; order Primates; family Hominidae; genus Homo; species Homo sapiens. The sequence goes on from NC_000007.14 coordinate 19,901,920, forward strand.
TTGGTACCAGTACCATGCTGTTTTGGTTACTGTAGCCTTGTAGTATAGTTTGAAGTCAGGTAGCGTGATGCCTCCAGCTTTGTTCTTTTGGCTTAGGATTGAATTGGCGATGCGGGCTGTTTTTTGGTTCCATATCAACTTTAAAGTAGTTTTTTCCAATTCTGTGAAGAAAGTCATTGGTAGCTTGATGGGGATGGCATTGAATCTATAAATTACCTTGGGCAATATGGCCATTTTCATGATATTGATTCTTCCTATCCATTAGCATGGAATGTTCTTCCATTTCTTTGTATCCTCTTTTATTTCATTGAGCAGTGGTTTGTAATTCTCCTTGAAGAGATCCTTCACGTCCCTCGTAAGTTGGATTCCTAGGTTTCTATTCTCTTTGAAGTAATTGTGAATGGGAATTCACTCATTATTTGGGTCTCTGTTTATCTGTTATTGGTGTATAAGAATGCTTGTGATTTTTGCACATTGATTTTGTATCCTGAGACTGTGCTGAAGTTGCCTATCAGCTTAAGGAGATTTTGGGCTGAGACAATGGGGTTTTCTAGATACACGATCATGTCATCTGCAAACAGGGACAATTTGACTTCCTCTTTTCCTAATTGAATACCCTTTATTTCTTTCTCTTGCTGGATTTTCCTGGCCAGAACTTCCAACACTATGTTGAATAGGAGTGGTGAGAGAGGGCATCCCTGTGCTGTGCCAGTTTTCAAAGGGAATGCTTCCAGTTTTTGTCCATTCAGTATGATATTGACTGTGGGTTTGTCATAGATAGCTTTTATTATTTTGAGATAAATCCCATCAATACCTAATTTATTGAGAGTTTTTAGCATGAAGAGCTGTTGAATTTTGTCAAAGGCCTTTTCTGCATCTATTGAGATAATCGTATGGTTTTTGTCGTTGGTTCTGTTTATATGTTGGATTACATTTATTGATTTGCGTATGTTGAACCAGCCTTGCATCCCAGGGATGAAGCCCACTTGATCATGGTGGAGAAGCTTTTTGATGTGCTGCTGGATTTGGTTTGTCAGTATTTTATTGAGGATTTTTGTTTCGATGTTCATCAGGGATATTGATCTAAAATTCTCTATTTTTGTTGTGTCTCTGCCAGGCTTTGGTATCAGGATGATGCTGGCCTCATAAAATGACTTAGGGAGGATTCCCTCTTTTTCTATTGATTGGAATAGTTTCAGAAGGAATGGTACCAGCTCTTCCTTGTACCTCTGGTAGAATTTGGCTTTGAATCCATCTGGTCCTGTACTTTTATTGATTGGTAAGCTATTAATTATTGCCTCAATTTCAGAGCCTTTTATTGGTCTATTCAGAGATTTAACTTCTTCCTGGTTTCGTCTTGGGAGAGTGTATGTGTTGAGGAATTTATCCATTTCTTCCAGATATTCTAGTTTATTTGCATAGAGGTGTTTATAGTATTCTCTGATGGTAGTTTGTATTTCTGTGGAATCGGTGGTGATATCCCCTTTATCATTTTTTCTTGCATCTATTTGTTTCTTCTCTCTTTTCTTCTTTATTAGTATTGCTAGTGGTCTATCAATGTTGTTGATCTTTTCAAAAAACCAGCTCCTGGATTCATTGATTTTTTGAAGGGTGTTTTGTGTCTCTATTTCCTTCAGTTCTGCTCTGATCTTAGTTATGTCTTGCCTTCTGCTAGCTTTTGAATGTGTTTGCCCTTGCTTCTCTAGTTCTTTTAATTGTGATGTTAGGATGTCAATTTTAGATCTTTCCTGCTTTCTCTTGTGGGCATTTAGTGCTATGGATTTCCCCATACATACTGCTTTGAATGTGTCCCAGAGATTCTGGTATGTTGTGTCTCTGTTCTCATTGATTTCAAAGAACATCTTTATTTTTGCCTTCATTTCGTTATGTAGCCAGTAGTCATTCAGGAGCAGTTTGTTCAGTTTCCATGTGGTTGAGTGTTTTTGAATGAGTTTCTTAATCTTGAGTTCTAGTTTGATTGCACTGTGGTCTGAGAGACAGTTTATTATAAATTCTGTTCTTTTACATTTGCTGAGGAGTGCTTTACTTCCAACTATGTGGTCAATTTTGCAATAGGTGTGGTGCTGAAAAGAATGTATATTCTGTTGATTTGGGGTGGAGAGTTCTGTAGATGTCTATTAGGTCCACTTGGTGCAGAACTGAGTTCAATTCTTGGGTATCCTTGTTAACTTTCTGTCTCGTTGATCTGTCTAATGTTGACAGTGGGGTGTTAAAGTCTCCCATTATTATTCTATGGGAGTCTAAGTCTCTTTGTAGGTCTGTAAGGACTTGCTTCATGAATCTGGGTGCTCCTATATTGGGTGCATATATATTTAGGATAGTTAGCTCTTCTTGTTGAATTGATCCCTTTACCATTATATAATGGCCTTCTTTGTCTCTTGATCTTTTTTGGTTTAAAGTCTTTTTTATCCGAGACTAGGACCGCAACCCCTGCCTTTTTTTGTTTTCCATTTGCTTGGTAGATCTTCCTCCATCCCTTTATTTTGAGCCTATGTGTGTCTCTGCACATGAGATGGGTTTCCTGAATACAGCACACTGATGGGTCTTGACTCTTTTTCCTATTTGCCAGTCTATGTCTTTTAATTGGACCATTTAGCCCATTTACATTTAAGGTTAATATTGTTATGTGCGAATTTGATCCTGTCATTATGATGTTAGCTCGCTATTTTGCTAGTTAGTTGATGCAGTTTCTTCCTAGCCTCCTGGTCTTTACAATTTGGCATGTTTTTGCAGTGGCTGGTACCAGGTGTTCCTTTCCACGTTTAGTGCTTCCTTCAGGAGCTCTTTTAGGGCAGGCCTTGTGGTGACAAAATCTCTCAGCATTTGCTTGTCTGTAAAGTATTTCTCCTTCACTTATGAAGCTTAGTTTGGCTGGATATGAGATTCTGGGTTGAAAATTCTTTTCTTTAAGAATGTTGAATATTGGTCCCCACTCTCTTCTGGCTTGTAGGGTTTCTGCTGAGAGATCCGCTGTTAGTCTGATGGGCAGAAGGTCTGTGGGTAACCCGACCTTTCTCTCTGGCTGCCCTTAACATTTTTTCCTTCATTTCAACTTTGGTGAAACTGACAATTATGTGTCTTGCAGTTGCTCTTCTCCAGGAGTATCTTTATGGCATTGTCTGTATTTCCTCAATTTGAATGTTGGCCTGCCTTGCTAGATTGGGGAAGTTCTCTTGGATAATATCCTGCAGAGTGTTTTCCAACTTGGTTCCATTCTCCCCATCACTTTCAGGTACACCAATCAGATGTAGATTTGGTCTTTTCACATAGTCCCATATTTCTTGGAGGCTTTTTTTGTTTCTTTTTATTCTTTTTTCTCTAAACTTCTCTTCTTGCTTCATTTCATTCATTTGATCATCCATCACTGATATCCTTTCTTCCAGTTGATTGAATTGGCTACTGAGGCTTCTGCATTCATCACATAGTTCTCCTGCCATGGTTTTCAGCTGCATCAGGTCCTTTAAGGACTTCTCTGCATTGGTTATTCTAGTTAGCCATTCGTCTAATCTTTTTTCAAGGTTTTTAACTTATTTGTGATGGGTTCAAACTTCCTCCTTTAGCTCATAGAAGTTTGATCTTCTGAAGCCTTCTCTCAGCTCTTCAAACTCATTCTCCGTCCAGCTTTTTTCCAATGCTCGTGAGGAGCTGCATTCCTTTGGAGGAGGAGAGGCACTCTGATTTTTAGAATTTTCAGTTTTTCTGCTCTGTTTTTTCCCCATCTTTGTGGTTTTATCTACCTTTGGTCTTTGATGATGGTGACGTACAGATGGGGTTTTAGTGTGGATGTCCTTTCTGTTTGTTAGTTTTCCTTTTAACACTCAGGGCCCTCAGCTGCAGGTCTGTTGCAGTTTGCCAGAGGTCCACTCCATACCCTGTTGGCTGGGTATCAGTAGCAGAGGCTGCAGAACAGTGGATATTGGTGAACAGCAAATGGTGCTGCCTGATCGTTACTCTGGAAGTTTTGTCTCAGAGGAGTACCTAGCAGTGTGAGGTGTCAGTCTGCCTCTACTGGGGGATGCCTCCCAGTTATGCTACTTGGGGATCAGGGACCCACTTGAGGAGGCAGTCTGCCCATTCTCAGATCTCAAGCTGTGTGCAGGGAGAACCACTACTCTCTTCAAAGCTGTCAGACAGGGACATTTAAGTCTGCAGAGGTTTCTGCCGCCTTTTGTTTGGCTATGCCCTGCCCCCAGAGGTGGAGTCTACCCTCAGGCAGGCCTCCTTGAGCTGTGGTGGGCTTCACCCAGATTGAGCTTCCCAGCTGTTTTGTTTACCTACTCAAGCCTTGGCAGTGGTGGGCGCCCCTTCCGCAGCCTCACTGCTGCCTTGCAGTTTGATCTCAGACTGCTGTGCTAGCAATGAGCAAGGCTCCGTGGGCATAGGACCCTCTGGGCCAGGCACGGGATATAATCTCCTGGTGTGCCATTTCCTAAGACCGTTGGAAAAGTGCAGTATTAGGGTGGGAGTGACCCAGTTTTCCAGGTGCGATCTGTCACCCCTTTGCTTGGCTAGGAAAAGGAATTCCCTGACCCCTTTTGCTTCCCAGGTGAGGCGCTGCCTTGCCCTGCTTTGGCTCAGGCTCAGTGCACTGCACCCACTGTCCTGCACCCACTATCTAAAAATCCCCAGTGAGATGCACCCAGTACCTCAGTTGGAAATGCAGAAATCATTCGTCTTCTGCATTGCTCACACTGGGAGCTGTAGACTGGAGCTATTCCTATTTGGCCATCTTGGCTCCACCACCCCATGTTAACTCTTTTGTGAGTTGAGATACAACCCTATTTCTCTAAACGTGGGTGGCAAGTTATCCACAAACTGTTTGTTACCCTTTGTTTAAAGACAGTTCTCTATAGACCTCTTGTGTTTCTGCACATCTTCTGACAGCTTTTGATGCACACTATATTTTTAAGGTTATATTATAATCCCATAATTGGGCTGTATAAATTACTCATATCTACGGTAGAAATACTAAAAGATGAACCCATCAAAAATAAATACAGTAATTTTTAAATACATAAACAGTATAATAAGATATAAACAGAAACAACAAAATGTAATAAAGTGGGGGGACAAAGTTAAAATGCAGTTTTATTAGTTTTCTCTTTCCTTGTTTGTTAGTCAGTTAGTCAATATGTTTATGCAATCAGTGTTATCATCAGTTTAAATACTGGGTTATAAGATACTATTTGCAAGCCTCAGGGTACCTCAAATCAAAAACAACAACAGATAGACACACACACAAATAAAAAGCAATAAAAGAAAACATATCACCTGAGGAAAAAATAGCTTCACTAAAAGGAAGACAGGACAGAAGAAAGAGAAGAACACAAAAAACGTGAAAACAAATAGCAAAATGGCAGGAATAAATACTTATCAATAATGACATTGAATGTAAATGGACTAAACTCTCCAATCAAAAGACGTAGAGTAGCTAAATGTATAAAAAGGCAAGATTCAATAGTCTATTCCCTACAATAAACACTCTTCACCTGTAAAAACACACACAGACTGAAAATAAAGGATTGGAAATAGATATTCCATGCCAATAGAAATTTTAAAAGAGCAGGAGTAGCTGTACTTATATCGGACAAAATAGATTTCAAGACAAAAACTATAAAAACAAACAATGTGATTATATAATGATGAAAAAGTCAATTTAGCAAGAGGATATAAATGTAAATATGTATGTACACACAATGCAGCACCCAGATATATAAAGAAAACATTATTAGAGATAAAAAGATCGGCCCCAATATAATAATATATGGAGACTTTAACATCCTGCTTTCAGCACTGGACAGAAAATCAATGAAGAAACATTGGACTTAGTCTGCACTATAGACCAGATGGACATAATAGATATTTACAGGACATTTCATCCAATGACTGCAGAATACACATTCTTTTCCTCAGCACAAGAATCATTCTCAAGAATAGACCATATTTTAGGACACAAGGAACTCCTAAAGAGTTCCAAAGTTTAAATTATATGAAGCATCTTTTCTGATCACAATAAAATAAAAGCAGAATCAAAATAAGATAAATTTTGGAAACCATATGAACACATGGAATTAAACAGTATGCTCTTGAATAACCAGTGGATCAATGAAGAAATTAAGAACAAAATTTTAAAAAGTCTTAAATGATAATGGAAACACAACATACCAAAATCTTTGGGATATATCGAAAACAGTACTAAGAGGAAAGTTTATAGCTCTAAACATCTCCACCAAAAAAGTAGTAAAACTTCAAATAAACAACCTAACAATGCATCTTAAAGAACTAGAAAAGTGAGAGTAAACAAAACCCAAAATTAGTAAAAGAAATAATAAAGATCAGAGCAGAAATGTGTGAAATTAAAACAATGAAACAATATAAAAGATCAACGAAAGAAAAAGTTGGTTTTTTGAACAGATAAGCAAAATTAACAAATCTTTCACCAGACTCGCTAAGAAAAAAAGAGAGAAAACCCAAATAAATACAATCAGAGATGAAAAATGAAAAATTACAACTGATACCAAAGATATTCAAAGAAACAAAGGTTATTATGAGCAACTATATAACAATAAATTGAAAAATCTAGAAGAAATAGATAAATTCCTAGAAACGACAACCTACCAAGATTGAACCAGGTAGAAATCCAAAACTTGAACAGACCAGTAATGAGATCAAAGCTATAATAAAATATCTCCCAGCAGCCAGGCGCTGTGGCTCACGCCTGTAATCCTAACACTTTGGGAGGCCGAGGTGGGCGGATCACTTGAGGTCAGGAATTTGAGATCAGCCTGGCCAACATGGTGAAACCCCATCTCTACCAAAAATATAAAAAATTAGCCAGGTGTGGTGGCACATGCCTGTAATCCCAGCTACTCAGGAGGCTGAGGCAGGAGAATCGCTTGAACCCGGGAGGTGGAGGTTGCAGTGAGCCAACGTCGTGCCACTGTACTCCAGCCTCGGGGACACAGCGAGACTCCATCTCAAAAAAAAAAAAAAGTCTCCCAGCAAAGGAAAGCCAGGAAGTCGGGAAAATATGCCTTCACTACTAAATTATTCCAAACATTTAAAGAAGACATAATATCTGTCCTACTCAAAATAATCTAAAATACAGAAGAGGAAAGAATACATACTCATTCTATGAGGCTAGTATTATTCTGATATCCAAACCAGACAAGAACATAGCAAAAGAAAACTACAGGCCTATATTCCTGATGAGCACTCATGCAAAAATTCAGCACTGGACAGAAAATCAATAAATAGTGCTGGGAAAAATACAGCAAACTGAGTTCAATAACACATTTAAAAAAATCACTCATCATGATCGAGTGGGATTTATCCAAGAGATGCAAGGATGGTTCAACATAAAAGAAGTCAATCCATGTAATATATCAACAGAATGAAGGACAAAGACCGTACGATGATTTCATTTGATGCTGTAAAAGCATTTGATAAAATGCAACATCACTTCATGGTAAAAACCATCAAATAACTGGGTATAGAAGAAACATGCCTCAACACAGTAAAAGCCATATACACCAGACCCACAACTGATATCATAAAGAATGGAGAAAAAGTAAATCTTTCCTCTAAGATCTAAAACATGACCAGGATGCCCACTTTCAGCACTGTTATTCAACATAATACTGGAAGTCCTAGCTACAGCAATCATTCAAAAGAAATAAATAAAGGGTATCCAAATTGAAAAGGAAGACATCAAGTTATCCTTGTTTGCAGATGGTATGATCTTATATTTTAAAAAAAACCCTAAAAACTCTGCCAAAAACCTGTTAGAACTGATCAAAATTAACATACAAAAATCTATATCATTTCTACATGCCCAAAGCAAACAGTATAAAAAAGAAATAAATAAAATAAAACATCTAGGAATTAGCTTAACCAAAGAAATGAAAGATATTTACAATAAAAGCTATAAAACATTGATGAAAGAAATTGAAGAGGACACAAAAAATGAAAAGATATTCTATACTCATGGATTGGAAGAATCAATATTGTTTAACATCTATACTACCCAAAGAAATCTACAAATTCAATGCAACCCCTGTCAATATAACAATAACAGTCTTCACAGAAATAGAAAAAAGAACCCTAAAGTTTATACATATTAAAAAAAACCCATAGTAGCTATAGCTATCCTGAGCAAAAAGAACAAAACTGGAGGAATCACATTACCTGACTTCAAATTATACCACAGAGCTGTAGTAACTAAAACAACATGGTAATGGCATAAAGACAGACACATAAGACCAGTGGAACAGAATAGAGAACCAAGAAACAATTCCATAAACCTACAGTGAACTCGTTTTCAACAAAGGTGCCAAAAATATACAGTGGGGAAAGGATAGTCTCTTCAATAAATAGTGCTGGGAAAATTGGATATATATGTGAAGAAGAATAAAATTACATCCTTATCTCTCACTATATACAAAAATCAAATCAAAATTAATTAAAGACTTAAATCTCAGACATCAACCCATAAAACCAGTAAAAGAAAACATTGAAGAAACTCTCCAGGACATTGGACTTAACAAAGATTTCTTGAGTAGTACCCTACAAGCACAAGCAATGAAAGCGAAAGTGGACAAATGGGATTACATCAAGTTAAAAAGCTTCTGCCTGACAAAGTAAACAAAGTGAAGAGACAATCCACAGAATGGAAGAAAATATTTCAAACTGACATTTGATTGCAAATCTGCTGTCATATTTCACCTGACAAGGAATTAATAACTAGAATATATAAGGAACTCAAACAACTCAATAAAAAAATCTCATAAGATTTTAAAATGGTCAAAAGAATCCCAATAGACATTTCTCAAAAGAAGACATACAAATGGCAAACAGCTATGTGAAAAGATGTTCAACATCATTGATCATCAGATAAATGCAAATCAAAGGTACAATGAGATATCATCTTACCCCAGTTAAAATGGCTTTTATCCAAAAGAGAAGCAATAACAAATGCTGGTGAGGATGTGGAGAAGAAGGAAACCTTGTACACTGTTGGTGGGAATGTAAATTAGTACAAATACTATAAGGAACCGTTTCGAGGTTCCTCAAAAAACTAAAAATGCAACTACCATATGATCCAGCAATCCCACTTCTAGGTATGTACTCAAAAGAAAATTAGTATATCAAAGAGATAACTGCAATCCCATGTTTATTGTGGCACCATTCACAATAGCCACAATTTGGAGCCAACTTAAGTGTTCATCAGTATACAAATACATAAAGAAAATGTGGTACATATAAACAATGATGCAATATTCAGCCATAAAAAAGAATAAGATCCTGTCACTTGCAACAGCATGAATGGAATTGGAGGTCGTTATGTTAAATGAAATAAGCCAGGTACAGAAAGACAAACTTTGCATGTTCTCACTTATTTGTGGGAGTTAAAAAATGAAACAATTGAACTCATTGAAATAGAGAGTAGAATGATGGTTCCTAGAGGCTGGGAAGGGTAGGCAGGGTGGCAGTGGGGAGTGGGGATGGTAGGGTACAAAAATAATGTTAAATAGAATGAATAAGATCTAGTATTTGATAGAACAGTCAGCAAAAATTTATTGTACATTTAAAAATAACCAAAAGGGAATAATTGGATTTTTTGTGACACAAATAAAAGATAAATGCTTGAAGTGATGGATACCTCATTTACTACGATGTGATTATTACACAGTTTGTGCCCATATCAAAATACCTCATAAGTATTTATACCAAGTATGTACCCACTAAAATAAAAAAACCCATAATTCCTGGTTTATAGATGGTACCTAACAAAAGAATGTTATTAATAAATGTAACCAATGATAATAAGTATTAACAGCAGTATTTTATTATTACATTTTCAAAGAGTATGTCTACTGCCACCTCAGTTCAATATTTATACATCATGGTCTCTGTCTTTCATGGAATTAATAATCTAAAATATAACATTTTCTATAGACATATCTGTTTTTGAAATGTGTCATTAAACAATACAGAGTCAAATATGGAAAAACTTAATAAATATATTTTGTATTAAAACATAATTAGCAAAGATCTATTTCTAATATACAGTATGTAGATCTGTATTGATTTCCTTTTCCCCTCAACTGTGAATTTAGGCTACAAATCAAAGGAAAGAGAGCCAATGAGCCCTGATTAACAAGTCTTGCTGAGGACCAGAAGGCATTGTTGGCAGAAGTCATTTAGGGAGACTTGTTGCTAGGTATTGCCAACAAGTTGGTCCCCTGTGACCTGTACAAAAGGCTGCTGTAACAGAGTCTTGTGCTGGGATGGCAGGAACAATTCATGAATGTTATTTTAATACCTTAAAATACCTTCCTATATAGTGTAGCTCAGAATAAATTTCTATTTTTAAGATATGTATCTTATTGTCTTTGTTCAGTAATGATTTTTGTTTTACACCAACTTCGTTTATATTTTTCTTTATGTTACTGGCTTTTCAGCATTTCTTGGGCTCTTTTTAGAAATATAGAGATATTCCCACTATGAACTTGAAGGGATAAATATTATTTTGTTGTTGGTGTTGTGTCTGCAAAGATTAGCTTTGAACATTCACAATTACAATATCTACTTATTGGTAGTAGCTAAAATATTATTTTAAATGTTTAAAGAAATATACAGTTATAATCTCTAGCTTTTACTAGTGGGTACCTGATTATCAGCACATACTTTTCAATTCCATTCCTTTCTTTTGCTCCCCTCACCCCTAGTATAAGCATGGAAAATTAATACTTTCAAAAATAAGAGTCTGGATGGGACAAATGCTTTAAGCCCTCCAAATGATCTTAAATTTTTTATACAATACTTAATGTGCTTCCCATAACCCACTTTTCTATGCTTCCCTGAGAAGCACTGAGTCTAATGCTAACAATTTTAACTCAATCTACAAAGTGGTTCTTTAAATAAAAAATTATGACTGTCACACATTTGAAATTTTGTGTACTTTTATTCTACATCAACTAGTAATCAACTACAGGCACGACTCAGAGATGTTGTGGGCTCAGTTCACATTACCACAATAAAGCAAGTATCACAATATAGCAAATCACTGAAGTTTTTAGCTTCTCAGTTCATATAAAAGTTATGTTTACCCTATACAATAGTATATTAAATGTACAATAGCATTATGTTTAAAAAATCAATGTGCATACCTTAATTAAAAAATACTTTACTGCTAAAAATGCTAACAATCATCTCAGCCTTCAACAAGCCATAATCTTTTTCCTGGTTGAGTGTCTTGCCTCTGTGTTGATGACTGCTGACTGATTATGGTTGTGGTTGCTGAAGGCCAAGGTGGCAGTGGCAATTTCTTAAAATAAGACAGCATTGAAGTTTGCCATATCGATTGGCTTTTCCTATCACAAAAGAGCATGAAATCTTGTTTTATAGCATTTGATCCACAGAATAACTTTCAAAATTGGAGTCAGTCCTCTTAAACCCTGCTGTTTCTATATCAACTAAGTTTATGTAATATTCTAAATCATTTGTTGCCATTTCAACAATGTTCACAATATCTTCAGCAGTTCTTTTGCTATTCCTATCCCATAATCGGTGACTTCCTCCATTGAATTCCTGACCCCCTCAAAGTCATCCATGAGGGATGGAATGAACTTCTTCCAAATTCTTGTTAATATTGACATGTTGACCTTCTTCTACAAATCATGAATGTTCTTAAAGACGTTTAGAATGGTGAATCATTTCTAGGTTTTCAGTTTACTTTGCAAAGATTCATATGAAGAATTACTATCTATAGCAGCAATAGCTTTACAAAATGTATTTCTTAAATAATCTGACTTGGAAGTCAAATGATTTCTTGATCCATGGGCCATAGAATGAATGTTGTGTTAGCACACATGAAAACAACATTAATATTTTTGCATAACTCTATTACGGCTCTTGAGTGACCAGGTACACTGTCAAGGAGCAGTAATATTTTATTTTATTTTATTTATTTCCTTTGAGATGGAGTCTCACTCTGTCACCCTGGCTGGAGTGCAGTGGCACAATCGCGGCTCTCTGCAACTTCTACCTCCCCAGTTCCAGTGATTCTCCTGCCCCAGCCTCCTGAGTAGCTGGGATTACAGGCATCTGCCACCATGCCCAGCTAATTTTTGTATTTTTGGTAGAGACAGGGTTATGCCCTGTTGGCCAGGCTCTTCTCTAACTCCTGACCTCAGGTGATCAACCCACTACAGCCTCCTAAAGTGCTGTGGTTACAGGTGTGAGCCGCAGTGCCTGGCCAGGGACCAGTCATATTTTGAAAGAAATATTTTTTCTAAGCAGTAAGTCTCAATATGGTCTTAAAAAGATTCAGGAAACCATTCTGTAAACAGATGTACTGTCATCAGGACTTTGTAGTTTTGTTTATAGATTACAGGCAAAATAGGTTTAGCATAATTCTTAAGAGCCCTGGGATTTTTGAAATGGCAAATTAACATTGGTTTCAACTTAAATTCACCAGCTGCATTAGCCCTTAACAAGAGAGTCAGCCTATCCAGTAAATGCCAGGCATTTACTTCTCTTTAGCTATGAAAGTCCTAGATGGCATCGTCTTCCAATAGAAGGCTGTTTCATCTACATTGAAAATCTGTTGTTTAGTGTAGCCACCTTCATCAATTATCTTAGCTAGATCTTTTGGATAACTTGCTTCAGTTTCTCCATCAGCACTTGCTGCACCTTCCACATTTATGTTCTAGAGATGGCTTCCTTCTTTAATCCCCATAAATCAACCTGTGTAGCATCAATCTTTTCCTCTCAGCTCCCTCTTCTCTCTCAGCCTTCACAGAATTGAAGAGTTAGGGCCTTGTTCTGGATTAGACTTTGGCTTAAGGGAATGTTGTGGCTGGTTTGATCTTCTATCTATACCACTAAAACTTTCTCCATAACAGCAATAGGTTTGTTTTGCTTTCTTATTATTTGCATGTATTTACTGGAGTAGTACTTCTAATTCTCTTAAATAATTTTTTCTTTGCATTCACAACTTGGCTAACTGGTGCAAGAGGCTAAGTTTTTGACCTGTCTCAACTTTCAATGTTCTTTCCTCACTAAGCTTAATCATTTATAGCTTGTGATTAAAAGTAAGAGACATCTAACCATTTCTTTCACTTGAACAATTAAGGACCATGGCAGAGCTATTAATTGGCCTAATTTCAATATTCTTGTGTCTGAGGACATAGAAAGGCCTGAGGAGCAGGAGAGAAATGGGGGAGTGGCCATTTGGTAGAGCACTCGGAAAACACACATTCATTGATTTAGTTCATTGTCATGGTGCACTCAAACAATTACAAAAGTAACATCAAAGGTCACTGATCACAGATCACCATAATAGGTATAATAATAATAAAAATATTGTAAATAATATGAGAATTATCAAAATCTGACACAGAGACATGAAGTGAGCACATCCTGTTACAAAAAAAATGGCCCCAATAGACTTGCTTGATACAGAGTTTCCACAAACCTTCAATTGGTTAAAAACTGCAGTATCTGTGAAACACAATTAAGTTAAACAGTATAAAATGAGATATTCCTGTATTAAGTTACTAAGTGGAGGTGTTTTAAAAGATACGAGAGACAGAAGAAAAAATCTATGCCTTGTCTTCTTGTCCACAGGGATCTCAATTTAGCTGAAAACAGAGACATATATGCCTTTAAAAAATAAAAATTAAAAAAGCTCATCTTGCATGTTTTGTGCATTCTGTTTCTACCTGGAACACTCTCTCTATCCCCTTGCCTGACTCTTCCTAGCTGACTCCTTTCCTTTAAGATTCTAACTAAAGCCTGCATTTTCAAGGAGGACTTTCCTGTTCCCAGGAGACTTACCTTGGAATTTCCTTATCAATCATTTAGCAGCATTCTGCACTTTCCCTTTTATTATCACCCTTTACAGCAGTGAGTTGCTTTTTGTCTCCTTTTTTGTCTACTTCTGAATTGAGAAGAAGCCCAATAAATTGAGAAGAAGTGTCAAATCAATAAAAACCTTTGAAGAGTAATTTTAAAAGTTAAAAACTAAATGCCATTGACAGTTTAAGAAGGAAAATGGGGACTTTAGGCAGCAGAAAAAAAATTCATATAGAAAGTTAGGGTCTGATATTTTTATTGGTAATAAAAATGAAGATGAAAGGTGGAATTATGCATGGTGATAAAAACTGATTGAAAGTGTGGATTCACACTTAAGGAAAAGTAAAAATTGCCATTCATTTCTGGCCTGTGAGTCACATCTAGAATCAGCCTTGACCTGGTTGACACATTACATTCTGCACATACCTAACAGCTCTAATTAATGTGTGTGCAGATCATCAAATGAGTTGGCATTAGTAGAAAAGAACAAAACAGTTTTTTTTTTTAATGTGGAGGATAATGGTTGAGCCAGCTTTCTGTTTTATTACTGCCAAATGGCTTGATCATGGAAGCAGTGCGCATAAAAATGTCAAAGGATTATGGAAAAAGCTATTCCTTCAGTTTTTAAATGGACATAAGATACTTATGGACTTGATAACAGGAGCTATTTTTTGTTGAATTTTCAACCAATTTTATAAAGCTTTCCTCTTAAGGAAAGTTATTGGTCTCAGAACTTTTAAAATTGAAAGAAATCATCCCAGGTTGCTGAATATGACTTTCTTTTTTTAGTTTCCTCATTCAGTAGAACATATTCTTTCCCTGATATATTGTTTCAATAGAAATTTGTATTGTTTTCATTTATCAGGGAAGTATGAAAGAACTGATTATGCTGAACAGATGGCAATGCCCATTACAGAATAAGGGCCAGAACAATTTCATGCAAGTTCATATCTTTGCAATGACATTACCAGTGATTACTAAAATATAATTTTAAATTTATCCAATCATTCTGTAAGATGTACAAAATTTCTCACTTATATTTTAAATTGCTAATTATTTTGCACATTTTTATTGTCTGTTATTAGACAGAAAATCCAGAAGGATGATTGTTTTCTAATATAAGTGCAATATTGCTTAGTTATTTGAATCTTAAAATGAGTGAACATGAGACTGTTGTAAGTCTCAACAAAGACAAATAAATAAAAGGGTAATTTATTCATTTATTTATGAATAAATTGGATTTTTTAGTGATGATCTTCATCTAATAAACATAGATCCTCAAATTCATATCAATCATTGCTCATTGTTAACATGTAATTGGGGGATTCATAATTATTTTTCTAAGGTCTAGGTAAAAAGATTGTAGGGTCTGTTAATAATTTATTTCATCACGGGTTCTGCATGGTATTCTTTTCCTAAGCCAAGACTGAAGAAGATGGAAGAAACAGCTGCAGTTTTAATACTGTATTTCTACTACTTTCAAAAGGTAACAAAGGCCTATTTGTTAGATAAAAGCTGAGATGTTGGCACTTCCAGTCATACTATCAGTCAATGTGCCTATTTAACAACTTTCTCCATGGCCAGATAGTTTGTTAAAATGAAACTATGATTAATCTGTTTCTCTTTTTTATTAATAGGTAAACATCTTAGAAGAGTACACTTCATTCTTTAGTCCAGCACCACATAGCTTTGGTCCCTTCCATGGTTCCAAATTAGTCTTTTTTTTTTTTTTTTTTGAGAAGGAGTCTTGCTCTGTCACCCAGGCTGGAGTGCAGAGGCACGATCTCAGCTCACTGCATCCTTCGCCTCCTGGGTTCATGCGATTCTCCTGCCTCAGCCTCCTGAGTAGCTGGGATTACAGGCGTGTGCCACCATGCCTGGCTAATTTTTGTATTTTTAGTAGAGATGGCATTTCACAATGTTGGGCAGGCTGTTCTCAAACTCCCAATCTCAGGTGATCTGCCTGCCTTGGCCTCCTAAAGTGCTGGGATTACGGGCATGAGCCACCACGCCCTGCCCCAAATTAGTTTTTACTGTGATCATTAATGACCAAAAATCCAAAGGTAATTTCCCATCCAGTGGCGTAAAACTTTATCTCATGTACTTCTGTGACTTGAATTATCAATTATAGTCTAACAGCTCGCTCCCAGATCTATAACTCCAGACCAGATATTCCACCTGAGGTTCTGATTCATATGTCCAAATGCCTATCGGGCAACTCAATTTGGATCCCTATAGAAAATGTAAGCCCCACAAGTCCAAAACCACTTAGTTCCTTTATCTGTAAAATTGGATGGTAAAAGTTCCTAATTCATAGAGACAGTAGTGAGAATTAAATAACAATCCCTACCATATATAAAGCAGTCAGTAATATTAGTTATTATTATTATTATTGTTATCAGTGTCCATATTATTATTCCTAGTTGATGACTTGATTCCAATTCATACCTCGTCCCTTGGACATCTCATTTTCTCAGTGGGTTCTCTTCAGTCTCCTTGCTCTTAATCCTCCAGGCTAAGCAGTGTCTTAAATGTGAAGTCTTTAAATCATATTCTAAGCCAGTATGATATAATCAATATTAAAACAGCATCTCTGACAAGGCAGTCACTTCAAAATTGCTAACAGTTTTATGGATTATCCTGAGAAGAATGACTTATACAATTAGTTTATGACTCAACACTCAAAAAGATGCAATATCTATACAAACTTGTCAGTCTCTTCTCTTTGAAAAATTAGCCACATCATATTCTATTTAAAAGTTTAGCATCCTGTAAGTCTCTGGGTAACTTTACATTTTATATTTCTTTAATCTGTTCTCATTTTTTTGTTTATTATTTGTCTAAAATGTTAATTTCATTACATGTTGGATAACCAGGTTAACTATGATGGGAAAGTAGATCAAAAGTATTTTGGGGGTAATGAAGAATGAACAGGTAATTTTAGGTTTGTGTTACCAGAAAAGGAGAAATGATAGAAAAGTGGATATAACAACAAAAGTCATTCATTTTCAGGAGGTCTGGTAACCCAGAATCCTTGTTTACAAAATATCTGTTTTGACTGTGAGGTACAGAATTATCACATTTATACATCATCTGTGTCCCTTAAAAATATAAACTATATTCATAACTAAATTTTAAAAGTATTCCCTGTTTTAAAACAAGTAAATAAATAGACCAATGGACGGTTCATATCTTTATTTTGTTACTTGATTCCCAGTCTTACAATAGCTCTTCTCAGATTATTCTCAACTTTACAAGATAATTTGGAGTTACTGCTTTTCAAAATCCTTTGGTAATTGCTTGTGCCTAAATCATGCCACCTTATTCCATGGGATCCATTAATATTTGGGTAACTAGACAAGGGTATTTAGCAATCCAGGGATGCAGATGCTGTGAAATGGGTTTTCACAGATACGGAGCTGCAGCTTAACGTTATCTTCAGAGAGACAGAAAGCGGAGTCTAGAGAGAAAGCATAGTAATTTAAAACAACTGACATCCCATAGCCCTCCTTAGAAAAGTCATATCCGTTTGGACACATGCCAGAATTCCCTCTGAATTGCTTTTCATAAAGCCCTCAGATTCCTAGTTCTTAATAAGCTCTGTTCACTAGTTATCATAGATATATAATTTTTCCATAACCCTGCTGTCTTTCCTGCAGATTACTCGAGCATATGCTGATTTTGGCTCTGTTACAAACAAAATAAAATCCTTTATTCCTTGAGCTCAAACCCTCCAATATATAATTATTCTTTTAGAACAGTATGTTCACTTTATGTACTTGTCTAGTTACAAAGTTACTTAGTTTCCTAAGCCATTCGCAAAATTTCTGGCTCTATAGCCATAATAAATTGTGAAACAATACTAGAGGGGCAAAAATATTTATAGGAATAATCTTTCAAAAGAAAAAATCTTGAGTGTGATGGTTCTTTGTACATTCTCTTAAGTAAATCATCAGAGCCCGCTTATTTTTCTTTTATTCTTGTTGAAATTCAGGCATGGAGATAACACTGAAATTCTGGCCAAATCAGCTGTTGCTGAAATTTATAGAACAGATTTGGAGTTACCAATTTAAACTTCATAGTTGGCTGAGAATCCAGCTGTGTTGGCTCAGTCAGAGAATGCAATGGAAGGTTGGACTGAAATCATCTGATACCATCCACGAAGGGGGTCTAGAGACTGGGAGGGAGGAGGGAATACGCAAATTAAAACAAAACAAAACAACAAGCCTCAAGAGAGAATAGTTCCTTTGCTGATAGTAATGGTAATTTTTTCACATTAGAAAGTCTCATCATTGACATGAAAGGAAGGGAATTTTAGCTTTAACTGTAGAAATAACTAATTTGGTCTTCTATTTATGTGGTTTGGGGAAAGTAACAGAGTACCCTAACCCCCATATCCCAGAGCTGAGGGAAGCTGGCTGCTTTACACAGCGAGCCAAATGGCCAATTACATGAGTGTGAAAAGGCACCACGCCAAATGCAAACACATTTTCTGTGGTGGCTATTTTTAACTCTGTGCTATATCTTTTGACCTATTTCTACTTGATCCATTATCTTAAATATTCACATTCTTAAGGATGATACATCTGAATACTACGCAAATATTTTCTTCGTTTCCAAGTTGGATAAAAGAAGACAAGATTCTGACCCTGAAATAAAGGCTAAGCCTCTTGGCAAGCTCAGACGTGGTTTGTCAAGTTCACGTTTCCTGCCTTGCTAGCAGTGCCTGTTCAGTTTCTTGACTAGAGAAGTCTGGTCCTACTTCACATGTGCCGAGGTTCTAGGTGGCACTTCTTAACCACCATTCACAGTGAAATAGACCTTTAAAGGGAAATCGTCTTCTCCTCTTTCTTTACAAAATCATAAATGGGTTCTAGGAATGCCTGATCCTCTGGTTCCTGCAATCCCCAAATTCCTAAAAGAATCTCGATTCTTAGTGTGTACACACATACATGCACACAGAAGTTCACACACAGTGCACAGGGGTATGGTGCAGCTGATTTAAAGGTTATGGGTAGAGAAGTGGTTACTCCCTCAAGAGGGAAATTACTGTGCCTGGCTAGAAAGCCGAGGCGTAATCACATGCTGGGTTCCGCCCCCTGGTGCTTCTACTGAGTATCCCTCATTTTCTATCCTAAGACCAGAAGAGGAAATGGTAAGGGGCCGAGGGAGTCAACAGGACAGGAGAGAGGGTTTGCAGACCTTTAAAATCCAGCGCTACAACACTTCTTTGGGTAGCTATCCAGCGACCCAAAATATTTTTCCCCAAGGTAGTGCATAAGCCTCATTTGACTTTGGTACTTGGGTTGAACTTTGAGTTGAGTTGAACTTTGCTGCCATGTTCACTATAAAATGTATACTAATGGGGTAGTTATGTTTGAGAGTTACCAGCCTTTACCTGTCTGTAACTTGCTACAGGCTTCCATGGAGTAAGAAACATTCCTACTGTTACGGTCATTTATTAAATATATTTGCAGAAAAAGGTTTTTACCTTTTCAAAGCACTTTAACATTTGTTATCTTATTTAAACTTTGCAAACCTTTGAAGCAGTTGGGGTAGGAATGAGAATTTCCACTTTGAAAGTAAGTAAATTGAAAGAAAGTCGACCCTGAGGATAGGCCCCACAATCTAAGGCACTGGCTAAATATTCAGGGAAAGGTGTTCACACTGGGGTAGAGA
The DNA here is from genome assembly GCF_000001405.40 of Homo sapiens. NCBI lineage: Eukaryota > Metazoa > Chordata > Mammalia > Primates > Hominidae > Homo > Homo sapiens. The sequence goes on from NC_000007.14 coordinate 19,921,480, forward strand.
CATCAGCAGGCAAGCTTAAAATTGAGTAGAAGAGAATGCCAAACGAAACCAATTAAAGATGTTTTTTGGGTCCAAGTGAATTGCATGATGTTGAGAAGAGTGGAAACTTAAAAGGTCAAAATCAAGGTAAATAAAGGAAGAAAGTAGAGTGTGATACACTACACTGTCTTCTGTTTCCTTGGCTTTCAACCTGGGGTGATTTTTACCGCCAGCAGACCCTTGGCAATATCTGGAGATTTTTCTGGTTATCAAAACTTGGTGGGGTGGGGAGTACTGTTGGCATCTATCAGTTAGAAGCCAAGAATGCTGCTAAACCTTCTACAATGTGTAGGACAGCCCTGCTACAAGAAAGAATTATCTAGCCCAAATTGTCAATAGTACTGAGATTGAGAACCCTGATCTATAATATTTAGAGTAGTTATCTGGTGAATGGTAAGTCACCTTGATTTAAAGCGAGAAACCTAGAATGTCTGACATAAATTCTACCACTCTTGGATACCCTCTGATTTGTTTCCTTAGGAGGTAGATCAGGCTGTAATAGGTTGGATGGAGTGAAAGGGTTAAAGAGAACCACATACCATTTGTCTGCTCTGTGTTCACTCTGTATGAAAATAAGCTATCTAGATATGGCTTTCTCTTTATTTTACATGCTAAAGAATACTGTTTTATAAAAAATTTATGTATTTTTATTAAAATATAGAGTGGAGTTATTTGAGATATACTTGTTGGCCCCTTTATTTGGAAGGGTTATATTTTTAAAATTATATTGTGTCAAATTGCAAAAACGAACTACTTTTGTAGAGGGGATGCTAAATAAATATTCACTTCTGTATTTCCTTTTTCATTTGCTCACTAAAAGCATGTACATCCAGAGATTCAAGTGAGCACTGGCTGTAGAGAAAGCAAGCAAAGTATAATTAAGTGGGAATCTATGGCTTTACTGACTGCCTCTACTGAAAGCAATTGTGTCCGGCTTTTTTTTTTTTTTTTTTTTTTTTTTTTGCCTAATACTCATTTGCAAGGTAGCTTTCTGCCAACAGCATCTTTCCAATGCTGGAAAATTGGACTTCTGCTTTGAGCACATTTAAAAAGAGACGTTTTGTATTTTCTTTTTGTTTTATTTAGATGTGCTAAACATACATAACTGCAAAAAATGGGACAATGAAATTAGGAAACATAGGTTTACTTATTACTTACTAGAAAACGCCCACCCCAAGGTTAGTTAAGGCAGGCAATCACTTGCCCGCTATGATCTAGACTTGTGATACTCAGTTTGATAGTCAAGTGTGGAGCTACTTAAGTTAAAATTTAAAAAATTAAAATTAACTAGAAACTTGACTCCTCGGTGGCACCTGCCGCATTTCAAATGTTAAAATAGTGGGTAGTAACCATCATAATGGGCAGTGCAGATAGAGAATATTTCATTATCACGCAACGTTCCACTGGACAAGGTTTCTTCAGTTGAGTGGATTCAACAATTGATGATAGTGTGAGGACAATGTTGAAGTCTGGTGAGCTTTTCTTTTTTTTTTTTTTTGTTACTTCTTTTCTGTTTTTTGAGAGGGAGTCTCGCTCTGTCGCCCAGGCTGGAGTGCAGTGGCGCGATCTCGGCTCACTGCAAGCTCCGCCTCCCGGGTTCACGCCATTCTCCTGCCTCAGCCTCCAGAGTAGCTGGGACTACAGGCGCCTGCTACCACACCCGGCTAATTTTTTGTATTTTTAGTAGAGACGGGGTTTCACCGTGTTAACCAGGTTGGTCTCGATCTCCTGGCCTCGTGATCCGCCCATCTCGGCCTCCCAAAGTGCTGGGATTACAGACGTGAGCCACCGTGCCCGGCCGAGCTTTTCTTTGAGCATGCAAAATGCTCCCGCACAGCCACTTGAAGTCTCTACCTAGGAGGCAATAACTATAAAGGCCTCATGATATTTTTACTTAATTCATCTAATAATTACTTATTCAATCCCTGCTCTAGGTTAGGCACAATTGTAGGCATTGGGGAAAGAAATGAACAAAACCAAAAATGCCCTTGTTTTCAAAGGGGTTAAATTTGAATGTAGAAGACCAAAGATTTATTGTTAAAAATGTAAATTTATACATATACATACATACATATATAAATTATACATCCAGGAAATGATCACTGTTAGGAAGAAATATCAGAGTGTGAGGGAAGGATACTATTTCCAATAGAGTTCTCAAGGATACCCTTTTGAGGAGCTGATACTTAAGTAGAGTCCTAAAGGCAGTGAGTGGTGTGATTAACGGAACTATCTGGGGCAAGGGCATTTCAGACCCAGGATATAAAAAAATGCAAAGCCTCTGAGGTAGGAAAATTCTTGTCAAGTTAAAGAAAGCCAAAGGAGGCCAGCAGTGCTGGAGCAGAACAAGTAAGAAGAGCAATAGTAAATGAGGTCGGTTATAGGCAATGGCTGGAATATGTATTTATTAGGTAAAGGCCAAGCACGGTGGCTCATGCATGTATTCCTAGCACTTCAGGAGGCTGAAGCGGGTGGATCACTTGAGGTCAGGAGTCCAAGACCAGCCTGGCCAACATGGTGAAACCCCGTCTCTACTAAAAATACAAACATTAGCTGGGTGTGGTGGTGCCTGCCTGTAATCCCAGCTGCTCAGGAGCCTGAGGCAGGAGAATCGCTTGAACCTGGGAGGCAGAGGTTGCGGTGAGCCAAGATCATGCCACTGCACTCCAGCCTGGGCCACAGAATGAGACTCCGTCTCAAAAAAAAAAAAAAAAAATCAGGCCATGGTAAAAATTCAAAAATTCAAATTATGTTCTAAGAGAGATTGGAGACCTTTTTAGTATTTGAGTGCTGAAATGACATGATCCAATTAACATTTTTTAAAGTATCCTCTCACTGCTGTATGCGGGAGAACACTACAAGTTTGCAAGAGCTGAGACAGTGTGACTGGTTAATAAGGCATTGCTACAAACTGGGCAGGAAGTGGTGGTGGCTTAGAGTGTTGTCATTGGAGTAGATGAGAAGGGGTTCAATTAGAAAAATACGTTAAAGTTAAAGAATTAACAAGATTTACTAATTAACTAAATGTAGGATCTAAAATAAAGGTAGGGTTCAAGAGTGACACTAAGGTTTTGCTTGAACTGGGTAGATGGCAGTATGACATTTACTGAGATTAGGGAGTTTGGAGGAATAGCAAGTTTGGAGTGAGTGTGGTAATCAAGAGTTCTCTGCAGAGGATATTTAATGTGAGATGCTCACTAAACATTCAAGAGAATATTTTCAAAAAGTTATTGAATATATACATCTGGAGGTCAGAAAAGAGGTTGGAGCTGATTACATAAATTTGTATGTTAACTGCACGTATATGGTATTTAAAGCTGTGAAGTTAATGGAGATCACAAAAGGAGTAATTGTAGTTAGGGATGAAATACCCAAGAACTGAATCCTGGGGCAGTCCATTTTATAGAAGTGGAAAGGAAAAGGGAAGGAAGTAGAGGAGACTATTCATGTAGGAGAAAATCAGGAGTATGTGGTATCCCAGAGAACAAGTGAAAATTTTATATTAAAAAGGAGAATGGTGAATTATATCAAATGCTTGCAATAAGCTGAGCAAGATGAGAAATGAAAAGTTTCCATTGCATTTGGCAATTTACAGGTTCTTAATGAGAAGTTTCAGTGGAGGACTGGGGACTAAAGCCTGTTCCAGGGGCTTTAAAAAGGAAACAAGAGGTTGTAGGAGGATAGGAAGTGGTGTAAGGAAGTATCCATACCTCTTTTTGAGGAGCTTTGTTATAAAGAGAACATAGAATTCTTATAGTAGCTGAAAGTTTATGTGGAATTTCTGGATTTGTTTGCTTTAATAAAGGAGGAACTACCATATGCTGATTAGATGATGCAGAAGAGGGAAAAAGTGGATGGTGTGGGAGAAATAGAGCATAATTTCAAGAAAAAAGAGGAGAACACCAATGGCTTTGAGGCTACCCAAATCCAGAAGGCCTTGACTCAGGAGCTGTTGAAAATACTAAAATAATTTACAATACTAAAGTGAGCTATACTTCAAAGCATACTAAGAGTTCATAAGGGAAAGATAAGGTCAACCCCCCTTAATGCTCAAAGACAATCATCTCTAAATTGAAAGTTAATGGCCTGTTTGCATCTTCTCTTTCTACCTGCCTTCCTACCATTTCCTGTTGTGTGTTGGACTGGGCATACAGCTAAAGGAGACTGATAAAGATAGTGCTTGATGGTGCAAGCTTGATGTGTTGAGCTTGGCTTGAGATGATGCATTAGCTCGCCAGTATTGATGTTCTGCTTCATGACTAGGACTCTGTAAGATGCACTGGCTTCCTTATATTATAAAAGGCTGCCAAGATGAGAACTAATGATGAACATTTTAGGAACTATAACACCCAGAACTTATATATCATAGAACTGGTAATAAAATAATTTATAATATTATTGGCCCAGGGGTAGCCAAAGATCAGAAAATATTAATTCACTATTTCATCTGTTTCAAAAAAATACTTAAAAGATGCTAAGCAATTATTATTTAGGATAATTCAGCTTTATGATAACACCACATCTGCTGATTTCAGAGATGGTGCACCAAATATTTCCCTTAGCTACCTACCATCAGTTCACATAGATAAATATAGAGGCATTTCTTCATAAGGAATGTCCCAAGAGAAGATTCACGTACCTATTTATGGCTTCTATTTTATTGGCTCATATGTATAATGATAGTTATTCTACTGTTCAGTTTGACGTTTCATGAAAACTTTCCCTTAATAAAATCACTCCTTTTTAAAAAAACTTCTATTATCTTTCTTTCTTCCTTTTTTTTTTTTTTTTTTTTTTTTTTTTGCTGGAGTGCAGTGGCACGATCTTGGCTCACTGCAACGATCTCCGTCTGCCTCCTGGGTTCAAACGATTCTCCTTCCTCAGCCTCCTGAGTAGCTGGGATTACAGGTGTGAGCCACCACGCCCGGCTAATTTTTGTATTTTTAGTAGAGACAGGGTTTCACCATATTGGCCAGGCTGGTCTCGAACTCCTGACCTTGTGATCCGCCCGCCTCAGCCTCCCAAAGTGCTGGGATTACACGTGTGAGCCACCATGCCCGACCATCTTTCTTATTTTCTTTACCAGTATGAAAGTTACTGTCACATCATGTTATTAATGTATTGGATCATAGGTATGACACATGTTTATTATTAATCTTAATTAACATACAGCAAAGTGTTTTGTAACTTAGTGCTCAATAAATATTTATTAGCTTGAATAGATATATTATTAATGCTTCCAGAAAAAAATTCAACCCAAAGAGAGGTGCTAACTTGTCCACATTAAGCTAAATAGTCCCATCTATAAGCTACTCTCTAATTATGTTGTTTTGGATAGGATGCTATTTGAATTTGTCCTCGCAACATTTATATGAATTAGGTATTATTAGGACTGTATGCTATCAATGAGGAAATGCATATTTAGAATTTTGGAACTTGCTAAAGATCACACAAGCAGTATGTGGCAGTGATGAAATTTACACTTGGATCTGACTGATTCCAAGTTCCACACTGGCTATAATGTTTAGGTTAGCTTGAAGTAGAAGATGCTGTTTGGCTATTACATATTCTATTTCATAGAATAAGCCAAAGCGCTTGGTCGCTTACAGGTTTACTAGAGGCAAGTAGGAACATTTTACAGGGAGAGGAGACAGGGAATCTAAAACAAAGCAATTGCCATTACTCTACCTTAAATAATATCCTTTGGTTTCAGCACTTAATTGAAACTACTGTACCAAAGAACAATGACTATCTAATTTCCATTCCGATATACATTTCCCCTCCTTTTTGAATTTGGTCTTTAATTAGCATTTAATACCATGTACCATTTCTGTTATATGCCTAATATTAACTAATGGGGACTACCATTTAAGTAGAATTTGGATTTTTCTGAAAGGCTGGAGATTTTAAATGAGGTTTTTCCTCTTTTTGTAATCTCTCTTTTTTTTAATTCTTGAATGCAACTTTTATTCTTTTTATTTACTTAAGATAAATCTCCAGAAGCTAATGTTTGGGTTACAAACATGATTTTTTTAAAATCGATCTTGAAATTACTTGCCAAATCACTTCTCAAAAGAAGAAAAAGTAGTGACAATATACAAGTATATATATTACAGCTTTCACTATAATCTTCTTGTGAGATTTCATAATTTAAAGATATTTTTCAAACCCCAAAGATTACATCACAATTTAACTTTTTATGAGATCTGGTTTTCTCAAAATAGAACAATGTAAAGACCTGTATCTATATTTGCATCTTTTTGTTTTCCCAGAAATAATTATAATACATCTTTCCCTCATTCTGTTTCCGTCATGTATCATGTATCATGTATCATGTTTAGTGGTACTTAGGTTTTTCTATGTAATATGAAACATTATAGGTAAGTTAAAGCCTGCAAAGCACAATGTTAAATTTTAATTTTGATGATCCATTGGTTCTTGGAAGTATGTAATGGTTGGAAAAAGTTAAGGATGCAACTTCATTTTTGAAACAATATGGGATGTGAGAAAGCAAATATGATTCACAAAGGAAAACACCAAAAGACAAGAAGTGAAAGTGTATTGTTATGAAAAGATGTTATTGTTATAAAAGATGAAATTAGGAAAGCATAGAGTTATTCTAATATAGGAAAACTCTTCTTTAAAAGCTTTGTGAAAACACTGTTTTTGAGTCTCAGCTTGTTTCCATAGTATCCCAGGTAAAAATACACTTTTCTTTCATTATTCATTGCCTTTGCACCAGCTGTTCCCTTCATCTAGATTCTTCTCTGTTATTCCAGTGCAGGGGTTCTTAATCTCAGCACTGTTGATACATTTGACAATTTGCACAGTTGTTTTTGCTGGAGGGGTGTGGGGAGATGTCCTGTTCACTGTAGATTGTTTAGTAGCATTGCTGTTTTAAAAATACTGGAAACAGTAATACAAACCTCCTACTACCACTACTGAGTCATCTTGTACCCTCTTTGAGAACAGTGACTCTAGTGAAACTTATAAATGAAACATAGCTGTAGTGGAAAAAAAAATTCAGAGATCACCTCAGAAAAGACTTTGAAATACCTAAGCCCTCCCTTCCAACAGATCTGATCATTTTTTTTGTGCTTCTGTCATATGTTAAAGCAACCTCTTTTATAAAAATTATTATACTGTTTGTCTTCATGGAACAAATATTTGTTCAATGCTTGAGCTAGCTAGCTCTGGTGAATCTAGTGTTCTGGTGTGTATTTCTTTCCAAAAAGAAATACAATGTTTCATAATATAATGTCATCCTGAAATCAACCATGGGGGTAGTATTAATGCCGTGGAAATTGGAAAATGCTGCAAATCGGGTTTTTGTTTTCCTTAGAGAGCTAATTATTAAACATTTAATAATACCCCTCATGCCTATTATATGCAACTCTTCTCTGAGTAGTGGGAACATATGAGAAAAGAAAGACGCCATGTCATCTAATAAGTTTTATTAACTGGATTGTGAACTCCTTGAAGAAAAGATTATTTTCTACTCATCTTCTAAAACGAGTACTAGCATAGTGATTGATTCATTGATGACACTCAAAAAAGTTAATAACAACATTTATTTGAGCATTCATTTAAATTATGAGTGTGGGATTTCTTCAAAGGACTTTCTTAAACGATGCTTTTGCTTCTGTTTATTTTTGAATCTAGAACTTTCTTACAACAGTTGGATGTTTCAGTGGTTAGTTTATTTTTATATTTCTAAAATTTAGTAATTCAGCAGGAAGGTTCTCTCAAGCTGCAGGAAGTTTTGCAGTTTAAGGCTATTCTGAGCTTTTCAACATGCTTTTTGTGATTTCTTACAATTACTTTGACCATTTCATTCAGCAGGGACTTTTGTAAAGTTAAGCTTTCTCTTTCATTCTCCTAACAATTACTCATCACTCCACGGTTTTTGCCTCATTTTTTCTTTTTCTTTCTTTTTTTTTCCTTGCTTTTCTTTTTCTTTACTTTTTTGGTGGTTCAGACTTTTATATCTGTACTATATATTGATTTTTAAAGCCCTTTTTATTAGAACATAAAATCAGCATATTTTTAGAGAAGTGATTACACATGGGAAGGAGAGGAAAAGAAAAAAAAAGGATTAAGTTTTAAGAATTTAGCTCTATCTATGATAATTTCATTAAAAAAAATCCTAAAACAAAAATGTCAATTCCTTAACTGTTGTTAAACTTATATGTCGAATAAAGAAGTGAATATTTTCTGGCTGGGCGCGGTGGCTCACGCCTGTAATCCCAGCGCTTTGGGAGGCCAAGGCGGGTGGATCACGAGGTCAGGAGATCGAGACGATCCTGGCTAACACGGTGAAACCGCGTCTCTACTAAAAATACAAAAAGTTAGCCAGGCGTCGTGGTGGGCGCCTGTAGTCCCAGCTGCTCGGGAGGCTGAGGCAGGAGAATGGCGGGAGCCCGGAAGGCGGAGCTTGCAGTGAGCCAAGATCGCACCATTGCACTCCAACCTGGGTGACAGAGAGAGATTCCATCTCAAAAAAAAAAAAAAAAGAAAAAAAAAAGTGAATGTTTTCTCTACTGTGTGTATGTTTAAAATGTTTTATAATTAAATATGAAATAATAAAGCATTGTGTTTAAAAATTAGATAATCTAGAAAACATAATGGAAGTAAGGATTGGCCAGAATACTAACACCCAGTGGTGATATCCCAAGTATGTATTAATAATAACCAGTGTGGCATGGGTACTGATCAGTCAGCAGGGATTTTAGATAACTTCTGCATGACTACATTCATGCATACTTCCTGATGCCTGTTCTGCCAGCAGCCACTGGAAACTACTGCCCATATTTTGTTTGTACCTTTATGGACTTTTTTGTGCATACCTTTATTTTTTACATTACATATTTGAATATAGGCATGCTTATTTTTTTCAGAAATTCCAGCACGTGGTTTTTTTTAATAATAATTTTTATGGTTGTAGTTCTTCACTTATCTATTGTTAGTATCTCCCACTGGATTCAAAACTTCAGAAAGTCAGGGCTCCAGTCTCTCCTGCTCACCATGATATATCTGGGACTTAGCCTAGTGCTTGTAATATGGAATACACAAAATATATATCATTAACTTTTTTAATATAAATAGATCTATAAGTACATTAGTATTTTTCTTGGTTGTATAGTATTCTATGTCCTGATATATCATAAATTATTGGATAATCTGTTGTTGGACATTTTGATTAATTTTTTTCTCCCTGTATTTCCCGGGAGACTTTCCTTGTGCTCTCTTTCATTGTGTAGATTTTTAAGGCAAAGAGAAAGAATAGAATTTAGAGGAGGCTGTTGAGAAAAATGAAGATGGTACTGTAACCTCTTTGAGATATAACAGCACATTAACTGATTCCTTTGTGGTGATGGATGTATTAATACTTTAAAACAGTAAAATCTTTGAGGATTTCTCAAGTCAAATGACCTAAGATTGACCAATTCTAAGAAATCTGAGAATGGCATAACCTCTGTGAAACTGGTCCTAGAAAGAACAACATAAAGGTAAAGCGATTGAGTCACCAAAAGTTTGTGATACTGTGAGTGACAGTATTGGAATTTATACCAGTCTTTTGGGTTTGTCCAGGGAACATGTAGCCAAGCAAAATAGCTTACAAGCAACGTTTTGTGAAATGAATCCAAGTTTCCTCATTAACTTTAGCTTTCTATTGGGATGAAAGTTTAAAAATATTCAATTCTATTTTTAAAAATACTTTTCCAAGAGAGTATCGACAAGTCTGTTCAAAAGGTTTAAGGTATGCTGAAATCGATGTTCCTGTGGGAAGAGGGAGCTTTATGTTAGTACTTCCTGAACTTCTCAGCATGTTCCTTCTATATCCTCTCAGCTGTTGACCTTACAAGACAGTCTTTAAGTGTATACATTTGCTAGAAACGTCCTAAATCCACAAAATATGGTCTTGATTAATTTCATACATAAACATACTCTCATGTAGGATTAATTAATGTCTTCACTGTTAGAAAAAACAGATCCCAATATGTGACTAAGGACCAATGTGGGCAACACACAGTCCTGATTTACTTCAAGTTAAGCATCAAGATACAACAATAAAATCTCATATGGAAATATTGTAGATTACTTTACTGGAGAATGATTTGATTGGCAATGAACCCCTTAGTGCCTATAATAATTGAATAAGTCTGTTCTCACACTGCAAATAAAGACATACCCAAAACTGGGTAATTTATAAAGAAAAAGAGGTTTAATGGACTTATAGCTCCACATGGCTAGGGAGGCCTCACACTCATGGTGGAAGGTGAAGGAAGAGCAAGGACACATTTTACATGGCAGCAGGCAAGAGAGTTTGTGTGTGGGAAGTGCCCTTTATAAAACCATCAGATCTTGTGAGACTTATTCCCTATCACAAGAAGAGCACGGGAAAAGCCCGCCCCTATAATTCAATTACCTCCCACTCGGTCCCTCTCATGATATGTGGGGATTATGGGAACTACAATCCAATATGAGATTTGGGTGGGGACACAGCCAAACCATATCAATACTTAAAAATACAGGAAGAGGTGGGCTGGGCTCAGTGGCTCATGCCTGTAATCCCAGCACTTGGGAAGGCTGAGGCGGGTGGATCACGAGGTTAGGAGTTCTTGATCAGCCTGACCAACATGGTGAAACCTCATCTCTACTAAAAATACAAAAATTTGCCAGGTGTGGTGGCATGCGCCTGTAATCCCAGCTACTCAGGAGGCTGAGGCAGGAGAATCACTTGAACTCAGGAGGCGGAGGTTGCAGTGAGCTGAGATGGTGCCACTGCACTCCAGCCTAGCGATAGAGCAAGAATCCCTCTCAAAACAAAACAAAAAAAAATACAGGAAGAGGTAAAAGGGATTCCAGAGTATTTTTTTTATTTATTCCCTAAGAAGAGTGACTATGCAAATACTTATGGTGTTCAATGTTCAGTTATTATAGAAATATTCACGCCCTAAAGATTGCATTATAGCACACAAAAGCTGTCGCTGTCTCCTAGGAGTAGTGAAATGGCATCCTTAGGACATGGATAGAAACACAAATCTTGTTTGAGTGAAGGGATCTACAGTCCACAACAGCTATTACTCACTCACTAAACCAATTTCCAATATAATATATGCAATTAAAAAAGTCAAAGGTGGGATAATCTTAGTAAATATAACCAAAATGAAATCATATCACTACTGTGTACAAAAGTGTCATTAGTAAAACAATTGCAGGGAAAGGGAGTCCTTGAGGACTTCCTGGTGGCTAAAATTTCAATCAATCAAATGAGCTTTTCTTATATTCACTCACGATAGACAGTCTAATCTAACTTTGATGTACATCAGGAACAGAACCATAAGTTATTGGTCTCCTTTAGTTTTGAATTTGATATCTTCCACTACCTAGATTTAGGTATCCATGAATGTAAATCATATGTTCCTGAAGGCCCTGGAGCACACGCAGAATTCACCTGGTAAATACTGCTAAATGTTTTCAGGGCCCTTCCATCCAGCTGGCGTGAAAATTCACCATCTGCTTTGAAACCAGATGAGCAAACAAAAGCACGTGTTGCTGACTTACATAATTCCTTCAAGGAGAAAAGAAGCCTTGGGCCCCTAAATGTCAAAGCTGCTTATTTCTCAGCTTAGTTGAGTGCAGACTCAGCAGAGCTGTGATGGAGATTTGAAGGTGAATGACTGCACAAGTCTGAAGCCAAGGGTCTGGGCAGAAGACAATGATTAAAAAAATACTTTTATCTAACCTTTGTTAAAATAAAACTCTCAGGAGAACAATGGTTTCCTTTCTAAATTAGCTTTGCTTATACCTACAAGGTACAAAGTACAGTGGCAATAGATTGATGACTGTAAACTGACACTTAAATTTTTCATGCAGAAAATGGAATGATGAAAAAATATTAACGACTATTGCCATTGCTTCCCACATGTTAATCAACAAAGTCAAATCACGAGACACAATGTCTAAATGCTTTGTATTTTTATAGCTTCTTTTTATAATTCTGGATTTTGTTCAATATTTAAGTTATTCACTAGCATTCTCTGCTTGGGTTTTAAATTGCCCTTTAATTGTTAACTGATTATTGATGTTCACTGTGGCAGATATATTTTTAGCCTGTTCATAGACTCCCAATTAATAATTCTTTTTCCACTCCATGTAACAACAATGCAATTGTTTTAAAAATCAACCAATTCTGGTTTCTGGTCTAAGTTGGAAGAATTTAACAACTCATAAGTAATGATACTGTATTTCTATATAAAGTTTTCTTTATAAAAATTTTATAAAAAGTTACATTTTTATGAGAGTTATGGTTCTGTTGAGAGCAATAGATACAGACATTGGCTAAATTAAGGTAAAATGGAGCATGTTAGAAGGATGTGGCTAGATATGGGAAGCCTCACAGGAAAGAAGAGACAGAAAGCAAACTTGGAACAGGCAAAAACCAATCAGCTCTGGGTGGCCTCAGTAGCTCTGTAGTCATATCTGTGTTACAACCGTTGTCCCTGTGATAGTTCACTGAAGGTTTGAGGTGCTGGAAGAGAGTCAGAATTATAATATTCAGGCTATACATCATTTTAGGGAAAAAAGGATTAAGAAGAAGCATCTCCCAGGGTCACCTGAGACAAATCTAATCTGCAACATGAAGGCAGCACATCAGTAGTTGTCTGGAGCTGGAGGTTGGGTGGCATGGTTTTATCTGGGAAGAGGCACAAGGAATCCTTTGAAGTGATGGAAATGTACATCTTGATTAGGTTGATGGTTACACTGGTGTATAAATTTGTCAAACATTTTGGTAATGTAAACTTGGATAGATTTTGTTGTGTATAAAGTATACATCCACAGAGTTGATTTTAAAAAGACATCCAGAAATGTTGTACTTTGTAAATTATATTAAAATATACCTATAAGTAGTTTGACAATAACAATGAATAAACCAACTGTGTTCACCACAGCTCTAGAATAACAGAAATTGACTTTTGGCATGACAGTGTAAGGAGCTCCAGATAAAAACAGCAACCATTTGAAGCCTTGAGAAATGGTACTACGTACGAATAGCAAATAAAATAGTATCTATTTGAGAAAATCTATAAAAAGCAGTAAAAAAAGGCAAGAGTCTATAGTATTTAAGTCCAAACTGCTCTCTTTTTTTCCCTTCCCAGATCGGTAAGGTGTAGAGATTTCACTAAAGATTACTGAAACCAAGAACACAGGACCCGCTCCCCCAGCCACTCCCCACCCTGCTTCTTTGCTCCCAGTTGGAGAGCTTTCTTTTTAGAAGGAGTAAGATGTCAGTATTTCTTATCTTACACATAGCTACCTACTGCAGAGGCTGAGTGTGGTTGAGAAGTAGAGGTCACCTTCATCTGCCCAATTCCCACCCATGCCACAGATATGTTTTGCTTTAGGTGTGGAATGCTGAGGATATGGGGTGGGGCCCTAATCATCTTTGACTTGGCTTGTGAGGAGGCATGCTTCAGCACCAGAAGGGGTGAGCCAAGGGGACCTTAGGCTACCTCTGTACAGTTTTCCACCACCACACACTCAGCTTCTAGAGTGAGAGCAATATGTAGGGATATCACTCAGAGAAAAGTTTACCAACAAGCCATAAAAGAGCATCTAATTTCTTCCCAAAGGAACTAACTTCACTTGCAACATATTTTGGAGAAGTTCAAGCTTGAACGAACTCTTAAGAACAGTGGAGCCGGGCGCGGTGGCTCACGCCTGTAATCCCAGCATTTGGGAGGCCAAGGCGGGCGGATCACGAGGTCAGGAGATCGAGACCATCCTCGCTAACGCGGTGAAACCCCGTCTCTACTAAAAATACAAAAAATTAGCCGGGCGTGGTGGTGGGCGCCTGTAGTCCCAGCTACTCGGGAGGCTGAGGCAGGAGAATAGCATGAACCCGGGAGGCGGAGCTTGCAGTGAGCCCAGATTGCACCACTGCACTCCAGCCTGGGCGCCACAGCGAGTCTCCATCTCAAAAAAAAAAAAAAAAAAAAGAACAGTGGAGACCATGGTAGAAGCCAACTGAGAAAAAATATTCTCTGAACTGTAAGTTGGTTGTTTGCAAGATGGAACCAGGGAATAAGGTAGGTGGGAGGTGCCACTTTGGAGTAAAAAAAGATAAAAGATGACCTCAATAACTTTTTTCAAAGGAGCTAAAATTTTATAGGGTTTATTTGTATGCTAATTTATGTTCTAGGGCATTGTTATAAAAAATAGAGATATCATTCAGCAATTAATGAAGTTGAACAGATAGGTCCAGTAAGGGAAAGGGAAAAACAAAGCTCTACCAAAACCACTGTCATCCCAGAGTGACCGTGGGCATACCCAAAGCTGTGTCTCCCTAAAAAGTGACATCAGGGTTTAACACTGAAAGAATGGGTAGATTTCACTGAAATAACCCTGCAGCCTCTAAACAAATAAATAAGCAAATAATAACAAGCCCCTAGATGGCAGGAAGGGACAGTACCCAGAAATGCTACAATATGTTTTCTAAAATGTCCAGTTTTTATTAAAAAAGTATAAAAAATGCAAAGAAACAAGAAAGTATAACAATACACCAGAGGTTTATAGAAAGAAGCAGGCAACAAACTCCCTGTGAGAGCACACACATAAAATTGTATTTGTCAGAAAAAGACTTTAAATTAAACACTATAAACAAGATCATAGATCTAAAATAAATCAGTATTAAATAAACAAAAGTATGATCACAATGCCACCTCAAATACAGAATATCAATATGAAATAAAGAATTATAAAAAGAGTCAAATAAAAATGTTAGAGTTAAAAAATGCAGTAAGTGGGAAAAAATACACTAGAGGGGCTTAACAATAGATGTGAACACACAGAAAAACAAACTTGAAGAGAGCTCAGTAAAGATTATGTGAGCCTAAAAACAGAGAGAATAAAAGAATGAAGAACAATAAAGACAATAAAGAAAGCCTCTAAGGAAACATTACGTGTAACAGGATACCAAAAGGGAGGAGAGAGAAAAGAGAAGAAAATATATTTAAAAAAATAATGGCTGAAAACTTCCTAAATCTATTAAAAAACCAATAATCTACATATCAAGGAAGCCCAACAAATTCCAAGGAGGGTAAAAATGAAGATCTTCACAAACAGACACATAAGAGTAAAAATGGTGAAAGTCAGACAAGGAGAAAATTGAAAGCAACAAGAGAAAAATGACTTACTACTTAGAATACCAACAAAATTAATAGCAGATTTTTTTCTTTTCTTTATTTTTTTCTTCTCTCTCTCTCTTTTGACAAAGTCTTGCTCTCTCACTCAGGCCACAGTGCAATGTTGTGATGAAGGCTCACTGCAGCCTTGGTCTCTCATGTTCAAGGGATCCTTCTCACTTCAGTCTCTTGAGTAGCTCGACCACAGACACATGCCACCATATCTAGCTATTTTTGGGGGAGACAGAGTCTCCCTGTGTTGCCCAAGCAGGTCTTGAACTCCTGGGTTCAAGCAATCCTCCCACCTTAGCCTCCTAAAATGCTAGGATTGCAAGTGTGAGCCATCACACTTGGTTAATAGCTGATTTCTCATCAGAAAAAAAACAAAAACAAAAAACAAAAAACGAAGCCAAAAGATAGTAGAATAATCAAAGTGCTCAAAGTAGAAACAAGCAAAATGAAAATTCCAACTAAAATTATTTTATTATTTTATTTTACTTTAAGTTCTGGGATACATGTGCAGAATGTGCAGGTTTGTTACATAGGTGTACATGTGCCATGGTAGTTTGCTGCACCTATCAACCCGTCATCTAGGCCTTAAGCCCCGCATGCATTAGGTATTTGTCCTAATGCTCTCCCTCCCCTTGCCCCCCACCCCCCAACAGGTCCCGGTGTGTGATGTTCCCCTCCCTGTGTCCATGTGTTCTCATTGTTCAACTCCCACTTATGAGTGAGAACATACGGTGTTTGGTTTTCTGTTCCTGTGTTAGTTTGCTTTGCTAAATGTAAGAATTTTATATTATATACCCAAAGGATTCTACTACAAAATTCTTATATTTAGCAAAGTTATATTTAAAAAATGAGCTGGGCACAGTGTCTCATTCCTGTAATCCCAGCACTTTGGGAGGCTGAGGTGGGCGGATCACGAGGTCAGAAGATCAAGACCATCCTGGCTAACACGGTGAAACCCCGTCTCTACTAAAAATACAAAAAAAAAAAAAAAAAAAAAAAAAAAAAATTAGCCAGGCATGGGGGCAGGCACTTGTCGTCCCAGCTACTAGGGAGGCTGAGGCAGGAGAATGGCGTGAACCTGGGAGGCGGAGCTTGCAGTTAGGCGAGATCGTACCACTGTACTCCAGCCTGGGCGACAGAGCAAGACTCCGTCTCAAAAAAAAAAAAAAAAGAATTTGGATTGATAATATTTTGTTAAAAATTTTCACATCTAACTTGATGAAAGATATTGGCCTATAGATTTCTTTTTTTATTGTGTCCTTGTCTGGTTTGGGTATCAGGGCAATGCTGGCCTCAATCATCTGAGGGATGCAAGGAGGCCTCAATCATCTGAGGGATGCAAACCAATAAACATGGTACATCACATTAACAAAATCAAGGTTAAAAAAAGTATATGATCACTTCAATAGACACACATAAAAATCATTTGATAAAATTGAACACCCCTACATGATAAAAACCCTCAACACATTAGGTACAAATGGAACATTCCTTAACACAGCCATGTATGACAAACTTATAGCCACCAAATTGACCTACAGATTTAATGCAATCCATATCAAAATACAAAATATATTTTGCACAGAAATAAATAAAAGAATCCTAAAATTTGTATGGAACCACAGGACGCCAAATAGCCAAAGCAGTCTTGAGCAAAAAGTGCAAAGCTTGAGGTATCACACTGCCTGACTTCAAAATATATCACAAAGCTATACTAACCAAACTAGTATGATACTGCCATAAAAACAAACATATAGGCCAATGGAGCAGAATAAAGAACCCCAAAATAAATCCTCATATTTACACTCAACTTATTTTTGACAAAGGTGCCAAGAACACACATTGGGGAATAGGCAGTCTCTTCAATAAATGGTTCTGAGAAAACTTAGATAGCTACAGGCAGAAGAATGAAATTAGACCCCTATGACTCACCATATACAAAAGAAAGCAACCCAAAATGGATTGAAGACTTAAATGTAAGACCCAAAACTATGAAACTACTAGAGGAAAACCTAAAAGAAACAAATTTATTTGAACCCAGTAACATCGTTCATATAACATTTAAAAACAGACTGTGAGGAACAGGGCTTATAATCATCTTTTCTGGTCAGGTAGCCCTCCTTATCTCTTAGACTTATATCTGTATATTAAGGGAAAATTCAAGTATTGAGCCAACTACCTCAATCTCCTTCCTCTGAAGTGATAATGATGTTTTCTGTTTCTGTTTTCATCTTGACTCTAATTGGAATAAACATTTTTTCAAGGGCCAAGATTATTACATATTTTAAAACTTCTGTAGTTCAGTATGTTCATAGTACATTAAAAAATTTGTGTATCTATCTACAGGTATTAATCCTGTCTCTCAGAGTGAGTTCCCATTGCTAGCATGAAAAACACAGACCACAAAAATTGAAATGGGTATTTCTATTCTCACTTCTCTCAAAAACAGAAATCTAAAACATATTAAGAGATTTTTCACAAGTCACATAACAAATCTGAGGTTGAGCCATAGACCCCATGGCTTCTCCCATTTTGCCATAGTAATCACCCTTTCATTTAAAAGTAAATATAAAATCTGTATTATTACTCTAAGTTATTATAATATCAAATAAGTGATAATTAACCCTATGTATCAGAAACTGTTTTAGGCAACAACATTTTCCTCTAAATACCAACTGGAATTTTGTTATTAAAAATAGTCTCTAAGTTTCCTATCTGTCCTCATCCTAGTTGCAAAGTTTGGCTCAATGGAAAGCATCATATGACTCTCACAGGGCACTGGAAATGTGTATTTCATGGTGCTCCGCATTAAGCATCTACTAGCAAAGGAACATGGCTTGGAGTCATATACTTGAATATTCTATTCATACATCTGTGTGAATGCAGAAAGTCCTCTTGATCTTTACAAGCCTCATTTTCCTAGACTATAATGAAATTTTCTTATTTATTTCAAAAAGTTTAAACATGAAAACAATGTAAAAAAAAATAAGCGCTGATGTTGTTAATACATTTCCCACAGCACCTGACTGTAAAGCATCATCTGCTTGGTGGGTCATTGCTAAATCCCTCCTTTCCCTTCCTGTCTATTTTCAATGTTTACTTTCACTTGTCTTCACAGAAGCCAGGATCATCTTCTGTGACATAACCTAGAGCATGCATGAACATTCATTATAAAGTGAAAAGCAGGGTTGTCTGTGATCAGTTCCCAAGGAATTCCATCCCCTGACTCAACAAGCATGAGACATGAGTCTTTTTCCCTCCAGTGGGAGGGCTACAACCATCCAGTCATCCTTGGGACATGTGATATTTGGGCAGTTTGCCTTTCCCAGCAATTTCCTAAAGATCTGCAGGATCCTTAACTCAGACAACCAGTTGCCTAGGTCAGACATCATAAGGCATTCTCAGGGTCAGCATGTGCATTAAAAACAAAAGAGCCGTCAAGGGGTGGGGTCTTCTCCTGGAACATAGCAGCAGTGTGGCCTGTAGGCCCTGAGCCAAGCACAACTCTCTTGAGGAGTGGTGACCACCTGCTCCCTCATAGTCCCTTTCTTGCCTTGCAAAGTGTCCCAAAAGCTTATCTGAATCCCATACCCCACCACGGTTAATTTCCTTACTTCTTAGTACCCACCTTACCATAATCCTTGGAAACAGACATCATGCCTTTTCCACTGTTTCTGCTTTTCTTTTTGTCCTCCAGTGCTTAACATGGCACGAGGCATATAGTAAACATGTAGTAAAGAGATTTAATGTATTAAACTATTAAGTTGCCAAGGAAGGACAGGAGGCCTAGAAAACCTGAATTGTTCAGGTTTACATAGAGATCATTTTCTTTCTATAAGGAAAATAGAAAAGATAAGTCTCAGAATTAATGTGGTTCAGATGGGCAGAGGGAAACCGGATAGGAGATAATAACAGAGGACTCGGAACAAATACTAATTATGTGTTCAGGGGAGGAAAAAAGGAACTCAATTAAGCCTTTTTGGATTCATGGACAAACCAGAGAGAAATGCAGAGACAAACACAAGTTTAGGGCTGCCTTGCTGTGAACACTCACTCTGCCTGGATTTACCCTGGGTGTCTAGCCAGCTTCCCCAGCACTTTTCCTGCGTGAGGCTGTATTGATTGCACAGGTTAAGTGGGGTGTCTTATTATTTGTGTAGGTCAGGCTTTCCTGTTATAACTTGCAGTTCATTTTCATTTATTTTAAAAATCAGCAAAAGCAAAAACACCCAGCTGCTGCCTGGGGTGCTCTTCTGCTGAGATGAAGGTTAAGATTTATCAGCTACATTCCCTATAACATTGTTTTGTCCAAGCAAACTCTCTCCCTCCTGTTTGCTTTAATTGTTGGAATAAATAGGGAGACATAAAGTAAAGGTAAATAGAGAGAAGCCAGTAATCATATCCTTTGGCTTTTCATTAGTCTCTATAGGTGTTAGGCAGTCAGTCAATAAGTTTTGAGCAACCTATTACTGAATGCATCAATATATGCTAATAACGGAATTTTTTGCCTCAGTTGGGTGCCATAAATATTGCTCACATCATAGTTCAATGTCTATTTGAGAATTACTACAATGATGCCTGCCATGAATAATTAATGAGATGCCACGGAGTTAGAGCAAATGGCATTCTATCTACACATAGGCTCCAGTGTCATCAGTGGCTGGTAAGATCAACAGAAGGAGAATCACTGATATTTGTGTAACAGCAAAGCCAGAGTTGTCCCTTTGGTGGTAGACACTTCACTAGGCCTTTTAGACAAACACACCTTCTTAGCAGAGGTGTCAACCCATTGTGTGGCCTGTCCTCAGGATGTGTCACCCCTTTAAGTAGGTAGAACGTTCCTGTTAGCATTATTTACAATACTAATACCCAGGAAGTATTGGAAATGTGGGACATTGCTAAGAGAGAACCGACTTTGAAAAATAAAGATGGATAATAAATAAGAGCATTTGGGTATGTTAGAAGAAAGTGTGTTCAAGAGTAAGTTTGCTCTAGCTTGGCTTCATCAAGTCAGCACCTCTAGGAACTTTGGCCATAGAAGAACCAAGGAAGGGGGCTAAAGCTGTAAATCTAATGATAAAAATTATAATGCAAATCCCACCTTCAAGTTTACTAGTGGCTATCATGTTAAGTGATCCAATTTCAATACTGACAATGTGTTTGAAAGATATTTCAATTGCTCTAGTGCTCTAGAGATTATTGCTTTGTGTACGTATATTATATATGTGTGTGTGTTTATATGTATACATACATATATAAATATGTATGTATATTTTTATATGTATATATACCCAAATATATAAATATACCTATATGTGTACATATATGTGTACATATAGACATGTACACATATACACATACATGTATGACAGAGGTGTGTATATCACAGAGGTGTATATGTGTATATATACATATATGTGTATGTATGTGTATATATACACATGTGTATGTATACACACGTGTATATATGTGTATATATACACGTGTATGTATATACACATGTGTATATATGCGTATACATATACATACATATATGCATGTATATGTACACATTTGTGTATATGTCTATGTATACACATACATATATTTATACACAAAATATTTGTTTATACACACACACACACACACACACACAGAAAAGGAGAAACAGGAGAAACACAGATAGACCCCTAAGCAAAGAGGGTTACAAAAATGTGATGGTACAGACTTATAAATAAGCAGGGAAAAGCTGACTTCTTTGTAAAACTCTCCATCTGATAGAACTCTTGGAATACTGCCTTTGAAAATATTAGAATTTAAAAACTTTTGGCAATTCCTATGTTATCTTTAAAATCAATGTAAGTTTAACAATTGATACCACTTATTTTCCTCACCTGCCCATTTCACCATTCTTTACTCTTCTGCTTTCTAGGAAGGAGGAGCACCCTAGGTCTAGAGTAGGGTTTCTCAGACTGGGTTCCTTGGAGAAGCCTCAGGGAGTCTGTGTACCATGCAATGTTTTATGCAAGAGGTTATTTTTATTGTACTTTTGCAGTTTGTTTGAGGAGGCTGTCAGTCACTATGTTTCAATGTTAAGAGGTTTTAAGAGTGATAATAAAAAAGAAGATCTTTTTTTTTTCTGCCAATCCATGGCCAATTCTTCTATCCATATAGTATTTTCCTTTGGGAATTTCTAATGTTCCAGCCTCCAACCTGAGGGATGGAGAATGGGTCCTGTTTGTTGGAGGGGATATAGATAGTATCACAAAAAGTTTGTCGTCTAATGTCATTTTAAGGATTTTATTTTCCCATATGTTCTATAGCTACAGAAAGCAGGCATTTTTCTATTTTTACCACTCACTCTGTGGCATTTTCATGTCAAGGTTATGAGGAATTGTCTAGTGGTGTGTGTGTGTGTGTGTGTGTGTGTGTGTGTGTGTGTGCATGGGGAAAAATAATATTTTCTAACTCTAGGGTCAACCTGGGTCTGCCTAAGGATCATCTCTCCATCTCCACCTGCCATGGTGCGTAAGATTTACTAACTAACTCATGTTGGACCTGGAAAATCACCAGCAATTTCATTCATATAAATCATCTCAGTGTTTCATGGGGATGGAAAGGCAGAGTAGTAGATGGTCCAATAATTGATCCTATGATTTCCTGGAGCAAGCCTGAAGATTCCCCTGATTTGGCTTCAGTCTGTCTTAATTTTATTTCCTCAGTATACCTAGTCTGTCAGCTTCTTGTGGTCGTGAATATGTTCTCTTGTACCATTGTTGTATCTCCAAGGCCTGCAACACAAGAGGGCTCAGGATAGATTTATGCTGGTGCTACTGGTGTTTTGTTACCATTTTCAGAAACATTCTTATTCACCTGACCTCCTGAAGAAAATGCGTAAAATTTGCACATGAGATTACTTTGGCTGGGTCCATGAGATAAACAGATGTTCCTGCCAGACAATTCACTCTGCATTAACATAAAGCCAGTGGGGAAAGAAAAATGAAATGTTTCATTAAGTTGTGGCAGCCTGCTCGTGTATTCATCAATTTATACTTTACTAAAAATGTCTGTTGGCTAATGTGTAGAGATGATCATAATAAATGTTAATCGCTTCTAGCAGTTTATCTTTCCAATCACGATCATCCCTTTGCTCTCATTCCAATTTCAATCAAAACACACAGATGTAGAGTTTATTGGGATGAGACAGGCTGGAGATTTATAGTCAATGTACCTCCCAGCAATTAAGAGGACTTATCCAAACAACTCCCATCTAAGTTGATTGAAATCTAGGCCTATTTATCCTGAAAATTAGAAATTTTTATAAAATAAAAACACAATTATACATTCTAAAAAGACCAGTCAAGTTAATATCTTGCATTTTGATTCAGACAGTAGCACTTGGGAACACATTGCTCTACTGCTTTTCCTTGACATCTGGCACCCCATGATTCAGACATTTCCTTTTCAATTTAGCAGATCTGAAAAATCATATAGCAAAAAATATACATGTATATATATTTTAATATATATTAAAGGCTGAAGAATGCAACCTTAAAGCTGAACATCTATTTACAAAAAGTTGGTAGGATTGTAGAAAACTGCCTTTAAAAAATGATTTAAGCTGAGTTTTAAAAGTTCAAAAATATACATTAGTAACTTTTTGAATAAATGTAAGGAAAGTAGATATATTTGTCAGTAGTTAAAATATTCGACTCTTCTTCTGGTGTCAGCACCCTTATTCTCCTCTTAAAATGATATGCTACGGTTTGAATGTTTCCCCCAGCTTCCATGTGTTGGAAACCTAATCCCCATTGCAACAGTGCTGAGAGGTAGGGCTTTTAACTGGTGATTAGTTCATGAGGTCTCTGCCCTCATGAACAGATTAATGGCATTATGCTGGGAGTTATCACAGGAGTGAATTATTAATAAGATAACTCTTTTCTGTATCATCCTAATGAAAAGTATGAATCTGGCCCACTTTCTCTCTTGCCTCATCTTGTGCTCTCCCGCTCTTCCACCTTCAGCCATGCGATGGTGTGGCAAAAACAACCTTATCAGATGCTAGCACTTTGATGTGGGACTTTCCAGCCTCAGAACTGTGCAAATTTTATTTTCTTTGTAAATTATCCCACGTATGGCATTCTGTTGTAGCAACACAAAGAAGACTAAGACACCATCCCTCCATCTCTCCTAATTCTTGTGGTATTACTGGAGCTGCTTCCTTCTGTAACTACAAAGGTGAGTATATGACCTGACCTGGCAATCAGGGTAACACATTCCTCTGACTAGAGCAATTAGTTCATCCTTGGTTATGACTAAACCATAGCTCAATGAGGCTCAGTTCTGGGTCTTTTTTGAACCTCTTAGTAGAGGAAAGCTGAGCTGCTGAAAAGAGATAATAATCTTAGAGTAACAAGCATTCATATTACAGTAAAAAAGAGACAATATAACAGTAGATTTAAACAAAGAATAATAGACCTGAGATTGAAAGACAAGTAATTGGAAATTTTATTGCATCCCTGGATGCAGTCAGCCTTTAAACTAATATTCTAAAACTTTTTTTAAAAAGTATTGTTTAAAGTTTTATTTCTTAAAATCTATTATATACAGTTCATATATATAAAGTCTATAATAAAATTTATATTATATAAATTTATATAGTATATATACTATATATAGTATATAAATATATATAAGTATATATATATACTGTATATATAGTATATAAATTTATATATATATATATATATATATATATATATATATATATATTTAAAACACTGGAGAGTCCCCAAAGACATTCCTGCCTATTTCCCCCTCTAAATTCTAGACTGTCAAGTAGCTGGTGAGACAGCTAAGCGGTCAGATAAGTTGATGAACCATTTTCTTCTAATTTAGCAAAGTTCAGTGGTGACCTTGAGATAAGTAGTATTAGTAGATTAGTAGAGGACCAAAGCTTGATTGGAATGGATTTAATAGCAATTGAAAAGAGAAGTTGAAATAGAGATTAGGTATTTTTGTTGAGGTCTTTTGTGGGGGCAGCAAACAAATGCTGGCAGGCAGGAGAAGTGGGGCCAATAACATTGACATTATTGAGAATTATTACTGCATATAACTGAAATTGTAGTCTACCTGACCATAAACGATTGCCCAAGAATGGGTCACCAACAAAGGTGAGTCAATGTATAGACTGACAATGGCAAATAATTATCTGGTATGAAAGAAGTGACTTGCAGAGATGATGGCAGTAATTGGACCAATCTTAGAGTCTTTCCAAAAGCATTTGAATCAGAAACATTGAACCAGAAATAGTTGAGATGCTGGTAGAAACAGAAAAGGCTCAAAAACATACTAAGTCAAACAGAATCAGATAATATAACTTAATGATTTTTAATAGCAGTTCACAGTGACTAGAAGAATCAACAAAATCCCATTTTTACCAAGTAGACTCTAGGCTGTCTCAGTCACCTTAGCAATGGTGGATTCTAAAGAACTGCTCAGATTTTGTGAGACTCAATTTCAAATTTCTTACCGTGTTTTCCTGAATTTACTATTTAAAAGGCAATGCATTCACATGGTGCACAATCCCAAGGGTGCAACAGGATTTACAGTAAAAATCTTCCTGCTGCCCCCACTCCCAAGTACCTAGTTTTTCACTCTGAGGCAACAGCTTATCAGTGGTCTGCATACACTTCTAGAGTAATTGTGTGTATTAAACCGATACGTGTATAAAAGTATGTATGGGTGTATATGTGCCCACATGAACATGCTTTTATCAAAAAACATGGAAATTAATTTATGCCAGTGCATAAAAAACTTCCTCATTATTTTCTTTAGCAGTGGATGCAACATGGTGTAACCATGTCCCATCTTGATGGACATGGGATTATTTCCTATCTTTGGCTTTTTTACATAAAACTGCAGTGAGGAACTTTACATCCAAGTCGTTTTGCATGCACAAAGTTTATCTACATAATGTATTTCAGAAGTTAAATTCCAGAATTAAATGAGCAGGTGTTTATAACTCTGACAGGTGTTGCCAAATGACTTTCCACAGTGGTTGTAAAAAGTTACATTTCTATGAAAGTTGTTTCCCCACATCCTAGAAAACAGAGTTCACGATCAAATAGTATTTTTAAGTATTTGCCTATCAAAAGGTAATATGTATCTCAATATAGGTTTAAATCATAATTATCTTATTATGAGAGCAGCTAGGAATATTTTCACATACTTAAGAGCCACTCCTATTTTATGTTTATAAAATATTTATATCTTCTTTGGGTTGTTGATCATTTTCCTTATCAAGTGTAGTGCCCCTTTCTATGAGACAGAAATTAGCTTTTTGTCTAATATTCATTGTAAATACTTTTAAACTGTTTTCTCTTTGTTTGTATTTCTTCATGATGCATTTTTCTGTGAAAGAAGATTTCACATGTGTGTCTGTGTACATGTGTGCACGCTTGGTAGTTGAATTTGTTAAAATGTTTCTTTAATATGACTTCCAGGTTATGTGTAATATCTAGAAAGGTCTTTCTTATGCAAAATTATAAAACAATTATTTTCCATTTTAAAAACACTTCTATTTACCTTTTTTATAGTTAAATCTCTAATTCATTTTTAAATAACCAGTGTCTAAGATGTGAAAAGCTAATCTAATTTATCTGATTTTTTCTTCTTTCCCAGAATGAATATCTGGTTTTCCCAATACTCATTAAATTCAATATTTCCAACTGATTTGAAATATTTTGTTTATCATATACTAAATTTTGATATTTTCAGAACTCTCTCTTCAGTTTTTATTTGGTTCCATTTAATTTGTTCATTCATTGGTAATAAACTGTCTTAACTTGTGTAACTAATTCATGTATATTAATATAACTTTATAATATATTTAGTCCTCTCATTTCATTTATTATAGCTAATTTTTTAACATGAAATTTAGAATCTCAACTGTGCATTATGGATCAGCTCCATTTCCTAACCAAGGAATAAAAGTTTAGTAATGACACATCTATGAGAAAAACTTGCTCAAATATTTATGTTTCTTCTCTCTCTCCCTCTATATATATATAAAGATATATATATAGTTGATATATATATGGTTGACATATATATAGTTTGTATCTATGTATCTATCTGTCTATCTATCTATCTCTCTATCGATAGATAGATATCTTTCTATCTATCGATAGATAGATAGATATCTTTCTGTCTCTCAGCAATGGTAAGCTCTCTCCTTTCCCTGGCTCCAAAGTTCTCAGTTTGATACAGTTTTGGTATTTGTCTCCACCCAAATCTCATGTTGGATTACAATCCCCAGTGCTGAAGGCAGGGGATGGTTGAAAGCGTTTGGATCCTGGGGGTGGATCTCTCATGGCTTGGTGCTGTCTTCGTGATAGTGTGTGAGTTCTTGGTCATTTAAAAGGGTGTGGCACCTCCCCACCCCCACTCTCTTTGTCCATTACGCCTGCTTTTGCCAAGTGACACGCCCACATCCTAGAAAACAGAGGTCATTATTAAACAATATTTTTAAATATTTGCCTATCAAAAAGCAATATGTACATCATTATAGTTTTAAATCATAATTCTCAATAAATTCCACCATGATTGTGATTGTAAGCTTCCTGAGGCCTCCCTAGAGGCTGAGCAGATGCTGGCACAGTGCCAGCAGTAAAGCCTGCAGAACCATGAACCAATTAAATATCTTTATAAATTACCCAGTCTCAGGTATTTTCTTTACAGCATTGCATGAACAAACTAATTAATACATAATATTTGTACCGAGAAGTGGGGCATTGCTGTGAAGATACCTGAAAATGTGGAAGTGACTGAAATTAGGTAACAAGCTGAAGAAGCAAATGCAAGGGGTTTGAGTCAACAGGAAAACTCTGCGGAATTCTTTAAAGACATCGATGTGACTAGTTGTACAACACCTATGATGGAAGAGTAGAAGGTAAGGCTGGAGAAATAAACAGAACAGTTTTGAGAGCCTTCAATAACATAATTTATCAGAGAAGTACTCTTTTTTTTTTTTTTGTATATACTTTAAGTTCTAGGGTACATGTGCACAACCTGCAGGTTTGTTACATATGTATACGTATGCCACGTTGGTTTGCTGCACCCATTAACTCGTCATTTACATTAGGTATTTCTCCTAATGCTATCCCTTCCACATCCCCCCACCCCACAACAGGCCCCAGTGGGTGATGTTCCCTGCCCTGTGTCCAAGTGTTCTCATTGTTCAACTCCCACCTATGAGTGAGAACATGCGGTGTTTGGTTTTCTCTCCTTGTGATAGTTTGCTCAGAATGATTGTTTCCAGCTTCATCCATGTCCCTACAAGGGGCATGAACTCATCCTTTTTTATGGGTGCATAGTATTCCATGGTGTATATGTGCCACATTTTCTTAGTCCAGTCTGTCATTGTTGGACATTTGGGTTGGTTCCAAGTCTTCGCTATAGTGAATGGTGTTGCAGTAAACATACGTGTGCATGTGTCTTTATAGTTGCATGATTTATAATCCTTTGGGTATATACCTAGTAATGAGTTTGCTGGGTCAAATGGTATTTCTAGTTCTAGATCCTTGAGGAATCAACATGCTGTCTTTCACAGTGGTTGAACTAGTTTACACTTCCACCAACAGTGTAAAAGCGTTCCTGTTTCTCCACATCCTCTCCAGCACCTGTTGTTTCCTGACTTTTTAATGATCGTCATTCTAACAGGTGTGAGATCATATCTCATTGTGGTTTTGATTTGCATTTCTCTAATGACCAGTGATGATGAGCATTTTTTCATGTGTTTTCTGGCTGCATAAATGTCTTCTTTTGAGAAGTGTCTGTTCATATCCTTTGCCCACTTTTTGATGGGGTTGTTTGATTTTTTTCATGGAAATTTGTTTGATTTCATTGTAGATTCTGAATATTAGCCCTTTGTCAGGTGGGTAGATTGCAAAAATTTTCTCCCATTCTGTAGGTTGCCTGTTCACTCTGATGGTAGTTTCTTTTGCTGTACAGAAGCTCTTTAGTTTAATTAGATCCCATTTGTGTATTTTGGCTTTTGTTGCCATTGCTTTGGTATTTTAGTCATGCAGTCCTTGCCCATGCCTATGTCCTGAATGGTATTGCCTAGGTTTTCTTCTAGGGTTTTTATGGTTTTAGATCTCATATTTAAGTCTTTAATCCATCTTGAATTAATTTTTGTGTAAGGTGTAAGGAAGGGATCCAGTTTGAGCTTTCTTTATGTGGCTAGCCAGTTTTCCCAGCACCATTTGTTAAATAGGGAATCCTTTCCCCATTTCTTGTTTTTGTCAGGTTTGTCAAAGATCAGATGGTTGTAGATGTGTGGTGTTATTTCTGAGGTCTCTGTTCTGTTCCATTGGTCTATCTCTCTGTTTTGGTACCAGTACCATGCTGTTTTGGTTACTGTAACCTTGTAGGATAGTTTGAAGTCAGGTAGCATGATGCCTCCAGCTTTGTACTTTTCGCTTAGGATTGTCTTGGCAATGCAAGCTTTTTGGTTCCATATGAACTTTAAAGTAGTTTCTTCCAATTCCGTCAAGAAAGTCATTGGTAGCTTGATGGGGATGGCATTGAATCTATAAATTACCTTGGGCAGTATGGCCATTTTCACAATATTGATTCTTCCTATCCATGGGCATGGAATGTTCTTCCATTTGTTTGTATCCTCTTTTATTTAATTAAGCAGTGGTTTGTAGTTCTCCTTGAAGAGGTCCTTCACATCCTTTGTAAGCCGGATTGCGAGTTATGTTATCCTCTTTGTAGCAATTGTGAATGGGAGTTCACTCATGATTTGGCTGTTTGTCTGTTATTGGTGTATAGGAATGCTTGTGATTTTTGCACATTGATTTTGTATCCTGAGACTTTGCTGAAGTTGCTTATCAGCTTAAGGAGATTCTGGGCTGAGACAATGGGGTTTTCTAAATATACAATCATGTCATCTGCAAACAGGGACAATTTGACTTCCTCTTTTCCTAATTGAATACCCTTTATTTCTTTCTCTTGCCTGATTGCCCTGGCTAGAACTTCCAATACTATCTTGAATAGGATTGGTGAGAGAGGGCATCCCTGTCTTGTGCCAGTTTTCAAAGGGAATGCTTCCAGTTTTTTCCCATTCAGTATGATATTAGCTGTGAGTTTGTCATAAATAGCTCTTATTATTTTGAGATATGTTCCATCAATACCTAGTTTATTGGGAGTTTTTAGCATGAAGCGCTGTTGAATTTTGTCGAAGGCCTTTTCAGCATCTATTGAAATAATCATGTGGTTTTTGTCATTGGTTGTGTTTATGTGATGGATCACGTTTATTGATTTGCATATGTTGAACCAGCCTTGCATTCCAGGGATGAAGCCAACTTGATCGTGGTGGATAAGCTTTTTGATGTGCTGCTGGATTTGGTTTGCCAGTATTTTACTGAGGATTTTTATATTGATATTCTTCAGGGATATTGGTCTAAAATTCTCTTTTTTTGTTGTGTCTCTGCCAGGCTTTGTTATCAGGATGATGCTGGCCTCATAAAATGAGTTAGGGAGGATTCCCTCTTTTTCTATTGATTGGAATAGTTTCAGAAGGAATGGTACCAGCTCCTTGTTGTACCTCTGGTAGAATTCGGCTGTGAATCTGACTGGCCCTAGACTTTTTTTGGTTGGTAAGCTATTAATTATTGCCTCAATTTCAGAGCCTGTTATTGGCCTATGCAGGGATTCAACTTCTTCCTGGTTTAGTCTTGGGAGGGTGTATGTGTCCAGGAATTTATCCATTTCTTCTAGATTTTCTAGTTTATTTGCATAGAGGTGTTTTTAGTATTCTCTGATGATAGTTCATATTTCTGTGGGATCAGTGGTGATATCCCCTTTGTCATTTTTTATTGCGTCTATTTGATTCTTCTCTCTTTTCTTCTTTATTAGTCTTGCTAGCAGTCTATCAATTTTGTTGATCTTTTCAAAAAACCAGCTCTTGATTCATTGGTTTTTTGTGTCTCTATTTCCTTCAGTTGTGCTCTGATCTTAGTTATTTCTTGCCTTCTGCTAGCTTTTGAACGTGTTTGCTCTTGCTTCTCTAGTTCTTTTAATTGTGATGTTAGGGTGTCAGTTTTAGATCTTTCCTGCTTTCTCTTGTGGGCGTTTAGTGCTATAAATTTCCCTCTACACACTGTTTGAATGTGTCCCAGAGATTCTGGTATGTTGTGTCTTTGTTCTCATTGGTTTCAAAGAACATCTTTATTTCTGCCTTGACTTCATTATTTGCCCAGTAGTCATTCAGGAGGAGGTTGTTCAATTTTCATGTCGTTGTGCAGTTTTGAGTGAGTTTGTTAATCCTGAGTTTAATTTGTTTGCACTGTGGTCTGAGAGACAGTTTGTTGTGATTTCTGTTCTTTTACATTTGCTGAGGAGTGCTTTACTTCCAACTATGCGGTCAATTTTGGAATAAGTGTGATGTGGTGCTGAGAAGAATGTATATTCTGTTGATTTGGGGTGGAGAGTTCTGTAGATGTCTATTAGGTATGGTTGGTGCAGAGCTGAGTTCAAGTCCTGGATATCCTTATTAACCTTCTGTCTTGTTGATCTAATATTTACAGTGGGGTGTTAAAGTCTCCCATTATTATTGTGTGGGAGTCTAAGTCTCTTCATAGGTCTCTAAGGACTTGCTTTATGAATCTGGGTACTCCTGTATTGGGTGCATATATATTTAGCATAATTAGTTCTTCTTGTTGAATTGATCCCTTTACCATTATGTAATGGCCTTCTTTGATCTTTGTTGGTTTAAAGTCTGTTTTATCAGAGACTAGGATTGCAACCCCTGCTTTTTTTTGCTTTCCATTTGCTTCATAGATCTTCCTCCATCTCTTTAATTTCAGCCTATGTGTGTCTGCATGTGACATGGGTCTCCTGCATACAGCACACTGATGGGTCTTGAATCTTTATCCAATTTGCCAGTCTGTGTCTTTTAATTGGGGCATTTAGCCCATTTACATTTAAAGTTAATACTGTTATGTGTGAATTTGTTCCTGTCATTATGATGTTAGCTGGTTGTTTTGCCCGTTAGTTGATGCAGTTTCTTCCTAGCATCGATGGTCTTTACAATTTGGCATGTTATTGCAGTGGCTGGTACCAGTTGTTCCTTTTCATGTTTAGTGCTTCCTTCAGGAGCTCTAGTAAGGCAGGCCTGGTGGTGACAAAATCTCTCAGCATTTGCTTGTCTGTAAAGGATTTTATTTCTCCTTCACTTATGAAGCTTAGTTTGGCTGGATGTGAAATTCTGGGTGGAAAATTCTTTTCTTTGAGAATGTTGAATATCGGCCCCCACTCTCTTCTGGCTTGTAGAGTTTCTGCCGAGAGATCAGCTGTTAGTCTGATGGACTTCCCGTTGTGGGTAACCTGATCTTTCTCTCTGGCCGCCCTTAACATTTTTTCCTTCATTTCAACCTTGGTGAATCTGACAGTTTTGTGTGTTGGGGTTGCTCTTCTCAAGGAGTATCTTTGTGGTGGTCTCTGTATTTCCTGAATTTGAATGTTGGCCTGCCTTGCTAGATTGGGGAAGCTCTCCTGGATAATATCCTGCAGAGTGTTTTCCAACTTGATTCCTTTCTCCCCGTCACTTTCAGGTATACCAATCAAATGATTTGGTCTTTTCACATAGTCCCATATTTCTTGGAGGCTTTGTTCATTTCTTTTTTACTCTTTTTTCTCTAAACTTCTCTTCTTGCTTCATTTCATTAATTTGATCTTCAGTCACTGATACTCTTTCTTCCACTTGATCGAATCGGCTACTGAAGTTTGTGCATGTGTCACGTAGTTCTCGTGCCATGGTTTTCAGCTCCAGCAGGTCATTTAAGCTCTTCTCTACACTGTTTATTCTAGTTAGCCATTTGTCTAATCATTTTTCAAGGTTTGTAGCTTTCTTGCTATGGGTTCCAACATCCTCCTTTAGCTCAGAGAAGTTTGTTATTGCTGATCTTCTGAAGCCTACTTCTGTCAACTTATCAAAGTCATTCTCCATCCAGCTTTGTTCCTTTGCTGGCGAGGAGCTGCAATCCTCTGGAGCAGAAGAGGCACTCTGCTTTTTAGAATTTTCAGCTTTTTTGCTCTGGTTTGTCCCCATCTTTGTGGTTTTATCTACCTTTACTGTTTGATGATGGTGACCTACAGTTGGAGTTTTGGTGTGGATGTCCTTTCTGTTGATGTTGATACTATTCCTTTCTGTTTGTTAGTTTTACTTCTAATAGTCAGGTCCCTCAGCTGCAGGTCTGTTGGAGTTTGCTGGAGGTCCACTCCAGACCCTGTTTGCCTGGGTACTACCAGCGGAGGCTGCAGAACAGCACAGCAAATATTGCTGCCTGATCCTTCCTCTGGAAGCTTTGTCTCAGAGGGGCACCCGGCTTTATGAGCTGTCAGTCAGCCCCTACTGGGAGGTGTCTCCCAGTTAGGCTACACAGGGGTTAGGGACCCACTTAAGGAAGCAGTCTGTCCGTTCTCAGAGCTCAAACACCATGCTGGGAGAACCACTGCTCTCTTCAGAGCTATCAGACAGGGACGTTTAAGTCTGTAGAAGTTTCTGCTGCCTTTTGTTCAGCTATGCCCTGCCCCCAGAGGTGGAGTCTACAAAGGCAGGCAGGCCTCCTTGAGCTGCAGTGGGCTCCGCCCTGTTCAAGCTTCCAGGCCACTTTGTTTACCTACTTAAGCCTCAGCTATGGCGGACACCCTTCCCCCAGCCAGGCTGCTGCCTTGCAATTTGATCTCAGACTGCCACGCTAGCCTTGAGCAAGGCTCGTGGGCATGGGACCCACTAAGCCAGGCACGGGATATACTCTCCTGGTGTGCCATTTGCTAAGACTGTTGGAAAAGCACAGTATTGGGGTGGCAATGTCCCGATTTTCCAGGTACAGTCTGTCATGGATTCCCTTGGCTAGGAAAGGGAAATCCCTCAAACCCTTGGACTTCCTGGGTGAGGTGATGCCTCGCCCTGCTTTGGCTTGCCCTCTGTGGGCTGCACCCACTGTCCAACCAGTCCCAATGAAATGAATCAGGTACCTCAGTTAGAAATGCAGAAATCACCTGTCTTCTGCATTGATCATGTTGGGAGCCGCAGACCAAAGCTGTTCCTGTTTGGCCATCTTGGAAAGGACCCCCCAGAGAAGTACTCTTATTATGCACTGTATTCTATGTCCGACTAATTCCCTTTGGTTGCCACACATAAAACTTACTAGTGTGTGCGGTGGGTTACAGTTTAAAATTATCTTCACATGCTTCTTACCATTAATTCTCAAAACAACCATATTTTATGTAAGAATAAACTATCTTAGAGAGGCTAAGGTACGTAGTTTTCTAGTAACTGATAATGGCAGGATTTGAACACAAATCTTCTGGATACCAAATCCCCATTGCACTTGTGTTTCCCAAGAATGCTTGGCTCATTGTGTTCATTTCCTAGGGATCTGTGAGAATTTAAACTTCACAGATAATTTAGGGTATCTGGTGGAAAAAAATTCTAAGAACCAAAACATTTCAATGTGACTTGGTTGCTTCTAACAACCTAACTTCAGATGAGGGTACAAATAAATAACTTAAAGTTGAAACTTATATTTAAAAGGGAAGCAGAGCATAAAAGTTTAGAAAATTTACAGCCTGGTCATGTGGCAGAGAAAGAAAAAGCTTTTACTGGAGCAACCATTTGCTAGAGAAAGTTGCATAACTAAAAGGGAGCCAAGTGCTGATAGCCAAGATGATAGGAAAAAGGCCTTGAAGGCATTTCAGAGACCTTTGCAGCAGCCCCTCTCATCACAGTCCTGAATGCCTAGGAGGGAAGAATGGTTTTGTGGGACAGGCCTAGGGCCTTGCTTCCCTGCACAGTCTCAGGACAATGTTCCCTACATCCTGGCTGTTCCAGATCCAGCCTTGGCTCAAACGGGCCCAGGTATAGCTTGGTCCATAGCTCCAGAGGGTGCATGCTGTAAGCTTAGGCAGCTTCTATGTAAAGTTAAGTTTTCAGGTACACAGAGTGTAAGAGTTGAGCCTTGGTAGCCTCAGCCTAGATTTCAGAGGATATATGAGAAAGTCTCTGTGTCCAGGCAGAAGCCTGCTGTTGTGATGGAGCCCCTCACAGAGAGCCTCTACTAAGGGAGTGTGGAGGAGAAATGTGGAGTTGGAGGCCTCACACAGAGTCCCCACTGGGGCATTGCCTAGTGAAACTGTGGGAAGAAGGCCACCATCCTCCAGACCTGAGAATGGTAGATATACCAGTAGCTTGCACTCTGCATGTAGTAAAGGGGCAGTCACTCAACTCCAGCCTGTAAGAGCAGCCTTGGGGTATGCACTCTGAAAAGCCACAGGTGGAGCTGCCTAAGGCCTTGAGAGCCCACCTTCTGCACCCATTTTCCCTGGATGGGGGACATGTAGTCAATGGAGATGACTTTGGAGCTTTAAGACTTAATGACTGCCCCATGGGGTTTTGAACTTGTATGGGGCATGTAGCCCCTTTCTTTTTGATGACTTCTGTCTTTTGGAACAGGAATGTTTACCCAATGCCTGAACTCCCACTGTATCTTGGAAGCAACTAACTTATTATTTATTTATTTATTTATTTTTACAGCTCATAGGTAAAAGAAACTCATTTCCAGATAATACTGTGGATTTGGAACTTGGGACTTTTGGATTAATGCTGGAATGAGTTAAGATTTTGGGGGGACTACTGAGAAGAGATTATTATATTTTGAAATGTGAGGACATAAGATTTGAAGGGGGCCGGGGTGAAATGATACAGTTCAAATACATGACCCCATCCAAATCTCATGTTAAATTAGATTCTCCAGTGCTGTAGGTGTGGTCTGGAGGGAGGTATTTAGATTATGGGGGTGGATCCCTCGTAGCTTGGTGCTGTCTTTGTGATAGTGAGTTCTCATCAGATGTGTTCCTTTAGAAGTATGTGGCACCTCCCCACCCCAATCGCTTTCTTGCTCCTGCTTTTGCCAAGTGACACGCCTGCTCCCCCTCTGCCTTTTGCCATGACTGTAAGCTTCCTGAGGCCTTTCTAGACGGTGAGCAGATGCCAGCACCATGCTTCCTGTAAAGCCTGCAGAATCCTGAGCCAGTTAAATCTCTTTTCTTTATAAATTACCCAGTCTCGGATATTTCTTTATAGCAATGTGAGAATGGCCTAATACACAGTTCTTATAAGATTGATGACTAGGGAAAAACACAAGTGAGATGGAGATTTGGTGTTCAGAGCATTTGTGTTCAAATCCTGCCATTACCAGTTACTAGCAAACTAAGTAACTTAGCCTCTCTAAGGGAGTTTGCTTTTACACAAAATATAGTTGTTTTGAGAATTAAATGGTAGGAAGCCTGCAAAGATAATTTTAACCTGTAACCAGTTGCACATACTAGTCAGATTTATGTGTGATGACCAAAGGGAATTAATCAGAAAGATATAGTAGATAGTGCACAATGAGAGCACTTCTCAGATAAGTAATGTTATTGAGGGCTTTCAAAAGTGTTCTGTATCTTTCCCAAGCCTTGCTTTTATTTTTTTTAACTGAGATGGAGTCTCACTCTGTCACCCAGGCTGGAGTGCAGTGGTACAGCCTTGGCTTACTGCAACCTCTGCCACCCATGTTCAAGCAATTCTCCTGCCTCAGCCCCTCGAGTAGCTGGGATTACAGGTGCCTGTAATAACTGTCATCAAGAAAATTTTCACAACTCGTATATACCCCATAAATGCTAACTTTAGAATCCAGTATTTTAAAATCACACAGTGTAAAGTTTTTAATATATATATACATTTTTTTAAAACAAATGAGAATGCAGAGAATAATGGGTTTCAATACAGTTTACCTTTGGGAGTACTTTATTCCTCAATTTGTCTATTTTATGTATACTCACATCTGGTTGGTGCTAATAAAAAATGAATTTCATATTTCTTCTTCGTCATTAAAAATACCTAAATAGTTTTTCTAACTTTTAAATTTTATATATCATTGCTTTCTAGTATCACAGGAAATTGTGTGCGTGTGTGTGTGTGTGTGTGTGTGTGTGTCAGAGAGGGAAAGAGAGAGAGAGCAAGAGATTCTGTCATCAGATGCTCTAGATCCTATCTCCACTGTAATGAAGCTTCAGCAAAATTTGAAAGGCCTGTGTGTTTTTGTTTTAATAAATTCATCCCTGAGAAAATGAGTCAGACTAAATAAAAAGTGGGGCAGTGAAGGAGATTCAGAAAGATAATAGCCCAGTATGCCAAGAAGATATAAGCATGGCTGAGCCAATTCATTCTCTGGTGTTTCTTAATTTTCCTTGTGACTTCTAATAATATACCTATTTATTGATACAGACCCCAGAGATATGAATAGAAACACCATTTTAAAATATATTTGTATGGTTGTTGTAAACATGCAGTCTCTGTTACCCTTTGTAATGCTTACAAAAAAAGTCATTTAAATTGTGGTATTTTTGTAAAGTGCACCTATAGCAAATGACAGAGCCAGTCTGAATTATAAATCCATTTAAGCACTCAATCATCAAAATTAGTAATGCTGAGAAATGGGGCACGTTGAAGAAATAGGCTAGATTTAGAATGAGTTAGATAAGATGATATGACTTAAAAGGAAGAGTGACTCAGGACCACAAAGTTAGGTTTACTCTTAGGCTAACTCAACCACCAAAGGGTATACTATTTGCCACCTAAGAATTGGGTACGTTTATGCTCTTACCGCATTGATTTTCAACCAAGCCATGGGTCACTTAACAACATCTGGACACATTTCTGGTTGTCACAACTGAAAGGAGGTGCTATTGGCATTTAGCGGGTAGATGCCAAAGATGTTACTAAACATCCTGCAATCACAGGACAGCTCACACAGCAAAGAATTATTTGCCCCAAAGTGTCAATAGTGTCATGGTTGAGAAATCCTGCTTTACAGGAATTCTCAGGAAGTATTTTTTTTATATTGGGCAATGTTGTTATTAACTGAAAAGGCACCTTGGTTACTGTGGTTTTAACTGGAAAATTACATTTAGTTGGATTATTACCATGTTGAAATATTAATGACTTGGTGACATAATAAAAATAACACTACAAACATTTTTAAGAGTCATTAATTATAAAGAGTTTAGGAAGTTACCAAAACCCTTACAGCTGATATTTAGTACTGCATGTTCCAGTTTGCTAATGCTACAATATAACATCTGATAAAACTCTAATTATGAAACAGTTTTACAATAAAATTTCATATGAGCATTTCACTGTTATTATTTTTCACACAATAAGCCCATTTTCTTTTTAGGTGAAGTATTAATTATAAATTAACTAACTGAGTTGTGATTATTTAGGCCCTCCCTTTTACTGGAAAACAAAACTTACAGATTGATAATCATTATTAAAAAACACCATTTGTACTGCTCAGAATTTAAAGTGAACTGGCCGGGCACGGTGGCTCACGCCTGTAATCCCAGCACTTTGGGAGGCTGAGGCGGGTGGATCACAAGGTCAGGAGTTCGAGACCAGCCTGTCCAAGAGGGTGAAACCCCGTCTCTACTAAAAATTAGCCGGGCATGGTGGCAGGCGCCTGTAGTCCCAGCTACTCGGGAGGCTGAGGCAGGAGAATTCCTTGAACCTGGGAGGCGGAGGTTGCAGTGAGCCGAGATCGTGCCACTGCACTCTAGCCTGGGTGACAGAGCGAGACTCCGTCTCAAAAAAAAAAAAAAAAAGAAAAGAAAAGAATTTAAAGTGAACCTAAATCACAGGAGTTCCTCTCTAAGAAAAACCTGGTCCTTGAAATTCACAAAAAGAATAAATAGTATATAATTTCTATCCTTCTTAATATATTTTAGGTCCTCTGAATCTGTTTACCTCTAAGTATTCTCTGCTTGAACAAAGGAAGCTTGACATGGTTTGGGTCTGTGTCCCTGCCCAAATCTCATGTCCAGCTGAAGTCCCCAGTGTTGGAGGTGGGGTCTGGTGGGAAATAATTGGATCATGGGGGTGGATTTCCCTTTTGGCTCTGTTCTCGTGAGAGTGAGTTGTCACAATGCCTAGTTGTTTAAAAGCGTGTAGCACCCCTCGCCTCTTCTTCCTGCTCAGTCAAGTAAGACCTGCCTGCTTCCCCTTCACCTTTTGCCATGATTGAAAATTTTCTGAGGTGTCCCTAGCCATGATTCTTGTACAGCCCGAAGAACCATAAGCCAATTAAACCTCTTTTCCTTATAAATTACTAGTCTCAGGTATTTCTTTATAGCAGTGCAAGAACAGACTAACACAGAGCTTTAAAAGGATTTGAATATATTTTAGCTAGTTCTTACAACTATAACCTTAGCCATATTAAATAAAATGCCATCTTTAATTACCAGAAAATACATGGTAAATTATAAACATAACAACAATAATGCTTAATGCATACCAAATATCGGGGTTCCTACCAAAGGGTGTGTCTTCATATGGTTTGTTTTGGCAAAAAACATAGTACCCAGCTTAAATACACTGAAGTTCTGACAAATATTGTGAACAGAAAATACATAGAAAGATAGATGTTTTCAGCAAATGTGCACGGAAACTGGGTATTATATAACTCATCTGTGATTTTATACTTAAAACCATATAAGTTTGAGGTATACTCAGTATTTATCTCTGTGAATAACTGACTTTAGAAAAACAAAATATCATTTCCTTCTGGATCATAAAATACCATCTGTTCATGCCTGTCTAAAGATCATAGATCCATCAGGTAAATGTAAAGAAAATATCATAACCCAAGTTTCCACTTTTATGTAATAACTCCTACACTGATGAGCAGATTAATTCGCCAGGCTAATTCACCATTTCCTTTCACTCAGGGCTCTTGACAAATCTTATTATTGACTATGTAAATTCATACGTGTTTTTAAAAATTTTGATGTTCTCAAGGTACTGGCCTTATAAATATTTTTTATATGTTGAAGAATGACTCCCAGATGTCTTAAGGTAAATAAGGGGGGAAAAGAGAGATTTATATTCCATTTACTTTGCTTTGAGTCTTAGTAGAAGAATAAGCTAAAAAATATTTTTTATGTCTGTGGGACTAGGTATGAAAAAATATTTTTTATGATAAAACCATTCAATACTACTCTTATCCATATAGTTCCACATCAGTTCTTCTCTTATATAGTATAATATCGTGGTAGTAAATTGTGTTTCAGTAACCCCAGAGTATATAATTTTCTGTGTTAAGGTCTCTCCTCACCTCATTATCATTTTCTAAATTTTTTGCCAAAGGGAAGTTCAGTTCCATATCTCTTGCTTTTCTTTTTGCTTATCTGAAAAAAACAATGAAAGTCATGGAGTTAGTTAGTATATTATGATGATTACCTGGAACTGAAAAACAGGTGGTCATTAGGTTATTTTTGTATATGAAACATTAACAAAGCAAATATACCAGTAAGTGGTCTTTATTATCCTTTAGACACCACTCTGTACCTAGGTGATCTCATTCTATTCATTCTATTCCTCGCCTTCCACAGGATTATAATGGGATACCCCAGGGCTGTGTCCCTGACCCCTCTCTTCTCCTTCCACACCTATACTTAGAAATTCTGTGTCCCATTCCCCAGGTTGCTTTCTCTCCTATTCACTCTTGGCCAGGAAAATTTTCCTATGGTTAGGTGTTACTATGTCCTGCCTTCAAGGGAATATATTTCCACTTAAAAAGAACATTTAGGGAGGCATAATATTAACCCAAAGAAATGTGTGACCCCCAAATTGGTAATTTCAGATTCTAGCATTTGACTAGCTCTAAGAAAGACAGAAAAAGTTCAAGGAACTTACAGTTTATAATATCTTCTGAGAATCTGCTAACTTTTACACATGTGTATCTCAATATTCTTTGACAACACGTGTCTGATGAGGAGTGGCAGACCTTATGAGTCTGTCCTCTA
Organism: Homo sapiens; assembly: GCF_000001405.40. Lineage (NCBI taxonomy): Eukaryota > Metazoa > Chordata > Mammalia > Primates > Hominidae > Homo > Homo sapiens. The sequence goes on from NC_000007.14 coordinate 19,961,613, forward strand.
ACGAGAACCTTTTGGGAGTTTTTGCATTCCAATCATACTGAGTTTATACTAAACCTTCTCAGTAAGATTGATGCTTATATTTTATCACATATTTTCAGGCTAAAAAACAGGATCCTTTTAAATTTCAAGCTCCACTATATTTTTTCCTTATAAAGAACTGTCACAAATTATTGCTGTTTCTTACCAATAACTAAACAAACTGCTATGGACTGAGTTATACCCTGCCACCAATGTCATTTGTTGAAGTCCTAACTCCCAATGTGATGGTATTTGGAGATGGGGTCTTTGTAAAATAATTAGGTTTAGATGAGGTCATGAGGGCAGGGGGCCTCATGGTGAGATTACTGCCCTTCTAAGAGTAGACAACAGAGAGTTTGCTTCCTCCCTTTCTCTCTCTTTCTCTCCCTTTCTCCACTTTATGATACCATGAAATACCATGAAAAAGCAGCAATTTTCAAGCCAAGAAGAGCAGTTTCACTGGGGAACCAAATCGGCGGGCCTCTTGATCTTGGACTTTTAAGCCCTCAGGACTGTGACTGTGAGAAATAAATTTCTGTTGTTTAAGCCACCCAGTCTATAGTGTTTTTTATGACAGCCCAAGCTGACAAATACACAAATAAATAGAAAAATTAATAATGAATTGATCCCCTTCGTTGTCATTATAATGACAGTATCAGAAATAAAATACAAAATTTGGCCATAAGAACCCCATCCAAACAAATGAGCTCTTTTATTTTAGTGTAATTTTTACCAAGATAGGTTCTTTTTTTTTTTTTTTTTTTTTTTGAGACAGAGTTTTGCTCTTGTCATCCAGGCTGGAGGGCAATGGTGTGATCTCAGCTCACTGCAATCTCCACCTCCTGGGTTCAAGCGATTCTCTTGCCTCAGCCTCTTGAGTAGCTGGGATTATGGGCACCTGCCACCACGCCTGGCTAATTTTTGTATTTTCAGTAGAGATAGATAGGGTTTCACCATCTGGGCCAGGCTGGTCTCGAACTCCTGACCTCAGGTGATCCACCCGCCTTGGCTGCCCAAAGTGCTGGGATTACAGGAGTGAGCCACCGTGTCCAGCCCAAGATAGGTTCTTAATGCCTCAGTCTAAAGTCTTGCCCTGAGAGTACTGAAAATGTTAGCTATAAGAAGAGCTCTTATGACTTAATGGGCAACCTTGATCCATATGTGTTACTTCTCCTGGTATAGCTCACATATCTGTGAAAAGGTGGCTATGACATTGATATTCTATGAAAACTTGTAGTGAGCAAGCTGGTAAACATCACCTTTACCATGAGCAACACCAGACTGCTACAGTAAGCTATGTGTAAATCTTCAGAAGAGTACCTTGTTTGCAAGTGTTTATTTTATTTTAATGAGTTGTACTCTGAGTAGGACAAAAATCACCAATCAAAGACATCCTGCCGACTAAGATGAAAGAGATATAAAGAAAAAAATATTAAGCAATAAAACCACTAATGGCTAACAAATAGCACGCCTTGCTATGTTCTGTGACTGTTCCAAGTGACTGACAGATTATAACTCATTCAATCATGAAAACAACTCCATAGATGTTATGTACTCTTTTTATATATTATTGTAAGCTCCTACTTTAAGGATGAAGAAGGGGAGATTCAAAGAGATTAAATAACTTCCCTAGGACAGTTGGAGAGGTAATAGAAGAAAGAGATTTGAACCCAACACAAAATGGCTCCCAACTCTTTTATTTCAAGCATGAGATATGGCCTCACAACAATACCCTTCCCAGCTGCAGCAAAGGAGGTAAGATGACCTAAATGCAGCACAGAGGCTGAAGGAAACAGCCAACTCTGAAGCTAGCTAAGAAACATTTTTGTAGCCTACCTTCCAGTCATTATATGATCAGATACTGAGAAACCCTGAGCCTCACAGGCTCACTGCCACAGTAACAACGTGCACACAGCCAGCAGAATCATTATATTCAACAAGTGAGAATTCATCGAGCTGAATAATTTCATTGACTCTAGACCTGCTTCATGCTTCTTCATCATATTATTCTTAATTCCCTCAACAATGAAAATCATATCAATGGGCTATACCAATGCCAATATTTGAAGACTTTTACTTCCAGCTGTGTAAGAACTACACTTGAATCTGGTATGACTGACAATATCAGGCTCTAAATGAAATCATGAGGCCACCAAATTATTATGGTGCAACAAGGCCAAACACTAAACCATCAAATAATCTTGGAGGCATTTTGCAGCCAATCTAAACAGCTAATAAAATGAGATCATAGGTTTTCCAGAAAGTAAAGCTAGCCATCCCTGCCTGATTCTGATAAACACATTTCCATGTGAAATTTAGGGGAAGGAATTTAGAGTCTTCCCTAGGGACTGGGTTCACTCTTTAGCTGTCCCAATTTCAGACTCACCCAGTTATACTGCAGGGTGAGGTTGATGTTCTCTTAAAGCTGTTCGGCTCATCTCTCTGATGGCTTAGGGTTTTTTACCTTTCTAATTCTTCCAAATCTACATTAAAATGCCACATATGATTTTCATTTAAATGCCAACATAGGATTTATAAACATTATTGAGAAAGTTAAAGCGTAAAATTAAGAGAATACACACAAGATGAATCCAAACAAAAGAAGAGGAAAAAATAAAGAGATAATGAGAATGAGCAAAAGAGAAAATACACAGAAGGGAGAAATTGCAGCCACTGGATATGGAAAGAGTGGGAACAGATTTTAATTTACTCATGCATTTCTCATGAAGCTGTGGAAGATACGGTCCAAATGCTTAGTCAGACTGGGGCTGGAGAATACAGGTTCCTATGGGAACAGAAGCAGCTTACTGCCATGGTAGTCTGCATTCCAAATGTAAGTTGCAGTAGCAGACTTCTTTTCCTATTCAGAATATCATTTGTGCTCTCAGTCTCAATTACTGCACTCCAGAGAGCTGTGAAGAGCAAGCCTGCATCCTTAGCTCCTTGTTTCTTCCTGTCTTCCTAATTCAGATGTGTATTCTTTCCAACTGTTCGTCTTTTTTTTCTTCCCTGCAATTTATCAGGCTATTTCCTTTCCCTCAACATTCCTTAAACACAGTACAGTGTATATATTATGTCTAAAACACAATGCTGCACAAACGCAAAAGATCACCTTGTATTGGCCAAACTGCCCAACTATCACCAGACATGTGTACTGCCTCATCAGAAACACACTGCCTGTATTCATTTTGTTCTCATTGGTCCCTAAAGACAGATAAACAAATCAGAACCATTTTGAACTAAAGACAAATGAGCTCTCTTAGACTACAAATTATTTCTGTTGTCTATATAGACATTCTAATACATTGTGCCTTTTCATTACTAGGCTATTGTTAATTTTTTATTGTTATTTTTTACCTGACTAGTGAGATAATCTTGACATATTATTTTGCAGCTGTATTAAGGTTCTTAGATACTCAGTTATCTTCTCATGCTTGGAAGTGTTTATTAACTAAGAAATAATGGAGTCAGTATCCACTTTTTAAAACAATGTTTCTCAAAATAAAATCTGTATACCACGTAAAATAATCACTTCTGTGGTTATTAAAAATGATCATTATTCACCAACCAAATGATATGTAACTAAATACTGGCACGTCTATACAATGGAAGTCTATTTAGCCATAAATTATATTAGCAACTGATAAAATAAATATTTTACAAATATTGTGCTGAGTGAAAGAAATTGGATGCAAAAGAAGTACATTTTATATGATCCATTTATATCAGTTTCCTCATAGGAATACAGTGTTCACTTTGATCACCTAAGGAAACTATAAAGGGATTGTATAATATGCACTAAATTGGTTTGGGCATGGTGGCTCACACCTATAATCTCAGCACTTTGGGAGGCCGAGGTGGGTGGATCACCTGAGGCCAGGAGTTCAAGACCAGCCTGGCCAACATGGCAAAATCCCATCTCTACTAAAAATACAAAAACAGCCAGACGTGGTGGCATGCGCCTGTAATCTTAGCTACTTGGGAGGCTGAGGCAGGAGAATTGCTTGAACCTGGGAGGTGGAGGTTGCAGTGAGCTGAGATTGGGCCACTGCATTCCAGCCTGGGCAACAGAGTGAGACTCTGTCTGAAAAAAATTAATAAATAATATGCACTAAACTAAATTTGGTGATAGAAATCAGATCAGCAGTCACTCCTGGAAGGGGGATACTGAGTGGAAAGGAGCATGAGGAAGTTTTCTTGGGTGATGAAGATACTTTATGTCTTAATATATATTCACAAAAACTGATCAAATAAATAAGATCTTAATCTTTCGTTGTATTTAAACTATATCTCAGTTTTTAAAAATGCTGGTTCTTGTGTCCTATTACCTAAGCATCTGCATTTATGGCAACAGACTATTTTGAAGAATAACTTTAGATTTACAGAAAAGTTCCAAAGATAATACAGAGTTCCTATATACACTGGACCCAGTCTCCCCCAGTGTCAACTTTTACATTACTATTGCACATTTGTCATAACTAATGAACCAGTATTGATACACTGTTATTAAGCAAACTCTGTACTTTATTCTAAATTATTTAGTTATTTTTTTCTCATTGTCCTTTTTCTCTTAGGACCCCACCCAGAATACCATGCACTTAGTCATTATGCTTTCTTTAGCATCTCTCTACTATGACAATTTATTGGACCTCGTTGTTGTTTTTCATGACCTTGACAGTTTTGAGAAGCACTGGTCAGATATTTCATAAAATATCCCTCAGTCAAGGTTTGTTTGATGTTTTTCTCATGATTAGAGTGGGGCTATGGATTTTTGGGAGAAAGACCACTGAAGTGAAGTGTCATTCTTATCACACTAAAGCAGTGTTACATATGATCAACACAACATCACTTATAGTGTTCACCTGGATCACCTAAGAAGCATTTGCATTTTAAAACCAGTTCCTTGGATATTTCCTGTATTTACTAACTTTCAAAGTGCCATATTAAATTTTAACATTTCACAGAGCATTAAACAACTCCGTGTTTTAAGCTATAACACAACTCTCTGCTCAAAGCCATCTATTACTCCTCAGAAGAAATGTCCGCCATATCTCTTTAATATGTCTTGTACCTCTGTGTCAGGAGATAGGATGAGTGCCCTGCTTTTGACATGGGATGATCTATCCCTTTTCCCTAAAACTCTCAGTTCCTTTGAAGGTCACGCTACCCAATATGTTTATTGCCCAGTAACTCTCCTTTACTCAGTCATCCACAAGCCTTTGATTGCGCCTGACAATTCCTTAGAGATTTTAGTTCCCAACTGTTTCTTTTCCATAAATACGTATCTCATATTTTTCAGTGACATCAATATCCACATATGTGTTTCTTTCAATACATGTCCTCTCCATTTCTTGCCCCCATCTTTGGTGATCTTACCTCTGTTCCACCTCAACCATGGTCATGGCTAAACTTCATTAGTAACAATTTTATCCAATCCAAAATTTCCAGTTTTTATCACCCCATCAAACACATCTGTTCTCTATGACATACTATTCTTCTATCCTCTTTTGAGTACTCTGATTCCTAAAACTCTTTTCCTGTTTGTAAAAATAAAAAAAAAACAGAACAACAACAACAGAAATAACAACAAAAACCACACCACTTCTAGTCAGTCGTTTCTGCTAGCAATTTATCACCATGAGTCTCACTGAAGCCCTCACTCTCTTCCTTACTTTCCTTAGCTTCTATGGCCTAATATTAAAATATTCCTTCTATCATTGCCACATGGCCAACCTTAATCCTGTTTAGAACTAACTCTTTTCCTATCTTGCTCCTGAAATATAGCAGCTAATCACAAATGGTGGCAAAAGGCATAACATGTTTGCTGTGATCACATTAATTTCATAACCACACTCATTAAGGGGGCCTTAGTGTGGCTCCGTCATCCCTCTTCATTTTCACTTATCCAGTCCCATGGGAAATTATTTTATTTTATGTTTCCATTGCCTTTGATTGAGGAAGTAGAAGTAACTAGAGGAAGATTCTTGCATGCTTCCACCACTGTATAGAGCAACATCATTATCCATATACCTTACCTGAATATCAAGGCAAACCCACCTATTTAAGTACTAAATCCATCCACTTCAGTGTACTCAAGGCCAATGCTCTTGCTATGGCTTACTTTGTCTCTTGCATCATCATTTTTTTCACTAGTGGTCTGTTTCTATTAGTATATAAACACAAACTATCTTGAAGAAATCTTCCCTTGATTCTATATCCCTTCACATAGTCTCTGTCCCACTTTTCTCCTCTACAGAGAAGAGTTTTTGCAGTCACAGTTTTTCTTTCTCCTCTTCCCATTCCCTCTTGGACCCACTCTGTTCAGGCTTGTGTTCTTGCTGTGCCATGGGGGCTGCTCTTCGCAAGGGCACAAAAATCCTCTGTATTATATTGTCTAGTGGTCATTTATTAGACTTCCAATTTAACCAAATAGTGTCATTTACACACACGTTATTCACACGTTATTACTTGAAACAACTTCTTTACTTCACCTTCATAATACCAACCTTGTTTTTCTACACACCTCACTGGCTGCTCCTTCTCAGCCTCCTTTGATAATTCCTCTGCACCTCCCAGATCTTTAAACACGGGTATGTTTCAGGACTCAGTTCTCTCACACAGGTGATCTCTTTGTATTCTGCAGCTTTAAATGTGACCACTAACTTTAAAATTCCTAAATTTATATTTCCAGTGTGAATTTCTCTCTGGAACTGGAAATGCATATCTTCATTTCTTGATATCTCTATTTAGATATCCAATATGCATCTGTAAATGAAAAATTGCACCAGATAAGTTAAATGGGAAATGAAGACTTTATTCAAGACTATTGCAATAAAGGAAAAAGATTGAACTCAACTCTGATAAAACAAAAGGTGAGAGAGTTTCAATCACAGAAGTGAGCTAATGGAAGAACAGTGGAAAACTGACATCAGGGGAAAGGTTGATCCAGGTGATTAGTACATCATTTTTTGCAATTGGTGCTTATTGAAGTTAGACTCCTCCCCTCCCACAGAGACTAAGAAATACAGGTGCTTGCTTGCTTTCTTCTTTTAAAGTTTTATTTTGGTTTCAACTGACATGTAATAATTGCGTGTGTGTGTTTGTATATACATATATATGTGTATGTGTATGTGTATACATATATGCCTATAGTCATATACATACTTATGGTACATTTAAGAAACTGTAATGTTTCAATACATGTATACATTGTGTAATCATCAAATCAAGGTAATTAGCATATCCATCACCTCTAACACTTGTCATATCTTTGTGGTGAGAAAATTCAAAATCCTTTTTTCTAGCTATTTTGAAGTATATAATACATTATTCTTTACTGTAGTCCCTTACTTTGCAATAGGACACCAGAAATTATTTCTCCTATCTAACTGGAATTTTGTACCCATTGACCAACCTCTCCCCATCTCCCCCACCTCTGGTGACCACTATTCTACTCTCTACTTCTGTGTGATCAACTTCTTTATATTCCACATATAAGTGAGATAATGTGGTATTTGTCCTTTTGTACTTGCTTTATTTCACATAATATAAAAAGACAACAAATGCTAGTGAGGATATGGGGAAAGAGAACTTTTATATACACTGTTAATGGGAATGTAAATTAGTATAGCCGTTATGAACAACAGTGTGTAAGTTCCTCAAAATACTAAAAATAGAACTACCATATGATACAATAATCCAACTACTGGGTTTACATCGAAAGGAAATAAAATCAGTATGTCAAAGAGATGTCTGTGCTCCCATGTTTACTGCAGCGCTATTCAAAATAGCCAAGATAGGGAATCAACCTAAATGTCAATCAATGAATGAATGGATTATTAAAAAATGTGGTATGTATGTAAACAATGTAATACTACTCAGCCATAATAATAAACAAAATTCTGACATTTGGAATAACATGGATAAACCTAGAAGTGCCATTTTTCTTAGTGATTACATGTCAAAGGGATTGCTTCTAGCAGCTTGGGAGGAATATTTCTGGGATGTGGAAGATTTGGATCTCAAGAGGGCAGAAACAGTTTTCTCTTGCAAGTTATCTAAAATTAGTGCTCTTTAAAAAGAAACGCTATGAGCCTATAGTCAGGAAGAAACGTGTCCAAAATTTAGTCAACTTGAGGGGAATTTTAAGGCCATCCTGGTCATATCTCAAACTTCAAATGACCAAAAATGAATTATTGATTTTCTTCTACCCTCAAACTTGTCCATTCCCCAGTATTTGTCAACTCAGTTGCAATTGTATTCTTCCAGTTATTTGGGTCAAAAACCTTAGGGTCAACATTGATGCTTTCTACTTTCCCTCTGTCTCCCCCCAACACCACCCCCCCCCCCCCCCGACATCCAATTCCTCTGTAATCTTTATCTAGCTTCCAGCCTTCATCAGGCTTTTCACTCCACCCTAGCCCAGGGCAGCAAAATTGTCCAATGGATTATTAAGTTACTTTCCTAACTATTCTTTCTAGTTTCACTCTTTCTCGTCCTGCAGTCTACTATTTAGACTGCCAAGTTTCTATTCCACTCAAATCCAAAGCTGTTATCTTGGCTTAAAAAGCTCAATATCTTCTTCCTCCTGTTTTCTCCTTACTTTAATCTCGAACTTTGCCCCCACATTCTAGACTCTGTGCATATTTGCCTTTCTGAGTCACATGTGCCTCCTTATTGTCCCTCATACATTCCAATCATGTCTTTGCCTCCAGGATTTATGACTTGCTTTCTTCATTGTTTGAAACACTCCTCATACAGATATCAACATGTCTTTCTTTCTTCTTTCTTCTGTCAGGTCTCGGCTCCCATGTCAAATGTTATCACCTATTTTAGTCTTTCCCTAAGCTCATGTAATATTACAATATTACAACCCTGTTTTTTTCTCCTTAGTTCTTATCACCACTTGATGTATTATTGTGTTTGCTTAACTATTTATTTTGTCTCTCCAATTAGAATGTATGTTCTTTGAGAGCCAGGACTTCTTATATGTTGTTTACTAGAGAAAGTCTGCCAGGAACAGAGTAAGCAATAAGTATTTGTAAAATAAATGAATAAATTTTCTGCCTTAGATTGATGGTTACAAATGGCTACTGACTCCCATTAAAGCACTTCACAATCTTCAGTGAATCAGTGCTATACCCTTTTTTATTCTTTCAGCCCCAGTCTTTGTTACCTTCAGTGATTTAATCATCAACATATTTGATTATCTTGGCTGCACAGATAATCATCCTCAATGTCTGAACTATTGAATGAAAAAGCTATACTTGAAACTAACCTCTTAGCTCTGCAATGCATTTCTCTGCATATAAACACCTGGATTCTCATTTCTCCCCATCCTTTTGACCAACTACAGCTATCTCTGTCTTGATTATGATCTCTAAGTTACTTGACCTCACCCTGGTCTTGCTTCCTCTTCTCTCTCATTCAACCCCTTCTCTCCCAGGATGAGTTCTATAGTCAGTCAATTTGGTAATGTGCTCATTACTGCTCCTAATTCATTCATATTTTAGCAAACACTTAGCGTGGTGAGGCTTCTGATCCTCAGCACTGGTAAAAATCTAACATTTATTGTATCTGTTCTAATTCCTTGGTTTCATGTGGTATCTTTCATCCTACTCAGTAATCTTTTTGTTCACACACAGATTTTTTTTTTTTTTTTTTTGGTCCATGTTTCTATGGTCTGTAGATTCCATTGTATATGGCTTAAAATCATGCCTATGTCCCTCTAAACATAAATCTAATTTCCTTTTTCTATTACAATCAGTAGACAGCTTTATATTTTATTTTATTTTAGTCATTTGATATGAGATTCTCAAAATTGCTCCTTAGCACTAAAATATATCCCTTTTTAAAATACAGTTCATCTCTTTCCTTAACTCCAATATTCAACAAAATATATTATTTTTTTTGTTACCCTAAACCTCCAAATTCTATACTTGCTAACATTCTATCCCATCTTATTTGGGATCTTCTTCCCATATACACATAGGTTATTTTTCTCCAAAAGATTTAATCAATCCTGTCTCTCTGTTTATAATTATTTATTATTTTAATCATTTTATGGTAGTCATTTTTGTTATTTGTCTACTTTGATTAGTTGGGAATTTTTAAGAAAAAAGATAAGGTCTAACTATTTCTAATATTTTCCACATTACAAAGCTATCACTCTATAAATACTGAATGAATAAATGAATGTTATTAAGGCTTTGAAAAGAGCATGGGAAGATATAGAATATTGTATAGATTATTAGATGCCTTTCTCTATTCACCCCAGAATTGCCATAAACTAATAGCTAATTATTCCAAATTTGTGATAGTGGTAGTGTTGGTGGCAGCAAGGCATTATTTACTTAAAATATTTGATATTTTATGGCAACGTTCTTAAAGCTTTCCAAAATCTAAAGCTGAGTCCTGACTAGTCTTAGAGCTTCTTTGGCCTCATTTCAGAGTCTAGTTGAATGATTAATGAAATCCTTACTCTCCATTTCCCTTTTGAAAGTTCTGTTGAATCTCCACTGAATCCAACCTCATTCATCAGGCATGTTGTCTGGAAGAGTCTCAGAGAATCCCTTCTGGGAGTTTTAGAGTCTTCCATTTGACCTTGGAGAGAGATTGATCTTGAAATTGTACTAAGCAACCAAATTTTCCATTTGTTATACTTTCTCCGTGACCACAAAAAGCAAAGGAGTCTATAAATACATTATATTAAGAAAAAATAATATTTGTATTGATTCGCTGGAGTTGCATTTTTAAATTAAAACAAAGGCCTAAATTTTATAATTCTTTCTAGTGTATTTAATTTTGAGAGCTATTAGACGGCTCTCTGTTATTGTCAAAACATATTATGGCCCTTTTCTAATTTTTCTATTCTCATGAGTTTCAGTTCTTGTAGCAAAGATGACAAAAACATTTCATTATTTTTATTTTAGAAAACTTTTTCAAATAGTTTTTACTCAGATTCTTGTTGAGCTGTCTACACAACTTCCTCCGCAAGAAGAAATTTTAAAATCCTCCTTTGAACTATTCTTTAATATAACTGAAGGAGTACATTAAAATTTTTACAAACAAAAGAAACCTATATCCATGACTCTTGTCAGAAATAGGTAGTGTTTAAGGGGAAAGAGAAGTATAATGGAGTTTGAGGAGCTCTGCTTAATTTCTTATTTTGTCACCGAGACTCCACGGAATTTTTTAAAAAATAATAATGGTCCTGTTACAGTCATTCTCCTTCACCTGCTCACTATTTCCACTTAAATGGATTTATGTTGAACCTCCCATACCACACCAGAGTGGTATACTTTTTACAACTGATGAAACTACATTGACACATCATTATCCATTAACATCCATAGTTTATTTCAGGGTTCACTTTGGGTAGTATGCATTCTATGGATTTTGACAAATGAATAATGACATGTAGCCACTATTGTAGCATCATACAAAATAGTTTCACTTCCCTAAAAATTTTCTGTGCTTCAACTCTTCTTCCCTCCTGCCTCCTTAACTCTTGGAAACCACTTTTTACTATATCCATAGTTTTGTTTTTTCCAGAATGCCATATTTTGAAATCGTATGGTATATAGCCTTTTCAGATTGGCTTCTTTTACTAAGTAATGTGCATTTAAGCTACCTCTTTGTCTTTTCATGGCTTGAGAGCTAATTTCTTTTCTTTTCTTTCCTTTTTTTTTTTTTCTTTTTTTTTTTGAGACAGAGTTTTGCTCTATCGTCCAGGCTGGAGTGCAGTGGCGCAATCTCCGCGCACTGCAACCTCCACCTCCTGGGTTCAAGTGATTCTCCTGCCTCAGCCTCCCGAGTAGTTGGGACTACAGGTGTATGCCACCACACCCGGCTAATTTTTTGTATTTTTGGTTGGAGGGGTTTCACTGTGTTAGCCAGGCTGATCTCGATCTCCTGAGCTCGTGATCCGCCTGCCTCAGCCTCCCACAGTGCTGAGATTACAGGTGTGAGCCAGCACGCCCAGCCTGATAGCTCATTTCTTTTTAGTGAATAACATTCCATTGTCTGTATGTATTACATTTATTTATCCATTTACCTACCGCAGGACATCTTTGTTGCTTCCAAATTTGGGTAATTATGAAGAAAGCTGCTATAAACATCCATGTGCAGGACTTTGTGAACATATGTTTCCAACTCCTTTGGATGAATACCAAGAAGCATGACTGCTGGGTTGTATGCTAAGAGTATGTTTAGTTTTGTAAGAAACCACCAAACTGTCTTCAAATTGGCTCTACCATATCACCAGCAATGACTGAGACAGAAATGGATGTACCATATCATCAGGAATGACTGAGAGTTTCCACTGCTTCACATCTTCACCAGCATTTTGTGTTAGTGTTCTGGATTTTGGCCATTCTAGTAGATGTGTAGTGGTTTCTCATTGTTGTTTCAGTTTGCATTTCTCTTATGACATATAACGTGGAACATATTTTCATATGTTTATTTGCCATCCATATATCTTCTTTGGTGAGGTGTCAAGATCTTGGCTCTTTTTAAATTGTGTTTTTAATTTTCTTGTTGTGGAGTTTAAGAGTTTTCTGTATATTTTTTATAATAGTTTTGCATTTACAGTATTTACATATGTAATCCATCCTAATTTTTGTGAAAGGTGTAAGGTCTATGTCTAGATTCTTTTCTTTTTTTTTTTTTTTTTTTTTTGCATGTGAATGTCTAATTGTCCTAGCACTGTTTGTGGAAAAGACTGTTTTTGCTCCATTGTATCATCTTTGCTCCTTTTTTGCAGATCAGTTGACTATATTTATGTGGGTCTATTTTAGGGCTTTCTATTTTGTTCCATTGATCTATTTGTCTATTCTTTCACCAGCACCGTACATTTTGATGACTGTAGCTTTATAGTAAGTCTTGAAATCAATAGTGTTAGTCCTCTAACTTTGTTCTTCTCCTTCAATATTGAATTGGCTATTCTAGTTCTCTTGTCTGTCCATATAAATTTTTGAATCAGTTTGTTCACATAATAACTTACTGAGATTTTGATTGGGATTGTGTTGTATCTATATATCAAGTTAGGAAGAACTGACATCTTGATAATACTGAACCTTCCTATCCACAAACATGAAATATCTCTCCATTTATTTAGTTCTTTGATATTTGAGTTTTGCAGTTTTGCTTATATAAATCTTGTACATATTTTGTTAGATTTATACTAAGTATTTCACTGTTGGAGGGAGTACTAATGTAAATGGCATAATGTTTTTAATTTCAAATTCCACTTACTCATTGCTGGTATATAGACAAATGATTGACTTTTTTATATTAATCTTGTATCATGCAACCTTGCTGTAATCACTTATTAATTTCAGAAAAATATTGTTAATTCTTTTGGTTTTTCCACATAGATAAGTATGTCATCTGAAAATAAAGACAGTTTTATTTCTTCCTTCCCAATATGCCTGTCTTTATTTCTTTTTATAAAAAACAAAAGTATTGCATTAGCTCAGACTACCAATATGATCTTGAAAAAGAAAGGTAAGAGGAACTCCCTTTCGTTTTTCCTTATTTTTGCAGGAAATTGTCTAGATTTTCACCATTAAGTATGATGTCAGCATAAGATATTTTTGTGTGTATATTATTTATCCAGTTAATAAAGTTTTCCTCTATTCCTAGTTTGCTGAGTTATTTGTCTCTCAGCAAAAACTCTCAGATTTGAATGAGTGTTAGATTTTCATCAAGTATTTTTTATGCATTTATGGATATGATCCTGTGATTTTTAGACTGTTAATATGATTACTTACCTTAATTAATTTTTCAATGTTAAATGAGCCTTGCATATTTGAGATAAATTTCCTGGTTATGCCATATAATTATTTTTATGCATAGTTAGATTTAATTTTGTTTTGTTATTATTTTGTTGAGGACTTTACATCTATATTTATGAGAACTATTGGTCTGTAGTTTTCTTGTAATGTCTTTGTCTGGTTTTGGTATTAGCATAATGTTGACCTCACAAAGTAAGTTAAGAAGTATTCCTTCTCCTTCTATCTTTAAGAAGAGATTGTAGAGAACGGATACAATTTCCTCCTTAGATGTATGGTAGAATTCACTGGCAACATATGAAATGTAAAGTAGTTTCCTCCAATTCTGTGAAGAAAGTCATTGGTAGCTTGATGGGGATGGCATTGAATCTATAAATTACCTTGGGCAGTATGGCCATTTTCACGATATTGATTCTTCCTATCCATGAGCATGGAATATTTTTCCATTTGTGTCCGCTCTTATTTGCTTGAGCAGTGGTTTGTAGTTCTCCTTGAAGAGGTCCTTCACGTCCCTTGTAAGTTGTATTCCTAGGTATTTTATTCTCTTTGTAGTAATTGTGAATGGGAGTTCACCCATGATTTGGCTCTTTGTTTGTCTGTTATTGGTGTATAGGAATGCTTGTGATTTTTGCACATTGATTTTGTACCCTGAGACTTTGCTGAAGTTGCTTATTAGCTTAAGGAGATTTTGGGCTGAGACGATGGGGTTTTCTAAATACACAATCATGTCATCTGCAAACAGGGACAATTTGACTTCCTGTTTTCCTAATTGAATACCCTCTATTTCTTCTCTTGCCTGATTGCCCTGGCCAGAACTTCCAATACTATGTTGACTAGGAGTGGTGAGAGAGGGCATCCTTGTCTTGTGCCAGTTTTCGAAGGGAATGCTTCCAGCTTTTGCCCATTCAGTATGATACTGGCTGTGGGTTTGTCATAAATAGCTCTTACTATTTTGAGATACTTTCCATCAATGCCTAGTTTATTGAGAGTTTTTAGCATGAAGGGCTGTTGAATTTTGTTGAAGGACTTTTCTGCATCTATTGGATAATCATGTGGTTTTTATCATTGGTTCTGTTTATGTGATGGATTACATTTATTGATTTGTGTATGTTGAACCAGCTTTGCATCCAAGGGATGAAGCTGAGTTGATTGTGGTGGATAAGCTTTTTGATGTGCTGCTGGATTTGGTTTGCCAGTATTTTATTGAGAATTTTCAGAGGCCTCAGAAATAACACCACACATCTACAACCATCTGATCTTTGACAAACCTGACAAAAACGAGCAATGAGGGAAGGATTCCCTATGTAATAAATAGTGTTGGGAAAACGGGCTGGCCATATGCAGAAAGCTGAAACTGAATCCCTTCTTTACACCTTATACAAAAATTAACTCAAGATGGATTAAAGACTTAAGTGTTAGACCTAAAACCATAAAAACCATGGAAGAAAACCTAGGCAATACCATTCAGGACATAGGCATGGGCAAGGACTTCATGACTGAAACACCAAAAGCAATGGCAACAAAAGGTAAAATTGACAAATGGGATCTAACTAAACTAAAGAAATTCTGCACAGCAAAAGAAACTATATCAGTGTGAACAGACAACCTACAGAATGTGAGAAAATTTTTGCAATCTATCCATCTGACAAAGGGCTAATATCCAGAATCTACAACCAACTTAAACAAATTTACAAGAAAAAAAACAACCCCATCAAAAAGAGGGCACAGGATATGAACAGACACTTCTCAAAAGAAGGCATTTATGCAGCCAACCAACATATGAAAGAAAAAAAAGCCTCATCACTGGTCATTAGAGAAATGTAAATCAAAACCACAATCAGATACCATCTCATGCCAGTTAGAATGGCGACCATTAAAAAGTCAGAAAACAACAGATGCTGGAGAGGATGTGGAGAAATAGGAATGCTTTTACCATTGTGGAAGACAGTGTGGCAATTCCTCAAGGATCTAGAACTAGAAATACCATTTGACCCAGCAATACCATTACTGGGTATATACCCAAAGGATTATAAATCATTCTACTATAAAGACACATGCACACGTATGTTTATTGTGGCACTGCTAACAGCAGCAAAGGCTTGGAACCAACCCAAATGCCCATCAATGATAGACTGGATAAAGAAAATGTGGCACATATACACCATGGAATACTATGAAGCCATAAAAAAGGATGAATTCGTGTCCTTTGCAGGGACATGGATGACGCTGGAAACCATCATTCTGAGCAGACTACCACAAGAACAGAAAACCAAACACCGCATGTTCTCACTCATAAGTGGGAGTTGAATAATGAGAAGACATGGAAACAGGGAGGAGAACATCACACACCATGGCCTGTTGGGGGCTGGGGGGCTAGGGGAGGGATAGCATTAGGAGAAATACCTAACGTAGATGATGGGTTGATGGGTGTAGCAAACCACCGTGGCACGTGTATACCTGTGTAACAAACCTGCACATTCTCCACGTGTACCCCAGAACTTAAAGTATATATGTGTGTGTGTGTGTATATATATGTATACGTATATATATATTTATGTATATATATATGTGTGTGTGTGTATATATGTGTGTGTGTGTGTGTATATATATATATATATATATATATATATATATATATATATATATATATATATATATATATATATATATATATATATATATATATATACACACACACACACACACACACACATAAAGGAATTCACTGGTGAATCCATCCGGGCTTGGTGCTTTCTGTTTTGGAAGGTTATTAATTATTGGTCTGAATTTGTTTTGTTTTTAAATTTTTATTTTTAATTTTATTGGGTACATAGTAGATGTATATATTTATGGGGTACATTAGATGTTTTGATATAGGCATGCAATGTGAAATAAGCACATCATGGAGAACAGGGTATCCATCCCCTCAAGCATTTATCCTTGAGTAATAAACAATCCAACTACTGTATTTAAGTTATTTTGAAGTGTACAATAATTATTGACTATCGTTACCCCATTGTGCTATCAAATAGTAGGTATTATTCCATTGTTTCTAACTATATTTTGTATTGTATCCATTAACCATCCCCACTTCCCTACTATTAATAACTCCTAATTACCCTTCTCAGCCCCTGGTAACCGTTCTACTCTGTATGTTCATGAGTTCAACTGTTTTGGTTTTTAGCTCCCATAAATGAATGATAAAATGAAGTGTTTTTCTTTCTGTACATGGCTTGTTTCACTTAACATAATGATCCACAGTTCCATCTATGCTGTTGCAAATGACTAGGTCTCATTCATTTTTATGACTGAATGGTACTCCATTGTATATATGTACCACATTTTCTTTATCCATTTATCTTTTTATGGAAACTTAGGTTACTTCCTCTTATTAGCTATTGCAAACAGTGCTGCAACAAACATAGGAGTGCAGATATCTCTTCAATATACTGATTTCTTTTCTTTTGGGTATATACCCAGCAGTGAGATTGCTGGATTATATGGTAGCTCAATTTTTAGTTTCTTGAGGAAGCTCTAAACTGTTCTCCATAATGGTTGTACTAATGTACCTTCCCACCAACAGTGTACAATAGTTCCCTTTTCTCCACATCCTTGCCAGCCTTTGTTACTGCCTGTTTTTTGGATATAATCTATTTTAACTAGGGTGAGATGATAGCTCATTATAGTTTTGATTTGCATATCTCTGATGATCCGTGGTGCTGAATACCTTTTCATATGTTTCTTTGCCATTTGTATGTCTTCTTTTGAGAAATGTCTATTCAAATATTTTGCCCATTTTTTGATCCAATTATTAGATTTTTTCCTACAGAGTTTTTCGAGCTTCTTATATATTCTGGTTATTAATCTTTTGTCAGATGGGTAGTTTGCAAATATTTTCTCCCATTCTATGGGTTGTCTCTTCATTTTGTTGATTGTACCTTTTGCTGTGCAGAATCTTTTTAGCTTGATGTGATTCTATTTGCCCATTTTTTGTTTTGGTTGCCTGCACTTTTTGGGTATTGCTCAATAAATTTTTGCCCAGACTAATGTCCTGGAGATTTTTCCCAATATTTTCTTGTAGCAGTTTTATAGATTGAAATCTTAGATTTAAGTCTTTAATTCACTTTAATTTGATTTTTGTATATGGTGAGAGATAGGATTCTAGTTTCATACTTCTGCATATGGATGTCCAGTTTTCCCAGAAAAATTTATTGAAGAGACTGTCTTTTTCCCAGTGTATGTTCTTGGCACCTCTGTCAAAAATGAGTTCACTGTAGGCAGTGTGGATTTATTTCTGGGGTCTCTATTCTGTTCCATTGGTGTATGTGTCTGCTTTTATGCTTGTACCATGCCCTTTTGGTTACTATAGCTCTGTACTATAATTTGAAGTCAGCTAATATAGTTCCTCCAGTTTTGTTCTTTTTGCTTAGGATGGCTTTGGCTCTTCTGGGCCTTTTTGTGTTTCCATATAAATTTTAGAATTGTTTTTAATATTTCTGTGAAGAATGTCATTAGTACTTTGATAGGGATTGCACTGAATCTGTGGATTGCTTTGGGTAATAAGGATATTTAACAATATTAATTCTTACAATCCATGAACATGGAATATTTTTTCAAATTTTGTTGGCTTCTTCAATTTCTTTCATCAGTGTTTTATATTTTTCATTATAGAGATCTTTTATTTCTTTAAGATAATTATTGTTTCATTTTTTGCATGGCTATTATAAATGGGATTATATTTGTATTTCTTTTTCAGATTGTTCATTGTTGTCATATTGAAATGCTAATGATTTTTATGTTAATTTTGTGTATGCACATTTACTGAATCTATTCATCACTTTTTTTGTTTTTTGGTTTGTTTTGAGATGGAATCTCACTCTGTCACCCAGGCTGGAGTGCAGTGGCATGATCTTGGCTCACTGCAACCTCCACTTCCTGAGTTCAAGCAATTCTCCTGCCTCAGCCTCCCGAGTAGCTGGGATTACAGGCAAAAGCCACCATGCCTGGCTACTTTTTGTATTTTAGTAGAGATCGGGTTTCACCACGTCAGCTAGGCTGGTCTCGAACTCCTGACGTCAGGTGATCCACCCACCTAGGCCTCCCAAAGTACTGGCGTTACAGACGTGAGCCACTGCACCTGGCCTGTTTATCAGTTTTAAAAGGTTTCCTGTGGAGTCTTTAGGATTTTCCAAATATAAGATCATATCATCTGCAAATAAGGGTCATTTGACTTCTTCCTTTCCATTTTGGATGCCTTTTATATCTTTCTCTTGTCTGATTGCTCTAGCTAGGACCTCAAGTACTATGTTGAATAATAGTGGTGACAGTAGGCATCCTTATCATGTTCCTTATCTTCGAAAAAAGGCTTTCAGTTTTTTCCCATTCAGTATGATACTATCTGTGGGTCTGTCATATATGGCTTTTATTATTTTGAGGTACGCTCCTTCTATAACAGTTTTTTAGGGTTTTTATCATGAAGGGATGTTGTATTTTATCAAATGTTTTTTCAGCATCAATTGAAATAATCATATTGTTTTTATCCTTCATTCTGTTGATATGATGTATACATTGATTGATTGGTGTAGGTTGTTTCTCCTTGCTTCCCAGGGATAAATCCCACTTGGTCACAATAAATGATCTTTCTAATGCATTGTTGTATTTGGTTTGCTAGTATTTTGTTGAGGATTTTTGCATCAATGTTCATCAGAGACACCGGCCTGTAGTTTTCTTTTTCTGACGTGTCTTTGTCTGGTTTTGGTATCAGGGTAATACTGACCTTGTAGAATGAGTTTAGACATATTTCCTCCTCCTTTATTTTTTAAGAATAGTTTGATAGGATTGGTATTAATTGTTTAAATGTTTGGTAGAAATCAGTGGTAAAGCCATGGGTCCCCAGGCTTTTCTGCATTGGAATTCTTTTTATTATAGCTTTGATTTTGTTACTTGTTATTGGTCTCTTCAGGTTTTGAATTTCTTCTTGGTTCAATCTTGGTAGGTTGTATGTATCTAGGAATTTGTCCATTTTTTCTAGATATTCAAATTTATTGGCAGATAGTGGCTCATAGTAGACATTAATTATCTTTAGAATTTCTGCAGTATTAGCTGTAATATCTCCTTTTTAATCTCTGATTTTATTTATTTGTATCTTTTTCTTCTTAGCCTGGCTATAGGTTTGTCAATTTTGTTTAACTTCTCAAAAAACCAACTTTCTGTTGCACTGATCTTTTATATGTTTTTATTTCAATTTTATTTCTTCTCTAATCTTCTTTCTACTAAGTTTGGGTCTGATGTGCTCTTGCTTTTCTAGTTTCTGAAGAAGTATCATTAGATTTTTTATTTGAAGTTTTTCTACTTTTTTGATGTAGACATTTATAGCTATAAACTTCCTTCTGAATATTGCTTTTGCTGTATCCCATAGGTTTTCATATATTGTTTCCATTGTTATTTGCCTCAAGACATTTGTATCTTCATATGATTTCTTGTTGCTCATTAACATCTTTCTTTCTGATTGAAGTACTCCCTTTAGAATTTCGTGTAGGATAGATCTGGTATTAATGAAATCCCTCAGCTTTTGTTTGTCTGGGAACGTCTTTATTTCTCCTTCATGTTTGAAGAATATATTAACCAGATATACTATTCTAAGGTGAAAGTTTTTTTCTTTCAGCACTTTAAATATGTCATTCCACTCTCTCTTGGCCTGTAAGGTTTCTGCTGAAAAGGCGGCCGCCAATTGTATTGGACCTCCATTGTATGTTATTTGTTTCTTTTCTCTTGCTGCTTTTAGGATCCTTTCTTTATTCTTGACCTTTGGGAGTTTGATTATTAGATGCCTTGAGGTGTGTTCTTTGGGTTGTCTTCTTGGTGTTCTATGACCTTCTTGTACTTGGATACTGACATCTTTCTTTAGGTTTGGGATGTTCTGTGTCATTATCCCTTTGAATAAACTTTGTACCCCTACCTCTTTCTCTACATCCTTTTAAAGGCCAATAACAGATTTGTCCTTTTGAGGCTATTTTCAAGATCCTGTAGCTATGCTTCATTGGTTTTTATTCTTTTTTCTTTTGTCTCCTCTGACAGTGTATTTTCACATAGCCTGTCTTCAAGCTCATTAATTCTTTCTTCTGTTTGATCAATTCTGCTATTAAAGGACTCTGATGCATTCTTCCATGTGCCAATTGCATTTATCAGCTCCAGAATTTCTGCTTGATTCTTTTTAATTATTTCAATCTCTTTGTTAAATTTATCTGATAGAATTCTGAATCCCTTCTATGTGTTATCATGACTTTTTTTTTTT
The DNA here is from genome assembly GCF_000001405.40 of Homo sapiens. NCBI lineage: Eukaryota > Metazoa > Chordata > Mammalia > Primates > Hominidae > Homo > Homo sapiens. The sequence continues at coordinate 19,982,718 of NC_000007.14, forward strand.
TTTTTTTTAGTTTCTTCAACACAGCTATTTTGAGTTCTCTGTCTGAAAGGCCACATATCTTTGTTTCTCCAGGATTGGTTCTTGATGTCATATTTAGTTCATTTGGTGAGACAGTATTTTCCTAGATGGTGTTGATGCAAGTAGATGTTCTTCTTTGCCTTGGCGTTGAAGAGTTAGGTATTTATTGTAGTCTTCACTGTTTGGGCTCATTTGTAGCCATCCTTCTTGGGAAAGCTTTCCAGATATTTGAAAGGACTTGGGTGTTGTGATCTAAGCTGTATCTCCTTTAGGGGGCACCCCAAGCCCAGTAATGCTGTGGTTCTTACAGACTCATAGAGGTACCGCCCTGATGGTCTTGAACAAGATCTGGAAGAATTCTCTGGATTGTCAAGCAGAGACTCTTGTTCTCTTCATTTACATTCTCGCAAACATACAGTCTCTATCTCTCCGTTAAAAACCATGTAGAGCTGGGGGTGGAGTGATACTAGCACCCCTGTGGCCACCAGCACTGTGACTGTGCAGGGTCAGACCTGAAGTCAGCACAGCACTGGGTCTCACCCAAGGCTTGCTGTAACCACTCACTGGCTGCTGCCTATGTTTGCTTTAGGCTCTGGAGCTCTACAATCAGCATGAGGCAAAGCCAGATAAGCCTGCGACCTGCTCTTCAGGGTGGTGAGATCCTCCAGACTCCAGGTGAGTCTAGGGGTGCAATCCAGCATTAAGAGACTAAAGTCTAAAACCTTAGAAGTCTACCTGGTATTCTATTGTACTGTGGCTGACCAGACAGTCAAACCACAAGATACACTTCTTCCTACTCTTCTGTCCTCTTTCCAAAGGCAAAGGCACTTCACCCTGTAGCCACCCCTGGCCACAAGGCATACTACCAGACTACGCCAACTTTCCCTTAAGGCCCAAGGGCTCTCAAGTTAGCTTGTGGTGAATGCTGCCTGACCTGGGACTCACCCCATAAGGCAGTGGGCTCCCCTCTAGCCCAGGGCAGGTCCAGAAATGCCATCTAAGAGTAAAGTGCTAGAATCAGGGATCCCAAGAGGCTTCTTTGTGCTCTAACCCTCTGTGGCTATGCTGGCATCTAAGGTACAAGAAAAAGTCCCCTTTACTTTTCCCTCTGCTTTTCTCAAGCATAAGTGGTTTTGTCCCATAGCCACCATAGCTGGTAATGTGATGAGTATCAACTGAAGCCAGCATGTCTCAGAGGCTCACCCATGGCCCTCGACAGAGTACCTGGGTATCACTGATGATTATTTGGGGCCCAAAGGCTCTTTAGTCACTAGGTGATGAATGCTACCAGCACTGGGTCCTTTCCTTCAAGGCAGTTTCTAGACAAACCCTCTGGCCCAAGGTTTGTCTAGAAATACCATCTGGGAGCTAGAGCCTGCACCAAGGGCCTCATGATTCTGATCTGTACCCTGTCTTTCTGTGGCTGAGCTGGTATTCAATAGGCAAGTCAAAGTCCTTCCCCCTCTTCCCTCTCCTCTCCTCAAACAGAAGGAAGGGGTCTCTTTGGATCCAAAGGCTGTGCAGACTGGGATTAGGGTACGGTGATGCCAGTACTCTCTTGGCTGCTCCAGCAGGTGGAGTACCTCAGTAGGTCCTGTGCCCCTCCCCCGCAGTCTACTGTCTTTGGGCCTAGTTTAGCACTAGCACTCACCTAAGGGTTGCAGTCCTTATGGCCTACACTGCCTTTCATGTTTAGTTGGAGACAGACCTCACCGTAGCCCTCAGTGGGAGGTTTGCAGGAACTCAAGTTCAGACTGCTGGGAGAGGTGATTACCCTCTGGGTAGAGCTGATTTAAATGCTCCCTCCATGGGCAGGTGTCAGCTGAGTTTGGCCAGGTTTTCCTTTCTGCTGTAATAGGATAGCACTGAGTCATTGCCTCACAATTGCTATGTTCTCCCTCCTCCAGCACCCAGAGATGCTCTCCTGAGGCCCAGACCACCACTGCCAGCCATGGAGGAGGAGTGGCGTTGGCGATTCAGGACTGCTTTTTCTGTCTCTTCAGTGCCTCTCTCAGCAACATGAAGGTAAAAACCAGGTACTGTGAGTGCTCACCTGATTTTTAGTTCTTGATGGTGTCTTTTCGTTGTAGATAATTGTTAAATTGGCATCCTTGAGAGGGGAACAATCAGTGGAAACTTCTAGTCTGCCATCTTCTTCCACCTCCCCTGATTTGATTTTTAATAGATTTATGTCTATCCCTTACATTTCTTTTGTAAGAATGTTTTCCTTTGTAACAAGAAATAACTATGTATTTGTTGAGAAATTGTGTCTTTTAAGGAATTGGCCTATTTTATCTAAGTTTTCCCAGTACTTTTAGTTCTGATATTAGTAATTAGTATCATCTCTATTCTTAGCTTTTCAATTTTTTCATCTTTTCAAAAAACCATCTTTTGGTTTTCTCTATTGATTTCTTGTTTTTAATTTCATTGATTTCTGCTCTAATTTTTATTATTTCTTTTCTTCTGCTTACTTTTGATTTTATTTACTCTTTCAAGTTTCCTAAGGTGGAAAACTAGAAATATCTTTCTCAATCCATTTACTTTTGCTATATGGAAGTAATTTCTCTAATGTTTGCAATATACCCTTACAGCTAATGCAAACCCACTTTCAAAGAGCATGCTATTGCTTCACAGGTAGTATGAATACCTTATATTTTAAAAAAATAATTAAAATGCCTTCCTCCCATTTCTTGTATCATAGCTGTCATTTACATCTAAGCATATATACTGTTCTTAGATACTGATATGGTTTGAATTTGTGTCCCCACACAAATCTCATGAGGAATTGTAATCCCCAATGTTGAAGGAAGGACCTGGTGGGTGGTGATTGGCTCAGAGGGGCCGATTTCTCCTTGCTTTTCTCATGATAGTGAGTGAGTTCTCATGAGATCTGGTTGTTTAAAAGTGTATAGCACCTCCCCCTTCTCCCTCTTCCTCCTGCTCTTGCCAGGTAAGACGTTCCAGCTTCCCCTTCACCATCCATCATTCTTGTAAGTTTCCCGAGGCCTCCTCAGAAGCAGAAGCCTGTACAGCCTGTAGAACCATAAGCCAATTAAACCTCTTTCCTTTATAAATTACCCAGTTTCAGGTATTTATTTGTAACAGTACAAGAACGAACTAATGCAGACACACACACACACACACACACACACAAAGATATATGTGTAAGCATACATAATGAAATACATTGTTGCTATTACTTTATGAACAAAATGTTATCTATTAGACCAACTAAGAATAAGAAAAATAAAAGCTTTTGTTTACCTTCATTTATTCCTTCTCTAATGCTCTTCCTTTTTTACGTAGATATGTGTTTCTGACCTATATCATTTTTCTTCTTTTCAAATAAATAACTTCTTTTAACAATTCTTGCAAGACAAGTCTACTGGCAACAAATTTATTCAATATTTATTTGTCTGAGAAAGGTTTTATTTCTCCTTCACTTTTTAAAATTGTGAAATAACACTTAACATGAGATCTGTTAACAATTTTTAAGTGTACACTACATAATTTTTGACTGTAGGTACAATATTGTAGAATAGATCTCTAGGCTTGTTTATGTTGCTTGAGTGAAAGTTTATATCTGTTGATTTCCAACTCCATTTCTCCATCCTCCAGCCCCTGGTTACCACCATTCCACACTTTGATTCAATGAATGTAACTATGTTAGTTACGTTACATAAATCATGCATTGTCTTTTTGTTACTGGCTTATTTTATTTAATATAATGTCTTTAGGTTGCATCCATGTTGTTGCATATTGCAGAATTTCTTTATTTTAAAAGGCTGAGTAGTATTCCATTGTATGTATATATCACATTTTCTGTATCCATTCATCTGCTGATGGCATTTAGACTATTTTTATTTCTTAGCTGTAATGAATAGTGCAACAATGAACACAGAAGTGTTAATATATCCACAAGATCATGATTTCAGATCCGGAATGGGATTTCTGGATCATATGGCAGTGCTATTTTTAAATTTTTGAGGAACCTTCTTACTATTTATAGCAGCTGCGCCATTTTGCATTCCCCTCAGCAGTACCATGCAAGGGTACCAATTTCTTTCCCTAGTATTGTTTCTTCTTCTACTTTTTTTAAGTAATAGTCATCCTGGTAGGTTTGATATAACACCTTATCATGGTTTTGATTTGCATTTACATTAAGATCAGAAACATTGAGTACTTTTTCATCTACCTCTTGGGCATTTACGTGTCTTTTTGGAGAAACGTCTATTTGAGTCCTTAGCCCACTCTCACTTCTACGAATTTTAATGTTTGGGATCTTACATTTAGGTCTTTAATCTGTTTAGAATAAAGTTTTGTGTACGGTGTGATATAAGGGTCCAGTTTCATTCTTTTGCATGTGGATTCCAGTTTTCTCAGTACCATTTATTGAAGAGACATTCTGTTTTTCATTGTGTATTTTGGCACCTTTCTGGAAAGTCAGTTGACTGTAAATATGTAGATTTGTTTCTAGGCTCTGTATGCTTTTCCATTGGTTTTTATGTCCATCTTTATGTCAGTGCATTCTGTTTAGATTACTGTAATTTGTAATGTATTTTAAAATCAGAAAATATGGTGTCTATGGTTTTATTCTGTTTGCTCAAGATTTATTTAGCTATTCAGAGACTTTTGTGGTTGCATGTGAATTTTAGAATTGTTTCTATATCTGTAAAAAAATACCATTGGGATTTGGTAGAGATTACTTTGGGTAGTGTGGACATTTTAACAATATCATGTTGTTCAATCCATGAAGATGGAAAGTCTTCATATTTGTTTTCTTCTGGTTTAATTTCTTTTATCAATGTTTTGTAGGTTTCAGTATATAAGTCTTTGACCTCCTTACTGAAGTTTATTCCTAGTTTATTCTTTTTGTGCTGTTTTAAATGGGATTTTCATAGTTCCCTCTTCAGATAGTTCATTGTTAGTATATAGAAGTGCAACTGATTTTTGTAAGTTGATTTTGTATCCTACAACTCTACTGAATTCATTCAATTTTTCTAACAGTTTCTAAAAGTTAACAGATTATACCATCTACACCAGGGAACATTTTACTTTTTCTTTCTTATTTGAATGACTTTTACTTCTTTTTCTTGCCTACTTGCTCTGGCTAGGACTTCCAGTAGTATGTTTAATAGAAACGGTAAAAGTGGGCATCCTTGTCTTGTTCTTGATATTGGAGGAAAAACTTTAAATTTTTCACTGTCAAGTATGATGTTAGCTGTGGGCTTATCATATTTGACCTTTATTATGTTGAGGTAATTTCTTACTTTTCGTAATGTGTTGAGAATTTCTATCATGAAAGCATAATTAATTTTGATAAGTGCCTTTTCTGCATTTATGATCCTGTAATTTTTATTTTTTATTATGTAATGTGCTATATTGATATTGTATAATAACATACATTAATTTTAAAAAGTTGAACCATCCTTATGTATCAGGTATAAATCCCAATAATCATAGTGTATGATTCTCTTAATGTTAGTATGATTCTCTTAATGTTATGTTGGACTCAGTTTGCTAGTATTTTATTGAGGAATTTTGTATTCAAATTTACCAAGGATCTTGGCTTTGTTTTCTTTTTTGTGATGCCTTTGTTTTCTTTTTTGTGATGCCTTTGTCTGGCATTGGTATAAAGGTAATGCTGGCCTGATAAAATGCATTTGAGTGTTCCTTGAGGTATGAAGTTAAATTGTTAATTAATATCCTTCCTCTTTATAATATAGTCATTCATTACTGTCAACTGCCCTCTTGGTACTGCTTTTGCTTCATTTCATTACTTTTGGTACGTTGTGCTTTTGTTTTTGTGGGGGAAGATAAAGCATTCTTATAGTTTATAAATCTGTGTGAGGGTTTGGGTACACCTGTGCTCTGGGACTGTGAACTTCGCCAGTGATTCTCAGTATTTTTTTTCCCTTAAGTGAGACAGAATGGCTAGAGGGTACTGGAGTTGGGTATTTCCCTTCCCCAGGTAAGTTAGACTCTGAAAAACAAACAAAACAACAAAACAAAACAAAACAAGGAAACAGCAGGTTAGGCTCTGGTAAAATAGTTTCTCTTGAATGCAGGCCTTTTTAAAGGACAGAATGCTATTGTGAATTCGAAATGTTTATTTTTTCCCTCCTTCATTGGAAGCCCTAGGAGATTTTTCTCAGATATTCACTATGAGAACCTGGTAAGGTTCCCGGAGGTAAGACTCAAAAAATTGTGGGGATCTGCCTGTGGCTTAACCTCCCTGAAAATTTTAACTCTCAGACTGATTCATACTGAGCCTCCAGCAATTAATCAATTACAGTTCATTTCTAAGTACTAATTTCCATGGAGGTTTCTTATCATGTGTTTCTGAGCTTGCGATGCTCTGTATTTGCCTGTCTCTCCAATTTTGGGTGTTAATAGATTACCCTATGACTGACTTCACTTCTCTGATGATCTAAGGGGAGTTTGTTTATTTTGTTCAGGTTTTTTTCTTGTTGGGATAAATTTGTAACTTCCAACCTGTTTACATGCTAGACTAGAAACCACAAGCCCAAAATATATTTTTTTCACTTAACCAATTATGAACATATTTCTCTCAATGAATATTTGCTTATTATCATCTCTAAAGGCTAGAAAGCCTTTCATCATTATTTACTTAACTTTTCCTCAAAATATTCTGGTTGTAATAAGCCACGCTATGGGAATAGTCTAATGTCTAAATCCTTAGACATTTGTTCATTTGTCCTTTATAGGATACATATTTTAAGTGGAAAGGGATGCACATTAATATTTTCTCATTTTATAAGGCCCCAGCAGTGCATGAATGTCCTCATTGTCCCACCCTTCCAACATAAATGATGATTTTAATTTTTAAAACTTAAATAGAAGAAAAATGCAGTTTATTTATTACTAGGTCCATATCTTCTGACTCCAGAGATTCTTCGTGTAACTTGTATTTTGATAGTATATAATAATATTCTTGGTAATTTATTATAAATTAATTTTTTAGGATCAAAACAAATTGAGGTCAAACTTGTTTCATGACTTGAGTGAAACACTTTTATTAGCCAAAGATAGCTTGTATTTTCTACCAACTAAAAAACCATTTTTTAAATTTATGATCCCTAAATACTTATTCTCTGAAGCTCACATCGACCCTATTGTCTTGAAATATTTTATTTTGAAAAGCAGGGATTTCTTCGTGACAGCCTTAACAGTATTGAAAAGAAAATTGCCCCACAGAGATAGTTTAGCCAGAGTCATAGTCTGAGTCCTGTTTGGGTCATACTGAAAGGATTAAATTTTTTCTATTTCTATTTTTACTTTAGCTTCAGTCCAAAAAAAAAAAAAAAAAGGCAGGAAAAACCACTAATCTCATATTAGCTTTAGGGCCACACTTTAATACCACTTTATCTAAATTTAGCTGCATTCCTTCCTCGTTAAAATGTTTGTTTAGAGCAGCTAAAAAGTAGGCATAAAATGCTCATGGTTTTACTATGAAATATATACACAAAGATAACTAGTTCCTTTCTAATTTAGACTTTATAATGGGGACCAAATGACATTCAAAATGTATTTTAAGAGAAATTAACAAGTATGACGAAATACTAACTAACTCCTTAGCCCCTTGTGTTGTTAAACTTTTTATTCCTTAACAACTTTATGCAAAAGATAGTAAAGGAACCTTCTTTAGACTTGTGGTAATTAGATATCTTTGCTACTAAACAAAATAAGCCATTTCCTTCTGTCAGTATATTATTAATATTATGATCAAAATGTCATGTAAGGTGAAATTATTTACATTCGAAATTTCCTTCTGTAGAAGTTTTTCTTTTAATTAAAAGTAAAATTTACCATTTTATTAATTCTTATGGCCCTGGAAAAAAATTATGTCACTTTTAAACATAATGCTTTTAAAAATATATTGAAAATCCCATTCCCAGAAAACTAGTCATTTGTTGAACACTATTTCAGACTTTTTTCTGTGCATCCACATGAATGCAAATTCTAAACATGTTATGAAACAGAGGTACATGGTGGTAGGAGAGAGTAAACTAAGGAGACACCATACATTGGGTACCTCTAAAAATTCCCCGAGATAATAAATTAGATAAAGGAAGTTTATTTGAGAATTTATCCCTGGAGCATAAGTGAGGTAATAGGGAAAGTGATCTAGGGAAGAAAACAATTTACTAAAAAGTGAGCTATCTCCGTGGACAGCAGGAATTCCTTCCTGCTAGAGACCGTCTAAAGCATTAAAGAACTCTGTGTAACACATATCAGAATTGTCCCACCAATATATGAGGAATCGGGGATAGTTTTCCACTGATTCTTTTTTCTCACTGGTCAAGATTTGCCTCTGGGGCATTGAATTCTAGGCACCCTCAGGTTGGCCAGCTCATAGGTTAAAAGCCCCAGTAGTTCCCAAGCAAGCCAGGCAAATAAGCAAAAAAATGACACAGGCACCTGAAATGGGAAGAGATCAGTGTGCACAGAAACTGTCCACTCAGCCGCAGATCAACTCAGAAGTGGATGGGGTTGTAATTTAACAATATGTGCTACAGGAAAATTGAGCTACTGATGAAGGCTTGAAAAGATTCCCCCAAAGGAGAAACACTGAAAGTAATAAGAACATTCGTTTTTGTAATAAAAGCAATGGAAGCCATTAAAATGTTTTAATCAGTGGCTTACAATGAATAGACATGTACCTTGAAAACCTTAATCTGGCTGCAGATTGAAGATCCAACACGATAACAGCCAGAACCAATAAGTATATGCTCCTTCCAAGATTACTGTAGTTGCCTAGGCTGGAGGTGACGAGGTTCTTATACTAATATAGTCCAGAGTTTAAACATATAGAGTTGCACCAGTCTGCCCAGGTTTGTACCTCTCTGTGCTCCCTTGTAGTAACTCACATAACCTCCTATGTCAAGATTCATTATTTGTAACATGGTAATAAAAGTACAATTTACCTCAGAAGTAGCTGAGAAAATTAAATGGGTTAGTAAATATAAAAAGCTTTTAGAAGAGTGCTTACACATAGTAAGGTGCTCTATTAATTTTAGCTATTACTTTTAAGGAGGTATAGTTGGAGATAAAATGGAAAAACAGGATATGTTTAGGAAGAGTAGTCAGGGTGACCTGATAGATGTGACTTTAGGTATAAGGAAGTTTCAAGACAGATTTCTGGGTTGTGCCTTAAATAATTGGATAACAAATGGTGTTAGTCATTGAGACAGTGAAAACAGGAAGAAAACAAGATTCAAGAGGAATATTTCCTGGCTGTATTTGGGACATGCTGGATCTGAATTAAGCTGGAGATATCCAAGAGGAAACACCAAGTAGGCAGTTGCATATAAAGGTTTAGAGCTTAGATGAGAGATCTGAGATAGAAATACAAAGTTGTGAGTCATCTAGATAGAATTGGGAATTGAAAGGACGGTGTAGATGGGCTGAGCACAGAGAGAGAACAGAAAGCTGCACGTAACAAAGAAATGTTAATAGAACATAGTGTTAGGTTTAGGCAAAACTGTGAAGTATGTAAAATTTTGGGTTTTCTACTCAAACATTTCTATTTTCCTGCCTTTATATTGATAGCCCTTATAAATTTTTGAATGAATTCATATTGCTTTTAGCTACCCATTTATTTATTGAGCAACAACTTGTGGAACAACTCCCATGGACCAGAGACCATTCTCCATGCTAAGTATATAGCAATGGACAAGAGAGAAATATTCTTTACTCTCATGAAGTTTGATAAATATCGTATAGTGAAAAAGCTAAGCAGAGAATGAAAGTAAGGTGTGGTGGTAGAATATGACTGACTACATTAGTTTGGGTAAAGAAAAGTCTCTCTGAAGAGATGGCATTTAAGCAGAGATTTCAAGGATAAGATGGAAGCTGGCATTTGTCCACCAAGTAGAAGACCATTCCATATAAAATTCATCCACTCTTAAAAACAAACTAGTGGACTAAAGGAGCAGAGAAGGACTATGTGGCTACAGGGAAAGAATTATGGGAAATAAATTTAAAAGGGTGGTCAAGGACTAGATAGTGTAAGGCTTTAAAAACAAGAGGAAGAAGTATGATAATAAATACATACAATAGTAAAACAGTGTAGAGTTTTAAGGAAAAGAATGATGTGATCCAATTTATGTTTTAAAAATATCACTATGGCTGCTCTATGGGCAATATGTTACAGAAAAGATAGAACCAAAGCAAAGAGACCATCTTAGAAGGCTAGTGTTATAATCCAGATACAAGGGATGGTAACTTGTACAAGATTGGAAGTATGTAGTGTAAAACAGAGAGAATTAAACAAAATACACTGAATAATTAGATTAAAAAAAGGAGAGAAATCATACATAATTCTTAGATTTTAGGCATCTGTAATACAATGGTGCCATAGACTGAAATAGAGAATACTGTGGGAAAATTACCTTACCTATAGAGAGATATGGATAAGAATAACAGTAGATTTTTCAAAAGAAACTATGCAAGAAAGAAAAGAGTGGACTGAAATATTTAAAGTTCTGAAAGAAAAAATCAACCTAGAATTCTATATTCAGTGAAATTATCCTTCAAAAAGTGTACCTAGAAAAAAAAGAAATTCATCATAAGCAGAATGCCTTTGCAAAAAATGTTGAAAGTTCTTCAGGCAGAAGGGAAAGGATATAGGTTAGAAAATTTGATCTGTGTAAAGAAAGTCATGGCATCAGAGAAACAATGAAGAAGGTAAAATAAAATGTATTTTATTATTTATAATTGATTTAAAAGATAACTGTTAGCTTAAAGCAATAATAACAGTAAGTATTGGGTGATTATAGGACATGGTAAATCAAATGAATGATAGTAATGCCATAATAGATGGGAGGAAGAAATTGAAAATATGCTATTATCAAGTAATTGTGCTGTACTGAAATGGCAGAGTATTTTTAAATGGGCCGAAATTAGTTAAGAATGTATATTGTAAACTTCAGGGAAACTACTAAAAAATCTTAAAAGAAGTACAACTGATATGCTTAGAGAAGAGATAAAATTGAAATCGTAAGTTTTTACTTAAGAGGAGGCATAAAAATGATGGGTGGGGGAAGAACACGTAATAAATGTAATAAATAGAAAACAGTTACAAACATAGAACAATTTCAATAATCACTTCAAGTCAATTAAAAAACAGTGATTGTCAGAGTGGGGGAAAAAAACAAGACTCAACCATGTATTTTATAAGAATCAGAATCCCACTTTAAATGGAAATACCTAGTTACATTAACAGTAAACGGGATAAAGAGAAAAACATCAAGCTAACACACTAACCAAAAGCAAGCTGAAATAGTAGTAGTAATTTTAGACAAAGCCAAAATTCAGAAAAATGAAGATCACCAGGAATAAAGATAGGCATTACATAATGATAAAAGGGTCAGTTTTCCAAGTAGATATAATAACCCATACAATATATTTACCTAACAAAATAAGTATAAAAATACATGAGACAGTAACCGATAGAGCTGATATTAGAAATAGACAAATCCATGATTAAAATCAGACTTTAAAACACTTCTTCAGTGATTGATAGATCAAGCAGGCAGAAAATCAGTAAGAATATAGTTGACCTGGACAGTAATATCAATTAACTTTATCCACCTGACAATTACAGAATACTCCATTAAACAACAGAAGGATATGCATTAATCTTAAGTGAACATAAAGTATTTACTGATACAGGCCACGTTCTCATCCTACTGATACAGGCCACAGTCTCATCCATAAAACACACCTTAATGAACTGATGAATGAATTGATGTTTTAGCCTTTACTTTAGGTTCAGGGATATATGTGCCTATTTGATATATAGGTAAATTGTATATCATGGGGGTTTGGTGTACAGATTATTTCATTACCCAGGTAATAAACATAGTACCCAATAGGTAGTTTTTCAATCCTCACCCTCCTCCAACTCTTCATCCTCAAGTAAGCCTGAGTGTCTTTTGTTCCCATCTTTGTGTTCATGTGTACTCAATGTTTAGCTTCCACTTATAAGTGAAAACGTGGTATTTGGCTTTCTGTTTCTGTGTTAGTTTGCTTAGGATAATGACCTCCAGCTCCTTCCATGTTGCTGCAAAGGACATGATCTTGTTCTTTTTTAAGTCTGCATACTACTCCATCATGTTTATGTACCACATTTTCTTTATCCCATCTATCATTGATGGGCATTTAGGTTGAATCCATGCCTTTGCTACTGTTAATAGTAATGAAAAGAACATACACATGCATGTAGAAGTACTTACATACCTTTGGGTATGTAAGTACCCAATCATGGGATTGCAGGGTTGAAAGGCAATTCTGTTTTAAGTTCTTTCAGAAATTGCCAGACTGCTTTCCACAATGGCTGAACTAATTTACATTCCCACGAGCAGTTTATAAGCGTTCCCTTTTCTTCACAACCTCACCAGCATCTCTTATTTTTGACACTGTAATAGAGTAGCCACTCTGACTGGTGAGAAATGTTATTTCATTGTGATTTTGATTTGCATTTCTCTAATGATTAGTGATGTTGAACATTTTCTCATATGCTTGTTGGCCACGTGTATGTCTTCTTTGAGAAGTGTCTGTCCATGCCCTTTGTGCACTTTTTACTGGGGTTGTTTGTTTTTTGCTTGTTAATTTGTTTAAGTTTCTTATAGACTGTGGATATTAGATCATTTTCAGAGGCATAGTTTGCAAATATTTTCTCCCATTCTGTAGGTGGTCTGTTTACTCTGTTAATAGCTTCTTTTGCTGTGCAGAAGCTGTTTAGTTTAATTAGATACCATTTGTCAATTTTTGCTTTTGTTGCAATTGCTTTTGGCAACTTCATCATGAAATTTTGCCACAGCTTATGTTCAGAATGGTATTTTCTAAGTTATCTTTCAGGGGTTTTGTAGTTTTAGCACATTTCAACAAATTTAAAGTAATAGAAAGTATACAAAGTATGCTCTCAGACAAGAATATAATAGAAAATATTAATAGAAAGCTAGAAATTTTCCCCAAAATAATTGGAGTTTAAACAACATACTTCTAAATAACATATGCATCAAAGAAATCTCAGAATAAATTTAAATCATATTTTGAATTAAATGAAAATGAAATACAACTTATTAAAATGTATGAGATGTGGCAAAAGTCATGCTTATAATAAAATTTATAACATTAATAAATATATTTTTAAATAGAGATCTAAAATAAAAAACCTAAGCTGCTTTCTTAGGAACCTATAGAAAATGAGCAAAATAGCATAATGTAAACAAAAGAAAATTAAAATTAGATAATAAATCATTAGAATTGAACAGGAAACAACAAAGAGAACTCTAATAAAACCAAAAAATGGTTCTTTGAAAAATGTAAATATAAATTAAAGACCTATAGCTAGGATAATGAAGACAAGACAGAGAAGGCATGATTTGAAAACACTAGCAATAAAAAAGGCACTCATTCCTACTGATGCAATGGAAATGAAAATAATAATAAAAGAATGCTCTCAATAAATGTACATCCAAAAAATTGATAACTTAGAGGAAATGGACCAATTTCTTGAAACATACAAGCTACCAGATCTCATACAAGGAAAAGTAAGCAATCTTAATAGGAATACATCGATGATAGAAATTTAGCCAATATTTATTATCCTTAAAAAAAGGCCCAGGTACTTTTGCAGGTAAATTCTACCAAGCAGTTGGAATAAATAATACAGATTCTACGTAATCTCTTCCATAAAATAGAAGGAGAGAAATACTTTGTGACTTATTTAAAGAGGTCAGAATCATCCCAATACCAAAAGAAGATAAAAAGAAATCAACAGACCGATATCTGTCATAAATATAGGTGCCAAATTCCTCAACATCTTTTGTTTTTTTAGCCAGAGTCTTGCTTTGTTGCCCAGACGGGAGTGCAGTGGCATGATCTCAGCTCACTGGAACCTCTGCCTCCCAGGTTCAAGCAATTCTCATGCCTCAGCCTCTTGAGTAGCTGGGATTACAGGCTCAGGCTACCAAGCCCAGCTAATTCTTGTATTTTTAGTAGAGATAGGGTTTCACCATATTGACCAGGCTGGTCTCAAACTCCTGACCTCAAGTGATCTACCAGCCTCAGCCTCCCAAAACGCTAAGATTACAGGCATGAGCCATCACACCCGGCTACAATGTTTAATATCTATGTTGATGTATAATTTACATACCCTAAAATTCCCCTATTTAGTATACAATTCATAGATGTCCAACCATCACTGCAGTCTCAGTTTAGAGATTTTTGTCACCTCCAAAAGAAACACCATCCTCTTTAGCAGTCATGCCTGCTTCCCAAGCCTCCTAGCTATAGGCAACCACTAATGTACTTTCCAGTCTCTATGGATTTGCCTATTCTGGACATTTCGTATTAATGTAATAATACAATATGTGATCTTTTATAATGGGCTTCTTTCACTTAATATATTGTTTGCATGGTTCATACATGTATCTACTTCATTCCCTTTTAATATCAAATATTTTATTGTATAGATATATCACATTTTGTTATCCATTAACCAATTGATTGATAGATATTTTGGTTTTTCCCCTTTTTGGCTGTTGTTATAAAAATGCTGCTATGAATATTTGTTGTACAAGGATTTTTAATGCAGCATTGTTTATAATAGCAAAATTTGTCAATGGCCAAGACTAAATAAAATATTCTATATTCCTGAGTTATAATAGAGTAGTTTTAACAAAATGAACAAAACTCTCATGAATACAACATGTAAATATAAATAAATAGAGAAGTTGGTGGTTCTTCACTGTTCCAATTTGCATTTCTAACTTTATGTTAACTTGAGATTGTAAGTAAGAATATTATTGTATTTCCTAATCCATAAAATAGTGGATGGAAAGGGAAATGTATCCCACCCTGAATAAAACTTTTTATTGATGTTCATTGTTAACTGTTATGAAAGTGGTTTTCTTTACCACTTGTAATGAGAATAAAATACTTTTATTTACTCAGAAAATGGGATGTTATGGAATGTTAATGAAAAGTTGATAGCATGTTAAGCTCTCAAGTGCCTTTGGGTTTTATGTGCTTTCAATTTATAGTGGCAACTATGTGCTGGGTTTAAACTGTAATATTACCAGACTTGAATATGCAAGCAAATCTTTGAAATACCCAGTAGATAGATACATAAATTTTTTCTTTAAAAACAATTTGTTATTTCACTTATTTAACCATAACCTATTTAGATGAAAATGAAACTAAGGAAGTAAAACCTTTGTATTATAGTGAAACAATTTATTTGTTCTTAAATGCTTTTCCGTATGGTTCTCTATCATTACAATGATGTGTCTCTCAAGAAGAATAATTAAATAAATTAAAGATCATGGTCCCATGGTAATCATATACAAAATATATTGTTTCTCTTATTCATGATCACTTAAAATAAAATTTTAATTTATTTATTCCTGTTATTAGAGAGCAATAGAATTGTTTTTCTTTCCATATAAGTGTTTTCAAGTTTTTAATAAAGGATGCCAATAAATGCCAGAACCTATTGTTTTAGAACAAACATTTAATTTGAATCAGTTATACAGGGTAAATCTACTGAATGGTTTTATGAGATTATTTCTATCATATGCCACATTCTTTCTGGAAACATGGGACTCATATATAAAGAAGTATTAAAAAGAAGGAAATAGAAAAACTGAAAGGCAAATATATAAGTAACTATTTTTATCTGATTATCTGTATGCTTAAAAAAGGAGAGCTAATGTGAAGTGTCAGATTCTTTGTAACAAGTTTATATATTCTTTAATTCTTGAAACTATCAACTCTCTTTTCCCTATCATTCATTTAACCGTTTTTTTCTTTCCTTGAAAATTCTTAAATTGTAGTTGTAGTCTATTTCTAATGGACCAATAGAAAGATGAATAAGGGAGTAAAAAAATGTTTGCAATAGGAAAAGAAGAAAGTTCAAAAGAAAAAAGCTCGTGCCCATAGATAACTCCCTTGAGGAAATATTCTTGGGATTTTGGATTATAGCATATAATTGCATATAATTTTCCAAAGCTGGTAATCAAGTTTCAAAAAATATTAAGATGCCTGCATGTCCTGAGAGTTTTTTCTCTATGCTTGCATGAATTTATCCAATTTATTTCTTCTTACAAAAAATTCATAAACATATAACTCATAAATGTATAACCAGAGATATAGAGGATCTAAATTTCTATTTTTCTCATCACTGAGAGGGTTTTAATAAATAATTTCTTACCAGAATCTCTAAGCCTGTTAAACATTCTAGGGAAAATACAGTCAAACAACTCAATAGATGCAGAAAAAGCATTTGACAAAAATCAACATTGTTTCATGATTAAAAGCTCTCAACAAATTAGATATAGAAGGAATATATCTCAACATGATAAAGGCCATATATGAAAAGCCCACAGCAAATATTGTTCTCAGTGGTAAAAATCTGAAAGCATTTTCTGTAAGAAAAGTATGCCAACTCTCTCCAGTTCTATTGGGTGATGTAGTAACAGAAATCCTAGCTAGAGCAATGATAAAGGCAATAAAAGGCATCCATATCAGAAAAAAAGTAAAATTGTCTGTTTGCGGATGACATGATTTTTTATATAGAAAACCCTAAGAGTCCATAAAAATACTGTTAGAACTAATAAACAAATTTAGAAAGTTGTAGGATACAAAATCAACCTTCAAAAATTAGTTGCATTTCTATATACTAACAACAAACTACCTGAAAAAGAAATTAAGAAAACAATCTCATTTACGCTAGTATCAAAAACTAAAACACTTAGGAATATATGCAGCCAAGAAGATGAAAGATTTGTACACCAAAAACTATAAAACAGTGATGAAAGAAGCCGAAGAAGATTCAAATCAATGGAAAAATATCCAGTGTTTATGGACTGGGAGAATTAATATATTAGCATATCCATACTACCCAAAGTAACCTACAAATCTAATACAACGTCTATCAAAATTCCAATGACATTTTTCACAGAAATAGAAAAAAGAATCCTAAATTTATAAAAATCATAAAAGTATCCAAATAACCAAAGCAATATTGAGCAAGAGGAAGCAGACTGGAAGGATCACACTACCTTATTTCAAAATATACTAGAAAGCTATAGAAACCAAAATAACATGACACTGACATAAAAAACAGATGCATAGACAAATAGAACTGAATAAGGAGCCCAGAAGTAAACCCACACATTTACAGTCAACTGATCTTTGACAAAATATCCAGAACACACAATGGGGAAAGGGCAGCCTCTTCTATTTAGTACTGAGAAAACTGGATATCCATATGCAGAAGATGGAATTGGAGTATCATATTATACCATATACAAAAATAAACTCAAAATGTATTAAAGGCTTAAATGTGAGACCTGAAACTGTGAAACTACAAGAAGAAAACATAGAAAAAAGCTTCCAGATATTGTTCTGGGCAATTGTTTTTTAGCTATAACACCAAAAACACAGGAAACAAAAAGCAAAACTAGGCAAATGAGATTGTATCAAACTACAAAAAAAGTCTGCATAGCAAAGGAAACAATCAATAGAGTGAAGAGACAATTTACTGAACATGAGGAAATACTTGCAAATTGTACATCTGATAAGGGGTCAGTATAAAAAATACACAAGGAACTCAAACAACTCAATAGCAAGAAAACAACCCAATTTAAAAATGGACAAAAGACCTGGAAGACATTTCTTCAAAAAAAGAAAAAACTTACAAATAGCCAATAGTTACATGGAAAAATGTTCAATATCACTAATCATTGGAGAGATGTAAACCAAATCCACAATAAAATATTACCTCACACTTGCTAGAATGGCTATTATCAAAAAGACAAAATGTAAGTGTTGGCAAGGATGTGGATAAAAAGAAACTCTTGTAAACTGTTCGTGGGAATGTAAATTGGTACAGCCATTATGGAAATCAGTATGGAGGTTGCTCAAGAAATTTAAAATAGAACTACCATATGATCCAGCAATCCTACTCCTGGTTATATATTCAGAGGAAGTGAAATCTGGTCTCAAAGAGATATCTGTACTCCAGATTCACTGCAGGCTTATTCACAATAGCCAAGATATGAAATCAATCTAATCCAAAAATAAATTAATAAAGAAAATGTGGTATGTGTTATAGATGCACAATGGTATAGTATTCAGCCAAAAAAAGGAAATCCAGTCACTTATTACACTATGATGAACCTGGAGGACATTATTCTAAGTGAAATAAACCAGGCACAGAAAGACAAATACTGCATGATATCATTTATATGTGTGACCTAAAAAAGTGCAATTCATAGAAGCAGAGAATAGAGTGGTAGCTTCCAGGGCTGTGGGATGGATGAAAGGGGAGATGTTGATAAAATGATACAAAGTTTCAGTTATGCAGGATAAATAATTTCTGAAGATCTAATGTACAGCAGGGTGACTATAGTTAATCCTACAGTTAACCCTTAAACAAACGGGTTTGACCTGGGCAGGTCCACTTATGTGCAGATTTTCTTCTGCCTCTGCCACCCTTGAGACAGCAAGACCAACTCTACCTCTTCCTCCTCAGCCTATAAGACATGAAGACAATGAAGGTGAAAACCTTTATGGTGATCCACTTCCACTTAATGAATAGTGAATATATTCTCTCTTCCTTAGAGTTTTCTTAATAATCTTTCTTCTAGCATATTTTCTTATTAGAATATAGTATATTATGCATATAACATAAAAAATATGTGTTAACGGTGCAGGAAAAGAAAACCAAATACCACTTGCTCGCACTTATAAGTGGAAGCTAAACATCAGGTACTCATAGACATAAAGATGGTGACAATAGACACTGTGGACTACTAAAATGGGGAGGGAGGGATGAGGGCAAGGGTTAAAAAACTAACTGTTGGATACTATGCTCACTACCTGGGTGACGGGATCATTTGTACTCCAAACCTCAGCATCATGCAATATACCCAGGAAACAAACCTGAACATGTACCCCCTGAATCTAAAATCAAAGTTGAAAAACAATGAAATAAAATACAAATGTTAATGGACTGTTTATATTATTTGTAAGGCTTCCCGTCATCAATAGGCTATAAGTAAAGTTTTGTGGGAATCAAATTTATATGTGTATTTTTGACTGCTAGTTGGGGTCAGTACCCCTAACCCTTGCATTCTTTGAGGGTCAGCTCTACTACTATATAGTATACTGGAAATTTGTTAAGAGTCTAAATCTTAAATGTTCTCGTCACAAAAATATTAACCAGGTGAGAAGACAATTATGTTATTTAGCTTAATCTTGATCATCATTTTACAATTTATATGTATGCCAAAACATCACATTGTATACCGTAAATATATACAATTTTGAACTGTTGATTATATCACTAAAGCAGGGGAAAAAACAAAGAACTTCATATAAGACATACGAGTCTTAGATCATCACAAATCATGAGAAACCTGAAAGAAAACATAATTAGTGTGGTAAATCCAAAAACAGAAAATAATGTTCTATATGCTTGTCAAGAGCAATGCATTTTTTAAATAAGAGAATTTATCATCTAGACAAAATACATCATGGAATTTGTAGATTCCCCTTGTTTCCTTTGATTATAATTATACGATCATTTCAGGACACAAATTTATCTTTGATTATCTTCATCAGAACATGATGTCACTATTTCTGGCAGTAAACATAAACATTTTTAACAAATAAGGGTAAATATTTTCTAGCCTACTTGCTTTGCATTACCTAGAATTTGGGAAATCAAAGCTGGCATTTTCTACCTATTCTACAGTTTCTTTTATCTTTAGTCCAAAAAAGTAGATTATAGGTTTACATTATTTAGGTAATCACAGAGAGTATTAACTTTTATAGCTGCAGAGAAAACCAATTCAAATTTCAAAACTACTATGCCATTTCCCTACATTAGGTTACTCTCCTCTGCAAATCTGACAAGTTGGCATCCAAGCAAAATTTAAATGATCACCTTGCCCTTTCGGCCGGAACCGCCATCTTCCAGTAATTCGCCAAAATGACGAACACAAAGGGAAAGAGGAGAGGCACCCGATATATGTTCTCTAGGCCTTTTAGAAAACATGGAGTTGTTCCTTTGGCCACATATATGCGAATCTATAAGAAAGGTGATATTGTAGACATCAAGGGAATGGGTACTGTTCAAAAAGGAATGCCCCACAAGTGTTACCATGGCAAAACTGGAAGAGTCTACAATGTTACCCAGCATGCTGTTGGCATTGTTGTAAACAAACAAGTTAAGGGCAAGATTCTTGCCAAGAGAATTAATGTGCGTATTGAGCACATTAAGCACTCTAAGAGCCGAGATAGCTTCCTGAAACGTGTGAAGGAAAATGATCAGAAAAAGAAAGAAGCCAAAGAGAAAGGTACCTGGGTTCAACTAAAGCGCCAGCCTACTCCACCCAGAGAAGCACACTTTGTGAGAACCAATGGGAAGGAGCCTGAGCTGCTGGAACCTATTCCCTATGAATTCATGGCATAATAGGTGTTAAAAAAAAAAAATAAAGGACCTCTGGGCTACAAAAAATAAATAAATAAATAAATAAATAAATAAATAAATAAATGATCACCTTAAGTATCAGTTTCTTTTGTAAATGAAACAAAATCACAGAAGATGAGTAGTGACTCAGCAAAGATGCAATATTGTCTTATTAAGGGTAATTTTTCTTGATTCATGGTCTTCCACAATTATCATGACCTACTTAGGAAAATTCTTGCAAGATGGTTGTAAACATGTACTGAGGACAGGTTTATTTGCCTCAAATTATATATATAAATTTCTTCAGTCCTATGTCAAACAATGGTTTTAACCTTTCCCTGCAGGTAGGGTCACATGACTCCCAGTGCAGACCAAGCCACAGCCAAATGTTTAAAACTAATCTTGCCCCTTGGGCAAAGGGACTTGAAGAACACAAGTCCATAATCACAGGGTAAGTATCAGTCCAGTTTTGCTGCCTGTCTGATCCTGAATTTATTTCCGGTTTGCCTTCTTCCTAAGTCCTAGTTTTTGCCCAATTTTTATGACTAAATATCTGCTTTATTTTCTATGTCTCAGCCCCGTGACTTGGCAGCCTGTTTTACCCTATGTTTTACTATCAGTGATCTCTTTCCTAGAAAATGAGATTCTCCTCCGAAGCCCAGGTTAAAGACTAGTGCCCTCCAGAAGATCTTGAGATACTGCCTATCTAGCTGATTGTTTTCTCCTTCTGGGTTCCCACTACTGTGTGCTCCTTCCTGCCCCAAACCCTATGTGCAGTTTGAACATTTTCTAATTGCCCATTGCCAAGATTTTAAAATCATATTATAACTACTGAAATTAGCAGTTACAGGTAGCTTATTTATGTATTCATTCATTCATTCATTTATTAATTCATTCATCTATCTATCCATCTACTCATAATTTGATTCATGTACTCACCGATTCATTTATCAAACATTTAAAATACATCTGTGTGCCAGGAATTTTGCTGGGACATTGGAGAGCATGAACTTGTTGACAGATCAAAAAAATTCTAGGAAGACCACAGCTATCTTAAATGTTTTCAAAGATAGTAGCACCATTAAGAAAAACAGACAAGAGGAGAAATTGATTTTTAAAAAATAATAAAATCTGTTTGTAATATGAAGAGTTTAAAGTGCCTCTAGACTCTTATTACTCAAAATATTGCTCATGGACTAGGAGTATTGGCCTAAATTGGGAGGGTTTAAAATGCACACTCTAAAACCTTCCTCTCTTGAACTACTTAACCTAAATCCGCATTTCAAGAATATTCCCCGGTAATTCTTATGCACTTGAAAGTTTAAGAGGGACTGTTGTTCCAGACTGTTTAGGTTGAGGTGTTCAATAAACATCTTAAAGTAATAGTCTGAAATTCAGGAGATAAAGAAGTGGAATTCATCAGCACATGGATGGTAACTGAAGTCCTGTGTGTGTTAGACAACCTAAAGAAATGTCAAAAGAAGACAGATAATTGAAGGCAAAATTTCATGATTGCCTTTTTCCATCTGCCCTTGAATCTTCCCATATTAGAGGAAAGAGAGATGATAAGAGAAATAAGATAATAAACCTTAATGTTTAATTAACGAATTAAGTATTCTTTAATTCTCTTCATCTTCTCCTTGACTATGGCTATTAGCTAGCAAAAACACTTGTTCTTTAAAGGAGAAAGACAGCATAACATGCAAGCTATAGACTAATGGCTTGGACTTTATCTCAGCAATATTCAAAGGAACATTATTAAAAGGGTGGTTTTTGAGCACTTAAAAAGGAAGCAATCATGAGGAATCAGGATGTATGCATTTATAACAAGTCATAGTGGATAGAGTTCATTTCTTTCTTCCATAGGCTTACTAAACAGAAATGTATCAAGAATGACATATCCGGGCTTCAGCAAACCATTTAACAAGATTTCTCATGATGTTTTTAAGGACAAGATAGAGAGAATGTGGCCAAGTACAACAGCAGTTAGGTTGCAAAGTACCTAGTTAGATAATCCTTCCCCAGATGGTGCTAATTAATGTCGGCCTGCCTAGTGGTTTCCAGTGGCATGCCACTCGGCCCTCCATCCTTCATTCTGTACCTCTGGTTGAAGATTCTGTTCAGTGATTGGGACAAAGAAAAAGAAGACATATTTACCAAATTTCAACACACACAAACTGAAGATTTGCTGGTATGTTAGGTGACACAATTATGATCCAGAGAATCTTGGCAGATTGCACTATTTAACTGAATCTAATAAGATGAAATTTAATAAAAATAAATATTAGGTTGTATATTTTAAGGCAGAAAACCAGCTCTATAAGTACTATAAGTTGGGGAAAAGGAGGCATAGCTGCATTCTGACTATAGAACAAATAAAAAATACTGAATATCTTAATTGACAGTGAGCTCATTAATCTAAGTGCGAAGAGGCCACCAAAAAATGCAATCTAAATGTAGATGCATTAATGAATAGAGAGCACTGATATTGAAAATGTATACATTGGATTCTGTTCTGCTCTGACCACTACTAAAATTTGAAATGTTATTATAAACAAAAAAACAAAAGGCACATTCATTGTTATTACTTAACAGTATTTATGAAGAGATATTTTCATTGCTATGGGAAATATCTGTCCATTGTTCAGGAACTAGGAGATGCAACTGAGATGAATAGTTAAATAGGCTTCTCTCTCACTCTCTTTAGGTCAAAACTGTGATGTACAGATTTTGTTAGCACTTCGTATAAATATAAAATATCACTGTGCATTATATGACTTGATGGCCAATTATATAATAAAAAGGAATAACAAGCAAAGATGAATAATGGCTTATGCAGTTTTCTCCTTTAGCCGTACATTTAATCTATAGTCATGTGCCACATAATAATGTTTCAGTCACTGATGAACCACATAAATGACAATGGTCCTATAAGATTTTAATAGAGTTGAAAAATTCCTGTTGTCTATTATTTGCTATGCTATACTTTTTCATCTTATTTTAGAGTGTAGTCCTTCTACTTATTTAAAAAGAGTTAACTGTAAAACACCCTCAGGTAGGTCCTTCAGGAGGTATTCCAGAAGAAGACTTGGTTATCATAGGCGATGACAGCTCCATGTATCCCTGAAGACCCTCCTGTAGGACAAGATGTGGGGGCGAAAGACGTGATATTGATGATCCTGATCCTGTGTAGGTCTGGGCTAATGTGTGTGTTTGTATATTAGTTGTTAACAAAAAAGTATAAAAAGTTAAAAAAAAAAATTAGAGAAAACTTATGGAATTGGGATATAAAGGAAGAAGTTTTGTACAGCTGTGTAATATATTTGTGTTTTAAGCTAAGTGTTATTACAAAAAAGTCAAAAAGTTAAAGTCTATAAAGTAAAAAAAGTTACAAGAATCTAATTAGCTATTGAATAAGGAAAAATATTTTTTAAATAAATTTAATGTTACCTAAGTGTACCGTGCTTATAAAGTCAACACAGCATACATCAATGTTTTAGGCCTTCACATTCACTCACCACTCACTCACTAACTCACTCAGAGCCATCTCCATTTATGGTAAGTGCCCTATAGAGGGGTACCATTTTTTTTCTTTTATACCATATTTTTACTGTACATCTTCTATATTTAGCTATGTTTGGATATACAAATACTTATTGTAGTACACTTGCCAACAGTATTCAGTACAGTATAATGTGCTGTATAGTTTTGTAGCCTAGGAGCAATAGGCTATGCCGTATCGCCTAGGTGTGTAATAGGCTATACCATCTAGGCCTGTGTATGTACACTCTGTGATGTATGTAACCCTATCATTAAGCATGACTGCATTCTATTAACAGGAATCCCTGGTGGCCACCACATTTCAAAATATAACATTTAATATAATTTTCCCTTAGAATGGATACATTAATTAGAGTAGGCTGTCTGCTTTGCTGTTGACTTGAAAGGTATAATGGACTAAACCTTTGTTTATTTCTTGTTTACGTAGATTCCATAAAAGGGCTCCTGATTAGTGGATGACTTTCCTCCACCTGGTCTTTCACAAACTTTGTCTCCTTCTACTTTGTAGTCTGCCATCTTCAGCATATTCCAAGATTGTTATTCTTATCTGAATTAAGTGAAGAAGGGAAAAGAAAGTGAGAGATTTTTGGAACATGTGTATGGGAAGTAGCATGCATCACTCCTGCTTAAAATCCACTGGTTAGAGCTCAGTGACATGGCCACACCCAGATGACAAGGGAGACTGAGGAATGTCGTCTAGCTATAGTCTAGGAAAAAGAGAAAAAATTAGTTTGGAGAACAGCCATCTTGGTTCTCCTTCTATGTGGCTCTATAAACATCTTTTCTGAGGATAAGTAAATAAACTGGACAGAAAGGCTACTAATAGTTGCCAAATTATAAGGCAAATATACAATAAACAGTCTGTGTTGGTCCATTCCTGCAGTGCTATAAAGAAATGCCTGAGGTTGGATAATGTATAAAGAACATAGTTTTATTTTGGCTCATGTTTCTACAGACTGTAGGAAGCATGGTGCTGGCATCTGCTTCTGGTGAGGGGTATTAGGAAGCTCACAATCATGGTGAAAGACTGAAGAGAAGTAGGCCTACCACATGGTGAGAAAGAGAGAGCAGGAAAGAAAGTGGGGAGGTGCCACAGTCTTTTAAACAAGCAGATCTCCCATGAGCTACCTGAGCAAGAATTCACTCATCACTAAGGGGATAGTGCTAAGCCATTCATGAGTGATATGTCCTCATGATTAAATACCTCCCACTGGGCCCCATTTCCAACACTGAAGGTCACATTTCAACATGAGATTTTGAGGGGACAGAGATCCAAACCATTTCACAACCACATGGCCATTAGAATCACAGAATATGCCATATAAATTTAAAAAAAGTATGAGAAAGTTTTTATTTTTTAATTTTTTGAGGGAGGGTCTCGCTTTGTCACCCAGGCTGGAGTGCAGTGGTTGCAAACACAGCTCACTGCAGCCTCGACTTCCCTGGACCCAAGCAATCCTCCCTCTTCAGCCTCTGGAGTAGCTGGCCCTGCATCTAGCTAATTTTTATGGTTTTTGAAGAGATGGGGTTTCGCCATCTTTCCCAGGCTGGTCTTGAACTCTTGAGCTCAAGTGATCCACCCACCTCAGCCTCCCAAAATTCTGGGATTACAGGTTTGAGCCACCATGCCTGGCCTGCGACAGCTATTAAATAATATAAAGAAAAATACCTCAAGAACATGACTTAATGGTAGGAGAGACTATCCAGAATATACAAAGTATCCCTATAGCTTGAAACCCCCAAAACAAACATCCCAATTTAAAAATTAGCAAAGGAGTCAAATACACATTTCTTCAAAGGAGATACATACGTGGCCAATAAGCCACATGTATAATGTGGCCACCTCCCTAAAGATGCTTAACATCAATAATCATTAGGGAAATGCAAATCAATACCACAATGAGATACTACTGCATACCCATTAGGATAGCTACTATAATTAAAACCAACAAACAGAAAATAACAAGTGTAGGAGAAGATATGGAGAAGTTGGAACCCTTACGCACTGTTGGTGGAAATTTAAAGTGGTTCAGTCTGTACTCAAAACAGCATGGCAATTACTCAAAAAATTAAAGCAAAAATTACCATATGATCTGGCAATTCCACTTTGGATTATGGACCCAAAAGAACTGAAAGTAGAGTCTCTAAGAGAGATATTTGTATAGCTATGTTTATAATAGCATTATTCACAATAACCAAAAGGTGGAAGCAGCCTGTGTCTATTGGTAGATAAATGGATAAACAAAACAGTATGTCATATACATATAATGGGATATTATTTGCCCTAAAAAGGAAGAAAATTCTGACATGCTATGGATGTGGATGCACCTTGGGGACATTATACTAAGTGAAACAAGCCAGTTACAAAAAGATAAATGCTGTATGATTCCATTTATATGAGATACCTAGAGTAATTATATTTGTGCAAACAGAAAATAGAATAATGGTTTCCAGGGGCTGAGAGGAGGAGGGAATGGGGAGTTATTGTTTAATAAGCATAAGACAGAAGGTTATATGAATAGTGGAAACTTCCTACAAGAGAATGTTGTGGAGAGCATTCAGAAGACAACAGAACAAGAAAGATACCTCTCTTTTTGCTATGCTTAGGAAGGATATTGGAGGAGAGTGTTCTTATGAGGATATGTTTGGACATTTGACTCAGAGGGGAAAAAAAGGATCATTTCAAAAACAGAAGGTTAAATCTAAGGGGAATATTTTTGCACCATAAGGGAGGGATTTCTTGGAGGTGGTGGAGGGATTGGCAGTTAGCTCAAATGTGCCTCTGTGTTCTTGGATTATTTATTTTCTTTTTGATTCTGGTTTGTTTTCTGCCATATTATGGCCATCATGTGGTGCTTGTTTGATGCTGCAATTCATCTCATTTTGACACTTTTTATTTTTGAGAGTAGATCTCCTTGACAAACATGCCGATAATGGAGACCATCTCTTACTGAATCTATCACTGCTTGTTTTCAGTTTAAACATAAACTAAAATCTGTCCCCTGACTCCTATGATTGTATTAAACTCTTTCCGAAAGGTATTCAACATGTAAGAGAAATATTTATGGGACAAGCAGTATTCTCACCTATTCCTAGCTTGGATTCCACAGATTTTATACATGATGGGAGAAAACACTGCCCAACTTGATCTTTTTCAGTAGAGTGCTTACTCATGGGGATTTGTTTTTTCTGCTCCTGCTCTGATTTCAGAAATTTGAACTGTCATTCAAATTGACTTTAGCTGACAGAAATAACTTATCCCTTGTGGGAAGACTTTGGAAAAGTCTAGGATTAAGGAGACGAAAGTCCAGTGCTTCTCTGACATATTAACCCAGTGTACCTGATTAATATTAAAGAAAAGCCATGGCTTTTATAACCCTCTTCTTATAAAAGCCAGAATTTTTTTTTTTAAGACAGAGTCTCACTGTGTCACCCAGAATGGAGTGCAGTGGTGTAATCTTGGCTCACTGCAGCCTCTGCCTTCCAGGATCAAGCAATTCTTGTGCCTCAGCCTCCCAAGTAGTTGAGACTACAGATGTGTGCCACCACACCTGGCTAATTTTTTTTTTTTTTTTTTTGTATTTTTAGTAGAGATGGGGTTTCACCATGTTGGCCAGGCTGGTCTTGAACTCCTGACCTCAAGTGACCCACCCACCTTGACTTCCCAAAGTACTGGCATTACCAGAATATTACCTCTTCTGAATTTTCTTAAGAAAATAAAAACTCCTTTCAAATATTTTCAAAATACAGTATAAGAAAATATTGTACGTGTGCTAAATGTACTTTGATCTACTTAGAAATCAATATAGCCAGATGGAGGTTATATTAATTTTCAAAATGAGTAACGATAGTTCTTAGTAATATTAATGGATATGATCATACAATTGTTAACTATGTGCCAGACACTGAGCTAAGTAAGAACTTTGCAGGCATTACTTCATTTAATCCTTCAAGCCTCCTGCAGTATGGACTATTATCATACCTACTTCACAGAAGAAATTGAAGCTTAAAGAAGTTAAGGACCTCGTCCAAGGTCAAGGAACTCTTAAGTAGCAGAACCAATTACTTAAAAAAAGAATGAAAACATAAATTTCCACTCAAATCTAAGCCCTTTGGTTTGGACTATGCCTTTGCCCATTACTTCTGGCTAGAAAATGGTTTTTTTGTGTTTTTGTGTTCTTTTTTTTTTTCCCCTCCCTGGGCAGTTGGTGAGAACTGTCTGAAAACAAAACAAAACAGAATCAAAACAAAAACAATTTTCCCACCATGCAGTCTTCTATTTTAGGACTTTGTGTCTTGTGTTGTTGGTTTTGTTTCTCACATCGAGCTTGATTTCAGCCAGATTTGTTGTCTGTTTTCTCATCATATTTGAGCCTTCACTTTCCTTCATCATTGTTGACTTTATGATGTTCTGTTCCCTTAATGATTATTTTTAAGATATGGTGCAGAGAATTATATTAAAAAGGCAAGCAGAAGGTATATGCATCTGAGAACTGGGAAAGGAACTTAAACTTTCATCAAGAGAATCATGAATAGATAATGATGATGAGAAAAGGAGAGTGGGATATATACAAGGTTATCTACACAAAAGAAAACGACTGCTCACCTAAGTACTGGCAAGATCCAAAAGAAAGAGAGAGCCTGGGGCATTTGACAGCACTCTGTTGTGTTACATAGAGAAAGTTTAACATATTCTCAA
This sequence comes from Homo sapiens, assembly GCF_000001405.40. NCBI lineage: Eukaryota > Metazoa > Chordata > Mammalia > Primates > Hominidae > Homo > Homo sapiens. The sequence goes on from NC_000007.14 coordinate 20,011,505, forward strand.
CAAAACCCACCAAAATGAAAGAAAAAATCCAAGTTAAGAGATTTACAAAGCTACATTTTATGACCCACTCTTGACAATTTATGTGTGTGATGAAACCAGGAAAAAGATATGAAGGGCAAGATGACAGAGTGATTCACTCCATTAATCACCTCACCCAAACTCTACCAAAACCAATAATGGTCCTTATTTACCATATAATGTTTACTCAATAGAATTAAATACAACAATCAAGAGCTATTGCTATGCCCATACTGTGGATCAAGTGAAATTAAGAGTGATGAAGTAATTTGTTCCAGATCATACAATTTTTCAGTGGTAAAAATGTTATATGAAGTTAGTTGCTGTTACATCAGAGCTTAATTTCTTAAGCAGTAGGCTGTTGATCAAGCGTCACTCACTTGATATTTCACTATTGCTTCTTTTAAGAGTTAGGTACAGCTAACTCTTGGGAAAAGTTGATTTTTTTCTGAATATGTAAACCTAAAAAATACTTAAAAATTATCAAGGTATAAATTGTCTGGAGATGAACATGTCATACTTACTTTTTACTAAAAGGGGCTGTAAATCACATTGCCAGATTTATACTGAAAAGCAAAAAGCTAATTCCTATATGCTTTAGGTAGAGCAGGATCTTAGGCTGAAGGGACTCTCCTACCTGTATACAGAATGGTACAGTATTATTAGTCTAAGCCCCTGTGTTTTTGCATTGTTCTCATCCTTAAGTATAATAGGATGTAGAATACTTGTGTAATGAAACCGCTATTTCTTTCTATTCAACTATGAACTGAGTCAGCACAATTTTCCCAAGCCTGACATTTTTAATACTGTTGTAGTTTTTTTGGTCCTATAGGTATTTGGGTACAGTGGAAGGTGGCCAAATAGGGAGGCCGTAGTAGGCTGTGCTGTTTGATGCTCCTAAGTGAGTAGGTTGAGATAAGGGCTGGGTCAGAGACCCAAGCAGCTAGTGAACTAATAGAAATTGACTGGAGCAGAGAAAGCAAAATGGGCAATTCCATGCCATATTCCTTAAAGGGGATATGAGGAGGCATAGAAAGCCAAAAGAATACGGTTGCCAAAGTCAATTCCTTCCTGGTTTTCTGGCATAAAACTGGTTTATTACAAAGTTCTTTAGAAAAGTGACTCAATCTCACAAAAACAATCAACCTTAGCCAAATTGAGTGAAATTATATTAACATTTTACCAGTCATCTCTTTGGGTTTAACTGATGACAATCAATTCCTAGTGCATTTCCTTTCATTCTGATGTATACTATAAAGTTTGGATGTTAACATAAGGATCAGAACCTCTCTCCAGACAATGGGCCTACAGAAATGAACTGTATCATTTTCAACAGCCATTTGTCTTTTCTAGCCAGAATCATAGTCCAACATTTTTCCTGTTGGTCAGGAAATAGCGAAGTACAGACTTTTATGAGGTTTTTGGCTATTTAGTTTCCTTTTTTTTTTTTTTTTTTTGCCAGAATTTAAGTATTCTAAATACAGGGATGAGAGAGATAGAGAAAATGAAAAAAGAGAAATGGCACATTTAAAAACCAGCAAATGAAAAATGGAAGTCATTTAAAGTAGTAAGTGAAGAAGAGGAATTTAGCAAGGATGTAAATGTTTTATGAGTAGTCTCTGTTTTACATAATTTGTATGGCTTAATCCTGGTTATGATTCTATAACATTGATTATTAACAACATTAGAATAAATATTCCCTAAAATTAAACAATGAATTATATCACTAATGTGTTTGATACTTTGGATCAATTTTCCTGGATCTTTGTGATAAGTATGATTGTCATTATAGCATACTTCAAAATGAGATAAAAGTGATAAGGACAATACTTTTAATATTTCCACCAAAGTGATATTGCCTTAAATCTTAGATAACAGAAGTCAACAGTAGAATCTGGAACATTTCCCAAGCATGCACCATTTCTAATTCTTTATTTCATCTCTGCCTGGAAGAGTTAGAGAATTATAATAGTCTCTAAACCAGTATAAAAAGGGCAGATTCTGAGCAAAAATTTGGATGGCAGACAGGCCTGGCAGCGCCACAAAGATGAAGAACCGGGGAATGCCTGGATAAAGCAACAGACTTGGTTCTAGACGCTGTTAAACTTAATTTGGCAGTACCGTATTTGACTTGAAACTTAGTTAAATATCCTGCAGTGGGTGGTTCTGAAAATAAAAATCTAGTTAATCCATCTGGCCTTTTAGCTATGCAAAGTATAGAACAATTTGCCTGGATTCTCTCTTTCCATTATTCCCTCTCTGATGACTTTCATTGCTGGAATCTATTTTTGGCATTCGTATATCAGAAAAAACTAGCTGAGCATGCTCTGAATCCTCCTCTATCAATAGACATTGATAGCAAAGCTTTTCAAGGCATAACACGTTGACAGCCATACATTAATTATCTTTCTGGGGGAAAAAAAAGCACACAGACATTAGAAAAGATGATATTTTTATACTTCCTTTTACTATAACACAGCTCTATTTTTTTGAAATGAGGTTATATATAGATGCAACTTAGTGCTCTAGTGACTAGATTTTAAGATTCTATAAACTATCAAACCATTATGTAACCTACTCAAATAATGAGTCTTTTAAAATGGAAAACACCCAATCATAAAGTGACAACAATTGAAAGCAAGAATGAATTTAGGTAACATTTACATCTGATGGATATAAACCTCAACGTCTGTGGAAATGAATGCTAAATATAGTTAATCTAATTTACTAAGCAATCTTCTTTAAAGCAATTCATTCTTCTTCAGCAAATTAAATAATAAACACATATCTTTGGAATGCAGTTTTCCTTTGTTAAATGTATCTAGAAAAACCCACAAGGATTAAGTGTAATGAAACAAAACAGAATACATAAGAGTCTTTTTAATTTCAGTCACATTTCTCATTTGCTGTGGGAAATGTCTTTTGGCTCATAAATATAAATATATCTAACATCAATAATATTCAAAGAATTGTACATTTAAGCAATAAGAGACTACTTTAAAAAATCAACTTGAAAAAATATTAAAAAGAACATAAATTACTCAGTATTACTGAGGCAATGAAGAAACATGCTTACCCAACACACTGTTGGTGAGAGTGTGAAAGGGTAAAAAAAAATTCTGGAGTGCTATTTGACAATAAAAATACAAATATTTTTTGACCCAGCAATTCCACATCTAGCAGTTTAATGACATAACTAAAATAGTATATATATATATGTGTGTGTGCGTGTATGTGTATATATATATATATGGCAGCAAGAAGTAAATATTATGTGTGTGTATATATACACATATACACACATGTATGGCAGTGTTATTTCAAAAAATTAGAAACAAGGTAAGCATAAATAAAATGCAATAAACAATGCATGCATGATATAGCCAAAGAATGGAATTATATGAACCAGAAAAAAATCTTGATTTAAATATAGTTTTATTTACATGCTAATTTATTGATGATTATAGTATTGTATTAAGAAAAGGACATTTTTGACATTTCTGGGAGCTATGACAATCTTCTGTTTTCATGTGTGTGTGAGAGAGAGAGAGAGAGTGAGAGAGAAGGACAGACAGAGGGATAGACAGAGAGAAAGAGATGTGGGAGGCGAATAGAAGAAACAGAAATGGTAGAATGTTGAAGCGGAGTAATGAGTACATGAGAGCACAACTTACTAATCACTCTACTTTTGTGAATGTTTGAAAATTTTTATAGCAATATTTTTAACACAAGGTTACACATCATTTTTTAATAGCAATATTTTAGGTGGTAGAATTGTAAAGGTTCCTTCTCTTCTTTTGCTTATCAGTGAACACAGATTACTTGGTAAATGTTTTAAAAGTAAAAATGAATAAAAATTAAGTCTATGGGAAAACATGTTTAGCTTTTTGTTTCCCCAACCCTGAGCTCCATTCAACTATTGTTGACAACTCTACCTCCTCTCTCAGACCTATCTGCTCTCCAAGCCAGTTGTTACCTAGGGCTAAATGGATACAGAAGGTTGTACCTCAGAAAAATCTTTGGTTGAGCATCAGTCTCTTTGCTGATGCTAAAATATTCATTTTAGAGTCAATATTAAATAATAAGAGGATCACAAATCAAGAAAATTATGTATCGAATGAATATGGAACTTCATTCACTTCTTTAGTAAATGTCTAAACAAGCCCATCTCCTGCTGTGCCATTTCTTGCTGTTACATAGAACTGATACTTAATTCTTGGCAATTTCCCTAGGCCGAGCTCTTTTTCTTGTCTAAACACCAATATTCTGGTTTGTACTTCTGTGTACAGGGTCAATCACATCTGCCTGCTCCTCTTCACCTTAGTCAAACCTCATCCTCTCAAATCTATCCTCACATGGGCCTCTGGCCTTCTGATCTGGCCTTTGCCCTTTGTCTCCCTAGACTCAAGGCATCATTTCGTTTTTCTCTTGTTAATTATCTTTACCCAACTGGTTTACAAGGCAAGTTGTTCACATCTGTTCTACCTCCTACCTAACCAAACTATCTCCATGGACTGCACTGCTCTGAGGCTGCTTAAGTAACAATGAAGCCAACCCTTCATTAGCAGAGAAAATAAAACCAAGCTGTGTCAGTTGTGAATGTCTGGTCTAGCAGTTTTCAGCATCCTTATATTCTTAGAGATTTAGTATATGATTGGAGGGAAAGGTTGACTGTAGACATAGATTACCTGGAGTCAAATCCTGGGTCTGCAACTTGGTAGTTGTGGAAACTTAGACAAATGAAGTGCCTCCGCATTACCATTTGTAAAGTTGGAGTAATATTCTCCGATTATTAAATAAGCTAATATAAATAAAGCCCTTAGAACAATACCTGATACATAGAAAGACTCAAATTAGTATTTGTTCTAGTTACTTACTCTAATATTCATGTTTAACTTCTTTGAACATAGTCATTACTAAACAAATACGTATGGGAAAATTTAGAGTGAATATTAAATAATAAAATAACAAAAGTAAAAAAGTTATGTCTTGGATGAATGTGTAAGTTCATTCCCTCCTTTATTAAATATTTATTGAGTTTCTGTGATGAGGCAGTCACTGTGCTAGCTACTGGGCAGATGACTGGGAATGAGATAAATGAAGCCTTTGCCCTTATGCACTTACATTATAATGGAGCTTAAATTTGAATTGATGAAGGAATACATCAGTGGCTTTGTGAATGCCAAGGCATATGATTGTAACCTTTATTCTGAAGTGGCTTTCTCTTTGCCAGATAAGAAAAGGCATCTTCGGGCATGGTCAACTATTTTGGAAATTCTGCCTCTGTTCTTTGTGACCTTGGAAGATGATTCATAATTGTATATTTATTAATCATGATAAAAATTGCTGACTCATTTTATAAGATTCAATTTTAATAAAACTTCATACGTGATGCTTCACATCAGCATAGCAAATAAAATATTAGCCCTGATAAAATATTCACTTTTTTGGTTTTGCTTCATTATTCTACAAAAAACCCCCATAATGTTATTTTTAATTATTAGATTGGTGCAAAAGTAGTTGCAGTTTGTGCCATTACTTTTGCACCAACCTAATATATATTTTACAACACATGTTTATTGATAGACTTCCAATAATACATAAAATAATAAAGTAAAACATCAATGGAAATCCAATTATCATGAGATTTAATAAACACTATTAATATGTTGTGATTTTCTTTTCATGAATCCCTTATGCACTCATGTAAAAATTTTACATAAATGGAATGATATTACATAAGAAGTTTTAGCCATTAATACTTTTCTTTCTTTTTTTTTCTTCTTTTTCATTTTGCCTCTATGAACAGTGCTGAAACAAACATCTTATGTATTGATGCTTTCACTTCTTTTTTTTTTTTTTTTTTTTTTTTTTTGAGACAAGAGGGTCTCATTCTGTCGCCCAGACTGGATTGCAGTGGCTCGATCTCCATGAACTGCAACCTCCGCCTCCCAGGCTGAAGCCATTCTCCTGCTTCAGCCTCCCGAGTAGGTAGGATTACAGGCATGCACCACCACGCCAGGCTAATGTTTGTATTTTTAGTAGAGACAAGGTTTTACCATGTTGACTAGGCTGGTCTGGAACTCCTGACCTCAAATGAGCCATCCACCTCGGCCTCCCAAAGTGCCGGGATTATAGGCATGAGCCACCGTGCCCAGCATGAGGCTTTCACTTCTATAGGTTAAATTCCAAAAGTAGGATTGCTAGGCCAAGGGGTATATATAGTTTTAATTTGTATTGACATTGCCCAGTCGCTTTTTTTTTTTTTTTTTTTTTTTTTTGAGACAGAGTCTCACTCTGTCGCCCAGACTGGAGTGCAGTGGCGTGGTCTCGGCTCACTGCAACCTCCGCCTCCTGGGTTCAAGCAATTCTCTGCCTCAGCCTTCCACGTAGCCGAGATTACAGGTGCCTACCACCACGCCCAGCTAATTTTTTGTATTTTTAGTAGAGACGGAGTTTCACCATCTTGGCCAGGCAGGTCTTGAACTCCCGACCTCGTGATCCACCCGCCTCGGCCTCCCAAAGTGCTGGGATTACAGGCATGAGCCACCGCGCCCAGCCTTTTTTTTTTTTTTTAATGGAGTCTTGCTCTGTCTCCCAGGCTGGAGTGCAGTGGCCCGATCTTGGCTCACTGCAACTTCCGCCCCCCAAGCTCAAGCGATTCTCTTGCCTCGGCCTCCTGAGTAGCTGGGACTACAGGCCTTCGCCACCACACCCAGCTAATTTTTTGTATTTTTAGTAGAGAAGGGGTTTCACTATGTTGGCCAGGCTTGTCTCGAATTCCTGAGCTCAAGCAATCAGCCTGCCTCGGCCTCCCAAAGTGCTGGGATTACAGGCATGAGCCACCGCGTCAGGCCCCCAGTTGCTTTTCTGAGTAGTCATATCAACTGACAGTCTACCAGCAATTTATGAGAGTTCTCATTGCTCCGTTGCCTTACTAATGCTTGGTATGTTGAGGCCTTTAATTTTTTAAAGCAATTTATTGAGTGTAATAGTATCCCATCTTAATTTAGATTTATATTTCCCTGATTCAATCTTCTCTGAATTACCTATTCATTTTGGAGGGGTTCACTGAACTTTCTAAATAGAAGGGCTTTTGTCTTTCATAAAATCCAGAAAATATCTGTAATTATCTCTTCTAATGTTGTTTCTCTTTTATTCTTCCTCTTATATGCTATTAGTTATAGAACTTTTCACTCAATCCACTATGCCACTTAACCTTTCATATTTTCTATCTTATTTGTCTCTCTCTGATATTTCTGTGTACTCTGTTGATACCTCAGTTCACTAGTTCTTTCTTCAGTTATCCCTAAGCAAAAATATCCTTTCTATTAAGTTTCTAATTTCAGTCCTGTAGTTCTTTTTAGTAGACTTACCTGATTTTTTTTCAGATCAGCTAGTTAATTTTTGGTAGACTTTCAGTCTTCATTTTACTTTTAGTACCATCTTTTATTCCAATAAACACATTAGGCATTTTTACCTTATTTTGTAATCTATGTATGTTATTTAAAATCTGTAGTCTGTGTGCATATTGTTTTGCAGAAATCTTTTTGTTTGTAATTGTAATCTTTTAAAAATGTTATTTGCAAGAGGAAGGTTAAGTATTTTGCCATATCATTGGAAAATAAAGATAATTTTTTTAATTTTTCCTAATATTGATACCAGTTATTTATGTTTCCTTCCTAACTGCATTTAGAAATAGCTCCACAACAATACTGAATGTTATTAAAAATAGTAGCATTCCTCTCTTATTTCTGATATTTTCTCTATTTAATCATATCTACTACTCCCTCTTGGAAATTCTGAGTGCTAACAGACTTTGTAAATAAACAGCCGACATTCATCACAATCCACAAAATGCAAACAAAACAATACATTTAGTATCTAGCAGTCATCTTCAAGGAATTGCATGTGCATGGCATCATTTAAACATTTTTTAAAAAAACAAAGAAAATTAAACAAAAATACACAGAAAATTTTTAAAAAGTTAGTTATTCTGCCTTAAATTCTACAAAAAAGACAAGAAAGATGATTGAAAAACATAAATGCACAAGGATAAAGCCAACGTGAGAAGACAGTACTACAACAGAGTTTGGGAAACTAGAAAGCAGGTGTATCAATTTACTATGGCTACTTTAAACAATACCTCAAATTTGGTGACTTAAAACAGCGCACATTTATTTTCTTACAGTTCTGGATATCAGAAGCTCAAAGGGTTTCAATAGATTAAACCAAAGTGCTAGCAGGGGTACACTTCCTCAGGAAGCTCTATGATGGAATCTCTTTCCCTGCCTTTTCCAAATTCTAGAGCTGCATTCCTTGCATTTCTTGGCTCATCACCCCTTCCTCCACCTTCAAAGCTAGCAGCAAAGTATCTTCAATTCTCTGTTTCCATCATCATATCACCTTCTTCCTCTTTTGTGGTCAAATCTCTGTCCACCCTCCTCTCATGATTATATTTAGGAAACACCTGGAAAATCCCCCTCTCTGAAGATACTTAACTGAATTACATATGCAAGGCCCCCTTTTGCCATGTAAAGTAACTCTCTCAGGTTCCATGAAATAGATCTTAGATATCTTTGGGGCACATTATTCAAGCTATCACTGAGGTAAGAAGCTTAGTACCTCAAAGCTGAAAACTACACTATCAGTAAGGAAAGCAACTGACATTTTTTTCACAGAAAAATGCTAACTGAGGCTTAGTCATTGAAGGCAGCAGCCAGGTACCTCTGCAACAGAGGGTAATGGGTGGTGTGAAAATTAAGAGAATCGATTAGCTATAGAAGAAGGTACAAGATTCCACAGATTACTTTCCCAACCCTTTTCTGTCAGGTCACTGCCTCTCTCCCCATGTCATGGAATCAGGGACACTGCACATTGCTAACGGAAAGGGTACCACATGGAAAAAAAGGATATTCATTAACCAATCATTGAAGCCCAGTCACCTTTCCCCAGCTGGATCTAAAAATGCTACATAAGATGTATCAGCCTATCAATAGTTGGCTAATAAATGAGTATTCTTTGCTTGCGGAAATGTACCAGGAGAATAGGAGAACAGCAGACACTGGGAAAGGCAGATCTCCTGATAAAACCAAATTAAGCATCATAGAGTAAATCCCACCAGTAGACAGGGCCCACACAGCCACACATACCTTGAAATCAGATTTTTATTGTCTCTGTCTTAAATCTGAATGGAAAGTCTCATATAGCCAGACATAGAAGAAAGCCTTCATTTAGAGGACTGAAGCAAGCCTCTAACATAAAGGGTGAAGACTTAAGTAAACAAAGGGTGGCAGGGGGAGAAACTCATCAAAGAAGCAAAAGAATTTTTAAATTTTCTCATAAAAAATGTTGGAACTTCAGAGAGCTGAGAGTTATTGTACTCATAAAATGAGAACATGGGGTAATTTGTTTTAATGTCATGAATAGAACCCAAAAATCTTGGGAAATACAATTATTATCATGGTAAAATAAAGTTCAATAAGAAAAGTAAAAAACAAGTTGAAAAAATCTCTCACAAAGAAAAAAATAGAAAACATTAGAATATTATTCTAGGACTTAAAACACTGAACACTTAGAATTACAGAAAGAAAGAAGAGAGAAGATGGAGAAGAAAAAAATAAAGAAAATGTTTAAAAATGTTTCAGGCTGAAAGATTTGAAGTTTCACATTGAGAGGGATCATCAAGAGTTCAATACAATGGTTACACAAGACCCATGGAAAACTACCTCACTGAGAAATTTCAGAACACTGATTACAAAGTGAAGTCCTAGAAGCTTCTGAAGAGAAGTCAGAAGAGTCCACATTCAGAAATCAAAATTACATCAGACCCTCAATAGAAATGTTAGAAGCTAGACAATAATGGTGTGATATCTTCAAAATTCTGAGAGAAAGTGATTTCCAACTAAGACTTGTATACCCAGCCAAACTATTTTTTTAATCAGACACAGCAGTTCAAATGAAGGCATGCAACTTTTCAATAATTTTACCACTCACACAGTCTCTCTCAGGAAGCTAGAGGAGGATATAATTGACTAAAATAAGGTGATTCACTAAGGAAGAGCAAAACAGGTGACCCAAGCAAGAAAGGATCCATTAAAAATATTTCAAAATAAAGACATGATATGAATTCCAAAAAATATGGCAATAAAATCCTAGAACAAGTTTTTTTCTCAACTGAGGGTAATTTTGTCCCCCAGGGGATATATGACAATGTATAGAAACAGTTTTGTTATCACAAGTACAGGAGTGGAGGAGAGTGCTACTGTCAGCTAGTGGATTGGTGGATAGAGGCCAGGGATGCTGCCAAACATCCTACAACGTGCAGGACAATCTCCTGCAATAAATAATAATGCAGCTCAAAATGTCAATAGTGCCAAGGAAGTTGAGAAACCCAGTCCTAGTAAACAGTAGCTGTGCAACAGACTGAAACAGGAACCAGGGCAACTTAAGGGTAAAAGACTTAGAATTAATTTTGTGGTCAGTTTAGAACCACTGACTTATTAGAGCTAAGCCTCAGAAAGTAGCTTTCAACAAATACAAAAAATTATGACATAATGTGAGCAATGCAGTTAAAGAGCCAGGCAGAAAGAACTTGGGGACACAACTAAGCTACATTCCTTGGTCCTGATCACTTCATTACTAATTTTTGGCCTAACATAAAAGATTCTTCATGACCTTGCCATGAACTAACATTCCAATTTTATCTCCTGTCAGTTTCCTCCACTATACAATTTATGGGCTTCTGAACACACATCAATTTAATTCTCCATCATTGCACATACCATTTTTCATCATGAATATCTCTGTCTACCTTGTCCTCTCAAGGAATTTATCACCATCTCCAAAACTAAGCTCCAAAACTCAATAAAGTATGAATCAATTAAAAATGAATAAAATGGCTTCTAAATAATAGTACATTGTTATGTCATTTTGAATATATATTCATAATGTAAATAATTTGTATATATATTAGTTAAGAGAATTTCAGCTACTATAATCAAGCTTCCCCAAAATGTACAATAGCTCAGGCAAAATAGAAATTTTTTGCTAACATGAAATCCAAATCATTGATAAATAGGATCCTCTCCTCACAGGAGTAATTCAGAGTTCCAGGTACCCTTTATTTTATAGTTCCACCCTCTTGACTTCTCATTTTAATTTGTTCATCAGCATTAAGTGAATGGATGGGTAAAAGTATGCAGAATAATGTGCAGGAGTTTTTATGGTCCAGGTCTGGGTTCATTGCACACATCACTTTTTCTCACTGTGTATCAGCTACATGACTGCACATAACTGCAAGGAAAGCTGAGAAATACTGTCTACCTGCATGCCCAAACAGAAGAGGAAATAGAAGGTAAATAGCTAGCCAGTCTCTGACATTGCATGGTTCTAAAAAGCCTTTCTAGCAATGTTCAGAAACAAACAAATGAAGTACAAGGAAATTTGATTATGTGTAAGGCACATTTACAATAATTGACTGTCACATAGTTGTTGAAATCACAGAACAAAATGACAGTAAATGGAAACATTAAGATAGAAACATGAAAGAATATAGGAAAGGTCCCTGAGTTGCAAGATATAAAATGAAGGAAGCAGGACAGGTGAGTAAATAGTGTCAATTTCATACAATGAGATGCTGTTAGAAATGGTGGACAGCTGTGAGTTAAATACTACCATATATAGCAAGAGGATGCTCCTCTTCCTCCTGTGAGTCAGGAGCATTAGAAGAAAAAGCTTTATTATCAAAAGTTAAAAAACAAAACAAAACAAAAAACTAGAAAGCCACTGTTGTCAAGGAGGTGAGAAAGATGCAAAAATGGCATGTGGATAATAGAAACATTGATACTATATTCTCTTTGTAGCAATTGTGAAGGGGACTTTGCTCATGATTTGGCTTTCTGTCTATTATTGGTGTATAGGAATGCTTGTGATTTTTGCACATTGATTTTGTATCCTGAGACTTTGCTGAAGTTGCTTATCAACTTAAAGAGTTTTTGGGCTGAGACAATGGGGTTTTCTAAATATACAATCATGTTATCTGCAAACAGAGATAATTTGATTTCCTCTCTTCCTATTTGAATGTCTTTTATTTCTTTCTCTTGCCTGATTGATTGCTCTGGCCAGAACTTCCAATACTATATTGAATATGAATGGTAAGAGAGGGCATCCTTGTCTTGTGCCAGTTTTCAAAGAGAATGCTTCCAGCTTTTGCCCATTCAGTATGATATTGGCTGTGGGTTTGTCATAAATAGCTCTTATTATTTTGAGATATATTCCATCAATACCTAGTTTATTGAGTGTTTTTACATGAAGGGTGTTGAATTTTATTGAAGGCCTTTTCTGCCTCTATTCAGATAATCATGTGGTTTTTGTCATTAGTTCTGATTATGTGATGGATTACATTTATTGATTTGCATATGTTGAATCAGCTTTGCATCCCAGGAATGGAGCCAATTTGATCGTGGTGGATAAGCTTTTTAATTAACGTGCTGTTGGATTTTGTTTGTCAATATTTTACTGAGGATTTTCGCATCGATATTCATCAGGGATATTGGCCTGAAATTTTCTTTTGTTGTTGTGTCTCCGCCAGGTTTTGGTATCAGGATGATGCTGGCTTCATATAAAATGAGTTATGGAGGAGTCCCTCTCTTTCTATTGTTTGGAATAGTTTCAGAAGGAATGGTACCAGTTCCTCCTTGTACCTCTCTGCAAGAATGTGGCTATCACTCCGTCTGGTCCTGGGCTTTTTTTGATTGGTAGGCTACTCATTACTGCCTCAATTTTAGAACTTGATATTGGTCTATTCAGGAGTTCGACTTGTTCCTGGTTTAGTTTTGGGAGGGTGTATGTGTCCAGGAATTTATTCATGTCTTCTAGATTTTCTAGTTTATTTGCATAGAGGTGTTTATAGTATTCTCTGATGGTAGTCTGTATTTCTGTGGGATCAGTGGTGATCTCCCCTTTATCATTTTTTATTGTGTCTATTTGATTCTTCTCTCCTTTCTTCTTTATTAGTCTGGCTAGTGGTCTATTTTGCTAATCTTTTCAGAAGAACCAGCTCCTGGATTCATTGATTTTTTGAAGGGCTTTTCATGTCTCTATGTCCTTCAGTTCTGCTCTGATCTTAGTTATTTCTTGTCTTCGGCTAGCTTTTGAATTTGTTTGCTCTTGCTTCTCTAGTTCTTTCCATTGTGATGTTAGGGTGTCAATTTTAGATCTTTCCTGCTTTCTCTTGTGAGCATTTAGAAATACAACTTACAAGGGAGGTGAAGGACCTCTTCAAGGAGAACTACATACCACTGCTCAAGGAAATAAGAGAGGATACAAACAAATGCAAAAACATTCCGTGCTCATGGATGGGAAGAATCAACATCGTGAAAATGGCCATACTGTCCAAAGTAATTTATAGATTCAATGCTATCCCCTTAAGCTACCATTGACTTTCTTCACACAATTAAAAAAAAACTACTTCAAATTTCATATGGAACAAAAAAAGAGCTGGTATAGCCAAGACAATCCTAAACAAAAGGAAGAAAGCTTGAGGCATCACACTACCTGACTTCAAACTATACTATAGGCTACAGTAACCAAAACAGCATGGTACTCGTACTAAAACAGATATACAGACCAATGGAACAGAACAGAGGCCTCAGAAATAACTCCACACATCTACAACCATCTGATCTTTGACAAACCTGACAAAAACAAGCAATGGGGAAAGATTTCCCTATTTAATAAATGGTGTTGGGAAAACTGGCTAGCCATATGCAGAAAACTGAAACTGGACACTTTCCTTACACCTTACACAAAAATTAACTCAAGATGGATTAAAGACTTAAACATAAGACCTAAAACCATAAAAATCCTAGAAGAAAACCTAGCCAATACAATTCAGGACACAGACATGGGCAAAGACTTCATGGCTGAAACACCAAAATCGATTGCAACAAAAGCCAAAATACACAAATGGGATCTAATTAAACTAAAGAGCTTCTGCACAGCAAAAGAAACTATCATCAAAGTGAACAGGCAACCTACAGAATGGGAGACAATTTTTGCAATCTGTCCCTCTGACAAAGGGCTTATATCCAGAATCTACAAGGTACTTAAAAAAATTTACAAGAAAAAAACAAACAAGCCCATCAAAAAGTGGGCCAAGGATATGAACAGACACTTCTAAAAAGAACACATTTATTTGGCTAACAAACATATGAAAAAAAGCTCATCATCACTGGTCATTAGAGAAATGCAAATCAAAACCACAATGAAATACCATCTCACGCCAGTTAGATGGTGATCATTAAAAAGTCAGAAAACAATAGATGCTGGAGAGGATGTAGAGAAATAGGAATGCTTTTACACTGTTGGTGGGATTGTAAATGAGTTCAACCATTTTGGAAGACAGTGTGGCAATTCCTCAAGGATCTAGAACTAGAAATACAATTTGACCCACCAATCCCATGACTGGGTATATACCCAAAGGATTATAAATCATTCTACTATAAAGACACATGCACACGTATGTTTATTGCAGCACTATTTACAATAGCAGAGACTTGGAACCAACCCAAATGCCCATCAATGATAGACTGGATAAAGAAAATGTGGCACATATACACCATGGAATACTATGCAGCCATAAAAAAGGACGGGTTCATGTCCTTTTTAGGGACTTGGATGAAGCTGGAAACCATCATTTTCAGCAAACTAACACAGGTACAGAAAACCAAACACCGCATGTTCTTACTCATAAGTGGGAGTTGGACAATGAGAACATATGGGCACAGGAAAGGGAATATCACATGCCATTGCCTGTTGGGGGCTGTGGGGCTAGTGGAGGGATAGCATTAGGAGAAATACCTAATGTAGATGACAGGTTGATGGGTGCAACAAACCACCATGGCACATGTATACCTATGTAACAAACCTGCACGTTCTGCACATGTATGCCAGAACTTAAAGTATAATAAAAAATAAATAAATATTATTAAGATAAATAAAGAAATAAATAAAACTAAAGATACATAATAGAACACTGAAAGGCATTTTTTAAAATACATGAGAGATTTCTTCATATGGTGTAGAATTGGGTAAGTTGAATTGTATGAAAAAGAACTGCAGCGTAGGGGAGGTAAGGATTCTGGGTGTGAGGCTTTTATCAAGAAGATCATTTGCTTCATAGAGTTGGATGCAGTGACAAAAAAGAGAGATGGAGTAATTTAAATTTATTTTCATGGTTTAATCATGTGACCTTTTATTGTGACCATGTTATTCAAAAGATCAAGTTGTGCATCTCAAATATATGCAATTCTGGTCAATTATATCTCAATAAAGATGAAAATTATTTGTTTAATTAGGGAACTTTTTTTTAAAAAAAGAAATGCCTGGAATGCGCTCCTGCTGCTCCTGTTTCTCAGTTAGCAAACTTCCTTCTGATTGAAATTTAAATGTTACTTCACTGAAACTTTTCCTGACGCTCCTGATAATGTCAGCCATACAGGATCAGGACCCTATACCTAACCTTGAAGACCTACTCACAATGTTGATTGAACAATTACTAAATTAACTTATTTAATATACATATCCCGCACTAGAAGAGCTCAGGACACTATCGGTGTTTTACACTATTATGTACTTGGCATCTAGTTATGTATTGTACCCACCAGAGACATGCAATGTAACTGCTGAATGATAAATGTTGGGCAGAGTAGAGTAAGAATCCTCTGTTTCTCCTAATTCTGTGGAATAGTTTGCTTAACACTGTCGTTATTTCTTTATTTGGAACAGCTTCTCAGGGAAGCCATTTGGTTTTTGGAATATTCTTTAGGGAACATTTTTTGCCTGCCAACTTCATTTTTAAAAATATTTATAGAACCATTCAGCTTTTTAAATTTTTTTAGTAGCCAAATTTAGTAAAATTCATTTTGTAGTGTAATAGGGGACCTCACTTTTAAAAATCATACACTTTTTGTTTCTTCTTTCCTTCCCCACTCACTTCCTTCCTTTGAGGGAATGCTCTAGACATTCCCATCTTCTAGCAATTCATGCTTCCCTAATTATGCTCTCGTTTAAGAAATACCAAAGGCTAATCTTAAATGAGGGAAGGAGACCCCATTGTGGAATCTTCCCGAGTAGGGGTAGTCGTGAACAATGAGTCTACCACCATGCACGGAAGTCAAGGTAAGACCAATAAGCCCTCAGGAAGATCAATATCCCAAGATAGCCATAGGAACAAGACACACAGACCCTGGATCCTGCACTACTCTTGCATATCTCTCATACCAAGTTTCTCTTTTAAAACCCTACGGTAAATTTTAAAATTTAAGGTGGTTCTTTAGCGTGATAGTTTACCATTTTCTCAGTATGCTGGCTCTCCAATTAAATCTGCTTATCCTCCCACCAACCGTCGCCTCTAATGTTTGGCTTGCAGGTAGTGAGCAGTGGAACCTAGGTCCAGTTATACCACTAATATTGTGGTTTTATCTATTTCTCCTTGCATATGAATTTCAACACCATATGAGTGTGTGTGTGTGTATGTGTGTGTGTGTGTGTGTGTGTTGTCTTTATAGATATTAAGAATATGTTACTAGGTACTGACATGGTTTGGCTGTGTGTCCCCACCCAAATCTCATGTTGAATTGTGATCCTGAATGTTGGAGGTGGGTCCTGGTGGGAGGTGATTGGGTCATGGGGGCAGATTTTCCCTTTGCTGTACTCGTGATAGTGAGTGAGTTCTCATGAGAACTGATTGTTTAAAAGTATGTAGCACTTCCCTTTTCCCTCTCTCTCTCCTGCCATCATGTGAAAATGTGTTTGCTTTCCCTTCACCTTCTGCCATTGATTGTAAGTTTCCTGAGGCCTCCCCAGCCATACCTCCTGTGCAGCCTATAGAGCTTGAGTCAATTAAAGCTCTTTTCTTTATAAATTATCCATTCTCAGGTAGTTCTTTGCAGCTATGTGAGAATGAACTAATACAGGTATCTACAAATGTAAAAAGGGTTATATGTTTCTGTTGATGAGCTTATTGTGAAGTCTTCACCTCCAGCAGTAGACTTCCTTTAACTTTGAACATACCTCCTTTCTCCTTGCACTTTAAACTTTATATTCCATGTTTCTTTTATAAGCAGTATATAGATTTTGTACTGTATTTTGAATTACTTTTTCTATAATTGGAGAAAATAATCTATTCATTTGGAAGGTAATTATTTATTTGTGGTTTCACCTATTTATTCTGTACTATTTCTTTTTCTCTCCTTTCTTTTCTTCTACTGGATTGGTCAAATATTTTATAAATATTTCAGTATTTTCCACCCCACTTACTTAAAGGCATTATCTTTATTTATATGCCCAATTAATGGTTACCATAAAAATTATAATATAATTTACTTACTTACCTTGTCAAAGTCTAAGTTCAACAATGTCTTTATTCTTCTCCCTGCAAATATGGAGACCTTAGATTATTTTCCTCCATTTAATTCAATACAACTTCTATATTATTCATTTTGTTATTTTTATTACATTGTTTAAGAACCACAAAAAATTAATATGATTATTATTGACCACATTATTTGTTCTCCATTCATTCTTTTTCTCACATCTTCCAATGGAATCATTTTATTTCAGCTTGAAATATATCCTTTTCAATTTTATTTCTTTATTTGCTTATTTATTGACACAGGGTCTCACTCTGTCACCCAAGCTTGAGGACAGAGATGCAATCATGGCTCACTGCAGCCTCAACCTACTAGGATCAAGAGATCCTCCCACCTCAGCCTCCTGACACTACAGGTGCGTGCCACCATGCCTGGCTAATTTTTGTAGAGACATGGTCTTACCATGTTGCCCAGGCTGATCTCAAATTCCTGAGTTCAAGTGATCTGCCTCACTCAGCATCTCAAAGTACTCGAATTAGAGGCTTGAGCCACTATGCCCAACCCTTTTCAAGTTCCTTTAATGAGGCTCTGCTGATAATTAACTCTCTCAATTTTTTAAATTTTTGTATTTGTTATTTTTACATAAAAATATTTCTTAGCTCATTCTGGAAATCTATTTTGACTTGGTGTAGAATTCTAAGTTATAATCTTTCAAAACATTTCAAATATTCCTTTGAATTTTGACTTCCATTTTTGCTGCTGAGCAAATTTAATAGCTGCCCTCTTTTTACTCTGCTTTGAATTTGTTTCTATCTTCTTTGTTCTGTGAAATTTCAGCCTCTAGATGTAGATTTTATTTTATTTTTATGCTTGTTGTTTGTTGTGATATGGAGTCTGCAAATTGGTGTCATCACTTCTGGAAGATTTTCAACCATTGTCTTTTCAAAGCCCCAGCGAAAATGGGATTATTTTCTGAGACTGATTAATTATACTGTATACCTTCTCACTTGATATTCTATCTTTTACCCTCTTCTCTATAATTTCTAACATTTTTTCATCAGTGCCGTATATTAGTTTATTTTTGTTTTTGATGCATCTATAAGTTTCTAATTATCTCTTCAGCTGTGCCTAATTTGCTATTTAAAATGTTCCTTGAATTATTTAATTTTTTTTTAATTTCTGAAAGTTTCATCTGGTAAAAATCTGTAAACTTACATATCTGCTATGTTAATATTTTAAGTTGCATATATTACTTGCATGTATTTTCAAAATTATCTTTCACTTATTTAAACATATAAGCATAGTTGTTTTTTTCCTCCAATATAATAGCCTGTATCTGAATCTGAAAATTCTAATTTACAGGAATCTTTGTGGGTCTCTTTTCACTGATGGTGCAGTATATCTTTATGTGCTTTGTTAATTTTGACTATTTGATGTTTATTCTTTAAGAAATAAAATCATTTTGATAATTTAAAGTACAGATAAATGTACTATAATATTTTCAAAAAGAAAGCACAATTGCTTCTGCTAGGTGCCTTGGTGCACCTCTAGTCTAGATTCACCTTAAAGCAAATGTGGAGCTGAGATTCTCAGACTGCCCAGACAATGTGAAACCATGCGGCAAGCCCACGCAGGGCTGGTAAGCTTTTGGTTCACTCTTATCCTGAGGGTGCAGCCCTTTGCTGTCCTGGATGTTATTGGAAGTAGTTCTCCTCTAAGCCTTTTTACTTGTATGTCCTCTGAGCTTTAATTTATTCCCTTTTGACTCATAAGGCATCAAAGTAAAAGTACAAATTTGCTAAAATAGGGAAGCATCTGTAATGCAACAGAAAATTCATGCTCTGCTTACCTTTCTAGGTTCTTGTTTTGCCTTTATTTGGCCTAATAACTTCATACTATTTTGTCAGTAATCCACAGCTTTTGAGAAAGATTGTATCCTGCAAGTTTAGTCATAGATTGTGAGTGTGAATAACTTAGTTTGCCTTTACTAAAAACAAAATCGTCTTCTAAAGTCATTCCCTACAGTCCACAATGAGCCCACAGCTAGAAACAGATCATTTTTCCTTCTGAAAGCAGAACAAAAGAAAATGAAATATGTGATCTCCTGAGTGTCTTGTACAGCTGAATTTCACATGCCTTGTCTTTTTATCTTTCACAAGGACTATCAAAGTGTCTCACACAGTAGATGCTCATGTTTACAATATGAGTAAATACAATTTACCATATTCATGTGGCTACATTTACCCACAGGAATTTTTATAAATACCTACAACTATGTAATTTGAGCTTAACATTAGATACTAATTTCCCTGGAATAGCAATGGTAGGAGGGGGAATCCCTGGGAGCTTAATTTAGACATATGACTAGAAAAGAGAAGTCAACTCAGAGCCACAAAACTGAACTTCAATTCTGACAAAGGGGAGGGGAAATTGCATTTTTAGGTTTGGTGAGACAGTGAGAACCTGAACTCTCAAATTGGACAGATCTGGATTTGAATCTCAGCTCTGCCACTTTCCAGCTACCTGACCTTAGGCAAGTTATTTAATCTCTTATAAGGGAACGATAGTAATATATTTTTCACTAGGTGGGACTCAAAGTCAAATGGGGTAATAAAGGTAATTTTAAATGCACAATGACTGACTCATAGAAGGTGATCAATAAATATTGAGACTATCATTTCATTTTTCTGTCCTGAGAAATAATTACCATCTCACAACATAATTTGTCACCACTAATTAGGCATACAGAAGCAGAGTAACAAAAATCTTTTATATTAATTACCAATTCTGGTAGTTAGCCATTGGCTGCTTAGAACACAGTGCTGAGAAAGATTCTGAGGAAAGCATATAACGACTGATTATCAGCATCTTCCATGAAATCAGTGATAAGAACCAGGTGCATCAGTGCCTTTTATGTGCCATAATTCACAAAGATTGTTAGAGGGATATAGGCAAACACTCCTATAATAGCACCTATACCTCTATAATACAGTATCCTTCAGTCAAGGCCAGGATTTACTTGTAAGTTTTTGCCCAGATCATAACTTTTTCATATATGTAGGCTGTAAACACAGACTTTTTATTCCTTATTCATCAAATTATCTGCTCAGAAAACTAAAATATTCTGTCTGTGTCAGAGAGTTCAGTATATCATCCCAATTTAATCAGATCAGCAGAAGTGAACACTATCTAGCCTGGCCACTTAGCTATGTTTTCAATGACCTTTTCTCTGCTTTCTTCTCCAGTTGAAATTCCCAACTTAATTTGTCATATTCCTTGACTTGCATTGTATGTTGCTTCTACAAATCTATTACATGACTATGCATTTGACTATTTTTGTTTAATCATAGCCTTGATTAGGCCATGATATTATGAGGTCACCAAAAAGCCATCTCAATTTGCAGAAGGTCATTTACCTCTTGTATATGCCCAGAACCAGGCACAGAGCTGAGCACAGAATAGGCAATCAAAAGTTATTTGTTGCATTTATATGTGGGTAGATCAATAACTTAATTTCTATAGAACAATATTCTTTTGTTTGCTCTTATTGTAATATATTGCTTTTATTTAATAAGCCACAAAATACTTCAAAATGAGACTGCATTTTTTGTATACATTTTACGCAGTAATGTAAGTAAGGCATAACTTTATTTGAATCACAATACAACCCACAATTCTATATTTTAGTAGAAAAGAAGCTGAAAGTTTCAAAATCTCAGAAGGGTCTACTTTTGTTTGAATCAATGCAAAGGCCATGAGAATGTGACATCTTGATGCATCTGGTCAGACATAAATGTCCTTATAATGATACTTTGGAAAGTTACTTTTGAATTCCCACTTGGTTAGACTATGTAATGAGAGTGGCACCAAGGGTTGTGTAGTCTGTATCACATCCTCATTCCCCAGAGATGGATCTTCTTTTGAAGCACTTAAAAACTTAAAAATAGATTTTTATATAGAAGTCCCATTATCCCATCTCATATCTTTACCAAAAACTGGAAGTTGTTGAGATTGGAAATTTTGTACGTCTTTTATTCTGATTTGTTATAGTAGTTTGAGAGTGGAAGTGCCTTTGCAGATGTTAGGGAAAACACTACCCACTCAATGGGTAAAAAAAACAAATCTCTCTTCCACTGGACAAGATACTTACTTCATTGAAACCAAGCATGATTCATTGCTATTTTCAGCAATAAAACACCAGTGAGGTAACTGGGCATAAAATATTACTATTTTTTGCTTTTTTAATCATCATTTGAACCCATGTTCAAGGGGAAGGTAGAGGTAGGAATGAGGGAGGAAGGGAGAGACAGAAAAATGAATTAAGGGAGACACAAAAACTACTATGACTGTTCTTTTGAGCTGTGTTGTCTCTAAAGTTAAATACCTCAGTTTATTTCCTCTACAAATCAATCTTACGCCTCTGAAGTCTGGTGCATTCACTTGCCTTTTTGATTATTTCTTTAGAACCTAAACTCAAAGATAAGCACTTTTGGAGAACACAGCTAAACAAATCCATCCCTTGCATTATGTCTCTTCAGCATTTACAACTCTTTCAGACAGAAAATACAGTCCACAGAGATCACCCTGCTGTGTTGCAGATGTTGCAAATGTCATTTCTACTGGATATTTCCCTCTAGGAGTTATTTTGCTTTTCCATAGAGGAAAATGGTTCCCCAAATACCTTCTTTGGCCTAAGCAGTCTACGGGCATTTTAAATCAAAGGCACTGTCTGTGCTGAAGGGAGCAATAGTGGCTCCCACTTGTTAAGGGAAAAGGAAGATTCATAAGCAGTTCTAACAAATGCAAGGTCCAACTAGAAGCCTTGGGCTAGAATGACTTTTGCTTGCTGTTGTGTCAGCCAAAGGCTGTGTTGCTTCAGTGAGCTCTATTTTTGGAATCATAGAGCTGATGCTACAAATCATCATGAGGTTGTCTTACTAACTGTACTAAAATTTCCATTCCTTGTATCACTTAGGAGCTAGTCATTGCGGTTAAAACATAGCAAGAATGCTTGTTTGACAAAGAGCAACATAACTATAATTATTAACAATGAAATGATTTTGCAACCAAAACAACAGTTTGAATAATGTTGGGAAACCTAGTGATTTTTTAAAGTTGTTTTTGTTTTGTTTTTCGAATCATAATTAGGGCACAAACCAGAGTTTAGTTCCCAGCTCCCTGACGTAGTAATAAAATTTTAGGAGTCCCCTGTTTAACATTCCTGGGCTTCAGTGTCTTCGTGTTAAAATGGAAATTGTATAACATTTCAAGAGGTTGCTGCAAGATGTAAAAGAAGAGGCCATGTATGCAATGCATTTGCAGAATATCTGACATACATAAAGCACTCAAAAACACTTCCTCCTTTGTTGAAAAATCATGGCTCATATTCAAAAAGAGTCTCTTACTGGACAGGAGATTACTGAAGTCACTGATCATTTTTAATGGTGCTGTTTAATTTGTCTCTAGCATTTTTCTTCATTTCCCCATTGTGTGGTTCTGGTAGATTGAAATAACATGAGGCTTGGGCTACTGCTCTTATTGTGACATTTTGATACAGTTCTGACCAAATATTTGAATAGAAAGACCATGAAATATAATGTGCTAGTTTATCGATTTCAAGAAAGTTTCATTTTTTAAATTAACCACTGTGAAACACTAAACTAAACTAAACTAAACTTCCTAAACTAAAAGTTAGGAAGCCAATCTGATTCACTGTGTGTAGTGTTTTAGAATTTGTGCAAATCATTTCACAAAACCTTTCCTCATTTGATTTTCATAAAAACATTATAAGGGTACGCAGGCATTTTTCCACCTAAAGTTAGTAAACTAAGGATCCAAGTGATGAATTCACTTGCATAGGAACAAACACCAAGTTATAAGATTAGTAATTCAAGTCTCCTAAATTAAAAAAAAAAAAAAATGGATGCTCTTTTGCAGCACACAAGCTGTCTTCCCACTTAGCTGGGTCATCTTGAGCAGATCACATAACCTTTCTGTATTTCAAGGAGGAAAATTATGCCTGGCTAAATACTTTACTAAAGTATTAAGAGGATCAATGAAGACAATATATATGAAAGAGTTTGAAAGGCTTAAAATTATAATTATCATTATTATTCAGGAAATAATTGACGACATAGTTCCTCCCAGACAGTTTCTCCCCTACAATTATATGGGTCACCTGGTCATGTCTTCTGGTCAGGAAGGTTTGGGTGGAGTTGGCTTTATTCCCATAACAAGGATCTCCACTGGGACAAATCTCCACTGGGACAACTAGGATGGCTGGGGCTCCTCTCTAGAATGTCTGTCATCAGCAAGGCCAGCAGTGTTGTTAATATGGTGGAGCAAATGTTCCCTGGAGCAAGAAAGTCCAAGCCCCAATGATGCAGGATTTTTCTCAGCCCCTTCACCAGACTCATAGCAGGGTTGCTGAGTCTACTCAGCCCACTGTGCTCAGCCCCTTGCAGGAAGGAGCACATGAGAGAGTGTGAGATCTGGCCAGCCACTCTGGGTACCGACACCCAAGCAAGCTTTGTGCAGGGCCCATGGCCAGACCAGGCGTGTCACCTTGAGGGGAGCACATCGGTGCCCAGGTGAGGGTGCCATGACCCTGAAGCCCAGAGGGAGTGTTATAGTGCTCCTTTAGTTCTGCCATCCACAAATGGCAGTGCATTAGCAGCTCAGTTGGCCCCTTGCCTCATTGTGTGGGGTGACTGCCCTCCGCTGGCAAGGGCAAAGGGCCAGTGAGACAGATTTTCTGGGTACCTGCACTTGGTGGGTCACAGGCTCTTGTCCAGAGTCCAAAAAGAATGAGGTCACGTGGACTACTGAAGCATGGTGAAGGTAGAGAATGTTACTGAGTGATGAAAACATCTCTCAGCTGAGAGGAAAGTTGGAGAGGGGATGGGAAGGGCAGGTCATCTTCCCCTAAGTCAGGTTGTCTCTTGCCTGAAGTCAAGTCATCTCCTCCTCTACTGACTGAGTCTGGGGTCTTTATAGGAACAGGATGGGGAGTGCGTGCTGATTGGTTTGTGAGTATACAAAAACAGTTTAAAGAGAAGACACCACTCAAACATGGGCATAACAGTGTAGAAAACCAATTAGAAAAGGGTAGGTATACGTAAAATAGGTGAAGGGTGGGGACTAATCAGAGAAAAGTGGGCCAAACAGGAAGACAAGTTCTCATCCAGTCCGAGGATTTAACTTGTAGCTTGGCTTTCAGGCTTTAAACTGTCTTCATCTTAGAGGCGGGGTTTCACCAGGTACCTGTCCCATCTGCCTAGGCATTTGGCTGCCTCCTGTCACTGTCATCAAGTCACAAGCACTTCCCAAGCTTCTGCTTGTATTACTTTACCAAACTGGCCAAAGTTAGTCACATGGCCAAGTTCAGAACCAAGTAAAAGAGGAGACTACACTAAGGGATTGGGATACCCAGTTTGACATAAGGTTTTTGACTTTGCTTGTGATGTTTTTCCATAAAAAATTTTATGTTTAATACAGCATAATGTATCAATCTTTTTATTTATTGCATATAGAGCTTGATTCCAAAGTTTCCATCTCTCCTCATAACCATTAAAAAATAATTCATCCCTTTTATTTCTATTGTTCATATGTCTTGCTTGCTCTTTCTTTCTTTCTTCTTTTCTCTCTATTTAATTTGAAGTCTGTTGTGGTATATGTTGAGATCTAGACCCACTTTTATTATTTTCCCAAATGTCAGTTAAGTTTTTCCAATATAATTTATTTTTTAAAAAACTGTATTTTCCCCAGAGCTTTCAGGTATGAACATCATCGTATACTTAATTTTAGATGTAACTGAATCTATTTCTCAACTTTCAATTATCTTCTAATAATTTGTCCATCAACCACTAAGTCAATATATTAGATTGATGCAAAAGTAATTGTGGCTTTTGTCATTAAAAGTTTTGCACATAGAAGTTTGCATTTCTGTACCAACCTAATATTAATGAGCCAATATTTTAGTAATAAAGGCCTTATAATATATTGAATATCTCTCAGGACTAGATATTAAAGACCCTTATTGCTGTCCTTTCTCATGGTTTCTATCACTGCAATCTTGTTCTCATGATTTTCTTAACTATTCTTCCATGCTAATTTTTCCATGTATACTTTAGAATCAATATGAATAGCTCCAGAAAATAAATTGTTACTATTTGACACTTTTATGATGTTGACACATCATATTCAAGAACAAAGAATGATGTCTTTCCATTAGTTCAAATCTACTCTTGTGTCTTTCAGATGTGTTTTAAGGATTTCTTCATATAGATTTTGCAAATCTCTTAAGGGTCTCTCTAATTTATATTTTTATTGCTATGGCAAATTATGATTTCTATCATATTATTCAACGAATTTTTGTATGTTAATTTCATATTACGTTAGCTTAATAGACTCTTCCATTATTTTTGTTAGGTTTAATGCATATTATGTTAGATTTTTCAGGTATAGTATCATATCATTTGCAAAAAGAGGTAGTTTTCTTGTTTTGATAAAAAAGATAATTTTCTTTTTTTGTAGTAGAGAGAATATTCCCCACCCCCATAAAATATTCACATCCTAATTTCCACAGTCTATGTATGTTATCTTACATGGGAAAAGGAATTTTGCAGTTGTGATTAAGTTAGTGATCTTGAGATGGGAAGATTACCCTGGATTATATTGGTGAATCTAGTGTAATCACAAGGGTTCTTAAAGGAGAGAAAGGCAGCAGGGTCAGAGTCAGAGAGGAAATGTAACAACGGAAACAGAGGTTGAGGTGATACACTTTGAAGATTAAGGAAAGGACCGCAAACCAGAGAATATTGGCAGCCTTTAGAAGCTAAAAATGACAGGGAAATCAATATTCCTTTCGAGCCTCCAACAACTTGATTTTAGCCTAGTGTGACCTGTCAGATTTCTGATATTGAAACATGAGTTAATAAATAGGTGTTGTTTTAAGCCACAGAATTTGTAGTACTTTGTTACAGCAGCAATAAGAAACAAATTCCCTTCTTCTTTTCCAATTCCTACGTATCTAACTTCTTTCATTTGTATAATCACATTGGATAATACCTCTAATAAACTGTTATGAAGATACTGGAAATCTTACCTTGTTCCTGAACTACTTAGGGGAGATGCCTCTTTTCCATATATCAGCCATGGAGTAAGCAATGTAATATTTTATATGTATATTTTTAAAATTAGTATTTATTATTAGGGTCATTATATTTTTAGAATCAAAGTGACTAATTCCAGAAAGAAAATTTATCTACTGACGCCCTTATGATGTTGAATTATCTCAACACGGCGTAAGCGCTTGCCCTACAGGAACAGCCTATATTGAATAATGCCTGGCTGACCTAGTCTGTTTCCCTTGGGGAGTTTGAATTCAAAATGCAAGGAAAGTCTACACACAATGAAAGAGACAAAGAGTAAAGAAATTCATACAATAGATGTTAAAAGCACAGGCCATGAAGTGTTAGGTGCTGTACACAAGGGAAGGTCTTGAAGAGACTGAGATTATGCAAGGAGTAAAGATGTCCTCTGCTCACCTCTTCATAACATTCACTGATGTGCCTTGAAAATGTAATAATTCATTATCCTAAGTGTTCTAATCATTTCTGGATCTGCTACCTGGAATTTGAACAGTGGATAATTATTATGCCAACAAATGAATGTGTCATATAAAATAGCATTCACATAACTAAAATTTATTTTAAAAATTTTAAAAATTATGCAAGGAAGAATGAGGTTGAAGGGATCGCCAGATGAGGTATTTCTAAGCATGGAGATCTCTAAATGTATCTGCTATCTTCTCCATACCCAAAAGAGAGAAATATGATCTTCGACCATAGAGGAAGAGTCTACATTGCTCTAGATTTAAGCAAAATGTTGCATAATTTGCATTTCAAAACAGATGGTAGAAGGGCTGTTGGGGTATGATTGAACATGAGTCCCATTTTGAAGCAAAATGGCAGAATACCAGTGGTTAATGATTCATCCAAAATCTGGGAAAGCTCTATTTTCCTTTCCTTCTCTTTTCTCAGTCTGCTTCTTTGAATTATGCATTTACTGCATTTCTCACACTCTCACATCTCGCTTCTAAACAGTTCAAAGTGGCATAAACCAAGACATATTCTTAATGTTTTTGTTGTTATGTAGAGTATAAAGTAAAAATAAGTACATGCTTAAAGACATTTACAATTCTGGCAGGTTTTTTGTTTGTTTGTTTGTTCATTTGTTTTTTGATATGGTGTCTCGGTCTGTTGCCTAGGCTTGAGTGCAGTGGTGCAATCTCGGCTCAAGGCAGCCTCTGCTTCCCGGGCTCAAGCAATTCTCCCACCTCAGCCTCCTGAGTAGCTGGGATTACAGGTGCACCATCATGCCCGGCTAATTTTCATATTTTTAGTAGAGACAGGGTTTCACCATGTTGGCCAAGCTGGTCCTGAACTCCTGACCTCAGGTGATCCACCCTCCTCGGCCTCCCAAAGTGCTGGGATTACAGACGTGAGCCACTGCACCTGGCCTAAGTCTGGCAGTTTTTGAGGTTGTGTTTAGAAGGAGTGAGGGTGAGCAGTGGCTATACAGGAATGGGTTACCCATCTTTATGGTTATTTCATGATGATCTGCTAAACAAGGGGTGGATCATTCATGCCTCCCCTGTTTAGACCATATAGGGTAACTTCCTGACGTTGCCATGGCATTTTTAAACTGTCATGGCACTGGTAGGAGTGTAGCAGTGGGGACGACCAGGGGTCACTCTCGTCACCATTTTGGTTTTGGTGGGTTTTGGCCAGCTCCTTTATTGCAACCGGTTTTATCAGCAAGGTCTTTATGATCTGTATTTTGTGCTGACCTCCTATCTCATCCGGTGACTTAGAATGCCAACACTGTCTGGGAATGCAGCCCAGTAGGTTTCAGCCTCATTTTACCCAGCTCCTATTCAGGATGGGGTTTCTGGTTCACACACCTCTGACAGTGGGAAGGCACCTACCATTATCCTCAGGTAGCACCCACCGTAAAATGTCTCTATTAAGCTGATTCTCTGTCTTGTATTAGGAGTGCTATACTGGAAATGCCACATAATATCCCTTAATTGTAGTTTTCTTATCTGGGCAATATTAACATTGTTAATTAGGTTATATTATGTCATGTTTTCTAAACTGAATATTTACAGAATTATAATAATATTAATTTATGTGTATATATACACATTTATATGTACTAACATATATTATTTAAAAATTTTATAATGCATATATAACCATTTATATCATGTATGTTATTTAAATACATATAATATTATTTAAACACATAGAATATAATATGTCAGGCACTTTTGAAATGTCTTAAAATATAACTCATTTATTATGAATTAATTTAGGATTTTTCCAAATATGAGTCACTGAAAAATGTAACTAAACACACTGTCATTTTATACACATTTAACCTTCCAAGGGAGCATCTTGTGTGCTGTATTGGGTGTGTTGGTCATTGAAGGAGGCAATGGTAATGGTATACAGCATCTTTCATGCAGTTTCCTCACATAGCCTTCCCCCAACACCTGAGGCAGGCTAAGAGATTGGGATCAAACATATTCCAAAACTAATTATTTTGAAAAGCAGTCAGCAGCTTTCATTTAGACTTGCATTAATTCTGTTTCTCTAGTTATGCATGCCAAGTTTCAAATTTTTAAAACGTTTTTCTTTTAGCTCCTAAAGTAGAAAATTTAGGAAAGTGTGATTTATTTTATTTTTTATAACTCAAAAATATGTACATCCACCTGTCTAAGACGCAACATAACAATTGATCTCAAATTAAGCTTAGGCAGTTTGATTCCTAAAGGGATCTTAGGGGAAAGGAAATAATCACAAGGAAATGGAGATCACAGATGGTCAGAAAATAGAAATGAATATTTGTTCAACACATTCCTTTTTGTAGCCTTACATCATTAAGAGGCTAATATCACTGAATTATTGAATTCATCTTACATTAATCATTATGAAGAAAGAGGAGAAGGAAAAGAAAAATCTCTTTTAGTAGCAAAAAATGTATAGAGAGATCCCAGAGAGCTTAAATTTCCATGGCGTTGGAAGGAGACAGAGCTGGTGAGAAGTCCCAAGTCATACCCAAGAACAGAGTTTCTGAAGAGGAAACTCCAACTCAGGGTACATAATTCCAGGGAAGGTTCCTGCAACTTCAAAATAGTTACATGTATGGGAACTAAATGCAGTGGCTCAAGAGGAGGCAGTTTAGTAATACTATGTAACAAAGAGAAAGTTAAGCACTCAAGAAATTTTACTGAAACTAGAGGATGCTGAGCTGCTATTAGGCATCTTATAAGCAAAGAACAGTAAGACCGATAGGGAGCCCCAAACTGAAGGAAGTCAAGAACTAGGACCCCTTTGTCAAGTTTTGGTCCAATAATCCTTCCTGCATAATCAAGCTATAATTTAGGATGTGGAAATTATCCCAGGAAACCCTGAATTATCATTATCGCTCTTGACATTAAAAACTGTTGCCTTTCTATTTTGAAATAGACTTTCTTTTTGCTTGTTTAGATAAGTTTTAGCCTCATAGCAAGCATTCAATAAAAGCAGAAGGGTCTGGATTATGTGAGTTATTCAGAATGATTTTTAATAATTTATTTTTTTTAGTACTTTACTGAAATATGAGGGTAAATGTCCAAGAACCTTGATAAAAGATGAGTTTTTCAAGGTGTTTTATTAAAAGACTACAACAAATAGAAAAGTGCTGCCCTGTTATAGAAATCATTGTCTGAAGGTTTTCCAAAATAAGGAACTCCCCAAAATCTGTGCACTCGGCTGAATTAATGTGAATCAAATGGCAAAAAAAAACAGACAAGGAGAGGAAGAAAGGCTGAATAAGCACACAGTTTAATGTCCAGATGGCAGATCAATTTCCTGAGACCGTAAGGATAAAAAAAAGGAAATACCATTATTAATCTTATTCTGTGTGCCAGACACTCTATTAGGCTTTTTAATATGCTACAATTTAATAATTTATAAACAAATATTTCTTTTGAATGGCATATATTTGCTTTTTAGAGTAGGATTTATTTTTTAGAACAGGTTTAGATTTAAAGAAAACTTCAGATAGCACAGTTTCCATATATCCTGCACCCAGCCCAATGGGCTTATACTGAAAAGCAGCAGTTTCCTTTCTCAACTTCTCTTCAAATTCCTCTTTGCAGAGGCAGCAAATATGTAACAATCTTAGCTATTTTTTGTACTACCTTATTATTTTCAAATTCATACCTATATATTGTGTTTTAATTTTCTATTTTTAAATTTTTTTTTTGTCTAGGATGGAATATATGGATTTTTCTATATTATCATCCCCTTTAGAAAATATTTAGCTCTGATACACTTTCCCTGGCAGCATCCGCCAAATACACACATTTGTAAATCTCAACATTCAAGTTTACTTTTATTATTGTAACTCTGCAATGTTCATGGGTGAACCATGTGCTAGACAATGATTCAATTTAATTCTTTAAAAGCTTTTTTGGTGAGGTTAAGAAATAACTGCTTTTGTTTTGTCTTTTAGAGGGAAAAAGTATCTATTTTTTTCAGATTAAAAAAGATATTTCAGATTATTTTCAGATTAAATATTTAATTTAAATATTAAATATATTTTCAGATTAAAAAAGGCTACAGAATTCTTTGCATATGCATGTGCATGATGAGAAACACTAAAGTCTTCAACTGTAAGAGAAATGATTCCACATAGAAGTAGAGAACTGTAGAAAAGAATGAAGAGTGCCAAAAAGGGTAAATATAGGCAGATTTAAACAAATGTTGGCTGTTTCAAATGCCAATAATAATAATAGTACCCCACGGAGTGTATAGGATATGCAGAAAGAAAATATGTAAACAAGAATTATACAAAGGGTTAAGTGAGGAGTGAGGAGTAAGCACATGGAGTTGAACTTGTTAGGGTCCTTAAATGTTTAAGAAGTGGTAAAAGCACTAGTTTAAGGTTGAATGTAGTAAGTCACAGGTGTATACCTAGGGTTACCACGGAATGAATAATACAATGTATATGATATATGATATAAAAAGCTAATAGAAGCAATAAAATAATAAATCATTAATTAAAAGATTAATAAAACCAATAACTTGATTTATTAAAAGAATCCAAGCAATGAAAAATAAAAGGAAAAGAATATATGAGATTATTAGAAAGCAAATAGCTTAGTGGTTTATTTAAACTCAACAGTATCAGTAAATAATAATTATATATGGTATATTTTATACTATGGTATATATACTATATATATATAAACTTAAAAAATAAATTGGGCTTTATAAATATTAGAATGATTTAAAGGCAAGAGCTATTATGAAAGAGAAGCTGGAAGCTTTAAAAATCATTACATACATGCACAAAAGAGTTGTATTAAAAAATGTAAAGCAAAAAGCAGAATAAATTTGGTATAGAAATACATAAATCCGTAATTATAGTTGAAAACTGTAACTCAGCAATTTCATAAGCAGACCAAATAATCGGTAAGTTTATAGAAGATTTAAACAATGGGACGAATTTATCTGACCCAATTTTCGTGTATTGACACTACATAAACAACTACAGATTGCAAGATCCATCCCACAGTACATGAAACAATCTTAAATATATTGTGGCAGCCATGGAGGGATACCACTCAGATCTCTTTTCAAGGAAGAATTTGCCATTTTGCTGCAACAAGAGCAGTTAACTACTAGTCTCCAGCTACCAACCCCTTCAGGATCAGTCTCAGCTTTCTAGCTGAAGCCAGGCTATTCCCAGGCAGCCCCCAGTTAATGACTGATCATAGATGGGCATAGGACCTGGCTGTGTGTGCCCATGAAACTTCTCTAATAGCCAATCTTTGTTCTGAAACTCTACTTGGGTGTGTTGGAGATTCACCAGATCTTCATTGTAATCTGAAGCTCTTTCTCCACAATCCTGCTTTCTTCCTCCTTTCCTATTACAGAGGTTGGATCAGATCTGTGTTTTAAATGAAGACATCCACCCAATTGTACGTTTTCTTCCTTTTATTATTCATGGACATTACCAGTCTGTTCTATTTTTCTTATACTTCAAACTATCTCAGCATATGCTTTATGGAGAATTCAATTATGCGTCTCATACTAGTAACAAGCAACTACATAATTTGTAAATCCCAGCGCAAAATAAGAATGCATGTCTCCCTGTTCAAAAGTATTAAGCATTTTAATAAAGCAAGAAAATCAGAGCATTAAAGTAAGCATAGGGCCCTTCTAAGCATAGGGCCTGATGTGACCTACACAGGCCACATGCTCTGGTATCAGACGTGGTGTAAGAAAACAGATGAAAAAAAAAAAAACTGTTTTGGCATTGGATTGCTCACTGCCTACCTGGTAATAAGCAATCCATCCTATGTGGTATATGGAGCACAGCACAGTCTCTGGTACAGTGTGATAGCCTGATGCTAAAACTGATGCTAATTTGAAAGAATGTTCTGGTGGAAGGAATTACCCTGAACTATGTAATGATTCAAATAAATCAGGATTTTAAAAGTAAGGGGAGGCTGAGCACAATGGCACATGCCTTGTAATCCCAGCACTTTGGGAGGCCAAGGCAGGTGGATCACTTGAGCCCAGGAATTCGAGACCAGACTGGGCAACATGGCAAAACCCTGTCTCTACAAAAAATACAAAAATTAGCCGGATATGGCCATGCATGCCTGTGATCACAGTTACTTGGGAGGTTGAGGTGTGAGGATCACCTGAACCTAGGTGGTTGAGGCTGCAGTGAGTAGTGATCTCACCACTGCACTCCAGCCTGGGTGACAGAGTGAGACCCTGTCTCAAAAAAAATTAGTAATAATATAAAATAAAATAGAAGTAAGGGTATGGGGGGGCAATGTATATAAGATAATAGTGTTGATTATTATTAAATGACATTGATGTCCTACGTAGGGATAATGAAAAGCAGAGTGAAGTTACTAAAACATTAAAAGTAAAGTTTGATGAGCAGAGGGCCATTTTGGTAGCATATAAAAGGCTTTATCTTTTATATTCAGAGAAATAAAAATGTGAAAACCAAACCCAGCTTTTAATAGAATTATCAAGTTACAAAAAGGCAAGTCAGGCTGGGCACAGTGCTTCACGCCTGTAATCCCAGCACTTTGGAAGGCCGAGGCGGGCGGATCACGAGGTCAGGAAATCGAGACCAACCTGGATAACACGGTGAAACCGTCTCTACTAAAAATGCAAAAAATTAGCCTGGCGTGGTGGCACGTGCCTGTAGTCCCAGCTACTCGGGAGGCTGAGGCAGGAGAATGGCGTGAACCCGGGAGGAGGAGCTTGCAGTGAGCCGAGATGGCGCCACTGCACCCCAGCCCGGGCGACAGAGCGAGACTCCGTCTCAAAAAAACAAAAACCAAACAAACAAAAAAAAAACCAAAGGGCAAGTCAGGGCTCTCACTGGGAAAACCTGAACCCTGAAACATCTGATGAATGTATCTGAACATGTGATGCCCATTCAGTAGTAGGCCCCTCTCTATTAAATTTAGCACTCAACATACAAAACAGCAAGTAGCTATGCATTCTCTGAATTGCTTACCTTGAGTTGGTTTCTGTTGAACTCATCAAATCAGAAAGTTGTGCAGGTCAAGAAGCGATCTATATAAAATGCAAATGGTACATATGAGATAAAGCCTAAGCACGAAAGCTGCATAAATTGGTAGCCCAAACCTCAGTGTTACCCCCTACATTTCATTACTGCCCTCCTCTCTCTCAGGTTACACCTGTGGCCACATGGAGGAGTCCTAAATGACCAACTGAAGGAGAAGCAAAAAACCGAAGCATGGCTTATAATGGGCCTGCTCAGTGTTTAGGCGCCAGCCAAAAATGGGCAGCAGCTACCTTGCAGCCACACTCCAGGGTGAACTTGCAAGACTTCAACAAATGGTACATCTGGTCAGGTACTTTGTGTAGAAGGAAAAATGATCTGAGGTGAGCTGAAATTATTTTGATTTTTATCTGACAGAGGACAGGAGCCACATTTTAATCATTTCCACATCCCTACCACCAAAGAAGGACTCCACAAATGTCTGTATTTGAATAGAGTGCCTATTTATGATTATCTCATTGAATAGAAATATATTTGCCATTTTAACAGAGAGTAATGTAATGATGTCTTCTTACTTCCTACCTCCAAGTTTTTATAATCTTGGTAATAAAGGCAAAGGCATAAGATGACTTGCCTGAAGACAAATGTAGTTGTAATAGCATTTCACTTAGGTTTGAGTGAGTATGTCTGTCCTAAGAGTTTTTGTGAACTATAAACCTCTTTAGAAGAAGAGACTTTCAATATAGAATTTTTCTTATCCCCCCTCCCCCCAAAAAAAAGCATAAAAATGAAACATAAATAAAATGCTCTATCCATGAGGGACTGAACTTAGAATGTAGATCCTCTGATTCAAGGTTGGATGCTAGACTACCCCCACTGGGCTTTGGAGAAATCCAAGTGCAGTAACAGAAAATAGCTCTTGACAGCTTCTCAGTACCTTTGACTGCTGGGTGCAAAGAACCCAGCTCGTCATTATGCTTTCCAGAGAGGGAGCTGGAGTTGGAGAGCATAGTCTCCACTTTCCTGTTGGTAATTTCTATTCCTATGGAGCAAAGGAATGACAGTGACCTATAAGGTCCCTGGTGGTGTGAGACTAGGGCCAGAAAGTCAGTGAGAAAAAGAACACTGAGTTAGTTTGATTCTATATGGAAGGGATGAAAAATGTAAGAAAGTCAAACATTCTGAATCTTATACCACAGCATGCATTTAAAATAAAATAGTAATGAACATGTATTGTTTGAAAGTTTAGAGTAGTTTCGAACATATCAATTTATTTGATATAACCTTCAAGACATTTCTGTGTGGCAAGTATTGCCATTTCTAATTCTATAAGTGGACTCAGAGGAGCTAATAACTTTCTCAATATCATCCAGCAATTGAGTAGTGAAGAAAGCAAGAATAGTAGTTTCCATCAAGATCTTAAATTTACATCTTTTCTTTCCTTTTCTTCTGGCAATGGGTAAACGTAAACAGGGGAGTACTGGCAGTAATTGTGGTTTTAGAACAATGTGGGTGACTTCGTGCACAAGACAAGATGGACATCACCATTAAAAATAAATACAGTAGAAAATATAATCATTCCTTTGGGCCATTTATACTTAAATGAAAGAGTATAGAAAATTTAGAGTCTTGCATGTGAGCCCAGACACTAAATTATTCCAATATGTACATATTTGGGAACATCTACATTACTCATTGCTCTACTGGCTTCCAAGTGGAGAAATTTTATCCAAAAGTTGCTTAGTAATTACTTTATCTTTGAGAATTGGCATTCCTTGATTGTCTGATATGCTTTGTTAATAATGAAAATACTTCAAAAAAGAGAAAAATTGTGAAAGCATGTGACACTGTGTGAAAGCAAAGATTTGTTGCAGAGGTATCGAACCCAATAATTCCTACACAGGCACTGAAAGTATGCCACCAAGCAGGAGACGATCCAAACTGCCAGCAAAGCAACCAAAACAATACATATAGGTCAATCTTCAATAAACACTTACTTATGAAATGAATGAATATTTACATCACAGAGGCATCTTATCCTAAACTAAGATTTTAGGATTAAATACTCTAATAATATCTGTTGTTTTTGTAGGGCAAAATTGCTTGGATATATCTGTGCCATACATACCTTTAATTATTGAACCATTTCTGTCTCCTATTTTCAAACTTTGTAAATTTCTGCTCATCCCGATCTTTGTTGCATATTTATTTTTCTAGTAGATAGCTTTTTTTTTCTCTAAAAAATTATAATAGATACTGTTTTCCAAGCACTGGATATTATGCTGAGTAATTTTAGACAATTTCTTATTTAATTATCCTACTAATCCAGCAAGTTATTATTCTCATTTTACAAACAAGGACATTGAATCTCAAAGAAATTAAGTAACTTACTCCATGAAATGGAGTAGTAAGCAACAGACCTAGCATTTCAATATAGAATTAAAGTTTTGAGGGTGAAACAGTATGTTTTGTATATCTTCCATATCAGTGTGTGCATTAGAATCACCTGAAAAACTTAACAAACTTTCCCACTTCATAACCTCTAGAGATTCTGATTCAGTTGGTCTAGGAAGGACCATACAAATCTGCATTTCTAACAATTCCCTTGGCGTGATTCTTATGCAACCAGTTAAAAGTAGTGCTGTATATCACTATATCAATGCCTTCCATATAGTAAGATATATTCACATAAATGAATGAATTTCAGATATCGAGCTGGTGTTTTTTGTGTGTTTTGTAAGATTTGAAGATATTTTTGATGGTGGAACACAACACAGTGACACTCAAATAGATGAAAGGCAGAACACTTCATTATTTAAAGCTCAGGAATGCTTTGTCTATTTGAGGTCTTTGTTTCCATAACATTTTTAGTATTTTTTTCTATTTATATGGAGAACGTAATTGTTATTTTAAGAGAGATTATATTAAATCTATAGATAGCTGTTATATGGTCATTTTCACAGTATTAATTATTTCAGTCCATAAATATGGGATGCCTTTTCATTGTTTCCATTCTCTTCAATTTCTTTGATCAGTATTTTATAGTTTTCCTTAGAGATCTTTCACTTCCTTGGTTAAATTTATCCCAACATGTTTTATTTATTTGTAGCTATCATAAATTGAATTGCTGTCTTGATTTCTTTTTCTACTAGTTTATTGTTGGTGTATAGAAACACGACTGATTTTTGCATGTTGATTTTGTATTCCACAACTTTACTGAACTTGTTTATAGGTTCAAAAAGGTTTTTTTGGGTGGAGCTCTTAGAGTTTTCAGTATATAAGATAATGTCTACATGGAGACAGTTTAACTTCCTCTTTTTCAATTTGGAAGTCCTTTCTTTATTTCTATCTAATTGCTCTGGCTGGATCTTCCAGAACTATGTGAATAAAAGCAAGGAAAGTTGGCATCCTTGTCTTGTTCTAGATGTTAGAGAAGAAGCTTCAGGTCTTCCCCATTCAGTATGTTAGCTGTGGGTTTGTCATATAAACCTTTGTTACGTTGAGGTATGTTTATTACCTCAACCTAATATGTTGTGAGTTTTTATTACGAAAGGATGTCTTCTTTCTCCATGCTACATTTTGAATTTGCTACTGTCTGTCCTGGAGTTAACTTCAGCACTTTACCTTGTTTTGCACATTAAAAAAAAATCCTGAACACACTCAGACACACTGGTGTAAACATACAATAGCACTTATAGTATGCATTGTGTGTGGAGCATACTTTGATAAAAATTTGGAGTTTAAATTTAAAAGTTTAAATTGTTGCAGTAATAACAACTTAGTATAATCATTACACATAGCTGTTTCTAAACTTCTTGGACAATTTCACAACGTTGCCCAGTAACTCACTTTTTCTTTTAACTTTCTGCTCTCTGTGTCTGTGAATTTCTAATATGAAAGAGCTTTGGTATTTCTTCTGTTTCCTGGACTTCCTTTAAACCCTCTTCTCATGGTCTCATATTCCACTCCACGTAATTTATCTGCGTATTTTCCTAAAGAGAGAATGTTTCCACTGGAGCCAGCTATTAATATTAATATTTATTTTCACTGTTACTGAATACATTTGCCTTCTCATGGGAAATCTTCATTTCACTGAAAGATGTCATATAAGGTCTATAATTCAAATTATCCTCCTAAGTAGCTTCATTTTGTATTATTTCCATAATAACTGTAAAGTAATTACCTTGATTTCTACTCAGTAGCTTCTGGGAATAAAATAGGGCAACCAGAGGATGATGACTGCTCTTTCTGCTTTCACCACTAAATTCCATGTACACTGGAGGACATTTAGCTAAAAACAGATTTCACTGAATTTCTGTTCCACAATTTACAGGTCCAGAGGTAAATAGTGACCAAAAAATAAAACTACGCAATTAGAAAATTAGTATGAAATAATTGCTAAAGTAAGGGCCGGGCGCAGTGGCTCACGCCTGTAATCCCAGCACTCTGGGAGGCGGAGGCAGGTGGATCACCTGAGGTCAGGAGTTCAAGACCAGCCTGACCAACATGGAGAAACCCCGTCTCTACTAAAAATACAAAAAATTAGCTGAGCGTGGTGGTGGGTGCCTGTAATCCCAGCTACTCGGGAGGCTGAGGCAGGAGAATCACTTGAACCCGGGAGGTGGAGGTTGCGGTGAGCCGAGATCACACCACTGCACTACAGCCTGGGTAACAAGAGTGAAACTCTGTCTCAAAAATAAATAAATAAATAAATAAAATAAAATAAAATAAAAAATTGCTAAAGTAAGGAGGGGCAAAAAATTAAGGAACATACAATGTTTCATTTTGCTCAAGTGAAAAAAAAATAGAATGTTTCTTAACCTTCTTCTGTTCTCAACTTCACAATTTTGACTGTGCCAGGGCTCAGTTAGCATATTTAGTCTACTCCCTCTGTCTTCACTCCTTAGGTGATTCCATCCAGTCCCATATGCTGTCCAGCCTCATTCCCCCAGTGAAGCCTGCCCAATTTCCCTTGTGTTTCCCTTAGATGCCACATAAGCACTTCAAGCTACCATGGTCAAGGCAGGATTCTTGATTTTTTCTTCTAGCTCCCCAAATTTTTTTCAAATTAATCAGTGTCCCTACCATTTACCAGATAAATATTTGATTTATTGCTTTCACTTGCATTCTTCCAATCCATTAGCAAATCCTAATGGCTTTGCCTTCAAAATACACAGTGAATTTTACCATGTCTCATTGTTTCTGCCAATATTACAGGCTTCTGTCATCTCTTGTATCAACTACTGCTAAAAGTAGCTAATGCTTCTGCTTGCCTTTTTCATCATGCCTTCTACAGTCTGCCTCTCAGCTGTCAGAGAGAAAGTCTTTTAAAGTGTAAGTCAGATCAAGGCATTTTCTATTCAAAATCCTCTAATAGCTCCTTATCACATTTTGAAAAATGTAGTGAGGACTAAGCTCTGATATTTATCTTGCCCAGATTCCTATCTATGTGATCTAGGGAGTCATGCCCTACAAACCATAAATTCTCATCATATGGGTTTCATTTGACCCTATATAGCATGACTTACTTTTCAATCTGACTCTGGCATAACATTATGAGACAAGAAAAAGAATATTTAACCCCAAATTATATTTCCTTACCATACCTTGAAATTGCCTTGCAAAGTCTCTTGTGGGAAAAATACACACCCTATAGGGAATCCCCTTCCCCCTTTGTTTTCCTTCCTTTCTTTCCAGATCCAGGAGATAATCAACTGAGAGCCAGGTGCACTTTTAGGTCTGATAAAGAAACATTTTACAACCTACTCTTTCTCTGATGTCTGCTGAGAGATTCCTCTGCACAATAAAACTTGGTCGGCACAATCCTGTATCTTAACCTGAACATTCCTTTCTATTGATCACAGTTCTTCAGATAATACTCAACCAATTGTCAACCAGAAAATGTTTAAATTTACCTATAGCCTGGAAGCCCCCCACCCCCACCCACGTTGAGTTGTCCCTCCTTTCTGAACCAAACGAATGTATTTCTTAATTGTATTTGATTGACGTCTTATGACTCCCTAAAAATATACAAAACCAAGCTGTACCCCGACCACCTTGGGCACATGTTCTCAGGACCTCCTGAGGGCTGTGTCATGGTCCATGGTCACTCATATTTGACTCAGAATAAATCTCTCTTAAAATATTTTATAGAGTTTGACTTGTTTTGTTGACAGTAGAAATACGTTGTTTTGGCTTCTACCACTACATAATCTAGCCCCTTGATTCCCTCTTTGACTACATCTTTGATGGTTTCATCCCTCTCATCCTCAGCTACAGAATCCCTGGGATTCTTTTAAATCCTTGAATATTCCAAGTTGTTCCTCCCTAAGAGGCTGTATAATTCTTACACCCGTGACTTGCAATGAACTTCCCATACCTTTTCTATTTCTTCCACTAAATTGCCTATACGTCATGATGGCATGGACTTTGTGTATCTTTTTACATGATAAGTTCAGTGCTTGAAAAAATGCCTGGTACACATGAGATGCTGAATAAACATTTGTAAAATGACTGCATGGGCAAATGAATCTATTTCTAAAATCTGAAGTAAGTAGAGAAGATTATATACATTAAGCGATAAATGTGCAGATAATAACTAATTCTTAAAACAACAATTCTAGGTTGACAGTTTCTATAATATAATCATAATAAGCAATATTTACTGAGCATTTAATGTTCCTCCCACATTGAGCTAAATACCTTTGGTCATCATCTCATTTATATATAACAATAACAACGTGAAGTAGTACTCTTAGTTCTCCTATATTTCAAATGAATACCGTGAGGTTCATAGAGGTTAAGTGACTCAATTCCCATTGTCACACAAATTTTAAACAATGAAGTTGGTACTGGAACTTAGTCAAATTCCAAAGCTTATGCTTGCACTAACTATATCACACAAAGGTAACATGGTAATTATTTTTAAAGCTAGACTATCTGAACTGATGTCTCTATTACTTAAAGGCACTGACAATCTAATAATTCTGTAAAAGAATCTGCTGCTGATAAATGTATGAATATACCAAAAGCAGCATGAAGAAGAGTAATGAGAGTGCACATGGTACTAGATGAAGGTTCAGAATAACTGGGTTCTAGTGCTTTGTTGGCTGCTCTCTAGTTTAAGAAACTGGACTTCAGTCTCCTTTTCCATAAAAGACAGAAATTCAACTAAAATCAAAGGCTTGAAACTAGATTGTTCTTGAGCGAAAATCAGTTCACAGACATGTTTTCTTAGGCTCTTGCTGTCCTTTTTATAATTTTAAATTATTATTATTTTTATTGTTTAAAATTGACAGATAAAATTGTATGTATTTACGATATACAACATGATGTTTTGACATATATATGCACTGTGGAATGACTAAATCTAGCTAATTAACATATATATTACTTCACATAGTTATTTTTGGGGTGAGAATGAAACCGCCTTTGCAAAATTATAACTGTGGAAATTATGACAGTGAAAGAAATCAGACCTAACTGACTCCATCTTGCTTCTAACCATTAAGCTGCCCTTGTTCATTCCTGGGCATAGGCCGAACTAACACTGGGAAGGAATTCAGTTCATAGTTTGACTCTGAAAAAAAATTGATAACATCCCTTTCCCAAAAAGACCCCCTTCTTGCCTGGGAACCAATCTGCCTTTGCAGGACTAACAAATTACCTACCAGATTAGAAATTACAGTTTAGGGGTCTGCAGCCTCCGGCTCCAAGAGTCTGAACTTCCCCAATTTGCTCCTGGGGATAACATAACTATGGTAAAACCTAAGATCAGTGCTTAAGATATTTTGCAGGCCCTGCACTCAGTGGATCAACTGACACCACCCAGACTAGTAACGTGGCTCAATCAGTTCTGCCATCCCACCCAGGAACAGAAGACAGCAAGAAAAACTCACTTCGACTCCCTGTGATTCCATCTCCAACCTGACCAATCAGCACTCCCCACTTGCCAAGCCCCTACCTGCCAGATTATCTTTAAAAACTCTGATCCCCGAATTCCCAGGGGAGACTGATTTGAGTAATAATAAAACTCCTGGTCTCCTACACAGCTGTCTCTGCGTGAATTACTCTTTCTCCATTGCAATTCCCTTGTCTTGATAAATCAGTTCTGTCTAGGCAGCAGGCAAGGTGAACCCATTGGGTGGTTACAAGAACACTTTACATCCACTATCTTAGCATTTTTCAAGAATACAATATATTTATTAACTATAGTCACCATGTTGTACAATAGATCTTTAGAACTTATTCCTCCTATCTAACTGAAATTTTGTATCCTTGACAAATATCTCCCCAACCTCCCCACATCAACTTTGAAAAGAATGTCTGCATCCCTTTTGGTAGGGAATTTAGTCCACTCACATCCTGTCCCAAGGAGTTCCTATTGTCTTTCATCCATTCCATTTAAGTCAACAACATTTAAAACCTTGGTCTCTCAGGGCATTTGCT
The DNA here is from genome assembly GCF_000001405.40 of Homo sapiens. Classification (NCBI taxonomy): domain Eukaryota; kingdom Metazoa; phylum Chordata; class Mammalia; order Primates; family Hominidae; genus Homo; species Homo sapiens. The sequence continues at coordinate 20,053,960 of NC_000007.14, forward strand.
TTTGTGATATCTGAGGTAAATTTCACGGTGTTCCATCCCTTTTGAAGTCAAAGCATACGTACTGTTAACGGAAAATTCAATGAGGAGCTACCAATTTCTAAACAAAATTTTAAAAGCAACTTTAATAGTAGAATCATCATTTTTAATTGTCAATTGAAGCATATCTCATTAGATATGTTTATTAGATAACATATGGATAACATTTATCCATATCCTGCACAGCTGTAAAAGAACACAAGTACACTAACTATACACTTACAATTTATTTAAATATGATTGTCACACATCACTTTAGTTTTGACTTGACTGATATGTGAAGATATATAATTTGTTTCATTGCTGTCATTTTGAAATCTTTTGCATTCTAAGGAATTTGGACAAGAAATGAGTGTTTCATATTAACAGCCAAGAGAATGTCTATAGTAGCAAAAATCCTCATGTAAAGTGGAAAATCCAGTCATGTGATATTTTCTTTACAAAATGTCAAACATCTGAAAGGACATTATATAATGATAAAAGGATTAATCCGACAGGAAGATATCACAATCCTAAATTTATATGCACCTAACACTTAAGTTCCCAAATTTAAAAAACAATTACTACTAGACCTAAGAAAAGAGACAGACAGCTACACAATAATGTGGGGGACTTCAATACTCCAATGACAGCACTAGACAGATCTTCAAGACAGAAAATCAACAAAGAAACAATGAACTTAAACTATACCCTAGAATAAATGGACTGTGTAGATATCTACAGAACAGGCCGGGCGCGGTGGCTCACGCCTGTAATCCCACCACTTTGGAAGGCCGAGGCGGGTGGATCATGAGGTCAGGAGATCGAGACCATCCTGGCTAACAAGGTGAAACCCCGTCTCTACTAAAAATACAAAAAAGTTAGCCGGGAGCGGTGGCGGGCGCCTGTAGTCCCAGCTACTCGGGAGGCTGAGGCAGGAGAATGGCGTGAACCCGGGAAGCGGAGCTTGCAGTGAGCCGAGATTGCGCCACTGCAGTCCGCAGTCCGGCCTGGGCGACAGAGCGAGACTCCGTCGCAAAAAAAAAACAAAAACAAAAAAAAAAACAAAAAAAAAAGATATCTACAGAACATTCTTCTCAACCACTGCAGAATATACATTCTTCTCATCAGCACATGGAACATTCTCCAAGACAGACCATCTGATAGGCCACAAAACAAGTTTCAATAAATTTAAGAAAACAGAAACCATATCAAGTATCTTTTCAGACCAAAGTGGAATAAAACTGGAAATCAATTCCAGAAGGAACCCTCAGAACTATACAAATATAAATTAAATAATCGGCTCTTAAATGATTTTTGGGTTAACAATAAAATCAAGATGAAAATTTAAAAATTATTTGAAATGAATGATAATAGTGACACAACTTAGCAAAACCTCTGGGATATAGCGAAAGCAGTACTAAGAGCAAAGTTCATAGCATTAAATGCCTACATCAAAAAGTCTGAAAAAGCACAAATAGGCAATCTAAGGTCACACCTCAAGGAACTAAACAAACAAGAACAAACTAAAACCAAACCAGCAGAATAAAATAAATAACAAAGATGAGAGCAGAACTAAATGAAATTAAAACAAAAAAATACAAAAGATAAATGAAACAAAAAGCTTATTCTTTGAAAAGATAAACAAAATATATAGACCATTAGTGAGATTAACTAAGAAGAAAGAAGATCCAAATAAGCTCAATTAGAAATGATAAATGGAGATATTACAACCGATGCTACAGAAATACAAAAGATCATTCAAGGATACTATGAACATCTTTACATGCACAAACTAGAAAATCTAGAGAAGGGTAAAATCCTGGAAATATACAACCCTCCTAGATTAAATCAGGAAGTAATAGAAATCCTGAACTAACCAATAACAAGCAGTGAGATTGAACTGGTAATTTAAAAATTGTCAACAACAGAAAAAGTCTAGGACCAGATGGATTTGCAGCTGTATTTTATCAGACATTCAAAGAAGAATTCAAACAAATCCTACTGAAACTATTCCAAAAGATGTAGAAAGAGGGAATCCTCCCTAAATCATTTTGTGTAGCCAGTATCACCCTAATACCAAAACCAGGAAAGGACTTAACAAAAAAGAAAACTATAGACCAATATTCCTGATAAGCATATTAATAGATGCAAAAATCCTCAACAAAATACTAGCTAATTGAATCTAACAGCATATCAAAAAGATAATATAACATGATCAAGTGAGTTTCTTACCAGGGATGCAGGAATAATTTAACATACGCAAGTCAATAAATGTGATAAATCACATAAACAGAATTAAAAACAAAAACCATATGATCATCTCGTTAGACTCAGAAAAAGCATTTGATAAAATCCAGCATCACTTTGTGACAAAAATCCTCAACAAAGTAGCCATAGAAGGGAAATGCCTCAAAGTAGTAAAAGCCATATGTGACGAACCCACAGCCAACATCATACTGAATGGAGAAAAGCTGACAGCATTCCCCCTGAGAACTGGAACAAGACAAGGATGCCCAATTTCACCACTTCTATTCAACATAGTACTGGAAGTCCTAGCCAGAGCAATCAGACAAGACAAAGAAAGAAAGGGCATCCAAATTGGAAAGGAGGAAGTCAAAGTGTCACTGTTCATTCGATGATATGATTGTATACCTAGAAAAAGACTCAGCCAAAAAGCTCCTAGATCTGATAAACAAATTCTGCAAAGTGTCAGGACACAAAATCAGTGTACACAGATCAGTAGTACTGCTATACACCAACAATGACCAAGCCAAATCAAATCAAGAACTCAATTCCTTTCACAACAGCTGCAGAAACATAAAATAAAATACTTAGATACTTAACCAAGGAGGTGAAAGATCCCTATAAGGAAAACTATAAAACACTGTTGAAAAAAATCATAGATGACACAAACAAATGGAAACACATCCCATGCTCCTGGATGGGTAGAATCAGTATTATGAAAATGACCATACTGCCCAAAGCAATCTACAGTTTCAATGCAATTTCCATCAAAATACTATCATCATTCTGCAATTTCCATCAAAATACCACGATCATTCTTCACAGAATTAGGAAAAACATCCTAAAATTCATATGGAACAAAAAAAGACCATTTATAGCCAAAGCATAAGCAAAATGAACAAATCTGGAGGCATCAAATTACCTGACTTTAAATTACACTACAAGGCTATAGTTACCAAAACAGCATGGTACTGGTATAAAAATATGCATGTAGATCAATGGAACAGAAAAGAGGATCAAGAAATCAAGTCAAATACATACAGCAAAGTGATCTTTGACAAAGCATATAAAACCATAAATTAGGGAAAGAACACCCTATTCAATAAATGGTACTGGAAAACTGGCAAGTCACATGTAGAAGACTGGAACTGGATCCTCATCTCTTACCTTATACAAAAATCAACTCAAGATGGATCAGAGACTTAAATCTAAGACCTGAAACCATAAAAATTCTAGAAGATAACATTGGAAAAAACTCTTCTAGACATTGGCTTAGGCAAAGAATTAATGACTAAGACCTCAAAAGCAAATGCAACAAAAATAAAATAAATGTGACCTAATTTAAAAGCTTCTGCACAGCAAAAGAAATAATTAGCAGATTAACCAGACAACTCACAACATAAGAGAAAATATTCACAAATCAAACAACTCACCAAGAAAAAAACAAATAATCCAATGTAAAAGTGGGCCAAAGACATGAATAGACAATTCTCAAAAAAGGATATATAAAGATCCAATAAACATGAAAAATCTCTCAGTATCAGTATTAAAACCACACTGAGATATCACTTTACTCTTGCAATAATGGCCATAATTAAAAAGTCAAAAAATAATAGATGTTGCCATGAATGTGATAAAAAGGGACCACTTTTACACTGCCGGTGGGAATGTAAAGTAGTACACCATTGTGAAAAACAGTATGGAGATTCCTTAGAGAACTAAAAGTAGAACTACCATTAGATCTAGCAAGCCTACTACAGAGTATCTATCCAAGGAAAAGAAGTCATTATATAAAACACACACACACATACACACACGCACACATGTTTATAGCAGCACAATTCACAATTGCAAATATATGAAACTAACCTAAATGCCCATCAACCAATGAGTAGATTAAAAAATGTGGTATATATACACCAGGGACTACTACTCAGCCATGGAAAAAAAAAGAAATAATGTCTTTTGCAGCAACTTGGATTGAGTTGAGGCCATTATTCTAAGTGAAGTAATTCAGGAATGGAAATCCAAATATCTTATGTTCTTATTTATAAATGGGAGTTAATCTGTGAGGATGCAAAGTCATAAGAAGGATATAATGGACTTTGGGGACTTGGGGCAAAGTGGGGGAGGGGGGTGAGGTATAAAAGATTATCTGTTGGGTACAGTGTACCCTGTTCGGGTAATGAGTGTACCAAAATCCCAGAAATTACCACTAAAGAACTTATCCATGTGACCAAATCCCACATGCACCCCAAAACTATTGAAATTTAAAAAAGGACTATCCTTTCCCACACTGAAGTGTCTAGGTACTTTTGTGAAAAGTCAATGACAACAGACATAATGTTTATTTCTGTACTCTCAAACAATAATGTCAAACATCTGGAGGTTTGGGGAGAACTTCACAATTACCTAAATATTTTATTGCTTATCTGGATATTTATTTTCCTGTAACTGCAACTAATTTGGCACATTGTCATAAGTAAGGGGCCAGGTGTAAAGAGTGTTGGATTCCAGGGGAAAAACAATATTTTTTCTCCAAAGAACTAAAAATATTATTATTTTTAAAATGTCTTTAAAGAGTTTTAGTCTGCTTGAAGGCATTACTTAGGTTTTTAGTTCACAAAGTTCCATTCTAAACAATGAAGATTTTCATTTGTCTTGTGTGAATTTTGTTATAGTGAGAAGCTTTACAGAGAAAAGAGCTATAATTGTATAATCTTTTATTCTTAAGTTTGCATTAATTCATCATTACTTCAATTACAATGGTATACACAGAAAAATTTAAAAATACAAAGAGAGAAAAAACTAAATGTAACTGTTTTTTGTTTGTTTGTTTGTTTGTTTTGAGACAGAGTTTCAATACTCTGTCAGCCCAGGCTGGATCTGTAGCCCAGGCTGGAGTGTAGTGGTGCAATCTCGGCTCACCGGAAGCTCGCCTCCTGGGTTCACGCCATTCTCCTGCCTCAGCCCCCCGAGTAGCTTGGACTACAGGCGCCTGCCACCACGCCCAGCTAATTTTTTGTATTTTTAGTAGATACAGGGTTTCACCGTGTTAGCCAGGATGGTCTCGATCTCCTGACCTCGTGATCCACCCACCTCGGCCTCGCAAAGTGCTGGGATTACAGGCGTGAGCCACCGCGACCGGCCAATGTAACTGTTTTTGTTAGATTCTTTAAGATTTGAGAGGGTTTCCTTTTTTATAAATGTTCTATAATGGATTATTATTAAAAATGAAAACAAATGAGTATTTCAGATTACTACAAACATGCATAGATTAATTTTTATAAAAAGAAAAACCTCATTCTAACTGGTGAGAGATGGTATCTCACTGTGGTTTTGATTTGCGTTCCTCTAATGACCAGTGTTGATGAGCTTTTTTTCATATATTTGTTGGCCGCATAAATATCTTCTTTTGAGAAGTAAATGTCTGTTCATATCCTTTGCCTACTTTTTGATGGGATTGTTTGTTTTTTTCTTGTAAATTTGTTTAAGTTCCTTGTAGATTCTAGATATTAGCCCTTTATCAGATGGATAGATTGCAAAAATTTTCCCCATTCTGTAGGTTGCCTGTCCACTTTGATGATAGTTTCTTTTGCTGTGCAGAAGCTCTTTAGTTTAATTAGATCCCATTTGTCAATTTTGGGTTTTGTTGCCATTGCTTTTGGTGTTTTAGTCATGAAGCCTTTGCCCATGCATATGTCCTGAATGGTACTGCCTGGGTTTTCTTCCAGGGTTTTTATGGTTTTAGGTCTTACATTTAAGTCTTTAATCCATCTTGAGTTAATTTTTGAATTAAGATGTAAGGAAGGGGTCCAGTTTCAGTTTTCTGCATATGTTTGGCCAGTTTTCCCAGTACCATTTATTAAATAGGGAAATCTTTCCCCATTGCTTGTTTTTGTCAGCCTTGTCAAAGGTCAGGTGGTTGTAGCTGTGTAGTGTTATTTCTGAGGCCTCTGTTTTGTTCCATTGATCTATAACTCATTTTTTCAAAATCACATTTTAGCTTGTGTTCCTGATCAACATAGTTCCTATGAAGGCGTATCCAAGTTTCTGGAATCTGAGCAAACGAGAACCTGCTAATATTTAGAGTGCATTGATTGATGTCTAATACCAAGTAAAAAGTATAATATGGCTATTTCTCACTAGCCATAAATGAATGGAAGCTAACATCCTAAGGAGCGTTTGACTCTCAAAATACTGTATGGACAAATTACCAAGGAATTTTTCATTAGAAGGCTTAAGAAAATAATTCTAAACAACAACAACAAAAAACCCTAAAGAATTTCCATGAGTCTGGTCTTGATTGTGATCCTCTTCATAAAAATTAACTGAGATTCTAAATGTATTAGGAAATAAAGAAAAACATTAGAAACACCTGAAAAAGGACTACCATTAACTCAGATAACTGAATGCTCAATAAAATAAATTAATCATCATTTATTGAAAGATTATTTTCTTTTATTCAGTTTTTCTTAAGCCAAAAGCTACAAACTATTCACTATACTAAATAATTCCTTAGAAAAATAATGCCTTATCTTAAGAGGAGTTGCCTATTTTCATACTCCGGGAAGACATGCTATTTAATAAACTGATGAGTTGCAACCTGTTGGTCTTGTGGCAATAATATCTGGCAGTAAATCAATGAGAAAACACCAGAATCATCAGAATGGACTGCCTGGAGATGATTCCCAAATCTCCTACAGTAATCGGCAAATTCACTGCATTCAGCGAATTAAGCAACTGTATTACAAAGAAAGCTGTAGAAAATGTGATTAAATTTGGCTTGTTCATTAATTGGCTCGGGCTGCCATAACAAAATACCATAGACTGATGAGTAGGTTAAACAACAGAAATTAATTTTCTCTAGGTACTGGAGGCTAGAGGTCCAAGAATAGAGTGCTAGCAAGGTAAGGGCTCTCTTTCTGGCATGCAGAGAATCACTATCTCAATGTGTTCACATGGCTCCTCCGTGTGTGTGTGTGTGTGTGTGTGTGTGTGTGTGTGTGTGTGTTAAAGAAAGGGAGGTTTGAAAAAGTATTCACTAGCCAGTGTGGTTAACTATTTGTAGTAGGACTCTTTAGAATAGATGAAAATGTTAAGATTTTACTAAGATATTTACCATGACGATTGGTAAGGTTCTCCATCAATCAGTGGACTCATCTCACTCTGTAATTCATAGTTTTAAGAGTACGGGTTAAACCAATATCACTTAGGTAAAAAGCCAAAGCATGAGTCTATATGTTAAAATTTTCTTTGTTTTCCTAGAAATTCTCTGCAACCCCGAGCTTAAGTTTCCTAAAAACTATTTAAGAAAACTTAAAATTCTTCCTTTACCATAAATTTCAATGGGAAAGAATAAATGGGGAAAAATATAAATGAATAATTTCATGAGATTCACAGATTGTCTCAAAGCAGGGAGGGGTTTTTTTGGTATTTTTCCTTTATAACACTTTTTTAAAATGCTATAATATTACAAATGACTGTTCAGATACTGGTAAATGTTCTCTAATTTTTCAGAAAAATAAATGCCTTGTCAAACAGCAAAAACTTATTTATGTGGTACTAGCAATGAAAAATAAGAACTTACCATTTAGAATAGGACCAAAAACATAAAATATTTTGGGATACATTTGATTAAAAATATAACAAAATACACTGAAAACTGGAATATTTTGCTGCAATATATTAATTAAAGCAGATTTAAATAAATGGACAGACATATGGAGTATATGGATCAGAAGACTCAATATTTGTAATATGTATATGCTCCCCAAATTGTCTACAGATTCGATACAATCCCAATCAGAATCCCAGCAGGAATTTTTGTAGAAATTGACAAGCTGATCCTAAAATTTATAGGTAAATGTAAAGGCCTCCAACAATCAAAACAATTTTGTAGAAAAAAAAGTTGAAGGATATATACTACCTAATTTCAAGGATTATTTTAAAACTACAATAATTTAAATAATATTGTGTTGGGGGAAATGTGGTATTTCATTTGGAGAAAGAGGTCTTTTTAACAAAAGATAGTAGTACAATTGGCTAGCAATAGTCAAAACAAACAAAAAACAAAGAAACAAACATGAAACATTGACTCTACCTAATCATATGCCAAAATTTATCAAAATTTTATCATAGACCTAAACCCAAGAGCTAGGACTATAAAACTTCCAGAAGATGTAGAAGAATGAGTGCCTATGAGTTTGGAAGTAATTTCTTTAATACAACACAAAAGACATGCTCTATTAAAGAAAGAAAAAGAAATCCTAAATGAGACTTCATCAAATTAAAAACATTTGCTCTTCAGAAGATACTGTTACAGAAAGAAGTAGCAAGCTATCAATTGAAAAAAAAAAAAAAATCTGCATAACTCATATCAAACTAAGAGTCTGTATCCAAAACAGAGAAAGAACAACATTCAAGTCTCAATAAAAAAGAGAAATAAAAAGGAAAAACTATTTGAACAGATATTCCACCAAAGAGGTTGTACAGATGGCAAGTTAGCATGCGAAAAGATGCCTTTTAGGAATTGTGAATTAAATTTCAATATGATATCACTACATAACACTAGAATGACTAAAATGAGAAACCCCAACCATATCAACTGTCAATGAGAATATGAAACAACTGAAACATGGTATGCTACTGACGGCAATGTACATTTCTCCATCCACGTTAGAAAAGTGTGTAATTCCCTAAAATGTTAAGTATACATATGTCATGTGACTCAGGCATGCCATTCCTAGGTGGTATAGCTAGCTAGCTAGCAAGAAATGAAAGCATACATCTGCACAAAAACTTCTACACAAATGTTCATGGAAGCTTTATTTCTAATGGCCAGAAGGCCAAAACAATTCAAATTTCCATCAAAAGACACACAGGTAAACACATTGTGGTATATCCATAAAATGGAATATTATACAGCAATAAAAAAGAATAAACTACTAATGGAAAAAAAACATGAAAAAATCTTAAAGTAATCATGCTGATTGAAATAAGCCAGATTCCACTCAAAAAGAGACAGAATACACAGGTATGATTCCACTTATGTAAAATTACATAAAATGCAAACTAACTTACAGTGACAGAAAGCAGTGCAGTTGTCGTTTAGTTGATATAAAGGTCAAAAAGAATATCTGGGGGATGGTGGATATGTTCATTATCTTGATTGTGTGGGATACATATGTTAAAACTCATCATCAATAACTGCACTTTAATTTTGTGTAGTTTAATAGATGTCAATTATACCTCAATAAGGCTGTAAAAAACTGAATTAAAAATAAATCTAGGGGAAGAGAAGTCAGTATAGTGGTTATGCTTGGTGAACGTGGGTAGTCACTGGAAAAGGGAGAGGCATCTGGGGTTGTAGTCATACTCTGTTTCTTGATTTGGATGCTAGTTGCACATGTGTGTTCACATTTTAAATTAATGGAGCTGATACATGTGTACTTTTTAAAATAAATCTTATTCTTCTTTAAACATTTTACGTTACAATAAATGTTTAAAGGAAGTTTTTCCTTCACAGTATAGACAAGACGAACATGAAACACACTACATAGCTTTTTGAAAAAAATGAATTGCAGATGGGAACAGGGGTAGGGAGAAATATAAAGCACAGTCAGCTAATATCGACATCATGTTTTACTGAAGCATAACACAGACACTTCTCCCCAATTCCTGACTTTATAGGAACCTTCATCTCATTTTATCACTATGAGTCCTTTTTAGAAACATCAATTTTTCTTATATTCCTTTCCTGTCATTTCTAAAAGTGGGCTTTTCAGATATCTTCTTCAGCAGCATATTAAGGAACTATGTGGTGAAAAAATATTCCATGGGCAAAAATGTCTGGAAAATTTGTATTGAACAAGCCTAAAAACTGTTTTCCTCCCTGCAGTATTTACATATGCAATTGTAATATGTTAAAATCTGCCATAAATCCCATACATAGCATATACAATGTTTTCCAAACTTATATTCACAGCCTCCTTTTGAGAATAGCATTTAATGTACTGATCCTCCAAAGAATACAAATTGCCGTTCCAGAAATTCAGTACCACCTGTGGTTATTTACTATTATAGTTAACATGTATGCTCTCACATTACACCACATGGGTTTGAATCCTGACTCTGTCACTGTTTTTCTTGTGAACTTGAGTGCTGAGTTTTTCTCTGAAAAGGATGATGAAGATATGGTTATTGTGGAGATACAATGACTAAACACATGTAAAATATTTAGAAGAGCTAAATGCTGCTCTAAATATTTTCACTGCTACACAGTGAGCATTAAGGAGTTAACAATTAATATTAAGATAGACTGCAACTCAGGGTCCATCTTTCTGCTCATTGATCCAGCAAAATCTGGCAACAGAATTACGTGAGATGCTGTATTTATAATCACCACCATTAGTATGCATGGTTAAATCATAAATTTCTTGAGGGCAGAGATCGCATCTGTCCATCATCCTCCTTTTTGAGGGTTAGAGTTTGGCTTAATCAGCCTCTGCCTCGTAGGAACTCTGGAATGTCCAGCGGTCCAATTAGCATAACAGAATCCAGGCCCTCTGGAATGATTGTGAAGTGAATCTTAAACCAAGATCAACAAGACTAAGAAGATGTGTCAGCAAAAGGTGGTAGAAGCCTTTGTAATAGGGCTTTACTTGAGACTTGAGTGATGCAGGTGGAGTCCTTAAGTCAGAATTCCACTCAGCAGACCTTCACATTAGAGGATCCTTGAAACCAAGCATAGGGTGAGGAGGTCAGGGATCTTCGAATCACCTTAGTGAGACTGAAGATTGGAGTCAAATGCTTCACTGTTTGTTACTTAAGCGCTTGATTTTCCTGAGGTTAACGCGATAAGGACATGAGGGTTTTATGTTTATCCTCCACAGTGCCTAGCACATACAAGCACATAGCCAGTGTTAGTGAATGTGTTCTTTTGAGCATGTAGTATGATCAGAAATTGCAGTGACAGTGGCAGAACTGACACTCTTACTCTCCCACTCCAACTGCAGAAGGAAAGAAAACGGAGAAACAAGAAACAGTAAACACATAAACTGAGAGAAAGGAAGAATTTTCCATCAGGCAAAGCAAAGTTTATTCTTAAAAAGAAACATGCATTATATCTCAAAGAACAGAGAAACAAGATAGGGTATTTAAGGGTTAATTTGTGTGAGCAAAGTGCTCTGAAACCATGGGTATGAAACCACATCAATGCAGTCTCACCATGGCTGCCTGCCGCATTGTGCAGCTGCTATTTTTAGCCAACATTCATACTGCTCTGGGTCAGAGTGGGGGACTTCTGTGCAGAGAAGAATGAATTGCTTGCAGCAAGCCAAGTTTTGAGGAGTAATTATTTGTGCTATAATGTACAGTCAGGGCCAGCTCCATGCCACACACTGAAAACTAAGTCTTCCAGGAAGTACAAATAGGCAGGTCTTCAGTGGCTGCTTATGGCTTCTAGCACTAATGATACTTGGCAGTGCTGCCAGGATGATCAAGAATTAATTGATTTGTTGTGAACTCTACCAAAGGTTAGCACCGAGTCTGATGTTATACAATGTAGATACATTTTCAAAGTACTTCATGATCATTAATTATTTTTTTTGTCTCAATGTTCCAAGGAAGTAAAAATTAGTTTTCTTTATAATTTTAATGTTATCTTTTCAACTTTATATTTATTAACCTTAGACTTTCTAGTAAGAGCAAATGCTCTTTCACAAATTTCTTGTTACAAGAGATACAGTAAGTAACAATTCAGTTTTTATTTACTAATAGCTGTTTTCTAAAGCAGGTACCAAATCTCTTTCTTTTTACTTTCCTATTACCCAAGGGTGCCTGTGCCTGACCAACACTAACTTTCTATACCTATCAGATAAATCCTAAGAGGCCAAGATATACTTCACCCCGAATATGGATCCAGTTTTAAGGAAGTCAGAGTCACAACTTCCGTTTTTCAAAGCAATAATGGATTGAGCACAGAGTCTCACGCCTGTAATCCCAATACTTTTGGAGGCCAAGGCGAGAGAATTACTTGAGATCAGGAGATCAAGACCAGCCTGGACAACATACCAAGACCCTTTCTATACAAACAACTTAAAAATTAGCCTAGTGTGGTGTTATGCATCTGTAGTCTCAGGTACCGTGGAGGCTGAGATGGGAGGATCACTTGAACTCAGGAGTTCAAGGCTGCCGTGAGCTGTGGTTGTTTTACCATACTCTAGCCTGGATGACAGAGTGAAATCCTGTCTCTAAGGATAATAATGATAATGATAATTATAATAAATCATTAACTGAACTCCCAGAAAACACTAGAAACAGTATATATTATTTGTTGAGGGTTTTTCAATTATAAAATTATTACTATTTATTATTAGGAAATCAGAAAAAATTACTACTCAATACTTGAATATATATTTCCATTTTTATGCATTTGTTTGTATTATCGCCAATTTTTTAAACTTGATTTTTTATTTGATATTTTGTGAGCTTTTCTCTGTATGTTAAACAGCCTCAGAAAACATGATGTTGGGTCTTAATTTTTAATACAGCAATATCATGATTTATTTAGCCAATCTCTTATTTTACCTAGTTTTTTATTTTTCTTTCTAATCTTTTAGCATGTATAATATTGTAATGCATATCCTCATAGTAATACATTTAAGTATACCTCTGACTTCTTTAGCATACATTTCAAAGAATAAAGCTATTGTGTCAAACATTTTTAAACTTTAATATATATTGTTTCGTTTCTAAGATCACTTCCCATTTTTTATTTAAATCTAATTCTAGACTCATCTTAAATGGTTCAAGTAATCTTAGCTTACTGACTTTAGCTTTACTTACAGTGAGAGAGGTTGATATTATAAGGCTTTAAAATTTATATAGTGAATTGTGTATATATTTTTTCACAGTAATTTCTTTTTTTGCTTTCATGCTTCTATCCTCTTTTTTAACCATTGATGTTGGGCCTAGAGGTGGGTTGCTGGACAACTAAAACCTAAGACATCAACTGTTGAGTTTTGGGACAAGACACAAGCACAGACTCTTAGTGAAAGCTTAAAGTACAGTGAAGAAATATTATTACAGGCTGGAAAAAAAAAGAAAACAAGTTATTTTGGCAAAACAACCAGCATTGTCTGCAATAACATGGGCTATATAAAGGGCACTTCAGGAACTTATGGTTTTGGCTAAGAAGTTTTCCAGTCAGAATGCTGGAAAAAGCTTCTTCTAGTGAAACAGAAGAACAGCAAGATAAGTTAAAAAAAAAAAAAAAAGAATGAAAAAGAATTTTTCAATTTTCAAGCAGAATTTACAGAAAATATGAAGGGGCCAGCACTAGTTTTTTTTTTTTCATGAATAAAACTATTCTTTTCAGACATGAAAAGACTTATTACAGTAAAAAATGGCTACAGGGCAAACATCAAAGCAAGGGCATTTCCATTAAAACTTGCCCTCAATATAAAGTTCATATCAAGTTTATGACTATAAGATCCTTTGCTGAGACCTCAGAAATACTTAAAGTTCCACACAGACCCTCTCAACTACTCAACAGGGCTTTTAAAAATCTTAAGGGGGCGGTTCCAAGATGGCCAAATAGGAGCAGCTCCAGTCTACAGCTCCCAGCGTGAGCGACGCAGAAGACGGGTTATTTCTGCATTTCCAACTTAGGTACCAGGTTCATCGCGCAGGGTCTTGTCGGACAGTGAGGGCAGGACAGTGGGGGCAGGACAGTGGGTGGAGCCCACTGAGTGTGAGCCAAAGCAGGGTGTGGCATTGCCTCCCAGGGAAGTGCAAGGGGTCAGGGAATTCCCTTTCCTAGCCAAGGGAAGCAGTGACGGACAGCACATGGAACACAGGATCACTCCCACCCTAATACTGCGCTTTTCAAAAGACAGCACACCAGGAGATTATATCCCACGCCTGGCTCAGAGGGTCCCACGCCCACAGAGCCTTGCTCATTGCTAGCACAGCAGTCTGAGATCGAACTGCAAGGTGGCAGTGAGGCTGGGAGAGGGGTGCTCCCCATTGCTGAGGCTTGAGTAGGTAAACAAAGCAGCTGGGAAGCTTGAACTGGGTGGAGCCCCCTGCAGCTCAAGGAGGCCTGCCTGCCTCCTTAGACTCCACCTCTGGGGACAGGGCATAGCTGGAAAAAAGGCAGCAGAAACCTCTACAGACTTAAATATCCCTGTATGACACCTTTGAAGAGTGTACTGGTTCTCCCAGCATAGAGTTTGAGATCTGAGAATGGACAGATTGCCTCCTCAAGTGGGTCCCTGACCCCTGAGTAGCCTAACTGGGAGGCACTCTCCAATAGGGGCAGACTGACACTTCACATGGCTGGGTACTCCTCTGAGACGAAGCTTCCAGAGGAATGATCAGGCAGCAACATTTGCTGTCCAGCAATATTCGCTGTTCTGCAGCCTCCGCTGCAGATACCCAGACAAACAGGGTCTGGAGTGGACCTCCAGCAAACTCCAACAGACCTGCAGCTGAGATTCCTGACTGTTAGAAGGAAAACTAACAAACAGAAAGGACATCCACACCAAAACCCATCTGTACGTCACCATCATCAAAGACCAAAGGTAGATAAAACCACAAAGATGGGGAAAAACAGAGCAGAAAAGCTGAAAATTCTAAAAATCAGAGTGCCTCTCCCCCTCCAAAGGAACCCAGCTCCTCACCAGCAATGGACCAAAGCTGGATGAAGAATGACTTTGACGAGTTGAGAGAAGAAGGCTTCAGATGATCAAACTTCTCCTAGCTAAAAGAGGAAGTTCGAACCCATCACAAAGAAGCTAAAAACCTTGAAAAAAGATTAGCCAAATGGCTAACTAGAATAACCAGTGTAGAAAAGCCCTTAAATGACCTGATGGAGCTGAAAACCATGGCACGAGAACTATGACATGAATGCACAAGCTTCAGTAGCTGATTAAATCAACAAGAAGAAAGGGTATCAGTGATTGAAGATCAAATGAATGAAACGAAGCGAGAAGAGAAGTTTAGAGAAAAAAGAGTAAAAAGAAATGAACAAAGCCTCCAAGAAATATGGGACTAACTGAATAGACCAAATCTACGTCTGACTGGTGTACCTGAAAGTGAAGGGGAGAATGGAACCAAGTTGGAAAACACTCTGCAGGATATTATCCAGGAGAACTTTCCCAACCTGGCAAGGCAGGCTAACATTCAAATGCAAGAAATACAGAGAACGCCACAAAGATACTCCTCGAGAAGAGCAACTCCAAGACACATAATTGTCAGATTCACCAATGTTGAAATGAAGGAAAAAATGTTAAGGGCAGCCAGAGACAAAGGTCAGGTTACCCACAAAGGGAAGCCCATCAGACTAACAGCGGATCTTTCAGCAGAAACTCTACAGGCCAGAAGAGAGTGGGGGCCAATTATTCAACATTCTTAAAGAAAAGAATTTTCAACCCAGAATTTCATATGCAGCCAAACTAAGCTTCATAAGTGAAGGAGAAATAAAATCCTTTACAGACAAGCAAATGCTGAGAGCCTTTGTCACCACCAGGCCTGCCCTACAAGAGCTCTTGAAGGAAGGACTAAACATGGAAAGGAACAACTGGTACCAGCCACTGCAAAAACATGCCAAATTGTAAAGACCATTGATGCTAGCAAGAAACTGCATCAACTAACAAGCAAAATAACCAGTTAACATCACAATGACAGGATCAAATTCACACATAACAACATTAACCTTAAATGTAAATGGGCTAAATGCTCCAATTAAAAGACACAGACTGGCAAATTGGATAAAGAGGCAAGACCTATCAGTGTGCTGTATTCAGGAGACCCATCTCACACGCAGAGACACACATAGGCTCAAAATAAAGGGATGGAGGAAGATCTACCAAGCAAATGGAAAACAAAAAAAAGGCAGGGGTTGAATCCTAGTCTCTGATAAAACAGACTTTAAACCAATAAAGATCAAAAGAGACAAAGAAGGCCATTACATAAGCGTAAAGGGATCAATTCAACAAGAAGAGCTAACTATCCTAAATATATATGCACCCAATACAGGAGCACCCAGATTCATAAAGACCTACAAAGAGACTTAGACTCCCACACAATAATAATGGGAGACTTTAACACCCCACTGTCAACATTAGACAGATCAACAAGACAGAAAGTTTACAAGGATATCCAGGAATTAAACACAGCTCTGCACCAAGCGGACCTAATAGACATCTACAGAACTCTCTACCCCAAGTCAACAGAATATACATTTTCAGAATATACATTTTTCTCAGCACCACATCACACTTATTCCAAAATTGACCACTTAGTTGGAAGTAAAGCACTCCTTAGCAAATGTAAAAGAACAGAAATTATAACAAACTGTCTCTCAGACCACAGTGCAATCAAACTAGAACTCAGGATTAAGAAATTCACTCAAAACCACTCAACTACATGGAAACTGAACAACCTGCTCCTGAACAACTACTGGGTACATAACGAAATGAAGGCAGACATAAAGATGTTCTTTGAAATGAATGAGAACAAAGACACAACATACCAGAATCTCTGGGACACATTTAAAGCAGCATGTAAAGGGAAATTTATAGCACTAAATGCCCACAAGAGAAAGCAGGAAAGATCTAAAATTGACACCCTAACATCACAATTAAAAGAACTAGAGAAGCAAGAGCAAACACGTTCAAAAGCTAGCAGAAAGCAAGAAATAACTAAGATCAGAGAAGAACTGACGGAGATAGAGACACAAAAAACCCTTCAAAAAATCAAGGAATCCAGGAGCTGGTTTTTTGAAAAGATCAACAAAATTGATAGACCACTAGCAAGACTAATAAAGAAGAAAAGAGAAGAATCAAATAGACAGAATAAAAAATGATAAAGGGGATATCACCACTGATCCCACAGAAATACAAACTACCATCAGAGAATACTATAAACACGTCTATGCAAATAAACTAGAAAATCTAGAAGAAATGGATAAATTCCTGGACACATACACCCTCACAAGACTAAACCAGGAAGAAGTTGAATCCCTGCATAGGCCAATAACAGGCTCTGAAATTGAGGCAATAATTAATAGCCTACGAACCCAAAAAAGTCCAGGAACAGATGGATTCACAGCCAAATTCTACCAGAGTTACAAAGAGGAGCTGGTACCATTCCTTCTGAAACTATTCCAATCAATAGAAAAAGATGGAATCCTCCCTAACTCATTTTATGAGGCCAGCATCATCCTGATACCAAAGCCTGGCAGAGACACAACAAAAAAAGAGGATTTTAGACCAATATCCCTGAAGAACATCGATACAAAAATCCTCAGTAAAATACTGGCAAACCAAATCCAGCAGCACATCAAAAAGCTTATCCACCATGATGAAGTGGGCTTCATTCCTGTGATGCAAGGCTGGTTCAACATATGCAAATCAATAAACATAATCCATCATATAAACAGAACCAAAGACAAAAACCACATGATTATCTCAACAGATGCAGAAAAGACCTTTGAGAAAATTCAACAGTGCTTCATGCTAAAAACTCTCCATAAATTAGGTATTGATGGGACGTATCTCAAAATAATGAGCTATTTATGACAAACCCACAGCCAATATCATAGTGAATGGGCAAAAACTGGAAGCATTCCCTTTGAAAACTGGCACAAGACAAGGATGCCCTCTCTCACCACTCCTATTCAACATAGTGTTGGAATTTCTGGCCAGGGCAATCAGGCAGGAGAAAGAAATAAAGGGTATTCAATTAGGAAAAGAGGAAATCAAATTGTTCCTGTTGGCTGATGACACGATTGTGTGTTTAGAAAACCCCCTCATCTCAGCCCAAAATCTCCTTAAACTGATAAGCAACTTCAGCAAAGTCTCAAGACACAAAATCAGTGTGCAAAAACCACAAGCATTCTTATACACCAATAACAGACAAATAGAGAGCCAAATCATGAGTGAACTCCCATTCACAATTGCTTCAAAGAAAATAAAATACCTAGGAATCCAACTTACAAGGGATGTGAAGGACCTCTTCAAGGAGAACTACAAACCACTGCTCAATGAAATAAAAGAGTACTCAAACAAATGGAAGAACATTCCATGCTCATGGATAGGAAGAATCAATATCATGAAAATGGCCATATGGCCCAAGGTAACTTATAGATTCAGTGCCATCCCCATCAAGCTACCAATGACTTTCTTCACAGAATTGGAAAAAACTACTTTAAAGTTCATATGGAACCAAAAAAGGGCCCACATCACCAAGACAATCCTAAGCCAAAAGAATAAGGCTGCAGGCATCACGCTACCTGACTTCAAACTATACTACAAGTCTACAGTATCCTAAACAGCATGGTACTGGTACCAAAACAGAGACATAGTCCAACGGAACAGAACAGAGCCCTCAGAAATAATACCACACATCTACAACCATCTGATCTTTGACAAACCTGACAAAAACAAGAAATGGGCTAAGGAGTCCCTGTTTAATAAATGATGCTGGAAAAACTGACTAACCATATGTAGAAAGCTGAAACTGGATCCCTTCCTTACACCTTATACAAAAATTAATTCAAGATGGCTTAAAGACTTAAATGTTAGACCTAAAACCATAAAAACCCTAGAAGAAAACCTAGGCAATACCATTCAGGACATAGGCATGGACAAGGGCTTCATGTCTAAAACACCAAAAGCAATGGCAACAAAAGCCAAAATTGACAAATGAGATCTAATTAAACTAAAGAGCTTCTGCACAGCAAAAGAAACTACCATGAGAGTAAACAGGCAACCTACAGAATGGGAGACAATTTTTGCAATCTACTCATCTGACAAAGGGCTAATTTCCAGAATCTACAAAGAACTCAAATAAATTCACAAGAAAAAAACAAACAACCCCATCAAAAAGTGGGCAAAGGACATGAACAGACACTTCTCAAAAGAAGACATTTATGCAGCCAAAAAACACATGAAAAAATACTCACCATCACTGGCCATCAGAGAAATGCAAATCAAAACCACAATGAGATATCATCTCACACCAGTTAGAATGGCGATCATTAAAAAGTCAGGAAACAACAGGTGCTGGAGAGGATGTGGAGAAATAGGAACACTTTTACACTGTTGGTGGGACTGTAAACTAGTTCAACCATTGTGGAAGTCAGTGTGGCGATTCCTCAGGGATCTAGAACTAGAAATACCATTTGACCCAGACATCCCATTACTGGGTATATACCCAAAGGACTATAAATCATGCTGCTATAAAGACACATGCACACGTATGTTTATTGCAGCACTATTCACAATAGCAAAGACTTGGAACCAACCCGAATGTCCAACAATGATAGACTGGATTAAGAAAATGTGGCATATATACACCATGGAATACTATGCAGCCATAAAAAATGATGAGTTCATGTCCTTTGTAGGGACATGGATGAAATTGGAAATCATCACTCTCAGTAAACTATTGCAAGAACAAAAAACCAAACACCGCATATTCTCACTCATAGGTGGGAATTGAACAATGAGAACACATGGACACAGGAAGGGGAACATCACACTCTGGGGACTGTTGTGGGGTAGGGGGAGGGGGGAGGGATAGCATTGGGAGATATACCTAATGCTAGATGACGAGTTAGTGGGTGCAGCGCACCAGCATGGCACATGTATACATATGTAACTAACCTACACATTGTGCACATGTACCCTAAAACTTTAAGTATAATAAAAAAAAAAAAAAAAAGCAAAAAAGCAAAAAAAAAAAAAAAAAAAAATGAAGGGTTGGACAGCAAATTTTTCGGCAGCAGCTGGCCTCTTCCCCAGTTTTCTCTAGTTCGTTAAATGGCAGCACCATTTTCAAGGTATTCAGGCCCCAACTCTTAGTCATGCTTTACTCCTCCAGGTCCTGCATATCCATATTCAGTCATCAGAGTAAGTCTGCTTATCCCTACCTTCTAAATGTCTGCTGAATATGGAAACTTCTCTCCACCTTCAATGTCTTCTCCTTACATCCAAGACCTCAACATATTTCATTTAAAGGACTGAAATAGCCTTCCAACTAATCTCCCACCATCCTGGGCCCTATGCTTAAGTCACACCACATCCCTGCTCAAACATCTAATGGCTTCCATCTCATTCAGAGTAAAATCCCAATTATTTTCCACAGCCTACAAAGGCACATATGATCTCACACTTCTCTCTCTGACCCCTCCTAATCTCCCTCTTGATTAATCACTTCCAGACACATATTGCAAGCTTATTCTCACTGCAGGGCCATTGTTCCATTTGTTCCCTCTGCCTGAAAGGATATTCACCCAAATAATGGGTGCAATCACATAGCTTGCTCTGTCATTGTATTTAAATTTATTCTAAAAGATCTCTTCAGAAAAGCCTTCGGTGAACACCTTCCATAAATCTTGGTTATGGTTTTTTTTAGCATTTAACATGATGTAATATAACACTACATGTTTATTTGCTTATTTCCCTACCCCTTAACTAGTAGATTCCATGAAGACTTGTATGACACTATCCTTCTTACTATTCAGAACAGTGCCCACCGTATATTAGCTCTTCAAGAAAGTATTTGTTGAACAAACTCATTTCCAAAAACGAGAGAGCACATCATTTTCAAACACACGTGCAATATTTATGAAAATTGGCCTGATGCTGAGGCACAAAAGAAGTCTAACCAAACCACAATAATAGATCTCATACCCATCATGAAGATGCAATGTAGATGCCCACCTACAACTCTGAATGACAAAAGCCACAAAATTTATTTCTTAAAACAAATGTCTTCTCTCTATCCAAGTAGAATCTATTACAATTTTACTGCCCCACAAAAAAATGTCTAAAGGGCTCAGTATGACACTCTTTCAGGAAAGAATTATTCACTATTATTTGCCAAGCTCCTGTTCCAGAACTGGAGATCATGTTTAAAAAGCAGTGTGGGTGGTGGGGAGGGGGCGAAATTTGTCTAAATTGACTGAAATTGAGTAAGAAATATATATCTCATCTATGTATATATGTATATATATCTCATCTATGTATGTGTGTATGTGTATTGATTATCTATCTAATATAACATCAAATTTAATTTTGTAAAGTTTCTGAAGTCAGATTGAGTGAAGTTAGTGGCCCTTAAGCTGGAACTTAATTGATGGATAACATGTAACAGACATAGAGAATGTCTATGGAATGGAGAAGGGGAAGAAACAGTTTCCAAACTGAAATATTGGTACGTGCAAACCTATGGAATAAGAAAATTTTACATTTTTAGAAAAACAGCAAGCCATTCGACTTGGTGCAAATATAGACTGTACATGGTAAAATTATACCAAAGGCACATTGTGAGAGCTTTAGAAGCCAGGCTAATAAATTATAGACTTTAATAGGCAGATCATGAGGAACACCAGAAGGCTTTAAGGAGAAAGTGATGCAATTATGAATTATACTTCAGAAGATTTTATTTGGTTGGAGATATTACTGCGTTGAGAACACGGCCTGTAGAGTTTGAGGAACACAAATGGGCAAGTCTCTCGTTAGACTCTCTCACTGAGCACTGTAGTGCTTGGATGGATTACTCTATCTCAACTTAACTTTATTTATGAGGGTTAGAGTTGACCACTATAGAGGTGGGCAAAGGTAAGGCTGCATAGATGTTATGGGCAGAGGCGTTGGTCACCAAAGTATTCTCTAATCCCCAGAAGAAAAAAAATGTTTCTTATAAAGCTTTTTTGTCTAAAGCACATTGCGAGACTCTGATAAAGATCCGTGCCATGCATTCCTTTCCCTACCTACGTGGCAAAGAGAAAAAGTGCAAAGTCTCTTGTGATTTTATTAATTTCCCACCCATTAAAAAAGCTAGAGTGTAGGGAATCTTAGTTTGAATAAATAGCTCCTGGCTTCCATCATTGAGAATAAAGTAATCTCTGTTTTCACCCTTGAATGAGAGGTCACTAAGTGAGATGAATAATGTTCTTCAGTTACTGAATGATGCAGGATATGCTGAGTAATGTATTTATGTGCAATTTGCACAACTCTTTAATTAGTTTTAAATATCAAGCTTATTCTAGCTGACATCTAAGCTTTAATATTATCTTATTCAAGCCAAGTATGTGGTTTTGAATTTGCTTTGCAAATGGTATGTTCTTCAGGGTTGCTTATTTAGCAATATTCTGATCTCAGTTGCTACATGATCTGTCTTAAGAATTCTAAGCAGATAATTCTATTTAGCCACAGGGATAAATACAGATTTCTAAAGAAATCTGTCAAGAAAATGATTGCAGAACATTGTATTTATCTGGCTTTTAAAAATTTCTAAATACCATTTCTGGGTTATGATGGTAGATTACATAAATATGCATAATTTAGCTTTCTTCATAAATGTAAGCTATTGCAAAAAGATTTCATAAAAAAGCAAAAACTCACACGGATGAGATAAACAGCAGATGGACCCATGGTGACCATGGCCACGGTATATGTCAGAGGCTGGGATGGAAGCCAGTGGGAGACAAAATCCAGCTCTTTGCTTTGCCCTCATCAAGTAAGACATGCGTCCCCCTGTGGAGAACCCTTTTTCCTAATTCACACAGGGATAACTAGCTTAGCATACCCAAGAAGGCCAAAGTTAAAGTTGGCAGTAGCATAAACAAAAAACTGACAATTTATATTTTAAGAAGTACAGCGAGAGCAGCAGGAAGGGTGAGAGATGGTAAAGACTCCAAGGATAGAGTGAACACTGGGAAGCTGGATCCCTCTCCCATGCCACATCTCCAAGAAATCCCCCGCCCCCACCATCCCCAGCACAAGTCTGCAGGTTTAGTCTCTGGCCCAGACAGAAAATGTCTTTGTACTGTGGCTCCAGGAAGATTTTGGAGAATACATTACTGAAATTGGGAGATTAAGTCACCATTAACATTTGAAACACTGAATATGAAGCCACTCCCAGCCCTTCTCTTTCAGTTGGCTGCCAGAATTCTGGAACTCACAACCCTAAGCAATCTCACTGTTTCAAGATGTTTATCTTAAGGGTTCCTCAAAAATAGCCCAAACAAACCAAAAGAGAATTTTAAATTATACAGAAATTGCAATCAACTTTTTGTCCCCCACTCTTATCCTTGAGCAGAATACCATTTTTAACTGTATTAAATTGACATAAAATCATATGTATTTATTGTGTACAATATGATCTTTGAAGTTTAGTCACGAGTCATTTAAGGACAGAGAAATTCATGGTTAGGTGATTTTGTCATTGAATAATCATAGTATGTACTTACACAAACCAAGGTGGTAGAGCCAGGCTATGTGGTAGAGTCTATTGCTCCTAGGCTACAAAGCTGTACAGCATGTTATTGTACTGAATGTTATAGGCAACTGTAACACAATAGTAATTATTTGTGTATCTAAACATATTTAAACATAGACGAGTACTGTAGAACTATTACATTGTAATCTTATGGAAAAAACATTATGCATATAGTCCATTGTTGACTGAAGTGTTATGTGGCACACAACTGTATATATATGCATTGTGGAATGGTTCAATCCAGCTAATAAAGAAATTTGTTACTTCATATGGTTATTTTTAGTTATATAGTTTTTTTTGTCAAGAACACTTAATATCCACCCTCAGCATTTTTCAAGAATACAGTACATCACCATTAACTATATTCAACATGCTATTCAATAGATCTCTTGAACTTATCCCTTCTATTTGAAAGAAATGCCTTTGATGTGGAAATACAGTGCTATGGCAATCAAAAAGGGTCAAAAACACATTGGAAGAAACAGACTATGGAGGACAGTAAAGATTCATATCATTTCTATATGCAGAGATCTGAGAAGACATTGCTTAAATTGCTTCAGGTTAAACAAAATAGACAAATTAGAATTCTGGGGAATTAAAAAAATATGTCAGTAGAAACAAAAAGTAAATAGGAGATGGATAGCTGGAAAATGAAACTGAAGAAATCTTCCCAGAAAGTACAGCAAAAAGACAAATAAATGGTGAATAAGAAAAGAAATAAGAAAAACTGTTTTACATGCAGAATAAATTGTTATACGGGCACCACACCCACTTACAGGAACAACATCACCCACATTGGAAACTATCATCTAATCACATGCATGAGGCTCCTTCTTCCATGACCAGATTATCACCTCCCAGAGAGCATGGATCCCATCTCTCTGATTCACTGCTCTGTCCCCACATATTAGCTTGTAGCTGTTGGTACACAGTGAACACTTTCTAAAATTTTACTGAAAATTATTGAGTAAATTACATAAACATTTATCTAGTAAAAGAGTATATTTTCCTTTGATTTATGCAGAAATGGTAGGTGACTCAACATCAGCAGCTGCAGTTAATTAAATAATTAGCGCTTTCCTTATTTAATGTCTCCGGTGAGATCATGGCAATGTAGTAGCAAAAATAAACACCAACCAACTTCGCAGAATTTTATTCCACTACTTGTACAGCTGTCAAATTGCTCTGTGATGAATGCATTCAGGATTGAGCACCATGGAAATGCCACACTGACCAGTCTCTGATGTGAGAGTGGTCATGTCATGAATGAGGCCTAGAAGCTCCTTTGATTACACTAAGTCCACACTTAATAAAGTCGATAGGTTATTGGAAACTATGACTTTAAGTTAAACAACAGATAAAGAAACATTTTTTTCTCATCAACGTTATAGTGAAATGGTGTTGAGGGAAACAACATTATTCAAGGACTTGCTGCTAGTGGGAGGAATGGTGGACTGTATCAGACATCTTTTGTTCCTCACATCAAAATCCTTCAACTCAGTGTTTTGTTCCAGCAATCTCTAGTCACATGCAAGCAAGTGTAACTTCATGCTGTCTCTCCTCAGCTGTGCTAGAAGTTGCTCACTTTCTGCCCCAGAGTTTCTCTGCCACCAGCATGTCAGATGTGTGCAAGAACTTGTTCTGCCATTCTGACACAGACACCAATCAGAGACTGCAAGGAAATTTATACTCTGTGAAGCAACTTGACTGACTGTGAATGAGAGTTAGTGAATATTCAAATGAATAGCCTATTCAATGAATAGAGCTATTCAAATGAATAGTACTTTATCCCTTTGGCAGACAATTTGGATGTGTCTTATACACAGGTCCTTAGAAGGTCTACAGTGTGATCAGTTCACAGTTGTCCACAGTGGTGACCAGCTCAATATCATGCTCTTGGGTTGGCTTTCCCACTTTCCCTGTTGAACTCTTTTCATTCATCCCCTCCAGTTCTTGGGAATCTCTTAGCAAAAGTAACTACATACAAACCCTTCTCTCCAGCTATGCTTTTGGTTGGTTGGGGTGGGGGCGGTGCTGGGCGGCGCTGGGCGGGGCAGGAATAAGTTATTAGGACCCCCTGACATGTAAAACAACCTTCCATAAACCTAAATCTTTCCAGATAATTCTAGTTTTTTCAAAGGAAAAATATGCCCTTTGTAAATAAATTCAAAATAAAGAGAGAGTCTACTACCTGACTTCTCTTTAACAATACTACAGATGATCTTCATAGAAAAACATAGTTTTATTTTGCAGGTATATTATTAGCAGTAGGGCCCAGAGTATTTATTGGAATGTTTTGACATTTTAATAGTACTTTTTCTAACTCATCTTTTTCTAACCTTTTTTTTTAGTTTAATACTTATTATAATCATTTTATTCTCATTGTATTTTAAAAGTTAAATATTAGAGAAATAATATAGTTGAAAGGATTACCTAAAATTTAGCAGATAACTAACTTAAACTACACAGAAATAGTAAAGAGAAAGGAGATCGTTGCAATAATTAAGAATGCTAAGAATTAAAAAGTATTTTCATGTAATACACTACTCATCTAATAGGATACTGCCTATTATATGAAATTGTAGACTTTTAATTTATGTCATACACACAAAGTCCCTTTTATGTTTTTATGTCTGAAAAATAAATGGCAATGATTTTGCTATTCTTAAATATTCTACAATAAAACAAGAGAACCATGACCAAAAGTAATAAGCTCCCACAGGACATTTTTCTTACTCTAAATTGTAAATGGAGTGAACATTAAAAATATTGTTTCTATGTAAGTGTTAAAGAAAAAGAAAAACATCCTTTTAATTGTGAATGATTAAAATGATAAAAGGTGAAAGAAGTACAATATAATCACATCACATACATTCAATTTGATTTTTCCACATTATACAATCCAAACTCACTACAAAAACAGTATGAATATGATACTACCCTGAATCTGATTATAGCAGGCAGGGTTCTGCGATAGCACCCAAGATTCCATCCGCTGGTGTATATTCCCTGTATAACACTCCCCATCTCATCCCTTGACTGTAGGAAGCACAGTGAACATAATGGAATTCACTCTGATGATTAGCAAGTTATATGGCAAATGGATCATGGTATACTAAAAAGATGAAAACATTTGCAGATAAAATAAGGTCTCTAATCAATTGCTTTGAGATAATCAAAAGGGAAAATATCCCGGGTAGGTCTGGCCTAAACAAGTGAGACTTTAAAAGGGACTGTGCCTTCTTGTGGGAAGAAATATGAAGAATGAAAAGATTTTCTGGCTGACCCTGAAGAGCAAATAACTTCCATGTTGGGAGTGGATGGGACTATGTAGCAGTGACCTGACGCAGTCACTAGTTGCTGAGAACAGTCCCCAGGCAATAGCTAGCAAGAAAGTGAGGACCTAAACACACATCTGCAAGGAAGCCAATTCTGTCAATAACCTGAATCAGCTTGGAATAGGATTCTGAACTTCAAAGGATAAACAGCCTACCTAATACTTTGATTGTTTTGTGAGATTGTGAGAGGCAAGCTACTCCACACCCAGGCTTCTGATGTTCAGAAACGATGACATAATAAATGGGTATTGTTTTATGCAACTAAGTCTCTGGTAATTTGCTACACAGTAATAAAAAAACTAACACATTGGTAAACTAGAATGAAGCGCGTCCTTTAGTTTCCCCCTAAACTTTAACAATGTAAAGGCTCTAAGAATAATAAACAAATACTACTCTCTTAAGTGTCTGAAAAAAATTAAACTTATAATTTGTCTCTCTTTGTATCCATTTAAAACTAACAATCTAAAACAAATTTAAATGAATTATTTTCTGAAAGTAAG
This sequence comes from Homo sapiens, assembly GCF_000001405.40. NCBI lineage: Eukaryota > Metazoa > Chordata > Mammalia > Primates > Hominidae > Homo > Homo sapiens. Next base: position 20,081,357 of record NC_000007.14, read on the forward strand.
AGGCAAGATAAAAATGTTGCAATGTCAGTTTGAAATTTTACTTTGAAATCAAATATGTGAAATGTGGAGTGATGAGCCTATTTTCCCTGTTTCTGTGATAACTTTTTCTTGTGCATGATTTTTATCTCAAAAATGTTACAGTGGTGATAGGTTCTGGTGTTAGGCATTCATTTACCCATTACTACATAGGAAACAATGAGGATGCTAAGTAAAGGAACACAATTTGTTGAAGAATAAATACTTATAAATACATGCAAAGGAGAAGTAAGAAACTAACATTTTTTCACACTTATCCTATGCTTGCCACTGTGCTAATTAATTTGCATGTATCCTCTATTGCTTAGAAACATTCTGAAAAGTAGATACTTACAGAGTGTCAAGTTTTTGAAACAGAAAGATTCAAGCAATTTGTGTAATTGTATGAAGTTAGTAAATGTCAGTTAAAATTCTAACCCTGGTTAATCTGACTCAAAAGTTTACTACAACATTTAGTTGGTTTAAAATCAAGTACTTGATTCTTTACCCATCCACAAGGCTGAAGTCATCACACATTGTGGACTACAGCATCCAGATATATAGTGTGTGAAGGCACAACTGGAAGGCAGAGGCAAAGGCAGTGTTTTGAAAGACACATAAGCAAAGGATAACAAGGTAAAGAGATGCTTATTGACAGGAGTCAGAATGCAGATCCCCTCCCCAGATGGTTCAGAAATCTATGAAGGGACTCATTGCTCTGCTTAATAAATGCCTAAGAAAATTCCCAAAACTTTCAGTTAAACTTTGAAGGTAGTCTCAGAGTTTGAAAAATATGGTCTTAAATAACCATATACTTATCTCATCTGTGAGTCTTCATTGCACAAAAGATAGTGTAAATCACTGTTTATGTAGTTAATTGCTTTGCTCCAAAGTAGACACTGTGAGCTGAGATCCCTCACTTTCAAGAAGGTGAGATATCTCCTGCCTCCTGTGTTAATCACTATACTCAATAGTCTTTCTTTCCCTTCCCACCCCCTGATGAACTCATTTAAATTATCATTCACAAAAGGACAATTCTGAGAGTAAAGTAAAACCATATTATTAATTTTACTGGGATTATCTCAGGCACACTTGTATATAAGGTAATCCTATTTCTCTCCATTTTGTTCTCTCATTCTCATTAAACACATTCCCTATCACCTTTGAGTATTCCAGCTCCTTGATTTTTTCTCTTTTCCTAGCTTATCATTTTCACTTATACTTTTCTTGTCTCTACTCTGCCTGTGCCCTAACTAAGTCAACCATACTTTCATCAACAGCCTATGATCTGTTAACTTCTTTACCTACCCAACCTACCAAATCCAACCTGGTAATAATCTACAGTTTGTTTTGTTTTTGTATTGTGTTCAAAATTATTAGTCCAAAGTTATTTGTCACTAATAAACAAAAGGCTTTAGTTTAAACTGATAATTTTGTAAAGGTTCATTCTATTCATTTTCACCTTAGTCTTTTCGCTTCTAAAATCAATTTGGTAATTCCAGTATAGTCCGTATTAGAAATCCCACTGCTGTTATTTCCAGCTTTTCCCATTCTACTCATATCCCAAAATTCACTATTTCCACCTTCATACTCAGCAGGTGTTTTTCTACCGGGTAACATTTTACAGGTGATTTCCTCATCTGCCTTCCCAGAATGTTAGAAGGGCAATGCCACACTGATTTTTAAAAATTCACAAAGTTATAAGATGTGCTACTTGTAGCAAGTGAAAAATTAGAAAGATATTGTACCTCCTATTCCTCTGATTCCCTACCTCCTATTCCACTTTCCTGAGGCCATCAATGTTAATATTTATCAACCTTATATGACTCCTCCCACAAGTTGTTCCTTACCAACACATGCATACATACAACTGTATACATTTCTAAATTTCTTCTTTTGTTTTAACTAAATAGAATCACATTACAAACAGTACTCTGAATCTATTTTTGACTTAAGACATCTTTCCCTAAATATATATAAATATTATAATGAACATATAAAGAAACACACACATACACAGAGTTTATAAAGACAATGGTATAAGGTGCTAGGGCATTTTAGGGCCATACTTTATTTTTTCTTATATTCCCCTCTACCTTTCATTTTTCTCATTCCTCTGCCTGCATCATCCCCCAATTCTCATCTCACTCATGATAACTTATGTAAACAACAAACCAAGCTTATCTACAAATTTCACCAGCTGTATAAATATGTTATCAAAATGCTATATGTACATATATTTTATATATATATATATATGTGTACGTATACACACACACACAGATGTATATTAAAAAGATGGTAAATCAAAAGTTTTATCTGGGATACCAAAATACAATAGATATAAAACTTCAAGATGAAGGATAGATATCCTGAGGAAATTTCAAAGTTAAAAGGACTAATATAATATGGCCCTAAAAATCAACAAGTAGTCTATACAAAGTAAAGTGTGTAGAAATTGGGAGATGGTTAACAAAGAAATTCCTTTTGCAAAAGAATGGCATGAGGTGACAGAAGACCATCTCATAACTCCAGATTATGACTAAAACAGCAGCATGCAGGGAGCATCATATGTGTTCTCTGAAGTTGAGCAATGAAGGGGACTGGTGTGTGACTCATGCTGAAGGAAACTAAAAGTAGCCTGGGGCAGCAAAGAGCGCAGCTTCTGGGAAGCCACTGTGGTCCCCTCCAATGGTGAACAGAGCACAAGGTACATGTGAAAACTACAGAAGAGAGGGTAGACTTGTTGTTTTGGCTTCTGTCAGTGAGTTCTTGAAAAGGCAGTGGCTTTCCAACAGTCTCCTGTAAACCAATATAAAACTTGTGAATGGTAGTAAAGGCCAGATAGTAGAAGAGAATGCCTCTCCCTTGAAAAGTAAGATGTTGTCTAAGGAGATCGCAGAGAAGCTCCTGCAAAGCCCATCAAAGTGCTCTAGAGAGAAAGAGCCAGATTTATACATCTACCAGGCCCAGAGAGCACAAAGCTACCCTACGACAGTATCTGTTAAGTATGAACTTTCTTCTGCCATTCTTTTCCCCATTCCCATGGAGCTACCTGGATAGGTTAGTAGAAGCAGCCACCTAATAAGAAATAAAATGAGGCAAGCAAGAAGCAGCCAGCCACAGATGCAGGCTCTGTCCTATAGCTCATGCCTGCTAAGACAAGTATCAATAATATCATAAATTTGAGACTATGTTTGCCTTAAAGTGACCTTATGGAGAATGTATAAGTTTTCCTGCAGGGATATGAGAATGATTTCCCAGAATTCGTTGATTTAAAAAAAATATTAAAAGATTGAAATAAAATTAGGTTCTGGTTATATCCCATGAATCTTTCTTTTTCATGCTACTTAGCTACAAATATACCCCAATGATTTGTAAGTAAATATCTATTAAGCACTATTTGGTACTAGGCAGTGTTCTAGACTCCTGGAACAAATACTGTAGTGAAACCAAATAAAGATCCATGGCCTTGAGGAATGCAAATTCTAATGAAAGGAGGCAAATAGTAAACATAATAAAATTGTAAATCATATAATATGTTATGTGCTGATATGTTCCATAGTAATATAATGTCATGAAAATATAGTGTAGGGTAAGGATGGTTAAAAATTCTGTGATGAAAAGGGCAGGATATATTTTTAAATAAGGTATTCAGTGTAGGCCTCATTATAAATGAGATATTTGAGCAAAGTCTCAAAACTGGTAACAGAGATAGATATCTGGGAGAAGGGTGGTCCTGGAGGAGAAAATAGCTTAGCAAAAGACCCAAGATGACATGAATAACAAAACTGCAAAATTACACAGTGCTGGCATCACTGAAAAAACTGAGCAAGGGGATGAGTAAAAAGAGATAAGGTCAGAAGACTTACTTGGCAAAAACAACGGAAAGGATGAGCTGACAAAAAGCAGATGGAGAAAGCTGCACATAGAGAAAGAAGTATTACTGGTTTCGTTTTCGACATGTTGATTTGTGATGTCTATTACACAACCTATATGGATGTTAAGTTAGCATTTGGCTTTGGATTACAGATTCGGCCAGAGACATAAATTTGAGAATCAGTAGTGATTAGAAGGAATGAGATCACCAAAAGAATGAGTATAGGTAGAGAAGAGGTGGATGAACTTGGGAACACTTCAGGATAAGTGGTTGGGCAAAGACAAAGAACCAGCAAATGGACTATTAAGGAACTCCCGTTGAGAGAGGAGGAAAACCAAAGTTGTGTGGTGCCCTGGAAGACAAGTGAAGGAAGGGTGTCTTGAAGAAGGTAATCGCTTCTGTTAAGAGGGCAATGAAGAGGATAATTCCTTATGTTAAGTGTTGCTGAAAGATTTAAGATGTAGACAGTGAGTTGAATACTGAATTTAGCAATATGGAAATTTAGCCAAAGATCCTAGTAGAGTTAACCTGACTAAGTTAGAGAAAACCTGACTAAGAGAATTTAGGAGGGAAGAAATCTGAAACAGAGAGTATATATAAACAGGGCTGTAACTCACAGGGGAAGTGGAATGAAGATGTTTTTAATATGGGAGAAATAACAGCATGTCTGGATGCTGAAGGGAATGATACAACAGACAGTGAAATAGTGATAGTACGGGAGAGAGAAGAAAATTTATGGAGATGCATCATTAAATTAGCTAGAGATTTGTCCTACTGCACAAGTAGAAAGTCAACCTTTAGAGGCAGTAGCTATACTAATGTAAACCAAAAATAAAATTGTAAGCCCTCTTACCAACTGTATGGGCCCCTCCTCTCAGGCAAGGACATTCCAAAGTTAACCTGAAAAAGTAGTTCAGTCTATAATAGGAAGGCACGGGTTGGACATGTCTCATTATACCCTCCTCCCTTTAGAACTCAGGCACAGCTGACCAGTATTAATATTAAAACAGAGACCTTAAGAATGACAAAACAGACTCTTTGTAGCAATAAGATACTAACATGACAGCAGGCCCTGAAAGAAATCAAAGTATTTTACGTATATATATTTTTTTTCACATATATATATTATATATATATATTTTTTGAGATGGAGTCTCACTCTGTTTCTCAGGCTGGAGTACAGTGGTGCAATCTCGGCTCACTGCAACCTCTGCCTCCCATTTTCAAGCGATTCTCCTGCCTCGGCCTCCCAAGTAGCTGGGATTATAGGCATCTGCCACCACACCCAGCTAATTTTTGTATTATTAGTAGAGACAAGGTTTTACCATGTTGGCCAGGCTGGTCTCAAACTCCTGACCTCAAGTGATCCACCCACCTTGGCCTCCCAGTATGCTGGGATTACAGGCATGAGCCACCGCACCTGTTCATATATTTTTTGACATATTTTGAAATGGCCCAGAAAACTGTCTCTTGAGGGGAAAATCTACATTCTGTAGAAAATCTCTTTTCTCTTCTGGGTGTCTTTCTTGATCCAGGAGAGAATTAACTAAGAGTCTGGCACATTTTTAGGTCTGATAAGAAACATTTACAATCTATTCTCTCTGAAGTCTGCTATCTAGAGCCTTTGTCTGCATGATAAAAACCTTGGGATCCATAACCCCTTATCTTAACCCAGAAACTCCTTTCTATTTATTCCAAGTCTTTAGATAATAATTTAACTTTTTCAACCAATTGCTAATCAGAAAATCTTTGAATCCACCAATGACCTGAAAGCCCCCTGCTTCGACTTCTCTCACCTTTCTGGATGAAATTTTTACACTTTACATGTATTGACTAATGTTTTATGTCTCCCTAACAGGTGTAAAACCAAGCTGTAGCCCAACCACCTGGGGAACATGTTTTCAAGACCTCCTGCTGTTGTATCATAAGTCATGCTCCTCAAATTTGGCTCAGAATAAATCTCTTCAAATATTTTACAGAGTTTGACTCTTCTCATTGACACTAAGAAGTAGGAAGGCAAATCAAGGACTGAAAATCCCCTTTTACTCATTTTGTCCTTTTGGCCAAATTGCTTTTTATTTCTATATTGGAAGACATATATTATTTTCCATGCAATTCATGATTACTTTTTCATTGTTGATGCTAATGCTTATTAAAAAAAAAAAAAATAAGACCCTGCCAGGTGCTGTGGATCATACTTGTAATCCTAAGATTTTGAGAGACCAAAACAAGAGGATCATCTGAGCCCAGGAATTTGAGAACAGTCTGGACAACATAGCAATATCCTGTCTCTACAAGAAACATTTTTAAAAATTAGGCAGGTATGATGGTGCGTGCCTGTAGTCTCAGCTACCTGTGAGGCTAAGGTGGGAGGATTGCTTGAGCCAGGCAATGGAGGCTGCAATGAGCTATGATTACACCACTGCACTCCAGCCTGGGTTACAGACTGAGACCCTGTCTTAAAAACAGCAACAAAAACATTCTATAATGTATATGAAACTATGATACCAAGTATTTTCTCCACCAAAATGCTCTATTCCCCAGTGATGTCCCACCCACAAGATGAGAACTTTAGAATACTGTAACTATACCCCCACTTCTACCTCTAGGGAATCCTTTTACTTCTACTTTCTCATCATGAGCCTAAGCCAACTTTTAAATTTTACTGAAGTAACTTGACCCTTTCAATTCTAAACTATTATTTGAATCTCCCCACAAAATTTGTCTCTTCTATTTTAAGAACCCTGATTTTGGTGGCTTACAGTAAACTCCTAGGCTTCGATCATCATTTCTATTATGTCTATTTAGATGTCATCAGACATTATATATAGCCCTTTGCTTACCATTGCTTCTTCTATTTGCTCTTTGTCTTTCTCCATCTTGACTATTCTAATTTATCTGCTCTCTTTTCTATTTTCTCAGATTGGATAAATACATTTTCTAAAATGTGTATATCTGTAAATAATCTTTACTTCACCTTGACAGATGAAGGCTAGCTTGGCTGGACGTAGGATTTTTCCTCCCAGTAGTCTATAGATAACATCTCAATGTTAGTTGCAATGTTAGTTGCTTATTAGAAATGCCTGGGGAGTTAAAAAATGCCAATTATTAGCCCCACCCCCAGAGATTTTGATTTAATTCATCTGGGGTGGAGCCCAGCAGCAGCATTTCTAAAGCTGCTCAGCTGATTCGAACATGCAGCCAGGATTGAGATCTTGTGGGTGTTATTTTACTATGATATGATTCTGCTGTTGACTTTCATTCTATTGTGGCCCAAAGTGGGAGATGAGCAGCCTGATTCCAGTTTGATCCATCTGCGTTCATAATGTACTTGTTCTTTCTAAATAGAAGTTTCTAATATTTTATATTCATGCCTGAAATTTGGAATTTTTACCTTACTAAGGTGTGAATCATTTTCTTGTAAATCCTGACCAGAACTTGTAAAGTCCTTTTAACTGGTCTTTCTTTAACACATAGGGAAGTTTTTCTCTATTATTTAATTAGTGTCTTAACCCAATCTCTCATTTTTCTCTTTCTGGAACTCCTATTTTCCTTAATGTCACTCAACTATTCCCTTATGCTTTTCATCGCTGTATATTTTGCACTGTGATATTTTCTCCACTTCTTCTGTGCTACTAATTTAGTAATCAACAGTGAACACCTCTCTTTCTATTGAAATACTAAAATTTTAAACTTGAAGATGGTGTTATTTAAGTTCCATAAAGTTATGGGCTGTGCTTTAATATTTTTAAATGCTTTTGTCATTGATGTATTCAGCTGTTCATCAGGTGTACCATATCAGGAGCCTGGTTTGAGAGTCCTATCAGTTCTGTCTCTCTCATGTGGCTAGTCCTCATTAGGTGAGTTGTGATTTTCTGGGTTTCATTGGCGCTAAAATCAAGCTGCTAGGAAACACTAAATGGCAGCAGACACCTCCCGGCAGGGATGCAAGACATCTCATACTGGAGAGTTCCGGCTGACATCAGGCTGGTGTCCCTCTGGGACAAAGCTTCCAGAGGAAAGAGCAGGCAGCAATTTTTGCTGTTCTGCAGCCTCCATTGGTGATACCCAGGTGAAAAGGGTCTGGAGTGGACCCCCAGCAAATTGCAGCAGACCTGCAGAGGAGGGGACTGGCTGTTAGAAAACAAACAAACAGAAAGCAACAACAACAACATCAACAAAAATGACCCCACAGAAACCCCATCCGAAGGTCAACGGCCTCAAAGATAAAAGGTAAATAAAAATCTACGAAGATGAGGAAAAACCGAAGCAAAAACACTGAGAATTCTGAAAGCCAGATGCCTCTTCTCCTCCAAATGATTGCAACACTTCTCCACCAAGGGCACACTATGGGGCTGAAGCTGAGATGGATGAATTGATAGAAACAAGCTTCAGGAATTGAGTAATAACAAACTTTTCTAAGCTAAAGGATTATGTTTTAACCCAACGCCAAGAAGCTAAGAACAATGATGGAAGATTACAGGAGATGTTAACTAGAATAACCAGTTTAGAGGGGAACATAAATGACCTGATGGATCTGAAAAACACAGCACGAGAATTTCATGATGTAATCACAAGTATTAATAGCTGAATCAACCAAGCAGAAGGGAGAATATTAGAGCTTGAAGACTATCTTACTGAAATAAGGCGGGCAGAAGAGATTAGAGAAAAAAAAGGAATGAAAAAGAATGAAGAAAACCTGTGAGAACTATGGGACTACGTAAAAAGACCAAATCTACAATGGATTGGTGTACCTGAAAGAGATGGGGAGAATGGAATCAAGTTGGAAAACACACTTCAAGATATCATCCAGGAGAACTTCCCCAATCTAGCAAGACAGGCCAACATTCAAACTCAGGAAATCCAGAGAACCCCAGTAGGATACTCCATGAGAAGATCTACCCCAAGACACATAATTGTCAGATTCTCCAAGGTTGAAATGAAAGAAAAAATGCTAAGGGCAGTCAGAGAGAAAGTCCAGGTCACCTACAAAGGGAAGCCCATCAGACTAACAATGAACCTCTCAGCAGAAGCCCTACAAGCAAGAAGAGATTTGGGGCCAATATTACACATTCTTAAAGAAAAGAATTTCCAACCCAGAATTTCCTATCTGGCCAAAGTAAGCTTTATAAGTGAAGGAGAAGACAAGCAAATGCTGAAGGATTTTGTCACCTCCAGGCCTGCCTTGCAAGAGCTCCTGAAGGTAGCACTAAACATGGAAAGGAAAAACCATATCCGGCCACTACAAAAACACATTGAAATACACAGATCAACGACACTATGAAGCAACTACATTAACAAGTCTGCAAAATTAACCAGCCAGCATCATCATGACAGGATCAAATTCACACATAACAAAATTAACCTTAAATATAAATGGGCTAATTGCCCCAATTCAAAGACACAGAATGGCAAGCTGGATAAAAAGAGAAGACCCAACATGTGCTGTATTCAAGAGACACATCTCATGTTCAAAGACACAAATAGGCTCAAAATAAAAGAATGGAGGAAATTTTACAAGCAAATGGAAAGTAGAAAAAAGCAGTGGTTGCAATCTTAGTTTCTGGCAAAATGGACTTTAAACCAACAAAGGTCAAAAAAGGCAAAGCAGCACATTACATAATGGTAAAGGGTTCAATTGAACAGGAAGAGCTAACTATCCTAAATATACATGTACTCAATACAGGAGCACCCATATTCATAAAACAAGTTCTTAAAGACCTACAAAGATACATAGACCCACATGCAATAATAATGGGAGACTTTAATGCCCACTGTCCGTACTGGACAGATCATCAAGAGAGAAAATTAACAAAGATATGCAGGATTTGAACTCAGCTCTAGACCAAGTGGACCTGATAGATATCTACAGAACTCTCTACCCCAAAACAAGAGAATATACATTTTTCTCAGCACTACATGGCACTTAGTCTAAAATTAATCACAAAATTGAAAGTAAAGCACTCCTCAGCAAATGCAAAATAACAAATAATAAAAGTCTCTCAGACAGCAGCACAATCAAGACAAGATTAAGAAACCCACTCAAAACTACACAACTACGTGGAAATTGAACAACCTGCTCCTGAATGACTTCTGGGTAAATAACAAAATTAAGGCAGAAATAAAGAAGTTTTTTGAAACCAATGAGAACAAAGAGACCAATATATCAGAATCTCTGGGACACAGCTAGAGCAGTGTTAAAAGGAAAATTTATATCACTAAATGCCCATATCAAAAAGCTCGAAAGATATCAACACCCTAAGATCACAACTAAAAGAACTAGAGAACCAAGAGTAAAGAAACCCCAGAGCTAGCAGAAGACAAGAAATAACCAAGCTCAGAGTGGAACTGAAGGAGATAGAGACACAAAAAAACACTTCAAAAAAATCAGCAAATCCAGGAGCCGGTTTTTTAAAATCAATAAAATAGACTACTAGCTAGACTAATAAAGAAGAAAAGAGAGAAGATTCAAATAAAAACAATCAGAAATGTTAAGGGGGATACCACCACTGACCCCACAGAAATATGAGCAACCACCAGTGAATACTATAAACACCTCTATGCAAATAAACTGGAAAATCAAGAAGAAATGGATAAATTCCTGGACACATACACCTTCCCAAGGCTGAAACAGGAAGAAGTCAAATCCCTGAATAGACCAGTAACCAATTCTGAAATTAAGGCAGTAATAGCCTGCCAACCAAAAAAAGCCCAGGTCTAGATGGATTTACAGCTGAATTCTACCAGAGGTACAAAAAGGAGCTGGTACCATTCCTTCTGAAATTATTCCAAACAATTGAAAAGGAGGAATTCCTCCCTAACTCATTTTATGAGGCCAGCATCATCCTGATACCAAAACCTGGCATAGATAGAACAAAAAAAGAAAACTTCAGTCCAATATCTCTGATGAACATCAATGCAAAAAATCCTCAATAAAATACCGGCAAAATGAATCCAGCAGCGCATCAAAAAGTTTAACCACCACAGTCAAGTCAGCTTCATCCTTGGGATGTAAAGCTGATTCAACATATGCAAATTAATACATGTATTACATAAACAGAACTAAAGACAAAAGCCACATTATTATCTCAATAGAGAAAAGGCCTTTGATAAAATTCAGCATCCCCTTATGTTAAAAACTCAATAAACTAGATAATGAAGGAACATGCCTCAATATAATAAGAGCCATTTATGAAAAACCCATAGCCAATATCATACTGAATGGGCAAAAGCTGGAAGCATTCCCTTTGAAAACTGGCACAAGACAAGCATGCCTTCTCTTGCCACTCTTATTCAACATAGTTATTATAAATCATGCTGCTATAAAGACACATGCACACATATGTTTATTGCGGCACTATTCACAATAGCAAAGACTTGGAACCAACCCAAATGTCCATCAATGATAGATTGGATTAAGAAAATGTGGCACATATACACCATGGAATACTATGCAGCCATAAAAAAGGATGAGTTCGTGTCCTTTGTAGGGACATGGATGAAGCTGGAAACCATCATTCTGAGCAAACCATCACAAGGACAGAAAACCAAACACCGCATGTTCCCACTCATAGGTGGGAATTGAACAATGAGAACACTTGGACACAGGGTGGGGAACACTACATACCGGGGCCTGTCATGGGGTGGAGGGTGGGGGGGCGGGATAGCATCAGGAGATATACCTAAGTTAAATGACAAGTTAATGGGTGCAGCACAGCAACATGGCACATGTATACATATGTAACAAACCTGCACGTTGTGCACATGTACCCTAGAACTTAAAGTATAATAATAATAATAAAAAAGAAAAGAAAAGAAAGTTCTGGCCAGGGCAATCAGCCAAGAGAAAGAAATAAAGAGTATGCGAATAGGAAGAGAGGAAGTCAAATTGTCTTTGTTTGCAGATGACGTGATCCTGTATCTAGACAACCCCACCGACTCAGCCCAAAAACTTTTTAAGCTGATAAGCAACTTCAGCAAAGTCTCGGGATACAAAATCAATGTGCAGAAATCACAAGCATTCCTATACACCAACAACAGACAAGCAGAGAGCCAAATCATGAATGAGCTCCCATTCACAATTGCCACAAGGAGAATAAAATACCTAGGAATACAGCTAACAAGAGAAGTGAAAGACCTCTTCAAAGAGATCTACAAACCACTGCTCAAAGAAATCAAAGAGGACACAAACAAATGGAAAAACATTCCATGCTCAAGCATATGAAGAATCAATATTGTGAAAATGCCCATAATGCCAAAAGCAATTTATAGAGTCAATGATATTCTCATTAAACTATCACTGACATTCTTCACAGAATTATAAAAAAAACTATTTTAAAATTCATGTGGAACCAAAAATGAGCTCATATAGCCAACACAATCCTAAGCAAAAAGAACAAAGCTGGAGGCATCATTCTACATTCTACCAGACTTCAAACTATACTACAAGGCTACAGCAACCAAAACAGCATGGTTTGGTACAAAAACAGGCTCATAGACCAATGTAACAAAATAGGGAACTCAGAAATAAAACCACACATCTAGAACCATCTGATCTTCAACAAACCTGACAAAAATAAGCAATGGGGAAATTATTCCCTATTTAACAAATGGTGCTGGGAGAACTGGCTAGTCATATGTAGAAAATTAAAACTTGTCCCCTTTCTTAAACCTTATACAAAAATTAACTCAAGATGAATTAAAGACTTAAATATAAAACCCAAACTGTAAAAACCTTAGAAGAAAGTCTAGGCAATACTATTCAGGACATAGGCATGGGCAAAGATTTTATGATGAAATCACAAAAAGCAATTGCAACAAAAGCAAAAATTGATAAATGAGATCTAATTAAACTAAAGAGCTTCTGCACAGCAAAGGAAACTAGCATCAGAGCAAACAGACAACCTACAGAATGGGAGAAAATTTTTGCAATCTATCCATCTGACAAAGGTCTAATATCCAGAATCTACAAGGAACTTAAGTTTACAAGAATAAAACAACCCCATTAAAAAGTGGGAAAATTATATGAACAGATGCTTCTCAAAAAAAGTCATACATGTGGCCATTAAACATATGACAAAAAGCTCAACATCACTAATCATTAGAGAAATGCAAATTAAAACCACAGTGAAATACCATCTCACTCCAGTCATAATGGTGATTATTAAAAAGTCAAGAAATAACAGATGCTGACGAGGTTGCAGAGAAACAGGAATACTTTTATGCTGTTGGTGAAAATGTAAATTAGTTCAACCACTGTGGAAGACAGTGTGATGATTTCTCAAAGATTCAGACTGGGAAATACCATTTGACACAGCAATTCCATTACTGGGTGTATTAGTCCATTTCAAACTACCAATAAAGACATACCTGAGACTGGGAAGAAAAAGAGGTTTAATTGGACTTATATTTCCACATGGCTGGAAGGCCTTAGAATCATGGTAGGAGGTGAAAGTCATTTCTTACACGGCAGCAGCAAGAAAAAATGAGGAAGACGCAAAAGCAGAAACCCCCGATAAAACCATTCTATCTCATGAGACTTATTCACTACCATGAGAACAGTATGGGGAAAACTGCCTCTGTAATTCAAATTATTGCCCACAGGTTCCTCCCTCAACATGTGGGAATTATGGGAGTAGAACTCAAGAGGAGATTTGGGTGGGGACACAGAGCCAAACCATATCACTGGGTATAAAAGGAATACAAATAATTCCATTATAAAGTTACATGAACACCTATGTACATTGCAGTACTATTCACAATAGCAAAGACATAGAATCAACCCAAATGCCCATCAATGATAGACTGTTTAAAGAAAATATGGTACATATACACCATGGAATAGTATGCAGCCATAAAAAGGAAAGGTGGTGGCAGGGAGGATTAGGGAAAAGAGCTAATGCATGTGGGGCTTAATACCTAGTTGATGGGCTAATAGGCCAGCAAACCACCATGGCACATATTTACCTATGTAACAAACCTGCACATCCTGCACATGTACCATGGAACTTAAGATAAAAATAAAAATCAGACTTAGAAAAATAAATAAAAATTATAAAAAATAAGATCACACAGAGAAATCTTAACTTTGTCAGGAGTAAAATGAATAAACAAAAACTCTCAAAAGGAAATGCTCCCATTACCTATGTTCTAAGTGAGTTTCTCCCTTTGGAAGCCTCCTCCGAGGAAATATTTTTTAAATATTTAAAAAATAGCTTCTACAGTGTTTTTCCTAATTTCTAAGTTGAGACTTAATTTATGTTTCTGATTTTGCTCTTTGGGATGGGAGAAGGGGAAAGAGAAATGATGATTAATTGCAAAAGAACCACCTCCGCGAAGCCACAGCATTGGGAGGGAAAAAGCAGATGCCTTCTGATTCACTTTGACGAGGAGATTTGCTCATCTTCCTTCTTTGGCTTGTGTTTTTGGCTTGTGTCATTTGGTCCCCACCCAGGATGTTTTTACATTCATTTTGTGTTTAGAAAAGACATATCAAACCAAAACGTTTAAGCTGCTCTTCTGCTCTTAACATTAATAAAGCTGATGAAGATAAAAAAGGAATAGAAAAAAAAAAAAAGAAATCCACCAGAAGACATGCCTATCCATGACCCCAGAGACAGGCTTGAAGATGTGTCTTGACTATAGACTTGAAACAACCAGGTGTCTCAGTTACAGCCCATCTCTACCACAGACTTGAGCAATACAACTATCCCAAAGACCCATAGAGTGATCCAACAGGAGTCCTCCTAGAGACCTAGAGGAAGCCACACTCATCAGCACATGATACATAAATGTAACCTGGTGACAGGCCTGCTGACTGTGAACTCACAGGCAGTCCTTCATCTCAGCACCAGCCCCACAGACTGAGTTCCTGGGCACAATCCAGTTCGCCTAGGAACCAGAAAGAATCCACAGCCACTACAGCCACTGGAAATAGGCCCACCAACTGTGGTCTCCACTATGAACCTACTATCAGGCAAGTGACCCTGATCTACCTCCATTCAACTGTGATCTCAGCGGCAATCCCATCAGCCCAGAGACCTAACAGGAAAATATTTTAAATTGTCAAAACCAGTATATAAGACTGAAAGAGGGCTTTTCACCTTCAAATGCACAGACACCAATGCAAGACTACATAGATAACAAAGAATGAGGCAAACATGACAACACCAAGGGAAACTCATTAAGTTCCAATAACCAACAACAAAGAAATGGAGATAGACAAATTGCCTGAAAAAGAGTTCATAATAATCATCTTAATGTAGCTTAATAAGATGTAAGAAATTACAGACAGAAACTAAATGGAATTAGAAAAACAATGCATAAACAAAATGAGGAGTTTCATGGAGAATTAAAAACCTTAAATAATCAAATGAAAATCTTAAAGCTTAAGAATACAATGAGAGAACTGAAATTTTCAAGAGAGTTTTAACAGCACACTCAATTATGCAGAAGAAAGGATTAGTGAACTCAGACAGGTCATTCAAAATTAGCCAATGAGAGGAAGAAAAAGAAAAAAATGGTTGAGAAAGAACAAAGAAGGCATGAGGAATCTAGGGGACAGCATGAAATATGCAAATATACAAATGATGTGAGTATCTAGAGGAGGAAAGGGAGAAAAAGAATACTATAAGAAAAAAGATTTATGGGCCAGTATTACTGATGAACATAAATGCAAAAATGCTAATAAACTGAATTCAACAACACATTAAAAACGTCATTTTTACTATGATTAAGTGGGACCTGAAACTATGAATCTACCAAAAGAAAGCATAAGAGAAATTCTCCATGACATTGGTCTGGGCAAATATTTCTTAGATATTACCCCAAAATCAGAGTAATTAATAGCAAAAATAAACAAATTGTATCATATCAAACTAAAAAGCTCTGCACAGCAAAGGAAAACAATTAATATAGTAAAAAGACATCCCATGGATTAAAAGAAAATATTTGCAAACCGTAATCTAATAAGAGGCTAATATCCAAAATATATGAAAAACTAAGACAACTCGGTAACAAGAAAACAAATAATACAATCAAAAATGGGCAAAAAACATAAATACATAATTCTCAAAAAAAGATATATAAATGCCAACAGGTATATGAAAACATCCCCATCATCACTGATCATTAGGGAAATGCAAATTAAAACCACATAGAGATATCACTGGCAAGGGTATGGAGAAAAGAGAACCCTTGTGTACTGTTTGTGGGAATGTAAATTAATACAGCCATTTGCAAATAGTATGGAGGTTCCTCAGAAAACTAAAATTAGAATTACCATATGATCTAGTAAAATGACTTCTGAATATATATATCCAAAATAATTGAAATCAGTATAACAAAGAAATATCTACACTCCCATGTTCATTGCAGTATTATTCACAGTAGCTAAGATATGGAAGCAACCTAAGTGTCTATCATGAGATGAATGGATAAAGAAAATGTGATATATATACAAAAGGGAATACTACTCAACCAGTTTAAAAAAGAAGGGGTGGGAATCCCGTTATTTGCAACAGCATGGATAAACCTGGAGGACACTGTGCTAAGTAAAATAAGCCAGGCACAGAAAGACAAATGTAGCATGATCTCACTTATATGTGGAATCTAAAATAGTTGAACATATACAAGAGGAGAGTAGAATGATGATTACAACTGGCTGGGGAAGAAGGGTGGATGAAGAAAGAGGAGAGGCTGACCGGAGTACAAGGTTTCATTTAGACAGGAGAAATTAAATTTAGTAATCTATTGTAGAGAATAATGACTATAGTAAATAATAATGCGTTGTTATTTCATAATTGCAAAAAGATTTTAAATGTTTCACAACAAAAATGGCAAGTATATGAGGCGATGAATTTGTTAGCCTGATGTAATCATTCCACATTATAAACATATATCAAGAAATTACATTATATCACATAAATATATACAATTACTTGTCATTTAAAGATATAATTTTTAAAAGTTTTGAGAGAATAAAATCTGAGAGAAATCTAATATTTTGCTTGAGAAAAAAGATGAGTAAGAGAAAATGGCAAGGTGTATTGTCATTTTTCAAGATTGCATTAAATGTTGAAAATAAAAATCAGCTTCATCAAAAAATAAAATAAAATGCAAATCCTTAGACTTCACACAAACTTAATAAATCAGAATTCTTGAGGGAATTTATTTGAATAGTCATTTTTACCAAATTGTTGAGATAATTTTTTTGTTTTTTTTTTGAGATGGAGTCTCACTCTGTCACCAGGCTGGAGTGCTGTGGCACAATCTCAGCTCACTATAACCTCCACCTCTTGGGTTCAAACAATTCTCCTGCCTCAGCCTCCTGAGTAGCTGGGACTACAGGCGTGCGCCACCATGCCTGGCTAATTTTTGTATTTTTAGTAGAAATGGGGTTTCACCATGTTGTCCAGGATGGTATCGATCTCTTGACCTCGTGATCTGCCTGCCTCAGCCCCCCAAAGTGCTGGGATTAGAGGCGTGAGCCACTGCACCCAGCTGAGATAGTTTTATACATTCCAAATTTTTTTGAGAAGCACAAAAGAAAATGTGGTTGAATATCCTGTAAGGAGACAGACTAGGAGCATACAATGTATTTTTTTACTTATAAGTGAACAGCTTCTACTCTGATTTAACTTTTCCTCAAGGCCAGATGATCCAGATTTCCCTTTAGCACTTGATGATGAAATTGTATAGAAATGTGAGGAACTGCCACTGAGTAGTTAACCTGGAAAGTCTGACCTTTATAATAAAGAACTACAATGAAAGAAAAACAGCAGCAAAAGAACTGAAATGTGAGTAGAGAAGAGAGCTTAAAAATGCAAAGATGGCAGTGGCTAGCTAGATATACAGTGAGCACAGCTGAGAGTGGAGAGGTGCAGAGTCCATATGTGGATCATTGAACTAAAAGTTAGAAGTAAAGAGAACCCACTGGGTATAAAATAGGTGGTAGAATTGGTTGGTTATCTGTAAATTCTCCTTCCCTTTGTTATTTGATAAATGTGGTTATCCTGCTTATAATTTTCATGCAAAAACCTATTGAGATATATTATGAAAACCATTTGAAAGCACTGTAGTTTTGTCTCAAGCTAAAAAGAAAAACATGACAGCAAGAATTGAAGGTGGGGAATAGGAAATGGGAAGCTGTCCTACTATACTCTCTTTCCAATTCTCACCCCAGCTACCAATTCACAAGTACTAAATTCTCTGTCCAAACACACCATGAATATTTATGGCATGGGAAATTGTCCACAATGGGCCCTCTCTCCTGCATTTGGTGTAATTCTTCATCCTCTCAAAGATCTAGTTTGAATGTCACCCAGTCTGTGAAGTCATTTTCCAATCCCCTTCCACAAATCATAACTAATGCTCCTTTCTGCCTTATCTCTTTCTTATATCTTACTGATTTTTCTACTATTCTTAGTTGAATATATGAGCACTTAGAGAGTAGAAAACGCATTCTTCATGATTGAATCTCAAATTCCTAACAGAGGGCCTGGCCCGTAATATGCTCTGCTCAATAAATTATGACACCAGTTTAATTCACAGTCACTTCAATTTAAGGCAGGTCAGTTGTTGGTGCAGTGCCACTTGACACCATGCTCTCTCTCTCTCATACCTCGTTTACTAATTCTTATTTTAAGAAGGAAGAGAAAGAAAAGAAGAATCAAGGGAAGAGAAGAAGGCAAGTGTGCTCTGAAGGTTTTTATAGATAGTCTTGCCTGCCTAATGCTCATTCAAGTATTAGGCAGCATAGGCTACGTTATACCTCAGTAACAATTTAACCTCAACAAGATCAGAACCTTCACTAATCAACTGGGCTTTCTGACTCATGCTGTATATCCACCCTGGATAGGAGGAGCATTGCATTCTACACATTAGTCAAGAATCCAGAAATGACAGAAACTCTGCCATCTTTCCATGCAATCATCTTAACATTAAGTTTCAGTATTTTCTAAAAAATGGAAAAATAATGTGGATAATTTACATCTAATCTTAACTGCCTTTACCCTGAAGTTATAGATGTTACTTCCTCTCAAAATCCGCTGTTAAAATTAATGGCAAGGCCCCAGCTTAACTGCATGAGGTACTGGATAGTTTTTCTATGTATTCAGGAAGAAAACAATTAGACGTGATTAGCTCTAGTGATCTCTACCACACAAATATTTATTATGCACTATGTGTTAAATACTGGGCCAGTAAACAGGAAAATAACTGTCAGACAAAATAGAGCTTTCATAAAGCTCATGAGACAATGAAGAAGAAATAGAGCTATTCCACCTCCATAACGACAAAAGCCTGAGTTTTCAGACTCAGATGAAATGCAAATATTATCCAGCATCAAGCTTTACAGGTCATTAGCAAAGGTAATAAGAAAGGAACATCAATGGTATATACCACAGCACTATCTGGCATACCTGAACCCATCAGATGCAACCTCCTGTTTGCAGCACTGTGATGTGATTTGGTTCTGGAGTGGGTGGTGCTCACTCTGCATGGCTAGAGTGAGCATAGAGGAGCCTCTGAGTGATGTGCTCTTTCTGTTCATGCATCATCATCACACAGTATAGCTCTAGTCAGGTGATGGACTTGCATTCATCAGCACAGCTATAGTTTATAAATCTATAAACTACAGATATACTTACAGCAATCAGGCCAGAAAGATCAAGTACATTCTGCTAAAAGCATTCCTGGATTAAAGACCTAAATGTTAGACCTAAAACCATAAAAACCCTAGAAGAAAACCTAGGCAATATCATTCAGGACATAGGCATGGGCAACGACTTCATGTCTAAAACACCAAAAGCAATGGCAACAAAAGCCAAAATTGACAAATGGGATCTAATTAAACTAAACAGCTTCTGCACAGCCAAAGAAACTACCATCAGAGTGAACAAGCAACCTACAGAATGGGAGAAAATTTTTGCAATCTACTCATCTGACAAAGGGCTAATATCCAGAATCTACAATGAACTCAAACAAATCTACAAGAAAAAAAACAAACAGCCCCATCAAAAAGTGGGTGAAGGATATGAACAGACACTTCTGAAAAGAAGACATTTATGCAGCCAAAAAACATATGAAAAAATGCTCATCATCACTGGCCATCAGCGAAATGCAAATCAAAACCACAATGAGATACCAGCTCACACCAGTTAGAATGGCAATCATTAAAAAGTCAGGAAACAACAGGTGCTGGAGAGGATGTGGAGAAATAGGAACACTTTTACACTGTTGGTGGGACTGTAAACTAGTTCAACCATTGTGGAAGGCAGTGTGGCGATTCCTCAGGGATCTTGAACTAGAAATACCATTTGACCCAGCAATCCCACTACTGGGTATATACCCAAAGGATTTTAAATCATGCTGCTATAAAGACACATGCACACGTATGTTTATTGCGGCACTATTCACAATAGCAAAGACTTGGAACCAACCCAAATGTCCAACAATGATAGACTGAATGAAGAAAATGTGGCACATATACACCATGGGATACTATGCTGCCATAAAAAAAGGATGAGTTCATGTCCTTTGTAGGGACATGGATGAAGCTGGAAACCATCATTCTCAGCAAACTATCGCAAGGACAAAAAACCAAACACCACATGTTCTCACTCATAAGTGGGAATTGAACGATGAGAACACCTGGACGCGGGAAGGGGAACATCACACACTGGGGCTTGTTGTGGGGTGGGGGGAGGGTGGAGGAATAGCATTAGGAGATACACCTAATGTTAAATGACAAGTTGATGGGTGCAGCACACCAACATGGCACATGTATACATATGTAACCTGCACGTTATGCACATGTACCCTAAAACTTAAAGGATAATAATAATAATAAAAAAGCATTCCTAGGTCAGTCATTGGGAGCTAATACATTTCAACGGTCAATATTTACAAGGAGGTCTGTTTGGAGTTAAAAGAAAAACACTTCAGGTATTCTCAAATACGAAAGAATGAGTTACGGACCCAGTGTCGACTGCCTCCTTTCAGCACCTAGCCCAACCATTTGCTAAATAAAAGTATACCTACCAGTGGTGAGTGCCCAAAGTGCATGGGGCACTCACTACTGTGGGAGGTTTACTTTTAAAAGTATCGGTCCGCACCCCCACCCACCAAAGTGCATGCTACTATGGGGGTGGGGGCAGGAACTGACATCTCAGAGAAGTCAGAGAAGATTTATATGAAAAAGTGGTGTTTGAACTGAGATCAGAAGAAAGAGCCAGAGTTAGCTGGGTGGCAGAAGAAATAGCATATGGATAGGAAAGGAGCAGGCCTGTTTGAGTAACTCAAAGAAATCAGCGGGACTGGACTGTGAGGAGCAAAACAGAAGGCTGGGGAGGGGAAGTGATTTCAGACAGGCCTGACTGGCTCAAACCATGGGTGGGACAAGATAAATTAGGGATCTTTATCTCAGAAGCAAAGAGAAATATTGAAATAGTTTTATTGAGGGAGCACAGAGAATGACGTGATCATTGGAGGCAGTGAGAGAGTGGAAATAATGAAATGGGTTAGATAACCACTGCAGACATCTTAGCAGAGAAGACGATAAGGGTGAATAAGGGTGCTGTTGTGTTGACAAAGAAAGGTGGCCTGATTCAAGAGATATTTAGGAGGAAAAAGTGACTGGAATTGGTAATGGCTTGGATATGAAGAGAGAGTACAGAGAGTTATTAACCGTATCTCTGTGACTTGTGTAACTGGATGATACCGTCCACCATAGAAAACAATAGAAGCCAAACAGGTTCAGACCACTGTGGGAGAACAGTGAGAACCCAAAGAGCAAATCCTTGGCTTTTGCACTCAAGCAAGCATGGCCTAGTTATAGGCTGGCATTATCCAGAAGGCTCCTATGAGCAACAAATTATGAACTGCATTGTAAACAAAGAATATGTGAAAAGGAATTGAAGGGTAATTTTGAGAACAGCCTCTAAGTGCTCACACATGAGTGACAGAAATTCAGTGACAGAAGGGAAATGGAAGTGCCATTGTCACATTTTTTATACCGTATCTTTTAAAGCAGTTGGGAGCTACTGGAGAGAAAAAATGGAAGTGGGATGCTAGAAGGAGAGGGGAAGGCAGAGATAGAGGGAAAGAACAGAATTGTTTGCTAAAATTCATGTTATGTTACGAGATATTCATCATTATAGAGGACAGTTAAGGCCGGGCATAGTGGGTCACACCTGAAATCCCAGTACTTTGGAAGGCCAAGGAGGGAGAATCACTTGAGGTCAGGAGTTCAAGACCAGCCTGGACAACATAACAAGACCCCATCTCCACAAAATAAAAAATAAAAATCTTAGCCGGATGTGGTGGTGTTCACTTGTAGTGCCAGCTACTCAGGAGGGTGATGCAGGAGGATCACTTCAGCCCAGGAGTTCCAGGTTATGGTGAACTATGATCATGCCCCTGCATTACTGCCAGACACTATCTCTAAAAAAAATATAGGGGCAGTCAGATACATTTGTATTTTCTTTTTTGTTTGTTTGTTGTTGCTGTTTTGAGACAGGGTTTCACTCTGTCACCCAGCCAGGAGTACAGTGGCGCAATCTCAGCTCACTTTAACCTCCGCCTCTTGGGCTCAAGGGATTCTTCCACCTCAGCCTTCCAAGTAGCTGGGATGACAGGTGTGTGCTACCATGATATTTGTCTTATATAATGATATGGTTCCTTTAAAAATCAAGTATAAATAAAGGAATAAAGCATTAAATTAAGCTCTAACATAAATAGAGGATAAAAAATGGTCTAGTGAAAATTAGTGTGTTATTTGTGGGATTAAAAAAAGGAAAGGAATAGATAAAACCATAAGGAAGAGTAGGAAGATTTGCTCAAGCACTTGTCAAAGCTTTTGTGTACCTCAATTCTAGTTCCTCAGCTGGCATTCAGTAGCTGTGTGACCTTGGACAAGTGTTTATTCAATGCATGTCTCAATTTAATCACCTTTAAAATAAAATTAATAACAGCTGTCCTGCCCACATTAAAAAATAATGTATGAAGATTCTTTAAAAATTGTAAAGCTGTTTATATAATTACACATATATTATATAATTATTGCTATGGTTTGACTGTGTGCTCCAGAATTTACATGTTGAAAACCTAATCCCTAATGCAACAGTGTTGAAAGTGGGGCCTTTGGCTAGGTGTGTGTAGGTGGAGCTCTCATGAATGGATTAATGCTGCTACAAAAACAAAACAAAACAAACAAACAAAAACCTTAGGGGGTAGGTTCACTCTCTTCTGCTCTTCTGCCATGTGAGGACACAGAGTTTGTCCCTTTTTACCCTTCCGCCTTCTGTTACATGAGTATACAGCAAGGAGACTTCACCAAATGCCAGTATCTTCATCTTGAAGTTTCCAGCCTGAGAGAAGTAAATTTCTGTTCCTTATAAATTATCCAGTTTCACATATTCTGTTATAGCAACACAAAAGGCTAAGGCAATTACATGATTATATTATTATAGTAAATATAACTATTAATTCTCAGAATAAACACCTATGGCCCTGAATAAGCTAGGTGAATAAACAATAGACAAGCCTCCAGCATAAACAGAGAAGGATAAATTCACAGTGAGAACTCTGTGTAAGGACAAGTAAGGTGAAGTCAACACTGACTGTTTATGTTTTGAGAGGTTTTACTGGAAGTGCGTGTGCAGCAAAACACAACATTCAAGCAAATGAAAATAATCATGAAATTATCTTGCCAAGAATGAAATCTTAGAGGAGGGGACTTCCAAGGTTTTCTTTCTTTCCCAATTTTAGTTGTTTTTTTTTTTAAAGGTGTAAGATCTGGGACTACATTCTATTTTCTGTAAATTGTGCAGAGCAAGTGTGTGGTGACCGTTTTTTCCCCCTCGGATTTTAATCTACTGGATATGCCCATAGAGTTTGCAGGAATAACGGCTGGTTCTGGAAGCTGTTGGAGATGTGAGATAAAGAAAGGTGAGTGTGTCATAAATGTTTTATGTAAATCTTGAAGAAATGATGGGAGAAGTGGACTTGTGCATGTTTATTTCCTCATCTTATATGCATTATTTTTCCATTTTTAGTATTTTTGCACTTGGAATGCAGCTTATGGCTATGTATACATTTAATGAAGTATTTCTTACATACACACACCCCAACACACTCATTAATAAATCGGTACATGTCTCATGGAAGGCATATTTAGGTGATGAAAGAAGTACAATATATTAACTAAGAGTGGTCACAATTTTTTAACAATCTGTCCAGTAAAAAACAAAAATAATTC
This sequence comes from Homo sapiens, assembly GCF_000001405.40. Lineage (NCBI taxonomy): Eukaryota > Metazoa > Chordata > Mammalia > Primates > Hominidae > Homo > Homo sapiens. Next base: position 20,105,509 of record NC_000007.14, read on the forward strand.
GTTTGCAAAAATGTTATTGTGAAGGGGATAATCTTCATTCGTTCAAAAAACTTTTATTAAATACCTACTATGTGCTGGTCCTGTCCTAGAGAAACAAATACATGGGCTCGTAGAGGAGGATGTGAGGAAGCCATCCTATGCAGAAAGGTCATTCTTGAAGATAACCCTGGATTTACTCTGCCATATTCCAAAGAACTTGCTCAGAAGTCACCTCTGTATACTGTCCTCCCTGTTCTCCTCCAGGCCTCTGATTCTTTGATGTAGCTCATTTTCAAACCAAAGATCATCAAGCCTCTCAAAGCATACTCTTTAATCCAGTTTTATCTAGAATGGGATGGAGGTGAATGATTCTGAGCCTCCACCCAGGAATCATGACCTGTTAAAGTGTTTTCTTCCACAGGAGTCACAGTTTGCTTTCCAGAGGATCCCCAACCAGCTCCCATAGTCATCAGTTCACTCCAGTGAAGTTCAAGATTAAGTGCTAAGAGTAGAATGCCCTAGGCTCACCCCTGTAATCCAACAACTTTGAGACGCCAAGGCGGGTGGATCACTTGAGGTCAAGAGTTTGAGACTAGCCTGGCTTATGTGGCGAAACCACATCTCTACTAAAAATGCAAAAATTAGCCAGGTATGGTGGTGTGTGCCTGTAATCTCAGCTACTTGGGAGGCTGAGACAGTAGAATCGCTTGAACCCTGGAGGCAGAGGCTGAGATTGTGCCACTGCACTCCAGCCTGGGCAAAAGAGTGAGACTGTCTCAGAAAAACAAACAAAACAAAAACAGTAGAATCCACAACAATTGTCTTAGACCTAAGGAATAAAATTTCATTTCTTCATCATGACATTTATGGTTTTAAGAACTTAGGATAAAACAATGTTCTCAACTCTTTCTTCTTCTTACCTTCCATATAATTCCATCCATTATAATCAAATTTATAATGTCTGCTTATTTGCTTACTCCTGCCTAATGCCTGTAATCATGCTATTCTTCCATTTAAAAGTGAGAAACAAATACAATGAAGTACACAAATAAACTACTCAAATTTTCTTATTTATATATAAACCCATTTACCCAAACCAAGGTCCAGAACATTCTCAGCACTGCATATGGCACCACCTTTTCTGCCTTTCCTGTTACCACCTTCCCCAGAGATAATTACTTTTCTCATGGATATTAATATAGCTAGTTTTTTTTATAGAATAGTTTGACTTAATTGTCTAAGAGGAATAAGACAATGAAAGGAAAGGACCATACTGAAAGGAAAGCATAAATTAGTTTTTTCTGACTGGAAACCTTTTTCAGTAGCCACTTCACTATATAACAAGACCCATGAGCTGAGCCTGGGTTACCATTTAGCTATTATAATGTCCCAAATTAATAAAAACTGAATTTAAAATTTCACTGCTGCAGTCATCTCTTCATTATTTTCCCAGTAGTATCTGTGAAATAGGTTGACCAACATGTGACCCAAGAATGAGAAGTTCCACACTGACTTTTTAAGAAACTATCTTATAAAATGATTCCCTTTATTTCTTATAAAGAAATGAAGATATAAAGTCTGTTTGAAGAGATTAAATTTTTAAATTTTATATTTTAATGGTATATTTTTGTGTGCTTTTTAATGATGATACAAGCCTATAGGATGCTGTTCTGACTTATGTAACTCAGATAGAGAAGTTCCAGAATGGCATTCCTGAATTCTCCCCACAAAAATAGCCCTCCTTTGAGCCACCGATCAAGAGACTGAGAGTCTAACTGTTCAACCAGTTATCAATCTACTTAACCACACTATCACTGAGCTTAGGTTTCTCTGATTTTTAAGGTTATCACATGAAACTTTATTAAAATCAAATTATTATGTCCATGACATCTCTGACTGACCTATGTAGTGATTCACACAAAAAATAGAAAAGAGAAATGAGATCAGTTTGAGAAAACAATACTTTTATCAAATTTCTACCAAACTTACATCATGTCTCCTGACAATCAACATATTCATTGAGGAACAGCTATCTGTAGGGCACCACACTAAGCAAGAAATAGACGACAACTCCATTCTAAAGCCAATTGTGATCGTTAATAGTGAAGATACAAGTATGAAAATGATTACCACCTGGAGTCATGTCAAGATGAAGATATATTTCTCTAGAAAAGACTGTTAAGAGAGTAAAATCTTAGGGCAACAGTGCTGACGGCCCTTGGCAAGTAAATATGATGCAAGGACAGAAGTTAGCAGTGTGAGAGGCAGAAGAGAGTCATTTTGGCAAAGGTACCAGGAAGCTTCGGTTATCCCTAACAACCAAATATTTAGAACTGAAATGTAGCCAAGCTCATAAAGCCTCTTCTCCTTCTGCCACCAATTCTATTGTTCCTGAAGCTGAGAGAGAAAGAGAGAGAGAGAGAGAAGGTGATAGCCAAACAAATGCTATCAAAGTCCTGTGATGAAATACAAGGAGTTCTAACCCCTAGGGTCACCAGACATACCAGAAAATAATATTCCCAATGTTACAAGTGCTCTTTGCCCTTTGTCCCTTGACTGGGAAAGTATATTAGAAATTATAGTCATATTTTTCCTTTTGGTTGATAGAAAGAAACTTAGGAGTCATCCAATTTCAGTTAATATCAAATCAATTCCTATTAGTAGAAAAATCCAACTCAGCATTGCATTTTCCTTGGCTTGAAAAATGATATTCAGAATTATCTGGCTGGAATTAAAGTTCAGCTTCTCTGCTTGTCTCTGTGTTGAGCTGCAGTTAGTCTTGAGATGTCAAGCAAAATTATAATTAAAGCACTGAATAGGTTAATCCATACCTAGACTTAATGTTTTAAAAGGACATTTAAAATGTACCTTTATATTTATTTGACAAATCTGCATACACACCTAACTCTTTATATATCTCATTTCATCTAGTCCATGATAGAACACTTTGTATTGTTTAAGCCTTTTGGCTGTACAGATGGTTCTTAATTTGTAATAAAAAAAAAAGTATTTGTCAGTTTTCTTTTCAACCTGTCTTATTTATATATCACGAGGACAAAGAACGTTCCCAAATGGTTCAGAGAGGGAGAATTAGTATTTGCTGCTCTTTTTCCCTCTTAGCTTCTCATTTTATTTTTAATGTTTGATCCAAAGTCATCTCACTCCTACTCGACAGTGTGGAACTTTCTTGCTTCTCTTGCCTCTTGCTTTGACTATTCGAGTCAATCCAAAATACTGCTAGAGAAAATTTATGTTTGACTGTAACAACTCTGAGCTTAACTTGGAATGGTGGTGACCATTCTTCTTATGAAAACTAATAGTTCATTACTTCCCAAGTCATTCTATTTGAATTTTGAGTCACTCTTATTTTTAGAAGTTTGCCTTTATCGAGCCAAAACCCAGGCAACGAATCATTGGTCCTATTCTGTAATACGAAACCAAACAGAATCAGTCTAATGATCCTTCTATATACAAATTTATAATCCTTTAAGGAATCTATATGATGCTAGCTTTTTTTGGTTTTTAGTTAATTTGCTTTGTTTTGAAACAAAAATTTCCAAGCAAAATAGTGAGATTTTTCTAGAGACAGAAAGAAACAGAAGTGCCAATTTTCTTCTAATTTTTCATCTAATTAAATCTTTGATTCGAATTCTCCATTTGACAAATGAGAACGTCTACTTCCAACTCTAGTCTTCACAAATATATGCAAGACAGGATGGTTACATTTTATAAAGTCAATTTAGCTCATTATTCTCTACCAATAGACTTAGTTCACATGCTAGAAAATTGAAGTATTTGATCAGTTAGGAAGAAAATATATGTGATTTTACAGGACTCTTGAGCAATTTTTAAGAAGAGAGGAAAGGGGCATTCTTCCTTAATTATCTAACTTAAATTTCACCTCCTCTGTGAAGTCCTCCTCTTTCCCCAGCTTTCTTTACCCTTCAGTCATCACCTATTTCCCTTTAACGTTTTGTGCAATGGTCATATCCCAACTTTGGATTATATTTCAATATGTACAAACTGATCTCTAGTCTAGCCAGTGGGCTACTGGAGGACAAGAAAGTTAACCACTTGTATCTCAGGCACATTGTGAGGAATCAATAGATATTAATTCACTCGAATTAGAAGTTGAATTAACTCTATTTCCCAAAGACAAGCTGAATAGATTCTATTGATTTGTTCCAAGGTCATAGATGTTGATGGTTTCGAATGAAGCTGATTCAGCTTTCCTGGTCTCATCCGGACAAGCTGATTCTATACACACCATTTGTTCATTTTGTGAAACTATGTTCCTAAGAAAATATATTGAGCTTTCATTCTCACAATATGTATAATACTTGTATTTTGCAACTTACAATATTGGCCGTATTCAATAAGGGGACATTTTCTACAAGAATTGCTCTCAGATGGATACCATGGATGGCCACAAAGTTTTCCTTTGTGCCATTTTTAGCAGAATCCTAGACACATCCTACAAATTTATATGATTTTTAGATCATAACTCATACTTTTTAATTACCTTGGTATTTTTGGAAGGCTTTTCCTAGTCAGGCAAAGAGACCATTCTAAACCAAAAGGAAAGCTCCATTTGGGGTGGAAAATGAGCAGACTAAAAAAATACATCCAAAGGGCAAAAATAGATATATCTGTGTCCGATTTTTTACACCAGTCTCACAAAATCTATGCCTAGAACATTTTCACAGGACACTGGTACCATGGAGAGATCAAATGATAAACTTATATGGCATTTGATTAGATTAAATTATAACTAGCCAGATTCTGATCAAGCAAAGAAACACACAAAGACACATGGCACAGAGCTAAGTTCTAGGTGTTTTTACCTAGGACCTTTTCAGCCTCTGGTGGCAGAGGAGAAATAAGAATTGATTGGTGAAGGCTATCCTTGCCCTTCTGAAGAGAAGTGATTTCTTCCTACTTCAGGATGTTCATATATAGCTGCCAAGCAGAGCCAAGGAAGCCGTCAACCTGGGAACAAATTTTGGTGGTACTGAACCACTTCTGTCTTGTTCCCCCTTACTGTGCCTATTGATTTGGGGACTGAGCCCCAAAGGCCAGATATTTTAAGGGACATTCAATATATGAGAATTATGTGTGAATTATGAAGTGTATAAAGCAAGATGCTTTGAAACTCTGTGTCCAATTAAGTGGTGTTTCACCTTGTCTGAGCTTGTTTCCTAATTAGTAAAGTTAAATGAAGAAATTGAATGATTTCACTTAATTCCTAAATAGCAGATTGGAATCAAACTTCCTATACTTAGCTCCTCCTACACTTTATTGTTTAGGATATGTCAATAGCAGAAAACACAATTACCAGTGAGGAAAACTAAATCATCACCACCATTATCACCATCATTGTCATTGTTATTATTATTATTGTCATGTTCATCACAGCATGGAAGAATATTTTTCAGAGTTTTTATTCTGTTTCTTAAAGAAGGCAATTTAATATACTCAGAGTTGCAGTCTTTGACCAGTGTTAAGGTAACAGCTCAATGCTTGTGATCCAATCCTTACATAACTTGAGGGGAAGATTTATTTGTATATTTATCTTTGTTGAATACCTACTAAGTTTGCCATCTATCCTTTTTGACACCTCTTTTTATCACTTCAAAGTTGAGATAATGGTAACTATGTATTGTAATAATAATATTTTTTAAAAATCTGTAATTGGCATTTCCAATATTTATTACTCAACTTTCTATATATATAACTTTTTGGATTCTTTCTAAATTAGTATGCTTTACATCATAGAGGGCACTCAGGACCTGTCTCCAGGCTTCACTGCTATATGACAGATGCCAAAAATACATACACTAGAGGACTTTGGAAATCTGAAGAGTCCATACAGAGTATTAGTGATTCTTTTCTCTGTGTCATTTGTAGGATATAGTCTATTATTATCACGTTTGAGTTGTAGCTCATTTGGGTTTTTTTTTCCTTTTAGATATGAATATCAGAAGATATATTATAAAAAAGGGTTAAATACAACCCCCTTCCACTAGTCCAGCTTTAAATCAAATGCTGTCAGCTAATGTAATATATAATATAAATATGATTTTCTTAGTCATTTACAGTAACATTTTCACAGTGACATGAAAGTGATATCTCTAAAATAAAAGTCTGATGATAATGCTGCCTTTTCTAAAACACTTCAGTGGCATCCCACACCTCATTGTTGAAGCTGAAACTCCTTAGTATAAAATATAAGAGGCTCTGTTATTTTGCTCTTGCTTATTGCTCTATTCCTTGTCCATTAATGCCACATCCCACATTCATGGGTTTTTACCCTCGGGTGTAACAATTCATGATACTTGTTTTCAAAGACAGTGATAGATGCAGGTCTCCATATATGATAGAAGTTACAGTTTGTTTAAGGTATATTCTAAGGTCTTAGATGAAGCATAAAGCATAGATGCTTTATGATGTGAAAATATCTATAAGTTTATTGAGTCACAGAAACCAGGAAATAGGGACTTTCCAGGTGCTCTGTTAATCCATGTTGTTGTAAAGATGCATGATCATTAACTTCACTGAAAGAAATGGTAAGCCCAGTAGAACATTAAGTGCCCCAGCATAGTTCCCATATAGGATCTGAGGAAAGGGACATTTGTTTTCATTCATTCACATTTCTGTAAAAAAAAAAAAAAAAAAAAATACACACGGTGTCTTGTATTGTGTCACAAGAAAAGTAGAAAATGTTCTCAATGACGAAGGGTCACTTTCTTGTTACCATTAACTAGAGTTTTCCTCATGGAATGAATGATATCACTGCTTGTTTCCTTCTGAGCTCTCTCTAAAAAAACCCTTTTCATTTCCTTCTGAGCTATACCTAGAAAAGCCCTTTCCTTTACTGAGTATTACCAAGGAAAGGTGAAAAATGAGTTTCCTCTAAGTATTTCTGATTCATACTTTTTCATTTCTATATTGACTTGGTTACACACAGCATATTTCTGTGATTTCAGGTTCTTCTTGTAATTCTTTTTTAGCACCAAAACATGTTGTCTATCTTTTTATATACATAATGAAGTATGCACATTGAAAAAGTGAAAATATGTACTCTCTGTTGCACCTTGCTATTTATCTTCCAAAAAGAATGAATCCTTGAAAAAAACAGCTGGGCATTAAAATAACAAACATATCTAGTACATGCCAGAGAAAATTTATAATAAATTTAGAAAATAATCTTTTTATAATAGGTCCTCAGATAGCAGCCTAATATCACATATGCCTTGTCTAATAATCCCTACAGCCATCTGAGATTGAGAGAGAGTTAGGAGCCTCACTGCATGTGCTAAACACTAAAGTAATTGGAGCTGAGGCAAGGCTATTCTAAAGAAAGCCTGTATCTCAGTGGGGAGCTCCCTTTTCAAAACTATCTTGTTCACACAATCCAAATGACATTTGGAAGCAGCAGCAGCTTTGGACAAATTGCAGCCTTTTGCAAGTACATTCTCCAAATCTGGTTCTGCTGGAGTTACAGTCCAAAGACTCAAGTTAGATTCCAGGGCCTACCACTTAGACTTACAAGCTGTATGACTATAATCTATTTACTTCTCTGTGCTTCAGTGCCCTCATAGATAAAGTGCATATGATTATAGTACCTACACCTCATAGGTAGGTACTATGAATGTTAAGACAGTAGAAATGCCTAGCATATAGTGTTTAATGAACTTTTATCATTACTATGATTAAGGTAGCTAGATATACAGAAAAGAAAACATTGGTAAAATGAGAATCACTTATGGAATCTCTTCTCATTAGATTTACCTGGTATCAATACACTATAGAGCACACAATTATGTCCTTGCTCTCCTTAGCTATCTATGGTTTCATCATGGTCATTTCCAGGAGGGGTCTGAATATTCTGTGTTTTAATCCACACAAGGGTAACAGAAGAAAATACCTGAGTTCTAGAAATGCCTCAGCACTGGAAAAGTTACCTGATATTCAGGGCCACTCTCACAGGAGCTGCTTTCTAGCCATCTCTTCTGAGAGCAGTGTCACACTGGGAATACACAGAGGACCATGATGTAAAAAGCAGCAGTGGCTCCTTTCTGTCAAAACTAGTACTCTGTTCCTGCTTCCTTGTGAAAGACAGCATAAAAGAGGAAATGAAAGCGTTTCAAAGACTTGATTAGTTTGTGACTAGAGAGTCAGCTCAGGTGAACAAAATGATTAGTATGGGACCAAAAAGGAAAAAAAAAACCTCAATTTGGATTCTGAATCAGATTTCTGAGATCACTTAACTCATTAAGTACCATCTCCATTCAAAATCCTTTTACATCAAACAACATGAGAAATATGCACAACTACAAAACGAAACACAACAAAACCTTAGATGTTAGGAGGTCACGTTCAAGGGTATCAGCAAAGGCATGTTGGGATCCTCACAGAAACAAAATGTTAATTAACGTGGGTAACAATGTGGACTGGGGAAACAAACACCATTACCTACCTAAACAGCTGGCTTGATATAAAAGAAAACTGTGTGCCATTCTATTCTCTTTATAGTAGTCTTCTCTCTCTTGATCAAATAGAATTTTGAGTTTTATATCTACTGTTTAAGATTATACTGAATTTGAAGAGTCACTATCTCAATATATTTGAGATTATATTGAATTTTCTCTTTATACTTTCTAGAGAATAAATATAAAACATCAATACTACTATTTTGAAACACTGATTTACTTTTCGGAAAGAGAAGAAAGGGCAAAGGGATGGGAACTAATATAGATATACCAAATTATGTGCAACACACACGTAAGTAACTTTCATTTTATTGGTTAGTTTCCTAAATACTATACATGAACTATCATGTTAATCCTTGCAATAGCCCAATAAGGTAGGTTCATTTTTATTCCAATTTTACAAATAAGAAAATAGTCTCAGGGAAGGTAAGTAATTTGCCACAATAATCTCAGTAGCTTGAAGGAGGAAGAGCCAACCTAGATCCACCTGCCTGGGAAACTTTGCTTATTGCAGTTCACCACATTGCCTAGTTAGCCAGAGACTCTGAATAAACTCTTCCAGAGCCTGATTTCTAAAAGGATCTAATTTAATGGTTAGCTCTCTAAGAGAAGCTGCCTTTCCTCTAGGGGGAAGGCATTGACAATTCTAGACAGTGACGTAACCCTCTGCTCAAGGCTGACTTCCTCTTTGTTGGTGACAGCTGAATTCTCCTCCTGGTTCAATCTAAGAAGCACAAAACCAAGTGCACTGCCTCATTGGGCAAGAGAAAAGTGATGAGCGTGCAGAGAGATGCCTGGCAAAGAAGATTACAAACAGCTTGTTTGGAAAGAGTATTTGAGTTTTAGAAAGAAATAGAGTTCATGCTTTTAAGTAGAGGCATGCAAATTTTGGCACATAAACTTCCTGCTTAAGAAATAAATTATCAATCCATGCCCCAGGTTGTAAAGAATTAAGTCAGATTCTTCCCATAACCTAGAACTCTCCTTGTTAGTGATAAAAATTACTTAGGACTTTGTTATTTCATTGCAATAATTAGCACTGACAACTGAGAAGAGACTGAGGTAAGAATGGCCACTAAGACTAAGCTAGTTTTCCACGTTACTCATTAAATCCTTTTAGACTCAGTCCAAGCCCCATCACAGGCATGTCTCATCCCTGAGCTCCTCTTCTAGACTGAGGATGAACCTCACCACCTCACTCTTCTTAGAGACTATATGGATTAGTAATTATCTCATGTACTATACTTATTGTATCTCTTTCAATTCTGGGATGTAACAAAATAGTGGAAATATACAAGTGATAAACCAAAACAATGTATTTGGTATTATAATCTTTCACAAGCCTAGCATGGTTCTGAGTATACTGAATCACAACACTTTAAAACAGCAATTAAAAAAGCTGAGCCCTTTTATATTTGCCAGGCACTATTTTAAGGACGTGTTTCTATTATTTTATAAATTTTTCATAAACACCCTGTAAGATAGGGACTGTAAATGCTCTTACATGCCCCAGTCTGACTTCTGAACCTACTTCCTTTACACTCCGCCACTCTACCACCTACTGAGAGGACTCAGAGCTAGAAAGAATATCTTCATTTTACAAATAAAGTGAAGAACCAGAAAAGTTAACCACCTTGCCCATGCTTAAACTATTACTAGCAGAACTGAGCTAGAAGCCAGTTTTCTGATCCTACTTTCAAAATTATTTGACAACATACCTTTCTGTAAGGGAAGTAATTCATTTATAGAATTTTTGTGCAATTTTAATGTTTTAGAGGAAAACTGTGGCACTTTCAAAGTTTCTCAGTCCCTTGCATACTATCTTCATGGCATATGTGTTATCTTTTATAAAATAGTAATACACAATAATGTATTGTCTTAAAAATAGCATCCTTACCTCAATGCCAGATGGAAAAATATTTCTCAACTACTAAATGTAAATATTAGCTGTGAATGATTTGAGATTCTGCCTGATGAGGAAGCTTTTAGCAGAAAAAGTGGGTTAAGGCTTTAATTTTTAATTCACTTTTATTTAGATAAAACAAACGTGTAGAAAAGTATGGGATATACTACTGTTAATGCAAGTACTCATGTACAAAAATACCTAAACACATATTAATACTTTGCTACATATGGTTTAAAGCCCCTTTAGAAAACAAAAACAGAAACATTATAAAAACGGCTAATGCCTCACTACCATCTGCTTCTTCTACTAAATGTGGCCACTCTTCTGAAATAGTCATACATTGTCCCTACGCATGTCTTACATACTTTCACTACTTACATATGCATGCAGTCATAGGTAATATACAATAATTTTATATGTTTAAAATGTATTTGAAGGGGCCGGGTGTGGTGGCTCACGCCTGTAATCCCAGCACTTTGGGAGGCCAAGGTAGGCAGATCACGAGGTCAGGAGATCGAGACCATCCTGGCTAACATGGTGAAACCTGGTCTCTACTAAAAATAAAAAAAAATTAGCTGGGTGTGGTGGTGGCCTCCTGTATTCCCAGCTACTCGGGAGGCTGAGGCAGGAGAAAGGTGTGAACCAAGGAGGCGGAGCTTACAGTGAATGGAGATCTCTCCACTGCACTCCAGCCTGGGTGACAGAGCAAGACTCTGTTTAAAAAAAAAAAAAATGTATTTGAAGGGTTATCTATTATACAACTACATATTACTTTACTTTCTTCCCTGACATCATGTTTTGTTCTAGTTTTCAGTAAGATACTGCTATCTTTAGGCATATAAATGATATCCCTCGATGTTAGGGCATATGACAAATGTGAGTATAAGATATGACTATGAAGGAAAACCACATATTTAAATAACAGATCCCTGTGAGGCAAAGACTATCATGTATCTTGTTATGTATTTTATCATCTTTAATGCAGATAGAATACTTCTTAAATAAAAATGAAAAATTGACATTATAAAAGTGGAGTGGAGATATAAACAAAACCAAGTATTCACATACAGAGAACCAACTGCTAAAACATCATGAAAATCTAGGACAAGGGAGGCCCACCAGAGAAGGGTAAAGAATTCCGAATGCTCTTGGATTCTAGCCCTGCTGAGCCACTAGGGCTATTGCCCACCTGCTGCTCTGGCCTTTCCAATACCCCTGTCCCCGCCTATCTTACTCTCCTGTGCTTACAAACACTCTTTATCTTTTCTTAGCCCAGCTCTGAGTTTTAGCCAGAGAAAATGCCAGTGGAACATCTCTTCCCTTCTCTTGAAATTCTGTCACCCAACGAAGCCTCCTGACAAGTTCCCCATCACTGGAGCTCTTTTGCAAACATCCTCCCATTAACTACAAATTATTTTGCCTTTCTGACTTGTTGCATTATTCATGCTTTTAGCCTCATGAAATAACTCCCCAAGGCATGTTATTCCTTTTGGCACAAATTTTTCATTTTCCATGCCTATTTTGTGTGACTAAAACATAAGCAATCATAATAACTTGGTGGCTTCTGCAGTGATGTTTCTCCAGAACTCTATCGTCATCCCATATAAAACATATAGTATGGCTTTTTCAAGTGAAAAGATTAATATCTTATTATTCCTATTAAGACTTTTAAGTCTGAAGTTAGAGATGACAATAAGAGTATTGGTTTATAACTCATTCTAATACTAGAGGAACTCCAGGAGCCCCACGACTGGAGCCAAAATAACTACAAAGTGATAATACACATGTGTATGTCACTTAACAGTTTTGTAAATCACGTTTGCTGACATTACTTCATGTGATTTTCACAACAGTAAGAGGTTTAAAAATGAGGGACATGCAGACTACTAGCCTTTTAATTTGCTTCTATTTTCACAAATAGCATCCTTACAGAGTGCTGCAACCAAAAGCCAGAGAGTGTCTTGCCTTTCACAATGCCAAATCAAAAAGGTGAATGCATAGCCCACTCAGAGAAATAAAGCTTATGAAGACAGTCTTCGCTACAGGAGCCTGCTCATCATCCAATATCGTCCTCTTGGCTGTGCACCTTTTGATGTAACACTGAAATGAGAATCAACCAACCTAAATATCTGTAACAATATCTGGGAAGATGTATAATTCAGAATTGCATGAAGACAACAAAAGATTAGTTGACACTTAGGACTGGCAATTTTGTGTGTGCTCCTGTAACCCCAGCCACATGTAACTCCATGCCTGGAGAGTGTTCTGGAATCTGGGCATATCTTCTCTACAGTATTCGACTTGTCTCTTGAATGCCATACATGGCAATTTTGTATGCTGAATTGTGTCCCCTCTCTCCAAATTCATAAGTTGACGTCGGAACCCTCATTACTTCAGAATATAACTGCATTTTGGAGATAAGGTTTATAAAGAGGTAATTAAGTTAAAATGAGGTCCTAACCCAATCTGACTAGCATCCTTCAGAGAAGAGGAAGAAATGCCAGGGCTGTGAGTGCACAAAGGGTCAACTATGTGAAGAGGCATCAAGAGGGCAGCCATCTGCAAAGTCAGAGAGATAAACCTTAGGAGAAACCAACTTGCCAGTGCCTTGATTTTGGACTCGCTTCTTCAGAAATGTGAGAAAATAAATTTTGTTGATTAAGCCACCTAGTCTGTAGTACTTTGTTATGGCAACCGTAGCAAACTATTCCAACAGCAAAGAACGTTAGTCCTGGGTATTTCAAGTGCACCAAATGGCTAACTCTGCAATCAAGATAAAGCGTCACAAGGAGTCTGGAGTTCTCACCTCCCTCATCCAAAAACCCTCAACCTTGGTTCCCAGTCACCCTCCACCAACACCCTCCTTCTTATTTTGTTTGGCTTTGCCTCATGTCTTGTCAGTCATCCTCTATACCATGGATTTTGGTAATGATAGGGGCCCAGTAGCTTTAGATTCTGAGCATTGAAAAGAAATATGTTCTACATGGGCTGGTCTTCAGGCACACTGTCTAAAGGGTAATCAAACATTTCCCATGAAATGTAACCACCCTCTTGCCATCAGATCTTGTATGTATTGTTGTACAGAATATGTTTTATCAGTTCTTCAATGTGATTTGCCATAAAACAACCCCTTCTTTTTATTTGAACTTTGATATACAACATACTCCAAGAGGAGGTTAAGTTTCTTGAACTGGTTGTGAGGAGGGTTAGGAAATTTATCCTACCATACTCACAGTACTATAGAGGCAAATGTGGCATAAAATTATATCCTTGCAACTGCTTCTACCAGGTTTATGAAATTACTCTACAGTTTCCAGTTTCTTCTTACTAAGGTGCTAGTGATAACCAGTAATGAAGGTAAGCCTCTGCTTAGTCCTGCCTAAATTCTTTCTCATCTGATTTCTGTTTTCCTATGTTGTTCTTTTCCCTTTGAGGAATGAAAATTTCTGTGCCTGGATTCTTACTTCTTAATCTCTGTTTATACAGTTCTCCAAAATGTATGCAATAACATTTAGCAATAAATGTCTATAAGCTCTTTTCATCTTGCAAAAACTTGACTGCCTACAAATTTATCACCCTGGAAATGACATCTGCCTGTTCTATCAAGTTGGAAATGCTGTTCACCAACCTAAGCACTTGTGCCTTTTTCTCCAACCTGCTGGGAAGTTGGAGGAGCATGGATCTCTTGTGGGAAGAGCCATTCCCAAATGGTGCCTGAGCTAAAAGCAGATCTCATGGTGGCAGGGGTGATATCTAAAATATTTAATAACTAGTAAGGTACAAGCACAAAAACCAATCAAAACTGATACATATTATGTGGGAATATGAAGCATTTTCAAATTAATCATGAGATAGATTTAAAGAAATATTAAAATTTACCAAATAACTTACTGTGAGTCCCTGGCTTTGTTACAGCTATATCATCATGGTACTTATTAGCCACTGGAGAGGCCAGAATTATATCAGAGATACAACCAGCCTGCCACTCATTGGCCTTTACCCTCTGTGATGTTCCTGACACTGCCAGCAAAACCTCTCTATCACAGACTTACAGCTTCCTCCAGCTGCAAGAAACCCTGGTCTTGTTCTTATCTACTAAGCAAATGAATATTATAATCGACAAATAAATGAGCTTGATTGGGTCCTCATCCACTTATTCACTCATGTCACAAAAATTAAGTGAATTACAAATATGGACCAAGCACTGAATTCATTTTTAAAAATTTAATGAATAAATAAAATGATATGAGTAGATGCATAAATGAACAAATGACTAAAACTACGGTGATTACTAATTCTCTTTTGTAGAATAAGCATGGATTATTCTCCAAATAGAGGCTCTTAACACAGAAGACAAGGTAGGGAGGAAACTTCTACCAGTTTTAAAGAGACCAAGAGGGCAGAGAAGGGACATTTAGTTCTGAGATATCAATGATAGGACTGTGTTACAGATTCAGAAGCTGTCATTACTTGAGAGCAGAAGGAAGAAACAAAACAAAACGTTATTAACAATGATGGCAACATGTAAGTCTAGTTGGTTCTACCATAAATATTTGTATAGACTCTGCTATTTTCAAACTAATACTGATTAATTCTATCAGTTTAGCTTACCTCAACCCTGAAGAGGTTTATATTGCAATCATTCCACTCTACCTATTAAAAATTGATTATTTTGCAACTTGTATTATTTCTTTTAAG
Source organism: Homo sapiens (assembly GCF_000001405.40). NCBI lineage: Eukaryota > Metazoa > Chordata > Mammalia > Primates > Hominidae > Homo > Homo sapiens. Next base: position 20,120,584 of record NC_000007.14, read on the forward strand.
TTGCAGATTATTTGCTTATTTCAGTGAATTTTGTTGTATTTGGGCCTATGCCTGGGGCCACAGCTCCTTAAACTAACACAAAAGAAAAGGTTGAGTCATAAGCCCACCAAGATCCATTTCCTTATTGTCAGGCCTCTGAGCCCAAGCTAAGCCATCATATCCCCTGTGACTTGCATGTATACATCCAGATGGCCTGAAGTAACTGAAGAATAACAAAAGAAGTGATGTTTAAATGGCCTGTTCCTGCCTTAACTAATGACATTCCACCACAAAAGAAGTGAAAATGGCCGGTGCTTGCCCTTAAATGATGACATTACCTTGTGAAATTCCTTCTCCTGGCTCATCCTGGCTCAAAAAGCTCCCCCACTGAGCACCTTGTGACCACACTCCTGCCCTCCAGAGAACAACCCCCCTTTGCCTGTAATTTTCCTTTACCTACCGAAATCTTACAAAATGGCCCCACCCCTGTCTCCCTTCGCTGACTCTCTTTGCGGACTCAGCCAGCCTGCACCCAGGTGAAATAAACAGCCTTGTTGCTCACACAAAGCCTGTTTAATGGTCTCTTCACACTGGCGCGAGCGAAATTTTGGTGCCAGGACTCGGATCGGGGGCCTCCCTTGGGAGATCAATCCCCTGTCCTCCTGCTCTTTGTTTCGTGAGAAAGATCCACATACGACCTTGGGTCCTCAGACCGACCAGCCCAAGGAACATCTCACCAATTTTAAATCTGGTAAGCGGCCTCTTTTTACTCTCTTCTCCAACCTCTCTCACTATCCCTCAACCTCTTTCTCCTTTCAGTCTTGGTGCCACACTTCAATCTCTCCCTTGTCTTAATTTCAGTTCCTTTCATTTTCTGGTAGAGACAAAAGAGACACGTTTTATCTGTGGACCCAAAACTCCAGCCCTGGTCACAGACTTGGGAAGACAGTCTTCTCTTGGTGTTTAATCACGCAGGGATGGCTGCCTGATTATTCACCCACGTTTCAGAGTTGTCTGACCACACGGGGATGCCTGCCTTGGTCCTTCACCCTTAGCAGCAAGTACCGCTTCTCTGGGGGGCAGGAACCCCCCAACCCCTTCTCTCCATGTCTCTACCCCTTCTCTGCTTTTCTGGAGCGCAAGAAACCCCCGACCCCTTCTCTCCATGTTGCTACCCCTTCTCCGCTTTTCTGGGGGGCAAGAACCCCCCACCCCTTCTCTCCATGTCTCTACTCTCTCTTTTCTCTGGGCTTGCCTCCTTCACTATGGGCAGCCTTCCATCCTCCATTCCTCCTTCTTCTCCCTTAGTCTGTGCTCTCAAGAACTTAAAACCTCTTCACCTCACACCTGACCTAAACCTAAACGCCTTATTTGCTTCTACAATGCCGCTTGACCCCAATACAGACTCGACAGTGGTTCCAAATAGCCAGAAAACAGCACTTTTGATTTTTCCATCTTACAAGATCTAGATATTTCTTACCATAAAATAGGCAAATGGTCTGAGGTGCCTAACGTCCAGGCATTCTTTTACACATTGTTCCCTCCCTAGTCTCTGTCCCCAGTGTGACTCGTCCCAAATCCTCCTTCTTTCCCTCCCGCCTGTCCTCTCAGTCCCAACCCCAAGCATCACTCTTTCTAATCTTCCTTTTCTACAGACCCATCTGACATCCCCCCTCCTCCCCAGGCCGAGCCAAGTCCCAATTCTTCCTCAGCCTCTGCTCCCCCTACCCTATAATCCTTTTATCACCTCCCCTCCTCACACCCAGTCCAGCTTACAGTTTCGTTCCACGACTAGCCATCCCCCACCTGCCCAGCAATCTCCTCTTAAAAAGGTGGCTGGAACTAAAGGCAAAGTCAAGGTTAATGCTCCTTTTTCTGTATCTGACCCCTCCCAGAATCAGTTAGTCTTTCAGCTCTTTTTTCATCAAATATGAAAAACCCAGCCCAGTTCATGACCCGTTTAGCAGTAACCCTGAGACACTTTACAGCCCTAGACCCTGAAAGGTCAAAATACCATCTTATTCTCAATATACATTTTATTTTATTACCCAATCTGCTCCTGACATTAAATAAAGCTCCAAAAATTAAATTCCAGCCCTCAAACCCCACAACAGGACTTAATTAATCTCGCCTTCAAGGTGTACAATAATAGAATAGAGGCGGCCAAGTAGCAACTTGTTTCTGAGTTGCAATTCCTTGCCTCCACTGTGACAGAAACCCCAGCCACATCTCCAGGACACAAGAACTTCCAAACGCCTAAAACGAAGTGGCCAGGCATTCCTCCAGGCCCGCCTGCCCCAGAAGCTTGCTACAAGTGCCAGAAATCTGGCCACCGGGCCAAAGAATGCCCACAGCCCGGGATTCCTCCTAAGCCACGTCCCATCTGTGTGGGACCCCACTGGAAATCGGACTGTCCAACTCACCTGGCAGCCACTCCCAGAGCCCCTGGAACTCTGGCCCAAGGCTCTCTGACTCCTTCCCAGATCTTCTCAGCTTAGCAGCTGAAGACCGACGCTGCCTAATCACCTCGGAACCTTCCCAGACCATCACAGATGCTTTAAGTAACGTTCACAGTGGAAGGTTAAGTCCGTCCCCTTCTTAATCAATACGGAGGCTACCCACTCCACATTACCTTCTTTTCAAAGCCCTGTTTCCTTTGCCTCCATAACTGCTGTGGGTATTGACGGCCAGGCTTCTAAACCTCTTAAAACTCCCCAACTCTGGTGCCAACTTAGACAATACTCTTTTAAGCACTCCTTTTAGTTATCCCCACCTGCGCAGTTCCCTTATTAGGCTGAGATATTTTAACTAAATCATCTGCTTCCCTGACTATTCCTGGGCTACAGCCACATCTCATTGCCACCTTTTCCCCTAGTTCAAAGCCTCCTTCACATCCTCCCCTTGTATCTCCCCACCTTAAACCACAAGTATAGGACGCCTCTACTCCCTCCTTGGCGACGGATCATCCACCCCTTACCATCTCATTAAAATCTGATCACCCTTACCCCACTCAATGCCAATATCCCATCTCGCAGCACGCTTTAAAAGGATTAAAGCCTGTTATCACTCGCCTGCTACAGCATGGCCTTTTAAAGCCTATAAACTCTCGTTACAATTCCCCATTTTACCTGTCCTAAAACCAGACAAGCCTTACAGGTTAGTTCAGGATCTGCGCCTTATCAACCAAATTGTTTTGCCTTTCCACCCCATGGTGCCAAACCCATATACTCTCCTATCCTCAATACCTCCCTCTACAACCCATTATCCTGTTCTGGATCTCAAACATGCTTTCTTTACTATTCCTTTGCACCCTTCATCCCAGCCTCTGTTCACTTTCACTTGGACTGACCCTGACACCCATTAGGCTCAGCAAATTACCTGGGCTGTACTGCCGCAAGGTTTCACAGACAGCTCCCATTACTTCAGTCAAGCCCAAATTTCTTCCTCATCTGTTACCTATCTCGGCATAATTCTCATGAAAACACATGTGCTCTCCCTGCCAGTCGTGTCTGACTGATCTCTCAAACCCCAACACCTTCTACAAAACAACAACTCGTTTCCTTCCTAGACATGGTTGGATACTTTCGACTTTAGATACCTGGTTTTGCCATCCTAACAAAGTGCAAAAAGAAACCTAGCTGACCCCATAGATCCTAAATCCTTTCCCCACTCCTCTTTCCATTTCTTGAAGACAGCTTTAGAGACTGCCCCCTAGCTCTAGAGTCCCTAGCTCTCCCTGACTCATCCCAGCCCTTTTCATTACCCACAGCTGAAGTGCAGGGCTGTGCAGTAAGAATTCTTACACAAGAACCGGGACCATGCCCTGTAGCCTTTTTATCCGAACAACTTGACCTTACTGTTTTCCCCAGCTCTCAAGTCTATGTGCAGCGGCCGCTGCCACCCTAATACTTTTAGAGGCCCTTAAAATCACCAACTATGCTCAACTCACTCTCTAAAGTTCTCATAACTTCCAAAATCTATTTTCTTCCTCACACCTGACACATATACTTTCTGCTCCCCGGCTCTTTCAGCTGTACTCACTCTTTATTGAGTCTCCCACAATTACCATTGTTCCTGGCCCGGACTTCAATCCGGCCTCCCACATTATTCCTGATACCACACCTGACCCCCATGACTGTATCTCTCTGATCCACCTGACATTCACCCCATTTCCCCAAATTTCCTTCTTTCCTGTTCCTCACCCTGATCACACTTGGTTTATTGATGGCAGGTCCACCAGGCCTAATTGCCACACACAAGCAAAGGCAGGCTATGCTACAGCACAAGCCACTAGCCCCTCTTAGAACTTCTCATTTCCTTTCCATCATAGAAATCTACCCTCAAGGAAATAACTTCTCAGTGTTCCATCTGCTATTCTACTACTCCTCAGGGATTATTCAGACCCACCCCCCCCCCGCCCACCACCTTCCCTACACATCAAGCTCGGGGATTTGCCCCCGCCCAGGACTACTAAATTGGCTTTACTCAAAATGCCCCGAGTCAGAAAACTAAAATACCTCTTGGTCTGGGTAGACACTTTCACTGGATAGGTAGAGGCCTTTCCCACAGAGTCTGAGAAAGCCACCACAGTCATTTCTTCCCTTCTGTCAGACATAATTCCTCGGTTTGGCCTTCCCACCTCTATATAGTCCTATAACAGACCGGCCTTTATTAGTCAAATCACCCAAGCAGTTTCCCAGGCTCTTAGTATTCAGTGAAAGAATGGTCTTTTAAAAACACAGCTCACCAAGCTCAGCCATCAACTTAAAAAGGACTAGACAATACTTTTACCACTTGCCCTTCTCAGAATTCAGGTCTGTCCTCGAAATGCTACAGGGTGCAGCCCATTTGAACTCCTGTATAGACGCTCCTTTTTATAGGCCCCAGTCTCATTTCAGACACCAGACCAACTTGGACTGCACGCCCCCCCTCCAAAAAAAAAAAAAACAAAAAAATAAAAAAACCTGTCATCCCTACTATCTTCTATCTAGTCATACTCCTATTCACCATTCTCAACTACTCATAAATGCCCTGCTCTTGTTTACACTGCCGGTTTACACTATTTCTCCAAGCCATAACAGCTGATATCTCCTGGTGCTATCCCCAAACTGCCACTCTTAACTCTCTCTTAAAGTAAATAAATAATCTTTGCTGGCAGGGCTATGCTGAACCTCCTTAGGCACTCTCTAATTAGATGTCCTAGCTCCTCCCAATTCTTAGTCCTTTAATACCTGCTTTTCTCCTTGTCTTATTCCGTTCTTTTTTCAATTCATACAAAACCATATCCAGGCCATCACCAATAATTCTATACGACAAATGTTTCTTCTAACAACCCCACAATATCACCCCTTGCCACAAAATCTTCCTTCAGCTTAATCTCTCCCACTCTAGGTTCCCATGCCGCCCCTAATCCCGCTCGAAGCAGCCCTGAGAAACATTGCCCATTATCTCTCCATACCACCCCCAAAAATTTTCGCCGCCCCAAAACGTCAACACTATTGTGTTTTATTTTTCTTATTACTATAAGAAGACAGGAATGTCAGGCCTCTGAGCCCAAGCTAAGCCATCATATCCCTTGTGACCTGCACATAAACATCCAGATGGCCTGAAGTAACGGAAGAATAACAAAAGCGATATTTAAATGGCCTGTTCCTGCCTTAACTAATGACATTCCACCACAAAAGAAGTGAAAATGGCCGGTGCTTGCCTTAACTGATGACATTACCTTGTGAAATTCCTTCTCCTGGCTCATCCTGGCTCAAAAAGCTCCCCCACTGAGCACCTTGTGACCACCATTCCTGCCTGCCAGAGAACAACCCCCCCCTTTGCCTGTAATTTTCCTTTACCTACCCAAATCTTATAAAACGGCCCCACCCCTATCTCCCTTCACTGACTCTCTTTTTGGACTCAGCCCGCCTGCACCCAGGTGAAATAAACAGCCTTGTTGCTTACACAAAGCCTGTTTGGTGGTCTCTTCACACGGACGCGAGTGAAACTTATTTGCAAAGCACGGGCTGAATTAACGGGACTATGTTGCCCACAATTAGAGAAGCAATTGTCTTGTTCAATCATTTTGGGGTTTCCTGTAGAACATAAACTTCTTAATGACAGAAATTACGGGCATATTCACATTTGCCTGACCTACAACAGATGCCAAATAAGTTTTCCAGATAAATGACTGAAGGGGTAAATGTGCTCTGGACAGACCTCACCAAGACACTGGGTTTAGCTCTAGGGGGGCAACTATCTGAAGAGGAAGATAGGCAACCCACTATGAAAGTAACATGCAGGGAAGAATCTGAAAATTATTTATTTGAAACGAGGGGACTTAGGGTGTGCAGCCTAGTGAAGAAATGTTTTAAAGTTTTGAGGGAATGATTGTTGTCTCCAAATGTCTGAAGGAAGTACCTGTAGAAGGGCATTAGTGAAATAGTTTCCTCCCACTGACAGCAAAATCCATGAGAACAGGGAATGTGTCGTGTCATTTTATCTTCAGCATTTGTGGTACAGATTAGGCACTCAGTCAGCATTTATTAAATGATGAATAAACGAATGAATAAGGTACAAAAGTCAGATTTGGGCTCAAGTACAGGCAGACCTTCATAAAAGGAGAATTGTTCAAAAATGGAATGCCCTTTCTGGGTGGCAAGTTTTACAAAATGTAGTCCATAAAAATAAAATGTGGATAACCATCAGCTGGGTTTAATTCTAAGATTTCCTGATTTATGCATGGGACTTCCAATGAGTTACTAAATATTTTCTGGGCCAATGGGTTCTGAAAGTTATACCCAAGTATGAATGTGATTGATAATCACACAAACTGCTTCACCAGTGAGATTATCCAGTCATCTAGAAAATCATAGTATTAATCCAGAGGCCTCCAGAAAAGAAGCATAAATAGAAAAATTCAATCCATCATTACTGCCCCAGTCTCATTTCAAAATGTTTTTCAAAAGAAAAACATAGGAATGATAACAAGATTTCAAAGTAGGTATTCTATTAAACTCTTTCAATAAAGCACTTCAAACAATGAAAAGTATGTTTTATGTGGAGAATACAATTGCTCATGAAAATAGACAAATAAAAACAACAAAAATCTATCCTATTACAGATTTCTATTGAAAAATTGCTGCAATATGCAGACTGATTGGGTCATTTTATCTAATCCTATACAATATACAATTTTAGATAATCCTTTCACAGATATGTTTCGATAGTCTATAGTTTTATTGGTTAGGATGTTTTAGGGAGCTATATTGACCCTCCATGGCCCAAGAATTCATGCCAATTACTTTATCTGATTCCAGAAAATACTCATTTTGTATATTCCCAATCAACAAAATGTTTATTTTGGTTTTTCTGAAAATAAGAGCAAGTCAAATCTTCATAGTTAATTATAATTGGACCTCTCTCAAGGTCTTTTCTTGTGTGAAGTACTCAGTGATGGAATTATTTCTACTTGAGCACTGTTTAGTCAGGGTTGTAGTTTTTCTAAGATTTTTTTAAACACTGGAATGTTTTGGAAATACAGTCTCCTTTATTAATGTAAGAGGCCTGCCCGTAAACTTGAGCTAATTCTGTTGAGTCAGGGCTTACTGATAGATTCCTGAATTTACCCAGAGCTTTAAATGTTGTATTCCAAGTGTCCTTTGCCCTCAAGGACTCAAGGAGTGCATTAATGTAGTTGTCACTGTAATATTTAATAAGAAACCTTGCTTAGGATTTTAGAAACTTTCCATTTGAAGGTGTTTTTGCTCCTAAATAATACAGAAACTATCAATATACAAATAAGGCTGAGAAGGCAGGAAAGCTCGTTGATTGTACTTACTCTGCAATCCCAGGACACAGGAAAATGGAACTTAAGAAGCAGGTAGTCCAGAAAGAATAAATCTTCAAGTCTGCTGTTTTTACTATGTGCAATAGTTGAAATTAACTGTCAAATCAGGTTTTAATCTAGCTAAGTAGATATTTAAAAAAAAGCGATTTGCAGTTAACACAAGCATGTCTGTTATTGTGCCACAAAACTACAAAGGAAGCAACAGGACTGAATTGTAACGATGACAACAGATCTCACTACATTTCATGTTTAATATGTTTTGGAAATCCTTTAATACAGAGAGCATTGATTCAAGGCCTCTCTACATGTAAATTCAATAACTGTTGACTAATTATATTTTATGCCATGTGTATAAATATTTGTCCAGCTCCTCCATGTGATTGAAAATGGCCTTAAAAATTAAAAGATTTTCTGCAGTCATGTCTTGTGCCAGCATAGTGCTTTGCTAAGAATAGATACACAATTAACATTGTTTTCTCAGAAGTTGTCACTTCATCTATTGTTTTAAGAATAATAGGTCTATCCCTCTGATTTTTTCTTTTTTTTTTTTTTTGCCAATGAGAAAAAAGAAGAGAAAGAGGAAAAAGAATGAGAAAGAGAAAGGTAAGGGGAAAGAGGAAGAGAAGGAAAATAAAAGCAGAGAAAGAAGAGCCTGCCATTGACTGGATTGCCGTAATTAAAACAATCAATTCTCATTTAATTTATTTGGATCATGCTTACACTTATGGTACCTGGGTTGACACCAATTAGTGCTCCATAAATGCTAATTGATGGGTTAGTTGATAACTGCAAAATCTGTATCCACGTGAAGTCACTGTCATGCTCTGGGGAATCTGGAGGAGGATTTCCAAAGACCCTTTGCAAAGATGGAAAAGTTAAACATTTAGCTTTCTCTCTTCCTCTCCCTCTTGCAAGTTAAAGCTATCTCTATGTTTTAAATTTATTGTGCAGATAAACAAGCTTAATACTAGTTTCCATAAATTAAAAGAAACACTTTGTCCTTCCCATAAACTAGCTGTTAGGTTTATGTAAAGTTACAAATTGTTTTCACTGCTGTATTTATTTTTTGATGGAATGAAGTACAATGTTTTGTAGTCAGAGAAACTGGTAATTGAGTAAGGAACTTACAGATACCCTTGCAAGAATTATCCACATCAGAGTGGCGTGAGCTGCATTAGGTCTGGTCCTCAGCCTGTTTGTCCTCAGTATCTCTCCCTGTCAATTTTGGCATCTAGTACTTTCTTTAAGTCTTGCCCATTCTGGGAACTTTCCACGATTCCCTTCATCTATAAAAATATCTTATGTCCCTTCCTTACCGTAGGTTTAATATGGTGATTATTTAAGCTGCGGCACAAAGAGCCTGATAATGACAGGGTGTTATCTTTCCCGGTTGCCACTTTTACTTTTAACAGGGACTTCAGTGTTTTGTACTTATGGTGGCCAATTGTCTTGGTTTGCCTGAAACTTCCCTGGTTTTAGCACTGAAAATCCCACGTCTCAGGAAAGCCCTCAGTCTTGGACAAACCAGGAAAGGCTGTTTACCATAAGTGCACTCAAAGAATTCTGTAAAAAATGGCAATTGAGAAAAACTTTTTAGCCTTCTCTCTCAAATTGCAGTTCTCAGTTAGAGATTTTCTTAGCCTGTTCTCTCAAATCCCTGCTTAGGACAATCTACCAGGTCTCCTCAGGAGTTCAGCACATTCTGTCTTTTTTCTTACCCACCACACCCTTCAAGACAAATTTCCCAGATGCTTGGCTCAGTGTGCTCTCTGGGTGATCCAAGCCTCCCCTTGTTTTTGTTTGTTCTATAAGAGACATTTGCTTCCCAGCCATCCCAGTGTTCATCAACAAGAACAACAACAACAACAGCAACAACAACAAAATCAAAGGAGTGACAATCTGTTCTTAGACTGTCTTCACAGTTCCCCACCAGAAAAAAGAGTATTCCTTTTCTGCAGCACTTAAATCCTATACTGGCAGCAATGAAAACCCAAGGGAAATTATCTACAAGTATGAACAGACAGTCCTCAATTTATTTACGAGTTCGACCTACGATTTTTTTGACTTCACAGTGGTGGGAAAGCAATACTCATTCATTAGAAGCCAGACTTTGAGTAAGTACCCATACAACCATTCTGTTTTTCACTTTCGGTATAGTATTCAATAAATTATCTGAGCTATTCAACACTTTATTATAAAATAGGCTTTGTGTTAGATGATTTTGCTCAACTGTAGGCTAATATAAGTGTTTTGAGCACTCTTAAGGTAGGCTAGGCTAAGCTACGATGTTCTGTAGGTTAGGAGTATTAAATAAGCTTATTTTTTATTTATTTGTTTTGTTTGTTATTGTTTCTAGAGATGAAGTCTTGTTATGTTGCCCAGGCTGGGCTGGAACTTGTATTACCTACACCAATGTTGTTTACCATTAGTTCCCATAAGCAGAGTTTGACTCTTTATCATGCCTGAATTAAAAGAACAATGGCAGTTCCAGCTGCGTAGTTCTATCATCTTACTGTATTTCAGATCAATCCGTGGCTTTGGAATGTCCCTCATTTCTCAGGCATTGAGGATTTTCTGGTGATAGAGAAATAAGGGGGCAGAAATTTTAAAAGGCTCATTGCAGGATTGTTTAACATGCATTTGAACGAAGTAGTTGGTTTTAGTAACAAAAAAAACCTGACTAAATAATTTTTATTATGGGCTGAATTGTACCCTCCCTCAAGTTCACGTTGAAGTGCTAACCCCTGGTACCTAAGAATGTAACCATATTTAGAGGTAGTGTCTTTCAAGAGGTAACTTAAATGAGGTCACTAGGTGGGCGCTAATCCAGTATGACTGGTGTCCTAAAGAGAAAAGGACATGACACATTGACACACTCATAAAAGGAAGAGCATGTAAAGATACAGGGAGAAGACGGCCATCTTTAAACTAAAGAGAGAGGCCAGAAATATATTCTTCCCCACGGCCCTCAGAAAAATCCAACCCTGCCAAAACCTTGATTTTATTTCTAGCCTCCAGGATTGTAAGAAACATTTCTGTTTTCTAAGTCACTCAGTATCCCCCTTATCTGCAGGGGATACATTCCAAGACCCAAGGTTGATGCCTGAAACCACTGATGGTGCCAAACCCTGTGTAAATTTTTCCTACACATACATTCCTATGATAAAGCTTTAAGAAATCAACAATAATAAAATCAAACAAATATAACAATATACTGTAAAAAAAAAGTTACGTGAACATGATCTTTCTCTCAAAATATCTTATTGCATTGTACTCACCCTTCTTGTGACAATGTGAGATGATACAATGCCTACATGATGAGATGAAGTGAGGCGGATGAGGTAGGCATTGTGATGTAAATGGAAAATTCCAGAAATAAACAATTCATAAATTTTAAAATTGCATGGCATCCTGAATAGTGTGATGAAGTCTCACTCTTTCCTTTTCCGTCATCACTTAGTACCTATCTTGGTTATCAGATTGACTGTCACTGTTTCCTTGTGCTTGTGTTCAAGGAACATTTTTTTACTTAATATTGGCCCCAACGTACAAGAGTAGTGATGTAATATTTTCAGAACGGGGATGGCCACAGGTAACTGAACCCATGGAAAGTGAAACCACAGATAATGGGGGACTACAGTAATGCAGTTTTTTACTAGATAAACACAGAATATACTAAGTGGTCAAAACAGAGCTCTCATTAAAGATGGATTTAAAACTTTGCTCGAGACAGGAACCCAGGGTGGGTGGATTAATTACATGCAGTGGGTTTGCACCTGTTTCACTGGAACCTGGACTCTTATTCCTAAGCATACAGTAACTTCTCAGCAATCAAAATAGAAAGAAATATAGAGCTTTTCTAACAGCGTGAAAGGATATTTGATTTTCCTTTTTCTTCTAAACTATCAGTGAAATCACTTGAAAATAGATTTAGGAATGTAATATCAAGTACTTACTTATCTTCCTCTTTTAAATAACCTTGATCACTAATCTCTTATTTTGCCACAACCCACACCGTTCCATTCAACCTTGAAAAACCTAATATCCAATTTCATCCCAAAGAGCATTTCTCTATGTACAGCAAATTATGAATATAGTTGAACAAACATTAAACAGGAACTATATATTAAGGAAAAAATGATCATGGGCTCCTAAAAATAAAAAGACAGGATTAATTCTATGACATGTTGACTATATCTTAATAAAGCTGTTAGGTATTTTAAAAAAGAACAAACACACCACCATTGTTGGTGGTATCCCTTTACATTTTGCCCTATTTTTTGATGATGTCTTGGAATCATGTAATTCCCTTCAATTGCTGTTGCTGTTCTACTTTCCCCTTGGGCAACATTTTGGGGTTATTACTCAGACAAAAGAAGAGATAAAGATCTCCAGTGAAAAGTCAGATGGCTGAGAAAGGTGAAATACCACTGAGCTTGGACCCCGCTTTCCTAGTTTCATTCAGGAAATGTTTGAAGGAATTTGCCATGGTTGTTTTTCACCAGCAGGTCATGACACTCGATTCTAACCTTACAATTTTCACAATCAAGCATTCTGGGAACTCCTTCTCTGTCCCTCTCTTCCCCTCAGCTTCTTTCTAGCAGTAGGTGAAGTGCATCTACTACATTATAGGTCCTGCTTGAGAGTAATTGAAGTCACAGGAGATCTGCCTCTGGTCCTCTTAGGCCAGGTGCCCCTGTGGCCTTGATGGGGTTGTAGGTGGTTTTGTCATGTCATCAGCAATTCGTAAAGTGGTATGTAGAGAGCAGATATTGCCAGTGAAGTTCCATTTACTTATCATTTGATTTATTGCAGAAGTTTATAGAAAAGCAGGCCCATTGCCAGTCTCATACTAAGGACTCAGAAAACTAGCTTCTTGAATTGCACTTGAGGGAGAAAGATTTCCTGAGGCAGCAAATAGTGCTGAGGCTAAGTGATCCTCTCGCCTCAGCTTCCTGAGTAGCTAGGACCACGGATGTGCACCACCATGCTCAACAATTTTTTTTTAATTGTATTTTTTGTAGAGATGGGGTTTTGCTGTTGCCCAGGCTGGTCCCAAACTTCTGGCCTCAAGCGATCCTCCTACCTTGGCCTCCCAAGTGCTAGGAATACAGGCATGAGCCACAGTGTTTGGCCTGGTCTTTTTACAAATGGAAAACACAGTATCTTTCCTTCTTTCTCTTTACCTGATCTATAAAAAGATACAAATTAACTGTTGTTTGCTTATCTCCTGGATGGATTTAATGCTATCTAAGACTGTTTTGTAAAACACCAAAGAAACTTCAGCTAGAGCAAACGCAGCAGCCCTACATCAAAATTGTCATTTATCGGTCTTTCGAGAGCTGGTGTCAGAAAACCTATTTTAAACTGGATTAGGCACAAAGAATTTGTCTCTCACAACTAAAAACTCCAGGAGGCAGTTTCAGGCATTCCAGTATCCAAGGCTTGAAGAGTGTGATCAAACTTGTGTTTTGTTCTTGTTTTGTTAGTTCCCCTACCTATATTTGATTATATTAGTTTCATCCCTGGGCTCCACAAAGCTGCCCAGCAGCTCTGGGCTTTCCCTTTATGGTAACAACATGGCTGCAGCAGCTCCATCCTCACCTCTCCTCATGTTCCAGTTTCAAGGTGACATGGCCTTGTAATTTCCCCTGGGCTAAACTAAATAGTGTTTCCCAGGGCTTTCTTCACTGAGTGTCTCTGAGTGTTGCTGATTAGAGTTGACCACAGAGAAATCTATGTAAGATTTGTAAGGTCACATTGGAGCAGGAGCACTGTTACTCTTGGAAGGTGGAGGTAGGTCAGGCGATCATTGCACCACTGCACTCCAGCTTGGGTGAGACAAGGAGACCTTGTCTAAAAAATAAAATAAAATAAAATAAAAATAAAAATAAAAATAAAAATTCCAACACAAAGAGAGGAAGACAAAGTTTCCATTGTCATGAATAGGCAGCCTTCTTTCTTTACACCGTAATTGAACCCTTCCCTAGCTCCACTTCACCCCTTTCTTGATTTTTCGTCATGATATAAAACGTCTGAGTGAGCATTGAGTATGTATTTCCTGGGAGTAAACCCAGAGAATGGGTTTTTCTACTCTGATAAGAAAGGGCGCAGTAGCTGGTTCTATTAGGTCATTTAATCTAATATGTGTAAGATCAGCATTACATCAGACTTGCCAATTCCAGATTCTGCTTTAAAGAGTGAGTTTGGTAGAACCAGTTTAGGTAAAAACAATAACTTAATCATAACTAAAGATTTGATTTTTCAATGACTCACTCTATTTTCATGAACAAGTTAAATGCCCCAGTAAATTCCATGTATTGAGTTTAAGTGAGCATATAAACATTAGGGACATTTAAAATCTACTTCCAGTCACAAAAGGGCAGAGTCTTGATATCTTTAAGAACAGAGAAAAGGAAGCCATAGATTCTTCCAATCACCCAAAGAAAAACAATTAACAAGGAAATGATGGCAGAGGATAAAACGTGATACGTCAATCTCAAAGTGAGATGGTTCAGCTTGCCACCTCTTCTCAGTCACCATCTCTTTAAATGTGGAATATGATCCTTAGAAAGAACATCCGATCACCTTATTAACACTTTCTAATTCTACAGTGAAAGCAGGGCATATAGATAGCTGTATTGATCACATTGATTAAAAACATTTTTTTCAATGGGAAAAAATACATTTAACAAGAAATTCAACAAATAACACACTAGGGAAAACAAGGCTTTTTCCGAAGATATTTTACAGAAACAAATGCAATGTTACATATATTTTGTAAAATTATCTTAAAATTATACTGAATACATGTCCCAAATTATTGTTAACCTATTTTTATTCAAATATGTTTATGCTTTAAATGAAACACAGAGATTTTAATTAGTTTCACAGTCAAAATTATTTTTGTAGGCCTTTATTAACTCATGAAAAGTTCACTTGCTATAAATAGAGCCTTAACATAAAGTGATTTTCGGTTCTTTAGCACAATTTTTAAAACAATTTCTCCAACAGAATTAAGTGAAATCTCATTTATCTTAAAGCAAATTAGAGGACTTATAAAAAATCTTTCCATTTCTATAGAGATGAAGGAAATTTTAATACAGTGGTTCTCAAACTGGGGTCCCTGGACCAGAAACATCTGCATCACCTGGGAAGTGATTAGAAATGCAAGTGATCAGGCCAGACCCTCTGAATGAGAAATTCTGGTGGTCGAGCCCAGCAGTCTGTTTCACCAAGCCCCCGCCAGATCGTTTTGCTGCTGCTGAAGTTGAAGAACCACTGCCGTAATGATTGCCTGGTCTAAGGCCTTGACAATGAGACTGGAGCATGTTTGGCAGCGTGCTTTGAGAAGCTCCTAGTGAAACCAATGCTGACCTCCTAAGTCAGTACTCAAGCACCATACTGTAGTTTGTTTTAAACAGCTGGAAGTCACCAATTGTTCAAAAACAGTGTGTATTACATAATCAATTTCAAAAGATTATGTAAAGAATAAATGAGGATATTTGTAAGGTGCTTAGTGTGCTTATGTATGTGTGCTAAATGTGCTATGCCTTACACATAGAGGACACAATTTTAATGTGGATAATTGGTATTCAAATTATTACTCTTAAATCACATTCTCTTTTCTCAAAGCAAAAAGAATAAAGAAAAACGCAATACATTCTAGTCATTGAACATTTATAGACATTTAAACCCAAGGGGAACACTAGAGGTCATTTGGTTCAAGTTCCTTGTTTTACTGGTGAGAAAACTGAAGACCAGAGAGGCCAAGTGACAGGTCCACAGTCTCATAGGGAGTAAGGGAGTAATGGACAAAGATTAGAAACCGCAGCTCTCAACTCTTTGACTAGTGTCTTGTAGAGGAAGCCTTTCATGCTGTACTCATTATGACAACAACAATATTTTCTATGAAATTTTCTCCTTTGGCCTTACTAATTATTATCCAGTGCTAACCTCTCTGTCTCTACTCCCTCACATATAAACTGACACTATTATTCAAAATTACAAAACTATTTATTAGGGTTAAAACTTTCTAGATGTACATAAATAGAAAATCAATGTAAAATATACATGCAAAAGATACACATTTCTACAATGTTCAGTGAAATCTTGATGCTGAACATCAGATACATTTCAGATGCTGTATGTGTACAAATTCAACTTTCCTATGTATATGTGGTCACTTTATTTTGTGCTGTGGACCAGTAAATACATATGCAAGAAACAAACCTTCGACATGCCATTTGATTCTGAAAAAATGTCTTTGGATTATCCCACCAATCATATTGATGTTCTTTAGAACTTCACTCTCACTAAACCATACAGCAGCATGTGGGAGAAAAGTTCATACAGAAGGAGGAGGGACTTACTTCTCCTCCTTGCGATTATTATTGCGATTAAGGATTATTATTAATTCTTAAAGATTAAGATTATTATTAATTATTAATTGTAATTATTAATTCTTAAAGATTATTAATTATAATATTAAATTATATTATTAATTCTTAAAGATTATTAATTATAATATTAAATTATAATTATTAATTCTTAAAGATTATGAATTATAATATTAAATTATAATTAATTCTTAAAGATTAAGATTATTATTGTGAATAAGAAGAAAAATGATCTAATTTAATGTAAAAACCCTCCAGTGACATCATTGTTCATTATTCTCTTTTTCTTTTATATTACCTCAAAAATTCCTTAGATATAAACAATTACAGAAAACATAACAATAGCACAATATAAAAATTCAAGTCCTTCAACTTCCAGTTATAGCATTGTACAAATTTGAGTGTATGCATGTTCTCTTTTGCATGTTCACATTACACATTCAAGGCTGATTAGTAGCAGCAGTGTTTCTCAGCCCAATGCCATCCATTGATTTAGCATTCTATTCCTTCCAGAAACCTAGTCATCCCCAAACTGAGAACTTTATATAGTATGTTCTACATTACAGGCCATGAAAATGTGCTGTATCCATTTATTAGTATGAACAGTTAATGACACACTATTGAATGCTTCTACTTAATTGTTTCATATAAAGGCTTTAACACAAAGGAGGTAGAGGATCTGTGGCTTATACAGAAAAATTATTATGTTTCAAGCTGGGCACTTAATTCAAATCTTATCCTAAGTCACGCATCATTAGACAAAAAGCCTGAGGAACTGAAAGAACCATGTAAACATTTTCTGCTTTCAAAATGCTTAAAGAAGTTTTAGATTAATGGGATTTGATACTTTTAATGATGTCAAAGATGGTATATAAGTGCCTTATTATTTCATTGACTTACTGCCAAATATTGAAGGCAATTCATGATTACTAATTTAATCTTTTCTGATTATGAAAATCCATTATAGCAAGAAAAAATATAAAGTTCAGAAAAGTAGAAACTATTTATTTAAAAATTAGAATATATTTATACAAACAGAATGTTTGGACATGGGCTTAAAATTCCTCTGGAAGGCTGGGAGCAGTGGCTCATGCCTGTAATCCTAGCACTCTGGGAGGCCGAGGCAGGTGGATGACCTGAGGTCAGGAGTTCCAGACCAGTCTGGCCAAAATGGTAAAACCTTGTCTCCACTAAAAATACAAAAATTACCCGGACAAGGTGGTGCATGCCTGTAATCCCAGCTACTTGGGAGGCGGAGGCAGAAGGATCTTTTGAACCCAGGAGGTGGAGGTTGCAGTGAGTCAAGATTGAAACACCGCACTCCAGTCTGGGCAACAGAGCCAGACTCTGGCTCAAAAAAAAAAAAAAAAAAAAAAAAAAAAAATTTCCCCTGGAAGGATTTGTTACAAGATTATAAAATATATTTGTGTGTATTAATATTAGAACCATTGTTTCATCCTCAAATTACAGAGATCTTGTTTTTCATTTTTTTAAACTCTTATTATTCTCAATCACAATCATAATACATGATGCAATGTAAACCTTAAATTATTTATTTAATCTTACTACACTAATCAGCTAACAAGATCTCTGTCTTCTTAGATCTTGGAGCCTGGAAAAACCCAGTTATTAATCCCCACTATCCCTTCCCAAAATTCTCTGGTTAGCTGACATGTTAATAAGATTCCAAGAATGTTCTAAAGAAAGCAAAATCACCACAAAAAAGGACTGTGTTCTGAAAGTAAAAACTGTGCTTTTTTTTCCTTCTCTCATAATTTATTTTTAATTAAAATAAATTCTGTCCTTGAATGTGTATACATAATTATTTGGTCAGGCTGTGTTCCCTTATAATCAAATATAAATACTGAAAGCCGTACAGATTATTCCTTTTTTTTTTTTTGAGACAGCCTGTCACCCAGGCTGGAGTGCAGTGGCATGAACTCGGCTCACTGCAAGCTCCGCCTCCCGGGTTCACGCCATTCTCCTGCCTCAGCCTCCTGAGTAGCTGGGACTACAGGCGCCTGCCACCACGCCCGGCTAATTTTTTGTATTTTTAGTAGAGACGGGGTTTCACCGCGTTAGCCAGGATGGTCTCGATCTCCTGACCTAGTGATCTGCCCGCCTCGGCCTCCCAAAGTGCTGGGATTTCAGGCATGAGCCATCGCGCCCGGCCAAGATTATTCTTAAACGCCAATTTGAATTACCATTGCCAGCATACCAAATATCCCAGGGTGGGTATATTAAAAGCCCTAAAAAGATTCTGCTTTTACTTTTTAGCCAAATGGACATCTTTTATTCAGGTTCCCAAAACAAAATCCTTCTTTGGCTTACCCACATTTCTTTGAGGCTGTGTGTTTTCTTTCTAAATTCTAGCAGCCTTAATGGCCCTAATGTGGCTTCTTCTTGCTCCATCCTCATCTCAACCTTGAATCTTTTATCCTTTCACTCCTTCACCCCTGCTATCTGCACCTATTCAGCTCCCACCCATCTAAGAGCTTCAGTGCTTTGTGGGATCACCGCTTACACCCCACCACACCAGGACAATGCCTACTCTTCCTTGAGGTTCATTATTTCTTTCCAAGAACAAATTTCCCTGACCCACCCCCACTTCCAGTTTCACATGATGGCATCTCTACGTTTATATCTCGTAGCATCACAGCCTCTCCATTGCAACTGTTAGTATGCATGCCATTTTCTATTTAACGGTGTCATTTTTTAAAATTATCTATTACTTAGCACTACTAAAGTCAGAGTTCATGCTGGTTTTTTCCCATTAGCCTCAAGCATCTATATGCCTGCCAAAAAATAGACACATATACTCTACCTATTGACTGAATGACAATAAATGAATGTCTGTCCAAATACACACATAAACACTGGCAGGCAACCAGAGGATTGAACAGAGGAGTAAGCAAAATACATCTCTTTGTGAACTTTGTCAGCCATTAGCATTTATACTGACCCAGGGTCCTATACAATTTTTGTCCTATATAATCAATTAGGCTGTGCTTTATAAAACACTGTGGTACACACACACACACACACACACACACACACACACACATGTGTTTGCATGAGCATGCCAACATAAAGATATCAGTGTTTTCGGTGGTTAAGACCTCTCTACTCAACAGGGTAATCAAGTTAATCAAGTTTCTGGTGGTGGTGGTTTTTAATAACTCGTATTATTAAAAATCTCCAAGAGCTAAAGAACTATTTTACATTACAATCCTGCAGAAAAAGTCCCAAATTAGGCAGGATTAGAGAGGTCCCAAGATGCTGAAGGGAGCTGATGAAAACACTAGGTCCATGCATGCAGACAACAGATTTCTGATAAGTCATATTTTCCTTCTGTCAGTCTTTCAAGAGACGATGAAAAAGAGTAGCAAGTCTCACTTAAAATGAAACGGCAACTGTTTCCCTGTAAGTCTTAACACGCATTTTGTTTTTACTATTCTGTTATGCAGTATGATTTTTTAAAAAGAAATAGAAACAGGTTTTTCAAGCAGAAAACCTACTTTGTACTGGCTATGTAGCCTCAGACGTTCTCTCCACTTCTGAGTTTCTCCCCATGAAAAATGGGGGTGATGCTGGTGAACCCCACTGATGAACTGAAGAGGTCAGGTGTGGAAAGCGGGCAGCCGTGACTGGCCACAGGGTGTGTGCTTGCTTCCCCTCTTTCTAGCTGCCTCCTGGGAACACTGCCTTGATCATGTTGATAGTCTCTAGTTTACCCAGATATCTGTGTGATGTAATTATTCAAACAGCTTTGACTTAGTAAATTTAAAATAACACTGAAAGAGAGAGAGGGCACTTTTCTTTTTTCTTTCCTTTCTAAGAACAAAGCAGCCTAATACTTGTATTTGAAACATACACAAAAATACATATTTGAGGATAAAACCCATCTTGGTTATCAGTTAGGCTGTGCTTTCATCAGGAAAAAAAAACTGGTTTTGAGCATGAAGAAAATTAATATAATGCTTTTCTGAGATTCTTTCTTTCCTACACACACACACACACACACACAGACACACACACACAGACACACACACACAGACACACAGAGACACACACAGACACACACAGACACACACACACACACACCATTACCTCATTTTCCCTCCCATCAAAAACACACGCTTTGTTTCTATACTTCCTCAGAAGTGGAGAATGCAGTTACTCTCAAAACCTCCAAAGAATTTACTAGTATTAAAACTCCAGTTAATTCTCTCCAGTGTTTAGTCACAGGGTTTTTCATTCTGTCCAAAGCTGACTGAAGGTCTTGTAACACATCTCTGTAGTTATTTCCATAGTGAGCACTCCAGGTATACAGAAAATCATAGGCAGGTTTCCACATCATCTATAAAGAAAAAAAATAGATTGGAGTAGTGTGGAAGTAGAAAGGAGAGGAAAATCGTTTTTAAAAAAAAGATGTAAAAAGCCTCTTAAGATTTAAGATAAAACGGAATACCAATTACACATGGACTTATTTGATGTCATAGAAAATATGGTTTAATAACTATCAGCTTCCTGTTATATCCCTGTGTTTTTAAAACTAGAGATTTTAAAAATAATAACTACAAATAGGGCCTTTTTTCCCTTGATCCATCATCTATACATTGCTGTTGCTTTCATGTGAATATAAAATTCCTTGCACAATTTTTTGATGGTAACAAATGTTATTGAGATAGGCTTTTTACTATTTGAGAGACTTTTAGAGTTAATTATTATTATTATACCTATCTGTGGTGAGTTTTATGACACCAAATAATGTATCAGGAGAGAAATAGTATATTTAACATTTTAAATTATTTTACTCGAGCAAGTCTATAAACAAGCAAAAATCTAGCTTCTTGATCAAGTCAAGATGAAAGCAAAAATATAATTCTCTAATTTAAAATATTTATTTCATGATATATTTTATCATCGAAAGAAAAACCAATACTCAGTGCTGCTTCTTTTTGCTTTTCCTAAGCACCTACCCATACCAATGATGTCATTGTTTCCATAGAAATAAATGTACGTCAAAGAGAAACTTCACATACAAGCATGCATGTAATGGTAACCAAGGCAACCAGGCTAGAGGGAGAATAGAGACAAAGGCAGACCAAATAAGACAAATTGTAGAATACACACACACACGCACACACACACACACGTCACACACACAGCACCTTAAAATGAATTTTCTCTAGGGAAACAACAAAATGAACCCTGCACTTGTAAGTGGAATATTTGAAATATAAACTTTATTATTTGCTTATTTTGGGGGGTTCACTGAACTAATTTGGTTGTGATTCTATCACTTGCAAAATGTAGGAACATAGACTCCGAGCTAAATATCATGCAGAACTGCCCTTTTAAAGTAGAACCTCTATCACAGTTCAGTAATATCACATGAACTAAAGCCTTGGCATATAATTTTCACCATCCTCCAATATCCTCATATAGTCTAATTTTAAAGTTAAAAGAATTAAAGACCTAAATAGGGAGTTCCATTATGTATTTGATTCAATCCACATAAAAGGCTCTAAGGACAATTTAATGTTATTTGTCCAAACTGGCATTCCTGGGAAGCCATGAACAGCCATTTCCTCATCTCTCTCGACAAAGCTTAATTTTGCAAGGTAGAGAATAAAAGACAATTATCAAAGTTATACCATATCAGCATATGGTGCAGCAACAAAAATCATCTCAGATTTTTGTATATAAGTTTTACCCTCACCAACCGGATTAATAATTTTATCTTCTATGTCTGATGGAATGTGAATGAGGCATCTGCTCATCTATATTTCTGAAGATTTACATTGAAATCAAACTTCTCAAAGTACAATTGCCACTAGTTTCTCAACAATGGAATATCAGTTGAGACATAGTAATGGAACCTTTTTTGTCAGACTCAATCTTGGTTGTCGCTGCTCAGTTGCAAAGAATCACTAAACAAATAGATTATTCTGTAGTGGGTATATTCTGTCTGTAAAATCTCTGAGACGTGGACACTACCTTCTATTCACTTAAAAGTCCCTGATGCTCAACGAACTGGTTCAAATTGTCACGTATTTTTTAAAATAATGGTGTTTATAGCTAAAGGCTTCTAAGACTGTTCTAAGTCTGCTAGTGATTGAGTCTGATAAATGATGTATTTGAAGATATTTTATGATAAACAGCAACTTAAAACATTTCTGTAAAAAGGGGATGGCATAGTAGATTAGTGTAAAGCATCGCAGAAAACAGACATCTCAAGAATTATAAAAGGGTAATTTTGGGGTTGTCCACTACACTACAGATTCAAATACTTTTACAGTCAAAAGCAGCCAATATGGCCCCACCTACTTTCATGGGAAGAAAAGCTCTGTATCTATGGCCTATCTTGCGGCAGGACTGTGAATTGCTATGTGTAGAGGAGCCCTTAGGCACACTCAGTCAAGAAGCAGCTTCTCCATGCTGTTGAGGGCAGGAAATACCACAGGTGATGCAAAAAATAGAAACTACAGATTCAGGAAAGGTCCGACGACACATCTACTCATGCACTTACGCAGAGCACCACATAACGTCCTCACATTTGGCAATTTGTTGTTGTTGTTGTTGCTTTGCTTTGTTTTGTTTTGGAGACGGAGTCTGGCTCTGTCGCCCAGGCTGGAGTGCAGTGGTGTGATTTCAGCTCACTGCAACCTCCCACTCCCTGGTTCAAGCAATTCTCCTGCCTCAGCCTCCCAAGTAGCTGGAATTACAGGCACGCGCCACCACGCCCAGCTAATTTTTTTGTATTTTTAGTAGAGACAGGGTTTCACCACCTTGGCCAGGATGGTCTTGATCTCCTGACCTCATGATCCGCCCGCCTCGGACTCGCAAAGTGCTGGGATTACAGGCATGAGCCACCACGCCCAGCCCTACATTTGGCAATTTGTACTAACAACAGAGTAGTGTCGATAGCTCTTGCAAATCAGAGAAATTTGGGTACAATACTGAGTCCTAGGCCCTAATTAAGATTTTTGAAGGTGTAAAGACTTCCCAAGAGTCCCCTGAATTTGTCTGAAATGCAAGGGGGAATATTGCCCTAAACCGATTTGAGACTCCCTGGAGTGTAAGCTGTAATCTGGCTAGAAATGGGTAAAAGAGCATTGGGCTGAAAACAATAGGGCGTTGGTAAACTTTACGATTTACACTAAAATATGAGCATACTCTGTATTCCATTTTTCTTCCTCATTGCAGCAAATTAAACCTGAATATTCCTTTGGTGCAAAAATTCATCTTCTGTGTACAAAATCATTGGTAGCTCTCAACAAAGATGATAGAGAAACACTTTTATAGCATAAATACAATGAAAATATTCAACATTATCATTGTTCATTAACTATTTTGCTTATCAAATCAAGGTTTATTATCTTCCACTACAATAAATTTTGTTACAGTAAGAAAATGATGAATATTGCATGACTCTTGCTTTTAGAAGCTTATAGCGTAGGAAGGAGATAGACACCTGCACAAACACTGGCACAGGGGATGAAATAGGATGTGATAATTACAGAAAAACTCAAAAATTACTTGCATATTTTAAATCAGTGTGAGAAAAAATGATTGTTGTATTCACTGATGCTATAATGGAAAGAAAGATAGGTTTGGGTGGCAGAGTCCTGTGTCTACATCTGAGTTCTGTTGCCTATTTGATAGGTTAATTTGATAAACTAATCAAGTTATTTCAGCTTGGAATTTTTTTAATCTATAAAATATGGATAATCATTCCCAAATTTTGTGTTCAAAATACCTCATGATGTATCTGGCATATAGTTTGCATTTATACTTCTTAATAGGATAGAGAAGAAAGTACTTATTTTTTTGGCAGGGGCAAGCTAAAGAGCCTATTTTCAGCCCTACTGAATATCAAGCAAAAGGGAGGGTATCTGATAAAAAATTACAGTTGGAATGAGGAGATGACCTTGAGAGGACAGACAAGGGTTTAGCATCACTTGTGCTACAGGGATGGCAAAACACATGAGAGCAGAAGAAAACACCAAGGAAGAGAAAAAAGGGATGCAAAATTTAATTCTCAACTAAGTCAATTATTAGTGGATACAAGAGAGAAATAGACGCAATAAAAGGATGGGGAGAAGCTGGAGTCAAAGAAAAAGAAAGTGAATCACATGCTTCATCTTGCAAAAGCCAAGAAGTATAATAACATCCCAAAAAGGACATGCATTGGCTTGCTGGAGCCAGCTCACACAAGCTCCCTGGATATCCTCCCAACTCCATGTTCCACAACTCCAGTGACACCACAATGGTAGGTTAAAATGATGTACGATCGGAATATTTACACTAAGAACATTAACAAAAGCTATAAGTTTAGATTTTTTCCCTCTGCAGGGTTGGTTGGTAAACATATGCCAGTGTAACACTGAGGACTTCCCTTTTCTGTTACCTCCACTGCTACCTGTAACATCAACAATGTGGGAATATAAAGAAAAACTTGGCAAATCCAGGATTTTGGAAATTAGCAGGACTTTGGTAACTTGGAGAAGGCAGTTTCAAGAGAATAGTCGGGGGCATACGACAGGTACAAACAGGTATCAAAGAAATGGAAGACACCAAACAAATGGGTCACATCTGAAATTTGAGTGTCAAAGGAAGAGAGACAGAACCAGAACAAGCAGCAGTAGAAAATAGAGGTATTTTTAAAAGAAAAACAAATTTAAAAAGTAATATCCTACCAGAACAAGCAGCAGTAGAAAATAGAGGTATTTTAAAAAGAAAAAAAATTTTTAAAGTAATATTCTATGATGGCAAGGGGATTTGGATTTGAATCTTAGCTTTGCCATATGGAGAACTTAAGGTTAATGAGGCTTAAAGAGGTAGCATATATAAAGCACCCAAGAAGAAAGGTTAACTTCCTTTGGCAGAAACATAAATACAAAAGGATGTTAAAATCATTATGGAGTTAGGGCACAAAATTAGAGGGGCAAGTATCATGAGAAATCGAGAAGGAATGAGAACAAAAGCATATGTCAAGACTTATGTACTTAATACACTGATAAAAAATATTAAATTGGGGGAACTATGTTTTCCCTTAATAAGTAAATCTCTAGGCTGGGGGTGGTGGCTCACGCAAGTAATCCCAGCACTTCTTTGGGAGGCTGAGGTGGGTGGATCATGAGGTCAGGAGTTCGAGACCAGCCTGGCCATTATGGTGAAGCCCTGTATCTATTAAAAATACAAAAATTAGTGAGGCGTGGTGGCACGCGCCTGTAGTCCCAGCTGCTTGGGAGGCTGAGGCAGGAGAATCGCTTGAACCCAGGTGGCAGAGGTTGCAGTGAGGCAAGATCATGCCACTGCACTCCAGCCTGGATCTCAAAAAGAAAAAAAAAAAAAAAAAGTAAATCTCTATTTGAGCTTTGCCTTAAAAAAACCTGATTAATCGTCCAGGTCTCTTCAATACAGTAAATAGGCTAATCAGTTGTTTAATTGTCCTTTGTGGAATAGATATATGAACATTTGGACACAAGTTCTAAAGGTACTTTTATTTTTTCTGCATTTTTTATCTCATTTCATTCTGGTTTTCTTAAACAGTAAATACATTTTATCCAAGGCAGAGACATAAGAGGTAATTTGTGTACATTAATTAACAATAAACTCTATGAAATTTGCCCTAAAATATCTACCCAGTAAGGTCACAAAAAATTCTAAATTTTTTAATAAATTACAAAGAAAATGAAGTCATCTTTTCTGGAAATGTTTGAAGGAATAAAATGCGTAGAATAAATAATTTTCTTTCCGGACTGACTAACATTTAATCCTCCGAAGGCTAGAAAGGAGTTGCAGACAGCCAAGATCTCTTCCAGATTTATGTTGTCTTGTATCTATTCTGTGTTTTAAAAATAGTTGTTCCTCTCTTGCTCAATGTTATGATTAGAAAAGATATGCAGAAACTCTACACTTGTGTTTTGAAAAATCTAAAGGAAAGCCCTCTCAGGAGGGCTTGTTTTTTAGTTGTTAAATTATTCTTAACCACAAAAATTATCTCAGCCTTCTCATTTCTATCACAAATATTTAATACATAGGCTGCATTCTTATGCCTCTATTCTTAGATTTTTAATGGTAACTTCATGATGTTGCAGTTTCATTCTTGAATAGGAAGCGTGAGGCTGATAAAAGCACAAAGTTGTTAATTTTCATCTATGTGCTTTTCTTTTTATAAAAAAGGGCAGCAGCGTGAGTAAGTATTTAACATACAAAGTTGAGCAGTTTTCCAAAGTTCAAGCTTTTGTGTGGAAGAAGTGTGTCTTAGGTTATCTTTTCAGTGTTATAGGACAAAATAAAAAGTAATGGAGCAATAAAAAGTAATAAGTGGGATGCCAAAAGAAATGAAATAGGAATAAAGGCAAAACATACATAGTTTTCCAAATTTAGAGTGCTCATTCCCAGAAGCCAATAAGACTCATTAGAAAATGCACTAGAAAATGAAATGCCACATGAGTAGAAGAAATTCAGATTTCAGCATAGCACTGTATGTCTTTTTTTAGCTTATAAAATATGAATAGCATAAAGAATGCAATTGGTTTTAACTACTTTTGGATAATTACATTTTGTCACATTAAAGGATTAGTAATCCACTTACTTCTCCTATAAACTTACAGGAACAACACTTCATTTTCAGTACCATTAGCTGAAGAAGTATTAAGGCAAGGTTGCCTTCTTAATGATTATTTCATGTGTTCTATCCTCAGTACATCATTTACAATATTCAGGTAAGCTTTAACACTTAACATTTAACATTACCTATAATTAGTAAGTACATAAATATTGTTGAAGGTAAGATTGCTGTTGTCTTCAGAAGAGAAGGGAGGCTAACATATCTGGGGGCCCCTATGTCCTCACGAGGGAGATGCTGCTTGGTTAAAACTTGACACAAGATTCCATTGAAAAAGTCTATTTGAGGACAACCAGCTAAATTTGGGTGAGAATAACCACTTGGAACTTCAGGGGTTAAGCATGAGCCAGAGGAAGACAGAGGACCTATTCCTTGCTAGTGCATCTGCTTAAATAGTCTAACATTATAGGAAAACCTGCTGGTTAAGCCATCTTACCAATTCCTAGTTGGGAGGATTCCTCATTGCCTCCTCATCATCACTGCCACCCATGCCCCTGCCAAAAACATATATTCATGGAGACAACTGACACCAATGTTTAAAGAAATTGGGCTCCTTCAATTTAATTTTTCAATGTAAACATTAAAACAAATGAAAAAATACAGTGTCAAGAGCTCTGGATTTAGCGGCACACATCTTGGTTTAAATCTAGACTCTTGGTTTAGTAGCTCCAGGATCTTAGGTAAGCTATCACCTTTCTTTAGGCCCTTGCTTTCCCCTTCTGGCAAATGAGAAAAAAGGTGTACCCAATGCTATAAAAGAATTGCTAAGTATACAAAGGAATGGATGTAAATGTTTTTGGCACACACCAAGTGCTCAATTAATGCTAATTATAGTTGAGTTTAAAGTTAAGAAACAAAATCACAGTCAACTATCCAGGAAAAGAACCCAGGTAACCTTGCTATAAATCTAGGGCCATTTTACTAAAGTATTGCCACAACTTTATTTCATTATTAAGCAGTTCTAACAAATGCTGATTTTGGTCTTACACATAGCTGGATTTTGGTTTTCTGAAATTCCTTATTGTTTATGTTCCCTAGTACTAAAGCTTGAAAAAGAAAACCTAAAGTCAAAATTAAATAGTGTCTTTAAATCCATTTTGAATTTTCTTAATAATGTTTAACTTAATATGCATGTTATTTCTATTTGATTTTCAGTGTATAATATAGAATTAAGTCAAAGATCATAGGAATACAATGTGTTACCCCAGAAATTTCACTGTGCTATCTTTGTTTTCTTTCCTACCTCATTCCTCCCAAAATGGAGTATCTTTTTGAAATTAAAGTTTGTAACAAGTATAGAATTGTACAAAGTAGACATGGTAATCTAAATTGTACAAAGTAGACAATGGTAATCTAAATAACATCACTGTGCCAAATCTCTAGTTCAAACAATGGAGATTTGAGATATCATTCTATACATTTTACAACTGGTATGTGAATTTCCATATAATACTTTTCCCTTCTCTAAGAAATTATAAATATATTTCTCATTTCAAAAGAACAGCAAACAAAAGAATTAAGTACCAAGGCTAGAACTGAACCAGGCCCTGATACAGACCTTGATAATTCAACATCCCTGTAAGCAGAATCCAGAAGTTGCCATGTAAGCCAGAAAACCATACAGCCCAAGGACATTTCTTTTAACTTTTGCGAGAGATAATTTCCAAGGAAAATTAAATGTTGTTAAGCCCATAAGAAATAAGCTGATCAGCCAAGACTTTATCTCATTTTTTTCCATGCATTGCTATTCTGCCAGTTTCTCAGATGAGAAACCTTGAAATAACTGCTAACTTTTTCCTTACATTCTTCCTATAGGCACTCTCAGTCACATTACTAAAAAAACAGTGTATTTTATTCTATTTTCCAAAAATTACTCAAAGTTATATAGTTATCAAATTCACCTTTTCCTCTTCCTCTTCATTAAAATAATAAATAATATGTATTTAGTGATTACAATATGCAAAACATTGTCCCAAATATTACACATTTATTATCTCATTTGATCTTCTAAACATCCAGTGAGTAAGATAGTATTATTCTCCTTACTTCACAGACACACAAAATAGATTCCCAGAAAAGTAAAGTAATTTGCCCAAGGCTTGAGGGCTGATAGATGGTAGAGGTGGAACAGAAGTCCAGCCAAGAATCTTAACCTCTATGCTCTGGTAGTCACTGAAGACTCCCCTCCATTGATACCAACATATGTACCTGACCACATCACCCAGTAATTAGTAAGGTGAACTCTCCCCTCCAGGCCACATCTTCTCAGTGGTCCCTAGAGCTCACTGATATTTAGAAGCACTGAAGTCTACTTCTATTCCTCTCCAATTACTCAAAGGCCACCCATCCTTCAAAGCTAGCATGTCTCCTAATTACTCCTCACCACTTTGATATTTTTTAAGTAAGTTAAATTTGAAAGGGCTTATCATTAGTATAATACAGTGGTTAGGACTTTATATAAGACAACGTGAATTCAGATCTAAGTACTTGCCCTTAATAGCCATGTAACTGGATAAATTACACAAATACATTCACCTTCAGTTTGTATATATGTAAAGAGCAGATGGCTATAATGTTTTCCTTACAAAGTATATTGAAATAATAGAGATACTGTAAAGAAAATGCTCATAATGACTAGCTGACAATGAACATTTGGTAAGTTACAACTATTAACATTGTCATCTAGTCCTATACTTTTAAGAAATATTATAACAATTCAAATATTAACAGTTTATCCCAATTCCCAGGCCAAAGTAAAACCTGGTTTTTAAGGAAAAAATAATCATATTGTGTGTTTTTTACGGCTCCTAAACCAATGTCCAGAACTGATAGACCCAGAATAAGCGTTAAGTATATGGATGAATTAAATACTGAAGGCTAGGACACAGATATAAGATACTAAATAAGTGGAAAGAATTCCATGTGGAATTCATTCACTTATAGAAAATGACTAAAACTTCTTGAAAATCAACAACTTTCTTATCTTTAATCTAGACTTGGAACAAAGTACTTTGAACTCTCCAGCGGCCAGTCAGAAAATGAGGAACAGGTTGTGAATAGAAGATACAAAGGAGTATTAGATCTGCATTGATTAAATGGTGACTACAAATAGACTTAAAATACATCTTCCCAATTATGAATCTCTACAGGTGAGTAATTTCCGAGACGAAAAAAAATTACCATTAGGAACATTGACTTCGCTGGCTTCCATTGGGAGAGTGGCCCATTCTGGCAGGTCAGATAAGAAACTATTATCAACAGGACTATTGGTGCCTGTGGCTGAGGTAGAGCCCA
Source organism: Homo sapiens (assembly GCF_000001405.40). Lineage (NCBI taxonomy): Eukaryota > Metazoa > Chordata > Mammalia > Primates > Hominidae > Homo > Homo sapiens. The sequence goes on from NC_000007.14 coordinate 20,150,735, forward strand.
GTGGGCAAAGGTAATTGAAGAAAGGAAGTGAGGCCAGAGTGGTGGCTCACACCTGTAATGCCAGCAATTTGGGAGGCCGAGGTGAGTGGATCACCTGAGGTCAGGAGTTCGAGACCAGCCTGGCCAACATGGTGAAACACCCATCTCTACTAAAAATACAAAAATCAGGCAGGTATGGTGGCATGCGCCTGTAATCCCAGCTACTTGGGAGGCTGAGGCAGGAGAATCTCTTGAACCTGGGAGGTGGAGGTTACAGAGAGCTGAGATTGTGCCATTGCACTCCAGCCTGGGTGACAGAGCCAGACACTGTCTCAAAGGAGAAAAAAAAAAAAAAAAGAAAGGAAGTGAAACTTTAGTGTCCTTGGTGAATATGTGTCCTTATTAAACAAGATAAAAATGGCATAATCTATATTGTTAAGCAAGGGGGCCAATGAGGGAGCCATAGAAAAAGTATTGTCATTTGTGGTAACCATCCCTAGAAGGCTAAGTGAAGAGCACCCAATTTAGGCCAGTGAATTTCTTATCTCTGAATCCCCAGCATGTCCCCTTGTAAAATTCAACATTTAAAAAGTGAGCTATTTTTCTAATATGCTATTGATTCCTTTTTTAAAAAATTAAAACTCTAAATATATTCAGAAAATGCCAATAAATTTTCACTAACTTTCACGGAAGAACCTTGGCAATAGTGACATCTTTGTATAGTGTAAGTGCATTTTTTCTGAAAGAAATACTCTGAAAAACATACTTTGCTTATTATCAGATTCCAAGCTTTACAGCTTTGCTTTTATGTAGTAATTACCATGTCATTAGAAAAGTCGAGTAACATTTCTTAAAATTTAACTTGAGGAGATGGTTAATTTCAAAAGTGACATTCTCAAAAGTTTCCAAAGAGAGGCTTTTTCTTCACCTTAGAAAAAATTAAGAAATGGTTAAGGTGTTCAGAAAATCTGACAAATTTATTATTAATATACTTCATTTTTTAACCAGCTTGAGGCTTGGTAAAGATTTAATTTTGAGGCAATTTTTGATAGTATCATGGCTACTTGACATGGCCTGAAAAGAGGACAAATAAAAAATGAAACAAGTTGCTTAACCCTGGCCGCACCTTCTGACTCTGCAACATAGTCACCATATTAAACAGTGATGGACAGAGTGTAATGGTTAAAGTCATGGACTCTGAAGTCAAATGTCTGTGCTCTAAACATGGTTCCAGGACTTTCCAGCTGTGTATGTTTAAGCAAGTTACTTATCCTCTCCATATCTTAGATATTAGTGTCTGCCCCATGAGTTTTTATTGAAAGGATTACATTAATTAATTTTTGTAATATTTCCAGAACAGTGTCTGTCACGGAGTCAGTGCCAGATAACTCTCCCTAAGATACAATAAAAATAGAACAAAGGGAAGAGAAAGAAGTTAAAGGAGAGAAAGTAAGCGAAACAGCTCAACTGCAGGCATTGGCACACATAGAAGGCAGTTTTTGGAGTGTGTGCCCTCTGAGGAAATGACATACAGGAAAAAAAGCGGCCCAGCAACTGCTAGACCTAATTATCTCCCTGCCCCAGTGCACTTCCCTCCCTCTGCACCCCCTACCCAGAACTAATATCAGTGTGCTTTGAAATCAACTACTTGAATTGTAAATTGATCATATTTAGGAATCTCCTCCCAAAGAGAAAAATTATACAGCTATTTTTTAGGAGGTTGGAAATTAGCATATATTTACCCATTAGTTAAGTGACCTCGTACGTAAGATTTCTGTATATTATTTGGAATGACCTCAGGCCAATATACTGTGGATTTTTCTAAGTATTTAATAACATGAATCTGAGTGATGACTATTACTATTAATCACAATAAGTTGAACTATCATAGAAAGACACCTAGGGGCTTTCCTTTCTGCTTCTGAGTGTTTATCAGCCTCAGGCAAAGACTTAGTCATTTATGATTTGGGCTGTGCAAAAGTAAATAATGGAAAAGTGGGTGGTTTGCTGGCCTCCATCAAGATTTAGGGGAAGACAAACTATAAACAACCACAATTAGAGAGAAGCCAGATGCTTAAGGAGGCTGACAGAATAAATAACTCTGATAAATAACTCTCAACAAAACTCTTTCAAAACAGAACCTTATTAAGAAAAAAAGGTCCTGCTTTCAATTAGACAACTTTTTCATCAGTTAACTGAAATGTCCGAATCAGAAGAGCGTATCCCTCATAATATTTGTTTTTCCTTCTTAAAGGCTTCCTATCTTTCATCTCATTCTGTAAACACTTGAGTCCATTTTGTGTACTGCACCAAATGCTATATTATGCTTATTTATAGGCTGTAATGCCCTTCTAAGTTTATGGAGATAAATGTAGTCTCTGAGGGGAAAGACATCCTCAGTCCCTGGTTGCTCCTGGCTAAAGAGTCTTATTTTGGAGAAGTCCTGGCTGGAGAGCCAGGCTGCAGGAACTCAGAAACCAGCCTGCTGACACTTCCACTGCAGCTGCTGGAATTCAGCTGACTTGATTTGACTCTACTTTTCATGCAAAGGTGGTTTTGTCCTGTTCACCCAACTGGAATGGTTGCATCGAAGCAAGAAAATTTTCTCCAAAAATTAATACCCAGATCTACGCCAAAAACAAAGTGAAGAATACAGCTTCTGCTCTCACCAAGTCATCTCTAATAGAGAGAAGATTTCCTTAAACATAAATATCTTCAAAATGCTTGTTCATTTGAGAGAAAGATACAGAATATTTTACATGTGCCCTTCACTGGAATATTTTTATTTATTTAATTCAATAAAAATTGACTCCCAGTTCTTTATGGTAATCTGGAGAAAAATATGTGTTTAACTTGTGCCTAACAGCATACATTTGTTTTGATAAAAACAATATTTTCATGGTAAATATTTACTTTGTACTAAGTGCTAACATTCTGCAACTGATGCCTGTAGTTACTGTAGGCAACATTGTGAAGGAGATAATGAAGCTCTTAGTTATCAATCTCTCATCACCAGTGGCTCTACATCCACTTTCTTACTACTTCTTGTCCCTGAGCATTAGTTATCGCAAGTGACTAAGTTTATGCCTGAGGCCGATAAGTACATATCATTATGTCTTCCTCTATTGTCCTGACTTGATCCTGTCTCCCACCTTCAAAATTTACCTGTTTTATGACTCAAGTTCTTATAGCCATCCCCACTTACTGGCCCAATTTGATCAATTAATTCATTGATCAAAGGCCATGAGAATATGAAATCCAAAAGAAGAAACATCAATATTTTAAGGGCTCTCAATGCCTTTTAAGAGTGTGTGTGTTTATTTCAGATAGTACTGATGAGTTACTAGTGCAGTGATTCAGTTAGTGGATCATCTTGGACATTCCCCCAGTGAATCCGTGAATGTGGTATGGGTTTGATTACATTAGTGTTACTTGGTCTGCAACTTTTCACTATTGAATTACACAAACAGAAGTCTTACCTCAACAGCAACATCTCCAGTGTTTCCTCGATGAGGAATTTCATATGCCTCCATTTGTTGCTTTGTGAGTCGTACTAACTTTTCAGCTAGTTCCCTCCAGCCTTTTCCAAGCTTGACAGCTGAAGTCAGAACAGCAGCTTCTTGGATGAGACGTGCGACTAACTCTTGGCAATCCATTTTCAGAAGAGCCTGCAGCAACAATTACATGTCACAATTAAAAGCAACTAACTTGGGCTTTTCTCTCTATAAATTGGAATTTTTATTACATATTCTACAAATGGGAGTCCTTTTTTTTCACTACACGTATAATCGAGTTTTCTAAAGCTCAAGGAGTTGATTCACATTTAAGCAAATTCTATAAGCAAACTACAGTAGACATAACTAAGCCAGAGTTAGGGGAGATTTAGAACTAATTCAGTGGCTAATTATAGGACCTTGGATAAACCACTTAACTAATATGTGTCTTTGTATCTTTAATTGTGAAAAAAGGAAGTTAAATTACACACTTCCAATGGTACTCTGAAGTTCCGGCAGTCTCTAATTTATCACTCTAGGATTAGTTATTTACTCACAAGAAATAAAGCCTCGTTCTAGGAGAGGATTGGCTACAAGAATTTCTTTAAAGTGTATGTGAACTGGTGATGGTAAATATTATTCTATTTTCACCAAAATATGACTTAAAACATCCCAGAATCATGCCTGCTGTGTTTAAAAAAAAGAGACACTCCTTCAACTTTGAACAAAGCTATTGATGTTTATAAGTTTAAAATATATATATATAAATTTATTAAAAATACTCTCCCTCATCACCAATATAATGGTATTAAACATAAAGTACAAGGTATTAAAGACAAAACACCTAGTCTTCTACAATGCAAAATAGAAAACCATCAGGCTCTTACCTAACCATGCATGTTTCAAACAAGTCTACAAGTTTGTGTTTTGCCTTGAGTACCATTTTTAAAATATGGGATTACATCTATCTATACCTCTTCTTTGTTCAAATGAGCAAATAGAGTAGCTCCCCCTTAGGAGGGGGAATCCAAGGAGATCCAAGAATCCAAAGGAGTCACATTTCAAGGCTGTCCAGTGGATGCCTGAAACTGCAGATAGTACCAAATTTTATACACACTGTGTTTTTTCCTATACATACACACCTATGGAAAAGTTTAATTTATAAATTAGGCGCAGTAAGAGATTAACAACAATAACTAGTAATAAAATATAACGATCATAACAATATACTCTAATAAATGTTATGTGAATGTGGCCTCTCTCTTTCAAAATACCTTATTGTACTCTACTCACCTATTTGTCAATCATGGTTGATGGTAGGTAACCCAAACCACAGAAAGTGAAACTGTGGATAAGGGGAACTACTGTAAACATGTTTGGTAGCCCCTCATTATTTAATGGCACTTTGGAGCTTTATCTACCAATATGAAACAATAAGTTAAAATGAATAAGCAAGTAAAGCAACTATGAAAGTTGATAGCATGTTCATTCCCCTGAAAGTATGCAATTAGAAGGACTACCCATGGTTTTGATACATAAATGGATCCATACATTTATACTGAAGAGTTATAGCCTCAGTGAGAAACAATACTGAGCTAGCGGGCCCCTGATGGTGCTTTTAGTAAACTGTGGAGTGGGGTTACTACTTTATATTCCAGTTTCTTGTTTTAGGGAAAAGATCTGTACTTGGAGCCATAAAACCTGAGTTTAAAATCCAGCTCCACATAGTATAAGACTTTACATGCATCACACAGTATCTCTATTTAATGATTTTTAAAATCAATGTAGTGTTAATTCCACTTTGTCTAAACTTCCATAATCATTGTGAAAATCAAATTGGATGCTGAAGTGCTTTAGAGAGTGTCAAGTATATAAGGACAGCCAGTCTCAATGTCAAGAGATGACTGAAGGGTTTGGATCCCACAGTCTTTTTCAGCTTATCGGGTCGCTCCCTGCCACACCAAATCAATATACAATCCTAGAAAAATGTATATTTACTATGCAAATAAAGTTTCAAGAGACAACTCTATACCCCATGCTCCATCACCTGCCAGTCAGAGAACCAGGCCTGAGCCTCTTCATACAGAAATCCTGAAACCTCCACTAAAGCTTGGAAGCTCCCCGCTTGAATGGAGTCTCTACTAGATTTTCTAATTAGCCGCTTGAGGCACTCTGGTAATTATCATACCCCAAAATATACAGGTATGATCAGGCTTGAACTTTCAGACCATCATTAATGACCTTTGGCCATTACAACATTTTTAGGCCACTAAAAAAACAAAAGAAATTAATTTTCCAATTCAAACCTTTGCAGGTGAATGTTAAATATGAGCTATGAGAGTTAATGAGCTATTACAAAATGCACACGCAGCTTCCACCAGGTAGAGCAGCTTCTAACATTCAGTCTCCAATAGTTCTGAATGTCCCAGGGTAGGTAAGAATGCAGCACACCATAAAAAATCTATCAACTTAGCAACTGGATATAGGAGCTTTTGAATTTCAACTTCTCTAAGTATCACTGTAGAATCATCAAAAATATTGAAAGAGAGATAATGTTATATATATTTATTTATTATATGAATCATTGTTAATGCCACAGATTAAATTTGTTCTCCAAATATTTTCTACTTCTTTTGCATCTTGATTAAAACTTTGCTCCTTTGCATGAACCTGCCTATATAATTTTATTTACCTTCTACAGAGCACCAGCCTTTCACAATTATAATATTTAATACAAATACCTACACATACACAGTACTTATACAAACATTTTTATACACACACACATTACTTTGTTTCATGAAGGCATAGTGGCTTTACGCATGATTTTGAAACCAAAAAATATTCAAATCCCATCTATAAGAATAGGCAACTGTAGGACGTGGGCAAATTGTCTAACTTTTTAAGACTTGGTTTCTTCGACCTATAAGATGAAGATACTAGCTATACTTACCCCATAGAGTTGTTAATGGCTAAATAAGCACTAGAGAAGCATTAACAATCATTTTTATTTTTACACTCATGTTTTAACCATTTTTAGAAATATGATCTTGATTTTTTTTATTTTTATAAAATATTGAATTTCTACTTTAAAGGTAAAAAGTACTTTGTAATTCTACACTGAGCCTTCCACTGGGTTGAATACTACACTAAAGAATTTGGCACTGGGAGTCCTATTAAAACATGAGGATTAAGATGAGAATTACTAATATTATTGTTTAGGCTGTAATGCATTGTATACATAAGAATATTAAATTGCTAAAGGATATTGGTAATACATTAAAAAAAAGAAACAGCCAGGTGTGGTGGCTCATGGCTGTAATTTCAGCACTTTGGGAGGCAAAGGTGGGAAGATTGCTTGAGGCCAGGAGTTCAAGAGCATCTTGGGAAACATAGTGAGACACTCATCCCTTAAAAAAAAAAAAAAAATACCCAGGCATGGCGGCACATGCCTGCAGTCTGAGTTACTTGGGCAGCTGAGCCCTGGAGGTTGAAACTGCAGTGAGCTGTGATCGTGCCACTGCACTCCAGCCTGGGCAACAGACCGAGACTTTGTCTCAAAAAAAAAAAAAAAAAAAAAAGAAAGAAAGAAAAAAATCCCACACACACTGAAAAGTAGATCCCTAACAATGGCCAAGTTAGTTCTCTTTAGTTTGCTTTCATGTTATGGAGCCTCTCTGGTATCTTAAGAGTTGTCTAAATATTTGAGACAGGAAGAGAAGTTGTATCTGAACTGTTAAGCCCAGCACAAACAGAACTTTTTATTTTCTTTTAAAAGATGATCCTGGTTTTTGGGGAAATCACAGTTGAATCTCAAGTTTAAGAAACCAGTTTTATGATCATGTAGGAAAAACTATATTTGCTATAAAGTGTCTTTAATGTATTTAAGACTGTTGAATTTTTAAACATTTCTCCTCTCACATGTTCAGTTATAAATATTGTCAAGTTAATACAATTCTCGATGGCAATTCATTACCATGATCAAGCAATACTCACCACAATAAGTTCATACAGAAACTTCCTTGTATTTCTCTCTGTGTGGCAATCTTCCTTTAACTTCTTTATAACATAAGAAACTTTCTCTGATTCTTTGTCTGCTTGAATTTGATCAAAATCTTCCAGGGACAGATGTGAGTAACCCAGGACATCAGCTAAAACTTTCCAATCATAAACTTTTTCTGACACCAAGGTTAATACAACTGAGTAGATATAAGTCAATTTTTTTAAAGGCAGGACAATCTGTTCAAGAAGATTTCTGGTTGTAAAGACACTATCTGACATAAACATTACTTGCTCCTTTGAAATCACCTTGACATTTTTGCAGTGTACAAGTCCAATCTTACCTCTGAGGACTCCTACATACCATTCTTTCACTTTGGACTGACCAATAGCTTTTACCTTACCTTCCCCGAGGAGAGCTATTGTGTCCCCTTTGAAATATTCAAGGAAGTAATCAATCTTGCTTTGTCTTAGCACTGCCTTCAGGGTTACCCCATAGTTGCTAAAGTTCAATGTTTTATCTTGAAATGTAGGATATTTAACAAGAATTTTTGGTGATAAAGGAGCAGACTTGATTTCCTCCTTCTTCTGCAAATAGCCTGGCAGATTCGAGAGTCTTTTTAGGTTTGGGGTTGGATCAGGAGTAGTGATAGAGAACTGTGCAACTGGTTCACCATTGGGAGGCTCCACTTGAACACAAAAATCAAACAAGTGCATCTCTCTGTGCTCAACTAAAGAAAATAAAAATTGTTGATGAACTACTTCACCTGCTTCCAACTGCTTTTGTTTAATTTCTTTCCTTTCTCCTTCTGTCTTTACTTCAAAATCAGGATCACAGGAAAAAATAGAAATACTTAAATCTTGTGGCTTGTCAAGTAAAAATGACTGCTTCCCCCAGAGCTGAAACACAACTGGAGATATGTTTTTTCCACCCTTCTTAATATCAGAAATTGTAAGCTGTCCTGGCATATAATTGTGTCCACAAACTGTTAAAACAACAGTAAAACTGGGATGGATATATTTGGGTCCATAAATTCCAATTGAGGTGGTTTTGTGGATATAATCCCAAATGGTGGCAGCTGGTGACGGAAGAGCTTTAGCTTGTGCAGCAACCACTAGATACATTACCTGACTCAAGTCGATTAGCTTGACTTGGATGGTGTCTTTATAAATGTAGCAGTTGCTTAAAACTTTAAAAGGGCCTTCTTTACCCAAGCTGTGTAAACACACCATTTCTGTCATGACTTGGCTGAAAGGATCCTTTCTTACTTCAGCCCCAATTTTCATCTCCAGCAAAAGGGCTTCCATTGTATTGAGGTTGCCTAACATGATTTCCAACAACGGGCTCACAGTGCACGAAAGATCATGGTTAAGCATGTGTGGCGGATCAAGGAAAGCCCTTAGAGACACCTCTTGGAATTCTCCCACAGCCACATGACCTTGGGGCACATGAACAGTGATGTCTGATTCAGGTAATTGTACTGACCCTCCTTGATGGTTTACTTTGCAAGCTATGGTGACCTCCGCAAGTTGTGTCTGGGCCCATCCAGGGCTCTGACTAATTGTATTCAAATCAAGGCAGGAGCGGGCCAGCTGGCGTTGACTTAACCAAGCCATTTTATAAGCCTCCCGATCATTTTTAAGCCACTCTAAGTCGTGTAGTAGGATCTGGTCAGAGTTATGTATACTCTGATGGGCATGTGCTGTGTCGTCTAAAATGTCCAGAAGTTCTGAAACACTTTTAGATCTTCCAGAATTTCTTGAGGAAGTCTGCCTAAGTAACTGATGCACATCAAGTTCATCACCGGAGGAATCAAAAGAATTTCCATTTTCTATTTCTCTACAGAAAAGAAAAGGATCTTCCTTTAAGATGGAAATATTATTTCTCTTCCTGTTATTTCTTAGTTGAGTTATGTCATCCAAAAATGGGTTAGAAGCAGACAGTTGATTCCAGAATGGATTTGCAACTTTGGAAGCATTATTACCACGAAGGGTGAAAGCATCCGGCCAATTGTGAAGCAAGTCTGGGTCCTGGCATTCTTGTTATTTAAGGAAAGACAAAGCAAAACAAAGATAAGGTGGCACTGTGAGTTACAATCAAGATTAATTTTTCCCATAGCTTAAAAATTCAGGACTTACTTTTCATTTTTCTTTCTGATCTCTAGTCTACTAGCTAACATAAACTCAATGTTAAATTTGCTCAAATTTATATGTAATGAGAGAAGAATATTTTTTCTACCAGGTTATTTTTTGAACATATGTAATGTTATTTTAAGACATCATGATTTATAAACTAAACAAATAAATATTTAATATGACCTAATAATATATTTAACACATTTTCTTGAAAATGACTCAGACTAGCATGTGCTTATGCTTTATTATTTTATGTATCATGTTTACAAAAGCAAATTTCTGGTCAAATAGAATAAATCAGTTATTCAATTATCCATATTTTTCTAAGCACTGAATTGTTGGTTTCATTACATTCAGAATATTAATTTAATATTTTCCTTTTCAGATAATATTGAATATGTAGAAAATATCAAATACATCTGTTAATATTTAAAATAACGTTTAAAACAATATGCTAAGTTAGAAAGTCATTAATTTATTAGATAATTCTATAATTTTGTATTGAAATGTTATTAACATTTTTCAGGAAAAGGAATTCATAAAATGAACATTGAAAATTTAGACCACCATTGGTTTTATTGATCAAATGAATTCATTGCACTCAAGCTTGCAATGGCAAATAATAATTTTACCACTAGAAATTGAAGCATTATTATTTTGGAAAGTAAGTGTCTTAAGAATTTGTAACATTAAAATATTTACATTTCTATTATAAGAATTTCTAGATATCTCACAACATTGAAGCCATTTTTTGTTTGTGTAGAGCAACTCGTACTTGGTCATTTCTTAGTAAATAATTATAAAGACTCTGTAGACTTTGTGAAGCTAGTGCTGCTTTTAGAGACAGGCAGAAGAGCCAACCAAATTTTCAGAAGTTCTACTGAAAAAATAATTCAAGCAAACTGTCAGAATTTCTTTTGTTTAATATACATAGAAACATTACCTTAATTGAAATGTTTTTAAGTGTTATATGCTAAAAATTAGAAGACGGATTTTGAAAAATAAAGGTGGCATTTCTCTTATATTCACACTTTTCTTTAATACAATTACCCCTAACTCTCTTAAAACTTACTTTTCCTCTGAGGATCAGGTTAATTTTTTGATGCTCCATGAAGATTTCCTAGGTCAATCAACCTTCAGAGAGCCTTTTTACCCCCAAATTCATTATAGTTATTGCATATAACACTCATTTATTAACAACATTTTTCCTTTTTATAATATTTATCATAATCTGTTGGCTGTGCTATTTTATTTTGCACATCTTTTTAACTATTTCTATGATAAAAACAAGATTTTATAATTCTTTTCATCTTCCAGCATTTTCAGAGGTAGACCTTCAACAATTATTGGTGATGAATTTCATATACTTACATGGACAAATCACAACAGTTATAAATTCCCATACCTGTAATATTGCAACTTTTTGAGAGTTTTCCAGCTTCCATGTCAATCAAATTTGCTTCAGACATACTTTGTGCAATTCTTCCTGACCGAAAATGTTTTCTTTCAGTGATTAGCATTTTTCCACCTACAAAGTAAATAGATAAGTATTTTTTGTAAGCATACATATACAGGCTGGCAGAGAAAATAAACTCAAAGACATCATACGTATTTCTATAAAGAACTACATGTGAAAATCCTCTATATAAATCTTCTACTCCTGGTAGGATACTCGACTAGATATACTAAAATATGTGTTAGCACTCCACTAAAAAATGATCAAATTCCAGATTAATACCAATAACCAAATCTGGAAATATATTACTGATCCCATATAAAAGCAATTAATGAGAATTCCAAGGACAACAACAACAACAACAAAAAAGTAAGTTGAAAACTAAGTAAATAAACATTTCCTGTTTGGCGATTGGAGGACTAAATATCACAAACTAAAAATTTTCCCCTAAATCCTTGTATACATTCGATGCAGTTCCATGAAAAATTGCACGTAAATGTGTATGTGTATTTGTTACTTCTTTTTTAATAGTTAAAATTTTATTTATTTCTCAATGGATAAAATTGTATGTATTTATTGCATAGAGCATATTGTTTTGAAGCATGTTGTTTAACAACACATACAGCAGCAATAACTTCTTAAGCTATTTTAATATTTACATAGAAAAGCAAAGAGCTAATACTCAATCCAGAAGAAGAGCATGACAAAAGTAACTGCACTACCTATCAGATATCAGCATTTATCATAAATAGGCTCTAAGTAAGACAACATGGAAGTGGAACATAAATATATGAAGGACACAGAATAGAGATCTCAGAATCAGACCCACCCTTATATGAAGGATTGATACATGGCACAGGTGGCCAAACAGAGTGGTGTGGAAATGGTGGATTATTCATTAAACAGTGATGTTGCCATTTGTTGTGCATGCTAAAAAAATATTACATTGATCACTATCTCATCCTGTGCACAGAAAATAAATGCCAAGGGATTAAAAAACCTAAAAGTGAAAACAAAACCTTAAAATTTGGAAGATAGTCTAGAGATCGTCTTTATGTTTTCTGGGAAGGAGAGAATTTCTTAAACAAGGCACACACACTTATGCAATATGCAAATCCTAAAAAATAAAACCACACATTAGAATAAGACATCCTATATAGCAAAGGACATCAGTAAAAACACAAGCCAAAACTAGGACAATTTATTTTCATTGCACATGACTGAAAAAGGAAAAATAATTGGATTCCAAAATATATCAAAGATTCCCGCAAATCAATAAACAAAATAAAACAACACTATAGAAATTTTTGAAAAAATTCTCTAAATGAACATTTCTCAAAAAATGGAAACACAATGGCCCCTAGATATATGGAAATATGATCAATCTCATTGGTAATTAGGAAAACGCAAAATGAAACCCCAAGAAACACAATTTTTACCTATGAAATTTGCAAATATTTTAGTCTAGTAACACCAATTATTGACAAATATGTGCAACAAAGGGAAAGCCTATATACTTGTTGTGGAAGTGTCAATATGTGCAACCACTTGGAAGTTAATCTGACATTGTCTAGGAAATAGGCTTACAGCCTAGTACCCAACAATTCCAATCCCAGTTATTTGTTTTAGTGAAAACTCTGCAGATGTGCATCAAAGAGATATACATGAATATTCATTACATTATCAAGAAAACTGAAATCCCTAGGATATTCCCCAGAATATCCTTTGCCATATAAGTGGATAAATAAATTGTGGCATATTAACACAATGAAGTATCATACAACTATTGAAACAGATGAATCACAACTAAAAGTATGAACACATACTGGTAGTCAGTATCTCATGTCTGGGACTCAGCCTTCTTTACATATATAATTTCTCTTCATCCCATGACAACATTGAAAAACAGGTATTATAAATATGACTTTCAGAGTCTCAGCAATAGAACGTAACTAAACCACAAGATTGATTAGCAAGTGAGCCACTGACCGGAAGTTACTTGTTCATGTTATAACTACTATATGCAGCCCATAACTTAAGATGCCACATACCCTATGTCAGACTCAAGATTCCCAATGTACCTTCTGAGACTGTCCCACCTTCTAGTTCACATTTCCAGTTATTTTTTAAATTATCATTATTTGTTTATTTATTCAGAGATGAAGTCTCGCTATATCGCCCAGGCTGGAGTACAGTGGTGTGATCTCAGCTCACTGTAAACTCTACTTCCTAGGTTCAAGTGATTCTCATGCCTGAGCCTCCAGAGTAGCCGGGATTACAGGCGCCCACCACCAGTCCTGTCTGATGTTTGTATTTTTAGTAGAGACAGGGTTTCACCATGTTGGCCAGGCTGGTCTCGAACTCCTGACCTCAGGTGATTTGCCCACCTTGGCCTACCAAAGTGCTGGGATTACAGGCATGAGCCACCACGCCCGGCCCAGTTACTTTAAACCTTACTTTTTGTTCTCCTTTGTGTGTGTTGACCACATCTCGTTCACCTGTGACCCCTCCTTCTTTATTGTTATACTCTTCTTTCTAATTCTTGATTTTTTTCTTTTCAAGTAGTTTTATTTTTTAAAGAAAGCAGAAGCCTTTTCTGATCTATAAAAATGAAAGAAAAAATTAAAACAAGATGGAAAACAGGGAAAAGGAATAAAAGAAAAAGAAAAGGAAAAGGAGGGAAGCATGTGTTTCCAGGCATGATAATTAAATAAATCCAAAAATTGTCTCATAAGGTGGCATGCTTAAAAAAATCCAATGTTGCAATAACCATTTCTTTCCCTGATTGGGGAAACTACATCGAAAAAATGGGTAAAATGTTGAATTATGCAATATTCAAGTTGCACGGAAACCTCAAATTTCCTGGCAGACCTTCCAAATGCTGTGGTTGATTTTACCAAATATAATGTCCAAAATTAAAAGTTTTTAGCACAGAATAAGTAGTCAAAACTTTGAGGTAGAAAAGCTGAGCTCAAGTTCCTCAGCAAAATGTAACAAACTAAATTAAAATGAGGAACAAATGTCTAAATGGAAAACTATTTTCGAAAAGATAAAATATATTCTTAAAAAATCAACTTAGTAAACTACCTAAACTCTTTTTTTTTTTATGAGGAAAGAGCAAAATGAGCAATATGTACTGAGGATTCCTTTGAGGCAAATAACCGTTGATATGAAAAATAGTTATAACCAAATGGAATGTAGGTAGAAGTCCTCAACCACATAAAAACCAGGAATGATGCCTTACGCAGCTATGACCTTGAAGGATCATAACCTCTCAGAAACAAAGGCACCAAAGGGTCGTTAGCTGAGATTCTTTGTGGATTATCCTTATTCTCCAGTCACTCAAGCAGGTCTTCACTGTCCTTCAAGGTAGTTGTTCCAAAACTCAGTGGCACCAGGATCACTTGGAAGGCTTAATCAAACAACCCTTTGGAACCACCCCAGTGTTTCTAATCCAGAAGGTCTGGGATTGTGCACAAGAATTTTATTTCTAACAAAGCTGTCAAATGATGCTGATACTGTGGTTCGGTTCCAAGGGGCACATGCTGAGAACCACATTCTGAAAGCCATTCTAAAAGCTCCTTCCCTAGCCAAATGGTTTCCCTAGCCACTCTCACTATCCCACAACAAATCCTCTCTCTCATAATCTTTCTCTACACAAACACATCCCTCCATCCCTCACAGTACCATCCTAAATCTAAATTTTTTTCTATGAATCCAAGGAGAGGTGGTATAGGGGAAAAAAAAAAATCCTCGACTGGAAGGACCAAGATCTGCCTGGACAATGGCATTGCTTGTTTACACAGGTGCAAATCACATTAGCCACATTTAGCATTTCCCTATGTTTTCTTCCAATTAAACCCCATACTCAATGACAATTGCCGCCCAAAACAGGATTTTTTTTTTTACTTTATCTAGAGAAACATGAGTCAGTCTTTGTTGGAATGAGTAAATGAGAATAGAGTACTCTAGTATTCATTTAATTTGGGACATGGTTTTTCAATATGCCTTTTAAAAATACTTATGCTGATTTTGCATGATCCATTACTTTTTTCCTTAAGAAACCAACAAAGTTTTGCCCTTATTTATTTTACTATTTAAACTAGGCCCTAAGCAACTAGAAACATTTACCAAATGTACAACTTAGCAAAAAAGTCAGAAGATATTTTTTGTGAGGATAAGGGGTGGGGAGCAATGCAGTGTTTGGAATAAGTAACCAAGAAAACAATACACTTAAAAGAATTATTTCTTTAAAATGTGTCCTTTGAATTTTTTATGATAGTAATTACATTGTGAAAATTGCTAGTGTTAGCCAGCTGGTAGGTTCAAAGTATTTTTCAGTTAGTGCTTGAATACCTGAAACCTCGATGATTTCCATGAATTTGTACTGTATTTAACTCTTGATCTATGTGATAATAAAAACATGTCCATGTAGGCTATAACTCTTATAGGTGACAGGAGAGCAACTGTTGGACTAGTAGACTTTTCCTTCACCTGCCAAATGCCAAACCTGCCCAAGTAACATTGTATTACTTGTAAATGCAACCAGTATTTTTTTAAAAAGGCCCACAAAGGAATCATAATCAGCTGATGATACACACCTGGTATGATTTTACTGGACATTACCATGCTGTGAGTGGCCTTACTGGATCTTACCCTAGGGCAACTTCTGATGGAATAGTGGCACTCTCTGATTGGTAATTTTTAATAGTATACACCATACACAAGCATACTTTCTCCCAGTTATTAAATACTTCAAGTGTTGCAGCTGATGATTCTGACCAAATATTTAAAAGACCTGACAGGGCAAATGTCAGCAGTTACTTTTCCCCAAGGCAAAGAGTTTCAGAAGATTCTCCAGGGAAGGGAGCAGGCCTCCCAGTGCATTAAGCGGTATTAGAAATCCATAATAATTTCTATGATACCTCCAACCCTGGGAACTCAAAACATTTCATCAATACGTCATCTTGTTAATATCACCAGGTCAAGATGTCTATCACTTCTTTCTATCTTATTATCCTTCCATCACTGGCAGAACTGAAGTTCAGGAAAATCATAATAATTGTGCAGCATAACATCATATTAGTGAGACTAAATCAGGGATATAAAAACAGTAGGTCAGAAACTGTTTGAAGTGCAGCTTAGTGATGTAGTCAAGGAACATATCCAGAAATCTAGATCTGGAAGAAAAGGTATAAAGGACTCCCTGAACAGATACACAAAAGGAATATCTTGGGCCTGTAAAAAATAAAAAAGGTAAAAGATAATCATAAGAGCTATTATTCATTATTTATTTGGAGCTTGCCACACTTCTGGTATCATGCATGGCTTTTCTTGTTTACTTGCAACAATTCTAGAAAGTTGGCTCTACCATCATCCTTATTTTTTTTTTAATTTATTATTATTTTTTCAATGGAGATGGAATTTTGCTCTGTCGCCCAGGCTGGAGTGCAGTGGTGTGATCTCAGCTCACTGCAACCTCCACCTCCCGGGTTCAAGCAATTCTCCTACCTCAGCCTCCTGAGTAGCCAGGACTACAGGTGCATGCCACCACGCCCAGCTAATTTTTTGTATTTTAGTAGAGATGGGGTTTCACCATGTTGCCCAGGCTGGTCTCGAACTCCTGAGCTCAGGCAATCTGCCTGCCTTGGCCTCCCAAAGTGCTAGGATTACAGGCATGAGCCACTATGCCTGGCCTCCATTATCCTCATTTTAAAGGTAGGGAAATAAAGTCTTAGGGACATTATATGCCCAAGATTATAAAGCTACTAAGTAGCAAACCAGTCTTTGAACTTAAGGATACTAGATACTAGCAAACACATTTTTGAACTCTACACAACACTTTCTACCTATAGGTTAAAACTTCTCTTCCAGAGGAAGCGAAATTTGAGACTACACCCTGACCCTGTTGCTGGAGAGTAGTATCAAGCCACAGTGTTGACCCCGGAAGATCTCCAAGTTCACAGCAGGACCTGCATCATGGGCATGTGACCTGTGCAATAACACAGAGCCCCACTCTTGGATAGGCCCCATGCTTGGTGTAATGCTCTGCCACTGCCATCTTGAAATACCTAATATGTTTTGAACAAGAGGTCCCATATTTTCATTTTTCACTGGTGCTGCAAATTATGTAGCTGGTCCTTGTTCACAGAGTTGGCAACCTTTACTCTTCAGACCCAGAGAAATGACTAAAATTACAAGGGGCCATGAAGAAAGGAGAAAAGCATTATTTTGGATGAAGAATGCTCATCTTACAGATGATGAACCAAGCTGCAGAGAGGTTGATAGTTATTTGTCTTTTTTATTTGAATTCCCTACAGTATGTTCATTTTACACGTGTGTGTGCATGAACATACCCACAACACACATGCACTTCCTTGGCTTAAAAATATGTTGAGAAATTTACAAATAGTCAAATAACACAATGAGTTTAAACAACAAGTAAGTGTATATTATTCTTCAGTAAAAAAAAAAAAATTTAAAAACAAAATAAGTGAATAAATAAGGGTGACATTTGCAGGAAGTTGGTAGGACAACTTCAAATAAAAGCAACTTCACAAACATCATGCTGTAAATTCCAGTATACCTATTAGCAGTAGTCCACACATTTGGCTCTCCACTTTCTGAAAGTGACCAAAATAAGGTAAACATGATTAGTTACAAGCTTCACAGTGATCATAGAACACAAAGAAGCCACTTAACAGCAGCACCAGCAATACCTGGAATAAAGAGGGGTGAAGAGGAGCATGTAACTACTGGGGACAGTATCCTCGGTCCCACCTTTTACAGTATGTTCAACAGTAAATCTCTTTAATGGAGCTCTTTCTTAATGTGTGTTGATGTCATCTCACCCAAAGGCAATTCTGTCAAGTCAGGTGGAGAAGAGTGGGCCCAGCTAGACAGCTATCTGCCTCCCTATTCTAAGATAAGCACACATGTCAGGTTACAATCCCAAAAGGACAGGACCTAGTCCAGTAAAGCCCACTATGCTTGGTTCCTCTCAACAGAGTTTCCCTTTCCACTTTTCAAGTCAGAGCTGACTGAGACATTCTAGGCCTAAGATCCAGAGCAGCTTTTTCTTTTGAAGACCCAAACAATTCACTAAGTTAAAGATAGGAGTCACGTTCTCTTGTGAAAATTGAGATGAGTAAATTTGAGATGACAATTGAGATGAGTAGCTAAAATGTAGCCTGAGCAGAAGATCATTCTACTTCTGCATGCTGTGCCATGATAGGGACTGCAGTTTTCCTCAGAAACAGTTTTGTTACTGCTCCCACACAAGAGCATACATTTCCAACTTTCAAGGCCACAGAGCAAAGCTGTAGTACTTTCATTGTGAAAAACATTTAATGACTTCTTTTACCTAATCCCCACTGTTGCCATAAAATATTCCCAGTGATATGTCTCTCAGGTTTAACTTTAAGCAATAGATGTTTCAAGCAAACTCTGAGAAATAAATTAGCTACAAATCTTGTCCCTGGGATTGGACAAGTTTAATTATTGCAAGAGTAGTTGGATATGACTTTGTGTAGTTATGGACCTGCAGTCATTTTTCTTTCCTGTACCCTTCAGTGCAAAAAACGTGTTCTGGGTTGTACTTTTCAAAAGGTATAAAGATCAACCCCCAATTCAGAAGGGGTGGACAAGACGTGGGTTTATAGTGTGGCTAATAAAGCTGTAACTGTAGGGTCCTCACTTGCATGGTCTTTTCTAGCAAACTGAGCCAAATTCTGTATTTGTTTTCTCTGCAAAGCTCCACTGCTTCCTAGAACACTTGACAG
This sequence comes from Homo sapiens, assembly GCF_000001405.40. Lineage (NCBI taxonomy): Eukaryota > Metazoa > Chordata > Mammalia > Primates > Hominidae > Homo > Homo sapiens. The sequence goes on from NC_000007.14 coordinate 20,169,580, forward strand.
TATATCAGGAGACCTCACTGGTTGTCATCAGTCAGCAATGTCTTTCCTTTCTTTTATGTAAATGCATTTTTGTAAAGTAGAAAGAATATAGGCTTTGGAGTTACAATTCTCTGGTTACAGTCCTTCTAGTATAAACTTGGAAAGATACTGAACATTTCTGGAACTCTACTTATCATCTGTAAAGAACTAAACTAAAATAGGTAATAATTAGTATTACTATCAACATATAATAACCCCACATGCTGTTCATAAGGATCAAATGAAATACTGTATAAAAAGTGGCACAAGAGGACCCCTTGCTTTTCCTCTGGTCTCTCCCTCCTGGTTATTCCAGTGCATATAGAAATAACTTTGCCAACTGGGCCCATTCAAGAATCTTCTCCTCTCAATCAGATGTCTTGAGACTCCAATCTCTGATAGCTTACAAGTTGTGTCTTGGGACCCTGTATCCTATTCTTCACCCTTCATAGAAAATTTTACCAGTGCCATGATTCCTGCCAAAAGAGTGACTGGACTCATCACAGCAGAGGCACTGGAGTGCAATAGAAAGAACGCAGTCTTTGAAAATAGACAGACGTAACTTCAGACCAATGCTTAGAAATGAATTCACTGGTCTGAGCACCATTTCCTCATCTACAAAATGAGGGTAAAATATTGTCTTCAAAAAGTGGTTACAATGATACGTGAAATATATCTCAATAAAGCTTTTTTAAAAAATTGTTGTAAATATTGAAATAACATAAATCCCCAATGAACATCAGTTGCTGCTTAAAATGATAATTCTTCTCTGTTTTTCACTTCTGTGCCAATTCCGTTGGTCTTAGACAATGTAATGAGTGGTTACTGACAAAGATATGTAAAGAATATTGGAAAAGAGGAAACAGAATAAACACTGTGAAAGTTTGTCATTTTAGCTTAACAGATTATTCAACTTGACAATACTTTTCACCTCTCTGAAGGGGAAAATGTAAAAATTATTGTATCGTTTAAAATTAGATTTGTGTTAGTACTTTTGCAGTAAAAGCAAGTATTTTTAGCCAACACTTGCTGAGTTGTTACTGTATGGAATTAATCGTAAGATTCCCAGCATTCTTTGCCAAGAGAAAAACACTCTGACATTTTGTGTATACTCACAGTTTTCCTTGGTTTGAACTTCAAACACTGATGTGAATCATTTGCATATCATCTGACAAGGCTACCTACTTGAAAGAGAATAAACATGAATCTTTGGTCACTGTTAAGTGAAAACAGAATGTTTATGCACTAACGTTTGCTATGAGAAAGAGCTTATGAATAAAATTTGGTAGAATGGGTAAGATTAAAGAGAGACTCATTACACCACACCATCCAATTCATACAGCAGGAATTTCCCTTAAATTCTCAACAATTGATTACATCTAGTTTCTAATGTTTCAGGGAATCACACTGTTTCCATTTGTTATTTTTGTAAACAGAACGGTGTGCAACAGTATGAACTCTTTGTCAAAGCAGTGACTTGAAAAATACTAATGCGCATACATGTGTGCATATATCTATTCAGAAATATAGACAACTGATAGAGAAAGATGGATATTGATATAGACATATATATGATTCAGCTGAACAAAAGTATTTTTGTTATTATTAATGCTCCACTGATTTCTGATTACTAGAAACTGGAAGATTATTTTATTTTCTTTTTTTTTTTTTTGAGGTGGAGTCTTGCTCTGTCGCCCAGGCTGGAGTGCAGTGGCGCTATCTTGGCTCACTGCAAGCTCCGCCTCCCAGGTTCACACCATTTTCCTGCCTCAGCCTCCTGAGTAGCTGGGACTACACGTGCCCGCCACCACGCCCAGCTAATTTTTTTTTATATTTTTAGTAGAGACGGAATTTCACCGTGTTAGCCAGGATGGTCTCGATCTCCTGACCTTGTGATCCGCCTGCCTCGGCCTCCCAAAGTGCTGGGATTACAGGCATGAGCCACCACGCCCGGCTGATTATTTTCTTTCTTAGAGACAATTATATCTGTTTTTTTTTTTTTGAGATGGAGTCTCGTTCTGTCGCCCAGGTTGGAGTGCAGTGGTGTGATCTCAGCTCGCTGCAACCTCCACCTCCCAGGTTCAAGCAATTCTTCTGCCTCAGCCTCCCATGTAGCTGGGATTACAGATGCCCACCACCACGCCTAGCTAATTTTTGTAATTTTAGTAGAGACAGGGTTTCACCATATAGGTCAAGCTGGTCTCGAACTCCCTACCTCAGGTGATCTGCCCACCTCGGCCTCACAGAGACAATTACATCTTCAAAATTTCACTTATTTCAACACGGTATCAAGTGATGATGTGAGTTACAAGAAGTCTGGAGGAAAAAGCTGAGAGAGGAAAACTGCCCTGGGTAAGAAAGGAAACCAACTGAGGAGACTGAGGATTGGGACAAGTGATTGTAGCCTAGAAGGGAAATACGAAATAAAAAGACATAACTAATGAGAATATTCTGAGGGAAATACTGAGAGGTATGCATTGTCAACCCTAATATCTAGTTCTCCCACACAATCTTCAGAAAAATCCATGTTACTCACTGATTCAGGAAACATTTATAGTGTAAAATAAGAGGCATTGAGTCCAACTTAACAGCAGGAATAAAAGGAAAACACAGCTGCCCAAATGAACATACGGGTTACAAGCAGGGTGAGCTGCCATTGATCTGGGTTTGCCCAGGACTGCCCTGTTTTAAAATCCAAACCTCTCAGTCCGGAGCAAACCAGGATGGCTGGTTACCACAGTTACAGGAACATGTTAGTATATAAGTACGTAGTCCAACATAAAGAATGTAAAATATTCAATGTAAATCTCTTTTCTATCTGTATGGATTTTTAAAGTATTTTAAACCATCATGAGGGAGAAAATAAAATATATAAATATATATACGCACATATATATACACACATATATACACACATATATATTTGAGCTATATAGGAATGACTTTAATTTCATGTTTAAATTAATTATGTTTTGTTATTCTACTTTCAGGTGTTAAATTCTAGTGGAAACAGAATAAAATACAAAATAAAATACAAAAGAAACCATTCAGAATAGAATAGGCAGAATTGTCCATCACTGTCATTTTTAATTCTTTCAATTGACCTAAAAGTTGAACCCCATCACTTAACCGCCCAAAGTGACAGTGAACCTCTCCAAGAAGGAGCTCTTCCTCTCCTTTTTCCTCCATCTCCCCTTTATTTAATGCAGGTGGAATACTCAAGGTCAGGAGCCTATCTCCTTGCTGAGAGCCTGTGCTGCTCTGGGGAAGCTAGTGGGTTCCTTGTGATCAGCTGGGGAGACGGGAAAAAGCCTCAGAGTTGTCCCCACAGCACCACCTGGTGCCAGGTTGGGGTCTTCCTGGACTGCTGTTTAGGAGTTTTGTCCTGTTCTTGCTTTCTACCTCCTTATCATTTTCCCTAAACAGTTTAGTATAAAATTGGGGTTCTCAACCATTCCTCTGCATCAAAATCAATTTCAGAGCTATTTTTAAAAATACAGATGCCCAGAAATCATCCCAAAAATCCGAGATGGATCCCAGGCTTCATTTATTTTTATAAAAAGTTTCTGGGAGATAAATTGAGAGCCACCAAATCATAATTATGAGGTGATAATATACATGTTTTGCTTTGTTTTCTAAAAACATATTATTAAACATAATAAAATATATGGCAGCTGAAGATGCCCATCCTTACCCTGGCACAAACATGTCTCGGGACTATGTGCTAGACATAGGATTTCACTATGATAAAGGAAAAATTTACAGCTCTCTTTCTTGGGGCATGGCCCTTTCTAGTATAGCCTTGTGATTATAGGAAAGATTAGTTTTGTTCCAGGTTTTAGGGACAAATTCTTCCTCCCTTAGTGTGATTGTCAGGGTCAATATCTTTGTCTTTTCTTTCCCTTTGAATTGTAAGATCTAGATAGTGACACTTCTGGATAGTAAGGTGATGTAAAGGTTGCCTTTGGCATAAGTCCTTGTTCTGCCTCTAGCTTATGCAAAAAGTGGGTTGCAAATAGAGTGCGACCTCAGCCACTCATAAAATTGTGTGTTTGCCTAGCATTATCTGCTTCAAACCTATTGTGCTAATGGACAATCTGATCTTGGGTCCTAGCCACATACCATCTTGGCCCAACTAACCAGTAGTCTCTGAAATGTAATAAATTCATTTAAATGATGGTGCCATGAACCTGTTTTAGTACTGGCTGGGGTCACTGAGATTGATGCTCTTGGGTATGATGGGGAAACTAGCTCTGAAAGTGAGGCTAAAGGAACTCTCCTGTCTTTTGAGGAGCAGTTGCGTCACATGAGTATGTTCATAACGTGGACAACTGCTTCCTTTGGGTATATAGATTCAGATTTGATTCATAAAAATTGGTTTGGGTGTATGGTTTCAAAGAAGTAGGTAAGTTCATGGATGGTTAGTTGGATGAACAGACAACAACATTCAGCACTTAAGTGTGACTTCCTGATGATCTGAGGTTGCCTGAATCACAGGGACTTTCTCAATCCTCTTTGGACCCCAGCACTTAGCATAATTCTAGAATAAGTTATGAATAAATATTGGTGTAATTATTAAAATTAAATGATAATGCAATATGTGTATAAAGACAAAGAGACAGAATTTGTCAGTGAATAAGATGACAGCTCATCTGTAAGAATCGTGTTGGGAAGCTTTCCCCAATCAGCATCTGGCAAAACTTAAATATTTCAGGGGAAGGAATGTGAGAAGTTCATTTTAAAACTTCTAGGATCAAATACAATGAATCTACTGTTTGAATTCAGGTATGAGAAAGAAATTTTAAAATGGTTAACTAAATTTCATGGCCCCAGCAAAATCAATGTTATAAAAATATAACTATATGGGAAATTGCAGATATTATAATGTTATGGGCAAAAGCAAGGTATAAAAGATTTTATATGGTATAATGCCTTGTGTGGGTATACAAACATATACAGCTTGCAGAGTTTTTTAATAAAGAAAAGTACGAGAATAAAATAAAATTCTCACCCCCAAAATCTACTATTGATGTTTTGTTTTGTGTGTATTATTTCAAATGGCATTTCCCTATTCACATAAAATATTATTAAAAAGGAAAATATAAAGCATATAGTAAAAGCATGTACTGTGTGGGTATCTCTGAATGCAAAATAATGTTCACATTTGTGTATGACTATTCACGGTATCAACATTAATTTAAATACTCTTTTCCCTTTGCCTTTCAAGAACAATTTACATCCTTAAATTTTAAAAAAATGTATTTGTTATTTTGTATTGCTTTTGCAAAATCCTTTACTACCATTTTCCCAGTTTTCTGTTGATGAACTTGAAAAATATTCTAATACTAAATATATCAACCCTTCATATGTTGTATATCACATATCCCAAATATCATCTCCCAGTATCTTCTCAGTTCTCCTATTTTATTTACGATATTTTATGTCATATTCTAATTTTATGTTGACAAATCTATAAATCTTTTCTGACTTGGCCTCTGTTTCTATATTTATGGTTAGAAAGATATCATCTACTCTGAGATAAAATGAATATTAACTTATATTAGCTTCTGATTCCTTATGGCTTTAACTTTTTTTGATGAACTCTTTAACCCGGCAATATTTTATTTTGGTATATGATGCAAAATTTATGGCATTATTTTCCAAACTATCCATTATTCCAACAACCATTAAAAGAAATCTGTTACCACCAATATCATAAAATAAATGTGTGTGAATATGTACAAAATATATACACATATTTAATCAATGTTTTGGTTTTTCTCTTCTTTTTCATGGATCATCAACTTTAAAATATGACAGGCAAAGGCAGATTTAAAAAATTGATCAAGCAATAGAACATAAAAAAACACTTATAGGTTATTTTCAAAGATATCTGCATCTAATATATATAACTCTTGATATATTTTCAAATGTATTGCAAAATTAGCATTTTCATATAATTGCATATATGCATATATGTTCATGAAACTATATATCTATATATTCATATATTAGGGGGTTTTGTGCCTCTGGCACTGGTAAATAACCAAGAAAAATTTTAGGTAACATTTCATCCTGTCACCAGAAGACTGTCACAGTGTTTAATCTTGAAAGCAGGCTTTTCTTCTATTTCTCCTTCTTATCCTTTACTTGGATGAAGAAATAGCATTTTAACATGACTCTTGGCCCCAGTGATAAAACCTAATGCTAATATGTTTGCTGACGGTGAAGCTGGAGCAGCCTTAAATCAATTCCTTAGAACTATTTGGAATATAGCAAATATAAAGCTGGAACAATAATAAAAATATTTCCATTGTAGGCTACAAAGAAAAGACAACACTGAAAATCAGAGATCAGTGTTAGAAGTGGGTTCTACAACTGACCTCTTCGATATCCTTCAGTATTATTGCACCTCTTGAGCCTCTGTTTATGCTGTGGTGCCCATTTCATAGGGCAGGTGTGGAAATCAAGTCAGAGATATTAAAGATGATAGTGATTTGTAAACTGTAAAAAAATTACTAAGTACAACAAATGTTCTCTCAAAACTTATTAATAGAGAATATTTTTAGGTTTCTGAATAGACTATTGTTTTATGGTCAGAGTATAATTTAACTTCATTTTACAACATATACATAAAACATCATGTTGCGCATCTTAAATATATACAATCTTCATCAATTATACCTCAATAAAACTCGTAAAAATAAAAGAGAAGTCTATACATGAGATAAAATGGCATAGAACTGTAGCAGGGTTAATTAATCTGTCAAGTCTCACTGCTGATGATGGCAGTGCCAGATTCAACCCGTATTGAATTGATCAAGTCTATTGTTTTCAAAGCCTGTATTACTAATCATCATGTTTCTCAGTTCTCTGAAAATAGGGATAAAATAATAGTTAATTTAAAAGATTAGCCTTATGCAATGTCTTTTAAAAATTCAACATAAACTTGCCATGTGCCCAGCAATCACCCTGGATGTTTATCCCAGAGAAATGAAAACTTATTTTCATAGAAATGTATTTACACAATTGTTTATAGCAGCTTAGTATTTAATAGCCCCAAACTGGAAACAACCAAAATGTCCTTCAGTGAGTAAATGATTTAAAGAACTGTGTTACACCCATACCGTGAAATATTACTCAACCATAAAATGAAAGAAACTATTAACACATGCAACAACTTAGATACATCTCAGGCATTATGCTGTGTGAAACAAGCCAGTCGCATAAGGTATGATTTCATTTACATGACATACTCTAAATGATAAAATTATAGTGATGGCGAGCAGATTAGTGGTGCCAGAGAATAGGGATGGTGAAGGGAAGAGGAGTGGATGTAACTATAAAGGGGTACCGCAAGGGAGATCTTTGTAGTGATGAACTGGTTTTGTATCTTAATAGCACTGGCAGTTATACAAATCTACACGTGATAAAATGTCAAAGAGCTATACATACACACCTTGTACAAGTGTCAATTTCCTGGTTTTGATATTGTGCTACAGTTATGTAAGATGGTCCCTTTAGGGGAACTAGATGGAAGGTATATAGGATTTTGTACTATCTTTCCAAATTCCTGGGACTCTATGATTAGTTTAAAATAAAAAGTCAAAAAACCGGAAATACACAAGCACAGAATGTCTGAAATTAAATAACAAATGATAACATTTGGCCTGAAATTTGTCTCTTTGTATCTAATTATATCAACTTTTTAAACTATGCTGTTCAAATACACTCTATTCTTGTAACTATTTTATACCTGTTTAATTTTTAAGTTTCTGTTGATGTGATAAAATCTCCCACCATGATTTTGAAATTGTCTCAGTCTCTTGTAATTCAGTCAGTTTGTGCTTCCTATATTAAACAGTTCAGGGCTTTGCTGTTAAACCATATAAGTATGTGAAGGTTATATTTTCTTAGGATTTTTTCTTTGTTTTTCTCTGGTGTTTCTCTTTATCCCTATAAGTGCTTTTTTGTTCTAATTTATATTTTATGTGATATTAATATTGCTATACAAACTTTATTTTGATTATTGTGCTTTACCATTTTAACGCACTTTTTTCACAGTTTAATATATCTGAAATCATGATGCATATGCAATTAATTTCAGAATTTAGCTGCCTTTGTTGTTTTTTTTTTTTTGGTATTATATAAAATAATAATGCATCTTACAGGGGAAGTCATAAATCCAATGAAATAAAGTATTTACCTGACATATTTTTTCCCATCTTCTTATTTCAACCATTTGACTGGTTGTCCAGCCCCAAATTGTTGGACTTTTTTAAACAATTCACACTGACTGGCAGTCTTCACCTTTAAATAGTTGAGTTCCATCCCTTTAAAATCATTTAAAAACATGATTTTTAAATTTATCTCCATTACCTTATTTTGTGTTTACTTTTTTACTTTTATTTATTTCCTCCTTCTATTAGATGAATAAAATGTTCAATAGCTCCTCTTGTTCCCAATTCCAGGTTTTTAAACTCTACACATTTTGTAGTAAGTTTTAAGATCTCAGTTTACCTACTTACTTATAAATATTCATAAGAATGTATAAATTTATTTTATGTTTCTTACTAATACTCTAAAACAAAAAATGATCATAAAAATATCTGCTTATTGAAAAATTTCACACTATTATTGCTGCCCAGAATGTTAATCTTATTTCACACACACACACACACACACACACACACACACACACTCCAGAGAATAATTGATTCAATTTATGCCTACATTTTATACAATTCTGTGGTCATCATTATTCTTATGTTCTATGCTTTTGTCCTGAATTAACAAGGTTTACAGTTGTATACCTTCAACATTTTGAAGACATTATTTCATTATCTTTCGGCATGTATTAGTGTTGATGAGACAGCTTCAACAGTCTGGTTGGTGTTCTTTTGTAGGCAGTTTTTTATCATTCTGTTAAATTTTAAAGAACTTCTCTAAATTCTTGAGAGTCTTTAGTTTCACTATGGAGTACACCTATGCAGATTAACCTTTTTGTTTTTGTTTTTTTGAGATGGAGTTTCGCTCTTGTTGCCCAGGCAGGAGTGCAAAGGCGCGATCTCGGCTCACCGCAACCTCTGCCTCCCGGGTTCAAGCGATTCTTCTGCCTCAGCCTTCCTGAGTAGCTGGGATTACAGGCATGCACCACCACGCCTGGCTAATTTTGTATTTTTAGTAGACATGGGGTTTCTCCATGTTGGTCAGGTTGGTCTCGAACTCCTGACCTCAGATGATCCTCCCATCTTGGCCTCCCAAAGTGTTGGGATTACAGATGTGAGCCATCATGCCCAGCCCAGATTTACCTTTTTTATCATGCTAAGAACTCATACCTTTCTTCAATCCTGAAAAACATTCAACTATTTTCTCTATCCTACTTTCTCTGGATTTTTTTTCTGGAAATCTGATGAAATGAATACTCTTTTCTTCAGATTTATTAACTTTTATGAACTTTTATCTTCTTTTGCTTCGTGCTGTGTTCTCAACAAATAAATCAGTGCTAATGTCCAATTTGTTGAGGTTTTCTTTTTCCATATATTAGGTTTCCATTACTATGACTACATTTGTCAATGCTAAATATTCTCATCAGTGCTTTTTCTTTTCCATTTGTCCTTTGAATAAGGTCTTGCTATCTTACAGAAAAAAAAAATTCCATCATTTAAAATCTGACTGTTTTCAGATTATTTTATATAATTAATTCATTTTGATTAAGTCCACTTAATAATTATGGCTGTGTTAGATATATTACTCAGCATTCTATTTCTTCAAATGTTTCAGAATTTTGGTTTCCAAGGTCATGTTAATTAGAAGGTATTTTGTCTGTTTCGTTTCTCTCCTCAATTCTGTGCTCTCTTCTCTCTGTCCAGTGGATTTCGGTTGCCTCCATTGGGCTTCTTAGGTCACTAAATGGTATTGCTTCTGTCCCATGATGGTATTCGATATATTGCAGATCCATGCAAAAAGCCTGGTGAACAGTTCAGTTCCTGATTGGAGGCTGTTTCTGAGTATTTTCCATTTCCTAGGCTGCTTCTTGTTAATATCTGAAGCCCCACACAGAAGCCAGCAGGAGTTGTTGTTTTTTTTGTTTTTTGTTTTTTGTTTTCAAAAGGCTTCCAAGATTTGGGGGTTAAGGGTAGCTGACATCAACCAGTGGTTTCAACCAACAAATAAGATTCTGGTCTTCTGTCTCAAACAAAGATCTTTTAAGACTCAATCTACTTACTAAAGCCAAAATTCAGCTCCCACTCTTGCTTTCACACACAAAGTGTGGTAGGTCTGTGAATTCAATCACCTTATCACACTGTATTTCTGCTCCAATTCTGCTCTATGAATTGTCAACTGTGCTTTGGGGCCCAGACATTTTTTTCTATTTTACTATGAGCTGTTTATTGATATTTTTAGGAGAGATAAAAGAGTGTCAAAACCTGAAGCTGCTCATCTTGATCAAAATTCTGCTAAATTTTTTAATTAAAAAGTAAAATTCTTGCCTTGTTCAGGAGAGAATATACTTATTCAATTCAGATAATGATAGAAAGTATGTTCAAAAATATATAGGCAATGGCCAGGCATGGTGTCTCATGCCTGTAATCCCAGCACTTTGGGAGGCCGAGGCGGGCAGATCAAGAGGTCAAGAGATTGAGACCATCCTGGCCAACACGGTAAAACCCCGTCTCTACTAAAAACACAAAAATTAGCCGGGCGTGGTGGCACGTGCCCGTAGTCCCAGCTTCTCGGGAGGCTGAGGCAGGAGAATTGCTTGAACCCGGGAGGAGGAGGTTGCAGTGAGCCGAGATTGCGCCACTGTACTTCAGCCTTGCGACAAAGCAAGACTCCATCTAAAAAAAAGGAAAAAAAAAAGAAAAAAAAATGTATAGGCTTAAATTAGCAAAGCATATAAATAGCAAAATAGAAATATTGTACATAAAACTAGCAGTTTAATTGATTAATAATTCTAAAGTGTGCCTGGGCGCAGTGGCCACGCCTGTAATCCCAGCACTTTGGGAGAACAAGGTGGGTGGATCACTTGAGGTCAGGAGTTTGAGACCAGCCAGGTCAACATGGTGAAACCCCATCTCTACTAAAAATTTAAAAAAATTAGCCAGATGTGGTGGTGCGTGTCTGTAATCCCAGTTACTCAGGAGGCTGACACAGAAAAATCACTTGAATCCGGGAAGCAGAGGTTTCAGTGAGGTGAGATTTCACCACTGCACTCCAGCATGGGTGACAGGATGAGCCTGCATCTCAAATAACAATAATAATAATAATAATTCCAAAGTATGATTCATTAAGAAGGCAAATATAAATTGGCAAATGTTTATGAAATATGTATAGAAATAAAGGAAACTAAAACAAAATCACAGAAGAATATAACTACAGATTCTAAGAACAATAAATGATTTTGAAAAAGCATAAATGTGATTTTAAGCTAATAAATTTGAATGGCGATACTAAAAACTGTTCTAAGGATGTATGTGCTCTGTGTGTGTGTGTGTGTGTGTGTGTGTATAATTAACATTTACTTATAAAGTAAAAATTCTCAATGTACACATAAACATGAAAGAAATAGGACTGCCAGCTAAAACTATGTTCTAAAACTGACCTGGACAATTTGATTCCATATCAGGTTCTAACAAAACTTTTAGTGATAAAAATCTTACATTATATAAATAATATGTATTACAAAGAAAAATGGAGTCTTTGTAACAAGCATTATATTGATAGAAAGGACAGTTACAGTATAAAATATTGTAGTGAAATTCCACTGAATATTAGATTAAATATTATACATAAAATATTAACAAATAAAACTTATAAGTGTATTACATGAATAATACATATTAACGAAGTTAGGTTTGCCAGGAACAAATGACTGCTTAAGCATTTGATAATATATTCATGCAATCATTGTATTAATTTAATATGTAAAAACTATGATTATCTCAATGCATTCTAAAAAATCATTTGCTAAAATTCCATATTGAATTTCATAAAAATATGCCAACAACCTAGAAATAGATGAAAATTTTTATCTGGTAAAGAGTATTTGCCATAAACCTTTCTCTTATACCACAATTAATGATAAAATATTAAAAACATTTGCATTTTAAAAGGTACAATGTAATGAGATTCCATATTACTGTTAATTTCCTTCACAGTAACCAAAGGGCTCATAACCAGTGCAATGAAACAATAAAAATAAATTAAAACATAGAACTTTCAAAAGAGAGAGAAAAAATATTATTTACAGACTGTATGATGATACTCCTAACCAATTCAAGAGAATAACTGACAGATTATTAGAACTAATGAGAAGTCTAGGAGGTCAAATAAAAGATAAATAATAAAAATTAGTGATAGACTGGATTAAGAAAATGTGGCACATATACACCATGGAATACTATGCAGCCATAAAAAAGGATGAGTTCATGTCCTTTGTAGGGACATGGATGAAGCTGGAAACCATCATTCTCAGCAAACTATCGCAAGGACAAAAAACCAAACACCACGTGTTCTCACTCATAGGTGGGAATTGAACAATGAGAACACATGGACACAGGAAGGGGAACATCACCCACTGGGGACTGTTGTGGGGTGGGGGGAGGGTGGAGGGATAGCATTAGGAGATATACCTAATGTTAAATGACGAGTTAATGGGTGCAGCACACCAACATGGCACATGTATACATATGTAACAAACCTGCACGTTGTGCACATGTACCCTAAAACTTAAAGTATAATAATAATAATAAAATTAGTGATAAATCAATTTGATAATATGGAGACAAAAGTGACTCCATTATGGCTGTTAACCCACCATGTTGACTTCTGATTAACTCCAGTCCCATGAATGCCTCCTGATTCCTATTTGCTGTTCTTAGTGTAAGAACATGTCAACCTTAATATTATTGCACAAGTTACAGGATATGATGCACATCGCATTCTTGCCTATTCTGAAGGGTTGCCTTTAATTGTCTTGCTGGACCATATATACCCTTTCCTACTGTATATAAACCCTGGGCCTGGGAACAAACAGTGCGAAGAGTTGCCTGTCTTGCTACCGTCCAAGACCATGCTTCTGTTTGTAAGTTTCCCCCATAAAACACCCAATACCAACAACCTCGATTTGTCTTCCTCATTCTTTGGTTTCTGGGCTCCTTTGACACATGGGAGTCACTTTTCATATATGGCCCTTTCACAGAATAGACAATGTAATGAAAAAAAATCCCATTAACAATAGCAGCAATATCTACAATACACAATATTTACAAAAACTAATGGGAAATCTTATGTAAAAACAAATTAAACTGTAGAAAATTCTTATTCTGTAAAGATCTCAATTTTTCAAATTAAACATTTAAATAGAACTTAATTGAATTTGACGAGTGGGGTAGCCTGAATTCTAAGATCACCCCCAGTGACTCTCAACCATGTCAATCCCCTCCTGTGAATGTGGGTTGAATCTGCTATTATGATAAGATGCCTCATCCATGATTACGTGACATTGTATGGCAAAAGGGAATTTTTGGTGGATGTACCCGACTTAATGAAGTAGGCCCTTTAAAAGCAGAATCTTCTCTAGCTCGTTGCAGAAGAGGAATTCAGAGATTAAAAGCATGAGAAGAATTTGACAAACCATTGCTGGACTGAAGACTGAGGGATATGAGCAGCCTCTAAGAGCTGAGAGTGGCCCCTGGCTGTAGTTGGCAAGAAAACAGGGACTTCAGTCCTACAGCTGCAAGAAACTAATTCTTTCCACTAACAAAAACAATCTTAGAAGCAGATTTTTCCCCAGAGCCTCCATAGGAGAATTCGGTTCAAATGACACCTTGATTTTGGCCTTGTGATACCTTCAGCAGAGGGCCAAGCTTCATTGTACCAGACTTCTGACTTGCAAAACTGTGAACTAATGGATGGTTATTGCCTTAAATCTCTAAGTTTAAATGGTAATTTGTTTTGTAGAAATGGAATCTAATGCAACAAGATGCTTTAACATTCATCAGAAGGAGAAATTCTCCACAACGTATTTTTCTTGCTTTCGTTTCTTTCCCTGTAATATCCTAATTCCAACAGTTATTCAAGTCAGGGTCCTTCAATACCTGATTCTAACTTTTTTTTTTTTTTTTGAGGGAGAGTCTCACTCTGTTTCCCGGGCTGGAGTGCAGTGGCATGATCTCACCTCACTGCAGCCTCCGTTCCCGGGTTCAAGCAATTCTCCTGCCTCAGCTTCCCAAGTAACTGGGATCACAGGCGCCCGCCACCATGCCCAGCTAATTTTTGTATTTTTAGTAGAGACAGGGTTTCACCATATTGGCCAGGCTGGTATCAAATTCTTGAACGCAGGTGATTCATCCACCTCAGCCTCCCAAAGTGCTGGGATTACAGGCATGAGCCACCACACCTGGCCCCTGATTCTAACTTTTAAGGATTATTCCTCACTTCATTGGGTCCTTCTTGGCTTCCTTCATCTATTTAGATTTTAAGTTCCAACACTGTAGTCATTTGCTCTCAACTCTCAAACACACTTAAAAAAATTATTTCAATAGCTTTTGAAGCACAAGTGGTTTTTTTACATGGTTGAATTATATAGTGGTGAATTCTGAAATTTTAGTGCACCCATCACCCAAGCAGTGTCCCGAGACCACTTTTATTCAGTCATACTCATCTGAGAAACCCCAAGATTAACAACATCTAACTCACTACCTTTTGCTGAAATTTGTTGGATTTAAACATGAGCAGCAATCTCAATTGTGCCCAACAAAGAATACACCAAATCTTATATCCTTCTACCTAACTCACCCTCCCAGTCTCTGCAACAATTTTCTCATATCTTCTACTCTTATTTCAAACTTGCAAAACTCCTTTTTTCTTTCTCATTATCAAATAAACTCTTAGCTAACTACTTCACTAAAAAATAGAAGCAAGCAGCAAAGAATTGTTATAAATTTTCAACCTATCTAATAAATTTCTTGCATTTATATCTGTATAACTATACTCATGCTATTTCTTGGGTATCTGTTCAGGAGAATGGTACACAGAGGGAGAAAAATATAATTCAGCTCCTTGTATGTTAGAAATGTTTACCTTTTGTCTGCCGAAATATTTTCACTGATTAAACAACACTCTTTACTCTTAACTACAAAAATTTTTCTTTGTGTAGGAGCACCATTTTCCAGCAATATTGATGAAACATTTGAAAGAAATGATGTAACTTTTCCCAAGGAAAGTTTATTCAAAAGGAAACTGGAAGAAACGTCTTTTACAATATTTCATATTATTTCTTATTTTCTTTAAAGGTATATTATAATTGATTTTATCATAAATGTATGCAATTTAAACATTATTATACTAAGTCTTAGAGACGAGAATATTCTCAACTTGAACTTACTTCAGGTCAAAGATTCTTTGATTATGATTCACAGAGAACTTTTCCTTTTTAATCGTGAGGGTAGAACACACGCCATTACTTTTCAATCTCCTGGTAAGATTGTGAAGAATAAATAATATCAGTTCTCTCTAAGAGGTAGAAAAACTAAGCCTGAATTCCTCCCAAAATTGTTATTTGTTATTTGAACAGAGGCTTACACTTTGCTATCATAAGAACACATAAGAAAGATTGCTCTTTCAAATTCTATCAATATCCCAGCCATTTCTGCTTTGGAAGCTTTTAAAAGAATACTTGAGATATTTATTCTTGCAAAATCTATCTTCCGGTATTCAAACAACATCAAAAATTGGCATTACAATTACCTAAACCAAGGAGGCATCAACTGAATGAAATTGACATGTAATCATAGAAAAGAGACAAGAAATAAGGAAAACTCTTGGGATTGGGTTGGACGCCCAAGCTAAAAATGAGATGGTGCTTACAAAGTTTATTTAAAAAAAAAATTTTTTTTCTTTAAACAGATTTTAATTTATAAAGAAATATGAAAAAGAAAATTTTCTGCTTTTTTATAAAAGGAGGAGGATAAAAATAGAGAACAAAGTGAAATCAATTACTTTTAATATTTTAAAATCATTACCTATAAGATAAGATATGAGAAAATAAAGAAATTGAAAACATAAGAAATCTGGCAAAAGTAAGGACGAGACTGTCCAATGTACGTTAACTTAAATCTTCAGAAACTTACAATAGCTAGCAATTACTGGTCATGCTTTGTGCAGGCAGGCTTCTAAATGCATGGTATCTATTATCTCCTCTAACCCTCACAGTAATGCTGTGCAATAGGTAACATTATTGTCTACATTTTGCAGTTGGGGAGACTGAGATACATAGAGATTAATTAACCTACCCAACATCATCCCGGTAGGAAGTAAAGAAGACAAGAGAAAAATCCCAAGATTCTTGCCCCAGGGTCCACATTCTCTATGACTACTCTTTTGACTACACACAAAGTCGCATATGGCGAATGTCCTTGGACCCTAATGTAGAAAGCCTTGAGTAGGCTCTTCTGAAGGAATAACTACAGAATTATCGCCGAATGGACAGAGCTACTATTACATTTACGATAGAGTTCCAGTTCAGTAAAGCCTAGCTTCTTGGCTGCACAAGTTGTTTTTCTTCCTTACTTCCTCCTGTTACCTTTCCATAACCTCTTATAATCTAAAATCATCTTTGATTGTTATGAGGTGAAAGGGACCTGCTAACTGGGACACTTTCCAGGTTTTCTAATACAAGTAATGTGAGGTATTTATGACCAACAACATTCTAAATAGGATTGGATACTTTCAACAGAAAAATTGGTCCAATAATATGTTTACTAACTCATACTAAGTAATTAAAAATTACAGTATTGTTATAATCACCAAAACAATAATAAGGCTTTGTGAATGTATGGCTTTTGTCATAATAGGGCACCATAAAAAATGTAGCATAATATTGAAAAGGTAAAATAATCAAATAAATAAACGACAGCCAAACATATTAAAAATGGAAAATTAGTCTATTATAGTTAAATCCACTGGAATAATTATTAAAATACTATGTGGAAACTGTGACAATTTATATAAATAACAACAATGTCTAAGGAATTAGTTTGAGGAACCTGAATTAGTCTGTTTGAAAAAAAAAGGAAGAATGAACTTATAAAAGATTCCTTAGGGAATATAAATAACACTTTTTGAAAACCTAAATATAAAGATGTTAATCTCTACACAATTTTAATACCCAAACAAATTAGTATAAATAACCTGTAATGTAGACAAAATTAATTATAAAACATCCTTCACTGGAATATTACACAGTCATTAAAAATAATCTTGACGAAAGTATTTAACAGCATAACGTATGCTTAGGAGAGTATAGTAAGAAGAAATAACTTAAGACATGGTACAAAACAAAATACATAGAATAATTACTATCATGTTTTATAAAATCAGATGAAAAGAAACAAGACTGAAATGACATAAAGGAAGTCCCTAACTTACAATGGTTCAACTCACAATTTTTTGAATTTACAGTGGACTTATTGGGATGTAACCCAAGCATAAGTGAAGAAGCACCTGCATTCAAAATTATTGCCAGTACCTGTAAACACATGTAAATGGTAAGACCATACTAATTTTGTTTTACTTTTCTATATTTTCTAATTTTTAATGAGCATACATTATTTCATATTAAGATATTATTTTACATAGAGAGGACAATAGTAATAAAATTGTAACTAGTTTTTAATTAAAGAGGGATAGGAATACATTTAATGAAAAACAGAGTGAAGAGGAAACCACAACAGGAACAAAAAAATTCTTAAAATTGTGGTAAACTCTAATATGAATTAATATTTCATGGGAATCCTTTGATTCTAACAATCCTTTCACTATACAGGACCAGCAACCTATCAATCTGACAAACTTCTTGTCCTTTGCCTGCCTTTCCCACAAGCCTTCTCCCTCTTCCCACAGCTTAAACTCCAAGGACAGTCAGAGTGACCTTCGTGCATGCCCCTTTACTCCCTAAACACTCTATTAGTTTCTTTGACTAGCTAATGGAACTACACTTAAGACCTTGGTGAAATTGAACACTCTGCCCAATTATTGTAACCCAGAAGCTTCTTGGAACTGAAGGAAAGCACACAATCCTACTGATCAGACTTGCTTTCAATTTGGGGTTGTTAACCCCAGCTGGGCTCTTCATGCTGCCAGACAATGCAACTTTATGTTTCTGGTACATACATCTCCCTCTCCCTTCTTGTGGAATCTCCAACACCCTTCTCTGTTGTCATTTGCCCCTGGTGACCTTGCTTCATATTTTAGTTAAGAGGAAAAAACTATCAGAGAGAATGAATTAGTCCATTCTCACCCTACTATAAAGAACTGCCTGAGACTGGGTAATTTATAAAGGAAAGAGGTTTAATTGACTCACAGTTCTGCACGGCTGGGGAGGCCTCGGGAAACTTACAATCATGGTGGAAGGGGAAGCAAACACATCCTTCACATGATAGCAGTAAGGAGAAGTGCCGAGCAAAAAGGGGGAAAGCCCCTTATAAAACCACAAGATCTCCTGACAACTCACTCACTATCTCAAGAAGAGCACAGGAAAAACCATCCCCATGATTCAATTATCTCCACCTGGTTCCACTCTTGACAGGTGAGGATTATTCCAATTCAAGGTGAGATTTGGGTGGGGACACAGAGCCAAACGATATCACAGAACTTCAACCTGGTTCTAACAAAACATTCTTTTGACTTCCTGTATTTGAACCCCTTTGCTTGGATTTCTTTCTCATTACTGTGGGTGAGCTGCCCGTGCTATCAGCCAAGTCTCACCTCTCAACAGGACTAGCATGTCCATTCCTGCTCATCGACTCAAAGAAGTTGTAAAAACTCTCTTGCATCTCTCTAGCATTACAAGTGTATTTTCCTCTATTGCACCTTTTCTATAAGCATAAAACATCAGGATGCTTTTTACATCTTTAAAGAAAAGTCAAACAAACCTGTCTTTGCCTTTCCTCCTTTCTTCCTTCTCCAGTTCCCACCCCTTCCCTTTACAGCAAAAACAGGCACACACACAAAGTACTTTCTCCCTTTATCCAAAAATATTTTTCTTCTCTCTCTCTCTAACACCTTCTATTAATTTTCACCCATTCTCCACTTTACCAAAAGTGCTTTTATCAAGGTCACCTCTGACATTCTATTGCCAAAGTCACTGGTAAACTCTCATTGCTCAACATGCTTGACCTGTCATCATGCGAGGCAGCTTATCACTGTCTCCTCCTTAAAATAGTCAGATTATATTACTTGGGTCATATGACTTGTCTGTTCAAAATCTTGTAATAGCTTCCTTTCTCAATCAAGCAAAAGCTAAAGTTATATAGCCTATATGGCTTTATTCTTTAACATCTGGCCTTGTTTCTTGTGTGAATTCATCTGAGATCATCTCACGTAGACTCTAGCTGCACTGGCCTTACCTTTCATTTCTTGAACACAGCAGGCATGTTCTTGCCTTAGGGCCTTTATACTTGCTGTCTTCTCTGCCAAAAACACTCTTTCCCCTGATATGTGTGATGTCTTCCTCATCATCTTTAGGTATTTGCTAAAATATTGCCTTACTTATGAGGACTTTCCTGGCCTCCTTATTTTTTAAAAAAAATAATATACACTTCTCATTGTACTTCTCTGCCTTATTTTTCTTCATGTTACTCACAAAATACAATATGCTATATATTTGACTTATTTATTTTATGTCCTATCTCACCATACTAGAATGCAAGCACCAAAAGAGTGACAATTTGTTTATTTATCTGTTTTGTTCACTCTTGTATCCCCAGAGCTTAGAAGAGTTTCTAGCACATAGTAGGTGCTCAATAAATAATTGTGGAATGACTGTTGCATAAATTTCATTTCCCCTTGAAAACTGAGAAAGAAACAAATTACATTAATAGAATAAAAGTCATTGCGGCAAATCAATGGAGGTTTGTAAAGATTTCCTAGGTGATTTGCAAATCTAGTTCAAATGTGATATATACATAGTTTGCCTGAATGGCTTTCCTGAAAGAAATGCCAGCAACAGTGTGAAAGCTCTGGAAAGCATAACCAAGAAGTAACATACTTAAATTCCACCATCTCTTAGTTCTAGGCCAGCGTAGGAGCAGGAGAAAAAATGGGGAAAAGAGACAGAGACAGACAGACAGACATACACAAACACATAAACACACACACACACACACACACACATACACAGAGAGAGAAAAAAGAGAGAGAGAGAGAGTAAAAGAAAGACTTAGCTCAGGCTTCTGTAACAAAACACCTTAAACTGAAAGGCTTAAACATTTTTTTCTCACCATTTTGGAAATTTAAAGTCCAAGATCAGGGTGTCAGGTGGGTGAGGTTCTTGGTGAGGGCCCTCTTCCTTGTTTACAGATTGTTGTCTTCTTGCTATGTTTTCATGTAGTGGAAAACTCTGTGTCCTCTTCTTAGAAGGGCACTAATCCTATTCATGAGGGCCCCACCTTCATGACCTCATCACTTCTCAAAGGCTTCACCTCCTAATTCTGTCACAATGGAATTAAGGATTCAACATTTTGGACTGAAGGATTCAACCATTCAGTCCACAATGGAAAGCTATCCAGTGAAGTACATGGGACTCTGATTTCTATTTTTCTTTACTCCAATCCCTGTGACCTAACACCAAACCTATTACCTTTGTGATAGTCACTAATGCCGTTTCTATCTGCTGAATATCAAAGATAATTGCAATCATGGCAAAATAAATGTTTAATTTTGAACAGTTTTCCTCTTAGCTTTCTTTTTTCAAGACATTTGATCCTAATCATTTATTTTTTTAGCATTTGTATGATATCTAATAACCACAAATTAATTAATAAATTTTTATTGAATCTTGACATTAAATGAAAAACTTTCTCAATATAAATTTAGTGGAACTGGCAAATGAATATATGAGCCAAGGCATAGCAAATAAACATTTCTCTTTGAGGATTCTTGTTCAAAACAGAATTAGCATTGGCTTTTTCAGTTCCCACAGCCTGCAGAGATAATCCTAAAGCATAAAAATTCTGGAGCAGTTCATGGCTTTAAAATGGCAACAAAGCCAAAATTGGTTAGTTTTTATCAAACGAAAAAAAATGGAAAGGTTTTCATCACAAGCTCTTTTCCTAATAACAGCCCACTTTTTCATTTTTGAAAGCCTGCCTGTGAACTGTTAATGACAGAATAATCAGTGGACATATTCCTGTGACTTCAGCTGTTATAAAATGCAACTTGACATTGAAAAGGAACATAAGTATCACTCCCAAGAATGTTTGCTTTCTGTTTTGTAAAAATACAATCTTTCTTTGTGAAACACAATTGTTACTATGTACACAGAGCATATAAACAAGGGAAGATATTAAAAACACAGAAACAAAGCACCAGTATTTTACAAATGGCTTGCTGATATAATCACCATTCTGTCACACTACTTGCACTAATCTAAGCATTTTTTCTTAGTGGACATTTTACTCATATCTGCAAAAGACTAGCAGTAACATAGCACCTACTCTATCACTCCGAGTCCAGTAAGGCAGTAGAATCCACATGAGGCATTTCAAGCAGAGGGGACTATTTACAAAATGTTTAGAGGCTGAAAGATCAAACAGCAGAATGTGAAATAACCCAGCTATTAACACCTGCAGGATGCAGTTACTATCCCCAGGGCCAGAGAAACAAAAGGGAAGAGGAAGTTGTAGAACCCATGGGCCTACTTGCACTTCTGAGGTGTCTCAGGAGGTCCTGGAAACACAGGAGGGCATACCCATGTTAGTTTGGGGAGCATGGATGGGTGCCAAGCAATAGGTGCTTGGACAGCTGGGATGAAGTGTGTTTTGCAGCAGTCTGGAAATGCAACCTGGCCCTACGTAGCTGGCGTTGGAACTGATGAGGAGGTGCTGCTCTGTAGGAGTTGGTGCTATCAGTGGGTCTCTGCTTACAGGTGCTGGTATAGCCAAGGGGAGTGCCACTGGACAGGGGCTGGAACCAGGGAACAGTCGCACTACGGGCACTGAAATTGCCGGAGGATGCAGGCATCCATAGCTTCAAGTTGTTGTGGAAGGAGGCCCAGAAGCTGGAAAGGAGAAGTGAGTCACGCTTTCTCTCGTCTTCATTTTATCCTTCCCTTTCCAGGACCTCTCACTGGCAAGATCTAACTAAAATACGGCTGGCAATAAAAATTTGGAAAGGTAATCTGTGCGGTATCAGAAACCTACAACACATAAAAGAAGAACACAGGACAGAAATCGACGCTGAAGGCAAGGAGGTAAGTGGCTTGCACACCTACTGTCTTCAATGCCAGTTTTTCTGTAGTATTTATTTAGGACGACTATGCCTAAAGTTGCTAATGGAAATTTGATATCCGTTTTTTATCATCTTGCTAAAGGATCATAATAATAAACGAATAAATAAGATAATACGATGAAGGATGAGGATATAAAACTATATGTAATATATTTAATATAACTCTAAGTTAGTGACTTTAAGTCTGTTATTAAAGAAATTCTGACTTTTCAATGTTAAGTACGTTTAGTAGATTTATGCAAGTTATAAATTAATATATTTTCTTATTTTCATGAAACCATGTTAATGCTCTACTTATATCTTTATTATTCTTTCAAATTCCAATATAGGGTATTATTGAGCAGGTAAACAATTAAGGAAAAAGAAGAAAACAATTAGGGAAAAAATATCACCCTGTGGTTAATGATAGCCTCTAATTCTTTGCTATTCTCATTGAAATTGCCCTTGAATCTAGACCAGCCATTGTGATTTGCTTAACTAATAAGATATAGGAAAACCGCTGTTCACAGATTTCAAAATCTAGAACTATTGCCCTAAGATCGTCACGCTGGAGAGACCATACAAAGGAGCTCTGCTTGTCAGTCCCAGCTAAGCCCTGACTTCTAGTCATCCCCTCCCAAGTGCCAGAAATGAATGGGTACCCATCTTGAACTTTCCAACCACTCCATCTGGAGCCTAAGAACTACAGTCTATATTAGGCCAAGTAGAAGAATCACCCAGAGAATCCCTAACTAGATCTCTCAGCCACCAAATTGTGAAATATAATACAACCATTGTTTTGAGCCACTAAGTTTTGGAGTAGTTTGCTATATAGCAATAGATACTGAAACATGGCCTTTTAAACAAAGAAATGCACACTGAAGCAAATTATTCACATTAAATGTAACCAGATTAAGTTGTGCTACACTTGCTGAACATAATTAAATCAGAAAACACGGTACTCATGAAGATTCAGGGATGAAGTACTCATCCCGTACTGATGAAATTGAAAAGTACTACAGGATTTGAGGGAATGTCTTTGACAATGTGAATCTGACACCAAGTGATCTTATGGCTCCTCACTGTGATGAGTCCCTTCAAGGTGGAAAGTTCCCTAGCGATTTATGTTTATAATTTCATATTATTTTTCTTAAGATGCCCCTGTTGCCAAGTGGTATAAACTTTAGGCCCCGCAAAATAGAATCTGTCCCCAGAAGGTATACAATAATATCATAAAACTCTTCTGGCCCTTCTCAGTAATCAGTATTTTCTTCAAGAAAATAAGAGGAAGGGGACAGCTATGTTTATAAAACTCTTTATCAGAGAATCATATATAATAGAAAAATAAACTGAAAATAACCTAAATGTTTGGTAATGGATGAATAATTAAATAAATTATAAGCTATCAACTTAGGGCATGATGTCACCTTTATAAAAAATGGTTACAAAGTTTCTAACAACATGAGAAATTGTTTATAATGTGACTAAGTGCAAAAGCTAATCTTGAAAGTTTATATAAACTGTGATTACAGTATAAAAATGTATATATTACAGATAAAACTTGGAAGGAATTTTGAAGAAGTGAAAACAATTATGTTGAGGTGATGGTCATGAGACACAACTTTGCTCTTAGTGTTTGTTTTTCAATTCTCATTTCTCATCTAAGTTGCATCCTGTTATAGACAATGGTAAGTGATGCAAGCTTTTTCAGAATTCAGCTTCTACGATCTTATAAGAGACACCCTGTCAAAGCTGTAGCTAAACTAAGGGAATGACTGCCATGCCCAAAGCTCAGGAAGGCAGGCCTGGTTGTAGAGGGCCATGTCCCACTTTGTAAAATGTGGAAAAATAAACATGTCATTAGGAAGGTAAACTCAGACTCTTGGGGAAGTTTGGCCTCTTTCTATTCCTTCTTTTTTTTTTTTTTGTCTCATGAATGGCAAAGTAAAACCCTTAGGAGCCAGAAAGCAAACAGCTGACATCACTGTTCTCCAACCCCGGCTCTGCCATCTTTATTCCCCCGCCCCCACACACACCTTTAAGAAGCCATGTTTAAAGAAAACATTTGCTATTTTAATAATTTTGTGGATATGCTAGAAAGGTAGAGCAGAAACAGCAAGATCTGGAATTTAGGTAAGGTTTGTGGCCAGCGGTTCTCTGATCTGCGGTGACTCCTCACTTGCTGGGAGCCTCCATGTCTCCATCTGTAAAATGAGGGGGTTTCCACCACAGAACTACCCACATCCTATCTTGTCACCGTTATCTGACTCAGTTGTCAAATACGATGGAGTCCATTTGAAAAGCAGAGAATTTGGGAAGCCATGCTGCTCTGAGGGGTTTTTGCCGCTTTTTTTATATCCTAATTTTAGATTATAGAATCTTGGATAATAAAATTTTAAGCAATAAAAAGAAAAGAATTAAAAGGAAAGCCAGGTTCTGACACAGAGATCAGTGATGTCAGAAGGCAGGGAGCC
Organism: Homo sapiens; assembly: GCF_000001405.40. Lineage (NCBI taxonomy): Eukaryota > Metazoa > Chordata > Mammalia > Primates > Hominidae > Homo > Homo sapiens. Next base: position 20,194,344 of record NC_000007.14, read on the forward strand.
CAGCTTGTCTACTCCACTCCAAACATAGAAAACATGACCACAAAGGAGTACTCCCCTGATGTGTTTGTTCTTTCTAGTTTTCATTAGAAAGAAACACACGAAGAGGCATTTTAATCTGCCCCCATGGCAGATGTGTGAAGAGCCTCACTTAAGGAGGCTTCGCTCCTTTCATGGTACCCTTAAAAGCTTACACCTGATTCACTCAGCTGCTGGCTCAGCCTCAACCTCTTGGCCCATCCATTAGAGATCCAGTGAAAAGCTATTAAGCAAATCCATCTCAGGAATTTTACATTCATGCAAAACATCATTTTGCTGTCTTCTTGCAACAATAAGGAAAGGCTGTCTTTCAACTACGTCTTGGTAATGAGAATTTAAAATTGCCTACCATGTAGTTTCCATTAAAAGCCATCTCAATACTAAAAGAGGATATGATAGCCTTTCACAACTCACACTTCTCCTAGTTTTATGCCTAAATCAATTGCAATCAAAAGGCAGTTTTAAAAATAGAGCATGTTACTTCAGCCTCCTAACAAAATTGCCTTTATAGAGTGATGGCTTAACACTACTTCCTTGAATTTTTTCTCGTCATAAAGATGAGATGTGGAATTTGCCTAAATTTTTAGTAAACCTCTAATCAGAAAAAGCTTGCCCATTATGTCACACATTTTCCTTCATATAAAGCCACATATAAGATATTCTCAAAGTCTGGGGATAGGAAAATTTTTTTCCTCCTAATCTTAACGTTTTCTCTTATTAAAAAAAAACAAGTATCCCCTATGCTTTAAGTTTTACCTTGATTATCAGGGAAACTTGGTCTGGGTTTTGTGTGCAGTAAGTTCTCACATCTCTGATTTTTCTTGTTTGTTTGTTTAATATAATTATGCTCCTCTTCCAACCCGCCGTACCTTGCTATTATTGCATGAAGTTGTTAACTTTAAAAACTACAGGATTTATGAGCTTAGAAAGGAGACTTTATTTCTCATAAAAGATTATAGCCTTCAAGGTGGCCATTCCACAGGCTGAAAAGCATAGCATCCGACAAAGACCAGAGACAGCTACTTCAAAGGAGGAGGGTTTAGACAGGAATTTAAGTTGAATAAATTAAAGTAACATATGTATTCAACAGTCTATAGGAGGAGCTGTTAATATTCATGAAGGGGGTCCTGACACATGCGTATTGAGCAAATATTCGTATATATGACCCATGTTTACCTTGGGGTAAAGATAACATTTAAATGTACTACAATTAGGCCCTATACATCAAAAGGTCTTTTTAGGACACAAAGGCACACAAGTGTGCAATCTATGGTTGGTTTTTTCATCAGGAGAATGTTATTGAAATCAAAGCTGTAGTTATGGCTTGTGGAACAGGGGATCAGTTAGCTTCTGTGAGCTGGATGTGTTGTCATTATTTTAATACTGCTCATCTTGAGGCCAATGCTTCTTTAGCTGCTAGAAAAAAAGAAAAAACTTGTTGCAGCTAGAACATAGTTTATTCCTGAAGTGTAGGGGTGTGTGACTTAACCTTGCCTGGCATGGCCTTAGGTCCTGTTTATAATTAGGTTGTCTTATTGCCATGAAGAGTCCATTCTGTCAGTCTTGTGATCTCTATTTTAACATTAATACTGGTCAGTTGTCGTGTCTAAACTGCAAAGGGATGGGGTGTAACAAAGCGTTTCTGACCTCCTGTCTCATCATGGTTGGGAACTCAGTTTTCAAGACTTCTCTGGGGTCCCTTTGGCCAAATGAGGGTTTGTTCAATCTGTGGGAGGTTTAGGATTTTATCTTTAGTTTCCAAGGCTTAGCTTTTATTGGTAATAATTTTCAGGTTTTTTTTAAATTTTATTTTATTTTTTTGAGATGGATTCTCGCTGTCTCCCAGGCTGGAGTGCAGTGGCGCCATCTCGGCTCACTGCAAGCTCCGCCTCCTGGGTTCACGCCATTCTCCTGCCTCAGCCTCCAGAGTAGCTGGGACTACAGGCGCCCGCCACCACGCCCGGCTAATTTTTTGTATTTTTAGTAGAGACGGGGTTTCACCGTGTTAGCCAGGATGGTCTCAATCTCCTGACCTTGTGATCCGCCCACCTCGGCCTCCCAAACTGCTGGGATTACAGGCGTGAGTCACTGCGCCCAGCCAACTTTCAGTTTTATTGACTATATACTTTTGTAATTAGGTACATCCAGTCACACTGGAGAAAGATAGTGTATAAATTTATAACAATGGGCCGGGTGCGGCCGGCCCATTTTATATATATATATAAAACAATGTATATATCTGTATGCATGCATGTGTGTATGTGCTCTATGTAATATATATTATCATTAATTGTCATAGAAAAACATCTTTAGAATTAAAAAGAGCTTAGCGATCATTTAAATTGTTCCAAACATATATCTATCATGCATGGAGAACCGGTTTTCTCAAATGAAATATGCCCCAAAACTTAAAAAAATAAGGTTGAAAAATAAATAAAGCAAAGTTCCTTTGGCTGAAAGGTAAAAGGATCAAAGCCCACAAACTTCACCTCGCAGCCACTCACTTTCACTGCAACAGAGCATTCTCAAGTCACCCCACAAAACCCCTAATTTTCTATGGTACACATTTGACTACTACCAGTCAATTTTAGTCATTGTCTTTTGTAAGTTTGAAAAATGACATACGATGAAGTTGCAAATTATCTATAAACATTTACCTAGTGAGTGACCAGGTCACCCCACCAGAACTCAAATTCCCTGATTTCTAGAAGTTTATTTTTGTCCAAATAGAAAGGTCCATCCCAATGTTGGCTGAAAATTAAAATTCTGGTCTTTGAAAAGAGTTGGGCTATTTGGAATTTCTGACAAAAACTAAAGAGAATCTAAGATTTTCCTAAAGTCAACAAGTCAGTTAATATTTTCTCTCAGGCCCAGCACTGCCATTTTCCCTCCTCCCAGGCCTATGTGCAGCAAAGGCCAGCCCTCCCTTCTTTTCAGATTTCCTTTCAACTGCTGCTGTGTTTGCCTATTCCCTTGGAATCTCTATTGGATACCAATTTCTTGACCCCTCCTGGGTAAAGAATCACATGGCTTTGTGTTTTTTGTATGTTAAATAAACTTAGCCAAGATAACAATTTTGTGGAATCTTAGTGACTATTTGTTTTTCTTTCTCGAGCATTTTTACATGTTGTCCTGGCTTTAGCTTTTAACATTATGGATATCAAGATCTCCTGTCTATTTAGTAAAGCCTGAACATGTTCTCGTACGCCTACTCACAATAAACTTGGACTGAATTTATCTGAGAGTGTGGCTTATTTTGCAAACACCTCCAGACAAAAACTAACTAAAATATACTTGCATGATGAACAAAGATTTCAGACAAACTCTGCATAGATCACGGAAAGTTTAAGAAGCCCTATTTGAGCTTCAAATTTCAAAGTCATGATTTATAAACTCAATTTCAGGTGAAACAGAAAAGTTTCAATCACGTATTTATCATGACTTAGTATCATGGCTTTTAGGAGAAATGTTTCCAAATCTACCATGTATTGTTTTTATTTTTATTTTTATATTATACAGGCTTATATTGTTCACTAGAAAATAGGCTACTTCATTTATAGAAATATTTTATGTAATAAAAACCATTTCAACATGAACAATTTCAATGATCCTAAGAGGAAAATACCACCCTCTGGTGGTGAAACCCTTAAACAGCAAAGGCCTGGGGGCAGAATGCCTCCAGTTACCACAGTGGCTAATCCAGGTGGTAAAGGGAATGACAGGAGGGTCTGATGTCTGGGTATTGGCAAGAAATCTCAAGAAGACCATATCATCTGGAGATCCCTGAGGGCATGTGATATGTGGGTATGGAGGAGAGTAGTGGAAAGAGAAGCAAACCATTACCAAAGAGATATTGATCAAAGCAATGTTTTATCCCCTTTCATGGGAGCTGGGAAAACCAGGCACTAAACTGGTGCCTAAGTAAAGTCCCAGGGGCTTTTCTGAACCAGAATTAGGCATCAGATCCACAGACAGCATGGGAGATCATAGAGGGATAAAGAGCCAAGCATATCATGCTAGTCCAGGATATAAACAATGAACAGAACAGGACTGCCAAAAACTAGAGTTTAATGGATGTTGGTCTCCTAGTGGGCAAGAGAAGATGAAAGGGGATCAATTGGCCAATGTAAACATTTAAGGCTTACCAGACAAGTAAACATTTTGTCCAGGCTCCACCCTTTGATTATTCAATTGTATCTTGATAAGCTCCTGGTCTGCCCCTGGTCCAAGCCTCCATTCTGGAGCTCTCCTTTTAGATCTCAGCCTCGCCTATAATTTCTTCTGTCGCTTTCTAACAAGGCAAGATTTTTACAGGGTTATCAATTTATAAGCCAAAATTACTTGTATATTTTCTAATTAATTCAATCTAAAGAATAAATCCCATGCACCACAAGGAGACTTGATGTAGAACAATTCCTTCAAATCAGAGACAGAATAGGACTAAAAAATAATAATAGTAACTTGAATTGGCAAAACAATGAAGACTCAATGAAAAAGAGAGATCCACCAAGGATGCCTAACAAATCTTTTATCCACAGAAGAGTGGTGCTGAGACTGTGCAGAGAGAAAGGCTTGTCTAAGTTAATGTTACAAAATACTTCTCAAAATGTAAAGGTCTATGTAAATATAATATTTTATGCGAGTGTATTATTCAGCTGCCAGTATGTAAGGAGAATGGCAATAATAGTAATTTGAATTTATGGAGGGCCTATCATCTTAGACACTTGTGCTTTTGAAAGCCAGCTTATTAATCCTCAGGACTATCTCAGGAGAAAAGCAGCCAATGTTATTAGCTCCATTTGCAGATAAGAAATTGAGACAGACACAGATTATGTGGTTCATACAAGGCTTGCACAAGAAATCTGTGAGGAGAAGGAAAAATTATTAGCTACTAAGGTAGAAATGTGATCCACAGATAAAGAGTTGGCAAGGTTTGATCTTCTCCTGTTCATACTCATGGAAAAAGTAAGCATTGTCCTAGCCAAAGCTATCTAAAGCAATATTATGTATATTACATGGAGAAGGGACCTGGTGTGTGTGATAGTACTGGAGGCTTCAGTTCAACCCAGAAGAAAGCAGCGAAGCACTCAGCTTGCCTTGATTGGCAGAATGGATGCCTTGGCAACCACTTGGCCTGAAACCAACCTGCCCTCTCCAACACCACTATCCTCCACCCACACCCTTGTCACATAATCATCAGGAAGGCATGCTCTGAAATAAGGATGAAATGACAGAATAAGGAAGTCTTCAAATGAAACAGGAAGCACACAGAGAGAGCAGAGCACTTACTAACATGAAATTAGAAACCAAAGTGAATGAAGAGGAACTCACAGAGGTGAGTCAAAGAGTACAGAGTCATTCAAAAATGTTGATGAAGAATTCACTTTAAATCTTTACCTTTTTCTTGTTCTTAAAGTTAAGAAAAACTTATTTTTAAAGTAAAAACAGATATCTTAAAAATAAATTTAAACAATAAAATTAAATGTTCTATAAAATGAATCAATCAGAAAGTAGTGAGTTATACATGCTTTTATAAAGGAAAACGACCTTGCAAACCAAGTTTTAAGGCTCAAATGAATTAGCCAAATCCTATACAATTATTAACAAGATAGAGAATAAAGATAAACAAGTGGCTATACCATTATGTGTGTGTGTGTGTGTGTGTACATATGTATGTATATATACATACATATATATGTATTTCCTTTTACAGATGAAGATAAATAAAATTCATAATAAAATATTTATTCACAATAAACACCTAGGAGTGTGTGGGAATAACAGTTTTATTGGGGAAAGGAAATACAGGGGCTAACTGAAAAAACACGAAGAATCTTTTAAAAGATTACTAGATTACTAGATTTAAAAGATTAGTAGATTTAAAAGATTTAAAAGATTACTAGATTACTAGAAATGGACAGTTATAGATAAAGAGATAACAGTTATATCCCTCATTAACAAACACTATTAAGTTATACTTCAAAATACTGATAAATACCAAAGAAAACACACGATGACTTCCAAGGAAAAAAGAGGTTACTGGGAGACCTTTGATATCAGTATTTCCTACCAATTTACTGGTCATAACGACAAATCCTGGAAGAGAAAGTAAATTGTTGTCAAAATTTAACAGGCAAGAGTGCGTAGGTTAATTACAGGAAGTTTTTAGTTTAGGAAACTGCCAAACTCATCACAAGACATGAGAGACAGAGTGATGTAATTACCTAAGAAGGGGGATGAAGTAATGCACTCAACCATCAGCACCTGATTTCTTTTTTTGCTGGAGCCAGAAGAAATCTTTTCACTGATGCACAGTCAGATACCTGAGATATCCCCCACAACCCCAGCTAGAAACATGGGTGCTATCTAATCCTGGAAGTTTCTAAGAGCCATTCAATATTTTCATGCCTATTCTCTGCTTCCAGGCAGGGTGGATATCCAGTAAGAATACCTGAGTACCATACACTGGCCAGCATCCATTCTGACAGGTCAAGTGTCCATGCCATACTCACTGCTGCACATTTTTAATATCATTTTGCATTCAGAAAAGTATCAACCTAAGCCTACCAAGGAAGTGTTCCTCTCCCTATTAAAAACTTCCAAGATGACTAGGTGTTATTTGGTGGGATGGATTTCTATTATTATGTTTTTTAATTTTAAAAAATATTCTAAAGGGAGAGAAGTGGTACTATGTCATCTGAATTGGTGAATCAAATTTAAGTGAATCTCATTGGTGAATGAGAGCTGGTCACACTCAAAAGAAGGATGTGACACAGTCTGAGGTTTTAACTAAAGAGAGGGAAGAAAGAAGCAGCAGGATCATGCAATACAAGAGGCCAAGAGGGGCTCTCAGACTGTCCCCCCCATGGACTAATTATGCAGAATTTATGAAATGGGTTCTGAAGGTTGAGCTATCTGGGTTCAAATGCTAGCTCCACAGTGAAATTTGTAGGGAGAAGCAGGATGAAGTGCTTCAGGTAAAAGGAAAATGATCCACAATGGTGTAAAAACAAGAGTGAGCAGAACTCGTTCAGAAAGCAGCAAGCACTTCAGTAAGGCTGAGGCATAGCAGTGGGGTAGGGGCAGAGGCAAGGATGGGGGAGGGGCAAGAGGGAAGGATGCAGAGAAAGGCAGAGGCTGGTCATGACATACTTATAACACAGACTGAGGAACTTGAACTTTAGCCTAAAGAAGACGCAGAGGAGTTTAAGTTCAGTCAATGACATGATCTCATCTGTGATTTACATTTCAGGAAGGTGGAAAGCAAAAGTTGAAGCAGAACTAGAGACAAAGAGCAAGGGCAGTGGCCTGAACTAGGAAAGTGGTTGTAAGAATGGAGAGAAGTGGACAGAGTTCACCTTGTCCCTTGTTTTCGACTCCTAAACTCCAAGGATTATAAATTACCCTTTTGAGGTTTTGCACTTAAGACCACCTTAGATTCCATTTTTGAGATTCTGTCTCCAAGGATGCAAAATGTGAACCTTAACCTCTGTACCAGTTGGAACCATGTCTTCCTGTAGAGGAAATGAGTTTCAAACCTCACTTACTGGTAATTATTCTTCGTGTTTTTTCAACTGGCCCCTGTATTTCCTTTCCCCAGTAAAACTGTTTTTCCCACACACTCCTAGGTGTTTAGTGTGAATAAATATTTTATTATGAATTTTATTTATCTTCATTTGTAAAAGCTATCTGGGTTCAAATGCCAGCAGAAAATGAGTCTGGTCTCAAAACCATGTCCGCACATCCAAGCCAGTGAATAGTTTCTTCGACAATCATACCAAAGTGAAAGGATAGTGTAGACAAGTGCAGTTATTTAGCAATTCATTAATGCTATCTAAAACTTCTTCCATTTGTTCACAGTCTTTTGGTTAAATCAACTTCTGTAAGTTCATTTTATGGATTGTAAAATGGGAAGTATTAGAAACAGATACAAGATTGTGTTTTCCATCAAAGCTATGACATAGAGATGGACTTAGTTTCCTTCTTTTAGAAATTTCTAGATTTCAGAATACGCCTCTTTGTATTTGGACGTAGAGCAAAGTGGTTGATACATTTCATACTTGCCTTGATAATCAATCAATGTGTTTTAGAGGAAAGAAAATGGGACCCGGAACCAAAAAACCTGATCGAGCTTCTAAAACTCTCCAATCTTCAATTTTACATCTATTAAGTAGTAATAATAATAATTGTTATTCCCTTTCCACTATGCTTTATGAGAATTAAATGATTTACTATCTGTGATGAGAACCAAAAACTTTTTGATTTTGGAAATGTGCTATATCTGTCATATCCAATCAGGTAGATAATAGCTACATTCATGCAGCTGTTGAACATACTTCATGTGGCTGTTGAACACTTGAAATCGAGCTAGTTTTACTGAGAAATTGAATCGTTAATTTTCATCAATTTAAAGGGCACATGTGGCTAATGCTTACCTTTTTGGAAAGTGTAGCTCTAGAGTACTGATTCAGTTTCAGTTATTCCTAGTCTAAATTCATTAATTCTAACTTTGTTCTGGAAATCCATAGATTGTATGTTGTCTTTGTTTAAAAATGAATGTTCTCTTTATATGTGAGCAAAGATAAGTATGTAACCTTCTTAAAAGCAATTGGTAAGATGAAACAAAGTACAATTGTATTTTTGTCCACCACTGTGCTTTTAAAAAATTTATTCATTGGGGGAAATTTTTTCTAATACCACTGATGAAATTTCCCCAGTTGGTCCCATATATCTCCTGGTCACTCTTAGATTAAAATTAAAAAAAGTCCTGGGTTATTTTAAGTTTCAAAATGCAGTATTATTTGTAAATTTTCATCAGCACCAATCTCCTAGGGCAAGACTGATCCTCCCCTCCCCACACCACATGGGTCTACAGCCTTTGGGGAAGAGGGATACAAGTGCGTATCTCCTCTTTTTCTACCTCACCTCTTCCATCGCCCAACTAACTAGCTACTGCTGCTACTGAGGGCTCCGAAGTTGGAAGCTTTGACCCTCCTTTCGAGAACCAGCAAATATTTATTGCTGCTGCTGCTGATGATGATGATGGTGTGTGCGTGCATACATGCACTTTGGAAGATCCTGAGAAGCTTTCAACGGCTAAACCTATGAAGTGAATGATGCATCCAATTTTTAAGTCAGCTAAAGCCTCCCTGAGCTCTGGTTTCCAGGCAGGCAAACACACCAAGCTTTCCTGGAATGTGCAATGAGGTGAAACAATAGCATCCTTCATCTCCTCACCTACCCCTCTGGATTGGGATAGTCCTTCAAAAATCATTCTCACAAAATCCTCTCAGTGTTCATTCCCCCTTTATTTTTTATTGCAACTTGGAAGTCAGCGAGGAGCTCAAGATTTGTGAAAATATTGCCAATTGGGATTTTTGCCAGATACCTCTTTCTGGTATCTGAAATCAATCGTCTTGGAATCCTAATTAATTTTTTCAATTTAACAACTTGTTTCTATGCAAAAATGATCATTGTGGCTCTGGTAATAATAGCTAACGGCTGGAAAATTACATAATCATAATGGAAAGAGCAGTACCTTCATAAGCAATGTGGGCTCATCACTAAAATATATTAAGTAAAAAAAAGGAAGCCAGACATGTTTCCATTTGCATTTTAAAATAGAAGTTACATGTATGTACATGCTTTTATATTATTTTGATTTTTAATTATACAGAAGAATTGCTTTAGGTTCCTCCTTATTATCTTTATAAATACTATATTTGGGTACATATTGAAGCCTGAATTTATTGCTCAATTTATTGCTCAATTCTTTTTGTTTGTTTGTTTTTTTGAGATGGAGTCTTGCTCTGTTGCACAGGCTGGAGTGTAGTGGCGTGATCTCGGCTCACTGCAAACTCCGCCTCCCGGGTTCACGCCATTCTCCTGCCTCAGCCTCCAGAGCAGCTGGGACCACAGGCGCCCACCACCACGCCCGGCTAATTTTTTGTATTTTTAGTAGAGATGGGGTTTCACCGTGTTAGCCAGGATGGTCTCGATCTCCTGACCTCATGATCCACCCGCCTTGGCCTCCCAAACTGCTGGATTATACGCATGAGCCACTGCACCCGGCCTGCTCAATTCTTTAGGATGTGATCTTCGAGTCTTTCTATTTGGCATATCTCAAACATTTTTTTTCAGCCTGAACGTCCTGAGACATTGTGTCTCAATCCGAGTCCAAGTGAAAAGCACTTCCCACATAACTGATCAACTTGTTTATAAGATCAACCTGGAAAACTGAATGAAACACCAATGATCGAAAAAGTGAGTTTATATTTTTTGGTTAGGTGAGCTGTAACAAACACACTTTTCACAGGCGACTACAGAAAAATAGGTTGAATTACAGGCATAACATAAAAATTGCATTCACACTGTAAGTTTGTAAGCTACATGAAAATAAGGAGGAATTAACCACCACATCTTAAAGATGATACTTTATACTTGATATTCTAAAAGAAGTAATACTTGTACTGCTTTTTCAGTTTATTAAAATTATCCAAAATGAAGATGACCCAGTGAGCAGAGATTGTACATTTTTTAACTAGGAAAGGATAAAGAGCCTCTCCTAGCACCCTAGTTTAAGGATCTATAATTAAATTTAGATCTATAATTAAATTTAGATACCATGGTTATCAATGAGCAAGTTTCGGTAAATTTTTAAAAGTTTGATATATGAATTCATACTTTATTGGATATTAATACAATTTTTTTTTTAGAATGGAAAAAAACATGAAGAGAAAGTCTCATAAAGTTTTACCTCTGATGGATTTTCATGATGTCAAAACAGATTAGTTTTTAGCAATGTGCCTTGATCATCAACTTTTTGCTGTAACTTCAGTTGGGAGGAAAGTAAGTCAAAAGCTATTGCATACAATTAAAGTTAGGTGCTTAATTTCATACCAAAAGAACATAGAAGTTGGAAAAAATAACTCAAAGATAACATATTAATAAATCACAGTATTACAGCAGATATTCTTAAAATATATTTTCCAGGACAAAGCAGGAGTTAGGAAAAGCCCAGATGCTAAGGGGCTTCCTTGATCCTGCTTGATCTGTGGTGTGGTCTGATTTGGTCATGATCTCAATTTCCTAAAACCACTTCATCACCTCACCTGTAATTCAATCTATTTTTTTTTTGTAGTCGCCTGTGAAAAGAAAGTTTGTTTCTTACAGCTCACCTAGTTACCAAAAAATATAAACTCATTTGAAATAATATTCTCCTTATTTTCCTGCTATTGCTTTGACCATTCTTCCCTGTTTTCTGTGGTGGCTCCTCCTGTGATATCTGTTTATTTAAACATTTCTCAAGGGTTTTTTGTTTGTTTGTTTGTTTCTTCTCACTTTCAGTAATCTCCTTGAGTCGTTCCATCCTTTTCCATGATTTGAAATCCCTATTTTTATGGGAAAGCTCAATGATGTTTGTCCCCAACCAAGACCCCTCCCCAGAGCTGCAGAACTGTAGCATTCACTTTTCTGACGTCTCCATGTGAACACTGTTTCCATGTGAACACTGACCCTACCCTCAGGCACCTCCATATATACCTCACATCAATATATCTCTTCTTCCTTATCTCTATCAACAAAAATGTCTATTTCTTTTCCTTAGTTCTGCCTTTTGGGATAGTTTCACAATCTTCTCTGTTGTTTCAGATGAAAATATTAGAGCCCTCTTGAACTCCATCGTCTTTCTCACACATTATCGTCATCTGCTTGGTAAATCCACTACCCAGGCCCCTTCTTTCTGATACCATGGTGCCTGCCTTGGGTTAGCCTTTATTATCTCCTTTCTGGGGTCCTGATCCCATCTTCACCACACTTGTCTCCCACATTATTGTCTCTTCCTTCCCTAAGTCATTCTGCCCATAGTGAGGACAGTCATCTTCCTGAATCACAGGTACAATCATGACATTCTAGTGCCTATCCCTGCCACTCTACTGAAACTGCTCTAGGCAAGACTTCCAGTGACGTTCAAAGGACACCTTTCTATTTTATTTGGCATTGCTGTGACATGTGACACTGTTAGCTCTTCCCTTCTTGAGAAGTTCTCCTTCTTTGTCCTTATTCACTCTACCTTCCATTGGGATTTTCTCCTGTTTCTCTGATCTCTCCTTTTTAGTCTCCTCTATGGCTGTTTCTTTCTCTGATTAAACATTAATGTTATTACATCAGAGAGCAGCACCCTGAGCACCCTAATCTTATGCTGCAGTTCTTAACACCCCTGGGAGAGCCATCCACAGCCAAGATTATAGCTACACTGAAGGATTGCTGACTTGCACATCTATTAATCTCTAAACCATTTGGCCTCCTGACTCCAAGACCTGTTCCATTGCTTAAGGAATTTCTCCACATGGATGGCCACAGGTATGTCAAAGTTGGCCAACGTCAACTTATCTGTTCTTCCTTCCAAACCTGTTTCTCTTGTCTTTCATGTTGAAAGGAATGAGGACATCCCCATCCACCCAGTTAGATACCTGTGTCAGAAACTGAGAGGTAATCCACAATCAGTTTTACCTCCTCCGGCCCCCCAGTCACTGTTGCCAATCCATGAACTTCTACAAAATTAGTATCTCTAAAATCTTCTGCCACGTTCCATTAGTAATTTGACTTCTTTTGTGCAGGCTTTATTATTTTCTCACCTAGATTTTTGTGATAAATCTGACCTGGTAAACTGCCTCCAATCTTTTCTATTTGCCCTTTAAATTATTTTTAGGATAATCTTTCTAAAATGCAAGTTTCATCAAATTCAATCCATTGTTAACTTTTTCTTTTCTTTTTTTTTTTAGACAGAGTCTTGCTGTGTCACCCAGGTTGGAGTGCAGTGGCGCAGTCTCGGCTCACTGCAACCTCCGCCTCCTAGGTTCAAGCGATTCTCCTATCTCAGCCTCCCAAGTAGCTGGGATTACAGGCATGTGCCACCCCATGTCTGGTTAATTTTTGTATTTTTTTTTTTTTTAGTAGAGACGGGGTTTCACCATGTTGGCCAGCCTGGTCTCAAACTCCTGACCTCAGGTGATCCTCCCACTTCTGTCTCCCAAAGTGCTGGGATTACAGGCATGAGCCACTGGGCTCAGCCTATTTTTAAATATTTTAAAAGGACTTTCCTTCTCCTCTATAATATGGTGAAACGCTTTTATATGTTAGGACCTATAATTCAAATTCTAGAAATTTATCTTTAAAATAAATCAGATATGTCCTAGGATTTTTGAACGATGTGCAACATAGCGCTATTCACCATGTTGAATTTCTAATAACAAATATTAGGGGAAAAAATAGGTATTTTCATCAATAAACGAATGTTTAAATTATGACATAAAATGAGCAAAATTTAAACTTGTATTATAGAAGAATACACAAAGATATCAAAATTATGAAACACATAGGTAAGTGAACTAAAAATATTACATAACTTTTATAAATTATCCATTCATAATATCTATCATTGGCATTAAAAGGTTAACAGGATATACACACTGATATGGTTTGGCTGTGTCCTCACCCAAATCTCATCTTGAATTGTAATCCCCATAATCCCCATGTGTCATGGGAGGGACCCTGTGGGAGGTAATTGAATCATGGGGGAAGTTTCCCCCATGCTGTTCTAATGACAGTGAGTGACTTCTCATGAGACCTGATGCTTTTATAAGTGTCTGGCATTTCCCCTGCTGGGACTCATCCTTTCTCCTGCCGCCCTGTAAAGAAGTGTCTTCCACCATGATTGTAAGCTTCCTGAGGCCTCCCCAGCATGCAGAACTGTGAGTCAATTAAACCTCTTTCTTTTATAAATTATCCAGTCTCAGGTATTTCTTCATAGAAGCGTAAACATGGACTAATGCAGTAAATTGGTACAAGAAGTGAGGTGCTGCTATATGGATACCTGAAATGTGAAAGTGACTTTGAAACTGGGTAACAGGCAGAGGTTGGAACAGTTTTGAGGGCTCAGAGGAAGACAGGAAAATGTGGGAAAGTTTGGAACGTCTTAGAGACTTGCTGAATGGCTTTGACAAAAATGCTGATAGTAATATGGACAATGAAGTTGAAGCTGAGGTGGTCTCAGATGGAAATGAGGAACTCATAGGGAACTAGAGTAAAGGTCACTCCTGGTATGTTTTAGCAAAGAGACTGGCAGCATTTTGCCACTGACCTAGAGATCTGTGGAACTTTGAACTTGAGAGAGATAATTTAGGGTATCTAGCAGAAAAAATTTCTAAGTGGCAAAGCATTCAAGAGAAAGCAACGCATAAAAGTTTGGAAAATGTGCAGTCTGATGATGTGATAAAAAAGAAAAACTCATTTTCTGGGGAGAAATTCAAGCCTGCTGCAGAAATTTGCATAAGTAACGAGGAGCCAAATGTTAATCACCAAGACAATGGGGAAAATGTCTCCGGGGCATGTCAGAGACTTCAAGGCAGCCCCTCGAATCACAGGCCCAGAGGCCTAGGAGGGAAAAACGGTTTCGTGGGCAGGGCCAAGGGCCCCACTGCTCTATGCAACTTTGGGACATGGTTCCCTGTGTCCCAGCTGCTTCACCTCCAGTCATGGCTAAAAGGGATCAAGGTACAGCTCAGGTCATTGCTCCAGAGACTGCAAGCCCCAAGCCTTGGTGGCTTACACATGGTGTTGAGCCTGCAGGTGGGCAGAGGTCAAGAATTGAGGTTGGGGTACCTCTGCCTAGATTTTAAAGGATGTATGGAAATGCCTGGATATCTAGGCAGAAGTTTGCTACAGGGATGGGGCCCTCATAGAGAACCTCTACTAGGGCAGGGAAGAAGGGAAATGTGGGATTGGAGCCCCCACACATAGTCCGCTCTGGGGCACTGCCCAGTGGAGCTGTGAGAAGAGGGCTACTGTCCTCCAGGACCAAGAATGGTAAATCTACTGACATTTTGTACCATATGCCTGGAAAAGCCACAGACAATGCCAGCCTGTGAAAGCAGCTTAGAAGTGGGCTGTACCCTGCAAAACCACAGGGCTAGAGCTGCCCAAGGCCATAGGAGCCCACCTCTTGCATCAGCGTGATGTGGATGTGAGACATAGAGTCAAATGAGATCATT
The DNA here is from genome assembly GCF_000001405.40 of Homo sapiens. Lineage (NCBI taxonomy): Eukaryota > Metazoa > Chordata > Mammalia > Primates > Hominidae > Homo > Homo sapiens. The sequence goes on from NC_000007.14 coordinate 20,209,430, forward strand.
CTGGAACTTTATGGGTTAATGACTGCCCTACTGGATTTCAGACTTGCATGGGGCCTAGAGCCCCTTTGTTTTGGCCAATTTCTCCCATTTGGAATGGGTGTATTTAACCAGTGCCTGTACTTCCATTGTATCTAGGGAGTAACTAACTTGTTTTTGGTTTTACAGACTCATAGGGAGAAGGCACTTGCCTTGTCTTAGATGAGACTCTGAACTTGGACTTTTGGGTTAATGCTGGAATGAGTTAAGGCTTTGGGGGGGACTATTGGAAAGGCATGATTGTGTTTTGAAATGTGAGAACATGAGATTTGGGGCAGGGGTGAAATGATACGGTTGTGGCTGTGTCCCCACCCAAATCTCATCTTGAATTGTGATCTTCCTAATCCCCATGTGCTGTGGGAGGAACCTGATGAGAGGTAATTGAATCATGGGGGCAGTTCCCCCATGCTACTCTTGTAACAGTGAGTGACTTCTCATGAGATCTGATGCTTTTATAATTGTCCGGCATTTTCCCTGCTGGCACTCATTCTCTCTCCTGCTGCCCTGTGAAGAGGTGCCTTCTGCCATAATTGTAAGTTTCCTCAGGCCTCCCCAGCAATGTGGAACAGTGGAACAGTGAGACAATTAAGCCTCTTTTCTTTATAAATTACCCAGTCTTGGGTATTTCTTCATAGCAACATGAGAACTAATGCACACACAAACCTTAAAGGTATGCATCCTTGGTAAGCATAATTGTGATTTGTAGATTTTCTATAGTGAACATGCAACACTTTTGAAATCAGCAAAAAACACATTATTTTATAAAAGTCTAAATCAAGTTGGCAGATTTTTTCAAGCAAATTTCTTTACCCAAAAAAGCATCTTAGAATATCTTCCACTGTCTCCCTCTCCCTCTCTCTCCTCACTGCACATCCACAGCCTAGGTTAGGCATCACTGTCCTATACAAACCTCTGGCATAGTTCTCACATTGTATTATACGTTTTATGTATGTATTTGTCACTTTCATCGCACTATGACCTCTTTCATCCCTATGTACCCAGTGCTAAGCAAAATACAGGTAAAATACATGCTAACTGAATAAATGAATGAATGACGCTACCTACGTCACAGTGACCTATATTGATTCCCCACTGCCTTCAGGAAATAATGTGCATGCTTCTTAGGCTGGTATTTGAAAATCCTTCAAAATTAGATGTTACCTATCCTTTCAATCTTTTTCTTTTCATATTTTGCCCCCATTTCCCCAAGTACATCTCTTAGCACTGCCATCAATGAGGAGGGATGGCATCTTTCTTGTTCACTGCTATATCCCACAATGTAGCCCCAGAACCTCTTAATGGATGGTCAGGAATTATTTGTTTAATTAATGATTAAATACATTAATTAACTTTCTCAAAAATATTCTGTAGTTGCCACTTTCCCATATTTTCTAAAGAGCTACTGCCTCCAATTTTTGCCTCATTAATTTCCTCTGTCAAGACTCCAGGGCTTAGTAAAGTTTAGTCACCTGTAAGAATCATTTCCCAATCTTCCTATGCAAAACTAAATTCTTCTCAGTACAAATATAGCACTTATTTGAGATCTGCCTCCTATTATGTGTGTATGTATGCTCTTTTGATATTATTTATATAGTGTCTAGAGTCTAAACTTTTAAAAGTTAAGGACTGTAATAATTTGATGTCTCTCTTCTCAGTTTGCTCCCATCTATCATTTCTCAGCTGTCCTAGATGGAATAGACTAACAATCTCTATTTACTAACTATTAACATAAGGATTCCTGGGAATCAGTTTCTTCATCTCTAAAAGAGGTATAATAGCATTATCTGCTCCTCCTCAAAATTAATTAAATAATATAATATAATTAATGTGTTTGGCATATAGTAAGTACTCAGTTGGTACTAATAGTTACTATCAATATTATCATTATCATTATTGTGATTAATATGATTAATACTAAAGTAAGTGCCTGTTAAATGGAAAAGTCATATGAATAATACTAAAGTTAATACCTGTGGAAAAGTCAGTCAATCTCTAACGCCATAGGTTGAGAAACGGAGAGGTTGATTTCAGATCAAATTTTGCACCATATTTTAGAAATGGGAGTGTTCCAAACATATCTGAGTCTCCCAGATGCCACAAGCTTCTGGCTTTCAGTGACATCTGGAAAGGTTATTTGATTAGAACATTTGAGATAAACAAGTATGTTTAGAATAGAAACAGGAACTCCTATTTTGGCTGGGAATATAATGTGTTATAAATGTTTTGGAAAGCAATTTCTCAATATCTCATAAAGTTGAAGGTACACATGCCCACGGTTCAGCAAATCAGTTTCTGCAAATATTCACTAGAGTAATTCTTTCATTTGGACACAAATAGGAATGTACTATAATATTTTATAGTACTACTTATGATAGCAAAATGCCATACAGCCATGAAAATAAGTTGTGCTGTAAGAATAGACATGGATTAATCTTAAAAGTATAATGTAGAGAGAAAAGAGCAAGTTGCAGATGAATAATGTATACTTTATTGTTTCCACAAAATTTTCAAACATTCAAAACAATCTTATAGACTGTTGTTTATGGATATCTTCACATACACAGCAGTGGAAAGAATAAAAGCATTTAAAAAAGAAAAGAATAAAAACATACACTGCAGTGATATCGACAAAGATAGGATAGTGGTAACCTTTGAGGGTGAAAAGAGAATAGGATTAAGCAGGGTACTTTTTTATCTTTAATATTTTATTTCTTAAACTGGGAGGTGAGTACATAAGTCTTTGCAATATCTATCTTTAAATGTCTACTACATATTACATGTATTGGGGAAATATCTAAATTAGGTGTCTTCCCAGTGGAAATAGAAAACATACAAAACTCTTCTACCATTCCTGGAAATTAAACCTGATGTCTGTTCTGGCTGGAGATGAAGATGTTTCTGTTTATTCCAAGGAAGGCCCCTATAAAGAAGCCTCTTATCTCTGGGCAAGGTGGTGGCCACAGTAACCAAGAGAAAACAAAACCTGGGAGGAAAGAGTCAGCATGCCCTTCCTCTGCCTTCCCATCCCTGAGTACCTGAAGAATCTCTCTTCAGCTCTCTTCTCCTGGAAACTTGAGTGGGGCAGGAGGAAAAGCGGAGCTAGGTGTCATTTTAATGAGGAACATACTTGTCTCCTCCATTTATCTGGCCCTCCCTGATGGCACTCCAGAATTCCAATCCCACATGATTAACAACATAGTTTCCCTTTTCTGCTTGAAGGTCCATTCTCCTCTCAATTTCAAATCACCTGAGATACAAAGCTGCATTTCCCCACAAGAACCAGTTCCCTCTCCTTTCCTTCAGTGCTACTGTCCTTCTCTCAGACCACCAAGCTTAAAAACTCCAGAGGCTCAAACAGCAAAGATGGCAGCCCGCTCCTCCCTCTGGGAGTTCTGGCCCAGGGAGTTTTCAAATTTCTGTAGGCGGAAGAATACTAGCGGGAGTGGCTGGAGACCCCATTTGGTAGGTTCCACCTAGTAAAAAGAAATGAGATCAGGGACTGGCTTAAAGAAGCTGTATGGTCATGTTTTCGTAGAGCAGCTGTTCTGTGCTGGGATACCACTTCCACCTTGGTCGACTTGACATTTCCAAAGCCCACAGGCTGGAATAATTAAGATGTGGAAAATGCAAAGATGGTGGCCCACCCTTCCCTTTGGAAGCTCTCTTTTCAAAAGAAGACATACATGTGGCTACCAATCATATGAAAAAAAGCTCAACATCACTGATCATTAAAGAAATACAAATCAAAACCACAATGAGATATCATCTAACACCAGTCCGAATGGCTGTTACTAAAAAGTCAAAAAATAACAGATGCTGGTGAGGTCGTAGAGAAAAAGGAACGCTTATATGCCATTGGTGAGAGTGTAAATTAGTTCAGCCATTGTGGAAGACAGTCTGGCAATTCCTCAAAGACCTAAAGACACAAATACCATTTTATCCAGCAATCCCATTACTGGGTATATAACCAAAGGAATATGAATCATCCTATTATGAAGACATATGCACACATATGATCATTGCAGCACTATTCACAATGGCAAAGACATGGAATCTATCTAAATGCCCATAATGATGGACTGGATAAAGAAAATGTGGTACATATACACCATGGAATACTACATAGCCATAAAAAAGAACAAGATCATGTATTTTGCAGGGACATGGATGGGGCTGGAGGCTATCATAAACAGAAAACCAAATACTGCATGTTCTTATTTATGAGTGAGAGTTAAATGATGAGAACACATGGACACATAAAGGGGAACAACACACACCGAGGCCAATTGAAGGGTGGAGGGTGGGAGGAGGCAGAGGGTCAAGATAAATAACTTGGGTACTAGGCTTAATACCTGGGTGATGAAATAATCTGTACAACGAAGCCCCATGACATAAGTTTACCTATGTAACAAACCTACATATGTACCCCTGTACATAAAATAAAAGTTAAAAATAAAATAAATAAAAACTCAAGAGCAGCTTGGCTGTCACTATAATTATTATTATTCAGTTTTCTTTTTTATTGAATTACTCCTTCATCCTCTGCTTCTTTTCCATTTTAATTCCTACCACTCTTCATTTATTCATGTTCAGCTTATTGAAACCTATTTCCAAAGAGCTCTCCTGGTGTCATATTCCCTATGCTCCAATCCTCCTGCACACTATGCCCAGGAGGAACCCGCTAAAGTATGGATTTCCACAGTTGGCTCCTGGTCAGAACCATTTTGAGCCCCCTGTTATCCAGCCGCTGAAGAATAAATCCCTTTAAAGCTTCCACAACCAACCTTATTCCAGCATTATCATCCAAAATCCCCTAGAATACCCTCCATGGAATACCCAGTATCCCTCCTTTCTTTCCAGCTACACATAAAAACAGCCCATTCAATTTCACTTCCTAATTCTTGTGCTTGATATTCCCCCTACTTCAGTGTTTCCCAAACTTCACTCATTCTGGTACCTCATCATGATTTTTCCACTACCAATTGCCACCTGAACTACTTTTTACTTAATATTTCCTGTAAATTCACTCTTATTTTAAGTAAGACAAATATTTGAAAGGTTAATGTCTATTAGTACCATAAATGAAAAAAGCTGATATCTATTGTAATAAATAGGCAATAACTATATATAAATGTTATTTTAAAGCAGTAATTAAATTAAACTAAGTACTTTTTGCCTACTAACATTTATTGCTTATTCTGTGAGTGTTATAAAGGAAGCTTAAACAAGTGTTTGGAGAAGTTTAAGTCATATCAAAAACAACAAAACTTATTTCTGAAGAATTGAAACTAAGTCAAAAAATATAACTTTCTCAATCTGTAATCTTAATGTTATTGTTATTGATTGATCAGTCCATATGTTTCCGAAAATCATTTAATGTGCGAAAGTTTGGAAAACACTGCTGTACGTGAGATACTTTCATGACCTTTTCCTGCCCATCTCAACTCTGCACATTTTTCCAGGCCTGCTTAAAGTTCCACCACCTCCCACAATGTCCTCTTGAAATTCAGGGCACTGTGACTGCCCCTTCCTCTGGCAGCCTGGGTACGCGTCTCTTCTGTGTTTTAGGAAGTCACTCCACTCTGCTTCTGAATGACTCATATACATCTCAAGTTTATTTATTTATTTATTTATTTATTTATTTATTTATTTGGTCTCCAGTAATTATAGTTGAAAGAAAGGTTTTTGAAGGTGTCTTTTTAATCCCCTGATACTGAGCATCACACTTTCTGTGGAGTGACTCTATGAACAGCATGAATGACTAATGAATTAGCACTTACTCTCTTTAACTATTTATGAGGTCATATCTCTGCTAGTAGATAAGGATCCCCTCAAGGGCTGTGCATGAGTTTCTTCTAGCCTCTAAACCCAGCCCAGGGGGAGTATATTGCAGGATTGCTAGAAATCTTTGTCAATTGAATGAATGACACTTCCTAGAGACACTACACCATAGACGGCACTTGACAACAACAAAAAAAGCCACCCTTTTAGAAGTATACAGTGTTCAGTGCCTCTGCAGCTTTCCTCCACCTTTGGAGAATTACAAGTTTCATTCTAATTCTATCCTGGACTTGCTGACATAGGGTTTACATTTATTAATATATGGCATATCACATGTAAAACTCTGCACAGTCATCTGAAATGCTGGTTGTTATCACCTTCACTTATCACCAAATGCCATAAGGGATGTTTAGTCTTAATAGACACCTAGGCATATGTGTGGTCTTTCAAGAAAGAATTCTCTAAAAATTCAACAGACATGTCTTCAAGTTCAAAATTAGTATAATTCCAAAATGTCTTTTGTCCTCCAAATCAGCCAATACATTTTAAGATAAGATGGTGTTTAACAAACTTTGCCTTAATAGTTTTTATTATCTCTAAAACACAAACAGATAAAAATATTCTATTTGTAAATTAGCTACAAGGAAGTTGAGAAAACTGGAATAAATAATATTTTTGCTTTAAGTTTTAAAAATGAGTCATAACTAAAGCTTTTAAGCAAATTGTAACTAATAATTATGACTTCATAATTTCTAGATTCTGTACACTACCCATGAAATCATATTAAAAATCGCTATTATGAATAAAAGATAATCATGTAATTAAGTTCAGGGGGGCATAAAAGAATCACCACTGAGGTTAAGACAACTTTAAGAATATACCTGAAATTCATCATTATCACCCAGTAATTGCTATGTAAAAACCAGACATTAACATAGATAAGTCAATATCAATCCTAAATTAGACCCACTGAATATAGACTTAAGACATTTTTAGGAAATTAGGAAGACCTTTAATAAATGGAAGGCATTGGAATTTTCACTACATGCTTTTTGATCTTAAAAATAAATTTTTTAAAATCTATCTTTATTAATTGTGGTAAAAAACTTAACATACAATTTACCATCCTAACCATTTGTAAGTGTTTACACTTACAAATTTTAAGTTCAATAGTATTAAATATATTTACATTATTGTACAGTCTCCAAGTGTTTTCATCTTGTAAACTGAAACTCTATATCCATTAAACAACTCTCATTTCTCCTTCCCCCAAGCCCCTGGCAACTACCATTCTAAGTATCATTTATGTGAGTTTGACTACTCCAGATACCTCAGGTAAGTTGAATCATCCAGTATTTGTCTTTTTGTTTCTTTGGTGTGTTTTCCAAGCTTAATTGAAACTTAATTAGGATGAAGCCAAGTTACCCTCCATCATGTATCATCTGTCTATTCAGTACAATGCACTGTGCTAATTTAATGACCCCCTTAACTTAATTACATGATTATCTTTTATTCATAATTTAATGCTATTAACCTAATGAGGTAGGTTATGCACACACACTTTACAGATGAGGAAACTGAGACTTTGCGAGGTGAAACATCTTGTCAATGGTCATAAATCTAATAAGCAGTGGGGCTGCTGATTGCAACTTTATCTATCTTCAAAGCACAGTCTTTTTAACATACCTGTATGCTTTTTGAGATATTTAAAGTTTTTAGGGGATTTCAGCCATCTACATATTTTAAGCAACTCATAGAGTGTTTTGTTTTTGCCTTTGATGGTTAATGTGACCTGGGTTCCTCCTTTTTTTTAAAATAAACTACTTTATTCTAAACCATGTCTCAAGGTATTATTCTATTCTATGTCATGAGGTTTATTCTAACACATGTCCCATAAGCCCACAGAATACCAGTTACCTTCCCTTTATTTAAGCAGGGCTTGATTTGTTAAGCAGCTGGTTTGTTACATTTTTCTGGAAATTATACAACTTCCTAGTGTGTAGCACATATCAATAGTGAAAGGAATATTATTTTTAAAAAATCAGCACTTACATTTGTGGAAGTGAGCCCAAGCTTCTTCAGTTCAGACACATGGTTTTAGTGAATAGAAGTCACTCTACCAAACCCGGGTACTCTTCAAACATGCCTTGCTCCGTATGCAGGCAGGCAACTGCACCCCTGCTTCCTGAGCCACCTGGGACTTGAAGTTCTACCACTGTGGCTCCAAAGCTGCCCAACTAGAAACCCCAAAAGGCAAGAGAACTACGATACCCACAATTCAGGCTCCTCACCCGAAACCAGAAGAGGGCGTATGGCTAGAGTTTCACCCTAAGAAGAAAGGGGAAGCAGGTGGAAAAGCAATTAAAAAAAAATCAGGTGAGTATATCTAAGAACCATCTGTAAATATAATCTTATTTCCATGAAAGGAAATAAAAGTGGTTTAATGTTTGCCAGGGAGTAAGAAGGCACCCTCAGTGTTAGCAATAAGTAAAAAATATTTATGCAAGCAAATCCTCATGCAGCTGGAACTTGCCCCACCAGATTCTCTTTCGGTGATTCAGAGCTGAAGGTGCCTCACTGCCCTGTGGAACAGGTGAATAAAGCCTTCCCAGGTGAGTGACAGTGTCTAACTAGTTCCCCCTTTCCCTCTACATCAGCACTGTGATTGTCACTCAAAGACATAGACATATAGACATAATGGAGACCTTTTGGCATTTCATCTTCTAAAATGCTCTGGATTTTTAAGATAACACTTTAAAATGTGCCTTTTAAAATATAAGCAAGAATAAAGTTTTCTTGATATTTTCTTCCATTTTACTTTCCATTTCTGTGTTTTGTGTTTTCCTTCTGTGTATTTTGTTCAAAATTCAAGAAAGAGAAAATTAGGGGAAAGGGGAAAAAAGGTAAAACTTAGTGAAATGAAATGTGCAATAATTGTTTCACATTTTTTTCCAACATCAGCAACAGAGAATGTTTAAAACAAATGTGTTTCTCTATTTGTTCATACAGCATCTCTCTCTAGCCTATTATCTCCTGTTAGACACAGCCCAGAAAATGAATAGAGACAAGTCCTGGCTGGGTCTGGGTTCAGAAACATAATAGAAGGATTCATCTAATGTAAGTAGATGGCAGAATGGTGACAAAGAAAAAGTTTCCTTTCCCTTTTCTGCACTTTCTCTCCTACTGTTCTAACCACCCCTTCCTCCCTGATGCATCCCTGGCTTCATGCTGCCAGATCACCTAATCCACCCAGATTCCCTTTGAAGTTTCCCCTTGACTCATCCCACAATCCAAACTGAGCTGTTCTGTTTCTTTTTGTCACAGGTTCCTCAACTCTCTACTAGAACCTAGCTTTCCTTTATGTCATTATATTATTTCCAAAACAAATGGTTCTTAATTTCCCCAAACCCTACAGAGGGCATTCTGCATGGCATTTCTCCTCCCTGAAACCATTTTTGCTCATCTTGAAATGTTCAGAGATTTCATTTTTTCCAAAGCTCAATGAAAAACACTCTTCAAGATGTCCTTCTCAGTTTGTCTTAATCTGAGTTATTCTCTTCCTCCTAATCAATTTCATAATATTGCATCTGCTCCTCTCATAACACATTGTATATCTCATTTCATTGGTTTACATGGGTGTGTGTGTACCTATGCAGTCTTACATTCCTATTTGAAGGCAAGGCCTCATTGTATCCCTACTTCATTAACTCATTAATGTACAAGTAGATGTTTGTGATAAACAATCAACACATAAAATAACTGAGATGTTAACTCTAAGGTGTGTGTGTGTTAATGCCTAATGCCATCTTTATGTCTCCCGGAAAACATTTACATTTAAAAAGCTACCTAAATGCCATGCATGAGTACTGTTATCAGAATCCCCCTGCAGTCTGGTCTGGTGTGGCTCCCACAGCCTTTATTTGCAGAAAGGCAAAGCATTAAATCTAGCAATTGAACCCTTGACAGTACCCGAAATGAAAGCCCTAGTGGGTCAGCACTCACTGTTTACCAGCTCCAATCCCTGCTGTGCACTTGCCTTTCTAACAGCTCCCCAAGGACTGGGCTCCCTAGAGTCCTCAGTCCCATGGTCCTGGAAACCTGGCCCTACCTCTATCTATGATTTTTGATTATCAGCTCCAGCATTTATGGATCCCTTCTCCTATTATCTAATCTACGGGCTCTAAAGATTAAACTGTGCACTTTGGACTATTTAAATAGTTCTTAACCACTGATCTCCTCCCTCAGGGAAGGGAATTCTTTCCACAGTTGCTAGTTCCTCACACCTCTGCCTCTATGGGATTCTCCTGGTCCCCACATGCTCTGCTGTGTCTTCTAGCTGTCGGCCACTGTGGAGGAAGTGAACCTTCTAGATCCTGCTGACTCATACAATGAGTTTTGTGTGGACCATCAGACAAAAGGGCTGGCTGGTGAAGGTGGCTGTTGTCTGGAAATTCCTCCCAGCTCTCCTCTAATTATGTCATAAGGACTGGAGGCCCCTTAGCCTGCTTGTGTGAGTATCACCAGCTATGTAAAGTTGGGGCCTTAGCTCATCCTCAGCACATGGCTCAGGATCACTTCCTTAAGAAAGTCTCTTCTGACCTCCTTACCCCTACCATGTTTCTTGTACTGACTTACGCAATGGTCACAACCAACATAGAAGCTGAAATCCCAATGACTCACTGTCCCAGCTGCGCTTGTAGATAAGGGAGAGGCAAAGCACTTAGAATGGCAATCAGACATGGCTATCTGGGACCAGGAATTAGGAACTGCTGACACAAAGAAGCAGGGACAGAAGAGAACTCACTCTTGTGGTGAGCAGAGGCAGCTGTGCAAACAACCTGCTGTTCCGGATGTGACTGTGGTGGCCGTGGGGTGCAGAGTCCAGGGCTCATGGCGTTGGTCATGCAAATTGTGGTTCCTGGGCCTTAGCAGAAACAAGGAACCTATTCAGTGGCATTGCTTTGGGGGCTGCTCTGGCTTCGTAAGCTGTGTGCCTGATTCTTAAGCCCCTCCCAGCAATTCTGGGACTGAAGTTTGGTGTGTTGCTCTTCGGTTTAGATCTGCCACAGTCATTTGCTGTTGCTTGAAGCTAAAAACTCTGAGTGATACGAACCTCTCACACAACTCTTACCACGTTGTCACTACCTACCCCAGTATATTTAGATTCCATCAGATCAAGTACTGGATTTTATTTATCTCTAAATATCCTAAATCTCCACAGTGCCTGGAGTACATGTATATATATTTGACCTACATTAAACTGGTCAATAAAATGAGGAAGTCTTGCTTAAAGTTCCTTCTAACTTAAAATTTGCCTGACCACATGGAAGCTGTCAGGTTGCTCATTAATGCAGAGGTAATTTTTTTCTCTTAACTAGGGTTAGAATTTAGACTCTACCCCTTCTCTGTATCTCAGAGGGAGCAGAACTAGTGGTTTCCTACACTGGAGAGGGAACTCAAGCACACAAGCTATTGCTTATTGTTATTTAATAATCAAAAGGATTTTTGTTTCCTTTTTTCTTTTTTTTTTTTGTATCCTTCAGTGACCTATGTCGTATGTTAAAGTCACTCATGTTTGGCCCCTGTAGTACAAATATACCAGAAAGAGTGATAGGAAACAGCATATTCCCCCCTTGTTCAGATTTTTCTTAGTATGACATTATCTTGGAAAGAGAAAGGCCACATTTGCAAGTTTGGAAGAAAGTTCCCCCTGGAGTTTTTTCTCTGTCCTATTTCAGTATGTATTGACTCTCAGAACCCGGGCTGCTATGACATCCGTTTTCTGGGTCACTTTGTCCCTGAGTCATTATCATCCTGTAACTTTCTGAAAACATTTGACTATGCCATTTACCAGTTAATTTCAGTGAATAGCTGAAATCATAGTAAAATGTTAGGGCCAGAGTAAATTTAGGTCAGATTGATTTTATTGCCCCAGATTAAGAAAGTGAGCCAAGTTGTTGTTAACAATTTCATAGTTTCCTTCATCACATCTTTTCGGAGCCTTACTCAACCATAAGATGAATCATCCATAAAATGACCCCCACAAAGCTGTGGTTTACATGTTCATCACTCTTTTCTGTCATTTGTTGCTTTCAGGATAACACGCAAGGAAATATGGGCCAACTCTTCACATGAACACAAGATATTTCCATGCTAGCCTTTTGCAAGTAACAACAGAGAGAGCTCTGTGCAGTTTTCACTGGAATGCCTGTGGATTGCTTGTGTCATAACTGTAATCTAAAGAGTTGTCCATTTGTTGATTCCTTTGTATTTGTATTGGTAGAATTGCCACTATCAAACCAAGATCTTTAGCTGCCTTTGTATCAACTTCTTTGGAGCTTATGTGATTTTCCAGAAAATTTCCAAGGCATAGTTTTGTCCCTAAGTCCCATGAATATGTAATATTTTGTGTCTCTCTATTAAAATAGCACTTTTTGTGCATTCCATTAACAAATATATGTGTATGTGTCTGTGTGTGGACAAACATATCAATTACTTCACCCACTTTAGTGGGAAAAATAATTTACTCTGAGTTTCTGGAATACCAGATAGTGAGTAAGTTCTTTGAGAATGGAATATCGATGTTTAATTATATTCTATAAACCCAAGACAAGGGGGTGGCAGATATTCCTAATTCATTTTCCAATATGTTTAGATAATAGGCTTCATTATATATATATGTAAATATCTTGCACATTTTTAAATTTTGCACAAGAAAATGCAAAACTTTTAAAAAATATTAACATCTATTCACCTACTGTTACGTTCTGTGGACATCATTAGTGGGATTTTACGAGTAGATAAATTTTTCTGACAATTGGAAACTCTGTCAGAAAGAAGCAGTACATTTTATATCCTGGGAATATTGTCTCTTATTTTTTATGTACCTAATAAGTATTATGCCACAGTGAGCTCTATTCTCTAACTTGAGATTAAAAGGTTGAACACAGAGACACAGATAGGTTCACTGACAAGGGGCCAAATCCCAGTGTTCTCTGACATAGAAGAGGAATGCTTTAAGTTACCCATCCAATACCCCATTAGAATTTCCACCTCGGATGTTGGAGTCTACATGAGGCTGGCTTCTTATAGTTTCACACATTCTTCTGGTGCTAACATGTTCCTTCTAACTGTATTCGCTTTCAATTGCTGGTGCAACAAATTACCACACATTTGGTAGTTTAAACCACACGAACTTAACGTCTTACAAGTTTGGCAGTCAGGAGGCTGCTACAAGTCTCACTGGGCTAAATTCTAGGTGTCAGCAGGACCACATTTCTTTCTTTCTGGAGGTTTTAGGGGGACAATCCATCCCCTTGCCTTTTCCAACTTCTAGAGGCCACCCACATTTCTGGGGGCAGATCTCTTTTTCCCTCTTCAAAGCCAGCAGCTTCAGGCTGAGTGCTCTTTTGCCGCATCTCTGATCCTTCCGTCATCACATCTCTCTCACTGACTACAGCCAGGAAAGCTTCTCTGCTTTGAAGGACTCATTATTACATTGAGGCCACCCGGATAATCTGGATCAGCCCCTTCCCACCCACCATCTCAAGGTACAGACCCTTAATCACAATAGCAAAATTCCTTTTGCCATGTCAGGTAACATATTTACATATACCAGGGATTGGGGCAAGGACATTTTGGAGGGGCCATTGTTCATCTACCATACAGAATTAATTTATTTATTCATTAATGTTCCAATAATTGATTGTTTATAAGGAGCCAAGAACTACTTATTAGTCAAAATTTGCCTAACACTTTAAGCAATTCTCAGGAATTTCCTCAGGAAATTCTCCATGTAACATTCTAGGTTGGAGTTGAGTCCTGTATAGGCTACCCATTGGGGAAAAGAGACAGTCTCTTGATTTACTACAGGACCTGTGTTAGAAGAAGATGTATGATTGAAGAAGCATAAAGAAAGGCATGGTGTCCCCAAAACATCACCTGCCTCTGGGCTGTCACCTATTATTTTATTGTGATAAACAGATGATTCAGCTTCAAACATGGTTTGCTCTCAAGAACAATTAAATTAAATTAGTTAAACAAGATGGCATTAAAACAGAAATACAACTTAGAGGGATTGCCATGGCAAGGATTCATCAATTGACATTTTGGCAAGGGTAAGTTTATGAACAGGGCTGAGTGGGGAAGGATAAGGGGAGAACTAAACGGAGGGATATTTATTTGCAGAAATAAATGCAGGAATCTGCTTGCATCAGAAAGAATTGCCTCTCACACAAGTGGTTCCTTTCTCCTGAAAGAACTGAGCCATGGATCCAATTTTCCTTGCCCGGTACTATATGACTCCATTGCCCTGACTCACCACAGATGACTGACCACAGATCACTGGGTGGAAAATTGATGTTCAAACCAAAACTGACCATCTGCAACTAGATCAGGATTTTTAAAATTGTATTGAAAGTAACGGCAAAAACCGCAATCGCTTTTGCACCAACCTAATATATTTGGCTAGTTTGTGGGTCATTAATCAATTTATCAACATTTTTAAGTGAAATAGAATAAATTGAAATAGAATGGAACTGAATAGATGAAATGAATAGAGTACAATAGAATAAATCAGAATACATCGAACTAAAAAGGGTCAGTGTTGTTTCATGAACTGTTCATTCTAATGTGTATGTGAGTGTATGTGTGTGTGTGGTGTGTGTGTCTTTGAGTGTTGAGTTCAATATAAAGTGGTTTCCTTTCTGTAGGCAAATTTGAAAACTATGCAGTTAGATAGTGGGCTTATAAAATAATCTAGCATGAAAGCTATGTCTTATTAGAATATTTTTACATGGGATAGTAACCAACTAACTAACCAATCAAATTTTCTTTCTTTGGCATGCAAGCAGAAAACTTCAAGTAGAGGTACAAACTCTGGAGTATTGCAAAACCAGGATAAGCACCACAACAAGACAGAAAGCAGAAACTACAAACTAGTCAAAAGTTTGCTGTTGGAGCAGAGAGCAGCAGGGTGGAGGGCTGGTGATTGGCTGTGGCAGTAGAAACAGAAAGAGATGGAAGCAGAATAAGAGAACAGCTAGTCACAGGAATGGTAGGATCCCAGAATGAGGCAATATTAGACACCCATTTATAAAGGCAAGGCAAGGTGAGCTGTTAGTTATTCTTACATTCAACAAATACTTATTGACTGCTTACTGTGTGCCAGGGACTGTTCTAAGAGCTGGCTATATTGCATTGAAGAAAATAAACACAAATCTATGGTTTCATGAAGTCTGCATTGTAGAGGATTGTACTAAGACTTATGTTCTAACCTATACTTAAGTTCTTCCTGATTGTACACATGTGTTAGTGACTTATTGTGCTTCCTAAATGTGTTCTCCATCCTTTCAACACATCTTCATTATTTTTATTTCTTGAAACATGAAATAACCTAACCAATGTAGCCCAAATAAAAGTTAATATTTGAGAGTTTTGCTTAGGGTCAGTTCTAAATGTAGAAAAGTCTTATTCTAGTGAATGTAAAGCAAGAGCTTATCTCTTCTTGTGGATGGCACTAGGGCCAGAAAATAAGAATGAATTAAATTAAATATAGCAAAAGTATCATCATTGTTTCTTCTTTAATCATTGCAGAATTATTTATTCATTACTGTTCCAATAATTGATTCTTTATAAGGAGCCAAGAATTATTTATTAGTCAAAATTTGCCTAACACTTTAAGCAATTCTCGAGGCATGTCCCTCCTGTCTTTTTAAGAAATATTTAACATCAAGTATCTCTTGTGTTTTCAGTATATTTTACCTCTTTCTCTCATTTGAATCCTTCCTATCCATACATCTCTCCAATGTCCCTCATTTTATAAAAATAACAAACATTTACATCTCTCTCAAGCAACTATGATCATCTTTGCTCCCTATCACCAATCAATGTTTTGACAGAATCTCTCCATATACACTTGCTGTTCATTTCCTTATCTTCTCAGTCCTCAACTCTTTCTAATCGGACTTCTCCCTTCATCAAGTTCTCCTTATGGCCATTTTTCTAAATTCAACGCATTTTTTTTCAATCTTTATCTTTCTTGATTTCTCAGCAGATGTTCAAACTTGTCAGAATGGTCTAAATTGTGCTACAGATTAAAAAAAAAAAAGCAATGAACAAAAAACTCCCAAAATCTCAGGCTCAGGACATCAGATATTTCTTTCTTGTTCAATTTGCCTGTCCATTGAGAAGTAGTGGGAGGACTTTCTCTTAATCACTCAAAGACTTAGACCACCTGAGCAGGCTCCATTTTGAACATTGGTGTCTTCATAGAGGGAGATCTCTGGTGAACTTTACACAGGCAATTATAAACTCTTCCCTGAATCAACACACATCCTTCCTGCTCACAAGTCTTTCGCCAAAACTAAACACATGGTCACACCCACCCATAGTGGGCCAGTAAGTAGATATTCCCAATGTTCCCATAGCAGAGAGCTGGAAAAAGGTGATGAGCTGGATGCAATTTCGACAGTGAAGTTCACTGATTATGCCTTGGAACTTACTCTCCCTTAGCATCTAAGAAACCACACTGTCTCAGTGCCTCCGCTCTCCTTGTGGCTGATCTTTTCCTGTTCTTGCAGGCTCACTCTCCTTCCTCTGCTCAGCTTGCCCTAGCACCTCATCTCTTTCCCTGAGCAATCTCATCCTTGTCACTGCTTCTATTACCCTCCGTTCATTAACAATATTAAATCCGTGTCCCAGTCCCTCTCTGAACCCCAGAGGCAGATATCCAGCTCTCTTCCTTTCTACCTATGCATCTCAGTCTTAAACTGGACTTGTAAATTAGCCCCCAAATGTTTGCTGCTTCAGGGAGTGTGGTACTATGAGCCACTCAATTTTGAAAGCCAAAATCCCAGGACCCATCCTTCTTTCTGCTCCTCTCTCCCCCTGTATCTAATCTATCAGCCCCTGCTGTCAGGTTTACCTCCTAAGTAGATCTCACCTGTATTCCTCTTTCCATGTTCACTGACGCTGCCCTACTCCAAACTACCCACATTCCTTACCTGGAATACTATAGTAACCCAGCTGGCCTCTCTTTATCCATTTTGGTGCTCAATAAATCACTTCTTACATTGAAAATAGTTTTTCCCCCCAAAAAAGTAAATGCAATGCTTCTGCTTTAAAATTCTTAAATAGCTTTCCTTTGTTCTCAGGGTAAAGCTGAAATCAGTATTTGGCCAATAAGCCCTTCCGTGGTCTCTTTAGTTCCTTCCTATCTCTCCATTCTCATCAAGTGTCTCTTTAATGATTTGCTCTGCTCCAGAGGACCTATTTTAGTTCTTGGAATTTTCTCAGCTTTCTTCCACCAAAGAAATGAAATGTTGTACCTGAAATGCTTTCCTCCCTCTTT
Source organism: Homo sapiens (assembly GCF_000001405.40). Lineage (NCBI taxonomy): Eukaryota > Metazoa > Chordata > Mammalia > Primates > Hominidae > Homo > Homo sapiens. The sequence goes on from NC_000007.14 coordinate 20,226,597, forward strand.
ACCTTTGGATTTTGCCGTTCCACAGAAAAGCCTTCTTTAGAGTATCTATAAAAAGATAATTATTCCACAACAATTATTGGCTGGGCGTGGTGGCTCACGCCTATAATCCCAGCACTTTGGGAGGCCAAGGCAGGCAGATCACTTGAAGTCAGGAGTTCAAGAGCAGCCTGGCCTACATGGCGAAACCCCGTTTTTACTAAAAATACAAAAATTAGCTGGGCGTGGTGGCAGGCACCTGTCATCCCAGCTACTGGGGAGGCTGAGGCAGGAGAATCACTTGAACCTGGGAGGTGGAAGTTGCAGTGAGCTGAGATCATGCCATTGCACTCCAGCCTGGGCACCAAGAGTGAAACTCCATCTCAAAAAAAAAAAAAAATTTTTTGTGAAGAATTCATGTTTGCTTTTCAGATAAGTTCTAGGAGGCCAGGGCCTGTGTGTGTTTCTTCGCCATTATTTTCCTAGCTGCAAGCATGGTGTCTGGGATACAGTAAATGTTTGCTGAACATAGCTTGCATGCATGACTGAATGGCAAACACTAGATTCCTTTTGTGTATCAGATTTTAGTGGAAACAAAATTTATATCTTTGTTTAAAATTTCTCCAAAAAAAAAGATAATATGGTCCTATCAAAGAAATTGATAAAGAATTTTTTTAGAAATATATGAGAGTTTTGCTAAAATGTACTTGTTAGTGGTATTTTGAGTGATAACCTCACTAACAAAAGAAGCACAGTTTCTCATCTTTTCCCAATTATATTTTACAGACTTTCTTCTTACACAATACCTAGGGTAATAACTAGACACACATCCAGATGTGTGTGGCCATTGCTGAAAAAGAGCAATTAACTGGAAAACTGTGACAGTGATTTCCCATTTTCCATTTCAGAAAAAAAATTAAGAATTACTAAAGTTAGTGCTTAAAGTCATAGAGTCCATATTAAATAAATACAAGCCTACGGATTTCATTTGCTTTCCGGGAAATGAGATTAACTAGCCCCAGGCAAAACAGATTGAGGTAATGTGTCACCCTAAATTCTAAGCTGGTATTCTTAGGAGGTCATCCTAAGACTGATGTTGCCAGTAAGAAGGAAATAGTTTATCTTAATTACATATATTAGCTTTTTTAAGTTACTAAGGTTCCTCTAGAGGAGTTTTAAATGCTGCCCAACAAATATATGTTCTTCTTACTTTCAAGCATCCTAGAATTGAGTAATCAGTTTCCCATTAACGGAACAGGCACTGGCAATTTTACATTGTTAAGATCAAAAATCTATGTTTAAAGACCAGATGGAATCAATCAGGCTTTTTATAATAAACATGACCAAAATACTTTCAGCATATGTAAGAAAAGACAAAATATCAAATATGTTTAAGACTAAAACCAAAGATACTGTTCATATTAATTATTCTATGCAACTAAATTATTTTAAACTTTTCATATCATTTTAAAGCACTAACTTCTTGAAGATACCTAATTAGTGAATTTTGTTGTAATTATAAGAAAGTTATTTTACGTGGGGGCAAATACCTATTTTATACCTACAAAACAGGTATTATCTAAATCTATAAAACAGATTTGCTCCTATTCCACTCAATTTTGCAGGAGATTAATAATATGCTAATTATCTAGAAAGCAGCCTGCTGCTCAATTTGTAATGATGCCAGAGCCATTTATAGATACACAAGAAGGAGATTAGAGAGACACTAGGATACAAGCTGAAGAGAGATTCTTATCTTTGAAAGGTTACTTAGAATTTCTTAAGATTCAGAGTACCTTTATTTTTGTAATTTCACACAATATATATTTATTCATATGTGGAGGAGAAAAAAGGAATACCTTCCACTTGCCCATCACAAGGATTATGGCTGACACTCCTATAATAAAAGACAAATTAGTAGGAGCCTTCAGAAATGAAGACCAAAAGACCCACAGAAAAACATGTATTTTTTTGTGCCAGGGTTTGATGAAGAATGTACAGTGGTATACAAATATGTTTGAACAGAAAGGCCTGTTTGTTCAGATTCTTCTTGACCTCTCTGTATAGCATCTCCTTCCTCCTAAGTCTGGGATAGAACCCCTCTGGAATGAAGGTCTTAAGACCTACTTTCAGGCCAGGTAGGTCCAAGAATTCCTTCATGACTATGTTCACACAGAAAAGCAGGGGAAGGTCAGAAAGAAAGTGACCTTTCTAGAGTTTATGGTTTGCTTTAGGGAGAGGAATTCAAGTTTCTATGACCTACTTTGGGGATAATGGAAAGAGGGTAAACAAAGAAGGTCAGGGAGGCATTGCTTCAGAGGCTCTCCCATTCTCCTTCAGTTTGAATTACTCAGCAGGCCAAGGCACCATACTCCAGAGTATCTTGTTCTAAGCCCTGACACATGCAACATACAACAATGTATGAAGCACTACAACAAAATGGCACTCAAAGGAGTCAGATGAGTCTTCTTAGTGGATGAACTGGGCTCTTAATCCAGTGTTCTTTCTACCATAGCATGATAATATTTAATATCAGTCTTCTTTCTGGAATCATCAATGTGCCAATACACTGGAAACCATGATGCTGCATATTTTTAAATAAATGTTTTGTATAAGTGGTTAAAAGAAACCATGTAGTAAACGGGGGAAAAAAAGTGATTTCATAAGGTTTGTGTGCATCAGAAACACTTTAGGGGAATGCTTTAGGATTCCAAAGAAGAAATTCAACCGAGAAAAGTCCCTTTTATTTTCACTGGTGGGTAGATGAAAGTAAAAGTTTTGAAATATAAAAGAGCTCTGGGACTCATTTGGATACACGTGTTTGTATTGCCAAAAGGTAAACCACATAATGCAGAAGAAGATTTCTGGCCAATTTAAGAGCCTTACAGGGATAGTTTGTGGCCCTACCACACGATTTCTTTTTATATTAATGCTGCTGATACTGATTTGTCTGTTGATCTCTCTCCTGGAAGATATTCCCAATATCACTGAGGCTGTAGAAGTATCAGAAATACTACTTTGAAAAGTGATTTCCAAATAATCTTTCTATACATAATCCCTTTCAGAGGGACTGGGGATGGAGAATTGACAGATCACTGCATTAACTTAAGAAGAGTTGTGCTATTTTTAAACAATTAAAAACTGTAGAGAATATGACTATCGTCTCACACAAAAGTCAGAAACGTCTGCACTAATGCTGTCATGGGATTGTTGCAGGAGAATGACAATGAGAGCCTTCTCAGAATAATGAATGCCCCACTGAGGAACAGGGTGTTTCCTCTCTGTACTGACATCCATCCTTCCTCTCCCAACTGAACAGCGGTCCCATTACTTTGATTCAGATTGTCCTAGAAAGAAAACTCCTCTTATGTAAGTAAACAGAACTAATCAATCATTAGAAACTGGTGACTTCCATTAACATTGTATTTCCATGCCCCTAAATGTTAAGGAGGCGTTCATAGGCTAGTCTAAGAACCTAACCACTATTTTAAAAATTGTCTCTCTGGGAAATTTCCTTCCTCTTTTCCTCTTCTCCCCCCAAAAATGACTCATACACAGAGTTGATAAGAATTTTTAAAAGCATATGTGATTTAAGTCATAAAATAATATGAATAGTAACAGTAAAGTTTGAGTGCTTTGAACATCTAGGCAGTATTTCAATTCTTCAAGTGTTTGTGAAATTTTTCTGTTGCTATAGTTAAAAAACAAAAACAAAAATGGAAACGGGAATCCAAGAACCTGGATTCATACTCCCGCTCTTTCACTTCCTAAGCTATGTGACCTTGACCCAAGACAATCTGAGTCACTTTCCTCAGCTGGAAAAGGATCTAATTTCTGTTACATCACATCTCATGGTTGTAAGGCAGTACAGAGCAATGAAAGAGCATGGACTTCAAAATGAGACAAACGTGGATTTAGATTTTACTTCCACCACCTACCAAGTTATTGAATTTATCTGAATCTCAATTTCTTCTCCTTCTGAATTTGGAGGAGGATTCAAAATAATATGTGCCTAGTAACTGCTGAGCTAATAAATATGTGCAATGATTATAAGAGATGTGGATGGTGCTTGAAAACTGTTAAGTGCTAGTTAGCTAATATAACCATCTAAGTATCATATTGTTGAATATAAGAATATGTACAACCATTATGCAATTTAGATCACAACTTGAAACCACAGTGTATACTGAACTTGATGCTTGCTGATTATCTATCTTTCTGACTAGAATGACTAAATACAGGCTATGTAAAATTAGGAGCTTTGTCTATCTTGATAATTATTTTATTCCCAGTCCCTAAAACAGTGCCTGGCACACAAGCAGCCCTTGATAATACCCTAATATTGATGTAGAATCTATGTGTCATGCATCTCATTTTCATAACAACTCTGTGATCTAGGTACTATTTATTATTAGGCCCTATTTACAGGTAAGAAAACTGTGGCATGGACCAATCTCACAGGGAATAAAAGGCAGAGGCAAGATTTGAACCCTGTCTGGTTTCAGAGTCAATTCTCAAATGCCGCACTTCACTAGAGATAAATATTTGTTGAATAAATGACTGAGTTTCCATCTTCATCCACAATTGTTTGGTGATATCTAAACCATAATAACATTAAGGATACAGTATTAATTAAATCATTTTATGAAAAAGGATGGCCATTTTCTTTCATCTCCATACAAAGTTATCCAGAAAACTTCTTGGAGCAATAAAGGGAAAATGGTCCTATTTTCTGAGCACACTGAAGGCCAGATTACACAGGGCAGTGAGGTGTAAAAGAGTTGTCCACTATGTCTTAGTAGGCTTTGGGTGAAATGATCTGGAGTCTTCTTTCCCTTAATTTAATCTCATAGAGTACATTTATTTTCCTGCAAACTGTGGAGGGAGGACACACGTTCAATGGAGAAGTCTGGCAGTCGGAGCTCTCCCTCCCCAGTAACAGACCCTAAGGAGGCTGCTAGGGCTAATGCTTATTGTAGGAAGTAAAATTTTCATTTCCTATATCACATTCTGGTTGCTTACCTTTGTATTTTTTATCTTCTCTACTCAGATCTAAGTATTTTCTAGGCTTGATATTATTTACCTTCAAAGTAAGCTCATGTGAGAGAAAAGCTGTAAAATAGCTTGTATAACCTTGCAGAACGCAAACTTCCTGAGCCTCAATTCCCTTAATAACACTCTATCCTTTCCAAGTATAGTTTTGTTGTACATCAGTATGAAATAATGCATTAAGAACTATAAATTGCTATACAAATGTGAAAAATATCGTTACATTCTCACAGGGTTAAGGAGGTTAAATGGCACATGGTTAAAGGCTGGAGCACTGACATAGCATTCCAACCTGGCTCATCACTCATGTGATCTACGTCCTTAGTGTGCCTCAGTTCCCTCATCTCAAAAGAACTGGTAATAATAAAACCTATCATCAGGATTTTGCAAGGATTAAGAGAGTTGACACATGTAAAGCCCCTACAGCAGTGTACGGCAGGTGATAATGTCTTCATAAATATTAGCTATTATTATTTCTAAAAATTGGACCACATTTTACTGGAATATAAACATATTTGAGGTTTTCTTTCCTTCCTAATAAATCTTTATATTCCAAAAACACTTTTAGGTCTATTTCTCCACTGTCTTGCCTTGTTCATTTATTCCTGAATATGAATGTCTTTTATACTTATAAATAATTCCTACTAGTCCCAATTTTGCATAATCAGGAAGGATCCTAAAAGTCTCAAGCACATAATAATTTGTCATTTTCTGAAGGCTATATCTGACTCCTGTGTTCTATAAGGTACCCAGATGTTCAAGTTAGAGTGAACTAATAAGTTTACATCTCAGTCCAGTTGTTTGTAATCTCTACTGCTCATTGCATGAGTAGTCATCCTTATTCAAGCTTATTAGAGCTTCCCATTATCTTTTATGCACGTTTTCAGGGATAGATGGTTGGACTTCATGATGAATTTGTATTTATAAATTTCATTATTCTACAATGTCTTGAAATCCTTTGAGTAGTCTATCCAAAAGGTAGCAACATTCTTTAGTTTTGGATCTGTGTTTCCAAATATTTTTTAGTAATTTTTACCTAGATGTTCATTGGAGAAATTAACTACATTATTATAAAATTAGCTTCTTCCTCAAAATTATGTCTTCCTCTCTCCTGTAGCTAACATATGAACATCATCATTGACCCCAATGTCTTACTCCACATGCAAAATTTTCCAAGTCTTCTTGATTCTACCTCCACAGTATCTCTAGCATTTATTCTTCACTTTCTAGTTTTTCCCCTTTATTAGTTTGGGCTCTTGTCTTTTGATATGTGGACTGTGGCAAGTAGCCACCTAAGTGGGCTGCTTACCTCCAGTATCTTTCATATGATCATATCACCTCCTTACTCAAAATCTTTGAAAGCTTCTGTCTGCCTAGAGTGAAACCAAAGTATAACACTATAGCATCCAGTGCCCTTCGCAACCTGAGTCATGCATCCTTTTCTAACTTATCTATACCAATGCCTCCACATACCCTCCACTTCAGTCATAGGGCCCTCTTTAGAGTAAGTTTGCATTCATGTATACATCTTTGCCTTAACTCAATTTGTTCTTTCTGCTTCTTTTGCCCATCTCTATTGATCTTTCATAAACTCTATTCATCCTTTTAAAAAAATCTACCTGACACTTTCTTCCTTCCTTCCTGAGGAATACATTCCTCAGTCTTCTATGTTGCCATGGCAATAAAGTAGTCAATATCACACTGTTTTAAAGTTGCTATTAAAATATTACATATCATGGGAAAACATGTATTGCCTCTTGTCACTGAATCCCTAGAAAACAGTGTCTTAAGGCGAAACTAACCTACTGGCACTTTATTGACGACTACAGTGCCAAGGAAGCAAGAGTAAAAGAGAAAGTGAAATGAGGTAGGAAAAGAGTGAAGCAAATACTAGGTGATTTTTCACGAATACGGTGGTTCCACATGAAACCATTGTATCTCAGACCAGGCCCTCTGGGAAAAAAAGATGAGTGACTTCTTCTCTTTATTCTTCCTTTGTCTCTTTCATTAGTCAAGGTTCACCCACAGGGCATTAACTCCCATAACACTGAAGTGCATTGCCAAGCCCCTTTGGGCAGTCAGTGGACAAACCTTGGCCCCCATGGGTCCTGTTAGATTGGACCTAGGTGCTGGAAATGAGCTATAATGGCTCATTTCATCTTAGAGGAGGCAGAAACAACTGATGCTTTTTGGAAATGAGGTGATTACTGTGATGACCTTTATGACAACAGGAAAAGAGTACATGTAGGCAGACAGGCAATGCCAAGAAAATCTACGTGATGGGAACATACAAACTGGGTTCAGCACACTTCTCTTTGTGCCCTGATACATAGCAAGGTTAATGTCTTAGTGTTTACTGTATATGGAATACAATGGTCATCAACTTCACTATTTTAAAATGTGACTTGAGGCAAAGCCAGATTACTTACATTTGACTAGGTAGTAGGATCACAGGAAAGTAGCATATATTGGGTAGTACTAAGTGCCAGGCACTGCACTGAAGCCCGTTATCTTCTTTGGGTGAATCTTTCAGTCTAATACTCCCAATATCCTATAAAACAGGCACTTTTGACATCTTCATTTTAAAGGTAAAGAAAGCAACAGAGTTGCTTGTCCAAAGTCAAACATCTAGTAAGTTGCAGAGTCAAGATTCTGGCCCAGGTAGCCTAACTCCAGAGCTTCCCCAAGTATCCTCTCATAGCCATGTGAAACTCTATTTTGAAGAAGAAAGTCAGATCTAAACTTGGAGATGAGGATAGCTTGCATTATTCTTTACTTGGCAAATGCAGAATCATTCTCGCAACCTCCTCCACAACTCCCAGGACAACACAGAACTGCATAACTACCCTCAAATCCATTGTTGTGTGAACCCACCCTGCTATTTGTAGTCATAAGAATTCATCACTACAGAGTTCACTTGCTTTTTTAAGTCACAGACTAAATTGATCAACACTATTTCTTCAGAAATCAAAAGATTTTGAGTGCCTGTGGACTGACTTGCCACTGAAGTCACATTTGGCTATTTACCACTTGCTGAGGACTGTGCAATGTGCTCAGCTCCTGGGTTTCTCTTCTGATATTGAATTACTGTAGTGATCAGGTATTTATTTCCCTTTCTCCAGAGAGGATGACTGCTGTTGAGCTCCCACATGGGCTTCTGTCTTGCCTGGAGGGAAAGAGGTGTGAAGTCTATTTCAGTGTTCACTAAGTGTTTAATCAGCCAAGGAATCTGATCGCTGTCATGTCTTACTGTAGCTCTATAGGAAAAGCATACTTAATCTTGAAAACATCAACTAGAAGAAGCCATTTGGTGTACCGGGAGCCTGATTGTGATATTGTTTGATGTACAAAATGTACCTCTCTCAGCATTCTTAGTGAATTTCAAATTTCCACCTCCTAACTTACATAGCAAAAATTCTGTCAAACCACTGAGTCTTATTCTTGCCCTTTACATTTGTAAAATGATTTTGTGTATGCAAGAAATACAAAAACATTGCAGGTGGATTCAGACAAGTCGTATTTTATAGATACTTGTTCATCGATGAGACAAAGCAAGATAGTAAAAGATTGAAATATAACCCCCATATATCAAATGGCTGCAGGAATTTGAGACCTCTTGCACTCTTAGCTTTACTTGAAAGATAGCTATAGAATGATAAGTTGAGAAAGTACAGAGTTGTCATAAAAAATTCTATGTTGAAGCCACGTCTTAAGTGTTCCTTTGGAACTACTGATTAAATGTTGATTCGACAGATGCAGGTTAGAGTCCAGGCTCTAACACATATTGGTAGCTTGGGGCAAATTTCCAATCTCTTTCAGCCTCATTTGACCCGTCTGTAAAGTATAAATAATAAAATACCCATGTTATCAGACTCTTGTCAAAGCTGGATGACTAATATTACACTTGAAAAGCACTTAGCATGTCAGACTCAGTTACTTGCAAATTATCACACCAGAGGATAGCAGAGATTCCTTGAAAATACACGCTGACTGATTTTTATGCCTACTATCCCTGTTTTTTCCTCTCTTAACAGATCTTCAGTACAAGGAATAAAACAAAGAACTGAAAGTGTACCAAATATAAATAAAGACTTTTAAAAAACCCACTAGTTTTATTTTATTAGATTTTAAATCACTAATATAGAAATGGTTGTGGAAGTGCTGAAAATTCAAGGAATCTCTGCAATAGAAAGATGTGAGACTTAGGCCCTAGAAAACCTGAACAACTAGATAGAGAGGAAAAAAAGGAAAGAGGAGTAGGTTAAGAAGAAAAATAAGAAAATCAAGAGAGTTTTTGAACATTCTTAGGCAGAGTGGCATGAAGGATTCTAATAGAAGAGAGATTTTTCAAAAAAGTTTCCTTCCTCTATTTTAATAAGTATTGAGTGTGTAGTATATGAAAAGCTCTGGAAAAACACAATGATAAAAGACGTTCTCCATCTTTTAAGAGAATCTCAATGCCATAACAAAGTTATGGTTCAAGTTTGTGCACAGAAAGGGGAACACAGAGGAGGGAGCCTCTCAATCTGCTTGGCCAAGGGAGAGTAGACAGGGCAGCCTTAAGAAAGCAGGTAACAAACAGGTGGGTGTGAACTAGAAAGAAGAGCGGTAGTTGACTGGGCAGCACAAAGGAAAGCGTATTCAAAGACCAGGGGCTTGAAATAGCCTCCCACGCTCAGGGAACTGCAAGTCTGGAGTTGAGCTGAAGCATACAATGAGAATCAAAGAGCGGGTGGTAGTTCTCCCTTTTGGGGTCTGTGCACTGTCTGGGAGCTCTGTTCAGAAAGTTCACTCGGCCCTACCTCAAGTGTCCTATTCCAGTCATTCAAGCCTCAGCATAGATGTCATGTGTGTAGAAAATCTCCGCAGACCGTACAACTTAGCTGAGCTCCTCATTCTCTGCTCAGCAAATAACCATATTTTCAGCCCTGAGCAGCATATATGTGTGATGTGTGTTATGTGTGTGTGTGTGTGTGTGTGTGTGTGTGTGTGTGTGTGTGTGTGTATTATTTAATTTTCCTATTGGATTATCTGTTTATTTGTCTACTATATTTCCCCAGTAGTTTCTTAGGAGCAGGAACCCTAGCTTTTTCACCATGGCATCCCCACTGTCTAGAATTCTACCTGCCATAAAGTAGACACTCAATAAATATTTGCTGGATGAGTGAAGTAGGTGGGACATGTAAGATTTGCCAGATAGGGGAAACCTGTGCATGGGTGAATGTAGAGGAGAGATTCAAAGTTTAATGCTCATGTAAGGCTTCTTGTTAAAATACAAGAAGGGACAGGACATAAAGGGATTTGTAGATTGTGATGAGGACTGTCTGTTTTCTCTAGGTGGAGAGAAACCACTGATGATTAAGTAGGAAAGGAATATAATTAGTTTCCTGGTAGAAGGTCATTCTCATGATTATGTAGAGGAAGCATTAAAGAAAAATGAGACTAGTTTGAAATCCACTGAAGTGACTAAACCAGCACATTTGCAGTGAGGAAGGAGAAGAGGTGACTGATAAAAACCATTTTTAATAGGAAGGGCCTAAGGACATGAAGAGACCTGAGGCAGGGAGGTGGTGGGGGTGGGTGGGAGGTGGGAACAGACTGGGTTGACTCCTGCATAATATAAGTACTTAATAGTTGAGTTTTCTAAATGCTAAAGGAGCCGATAGTGCTAAATGAAAGGGTAAGTGTGGAAAAAAAAAAAGAAAACAGAGGGATAGTTGTGGCAATGAAGACATCATCAGCGACATTCCAGAGCAGAGGTGGGGGTAGGTTTCATGAGCTACCAACAATAATGAAAAGTGGTGGCTGTCGGTGTCTGCTTCTCTTCACCTTCAGCTCCATCCTGTATAACAAAGGGACTTGGATAGACAGACACATGTGCACACTAAGGCACACAGAACAAAGCTCTGTCCACTCCCCTCCTAGAAACCTTTCCCTGGCCACCACTCAAGCTGGAGAAGTATGAATACCACCAGTAGCAAGACACACCTTGAGAGACAGCCCAAGGAATTTTTTGGGAGCAAGACTGGAGTACATTGGACAGAGAATTTCAGAGTCTTGGGTTCCTGAAGAAGGGGATATCATGGGTTCTGGGTGGTAAACCCTCATGGCCTTTCAGATTCCCTGACCAGTGTGAAGAAGTAGAGCTAGAGGAAAACCATAACCCTGGGTCCAGAGCAGAAGCCACTTCTGCCTGGGTCTAAAGGCAGGACTGATTGCAGGAGAAACCCTAGCATTTATATCCTGTCATCCTGAAACCCCACAGTAAGAAAAGTAAGAACTCTTACTCTCCAGAAGTCCCAATCAATTCTGATTACTTCTCATTAGCTCTAAGTGGTCACAAAACAATCTCATTGTGGGCACCAATCACCATGGTCAGAAGGAATGTTATGCAGTATTTGACTTAATGTGGTTATACGCAGTAGCCTGGGGGAAGGGTATGCAGCCCCTGGTCTGAAAAGGGAGGAGGGGTAGATCCCCAGGGAGGTAAGGAGAAAGGATGCTGAGGGGCAATGACTCTTACATGTGCTACTACAGGTAGAAATGAAGCCAGATTGCAGAGCGTTCTGGAGGGAATATCTGAAGCAGCACATGTAAGTCAGGCCATAACAGAAAGGAAAAATATAATTAGAGCAAGGAAACAGGGGCAAGGTATGATGATAGCCTTGCCAGATAGGGGAAACCTGTGCATGTGTGAATGTAGAGGAGAGATTCAAAGTTCAATGTGCGTGTAAGGCTTCTTTGTTAAAATGCAGATTTGGATTCAGCAAGTCTGGTGGCGGGGGCTTGAAATTCCACATGTCTAACAAGCTCCTAGGTGATGCTGCTGGTTCATGACCCTCCCCTTGAGAAGCAAGAATATAGAGAATTAGACAGCAGAGAAAGAATGAGATTGGAGACGTGCCCCCGCAAAAAGAAAAAAAAAGAGATGAAACTAATGATGCTTAGACAGTGCTCCTCTTTGGTCGCATGTGATAAGCCCCTTCCCCAGCAGAGAAGCACAGCCAACATTGAGGAATAACGCAGGGACATTCCAATGTTCTTTTAAGAATCCTAGAAGAATATTCTAAACAAGCTTTCGTCAAGCATGGGCATGGAACAGGAATCCTAAGCCCATTACCTTCTTGTCCTTCCCATGCTGACAGATCCCCTGAAGCGTTCATGTGACAGCTACGCCCACGCCCAGGCTACACGGCATAGAACTTGGATAAGCAGCTGGAAGTTGCTCTGCCATAACAGTCTTAGAGAGAACGTAACTTCCGTGTGTGTGTGTTGGATTAGTTCAACAGTCTAGCAGATAACCACAAAGTTTCAGTCACATTGTTAGTGGTTCCCTCATGACTTATTTTTTAATCAGTTGTATACATAATGAAACTGAGTGAATTAGGGCTTCACACGGTCTTCTTTCTATAAATCAGAAATCTGAAAACCATGTAAATTTGCCAAGTAATGAGGTGTCACCACCTTAGAGTAACAATACTAAAAAAGTACCTCATTAAAATGAGGAAGTAATCATTAGTAAAAATTTATTTCTGCAGTCCTTGACCTGAAACAAAAATTATGTCACATTTTCCATAGATATTGACATCAGCAATGACTTTTCTGAAACATTAAGTGGAGCACTGTCATGAATAACATTTTCAATAAAACTTTTTAATTGAAATTTCAAAATACTTTTAAAAACACATTCAACATCCCCAGTGCCTCAATTTACTGCTGGAAAATAGCATGTTTTTATAAGTATAGGTTGTGTATCCTAAAATTTTTTTCCTTACTATATTATCCTATAGAGTTATTAATTCTCTGGAAATAAAATTTGTCTCATGAGATCTCAAAAACCTGCTAAAATTTGAGTATTTTTTTTTCCTTTACCTCCTCATGGCTCTTCAGTACATTTTATTCTCATTCTACTGTTGTGGAAACAGAAAAGTATAACAGAAATCACAGGATTAGATCTCTGAAAACTTGATTCATTATTGGCTCTGCAAATGAGTTTTTTGTTCTTCTTAATCTATATTGAGTCACTAAACCCACCTCCTTCTATTCCTTCTACTTCTAATGGCAATCCTTCCATTTTCTTTGCCTGGGCTTTCTTGACTAGCTTTTTCTATGATTTTATTTTATTATTTAAAATGTTTTATTTTTAATTTTCGTGGGTACATGATATGTGTATATTTTGGGAGGTACATGAGATGTTTTGATATAGGCATGCAATGTATAACAATATCAGAGTTAAATGGGGTATCCATCCCCTCAGGCATTTATACTTTGTGTTACAAATATCCAATTATACTTTTTAAATTATTTTTAAATGTACAAATAAATTATTATTGACTAGAGTCACCCTGTTGTGCTATCAAATACTAGGCCTTATTCATTCTTTCTATTATTTTTGTAACCATTAACCATCTCCACCTCCCTCTCTCTCCCACTATCCTTCCCAGTCTCTGGTAACCATCCTTCCAGTCTGTTTTTCATTATTTTCTGCTTCTCATCTTTCCTTGTCACATTAGATACCACCTCCTCAGAGATATTTTCTTCATCTCTCTTTGCTAACGAGTTTATTTTCTGTTTCTTTCTTAGAATATCTAGTGCATAAACACAGGTACGTATTCTTTCTT